>NC_000023.11:37285837-39785837 GCF_000001405.40 Homo sapiens | reverse complement strand
GTCATGTGCCATCAGTGAGGGAGAAGCAGTTTATGGAGAAGTTTGGAAGTGTGTGCTGCTGCTTTTCCTCCATGTGGGTAATTCTTCACTTTTCTTGGACTCACTGACACCTTTGAGAATGCAATGAAACCTATGGACCCAGTCCTGGAAAAAGTGCACAGATGCACACACTTTTGCTTACTGTGCCAAGGATTCCTGAACCCCTGAATCCTGGTGCATGGTTTCCAGGCTAAGAAATTTTGCATGAGATATTCCAGAGTCTGTCCCTTGTGAAGCCACCTTAGTGTAAGACCCCTGTTAGTCACTGCGGCATAGTTTTCCCTGAACAGCATCATTGCTTTTGTTGCAGTATACTAATACGGTGGTGTGAGGTTAAGACAGTCTTGTGTGTTCTTTTGCCCTGTGTAATGTGAGAATGTTGTTTGTGATACTATATTTATGATAATCTATGGCAAAAACTTGCCTCCCTGATCTCCATGTTAGGAATAACTGTGCTTCTCCCAACTGTGCTTTGTTTTTATATCACTGACTCGGCTCAGTGATATAAGTCACAGTGCAACCCGGCTTCCTTTTTCCCCTGGGCTGCTGGGGAACTCAGCCTCAAACTTGTGTTCTGTCTCCAGTGAGTGCAGTAGGTTTCATGGCAGGTGTTTTGTGTAATCACCTCACTCTTGGCTCCATCTTATTTTCCTCTCCTTGTTTTCCCTTTACGTCATTTGCTCTAATTTACTGCTAATTTATTTTATGCTGTTTTATTGTATGCATCTTTGTAAACCTTAAATACATCTTTGGAACAAGGCAGGTATAAATCAATAAAAACACATAGGAGCTAATGGAAGCTCTGGACAGCTTTCTTCTTGTGAAAACAATTGTCCCTGAATGTATAGGCCAGTTTCCTGGGGATGTGGAGGGCAACTGAGGAGAGAGGTGACAGAAAGATTGAAGGGTCTTTAAATGGAGAAGTGGGCCTAGCTAGGGAATCTACCCTTGCTAGTATAGAAAAAAGTATAGGGCAATGCATTTGGATATTATCCCCCCATCATCCAACTAAAAACAATAATCACAATCCTCCCCCACCCCCATGGGGAAAATATGTATTTTTAAAATAAGGTCACCTAAGAAAATTTCTTTTATTATGGAGAGTTTTTAAAACACCTGAAAGTAGACTAAACACTGTAATAAGCCCCCATGTACCCTTCATCCAGCCCTAGTAACCGTGAACCCACAGCCAATCTTGTCTATATATTGTCATTTTTTTTTTTTTTGTGACAATGTATCGCTCTGTCGCCCAGGCTGGAGTGCAGTGGCATGATCAGGGCTCACTGCAACCTCTGCCTCCTGGGCTCAAGTGATGGTCCTACTTCACCCTCTCGAGTAGCTGTGACTACAGGCAGGCACCACCACACCTGGCTAACTTAAAAAAAAAAGAAAATTGTAGAGACAAGGTCTCACTCTATTGCCCAGATTGGTCTTAAACTCCCGGGCTCCCAAAGTGCTGGGATTACAGGTGTGAGCCACTGCACCCAGCTTAATTTTTAAATCAAAGCAAAATATACATACATAAATGCATACATATAAGCAGACAGTGAGTATATTTTTACACATTGGGCACACCTGTGTAACCAGCACTCAGGACAAGGAATTGAATATAATCAAGTCCCCAGAACCCCACCTCATGCCCCTTCCCAGTTACTATTCTCCCCCTCCCCCAAGGGTGACCACTACACAGACTTCTAACATCACAGATGAATTTTGCCTGTTTTTGACCTTTCTCTAAATGGAATCATACAGTACGGACTCTCAAATCTGGCTTCTCGTGTGCAACACTGCATTGGTGAGATTCATTTAGGTTGTGTGTGCAGCCAGTAGTTCATTTAGTTTATTTGCTAAGTAGTATTCTGTTGTGTGAATGTACCACAGTTTATCCACTTTCTTTTCTTTTCTTTTTAGAGACAGGGTCTCGCTCTTTTGCCCAGGCTGGAGTACAATGGCATAGTCACAGCTCACTACAGCCTCGACCTCCTGGGCTCAGGTGATCCTCCCACCTCAGCCTCCTGAGTAGCTGAGACCATAGGTGTCTACCCCCACACCCAGCTAATTTTTAAATTTTTTGTAGAGACAGGGTCTCGCTGTGTTGTCCAGGCTGGTCTGGAACTCTTAATCTTAAGTGATCCTCTCCTCTTAGCTTCCTAAAGCACTGGGATTACAGGCATGAGCCACCGTGCCTGGCCTTATTTTTTATTTATAATTTATTTTTTATTATTTAATCAATTATTTAAGAAAGTTGCTATTATTTAATA
Organism: Homo sapiens; assembly: GCF_000001405.40. NCBI lineage: Eukaryota > Metazoa > Chordata > Mammalia > Primates > Hominidae > Homo > Homo sapiens. Next base: position 39,783,537 of record NC_000023.11, on the reverse strand, counting down.
AGCCACCTAGTCTATAGTATTTTGTCATAGCAGCTCAAAATAAGATAGTACCTAAACATTTTAAAAGGAAAAGTGGCTTGATCCAAGCCCTTCTTCACCAAAACAGCAATGAGTTTGGGCTTTCATAACCATCGCTTGCTTTTGCTGTCATGAGAACAGGCATTTTTCACTGGAGTGTAGAAAATACACAGCAGCCTCCACTATAGATAAGCCTGGACCTTCATCTATAACAGGAACAGAGAGTAAAGAGTTATCAAACATATTTGAGGAAAACCAACATCGTGAAAGAGAGGCACCAAACTAAACAAACAAAAGAACTAATCCCTACAGAATTCTCCCAGGATCTAGAGAGATATTTAAATGAAATAGAAGTACTATCCATAAATAGAGAGCTGACTGCTGTCAAAAGAATATGTCAGAGTTCTTGAAATTACAAAAAGTGCAATTGCTAACATAATAAGCTCATTGGAAAGACTGAGTAGCCAAGTGACCATGGCTGAAGACTGAACAGATGACAGGGTTGAGAGATTCTCTCAAAGAATGCAAAACAGATAAAAAGATTTTTTTTTAAGTGTAAGAGAAAAATTAAGAGACATGGGGCAGGACCTGAAATTTAACTCTCTATCTAATAGGAATTCTCAGAAGCCAAGAACAGAGAGTCTGTAAGAGAGGAGATAATCTAAGTAGTGACAGAACAAACAATTTCCCTGAGCTGGGGAAAAACTTCCATCTTGAGATTTAAAGAACAGACCAAATGCCAAACAAGAAGAATTATAAAAGGCCCATCCCTAAAGGCATCAAGATTTCTGAACTCCAAGGGTAATGAAAAAAAAAAAAGTCTAAATCCTCCAGAAAGATGAAATGTAGTAACTGGGTGGAAATGTAGTAACTGGGTGTTAAAGACCTCAGTGGGAATGCTAGAAGACAATGGCGTGAGGTCTTCAAACTTCTGAGGACAATCGTCTTGAGATTTGAGCAACGACACCCTGTTGGAACCAGAAGCTGGAAGCTTTTCCATTCCTCCTGCTTTTCCATCTCCTCCCAGTGCCCCCTCTTGGCTGACTCTAACAGGAAGGCAGCTGGGAAATGTAGTTTGCAGGCTCCTAGCCCCAGCGCTATGGAGCTGAGTTTAAAAGGGCAGGTATAGTGTGGAGTGATAACAAGTAAATGCCAGCACACTGGCCAATTAATATTCAAGTGGGAGGGCAAATTAAATATATTTTTGGACATGAAAAGACTTGGGGCCAGGCATGGTGGCACATGCCTGTAATCTCAGCACTTTGGGAGGCCAAGAAGGTCGGGAGTATGAGACCAGCCTGGACAACATGGCAAAACCCTGTCTCTACTAAAAATACAAAAAAAAAAAACAAAAAAACAAAAAAACCCCAAAAAACATTAGCTGGGCTTGGTGGTGCACACCTGTAATCCCAGCTACATGGGAGGCTGAGGCAGGAGAATCGCTTGCACCCGGGAGGCAGGGGTTGTGGTGAGCCGAGATCATGCCATTGCACTCCAGCCTGGGCGACAGAGCAAGACTCCATCTAAAAAAAAAAAAAAAAAAAAGAAAAGACAAGACTTGGAGCCAGGCACAGTGGCTCACACCTATAATCCCAGCACTTTGGGAGGCTGAGGCAGATGGATCCCTTGAGGCCAGGAGTTCAAGAGCAGCCTGGGCAACATAGAGAGACCCTGTCTCTACAAAAAAATACAAAAATTAGCCGGGCGTGGTTGTGTGTGTTTGTAGTCCCAGCTACTCATGTGGGAGGTAGAAAGTGAGGTGGGAGCTGAGGTGGGAGGTGAGGTGGGAGCTGAGGTGGAAGGATCACCTGAGCATGGGAGGTTGATGTTGCAAGTGAGAAGTGATAGTGCCACTGCACTTCAGCCTGGGTGATAGAGCCTGTTTCAAAAGAGAAAATAAATAAATGAGTAAATAAAAGACTTGGGGCCGGGTGTGGTGGCTCATGCCTGCAATCCCAGAGGATCGCTTGAGCCCAGGAGTTAGAGACCAAACTGGGCAACATAGTGAGACCCCATCTCTATATTAAAAAAAAAAAGACTTGGGAAATTTAACATTTTCTGAAAGAATTCTTCAAGATATTCTGTCATACTCAGCAAAGGCAGAGGCTCATGTCTGTGACATCCCACATGAGGGAACCAGTGTCATGGGCACCTAAGGGGAGGCAGGACATCCCAATCCAACTCTCTAGGGCTTTCCCATAGAGAAGCTTGGAGGGCAAGTGAGGGAACGCAGGGGAGTGAAGGTATAGAAAGGTGGTGTCTAAATGTAGTTTCATTAGGATGGGGCAGAGGTACAGGGTCTTCCCTGGGAAAATTTGGATCCTGACCCCAGCACCTTCCTATGTTCCCTTTTAGCAAAGTAGGACAGGCCCAGAGTGTTTGAGAGACTCCTCTGCTGGTAGCAGCCCCACCTGGGACTTCTGTGCCCTCCTGGCCTCTGGCTTTTTGGTTCTCCCTTCCCACCCCTGACCCTGTCCTGTGCTCTCTCCCTCCATCCAAACCTGCTCTGGGCTCATGAGACCTGGATCATTTGCCAGTTAATTTGCACTTTCATACGGATAATGGATTAACCAAAGGAATGAAGCACTAACTTTAGACTTTCAGGCTATTTATGGCCAATGGAAGGGAGGGATGGCTATTTCAGTACTTCTCAAATCATTCCAGAGAGGCCGCAGTTTTTACACAAGCATTTCTAGGGAAGAGAAATGCTGGGGAGAGCCGGGAAGGGTGGGGATGGTGCAGGCCCTCAGGACACCACCTGATAAACAATATCTTAAAAGAGATCTTTGAAAAAGTATGCCGAGGTTCTTTAAAGATATCTTTAAAAGGCCAGGTAATAAAGACCTGGCCTCCCCAAATGCACCAGGTCTTGCTAATTGCCCACCCACAGCCGGTCTTCTCTCCTTCCTTACTATCTGGATTAGTCTGCTCTGGCTGCCATAACAAAGGACCACACACCGGGGGGCTTAAACAACAGAGATGGATTTTCGCACAGTCTGGAGGCTGGAAATCTGAGATCAAGGTCTCGGCAGGGTTGATTCCTTCTGAGGCCTCTCTCCTTGGCTTGCACATGGCCGTCTTCTCGCTGTGTCTTCACATGGTATTTCCTGTATGCACATGTCTGTGTCCTAATTTCCTCTTTTCATAACGACACCACTCATAGTGAATTCGAGCCCAACCTAATGACCTCATTTTACCTTAATCACCTCTGTAAAGGCCCTATCTCCAAATACAGTCACATTTTGAGGTGTGGGTGGTTAAGAGTTTAGCGTATGAATTTGGAGGGAAAGCAACTTAGCCCATAACACTAACAGAACTGAAATTGCATGCATGATGGCAGCGTGCTCAGCTAAAAGCTTAGATTTCCCAGCCTCCCTTGCAGCTAGGGATGGTCATGTGACACAGACCTGCCAACAAGGTATGGCTGGAGTTCTTGGGTGGGATTTCTGGGAAAGCTCTTTATAAGAGAGGCTCATTCAGCTTGGGACTTCCATTCTGCCCTTCTTTTTTTATCCTGTGAGGAATTTGGATGTGATGGCTGGAGTTTCAGTGGCCGTCTTATTAATAAGAGCATGGGGTGATGGTCATATCCTAAGAATGAAGGAGAAAAAGGCTGGGTCTTTGGTGGCCTCGTAGATTGGCCATATCAGCCCTTGCTGGCCCACTTCTGGAATGATATTACTGGAGAAAAAGAAGAAAAAAAAACCCTCCCTTGTTTAAGCCATTGGTTTTCAGGTTTGTGTTACTGCAGTTGAACATAATATCTAATTGTCAGGGCAATAAGTACTTTGATTTTCCAGTCCTAGAAACGTGTTCCCTGCAGCCTGACATGGCAATCTGCAGGATGGGGCCTGGCTGGAGGAGGAGCGGGCTGGGGGAGTCTCTGGCACTGATGGAAAGGAGGCAGAGAGAGACGCTGCACGCTGATGACTCTAGCTGAGAAATTGGCAGGCGGCGTTAGCCCCTCTGAGGATCTTGAAACAGACGGTGTTTGAAGTGGGGTGGGGATGCCATCCTGCGTCTTCTAAGAAGCACCTGAGGATAAAAGCTCTGGAAGCTGAGGTGTCTGTAAAAGTGACATGCCGAGAATCACTAAATGGCTGTGAAGGCTCCTCAGGTCCTTTATGTTCCCTCTGCATGGAGCAGAAGGCCCCTCCACTTAGGCAGACGGTGTCCTACCCTTGAGGGTCACTGTGAGTGGCGTTTGTCTGGTGGGGTGTCACCAGTGGGGAGGGAGGGCTGTCGCGCGGCACGGAGCATGTGCGCAAGCCTTTCAGCGCATCCTCTCCCCGGGCATGCACTCAACATACCAAATGAACCTGAAGCCGGGATTCATACATGACAGCAGGGAGATAAGCCGGGAAGAAAAGGCGCGCGAGGGGGATGATGAATATTCTATTTGTGACATTTTTCCTGTATTCAGTCAAATAGAAGAAAGTGTTCAAATAACGAGCAGTCACTTTGGTGGCTACTGTGGCAGTTCCTTGGTAATGCGACACTTAACTCACTCCCCTCTGAGGAGGAGCGGCCTCTCGTGGGGTGCTGGGGGCAGATCATGGGGCGTGGCAGTGGGAATGGGATAGAGATTGTGGGAGAATGTTCCACGCCCAAGTCTGCCCTTGACTTCTACTGTTGGGGGTCCCTGAGCCTCTCTCATCCTGCTCTTCCTGTCTTGGAAGGAAAGAAAGGGAAGATGTTCTGTCGTGGGTGGGAGGAGCCAAATAGGGCTGGAGGGTTGTAAATCCCAGGGAGGGATACAGGGAGGCCCAGCCCTGGCCTGCCTTCTCTGGCCTTGGGGGCTGGTTTACTGCCACCACTCTGGTTCTGGGCTGCTGCGGGGCATGCTGGCAACAAGGCACGAATGCTGGCTGTGAGTTGAGTTGGGGTGTTTGTCTTAGACTGGCTTCTCCTAGGGTTAGGTCCTGGACAAACCCATGCAAGGAGTTCGTTTGGAATGGGAGTGGGTATGAAAAGGAAGGAGAGGAAGTCAACGCAGAATGTTGACTAATGAGCAGATAGAACTGTGAGCAGCTGGGACCCAGTCCCACTGAGGACCTGGAGGGGTGAGAAAGCTGCAGTAAGTAGCCACCAACTCCTGTACACTGTTGATGAAGGGTTACTCCCAGAACGCCAACTCCCCAAGCCTTCAGCCTGCCCAGTGGGCAGCCCGAGCAGGCTCCTGTGGCCAGGAAACGACCTCAGGCAGAGCTGCAAGCGTCTCCAGTAAGATGCTTCTTCCTGGGCTCAGTCAGTGCCAAGGGGATAGGGGTGGGGCAATGACAGTGACCGCTAAAGTGCTTGGGCAGTGCCTTGCCTGGATGTGCAGACAGATGTGGGCCAAGTGAATGCTGTTGCAGTCACCTGTTTGCTCCCAGATCCATGCCTGCCCTTTCGCACCCTGCTTTGTCTCAACAGAGAACTCCATTTCCCCAGCACCCATGTCCTCTGCTTTCCTGGTATGCCTGGCCAATGGGAGACACTGATGGAAGTCAGTGGGGCCAGATGCAGGAGGACGCCAGGGTAACTCTTCCCCATTCTCTGCACTGAGTGGCATCCGTGCAGCAGCTGGGGCTCCTCTGTGGTGCCAGCTTTTGCCAGGTGGCCTCAGCTTCTGGGTTGTATTTCTACCATCTCCTCCTTTTGTCCTTCTAGCTTGAAATGTGGTTGCGTGGTTGGGCTTGCCCTTTTGCACTTCTGTCATTGCCAGGAGAAGCATTTCCCTCTGAAGAACTGAAACCCAGTGACATTTTGGGGCCACCCATGTCTCTTTTGGCAATGATGACAGAAAGGAAGAGACTGGTGCAGGCGGAAAACTGGTAGTCTCTCTCTCAACTCCCATGTATGCTTCTATGAGTAGTACACTTACTCTGACCGAATAAGTTTCTGTTCAACATGTAAGAACAGTAGTCTGTCTTTTGCTTTCTCTGTTGTTTTTCAAATGTCTGATGAGGAAAGTTCTGTGATGGGCAGGCCATCTTTATTTCAGTTAACCCACCCAGGCCATCATCAAATACTAAAATTCGATGTGGGGCAGCTATAGGAATCTTCTGACACTGAAAACAATATCCCATTGCCACCATGGACTGGTACTCCCTGAAACAGTGTTCTGAAAACTATGGTTCACCAAAGGCCTGCCTTAGGATCATGTGGGGGCTTGTAAACATACAGATTCCTTGGCCATAACCCCAGATTTACTGACTCTGAATCTGGGGGTCTGAAGTCAGAGGAGGTGCACTTTTTTTTTTTTTTGAGACGGGGTCTCTCTCTGTCATCCAGGCTGGAGTGCTGTGGTGTGATCTCGGCTCACTGCAACCTCCGCCTCCTGGGTTCAAGCAATTCTCTTGCCTCAGCCTCCTGAGTAGCTGGGACTACAGGTGCCCACCACCAAGCCCGGCTAATTTTTGTATTATGAGTAGAGATGGGGTTTCACCATGTTGGCCAGGCTGGTCTTGAACTCCTAACCTCAAATGATCTGCCCGCCTAGGCCTCCCAAAATGCTGGGATTATAGGCATGAACCACTTAGCCCGGCTGGAGCTGCACTTTTAATGCATCCCCCCATCCCCCCGCCCCAGCCCAATAAATCTCAGGCACACAACACTTTGAGATCTACTCTTACTACGTCATAGTATTTGCTACTTAGCATTATGATTTCCTGGAAGAAATAAATCTAGAATTTTCTTTTTGAAATCTAAAAACACAGGTTATAAAAGGGGAGGGACACTGTTCTACTTATCTCTTACTACGTCATAGTATTTGCTACTTAGCATTATGATTTCCTGGAAGAAATAAATCTAGAATTTTCTTTTTGAAATCTAAAAACACAGGTTATAAAAGGGGAGGGACACTGTTCTAGTTATCTCTTACTACGTCATAGTATTTGCTACTTAGCATTATGATTTCCTGGAAGAAATAAATCTAGAATTTTCTTTTTGAAATCTAAAAACACAGGTTATAAAAGGGGAGGGACACTGTTCTAGTTATCTCTTACTGCTGAACAAGTCATCTTGAAGCTTAGTGGCATTACATAATTGTTATTTCTTATTATCTCTCATGATTCTGTTGGTCAACAGAGCTTGGCTGGGTGGTTTTTGCCTGGGGTCTCTCAGGTGGTTGCAGTTAGAAGGCAGCTAGGGCTGAGGTGTGTGAGGTGGCTTCTTCCCTTACACGTCTGACACCCTTATGTCCCTCTCTCCAGCAGAGTAGCCTAGACTTTATTCATGCTGGCTCAGGGCTCCAAGAGGCAGGAAGTGAAAACCTCCAGTCCTCTTCAAGGTGAAGTGTGCAACTGACATAGTCCTTTTCTATGGAATTCTACTGGTTAAAGTAGTCATAGGCCAGACTAGATTCAAGAGGCAGAGGAATAGACTCCATCCCTCAGTGGGGGAAGTGGCATGGTCACAGCTGGCTTCACAACTTGAGAGGCCCACTGCAAAATAAAAATGAAGGGTCCCATGATAAAAACAAAACCAAAACTAAACAAGAATAAATGCCATTCAAGTTTCCATCTTTGTTTTTGCTGCTGTAACAAAATATCTGAGATTGGGTCATTTTTAAAGAACAGAAATTTGGCCAGGCGCGGTGGCTTATGCCTGTAATCCCAGCACTTTGGGAGGCTGAGGTTGGTGGATCACCTTAAGTCTGGAGTTCGAGACCGGCCTGGCCAACAACTCTATTAAAAATACAAAAATTAGCCAGATGTGGTGGTGTACGCCTGTAGTCCCAGCTACTAGGGAGGCTGAGGCATGAGGGTCACTTGAACCCGGGAGACGGAGGTTGCAGTGAGCTGAGATCCGAGATCATGCCACTGCACTCCAGCCTGGGTGACAGAGCAAGACTCCGCCTCAGAAAAAAAAAAAAAAAAAAAAAAAGAACAGAAATTTATTTCTCACAATTCTGGAGGCTGAGAAGTTAAAGATCAAGGTGCTGGCAAGTTTGATGTTTGGTGACAGCCCTGTCTCTTCTTCCAAAATGATGCCTTATTGCTGCATCCTCACGCTGTGTCCTCACATGGTAGAAGGGACAGAAGGGGTGAAAAGGGACAAACTCCCTCCATCAAGGCCCACCCCCAACCCCCCTGGCTTTTTTTTGAGATGGAGTCTTGCTCTGTCACCCAGGCTGGAGTGCAATGGCGGGATCTCCGCTCACTGCAACCCCCGCCTCCTGGGTACAGGGGATTCTCATGCCTCAGCCTCCCGAGTAGCTGGGATTACAGGCACACACCCGGCTATTTTTTGTATTTTTAGTAGAAACAGGATTTCACCAGGTTGGCCAGGCTGGTCTCAAACTCCTGGCCTCATGTGATCCGCAAGCCCTTTTATAAGGGCACTTGATCCCATTCATGAGGGCAGAGCCCTCATGACTCAATCACCTCCCAAAGGCCCCACCCCCCAATACTGTTGCATTGGGGGTTAAGTTTCAACATGAATTTTGGAGGAGACAAAAACATTTGAACCACAGCAGGCACTGGAATATAAAGCTTTTTTCTTTCTCCCATGTGCTCTCTCTTGACTTATGGTGTTTATTTACTATTTAATGTGCTTCTAAGTAAAGAAAAATTAAAATTGTAAATTATTAACATGAATGTACCATTTATCTATATATTGTGCAATGTCAGTTTTAAATGCAAATATAAGAGCATTTAACTAGTATGCAGAATCACTGAAATTACACAATTTGTGTTTCGGAGCTCATACATGCATATGTATTTTGTTCTTACCCGAACAGTGGAAACTGTTTTATTTGACTTCTTGCTATGCTTGCATTCTACCAAGACTGTGCCTTCAGCTTACCGATGAGTCAGAAAGGACTGGAAGGAAAAGAGATTATGGGCTGCTTTATCTTTCCCTTTCCTTCCATGTCACTCTTTTTAGTGTAAGTGGTTGGCTAAGACATGGAAGTAACACAAGAAAAAATATGAGAGGGTGCCTTGGTCATTTGTGTTTTTTTCAAATGCCATCATCGCCTTCTGTTTTTTTTGCGTCTCAATCAAGTACTGTTTCAAATGGAAAGTGTGGCCTCTCAGGGCTGTCAGCTCCCCACTTCCTCCATAGATATAAAATGCTTACCTTGTACTGGCATTGAATCTCGCTGAACTCCCATGCATTGTGGGCTCACCAGAATTCTGTGCTCAGGGGGCATCATCAACACCATATGCTAATGGAGCCACAAAAAACTCAGACACACGTATCGTCTGTATCTCCTCTACTCACGCGCATGCTCCGTTGTTCCATCAGACTTCACTTACAAAGCACGGGCTCAAACATTAAATTATTAAGAATTTTAAGATGAAGACAGCAGAGTATTAAACCCAAGTGAGGCCATTCTGATCACAGGGTCCTGTGTGACTGCTCGGGTCGTGTGCCCACGAAGGTGGCCTTGGGCATCTAACGACAAAGCAGTATGCTGGTAAATGTTTAACAACCGCATGACTTGGAAAAAAAACGAAGCAAAAACAAAACCCTGATTGGTAGCATTTTCTAGCATGGCTGATCTCAAGCTATCAACAGGATGTCACCAAATGCAGAGTCGGAAAGAATGCATACAGTTGGCTCTGGAGGGCAGACCTGATGCTGCTCCAGAACGCGGTGGGTGGGAAGGCCTCCAGTACAAGGGGGGAAGGAATTGATGGCGGCCACTTTGGGTGACAACCTGGCACATACAACGACACTAAAAAAGAGAGAGAGCTGTCCATGTAAGTGTGTATATGTATAGAATGAAAAAAGACTGAAATGATATATACTAAAATGTTAACAGTGATTTTCTTGGTCATAGGATTAAAGGTGACAATAATAAAATAATTATTTTTGCTCATCTGTAGTATCCACATTTTCTAAAATAGATACGCATTACTTCCATAATAAAAAATAATAAAAAGCATTTACAGAATGCCTTGAAAAAGTTAGTACAATCTTTAAAGCATAGGTTTTGGTAGTGCAAGTCTGTAATAGTTGCTACATGCCATGAATAATTTACAAATTAAATTGATTTTAAAGCACAGCTAAAATAAATTTGATAAGATGGGGCACAGTTATGTTCTTTCTTATCATTCACATTTGTACATTTTATAGTCAATGATGAGTGACAGCCACTATTTAGAATTACAACAAAGAGCAACCATAACTATTTGTCACCTGCTCCACATCTAAACAATGGCCTGATTGTTCACCTGCCTGGCCTCGGCAGGAGCGAGGGGAACCAGAATCCACACTAAATAACCGAGTTTATGACCACCAAGGCAGAGAGGAGGAAAAGATGGTCTCTTCAGAGAACTGATGAGAACAGTAGGAGGGAGTTGAAATATGTCAGTGAGACATAAGGGGAGGGGAGAATGAAGAGGGAGGGGGTGTCAGCATGTATCAAAATCTCAGCATCAGGGCCATGAAATGGAGTTTCAAAAAGATGAGGAGATGGGAAACATTTCAGACAGAAAAGGAGAAACAAAGCAATGAGGGTGGGAGGGAAGAACCCAAAGGACAATTCCAAGAGAGACCCCTTGGAGTAACGAGTCCTTTAATGAGTTTGCACCCTGCATCCGTGTGAATGTTGGATGATCATAAAATGGGTCAGAAATTCCTAATGATCCTGGGGGTGGGTGGGGAATGCAATATTCTCACAAAATGAACTGCGCTCCACAAGAGACCTAACTGATGCCTCTATCTTCCTCTATCCAAAGTTCTCGAAGTAAGGCCCTCAGTGGGGGAGGAGCTCACCTCTTGTTTGCAGAGAGAAGTATTAAGAGGCTGTTTGACTCATCTATGCTGCATTCGGTGAAACACCAGGGACCCGGCCCCGGCTTCTCGAACTAATGCGCATATGAATCACCCAGGGATTTTGTTAAGATGCAGATTCGGGTTCCGCAGGTCGAGGGTGGGGCTGGAGAATTTGCATTTCTAACAAGCCCCCAGGTGACACTGAGGCAGCTGATCAGCCCAGTCTGTAGACCACAGTTAGTAGCAGGGTCACAGAGGGCAAAATGGCTAGATAGGCCTGCAGTCCTCCTGCAGGGTTGGGTTCTAATAAACCCCAGGCCCTGGTGGCTGCATCCTCCCGGTGCTGCTGGCTTTTGCAACGGGGCCGGCTGTTGGTTGGGAGGAAGCAGCCAGGGCCATTTCCCTATGTCCCTTCTTCCTGTTTGGGTATTCGGTTTCTCTCCCGCCTGCTCTCAGCTTTGCCTCCCTCCGTCTTCCCTTCTCTGCATGCCTTCCTCTTTGCAACAGCCTCGTCATTATAGCAGGAGATTTATTTTTAGAGTCAAGGCCACAGAGTTGCAGATTCTGCAAGGCCTAAAACAAATCGACAAACGGAAAGTGTTTGTCTTTGAAGCGGTGTGAATGAAGGGCCTGCTAGCCCAGCCTGTCAATAAGCTCTTATCTCGGCTTGTTTTCTGAGTCGCCCACGTGGGCTGGTTTTTTCTCCCCCTCCCAGATCAGAAAGGAGGTTGAAACACAAGAAGCAACTGAAATCTCATAATCTTTCCCCTGTGAGATCTTGCCAAATCCCACTTTTAGCTGACCACCACGACAAAGTGGCAGGTCCCAGAAAAGGGGCAAATAAAAGACAAAGTTGGGCCATGTCTTGGCCCCAAATTTCCTGTTGAGGGGTCTGGATCAAAGAGCAATGTTCATAAAAATGAGTGAGTATGAAGTTCTAAGGTTGCAGATGGAAATGATGGAGGTTGTGAGAATTGTCTTCCTTTTCCATAGAGTTTCTAAGTGGGGACTTGGTGAAGTACATATAAGAAATCGCCCTGCTGGGTGATGGCAATTGTGTAAGAGCCTTTCCAAGCCTTCTCCTTGGGAACTGCAGTGCGAGCATACCAGAATAGTGGCTCGGCCAACTTGCATTCATCCTCCCAAAGGCCCGAGCAGTAAAGTTAGCACCGATTCTTTCCTTGGGGTTCTGGGGCAGGGTCTCCCCACCCCTCTCGCTGTGCTCATCTTAGGTGGTAACTACCACTTCACTGTTGGGTTCTTCCAAACCTGAGAGACCCCAGGGACCAGGTCAAAACCACCTTTCCTTTTCCGGGGCTTCCTCTGTGCCAGGCCCTGTGCCATGTGCACTATAGTAAGAGGAAAAAGAATCCTAAGATATCCTAAGATAGCATTTATTGAGCACTTACCATGCACCAAGTACTATGCTAAGTATTTCCATGTGAATTTAATGAACTCCCTTACTTCTTGCAACAATGTTCACAGGTAAGTACTGTACCCATTTTACAGATGAGGAAACAGAGGCTGAGCTGGGCTTAGAATGGGTTCATTCTAATTTATGGACTCCTGATTGCGGGTGCTTTGGACTGGGGATACAGAGTTAAATCAGTGTGCTTCTTCCACCCCTTCTCCCCCGCCACGCCCAATTTCCCAGCTCAAGATCCTAGGTTCCTGGTTTTCACGTTGTCTCTCTTCGTAGGCCTGACCTGAGAGTCCCAGAGGTCAGTGGATAGTTAGGTGTGGGTTCTTGGGGGGCTGATGGGGTGTGTGAGGTGAGGTTGGAAGTAGTTTTAAAGGCTTTCTTTTTTAGAGTCTGAGGCTGCTGCCTTGGAAAAACCACCCTTGCCCCTTGTGTCCAATTTCCTCCTCATGTATGAGGAGGTGACTACTCCTAAAGTTAAATCGTGAAGCTGGTGGAGGTACTCAGATATTCCACCCACATAGAATTAATAGAAATCTGTTTGTTCCCCCGATATTTCCTGGGCATCTTACAATGTACCAAGCTCAGTTCTGGGCAAGATGATTGAGTGGTGAGCAAAGCAGCAAAGGTCCCTGTCCTCAGGATGCTTCCACTCTAGTGGGGAAGCCAGGCAACAAACAAATAAGTGAATGAATGTCTCCTATAGCTTGCATAGAGAGATGTCAAATTGAACAAGGAGAGTGTGTGGGAGGCCATTTAAGACAAGGTAGTCAGGGAAGGGCTTTTGAGTAGAGAACCAGACAAGGTGAGGCAGATGGGGAAGAGAGAGGCGCATAGGATGGTGGGAAAAGCCAATGCCAGGGCCTTGAGGCTGGACCATGCTTGGAGGGCTCAGCAAAAAGGCCAATGTGGCTGGATCAGAGGGTGCCAAATATGGAGAGAGGAAGAGGTGGATACAGGGTCTAATTGATAGGCAGGGCCAGGTCAGGAAGGTCTTGTGGGCCATGGTGGGGAATTTGGATGTTTTTGTTTTTGTTTTTGTTTGAAACAGGGTTTCACTCCTGTCCCCCTGACTGGAGCTCAATGGCGTGATCTCGGCTCACTGCAACCTCCGCTTCCCGGGCTCACGTGATTCTCTTGCCTCTGACTCCCAAGTAGCTGGGACTACAGGCACACACCACCATGCCCAGAGAATTTTTGTATTTTTTGTAGAGGTCGGGTTTCACCATGTTGCCCAGGTTGGTCTCGAACTCCTAGGCTCAAGCAATCCACTTGCTTCGGCTTCCTAAAGTGCTGTGATTACAGGCATGAGACACCGCGCCCAGCCTGGATGTTTTTCTTGAGTCACAATCTTTGATGGGCATCACTCACGTAGAGAGTGTGTAATAAGTGTCTGCTACAGTCCCTCCTCAGATACTCTGAACCCGAAGGTCTGTGGAGCTGGGGAAGTACATAATGAGTTGCATTATGCACTTTATGCATGCATTATGCACTAGTGATTTCTGAGTGGAGGGTCCTGGACCACACTTGGAGGAACTGAGCTTTGGTCTCTGGGTATCGGTAACTGTTAGTTGCCCCACTCTTAGCTTCCTAAGTCTTTCTGCTTGAGGGCATTCTGTGATTGGCTGCCTGTGGGGCAGGCCTGGAGCTGTAGGGGAGTTAACCTCCCTCAAGCAATGACCATCAAAGAGTTGATGGAGAAATAGTGAGCTTCTTTGCCCTTGGTGGGTCAATTCAGAAATATGTTCCATGCTGTCTCTCAGAAGTGTGCGGTAGCATTGTGCTCCAGTTGCCCACAGTAGTAACCAGCTCAAACACTCACCCTTTATTGGCCTTTCTCCTCTCCCCATCTCACTTTCTCATTTCCTTACTGGTGCTTCCTGGGCTCACTTCCAAATAAACCACTGACACCCAAATCCTGTCTCTGGGTCTGCTTTTAGGGGAACCCAAAGTAAGGCACTTGGTCTGAATGATGGACAGGAATCCCCTCTCTCACAAGTGACTGCATAAACCAGTTGTCCAGGCATCCTGTAGGTAGAAGATGGGGTCACCAGCTGGGGAGAGGGGCAGAAATAGCAATTGGAGAAGCCACAGGACAACATGGCCCCTCCACAGCCCTGCAAGAGGAGGACTGGAAGTGCCAGCACCATTATATCCAGCACAATGACAAAGCGATCCTCAGGACCATGGGCACAAAGAAGAAATAAAACAGTTTGCAGGGAGAGAATTGAGCGTAATGTCAGCTCCAGGAGCACTGGGAGTTGGTCTGTTTGGTTCACTGCTGTGAAGCCAGGCCTAGCATATGGTAGGTGCTCAATAATATTTGTTGAATGAATGAAGAAGGCAAAGGAAAACAGTCAAAAACCATGGGGTCCTATAGAATGAGAAGTGATTGATGGTCTCCACTCCCTCATGTGGCCCTCCTGAATCTGCTTGGTCAGCTTTCCTTTGGATTCTGTGAGGTATCCAGCATCTTTTTGGTCATCTCCATCCAATATTTTCCTGCCCCACATAAGCTAGTTTGTCTCATGCAACCAAAAGAACTTATTTTTATTTATTTATTTATTTACTTTTTTTGAGACAGAGTCTTGCTCTGTCGCCCAGGCTGGAGTGCAGTGGCGTGATCTTGGCTCACTGTAACCTCTGCCTCCCGGGTTCAAGCAATTCTCCTGCCTCAGCCTCCCGAGTAGCTGGGATTACAGGCATCCACCATTATGCCTGGCTAATTTTTTTTTCTTTGTATTTTTAGCAGAGATGGGGTTTCACCATGTTGGCCAGGCTGGTCTCGAACTACTGACCTTGTGATCCACCTGCCTCGGCCTCCCAAAGTGCTGGGATTACAGGTGTGAGCCACCGTGCCCGGCCCAAAAGAACTTTTAATAAGACAATAGTAAGACACTGAAGACTGGTAGGGTTACTCTGTTCCTGCCACACCCATTTTTCCAGCTTCCTAGGTTCCCTGCTAGACTGCATTTCCCAACCTTCCTTGAAGTTAGGTGAGGGCCATGTGACTGAGTTCTAGCTTATGGAAAGTAGGTAGAAGTGATGTGCCTGAACCAAAAATCTTCCACTCAGGATCCTCCATTTTCTGTTTCTGTTCTACTTTGACTTTGGAAGACACATATTGAAGTTGGTAGTGCTCTTTGCCACGGGATGGAAGAAGCCTGAAGCCTGGGTCCCTGAATCACCCCATGGAAGGTTGTTGCTGGAATGCCTGGTTGGGATGTGAAGTGGGCAAGAAATAAGCCTTTTGCACATTCCATTAAGCCATGGAGATGTAGGGGATGTTTGTTCCAGCTCCTTGTCTGTCCCAAGTAACTGAAGGACCTTGTATCCCAAGCAGTTTGTTGTCGTGAAAAGCAGCGGGAGAGATTCCTTGGGCAAAGGAGCAGCCTCAATCCAGGGAGCATCTTTGAGGAATTGTCTGTGATGCTGATGGAAAATGGGAGGCTTCCACTCTTTACCCCACACTACTTCTAGGATTTCTCAAGGAGTCTTTGAAAACAAAAACAAACAAGAATTCTGCCACAGATCGTCGGGTTGTGCCAGTTCCAGGGAAACCAGTGTGAACCAAGCCCCCTGGAAGTGGGCAGCTGCGGTGGCCTCAATCCCCTCACTTAATCAAGTGATGGTTTGGAATAGAAAAGAATTTGCAATTTTATTTTTCACCGGTCCTTACCCTGAGACAGATGGTTACGATGCCAAAATCTTACGTCATTTATGAGGCTGTGCAATGTCGGAGAAAGGACTGGCCTCGTGGTTTGGAGCCGTGAATTCTAGTTCCAGGTCTGTGCCACACGGGCAGGTCCTGTTCTCTCTCTCAGCCTGTTCCTTGGTTTATAAAGTGAACAGCGTGGTGTGGTGGGTGTGTGTGTGTGTGCAGGGGGCAAGGGGAAATGTGTGGAACAGATAATTTTTAAGGTGCCTTCCAGGGCTAATAGCCTATAATTCAGTATCTGCATGCCTGAAAGAAGGAGGGTAGATGCATTTTTAAAATGAAGTGGAAACGGAGCTCATGTGGCCTGTGCTCCGGGACTGAAATCTCTGGGTTGTCTCTCTTCTCCTCCCCATCCCGCCCCCACCCCCACCCCAGAGCTGAAAGCAGCCACCCAGACACAGCAGTAAGTATCCGTCAAGTCTGTCTTGCAGGTTCCTGGGGGACGCCCAGCACACTGGAAGGGAAGGGTTGCCATAAGAGAGGGAAGAAGGCGAGAGCCAAGCATGGAGCTGCTGTGTCTGTGACCTGGACTGACCATCGCTGTGGAAGGCCAAACCGGGGAGGCCTGGTGCAGGGCCAGAGCTGTCACCGTCTGGGCATCTGAGCCCAGGGAGCCCCCGAGGTCAGCTGTCTCCCCAGAGTGGAGAGCAGCCAATTCTTACTGCCTCAGCTGCCAGCTGCTGCCAAATCACAGCAAAGAATACAAGGTACCAAAGACCGCCCATATTGCCCACTGCCGCTTCTCTGACTGAAGCCAAGGCCAGGAGGGGCCCTGGCACACTGCACTGCTATCAGCAAACCTTGGCAGGGGTTTTTAACCATTTCTGGGCTGTGCACCCCTCTGGCATCTGGTGAAGCCTATGGACCCCTTCTCAGGATGATGAATTTAATTGCATAAAATAGTATGACAGAGGAAACCAATTCTCTATTGAAATGCAGTTATGCAAATATTAAGAAGCAACTTCGGGATCAGTAATATGTGTGTTTCTTTATTAATGCATTAAGTAACAAGATTTAGTGTTGGGTCTAATAACTACGATCCTTTCATACAAAGACCACAGTGACTAGCGAGGGGTGTAAGTGATCTTTAGAGACAGCAGCAGCAGCTCTGATGTGCTAGGAAGATAGCTGTGGTTTCTATTGGTGACAGTCACAGGTGCTGCTGTTGCTACCACAGTTTGTTGCCTACATTCATCATGGAAGGAAGTGCTTGATCTCAGAGTTTAGTGAAACAAAGATGTAAATGTCTCTCCCACTCAAGTTCATAGACCCTTGAATACTATGCACAGACCCCTGGAAGTGGATGGCTGCTAGGGGACAAGAATGTGCTGGGGTGTGGGTGGGGACACAGAGCTGCTTAGCAGTTCTTTCCTCATCTGTCAGCGGGACAGGTTGGACTAGATAGGGGTTGGGTAATCTGAGCAAAGTGCTGCCTCCTTGCCACTCCCCTGGCCATGGTAAACATCGCTAATTGATCATGGCCGACTCCTCAAGGAGCCCAGAGACCCGCAGAACACTTCTCGGCCCAGCGCTTCAGGCAGCCACCACTAAATGATTGTAGCTGGCACCAAAATGAAACCGATTTGCCACTCCAGGGCTGGAAGCTCTCTAAGGCCCATTTCTGCCCTGATATGCTATGATTACCCGTGATTAAAATATGCTTCCTGCCCTCAAGGAACTTCTGAACTGGTGAGCGTCTTAAAGGTCGGTGTGGAGTAAGGGGAGTGGGGGTGCACCTCGACACAGTTCCTCACCAGGCATTCAGTCATTTCACAGTCAGGGCATTGATTTTACTTTTCAACTTGTAATTTCCACCTCCTGGATTCCATTATCACTCGCTCAATATACGACGATTCGCCATTTCTCTGGCCACCGCTCTGAGACTCATGCATTGCTGAGCATAAGCAGAAGACATTGCCTAAAATGCATCACTACCTGGAAGTAATGATTGGGTTTTAACACAGTCAAGACCTTGATGGTTCTGTATATAAGCAATCATTCCACCTTCCTCCTTCCCAGTCACGTGGGCTGCCCGGAAGGGATTCAGAATTAACCCCATGCGCTCAAGCCAAAACCCTGGGTTACCCCAGCCTCTCTCGTCCAGGCTCCTTCCCTTCTGTGGGAAATACCCAGCAGCTGGAGGCTGCTGCTCCTGCCTTATGTTTCAGATATATGCTGCTATTAACAGATTCTTTGGAAAAGACCCAAATCTGTCCATCCATAGCTGCTGGAAACGCTTCTTTATTAACACAATGAGGAGGTACGATGTAGTGGCAAAAGTTTTAGGCCACAGATTCTGAGAGCGTGGACCCCCACCCCACAGCATCAGCATCACTTGGACATTTGTTAGAAAAGCAAATTCTTTTAACCAAGCCCTCCAGGGGATTCCAGTGTGCTAAAGCTCGAGAACCACCACTTTAGGCTAAGACATAGAACCCTTGGCTTGAGACTCAACTTGACCACGCTTGTACCCATCTGTTCATCTTTTGCAGCCTCAGTCACTTCCTCTGTAAAATGGGAGCGATAATGCCTGTCTCCCTGGCCTCACAGAGGATTGCTTGATTCACTGGTGCAGTGAATGTGAGAACAGTTTGCAAAGCCCAACACAAGGCCAGTGATTATTATTAGTAGTAGCCGCTCCAT
The DNA here is from genome assembly GCF_000001405.40 of Homo sapiens. Taxonomy (NCBI): domain Eukaryota; kingdom Metazoa; phylum Chordata; class Mammalia; order Primates; family Hominidae; genus Homo; species Homo sapiens. Next base: position 39,765,028 of record NC_000023.11, on the reverse strand, counting down.
GACAGTTGCAGGACATTTGTGGGTGGTGGGGGAGAGTTAGGAACAAAGGGGAGATTTGATTTTAAGCTGAGGGACTTGAACTCCACTCTGGCTGCGGGGCGCGTGGAGATCATTGTTTTCTCGTCTCCACAGCTGGGAGACTCCCTCTTCTCTCTGCAGGGCTTGCGTGGCTGAGATGATGTCATCACCCCCCACAGACTGGCTTCCTGAGGGCTCGACTCCCCCACCTGAAAGTCACAGGCATTTGAATCCCCCCTCAGGCCTTTCTCCAGCCACTGGTGTTAACAAAGTTTCTAATTCCAGGTTGATTAAAATTCCTGGGTCTGAGCCGCCCTGGGGGAGGGGGATTACAGGGCAACAGTCATGGCAGGGGAGACCAAGTGACAAAACAAGCTGGGCTGTTTTCACCCCCAGCTGCCCCCTTCGGCGTATAAACACAAAGACCACAATGATGGACTCTTGGCAGGTGAACGGGCAGATGGGATGAGCTTACCTTCCCAGTTTAGCAGGCCAGGTGGTCTGTCAACCTCAGATCAAAGCAAACAGAAGGCGGAAGAGGGAACAGCTGGCAGAGAAGCGCAGCGAGTCCAGCAGGCCAGTCCTTAGAGCAGAACCAGTAACCAACCCGTCTGTAGCCTGCTTTGGGCAAGAGCAGAGAGATACCCATCTCATCTTCCTGCTTCACTATAAGAGCTTAGATAAACTCAGATATACTTAGGCGACCATTTAACCTTCTCAACAACCCGACCAAGTGGGGACTATTATTATCTCCATTTTACAGGTGAGGAAGTTGAGACAGAGAATTAAATGACTTGCCCATGTGACAGAGCTGGGATAGAAACCTAAGAGTCTGGCTCCAGAGCCCGTGTTCTTAACAGTGACACTAAACGACCTCTCTCCTAACCCATCAGAGGGATTCTGTGATTTCTTAGGAGCTGGAATATTTTCCTCTGAAGAATTGCATCTTAAATCCATGTTCTGCCCCCAGGGAAGGACTTGTAAAGTTTGGTCGTGATGAAAGGAATCAGAAAATAGAAAATAAAGGTTAACCGTACAGATAATAAAAAATGCCTAATACAAAGGAAAAAAAATCGAACCACACGCCAACCAAATTATAAAGAGAACCAGACTGAGGACAACAATGTGGTTGGGGGCCAGGCGCGGTGGCTCACAACTGTAATCCCAGCATTTTGGGAGGCTGAGGCAGGCAGGTTGCCTGAGGCCTGGAGATCGAGACCAGCCTGGACAACATGGGAAACCCCGTCTCTGCTAAAAATACAAAAATTAGTCAGGCATGGTGGTGCACGCCTGTAGTTCCAGCTACTCAGGAGGCTGATGAGGGAGCATCGCTTGAGCCCAGGAGGCTGAGGCTGCAGTGAGCCGAGATCATGCCACTGCACTCCAGCCTGGGCAACAGAGTGAGACCCTGTCTAAAATATATATATGTATATGTATATGTATATATATATATATATGTATATGTGTATATATATGAATATGGGTATATATATATATGTATATATGTATGTGTATATATATATATATGTATATATGTATATGTATATATATGTATATGTATATATATGTATGTATATATATTATAAAATACATATTTATGTACATTGGTCTGGGTGCAGTGGCTCACACCTGTAATCCCAGCACTTTGGGAGGCTGAGGTGGGCGGATCACCTGAGGTCAGGAGTTCAAGACCAGCTTGATCAACATGGTGAAATCCGTCTCTACTAAATATAAAAAATTAGCCGGGTGTGGTGGCACATGCCTGTAATCCCAGCTACTCGGGAGGCTGAGGCAAGAGTATCGCTTGAACCCGGGAGGTGGAGGTTGCAGTGAACTGAGATTGTGCCATAGCACTCCAACCTGGGCAACAAGAGCAAAACTCCGTCTAAAAAAAAAATATATATGTGTATATATATATTTATGTATATTATATACAATATTTATGTATGTTTTATTTATGTGTATTATGTGTTTATATGTTATATTTATGTATGTATGTTATATATCGCATATTATGTTATATATTTATATATCTATGTATATTATAGATTTATATATTATATATTTATTTATGTATGTTATATATTACATATTATATTAGATATTAATATATATTATGTATATATTTTATATATGCTATATATATATATATAGCCAGGCGTGGTGGCACACACCTGTAGTCACAGCTACTTGGGAGGCTGAGGTGAGAGGATCACTTGAGCCCAGGATGTCGAGGCTGCAGTGAGCCATGACCATGCCACTGCACTCCTGCCTGGGCGACAGAGTGAGGCCCTGTCTCAAAAAAAAAAAAAAAGAAAAGAAAAGAAAAGAAAACATATGTCCAAACAAAACTTTATACAAACACACATAGCAGCACTATTCATAATAGCCAAAACGTGGAAACTAATGTCCATCAATGCTAAGCAAAATGTGGCCTATCCATACAATGGAATATGATTCAGCCATAAGAGGGAATGAGGTACTGACACATGCTACCACGCAGATGAACTGGAAAACATCATGCTGAGTGAAAGAAGCCAGGCACAAAAGGCCACATATTGTATGAGTCATGAGTCCATTGATATGAAATGTCCAGAATGGGAAAATCCGCAGAGACAGAAAGTAGACTGGTGGTTGCCAGGGGCTGGGGGAAGGGAGAGTAGAGAGTGGTTGGTTAAGGGATATAGGGTTTCTTTTGGGGTGAAAAAATGTTCTGGAATTAGATAGTGGTGATGGTTGCACAATATTGTAAATGTACTTAATGCCACCGAGTTGTACACTTTAAAGTATTTACAATGGTGAATTTTATGATATGTAAATTTTACCTCAATTAAAAAAAAATATGGCCAACTACTCCTGCCCTGGACCGGACACTATGGTCGGAAGTATGACTTCTAACTCTTAGAACAAACCTTAGAGGATTGAGATAGTACTAACCTCATTTTACGGACACTGGGACAATCCACAACCTGTACCTTGACTAATGTTGCACAGTGATAAATTTGGGAATTGGATTCAGGTCTTCACTCCCAAGATGTGGGGCCCTTCTGAGAGGGTCCCACCTACCTATAGGGTTGCAGTGCACAGGTCTCAAGGGAATCCCCATTGGGAGGCCAACACCAAAGCCCAACCCCATTCAAGTGGTACAAACTGGTTCCTACGGGGAGGCTGTTTGTACCTCTGCCTCCTCCCACTCTTATCACCTTTCCCCACACCTACTACCATAGCTACTAGCAGGCTGACTCCACAGACTAGGTGGAGGGCTTTGGACATCCCAGTCTCAGGTACCAGGCAAAGGGCAGCCTGGTGCAGGGAACCCAGCAAGACTCTGGTTTCACATCAAACGGTGGTCAGTTTCTGCAGCAGATGTTCTTGGTGGCCTGCCCCAATTCCTTTGACACTCAACAGTCCAGAACGTTCTCTGAGGGCATGAGAACCCCACCTGAGGGCTTGGCAGCAATGCCCTTGGGAACATGTCCCAGGCAATGATATATGGGAACTAGAGGATAAATACCCCAGCCCCCTCACTCCCCAAGTGGGGTAACATTGAGGTATCTTTTATGGAGTCTCTCTGAGAAGCTCAGTGGGGTTGGCCTCCAGTGTCTCACTCTGGTGGCTTGCTCTGGTCTGGTGACCTCCTTTCCTAGTTGCTTCCCTTCCCTGCCCACTTCCTGGCCCTCAGATAAATCCCTTGGCCCCAAATCCTTGCTTCAGGGGCTGCTTCTGGGAGAGCCCAGCTGAAGACACCTTCTCTTGGTCACTTTTGCTTTCTCACCTCGGGCAAGTTCTCAAACCTTCTAGAGCCTTTCAGAGGTGTTGTATGTGAAGAGGCTGACCCAGGGGAGGTGCTGAACAGCATCTCGATGAGTAATCTGACTAGGAAAGATTGAGGGAGGACTAGTTATTATATATTCCACTCCCACACACCTGAGGGATTCAACACATGCCAGATTGCAATTGCAGTGGGGAACTTTCCACACCAAATCTGATCACTTAGGGGTGGCAGCCTGATGTAATCTAGAAAATTTCAGCAGAAGCTTCGCTTCCCTTCCATCCCTGTTCCAGCCCACAGGGCAACTTCTTGGTCAGCGCAGGGGGTTGGTGAGGGGTATGGGTGGAAGTAGGTATCAAGAGTGCCTGGTGTGGCCGAGTGTAATGGCTCACAACTGTAATCCCAGCACTTTGGGAGGCCAAGGAGAGCGGATCACTTGAGCCCAAGAGTTCGAGACTAGCCTGGGCAACAGGGCAAAACCCTGTCTCTACAAACAAAACAAAACAAAACAAAACACAAAGCCAAAAAACACCTAAAAATTAGTTGGGCATGGGTATGCGTCTGTGGTCCCAGCTACTCGGGAGGTTGAGGTGGGAAAATTGCTTGAGCCCAGGAGGCGGAGGTTGCAGTGAGCCGAGATCGCACCACTGCACTCCAGCCAAAAGAGTGCAGAGTCCTTCTTTTGGGATCCCAGGTCTCCCCATGGCCAAAACCGCCCAAAGGAGAATGCCCTTTGGACTGGCTCTGCCTGGGCTCCTGCTTGACGGCTCAGAATACTCCAGAACTAGGATGACAGGCCTGAGGGGGCTGTGGCTGGTCCTCTGGTTTGGCAAATGCCTTCACCCTACCTGGACCCAGCTCTGCCTCTTCTGTCTAGGATGGGACTAGGCTGGCCTGGGGGCTGGGGCGAGGGTAGGGGGCCTAGGGCGTCCTTGCAGAGAGGCAGAAAGCCCCTCTGCTTGCTCGTCTTCACCCTCACGGCAGGCCTGGCTGCAGACTTGTTTGCTTTCAGTCCTGTGAGCTTTTTCCTCATACACACAGCTGACTGATTTTCTTCTCAGAGTGTGTGTGTGTGTGTGTGTGTGTGTGTGTGTGTTTGTGTGTGGTGTGTGGTGTGGGTGGTGGGGGGTTGTCTGTGAATGAGAAAGAAGTAAATAAAATACCTCAGGCGGGTGGGTCTCTGTCCTGTGTGCCCAGGCTGCCAGCCTGGCACCTGCCCAAGGTCTCTGGGCAAAGCCCTGGTCCACGGAGGAGCGGGGCTGTCTGGAGGGTGCCGGGGGAGGTGAAGGTGTCTCTGAGTCTGTGACCTTACCATCTAGGCTCTTGGGTGACTCCCCGAGGTGGCTGGCTGGTTTTGGTGAGCTCCGAAGCTGAGGAGGCTGCCGGGGCTGCCTGGGGCTGCCTCCCGCCTCTCTGCCACATTCTTTTTCTCAGACAAACAGATTCCTTTGCTCACTGGAACAGCCGAGCTGGAGGAGCAGCTGTGAAAACAAACACGCGGCAGCTGACTGGAGGGCTGCGGGCTGTTTTCTGGGGGCTGCCTGGGCCCACAACTCCCTTTCTCCCTTCCAGCCACAGTGGGTGCCCTGGCTCCAACCCAGGAAGGGGAGGGTGGCCCCGTACTTTTGCTGCCTGGGAGTGGGCCAGCCCTGCTCCCTGGGTTTTCCTCACAAACGCCATCCTCAGGTGGTTCTTGGCAGGCCTGGCGCCTCTTTGAGCCCCCTGACCGGCTGTGACTGTCTCCAGCCAAACCTGGAGAGAAAATATTTAGAGAAGGGGCCCCTCTCCCCTACTGAACACAGTCAGCTTTCAGTGCATTCGGAGTGGTCCTGGGCCGCCCTCCTGAGACACCCTGGGGTGCCTTGGGTGGGGTGGTGCTCCTCTGAAAGGAGCACAGTAGGCCCTGGCAGAGTTTCAGACCCTCCCTGAGTCTGTGGGCCACGTGGACAGCATATCACAGCTCTGATTCTATTCTACAGCGAGTGATGAACCATTTGCATATTGGAACTGGAAAAGACCCCTCAGAGGTGAGGAAACCGAGATCCAGATGGCGGCGGGGGCCCACAGCCTGTTAGAATATTCTGTCTTCTCCCCTTCTTGGTGTAGCACACTCAGCCCAGGGTTACACAGCGTGGGATTATCAGCCAGGGCGCCAAGGCCCCAGCCAACAGCTCGCAGCTCTGCAACTGGCACGCGTCTTCCATCTGGGTGCAGCTCTTCCAGCACCCGGCCACGTGATGAGCAGGAGCCTAGCCAGGGATGACCTGCCCTGAACCTGAGCATACCCAGCCAGGGATGCTGAGTTGTCCCCAGGTGATCCCCTTGCAGTCATCAGTCCTTGGGCCTGGGCTGACCCTGGAGGCCATTGCTTCAGCCAGGCGGCTCTCAGCAGCTGAGACAGACCCTGATGTGGTTGAGAGCTGAGAGGCCGGGTGGCAGATCACAGTGTCACCATAGGTAATGGTGGTGATGTCATTACTCTAAGCTTGTGAGCACTTTGGAAGCAGGACTTTGACTGTGTGGCTCACCTGTCTCCCTGGTCCCCCACTGGTGCCTGACACCCACTAGGTGCTTACGGATTGTCTGTGGGAGGATAGGGTCATCCAAGCCCTCAGCTCCAAGCCTCCTTAGGAAATGTGCTCTGCTTCTAAGTTGGCAAGAGGATGGCCCTTTCATAGATTCTCAGGGCTAGAGAGAGAATTTCACAGGGAGCAGGAGTCATTTTTGGCAGTATTTTTTAAAAAATTAATAGAGACGCTACGTTGCCCAGGCTGGTCTTAGACTCCTGGCCTCAAGTGATCCTCCAGCCTCAGCCTCCCCAAATCCTGGGATTATAAGCGTGAGCCACTACGCCTGGCTCTTGGCAGTATTTTTATTGGACTTCAGTATTTCCCATGGATGTCAGAGCTTCGATAAACGGCAGCCAGTGCTCACGAATGAAGACATTGCTCAGCTTTGGTCAAATTAGATTGTGTTTGAATCCACAAAGAGGAAATAGGGTTGCAAGCCAGGCATTGTGTGGAGAGAAAAGGGTTTCCTACATTCCTTTAATTCCTACTCAGTGTATCAAGAGGGATGGGAAGAGGCATCAGGAGAGGCTGTTCCTCCGGTCTGGGAGGACTGTGGAAAGATGGAGCTGGAGCTGGGGGAAGCAATGTGATCTACTCTGGGATCTGCCCCGAGGGAGGGAAGTATGTTGGAGAGGGGAGGGGGCATGCCTCAGGCAGTGGTATGTTTGCTCCCGGTTGTAGGGAGGGTTGGGAGAGGACACAGTATGAAGGCGGCACCCCGCATTCATCCAGTGGACTCTGCTTAAGAAAAACTCAATGAGTGGCATGGTGTGGTAAGCAGAGCTGACCTTAGTTCCTTGGGTTTGGCGATGGTGCCCCTGTGTGGGGATGGTGGAAAGTAGGTGTGTCGAGGCCCCGTGGGCCTGGGTCACCGTCCAGATGGCGGACATCACAGTCTTCAAGGGGAAGCACAGCTGGCCTGTCTGGGTGATGGGGATGACAGTGCATGCACCCAGAGTTGGGCCAGGAGTTGTCCAGCCTCAGACTTTAGTCAGGGAGAGCCATCTGCACCTCAGCAGTTACCATTCAGGGGCAGCCTAGACCAGCCACTCCACTGCAATGAGACCTGATTTCTCTGCCTGTGTAAGGTCTCATGCCCCTTTGCTGTTCAAAGTGTGCTCTGAGGCCCAGCAGCCTTGGCATCACCCAAGAGCTTGGTAGGAGTGCACAATCTCAGGCCTGCCCCCAGACCTGCTAAATCAGCATGTGCACTTTTCACAAGCTCCCCAGGGGACTTGTTTGCACATTAAAGTTTGAGAAACACTGACATAAGTTCTATTCCCTTCCTCCATACACCTAAACTCCATCTTGTAGAAGAGAGGGGTGGTGGGGTGGGAATCTGGGAGAGCCTGGGCATTTGCCTAAAAGGACCATTTAAACAATTGTACTGCACTTAGTCTACTCTGTACAACTAAAATGTCATCACCCCACCCTGCCTTGCTATGCTCGACCAAGAATGGATCCTCCATAGACAAAGTAAAGAAATGAGATCTTCTTTTGCACATGTGACTGTAGTGTGAGTAGATTCGTGAGTTGGCTATGTGCAAAAGAAGAGAGTATGGCTGAGGGCAAAGGCATGCAGCCAGTTAGTGATAGAGGTGGCTAGAATTAGAACCCATATGCTTTTTTTTTTTTTTTTGAGACAGAGTTTTGCTCTTGTTGCCCAGGCTGGAGTGCAATGGCGTGACCTTGACTCACTGTAATCTCTGCCTCCCAGGTTCAAGTGATTCTCCTGCCTCAGCCTCCTGAGTAGCTGGGATTACAGGCATCTGCCACCATGCCCAGATAATTTTTGTATTTTTAGTAGAGACAGGGTTTCACTATGTTGATCAGGCTGGTCTCGAACTCCTGACCTCAGGTAATCCACCCGCCTTGGTCTCCCAGAGTGCTGGGATTACAGGCATGAGCCACCGTGCCCGGCCAGAACCCATCTGCTTTGACCTTGACTTTTTGCCGCCGCTACTTGAAGTGTGCTCGGTGGGTGAGTGCCAGTCCACAGCTGTCTGGCACCTGTCCTCAGTGAGCTAAGTACAGAAACTGGGAGCAAGTGTTTAGAAACTTTTATAGCAAGTCAACAGAGTATGTGTGTGTTTGTTAAATCTAACCGTAGAGGTTTGGGCTTGTGTTTTATGTTGTGTTTTTTTCTGCTTCATTTTTCCAGCAAATCATTTTTATTGTACTTTACAGAAGTATCTGTCCATAACGGATTGGAATTAATTAACAAACAAACACAAACAAGACTGGTCCTACATCCGTAGCTTCTTTGAGAAACAATGCTTTTGGCCGTGCCATTTCAAGTCAAGAAGAGAGATTCTGAAAAATATGAAAACATCTAAGGCTTGCCCCAGTCTGGGCAAAACGCATGAGCACTCACGCCTGAGGGGCCGGACTAACTTGGAAGGCATGGGTTATCATTTCTTTGTGTCCTCAGATTTCCCAGTGTCCACCCTGCCATAGGGAAGTCGGGGGGCAGGCATTCGTGGGGGACCTGGGGCTAAGTCATCCCATCTCCTGGCGCCCCAGTTTCCTCTCCTGCAACTGGGTCACCGGCAAGTGGGTCAGAGGTGCAGTTCTTCCCTGATGTGGCTGCTGCCTGCTCCGAAGAAGCAGATCTTTGTCAGCCTCCAGAGCTGCAGAAGGACACTATCTTGGGCATGAATATCCCACAGCAGCAGTGCTTTTCTTCTCTCTCCGCCGGACCTGGCTCATTCTTGTCTGGCAGAGGAACAAGCGATTTCTTTTTATGAGCCTGCAAACCTCCAGCCTCCCAGCCTCCCAGCTGGCTGGGTGCCAGGGCTGGGCCTGACACACAGGCTGACGTCCCCACCCAGACCCATGGTCCTGGCTGCTCCGAATTCTGGAGCGTCTGAGTCACCATGCCTGAGCCGGCGGCGTCTCCATGAAAGAGTTCAGAAGAATAAAGGAACAGGCTCTCCTATGGGCCTGCTGATAGCAATCTATCAGCATGACTACATTTTGGCCTCCTTTTTTTGCTGCCTCTAATCCAGCAAAGCAGGCTGTGGGTGTCTGATGGTGAACTGCCTAGCAGGGGAGGGAGTCCATCAGAGTTCCCTTCCCAAAGGCGATCGTGTGGGGAGTGTAAACCTCCCTCTGTCCTTCCCCCACAGTACTGTTGGTTTCTGCGCATGATGGAGTAGGGTGGGAGAAGGAGGCTTTTCTGGCTCGTTTGTCCGGGATCCTGAGACTACCCGGCCTCCACTGAGACGTGTGCAGGCCAGAGGGGCACCATCCACCTGCAAGACTACGGTGTCTGGAGGCGCTTGGCTGATTAGCCCTGCGGCTGGCCCCCAGTTTAATGAGCGTGGCGCCTGGTGTGCAGCTCAACCCCTGCTTGTTTAGACAGCCTTGCTGGCTGTGCCACGTGTCCCCTGCACCAGGCCGAGGAGGGGCAGCCCCCTGAGAAAGCCTGTTCCTTTATTCTTTCAGAACTGAGCCCCGGCTGCCCCGGCTTGGGTCAAAAGGCCTGCTGGGGCCTGGAGAGTCTTATTTCCTGAGGGGCTGAGGCCGGCCAAGGGGGCAACAGACAGTGGGGGACACTCGTGGATACAGGTGACAGGGCAGCAGGGGCTGCAGCCAATCTCTCCCTTCCCTGACCAGCCTCCCGGAGCTGAGTGCTGGCCGCATTGCTCTGGCCTCCCTGGGATTTCACATTTGATCGCTTTTCAGTGTGGCTGCAAAGGAAGGCTGCAGGAGCCATTTGGTGGGCACTGGCTGGGTCCGTTGTTAGCAGCATGGTGGGGGACAGAGTGGCTTTCCTAAGATGGAAAGCCTGTTGGTCCTGATTTCTGTACACTCTAAGGCCTTGGCCCTGTCTCCTCCTAGCACGGCACCCTAGGCCATCCTTGGTCCTACCTCTCCTGATGCTGCCCCTCCCCCAATATTTATGCTCCACCCGGCAGCCAGAGTGGACTTTATTTTTATTTATTTATTTATTTATTTTGAGATGGTGTCTCACTCGGTAGCGCAGGCTGGAGTGTAGTGGCATGATCTTGGGTCACTGTAACCTCTGCCTTCTGGGTTCAAGAGATTCTCCTGCCTCAGCCTTTTGAGTAGCTGGGATTACAGGCACCCACCACCACACCTGGCTAATTTTTTATATTTTTAGTAGAGATGGGGTTTCACCATGTTGGCCAGGCTGGTCTTGAACTCCTAACCTCAGGTGATCCACCTGCCTCGGCCTCCCAAAGTGCTGGGATTACAGGCATGAGCCACTGTGCCCAGCCTTAATTTTTATTTTGTAAACTTTTGATTTTGAAATAATTACAGACTTGAAAACTTGCAAAAGGAGTGCCAAGACTTCCTGAATCTACTTTCCTCAGATTCCCCCAATGTTAACATTTTTACCAATTTTTGTGTGCTTTCTCCACACACACACATTTCTGTTTTCCCTGAAGCTTTTGAGATTAAATTTTAGACATGATGCTCCTTGAACCCTGAAATATTTCAGGGTGCATTTCCTAAAAACAAAAACAACAAGGATGTTCTCTTAAATAACCACAGTACGGTTTATCAAAATTGGGAAATATACACAGATATTTACACAGATGTTACCTGATCCCCAGATCTTATTCAAATCCTGTCAGTTGCTCCACTAATGTCCTTCAAAACAAAAGAAAAGAAATATTTCTCTGGTTCAGGATCCAATTCAGAATTGCACACTGTAATCTGTTGTTGTGTGCCTGTTGTGTAATCTGTTGTTGTGTGTCCTATAATCCAGCATAGTCCCTTAGTCTATCCTTGTCTTTCATGACATGAACACTTCTGAAGAATAAGGGCTGGCGATTTCATAGACTGACCCTTAGTTGGGCTTTGTCTGATGTCTCTCGTGATCAGATTCAGATACTGCATGTTTCGCAGGAATGCCACTCAAGTGATGGGTGTCCTCCATGCATCGTATCAGGAGGCACGTGATGCCCATTTGTTCCATTACCGGTAATGTTAACATTGATCACTTGGCTAAGGTGGTGTTGGCCTGCTCTCTTCACTATGTTATTATTTTTCCCTTTAAAACTAATAGTATCTTATGGCTAGAGCAATTTTTTTTTTAAATGGCAATCTGATGACGTCACCTCCTTTCCTAACCCCAGCTGAAATCCTAACTCCTTATCTTGGTGTGCCCAGCCCTATGTGATCTGGCACCTGCTGAGCTCTGTGATGTCATCTCCTATCACATTCTTCACTCCCCCTCCTCCCACCCGGTTGGGGAACTCCAGGCACATTGGCCTTCCTGCTCTTTCTAGAACATACCTCTCTCATTCCAGCCTCAGGGCCTTTGTACTAGCTCTTCTCTTGGCCTTGAATGCTCTTCCTCCAATAATCACATGCTGGCTTCTTTGTGTCCTCCCAATCTCAGCTTACATTTCACCAGAGGGAGCTCCCCAGGCACTCCACCACAGCACCCTGGTTTGGTTCTTAGCATAGGACTTTCTACCAATTGACATTTGTACATTTATTTGTTCTTTGTCCATCTCCCGCAGAAGAAGAAAGCAGGGACCCCATGTACCTCGCTCAGTGCTGCGACTAGGTCCACAGTTGCGGAATGAATATTGATCAAAAATTTGCTGAATGAATGCAAGATGAAGGATTGCTCAGTAACGCGTTGCAAGCTGGGATCCTAACCCGGAAGTCTTGGAGTCCTGCCAGATTGTCTATGTTGGCTGCAGTGCAGCTCTGCTGGGCTTGTACTCAAACAGGGCAGATGGCAGCAGAGTAGCTAAGGGCTTCCTGCATGACTCTATTAAGGGGAGATGGAGGAAACAAGAAGTAATGATGAGATGGGGTAGGAAAGTGAAGGTGCCTTTGAGCCCTAAAGTACGGATCCTTCCCACGATATCTTCCTTCCTCCTTTCTTTCTTCCCTTCCTTCCTCCCTCCCTCCTTTCATCTCCCATCCTTCTGCCCTGTGTCACTGACCATGAAGTGAAGATGGCCTGGGGTCTTCTTTCTCCCCCAGTCCTTCTGTCTTTGTTTCTTTCAGGGAATGTGTTAGTCAGCTCTGGTTGCTATAACAAAAAATGGCAGACTGGGTGGCTTAAACAACAGTAATTTTTTTTTTTTTTTTTTTGAGACTGAGTCTTGCTCTGTCACCCAGGCTGGAGTGCAGTGGCGCAATCTCAGCTCACTTCAAGCTCCGCCTCCTGGGTTCACGCCATTCTCCTGCCCCAGCCTCCCCAGTAGCTGGGACTACAGGTGCCTGCCACCACGCCCGGCTAATTTTTTGTATTTTTAGTAGAGGCGGGGTTTCACTGTGTTAGCAAGGATGGTCTCAATCTCCTGACCTCATGATCCGCCCGCCTCTGCCTCCCAAAGTGCTGGGATTACAGGCGTGAGCCACCGTGCCTGGCACAACAGTAATTTATTGTCTCACAGTTCTGGAGGCTGGAAGTCCAAGATGAAGGTGCCAGCAGGGTTGGTTTCTGGTGAGGCCTCGTTCCTTGGCTTGCAGGTGGCCACCTTCTCTCTGTTTCCTCACATGGCCTTTCCTATGTGCAAGTACAAAGAAAGGGTAGGATAAGTTCTCTAGTGTCTCTTCCTCTTCATATAAGGATACCAGTCCTTTTGGATTAGGGCCTTACTCTCATGACCTCATTTCACCTCAATTACCTCCTTAAAGGCCCTGTCTCCAAATGCACTGGGAGTTCAGGCTTCAACGTATACATTTTTGGGGGACACACTTCAGTTCACAACAGGGAGAGAGCTTTGATTCTTGGCAGAAAACCACAGAGATTCTCCTAGCAGTTAGGTCCCCCAGGAGGTGTCTTCTCCCTCTCTTAATGCTACTGGACCTTAGGCTTCATTTTGAGAAATCCTCCTGGCCGGGCATGGTGGCTCATGCCTGTAATCCCAGCACTTTGGGATGCCGAGGCAGGTGGATCACTTGAGACCAGGAGCTCGGGACCAGCCTGGACAACATGGTGAAACCCTGTCTCTATTAAAAACACAAAAATTAGCTGGGTGTGGTGGGTGCACGCCTGTACTCCCAGCTACTCAGGAAGTTGAAGCGGGAGAATCACTTGAACCCGGGAGGCAGAGGTTGCAGTGAGCCAAGATCACGCCACTGCACTCCAGCCTGGGCGACAGAGTGAGACCTCGTCTCAACCAAAAAAGAAAAAAAAAAAAGAGAAATCCTCCTGGACATGTCAAGATCCACCTATGTAATGTCCACTTTCATGGAATGAAATTGGCTCCTCTCAGGTGGGCCCTACCGAGAGAATCTTTAGGTGGCAAGATAGCGAGTGAGTAGTGCTGCACATGGACCCTGGGGTGCTGGGATTCTGTTCTGAGGTTCATCTTCGTGTGTGTTTGTGTGTGTGTGTGTGTATGTGTGCGTGTGTGTGTTTGTGCATGTGTGTATACACCAACATGCACATGCTCTCTGGTTAGAATTGCTAGGCAGGGATGGGCAGCTGGCTCCCTCTGCCGTGACCTATCCCACTTTGGACACTTGATTCCGCCAACCTGTGCCCCCTTTAGCCCTCCCAGCCCAGGTGTGGCCCAAGATCCCTGCCTTTTTCTCAGGAACCCACAGAAATGAGGTTGGAACTTTCTAGAGGGCTTTGTGGTAGCTGGGGGACCTACATATGCTAGCATAAAGGATGTGGGCAGAGCAGGCAGCTGTTGCAATGATCTTTTGCTATATAACAAACCATTGCAAAACTTAGTGACTTAAAATAGTGACATTAATTTTGCTCACGAGTGTACACTTTGGGCAGGACTTAGCAGGGACGGGTCTTCTCTGCTCTACTTGGTGGCAGCTGGGGTGGTTGGAAGCTGCGGCCTGGATTATCTGAAGGCGTGCTCACTACCATGTCCGGTGGTTGATGCTGGCTGTCGGCTAGTATGTTAACTGGACTTGTGGATCAGAACACCTATATGTGGCCTCTCCAAGTGGTTGCTTGGCTTCCTCACACTATGGCAGATGGGTTCCAAGAGTAAGTGTCCCGAGAGAGAGCCAGGCGGAAGCCACTGCATCTCTTCTGACCTAGCCTTGGAAGTCACCCAGGATCACTTCCACCATATTTTATTCATTAGAAGCCAGTCACTAAGGCTGGCCTATGTTCAAGGAGAAGGGATTTAGACTCCAGCTCTTAATGGGAAAGAAAAATGTCAAAGAATTTGCAGCCACATTTCAAAATCTACCGCAGTGGCTCACTGCTTCCTTCCCATTCATGCAAGACTTGAGGCTTGGGACTCTTCCCTTTCCAAAGCCCTGTCTCCGTCTTTACAAGGTCACCGTCGTGTCACCTACCACCCAGTGGTGCCTTTATGGAAGCCAGAGCAGGAGAGAGAGCCATCCTTTCCTGGATCAAGGCCAGACCAAGAAGAGGCAGTCCTCTGGGCAGAGGAATGATTTGGTGCCCCTTCATACAGGCAAAACCAGATTTCCTATCAGAACAGCATTTGGCTGCAAGTGACAAAGAGATCTAAAAGAAGGCTGCAGTGTATTCCTCTCTTGCATAGCAGTCTGGAGGTGGCAGTCCATGGCTGACATGGCTATTCTGCTTATGAAGTCCATGGGGACCCAGGCTCCCTTTATTGTGCTGCTCTGCCATGCATGGCCTCGTCTCCAGGTCACCTTATGGTCAAAGACAACTACTGTAGCTGCAGTCAGTATATCCATGCTGTGGCCAGCAGAAAGGAGGAAAAGATCAAGAAGTAGAAGCAGAGGGTGCCCGCAGCTATTTTGTAAGGAAAGTTCCCAGGCCTATCACGTGATACTTCTGATTGTATTTCATTGGCCAGAACTTCTCCATATGGTCACTCCTAGCAGTGGGAGGCTGGGAAACGTAGTCTTTATTCTGGATGGCCATGTGTCCCGCTAAAATTGCTCATTCTCTCAGCATGGAGAAAAGAGAGAAAAGATGCTGTGGGTCAAGAAGCAGACTATGCCAAACTTATTAATTAAAAAATTTTATGTGTGGACAGATTTACTTACTAATTTACCTACCCTGGCTAGAGAAAAATTAATGGTCTAAAACAACAGCAAAACATCTTACCCTTTTTGTAGTTCTTTCCCTCACATCAGTTTTCTTTGGCAATTTCTCAAGGAGGACAACTGGGCGGGGTTATGTTGAAGAGTTTACAAATTATTTAATATAATGAATCCTTGTGTGTAGTAAATAAGAAAGCTACACCATGCTTTACTTATTTCAGAATTTTAGCTGATGGCAGCTATACGTGTGTATTACAAAACTACCCAAAGAGAGGGGTCAGTGCCAGCCACGGGTGTTTTTAAAATTTCCATATAAGGCTGCTGTTTACTTTGGTAGGAGCTTGTGGAAACTTGCGTCAACCAGCATGGGTATTTCTATTTATTCCAGTGGTATTTTGGACCCTCTAACAGGCTGGTGCCTTGGGCAGCTACCCAGCTGGCCTGCTCAGCTAGCTCTGTGTCTGAGGACACTCAATAGGACTTTATTATATATGTGTATATGAGACAGGGTCTCACTCTGTCACACGGCTGGAGTGCAGTGGCACGATCATGGCTCACTGCAGCCTCAAGTTCCTAGGCTCAAGTGATCCTCTTGCCTCACTTCCCCAGTAGCTAAGACCACAGGCATGCACCACCATGTTTGGCTAATTTTAAATAATTTTTTTTTTTTGTAGAGACGGGGATCTTGCTATGTTGCCCAGGATGGTCTTGAACTCCTGGCCTCCAGACGATCCTTCCACCTCAGCCTTCCAAGGTGCTGGGATTAAAGGCATGAGCCACCACGCCTGGCTGGGACTTTACAATTTAGAGAAGACCTGATCTCTACCTAAACGGTATGACTTTGGCTCCATGGTCCTTAATAGGTGAATTGTGCCTCCGTATACTATAATGACCTGGATATTTATACAAGAGACTGGATTAGTTTTCCAGGGGTGCTGTACCAAAGTACCACAGACTGGGTGGCTTGAACAACAGAAATGTATCGTCTTATACTTCTGGAGGCCAAAAGTCTAAGGAGGCCTAACGTCAAGGGGTCACCTGGGCCACGCTCCCTCAGAAGATTCGAGGGAAGGATCTGTTCCAGGACTCTCTCTTAGCTTCTGGTAGTTCCTTGGCTTGTGGCCATGTGACTCTAATGTCCACATGATATTCTCCCTGTGTGTGTCTGTCTGTGTCCAAGTTTCCCTTTTTTTTTAAAATAAGGACAACAATAATATCAGATTAGGGACCCACCCTACAGAATGACCTCATCTTAATTAATTACATTTGCAATGACCTTATTTCCAAATAAGGTCACATAATGAGATACTGCAGTTTAACAGTTTGGGGGAAACACAATTTGGGGGAAACACAATTCAACCCATATTAGAGACATCCACATAGAGGGAGATGTTATGTGTGTTGGAGTATGTGTGCGTATTGTCTTTTGTATGCTGTGGCCTGAAGCTTCCTGACTGGGGGGAGGTGGTTTCCACCAGTGATAGCAAGATGCTGATGGAGGCCGGGCATGGTGTCTCACGCCTGTAATCCCAGCACTTTGGGAGGTCGAGGTGGGCGGATCACCTGAGGTCGGGCGTTTGAGACCAGCCTGACCAACATGGAGAAACCCTGTCTCTACTAAAAATACAAAATTAGCCGGGCATGGTGGCACATGCCTGTAATCCCAGCTACTCAGGAAGGTGAGGCAGGAGAATTGCTTGAACCTGGGAGGCAGAGGTTGCCGTGAGCCGAGATCGTGCCATTGCACTCCAGCCTGGGCAACAAGAGCGAAACTCTGTCTCAAAAAAAAAAAAAAGATGCTGATGGAAAGAAGTTCACGTGAAGGCCTTTGATTCTTTCCCGGTAAAGACAGGGCAACTGGAGCTGAGGTGGGGTCTGAAATTGGCCAACCACATGCAATATCTAGAGCAGGGGCATTGCCACCCATCAGAATGGGCATCTGGAGGCAGTTTTAGTTGGTTGTAATATAGCAGGATGCTCGCAGCTGTAGTCAGTGACTTCAGTTCTAATAATAAAAAGCCCACTCCTCCAAATGATGCAGGCAATGGGGAGATTATTATCCTCTCCTATCAAGAAGCCCAGAGGCAGGATGATTCCCGGTTGGTGAATTCAGTGCTCATTGATGTCATTGGAGCCCCAGGTTTGTCCCACTTTTTGCTTTACCATCCTCAGCATGTCAGCTTTGGTCCTCTGCCTTGCCTCTTGTTTACAAGATGGCTTCATTGGCTCCAGGTGTCACATTCCAGCACAAGTCCAAAGGCTTGAGGAAAGAACACTTCTTCCTCAAGTTCTTTTCAAAGAGCTCTAGCCGACTTCTTCTCACACCTCTTTGGGCAGAATTGTGTCATTGGGAAAGGAAATGGAGTTGCCAGGATTGGCTTTGACTCATCAAACTCTACTCTCTGGGGCTGGAGGGGTCAGTCGCCCTTGATGCATACAACTGCCCTTTCCCTGAACAAAATCAGGATGAGGTTGGCAGGGAAGAAGGGATGGAGGCAGGCTTACTGGGAAGGCAACTCACAAAATCCACCACACAGATCTTGATTAAAGTGGAGGGACAGGGGGCTTTCTCTGACTCTGGTGGGGGTGGGGTGTGACAGCAGAGATGGGAGAGAGGGAGTGCCGTGAAGAGCCATCAGTCGATACGTTCTTAGAATAACACTTCTCATCAGGCACTGGGTCTGACTTTAAGCTGACAAATGATTTTCCTTCACAATAAAAGTACAAACAGAATCCTAATTAATGAATTTGCCAATAGCTGTTGCCTATTTTATGGGCCTTAGCCTAGATTCAGTCTGTGGACAGGATGAGCGAGTGTGTGTGTATGGACGTGGCCATAAATCACCCAGGGTCCAGGACAAGGGCTGTCTGGTTGGGATCTTCCTAGGCAGCTCTTCCTGGGGGAGCCTGGGCTTGCCACAGCAGCCACGATAGCCACGAAAGCCATATAGCTATGACAGCCATGATCCTCATGGGACACTCAGCAGCCCAGGCAGCCCTGTGACAGTGTAGACTGACTCTAGCTCACTGCTGCTGCTTCTTGTGGCTGAGAGGATTAACATTTTTCTCAAGAGGTCATTGGCCCAATCTCCTGAAGCCCCTGAGTGGGTATTTTTCCTTTCACCATTTCCACCTACAGAGAGGCCATGGGCCCTTCAGTAACCTACCTGGTATTGAGGAAATGCCTGGGAAAGGTTATTCCATTTGGAGGTGGGGCTGTGCCTGCATCATGCATTCTACAGCCAGGAGTCTGATTGTGTGCTGGGCACTGTGCCTGGGCAGGAGGGGCAAGGACAGATGAGGCTGCCCAGGTTCTCATTCTCAGGGGCTCAACCGTCTCGCCTGGGTGATGGTCAGAGGTACCACGGGGGAGGAAGAACCCTCCATGAGCTCTTTGCTTCGTAGGGAAGCCAGCAGAAGGGGGAGACGTGGTGAGGCCCACTCTCAGGACATGAAAATGGCAGCTTTGGCAAGACTATGGGACAACAGACTTCAGATACCAGAGAGAGCATGAGGTAGACATTCTGAAAGATTTGCTAAAGTTCAAGGTAGCATGGGCCACTTGCCTTTTGAGAAAGCTCCCAAGTGATTCTGATATACTTGCCCTTCCCTCTTCACTTCCTTCTCCCCACACTGTCTTGGTAATAATCGTCAAGTTACAAGAAAATAACTAATAACCTCCCACATGCTTGAAGATAGTTGATCATCTACCTGTTCTATAGCCTTTGTGCCCCCATTTCATTTCATCTGCCTGCACAGGCCTGTTTCCCAACTATTGCTAATGATTAATAATTTGTTTAGTATTAACTGAGCTTTCCATTTTTTTTTTTTTGGTTAACATTTTCCCAGCCATTTGTTACAATTCTTCAAAACCAACTCTTTGCCTTCACGCAGCATCAATAAATTAATTTCTTTTATTTTTTGGCTTTGATGTGGCTGAGAAAGCCTGGTGTTCCATTTGCAATGCCTGGCCCTTCAGTATTTCTCTGGTCTTTCCAGGAGTGAGATAAACTGTGCAGGTTGGCATTCAGTGGGGCAGTCCCTAGGCGAACCCCCAAAGTGAACTCCCTCGGGGGGATATTCTCATCCTCACGATCAGACACTACTGAGTAGATTTCTCATCTGTCCACGTCGGTGCCATGTAAATGTTTTATTTCCCTCAGAATCTTAGAATTACTATCACTCAGTCCTGCTGACTTACAATCATGTGGTTTTCCATGTCTTTTTCTCACTTCGTCTTTTGTGACAAGTTATTCCTGTGGTCATCATCAGTATGGCTCTTCCAAGAATTCTCTCTCTCTTCATTTCCCTTTGCTACAGTGGGCTCTTGGGGCTGGAAGTTTCTGAGTGCTACTAATGCCCTGCAGACACCATGATCCCATCTCTTCTTGGCTGGTACCTCTGGCAAAGTGAGTCTCAGTGACCTGTCGCTTTTAGCACTGAGGCTGTTTCCTCATCTTTAAAATGGCTCTTTGACCAGATGTGGTGGCTCACGTCTATAATCCCAGCACTTTGGTAGGCCGAGGTTGGCAGATCACTTGAGGTCGGGAGTTTGAGACCAGCCTGACCAATATGGAGAAACCTTTTCTCTACTAAAAATACAAAATTAGTCGGGCGTGGTGGCGCGTGCCTGTAATCCCAGCTACTCAGGAGGCTGAAGCAGGAGAACTGCTTGAACCCGGGAGGCGGGGGTTGCAGTGAGCTGAGATTGTGCCATTGCACTCCAGCCTAGGCAACAAGAGCAAAACTCTGTCTCAAAAATAAAATAAAATAAAATAAAAAGGCTCTTCTGAGGTTGGAACATGATAATACTTTTTTTTTTCTTTTCTTTTTTTTTGAGACGAGGTCTTGCTCTGTTGCCCAGGTTGGCCTCAAACCCCTGGGCTCAAGTGATCCTCTTGCCTCGGCCTTCCTAGTAGCTGGGATGACAAGTGTGTGCCATCACGCCCTGCTGGAACATGATAATACTTGTAAGTATCTAGGGGTGTGCCTGACACATAACTGGGATAGCAATATAACCATTTCCATTTGATTTCCATGCACAGCTACCCATTTCAAGCTGCTGCAACCTGCTTCTCCTTGCTTGAAGGCTTTCTTTGGCCACCAGATCCCTTTCTTTTTGTGTGCATGGCAACCTACAAGTGCCAAGGAATAAGTGGTTTCCAGGAAGAGTCCCCAAGCAAGGACTGATAGGAGTGAGCTGGTAAGTATCCCAGCACCCTGCCCCTCAGGTGGGCTAATGCTGACATGTGTGTTCTGTGCTGTCTCCTAGAGCTCCCCAGCTGGCTTAAGCTCCAGTTGCCCCTAGTGTTAATTTGCTTGCAGACTCCCCCTTTATTGACTTCCTTCTTTTCCCTGTCTCACCTCCTCACTCTCCTATCAGTGTTTCAGGAGATCACCTCCCCATAAAACACTAGCACACAAGTCCTTGTCTTAGAGTCTGCTTCTGAAACCCTAGTTTGGGTTTCCCTAAATTTCTCCAGCTGTTCTCCCAAATTCCGATATCCATCTCCAAATTGCCTCCTGGACAACCTGTGTTCACATCAAACTTGACATGTATAAAATTACACTTACTCTCTTCCCCAACAAACTAGCTCATTCTCCTGTCTTCCCGCATCTCTTAGCAGTCATACCATTGCCCCCCAGGTCATTCAGGGTCATTCACAGCAAATATTTACAGAGCTCCTTTAGTGGGAGTGCAACTCTGTGTTGCCCTTCAGCCATAACTGGTCTTTGCTTAGTGTTTTTATTTTTATTTTTATTTTTTTTTCCTCTTATCCCCTATGTCCCCTGACTTCACACCCAGTCTACTGGCCTCCTTGCCACTAGTGTCTTCCAGAAGAGACTTCTGACCCTTTATCACTTCCTGTCTTCGCTGAAAACCCATCCATGGCTGTCCACTGGCTGCTGGAGAGAGTTGGAGCTCCACACCTGGCCAGGGAAGGCCCCTGTACATCCCTGACCTTGGTATTGACCCTCTAGTCTAGCCCAGCTGCTCCATCCCTAACCACTCCCTGGAGTCATGGAGCTTCCTGTGGCCATGGCTTTGGTTGTATTAGATTCTACCCATACCGTAGGGTTCAGATGAAATCCCACTTCCTTTGTTGCAGCCTTGCCCCTACTGGGAAAGAAGCTATCCTCTGAGTCCTGTAGCAGGATAGGAAATACTCAGCCATCTTCATTTATTCGGCAAATCACTATGTCCTAGGCACTGCCACTGCTGAGACCTTTTTTTTTTTTTTTTTTTTTTTTTTTTGAGACGGACTCTCGCTCTGTTGCTTAGGCTGGAGTGCAGTGGCACCATCTTGGCTCACTGCAACCTCCGTCTCCTGGGTTCAAGCAATTCTCCTGCCTCAGCCTCCGAATAGCATGCCACCACGCCCAGCTAAGTTTTGCTTTTTTTTTTTTTTTTTTTTTTTTTGTGACGGAGTTTTGCTCTTGTTGCCCAGGCTGGAGTGCAGTGGCATGATCTCTGCTCACCGCAACCTCTGCCTCCCGGGTTCAAGTGATTCTCCTGCCTCAGCCTCCCAAGTAGCTGGGATTATAGGCATGTGCCACCACACCTGGCTAATTTTTTGTATTTTTAGTAGAGACAGGGTTTCTCCATGTTGGTCAGGCTGGTCTCGAACTCCCGACCTCAGGTGATCTGCCCACCTTGGCCTCCCAAAGTGCTGGGATTACAGGCATGAGCCATCGCACCCAGCCAGTTTTGCATTTTTAGTAGAGACGGGGTTTCACCACGTTGGCCAGGCTGTTCTCAAACTCCTGACCTCAGGTGATCTATCTGCCCCGGCCTCCCAAAGTGCTGGGATTACAGGCGTGAGCCACCACGCCTGGCCGAGAACATACTGATGAACAAAATAAGCATGGTGGTCCCTGCCTTCATGTAGGTCACAGTTTAGGGAGGGAGGAGACAGAAATCCAAAAATTACATGTAAATTATCTATTGCGTTAAGGAAGAGTAACAGTATGAAGGGTGAACAAGATATTATCAGAAAGTCAAACTAGGAGGAAACTAACCTAGATGACAGGTTGTGAATGTTCAGATGAAGTTTTCCTGAGATGAATTTTGAGTAGGAGTTTGCCGAAATCAAGGTAAAAAGTAGTCCACTTAGAATGAATCCCTTGTGGGAAAGCTATAAACTTTTGAGACACTAAAACTGGCCACTGGGGCTAGAATTTGATGAACAAAACAGCAGTGTGAAGAGAGATGGGGCTGGAATTGTCGTCAAGGGCCAGATCACCCAGGGTCTTAGAGGCTGCAGTAGTCAGGTTTCTGCTGGGATAATGTTGCTTAACAAACAGCTCCCAAACCTCAGTTGTTTGCAACAAGCGTTTATTTCTTCCTCATAGGTCTTTCTATTGCCGGTAGTTCAGGGCTCAGCTATAGCTCTATAAACCAAGGCTAGGCCCCTGACTTTGGGATGGGCTAAGGATAGCACCACATTTCTGTCATTCTGAGACCCAGGCTGAAGGAGAAACAGCTACCTGCGGGGAGCTCTTCTCCTGGCTAAGGTAAACGCAAGAGGGCAATTGGAAACAATCTCTTAAGGCCAAGGTTTGGAGCCAGCACACAGTTATCTCTGTCCACATTCCACTGGTCAAAGCCAGTCATAAGGCCAACCCCTAAGCCAGTGGGACAAGAAAATAGCTTCTACCCTGTCTGCTAGGAGACATACAGTCAGATAGCAAAGGGTGTGCGAGTGATTCCATCTTAGGTAGAGGGCAAAGTTGGGCATAGTAATCCAATCTACCACATGGGCCATATTAAGGATTTTGCTTTTTTATTCTAACAACTGGAAACCATTGTATCTTTCTTTCTTCCCTCCCTTTCTTATTTTTTCCTTCTATTTTTAATTATCCACCTAACACATGAGTATATTTCCACTGTAAAGTACTCGAGCTATGTGAATAAAGCCACAGCCCTCTTTGTTTCTCCTGGTGGCCCCTAATCCAAGTCCCTTTCCCAGACATAATCACTGTTAATGTCTTGGATGCTTCTTCTCTAAGATTTTTTTAAAACTACATTCCTGGCCGGGTGCGGTGTCTCATCCCTGTAATCCCAGCACTTTGGGAGGCCAAGGTGGGCGGATCCCCTGAGGTCAGGAGTTCAAGACCATCCTGGCTAACATGGTGAAACCCCGTCTCTACAAAAATACAAAAATTAGCCAGGCATGGTGGCAGGTGCCTGTAATCTCAGCTACTTGGGAGGCTGAGGAGGGAGAATCACTTGAACCCGGTAGGCAGAGGTTGCCGTGAGCTGAGATCGTGCCATTGCACTCCAGCCTGGGTGACAGAGTGAGACTGTGTCTCAAAAAAAAAAAAAAAAAAAGCATTCCCATACACATATATGTATACAGAAATGTAGAATTTTTATGAATGTGTTTTAACATGAAAGACATCATATATAATATATTGTTTTGCAGTTGCCTTGGATTTTGTTTTTTAACAAATAATTTCTTGAGCTTTAAGTAAATACCTGGGAAAGTTATGCCATGGCTTTTCAATGGCAAGGGTCTCCAAAGGTCTTACTTTGGCCTTGGTTGGAAGCTGTGGGTGTGGTCCCAAATAACAAGCCCTGCAAAGCCACAGTAATATTTCCAGTATCATGTGCTTTTCCAGAAAGTTAACACTCTGCTATCAAGAGGTAAATTCTCTGCTCCTCCCCTTGAAACTGTGTGGGTCTTTGTGACTGCTTCACCTAGAAGCGTATGACAGAAGTGACACTATGTGACTCCTGAGACTGGACCATAAAAGGTGATTCAGCTTTCACCTGGTTCTCCCTTGGGGTACTCACCCTTGGGACCCTGCTGCCATGCTGTGAGGAAGCCATGGCTACATGCAGTGCAGCCGAGGCCCCTGGTTTTCAGCTTTGGCTGAGCTCGCAGTTAACCACCAGCTCCAACTTGCCAGCTGTCTGTGAGCCATCTGGGAGGTGAATCCTCTAGTCCCCATCCACGCCTGCCCAAAATGCAGCATCATGAGCAATATCAATGGTTGTCATTGGCTTAAGCATCTAAATTTAGAGGTAGCTTATTGTGCAGTGAGAGATGAATGGAGCACCTAGTGGCTGAGACCAGAGTTCCCAGTGGAAGAGGACGCCGTGGCAAAGCTGTCACCATGCCATGAATTCAGGAGCCCCTGGGTTTCCCCTGAGGAAGGGTTCATGCCCCCCACAGCCTAGAACTGGGCTGAACTTGTGGACATTGTGGGGGGTGGTCTTAGCATGGCAAGCCTGGCTTAGTAGCATACCAGACATATGACATGCGGTCCCTGCCCTTATGGAGTTTGCAAGCTTATTGGGGCGAGAAGACTTACCAGTTCTAAAGTCAGCCAGTGTCCCCAAGGCACCTTGTAGGTCACCTGCTGGTGGACAGAAAGGGCCAGAGGACTTCAGAGAGGGGAATGATGGCAGTTGGTCACGTGATGTGGTGACATTGGCAGCCACCAAAACTTGGGAAGGCTGCTGGTTTGGGGAAAGTGAGGGGTTTGGTTGTAAACACACAGAGTGGGAGGAGGTTTGGGGAGGAGTTGCAGCCGGCTGGCTGAAAAAGCATCAGAGGAAGAGGCAGGGGCCCGGGGCCCTGGGCCCAGACCTCCAACTCTGACAAACTGCCAATGTCACTTTGTATGTCACTTGACTTCTGTGGGCCCCAGTGGTAGGGGCACCAGATAAAATACAGGCCACCCAGTTCAAGTTGGATTTCAGATCAACAAATGAATAATTTTTAGTATAAATGTGTCCCAAATATTGCATGGGACATACTTATGCTAAAAAGGATGTATTGCTTATCTGAAATTCAATTTGAACTGCGTGGCCTGTATTTTTATTTGCTAAATTCGGCAGTCATGGCCAGTGGCCCTATTTGCAAAGATGGGATCTTAGATGGCATCGCTTCCAAGGCTGTGAAGCCTAGAGGCAAAGCAGGCTCTGGATCAAACGCCCTGCCTGGGTAGGATCCCAGCTCTGCCATGGGTCATGGTGTGACCTCTGGCAAGCTACTGTCTTACCTCCTCCAAGCCTTATCTGTAATGGGAATAACTTTGGCCCTTCCCTCACAGGGTAGTTGTGTGGCATCGATGAGACAATGTGTATGAAGCGCTTCATATGGCTAGGCACACGGCACCTGCAAAATTAAAGCGAGATATTATTACTTTTTCTAGTGCCAAAATGCTGTGGTCCTTAGGAAACCATTTATTAAGCAACAGACATCTTCATGCCTTTGTGGGTAAGGCTGTGTGTGTGTGTGTGTGTGTGTGTGTGTGTGTGTGTGTGTGTGTGTCGGGGGGTGGGCATGTAGAGATAAAGAAGTCACCGGCCTCACCCCCTAGGAACAGAAACCTGGTGTCTAGCCAGCAGTTGCAGAGGAATCCACTACCCACTGCGCTCAACGCCCACAGTTAATAACATTGCAAAATGAGGGTTGTGGATGCATTCTCCCTTCCTCGGCATCTTTGCGGGCAGGTTTTTAATTTTAAGCAGGAGAAAACCCATCAGGTATTTGAGGCTCCTGGGGGGCAGCTAATGCTTCCTGTCAAATGCTCACCCTGGGGTGCTTTGTTACCCTGACACCTCCAGAACTTGGAGTCAGCAGCAAATTGCAGGACAAAATTCTTATGCTGCAAGTTTATTGCATATTCATAGAATTTAGGCCATTAGGCAACATTAGCTTTTTTTTTTAACCTTTTATTGAAGTATAACCTACATTCAGAGAAGCCTGAGCGTACAGCTTGATACATTCTTACAAGCTAAGAGCACCCGTGTATAAGAACACCCAGGTAGAGACACAGAACATCAACAACCCCCAAGGAAGTCCCCTTCATGTCATCTCCCAGTTGCTGCTTCCTCAAGGGAGGTGTCCCCACCTTACACAGAGAGTAGTTTTGTCTATCTTTGAATCTTATGTAAATGGAATCATACAGTTTGTCTTCTTTTGGGTCTGGCTTCTTTTGTTCAACATTATCATGGTGAAATTTATCCGACTTGTGGAGTGTAGTTGTAGTTTGTTCCTTCTCATTGCTGTGTAGTATTCCATGTGTGACAATTCCACCATTTATTTACCCACTGCTGCCAATGGGCTTTCGGGTAGGGTTAGCTTTGCTATGGACATTCTAGTACATGCCTTTTGGTGGATCCCGGCAACTCCTTTCTGTGAAGTAGAGCTAAGGGTATGCTTATGTTCAGCTTTAGTCGAAAAGGCCAAATGGTTTTCCATAACATCAACTTTTCATTCCTAAGGCTGAACATATCGGAGAAAGGAAAACATACGTAGTTAAATATCTTTTGATACCTTTTACGTTCTAAGAAATTAGCAAAATCAAAGTGGAACAAGGAAGGAAATTTTCACTTTCAACCTGTGTGGTGAAAAGCTTTGGAAGTGTTTTTTAAAAAGCGACCTGTTCCATCAACTCTGCCAGCTCTTTCTACCAGAAACTTCTTGTTTGTCTTCATGGAAACAGGGATGTAAAATAGAGAAGTTAACATGCACGCGAATGCCCTGGAGATCTTGTTAAAAATGCTGATTTTAATTCAGTAGGTCTCAGTGGGACCTGAGATTCCATACAAGCTCCCAAGTGATGGTTATACTGCTGGTCTGAGGACCACACTTCAAGCAAGGGCCACCCACTGGCGCTCAATATCAGACGGTTGGTGGTCACACTGTCTGGCTCTCACCTGGTTCATCTACTTCTTGAGCATGGATAGTGCATCTGTTGGCAGGCCCTGGGGCTAGAAATAGGGAAGGCCTTACAGCAGGACAAGAAAACAAAAAATACTGGGCTTTGGAATCTAAAAGAACAATGATCATGTCCTGGCTTAGCTTTACTGGTTGTGTGACCTCAGCAGGATACCTAACCTTCCTGAGCCTTAGTTTCCCTCTTGGTGAAATGGGGTAATAGTACCCACACTGCAGGGGTGTTGTGGGAAATGTCTGTTGGATGCTGTGCACATGCTGGGCTGCTGATAAATGCTGGTTATTATTTTTCCTGATGCACTCTCCGATATTTGTTGTAAGTAGGTAGGACAAAAATACATACAAATCATGCAAGTATCGGTGCATACAAAAACACATGGTAAAGAGCTCACAGTCCAGCCACACAGTCCAAAACAAATTCTTCCAATAAAGCTGATAATTGTCACAAGCTACTGTGTGGCAATTATTATCTTTATTTGTGTGTGTGTGTGTGTGTGTGTGTGTGTGTGTGTGTGTGTAAGACACTGTAGGGAGACAGAGGAGAGGGTGAGAATCTCTGGAGGGAATAAAAGGTGGCCTTACAGAAGGGAAACTGGGTTTTGAAGGGTGAGTAGGAGCCTGCCAGGCAGACAAGGCTGGAGGTAGGTGAGGGAGGGGGAGTTCATTCCACTCAGCAAATAGCATGTGCATAGGCACAGAGGCACAGAGAGGCCCAGTGGTTCATGTGGTGGGGAAAGGCTGGATGCAGGGTTGAGGGGCTTTGACTCCTACCCTAAAGGGCACAGATGGGCACCCCAGTTAAAATGTATAGCAAACCATGGGCTTCCTGGCTGTCCTTTCTGGGGCGCTTTTCCTACTTCAAGGAAATCCTATCCCTATTCTTAGCTTTGGCAAGCCTAACATGCGAACACTCTTCCTCAGCCGTGACAAAGTGTGCTGCGAGAAAACATCTGTGGCTGGGTGCAGTGGTTCACACCTGTCATCCCAGGACTTTGGGAGGCCAAGACGGGTGAATCGTTTGAGGTCAGGAGTTCCAGACCAGCCTGGGCAACATAGTGAGATCCCGTCTCTACCAAAAACAAAATAAGAAATGAGCGCTTATGGTCTCAGCTACTCGGGAGGCTGAGGTGGGAAGGTTGCTTGAGGCCAGGACTTTGAGGCAGCAGTGAGCCGGATTGTGTCATTGCACTCCAGCCTGACAGGGCGAGATCCTGACTCAAAAAAGAAAGAAAAAGAAAACCATCTGTGATATACCCCTGTGACTCAACCAGGAGTTCCTGCTTTCTGGTCAGGGACTCCAAGACTGAATTTAGAATTGGAGGCTCAGAGAGTGGGTGGGGGGTGCAGTTGTTCACACCACCTCCTAAAGGTAAGTCCTGGGCTCTGGCAGGCCCTGCGTCACACACTGTCTGCCACCCACCCAGCCCCGTGGGACATGTTGCCCATTGAGATGCTCCAGGCCTGAGCTCAGAAAGCAACTCCCAGCTGCCCCTTGGGGACCAGCGAGACACCCTTCTGGTGTGCCGGAGCTCCTTCTGCCTGCTGGTCACCTCCTCTCTTGCCAAACAGTGTGCTGGCACAAGCCAGGAAGCTGAGGAGACTGTTGGGTTTGGCTCCTGAAGGTGGGCCCGGGGCCAAGGCATTGTGTCCAGCCAGCCCTTGCCGGAGGATAAACTGTGACGCGTGGGCCAGGCGGCTGCTCAGGAAGGAGATTCAGCAAGGCCTCTGGACACAGCGCTCTATTCTTGATCCAGAGCCAGGGCCAAGCCAGCTTCCCCGCCTGTCCTTGGTGCTTCCTAAGACAGGCAACATTGGCAGGGGAGGAGTGGCTAGAGACCCTCTACTCAGGGGCTTTCTACATTCTTGATTTTGAAGTAGCAGAACCCCTTTTGCTAATCAAAATCATGTTCATCTGTAGCCATAGTTGTCAAATGGGCTGAAGGTGGGCTGTGAGCTGGCTCTGGGAGGGGCAGGGTGGAGACCCACACCCAATCTTGGCCGCTACCAGGCCCCGGCCCATCCTTGGGTCCCCTCAACACAGCTTTCAAAACCACAACCTCAGCCAAACCCCTCGCTTTTCAGTGGAGGAAATTCATGCCAGAAAAGGGCGGGGGAGGTTGGGGGAGGCAGAGAGGTAGCTCGAACCCTGGTCTGCTGTCTCTTGGGGCCAGCCTCGTGGATAGCGAAGTGCTTCGGGCCACTGTGCTGTGGAGAATAGAGGCAGGTTCAGGTTCCTTAAGCCTGAGAAGCCTCCTGCTCTTAAATGCATCTGAGCCGGAGACTGGCTGGACACTGCCCACATTTGGGGGTTCCTTCAGGGAGGGCTGCTGGGCCAGGACCCAGGCCTCACAGGGGTCCATGGGGCTACCTTCTCCCAGAGCTCACTTGGGCTCTGTGCCTCTCCTCGCTGGGCACAGGGACCCCTTCACCTCCTGGGGGGCCCTGATTGACAGACCCTTCTTCCCCGACAGCAGAGTCAGCCGGCAACCTCTCCCTTCAGCAATCCCCCCCTCCCCCTCCCTCTTCCCCAGCCATTAGATAGGAAGCTGCTATATTAATGTCCCTTCTTCTTTCTGGCCAGTGGTATCACTGCCATGTCCCCCCCTCCCACCTCCACCCTAATGATTTGTCCTGGCAGCAGAAACATTACAGCGATGATTTCATGTAGAATTTCATTTGCTGTTTTTTTTTTTAATCCCTTGAAGAAGGGGCTGAGCGATTAATGGGTCTTTGAGAGATCAAAGCTCTATGTGGCAAAGAGCTAATAATAATCGTAGCTAACATTGATTGGGGACTTTGTATGTGCCCGGCACCATCTCACAGGCACAACAAACCTTTGAGATAGGCACTGTTTATCATTCCCATTACTGAGACACAGAGAGGCCAAGCCAGGACCAGTGGTCACATAGCCCCAAGTGGTAGCATCAAGATTGGAGGGCATGGTGGTGTGGCTTTGCAGTATTCAATCACCTGGCTATGCCACCTTGTGAAGGTTTGAGGGGAGCACTGGACTGGGAGTCCAGGAAACAGAACAAAATTAGCTTTCAGGCCCTCTCCCATCCTGTGTGCTGCAGCTAGTCAGAGGTCAAGTTGAATTTCAATCACCTAGAAGCTTGAAGGCTGCTGGGTGGGGACTACGCATGGTTAATGTTGCTCTGTGTGGTGCCTCGGCATGGCTCATGGTCCACATGGAAGGCAGCCAAGACTCCATCACTCTTTCATTATCTGAGCAGGTCATTCTGTACCTCAGTTTCCCCATCTCCTTTCTTAAGAGATGATCATGGATACCATTTGTTAAGCACCTACTATGTACTGGCAGCTTTATGTAAAATAGATCTACTCCTCATGGCAATCCTGAAAGGTACATATTAATAGCCCTTTTGAGAGATGAAGAGATTGAGGTTCAGAATTCACTACCTTGGCTCAAGGCCACACAGTGAGTGGTTAAGCAGGTTCCAATCCAGACTTACTTAGACGACAAAGCCCAGGCTATTTTCTACCACCTCTAGCTCCCTCCTTTAAAAAGAAAATAGCTACCATGTGCCAGGCACTTCTTGAGAATGATTTCCTTTCCTGCAACACTCCTGAGAGGTCATGATTATGACTTTCATTTTACAGATGATAAAACAGGTTCAGAGAGGTTTTGTAGGTTGCACAAGGTCACACAGCTTAGTGGTGTTAGGTCTGGTTTTCAAACCTGGGTCTGTCTGTGTCCAAGCTCTCCCTCTTTCCATGATGTCATATATGTGAAACGGCAATTAACTAAACATGCCAATTTC
This sequence comes from Homo sapiens, assembly GCF_000001405.40. Lineage (NCBI taxonomy): Eukaryota > Metazoa > Chordata > Mammalia > Primates > Hominidae > Homo > Homo sapiens. The sequence goes on along the minus strand of NC_000023.11, from coordinate 39,734,244 downwards.
TCCAGATAGCCAGAGGTTATCTGGCTGTTTGTCACCTTTTGAGGGGCAGAAAAAAGGGAATGTTTTAAAAGCTAATGTTAGGAAAAATAGGTGAGACACTTGGGAAAACCCCCTGACTGTAAAAGGTATAAGGCACAGGAGCAAGAATCCAGCAGAGGGTGAGGGACTCAGTCCATCTGTCCATTCATCCATCCATCCACTTGTTCACCCATCCATCCAGCCATCCATCCAACCATCCATCCATCCATCCATCCATCCTCCCATCCACTCATCCATCCATCCATCCATCCATCCATCCATCCTCCCATCCACTCATCCACTCATCCATCCATCCATCCATCCATCCATCCTCCCATCCACTCATCCATCCCTGATCTTTGAGGAGAGACCAGGAGCCTTGGGATGTTCTGCTGGCCTGTCTGCTTTGTAAGTCTGTGTCTCGTGTCCCAGGTGTGATCTCAAGGAAGGGAGGTGCCTCCTGGTGCAAAAGGTAATTATGCAGAGGAACCTCAGGCCCCATACATGGAGGAGGTTCTCCTCACTGACGCCTGACCTCTCCAAAGGGCAGAAAGCAGATTTTATGGACATCTCTAGGGTTTGGGATGCACGTTGGCTTTCAGCTCAGGAAGACACCTGAGGCTGGAGAACCTGAAACAGGGACAGAGATTGATGATTTATTAAGGTAACTCTGAGATCCCCCTATCTTTCTGGGTCCAGGATTTACACCAAAGGGAACCTCCACTTTATCTCTCCTTCCCACACCCATGTCTACATGGCAGATGGGAATTCAGGGTGTAGAGGGTGTGGTGGGGGCAAGGGAGAGGAACAGGAAGACAGTTCATTCAGAACTCTCATGTGGCATTTGTGGCTGCTGCTTCCACTTCATTGATCAGATTTTTCCCAATTTGCCAGGCTTGGGAAACTGATCTGAAAGGTTGCTCAGAACATTTTGGGGATCTGTCCTTCAGAATCTACCCAAGAACATTTGTCCCCTTCTGAGTCTGGTCCCAGCCTCCATGGGGCTTCAGACTGCAGTATGAGCTTTTTAAACTCAGTTTTTCCTCTTTCTATGCTATTGGCCCTGATCCCTTTGAGAACCTTCCGTGGCCCTCACAGCTTTATCTGCTACTTCCCCAGCATGGTTTGACAGTGAGGCCTCTGTTGTGGCATTGGTGTAATCCAGTTCAGCAAATATTTACTGGGCCTGATCCCTGCCAAGAACCATGCAAGACCTGGGAGACAAACGCACCCTGCAGCCAGTGGCCTGGGAACTTCTGTTCGTTAACCCCATCTACAAGGAGACAGCCTTGTGAGTCCTTTTTGCATGAACTATCTCATTTAGCCCTCAACTCAATGCCCATTTTTCAGATGGCAAAACCGAGGCCTTGAGAATTTCCCCTTTATCCTATTTCACTCAGCTCATGCCACAGAGATGAGATTTGCACTTATTTTGATTTCAAAATCTATATTTTCATCACACTCCTTTGACTCACTTGGGCCAAAGCCTCAGTTTCCTCAGATGTGTGATGGGGACAATTTTATTCGCAACCTTAAAAGAATGTTGTGAGAGTCTTTTGTTTTCTTTTCCTTTCCCTTTCTCTTTCTCTCTTTCTCTCTTTCTTTCTTTCTTTCTTTCTTTCTTTCTTTCTTTCTTTCTTTCTTTCTTTTCCTTCTTTCTTTCTTTCTTTTCTTTCCTTCTTTCCTTCTTTCTTTTTTTGAGATAAGATCTTGCCCTGTTGCCTAGGCTGGAGTGCAGTGGCACGATCATAGCTCATTGCAGACTTGAAAACCTGGGCTCAAGCCTCTCACTTCAGCTTCCCAAATAAGTGGGACTATAGGCACATGCCACCATGCCTGCCTAATTAATTTTTTTTTTTAATTTCGTAGAGGTGGGGTCTCACTTTGTTGCCCAGGCTGTCATTTACTTATTGTGATGATGAAGTGGGGTCTGGAAAGCTGCTCTGCCTTGCGGAAGAGTTAACTGATCCAGGAGCTTATTACAACCTCAGGAAAGCCCTTGCTGAGTAGGCACTTAGAATCTTCATAGTGAGCGGTGCTGCTAGCTCTTCTTCCCAACACTGGTGTACTACCGCAGCACCTGGAACCCCAGAGGGACATTACTTCTATGCTTTGATTCCTTAGAGCTCCATGAGGGTGTCCAGGGGAGGGGGAGAGTCAAGTATATCACGGACTGTTAATGAAGGCCTTCAAGATGATCTTGTAAAAATCCAACCCCATCATGATACAGTGTGGAAGCTGAAGCCTGGAGAAGGGCTGGGACTTGTCCAAGACCACGCAGCTGTTTCTTGGCAGAACTGGAGTGACCAGGCGGCTGTTAGGACTTTCCCTGTGGGACTCTGGGGTTTGTTGATCAAGTTCAAGTCTCAGCTTTTCCAGCATGAAAATGCACGGCCTCTGAGAAATGACACAGGGAAGGTGCCTGCAGGAAGAGGAGGGGAGAAGAGGGAGAAAAGTCAGGAGGGATGGGAGTCCTAGGCACTGCCTTTTGAAAAACATTAAATATGAGAGTTGATATAATCCAGGGGACCTCCAAACTGGCGGAGTGCCCCAGGACTCCCACCTGCAGCAAGCTGGGAGTCTGGCACTGGAATCTGTTTTATAAATGAGTTCCCTGGGTTACCGAAGCACGCACTCTGGCCCAACCCCTGACAGAGGGGCACCTGAACCCTGTGGGGCCAAGCTGGTTTGTCACCCAGCTCCTCCCTGGTGGGGCAGGTCCCACTGTCCCCTGCAATAAGGTCAGTCCCAGTCCCTCCCCCCACCTCCATTTCTCCAGTTGATCACGGTCCTCCTTGCCCACAGCCACCATGGACCCCATGACAAACACACGAGGCTCAGGCCTGGAAGATCTATTAGTGCCACTCCTGTCACCGCCCGCAGAGCAGGAGGAGAGGCAGCCAAATGCTGTGCTAATTATTCTAGCTTCCAGCAGGGTCTCGGAGGTCCCAGCCATGGTAAATCTTAACTTTCATGCTATGGTGCACCGGGATGCAATTTACTTCAAAGAGAGCATAAATCCCCACTGCGGCGTGTATCAGAGGAGTGTTACATAAAAGTGGCCCATGTGCTTCCCACCCTGGCTGCCTTCTCTCGCTCCCCTTCTCTCCCTCCCTCACTCTCTCCTCGTAAGTTTGAAAAAGCCAGCCCGCGGTTGGTTACACATCTCGCACGCAAAAACATTTACACACACGTCTGCTCCCAGCCTTATAAATCACCAGGCTTGGCGACTTGGCAGTGGGAACACAGGCGAGCTCTATTTTTACCAGCCCCATCCGCAGACAGCCCCGGGGGCCCCTCCTTTCCTACAGTGACACCTACTGGTGCTAGCTTTGGCCAAAGGCAGCCTTGCCGCTTCAGACCCATTTCTCAGGCTTTGGAGGATGGTAACTGATCAAGGCCTGGCCCTTCCCCCAATTCTTCCTCTGCTAACCCCTTCCAGCCTCTGGGGAATTCCTCCAGCCACAAATTCCACCCAGGAAGCCCCGCCCCACCACCAACGCCCTCAACCAGGCTTGACATAATAATTACCTTCCACAGAGCTGCGGACTGCAAGAGGCAAGGCCAGCACAACTCATTAGGATGTCAAAGGATCAAGGGAATTGGGGAGGGGACTGCCTACCAGGTCACCACCCCCCCACCTTCGGCCCCAAAAGCAAGGTTCCTTCCTGTAATGCAACCTCCTGGGGGGTTGTCCAGTTGTGTTTCAAGCAATTACTTCCCTGTGAAAGACATCTGTTATCTTCGCTGACACACACGAGACTGGCGGCCGATGTGGTTTCTGCGAGGGGCTTGTGAATCCTGGCATTGTCATCGCAGCCCCGGTTGGGAACGAAGGGGGTGGGGTGAGACAGAGGCACGTCTGTCTCCCATCCCCAGGCCCCAGCCCCAGCCTCCTCCCAGCGACCTCTCCGGAGGCAGCCGTGCCAGGTCTAATGCTCCTAATGTCATCTTTGCAGATCCATTTGTGATTCCTTGATGCTGTAATTACTGCGGCTCCACTCCCCTCGCAGCAGCTGCCATTAGCTGGGCAGACCGCAGGCTGCGGTGACGTGGCCTTGGCAGCCTGGGGGGCCTCTGAGGGTTGGCTGGGGTGGGTAGGACCCTCCCTGCAGGCCCAGAGCTGCCAAGAGGCCCAGGGAGGCTGGCTGAGCTGGTCGAATGCTGGCCTTTAGTGGCTTTGCCCTGAGTGTAACCTCCTCCCACTTCTCCCCGCAGTCAGTCGACTGTGGAAAGTGCCCCAGGGTGCAAATGCCCCAGGGTGAAGGGTGAATTCTGCACAGTTCCAACTCAGCCGCTGACACACTGGTGACCCTGGGCAAGTCACAGCCCCTCTAAGCTTTGGTTCCCTCAATCATAAAAAGGACAGGGTTGAATTCCCCAAGAGGAGGGGAGGTAGCTTCCCTTCCAGCCCTGACTGGGGATCCCTCTTTTTTCCTATCTCAGCACCTGGAAGGACCTGTACAAATGATGGGTGCTTTTTTAGAGGCCCAGGGAGGTTATCAGGTGCATTCTTGGGACAGGAATGAAAAACAAACACCCTAGAATCCTGCTGTGCCAAGAACCCAGGCCATAATCTCAGAGACAATCTATCTATCGCTTTCTATTCTAGCACTTTGCTTCTCAGGATAGAAGCCCTGGGGTGGCGTAAAGGGCTAACCTCACCTGCACTCAGGCTTTGAGGGTAGGAAAAGAGGGACTATGATGGACTCGAAGAAATGAGAGTAGAATCAGATGCTGAAAAAAGACAAACCAAAGTTTTGCTCATGGCCCTTCACTTCCCCATTCTCCTCCCCATCCCCAGTGTTGCCCTAATGTCACTGCTACTGATAAAAGAATATTGTGTTCAAGGCTGGCTGACAGTGAAAGTGGGTACTGTACAGAAGTCAGCCCCTTGACGGTTTTGAAACATGGCAGGAAATTCTCTGACACTTTTCTCATCCAGAGGCAGGTTCTCTGGTCCTTCCCCTTGAATCCGGGGTGGGGGGTGGGGGTGGGTTGTAACTGCTTCAACCAAAATACTACTGAAAGAGTGATGCTGTGTGGCTTCTGAGACTAGGTCATAAAAGGCCATGCAATTTCTGCTTTGTTTGCTGTAACATTCATGCTTGGAGCTCCAAGCTGCCATGTAAGATGTCTGACTCGTGGCTACCATGCTGGGAGGAAGCCCAATCCACATGAAGAGGCCACCTGTAGATGCACTGGCCAACTGTTCCAGGCTTTGAATTATTTCAGCTCAAGCACCAGACATATGAAGTGTGTTAGGCCATTCTTGCATTGCTATAAAGAAATACCCGAGACTGGGTAATTTGTATAAAAAGAGGTTTGATTGGCTCACAGTTCTGTAGGCTGTACAGGAAGCATAGCACCAGCATTTGCTTGGCTTCTAGTGAGGCCTCAGGAAGCTTTCACTCATGGTGGAAGGCAAAGCAGAAGCAGACGTCTCACATGGCAGAATAGGAGCAAGAGATGTTGGGGGAGAGGTGCCACACGTATTTAAACAACCAGATCTCGCAAGAACTCATTCACTATCAAGAGGACAGCACCAAGGCATGAGGGATCTGCCCCCATGACCCAAACACCTCCCACAAGGCCCCACCTCCAACATAGGGGATTACAATTCAACATGAGATTTGGACAGGGACTAATATCCAAACTGTATCACGAAAACCTCCAGACGATTCCAGCCCCTGGCCATTGAGCCACTTCCGCCTTCCAAGTCTTCCCGGCCAAAGCCCCAGACATTGGGGACCACTGACAAGCCACCCCTGCTGGACTCTGTCTGCATTCCTGACCTAGGGAATCTAGGAACGTGCTAAACTGGTTATTTATACCTTTAAGGTTGGGGTACTTTGTTAAGCAGCAATAGATAACAGGAGCCCCTTACACCAGGCTCCTGCCTGGCATCTAGCCTAATGCATGAAGACATGGACACCTGTTTTCCATAAAGGAAGCAGGAAGTTTTCTAGAAGGCTAAGAATGGCATTGGGCCAAAGGATCTGCTGTGTGGGCTGTACACTTAGTCCCCGGCTGCAGAACTCTGCCCGGTTCCAGAGGGAGGCTGAACTCTGGGCATGCCTGTCCTTGTTACCTCCGGTGTTAGCCTCAGTATTTGAGTGAGATCTAAGAGTTGAAGCCTTCCTTGTTTCTGTTAAAGTCTCATTTTATTTCTGATGTAACCCAGAAGCCTCCTAGCTGAGGCTGGGAGAAGGAATGAGAGATGTCCTGACCCTTTTATTCTCCCCTAGTTTGTAACTTGGGCCAAAGGGGGATGGCTTTAGGAGGGAAGGAGAAGGTGCTGGGGGATGGTGGAAGACAGTGCCCATGAATAGGCACACATTTTTTCATGGTTTATCTGTTGGAGGACAGAGGACAGATTCCCACCCGGGCACCGAGAATGTCATCTGGCAATGAGATGTACAAGACCTTGGCTGCCACTTTATAGTTTCACGAACGAGTGTGGGTGGGAGGCACATTTGGCTGCCTGTGGCGAGAGTCAGCCTGCTGGTCTGTAACTTGTACAATTTACAAGGAAATCAGATCTGTTTTATCCATCCTTTGGAACCATCAAAAGACCGACGGTGCATTCAGTTGTGGGCTATCCCAGGATACACTTAAACATTTTCTAGAACTTATAATCCTAGCTCAATTTTACACATAAAATTCAATCAACGACAAATTCCAGTTTGCTATTTAGAATTAGACAATTTTGTGCTAGAGTGCTCTGTTTTTGATCAAAAAAGCACCCGGGAGCCTAGATTGATAAATAATTGGCCACAGGGTGAAAGAAAGCAACTTTGAGGTGAAAATACAAATCTTGTTTTTAAGCTTGCTTTGACTTGCTGTCCAATGCAATTTAGCAATTCTCATCTTTGAAGGGACACATTTTAGCTAAGTGGTAAACCTGACCATGAGCAAGACCCTAAAAGCCACTGAAGTTGATTAGTTGGGATAAAGATTTAGAACTGAGGTTCCAGAGAAGAGGAGAAGAACAATTAACTTCTCAAAAGAAGGTAATATGAGGGCTTGGGGCAAAAAGCCTGAGGAAACATATCTGTCTTGGTGGCCCAATGGAAGTGGCCTGGGGGAAGCAGGATTTGTGCCTGTAATGCACTGATGTCCTTTTGGTGCTCATCCTCTTCTCTTATGTCCTAGGAAGCGGCCACCTGTCTCCCAGCTGTCTGGGACTGTCTGCTGGAGCAAGTGACATCACAGTGACCAGAAACCACCTCCCCTTTGTCTGGAGCAGTTATGATGTCATTCCCTCTGGCAGCGAAGCAGGATGTTGGCAGCTGGGATTCCTCCGGGTCCTCCTGAAGTGATAATTGCCTTAGATTTTGTTATAAAGTGCAGCTGCTAATTATCTTGTTAAATCACAGCCATATACTTTTTGGATCTTTTTTTCCTTTGCAATCCATTTAAACAATCTGGGAGATTAAATAAAACCACATACCCCAAACAAAAACAAAAACACAACCCAGACACACACATACACATGCACACTCACACACATATTTTTTCTTCCTTAAAACACCATAAGAACAATTTTTTAAAAATGAAAAGGGTACAGATATGGCATAATTAGATTACTTCCATTAAAAAGCCATCATTTCAACATCCTCATATAAATATCTGCATCCCGTTGCATATTTTAGGCAATTGCATAATAAGCCCCCAAGTGAAAAACAGAGCAAAACTCATTTCCTGACCACAAAAGGAAAAAGGAGTCACTATGTGCTCTGAGTTCCAAGGAGAACTGGATTACATTCCTCCCACACAGACTGGAGGGAGATGGAGTTCATTGCTCCAGGGGAGAGAATTATGACAACACTTAACCGCTGTGACCCACGCTGCTCCAAGCTGCTCTGCGCCTCTCCACGTCGTTGGCCATTAGAAGCATGCAGCTCCCACTGAGGTCGGAGGAAGGAAGGAGAGGACCTAGCCACCTCCGTTTGGCTGGGATGCTCCAGGCACGTGGAAAAACCTGTCCTGGGTTTCAGCATCAACAGGTGAATGAATGTCAGGTGTGACTCGAGCCTCCTTACCATTACTTGTGATTGGCCATTTTCAGACTTCTGATTTTTGTGGTCCTGCTGGAAGTTTGCCCAGCAGCAGCAGGGGGAAAGGAGGGAGGTGAGCATGGGCACGGCCTGCCAGCCCCTGCACACAGGGAGGCTGAATGGTACAGCCCAGACCTGGGTCTGCATCCTTGCTGAGTCACTCCCAGCTCAGGCTCAGTTTCCTCGTCTGTAAAGGCGGAATCATACTATTTCCTGCTTCATAGTATGGTTGTGAGGGTTAGGTGGGATCATATTGGAAAAGCACCTATGCAAGGATGGCACTTAACCAGCAGCAGAGCTAAACCACTGCTGTGGATATGTTGCAATGGGGCCCCCAAATTATGAAGGCCACGCTTTGGTTCTTTCTTTTTCAGGACAGGGATAGAGGATGGAGGTGGCTTGCCTCAGGATGGGGACTTGCTTGCCAGAGAGGCCAAAGTTCAGGCTCTCTTGGGCCCCAACCAAGGTGGTGCTCAAGCCCAGCCCTTTACAGCTGCCCTGGGCTGTGACCACCTTTGGCAAGGTCATCTCCCTTCCCCTCTTCAGCACTGGCTCCTCCAACCAGAGCTGTATTCTGCTCAGCCAATCCTTCTTGCTCGGGGAGAGTAGAGTGACCACCTCCTTAGGGGTGTCCAGACCTGCACTTAGTCTTCTAGCCTGGCCTGAAAATAGGTGTCAGGTCTGAGGCAGGCCATGATCCCCGTGTGTGCGTGTGCACCGGTACTGTAGCTCCTGGGGCATTCCCTTGCAACTTCTCCCTTGTGGGCCGGAGGCTTCTCCCCAAGCAAACAGCTGGGGAGAGCTCTGTGAGCCCCAGTGAGTTACCCTGCCCTGCCCAGGTCAGCCTTTGGGTGGGGAGGATAGGGAGGTTGCCAAGGTGTGTCTCCTCCAGGGTCAAACTGCTCCCCCTCCACCACAAAATGCAAACAGAGGCAGAACCCCTGGTATAGAAAGCATCCATTTGTGTACAAAGGGGATGTGGGGGGAGGGCAAAGGGTTGTTTGCAGGTTGGCTTGTATATACACACACTATGTTTGTCAGGAAAGATAAGAACCCAATAATATTGGCTGCCTCGGAGAAAGGTAACTGGGTGGGTGGCTGGGATAAGCATGGGAAGGAAACTCTTCATTGTCCACTTATTTGTATCTTTGGGATTTTGAGCCATGTGATCATATGAGCTATGTAAAAATAACAAAAAATAAATACATACAAAGTTGTATACAGATATATATAAATACATATACAAATACACACACACACACACACACACACACACACACAGTAGTAGATATCTGTTTTTTGTGCCTACATAGCAACCTGATTTCCTTTTTGGGTAACCACTACCCACATTTGGTATTGAACTTAACACTTCCTCCTATACACACACACACTTTGGTGGTAGGTATATGACCCAGGCCAATCAGAGCTCAGGATACCCCTGGCTGCTATATTGGTTCAGGCTTGGGCACATGACCCAAGCCAGACCAATAGCAGCCCTTCCTGCAATTTTTTTACTGTTATGGGCAAAGAGACACTCTCCAGTGTTTGGTGTTGCTGAGTGGGTAGAATATCAGCCTGGACTGGCCAGCAACTGTCTTTACTGGGAGCGAGGGGACATCCTGCTTTGGAATGAAGCCAACACTGAGGAAAACAGAGGAAGCAGGGGCGTGGGGGTTGTGTGGGGGGTGGGCAGACACAGAGAAAGAGTGAGAGACATAGGCAGACAGAGAGGAACAGGCTGTGTTCTTTGACGTAGCTCAAAGCTCTGTATCCAGCTATGCCCAAAGTGGGCTACATTCCATGAAATGGCAAGTTATGGGGACAGATAATTCCCACCCCTGTGTTTTCTTCCTTCAGTTCGTTTGAGTGGGGTTTCTCTCCTTTACAACTGAACAAGTCCTGAGTGCATACATATTTACGTGAAGCTGAGTTAGGATGAAAGGAAATCTCTGGAGCAGCCCGGAGCAGCAAAAGGAGTGGTAGAGAAAGCCTCCTAATAGTTTCTCGGCAAGTTCCACCTTTTCCCGAGGATATGGGAATGGTATTCATTCAAGCGTTGAATCTCCTTGCTGCTTTGTTTAGCACTGGCTACCAGCCCCTCTGAGCCACTGCCCAGCTGTCTGGCATGGTCAGAGCAGAGTCTTCATCCATGTGATCAAGCCTATTTAATAGCCTTCCTCCTCCCTTCATCCTTTTGGATGCCATCTTGGTTATCTGGCACAATGCTTGAATTTGGACAATTGAGAACACATGACTTCCTTGCATTTTGAGAAAAAAGGCAGTGAGAAGAGCTTGGACTAGAAATGCGAAGACCTGGGATCAAGCCTCTCTTTGCCATATGACGTTGGACAAGTCTTTCAAAGGCTTAATTTTGAACTTTATTTTTCTCCTCTTAAAAATAAAACCTGTCAGGCCTGCTATGCACTCCTTGGGGACAATGACCATGTTTGTCTTCTTTCCCCCTTCTCTGTCTTCCTCCTTCCCTTCATTTCTTTCTTCTCATCTTTCTGTCCTCTGGCCTCAGATGCGGAGTTGAGTTACCCATGCACCTCATTGGCAGCCTCATCAATCCCAGCATAGATCCCTCTTGTTTTGTTTTCTTATTTTTCCTCTACATCCTTCATCCCTACTCCATTCTCCTCTCCCCATCCTACCCCTAGGTCTGACACCCACTCTGATATATTTCCTTTAAAAGATATATGGCATTTTGGAGGGGGGGTGGTGGGTATACATGTGCTTTTAATTTATAAGAATAGTAATTTAATATAAAGCTATAAATCTTTTTCCTTTTGCACTCAACACGCTGTCTTAAAGACCTGTCCATGGCTGTATGTAAATCTGGTCTATTGTTTCTGACTGCTACATGGAATTCTGTCATATGTGCCTACCATCATCACACGCATCTCTGGGGTAAAGACCTGGGGGCTTTCTGGGTCACAGGGTTTACACAGACTTCATTCCTAAGCATTGCCAGATAATCCCTCAGAATGACATATCACTTTGCAGTTCCACCAGCAGTGCATGAAAGTTCCCCTTTCCCCACATCTTCTACAGCACTTGGTTTTATTCAGCTTCATAAGTTTTGCCAATGTCTTATGTTTGAACTAATGTTGTTTTAATTTGCATCTCTCTGATAATTTGCGGAGGTTGACAATCTCTTCCTCTTTTTATTCATTAGAGGTTTCCTATCTATGAATTGCTTGTCCATATTATTTGACCTTTTTTTTCTTGCTATTTTTCCCTGTGGGTTTTTAAAAAATAATCTCAGCATTTCTTCTGTGTTTGATAGCAGTGAACACAGCCAATACCTACTGAAGAGCACACATGATGCAACTTATGAAAATCTGAAACTTGAATATTGTTTATTTTTTTCCCCTTTAAAGTCTGATTCACTTCTTACTTTTCAAAATAAAAAAATCAAGCAGAATAATCTTGAAGTAAATGAGCCAAAAAAGATGTCCTTTAGTTTCTTCTTTTGTCTAGTTTTTTCAGAGTTGGGGGAGGGGAAAAAGAGATTGAAGGATGAAAAGATGGAGAGGTTAAAAGAATGGAAAGAAATCAGAATCTAAAAGGGGAATGTAGAAAGGGAAAGAGATGATGATGAAGGAAGGAGTGAGACAGACACAGCCGAGATTAAGAGGAGGAGGAGAAATGAAAAGGAGGAGGTCTAAGAGGAAAGAGGGAAACACAGAAAAAAGACAAAATGAAATACAGGCACAAAGACAGACAGTTGGAGAGAGAAAACATGGAATGAGTTTTGAGCCTGTTCTGAACCCCTCTGCCTCACCAATCTATCTTACCACCTCCTCAGGCTTCTACTCCTTCTAGATCTTATCTCCAATGTCTCTGGTTTGATGAGCCCAGAGGAACTCATTCCTAGCCCAGTAGCTGGTATGGGCTGGATCTCACTTCCTCCATACAACGTCCGGGGCTCTGACTTCACTATTTCCAATTCTTCTGTCTCCTGGTTAAAGCTTTACCACTTCTAGGCTGTGCATTATTCTCTAGCGGTTGTTTGGGAAGGAATTTGCTCCCTAGCCAGACTGTGAATTTCCTGAGGGCAGGGTCCACTCCTTGGCTCAGCATCCTACCACTCCCTGGGGCTTGCTCCTTAGTACCCAGTCAATAAACATTTGCTGAGTGGATGAACGAAGGGATCTCACTGCATCGACCTTCTCAGCACACATCACACTGTGGTGACCAGCTGTCAGCCAACCCTCTCAATTTCTCAGGGATATTTCTCATGAAATGGCTTGTCAGAACTCCAGCCTTCCACCTAAGTACAACGGGCTGAATTGTCTCCCGATATCGAGTCTGTGGAATGCTGATGGGAAGGAAAATGCTGTAGTCTATGTTTAATATGGATGCGTTTCAAACCTCGCAAATGATCCAGGCAGAGGCAAGGGCAGTCCCTGTGAGGAAGTGTGGCATGCGTTTGGAAGGCAGTCCACATTCCAGCTGAGCACTGGTTCTGGAGTTACGTCACAAGCACCTCTGCCAAAGGAAATAAGGCAGCTTTATGCTTTTGATAAGATGTGCATGGGATGCCTATCAGATGGTCTGGAGACTTTTTGGAAACTTTGTCAAAGATGGAAGCCCCAGAAAAGGGCAGGATGCTTCCCTGGTGTTTGCCGAATGGCGTGGGAGGAGATCTTGTGTTTCTTCCAAATGGTGGGATTACACTTCACGATTGAACTTTCTAGAAACTGGGGTTTGGTGGGTGAGGGTGGACTCCATAGAGTTCGTAGCAGTAACCCCTGTGGGTTCCTATATCAAGTTCCTTTCTTATGCGAGTCCAGCAATATATTACAAATATTACATTGGCCTCTCTAATGAGATTAGATAATAGCAGACACACTTAACATTAGATAATGCCACTTCTTCTGATTCCTAATATGATACTCTTTCCTGGTTACTTAAGAACTGAATGAATGAGAAATGGAAGAAAGGCATTTGGGCTTTGGTTTTCATTGCCCGTGGAGTGAAGCCAGGCTGCAGAAGGCAAGCAAAGTGCTGAAGTTGGGCCAGCTTTACTGGGTGGTGAGGTAGCAAGAACTGAGAGAGCCTGTGGTTTGTAGTGATGGCAGTATTCTTTTTTGTTCTTTTGAATTAAAGCTGCACACTGGCTCTACTCCCTCCTTCATTTTGGATTCAGCAGTTTTATAGCTCAGCTCTTCTCCCTTTTGCTCCCCTACCTTTACTCTTTTTTCCCCGTAGAAAAGAGCTGGAAAGCTACCCAATCACGGGGATGGGATTTTTATCTTAGGAGGCATTGGAAGAAAGGCAGAGTCCCACAGGGAGTGGCAGCTCTCTCCATCTGTCAGTTGCTAAGTGTTGATGAGGGCCTTGCCTTGTCTCCAGTGCCATGGAGCAGGGTCTTTGTCACTAAGATGTTTTTTCTGCCCTCCAAGATCTGGTAATCTTGGAGAGAAAGTCTCTGCTTTAGAGGTTCACAGTGGAAAAGGCAAGAAAAGAGACTACAGTAGTGGTTTTAGAATACCCTAGAACAGTGGCTGCAGGAGTGGACTGAGGGCAGAGGGATAAGGCAGGCTTCCTGCTGAAGGTGTGTGCCTGAGGTTTGCCTTGAAGGGGAGATTTGGGTAGGGGGTGAGTGGAGCAGTCTGACAGGGGCGGTACTGCGGTGGTGAGGAACCTAATGTGTGCCCCGACCACTCTTGTCTATATCATCTGGGTGTGGGGAGCTTGGCAACCAAGAGTCCTGGGCTCACCCCAAACCTACAGTGGTTTGCAAAGATGGCTGCAACAAATCCTCTCATTCCCCAGGCCCCTTTGCCAAATGACTTTGCCTCTCCTTCCATCAAGAAGTGGAGCCTAGCCAGGAGCGGTGGCTCACGCCTGTAATTCCAACACTTTGGGAGGCCGAGGCAGGTGGATCACTTGAACTTACGAGCTCGGGACCAGCCTGAACAACATGGTGAAACCCTGTCTCTGCTAAAAATACAATAGCCTGGCGATCGTGCCACTGCACTCCAGCCTGGGTGACAGAGAGAGACCCTGTCCAAAAAAAAAAAAAAAAAAAAAAAAAAAAAGTGGAGTCTATTTTCTCTCCCCTTGAATTTGGACTGGCTTGTAACTTGCTTTGACTAATAGAATGTGGTGGAAGTGATTCTGTGTGACTTCCGAGACTAGGCCTTAGGAAACCTAGCAGCTTGAATTTTCATCCTCTCTTGGACCCCTGAGATTGCCATGCTGTGAAGAAGCCCAGTTTAGCCAACTGGAGGGTGAGGGGCCATGTGGAGGAGAATTGAGGCACCCCAGCCAATAGCCAGCACCAAATTTCAGACATGTGAATGAGGTCATTTTAGACTCTCCAGTCTTAGTGAACCCATCATGTGATAGCAGCCACATAAGTGAGCCCAGGGTAGACTAGCCACTAGGTTCCAGGGTGGTTGGTTAGGCAGTGAGATATAATGGAAGCACCTACTGACCTGGAATCTTTAGGAGTGCCTGGCATTCATTTTCTCTTTGTCCTGAAATAATATCCTTATTCCCCTTGGGGAAGTGGCTATCTTCCACTCCACATGATCTTGAGCAGGCTGACAATCATTGTGTCCCCAAGCCACCACCCTTCTAGTTGGTCACCCAGAGCATTCTATGCTAGGGTCATAGTAATTAATTCAGGAATGTTCAGATGGGCAAACTAGGCCAATCCGCAGCTTCCCTGAGGTTTGTTTTGTGAATGCTATGAAAGACTCTCCCTCTGGGATCTCAAGCTGTTAAGACCACAAAATCTTCAGGCTGACAAGTCCAACTTCCAATGACAGAAAACCAGGATGGAGAGATGGAGAATGTGTGACTGAATCCTGACAACATCATTTCAGCCTTTGGAAAGAGTCAAACTGGAATTCCATAAACCCCCAGACTTCCCTGTTATGGAACAAATGTATTCTGGTGTTGCTTAAGTGGGAGGGAATTTGAGTCGAGTGTCTGTCTCTCACCTAATAAATATAATAGCCACACCCTGTTTCCTGGAGCAGCTCTTAGTGCTTGTATAAACTTGCATTCTTCTCCTTTCTTGCCCTTGCCCACGCCCATGGCACTCATGGTAGATTGCATTTTGCTCCTAATTTTTTACCCCATCCTGATGATAGGATTATACAACCATGCCAATGTGACTTTGCAGGTACACCTGACAGAGGAGGCAGAGTGAACTTCACTGTGTCATTAATACTGCTGAGCTATGTGACTTGTGGTCAATGGGAAGTCAGAAGAAGTAACAAGACTGACAGCTTTAAATATGCCTGTGCATTTGTGTTAGCCTCTTGCTCGCCTGCTGGTTGCTGTGGGCAGAGCCTGTGCTGGTGTCTGCTGGATCTAGAAGGCAGAGATACATGAAGCAGCCCTGAAGCCAACTTGCAGCCTGGAGCCAAGCTCAACTGAAGAAAATACAATGCTTGTTCCTATAAGCCATTGAGACTTCAGGGTTGTTTGTTACACAGAGGTGTGGACGGAAACCGGATTGATACAAGGAATGAGCTAGGGGAGCCAACAATAGTAACCAGATTCCCTGCTTGTCCCTTCTCCCCAGACATCTGTTTCCCCTAGTACTTGGTGCAGGTGTCTTTTCTGGCATGCCTTATGGTGTGCTGGGTCAGTTGTGTCTCTGTCCAGCTCTCTAGATAGCATGGGAGAGCCTCAAGGGCTGGCACATAGTGAATGCTTAATCCAGGCTCGGTTGCTGACTGACTGACTGTATACTTCAGTTGCTCCTTTTGCTTGTTGTTGGGGTTGAAGGTCTGGGATATGGCTAACTAACTTATCTTTGTGCCTCCTCCTCCTCTGCAACATTTTTATTTATCTTCACATAAAGGCCAACCTTGAAGGGAGAAAAATGTCAGGTAGCAGCTAGCACAGACAATCGATTCTGGACATAAAATTTGGCTCTATGTCCCCACCTCTTGAGCGAGTTCCTTTACCCTTCTCAAACATCAGTTTCCAGTAGTGTGGAGCAAATAATGATGATGATAATAATAATAGCAAACTATATATATATATATATATATATATATATATATATATATATATATGTAGCAAACTATATATATATCTATATAGCAAACTATATATATATCTATATAGCAAACTATATATATATCTATCTATGTAGCAAACTATATCTATCTATATAGCAAACTATATATATAGCAAACTATCTATATAGCAAACTATATATCTATCTATCTATATAGCAAACTATATATATAGCAAACTATATATATAGCCAACTATATATATATATAGCCAACTATATATATAGCCAACTATATATATATAGCCAACTATATATATAGCCAACTATATATATAGCCAACTATATATAGCCAACTATATATATATATAGCTCTTCCTATGTGCCAAGCACTTCACACATATTAACCCTGGTGACTGCCTTATAAGGTAGGTATGTTATTACTAATATTATTTCTGGTTTATCGATCAGGGAACTGAGGCACAGGGAGATTGAGTAACTTGACCAAAGTTACCCAGCAGTAAGTGGCAGAGTTGGGATTTGGACCCAGGCATTCTGGCTTCAAAGTCTCTGCGCTCAAATCCTATATGTAAAAGTAACTCACGTAGCAGTAATAGATTTATCAGAAACAAGACCCACATGCTGGTCACTAAAGGCTATTTTCAAATATCCCAATGTAATATCACAAAGGTTTAATCAAGTCATATCTGTGTGATGAAAAACATGGGTTTGAAAAATGGTGCCTGTGATGTATCCGGCTGTCATAATGATGGAGCTGAATCTCCCGCACAGCCGATCTGATTGTCTCTAGAAATCATCACTCATTAAGGCATTGGGAGAAAAATAAATCGACCCCAGAGGCCACATGGAGAGACAGCTCCTGGGTGAGCTGCTCTAGGACAGAGCAAAACTAGGCCCCAGGCAGCTGGGGAAGCCAAAGAGAATTATATTTAACATGAAACATAAACACCATCTAAAAGGTGGATGGTACAGAAAAATATAAATTTGATCATTGTCTGGTGGCTCAGAAATCCAGTGGCCTTAGAATCCACATCCACACACTTTTAACTCCACAACATTTCAGATGATGAAATAAAGTTCTGCATTAAAGAATGCTGCAAGAATGGTGAGATGTTAATGGTGATATATCTGAGATGGAGTGCAGAGCACAGAGGGTGATAACATCATAGCAGGGAACCATGGGTGTTAGTTTCTGTGAAAATGGCCCTAGGACAAACTCTGGCCCCTCAGAGCACATCTAACAAGTCACTCTGCTGTTGGGTGGCTGCCCGCCCATCCAAGCTACAAAGGATAAACCCGTGGCTGCAGGTATTTGAGTATTTGTCATTTCTCTTTTTCCAAAGGCTCCTGAGTTTTCCAGAAGCAGAATATTTACATGTGCACCAGGCAGGAAGCAAGCCTGGCCTGCCTCATTTTAATAGATGCAGAAATGTCCACGCTGAGAGAAGCCAAACTCTACTCAAGGTCACACGGCCACAGCATGAGCTGGGAAATGGGGCATTCGGTCCTTGGCCCAAATTTCCAGGGGCGGCAGGTCCCTGCTGCTCAGTCAAGCCTAGCGAAATGGTTTTTGAAAGTGCAGGCTCTGTTCCAGCTTGCCAGATCACCACCTCTGGGGCAACGCTTTGTCTTTGTCTGTGTTTTACAAAGGCCTCAATCTCCTGAGGACTGCTCCCCACGCTCTTCACGGTGCTTCCTCTGCAATCCAGGCCTGGGCAGGGAAACTGGCCATCTCACCCCAGCCACTCTCATGGAAAAAGCTTCCACAGCCCTGCACAGAGAGCACGGGGACCTACTTGGGAGCATGCATTGCACAGTTCAGTCCGCCAGTCAGTAAACATTAATGGAGCACATGCGATGAATTAGTTACCATAGTGCACAGTGTCGCTGTCCCCCATCGCCTTGTATACACAGTCCCCATGTTTTGCAAGCCCCCTAACCCCCTGCAGTGTGCTTTCTCCAGCCAGCACTGGGGGCTTCTTTTCAGAGGATTGCCCTCAGGCTACTGGCACCACTTTGCCTCCCCAGAGAGCCTGAGAAATCCTGGGGTGTCCATCGCTTTGCCTGCTCCAGGCCCGAGGCCATGTTCACTAGTGACTACCAGTAGGAGAGTCTGAAAGCCCAGCTCCCTTGCTGAGGTGTAACTCGCACTCCAGAGCTCCCGGCAGTATCAGGCACAAGCTTCCCTCTGCGGGGACCTGGCAGGAAATCGCCTCGTATTTGGCACCCTCCCCTTCCCTGTCTTGCTTCCTGGCTCCCTTTACCCACCTCCCACTGGGAGCATGCCCTTAATCAAATACTCGCACGTGAATTTCCATCTCAGGATCTGCTTCTGGGGATCCCGATCAATCGCCATTCTGGGTTCTGGGGATATGGGGCTGGACAAGAAAGGCATGACAAGGTCCCTGCCGTCATGAAGGTCTTGCGGCTGGGAGTATCTTCAGTCTAGACAGTGGACTCCGAGGTGGACTCCCACTGAGATGTGGGAAGAACAGTTTCGAATGTCTATTAAAAGTTATGTTTGTGGGCCGGGCGCGGTGGCTCACGCCTGTAATCCCAGCACTTTGGGAGGCCGAGGCGGGTGGATCATGAGGTCAGGAGATCGAGACCATCCTGGCTAACAAGGTGAAACCCCGTCTCTACTAAAAATACAAAAAATTAGCCGGGTGCGGTGGCGGGCGCCTGTAGTCCCAGCTACTCGGGAGGCTGAGGCAGGAGAATGGCGTGAACCCGGGAAGCGGAGCTTGCAGTGAGCCGAGATTGCGCCACTGCAGTCCGCAGTCCGGCCTGGGCGACAGAGCGAGACTCCGTCTCAAAAAAAAAAAAAAAAAAAAAAAAGTTATGTTTGTTTCACCCTTGAGTATTTTCTATTTTTGCGCATGTTTCATAATGAAGATAATGTTAGTACAATGATATATTTCTATAAGTTAAAATTAAATGAATGAGCACAATTAGCGGGTGAGTGCTCAATGTGTTTTTATTAACAGGGAAGTGAGATCTAAATGTTTGGACACAAGAGGTGGCCAACCTGGTGGTAGAGGTTAAGCGTGTCCCTAGTGGAAATAGAGATCCCATGTTGCCATGTTCCAGCCCCAAAATGTATTGGAGACTGTAATTAAGCCACCCCCAAGGTCTTTTCCATTTAAAACAAGTCCTACCTCTCTAGCTTTTCCTACTAGCTTTATCTCTCTGCCCCTTCATCATTTCTGTTGCTTTTCTTTGGACCCTCTCCAAGTTCCACAGGCCTGGCATTAATTGTAAGGCCCAATATTGCTATAATTGCAGGGTAAGTATTTTTGTGCAGATCACAAGCCTGACCTCCTTTGTTATTTAGTTTGAGCTGGATTCTCCATGGACAGAGGGAGAGGCATGAAATGAGTAAATATTTAATTCAGGAGAAGCCTGCGGCTTCAAAATGTTTTCCCATTTGCTCGGCGCTGGCCCACATACTGAAGTTGCTTCCGTGGAGCTCTGGGCTGTGCCCTGCGATGAAGGACTGGCCTGCCCCAGGAACTCCAGAGCTCCTCTCAGCAGTGCCTTGAAGAGGGCTCTGAGTGCTTGGGCCAATGGGAGCCCAGGAGATGACTGCACAGCAAATTGAAATCAATGAACAGAAATAAGTGGCTCGACATTTGCAGGTACTCTTCTCAGCCACATTAGCAATGCAGCCATCAGCAGCTCCTGAAAATTCCCCTTGCATCTCTTGATGCTGCCAGTGGGAGGGTCTGGGCCAGTGAGGATACTCTCCGGGGTGGGGCAGGTGCTGAGGTTAGGATTGAGGTGGGAATGGAGGGAAGGGAAGGGGAGAGCAGGTAGTGGGTAGGAGTATTCTCAGGCATGTGAGAGTGTTCAGAGGTTGGAGGCAGAATCCAGGTGGCAGTGAGGGAAGTCGTGGGCATCAGAGAGACACAAAACATACCAGAAAGGTATTCAGAGGCAACTGGTGTTTGGGAAAACATACTCTGCCCCTGACCTGCGATGCCATGGGCTGTTCTCTTCATCTGGATGTGCTCAGTGCATGAGTTTTCCAGCTACCATATCCTCTTCGTGACCAGTGGCTTCAATCTGAGAGTGGGCTGGCTGGGGCCCCAGTGTACTCTGTCATCATGGGGCAGGGAAGCTATTTTCTGAAACCATCTGGTTCACCTGGCCATCAGTTGTAACATGCCTGCCCCAGTTGACACCTTAGCAGTTAGACTACAAAAAATATAAATTAATGAGACTGAGAAATTACATTTAATCAAAGATATAAATACTGTTGCAATTTAAAGACTGCATTAACATTTCATTACACAGTAAGGTCTTAGATACCAGAGAACTTGTTTTAATGAGTTCTGTTAGCTACCAGCTAGTGAAGGAGGCTCCAAAATATTATTAAATGATAGCAATAATGCTAAAGATATTTGAGCACTTAGAATATACAAAGTGATTTAAGAACTTAGATGAAATCCTTGCTCAATATCTCTAAGCAAAAATGCCTCTATTCTGTATATATTTACACTTCCACAAATTACAAGAAGTGAGTATTCACATATCCATCCATCCATCCACCCATGCATGCATGTATGCATCCATCCACTCTCTAAACATCCAATCATCCATTTATCCATCCATCCATCTATCCATCCATCCATCCATCCATCATCTGATCATACACCCATGCATGCATTCATTCATCCATCCATTATCCAAACCATCCATCTATGCATCCATCATCTGACCATCCATCCATCCATCCATCCATCCATCCATCCATCCATGTAACATGGGCCAGGCAGTGTGCTAGACACAGGAGGTGCACAGAGAAGTAAGACATTCTTACACTCAAGAAGTTCAGGGTCTAGTGAAACAACTTTGAATTATGCCTTCAATTCAAACCCAAGTAAATTTTGGTTGCATACAAGAAATATATGCTTGAGGCCAGGTGTGGTGGCTCACACCTATAATCCCAACAATTTTGGGAGGCCAAGGTGGGAGGATTGCTTGAGTCCAGGAGTTGGAGACCATCTCTATAAAACAAATAAACAATCAAAAATAAACAAAAATTAGCTGAGTGTGGTGGTGCACACCTGTAGTACCAGCTTCTTGGGAGACTGAGGTGGGAGGATCACTTGAGCCTGGGAGGTTGAGGCTGCTGTGAGCCATAATTGTGCCTTGTGCCACTGCACTCCAGCCTGAGTGACAGAATAAGACATTGTCTAAAAAACAAACAAACAAAAAAGAATTACATGCTTCAACCTAACACAGTGCTGATGCTCCAGTGGATGAGAGAAGCAGATCTTAGAGGAGAAGCAACTCCAGACAAGAAAAGCCACCTGTGTTCCCTGATTTTATCACCCCGAATTTCGGCCTTTTCCTCAGCAATGTTTTTATACTTATTTCCCTGTCTGTGCCTGGACCCCAGGAATTTACTGTTCCTTTTTCTCTTTAGCCCTATCGTGTGTGCACAGGTCTTTTTCTTTCCCCTTTGAAAAATGGGCAGGCCACCACAAAAGTTAAAGAGAAAAAGAAATCCTACAGCATAAATATTTAAAAACGCATAAAACTCTCTGTTTATGGAGTAAGAATTCCCTATCCTAAGAATTCTAGTAAGATATCCTGAGCTTCTCAGCACATGGAATTTCTTCCTTCTAAAATCATATCACTCTAGGTGCTTTCCAGATGGCCACCGCCTATAGGTGGGCTGCCTGGATTCCTTCCCTTCCAGCTCCTGCTCTTGTCCTTTCAGTCTCTTGGCTTGGCCATGTGTATCGGTCAGTTATTGCTGTGTAAAAAGCACCCACAAAATCTCAGTAGCACAATCATAGGCATTTATTTCTCTCACACGTGGGATGGCTCTGTTAATCTTGACTGGCTCAGCTGGGCTTGACTCTAAGCTGCAAGTTGGTTCCAGATTTGCTCCATATGTTTCTCATCCCTCTTAGACCAGCAGGAGAGCTGGCCAATGGCAGAGGCACAGGAAGGCAAGCAGAAACAAGTGAGGCCTCTTCAGATCTAAGCTCAGAACTGATATACAGGTTTCTAGCTACATTCCATTGACCAAAGGAAGTCATTTGGCCAAGCTCAAAGTCAAGTTGGGGAAGGAGAATGGACTGCCAAGTTGCATGACGGAAGTTGTGTTAGCAGAGAAAGGGGAAGAATCAAGCCCAATAATTTAATTTACCACCAGCAGAAATTGAACATTTCAAAAATAAATATACGGGTCCAGCACAGTGGCTTACACCTGTAATCCCAGCACTTTGGGAGGCTGAGGCCTGAGGATTGCTTGAATCCAGGAGTTCAAGACCTGCCTGGGCAACATAGTAAGGCCCCATCCCTACAAAATATCAAAAAATTAGCTAGGCATGGTGGCGTGCCCCTGTAGTCCCAGCTACTTGGGATGCTGAAGTGGGAGGTTCCCTTGATCCCAGGACTTCGAGGCTGCAGTGAGCTGTGATAGCACCACGGCGCTCCAGCCTGGGTGACAGAGAGATAACCCGTCTCTTAAAAAATGAAATGAAGTGAAATGAAATGAAATAAAATAAAATAAAATAAAATAAAACTGTATATAGATTTTCTAATCCTCACGACAACTCCAAGTACAAATGGTCTCCAACTTTCAATGGTTTCACTTAGTTTTCTGACATTACAACAGTGTAAAAGTGATACACATTCAGTAGAAACTGTACATCAAGTACCCATACAACCATTCTGTTTCTGTCTTTTAGTACAGTATTCAATAAATTACATGAGATATTCAACCCTTTATTGTGTTAGATGATTTTGCCCAACCATAGGGTAATGTAAGTGCTCTGAGCATATTTAAGGTAGGCTATGCTAAGCTATGATGTTTGGTGGGTTAGGTAGATTAAATACATTTTCAACTTACAATATTTTTAACGATGGGTTTATCAGGATGTAACCCCACTGTAACTTGAGGAGCATCTGTATAGGTGATTGATGTGCCCAGTTTTACAAAGCAACCACCGAGAAGTTCAAGTAACTAAGTGACTTGGCTAAAGTCCCCCACATGGCTGTCTTTCCTTGGCACAGCATCGTGGGCCAGGAGTAAGTCCCCTGTCCAGCCAACCTCCTTCCTGAACACATCCAGATACCACTTTCTCATTTCAAATGGCCTCACCTACTCTCAGGGCATTTTCTGTTTTCAGTCTGGGAGTTGGCCTGCTTCTAGTCTCATTTGCATAGCTGAGCTGATTAACATCTGCTGAACCCAAAGAGAGCTTGGCCATCCAGGGCTTGGTTGCTTTGCTCTCTTCTCTCCTGCAGAATTTTGTGTAGCTCCCCCAAGAGGAATGGTTTGCAAAGCACCAACATTATTATCCATAATGTATAAAGCCCTCAAACATATATTGATTGACATTAATACAACATGTAGTAAAATGGAGGGTCATTCTCTCACATGCGTGGAAATGTTCTGGGTATAAATTACCTTTATAACTATCAGGCAAACGCTTGCTAACGTTATGGTGGCCTTTTATCAGCCTCCAGGCTATGGAGCTTGGAGTCTTCATTTCTATTGGAGGCCCTTTAGTTTTATCTACATGTATTTGTGCAAAATGTTGCCTTTTAAATTTATTTTTATTTGTTCATCAGTGAGGAAAAAAATGTAGCTTTTAGCATTGGCTTTGGGTTATAAGTGAGAGATTGTATTGTTATATAAGTGAAGCAGTTCTAAATAAAATGATATCTTTACAACAACCAAAAGAAAGGTAGTGCACCTTCCTTTCAAAATACTAGTTTCTATGTACCTGGTCATCGACACATGCATGTAACTTAAACAGTGAAATCCTTCTACGAGGCTTTTTATGAGCACACAGAAGTCTCTGGCAAATCCATCCCCTTTCCTTTTCCTTTGGCTATCTCTTCAGGTATTTACCTCTTTAAATAACATGCTTATACTGCTACTTCAGGATTTTTCGGTTATGGGCCTTATCTTTTAATACCTATTGACTTCCTCTGATGAAATATAAGTATTTAGTTCTCTTTCACCACCCTCCCCTGTACTCATTGTTCCGTGTCTCACTTTCTCTCAAAATACTTGTATTCTAATTTAGGTTAGATCAATATTCAGCATTCACATTATTATGACTATGCAAACAATATTCACAGCTGAGCCATGCAGTACACAGTTCTATTTTCTCACTTTCTCCCTGGGGTAGATGATTTGCAAAGATGGTTGTAATAATTCCTCCCTGAATGCACACCTCTTTGCAATGTGACTTTGCCGCTCCCCCACCTCTAGGCTGGTTTCTCTGCTTCTTGAATCTGAGCTCAGCCATGTGAATTGCTTTGGTGATGGGGCATTGTGTTAGTTTCCTGTTGCCACTATAACAAATTACCACAGATTTAATGGCTTAAAATAATACAGTTTTATTCTCTTACAGTTCTGGAGGTTGGAGGTCTGAAATCAATTTTACTGGGCTAAAGCCAAAAGATGGGCTTTTAGAAGTTACTTTCGGAGGCTCTGAGGGGAGAATCTATTTCCTTGTCTTTTTCAGATTCTAGTGGCTGCCTGCATTCCTTGACTTGTGGCCCCTTCCTCCATCCTGAAGGTGCACCACTCCAATCTCTGCTTCCATCATTACATCACCTTCTCCTCTTACTCCACCTCCTCCTGTCTCCTTTTTATAAGCACCACTGTGATTACATCAGTCCCCCTCCTCTGTTCCCCTGCCACCACAATCCAGGATAACCTCTCCATGTTAAGATCCTTATCTTAATTGCATCTGCAACAATCTCTTTTGCCATATAAGGTCATGTTCACAGGTTCTGGGGATTATGTGGACATACTTTGGGGGGCATTTTTCAGCCTGCCACAGACATTGGCAAATGTGGTGCAGTTTGAAGCCTGAGACCATGATGTGATTGAGTCTGAGCTATCCTGCTGGCAAGGCCATGTGGAGGAAAACTGAGACTTCCCAGCCAATAGCCTGGCAACCACCAGAATGTGAGAGAGGCTGTCTTGGACCATCCAGCCTCAAGCGAACCACCAAATGACTGCAGAGGCATAAGTAGGCAAGACCAGCAGAACCACTCAGATGAGCCCAGCCCAAGTTGTTGATCCTCAAAATTGTGACCAAATAAAATGGTGGTTGTTTTCAGTCATTAAAGTTTTGAGTGGATTGTTACACAGAAATAGATCACTGAGGCATTTTTCTATGTACGCTATTGTTAACCTCCAGATCTTTCCTTGCTGTCTAAATCTCCTCTTAATATAATCAAGCACATACAACTTTCTGTTAATTCCATCATCTTAAAGATATTACTTCTGGAATCTTCTGGCCTACTCTAACTTGGACTCTTTCCCTCCCTACTCCTATTATATAACTGTCCTCCCCAGTCTTTCCCTTACCATCTTCCTGGGATCCCCTTTCTTAATGGGATGTAATAATTCTCTTCCATATTAGATTTCCTGTTTCCTAGATCCAATGTCTTTCTTTTTTTGGTTTACTACCCTGTTTTTGTGAAGGAAATCCTGCATTAGCCTTCTGAGAAAGGCTGCATAGAATGTAAATTTTAAGGCACTTCATGGTTGCAAATGTCTTCAGGTTATAAATTGTACTTCCTCATATTAATATTTTAATATATTTTCTCTGGGTGTAGGATGTAGAATTGGAAATGATTTACTCTTACCATTTTGAAGGCATTTCTCCATCATCTTTTAGCTTCCAGTTGCTGTTGAGAACTCTGATTCAATTCTGATTCTTCACCTTTTTAATGCAACCCACAGGTTTTTTTTTTTCCTCTTTGGAAGCCTTTGGGACCTTCTCTTTGTCCTGGGTTCTAAACTTTCACAATGGTGTGCCTGTATGTAGAGCCGTTTCCATCAGGCTTGATACTTACTTTATAAATTCATATTTTTCAGTTCTAAGAAATTTTCTTGAATTCTTTTCTTTGAAGATAGCATCTCCTTCATTTCTCTCTTCTTCTGGAAAGGCTATGATTCAGATGTTGGGCCCCCTGGACTGAGCCTTTAATTTTCTTATCAATTCACTCCTAATTTCCATTTCTTTGTCTTTTTTGCTCTACTTTCTGGAAACTTTCTTCATGCTTATCTTCCAACAGTCCTAATGCCTTTTTAACTTCTTCGCTTTCAATTCTCAGGAGCTTTTCTGCTTTTGTTTTGTTTTGGGGTTTTCCAAAAGTTATTTTAAAATATCATCTTATTCTTGCTTCAGGGATGCAAAATTATTTGGTAGAGCGCAGACTCTGAAGCCAGATTGCTTGCGTTTAGATCCAGCCTACACATTGCATAAATTTAGGTAACTTCTTTAATCTCTTTAGGCCTCAGTTTTCTCATCTGAAAAATGAAGATAATAATCCTACTTACCTTATAGGGTCATTGAGAAGATTAAATGAATTAATTCATGTAAAGGGCTTAGAATAGTATCTGCACATAGTAAAAATACTCAGTAAATTTCAACTATTATCACCATCTTATTTCTTTGATAATATTAACAATAGTTTTCTTTTTTCAGGTGTCTTTTCTCTGCATAGTGTTTGTCTCTACCAAGTTATGTCCTTTTGCTGATTGGCTTTGGCATCTCTTTTTCAAGTTAGAGGCTTCCTACAGGTGTTTGCTGACCCTTGGCTATCAGTTGATATTTAAGAGTGAGTATCAGTATTTTCAGACCTTTATGTTTGGGCTAACCAGAATCCTCAGAATAGGATACTCCAGTTTCCTTCCTAAGGGGTGGGTATAAGTCTGCCTGACATCATTCTGGGAGTGAGTGAAGAAGAGCATAGGTATTCCTGATATTTGGCATGTTAACTTCACTTACCTCTTTTTTCAGATGGTACTCACACTTTAACTCTGCCTGGTAACCTCCTGCCCAGAGATCTCCATTTTTATGCTGTCTAGGGACCATGCATCCCATGAGAAGGACAGTAGCAGATCTGTGTAAAATTGAGCAGGAAACCTGGAGTGTGGTCTTCTAAACAGACTTTTAACCAATTCTTTTATCTTCAGCCCCCCATTTACCTCTACTTCTAGAGGCATCTGGTGTCACTCATTTCTGGGCATTTGAGCAGTTCTATGCTGCATACGAGGTTCTAGGCTCTCTCCCCAACCTCAGTGCTTGCTTAGTGTTCATTTTCTCAAGTCTGCCAATTAGTTACTACTCTTTCACCTGCTTTCCATATTTTAAATTTTTCTTGCTTTGCCGCTTTGCCCATTTCCTTTGCCTTTGTGGCTTTGTCTTTTTAAACATTCACTTTTTGTTGTTTAGTGATATTTCAAGAGGATGCAGGGATAAATGTGTGTTCAATCCACCATCTTTAAACAGAAGTCTCCACTGAACTTTTATTTTAGATGCGAAGGTGTACTTAGAACTTCTACCTTGAATACCTTTAGTCAATTTGCACCTTTGTCTAACCTTTACCTCCACTAAATTGTAAACCTTTTGCATCCAGAGGTAGTGCTAATGGTTCCAAAGATACTGAGATAGAAGTTAGTGGAAGAAAGGAAGAAAAGATGCAAAGAAGGAAGGAAGGAAGAAAGGATAGAAGAAAGAAAGAAAGGAATGCTGTAAGATCCTGAAGTTGCAAAAATTATGCCAGATAAATAAGACAGTGATCATTTGATAAATTAGTTGGGCCTCAAGGGTTGCACTGATGCCTTACTTTCTACAACTCTCAGTGGCTAGCACATTAGGAGAGTCAGATATCCCACCAAATCCCACTTTTACCTCCTCTATTTCTGATAGTTTTCTGGGAAGCAAATTTCTCCAAAGCCTAGCTTCCTATGGCTATATTAATGTGAAATGTAATAATACATAACTGTAAACTAGTTTATGTGATTCCCAAATGAATGAGCAGGGGAAGGTAATTTATTATCAATTTGCATCAAATTTCAGTTAATGTAAAAAATGCAAAGCTTATTTTAATATACTTATTTCTGGGAAAGGCTTTCCATTAAATAGAGTGTCAAGTGGGGGTAACGATTTGCCTGGGGAAGAGTCTTTATGGTTTTGATGTCTGGGCTCCCTGGGAGAAATCACAGGCTCGTGGAAGGCTTTTTGGTCAGGCCCCAGGTTCAATGCACAGTAGAGGGTTGAGTTTTTTAACTTTCCTGCTGGCTGGTGAAAACATTGTGATGGATAATGACAATATGTCCAGTGGTCTCTTCTGGGATGACAGCAAGACAAGGACAAGGACTAACAGAAGGAATTGGGCATGGGAGGAGGCAGAATGTGTAGTCTCGATCTACAGAAGGGGTCAGCAAACCATGGCCCAAGGGTCAAATTCTGCCCACCACCTGCTTTTATAAATAACGTTTCATTGGAACATGGCCACACCCATTCCTTTATTTATTGTCTATGCCTGCTTTCATGCTACAATGGGAGAGTGAAATAGTTGTATCAGATACCATATGGCCTGCAAAAGTGAAAATACTTACTCTCTGGCCCTTTACACACAAAATGTGCAGACTTCTGGTCTACAGAATGGCTCTGCACCTATCTGAAAGAGTTTAGTTACAAGTGACAGAGTGTCCCAGTAACCTACTGATTTATAATAAAATACTCCAAAACTTAGTGGCTTAAAACAACAATGTTTATTTTTCCACTGAATCTGAAATTTGAGTGGAGCTTGGTGAGGAAGGCTCATCTCTGCTCCGTGTGGCATCAGCTGGAACTGCTCAGCTTGGAGTGGATGATCCACTTTCAAGGTGACTCACTCAAATGGCTAGCAAGTTGCAGTTGGCTGCCAACTGGGAGCTCAGCCAGGCTGAGGGCCAGGGACCTCAGTTCCTCTCCACGTGGGCCTCTCTACAGGCTGTTCAGGTTTCCTCACAGCCTGGAATCTGGGTTCTAAGGGCAGGAGTCCCAAGAGACAGGAAGAAGAAGATGACCTGTTCCTTAAGGCCTAGGCCCAGAAACTGACACAGACCTTCATTATATTCTATTGATCAAGTAGCCATACACCCAGACTCAACGGAAGGAGGCATAGACCTCCTACCTCTCAATGGAGGAGAGGTAAAAAAATTGTCAGGGGTCATCTTTTAAAAAAATTTATAGTGAGCCGAGATCGCGCCACTGCACTCCAGCCTAGGCGACAGAGTGAGACTCCATTTAAAAAAAAAAAATTATGATTAACATTATTTTTGATTGACAAATAATTGCATACATTTATGGGGTACAGTGTGATATTTGGATATATATATACAGCATGGGATGATTAAATCAAGCTAGTATATCCATCACCTTGCTTACCTATCATTTTCTGTAGTGAGACACTTGAAATGGATTCTTTATTTTGAAATATACAATACATTATTATTGACTATAGTCACCCTGTTGTGCAATAGATCTCAAACCCGATTCCTCCTGGCTATCTGGAACTTTGTACCCTTTGATCAACAATTCCACATTCCCTCCCTCCCCGCCCTCCCAACCTCCGGTAACCATCAATCTACTCTCTACTTCTATGAGTTCAACTTGATTAGATTCCACATATGAGTGAGGTCATGCGGTATTTGTCTTTCTGTGCCTGGCTTATTTCACTTAGCATAATGTCCTCCAGGCTCATCTACGCTGTTGCAAATGACAGGATTTCCCCCTTTTTAAAGGCTGAATAGTATTCTATTTTGTACACAGTTGGGCTTCCATGTCCATGGGTTCCACACCCTTGGATTCAACCAACTGCAAATTGAAATATTTAGAAATGTTTGGAAAAAGAAATTCCAAACAGTTCCAAAACACAAAACTCAAATTTGCCATGTGCTATTAAGTTGGTGCAAAAGTAACTGTGGTTTTTGCCATTACCACAATTACTTTTGCACCAACTTAATATGTTGAATCCACACAAATAAAGTGACATGTAGGCATTGTATTATATAATATAAATAATCTAGAAATGACACAAAGTATATAGGGAGATATGTGTAGGTTATATGCAAATACTTCACCATTTTATGTAAGGGACTTGAATTTCTGTGGATTTTCGTATCTGTGGGAGTCCTGGAACCAATCCCTCACAGATGCCAAAGGAGAACTGTATAAATCACATTTTCTTTATCCATTCTTCTGTTCATGGTGGTGGTGGGTCATGTTTTAAAACTGCCATACAGAGTAACTATGTAACAGTAGCCTAAGCAATACAGACTTTTATTTAATCTTCACGCCAAGAAGCCTGCAGGTAGGTGTTTACAAGGTTGGTCAAGCTCTCCGGTGATTTTTATCAAGAGCTACTCTTCTTCATCCTTCTGCTCTGCAATCTTTAGCATGTTTTTTCAACCTTTAAATCTGTCAGCTTATGGACATAAGACGGCAGTTACAGCACTAAGCTTTATGTTCCCACATAATAGTGTCCCAAGCAGGCAAGAAGAGAGTGGGTAGAAAAAATTCTTCTTGAAATGCTTTCTCTCTTTCTCTATCTTTTTAAAATAGGGTGCGCTATTGTGCCCAGGCTAGTCTTGAACTCCTGGGCTCTAGTGATCCTCTTGCCCCAGTCTACTGAGTAGCTGGGATTACAGACATGTGCCACCACACCTGGCTTGAAGTGCTTTCTCTTCTATCAGGAGAAAAAACTCTCTTTCTGAAATGCCCAGCAGACTTCCAATTATGACTCCTTATTTGGAATTGGGTCATGGGATCATTTCTTTCCCAATTGCTGGCAAAGAGGATTGGGATTCCCATTGCTGGATTACAGCAATGGGCCTCTGAGGCTTGGGGAGAGTCCTACCTTTCCTGCTCAGTTGCTGCCTGCCAGCAAAACCAGGCTTCTGCTAGCAAGGAAGAAAGGAAGAGAGGCCGGTGAGCAGTCAACCAGCAGTATCCGCTGTATTTGGGTATTGCCCAAGTTTTTCTTTCTAGTAACGGAGGTTTTGAAGCAGTGGGGCATCAAGATTGCGGCCAGGGGTCTGAGAAATGTGGTGGAGCTGGAACCTGCATGCAGAGGCCTTTGCTGACATGACGGACTTTGAGTTCTGGGACCAACCTTCAGCTAAAGATTGTCCAGGTG
Source organism: Homo sapiens (assembly GCF_000001405.40). NCBI lineage: Eukaryota > Metazoa > Chordata > Mammalia > Primates > Hominidae > Homo > Homo sapiens. Next base: position 39,703,194 of record NC_000023.11, on the reverse strand, counting down.
AAAGCCTCTTAGGTTGCAAGTTTACATTCTTTTTTTTTTTTTTTTTTTTTGTTGCCCAGGCTGGAGTGCAATGGCACAATCTCGGCTCATTGCAACCTCCACCTCCCGGGTTCAAGTGATTCTCCTGTCTCAGCCTCCCGAGTAGCTGGGATTACAGGCACTTGCCACCATGCCTGGCTAATATTTGTGTTTTTAGTAGAGACGGGGTTTCATCATGTTGGTCAGGCTGGTCTCGAACTCCTGACCTCAGGTGATCCGCCCGCCTTGGCCTCCCAAAGTGTTGGGATTACAGGCATGAGTCACTGTGCCCAGCCAAGTTTACATTCTTATGGCAAAACTTTTCATGAACACAGCTGTCCTGTGGGTTTGGGAATCCAACTATCTCAGCTGGTTGAAGTATCGCATGAGGCTCTGAAGCTGAGTAGTTTAAACAAGGTTTCCTAAATCCTGGTCCACAGACAGATACTAGAATCTCCCTAGAGATGCTTGTCAAGACAGATATTCCCACACCCCACCATCAGAGATTCTGATTTAAGGGGCTTGAGATGAAGCACTTCAGGGCAGAGATTGTGTAGCCTTGGGTGTCTTTAGCAAGTACCCCCAGGTAATTCTGAGGCCAAACAGGTTTGGGAACCTTTGGTTTATGATTCTAGATGCAATTACAGCCATCGGAATATGGAGAAACAGCTGGAGTAGAATTTTTGCTTAATGTAGTAAATCCCTGAAGGGGGAACTGCTTGCTAATTTTTGTGGTGTTTAGCTCCCAGGTGGATATGGGGACTGGGACTTCCCTGACATTTCCTGGGAACTACTGTTGTCCGTCTTCCAAGCAGGATCCTCTGCAGTTTTCCCTGGAACTTCTCAAAGGGGTAATTGTGATGTCACTCTATCCCGACAGTGCTCACGGTGGACGTGAGCAGCCTGCTGGCTTGGGGACTCCTAGGGTATCTTGGCGTGTTGGTTTTGTTTTGCCGTGGTAAAAAGTCACCACAGATGTAATGGCTTAAAACAGCACAAACTTATGATCTTATGGTTCTGGAGGTGAGAAGTCTGAAATGTTCTCAATGGGTCAAAATCAAGGGGCCAGCAAGACTGTGTTCCCTTCTGGAAGCTCCACAGAAGACTCTGTTTCCTTGCCTTTTCAACTTTCTAGAGGATGCCCACATTCCTTGGCTCGTGGTCCCTTTTCTCCATCTTTGCAGCCAGCAATGGCCAGTCAAATCCCTCCCAGATGGCACCACACTGACCTCCTCCTCTGCTTCCCCTTTTTCCTTAGCTAAGAGCCATGTGATTACATTGAGGACACCTCCAAAATGCCAGGAGACTCTCCCCATCTCAAGGTCCTTAACCTAACCACATCTGCAAAGTTTCTTCTTCCATATAAGGTAACATATTCACAGGTTCCAGAGATTAGGTCACGGACATCTTTGAGGCTATTATTCGGCCTATCACACTTGGCAATATGGCACTGCTAAGAGGCATAAAAGAAATGACTTGAATTTTATGGTTCAAGAGCCATTTCCTTAGTAGAATTGGCTTCTCTCGCTTGGGATAAACAAATTTTCTAGGAACATTCTGCTGAGGGCACCATGGCTTTCAGAATCAGACCAGGCCAGTTCTTTTTTTTTTTTTTTTGAGACAGAGTCTTGCTCTGTCACCCAGGCTGGAGTGCAATGTCGCGATCTTGGCTCACTGCAACCTCCGCCTTCTGGGTTCAAGCAATTCTCCTGCCTCAGCCTTCCAAGTAGCTGGGATTACAGGCCTGTGCCACCATGCCTGGGTAATGTTTTGTATTTTTTTTTTTAGTAGAGATGGGGTTTCACCATGTTGGCCAGGCTGGTCTCGAACTCCTGACCTCAGGTGATCCACCCGCCTTGGCCTCCCAAAGTGCTGGGATTATAGGCGTGAGCCACCGCACCTGGCACCAGAGTCAGGCCAGTTCTAAAGAAGGTTTTTATTCAAGACAATTCCTCCTTCCTGTGCTTGGGCAAAGGTGGGTTTGTGGCCCCTGAACATGGTGTGAAAGCAGGGAATTTTCTGTTGGAGAGTCATTTTGATTACATGTCATTTTCTATCTCAAACCTGGAGATAGCTCTTTAAGCACAGGGCATTTTATTGATGTTGTTTATTGATGCTGTTGTTGTTTAAATAATCAAAATAATTTTAAAACATTGCTCTTGCGGTCTGGAATTTTCTTCTATTTAGGGCTTTGTCACACCATAGCAAGCATACAAAATCTCTCTCTTTTCAATTTTGTTATTCCCATTTTTTCTCTTAGCACTGTCTGCTGCCTCTGTCTTCCTCAGGGTATACCAAGGAGACCCAGTAGCCCCTCAACAATGCAATGCTAGGGTTGGGGGGGTCCCCTTGATCTAGTTTAAAGTGAGGAATATTTTAAGGGCAGAAACAGTGCTTTCTGTCCTTGCTATCTCAAGATTTCTGGTTACTACGGCCTTCATCTATAGTAACCCAGATTCCTATCATAGATTATAAAGCTTCTGTTTCTGCGTCCGTACAATGAGGATAATAACACTATTGCAGTCACAATCGGCACCTTGCCCATATTTCCTTCTCCCTTGTACTTCAATGCACGTAGGACTGTCTTCTAACTGTTAGCATCTGCATCTCTTGGCTTCCTCAGGCACCAGAGCCCACTCTGCCTGCATGCAGCAGGCTAAGGAGCCAGTCCACAACTGGGAATAGGTAGATGCTTACCCTAGCCTGCTTGTCCCTTGAAAAGGGTAATTGAGGTACATGTTCCACAGTGTCTCCCAAAGCTCGCCTGCAAGATTGAACCCTAGTTGCCCATGGTAGTAAGTTTCTTGGTAACGCACCCATTAGTGACTGCCTTCCCTTCCCTGCCTCACCTCCCTACTCCTCTACTGGTGTCTTCTGGAATCTCCTCCAGATAACTGACTTGCCCTCACATCCTAATTTCACAGTCTCCTTTTGTGGTTTGGGGGCTCAGAACACAATACCCCAAAGTATAGTGCTTTGACCTGCTCAGTACTTTGAACTACAGGAGATTGGAAGGCCTCAGAAGCAAGATCTCTCTGACCTTACCCTACCTTCCTGTCCCTGCCCCTCTGTCTTCCTTGAAGTCAGTCATAGAAACCAGAGCCCCTCTCCACCAAAGCAAACCATACAACCGAGAAAGGTCACTCCTCTCTCCCTTATCCCTTGAAGCCCTCATTCCAGAGGGGTCCTGCCCCATGCTCAGGAGGAAGAAATGCTACTCAGAGAGGCCAAGAAAAAACGGAACAAACAGGCCTTGCTGGGATTCCCACCTAAGTCTATTACCATTAAATCATACCCTTTTGTCCAATCACATTTCTACACAGCTGCTGGTATGGTTTGGATCTGTGTCCTTGCCCAAATGTCATGTTCAATTGTAATCCCCAGTGTTGGAGGTGGGGCCTGGTGGGAGGTGATTGGATCATGGAGATGGATCCTTCATGAATGGTTTAGCACCATCCCCTCGGTGATGTTTTTTTTTTTTTTCCCTTTTTTTTTTTTGACGGAGTCTTGCTCTGTCGCCCAGGCCGGAGTGCAGTGGCGTGACCTCTGCTCACTGCAAACTCCGCCTCCCGGGTTCACGCCATTCTCCTGCCTCAGCCTCCAGAGCAGCTGGAACTACAGGCATCCGCCGCCACTCCCCCCCTAATTTTTTGTATTTTTAGTAAAGACGGGGTTTCACGGTATTAGCCAGGATGGTCTCGATCTCCTGACCTTGTGATCCACCCACCTCGGCCTCCCAGAGTGCTGGGATTACAGGCGTGAACCGCCGCGCTCAGCCTAGATGTTGTTCTTGTGATAGTGAGTGAGTTCTAGTGAGAGATGGTGGTTTAAAAGTTTGGGGCATCTCCCCCCATCTCCTGGTCCTGCTCCTGCCATGTAAGACACCTGCTCCCACTTTGCCTTCCACCATTAGTAAAAGCCCCCTGAGGTCTGCCCAGAAGCAGACGCCACCATGCTTCCTGTACAGCCTGCAGAACCATGAGCCAATTAAGCCTCTTTTCTTTATAAATTACCCAGTCTCAAGTATATCATTATAGCAATGCGAGAACATGCTAAAATACAGCTCCCCATTATTCATGGAGCCTAAGCAGAACAATAGTTTTCCCTGGGTCTTTGGGTCTTCATTTCCAAAGGCTCCCATGTTACATAAAATTTTGATTAAATAAATCTGTTATGCTTTTCTCTTGCTAACCTGTCTTTTGTTACAGGAGTGTGGGCTGTGACCCTTAAGATGGGTGAAGAGATATAGCACATCTTTCCACCCCTACAGGGGGAACCCAAATGAAGACAAATGCTACTGAATAGAACATACTGAATAGAAGATTAAACAAGAAAAGCAAGTAATGTTTACATTACAACCCCAGCAATAATCAGTGCTCAATAGATGTTGAGTGGGTTGAGTGTCATGGTTAAGAATGCGGCCTCTTGGCATGTCCTTTGAGCTGCCATTTACTAAACTATAACTCCAGGTCAGTTCTGTTATCTCTCTGGGCTTCACTTTCCTCATCTGTCAGATGGAGATAATCATAATGCCCCATGGGTTGTGTGAAGGTTAAAGGAAATAATAGACACAGAGCTCTCTGCATATTATAAAACTCAGTAAATATTAGCTATTTTTGTTGGGTTCCTTTTCCTACATGTGGGCCAATTGGATATTCCAGTCTCTTTTGCCTATAAAAGGGACTAAAGAAGAAAATCTCAATTCTGAAATCCTGTTGGGAAACACAGCAAGATGAGGATGGCAAATCATCTTAGATTATTGAAAATGTAGACTAAAAAGTTCAAAGAATTTTCCAAATAGAAGGAACGTCAGTGGTCAGCTTTGTTTCCAATAAGCTCAAGTACCTCCAGAAAGGGCCCCCCTGGATCATATAGGTGGCAGAAACATCAGCCTGGGTGGGAAATGGTCTCTTAGAACCAAGCTAGAGTCTCATGGACAGCGGATCATTGGAGGAAAGGCAATCAGTAAAATCAGACTGTGTACTATTGACAACACCTTCCCTAGTTTCCTTATTTTCCAGCCCCTTGTGTTTGCTAAAGGAGCTGAGAGACACAGTGAGCACAGACTCTCAGCTGCTGATATTTCCCTGGGGAAAAGGACAGCACGCGCGTGTGCACACACACACACAGGCTGCCAGCTTCTTACTTAAACAGAACCCAAAGCCCAGTTGAAGCTGCATCATGATTGATTACAGAAGAGGGAATAGGGGAAACCAGTGTGGCCAGCAGCCCCAAATCAAAACCAAATTGACAAGGCTTCCCCTGTGCTCTAATGTTTAAGTTGGGTACAACTATCTACCTCAATGCCATATGATGCAATCTTCCAAGTTCCTTGGCACTTGGTTTTGTCTGCTTTGCCCAAAGTGAAGTAAGCTTTCCAAGTAGACTTTGTTTTGACTCAATGTGGTCACTTAAAATGGATAATACAGACCCTACAGAAAATCCAGCCCTACAGAGTTCTTTTTGGTATTTGTGCTATAATAAACCATCATTCATTCATTCCTTCAAAAATCATTTGTTGAGCATCTATTATGTGGTTCTGTGAAAGTTTGGCTTCTCCAGAAGCTGACCCTGAGACAAGGATTTAAATGCAGGTACAAGTATACCTTGTTTTATTGTACTTCACTTTATTGCACTTAATAGATAATGCATTTTTTTAAACAAATTGAAGGTTTGTGGCAATCCTGCACTGAGCAAGTCTATCAATGCCATTTTTCCAACAGCATATACTCATTTTGTGTCTCTGTGTCACATTTTGGTAATTCTCACAATATTTCAGACGTTTTTATTATTATTAAATCTGTTATGGTGATCTGTGATCAGTGATCTTTGATGTTACTATTATAAATGTATTGGGGCACCATGAACTGTGACCACATAAGATAGCAAACTTAATCGACAAATGTTGTATGTATTCCTACTGCTTCACCAACTGGCCATCCCATCTCTCTCCCTCTCCTTGGGTCTCCCTATTCCCTGAGATACAACAATATTGAAATTGGTCCAATTAATATCCCTACAGTGGCCTTTAAGTGTTCAAGTGAAAGGAAGAGTCACATGTTTCTCTCTTTAAATCAAAAGCTAGAAATAATTAAGTTAATTGAGGGAGGCATGTTGAAAACCAAGATAGGCCAAAAGCTAGGCCACTTGCACCAAATAGCCAAGTTGTGAACACAAAGGAAAAGTTCTTGAAGGAAATTAAGTGCTCCTCCAGGGAACACACGAATGATGAGAAAGTGAAACAGCCTTATTGCTGATATGGAGAAAGTTTTATTGGTCTGGATAGAAGACCAAACCATCCATAATATTCCCTTAAGCCAAAACTTAATCCAGAGCAAAGCCCTAACTCTTTTCAATTCTACGAATACTGAGAGAGGTAAGGAAGCTGCAGAAGAAAAGTTGGAAGCTAGCAGAGGTTGGATCATGAGGCTTAAGGAAAGAAGCCATCTCCTTAATATAAAATAAAAGCACAAGGTGAAGCAGCAAGTGCTGATGGAGAAACTGCAGCAAGTTCCAGAAGATCTACTAGCTAAGATCATTGATGAAGGTGAATACACTCAATGACAGATTTTCAATGTAGACAAAACAGCCTTCTATTGGAAAAAGATGCCATCTAGGATTTCCATAGCTAGAGAGGAGAAGTCAATGCCCACCTTCAAAGTTTTAAAGGACAGGCTGACTCCCCTGTTAGGGGCTATTGCAGCTGGTGACTTTAAGTTGAAGCCAATGCTCATTTACCATTCCCAAAATCCTCTCCTAAGAATTATGCTAAATCTAGTCTGCCTGTGTTTTGTAAATAGAAAAGAAAGCCTGGATGACAGCACATCTGTTTATGGCATGGTTTATTGAATATTTTAAGCCCACTGTTGAGACCTACTGCTCAGAAAAAAAGATTCCTTTCAAAATATACTGCTCATGGACAATGTACCTGGTTACTCAAGAGCTCTGATGAAGACGTGTAAGTAGATTAATGTTTTTATGCCTGCTAAGACATCTGCTCTGCAGCCCATGGATCAAAAACTAATTTTGATTTTCAAGTCTTATTATTTAAGAAGTACATTTTGGCCAGGCGTGGTGGCTCACACCTGCAATCCCAACACTGGGAGGCTGAGGGGGGCAGATTGCTTGAGGCCAGGAGTTCGAGACCACCCTGGCCAACATGGTGAAACCCCATCTCTACTAAAAATACAAAAATTAGCTGGCTCTGGTGGCACATGCCTGTAATCCCAGCTACTCAGGAGGCTGAGGCAAGAGAATTGCTTGAACCCGGGAGGCAGAGGTTGCAGTGAGCCAAGACCATGCCACTGCACTCCAGCCTGGGTGACAGAGTGAGCTCCATCTCAAAAAAAAAAAAAAAAAACCATTTCATGAGGCTATAGCTGCCATAGATAGTGATTCATTTGATGGATCTGGGAAAAGTAAATTGAAAACCTTCTGGAAATGATCCACCATTCTAAATGCCATTAAGAACATTTGTGATTCATGGGAAGAGGTCAAAATATCAACATTAACAGGAGTTTGGAAGAAGTTGATTCCAACCCTCATGGATGACTGAGGGGATTAAGACTTCAATGGAGGAAGTAACTGCAGATGTGGTGGAAATAGCAAGAGAACCAGAATTAGAAGTGGCATCTGAAGATGTGGCTAAATTGCTGCAATCTCATGATCAAACTTTAACGGGTGAAGAGTTGCTTCTTATGGATAAGCAAAGGTGGTTTTTTTGAGATGGAATCTATTCCTGGTAAAAATGTTGTAAACATTGTTGAAATGACAACAAAGGATTTGGAATATTCCATAAATTTAGTAGATAAAGCAGCGGCAGGATTTGAGAGGATTGACTCCAATTTTGAAAGAAGTTCTACTGTGGGTAAAATGTTATCAAAGAGCATCTCATGCTACAGAGAAATCTTTCATGAAAGGAAGAGCCAATCCATGCAGCAAACTTCATTGTTGTCTTATTTTTAAAAATTTTCACAGCCACCCCAACCTTCAGCAACCACCATCCTGATCCCTCAGCAGCCATCAACATCAGGGAAAGACCCTCCACCAGCAAAAACATTATGACTCACTGAGGGCTCAGATGGTCATTAGCATTTTTAGCAATAAGGTATTTAGCATTTTTTAATTAAGGTTTTATTTTATTTTATTCTATTTTATTTTGAGGCAGGGTTTCAGTCTGTCTCCCAGGCTGGAGTACAGTGATGCAATCATAGCACACTGTAACTCCTGAGCTAAAGGCATCCTCCAGCCTTGGCCTCCCAAAGTGCTGGGATTACAGGCATAAGCCACCATGCCTGGCCGTAAAGTAAGCTACGTACATTGCACATAATGCAACGCACACTTAATGAACTACACTATAATGTAAACATAACTTTTATATGCATTGGGAAACCAAAAAATTTGTGTGACTCGCTTTATTGCAATATTCACTTTATTGCAGTGGTCTGGAACCAAACCCACAATATCTCCGAGGTCCACCTGTACTGTAGTTTATTTGGGAGATGATCCCAGGAAACACTGATAGGGGAGTGAGCGGGCAAGTGAGACAGGGAAGAAAAGAAAGGCAGGCAACAAAGAGTGTGTTATCAAGCTTACTACCATGAGGGAAAATGGAGTTTAATACCACTTGAGGAATTTTGAAGACAATGTCAAACATGAGCCTCAGTTTTGCCCTCCAGGGAGGGAGGCACAGGGGTATGCCCACTTCCTTCAGACATTGTTGGAGGGCTGTTAGGAAGGGCATTCATTTTCTAGCATTTCCAGCCTTCCACAGGAACAGCAAAGTGGGCTCTGGAAGCCAGAGGAAACACTCAGGCAAAGATGGAGATGCTGCCTGTTGCAATTGGAGAGATTTGCACTGAAGTGGTAAAGGCTGGGGGCCACAGGTTGGCACCAACAGCATCTGCTGGATTGAGTCTCATACAGTGTTAGGGGCTCAGATTGCAGGTGTAGAAGACACCAGCCCTGTCTTCAAGGAGCTAGCAGTTTGCAGAAGACAATAGTACATTTGATGGCTACAATGGAATATGACGGGTGCTTTGGCAGAAGCAAGCCCAGGATGCTATGGGGACAGGGTGTGATGAGGGGGAGTCCAGAAGACAGGCAAGGGGATGCTTCCTGGAAGAGATGTGGCTGATTTGAGTCTTGCAGGCTGAAAAGGAGGTGCCTGGGAAAGTTAAAAAAAAAATTCTAGGTAGGGGGACTTGTGTATGCAAATGCAGGAAGGTGCAGGAGGGCATTTTGATAAACGTCTTTTATGTCTTGTTTTCCATAGCATGCATTCTCTTTTACCAAGAGAAACCTTTCTTCAGCTCTACACTGTCCACCATACCCATTATTGGATGTCTAAGGCACTCAACAAATTCTATTATTTTATGCTGGATGTATGGGGCTATCCGTTAGTATCTGACAGTTATTACCCAGAAACTAAATGAACCTTGGAGTGAATATTTTCTTTTCCTTAAAAAAAATAAAATAAGAAGAAAAGGTGAAATGTCAGAGAAAAGAAAAAATATTTTAAGCCATGAATCTTCACAGATGCATGGCATGCTTTTAAAAAAAAAACATGAAAAGATGTGAATTTGAGATGGGGCTAGGATGCATTCCCAAGACCAGCGTGTATGTCTCCCAGACGCCTGCAAATGGCTTATCAAAGGCTCCAGCTGCGGGCCGGCCTCATTTGTCAAAGGCCTGACATCTGATGACGTCATAGCGCCAGAAACTCTCCTGGGCCTGACTTAGAAAGGTGTGTTATGAAAACAGGGACGGGCACTCTCTCTCAGTCCACACCCCCCACCCTTCCCACCAGATTCATTTTTATCACCACCTGCTTCTTTTCTGTATAGTGGATGGCTTGATGAAATTGCTCTATTTGATGGTGGCTTAAGTCCCTTAAACACGAGATTAAAAAATATGCTAAAAGTCTTAACGAGCCTTGGGCCAAATCATGAAGCAGGTAAAGTCTGTCTTCCTTCTTCTGTGCTTGTCTGTTTTCTGCCTCTTTGATGGTGAATAAGGTTCAGCTGTGCTGGGAGCTGGCGTGAAAAGTTGACCAGATATTTTTTTTCTACGAGACTAGGGAATTGCTGTTACCCCAACACAGATGGATTTGCATCTTCAAAGAGAACCGTGGGTGGGGAGCAATGCTTAACACAATGGAATGCCTCAATCATGGAGGAAATGTAGGCACAGTGGGAGCTGGATTTTCTGGCTCCTTCCAAATCACACCAGATAGATGACTATCTTGTTTGCCAATTGTGCAGGGGAAGTGGCTGCCACAAATGTGGCCAGGTATTAATCTCGGGTGTTAGAGGTCTGGATCATCTTGGGGATGGGTAGAACTGCAAGGGGGCAGGGACTTCTAGGTGCTGGTCATGTTCTGTTTCTTGATCTGGGTGTGGGTTGTGTGGTTTGCTTGCGAAAATTCATCACATATAAAAACTAATCATATGAAAAAGTTCACTTTCAAAAAGTGGCTTTGGAGTCTGGGAAAAGAAGACTTGGTTCTGGGAGTGTCTATTCTTTCCATTGCACTATGCCAGATGTTTATGGGTTACTGCCTTTAATGCTCACAACAGCCCTATGAGGTGGGTCCAATAATTATGTCCATTCTGCAGATGTGGGCATCAAGTCATGGAGAGGTTTGATCTGTTGCCCGACCACACAGCCAGTTAGCAATAGAACAAGGATTCAAACTCAAGTCTTCTAACTAGAAAGTCTCTGTTCTTTCCAATGCAGTGTAGGGGTAGAGGTTTGCCTCCCTAAACACCTTAGGTAGTTACAGGAAAATCCTAGTTTGCTCAGGGCCCTGAGAGGGGTCTGTATTTATCTGAGATGATTGTTAGAGGGTGAAGGCTTGGATAGTGACAGCTGGGGCTGGAGGACCATGATGGGCAAGGTTAAGGTTTCACATCCTAGAGTGGTGACAGTGACCAGAGCTTGAAGAGGAACTGATGTGTGTGGGGAGGGACCCAGGGAGGAATGGTGAGCTGGCTCAGGACACAGTACAGGGTGAGTCCAGTTGGGGCATGCCAAGGGTCTCATGTTGAGAAGACTCAGTGTGGTGGTTTTGATCTGAAATGGAAGGAATCCTTGGAACCCTGTGTCTTCAAAAACCGAAGACGTGGAGGGATGTTTTTGGCCCTCTTGGACCTACAACTGGGAGCAAGAAATGTGGGCAAGGAAGGTGTATACTTTACAAAGATGGCTATAAATATAGCTGCCTTCTCACATGGTCTTCTGCAATGTGACCTGCCACTCATCCATCAAGTCTGTCTTCACTCCTTTGAATCTGGTGAGGCCCTGTGACTCTTTTGACCAATGGAGTATGATGGAAATGAATCTATACTTGTTCCTGGTGTAGCCCTTAATTGGCCTGGTGGCTTCCTCTTCCTGCCTCTCGAAACTCTTGATTTTGGGACAGGGACACATCCTCTCAGAATCCACCACCATGCTGTGAGAAGCCCAAGCCACATGAAGGTGCTCCAGTTTTCAGCCCCAGCTGAGCTACCGGTCAACAGCCAGAATCATCCACCAGCCACGTGCATGCACCGTCTTGGACACCCAGCCCAGTCCAGCCTGCAGATGACTGCAGCTGCAGCTGCCTGAGAGACCCCAAGTAAGAACCATCCAGCTGAGTCCACTAAATTCACAGAACCCAAGAGATAATAAGAATTGTTTTAAGTCATTAAGTCTTCGGATGGTTTATTACACAAGAAGAGATAATGAAAGCCAAGGGCCTCAAAAGATTGGAGCTCTGGAGTGCTGAGAGTGCCAACCGGGGGTATAAGAGGGAAGAAATCAAAGGAGGCTTCAAGTGGAGTCAGGCTTACATTAATAAGAATGCCAGCAATGTCATGAGCCTGGAGACCTGAGTTGCAGACTTGGCCCTGCCCATTACTAGCCCCCAAATCTCCAGCAAGTCACCACTTTCCTGTGCCTTGGTTTTCTCATCTGTAAAATGGAGCCGATTCATTCAACAGAGTATTGTATATGGGTCCTAATTGGGGCAGGCAATACAAAGATCAGTGCTGATCAGCCCCTGAGATCTTGTGCACATTCTAAGACAAAACTAGGCACTGTGAGAAAGTTTGCATAGAAACGCACGTAAGTGTTAATTACATGCAAATCCTTTAGACCAGTGCCTAGCACATTCTAAGTGCTCAACATATGTCTGCCGTCATTATTATGCTATGCCTGCAATTTATTTCTCTGAATAGCACTTATGCCCTGATTGCAGCTTTAAAGGCTAACTGGGTACAACTACTTTGGAAAACTCTTTGGCAATAAAGTTAAACATATACCTACCTTATGACCTAGCGATTCCACTCCTGGGTGTGTATACCCAACAAGAATAGGCCCTTGTATCCACCAAAAGACATATAATAAAGAACAACGCTCATAACCACTTCATTCATAACAGCCCCAAGTTGGAGGCAATCCAGATGTCCATCAAAAGTCAAGTGGATACATAAATTGCCGTATAATTCTACAATGGAATACCACTCGGTAATTAAAAAGGATGAACTACTGTTTTATGCAATAGCATGGATGCAACTGACATTGAGTGAAAGAAGCCAAACACCGACGAGCGCAGGCTGCATCATTTCGTTTATAAAAATAGGCAAAACTGATTTATGGTGACGGAGATCAGAAGAGTTGGGAGATGTTGACTGATTGAGATACGCAGAAACCTTTTGGGCTGCTGGCAATGTTCCATATTTAACCTGGGTGATGATGATGCAGATATATACATATGCGCAAATGAATCAAGCAGTGCACTTAATATGTGCAGTTACACTTAATATGTAAGTATATACCTCAATAAAAAAGTAAATAAAAAGGGGGAAAAGCTCTCTGTGGGTGGGCTGCTCCCAGGTGGCCACTGTGGTGGGAGCTGGGCAGGAAAGGGAAAGGTTCTAGCTGGGGACTCTTTGAAAGAAAAATGACCTTTTTTCCCTTAAGATGTGGTAGTCCCTATTAAGTCAAGTGACCCTGGAAGCCACTGGGACACTCCCTCTCTGGGGCTGTCCTAGGCTGCTTGTGATACCCTAAGGCTGTGCTGGGGCCAGTGTGGGGCTCCCCCATGGACCCCCAAGTCCCTGAGGTGTGGGCCCTTCCTTCCACAGGCAGAACCTCAGCTCCCAAGTCTGAGAAGCCACGATTGAAAGGGCGGCCACGAAGGATCCTGTTAATGCTAAGCATTAGTGACTTCAAGAACCCAGAACGCAGCTAGGGAACAAAGCACCGGCGGGAATGGAGACGGAGCCGGGCTCAATGGAGATAAGCGAAAGTTGAGCATGGAGGCACAAGGGCCAGTTTGTTGTAGAAATCCTGACAATTGAGTACTGCACCGCAGGAAGCGGGACCCGCTCCTGGAGCCGGGGTCCTCGGGCCAGTGATGGCAGCAGGGCGGGCTTCCAGGAGGGGGAGTCGACGGGGGTACTGGCTGGAGAAAGGCTTCCCTCTGTCCCCTATTCCTGCCCCTATTTTCCTTAAAGCTCCGCTGGCCTCTGTCACTTCCCGCACACAGTCCTGGAAAGGGGGTTTCTCGGAGCCAACAACAGAGCATCCCCTCCACCCCCACCGAGGGGCTACCGCGCCCTTCGATACACAAGTGTAGCTCGGGGCCGGCAGAGCGAGGCGGATTGAGTATAATTAATTTAGAAACCAGGGTGGGTTTTATCACCATCTATGCTGGAGCAGGTTTCGCAGCTGCCTGAGGGCTTCCCTAAGAGAGCTCTCTGGCATCGGACCCCGGGGGTGCCCCCCCACCACAACAACGGTGGCCGTGCCCCAGGGTCGCCTGGGTCCCCTGCAGCGCAGCGAAGCCCCCAGGGAGCCGCCTCCTTCTGCCCTCCTGCCCGCGCGTTCTGTCCCTGGCATTTCTCCGGGGACGCGGGGGCGGCCCGGGGGCAGCCGCAGGCCTTGGCACGGCCGCAGGGTAATTGGAGCGCGCCGGGGACGGGATAGGGGAGGGAGAGGGGAGGAGGAAGGGATGCCCCTCAGGGCGCCGGTCCCCGCCACAGCCCGGGAGGGGGCGGCCGGGACTCGGAGAGCCATCCCGGGGTCCGCGCGGCCACGGAAGCTCCCTCCCCGGCTCCGCGCCGGAGCCCTGCCGCGCCCTCCCCGCGGCTCCGCCCGCTCATTAGCGGAGGCCGGGCCGGGCCGTTCGCCTCCTCCGGCCGCCAATTACCCGCCCTGCTGGCTCCGAGCGCGCCGCCGGGCCAGACAAAGGCGCGGGCGGGGGAGGGGAGAGGAAGGGAGGGAGCCCGGGGCGCCCGCGCCTGCAGAGCCGCGGCGGCGGCGAGATAAGGGCGGTTGGGACGCGCCGCGCTCCAGATGGAAATGAATCCAGCGAGCGGGGCCGGCGAGCGAGGCGCCGCGTCGGGCAGGGGCGCGGAGGTCGGACGCGGCTCGCCCCTTAGGACCTACGTTTTTAACGCGACGACACCATATGGGACCTCCTGTCCCTGGTCGCCCCCACCCCTGGGGGCCAGCCGCTCTGGCCCTGCGCTGCTGTGCGTTTGCAAAGTGCTGGAGCGAGGCGCGCCACGTGCCTTGTGCCTAACGCACCGCAGCTCCCTAAACCTCGCTGCAGAGCTGCGCTCAGCACAGTGCAGCTAACCAAAGCCTTCTGTGCTAAACCCCCAGGCCCAGACAGGTTCCGAGCCTTTCCCAAGCAAAGCCGAGCTGAGAACCTGGGTCTGGGGTGTAAACAGCGTCGCGCCTTGGTAGCCTAGCTTCCGGGCCTCTTTGATGATTAGGCAATTTTTTAAAAATTGGAAAATGAGGCACAGAGAGGTGAGATGATTTATTAACAGCTCCTCAGATTTGTGGCAGCATCTAGGGCATAGTTCGTGGTCTTCTAACATTTTAAATATCCTGACTTTTTCAGGAAAAGAAAAACACACCACAATCTTGCACTCTGATATTTTCAGGTTCTAAAGCCCCTTCGCAGAGTCCTTTCCACCAGAGTCTCTTTCTATGAGAGAGAAGACAGTGTCTGGGGGCCTCCTGACCAACCACAATTATTTTGAGGAGATTTAATTCTTTAGTTTGCATACTGAAAACCATAGGTACATATTTTTTCATTATCCAAACCTATGACTATTATGCTGAATTTGAGTGGGAATTAGCAGAATCACTTAGCCAGGGAGGACCCAGGTCTTTGGGGCTGAGTCTGTGAGGTGCCCATCCCTATCTTAAGCCTCTTTTCCTGGGCAGGGTCTGGGAGCATTCTAGGGTGTGAGGGAATTTCCTGTTATTCTTCCCTGACGTCTGTCACCTTGGCTCCAAGGAGCTTTAAGAGACAACTTCCCCTTCAATCCAGTGCAGGGGACAGGGGTTGCAGTGCAGAGACAGTCAGGGTAGGGGTCAGGGAGACTCGGGCCTCAGGGCACGCCTGTGGGATGAGATGTAGACTGCCCCAAATGAAGACAAATGTTCCTCAATAAAGCGCCATTCCCAAGGGCCCCCCCTTGCTGCCTGCTGTCAGCCGCAGTTTAGGGCCCCTGAGGTCAAGGGCTTCCTCCCAGCCCCCCAGGCTACTTAGCTCTGCACAGAGAATAGCCAGTGGGGGCCTTGGCCTCCTCTTTCTCACAAAGGCAGCCTCAAAGACCAGGCATTGGGCCAGAGAGAGAGAGAGAGAGAGAGAGAGAGAGAGAGAGAGAGCAAGCCTGAGAGGCTCAGGCTCAGTGCAAATCATTCTGTCCTCCCTGTGGGGATGATATCTCCATGAGCTAGCCCTACAGGACGCCATGCATCTGCAGTGGTAGTGGCAGAGAGTGTGTGTGCTTGAGAAGGGGCCCTCTTTCATGAGGACTCCTTTCTGGGGGCCTGGGAGAACCTGCCTTACAGAGCAGTCATGTGTACCTGGGGGTTCCCAGCCACCAGGAGACCCTGTCCTGGGTCATACTCAAGCTGGCCTGCTCAAGCCAGGCCGTAGCAGCTGTTAAAATATCAAAATCCGCTGTGCTCCTTGGTAAACAGCCTCAACTCCCCAAGTACCCCTCTCCCAGGCCCTGCCGCTCTGCCCCCACTGCCCCCTCCGCCTGCCCCTCCATCCAACAATGAAAAGGTTAACAGCAGGTACAGCAGGGGAGCTTCAGGACCCCCGTCTCAGTCTACTTCCCTCCTGATGGGTCAGTGGGGATGACAGGCTGTCCCTGGACCTGGTTTTTACCAAAAGTATTCAATGGCCAATTGGTGATCTATTGGTGAACTTGAGAGACCTCACCCTCAAATATTCCTTCCACGGAGGCTCCAAATATCTCTCCCATGATTCCATTGTTTGTGTATTAATCTTTGGCCTCCCTTATGGTCCTGTTTTCAATTGTTCTTTACATCTTAGTCTTTGTAAATCTTGTGCCTTGGGGATGAGGCAGCCAGGGAAGAGTGGGTGCCAAGAGGGAGGGGCGGTATACCCACCTGCCCTCACCGGCCTGCCCAGCTGGAAGACATGGATGCTGCCGTCTGACTGGGAGGGGCTTTGTGGAGGGGGGGAATGGGGAACTTCAGGTCTGAGGTTGGAGTGTCACAACGGTACAGAATAGGCCAACCTGGTCCTCAGCACCCTAGCCTAGGTGCTTTGGTGAATCTGAAGCAGCTTCCACACCCCTTTCCAGGGTTTGGTCATGGCCAGCTTTGGCTGTGTTGAGAGCAGCAGGTGGCTCTCGACACCTTCCCACATGCCTAGACTGCAAAAGGGAGGCAGAGGGACCCTCGACTCATCACTGCTGAAGGTTCCTGAGCTGGGGAACATGAAGCTGGCCCCATCCTCCTTCAGAGAATGTCCTGTTGGAGCAGGCAAAGCCACATGGTCAGTTCAGGCCCAGAATGTATACTTTCCTTCCTTCCTTCCTTCCTTCCTTCCTTCCTTCCTTCCTTCCTTCCTTCCTTCTTTCCTTCCTTCCCTTTTCCTTCCTCATTGCCTCCCTTCCTCCCTCCCTGCCTCCCTTCTTTCCTCTCTCCCTCCCTCCTTCCTTCTTTTTTTTCTTTGTTTCTTGACGAGGTTTGCTATGTTGCCCAGGCTGGATTCAAACTCCTGGGCTCAAGCGATCCTCCTGTCTCAGCCTCCCCAGTAGCTGGGATTATAGGCATAAGTCACCATGCCCGGCAAGAATACACCCTTTTCAGAAGTCAGCTCAGAATGCCCTCTGCCACTCTAGGGTTCTTAGAGGGCCTGGAGCATCTGATGGGTTAGGGGGCTTAGCTCCTAGAGCCTGTCCTGAATTGTTCCTAGGTTGAAACCCCCGCACCCCACACCCCCACTTCCTAGCTGTGTCCCCTTGGGTCAATTGCTGAACTTCTCAGAACCTGTTTTCTCATCCATATAATGAAGATAATAAAAGTACCAACTTCCTAATATTGTTGTGAGGATTAAATAAGGTAATGCATCTACATTTAAAACTGTGTTGAAACAAGGTAATTGCTCATTCAGTATCCCTTGTTACTTCTTTTCTTTCTTTGTTCCTGGCCCATAAGATGCAAATGCTACCTTTGTCACCAAGGTGGCTGCAGTCGTGCTGTATGTCCCCAGGTCAAGACGTGCAGCTGCTTCATTAATTGTTCCCTTAAGCTTTTTGCTTCTGTTCTTGGGAACTTGGGGAAAATCAGTGGAGCCAACCCAAGGGAGACCGGTGGGGAGAAGAAAGAGGTGGGGAGAAGAAAGACTTAAAACAGCTTTCTGAGGACCCATCTTGAAACATTCAGGTGAGAGGCACTGAATTCTAAGTACACCTCACATATGGGGCCATCCACGTTTCTTCTTGAGTATGTATCTCAAGAAAATAAATAGAATGATACTTTTGTGGTGCTTGTGGGGAAATTCTAGATGGATAACAGGACTGCCTTACATCAGGACTTATTTATTAGAAACGTTGCTTATCAGAAAGGTCCCTGGGAAGTTGAGTTAATTTGGAAATTGAAAATTTGGAAACTGGGTTAATTTATTTGGAGCCCCAAACAAACCAAAACAAGAAAGTGGCTCTTTCCATGTCACAGATTCATGCATTTTCTTTATTGAACATCTTGTTTTGGTGCTGTACAATTCCTTGTTTATTGCTTTAGCTTGATGGGAAGGCACTGAGTGACTTGTGGCATTTTAATGTTGATGATGATAAAATAAAAACTTCAGCCGAATTAAATTTAAAGGAGTTTAATTGAGCAATGAATGATTCGCGAATTGGGCAGCCCCCAGAATCACAGCAGATTCACAGGGACTCCAGGCATGCCTCATGGTCAGAACAAATTTATAGACAAAAAAGGTAAAGTGACGTACAGGAATCGGAAGGGAGGTACAGAAACAGTGAGATTGGTTACAGCTCGGCATTTGCCTTATTTGAAGGCGGTTTGAACATTCAGCAGTCAATGAGTGGTTGATGTATGGCCGCTGGGATTGGCCATCACCCAGCCATTGTTACAGGTGCATACTATTAAGTTAGGTTTTCAGTTTTGTCTGGTTACTAAGCTAGGTTACAGTTCATCCACAAGGACCCAAATATAGAAGTACAGAGTCCTTCTCAGGCCATATTTAGTTTGCTTTAATAATGATCATCTTGGGAACTTATGGGATGTCTGGCTTGTGTAACTTTCTCCTTCCATGCCCAGGTGGGAACATGACAGTGCTACGTGAGCAGTTTTTTGTGGTTTGATTAAATCTCTTTTGTCCCTGATAGTCACCGATTTTTTTTGAGACGGAGTTTCGCTCTTGTTGCCCAGGCTGGAGTGTAGTGGCGTGATCTCGGCTCACGGCAACCTCCTCCTCCCAGGTTCATGCCATTCTCCTGCCTTAGCCTCCTGAGTAGCTGGGACTACAGGTGCCTGCCACCACACCTGGCTAATTTTTTGTATTTTTAGTAGAGATGGGGTTTCACCATGTTGGCCAGGATGGTCTCGAACTCCTGACCTCAGATGATCCACCTGCCTCAGCCTCCCAAAGTGCTGGGATTACAGGCCTGAGCCACCACGCCCGGCTGTCACTGACGTTTTAACCTTACCCAGACCTCATGAAGGATAGGCATTAATTGCAAGAAAGGACAAGAGACGTTTGAGGCAAAGGACAAGTGATTCAATTTCAAAACCACTAGGGCAGATCCCAGGCCCCCACCCTCTGGGCACTTGCTCCTGGGTCCTAGAAAAGAAAAGGAAGAGGGCAGTAAGGTTTCCTCAAGTGCTCATTTGTGGGTTGAAGGAACCCACTAAGAGAGAGAAGTTTGCCAAGCAAATGACTACATAAACAACTTTCCAGGGGGCCTATTTAAAATGCTCAGGGGAATAAATTGTTTTAAAGCATTTAAAAAACACCATTTACATACAATTAATATGTAGATTGCACAGCGTTCTTATTAATTCATTATAGCAAGGACTTCCGCATAGCAAAACAGCCTTTCAATGTTTAGTTTCTGATATAGCATGAACCAAGAAATTATATAATCACTATATGTGTGTATGTGTATACATATCTATATAATTTAGCACCCTTTAGTAAATCAGACCTCATTTCTAAGCATCCATACGGTGCTTTATACAAACACACCCTTTGCATGCAGGGTGGAATGAAGGAGATTTTATTTTACATCCTTATAACCCCAGAGCCCTGGTTTGGTATCACAGTAAAGGTTCATGACTGAGCGAGGCACTTTATAATCAAGATATACTGTGTGAGAAATGTAGATGCAAGCATTTAGCAGAAACCCTATTTTTTACTGAGTAGGGTGGGTAGCAGAAGGGTGACAGTTAGTGGGGACCTACAGTAGATCAGTGAATGCCAGTGACAGACATCTGTGGAACTTTCATCAGGGCTCACCAGGAAATGTGGTCTTGACCTCTCTCACGGGAAACTAACGGAATGTTTTATTTCTTCATTGCTGAGTAACAAACTACCCTAGAACTCATTAGTTTAAGGCAAAAATGATTTTTATTATTTTTGATGACTCTGCGGGGTTTAGTGCTCAGCTGGGTGGATCTTCTGCTGGTCTTGCTTGGGGTATCTTGTGTGGCTGAAGGCAATGGTAGATGGGACTGGACTGTCTGAGATAGCTTCATTCACATGCCTAGCTCTTTGGCCGGCATGGTTAGAAGGCTGGGGTCTTCCACATGGTCTTTCTAAAGGGCTTGGGCTGCTTTGCATGGTGGCTGGACCCCAAGAGTGTTCCAAGAGAACAATGTGCACATGCTTCCGCCTGCATCGCTTTTTCTAAGGCCCCATTGGTCAAAGCAAGTCATATGGCCAGGCAGAGTCAGAGTGGGAGGGGACTACACAAGGGGGTGAATACTGGGAGTTGTAGTTTACAGTGAGCCACCAAAATAACCATCTACCACAAGGGGACTACTCTGTCCTCTTATAGGTTCTTATTTTCATCCTGTGTTCTATATTGTCCCATCCCTTCCTCTCTCCCGTTCCCCGTATTTCCCCATTAGAAGCAGATGTGGGGTGAGGAGGACAGCACAGTGGTCAGTATTTGATGATGGTGGTGTAGTCATTTCCCCCTTCATCATCCCATCTCCTCTGCCAGAATCTGGGACAAGCTGTCCTTATTTCTGAACTTATTCCGTCCCCACTCCTCCCTGAATGTAAAGGGTTATACAATATACAGACAGACTGAGCAGGCAGGATGGATTTTTCTTAAGATTCCAAGTCAGATGTTTTAATATTTCACTGAGCCACTGCAGAAAGCCCTTCATTATGGGATGGAAATGCTTGGAAAATGGCCTTCTAATTAATGTGAAATGAGAGAGTGCCCCTCAGAGCAAGGGGGACTTGGCAGCTGCGAGGGTGATGTTAGTATGCCAGCACTTCCTGGGCGGGGTGATTGGATGGGGCCCGATCCCCGGATATATTTGCCTTGTGGAGCCCATTCAGCATAAATCCTGCCATAGGGCCAGGCTGCAGACAGCAAATTGAGAACCTTCCACAGCTCACTGAGTTACTGCTTCCCAGAAATTGCTGAAGCCATTGATCTCAATCTTTTTAAATCATTAAATGATTTTGGCATTCAGGCACGCAGTGGGTCTGTGCTTGGTGACCTGCAGGAAGCAGGAACGGGTTCAACAGGGGATCCTGTCCACGGACTTTTGCTGGACACAGGCTCAGTCACGTGGGCTGCATTACAGCGACCTTTACACCAGCATGTAAGACTGCTTCTAAATAAGACACAAAATGGCTCGCTCGGCAGCCCCCCCGCCACCCTCCGAAGGTCTCAGTAGAGCAGTGCGTTTATGAGAGACCTTAAAAGCAGTTCACATTCTGCCACGAGAGCCCGGGAGACAGTCATTGGGTTATGTAGATCTGTCTTCCTGGGTGTTTTCCTCACTGAAGGAAGCAATTGGCAGAGCTGCCATGGAGCAAAGGGAATTAAAAAGCTTATTTCAAGCTTAGACCACTGGGTGGGAATAATAACAGTAATATTATCTAGTATTTATTGAGCATTTACTGTGTGTCAGCCCTGCGTTGTATACTCAACATTTTTTTTGCATGTGAACCTGACCATAATCCTAAGTAGATACTATTATTATTTCTCTTTCATAGACCGAAGATAAGTACCATGTCCTGCAGCTAGCTCTTTTTAAAAGATTTGCCACCCTCCTGGCCACATGGCTTAGTTCTCTGCATCTTATGATATTCAGTTTAATCAATATTGATTGAATGCCTCAATAATGCCAGTACTGGAGGAAGACGGGGCTCAAGGAGAGAGAAAGAATAGAGTGTCTGCACCTGAGGGCTTATAATCCAGGCAGGGAAGGAGAGCCAGACCATTTTCAGAATGGTTCCAAATAGCTAGCCACACTACAGGCAGCTTCTTTTGCATGTGACCATATTGGAGACAGCAGAGTACAGTGGGAAGGTTGTGGGTGTTGGTGTACCCTTCCCTCAGACCTGGGTTCAAATCTTAGCCCTGCTTCTTGGTTTGGAGCAACATAATTAACCCTTCTGAGCCTCAGTTTTCTGTTCTGTAAAATGGAGGTGACAATACTTACTTAGGACTGCTATACACGTAAAGAGTCTGGCATAAAGTAGGCTCTCAGTGATGTTCTCATCTGGCGTGTGGTCATCGGGGAAGAGCATGAGAAATAGCGAGTGTGGGGTAGAAAATGACTTGGGGCAGAGCATGGAGGGGGAAGAAGGCTGGTGGAATGGATCCATTCAGGTTGATTTTGTGCCTGGTTGTTCACACACACACAGGTGCACACACACTGCATACGCAACACACACACACACACACACACACACACACACACACACACACACACACAGTACGTGCTAGACCACAGAGCTGGCAGAGAGGTTAGGAATTGGGGAGGGAAGCTCAATGAGAAATGCCAGTGAAGCTTGGTGGCCAACTGTGTCCTTGGTGAGGACTCAGTGCCCCACGCCTCAGGGTTTGGCCTTTGGTTCACTCGCCCCCAAGCCACCGGCTTTCTGCTTAACTAATGATGAGAGAATATTTAACCACCAGTAAGGCCTGGCCACCCACCTATCAAAAAGGTCCCTTGGTGCTCTATTGGGACTGGGCTAGGGCTCCAGAGTTAACCCTTCAGCTGGCAGATTATAGGAAAGTTGGCAGTCTAGGTGGCAGGAGAAACCCTTAGGGAATTTGGGTCGGTGGTTATTTACTAACCTTCGCCTAAGTATTTCAACATCTTTTTTTTTTTTTTTTTTTTTGAGAGGCGGTTTCGCTCTTGTTGCCCAGGCTGGAGTGCAATGGTTTGATCTAGGCTCACTGCAACCTCTGCCTCCCGGGTTCAAGAGATTCTCCTGCCTCAGCCTCCCAAGTAGCTGGGATTACAGGCATATGCCACCATGCCCGGCTAATTTTGTATTTTCAGTAGAGACAGGGTTTCTCCATGTTGGTCAGGCTGGTCTTGAACTCCCAACCTCAGGTGATCTGCCTGCCTCAGCCTCCCAAAGTGCTGGGATTACAGGTGTGGGCCACCGCGCCTGGCCTCAGTATTTCAATGTCTTAACACTTGGTTCAATTTTACCAGTGTGCCTGAACATCAATTCTGAGCCTAAAGCTTGCTTTCAATTTCAGCAGCTTTGCCATAATGCTTACTCTGTGCAAGGCACTGGGAGTGCGTTGGTGTCGAGAGAGAGATATCAATGTAACTGGAGTCTCTTACCTTGTAGTTGGGGAAGCAAATTCCAGCCCCTTGTTAGTGGAGTAAAAATGCAACACTCAGGCCCAAGCTGCCTAGATAAGCAGGAGGCCCAGCTCTCCCTGGGCTCCTCTCCTGGCCTGCCCAAGGCACCCTGCCCAAATTGCTGATCCTGTGTGCTCTCACCTTCTCGCACAGCCAGAAATCAGCTGCAGCTCTTTCACATTGGAGGATTGGTAACCGGCCCTGAAGAGGGTTGCCCCAGAGATGCCGCTGGGAGCAGCTGGGCCCTGGGCAGTCTGAGACTATCCCTGTTTTGTCACCTTCAACCGGGGGCACCAGAGCGTGCTGCTGTGAGCATGCTTGACGTGATTTGGTGGGAGCTGTGTGCCCAGACTTGGCTACTGGCCTGCTACCAAGGGTAGAGCCTTGCCCAGACCACAGGGCAAAGTTCCTCTTGGGGCTTCTTCAGGCCACAGATGATCAGAAATCCTGAAGTTACAGTTGCTCCCAGGGTCACTTTGTCAGGGGCATCCATGTTTTTGGAGGGTTGGGCTGGAATTGATACTTCTGGAGCAGGGACAAGGCTGGCCTAGCTGCCCCATGGGGCCTGGGTTGTCTGTGCTGTGGCTACATCACAGACAGCCTCAAATGCCAATATGAGGACTTTATATTTGTTCAAGGAGGAACTATGAGTCAGTCTCTTTGGGGTGCAAGTGACAGAAACCCAACTCAAACCAGCTACAGCAAAAAGTAGAATTTATTGGTGGAGAGACCTGAAATGTCCAACAAATAGCTTCAGACATAGCTGGATTTAGGTGCTCAAACACTAATTTTAGGGCTCTGTCACTTCATTTCCCAGCCAGCCTCAAGCCACATGGTGGAAAAGATAGCTGCTGGCAGCTGCAGGCCTCATCCTACCCTGGTGGAAACAGTTCTTATCTCTGGGAGAAAAATCCCAAGGAGGGCTCTGATTGGCTGACCTAGTGTTAAGTGCCCAATGACTGTGCCCGGGTATTGGAATACGCTGATTGGCCAACCAGGGCTGAGTCCTGGAGTCCAGTGTATGGGGCGGGTGGGGGGGTCGTGGAAGGCTCAGATCATTTAATGAAATTGGTTGCCCAGAAGGAAGAAAGATTCTTTCACTAGAAGATGGGGTGCTAGGCAGACAATTGCAGTAGTTATCTACTACCGGTTACCAATTGAGCTTTCTTAACTATTGGCGGAGTTACTAAGTTACTAAGGCGGCTTCAGAAGCTTCTTCCGAATGCAGGCTGGCCTTTCAGATTGCCCTGTGGAGGTGCCTGAGGCTGCTAGCCAAGGGGGCTGGCTCCTTTCTTCACCCCCGCCGCCCCCACTCTACCCAGCTGCATCCATGTAGCCGGGCCATTTGGATCAGGAACAAGGGCTCTCCTTTGACTGTCTGAGGCATTCGGGACGGCCTCGTGCTTGGCCAAAGGGCTGCGCCTTGTCCAGATGTCCAGAGGGGATGGTTTCATGTCTTTGACAAGGCTGCCTTTCTGGGCAGGAGGATCTTAAGGAGGGAGATGTCTGCAGCCTGGGCACCGGGTGATAAATGTCCCCACTGGAATGCAGAGATGAATTCTTTAAAAGAAAAAAAAAAAAGGCTTTCATCGGTTGTTGCAAAGACCTCAAACAAGAGGGTTTTCTCATCCTAAACTGCAGGACGGTGTGGAGGAGGGGTGCTGGGGAAACAGGGAGTTGGGAGAGGATGGCCAGTGCTGGTGACACAGACACTTGACTGTGAAGCTCAGGACGCTCACCAGAGCAGCAACCTCTTTTCCTCTTGAGTAGCCCACAGGCGATGGCCGTTCCAGCCTAAGCCTGCCCTCCCGCTGGGTGCGCAGTGGCTGTCTGTTACCCAGCTCTGGAGAAAGGGGGTTGTGTTCGCCTCACTCCCCCCAACCCCCATCCCCTGCACAGCCCCAGAGCTGCGTCCGAACAAATGGCATTGTACAGCAGGGGACAAAAAACGCCTTTCATTCCCCATCCATGCCTAGGGACAAAAAGCTGAGTGTGGCTCAGTTTGCTCTGGTTTAGGAAAGATGGAACTTGTGGTGGCAGAGAAGGCTGGGAGCTAGGGACAAGGCAGGGAAGACTAGAAGACACAAATTAGCTCTGACCACATGAAGGGACTGTGTGACCCAGATCCACCCAGCAAAGAGGGCTGTCCTTTTGGTGCCCCTTGACCTGCTGGCACAAGAACAAGTCACCCATAGTGGGGACTGATGGCTACGTCTCTGACAGTTCCCCTGTTAGGCCTCCTCCCCTGGAGAGAGCCCTCTGGCCTTTACGGATCTCCAGAGGTTTTTGTTTACTCAAATGGTATTTATTGGGTCAATGCACTGTGGTTAGTTAAGCATGGGCTTGGGGATCAGACAGACTTGGTTTCTAAATTTGGGTCATAGTTCCATCTGCATGTCGTTTGGCTTATCAGTTGCCTTCTCTAAGTCTCACTTCCCCCATCTGTAAAATGGAAATAACCATAGCATCCATCGGGTGGTTGGGAGGATCCAATGACACAATCCACGTAGCATAGAGCCTAGCACCTAGGAAGTGTTCAATCAGCATGGCGCATTAAGAAGTACTATTGGTAGCAGTGTTCACAGTATTAGACATTTTGGAGGGGGAAATGAGAATTCAGGAAGTCCCACCTTATAAATAAATTCTGTTCCAAAGTGAACTTGTAAGTCTCTTATTGGGACCTAAAAACACAGTTCCCGTAGAAAAACTGCTAAGAAAAGTTCTGAGGTTCCTGGTTAACCCACAAAAGCCTATTTAACTGTCAATGTACCAGAAATTGCAGAGTGGTGGCTTTAAAACATGGCTGAACATTCTTTCATGCTTCTCCCATTGAGAATTGGGGTCTGTATCCCTTCCCTTTGAGTCCAGTGGGCTTGTGGCTACTTCAGTCACGAGAAAATGGCAGAAGTGATATAATGTGACTTCAGAGGCTGAGTCACAAAAGGCCATGTGGCTTCCGCCATGTTTGTGGAAAACTCATTCTTGGAGGCCTGAGCCACCATGTAAAATGCCTGGCAAACCTGAGGCCACCATGCTGAAGAGGCCATGCAGAGAAGCCCTGGGACCACAAGGTGGTGGGGAGCAGAGAGGAGAGAGGAGAGAGGTGTGCCCTGTGAGTCCCTGTGGGTCCACAGTCATTCAAATCACTCCTCACCATTGGAGTCTTCTCAGCTGAGGTCCCAGACAACATGGAGCAGAGTCTGGCCACCCGTGCTGTGCCCTGTCTGAATTCCTGACCCGTGACATCTGTGAACTTAATACAATGGCAATTTTTTTTAACCACTCTATTTTGGGGTAGTTTCTTATGCAGCAGTAGCTATCCATAGCACTATGCTCTTGTAATGAAGACTCTGGCTACACTAACAGTGGCTAACAGTGGTGAGATCTGGCTGTGTGCTGGGCACTGTGCCAAGTGCATTCTGTGGCTGAACTCAGCCACTCCTCTAGAGCACCCTAAGAGAGAAGCTAGTAGAAAGTAATCATTGTCCTTAAATACAAACACCACCAACTGTAACTTTAAATGGAGAAATTTTCTTATAGCTCAATACTGGGGCTTGAAGAGAAACAGATATTAATTAGCTAGGTCCGAGGAGGCACATGGAAACTTTGCAGTGATTATGGATGGTACTTCTAGACAATTTCAAGGGTTGTTAGAGATTGATGACATTGACTCTTTATTTTATCTAATTTAACTTCAAAACAGCCTTTCTTTTCCTTGGTTCAGTTGTATCTGTTGCAGAATTTCATGTGGCATCACATGGTTTTTGGCTCAAAAATGAAATGAAGAAAAAGAAAAAGAGATTTTTTCCCCCTGTGATCGCCAGCCAGACAAGATTTGGATGAGAGAAAGGTAGAAGGACAGGGATAAAAGAATGAGACAGATGTAGCTTGAGACTCATCAACTGAGCAGTCAAAGTTGAAGAAAGGTAGTAAAAAGCATGCCCTCCCTCTCCTTGGGTTGGTGATGGGATGGCAGGAGAGATATATCTAGATGGAGGGAATGTTTCCCTTGGGGTGGGCTGAGTCATTGGCTTTGATTGCTTACCCCTCTCTGCATTCACTTCCTGGCCATGGTTTCATCACAGGGGGAGTTGTATGTTCCTATCACTTGACTTTGGCCTTGGCCATGTGACTTGCTTGGCCAATGGAAAGGAGCAGAAGGGATGATGTTCTGGCTCGGGGCCTAGGCCTCAAGAGGCTTCATGAGTTTCTGCCTGTCCTCTTGGGTCTCTGCCATCACCCCAGCTTGCACTGGTCCCAGGAGGAGGATGAGAGACTTGTGGAACCAAGCCTCCCAGCTGACCCACAGTCTTGTGAATAAGAAATAAATGCTCATTGTTGGATGCTGCTATGATTTTGAGATTGTTACATAGCAACAGTTGACCCATACACGAGTAATCCAGCTTATTTAGTATCTGGAGCAAATGTGAGTTACTGGAGGTGGGGCATTGAATAGATGGGGAAGGAATTATTCAGTTGATGGCTTTGTACTGTGTGAACCTAACTGGACTGAATTATGTTTCCCAGAATTCCTTTCCTTTTTCTTTCTGTTTGGGGTTGGCCAGAAGTGAAATTTATGTGCGATGTGTGGGTGGAAGTGAAGCAGCAGCCATTCCTATACTCTCACAGTTGGGAGGAAGGCTGGCAGGCGCTGTCACAGCTCACACGTGTTGTCACTGATCTGTGGACTCACCTTGCTGGTGTGGGTGGCAGCAGGGCCCACAGCCCCTCCAGTGCCTGCCAGAGCTCCTCCTTCGGCTTCTCGGAGTTCTGGGGCTGGCGTGTGTGTGGCTACATGGTGGATGGCACTGGCCTAGCCTGCAGGTTACCCATGCCTTTGAGGTTGGAGGTATTGAGAGATAGATGCAAGTCCCAGTTTGTCCTCGAAGGCTCAGTTTGTCCTTGGTCCCCTCCATTTCACACCCATCTTCTCTTCCTGAGTGCTGCCCACGCTGCCTTGAGAGCCATCACCAAGCACAGAAGCAGCAGCCTTCCCTAGACTGCTGAAGCAGCTCCCTCACTGGGGCAGGGTTGATGTCTATGATAACTCCTGACTCTTTAGAGCACTTAGAGTGGTTCTGCTTCCCTGGTCAAACTCCAGCTGATACAACCAGTTAGGCAACTGAACACAGAAAACATTTGCAAGTCTGGTGTCCCTAACCACCAAGGTGCCACATCCCTGCATTTAAGGAAGTCTTACTGAGGGGAAAAGACAGAACATGATGTGAGGTGTTAGGCCCTTGAGCTATGTTCCACAGCCCCTGCAGTGGTCTAGCCCAGCCCTCCACCCTGTGGACTGCAGAGGAGGACAGGCAGCTGGAGGGAGATTACCGCTTGGAGCGGGGAGAAATTGGAGATGGATTTTGCCTCTAGCAGCCTTAGAATTGGTCTCTCTAGGCTTCTAGGCAGTGTTATTCCAAAGACAAGAGAAAGCCAGGGAGAGTAATGTGGAAAGGAGAGAGAACTGCGGTCACTCTCTCATGTGGAATCTGGATGTAAAACTTGTTTGGTCCTTCCCATCTTCCTGTGGACTAAGAGCTTCTGCCCCACAGCTCGTGCCAGGGCCAGGCTGTGAACCAGGCAGCCAACAAACACCACTGATTTTGGCCTTCCCTCTCAGGGGGCTTCTCTTCTGTTTGTTACACTGTCAGTGTTCACGCTGCCTGCCTTTCAGATAGATGCATGTTCAGCCACAGCTAATTTGGGATTTGTTTCTCTAAAAGCATTTAGAATTGTTTTTGCCTAATGCATCAGACTTAAATCCTGGGGCTAATTAATACCAAGGCATGAGAAAGAAAGGAGAAAGTCAGTTAAAATGCTGAGTAGAAATGAACTGGAATAACCTTGTCTTCAGCCTGACCCTTTTGCAGTCTGCATGTGTTGACGAGATCATAGCTGGTGCCATGCTTGCTTCAGACGTTGCCTCCTGCCCAGGTGGGCAAGGGACAGGAAGAAAAGAAGTGGTGTGTGTGTATGTGGACAAGTGGGTGGTATAAGTGTGTTGTGTTTGTTTTGTGGGTTGCATGTGCCCTGTGTGTTGCGCATGTTATGTTTATATGTTGTATATGTCACATTTGTATGCATTGTATGTGTCATGTGCACTACCTGTATTGTATGTGTGTTGTGTTGGTGGGATTTAGGTGTTGTGTGCATTCCAGATTTGCACTGTGTGTGTTGTATGTTGTGTGTGTGTTGCCTATGGGCATTGTGTTTATGTATTTTTTGTGTTGTATGTGTATGCTGTATGAATGAAAGATTTTTACTGCCAGTTCCCCAGAGCTCTAGGGGCTTGAAATGAGCTTTCAAATATAAGACTCATTGTATTTGGCTTGGAATTTGTCATCTTCATTGAAATCAGTGCGGTGTTCCCATACACTTCAGCCTGAATGGAAAGGGGTGGGGACGAGGGCTGGGCTGGGTGTGAAGCTGGAACATTTTGGGGTTCTCCAAATGCTATGGTCTGAATGTTTGTGTCCCCCTAAAATTCATATGTTGAAACCCAACCCCCAAGGTGAATGGGATTAGGAGGTGAGGACTCAAGATCAGTAGATCTTGAGGGTGGAGCTCTCATGAATGGATCAGTGCCCTTAGAAACCTCAGGGAGGTCCCGGGTCCTCTTCCTTGATGTGAGGACACAGCAAGAAGCCACCGTCTATGAACCAGGGAGCGGGTCTTCATCAGATACCAAATATGCCTGTGCCTTGATCTCAGACTTCTCAGCCTCCAGAATGGTGAGAAATACATTTCTGTTGTTCATAAGCCACCCAGTGTATTGTATTTTGTTATAGTAGCCCAGTCCAACTAACACACAAAAGAAAGTCTCTTTCAGCTGGAATTGTCTGTATTGGGAGGTGAACGTTTGGGGCTCCAAAGGGAGGTGGTGAGAAATGGTTTAGAAGTAATGCCCCAGGGATGGGCAGTGCTAATGCAAGGACCCAGTAATTGGATGAAGCACAGTGGTGAAGGAAAAGAAAGGGGCCCTAGTCCTGGCACTCACATTGCAGGCTTGGCCCAGCCCCTCACTAAGGGTGAGGGGGCCTCTTTCTTTGAATCCACAGGGAAAGGCTCTCATGCAAACCTGGGCCTGGGATTACCATGAAAGTTCTCTGTGCTGGGCAGTAGAATGAGCTGTTGGCAGAAGGAGTCAGGAGTCAGCACATAGACCCAGCTTTGGCATTGAACAGCAGTGTGACCTTGGTCATATTCCTTGTCCTTTAGTCTCTGTCTTAGCTTGGGTTTCTCTAGAAGACACCTGGAAACAAGAATTCAAATGCAAGCAATTTATTTGGGAAGTAATCCCAGGATGGCAGGGAAGATAAGGAAATTAATAAAGGAGGAATTATCAAATTAGTTTCTACTGTGGGAAACTGGAGGTCGGTCCTGCTGGGGATCTTTGGAAGACAGTGCAGAACATGCCACAGTGACATTTTGATGAAGGGGTGAGGGAGCTGGGGTATTCATACACCAACACCTGTCAGTCACTGGTTGCGGGCTGCTCCTGGAGCAGCAGCAGACATTAATTCCTAGCATTTCTGGCCTGCTGCAAGTATAGGCAGGGCAGGTGCCAGGGGCCAGAGAAAGCCACCAGGCAGAGATGAGTCCTGGCAGTGGGAACTCAGGCTGATCTTCACCAGAACGGGAAAGCAGAAGAATGGAAGAGTGGAGCGTTGATAGTCACTACATTTTTCTTTTCTGTAAAATACGGAACTTGAACCATATTATCTTTAATGTTTCTTTCTATCGTAATACTCAGTGACGTATGAAATAATAATTCTTTATTCCTTCTTTCTCTTATTGATTTAGTAAATATGTGAGCATCTACTATGTGTCAGACACTTTTTTTTTTTTTTGACAAGATCTTGCTGTGTCACCCAGGCTAGAGTGTGGTGCTGTGATCATGGCTCACTGCAGCCTCAAATTCCTGGACTCAAGTGATCCTCCCACCTGGGCCTCCCAAAGTGCTGAGATTACAGGCATGAGCCACTGTGTTTGGCCCAGACTCTGGTCTTGATGCTTGGGATACATAGAGGAGCAGGCAGACAGGTAGAGGACAAGCCTGATATAAGCCTGTGCTACAGAAGAAGTTAGAAGCCAGGTTGGGGTCATGACAAACAGGGAGGTGGAATTGACTCTGGCTGCAGCAGTCAAGGGTGAGGCAGGAATCATTGATGGAGGAGCAGGGATTTGTCAGGGGACAGCGGGGAGAAAGGCATTTGAGGAGGCAGGAATAGTATTGCAGTGGCAGAGAGATGGCATAGTTGGGAAGCTAAAATAAATAAAGAGATGGCGTGTTTGATTGAGGTGGCCAGAATACTGAGAGCAAGCCAGAAAATGTTAAGAGCAAGGTTGGATAAGTGCACAGGGCATGGAGGACATTGGGGCCAATGTCAAGGATCTCTGTTGTTTGTTTTTTAAATTAGAGACAGGGTTTTGCTATGTTGGCCAGGTTGGTCTTGAACTCCTGGCCTCAAGCAGTCCCCCAGCTTCAGCCTCCCAAAGTGCTAGGATTACAGGCATAAACCACGGCACCCAGCCAAGGATCTCTGTTTGATCTTGGAGGTGCTGAGGAGCTCTCAAAAATGTTTGCTCTAGGGAGAGACAGGGTGGGTTTGCCTTTCAGAAAGATCACTCTGATCACAGTGGGAGGGAGTAAAATCAGAGGTGGGGTGATCAGTAGATAAATGTATTGGTCAGCTGCCATAACAAAATACCACAGGTGGTTTAAAGAACAAATATTTATTCTCTCACAGTTCTGGAGGCTTGAAGTCCAAGATGAAAATGCTGGCAGGGGTGGTTTAGGGTGAGGCCTCTCTCCCTGGCTTGTAGACAGCTGCCTTCTTGCTGTGTCTTCACATGGCTGTGTGCCTGTGGGAAGAGAGAGAGTGAGCTTTAGCATCTCTTCCTGTTCTTATAAGGACACCAATCCTATTGAATTTGGGCCCCACCCTTATGATCTCCGTTAACGCTAATTGCCTCCTTAAAGGCACCATCTCCAAACTAGTCACACTGGGGCTCAGGGCTTCAGCATATGACTTTTAGGGGGCAGAGTGGACAAAATTCAGTCCATAACAGAAAGTTATTGTTTCTAGGAGAGAGAGAATGAGGGACTGAGCTTCAGCAGTGGCTAAGAATGAGAAGGCAGGAGCAGTGATAGCAGATGCCCAGGAGTTAGGTGGGAGAGAGGGAATGAGAGGGATAAGGGTGAGGAGGAGCTGGCAGAGCTTGAGGCTTTTCTACAGATGCCATTGGCACTCCACCCCACATGCCTGTGGCCTATCTCTGAGTTCACCTGCAGCTCTGCCCCTCCTGCACACTGACAGCTTCCCACCTGGGCTGCCCAAGCCTCCCTGATGCTCTGTATGAGGGCTTTCTCTGGCACTGTGGGAGCTGCTCAGCAGAGGCAATGGTCAATCTCAAAGTTTCAGGGATTTAACGCTCCCCAGAGCAATTATCAACCTATGAGGGACAGTGGGTAAAACCCCACCTTCCCATGCTTTGGCTTGGAAATTCTTTTTTTTTTTTTTTTTTCCCTTTAGGCAGCGTCTCACTCTGTCACCCAGGCTGGAATGCAGTAGTGGTGCAATCACGGCTCACTGCAGCCTCAACCTCCCAGGCTCGAGTGATTCTCCCACCTCAGCCTCTGGAGTAGCTGAGACCACAGGCATGCACCACCACGCCTGGCTAATTAAAAAAAATTTTTTTTTTTTTTTTTTTTTTTTTAGAGACAGGGTCTCAGTATGTTGCCCAGGCTGGTCTCAAACTCCTGGCCTCAAGTGATCTTCCTGCCTTGGCCTCCCAAAGTTGGTGGGATTACAGGCGTGAGCCACTGCACCCAGCCTGGTGGGAAATTCTGAGGTATGCTCTATGCACTTCTTCAGAGGTCCTCCAGCAAGATAGAGGCCCAGTTGCCCACACATTCTCCAGGTTAGCCTCTTTTCCCAGTCTCACTGCCCAACCCCTCCTCTGAGATCACCTCCCAAATGAACTACCTGCACCCAAGTCCTTGTTTCACGATCTGCTTTGGGAGAAACCCGAACTGCCACAGTTTGTGAATGGGCAGTGGGAGTACTGGAGTCCCTGTAGTGGGATGGGGCTTGGGAGGGAGAGATGGTGAGTTCAGGTAAGGCCATGCTGAGACTGACACTTGGCCTGTGGCCTGCCGATGTAGCCTGCCAGTCTGCAGCTGGCATATACCACCAGAACCTGGAATGACATCTAGGTGTCCTCTTCCCCTGCTCCTGGGTGGCCAAGAACGGGAGCCTGATTTTCCTCAAAGCCGCTCCTACAGGGCAACTGTGCATACAGTTGACTTTCTGAGGTTCGAGCTTATGCCGATTGGGGTGGAGATTTACATCAGAGTCACATAAGCAAGATAACTTGGCAGAGCAAGGATGGCTGATGGTCTGTATTCTCCCTTCACCACACCACTGTGCATTCCTCACCAGCCACCTTCCTCGATGGGTGCCTGTTGACTGCTTCCTCTCCCACCAGCCCACCTCTCCTCTCCTCTCCTGTTCTTTCCTTACGCACAGGCATTTTATTGACCTCATTTAGTGGTCTCCCTCTAAAGCATACCTTTAGAGCCTCCCCTGCCCATTCAAGGTATTTTCCTAAACAAAGACTATTTCCTCCCTGAAAGGAACTCCATTACCAGACACTCAGATAATCACCTCACTCTGCTACACTGCTATTTAAGGAGGAGGGTAGAGGCAGAGCTGCACATCAGGGAATTCACACGGGGGGCTACTTGGCAGTTCCAAAGTGCCATCACATACATCATCTCACCTGATTCTTCCTTCATCCGAGAGAGGGAGGTCAGAGAGGGAAAGGGGTAAAGGATTGCTTAGGTGAGGCTCCCAGGGGAGACTGGTGAGGGGGTTGGGGAAGCAGGGCAGGGAAGCCTAGGGAACCAGGCAAGGCACAATCTGGGGCCAAGTCTCAGCCTTAACCTGATCCCACAGGGCAGCACTGGAGCATGAGTTATACCTCTGAGTTTAGCCCAACTTGAGGCAGGGAAGCTGGATTTTATGCTCCCATGCCATTTGCTCTTTGACTAAGTGTCTCCCTAGGGGAGCATAAACTCCCAGGCACTTCCAGCTCCGCACAAACTGGGTAAAGTGGCTCTAGAAGCCCCAAGCCAGCTGGCTAAAGAGAATCGCAGGTGTGGGCTGTTAGAACTAAAAGCACACAGAAGATGGGGGAGGACACACAGATGTCAGCAAAGGGATCTGAGGGGGTCAGAGCCAAGCATGGGCAGTGTCTGCTGCCCTGGCAGACTCACGGTATCCTGTGTATTAATTTTCCATTGCTGCTTAACAAATTGCCACCAACTTAGATGCTTAAAACACCTCCAATTTATTATCTCACAGTTATGTAGATCTGAAGTCCTGGCATGATGTCACTGGATTTTCTGCTCAAGGTCTCATTGGGCCGACATCAAGGTGTTTGTTGGGGCTGTGGTTCTCATCTGAGGCTTGGGACCCTCTTCCAAGCTCACTGGTTGTTGGCAGAATTCAGTTCCTTGGAGTTGTAGGGCTGGGGCTCCATTTTCTGGAAAGCTATTGGCTGGGGACTGCTTTCAGCTTCCAGAAGCCACTCGTAGTTCCTTGTCATGTGGCCCCCATAGGCAGCCCACAGGGTTGCTTGCTTTCTTCTAGGCCTCCTGGAGCATGTCACTCTGCCTTCCTCTTCTGCCAGTAGCCAGAGAAAACTCTCGGCTTTTACAGGGCTCACATAATAAGGTCAAGCCCACCCACGATGATCTCACTTTTGCCATATAATGTAACATGATTATGGGAGTGATATTTCATCATATTCAGAGGTTCTCAGAGGAGAGGGGATTATACAAAGGCAAGAGTCACTGGGAGCTGGGGGTCATCTAAAAATTCTGCCTACCGGGCCCTGCATTCTTGCAGGTGTTTCTGAAGCTAATCTAGTGAGGCCCGTAGCATGATAGTAGCTGTTACAGACCCAGGTGTTGGTAGATTCATGGGCACTGGAAAATTCCTGGACCTTGTCCTGGTCTGCCAGTGGTGGTGGTTATATCGCTGGATAGTCAGCTGACAATTGGCAGATGGTCCTTGGCGTCTGTCTTGTTTCCTGTGAAAATTATTCGTGTGAGACTGGCAGAGGATCCCAGGGAGATACATACATTCAGCATTAGCCATGTCTCTTACTCTTCCTGGTGATGCTTGAGGCCTGCTAGTTTGAGCAGCATGATCCACCATTGTGGCCTCTACATTCTGATCTTCGATTCCCACTGTTGCCACCACTAACTGTAGCTATATTAAGACACTTCTGTACCCCCTGTTAAGTGTCAGGAGTCCAGTGATATTCAGCACTCCCCCCATATTGCGATTGTGTTTGGGATAGGTTTGGACTTCCAGCCTGTATTAATCTTGCCTGCTGCAAAAAATAAACCCTCAAATTTCAGGGTCTTAACACAACCAAATTTTATTTCTATTTTATAGAAAAGTCTGATGCAGATCTTTCTGGGTGGTATATGGCTGTCTTCTATGTGGTGATTCAGGAACTCAGAGTTCTCTCTTGTGGCTCTGCTATCAGCTAGCGACAGTAGTTCTCAAACTTTAGTGAGCAACGGAATCCCCTGGAGGGCTTGTTAAAACAGATTGGGCCCCACCCCCAGAATGTTTGATTTAGTAAGTCTGGAGTGGGATGTAAGAATGTGCATTTCTAATGAATTAACAGATGTTGCAGACACTGCTGGCCCAGGGACCACACTGAGAACCACTGCCTTAGGACTTGAGTGTCCACAGTTTCCAGTCTAAAAGAAAAGGAAAGAGAGAACAGAGATGAGGCAAGCAGGTGTACTTCTTAAATGCCTTAGTCTGGGAGTGATAAACATCATTTTCTCTCTCATTCAATAGATGAGAGAACTAGTCACATGGCTGGGAAATGTAGTCTCTGGTTGCACAACTGTGTATCAATGACAACTCTATATTATGCAAAGCGGGGGACACAAATTTTGGTGGAATAACTAGCTCTCTGTATTACCTTCCAGGTTAGGGCTGTTGTGAATGGATTGAGTTTTGTGGCCCAAAAGTCTCAAGTGGACACGGTCAAGGTTCAAGGCTCAAGGAGAGAATAATTTATTTTGTGCCAGGGACCTCCATGGCACAGCTATTTCCATATGACATAGTCTGATGGTGAGCTGCCAGACCCAGCCCAATCCTATGGGGTCCCACATTTCAGCTCCAAGCTTTGAAGGACACACTGCCCTTCACTTTAGAGGAAGGTCCACCTGATTTCAGGACATCACCCCAAACAATGGCTAGATCAAACCCATCAGTCAGACCTCAAAGATGCATCAGTGTTGGTGCCCACCCCCGCCCACCTAGATCACCAGAGCTGATGGGCCTCGTACCTTCCTGCTGCCATGTTCCGTAACAGTGATGCTGTTCCCAAAGTCTAGGACACATGCTTTCACTAACCCTCAGCCTCCCATTCTGCTCAAGACCCTTGCAGGATCTGGCTGAGCTCCAGGAGACTATACATCTCTTTCTAGATCCAGCACATTCCCGACCCACTGTTGGTAAGATAAAACATTTGAATTTTCTCATAGAAGTAATGGATCTCCACTGAGCCTCCCCTTTCACCCCTGCCCCAGCCTGTTTCCTTGTTGACAAATGGCATTCATCACTCAATTGGGTGGTCACCACTTAGAGTACAGTCTGGAGATGACCACTCATCATGGAAAGGTTGCCAATTTCCTGTGTCTGAGAGGGATTAACCACCCAGGAATGAAAGGAAGGCATGTTTTCAGTTATTGAGTGGGGAAAATATTAAAAACATATACAAATAGCAATGCCAGAAGAATAATAAGGACCACTTCTAACAGAAATCCAGAATGTAAAAGGGTTCTATTCAGGCTTAGAATTCATGGCACATAATGTCAGATAGTTCTTCATTATTTCATTGAGCACACAGTTATTCAACTCTACTGTGTATGCTGAGTCATAAGGCTCCCTGGAAAACTACAATTGATAGGTTTAAAGAGCCACTGAAACAAAGTGGAAGGGGAATTATTAACAATGATGATCTGGCTTGCTTCCAGATGACAAAATGATCCAACCGAAAGGTTAGTTGCAAATTCTGTCGTTTGGTCATGAAAATGACTCCAGTTAGAGCCCTGCTCCTGGCATCAGAAAGTCTGGCTTTTGATCTCAGCTCTGTTGCTCAGTGGTTGGGTGACCCTGGGAAGTTCAGCTTTCTTCACTGTCCCTTAGACTCCTCGTTTTGGAGATTTCTAAGGTCCCTTTCAGCTCTGACAGCCTCTGAATCAGGTATTTTCCAACTAGATACTTACATCTGAACTTGCCTTTCCTACTTATATCATCCTAGCAACAAACATGAGGATAAAGCCATGATCAACTTTACGGCTGAAAGAAGGCACATTTATTGGGTATAGAGGTTTTGTTAAGGCAATTCAAGTTAACACGACTGCTCCTTAAATTACCAAAAACATATAAAAAGGGGAATTTTGTTAATGTTAAGAAAATGAAATAAGTGGTGACCAGTGAGATAAAGGAACTCATAATTGAAGGAATACCCTCTTAGTCATTGTGGATGATGTCAAAGTGGCATACTTATGTAGTTAAAAGAAAAGAACTCAAAAGTGGATTAAATAATACTTGAAGAACCTATTTCTTGAAGGGTACTTTATAGACATTATCTTCTAATTCTAACCTCAACCCTTTTGTGATGGTTAATTTTTGGTGTCAACCTAACTACTTTCAGAGATACTTACAAAGCTGGTAAGGCACTATTTTTGAGTGTTTCTATGAGGGTGTTTCTGGAGGAGATGGGCATGTGAACGATGAACTGAGTGGGAAAGATCTGTCCTCAACATGGACAGGCACCATCCAATCAGCTGGGGACCCAGATGGAATAAAAAGGCAGAGGAAAGGTGAATTTGCCCCATCTCTCTCCTGGAATTGGAAACACCCTTCTTCTTCTACCCTTGGACATAAGAACTCCAGGCTCTCTGACCTTTGGACCCCAGGACTTGCACCAGTGGCCTCCCCTATTCAGGCCTTAGGCCTTGGACTGAGAGTTATACCATCAGCTTCCCTAGTTCTCAGGCCTTTGGACTTGGACTGAGCCATGTTACTAGCCTCCCTTGTTCTCCAGCTTGCAGATGGCCTATCATGCGATTTTGCTTCCTCCATAATTGTGTGAGCCAATTCCCCTAATAAATATCTTCTTATCTATCTATCTATCTATCTATCTATCTATCTATCTATCTATCTACGTATCTATCTGTCTGTCTATCTATCTATGTATCCTTTTGGTTCTGTCTTTCTGCAGAACCCTGACTAATATACAGTTAAAATAGGTATCATCATCCTCAGTTTACAGATGGGGAAATTGAGGCTCAGATAGAACTAATTGCCCAAGGACACCCAGCTGGGAAGCAAAACAGAGCCATGTCTTCCTGAATCCAAAGCCCATATATGTTTTTCTCATACTCAGAATTACCTCTCTGGTTAATGACTTAATAGTACTACTGAAATATAAAGGCAAGAGTATTTTTAGGTAGAGACCAACAGAAGAGATACTAAGACAGAGTTCTAATTATGAAGGAACAATTCCATTCAGCAGGCCAAACATTCTGCCAGGAGTTTTACTATCGCATATAGTGAAACTTAGGGCAGTGGCTAGCCCTTATGATTGCAATGTTTAAAAATATGTGCACAAATGTAAACCAGTACATTTATCTGTCAGAGATACTTAAGTAAAGAATATCAGTATCACGGCCAGAAATCTCAGAAACTGGTGGATTTCATATTTGCTTATATAAATACATTTTTGCTTCTAGTTCTGGAAATACTGTGATCAAGATAAC
Source organism: Homo sapiens (assembly GCF_000001405.40). Taxonomy (NCBI): domain Eukaryota; kingdom Metazoa; phylum Chordata; class Mammalia; order Primates; family Hominidae; genus Homo; species Homo sapiens. The sequence continues at coordinate 39,664,169 of NC_000023.11, read as the reverse complement.
CTGAAAACCCATTTTCCTCAGTTATCTAGAAATAAACGAATATTTATTTGAATGAATAGATGAGCACACAGGAAATTGACGGGCTGTGAATGAAAAAGGTACTGAAAACTAGGGCAGTGAGCTTGTGAATGATTATGTGACTGTTTTAGGGTGGGGACACATGGGGAGAGACAATGATTCTGTACTCTAGGTCCTTAGACCATTTAATGTCCACTTGAGGTCGTGGGAGGGGTGGGTGGGGGGGTGACAAAGAGTTGATGCTTTGGGTCCCTGTAAGGCAAAAAAGTTGGACATGTGATACATACATTCTGTAAAAGTGGAAACCTCTGTGTGAGGGTAGATTAGAAAAAAATCTGCCCATTGACCCAGAGGGGTTTGTCTGTCATGGTCTAGGCTCCAAGTGGGAAAAAAAAATGTCTCCTGAGAAATTTTTGAACTATATCTTATGAGGGTTTGGAATTAAATATATATTCCTTATGTGGTGCTGGAGCCCCAAGCTCAGAAATTTTATTTTATTTATTTATTTATTTTTGAGACAGAGTCTTGCTCTGTCGCCCAGGCTGGAGTGCAGTGGCACAATCTCGGCTCACTGCAACCTCTGCCTCCCAGGTTCAAGTAATTCTCTGCCTCAGCTTCCCGAGTAGCTGGGATTACAGGCACCCACCACCATGCCCAGCTAATTTTTGTATTTTTAGTAGAGACAGGGTTTCGCCATCTTGGCCAGGCTGGTCTTGAACTCCTGACCTCGTGATCCACCCGCCTTGGCCTCCCAAAGTGCTGGGATTACAGGTGTGAGCCACCGTGCCCAGCCATAAATTATTATAAAAATGATAGTGAAACCTCTGGACAGCTTGGCAAAAACAAAAACGAAACTTCACAGGAGACCCCATTAATCAGGCCTCACAAAATTCCTACACATAAAGCCGTGTTTATGATGAGCTCACAATTCAAAAATATAAAACAGTTGAAAAAAGATTTCACTATGAGCAAGAGACAGCAGGATTAGACACTCAAGAACTTCAGATAATGAAACAATCTATTAGAGACCATAAAATTTGCTTTTTTTTTTTTTTTTTTTTGAGGCAGGGGCTCACTGTCACCCAGGGTGGAGTGCAGTGGCTCAATCATGGCTCACTGCAGGCTCGACTCCCCCAGCTCAAGCAATCCTCCTGCCTCATTTTTAAAAATTTTTTTTGTAGAGATGGGGGTCTCCTTTTGTTGCCCAGGTTGGTCTTGAACTCCTGGGCTCAAGCAATCCACCCGCCTTGGCTTCCCAGAGTGTTGGGATTATAGGTGTGAGCCACCATGCCTGGCCCATAATTAGCATGTTTAAGATGATTAAAAGCTTATGTTTTTAAACAATGAAAACATAAAGGAAAAAACAGACACTATGAAAAGGAACATGCATGTATATTTTTAAAAGAAACTAAATTGAACTTCTAGAAATAAAAAAATATAGTCACTGAGGTTGGGCATGGTGGCTCACACCTATATTCCTGGAGCGTTGGGAAGCTGAGATGGGAAGACTGCTTGAAGCCAGAAGTTTGAGACAAGTGTGGGCAACATAGCAAGACCCTGTCTCTACAATAAATAAATAAATAAATAAATAAATAAATAAATAAATAAATAAATTAGCTGAGTGTGGTAGTGTGAGTCTGTAGTCCTAGCTACTTAGAAAGCTGAGGCAAGAGGACAGCTTGAGCCCAGGAGCTTGAGGCTGCAATGAGATGTGATTGCACCACTACACTTCAAGCTGGGCAGCAGAGCAAGACTCTGTCTCAAAACAAAACAAAACAAAAAAAAGAAATGTCAAAAAACAAAACACACACACACACACACACACACACACACACACACACACACACACACAGAGTCATTGAAATAAAAAATCTCAGTATATAAGTTAAACAGAAATTATTGAACCAGAGAGTGATGTCAAAGAATTACCCAGAATGCAGCACAGAGAAACAAAGAAAAGGGAGGTGAAAGGATATGGAGAATAGAATAAAAAATTCTCATATATAACTAATTGGAGCTCCAGAGGGAAAGCATAAAGACAATGTGGGAGAAGAAATGTTCAATGACATAATAGCTAGGAATTTTTCAGAATTTATGATACATAGATTCAGAATCCTCAGCAGGATAGATTTCATAACTTAGTATGCATATTGCTCTATAAAAAGGTAAAAGTGAGCTGGGAGTGGGGGCTTATGCCTGTAATCCCAGCACTTTGGGAGACTGAGGCAGGAGGATTGCTTGAGCTCAGGAGTTCAAGATCAGCTTGGGCAACATAGGGAGACCTTGTCTCTACAAACAACAAAACAAAACAAAACAACAAAAAACTAGTCTGGCGTGGTGGCCTGTGCCTGTGGTCCCAGCTACTCAGGAGGCTGAGGTGGGAGGATTGCTTGAGCTCAGGAGTTTGAGGTTGCAGTAAGGTATAATCTTGCCACTGCACTCCAACCTGGGTGACAGAGTGACACCCTGTTGCTAAAAGATAAGTAAATAAACAAAAAGGTAACAGACACCATTCTACCAAGTACATTCATATCAATCCAGAGCAAAATTCTAGGGACATCAACACAGTAGCAGTGTGGGTAGAAACGAGAAGGATGCTAGAACATGCTATATAGTACTTTTCTTGTTCTAAGGCAAATGTATCTATTTCAGTTGTTATGTCCATATAAAAATTACTCTAAAATTTAGTGGCTTAAAATAACCACAATCATTTTATTATCTCTCATGATTTCTGTGGGTCAGGAATTCTGGAAGGGCTTAACTGAGTGGTTCTGGCTTGGAGTCTCTCATGTGGTTACAATTAGACTGTGGCTGAAGCAATGTGGGAGAAGCACATTGAGATGCCCATCCAGCCCCCCATTGCTACAGCCGCCTGTTGTTGTCGAGCTGAAACAACAGGGAACTGTAGCAACTGAGGGCTGGTTGGGCATTCTTCTCTCTTCACACGGTCTCAGGGCCTCTCTAATTGGCCTCTCTACGTGGGCTATTTGGGCTATTTATAGCATGGCAGCCTCAGGATAGTTGGACTTTAAAAATGGTGGTTCAGGGCTCCAGCACCAATGATCCAACAAGCAAGGTAGAAGTTGTGTCGCCTTTTTGGACCTAGCCTTGGAAGTCATTGAGTGTCACTTACAATGCATTCAAGTTACACTCAAATCACAAGTCTGCCCAGAGTTAAGGCAGAGGATATAGACCCTCCACCCCTAACTCTGTCTGGATGGGAGGAGTGTCAATATGCCATTGTAGAATACGATTGTGGGACATAGAATAGTATTGACACGGGGGATATTGCTGGGACCATCTTTGGAAAATACGAGCTGCCACAGTATAGGTATTGATAAGTTTAACAAATTGATTGACGGTATAGGTAATCACCAGAAGAATAAACTTAGAATTTGTAGCTTATAAACTAGCAGAGAGACATTTGATATTGTCAATAGTCTGAAAAAAAGAAAACAAAAAGAAATTACAGTTAGTAGAAAATGGGAAATAAGATGGCAAAATGAATTCCTAATGGTAGTTACAACAAATATAAGTGAGCCAAACTCACCTATCAGGACCCAGACTGCTATTGTCTACTTTCAGCTATTTTATATTATTATTATTTTTTGCTCTGTTGGGCAGGCTGGAGTGCAATGGTGCAATCACGGCTCACTGTACCCTCAAAGCCTCACTGTACTTCCCAGGCTCAAGTTATCCTCCCACCTCAGCTTCCCAAGTAGCTGTGTCTACAGGCACACACCACCACATCTGGCTAATATTTTTTTGTAGAGATGGGGTCTCGCTACATTGTCTATACTGATCTCAAACTCCTGGGCTCAAGGAATCCTCCTACCTAGGCCTCTCAAAATTGCTGGGATTACAGGCATGAACCACCATGTCCTTGATCTATTTTGTATTCTTAAAACTAAGGAATACAGAATAGCTGAAATTAAATGAATGGAAAAAGATATATCAGGAAATATAAATTAAATAAAGCTGGGGCAGCAATTTTAATATCAGACAAAACAGCATTAAAAACTACAGATATCATAAAGGACAAAGGGGAATCATACATACGGAGAAAAGGAATAATAGTTCTAGAATATATAACAATTATGAAAGCACATTTATTCATGTAGATATATTTGAGACAGAGACTCACTCTGTCACCCAGGTTGGAGTGCGGTGGCGCCATCTCAGCTCACTGCAACCTATGCCTCCTGGGCTCAAGCCATTCTCCCACCTCAGCCTCCTGAGGAGCTGGGACTACAGGTGTGCACCACCACACCCAGCTAATTTCTTTTTGTTGTATTTTTTGTAGAGATGGGGTTTTGCCATGTTGTCCAGGCTGGTCTCCAACTTTTGAGCTCAAGGGATTTGCCTGCCTCAGCCTCCAAAGCGCTGGGATTACAGGCGTGAGCCACTGCACCCGGCCAGTAAAATATATTGAATGCCTATAATATTCTAGGCATTGCTCTAGGTTTGAAGGAGATAGCAGAGACCAAAACAGACAGAAATACTTATCTTCATTAGAATTTACATTCTATACAATTATCAACACAACCTCAAGTATTTAAAACAACAATGGACAGAACTAGAGAATAAAATAGATAAACCAGGAAGTGTAGGTGGAGATGTTAAGATTCCTGCCTCTGAAACTGATGAATAAAGGAGACAAAAAATAAAGCTATTGAAGATTTGCACCACACAATTAATAAACTTTAACTAGCGGATATGAATAGAATCTGACATTCAACCAACAGATTACATATTCTTTTTGAATGCACATGGCACTTTTACAAAATTAGAGAAAGGAACTTACCAAAAAGGCAATCTAAATACATTCCAAAGACTCAATGTCATTCAGGGCTGGGACCCTTTTTCCCCCCCGAGATGGAGTTGCGCTCTTGTTGCCCAGGCTGGAGTGCAATGGCGTGATCTCGGCTCACCACAACCTCTGCCTCCCGGGTTCAAGTGATTCTCCTGCTTCACCCTTCCCAAGTAGCTGGGAATACAGGCATGTGCCATCACGCCCAGCTAATTTTGTATGTTTAGTAGAGACGGGGTTTCTCCATGATGGTCAGGCTGGTCTCGAACTCCCAACTTTAGGTGATCCGCCCGCCTCGGCCTCCCAAAGTGCTGGGCTTACAGGCGTGAGCCACCGCGCGCCCGGCCTGCTGGGACTCATTTTTTATTTCAGCCTGGGGACACTTCTCTATAAGAACTTTTCAAAGGCAGAGCAGAAGGTTGAATTATTCTGTTCTCTGCAATAATCTACTTACCACAAGCAAAAGCAAAACCCAAACAGCAATAACCATGGCCTACAGCAAAGAACAAGGCTGTCCCTATTTTTTTTTTTAATGAAACTATCTTCTGTTGGCAGGGTCTGCCCCTGGTTCTCTTCAGCTCTGTTCTTGCCTTTGTTCTGAGTTTCTCCCCGGGAGAAACAAAATGGCGCCCAGCCAGGAAGGAGAGAGGCTTTGCTCTCCTGAGCCCTGAGCAGGACTTCTACCCATAACTGGCTTTCAGAGTGGCTGTTTGGTATAGCAGGGTGATCATGGTGACAGTGAGAGTTTTCCTTGGCAGTGAGCTGAACTTACCCACTTGAGAACAAGGTCATCTGCTTTGTAAGCTGCCCTAGTTAGAGACCACCCCTCAACTGCCGGGTGTTAGGAGGAAATTCTGCCACTAGCTACTAAAGGCATCACCAGAACTTCACTAACAGAAATCAGAGACTTCTTAAACCAAAGCATCCTAACTTTTATTAGCAGGGAGGCTGTCTCCAGAAAGCCTTCTGGGTTTGACCCCTTCCTCAAAGTGTTGACATAAAAGTTCATCACTGTCATCAATGATTGTTCCACTTATGGCAAAATTTTAGACCTAAAATTCATCCCCCCAACCTCTTTTTTTTGTTGTTCTTTTTGAGACGGACTTTCCCTCTATCGCCAGGCTGGAGTGCAGTGGCACGATCTCGACTCAATGCAACCTCCACCTCCTGGGTTCAAGTGATTCTCATGCCTCAGCCTCCTGAGTAGCTGGGATTCCAGGCACGCGCCACCAGGCCCAGCTAAGTTTTTGTATTTTTAGTAGAGACAGGGTTTCACCATGTTGGCCAGGATGGTCTCCATCTCCTGACCTCATGATCCACCCGCCTTGGCCTCCCAAAGTGCTGGGATTACAGTAGTGAGCCAGCGCGCCCAACCACCTTGTAATTACCACTCAAGGGTTTAATTACAAATATTCTATCTCCACTCCCTAGATCCACTTTTGATAGATATTTTCAGGGCCAGGTCTGAGCATTTCTTTTTTCTTTCACCCGAATTTTTATTTTGGAAAAAAAAAATCACAAATAGATGCTCGTTTATGAAAACTTCAATTAGCAATGCCTCCTCCTCATGTTATTCTAAAACACACACACACACACACACACACACACACACACACACACACACACACAGCCCAACTCACTAAGCCAAAGCTGAGGCAGACAAGCATATTCAGAAATCTACAGGATGATTCTATGCTTATTCCAGGATAGTGGCCTTTCAGATGTAATTCTCAACTCTCACCCACATATTTAAAAAATAAATGAGTCTTTTGATTGGCATTTGGAGTATTGGAACCTGAACCTCAGCTTTATTTTGAAAGCCTGTTCCCATTTGTATTCACAGGCAAGCTTTGCTCTCTGGCTCCGTCCTTGCCTTTTGACATTTAGGTGTTACCTTAGGTAATAAGTGGCCCAGGTTTTAGTCTCTGAAGTGGAGGTGGGATACCTCAAACCTGCTTCTGCCTCCTCCTGGGTTACCACTCAAGGGTTTTCACAGGTATAGCTCTGTATTTAATGGCACGTAGTAGTTAATTTGCTTTCGCATTTAAAAACCCTATAAAAAACGGTCTGTTTCCACAAAAGCTTCTTGAGAGTGTTCTTGTAAGAATGGACATCAGCTAATGTACCCATTTTCTCAGCAGCTATCTACTTACTGTGACCCCCAGTCTCCATTCCAGACCTTTCTGGTGGATGTGGGTAACATTTTCAGGGCCATTTCTGCATAATTATCTCCTCTTTCAATTTTTATTTTGAAAAGTTTTAAACCTTCAGACAGTAGAAAAAATAATACAAGCATCCATATGCCCCATGCCTTGATTCATGAATTATTATTGTGCCATATTTACACATGTGGCTGTCTATCTTTTTCCTGAACCATTTGAAAGTAATGTACAGGCATCATGACACTTCACCTCTATATATTTCGCCTAAGAAGATGGACATTCTCCCACATAACCATAAGGCCATTTTTATATTCAAGGAATTTATACCGATAGAAAAATATCTAATGTATAGGCCATAGTCAAATTTTGTCAGTAGTTCCTATACTGTACTTTGTAGCACGTTCTTTTTCTGATCCACAGTCCAATCTAGGATCAATATTGCATTTAGTCGTCATGTCTCTTCAGCCTCTTTTAATCTGTTTCTCCAAGGAAGCTGCCTCCTTTTGATGGGAAATGGTATTTAGAAACCAAGGACTAGGTGGGCTCATTTTGAGCAATTTCTTTTAAGCTAGTCTATGAATTGGGTGTTGAGGGGACGATGGTAACTTACACTTTTGCCAGAATTGGTTCATACCTTTCTGCCCCATCTTCTACCGACTCAGGAGGGAGTCCTGGGTGTCCTGGGTGAGGGATGTGATAAATGAGTTTGGAGCCAGACAGACATGGGTCTGTCCACGCCTCTCCCCTACCATATGACCTCCAGAAACTTATATAAAGTCACTGCATCTGTTTTTTCGTCAATGAAATGGAAATCAATATACGAATTTCACTGTGTTGGGGTAAAGATTCTGTGAGTTAACATGGCAAAGTTCTCTGCATAATCATATTCCACATACATTTACTGAGCATGCCTTCTACTGTGTAATGTGCTAGAGATAGAATAGTGAACAAAACTGGGCATTATCCCAATTCTTACAAAGCTTACCATTCCTGGGGGAGCCCCATGCAATGGCTGTCTGGTTCAGGATATAATCATACTCCAGATGAAAAGGCAAACCCTATACATCTTATTAATTTTGATATCCTCCGTGCCTAGCACAGTGCCTGGGCACACAGTAGGAGTTTAATAAATGTTGGTTGGATTCTTTTGGAACTGACTTGAGGACAAGCCAACTACAGGGATTTCTTGGAAACTCAAACTTTATTTGGACCCTTAATAGCATTCAGAAACTGAGTGAGATCTGTAATGGATCTCTGTTGAGGAGTAGCCAGGCTTACAGGGATTGAAAAGATATGCACCAGAGATTTCCAAAGAAACCGTAAGTCAAGTCCCAAGTTTTATTAATCAGCTAACAGGCAAGTATTTTCTGAGGGAGCACTATGTTCAAGACACTGTAGAATTAGAAATGTAGGGAAGTGGAAGACTCAGTTTCCATTCTTAAAAGCTCAGGCTGACAAAGGAGAAAAGCACAGATACATATGGAAAGATAGGCGCAGGAAGGTGTGTTAAGTGCCCAATGGTGGTCTAGAAAAGAGAACTCTCTGTGGGAGAGGTGAGAGTGGGTGCTAATGGATTAAATTAAGTCTTGGGGGTATTGGTAGGCTTTAGATAGGTGGAGAAGGGAAGGATGGGGAGTGTAGATCATGAGAACCACCCAAGCAAAGCTGCGGAGCTGGGACTAGAATTGGGCCAATCAGGTTGGAAAAAACAAACATTGGGTTGTACTTCTTGTTTTGCTCAGAAAAGGGTACTTAGTCACTAAGATGAACCATGGGCAGTATGCTCTAGAATACTAAGTCCCTGGCCATTATTAAATCATCTAGCTAGAAGAAGGATGGAGAAAAATGTTCTCAATGGCAGTTTATAAAGAGATAATCAAACAAGAAGGTATGTTCAAGCAGAAGCAGCTCAGATTAAACCACATAATGTGTGGTGAAGATCAAAGATTTGAGTTATACAGCTTGGGTTCCAATGTTTTACCCGTGTGACCTTAGACAGGTTACTTAACCTTTCTGAGGCTCGGCTTCCTCCCTTGTAAAGTGTGAATAATCATGGTATCTACCGGAGAGGCAGGTGACATCATACATGAAACAGCACCTGGCTCACAGGACACCAAATACATTATGGGCAGAATTCCTCCCCACTAAGATGTTCCAGAGGCTCCAGTCCCTCTAATGATAGATGCCAGAGCTGAGGGACCTTCACAGCATCTCATCTATATGCTGTACCTGCCAGGAGGCCACTGAGCTCAGCATTACTAGGGTCAACCAGATCTAGAGCCTGGGCTTGGACTCTGGGGCTCGCCCCCTCCATCCATGGCTCCTCTCTGCCTGAGAGCAGATGGTAAGGAAAGCAGACAAAGCCAGACAGGAGAAGCAGCAACTTGCTCTTGAAAGGGCTGGCAGCCCCCCTCTCCCTTCCCAGCCTCACCCAGGGCCGGGAACGCGTGCTGGGAAGAGGATTAAATCAATGCCAATTCACATCTCTCCAGAAGCTGGCTCCCTGATCTGAACTAATAAGCAAATCATTAGTGAATTAGGGCTGGGGAGGGCTCCGCGCAGCGCTCCTTAACTCCAGCTGTAAGACAAGCCTAAAAGCCCCAACCCCTTTCCTTACCGACCTCAAAATGTTCACACCAAGGAGATTTTCTGTGTTAAAGCAACAATCAAGACCTCCCCCAGCCCCAACTCCGCCAAGCCCCAGGACCCTTGGGAACCAACACGGGCAGGCAACACCATTTTTTCTTCCTCCGAATGCTGGTTACCAGACCCTGTGCCCCAAATCCTCCCGTTGCTCCTAACAGGCCGCAAACCCCACGCTGTCTGCGGCACCTGGATCTAGAGGGCTCCGGAGCCCTGCAGGCCAAGATGTCACCCCCATCCCCCAGCCCTGGGCACAAACTTGGCCCCATTGCTTATTTTCTGGTGAAAGCCCATTATCTCTCATTTACATCTAAACTAGCTTTTCATACTATTTTAAAGGCTGCTCCTCCCCTTCTGTAATCTCCCTGCGAATGAATTAAAAGTTGATTCTTGAAACGCACAAATCTTGGGGGCAGTTTCTTTTTCCTTCTTATTTAAATCATATGCTGTTTTGGACTAACCCTTTTATTTCCTCCCAATTATGATTTCTGGTGTGTTTTCCAGAGCTTTACAACATGGCATCTGATTATACACAAAGCTTCAGAATAAAGCCCTGTTTTTCCCTTCATTAACGACACAAAGGATGGCTGTGTGATCCACACAGCACTTTGTGATTTAATGCAGCTTTACAGTCTAAATCGCACCCGGCTTGGGCAAAGCAGATTTGGGAGTGAATCAACGCATTTTCTTGCTGCCAGGAGCTCCCTTGCAGATTCCAGCAAATTCTTTCACCACACGGAATTAGCATTTGATTAAGCTCTGCAGACACGTTCAAACTTTTACCACTGAGCGCCGGCAGGGCTGCAGTAATCTCCCGAGAGGGGGAGGCACCAAGCGCAGCCACTGCTACCCCTTCCCCCCATCCGCAATGTGCACACTTTGCAAAAAAATTGTGGGAATAGTGGGCAATGGATGGCAGGTTGGAGGAGGGGGTACCAGAAAATGTGAGGGTGCCAGAGAGCAGCATGGGGGTGGAGGGTCGGAAGGGAAAGAACATCACGTACATACTTGGGTTATAACCACCCTTTCTGCCCCAAAGTTGCCCTAGACAGGCTCTTTCTGCCAGTGTGCTTACCATAAAGGCGCTTTGATGTTATAGTTCTCTGACCCAGGAGCAATGTGACCTTCAACCAAAACCTGGCCCGGCCTTACATCCAAGAGAGCGGGGAGGGTCTTTTCTGGTGCCCCTGCCCTGCCCTGTGGTCTTATCGGTGGGGTTCGGTGCCTCTTCCAGCTACCTCCACCCAGGAAAGCTCGTGATTCACTTCCAGGAGAGCTGCGAGTTATGCCTCCCAACAGCCTGGGTTTAAAATCTAGTCCATTTCCATTATGCAAATGTGAGAAGCGGAAGTTTATCAAACTGGGGCTTTGTACCTAGAAAGCGGGCGTGCCAGCATGGGGGGCTATAAAGGCTTTATTGCCACAACTTTGGGGTGATTGCTTTGCTCACAAATGCCAGGAGCACGACTGAATTATGCAGGTCTTCCCAAACAGGTGGCAATAAAAACTTTACAGCCTCCCACACCATCACATATTTTGTTTATGCCTCTTAGGTGTCTTATTTTGTTAGTTTTTTTTTGACCCTTCTGTTACTATGGAAACGGAAGTAGGTGGAGATGGTTCCAGGTATCTGTTAAGGCAAATGCGAGGCAAGTCAATTATCATAAAGGTGCTCTAATTTTATCCTCTGTTTGAGGAAATAACTGAGGTCCTGTGAGGAGGGGAACCAATTAGTTCTGGAACATCATAGGCATTCCAGAATCCCACAGCATCCCTGTAGGGAAGATAGGGAACATGGTGGAAATGTCCATTTTACAGATGGTGAAACAGAAGTATAAAAAACATCTTACTGGCAGTCAGTAAGTTTGCCCCATAGAAGAAAAGAAAAAGGGCAAAAGGATTCTCTTCTGGGTGCGTGTTTGTCCGTGGTCCTCCTAGAGCTTCATGACCCAAATTAGGAACTCATTTTGGGTAACCTGAGGTCAGGCTGTAGTGACATCTGCTGGCGAAGATGGAACTGGCTAAAGCAGGTTTTTCTGTTGCTGACAGCTGCCAGGCCGGGAGATGGTGGTCTGTCTACAAGCGTGAGCTTGTGGATGGCTTAGATGAGAAACAGGGTTGGACAGCCCCTTCCCTTCTGAGTGTGATAAGGAAAACAGGCTCAGACAGAGGGGTTCAGGAGTAAGGGCTCAGAGGGTCCAGACCTCCATGGTTCCGGATGTCTTCTCAATTCCAGAAGGTACAATTCAACAGTGGGCGAGAGGAAATGTCTGAGGTGGATCTCCTGGTTCCTGTGGCCAAGAAGAAGAGGTTTTGTGATTTAGCATCTTGCTCAGCTCCTTCCTTTGGGAGGGACTGGGATCCCATTCCTCATGAAAGAGGGAATGAGGAAGGCAGATAAGAGTGTTAGGAGGAATCTGAGCAATGCCCACAGAAGCTGTCAGCAACCACAAGGAAGAGGGGCCCTTGCAGAAGAGAACATCTCCCTCAGGGGGCTCCTGTGTAGATAATGGCATCCTCCCATCAGAACGAGGAAGTTGGTTGAAGAGGGTACTGGAAATGAGGAGGAAGACCTGGGCTTTGGAAGCTCCTTGTGAACTTGAATAAGTCCCAGAACGGCCCTGAGCCTTGGTTTCCCCGTTTAAGGAAGACCAAATGCAATATGGGTCCCTCAGGGAGTTGTCATGAATGAAAGTGTAACAAGCACCAACATTTGTAGAATTTTGGTTTCAACTAAAGGTTGCCATGGATTCTTGTCCTGCCAAATCCATTGCCCAGAGATCTTCTCTTTAGGCATGTCTCATCCCCACCTCCAAACCCTCAGGCTGGATAACTAACTGGGGGCAGGAGGCTCTGCCAAGCTGTTCTGAAGTCCTCTGCAACAGCACTATTTAAAGAGTGGTCTACAGACCAGGGCAGGTTCAAGAACAATTTGTCACCCATAAATGACGAGATAGCACCGAGACTGAGAATAAGCATTCTGAAACTTCTATAACAATATGACAGAGTAATTTTACATCTGTTGAATCCAAATACTAAAACTTTGGACTTTTTACTTTTCATTTTTTTCTCCAGTGATTTATTTTTGTTGTATTTTATCAAAGATTTGTCCATGACAGATTGGGAAAACAAAAAAATAAGAAACAACTAGTCCTTCATCACCAATAGTTTGAGAAGCGGTGCTCTGTGGGGTCTCATGGCTACCCTCCTACAGCATCCTGCTGGGAGATGGTAGGAGGATGTGCATAGCTTCTTTCTTTGTAAGTTAAATTATGAATTGTCAACAGCAAGGCTTGCTCCATGCAGGCGGCCGTGCTGGCCAGGGCTTGTGTAGGACATCCATTCAGCTGTTGGTGACGACTCAGGCCTCCCAGCTCTCTGAGCTTACTGGGCCACGTCTGCCTCCCTGGGAGGCCCCCTGGGACCTCTCTCCCCATCAATCTTCCCACTCTTTGAAAGCACGGAAAACGAGCCCTTTCCCAGTGCCCCCCCTTTTCTTTTCGTCCTAAGTGAACCCGAGCGCATGGCAGGAGCTATCAAACACGCAAATGAGATTTCATGATCTAGTTCATTAGGCTGTGAATCCCTGGGCCCACCATCCACAGAGACGCTGCTGCAGCTTGTTTTCTGTCTGAGTCTGTCTCAGGGGACACACTCTCTGCACTGTATCCATTAGTACTGTCCTCCCTTTCCAGGTGCTTCACCCTACCCTATCCTCTGGCTCACCCACCCTGCTGCCTTGTTCCCATTCTTGGTGCAGCCCTGCCGTTTCTCTGGGCTGAACAAAGTCTTAGGGATATTTTGGTCGGGGAGGTGATGAGGGATGGCAGGGTAAGTCTTATAACTATGTGTATTAGTCCATTCTCATGCTGCTATTAAAGACATAGCAGAGACTGGGTAATTTATAAAGGAAAGAGGTTTAACTGACTCACAGTTCAGCAAGGCTGGGGAGGCCTCAGGAAACTTACAATTAAGACAGAAGGGGAAGCAAACACATCCTTCTTCACATGGCAGCAGCAAGGAGAAATGCCGAGTGAAAGGGGGAAAAGCCTCTTATAAAACCATCAGATCTCATGAGAATCACTCACTGTCATGAGAACAGCATGAAGGTAACTGTCCCCATGATTCAATTACCTCCCACCAGGTCCCTCCCATGACATGTGGGGATTATGGGAACTTCAATTCAAGATGAGATTTGGGTGGGGACACCATAATCAAACCATATCACTTTGGGCCAATTATCTCTCTTAGCCTCTTCTTATCTGTACATTGTGTATAATGATATCCATGTAATGGAAGTTAAGTTGTTAGGAATCCTTCCTCTGATCATAGGAAGGGCTCAAAAAATAGTAGTTATTAATATCTGATAATTATTGTTTTATAATTTTTGATTTTGTGGTCTTGTGAAATTAAACCTACAGCTTCTGTTTTCTTGGCTGTAATATGGGGATTACAAGCATCTCCTTCATACGCTTGTTGTAAGGATTAAAGGGCATGATGCTATCCACATGAGAGTTCCCAGCATTTTCTCTCCCCCTCCCACTCAAAAGGTTGACCCCTTCAGGATTTTTCCATCCTGTCTTTCTGGATTTTCCCTTCTCTGGGAGGGACACATTCGTCTGTGCTCTCTCTGTCCCCACCCCAACCCAGTGACTCACTGTAGTAGGCTGGCATGAGGGCATTTTGTCCAGGCAAGAGGGGTGCGTTTTTTCCTTGCAGGTGATAACAGAGTGTGTGCTTGTGGATGACTGCACATGGAAGGAGGGCCCTGTCACTTTCCCCTACCCACAACATGACCCAAGCTAAGAAGGCCAACATCACTGCTTCTTCCTTGGGGCATCGTCAGGCATTGTAGGAAACACAGGCTGGGTCAGGAGACACCAGCAACCAGTTCATAAAAACACTCCATTGGACCACTTAGGTAATTCAGGCTTTGGTTTCTTCTATGTTTTTTAAAAAATTGACTTTACCTTCAAGATTGCCTAGAGCCAGCTTATTTTTCAAGTACACGGACAGTTGCTTTTCCCTTATGTTACTAATTTTATAAATTATGTTTTGTCTTTCTTTTTTTTTTTTCTGGCAGAACATTCTCTATAATCTTTTACCTTAGCCAGCCTGCCTGGGTAATTCAAACATTTTAAAATAATGAAATAAATATGATCCTGAGGAAGAGTAGCAATAAATCAAGCCATTATATTAATTATTGTCATGATTGGGGTTCTCTAGAGCTAAAAGGCAAGAGAGATGACACATATTTTAACACCTATTTAATGTCAAACTTTTTGCTTTTAAATCTGCTTGGCATTTTATTTGACTCTTTCTTCTACAAAGTTGCCCAAGCCACTGATAATTCTAGAAAACCCAATGGAGAACAATCTACCAGCTGCTTAATACTAGGCTCACAGTGGATACCAGCTGGTGTGTGCCCTGCCCCACGGTGTGCTAAGGGCTAGTGGCTTGTGGCAAATGGCTATTGGTTAGGCCTCACCCCAGTACCCCAGCATGCATTGCAGCTGCTGCCCTCTTTCGATAAAGCTTGGATGTTTACGGCCATACTGTGGATGCTCCAAGTACTAGGGCTGCAAAACAAATAACCTTTAAATGTAGTGGCCTAAAACAACAATCTATTAAATGCTCACAGATGCCGTGGGTCAGAAATCTGGACAGAGCACTGTGGAAACGGTTTGTCCCTGCTTCATGATGTCTGGAGTCTCAGTTGAAAGATTCAAAGACTGGGGGCTGGAATGATGATTAATACAAAGCTTGTATGCTCATGTGTCTGGCAGCTGAGGCTGGCTGTCTGCTGAGACCTTAGCTGGCTGTGGCCTCTCTGTGTAGTCTGGGCTTCCTCACAGCGTGGAGACTGGGTTCCAAGGATGAGTGTCTTCAGAGGGAGCCAGGTAGAAGCTGCATCCTTTTTATGACCTAGCCTTGGAAGTCCCATACCATCATTTCTGCTGAGCACCATTGGTGGGAGCACTCATGAGATATAGACTCCACCTCTTAATGGGAAATACAAGGGGCTGGAAGAACACACTGGACCATAATATGGGCATTTTTGGAAAATACAGTTGGCCACACTGGGACTGTCCTCTGTGAGGCCCTGTTCTCTCCTCTGGTTGAGAGCTGTTGATCATGGTCTTTTGGCTGGAAGGAAAAGAGACTCGAGTGATCACCCTGATAATGTTCTACAGTGGGAGAAATCTGGAATCTCAACCACACAGCCAGACTTAAGGAAATTACCAGAATGATTTTTTTTCACAAACTCAGTTTGGATCAGGGCACTTCCCAGCCTAAAATACTTTGATGCTTTCCCATTGGGCTTAGGAAAAAATGCAAGCTTCTCAGTGGGGATTACAAGTTCTACATCTCCAACCCAAGCTCTTGCCACTCTCCTCCCACTCCAAGCTCCAGTTTGTGTCTCAAACCCACCAGGCCTTCTCTTGCCTGTAGGCTTTGAACAAAACATCTTCTCTACAAAATGCTGCCTCTATTTAGGACACTTCTCTGCCAACTCTTTCCCTTGCCTATTCTCAGGCTCTGAAGTATTCAGCTCTTCGGATACCCTAAAATCATCCATTATTCCCCAAGGGTATTCACTGTGCTAGAACAGTTGGGCCAGGAGAGGCCAAGTCAGAACCAGCCTGTCTTCCGTGACTTTCTAGACCAATAGAAATATAAAATGAGCCATAACTGTGAGCCATGTAAGTAATTTAAATTTTTCTAGTAGCCACATTAACAAGTAAAAAGAAAAAGGTGAAATTAATTTTATTAACACATTTAACCCAATATGCCCAAAATGCTTTCCATATATTTTTTTCACAAGAAACCTTTGAAATGTGGTGTGTATTTTGCACTTACAGCACATCTCCATTAGGACTAGCCTCACTTCAAATGCTCGATAGCCACATATGGCTACTGGCTACCATATTGGACAGTAAAGCTATCTGTCATTTGATCATCACAGAAACTTCTATTGGACAGCCCTGGTGTAGAGTGTATTTGCTATAAATGAAAGATGTAAGGAATACAATCCCAGATGTACCTGAGTTTCATGTATCAGAGTTGTCCCCAAAAAGTTGAGTGTAAATTGAATTTTGCAGAATTAAATGATGCTTGGACACACAGGGAAGGTCGACTATTTAAAACAAAACTGGGCTGGGTGTGGTGGCTCATGCCTGTAATCCTAGCACTTTGGGAGGCCAAGGTAGGAGGATTGCTTGAGCTCAGAAGTTCAAGACCAGCCTGGGCAACATGGTGAGAACTGTTTCTACAAAAAACACAAAAATTAGACAGATATGGTGGTGTGTGCCTGTAGTCCCAGCTACTTGAGAGGTTTAGGTGGGAGGATCACTTCACCCCAGGAGGTCAAGGCTGCAGTGAGCCATGTTTGCACCACTGCCCTCCAGCTTGGGCAACAGAGCAAGCCTCTGTCTCAAAAAATTAAATTAAATTAAATTAAAAAATGAAAATGAAGCCAATTAGAAAAATTTATTTGGAAAAACTTTCAAACTTATAGAAATGTTGCAAGAATGATCATATTGCAAAGAATAGCCAACCACCCTTTATTCATTTTCACCTGTTTTTCACATTTTACATTTTACTCCTTTGCATTATCATTCATGCACCTTCTCTCTGTCTCTATCTATATACACATACACCAATATATAATTTTTAAAATACAGTTTGAGGGTAAGTTGCTGTCTTGGTCTATTCAGGCTACTACAACAAAATATCATAAACTGCGTGGCTTATAAACAACAGAAATTCATTGCTCACAGTTCTGGAGACTGGGAAGTCCAAAAACAAGGTGCCAGAAGATTCAGTGTCTGGTGAGGGCCCACTTTTTGATTCACAGATGGTGCCTTCCAGCTGTGATCTCACATGGTGGAAAGGGTGAGGGATATCTCTGAGGCCTCTTTTATAAGGGCACTAATCCCATTTATGAGGGCTCCACTCTCATGACCTAACCACCTCCCAAGGGCCCCACTTGCTAAAACCATCACATTGATAGGGTTTTAACATATGGGTTTTGGAGGGACACAAACATTCAGACCACAGCAGTTACATACATCATGGCCCTTCATTCTTAAATACTTTCATATTTTCTAAGAATAAGAATATTCTTTTATAGAACCACAGTACAGTTAGCAACAGTATAGTTATCCACTTCAGTAAATTTATCATAAGTGTAATATTTTAATCTGTTCTACCATTCATATTTCAATTTTGTCAATTGTCCTAATAATGCTTTCGATAGCATAAGATCTAGTCTAAGATCAGATATTGAATTTAGTTGACATGTCTCTTTTGTTTCTTATGTGGAACATTTCCAGGCCAATTATTTTAAAGTAAAAAATTCTTTATGAAGTGAGTTTTCTCTTCCTCCCCTGTCCCTCTTATTTATTTTGTAAGTTTGAATTTTCAATGTATTTGGTTTTCTTAAGGCAGAACACTACTGTTTTAGAAAAGTGTATGTGAGACAAGAGCCTTCTCCAAAGCCCTAGGCTGCCCTTTCCAGTTTAGGTTAAGGCCTAAAACTCCAGTTCTGAGAAGGGGACCTCATGAATCCAGCTTTTCTTAATCTGGGGGAGTGTCTCCCAAGCACATCACCTACTGGGGGGATTGGGCCACTGTCCCAGCTTTGTTTCACCAGCCAGTGAGGCCATGCGGACTTGCTGATCCTCTTACCCTTCCTTGTCTTCATGGGGCCTTTCACGTGCAGCACCAGCGAGCCCACCAGGAAGGCAGACAGCGGCTGGCTGATGCAGGCTGGAGAGCTGGCTTTCCCACTCTATGATTTAAGACCGGGCTTCTCCACAAGTTCGCATAACCTCCCCTGACTGTCTAGATTGCAAAACCAGGCAAGATTTCCCTAAACTCCCAGGAGACCCAAACAAGTCCTCTCGTTTGCTCAATTACAGCGATAGATCACAACGGAAGGAAACACTAAATTAATTGTGACAGTCATTAATACGACCTGCTCAGTGGCAGCGACTGCGTTGGGGGATCGTGGATCCGATGGCTATAACATATTGGTGATAGGGCCGCCCCCACTGGCTCTTTGGCGGGCCTTGAACTTGCTGGAAAAGACCAGGCCTGCACACAGGGCCCCGTAGCCATGGCAACGGGCTCTCGCTCAGCAAAACACATAAAGATGATTCATTTTGTTTTCCTTTCCTTTCTTTCCACCCAAATTTTCATGTGGGTTGGAATCTATTTTTAATTTTTTTTCTTGGAGGAGAGGCTATTTTTAATTTTGTTACCTCCCTCCTGGGGGCCTGCCAGGCCCTGATTTGAATGACCGAGGGAGGTGGGCTGCACCAGGCCTGAAGTCCCGAAACTTTTCTAGGTTTTCCCAGGGTGGGGGAGGGGAGGGGTGAAAAGTGGTGGCTGGCGTGGAAGTGGGGCAGGAGTGGCTTTGGTATTAAAGCTGAGACCTCCAGTCTTGGAAACACCCTTAAAGTATTCCCCCCAAGCTGGTGTTTCGTCTCTCCAGCTCTCTGCTGGAAGAAGGGCCCCCACCATCTTGTTTGTAGCTTTAATGATAATTTTTTTTTTTCCTGGAAACCGAGTCTCGCTTTGTCACCCAGGCTGGAGTGCAATGGTGCAATCTCTGCTCGCTGCAACCTCTGCCTCCTGGGTTCAAGCAATTCTAGTGCCTCAGCCTCCTCAGTAGCTTGGACAACAGGTACCCGCCACCATGCCTGGCTAATTTTTTGTATTTTAGTAGAGCCGGGATTTCACCATGTTGCCAGGGTGGTCTCAAACTCCTGAGCTCAGGCAATCTGCCTGCCTCGGCTTCCCAAAGTGCTAGCATTACAGGCATGAGCCACTGTGCCCAATCTCTCAAGATAATTTTGTTTTCAATAAATCAAACTCTTTTTCCGGTGAGGCAGAACGCTTTCATATCCATTTTCTTATTTGATCTTTGAGGTAGCTAGGTGTGACAGAGACTGAATGTGCCCACCTGTGTCAGGGCGACCATGTCTCAGCCTCCCCCACAGTGCTCCTGCACCCCCACCCCAACCACTAGTTCTGGCCCGTGGAGTGAGGGCAGAAGTGATGTACACACAGTCACTTTCAGGTCTGGTCCCTAAAACTTCCCTCGTGGGTCTCTTCCCTCTTTCTATTTGCTCAGCTTCTACTAGTGGGGTGAAGAGGATCCCTTGGAGGACAGGGGACAGTAAAGTCACACCACCAGAGGTTCTAAATGCATCAGGCTGTGAACTTGGATGAAAAAAAATTGCCTCTTTATTTCCACTAATTTTCTAATGAGATTTAGTGTTTCCTTCAATTATGAATGCAGGCAACAAATCACGGCGGTATTAGCAGTACCTGAGACCTTGTCTCCAACAGAAATCACAGATATTTCATATCATATTACTGTTGTTATGCAGATCTCAAAATATCACTTTCACTTATCACTTCTTTGAAATTACAGTGGTTATTAGACCTGCCACTCTATCTTATTAATTACTGTGTTAATAAAGAAGCATATATATTACAATAGCACAACTGTGTTTTTTTATTTTGATAACTACATTTCAATGTAATTGGTTTTCTTTGTAATTTTATTTTATTTTATGCATTTACAAGCCTTCTTTTGAGAAGCAGTCCATGAGCTTCACCAGAGCGTCAAAAAAGTCTATGGCAGAAAAGGATAAAATGCCTGGCACTTTGTCCCTCAACCAGCACATGACAGTGCCACAAGTTTGTAAGTCAGATGCAGAAATTAAAATGTCATCCTCCTGACCTCAGCCCAGGGCTCTTTCAGATGTACCACATGGTCCTATCTTTTCCACAGCTCACCCTCACATGCTTCTGTGTAGAGGTGGCAGTGACTGCGTTGGGGTAGAAACCTTCCTCAGCCTACGTGCCTGTTGGCTTTTCCTGTTCATGAGAAAGCCTTGCTGAACAAAGCTCTAGAACTTTCTGTGGCAATGAAAATGTTCTAGATCTGTACTGTCCAATATGGTAGCCACTAGCCACATGTGGCTACTGAGCTCTTGAAATTGCCTACTGTGACTGAGGAACTGCATTCTAAATCTTATTTTGTTTGAATTAATAGCTCTGTATTCGTGGTTAATGTATGGAATGGGGAGCTCTAGACCAGGGTTTCTCACACTTGAGCGTGCATCAGAATCATGTGGAGGACTGGTTAACATGTAGAATGCTTTCAGATACACTCCAGAGTTGTTGATTCTGTAGCTCTGGGATGTGCCTGAGAATCCCAGGTGATGCTGCCGTTGCCGGTCCGTCCATTCTCAACATACTGTTACCATTTTGAGTCAGATCATTTTTCATTGTGGGGGCTGTCCTGTGCCTTACAGGCTGTTTAGCACCATCCTGGCCTCTACCTACTAGATGCCAGTAGCACCCATTCCCCCCTCCCATGTTGTTATAACCCAAAGTGTCTGTGAACATTGTCAAATGTCGCCTGGAGAAGCAACCCTCTCCCCCACCACCCAATTGAGAACCACTGGTTCTCACACAAAAAGATCTTATTTTTTTCTTTTTTGGCTTCGATTTTCTACGTACGGATCTGAACATACTACATTTAAAAAAACGATCTGGAATTTAAATCTGAACTTAATTTCTTCATACATCTGCTCTAAAAGTGCCAAAAATTTATTATGTTTCAACAACACACCAGACTAGGTTGGAGGGTTTTGTTTTGTTTTGCTTTTTTCCGTTGAAAAGAATCAGTCGTGTCTATGGATGGGCATACCTTAGGCACTAAGTGCTTTTGTGGCTGTCCTTTGCTGGTCATTGCTCCTCCTCTGCCCCCAATTCCCCTTCTTTTCTTCCCCTCCCCTCTTCTATTTTCTCCCTGAAATTCTTCCCCCTTTCCTTCCATTCCTTTTCTCCTTTTTTTGTCTTCCAGACTCTTCCCTGCCCCCATGCTGGTCTTCCTGCCCCCATCTTTCTCCTCTGCTGTCCTTTTCTCTCTCCTCTTCCTTTCACACCGTTCGCTTCTGGGAGTGGGGTGACTGGGAGGGGGGACCCTCCCTACTCCTCCTCCTCATCCTGTACCCCTTTCCCCTCTGTTCTGTCTCCACAGCGCTGATCCTTGCTTTTCCAGCCCTCGGTGCTGTTTATTTTCCATCTGTGTTGTTGCTGCCATCACTGGCTGTGCTTCCTCCTCTCCTCTTTTTATCTCCAGCCCGTGTTTGTCTTGGGTTGGCCAAGTTTGGCCTCTGGCCCCAGACAGTCTCGGCTGCCTCTCCGTGCCCTCGCCCTGCCCCCTCCAACCTCCAGCCTGCCGGCTCACAAAGCAGCTGCTCTGAGGACCACTAAGTGTGATGCAGTTTTGGAAGGTTTTCTAAGTATAGATAAGAAAAACGAACAGGATAGGCTTTCCTGGCCCCTTGCCGGAGTCATGTTACAGCACCGATCAGGAGATTATCGAGAATTAGTTAGTGCTTCTTTTAAATGAAGCATTTAGAAATTGTTGGCATCATTGTTGTGACGAAGGGTAGGGAACAATCTCTGTCGGTGGGACAACAGCATGTGGCTTGGCATTTGTCCTGTGGAGAAGTCAAACATGTCAGAGGCTGACATTCTCATATGGAGGTGACATTAAACAAACAAGGTGGCAGGGAACTCTTTAAATCACCTGCAATATTGCGAGCAGTCAATCAATAGCTCTGACAAGCTGGGGCCACACACTTGCTGTGACCGCTGGGTTTTGCTTCTCACAGAAACATGCTTGACAGGAACTGTGCTGCTAATTTGGGGCACGATGTCTGTCTCCCTACTTTGACTTTCCCCCACTACTAGTGCATTTTTAAAAAGTGACCCTTTAAAAGACCCAGGCTGAAGGGTATTTCTACCTACTGCTAAGTATGTGAGATTACTTGGAAATATCAGATTGTTGACCAATATTTTCTGTTTTCCTGGGCGGGTGTCAGAGGCACTAACTCACACATAAAGTAGCCCACTCGATTTTAATCCTTATTTATAAAAGTAAAGACAGGGTCTGGAGAAGCCCAAGTGAGGCTGGCTCCCAAAGGAAAACTGTAAGGCTGTCAGTTCCTTGACCAAGATACAAGGCCGACCGTGCTTCGTTCCACGGCAAGAGAACGCGCTTAAAATCTAAGTGCTCCTGGGAGAGAGGGTAGGGGTTGGGCTTCAATTCATGCTAAGTTATAAGTCGCTAATATTAGAAAGTCATTCTTAGTCAGGTTTTGGTTGAGGAAGACCTGCTTGAGTGCTCTTGTTGATCAAGCATGCAGAGGGATGTGGGGGAAGAGAGTGTCATGCTAGGCAGTGCGGACAGCAACTGGCACAAAACTAGGTCCTCTCTGGTGGGATTAGAGGCCCAGGAAAATCACAGAAGCCATTCCCCAACATGTAGCCAGGTGTGGTGAGTAGCGTCCTGTTTTCATCATTGAAACTGAGAACATAAACCTCAGATCCAGCAGTGGGGAGAGGTGTTGCTGAGGAACCAAAACAACTGAAGAAGGGCAGGGGAGGGATGTTGTTTGGCACAGTCAGGAAGCCAGAGACCAGCAGAGAGAGTGACAGTAGAACAGACACTTTAGGGTGGACAGCAGTGAGGCAAATGTTTTGTGGGGCAGGTGGTGTTCACTCAAAGTATTTCAAGGTCAGAAGGAGGCTTAGAGGACATCTCTCTACTTGAATATTTCTAGCAAAGAATAATTCACAGTTTCTGAAAACTTGTTTTAATTCCAGAGAGCTCTAAAGGTGGGATCTACCTTTGTAATCAGTCTCAAAAGATTTTAGGACTCTCAGTGTTATGAAGAGTAAATCTGAGTCTGTTTGTGCTGCCATAACAAAATACCCAAGACTGAGCAATTTATAAACAATAGAAATTTATTTCTCACAGTTTTGAAGACTGTGAAGTCCAAGATCAAGGCACCAGCATTCAGTGTCTGGTGAAGGTCTTCTTGCTAAAGAAGAGCAGAAGAAAGCAAACCCATTCCTTCAAGCCCTTTTATAAGGGCCCTAATCCCATCTATCAGGGCTCCACCCTCATCATTTAATCACCTCTTAAAGGCTTTACCTCTCAGTACTATCACATTGGCCATTAAGTTTCAATGCATTAATTCTGGGGGTCATATTCAGATCACAGCAAAATCGAACTCCTCTTTCATATGAAAGCTTTTCACATGTTTGAAAAACGTGTGCTCCCCTTTTCAGCATAAATGATATCAGTGTAACCAACTGCTCCTTATATTCTGTGGCCTTGTGACCCTTCATGGTTCCCACTGCCCTCTAGTTTGTCAATGTCCTTCATCAAATGTGACTCTCAGAACTGCACACAGTTCTTGTTCCAGTTAGCTGGTGCTGTGTAACAACCAACCACAAAAATCCCAGGGGAATGCAATAGTAAGCGTTTATTTAGCTCACGGGTCTCTGGATCAGCTGGGCGCCAGGTCATCTAGGCTGCCTAATTGACTAGGAAACTCTGCTGTTCTTGACTGGACTTGCTTACATTTCTGGGGTCAGCTGATCTAGGCTAGGCTTGGCTAGGGCTGTTCAGTCTGCATCATGCGTCTGTCATCCCTTCCTGGGACTAGTGGGCTTACCCAAGAATGTTCTCATTAAGATGGCAGATGCATAAAAGAGCAAGGCTAATTGTATAGATGCTTTTCCAAACTTTGGTCATGTCAAGCCTGCTAACAAAACAAGTCACATGGCCAAACCTAAAGCCAAGGGGGAAGGGGAAGTCTGACTTTTTTGTGGGAGAATCTTTAAAGTGACATGGCAAAGGGCATGGACAATGGGAGGGCTTAAGAAATGTAGATTTGACTTGATCAGATCAAAGGAGAGCTAGATTATTCTCTGTCTTTCTGGAAGGTATGTTTCTTTCAATTCAGCCTAAGATTTAATGACCTTTTTAGATAGCCATACTAATGGCTTTCAGTGAATTTGCTGTCAAGTAGAAACTGAGGTTTTTTACATATGCTTGCCAAGCTCTGGACCTGTGCTATTGACTTCTTGGAGCCAAATGCAGGATATTACCTTTATTCCTATTAAATTTTGTCTTAATGGAACCAGGGCCCCAAATATTCAAGTAAGACAGAATTCATACCCCTTCTTTCATGTCTCAAATTATGTGCAAGTTTTCTCTTTTTTATCTTTGAAATTATCTTTCATCATGATATAATCAGGACTCTTATTGGTGTCAACGATAATAATGTTGAATTGACTTGATGAAGACCGAGTCCCATGTCCCACTGTAAGAGACTGTCCTCTGAGTTGCCAGGGGTCCATTCTGCATTCCTTGGGTCTGGCATATTAAATATTAGAAATTCATCTCATTTAATCATCATCCAGTCTCCATTTCTCCATTGTGTCCCCAGGGATGCAAAGAGACTTTGTGGCATACCTGTTATGATTACATAAAGGACAGGTAGGATTTAGAAAGGAAATGAGAGAGTTGCCATTCAAGAGTGAGGGAGCACATCCAGCAAGGTCTTCAGAAGGGATGAGTATGGGTGTATAGGTGGGTACAGAGTCTTCAGATAGGCACAAGAAAGCTCATGATATGGAGCTGTGGAAGATAAGGCCAGGAAGGGAAGCTGGGTTCATGTTATGAAGCATCTTGCATAGCTGGATAAAGATTTTGGACTTTTTCCAATAAGTATGGATTTTCCAAAACTTACGCAGAGTACATTGTCTCTTTAGAGGTTCCTGAGGGGTGGCCTTGCCTTGGGGATTGTGGTAAAGACAACTTGACCCCAGCATCTGTTCTTCTTTTCTTCTTCAGTTATAGTCCTCCTGATTTTTTGCAGGGTGCATGGATCCCCAGAAAAAAAGACTACATTTCCCAGCCTCCCTTCCATCTAGGTGTGGCCATGTTATCATGTTTTAGCCAATGGGGTTTAAGTAGAAGTTGACATAACGTCCAGGATAAGGTACAAACTTCTTCATCCTGTCCAGCTGGCTGTATGCAGATCTTTGATCCTGAAGTGACATTGGAAGCCATTCACATCAGTGTAATAAAATAGGGGTAACCTGAGTCCCAGACCACAAGGAGTGCCATATCAATCATGCAATGATTATTACAGATTTCTTTGATGTTAGCAGTAAATAAAATTCAATCTATGTATTATGATGGATTTCTCTTACAGCCAATCCAATCCTAAGCAAACAGAGGGATAGAAAACCAAGTGGAGATCCTTGTTTATCTGTTTAATCTGTTGGGGTTTTGCTAAGAAGAAAGGACTATAGTGCTGGGCAATGGAGATCCACAAATGGTTGATAAGGGGGGAGGGGCACGGTAGCAACTGTGCTTAACAACAACTACCACAATAACAACAATAAAGATAAATCTGGCCAAGATGTGCAAAGGAGATCCAATGGTAGTATGAGACCAGTTGGCTCCTGACTGTCTCTGTGCATTGCTGGGAAGGCAGCCATGATGTGGTGATTGAGAACCATGGATATCCCATCCACCAACAAACCAGTTACTCTTGTACTTATGGGCACGTGGAGTTGTGCCACACTGATCCCTTCTCCTGAGTCACTTCTATGCTCTGGCCCCTGGTCTCCATGGTCCCGTTGGATGGGTCATTACCCCAATTTACAAGATGCTTAAGTCAGCCTGGAGTAGAAGAATACTGTCCACATGAGCTTGTCTTATTGACGCAATGGCCAAACATGCCCAATATGTTAGTAATCAGAATTACTTTCATTTTCATTGCTTATAACACAATTACAGTTAGTAAATACCTGTTTATCCCCCAGGAATGAACAAATGGACCCTCTCCCATGTCTTATAGTAGATGGGGGGAGAGGATTAAGGAATGAAGAGGTGTGGTACAAATTTCACAATCATTGAGTGAGGTATTTAACATTTTTTATTTCTATGAAATTGAACTGAAATTGGCTTGGTGTTTGCTCTAGTTTACCAAATTGTAGAAAACTTGACCTAACCCTCCATATAAACTGAGTCACTTACAGATTTAAAAAAAAAAAACTCAAAAAAGAAACCCCCCAAAAAACAAAAAAACCTCCATCAGTTTAGGTTTCTGCCCCCGACTTCGAGTGCTTCTGAGCTCTGTTGGGCTGACTGTTGTCCTGGCATGGGAGCAAGACCTCTGGTAGAAGGCTGGTTTCTGTCCTGCTCTGGTTGGTTGGTGAGGGTGCAGGCTCTGTGGGTGTTCAATTAGTACCACCTTCACTGCTTGTGCATGGAAAACATCTGTATCCTTTTTGCATCCAGCTGGCAGGGGGCATGCAATCACCCGCAGCTTCCTTGCTTGGCTGTGGAACTTCTCCATACCCTCCTGACTGCCTCTCAGCTATTCTGGACCAAGCTGAGCTGTGAGCAGCTCTCTGAGATTGTTCTCATTTCCAGGCCCAAGACGTCTCCTACCAACACACGTACTCTACCCCTTGGGCAGTATCTTTGCCAAACCTATTGTATCTCTGAAAAGCACCTCTGCTCTGGGATTCACCCAAACTCATCTGCTCTTTCTTCTGGCATTCATCTTGTCCCAGACCCAGGGATCAGCAAGGTTATTTGGGGGTGAGCTAGGGGCCCCTTCTGATGGAGGGCCCATCATCTAAGTTCAAATCTCCTCCCTTCCAATTCTCTCCTCTTGGTGGCTGGCCTAACCTTGGTCTGCTTTGAGGCAGGAACATGCCTTCTTCCTGCTCTGCTGTTTGCAGCTGCAGTGTCTGTTTCAAGCCCCTTAGCTTCTTATTCTCTCGGCACACAGAAACCTTTACTCTTTCAAGGACTCTTTGCTGGTCATAGAAAGTCTTGACTTTCAAACTTTGGCTTCTGCTCTGAGTTTTCTATAACTCTTTGCGGAAACTCAAATGGCTTCTTTGTCTCAGGCTGTGTTCTCACCCCTCCTACGTGCATACACATCATGGATGCCACTGACATGATGCACTAAAGGCTTGTAGAGGCAAGAGGAAAAATGTAGGAAAGAAAATCCAGTTATTATTTCAAGATATTATACCATCACATTGTTTTTTCTTCTAATTATTAACCAAATTACCAAGCCTCAAAAGAAAGTGGCTGTGGGTGCTGTTTCTAGGTAGTCTCTGTGCATTTATTCCACCTTTTTATTTGTGGGCATCATCAGGAAGAATCTGCTAGAACATCCCACTGCTTTGCTGCCTTTCCTGTTTCTAATGAGTACATCATCCGTGACTGTTAGTATAAACTAGAGCACAACTTGGAGCCAGAACTCTGGTTCCACACTGTACCAGAGTTATGCTCTGCATAACAGACTGTTCTCATTCCTACTTCTCCTAGAAAATTTCATGCATTCCAAATATTTAGAGTGAGGGTGGAAATTTGGTTAATTTGATTTTCTGTTTAAAATGAGATCCTGCCTTCCCCCAACATCCCCCGCAAAATATGTGGTAGATTGCAAAAATGACCACAAATTCTTTTTTTCTTTTTTCTTTTTTTTTTCATTATACTTCAAGTTTTAGGGTACATGTGCACAACGTGCAGGTTTGTTACATATGTATACATGTGCCATGTTGGTGTGCTGCACCCATTAACTCGTCATTTAGCATTAGGTATATCTCCTAATGCTATCCCTCCCCCTCACCCCACCCCAAAACAGGCCCCAGTGTGTGATGTTCCCCTTCCTGTGTCCATGTGTTCTCATTGTTCAATTCCCACCTGTGAGTGAGAACATGCAGTGTTTGGTTTTTTGTCCTTGTGATAGTTTGCTGAGAATGATGGTTTCCAGCTTCATCCATGTCCCTACAAAGGACATGAACTCATCATTTTTTATGGCTGCATAGTATTCCATGTGTATATGTGCCACATTTTCTTAATCCAGTCTATCATTGAAGGACATTTGGGTTTGTTCCAAGTCTTTGCTATTGTGAATAGTGCCGCAATAAACATACATGTGCATGTGTCTTTATAGCAGCATGATTTATAATCCTTTGGGTATATATCCAGTAATGGGATGGCTGGGTCAAATGGTATTTCTAGTTCTAGATCCCTGAGGAATCGCCACACTGACTTCCACAATGGTTGAACTAGTTTACAGTCCCACCAACAGTGTAAAAGTGTTCCTATTTCTCCACATCCTCTCCAGTACCTGTTGTTTCCTGACTTTTTAATGATCGCCATTCTAACTGGTGTGAGATGGTATCTCATTGTGGTTTTGATTTGCATTTCTCTGATGGCCAGTGATGATGAGCATTTTTCATGTGTCAGAAATGACCACAAATTCTCCACCTCCCATCAAGAGGTGGAAATGCTTTCTCCACTCCTTGATTCTGACCTTGGCCATGTGATTTGCTTTGGCCAATGGGACCTTAGCAAATGTGACACAAGTAGATGCTTACAAACTGCTATGCACTGTGGTTTGCCCTCTCACACTCTGTGTTATTCCATTTTGCATTGCTATAAATTAATACACAGGGGTGGGTAATTTATAAAGAAAAGAGGTTTATTTGGCTTACAGGTCTGCAGGCTGTACAGGCATGGCATCAGCGTCTGCTTGGCTTCTGGTGAGGCCTCAGGAAGCTTTTACTCATGGTGGAAGGCAAAGGGGCAGTAGGTGTGTCACATGGTGAGAGAGGAAGCAAGAGAGAGAGTGGAGAGGTCCCACACTCTTTTTAACAACCAAATTTCATGGTAACTCATTACCATGGGAAGGGCACAAGCCATTCATGGGGGATCTGCCTCCATGGCTGAAATACCTCACACTAGGCCCCACCTCCAACATTGGAGATCACATTTCAACATGAGATTTGGAGGGGACAAACATCCAAACTATGTCACACTCCCAGGGGCCCTGTGGCCACCACCATGTGAATGAGCCCTGGGCTTGCTTACTGGATTATGGGATACCTCAGCTGATTTGGCAGCTGCCCACAGGTGCCTAAGTGTGCCTGCCTGTGACCAGCAGAGCAGCCCAGCTGAGCCCAGCTCATATTGCTACTCTACTGATCCTTAAGCTAAATAAGTGGTTATTGTTTAAAGCTACTGACTTATGGGGTAGTTTGTTGTGCAGAAAAAGCTAACTGTTACATGATACTAAACATAATGGAATGTTTGGTGAATTGGCATTTTGTATCCTCAGGGTTATAGAGTGGACATCAATTCTTTCCATATAGAACTACAAATTTAAAAGACAGAGGCTGGATTTATACCAAGTCCAGGATATACCTAAATTCTTCTTTTAAAAAGTTAGCCAATATACTGTTGTGTTAAAATGCAAATGCCTGAATAATATGCTAAGTATAATGCCATTAGATTAACTAAATTTATGCTGTGTATATATACTTGTATATACATGGAAAATTCTAGAGGAACACTGAAGAAGCTGTTAATAGAGGATACCTCTGGGCCTGGGACTAGAGGTGGGATAGGGGTAGGAGGAACTTTTTTTGTTGTTTATATCAAGTTTGAAATTTTCACCATGATTACATGTTAATTTTATAACTAAAAAAATACTAACATTTAAAAAAATGAAGTCTATCACCAAATGGTCTAAGAGTACCAGCTTGGTTCAAGGAGCTGTGCTGCTTATTTCATTTGTATCTTTTTTCTTAAAAGCTCAGTGTCCAAAATACATCCTGATTGCTGCAGGATTTTCATCAGCGTAGGCGCCAGTGAATTGAGTTTTTACTCTGGTAAGCATTTGTTGCATGTCAAAAATACTGGCTTTAAAGAAAGAAAATGCTTATTTATTTAGTTTTATATTAATTTCCCACCTACTTCCAAGAAATATTTGAAACTCTTAATGTAATGCATTAATTAAATGCTGCTAGGGCAGAATTTCTAGCCAAGTAAAAGAACTTGTATTACCATAGTGCTACATTTGCAAATTGGAAAAATAAAATGCCAGAAAATCTGACTTCATTGAGCGCCCCTAGCTCAGATCCAGTGAACAGAATTTGAATCAAGACTAGGATAGGGGTGTCTGAACTGGGAGATTAAGATCTTTAACTAGAATGAAAAGACCCAGGCCCTGGATACTTGGCTTTTAGTGGCAATTCACAGACACGTGGCTACCAGGGCCTGAGAAGCTAGATTGTGTGGTTTTGCTTTTGAGTCCCAGGACCTGACAAACCAATGCAGCAAAGAGCCTGCAGGAAACTCTCTGACTCCAAGCCCAGATGGCCCTCTCCGATTCTCCTGGGATCTGGTTAACCACATGATCATGTGGCATCTAAAGATTGTGTCATCAGCCTGCCTGTACCACACTTGCTGCATAGAGGCTGCAGAAATTGACCCTCAATTCAGGCTGCAGAAAAATTCCAGGATCAGGGTTCATGGTGGATTTCTCACATAAGATGTATAATGTGGTGAGAATCTTGGCCTAAGGCACTGTTGTGGTGGGCTGGGAGTATTGAGGCAACACTTCTCACAAGGACAGAGAAGAACTTACATTGCAGTGAGATGTGTTGATCTGAGCCAAAAGACAATGGAACAGGTGAGGGTGGGGGAGAAATGCCTTGTAGAATTCAAGAAAGGGATTAAAAAGGGCATTATGAACAGTCCTATTGCCTTAGAAATCCATATACCTGTGTACAGGGTATAAACACAAAATAAATTTGAGATGTCAACAGAAGACCTCATAGATTTTGGTTAGATGGAACATAGGCCTACTTACATTGGTTCAATTAAAGAAACCTTTATTAAATAGGCACGGTGCATCTCATGGGACAAATAACAGTGGTTCGAGGACTGGCATTGCAAACAAGCTGATAGGATCCAAGGCTGCCAACCTCTCTTCTCTTTCCTGGAGCCACATGTTCTCTTATTTCTCATTTTCCTTGCTTATCCTCCCCATTCTCATCTATGCCATTGCGGGTGGATTTGTACCTGTTTATTCATTAGCATCTATGTAGCTTAAACAGATTGCTCCATCTCAGTTTGGTGGAGCTTCTCAATTCAAGCAATCATACTATATGATCATGGTTTCTGTGTCTCCTGGTGCTATGGTCTGAATGCGTCCTCCAAATTCATATGTTGAAACTCAATTGCCAGTGTGATGGTTGTAAGAAGTGGGGCCTTTAAGAAGTGATTAAGTCATGAGGACCCCATTAAGTCATAATGTCATAGATGGGATTAGGGCCCTTATAAAAGGGCTTGAAGGAGTCAGTTCATTCCTTTTCAGCTCTTCTGCCGTGTGAGGATACAGCATTCATCCCCTTTTGCCTTTTTGCCTTCTGCCATGTGAAGATGCAGCAATAAGGTGCCATCTTGGAAGCAGAGAGCAGCCCTCACAGACACCAAATCTGCTGGTGCCTTGATCTTGGACTTCCCAGCCTCCATAACTGTGAGAAAATAAATTTCTGTTCTTTGTAAATTACCCAGTCTCAGGTGTTTTGTTATAGCAGCATAAACAAACTAAGACACTTGGTTCAAGTTTTCAGAGACTTTGACATAGGTGTGTGTTTCCCCCAGCCAGGGGATTCATGCTTTGTTGCAGCAGATGGTGGGAGTGCCCTGTTCATAGCTTCTTGCTTTTACCATTTCAATGCATGCTGGCCACATTTCCAACTGCCAGCGCCTCCCTACATCTCTTTGCCTGGGGCCTTCTCTGGTCATTGTTCTGTCCAGATAGGTGTGGCTAGCTAGAAGTACTGGGTATGAATGCCTAGTGACTGACAAGAGTTAGTGTCTAAACACCCAATCCTTTTACCCCTTTACCCCAATTGTTTTGCCTCTTTGCCCAAGGCTTGTCTTCTACACTATTCTCCAGCAACACTGAGCTCCAGTTATCCAGAGTGGTAACTTGCTTGACAACGCACCCTGTATTGGTTGCCTTCCTTCTCACATTTCTTCACTCCACTACTGGTCCATCTCAGAATCACCTCCTAAATAAACTACTTGCATGTGAATCCTTGCCTCACAGTCTGCTTCTGGGGGAACCCAAACTGAAATACTAGTCCAATTAGTTATCGCCAAAGTCACTTGAGCAGAAGGGCCATCTTCAGAAAGGGGCTGTGGGTGGAGTAGACATAGGAAGGTTGACCTTGTTAAAAAAAAAAAAAAATTAGAAGGGAGGTGAAGCATCTGCACATGATAAAAAGATTCACACCCACATGGAAATTCACAGTCCTGAGGGCAGGGCTGTGTTGGGAATCATGTGGGTGGAGATCAAAAGCAAAGGGAACAGAAGTCATATTGTTGCAGAAGCATATTTCAGGCTGCTGGACCAGATGGGGGAAACTGATGATGGTTCTTTACTACAACCACACAACTAGCCCAGAGGTGAGAGACCTACTGATGAGGGCACCACCAATTGGGTGGTTGCTCAGAGTTCTCATCAGCTACGAGCAGAGCATCTGAACTAACTCTTGGCTTGCCTTGCTGACACTCTCACCTCCTATAAGGTAGAGGAGCGGCCAGTGAGGAATTGCTACTAGAGTTAAATTCAAACCAAGAAGCGGGAACTATTTGGTGAGGCAGCAAGACCGGACCTTGGGTGAAGGTGAGTTCATCATCTCAGAAGAGGGTCATGAAGAGTGGGCTGGTCAGACTTCAAAAGTCTTGAAACAGTGGTTCTCAGGCTTCAGTGTGGAAGGGTTTATATACGTGAACAAGGGCTGATACAGATTCCCCTGCAGCTCTGCCTCCAAGATTGATTGGGTACTTTGGGAGTGGGGCCAGGAATTTTAGGTGTTCTTAATTCAGGGGGTTCCCAGAAGGCATTTTGAGGAATAGTGCTTTAGAGCAAACAGAGGTAGGAACTCACGGCTTGAGACATTAAAGAGACCATCCAGAAGGTTGGAAGAACTCAAAAATAAAATTCCAAGTTGGCCACCACAAAGGAGCCCAAGGAGGAAGAAAAGACGAACCTGATGAAGAGCTACTGCTACACAGGGGGCCCTGATGAACACAATTAAAAAAAAAATCATGCAGAAGAGCTGGCAGATAGCCAACAAAGAACAGAAAACAGTTGCAAAGAACACTAAGAGTAGTGCCAGGAAGGCTCAGTGGTGAACTGAACCTTAAACAATGTCAGGGCATCAAAAAGGGATTTTTGAGTTAAATTCTGAGTAGGAGGGTGAACCCACAAGGCGTCTGCTCACTGCTTGTGGGTCCAATGAGATAATGTTCACAGACAACAGAGGAAGTGGCTCTCACCCCTGTTTTGTACTGGCCTTCTGAGAATTACAGTGACCATTATTAGACACCTCTCTGTGTACGTATTATCTCATTGAATCTTCACAACCCTCTGCAAGGCAGGCATTCCTTATAATAGTCAGCTGTCTTCTATTTGTAAGTGGGAGAAATCCAGCTCAAACTAACTTAGACAAAGAATTGATTAAGGCAAGTCATAGAAACTAGAAAAAAACAAAAACAAAAACAAAAAAACAAAAGGAGAATTGATTGGCCCCTGTACCTAGGAAGGAGAATGAGGGGGCTGGTCATAGGCATGATTGAGTCTAGTGGGGCAGAGGATTCTCTCTCATTCTCTCTCCTAGGTGTGGGCCTCCCTTTCCTCTGGCAGTCAGACCTCCCACATGCGGTGGGGAACACAGCCACAGCCCATGTCTACCTGACATCTTTCCAGCTCCATGGCCCTCAGGCAATGGGCCTTCCTTGCTAGTTCCAGTCAGAACAATCCTGGGCTGGGTGCGATGGTTCTCGCCTGTAATCCCAGCACTTTGGGAGGCTGAGGTGGGTGGATCACTGGAGGTCAGGAGTTTGAGACCAGCCTGGCCAACATGGTGAAACTCCATCTCTACTAAAAATATAAAAATTAGCCAGGCCTGGTGGCATGCGCCTGTCATCCTAGCTACTTGGGAGGCTGAGGCAGGAGAATCACTTGAACCAGGGAGGCAGAGGTTGCAGCGAGCCAAGATAGTGCCACTGCACTCCAGCCTGGGTGACAGAGTGAGACTCTATCTCAAGAAAAAAAAAAATCCTGGAGAAGGTCTCTGGTTGGCCTCCTTCAGTCACAGTCTTATTCCTGAGGTGTCAGGTGAATGGGATACTCTGATTGGCTAGGTCTGTGTCATTCGCCCCATGGCTGAGCAAGGGGTAAGGGAGGCCTGTTACCAGAACAAGGGAGTTATATTTGGAGAGTCCTAGTTAATTCAAAAGAATAACTACCACAGTCCCATTCCCATTCCCATTTTATAGATGTGGAAGCTGAGACTGAGAGAAATCAATGAAGTTGCCCAGGAGATACACATGGTGTACTCTGGAGCCAGGACTCAACCCCGACACTGTTGCTTCTGCTAAACAGAGGTGTCTCTCATCCATCTGTGCAGGACTGGGGATAGGGAACAGAGATCAGAACTTGTTTTCTGGAAGGGTGTATGGAAGAAGCCACTGATGCCTCAGGTTCCCTTTAGCAGGCTGGTGCTCCTATCCCTGGTTGTTGTGAGTGTCAGGTGTTGATGACTCATAGCTGCTCCCTTCTCCTGACAATTGCCCTCAGTTGGATGAGAGCACCCACTGGGAAATGTCTGGGAGATTACCACCCCCTCTGCCACACAGTGGTCAGTAGTCCATAGCTGACTGAGAGGAAGGCAGAAAAACCCACTTCCTTGCCTCAAGGTGGGTGAGCCTGTGGTACCTTCACATTTTAGAGCTCCCCACAGGACCAAGCCAAGGTGAGACTTCAGCTGAACCACATCTCTTTTTCTCCTCTTCTCCTCTCACCTCCTGCCTCCTTTCTTCCTCTGCAGGTTCCTTCTGAGAGCACTTGCTCATTCATTCACTTGCATAAGAATCCCTGTCTCAGCTTCTGCTTCAAGGGAGCCTGACCTAAGACAGGTGTTAAGAGTTAAAGCTTGGATCACAAACTGGTTGTCAATTCATGGGTGCAAGAGGAGGAGCAGGAACCTCACCACAGAGCCAAGCCATATGTCTTTAGGAGGCCAGGTGCAGTTGCTCATGCTTGTAATGTTAGCACCTTGGGAGATTGAGGTTGAGAGGATTGCTTGAGGCCAGGACTTCATGACCAGCCTGGGCAACATAGCGAGACCCCATTCCTATTTAATACACGAATAAAATACAATAAAAAGAAATCAGGAAAGCAGGGATGCTGAGAGGAAGCGAGGAGGAGGTGGGGGAAGATGGGATGGGGGGCTGGAGGCATTGATTTTATTTTTAAAATTGTAAAATTACATAAAATTGATTATTTAAACCATTTTAAGTGTACAATTCAATGGCATTCACTACATACACATTGTTGTGCGGCCATCAGCACCATCCATCTGCAGAGCTTTTTCATCTTGCAAAACTAAAACTCTGTACCCATTAAGCATTAACTCCCCATTCCCCTCTCCCGGCAGCCCCCGGCAAGCACCATTCTACTTTCTGTCTCTAAATTTGACTACTCTAGGAACATCAGATAAATGTCCTCAGTATTTGTCTTTTTGTGTCTGGCTTCTTTCACTTAGTATAATGTCTTCAACGTCCATCCATGTTGTAGCATGTGTCAGTACATTATTCTCTTTTAAGGCTAATATTCCATTGTATGGATATACCACATTTTTATTCATTCATCCATCGATACACACTTTGATTGTTTCTACCTTTTTCTATTGTTAATAATGCTGCTATGAGTGTGGTTGGACAAATACCTCTTTGCACCCCTGCCTTCAGTTCTTTTGGGTATATGCCCAGAAGCAGGATTGCTGGATCATATGGTAACTCTATGTTTAATGTTTTGAGGAACCATCATACTGTTTCCACAGTGGCTATTCCATTTTACATTCCCACTAGCAGTGCACAAGTGTCCCAATTTTTCTATATCCTCCCAACACTTGTTATTTTCTGTTTTTTCATAATAGTTATCCTAATGGGTGTGAAGTAGAGGCACTTTTGGAGGCAGAAGGCTGAGAAGCTATTTCCATATCTCTGCAATGGCTGCTGGGATGGCCGGGCTGGGTCACCCATTGTCACTAAAAGCAGCCCAGTGATATCCAGGATCGAGAGCCCTGGGCCCATCTCTGCCTTCTCTATGGCCATCAACACTGCAGAGGTGAGGTGCTTCATTCTCTCCACCATTTAGATTTTCCTTGCTATTTCTCTAAATCTCTTTGCTCGTGGGTGCAGACAGAACCCCACTGGGTGGAGGAGGAGGACGATTTTAGTGACAGATTGTTCTGTCCTCTGCTGCAGCTCTGTTCTCTGGCACTGGGCCAGGTGCTGCTTATCGTTTTCTCTTTCCTAAGGCTGATTCTTTCCAGGAAGCACCATGGCACCTGGGGTTGAGTCTCTCCAGCCGCCTGGGCCTGCTCGGGCAGGGGGACCCCAGTGTGGACTCAGCCAAACTCTGTGAGATCCTTCCCCCTCTTGTCCTTGGTCTTAGTTTGGGCTCCCCTAAAAACAGACCTCAGGATTCCAGTGCAAGTAATTCATTTGGGAGGTGAGCCCAGAAAGGACAGTGAGAGAGAAGTGAGACAAAGAAGGAAGGAAAGCCAACAAAGGGTGCTTTAGGTGGGTTTCCAATGTGGACACTAAGGCTCAATCCCTCAAGGGACCCTTTCAGGGAGACAGGTCCTCAAAACTGTCCCCCACTGAGGATGAGGAAGCTGAGGCATTTCTTCACCAACCCGTGGCTTTCACTGTTTGTGGACTGTTCTGGAAGAGTGTAAACTCCCTGGCACTTCTAGGCTGCCTCAGACGTGGTCTGAAAATGCCACTGCAGCCAGAGAGCGCTCTCAGAAATGCAAATCAAAACCACTTCGTGATAGCACCTCGCACCTGTTAGATTGGCTGTTATCAAAAGATGAAAGATATCAAATGTTGGTGAGGATGTGGAGAAAAGGAAACCCTTGTGCACTGTTGGTGAGAATGTAAATTAGTATAGCCATTACGTAAAACAGTATGGAGGTTCGTCAAAAAACTAAAATAAAACTACCATAGGATCCAGCAATCCCACTGCTGGGTATATATCCAAAGGAAATCAGTATGTGGAAGAGATATCTGCACCCCCATGTTTATTGCAGCATTGTTCATAATAGCCAAAATATGGAATCAACCTAAGTGTCCATCAATGGATGAATGAAGAAAATGTACTATATAAACACTATGAAATACTATGTAGCCTTAAAAAAAAAAACTGGAAATTCTGTCATTTGTGACAACATGAATGAACCTGGAGGACATTATGCTAAGTGAAACAGGCCAGGAATAGAGACAAATACCATATGATCTCACTTATATGTGGGATCTAAAAAAGTCAAACTCGGCCGGGTGCAGTGGTGCACACCTATAATCCCAGCACTTTGAGAGGCTGAGGTGGGCAGATCGCTTGAGCTCAGGAGTTGGAGACCAGCCTGGGCAACATGGCAAAACCCTATCTCTGCTAAAAAATACCAAAATTAGCCAGGTGTGGTGGTGCATGCCTATAGTCCCAGCTACTTGGGAGGCTGAGGTGGGAGGATCATTTGAGCGAAGGAGATGGAGGCTGCAGTGAGCCGAGATCATGCCACTACACTCCAGCCTGGGTGACAGAGTGAGACCCTGTCTGAAAAAAAAAAAGTCAAATTAATAGAAGCAGAGAGTAGAATGGTGGTTACCAGAGGCTGGGGAGGGGGCTGGAGAAAGGGGAGATGTTAGTCAATGGGTACACAGTTCAGTTAGACATGAGGAATAAGTTCTGGTGATCTATTGCACAATACTGTGTGACAGTTAATAATAATGTATTGCATATTTCAAAACACTAAAAGAGAAGATTTTAAACGTTTTCACCACAAAGAAATAAATATTTGAGGTGATGGTTAAGCTAATTGGCCTGATTTGATCATTCCGTGATGTAAACATGTATCCAAGTATCCAAACCATCACATTGTACCTCATGAATATATACAATTATTATTTGTAAATTAAAAATAAAGTAAAACTCAAAAAAAGACAAAGAGAGCTCTCAAGCAGAGGAATAGAAAACACAGCTAAGAGTGTGACACTTGGGTAGGCTGAGGGGCTATAGGTGAGGCACTGACAACACCTGCTGCCTTGTCCTTGGTATTAAAGGGTGTTCATGTCAACCTGGAAGAAGGTGGTGAGGTTAGGATGGAAGGTGTGGCCCTACATTTGCACCTGGTGGACACTTTCAGACTCCTACTTAGTTCAGAGTAACATTTACTGAGTCCCCAGTTCATATGCAATATCATATTTTATCCTCATGATAACACCATGATAGAAGGTATTTTCTATGGTTTGAATGTCTG
The DNA here is from genome assembly GCF_000001405.40 of Homo sapiens. Lineage (NCBI taxonomy): Eukaryota > Metazoa > Chordata > Mammalia > Primates > Hominidae > Homo > Homo sapiens. Next base: position 39,625,427 of record NC_000023.11, on the reverse strand, counting down.
CTTTCCAGAATTCATGTAGAAACTTATTCTCCAATGCAATAGTATTTAAGAGGTGGAGCCATTAGGAGGTGATTAGGTCATGAGGGCTCTTTCTCCATGAATGGGATTGAGGACCTTATAAAAGAGGCTTTATAGAGTGTTAGGCTTTTTTTGTCCTTCTATCCCTTCTGCCACGTGAGGACATAGTGTTCATACCTTTCGGAGGATGCAGCAAGAAGGTGCCATCTTGGAAGCAGAGAGCAGCCCTCACCAGACATCAAACTTGCTGGTGCCTTGAACTTCCCAGCCTCCAAGACTGAAAGAAATAAATTTCTATTATTTATAAATTACCTAGTCTCATGTATTTTGTTATAGCAGCATGAAAAGACTAAGATAAAAATTGGTAACAAGAAGTAGGGTCTTGCTCTAACAAATGCCTGGAAATGTGGAAGCAGCTTTGGAACTGGGTAATGGGTGGAAGCAAGAAGAATTTGAAAGAATAGGCTAGAAAAAGCCTGTATTACCACGAATGGTCCATAAAGGCTGATTCTCATGAAAGTGCAGAATAAGAGGATAACTGTAGTAAGAGCCTCAGTTTTCTTAGAGATTACTTAAGTGGTCATGACCAGAATGTTGGTAGAAATATGGATAGTAAAGGCCATTCTGATGAGGTGTTGGAGGTGAGGAACATGCTGTGGACTGGAAACTGGAGGAAAGGTTGTTCTTGTTACAAAGCAGAAAAAAACTTAGCTGAATTATGGCTGTGTCCTAGTGCTTTGTGGAAGGTAGAACTTGAGAACAATGAACGAGGGTATTAGCAAAGTACTCAGGGTGCTGCATGGCTTCTCTTGAAGCCTATGGTAAAATGCAAGAAGAGAGAAATGAATTACAGACCGAATTTATAATCAAAAGAGAAGCAGAACTTAAAGATTTGGAAATTCTCAGCTTGGCCGTGTAAAGAATGAAAAGGGTGTTTGAGAGAGAACACCAAGAATGTGGCCGAGCTACCTGCTGATAAGGAAGTTAGGAGGGATAGGCAGAAGCCAGGTGCTATTTAGCAAGACATTGGAAGAATGACCCCAAAGGCATTTTGGAGAATGGTGCTGCCACCCCCATCAGAGGCCCAGATTTCCAGAGGCCTAGATTCTTCCCCTTGAGGGCAGAATGGTTTCAGAAGAGGGGCCCAGGGAACCTCGAGGCTGCTGCCCAGGGCTGCCTCAAGCTTCTACTCCATGAATTCTGGTACAGCACTCCTTAGCCACCTGGTTGTGCTCCAGCAGGCTCAGGTGGGCAGCAATGGCAAACCTGGAGACATTCACATGGTGCTAACTCTGCAGGCATGCAGAGTACAGGAGCCATGGAGGCTGCCTACACCTAGATTTAATGGATGCCTTGGAGAGCCTTGGGGCCTAGGCAGAGAAGTGCCACAGGAGCAGGGCCACCACTGAGAGCCCTCACTAGGGCAATGCTTAGTGGAGCCACAGGGTGGGGCCTCCCCCAAGACTTGTAACTAACTGTAGAACCACCAGCATGCAACACCAGCCTGGGAGAGCTGCAGGTACCTGGGAGAGCTACCTGGGCTGCACCCAGCAAAGCCATGGACCCCTGAGTCCAGTGAGTCCCAGTGAGGCCAGAAGGCAGGACATTGAGTCAAAGATTATTCTCCAGCTTTAAGATTTAATGTTGCTTGCTTTGTAGAGTTTTGAACTCATTTGGAACCAGTCACCCCTTTCTTCCTTCCTGTTTCTCCCTTTAGGAAGGGAATGTCTATCCTATGCCTGTCCACCATTGTATTTTGGAAGCACATAACTTGTTTGATTTCACAGGCTCACAGCTGGAGAGGAATTTTCTTTAGGATGAATCACACCTTGAGTCTCACCCACATCTAATTTAGATGATATTTAGATGAGACGTTGGACTTAAAGTTGATGCTGGAACGAGTTAAGGCTTTTGGAGCTATTGAGATGGAATGAAGATATTTTGTATGTGAGAAGGACATGAATTTTGGGGGGGGAGGGGGGCAAGGATGGCATGCTATGCTTTGAATGCTATATCCCTCCAAAATTCATGTTGAAACTTAATCTCCAATGCAGTATTATTCTCTGCAATTTTGCAGATGAAGAGAAGATTCAGAGACGTTAAGAAGCTTCAAGAGGGTGATACAGGCCCGGCGCTGTCTGCCTTAGTGAGTCTAGCACTCCACCATATCCCTGACAAACTCACCCTTACTGTCTGTAAAATTCTTCCGGCTGATTGATCCCAGAGCCCACATACAGATGCACCTGTGTAGAGGGGCAGTGGGAAAGTGTGGCCAGAAGGACACTGCCTTGGGGACTGGCCCTGACCAACTCACTCTCTGCATAGTACACAGGCAAGTTATCTAGCCTTTCTAGTGGCCAGCACTCTCACCTTCAAATGAAGAGCCCAGACCAGGCCTTCTCATCTCTAAGGCTCCTTCTAGCTCTATAAGCCTATGATTCTACGTGATGTCTAGTCTTCAGTGCACACTATTAAAGTGGCATGTGTGGCACAACAGTGACAAATTGTGACATGGGGCAGGGCTGGTTGGGCCTCAGGCAGCTTTCTTCAGGGGGACATTTACCTTGGTGGCCTGTCTACCACCTGGTGTGGCTCTCAGCTTTGTAGGCTCAGAAACAGAATCTCATGATGGCCAGGATAAGCCAGCTCTGGATCCAAGTTCACATGAAGGTGCTAGAATGAGCAGAAAGGTTATTGTGAGCATTTACAATTAGAAACCAGTTGACTGGATGATTCCATTGGCTGTCCCCCGGTCCTGCAGGTGAGTCCCAGAACTGCCTAGTTGTCTGAGGGTTGTGAGGTGGACACTCCCAACTTCTATTTCTGACTTGGTTTCCCTCAGGGGTCAAACAGCAAACAGTGAGTTCAAACACTCACATTATGATAATCTAAGGAAGGCTTATTGCAAAGGTACTGATATGGTTTGGCTGTGTCCCCACCCAAATCTCATATTGAATTATAACTCCCACAATTCCCATGTGTCATGGGAGGAACCCAGTGGGAGGTGATTGAATTATGGGGGCAGGTCTTTCTTGTGCTGTTCTCATGATAGTGAATGAGTCTCACAAGATCTGATGGCTTTAAAAATGGGAATTTGCCTCTACAAGTTCTCTTCTCTCGTCTGCCACCATGTGAGATGTGCCTTTTACCTTCTGCTGTGACTGTGAGGCCTCCCAGCCACGTAGAACTGTAAGTCTAATAAACCTCTTACTTTTGTAAATTGCCTAGTCTTAGGTATCTCTTTATCAGCAGCATGAAAATGGACTAATACAGTAAATTGGTACCGGTAGAGTGGGGTGTTGCTGAAAAGACCCGAAAATGTGGAAGTGACTTTGGAACTGGGTAACAGGCACAGGGTGGAACAGTTTGGAGGGCTCAGAAGAAGACAGGAAAACGTGGGAAAGCTTGGAACTTCCTTGAGACTTGTAGAGTGGCTTTGCCCAAAATGCTGATGGCGATATGGATAATAAAGTCCAGGCTGAGGTGGTCTCAGATGGAAATGAGGAACTTATTGGGAACTGGAGCAAAGTTTACTCTTGTTATGTTTTAGAAAAGAGACTGGTGGCATTTTGCCCCTGCCCTAGAGACTTGTGGAACTTTGAACTTGAGAGAAATGATTTAGGGTATCTGGTGGAAGAAATTTCTAAGCAGCAAAGCATTAAAGAGGTGACTTGGGTGCTGGTAAAGTCATTCAGTTTTATAAGGAAGCGGAGCATGAAAGTTTGGAAAATTTGCAGCCTGACAATGTGATAGAGAAGAAAATCCCATTTTCTGAAGAGAAATTCAAGCTAGCCAGAGAAATTTGCTTAAGTAATGAGGAGGCAAATGTGAATCCCCAAGACAATGGGGAAAATGTCTCCAGGACATGTCAGAGGTCTTCATGGGAGCCCCTCCTATCACAAGCCTGGAGGCCTAGGAGGCAAAAATGATTTTGTGGATCCCCATGCTGTGTGCAGTCTAGGGACTTGGTGCCCTGCTTCCTAGCCGCTGTAGCTGTGACTCAAAGGGGCCAAGGTACAGCTCTGGCTGTGGCTTCAGAGGGTGCAAGACCCAAGCCTTGGCAGCTTCCACGTGGTGTTGAGGCTGCAGGTACACAGAAGTCAAGAATTGAGGTTTGGGAACTTCCACCTAGATTTCAGAGAATGTATGGAAACATCTGGATGTCCAGGCAGAAGCTTACTGCAGGGGCAGGGCTCTCATGGAGAACCTCTGCTAGGGCAGTGTGGAAGGGAAATGTGGGGTTGGAGCTCCCACACAGAGTCCCTTCTGGGGCACTGCCTAGTGAAGCTATGAGAAGAGGGCCACCATCCTCCAGACCCCAGAATGGTAGATCCACTGACAGCTTGCACCATGCACCTGGAAAAGCCACAGACACTCGATGCCAGCCCATGAAAGCAGCCAGAAGGGAGGCTGTACCCTGCAGAGCCACAGGGGTGGAGCTGCCAAAGGCCATGGGAACCCACCTCTTACATCAGTGTGACCCAGATGCAAGACATGGAGTCAAAGAAGATCATTTTGGAACTTTAAGATTTGACTGCCCTGCTGGATTTCGGACTTGCATGGGGCCTGTAGCCCCTTTGTTTTGGCCAATTTCTCCCATTTGCAATGGCCATATTTACCCAATTCCTGCATCCCCATTGTATCTAGGAAGTTACTAACTTGCTTTTGATTTTACAGGCTCATAGGTGAAAGGGATTTGCGTTGTCTCAGATGAGACATTAGACTGTGGACTTTTGAATTAATGCTGAAATGAGTTAAGACTTTGGAGGACTGTTGGGATGGCATGATTGGTTTTAAAATGTGAGGATGAGATTTAGGAGGAGTCAGAGGTGGAATGACATGGTTTGGCTGTGTCCCCACCCAAATCTCATCTTGAATGGTAACTCCCACAATTCCCACGTGTTGTGGGAGGAACCCAGTGAGAGGCGATGATTGAATTCTGGGGGGCAGGTCTTTCCTGCTCTGTTCTCCTGATAGTGAATGAGTCTCACAAGATCTGATGGCTTTAAAAATGGGAATTTGCCCGCACAAGCTCTCTTCTCTTGTCTGCTGCCATGTGAGACGTCCCTTTCACTTTCTGCCATGATTGTGAGGCCTCCCAGCCATATGGAACTGTAAGTCCAATAAACCTCTTTTGTAAATTGCCCAGTCTCAGGTATGTCTTTATCAGCAGCGTGGAAACGGACTAATACAGGTACTATTTACAGAGGTGTGTGGGGTAGGGAACCACAAACGTTAGCACAGAAACCTGGGGCTGGTAACATCCCTAAGCACAAAGCAATGAGGGGTATAGAGTGGCTACCAGAACCCAAGTATAGAAGAAGAAACCTTAAGGGAGGCACTGAATGACGTTTGGTGAAGGGTGCAGCCAGCTTGAGGTGCCCTTGTGGGGCGGTGGTGGTGGAGGGGGAGCCAGGGGAAGAAGTAAATGAACCCTACTCCCCTTGTTCCCTCTGATCGCCTTCTGGGCTTCCTGTTGGCTGAACTCCAGGAAAGCATGAGGCCAGGTCATCTTATCTGGGCCAGAACAGGCGGAAGAGGAAGGAGAGTGATGCCGGAGGGAAAAATGCAAGGTATCCAGCCAGGACCTCCCCAGCCTGCTGTCTGATGGACACATTCTAATTTCCTAACAACTTCAATCAGGCTGCAGCCAAGTCTCACTGGCCTGGGAATTCCATCCGTTCAAGGTGACTCTGTTCTGACACATTAAATGTTGATGGCTTAGTTTACTGCTCAGGGGCAAACTTATTTCCCTTATCTTAAATTCTGGAGTGAGGAGTTACTTTCCCTCCCACAAACTCTTGTGGCCCAAGTAAACAGGATGGAGAGAGAAAGCTAAACAAGGTGCATTTGAAAAAGCCGTGAGGACTTCAAGTACCACATGCACGGTGAGTCAACAGTGAAATTAAGTGAGGCTGGGAGCATGTTCAAATGGGAAAGGAAGGGGATAATACAGACAGAAAAAAAATCTATAAGTTAATATAGCAAAGCATTATCCAGCTGCACAGCATTAATAGAAGTATGTAAGCTAGAACAAGGGAGGTGATAATCTGTCTCTACACTCAATTTGTCACTTTGCACCCGAACCCCTGGATCTAGGTGTGGAAGGCACACCTATTAAGGGGCAATATCTGCCTCACAGGGTTCATCTCCCATGATTGGCCCTAGTTTTCCCCACTAAGTTCCTACAGACACATCTAATTTCTCTTGCACATAACCACAGTTGAAACAGTTGGATATAGCTGATGTGCTTGCTGCCATCTTTTCCCCCAGTGTAAACCTCTCTAGTCTCCTAGCACTTTCCTCAGATACCATGGCTCCAGTAGCCCACACCAATGGCCAAATTTGCTCCATGTCTGAAATCTTAGCTTTCTCCACCTCTCCCTCCCTTCTCCCTTCTCAAACACCTGTGCTTTGACTGCCTCAACCTAAGGACTCTCTGTTTTCTAGTGACTTCTGGCTTCAAATGAAGAAGCCAGAATCCCGCTGGGTGCGGTGGCTCACCCCTGTAATCCCAGCACTTTGGGAGGCTGAGGTGGGCAGATGACCTGAGGTCGGGAGTTCCAGACCAGCTTGACCAACATAGAGAAACCCTGTCTCTACCAAAAATACAAAATTAGCCAGGTGTGGTGGCACATGCCTGTAATCCTAGCTACTCGGAAGGCTGAGGCAGGAGAATGGCATGAACCCGGGAGGCGGAGCTTGCAGTGAGCCGAGATCGCGCCACTGCACTCCAGCCTGGGTAACAGAGCAAGACTCCGTCTCAAAAAAAAAAAAAAAAAAGAAGAAGCTGGAATCCCATCCTTGACTTTCTGTCCACCTTCTGTTTCCCTTCATCTGTTCTGCAAAACTCTAATTCTGGATCAATGTGACTGCTGGACATCTTTATTCTTAAGCCCATTGTGCTGTTGGAGAAAACGCATCACTGTGGCCTTACAACATGGCAAATCCATGTTATCCATCCTCATCTGGGCCTTAAATGCTTCTTGACATTCTTTCTTTGTGCCCTTAGTCATGTGACTAAGTCCCTGGCTAATAGTCACATGACTAATAATCTCTGCTACTTTAAGCTTTGACCTCTGTCTTCAGTCTCTTACTGGTCATCTTCCATTTTATTTGCTACTGATCCTACCTCCCTACTTTTGTTTTCTTTATTGTTGAAATATAACTACAAACAGTAAAGTGCACAAATCTTAAGTGTCATCTGATGAATATTTACATACATCTGTACTCATGTAAATCACCACCCAAATCAAGATACCAAAGGTTCTCATTACCCAGAAACTAGAAAGTTCCCTTGGACCCCTCATAGACAATAACCTGTCCTTCCCAGGTAACCACTATTCTGCCATTTATCACCACAGATGAGTTTTGCCTGTTTTTGAACTTCACATAAATACGGTATATGCTGTACATATTTTACATATATACAAATTTACATATATACACTTACATATGTAAATTTCATATCTGGCTTCTTTAGGTCAACATAATATCTGTGAGATTCATCTACGTTGTTGCAATTAGTTTGATCTTTGTCATTGCTGTATGGTATTCCATTGCATGAAATAAACCAGAATTTGTAATTTCATTCTTTGATTAAACAGACTTTTGGATGGTTTCCAATTTGGAGCTATCATGAATAAATCTGCCATGAACATTCTGGTGCATGTCTTGTTGGAATATGAACTCATTCCTCTTGTTATTCCCTACTTTGATGTGAAAATAAAAGGTCATCATGTAAGAAGCCCCTCCTTTTCTCACTACCTACTGAGTTATCTCCTTCTGCCTCTTGTTCTTGCCTCCCTACTTGAAGGCTTAGTGAAGAGATAGCCTCTTATACCAAGACACGTTTCCCGGCCCCTGCCTCCAGAGGCACTTAACCAACTGTCCTCCCACCTGTCCCTCCAATGCATTCTCTCTATGAGGCTTTTCCACCAACTCACCTCCATCTTAAATAAAAAACCAAACCAGACAATACATCACACTCCAGCTACAGGTCATCGCTGTTGGCAGAGGCTGTCGGCATGCATGGGAATGGCCCCATAGCTTCAGATGACCTTGCAGGTGGGCTGAAGGGATGAGTGAGTGTCCACGGCGTGGGCTGTCCCTGTCGCTCCTTCCTTCCTTGAAATACTTTCTTCCCACAGCCTCTGCGAACCAGTCACTCCAGGTTTCCCACTTGCTCTGGCTGTTTCTTCTCTGCATACTTCTAGACTCCTCTCTTCGAACAACATTCTGCCTAAAAGCCAAACTGGCCCCCACCCCAGGCCTTCTAGCCCACTCGCTCTGCTCCGTCTTCCGAGGGACCTCACTTGTACTCAGGGCTTTCATTCCCGCTTCTTTGCTGGTGACTCCTGTATCCATGTTTTAGTACAGATCTCTCAGTTGCAATCTAAGCCCTCACATCTTATCTGTCCATGTGCCATCTCTGTTTTTAGACATTTCACAGGCTTCTCAACATGTCCAAGGCTGAACTCAGCAACTGCCACTCCTGCGCCCAGCAAACCTACTCCTCCTCCGTATTTCTTGTCTCTGTGGATGGCACCACCATCCCTTCACGCTCCCAAGCCTGAAACTTGAAACTCATTTGTGGCAGACACTGTTGATTGGCTAACCCAACCCTCATTCCTGACAAGGAACCACATCGTGGAACCATGGGCCACACTTTAGGCTGATGACTCTAAACAGAAGTTTGCTGTGGGTTCCTGGGAAAGTTTTTATTCCCCTGATACAGGTGCTGCTCTTTCCTCTTCTTCCTGCTAGAAGGTAGACATGAAGGCAAGAGCAGTAGCAGGCATTTTGTAACCATGAGGGAGGGACCAAAAGAATCGCAGAGACTAAGGTGCTGACATTCTTGGACAGATATTTGCCTACTTCCTCTTTTCTTGTCGCATGAGCAAACTATATCTTATTTGTTTAAGCCGTGATGGTCAGATTCTTAGATCCATGTACCCCATAGCAGATGTACTGCTTGGATTTCCCCTTGTAAGATAGAGACACTCATTTCTTCAGCTGTTGAGAGTGATAAATGCTGGATGTCACCCAGTCCAAAATGTTTCATAATTTCCACAATTTCTTCCAAGATTCCATAGTCTGGCTTAGCCTGCTCTTTTCCTGGTGTTTACTTATTTATCTGATTCATTCACTGGGCTGTAAGTTTATGGCCATGTATTTTTGTGATGTTATTCCTCTGGTACTCGACACAGGAGCTAGGACATAGTCTACTTCTATGCTTCATGTTTCATGATCATTCACTCTCCAGGGTGCTGTCTTCTGAATACGTCCAGTTTGCTAATGACTTTTTCAAAGTATGACTTTCAGAACTGAGCGGAATGTGCCAGGAGTGGTCTTGACAAGAGTGGGACTATCATTTCCCTTTTCATAGACAATTACATCTGACTGTAGCCTATAGCAGGATTCTTTTTTCTCCGGCCACCATCCCCCACTCTTTACTTATACTGAATTTAGTGGCCATTACAGCTTTTTTTCATCCAAGATGTCACTAAGACACATTCCTCACATCCTATACCTGGACTTCTGCTTCCTGGATCGAGGCTAGGACTTTATATTTTTCCCTATCAAATGTCACCATTCCCATCAGTCTTGACTGCTAATTTTAATTGGTACTAGAACGGAATACGACTTTTGCATTTTTATTTAAATATTTGAATGTAATTTACTATAATTTCTGCAAATCGTCTCAAAACCTTTATACAAGAGGATGCAGAGGAAAATAAATAAATGAATGAATAAAAATACTGATGCGACTATCTCTATTGTAACAGTCTGTGGGAACATCACTGGAATCCTAGTAGATTATCCAGTCTTTTAATTGCTCTGCCAGCTTGGGGCAACCAGAAATTTGATAGGTGTGTGTCTTTTTTTTTTTTTTTTTTTTTTTTTTTTTTTTTTTTTGGGGACAGGGTCTCACTCTGCCACCCAGGCTGGAGTGCAGTGGCACAATCTCAGCTCACTGCAGCCTCTGCCTCCCGGGTTCAAGAGAGATTCTTGTGCCTCAGCCTCCCGAGTAGCTGGGACTATAGGCGTGCGTCACCATGCCCAGCTAATTTTTATATTTTTAGTAGAGATTGGTTTTCACCATGTTGGCCAGGCTGGTCTCGAACTCCTGACCTCAAGTGATCCGCCTGCCTCGGCCTCCCAAACTGTTGGAATTACGGGCAGAGCCACCACGCCCAGCTAGGTGTTTGTCTTACATTGGTCCATCTGCCCCTTGCAAAAAAATGTTGAACAGGACTGAAGAAAGAGCCATAGAGGGGTGTCTGGAAGTGTGTCACCTACTTCAGATTTGGAAAGTATCTCTCCTGCTTTGGAGCTGTAACTCAAGTTTCCTTCCCTCACCACCACCACCTGGTTCCAGCAGCGCTGACAGTAAGTGAGGGCAAGAGGGTGTCAGATGGGGGCCTAGAAAGGCCCTTATGCCAAATCCATGTCATTTCTTTTTGGATTACTTGCTCTTTAACACTCTCAGGACTTCTTCTCTCCTCCCCTAGTGCAGAAAATGGAGAGCGAGCTGGTTCTTGGGCACAGACAGGAGCTGATCTGGGCCCAAGAGGATTGCAGTCACCCTGGCTCCACGGGTGCACTCTCTGCCAGGCATGTCCTCTTGGGTATGGATGTAGGATGCCAGGGCACACTTTTTATGACCACGTGCTTTCTCTTTCTTCCTGCATTAGAATTTTTTTCACCACGTCAGCCTGCTTATTAAGAAACTCCCAGGTGCTTTTTACCTCGGCTCCACGCCTGCCCTCAAGCTCTGGCCTCTGCTGTTTTGTGGTCTACCCTGTGTGCGTGCCAAAATGTGTTGGTTGAGTCTCAGAAAACACGCGGGAGGAGGAGCCAAAGGTCACAGCATGCAACCTACCCAACTTTCCTGGGAGTGTGGGTGGCACCCACTTAACCCCATCTCTTCTCTTTCCACCCCTCCCCCTGGGCAAACTGAGCTGTCCCCTGCCTGTGTTTACTCCCAATTTCAACGACCTCTCCGCTAACTCACTCCATATGTTAATTTCTCTGTCTTCCACTCCAGCGGTAAACCTCAGGGTTAACCCTCCGCTCCCCCTTCCAAATCCGGGACTGGACTTTCCCTCCTCTTTCCTCCCTTTCCTTGTCTGAGATCAGAGTTCTTAACCTTTTCTCTGCCGTGGACCCCTGCGTCGCGCTTCTCAAACTTTAACGTAAATAGGGAATTACCCCAGGATTCATTAAAATGCAGATGCTGATTCAGTAGGTCTAGGCGGGCCCGAGATTTGCATTTCTAACAAGCTCCCAGGTGATGCTGCTGGTCCGTAGACCACATTTTTAGTAGCAAGGTCTCAGAGGCTTTCAAACCTGTGTGTGTGTGTTTGGCGGGGGGGAGCGGGGGGGCGGGAGGCTGCCCGCACCGCCTCCCCCGTCTCCCCAAGCACCAGGAAAAATCTGTGGGCACATTTGATGCATAAACAGACTCCGGCGGCTGCAGAGCATCACAGGTGCGCGTCCTGCCGGCCCTAGCCCCGCCGCAATTCATCAGCTCCCAAAGAATGCTTCTTTATAATCAGGAAATAGGAACCGACTCTCCCCGAGCGGGGAGCGCAGCCTGCACTCCTCCCACCTTTCCGGGCCGCTGCGCAAGGGGCGGACTTCAGGCGGGGCGGCTTCATAAACCAGAAAAAAAGAGACGAAACAATTAAACCTAGCGAGCCGGGATTGCTCCAAGGAACAGGATTTCAAAGGCAGAGGAGTCTGGCTCGTTTCCAGGCAGTGGGATCAGCCAAAGGGCGCGGGCTGCCCTCCCTCAGCGTGACAGGTGCGCCCCGGGCAGGCACTGGCCTCCCGGCTTGCCCTCTGCCCATCGCCCCCCGCGTTAGTGAAGAATGACTCAGGTTGGTAGGATAATCGACCCCTGCTAGCCCCGTGCAGTAGGAAAACACAGAGAAAAGCCACATTCCTTGTAGTCCAGCCGTGGAGCTGTGCTTGCTTTAGAATCACACCTTCCAGAGATGTTCTAGAATCTGGCTTTTCCAACTGCGTATATCTTTTTCTTCCTCTCTTTCTCTCTTTCTTCCTCCCCTCCCCTCCCATCCAACCTCCCTCCCTCCCTCCCTCCCTTCCTTCCTTCCTTCCTTCCTTCCTTCCTCAGTGAGGTCCTTACCTTTTACCTAAATAGTTATTTTGCTCATTGAATCTAGAGCTGGACACTGGATATTTACAAACTCAAACAAATAAATGCTATTACCTCCCAATTTCCGGTTTAATACAGACAATAACCACAGCATGAAATTTGTAAAGTATTTTAAAAGGAAAAAAAATTGTCTTACTCCGACTGTGGTCCCTGGACCAACTGCATCATCACCTGGGATATTCTCTGGCCCCAGCTTAGACCTCCTGACTGAGACACTCTGGGGAGTGGGACGTGGGACCCCACCACTCTGGTTTTTTTTTTTTTTTTTTAGACAGAGTCTTGCTCTGTCGCCCAGGCTGGAGTGCAGTGGCACGATCTCAGCTCACTGCAACCTCTGCCTCCCAGGTTCAAGCGATTCTCCTGCCTCAGCCTCCCAAGTAGCTGGGATTACAGGCATGCACCACCATGCCCAGCTAATTTTTGTATTTTTAGTAGAGGCAGGGTTTTGCCATGTTGGCTAGGGTGGTCTCCAACTCCTGACCTCAGGTGACCCACCTGCCTCAGCCTCCCCAAGTGCTGGGATTACAGGCGTGAGCCACCGCACCTGGCCGCCATTCTGTTTTAACAAGCCCTCTGGGCTGAAGTTTGAGAAGCAGCTCTCTAGAGAAATGCAGAGCCCATACTCAAGGTTTGTGTCGTGTACAAGAAAGAGAGTTGGAGAGCAAAGGGGAATTCACGTGCTCTGGCTCCTGGGATGGGGGAAGGGTGGACACTGGTCTAGGAGAGGCAATAAAGTTCTGACAGCACATGCCTCAGACGAGCCCAGGCCACTGCAAGTGAATAGAGGCTGCGCTGGAGAGGCTCTAGTGCTCCACTGTGTAACCCACCCGCCCACACTAACTGCCAGGAAACAGGATTGTCTACTTTGTGCTAATAAGCTGCCTCGGTTCTTCTAACATACCGAACGTGATAAGAGCATGGAGGGATGAAATATCTGGAGTAGTTAAGTAATCAAGGCAGGAATAATTAGGTAGACTAAACCCCAACAGAAATAATCCATCTTTTGGAAAGAAATGACATTTTGAAAAATTTAGAAATCTTCATCAAGCTATTATGCTGCTGAAATATATAAGCACTTTGCATTATGTTTTCTTTCCTGCAACACGCAACACATACGAGAGTAATTAAGGGATTTCACTCTGTCCTGAGCACTTCATCTCAATGATGGTGGCGCTGGACACTGGGGACTAATATAAATAACTCATCAATTATCTTTCCTAAATAAATTGTCTATTGGTTTAAAGAGCATATTATTTTGTATCCAGGTATTTTAGAGAGTTTTGCTAAATGTTGCAAGCTTTTAGGATGTTTTATTGTTGCATAAACAGGGGAAGCAAAACGGGTCCCATTTCAAAAGTTTTCATGGACCCAGAGGGTTCCTTCTCTTTCCTCTCTTGCTACTTCATCAGTTGATATTTGTGATTAACCTGCTCCATGAAATATGGGAGCTCTTACTCTGGAATGCAGGAGAAGATTTTAGCAGATTATATCCCCCTGTGAAAAATGGCCTTTGTCATCAGTGACTTGGAGAGGACGCTGTGGTGTGCTCAGATATATGGATTAGCAAGGAGCACCATGGTGTGAGATAAGACGGCGCTGGGCTGGGCTTGGGGAGTCCAGGGGTGTGCCCTTGAAAAAAGCGTGTAAGGACCGTGAGCGTCGGTTTTCTCATCTGTACAGCGAGTGGGGGATGAAGGGGTCTGCTCAAAGTCATCACAGTGCCTTTCACCCTTGATTCTACAAGGACAAATTTCAGGCATCCAAAATCTCTCCAACATGGCCAGGAAAAATTGCAGGAACACGGTGGTGTGCTTCTACTGGGATGGCTGTTATGGGGATGTTAGGAGCGGGCGTTTTTGTGTCTATTGTGACACCCCCTCCACACCATCTTTTAAAACTTCCACTGTGGCTTTTCTTGGCTTAGGCCTTGCTCTTCCTGCCACGAGTTTGAAATTGCTGCATGAAGATCCACCTGGCTTTAGGAAGCTGCAGTGCTGTGTAGCACATTTATTCCCAGTCAACGCTTCGAGCAACTGGAGCACAGAGTTTAAATGACTTTCCCTAAGCTGCTGTAGGAATGTGGAGCGGAACAAGCAAGGGGACCGTGGACCTGGATTCTCCACTTTGGGAGGCCGCCTGCTGACTCCAGTCTCCCGTTCCCCTTCCCTTCCACCTGCCCGTCCCACACCACACCCCACCACCCCCTGCCACCTGCAGCTCTAGTGGGTAACAGGAGGTCAGAGATTCTCCTTCCCCAGTGCCTCTTCATGTCTGGGCTGTTCCTGGTGACAGGGAAGAGGCATCTTGCTAAATCCCACACCATCCGTCCACAAGTCTGGCAATTTTCACAAGAGACCTAGTGGTCTCAGCCCACTTTTCAGCAACATTTAATAGCACAAGACTGTTGTGCAGCCTCAAACTACTGGGAAGAGAAGTGTTTGCAAATCTGTGGTTTGGAGAAAGCTGCACTCAAAACAACAATTCAGATCTTAATTTACAGCCCGCAGATTTTCAGGGAAGAGGATTTCTGGTAAGATAGAAATTATTGGGGCTTTATCCCAAAGTCTAGTTCATTTCCTGACTTTTAACTCTTTTGCTGCTGTCTCTTCAAGCCACTGCCTTGGCTGGCAAAAACAATGCACAAATGATTGAGGTCATTCATTAATTCAACAAACATCTACGAAACAAAGTCCATTTATGGGCATTGTTCTAGGTGTAGGTGCTGAGAATGACAAATGAATAAGACTTGGGTCCCTGACCTTGAGGAATGGTGAGCCTGCTGGGGAGAGATGACCATTATCAACACAGGTGCATGCTATATAGCATGACAGGGACAACAAAAGAAGTAGGGAGGGGGACCGTTGGCTGCAAACTAGTTTAAGGACCAAATTCCAGCCCTAAGACTCACTTTCCTTGGCCTGCAGAGCATTAAAAAAATGTATCCAACATTTAAACATGGAAAGAACTGACAAAATAAGTCATGATTTCTGGCTTCTCTTGAAACATTTGAAGATCAGGCAATTCTGGGCCTGTGTTTGGAGACAACAGTAGCACAACTGATGCCGAGTAGCGGCTGCCCCCTTTCGATGGGACTCGCAATCTCCAGCTGGACGCAGTGCCCAGACGCCCAGGACGTGCCTGTATACCCTTTCTCACTAGTTGTAGGCATTTGAGTGTGCAACTCTTGGCTTTGAGAACAGTGGAAGGGCAGAGATGGGATCAGCTACTTCACTGGCTTGGGTGAATTGGGTGTCTTTGTGTTGCTGTCAGGGCAAGCGAAACCGACATGGCCACAGGCTTCTCTGTGATCTGGTCTCTTTTTTTCTGACTGTGTTTCCAGTAGCAGCTCCTGGCCACCCTAAGCTTCTGTCTCATACAACGACTTGCACTTATGGGAATGGGCCCTGCTGTTTTATGCCTCTGGGCTGTGCAGTCCGCTCTGGTAACTGCTAGCCAAATGTGCATAGTTTGGTTTAAATTAAAATGAATAGAAATTAACTAAAATTAAAAATTTCACTTCTCAGATACCCTAGCCACATTTTAAGTGCTTACTAGTACCATTTTGGATGGTAAAGATATAGTACATTTTCATCATCGTAGAAAGTTCTAGTGGACAGCACTGCTTTGCGGTTTTGCTTAAACTGCTGCTCTCCTTTGGATGAAATCTAACACCTGGACTTTGAGCAACCGTCCTTTTAAGAGACTGTTTAAGCATCCCCTTTACTTGAAGCCTTTGGAGACATTTCCTTCTGGGTGAACTTGTCTGCATCCACCTCTCTGTCCCTGATATTTTTCCTTCACACAATCACACAGCACAAAGAACACCTAGATTTTGTATCTGCGAGCTTCTTGTGTGTGGGAACTGTGTCATTCATGGCTTGTTTGTACCAGAACTTAGCCCAGAGGTAGTTCTGTTGGCACATGATAGATGCTCAGTAAATGTTTGGGGCAGGGTTGCTGGGGCTCAGACTCAGTGGCCCCCAAAGGAACACATGATGTTCCAGACCTGTCAGTGAAGCGAGGATGCCGGAGAACTCTTTTTACAAGCTCAGCCTCGGGTAGCATGCACATTCACGGCAATTTCCAGCTCGAGCGAGCTGTTACTGCAAACCTCTAAGAAGTCAGTGTCTCGCAACATCGAGCAATGAGCAGCCAGCCTTGTGGGGATGAACTCGGAGCTCTTGTTTATCAACTCGTCTTTTTTTTTTCCCCTTCCCTTCTCTGTTTCCTAGTCTGTCTCATGGGCTCATTCCTGCCAACCCGTTGACCCTCACTCCCCAGCAAACACAGGTAATCTATATCATCCGTGTTTACACCTCAAGGTATCTGGGCTTTTCAGGCCAAAGAATTATGACAGATAGTACCGAATAGAAACATCTATTAAAAATAAGAATTCATAATTAAAAATGATGGGAAGTGGTAGGATGTGCCCTGTAACCCTGCTTCATGGGAGCAAGGGTTGAGTTATTTTCTTTGTGGGAAGGAATTCCAGTGTTGGGTTCCAGAACTGTGTCAGAGAAGGGTGACAGTGATGGTGGCTGTGACATAAAGCCAGAGAAAGCTTGAAAGGTGTGTGTGTGTGTTGGGGTGGGGGGGTGGGGATGAGCTCTGTATGCTTGGGCAGACTTTGGGGCTCTTCATCTTGAAACTGCAATTTTCTCAAATTTGGCTAGAGATAAAAGGTAATAGACATTTCTGTTAAAATGCAATATATGTTGTCTTTGATTGGGTTCCCTGGAAATGGACTTTGAGATGGAGATATGTATGCTGAAGGATCTTTTTTATTAAACAGCTTTATTGAAATATGATTTACATACTACAGAATTTATCTGTTTTAACATACAGTTCAAAGATTTTTAGTAAATTTACTGAGTCATGCAACCATCACTACAATCCAACTTTAGAACATTTCCATTGCTCCAAGAAGATCCCTCATGCCCATTAGCAGTCACTACCCATTTTCAATCCCAGCCCCATGCAAACATTAATCTACTTTCTGTTTCTATACACTTGCCTTTTCTGGGTGCTTCATGTAAATGGAATTATAAGGTATGTAATCTTTGTGTCTGGATTCGTTTATTAGGCATGATGTTGTAGCATGTATTATTAGTACTTCATGCCTTTTTATAGCTGAATAATACTCCATTCTGTGAATATACCACATTTTGTTTATCCATCCATCTGTTGATGGACGTTTGGATAGTTTCCACTTTTTGGCTATTGTGAATAGTACTGCTAAGAACATTCATGTACAAGTCTTTGTGTAGTTGTATGTTCTCATTCCTCAGGGGTATATACCTAGCTGTGGAATTGCTGGATCATATGATAAATTTATGTTTAGCTTTTTAAGAAACTGCCAGATTGTTTTCCAAAGTAAGTGCACCATTTTACATTCCCACTAGCAATTCCAGTTCCTCCATATACTCACTAATGCTTGTTACTGTCTATCTTTTTGATTCTAGCCATCCTAGTGGGTGTGAAGTGGTATCTCACTGTGGTTTTAATTTACATTTCCCTGGTGACTAAATGATGTTGAGCATCTTATGTGCCTTTTGGCCATTTGTATATATTCTTTGATGAAATAGCTATTCAAATTTTGTGCCCATCTTTAAAAATTGGGTTGTCTCCTCATTATTGAATTGTAAGGGTTTAAATGTATATATTTCTAGATACAAGACCTCTATCAGATACGTGATTTGCAAATATTTTCTCCCAGTTTGTGGCTTGTCTTTTCACTTTCTTAGTGATGTCTTTTGAAGTGCAAAAGTTTTAAAATTTGATATAATCCAATGTATTAGTTTTTCATTTTATGGATTGTACCTTTGGTGTCATAACTAAGAACTTTACCTAATCCAAGGTCACAAAGATTTTCTCATGCTTTCTTCAAAAGTTTTATAATTTTGCCCTTAAATTTAGGTCTATGATTCATTTTGAGCTAATTTTTGTGTGTAGTGAAGGATAAGGATCTAAATTCATGTTTTTGCATATGGCTATCCAATAGTCCCAGCATCATCTATTGAAAAAAATATCCTTTCCCATTGAAAAGCATTGGCACCCTTGTTGAAAATTAATTGATCATAAGTGTAAGATTCTCTTTCTTGACTCTGAATTTTATTCCATTGATCTAAATGTCTACCCTTATACTAGCACCACACTGATTTGATTACTGTAGCTTTGTAGTATGCTTTAAATCAGGAAGTATTGGTTCTCTAACTTTGTTCCTTTTTTCAAAATTATTTTGATTATTCTGGTTCTGTTACATCTTCACAGAATATTGGGATCAGCTTGTCAATTTCTGCATGTGGGAGGTTTATTTGTAGTAACTCAGGGGACAGGAAGGCAGGCTGGGGGGCTAACCCATAAAGCAGTTGCAATTGAGGCCACAGCAGACATGGGGAACTCTGGAGTTAGGATGGCTCTTCAGGCTCTTCACACCAAACTGAGGTGAGGGGTCAGGCATTTGTATCCCTGTATCAGCAAGGGATGGCTGGGGGCCATCTCGGGGGAGGGGAACATAAATATGGGCAGGGCAGTTTCTTGTGATCAAGGGCAATGCCCAGTGAAGGACTCAGCTGTGAGTGGTCAGCAGCTGATATTCTAGCCACTGGGGCATAGATCCATTGGCTCCGACATGGGACTCTGTCTCCTTGTGTTTTTGAGATTCACTTGCTTCTCAGGTGAGTTTGCCCCAGTTGGAAAGACCTCCAGAATTCTAAATGGTTTCATTTCCTGGGAAACTTACAAAAGCAGGGTTGTGTGGCCATAACTGATATTCACCATCCCTCTACCTCTATTGTCCATTCTAGATTCCCCTTACACTCAGCTAGTACCTCTGCTGGTCTAGGCAGCTTTCCTGGTGGGGAGAACCAGACTGTCATTGCATATGGGTCTAAGCCTCTGGTTACTCTGCCCTTCTTCTATGGCTATGGCTGCAATATTCATCTATTTACTATTAAAACTGGATGTGGGAGCACCAAGATGAGATTGTAGCAGAGGGGACTTAGGCACTGGATGGATCAACTTTTAATCAGCCCCAAGATTCTAAGACATGATGATACTGATCCTTATGCATGTCTGGGCCCTCTATGGTCATGCTGCACCTGTTGCTGCACTGAACCTTGCTGATCTCTCCAGCCAAGTTCTGTTCTCCCTGGTGAGACAGACTTGAGACAGGCGGTCTCGAGGTCTGGGGAACTGCAGCCAACCATCCCCAACAGGAGCTCAGAATCCACAATAATCTTCACCAGACCCCAAAGGCCAGCCCTCTGTGGTCACTCAAGTTGAAATCAAATTAAGTAACAACCACAACCAAAACCTTATTTTATTTTTTAATTTTCAAATCAATCAGCTGGGTTTTAGTGGTTGTATGGTACAGGCAAAGTTCTATCCTAGTCCTTAGGTGAAAAAGAAAGAACTCCAAGACATAGTCTTCAGTCTTGAGGGTTATAGTTTAGAATAAGCGGTTGGCAAATTATGATCCACAACACAAATCTGGCCAATAGCAGTGACAGAGACCATATGGCCCATGAAGCTGAAAATATTTATAATATGGTCCTCTACAGAATAAGTTCACCAACTTTTGGTTTAGGAGACTAGGTGTGCAATTACAGTAGTCAGACACTAACTGCTGTAAAAAACAAATCCAAAATCTCAGTGGCTTAACACAGTATAGGATTCCTTCTTGTTCACGTCACACAAAAAGCAGGCTGGGGCTCTGTTCCATGGAGTCCTTCAGGGGCCCATTGTAGCAGAGGCTACTACATCCTTTCTCTGTTCTCCTTTTTCAGGCTGGGGCATCCCTCCTGCAGCTGCTGGAAATGCTAATTGCTCACAGCTGCATCATGATCCAGCTATTTGCCCTGAGTTGACAGCCACTCCACCCAGAGATGCCTGAGAAGATAGGCAGCCCTGGGGGCAGCCCGTAGGCAATGGTACAGGGGTACAAATGCCTGGCTCTTTGGTCTCAAGTGGATGCAACTCCTTGGAGCTACTCAAGCATCAGAGCTCCGGTGCTATCAGAGGCTGAACTTCATTTCAAACTACCTGTTTGCTTAGATTCTCCCCTTGCCTCATCCTGCTTCTCTCAGTCCTTGCAGCTTCTGCTGGGAACATTCTGCCATGAAATCCCTTGGGTAGAAACTCCTTCTTAAGCTCTGCTTTTAGGGGGCTTGACTTAGCACATCAGTCTCCTATGGTGTTGTGCCTCTGCCATTTTCACTATATGCCTTCAAGACCAACCTGGCACATCATCCAACTAGCAGCAAGAGGGGAGAGAGAGAGAGAGAGAGAGAGAGAAAGAGAGAGAGAGAGAGAGGAAGAAGAAGAAGGAGGAAGACGAGGAGGAGGAGGAGGAGGAGGAGAGGAGAGGAGAGGAGGGAAGAGGAGAGAAGAGACAAGAGAGAGAACGGAGAAGACACCCTGCCTCTTGAGTCCTTAATCCCTTTTGCTCATAGTTGATTGGTGAAAGCTGTTCTCTCATCAAGATTAAAAGGAGCTTCAAAACTAGTTTGTGCGCCCAGGAAGAGGAAACAGTTTTGGTGAGCATCTACCAGTCTCTGCCCCAAGGCATCTGTCTGAAACAATTCCAGAGTAAAATCTCAGATCAAAATGACCCTACAAGAGCAGGTCTCAAGGTAGGACATGATTTCTTTCTCAATGACTGGAAGAGCCATTGAGGGTCCCAGTTCCTCCAAGTATTCCTTTCCATGTTGATCTTCCTAACTCTTCTTTCAGGGCAGTGATCATCATAGAATCATCTTCCCAGAACCTAGCCAATAGAGGGAACTGAATAAATGTTTGGTTAATAAAACCACTGATCATCTGGGCAGTCCAGGGTATGGGATAGAATTTGCAATGACCTTGGAATGGCAGAGCAGATTTGTAGACCTGTGGAAGGTGGGTAGGTGTCATCTCAAACAGGGAAAATAATGGCAGGGGAGAGACCTGGTTTTCAAACATTGGCTCCCAACGTCAGAAGAGCCTTCGGGGAATAAATCCGGTCTTTTATGTCCCACATGTTCCTTCCCTGATGGGCTGCAGCCATATCTCCAAGGCCTCCAATAAAAAGCTCCCTCTGCTCTCACCAACACAGCTGCCTTGTCTGTTAGCAACCGTATGTTCTGATAGAATTAAAGTTTATCTCCCTCTCCGTCTCCCTCCTAAGGTTGTCTTGGTGGCCTTTCTCTCTGGTGCTGTGCTCCATATTCTTAGTCTGTTTTGGTCTCCTTGCCTGCTCATTAGTTTCTGAGTCTGGTTGTTTCTTGGCTTGATAATCAGTGGCCCCCTTGGCTGGGGCCCTGCCTGGCTCTCATTAGCAGTTGTAGTCCTTGTGGAGATCACAGGGAACCTCCAAAGAAGTCATATTTGTAAGTATCTGCTGGAAAGATAACAACAGCACCTTACAGAAGTGAACAGAACACAGTAATTAAAAACACCGCTTGGTCACCAATGATGGCTTGCCCTTCGTGAAACACATTAAGACAAGATTCAAAGGAGATTTGGATTTGTGTTGAGAGCCAGAGGGATAGCAAGGAGGTATGTGGGTTCTTAATGCAAACCAGGCACGTTGGGGTTAAATCTGGCATTATCTCCTTCAGGATCTTGTATTTAATTTTATTAAAAACTCTGCAAACATCATCTTATTTGTCAGAGACAACTCTCCATACCGTTCCTGATGTCTGGCACTATAATTTGCATGCTGGGGACCCGCCTGCATTTGCCTAACTCTTGGCAAAATGTTTCGAATGCCATTTTTGAAATTCCTGGTGAAAGAGTGCCTGCTGCCCTGGAGATGTCTCTTCTGGATATTCTTAGGAACAGAACAATAAACAAGGACACTTGGAAGAAAAGGGGCAGCTTTCCCCGATTGCCAAGTGAAATACAACTTTGTTATTGAACTCTTCTGCTCTGCTTTTGGAAAAGCTGGGATTACATGTTCTTTTCTCCAGTGTATTAAAAAAAAAGTAAGATATTGGCTTCAAATTAATCTGCAGAACTTTGAACTAAAATGAGGGTTCTTTCTCAAATACCACACTAGAAAACAACACAGCAGACTGCCAGGAGCCCCAGCAGGGGAAACCAGAAGGAACATGATGACGGTGTGGAGGAGCTTTACATGGGGATGCTTTCCCATTTCTCGAGTCTGGGTACCCCAACTGGCCCCCATCTGGCTGGCCAGAGATGGATCATTTTCCATGATGCCTTGTGGGACCATACGTGGCGCCTCACTTTCAATGTACTGCTTGGAGTGCCCGAAGAAGATTCAGATGCGAGTGCCCTCACTTGATCTCATCCATATGCTGACCTCTGAGCTATAGGTCATGGCTAAGGACTAAGCTAAAGGCCCAACTTGGTGTAGTTTTGAACCAAGCCGTCTGCCTGAAGGGGGTTTTGAGGAGAGAATGAGGGAGAAAAAAGACTCTGTCAAGTTGCATGCTTGTGAGTTATAATGCACTTTCTTACTGTTCCCACCCAGGATGAGATCTGGTGGTGCAAGGCTTGTTCTGGGGCCATTTGATTGAGGAGTATCCTATGGAACAGCCTACAGGTGGTACTTACTTGCCCTAAAGAAAAACCCTGGAAAATCACCATCCACCCATCTCACTTCCCCACTCTACAAAAGTAACACATCCATCAGCGAGCCTCTGTCTTTTGTTGGTTGAGGCAGTGGGCTGTGGGACTCTGGATGGCTGGTGCCAGCTTTCAAGGGCTACTTGCAGCCCGGCTGTTGGACATCTCCCTCTGGCCTTTTTCAGCTCTTTGTGAATCCCCTGCCAGCCTTTTCTTTCTCCCCAGTGATGCCTGTGCTCGTCAGCTCCCTCCAATGGAGTGAATATATGAGAAGACAGGAGTCAGCAGGGGTTCAGAAGGCTGGGAGAATGGAGGGGTGAGCCAACCAGCCACATAGAGAAGGAAGCTTTGGATCACATGCCTTCATTTCTTCCCTTCCAGCCTCCCTCCTCCCCGCCAGTGGCAGGGTGGCAACATTCTTAATGATAATTTTAAAAAAGTGCCAAGCCTCTGCTCATTTGCAAATCATCATGTCTAATTTGCATAACAGATCCGGGAGGCCCTAACTCTGCATATGGAAAATGGAATACAGTATAAATAAGATAAATGGATTAGGTCAGCTGACTGCATCTGTAGCCACGGACGACCCACGGGCCCAGCGCACACGAACTACAGAGGAGGTTTGTCAATCAGGCAATTTATTTTGATCCTGGAAGTAGAGAAGCAGGATGTGCGCACACACTCCCACACAGGCTCACCGGCAATCCCTGCTGGGAAATAGGCCATCAGGCAGTCCCTGCGCTGGGCTGGTGTGGCCTCTAAGCCCCCAGTAGAGGGGAGGGGAAGCTTCTGGAGACCACCTGCATTCAAGGCCTCCCTGTCAGAGAGAAGGTTTTGCCTGCAGACTGTGGGTGGTCAATCAAAAGCCAGTCTCCTTGAACTTGCTGACTCAGTGACCAGCAGCTGAAAGGGTGGAGGGAACAGTTGCCAGCAGGCGGGGGCTGGGGGCCTTTCAGGCCTCCCCATCTGTCCTTGTCCTCGGAGGCCCGACCATCCCCGGGCAGTCATCTAGGGCATCCAGGGCTGAGCAGCAGTATCTGGGGACACAGGAAGTCTCAGATCATGCTCAGTTGGGGAGACAATTACCCTGGCAGCTGACCACTTGCTCCTGTCCACCTCTCAGCCCCCTCATCGCCCTGCCACATGAGTCTCCGTGGCTGACCCCCACCCTTTCAGGACATGGGTCATCCATCATGGCAATGCCATCCAGGGCAGTAGCAGGTGGCTTGTCATTTTTATCAGTGCAGCTCAGGAAGCGAGGCACAGGCGAGGGGGCTGTTTCAGTGGATAAATGTGATATGACGCGGGCACCTTTTGCAATTAGTTAATGGGTTGGCTATGTGGGGTAGGCTTCTTTGGCCTTCTGTCTAGGGATTAATGACCTAAGATGACAGATGGGAACCTAAAATCACTCAGGAAAAGAAAACAAGCCTGGGGTTGGGGTGGGAGGAGGGGTGAAAAGAGTGGCCCAACTCCTGGGGGGCTGGGCAGTGGTGGGGGAGAAAAAATGGCATTTGGGCAGTGAGGAGGGAGGGGGTTTGATCAAGGAAGCATCCCAGAGATGGCTTTATGAACTGGGATTTTACAAGGAGCTGTAGACAGGTATGTTTGTGTGTATGGTGTGTATGTGATGTGTATATGTGTGGCGTGTATGTGGTATGTGTGTATATGATATGTATGTGTGGTGCATATGTGGTGTGTGTAGTATGTGGATGTATGCATGTTATGCATGTTCAGTTCTGGGTCTGGACACACAGAGGTTAGGCAGGCTCTGGCTCAGGACTGAACTCACCAAGCCTCTCCACCAGCCTCACTGTTTGCCCAGGGTCCCTTTCTGTCCCCATGCTTACCTGTGGTTTCTGGGACTCCCAGGTTCCTGGGGCTCAGCCTGCTGCCCTCTCTCCATGGTGGGGCACCCTCCTTCCCCTGCCCAGGCCGGGCTGCAGATGGGCCACAGTCTCTCCTCTTCCTCCTCTCTTGGAAGGTTTACCACAGAAACTTCTGGTGTCAGGGTTTCAAGGCTGATCACTATCAGGGCAAAGATTGGTGGTAGGCAATTATTGTGTGATGGGGTACTCATGATCGGGAAAAAGATTAGGGGTGGTGGTGCAGAAATAACACAAGTGGGCGCTTGGGAAACCGGCAAGTATCTCTCAAGATTCTAGCAGCAACTGGGCACTTTTGAGGCCAGGATGACACCGGATACCCTTGAGGGAGGTATTTAAAATGTGACCTCTCCTGTGTTGTGGTGAACGATGCCAGTTGCCCAGATCATACCATCTTGTTCCAGGACAAAAGAACCAGAATAACCTCTTGGCTATGCAGAATAGGGGATTAGATCATAACAGGGTCCCCTGTGACTTGCAGGTACTGCTCTTCCCTGAGAGGGTTGGTTTGCTGAGCTTGGGCCAGCAGGACAGGCAGGGTGGGCGGATCTGGAGACCTCCTAGCTAGAAAGGGGCCAATCTCAAACACTCGCATCCTGAGATGCACACTAATGGAAACCAGAGAGACCCAACCTGGGCTTTATGATGGTGGCAGTAGTGGTGGGGAATTTTCTGAGTAGGTCACCTGAGGCCTGGAAGATGGATAGAGGGCTAGTTCAGCATTCCCAGGGGCTAGACTCCCCACAGCTGGGCTGCAGGTATGAATCTAACATGACATAGCCACACCTTACACGCCGTACATCCTGGCTTGGTAGGGGCTGATCAGGCTTCATCTCCTCCCTCCCTGGAATCATGAGAAGACTGATCCCTTTTTGGACTGAGTAAGCATCCCATTTTGTGGTGATAGTTGTAAAAATCCCCACGGGGAAGATATTTTCTCCCAAGCTCCATTTCAGTCAGGGTGCTTTAGGTTGTCCGTGGTGGAAAACCCCAATTCCATCTAGCTGATGCAGAACGGGCGATTTTTGTTTCATAAGACCGGGATGGCTTGGAGTCCAGGCATGATCCTCTCGCACAAAGATGTTAGGGGAAGCCACTGTGTGGCAGGGCTGCCTGCAGATAGGCAATGTCATGTCACCAGGAATCGTGACCTCTTGGCCTGAGCACCGCATGTTACAGGGCCCCAAGGAGTGGTTGACTCATCTTCCCCTAGAAAATGGGCCAGGCATCCAGGTGCAGCTAATCGGACTGTGTGTTTGTGCAGGTGCATGTGCCTGTGTGCACACGCATGTGGTGTCAACAGTGGAGCAACCAGGCAGGCAGGCCCTGGAGGCTTAACAGGGATCAGGCAGAAGATGAGACCTGGAGAAGAGGAAGGACAGGGTGAGTGTAGGGTTGGTGGGCCTGTGGCTGTCAGATGAGGGGGGCTGCTGATGGCTGGCCATGGAGAGTTCTGAGTTGCCTGTGTTCTGGAAGAAGGGAAGCTGCTTTCCAGGAATCTTGTTTTACAAAGCAGTGGTTCTCAAAATGTGGTCCCTAGCTGGGCATGGTGGCATGTGACCATAGTCCCAGCTACTCAGGGAGGCTGAGGCAGGAGGATTGCTTGAGGTCAGGAGTTTGAGGCCAGCCTGGGCAATATAGCAAGACCCAATCTCTGAAAAAAAAGAAAAAATTTTTAAAAAAGTGATCCCCCAGACCAGCAGCATCAACATCACCTGAGGGCTTGTTAGAAATGCAGATTCTCAGGCCCCATATGGAATCAGCCACTCTGGGGATGGAGCCCAGGCATCTGCATTTAACAAGCCCTGCAGGGGGTTCTGGGGCACGTTCAAGTGTAAGAACCACTGTTGTAAAGGAACAGCTGATGTCCAGAGTGTTTTCAGAGCAAACATCATGGTACAGATGTGTGCTGGTTGTCCTCTGCCCTCCAAGATCCGGTCTCAACTCTTTTCCCCCATGTTCTATGTCCCAGAGGCCAAGGTCTGTGGACTGCCTCTCTGGGCTCCCTTGCCAGCTAAGCTTTCTTTCTTTCTTTTTTTTTTTTTTTCTTTTTTGAGACAGAGTCTTGCTCTGTCTCCCAGGCTGGAGTGCAGTGGCGTGATCTCGGCTCACTGCACTCTCTGCCTCCCAGGTTCAAGCAATTCTCCTGCCTCAGCCTCCCAAGTAGCTGGGATTACAGGCATCTGCCACTGCGCCTGGCTGATTTTTGTATTTTTAGTAGAGATGGGGTTTCACCATGTTGGCCAGGCTGGTCTCAAAGTCTTGACCTCAGGTGATCCTCCCACTTCGGCCTCCCAAAGTGCTGGGATTAGAGGCATGAACCACTGAACCTGGCCCCCTAAGCTTTCTCTTGGGTTTGGCCAGTGGGAGCAATAACTTGGAGGTGGCAGGAGGGAGAGGTCAGGGTATTTCTTCTTTGCTCCCTCCCTGCTGTAAGGGAGGCAATGCCCATCCCTCAGTGTGGCTTCCTCTGGAGGCCTCCAAGGTCCCACCTCTCCCTGGGCTTCCATATAACATGACTCCTTCCCCTTGTCCCTAGGAGTGGTAATGCCTTCCAGCTGTTCCTAGTTTCTGGGTACTCAGCATCCCCTCCTGGTTCTTTTCACCTGTCAGCACCCCTGCACGTGTACCCTACATTCAGGTCTGTTTATCTGAACCTCCTGGGGTGAAGACTGTTGCCTGGCAGTGCCTGACTGATACCAGGTAAGGCATAAACAGGTGCCACATGTTGATGTAGGAGCTGATGCTGTCACCAGCTGGCTTCTGGAGATGACAATCCGTTTCTCTGGTGCCTGTAGAAGAGAAGGAACAGTAATTGGCTGTGCTCCCACTACACCTAGGGAGTGTGCTCCGTGCTGTGCTGCGTATGATTTCCTTCACCCTCTCCTCTGCTGTAGGCACCATCATTTCTAGTTTAACAGCAATGAATCCAAGGCTCCAGGTTTGACAGCTGGCAGAGGCGAAGAAGCTAGGATTTGAAATCCTGTCTTTCTGGTTCCCAAGTCTGTGTGTTTCCCATAACCTAGGGTGCTTGACTATAAATGAGAGCAAATGCCTGAAATCTTCTAATGTCAAGATTATGGCCTTACTATAGATACAGACAAAAATGGCCAGCGATATTCTGAAATGCTGCAAGGAAGATGTTTCTTCTGAATACTGGTCAAGTGATTTCTGTTGGCCTCAGCATGTGAAGGGAGGAATAGAGAGGGTCCCGGCACTAAGTCCTTCTTAGGGCCCAGGCGCTATTAGCCACTTTATCTATATTGCCTAGTGTAATCATCAAGGGTGTCCAGTGAGGTGAGATCTTATATTATTTCACAGATAAGAAAGTTGAGGCTCAGAAAGGTTAAGTCACATGTCCAATAGCAATCCTCTTTCCTAGACCCTATCTCTTTTCTTGGCTTTATTTTTCTCCGTGACACTTATCAGCTTCCAACATATTATATCTTTTACTTGTTTATCGTCTGTCTCTCCGTACTAGAATGTAACTCCACAAAATTGGGGATTTTTGTCTATTTTTCCCCCTTAGCTGTACCCCTGGGGCTATGAGAGTGCTTGGCACATAGTAGGTGCTCACCAAGTTTTTATTGGATGTGCCAGTGAAGGTACATTACAGAGCTGGTAAATTGCAAATCTGGATGAGTCCAGGCCGATTGGACTTGGAAGTCAAGTTTTCTACCTGAGTGCCATCCTGCTTCCCCTCAAATTAATACCTAGAAATGTACACTTATTGAGCACCGACTGTGTGTGCCTGGCTCTGTTGTTGGTGCATTTGCATGCACATTCATGACAAGTGTTCTTTATGTGCTTCTGTAACTTAAAATTTATTTTCTAAAACATTTCGGAGTTTGATATTTTGCCTACTTAATTTTAATCTGGTTCTGCCTGCTGTGCTTGTTGGGCCATGTCACCTTCCACTTCTATGCCCCTCATAAAAAGCTGGGGTCATCAAGTCATCTAGATGAATGATTTCATTCACTATATTTAGCCTACTCTCTCCTAAAGAATTCACCTTTTCTTTCCAAAGTGATGTCACATTGGCTGCACAACTTTTTCCAGCAGAGAGGGCAAAGGCACAAAGGTGACAAACATGCTTCTGAACTCCAGCCTGTGACTGCAGGTCTCAGATCTCATGGGTGTCCTTGCTACTCTGCCCACATGTCATGGTGGTGGCCACTGCCCCTAAGGTACTGCTTCAGGCACAACTCAGTTATACCCAGCTCATTTTCCTTAAATAGCCTTGAGAGCAGGGGCCATGTCTGTGTCACAATGCTTGACATACAGTGTGTGCTCAATAAATGTAGGTTGAAAAACAAATTAATAATCTTATTGAATGATGACAGCAACACTAGGCTATGTTAATCATCTCCATTTGACAGATGAGACAACTGAGGCTCAGTGCAGCAAACCAGAGAATTGCTGATTTCCTGTCACACTCTTCAACTTCAGCCTAGAGTCTCTACATGTTTTGAGTGTCTCAGTATAGGATTTGAACAAAGCATCTCTGCAAATGCCTTCTATCACAGTTGTGGTGTTGGAGCCACCTTCAAATGTGGCTAGCCAGGAACTTTTGCTATACAAAGCTCTCAACTGAGGAACAGCTCATCATTTGACAACTCATCTCTAGAAACGTGTGCCCTCACACCCCCTGCCCTGATCATATGCAGGGGGGCAGATCCAGGAGTGGAAAGTTCTCACTTTTGATCTGATTACTTTGCTGGGACATCCTGCAGGATGGGCCACCTGACACATGGCAGCACCAGCCATGAATGGTGCACTCAGCCTCTTGGGCTCATAGGTGGGCAATTTGGTCCAGTTTCCTTTTCAGACCACCTGGACAGAAGCCCAGTGAGCTGGGAATTCTGGGGCCTAAAGCTGAGTAGAGGGCTAAATTCTTGTCTCTGTCACAAAAGTATGTCTCTCCATCACAGCCCCCGTCATTTGAGGAGGAAAGAAACGTAAAATCACTAAACTGCTCTACTGAGGGTATGAAGGAGACCCAATAAATTAAAGTCAGAACACAAATATTGAGTGAATTAGGATACAACTCCCCACATTCCATTATAGAGGGCCTAACCTCAGGGTTCCCTTAAATGGCAAAGCCCTCCCCTCCAGGGCACTAAAAATATCATTGATCATTTATTCATTCAACGTTTACTGAGCTCTTACCGTATGAGACACTCGTTTAGGTGCTGAGGATTCAGACATAAGATAAAATGGAATTTGTGTCAATTAAAAAAGATCTCTGTGATGGTTAATTTTATTTGTTGACTAGGTCATGGGGTGCCTACATACTTGATCAAATATTATTCTAGGTGTTTCTGTTGAGGATGTTTTTGGATGAGATTAACATATGAATCTGTAGAGTGAGTAAAGCAGATTGTCTTTCCTAATGTGGGTGGACCTCATCCAAATAGTTGAAGGTCTGAATAGAACAAAAAGACTGGCCTCCATGAGCAAGAAAAAATTCTATAGCAGACTGTCTTTGGACTTCATCTGCTGTGTCGTGTCTTCCTGCTTGACAGCCTTCAAAGTGGAACACTGGCTCTCTCTGGGTCTCCAGCTTGCTACCTTACCCTGCCATCCTCCATAATTGGGGAATCAATGCCCTACAATAAAATCTCTCTACCGATAAATCTCTCTATATCTGTATCTGTATCTATATACATTGAATCTATCTTCTATTGGTCTGTTTCTCCAGAGAACTCTTATACAATATTCAACTAATATGTTCCTGCTTGTCTTTCTGTCTATCCCTTAAGCTGTGTTGCTCTGGAAATGACTTCATGTGGCTAACATTAAGATATATGATACACGAAGACAAAATAAAATAGATTAGGAAAAAGAGTGGCCGGGCGTGGTGGCTCACGCCTGTAATCCCAGCACTTTGGGAGGCCGAGGCGAGTGGATCACGAGGTCAAGAGATCAAGACCATCCTGGCCAATATGGTGAAACCCCGTCTCTACTAAAAATACAAAAATTAGCCGGGTGTGGTGGCACGCACCTGTAGTCCCAGCTACTCGGGAGGCTGAGGCAGGAGAATTGTTTGAATCCGGGAGGCGGAGGTTGCAGTGAGCTGAGGTCGCACCACTGCACTCCAGCCTGCCAATAGAGCAAGACTCCATCTCAAAAAAAAAAAAAAAAAAAAAAAAGAACAAAGAACAAAGAAAAAGAGTGAGGTTGGGGCACCTGTGAGGTTGTCCTCCCACCATTCCTTTATGAGAACTATAGTCCCTCAAACCAATACCTAGTGCAGGAACAGCCATTTTGTATGACACAGACCCTCCCCCACTCCTCATCAACACCACTGCCAATTGGCCTGAGACTAAGGCATCTGCCCTGATCTGGGCCAATCAGAGCTGTTCTTTGGGAGTTTTAACCTGGGATAGGGGCAAGCATTAGGTCAGGTGACAGAGGCTTCAAAAGGTAAAGCTTAGGAGCTGCCTGGCAACCATGTTTTGCACCCTGTGGAGAAAGCTGGGCTGTAGTGAGAGAGGGCCATATAGAGGAAATGACAGAGAAGTCATGATAAGAGGTGGGGGGATCAAGTAGACCCTTGTCCCAGCTGTTCCTGGGCTTGACCACATTCCTCTTTCAGGGGACACTCCAGTATCCTTACCATAAATCTGCATCCCCCCCCCCCCTTTTTTTTTGACTTAACAAAGTTCAAATTGGTTTCTGTCACTTTTAACCAAATCGTTTTTTAGACCAAAGGGAAAACAAGCAGGAAAGTAAAAAATGAAGGTTGGGTTAAGGTTAGTGGATGAACTTGGGGCTCAGTGGCCCCTTACGCATGATAGAAGTGGGTCACACAGTTAGTTCTGAACTTTCTAGCAGCCAGCCCCAAGAGGGAGACATGATTTATAAGATTCACAGTGTCTACACAAATCAAAATAAACCAGTTGGTCAGAAGCAACACTCATTGTGGTATAATACTGAGACAAGATGGGAACCTTCTATGTGGGTCTTTTTACAGAGGGCAATGTGCACTATGCCAGTGGTTCTTAAAGTGTCTTCTGCATCAGCAGCATCATCATCACCTGGGAACTTGGTAGAAATACACAGTCTTATATTTGTACTCTGAGTGTTGGGGCCTGGCAATCTGTGTTTAAACAAGGCCCCCTCCTCATTCTGAAGCATGCTAATGTTTGAGGGACACTTACGATATGATAAGCTATGTCCCCACAACATCCCATCCCGAGGATCAGCCCAGCAATGAGCTTTATAGGGCTGTTTCTCATGATGGTGCTCAATAATTACAGTGGCTGTCTGTTGTTTTGTCTGCCCTGCACCAGTCTTCCAATTGCAGAATTCCTCCTCCACCATCCTCTGTGGTCTGGGGGAGATGGTCATGTGACCCAGGCCCGACCAGTCATAAGATATTATCCTCTGATCCAACATGATTGCTTCAAGGGCATCACATGACCCAAGCAGGGTCAATCAGGAGCTCTTCATGAGATCTGAAAGATGAATGCTGGTGGAGAGTGAGAAAGGGTTCTTCTTCTTTTCTGATAGCAAGTTGAAAGATGGGGGCTCAGGCTGCTAGCTGCCATCATCCCCTCTGTGGAAAGAACCTATCTGTGGCAGGGGAGAATGGGGCCAACATGGGAACAGAAGTAGGGACCAGCAGAGCTGAGAGAGAAAGACTGAAGGGAGGTTGGGGGAGAGAGAGAAAGAGATTGATTTGATATTCTTCATGCTCCTGGTCCAAGAATCCATGCCTTAACTACTGTGCTCTACTGCCTCTCACAGCAGAAAAGCCCTAAAGACTTTCCCAACTGGACTGAGGCCAGAAATGAATCATTCTAAATCTGTGGCTCCCTGGGAAAACTGACAATACCATGGCTGATACTCTGTTTCTGGCTTGTGGGAAGGAAGGGATATGAGTTGTAGGCCTTCAGTTACATCTTTGGAGTAGCTGGGATGAGGCCTGAATGGAAGGACAGAAGCTTCTTCCTCAAGGAGTACCCCCTCTTGATTTGGAATCTAGCCAGGGGTATATTTTGCTACAAGTTGCTCTTGAAAGGTATGCCAGAAAGTTCTGTGGTTCAAAGTTAAACAGCCTGTGTGCTCTTCACTGAAATTTGCAGGGCTGAAATGGCCATCTGCTTTACAAATGGTCTAGCCTAAAATTATTATGGCACAACCCTATCACAGATGCTGGACACACATGGGTTTCTCAATACCCCTATTATTATATGGAGAATTGTGGGGTGTGCACATTTTTTCTGAATGAAGGGTTCTTAACTTTCATAAATTTTCAAAGGATTGTGACTCTAAAAAATGTTCTAAGGTATATTACTCCATGGTAGGAAACACTGGGATGTCTTTGCTCTTCTGTACTAAAAAGGACCAAGACAATTTTCTGAGTAAAACGTTGGTTTGGCTGATGGTGCTGCCTTAGAACCCCTCTCCAGCATCCCTCTCTCCTCACCCCCAGTGTCAGGGAGAGAGGCCTTCTTCTCAGGCTGTGTCCTCATCAGGCTCTTCAGCTTCCCCACATGTCAAAATCCAGCACGGCTAATTGTTAAAGCATGTGGCTCCACATCCAAATGGTAACACTCAATTTACAAACTCTGGATATTTGATTCGGAGTCTATCCTTGAATGTACTGTGGCTTAATGCCTACCAAAGGCGGGAGGAAAAAAAATTATGGAGGATTTCCTGAAAGAGACACAGTCCATATATCCCATACTCTTAGATTTATCTATGGATTAAGTCAGAGCTAAGAAGTGAAATGGTAAAGAGGGGGTGAGTAAGAGCAGATGGCCTGAGTCAAGTTCTGGATACACTAGTTACTAGCTGTGCTACCCTGGGCAAGTACCTTCAACTTTCTGTGCTCAGTTTTCTGATGTGTAAAATGGGCTTAATGATAGTACCAGCTTCTTTGTGGTAGATCACACTATTGGTCCCAATCCTTCAGCCCTCCCTAAATCTATGCCCTTTGCCTTGTAACTTTGAAAAGTTACCCTCAAGTGGCTGGGTGCAGTGGCTCACACCTGTAATCCCAGCACTTTGGGAGGCTGCAGTGGGTGGATCACTTGAGCTCGGGAGTTCAAGACCAGCCTGGGCAACATAGTGAAACGCCGTCTCTACAAAAAATACAAAAATTAGCTGGGCATGGTTGCTCACGACTGTAGTCCCAGCTACTTGGGAGGCTGAGGTGGGAGGATTGCTTAAGCCCCAGGAGGCAGAGCTTGTAGTGAGCCAAGATCATGCCACTGCACTCCAGCCTCGGTGACAGAGTGAGACTCTGTTTAAAAAAAAAAAAAAAAAAAAGAAAAAAGTTACACTCCTATAGTGGACAGAGTGGTCTGCCTCACTCGATTCAGGGTTTAGCCATGTGACTTGCCTTGGCCAATGGGATGTGAGCAGATGTGATACAAGCA
The DNA here is from genome assembly GCF_000001405.40 of Homo sapiens. Taxonomy (NCBI): domain Eukaryota; kingdom Metazoa; phylum Chordata; class Mammalia; order Primates; family Hominidae; genus Homo; species Homo sapiens. The sequence goes on along the minus strand of NC_000023.11, from coordinate 39,591,381 downwards.
GAATGCTTGAAGCGGGCTTGTGCAATGGGGCTTAATCTCTTATGCCTCTACCATTACCATAAAGACATACCTGCTGAACTGTGAGACATGTGGAAAGAGCTGAGTCACCTCAGCTGCCACCAGTCTAGATCAGCTCGCTCCTGCAGACCCCCAGGTGCACAAGCAAGTCCAGGCAAGATCAGCAGAGCTGCCCAGCCCAGCACAGCCCAGATCAGCTGTACCTGCAGATATTGAGAAGTAAATGTCAAGTGCTATATGCCACTAAGGTTTTGTGATTATCTGTTATGTAGCAAATGCCCACTAATACAGTTATAGTGTTATTGTGAAGACTAAATGAGTTCATACATGTAAATGCTCAAGATAGTGACTACTGCCTATGCTTAGAATGTACTGGGCATGCTACACACATCTGCTTTGAATATGCAGGGTTTTGTTCTGCCTGCCATGTTGCAGCTGTCCCCAGTGCCTGGAAGAAGAGCTTGGGGTTGTGAGTAGCTGAGATGGAATAGACTTCTAACCACCTAAACTAGTGCTCAGGACTTGGAACATGTGGTAACCACTCCTCTGAGACAGCCCCTGTCTCCTGCTTGCTCTGGCTTTGATCTCTTTGAATCAGACATTAGGATGAGAGTGGAGACTTTGTCTTGCTCACTGCTGTATCCGTGGTGTCCAAAATAGTTACTGACACACAGTAGGTTTTTGATAAACATCAGCTGGCTGATTACAGACTTTCAATTCCAGCTTAACCTTAGTCCCATCACTTCTCAATTCCAATGAACTCCTGCTAGCTCTTTGTCCCTCTTCCCAAGCATGCTTGAAGCCAGTGGGGTGGTAAAGTCTAGACCCCATGGGAGACAATTAAGATCTGGGAAATGGAGCAAGGCCTGTCAGCTACTACTTTCCCCAGGAGCCACAGGCAGGGCAGCCCTACTTGTAAGTGGGGTTGAAAGTTGTCAAATGGTGCAGTTTGAGGGATATGAAAGAGTTATTTTTTAAAATAGCCACCCATCCATGGTTCCTAAAATTCTACCCAGAGTTTCTATTTGTGTTATACTATACTCCTTTCTTACTACTGGCTTAAAAATGCAAGTATTCTCGTGAGGCATGCCACTTTGATGACTTAACTCTTTAGTGTGAATGCATTTCTAGAAATATTCCTTTTTATAAACATATATAATTCTACTTAGATAATTCATTCAGAAAGCATTTTTCCAGAATTGCTACCTTGCCGGGTACAAAAGATGCAAAGATATTGTGCCCTCAAGGAGTGTTAGGCTGATGGGAAGTTTTTCATGTCTATAGCTTTCCATAAGGTGGGATATGATCAGCACCTTCAGAGAAATTATGATGATAATGATTATAGCCATTTGCAAAAGTGGTCACAGATTCTTCTCCTCCTTGAATCTATGTTCTCATAATGTGGATTTTTGTATCTCGAGGTGAAGCTTTTCTATACCCCTTGAGTCTGAGCTGTTCTCATGATGTGGCCAATGGGAGACATTAGCAAATGGGACATAAGTTGAGAGTTGAATGATGCCTGCACTTCAGGGCTTGCCCTTTTGCTACTCTTGGACTCCAGCTGCCATGTCATAGCTTGGACTAGTCTGCTGGGGGCTGAGAGACCCATGACCCTGTCACCACCATTGCCAACAGCCAGCCAACGTCTGGACATGTGAGCAAGGCCACTCAGGACTAGCCAGTCCGCAGCCGAGCCTCTAACTGACCACGAATGCCTATGTGAGCCTAGCCAAAGTCCACAGAGCCCAGAATTGATCAGAAGAACTGATCAGTATAATCATTATTCTTTCAAACCACTAAGTTTTAGAGTATGAATTAACTATTAGCAATAGATAACTGATGATAGTAATAATAGTAATAATGATAGCTTCCATTTACTGGTTGCTTATGATGTACTGAGCATGGTACACACATTAATTTAATATGCATTCACTTAATAATTGCAACAGCTCTACAAGGAAGGTAAGAATTTACCACTATTCCACACTAAGGAAAGAGAGACACAGAGCAGTTCAACCTCTCACCCAAGGCCACACAGCTAGTTAGTGGAAGAACCTGGACTCAGTTCCAAGTTTCCAAGACTCCATACTGGTGTTTATAAGATGGCACCAGGCCACCTACTGCAGGATTACAGAGATAGCATGCCTAGAGTCCAGATGAAAGCTCTTTCCTTCTGGGGGCCTGGGTCACAGGGAGCAGAGGAGACAGAGGTACTCCCTATGCCTGCCTCATAATTATACCCAGGGCACGCACTTACTGCTGAGACACCCCTTTAAGAGTAGCCCCATCCAGAGGAAAGACACCTGTCTCATCTCTCTCCCAGTGACAAATGTCCTCACCTCCCTCCTTGCTGTGTATAATCAGCCCCTTTCTGAAATTTCACATGAGCATTCCCTAGTCCCTGGCTATTTTTCTGGGCCCGACATCTCTCAGCTGCCAATCCTCTGTGACAAGCTCCCCACTCCAACCCCCAAGGGCTGTTAGGGTGATTTGTCAATAATAAATTCTGAAGCAAATTGAAATATTTTGTGACAGCATAAAAACAAATGGAAGAAAACGGTTCCCATCCCGAAATGCTGATTGAATCAAATATTGCAATATCGATTGTATGATACATTTTCATATTTAATTCAATGAAAACCATGGGGTTCGAATGCTTTCTATTACCCTACAGAATTTTTCAGTTTGCTGGAGAATTTATTATTGGTGTGCCACCCAAATCGGATTACTATTGAATCAAAACTCTGCCACGTTATTCAATCAAAGACCATGATTCTAACCCCAAGAGAGATTCTAACCACTTTTCCCAAAGTGTATTTCCTTTTCCTTGTTTCACACAGGAATGGCCAGGTCTTTTATCTGTCTGTACATCATCCAGCCCTCCTCAAGCTGCAGTTAAAATCTACCAGTGACAAAAACCTAGCCAAAATAACAACGGCTTTTCAATATCAATAGCAATCTAGGTTTTTCTGGGAATTTATGCTCTTGTTTCCCTGTCTTTGTCTTTTCTCCAGGCCGTGATACAGGCATGTGTCTGCCACCTACACTAGGTTACTTATCAGAGGCAGTTAGTCACCATGTCATGGCTAGGTAGACATGGAACTTGGGGGCTCGCAGCAAATGCTGTCAGTGCTCCCCACATCTCCTTGAGAGCCTTCTCCCATGTTCATGCATGATGCTTTCCAGTTGTTTTAATTCCCCACAGCCAGCACCCTTGTTACCTGTTGTATTAGTCTGTTCTATTGCTATAAAGAAATACCTGAGACTGGGTAATTTATAAAGAAAAGAGGTGTAATTTTCTCACGGTTCCGCAGGCTGTACAGGAAGCATAGTGGCTTCTGCTTCTGGGAAGGCCTCAGGAAACTTACAGTCATGGTGGAAGGCAAAGGGAGATCTGGCACTTCATATGGCCAGAGCAGGAGGAAGAGAGAGAATGGGGAGGTGCCACACACTTTTAAATGACCAGATCCCATGATAATTCAGTATCACAATGACAGCACCAAGGGGGGATGGTTTTAAACCACGAGAAACCACCCCCATAATCCAACCACCTCCCACCAGGCCCCACCTCCAACACTAGGGATTACAATGCAACATGAGATTTGTGGGTGGGAACACAGATCCAAACCATATAACCTGTATTCCAGGAAGGCTGGGAGTGTCTGGGAGTTGAAGTCCTTCTGAGGGCCTTCTTTAAATAATATTCCAGCTCCCTTGCTCCCCCACTGGGACACCTCTGAAGGTGACCGGCCTCCCCTGTCTCTAGGAATCCCTTGTGGGATTGGGCCCTGGTTCTCTTTTGTGGGACTTTATTTGACATTGCACCCTTGCTTGGCCTCTTCCGGGTCCTTGTATCACCTCCTCACTTCCTGTTAGGGGCTGAATTTTGTCCTTTCTGAATTCATGTGATGAAGTCCTAAATCCTAGTACCTCAGGCTGTGACCTTATTTGGAAGTAGGGTCTCTTAAAGAGGTAATCAAGTTTAAATCATTTGGGTTGCCTCTAATCCAATACGACTGGTGTCCTTATAAGAAGAGGAAATTTGGACACAGACACACACTCAGGAGAATGCCATGAAAAGATGAAGGTGGAGATGGGGTTGATGCCAAGGCACCCCCAAAATTGCCAGCAAACCATCAGAAGCTAAGAAACAGGCATGGAACAGATTCCCCTCACAGCCCTCAGAAGGAACCAACCCTGCCAACACCTCGATCTCAGACTTCCAGCCTCCAGAACTGAGACAATACATCGCTGATGTTGAAGCCAGCCAGTGTGTGGTTCTTTGTTATAGCAGCCCTAATGAACGAATATGCTCTCCTACCTTTTTCCTGGCAGAACTTCTTGATAAAATCACTTCCACATGAACCCAGTCTCAGGGTCTGCCATGGGAACTCGTCCAAAGCAGGACTACACCAAGTCCTCGGAGCTCAGTGCCCCAAATTGTCGCTGTGTTATGCACATGCCCGATTGAGATTGGATTTCCAAAATCTGATTAGAGAACCTCCACTTAAACAAAAAGCCCACGCTGGTATCTAATAGTGCACGACATTCAGCTGGGACAGACATGGCAACCTTGGGCTCTGTGGCCACACATATCCTCACACACATCTTTCTTCTGTGCCCCTCACAGCTGTGGCCCTGGCTGCTTCACCAAAGTTGAATTGAGTGTCCCTGAAAAATATAGCGTAGCATCCTTTCCCTGCCACGAGACACTAAACCAATAAATTATAAATCAGCCAGCAGCCCCGTGACATGAGGATGTAATGAGAAATGCAAAATAAGAAAAGACACAGGGAGGAGGACATGCTCCTCTCTCTCCCCCAGCTCAGCTCCCTTTGGGCTCAGAAAAAACAATTGCTTTCTTTTCTCTGTGTGTCTCTGTTGTTACATGGGTGCAACACACACACACACACACACACATACTCATAAACACCCACACGTGCACACACACACACACACACACAGTGTCACTACTAATCAACCAGAGGCTGCTATCAGGAACCTGGGAACAAAACCAGGACAATAGAATTATCTGGTTCCTGGGGCTTATAAAACTCCTGGGCTAAAGAGCCAAATCTGTTGCCCAGGCCAGTTTCCTCTGGTGAGTGGTCAGCCTTGCTCTGCCCGATTCTGCCCCGTGGCTGGTGGCCAGGTGAATGCTCACCTTGACCGGCACCTCCCATCCTCCGGGGTCCTCCAGCACACCTTCTGGAATGCCCTGTGTAAAGGGGCGACTGGCTTGTCTGTCTCTCTTAGGGTGCAGGAGCCAGCTGATCTCCTCTCTTCTCTGTTTGTTTATTTATTCATTGCCTTGCATCCATTTATTCAGCTATTCAGTGAATGATAGAGGGGGTCTGGGAATGAATATTTTCAAGGCCTCTAGGGAGCAAAATGATGCTACTAGAAATGCAGGAACAGTCTGTCTTCCTTTCCCACCACTCTCTGCCTGGTGGCCAGTTTCCCATTTGCCTCCATTCTGAGGCCTTTTGCTCAACACTGCCTGCCCCTTCCACTCCTCCTCCTGCCCCAGAGGCTTCCTTCCCCACACTTAGAGTCAGAATACCTGCAATCTACTAATAGAGCCACTTCCCTGCAGTATAAAAGTCCCCAAAGCCTCAAAAACAATGGTTTGGCAAAAAACTCTCTTGATGGCACAACCTGGCCAGAATGGATGTGAGATTATTTAGGGTCTTATTTAACTCCAGTTCATGTGACTGTTCATGCATTTTTGCTGCAGAAGTGTTGAAGTGTTTGATTGTGAGGCGCTACCCGAGACCCTGCTGGGGTTTCATGTAAAATGTGGTAAATGTACCGTATAACCTTCCTAAAATCTGAAAAATTCAGAATTCTGAAACCTGTCTATCTCTATGGTTTGGATAAGGGCTTGTGGACCCACGCCAGCCTCCATCTATTGAGTGAATGTCAAGTGCCAGGGGCAGAACTGACCTCTTTCCAAAGCACATCACATCATATAATAACAACAACCCTGTGTGTGGTGTTATTCCCACTTTACAGATGAAGAAACTGAGGCCCAGAGTTAAACAACTTGCCCTAGGTCCCCAGCTAGTAAATGGTGGAGCTAGGAATTGAACTCACCTGTATTTGACCCCAAGCTTTTAACTTTAACTTTGAACAACTTTTAATCACTGTGTTTGTTATTGCATCCCTCAGTGATCTCCTGACATGCTGTCAGTCCAAACTATCTCAGTAGCTAAAGGCTTCAAAACTCCTGGTGCTCACCCCAGGCCCTGGCACTCGCGGGCCCTCGGGAGACACTGCTGAGGTGAGGAGGGGGAGTTCTAATGTAGATGATCTCCAGGGCAGGTAGGAGAGTGCAGAGAGGGATGGGAGAAACTAACAGAGCCCAGAGAGAGAAAGACAAGACCCCTCCCTCAATCGTGGGGTGGGACCGGAGAGGAGGTGTATGCATGTTCCCGTAAGAACTCTCTCTCTTGTCTTGCCCTCACTGGGTCATCTGTGTGTGAAGAGGCATAAGCATATTTGTGGTTCTGCCCATTTTCTCGGCCAGAACCACAGCATCTACCTGCTCCTCTCTCCTCACTCTCTGGGACAGAGTGCGTTCCTCTGTCTTATGAAATAATTCTGCTCCTGAAGAACCTCTCTTAGGGTTACTTCTCATCGGCCAAAGTCGTAACTGCCAGAGGAAAAAAAAATGGGTGCATTCTTGAGTCCCTAAGTGAATACCACCTTAGGCTAAAATAATACCAAAACCCTATTAAAATGGAAAAAATAATCTCAGTAGTTCTCATTAGTCATTCTAACAACCTAGTGAGGAGTTTTCTCTTTGTAACTTACTCGCCAGAGTGGCTCTTTCCTGGAGCTTCTTCATAGGTAATATGCACAGTACACTTAACATTGCATTCCAAGAACAAAGCATTCATAAGGTACCCAATGCTTTGGTAATTCTAAATTTAGTGACAAAAATTGTAAAGATGGAAGTCATCAATGGAAAGTATTTACTTGATATGCTACTTGCTGAGCAAGTTACCATTCATGAGAGGGGTCAGGAGACTTGAGGTGATCATCCCTCAAACCAGCAGGCTGTTGTGTGACTTTCAGTACCTAACTCCCATGAGATTAGGCAGAATGTATTTCCCCACCTGTTGACTTTGGGTTTGGCTGGGTGACTTACTTCGTCCAGTGGAGCATGGCAGGAGTAACAGGGGGCCAGTTCTGAGCCTAGGCCTTAAGAGACACCTTGTGTTTCTGCTCAGACCCTTGGCACTTCTGCTGTTTATGTGTCCCAGGTAGCCACTGGTCCATGGAGACTGAGAAGGCATGTGGAACCACTAAAACTCACTCAGAAGCCTGAAGCAGAGCCACCCCTATAGTCCTGTGAGCAAGAAAAATAAATGCTTGTTTGGTAAATTACTGAGTTTGGGGATGATTTGTTATGTGGCATTATTACAGAAATAGCTGACTAATACACCTAGTAAAGTAGAATTATTGAAACCGAACTGGCACATATACTAGGTAGATCTGAAATTTCCTTGCAACAGAGCTGGGTTAGGGCCCCTAGTGTCCTTTGACTTACTTAGGCTGCTGAGGTCTAGTTAACTCTGGAGAGTTGGAAGACATTCTTTCTTAAATAGGTGGATTGGTTTGAGCCTTGGTTAGGTCTGGGTTGGTTTGCTTTACTGTCCCATGTCCCAGTACCCTCTGAGTAACCAAAATGTCTGCATCTCAGTATTTGAACAGCATGTTTCAGTTTTCAAATCCTTTTGATATAAATTGTTTACACTACTAGAAAAACCGAAGCTCAGAATTCTTGCTATGCTCACAGGTTTCTTCTGAGAAATTCCTTCTGAAATGTCTCCAGGTCAGTGCCACAGGCTGCTACCACCCTTACATGTGTCGGCTGGACCAAGGGTGGATGAGCACTTCCCTAAAGGCAGCCAAGTCACAGACTAGCCAGTGGCCTATGAGATGGCCTGCCTCCAAAGCTCCACCAAACAGAAGTGTAAGTGACAGCTTTCTCTCTCCATAGTGGGAAGAGTGTTGCCACTGGAGTCTGTAGTTTATTAAAATCGAATCTTGGAGGATGCACACAGGCATATCTAGCCATTTTCTCATCTCTGACCCTTGTATTAAAGCTGCAACAGCATCATCAGGGAGCGTGGTAGACATGCATACTCTCACGTCCCACCCAGACCCACCAAATCAGAATTTGCATTTGAACAGGATTCCTGGGAGATTGGGTGACACAATACTTTGAGAAGTATTGCTCAGAGATATAGGTCAAGTTGTCCTCTTTCACGAAGACTTTTTAAATGACTCCCTATTATGGGGTGAATTGTGCTTCCCCCCCAAGATACATTGAAATCTGAGCCCCAGTACCTAAAACTGTGCCCTTATTTGGAAATAAAGTTGTTCTCAATGTAATTGCTTAAGGTGAGGTTATACTGGAGGAGGGTTATTCAGGAGTAGGGTGGGCCCTTAATTCATATGACTGGCGTCTTTATAAAAAGAGAATAGACACAGACACACACACAGAGGGAAGACAGCTGTGTGACGACAAAGGCAGAGATTGAAGTGATAAATCTAGAAGCGAAAAAACTACTGGGGCTACCAGAAGCTGGAAGCTGCAAGGACAGATCCTTCCCTAGAGGCTTTGGAGGAAGCATGGCACTGCCAACACCTTAATTTTGAAAGTCTAGCCTCCAGAACTGTGAGAAAATCAATTCCTGTTGTTTGAAGCCACTCAGATTGTGGTACTTTGTTATGGCAGCCCTGGGAAACCAATACACCTGCCTGAGCTGTTGGGGAGCTCCGTTAGGGTTCTCTCCAAAACTAAAGAAGACATAGAAATAATGGTAATGGGTATACGTTGTGGGAAGCACCAAGAAGAGAGGATACATGTGGGACAAGGGAGAGAGAAAAGCCAACAAAGCTGCTGTGGGCAGCTGGGCTCAATCCCACTGGGATCCTTGGAGTGGAAGGTGGAGAATATGCCTCAGAATTGTTCCACTGGAGAACAGGTTGGCATTCATCCACCGACTCCTGCTCCCATTGATTGCGGGTTTCCCTCAGGGCCATCCACTTCCTCATACTTTAGTGGTGAGCCCACACGTGACTGAGCAAGCTTCCCTGGTCAGGGTCTATCTATGATCAGTGGAGAAGGGAGTCCTGTGCTTGTGGTTTAATGCCCTGTAGTCACCATCTTGCAATTCCTAATAATTTTATCTTTGAAATTGTGTTTTATAAGGGAAATCTAATGGACAATGGAACATACTCTGGCAGCCTGGAATCTCTCAGCCTTCCCAGGATGGGTTCTCGGTTGCCTGCTCCACTGCCCCCACCCTGTTGCTGCTCCTGCTCACCACCCCTGTCAGGATCCTGGTGGAAGGCACAGAGGGCTTGGGCATGCACCAAGTTGTGGGTTATAGCTCTAATGAGGATTTGCACTTGCCCTGGGAATAACTTCCTGCCAGAGGGAGTTCGGCATTAAGAAGCAAATAAAAATTACTAGGATGGTTAAGAGAATGTGCACAGGTGGAAGAGTGGGAAAAGCTTGTGTCTTGCTTTTTAAACAAGGTGTCCCAAAATTTCTTTCCTTTCTCTCTCTGTGTCTCTTAGACAGGGTCTTGCTTTGTCACCCAGACTGGAGTGCAGTAGCGCAATCATAACTCTCTGCAGGCTCAAACTCCTGGCTCAAGTGATCCTCCCACCTCAGCCTCCAGAATAGCTAGGACTATAGGTGCAAACCACCAGGCTTGGCTCATATTTTCATTTGGCACTGTGCCCCACAAATTATGTCATCTTCCTTGTCCTTGATTCTGGAGGGAGCCCTGAGACTGAGGAGCAGAGGTGGGCAGGCAGTCGAGGTGGAAAGCTGTTAGCATGTGAACTGCCCACCTTGGCTGCAGGTGAGCTTGGGGATATGGGGTGTGGTGTCAACAGGGGCTGCTGTAGGGGTCTCCTCCGTGTTGAAGCAGTTGCCTTACCCACCTTTATGTTGCCTTCTTGTTGTTTTATGGCTGTTGGTCTCTACCAACCTGGTGCTGGTTTCCGCCAGCATATTTGAGCAGGACTCCCAGTTTTCTGTGGGCTCCCATAGTACCTGGCCTCATCACCTGCTTCTGGAAGAATGAATGGAATCTATAAAATCTCCAAAGGAGAACACTGTGAAGTCTTTGGAGGACCATGCCCCCCACAATGTGAAAGAGCCAATAGATGTTATTTCTTCTTTCTGTTGGGCACAAAGTCTAGGACCTCCCAAGGCACGGGACAGCGTGTGTCTGCCCACCAGGTTGTCACAGCCATCCTTGGCATTGGGGAAGCAGAGCCAGCCAGCTGTCAGTCAGGGCAGGGGAAACTGTGCAGTATCTATGCCTAGGGATGCTGCTCAGTGCAGCCTCCAGCTGGGCCTCAAAGTCAGCAGAGGATACCAAATGTGGAGGGAAGGGCATGGAGGCAAGGTGGCTGGGAGAGAGACAAGAGGGACCAGCTGAAGGGAAAGGAGTCTGGGGGAGGTGTGAAGGGAAGATAGGAGTGAGATGAGAGAGGAGAGAGAGGAGGGGTAGTCCTTGGACCGACTTGGGGCAGTGGGGAGGCTACTGGGTGCTTTTGTTGGTGGAGCACAGTAGTTACATACTTATGCCTGGAGTCAGACCTGCCTGGGCTCAAATCCTGGTCCTGCCACTTACTAAGTGTAAACTGGTAGGATGCAGAGGATGCTAACAGCATCTACATCATAGGGGCCTCGTGAGGCTGAAACGTGCGTGGCCCTGGACCTGACACCCAGCAGGTGCTTCCCAAAGTCCACACTCACACCAGTGCTCCTTGTCAGAAGGGGAAGCACAAGGTCACCAGACCGGGAATGTGGAAGCTTGTGTCCCTAGCCACTTCCCCACAACTTTGTCCATAGCTTTCATCTTTGACCTCTCGTAGGCGAAGGCTGATTACACGTGCTGGCTGGCTTAGGTTCTTGGTAGATGCGCACCTGGCAAGGTGAAGGCAGTGAAGGACTGGTTTGTCAGAGGCCACAGTTGCAAGTACTGGCATCTTTTCAACTGTCCCTCCATGGGCAGAGTTCCTTCCATTAATGAGATCTCAGTGCAGCCATCAGTGACACAGGCAGGAAAACAATGAGCCAGGTGGTAGCATAAACTTTGGAATGAGACTGCTTTGGCACAGTGTTTACTAGCTGTGTGACCTTGGGCAAGTTCCATAATCCCTGTGTGTTCTGTGACTATAAAGTAACAGTAAAAAGACGAATACAGCCAGGCACGGTGGCTCATGCCTGTAATCCCAGCACTTTAGGAGGCCGAGGCGGGCGGATCAAGAGGTCAGGAGATCGAGACCATCCTGGCTAATGGTGAAACCCCGTCTCTACTAAAAAATACAAAAATTTAGCCGGGCATGGTGGCGGGTGCCTGTAGTCCCAGCTACATGGGAGGCTGAGGCAGGAGAATGGCATGAATCCGGGAGGAAAGCTTGCAGTGAGCCGAGATCGCACCACTGCACTCCAGCCTAGGCGACAGAATGAGACTCCGTCTCAAAAAAAAAAAAAAAAAAAAAGAAGATGAATACCTACCTCATGAAATGCTTTAGGGCCTCAATTAGTTAACATATATAAGGTATATAGAACAGTCCACAGTGCCCAGAATATTCTTTATTAAAGTGGGAGGCATTATTACTGCATGGCACAAGACATAGTGCTAATGAAGGATCTTGGCCCAGACCCTCCTGGGAGGTGGCATAGAAAAGAATTCTCTTTTGCCTGGGTGCCTGGGATTTAAAGGTCCTACATTACTCTTGGTAGCAGCGGCAGGGGACAGAAGGCAAAAGCATAGGGAAGGCTTCCCTGCATGAGTGGGCACTGGCTTGCCCAAAAAGTAGTGGGGCTGGGAGCCACTGGTAAGTGAGCCAGAGTGGGGGCCAATGACTGTGCTAATTCTATGAGTTATGGATAGAGGGAGGGTCCATGGAAGCCAGATTGTGACCACCACCCGTTCTTGTCCATACCTGAAGGGGTATGGACTTCATCCTTAAGGCAATTCAGAAGCATTGCAGTGACAGTAATGAAATGATATTTATGAGGCTCAATCACTCAATCCATGCATCAAGTGTTCATTGAGCAACAACTATGTGCTATGCACAGTTCTAGACCCTGGAGTGGCGAGCAAGATGGGCATGTCTTGGCCTTCAAAGAGCTGACAGGCAGTCTGCTTGGGGAGCTAAGGGCTTTGTAAACCTTCAAGTGACAACAAGCCCCGGCCCTGTTTAATGCAGGCCCTAATTCTGAATTCCTGTTCCCAGAGCTGAGCTTTTACTTTTGCATCGGGACCTGCAGGAGAAACCTGTGGACTACTGGTTCTTTGCATTTTTACACCAAGTTGCCAGAGGCAACGTGTGCCCTGGCTGTTCTGGAAACCTGAATTTGAACCGCTTTCTTCAGAAGGCACACTGGGTTTCACCCTCCATAGTTCTCAATGGCTAGCCTGGCATTTTCCCTTGGTTGCTAAAATCCCCGAGTGTTCCTGGTACTCAGCATCGCACCTAGTATATTTTCATTAGTCACCAAAGGCAGCCGGAAGTAGAGTTCTAAAAAGCCTTGTGGGGAAAAAATCGGTCTCAGGTTGAGTTCTTTAGGAAGCAGATGCTGAGATGAAGTTAGTGATAGCGAGAGATGATTTAGTCCTTCAGTGGCTTCCAGGAAGGACCATATCAAATTGGGCACCCATGGAAGGGGGAGGGGAGGAAGCAAGATTGGGCAGGGGGAGCCGTCAGGTGGCAATGCAGGTCTGAAAAGTCACTGCCAGCCCAGTGGGAGCTCCGAGCAAAGGTGCCATCAGAGGAACCCCTCATGGGACAGAAACAGCTGGCCTGAGTACCACAGCCTGCTTAGCCGCCCGCCAGGGGCCACCCCTAGAGGAACGTGACATCAGCTCAAAAGCTGAGGCCAACCCCGCTGAAGCCAACAGCTGAAGTCTGTCAGCTAACCACAGTCAAAGCAGCTGGCAGCGAGTTCTTTCCTGAAGGTGCTCTGAGTGATGCTTCTCTGCGTCTGACATAAGACCCGAAAGGAGAATTGGGAGCAGACCCTGGCACCGTGTGCATAATTAAGACAAGGTCTTTCTCTGCCTTCAAGGCCCTCACTACCCAGTAGCACTTGTAAGAATTCATAATATCCCTGGAAGGAACATCCAGGCAAGAATACCCCAAATCCAGTTTATAGGGCTACAAGGCACTGTGCAGGAGGCTGCTCAATTTGCCTGATACTCTGAGAATTTCTCCACCCAGACCAATGAAAATGATCCTTATACCAGCAATGGAGAAAATCTTTTCTATTTTCCTTTTTCCTAATTTGGCGGAGAAGATGCAAATGGATATAAACTCCATCAAAATGCTCTCACCAATGATAGATATCCCCTATTTTGTTTCGCTCCCGTTTGGGTTGTTAGAGTGGCAGCAATTAAACTTGACAAAATAGTGATTAAAAAACAATGAGAGGCAAATGTACCAGCACACCAGCGCGCATCTAGACCATTCCAAAAATGATCTCTTAAGTGTTTGAAATCTGCTTTATTTTCCTACCGCAGGAATGAGTTTTCAAAAAACAGCACTTAGGAAGGGCAATTTGCCACAAGCATTCCACGGCCCCAGCAAATAGTATTTCTTTCTAATGGACTCTCCCCCTCCAAATTTTAACTGCAGTTCCCAAATCAGATTCATTATACAAAAGAATGAACAAATGCCACAAAATGCCCAGAAACCAAGCCTCTTCCTGCCACTTCCAATAATGCAAAAGGCAAACAAAACTTCTCAACAGTAACTTTGCTTGCTGGGTTTTCAGGGCACCGGCTGCTGGGCTGCCCTGGTCTGGGAGGTCACAGCCACCGTGGAGCTGGGAGGTCTAGCTGTGATCCATCCCAAAAGTCAGCTGTTGCTGCCTTATGAGCAGGGGCTTTATAACTTCTGGCTGCTCCTTACAGGACTGAATGAAGTATGTGACTCACAGGGAACCTTTTAGAGAGAGGAATTAACAACACAGGGCATTTTCAGCGGTGAGGTTTTTGTTTGTTTTTTGAAATCCTGATGCATATCTGGCTCTCGTGAAGCCACGGTCGTGTCTTTCTCTCTCTCTTTCTGATGTGCAAGCAGCTTTCCGGGTCTAATTATAGATGTAGTCTGTGCATCCTTGATCAATAGTTCTGAGTGTCCTCCCGCCTGAAGAGCCGTTTAGTTCTTGCTGATGGGCTGGCATTTCAACCTCTAGCTCTGAGCGGGAGTTTTCAGACTCCTCAACCCCATCAGCAAAGCCCTAGCTTCTCCCGGAGCACCCTTTGAATTTTGCAGAGCTTGGATTGACCCCCATCTCAGGAGGCCGCATCTGCAGGGAGGCCTAAGGAGGCTGAAGAGAAGCCTGACAATGTCTGGAACTACAACGGGAGACTGGGGTTCAAAGCACGGCGACAGCCAGAACCGGGAACAGAGTCAAAGAACGTCTCCCCTGAGGTACCCCCTCAAAGGAGAGGCAGAGGAGAGCCGCTGGCAGCAAGAATCCACCTTGGGAACAAGGCAGCAATCCATGTGCTGGTTCCCAATTATCTCCGGTAGAGCCATAATCGTGCTGGCTTTCGAGGCCCAGAAAGCCACCGTTTGCCAGCTACTGTTTAATAATGAGAGATGCACAGCACAGGGGTAGCAGGGAAATGAAGAGGCAGAGCACAATTTGACCTGCAGGGCACAGGAAACCGTGAAGCAGAGAGACGCTTAATAACAGGGTTTTACCAGATGAGTGTGAGTGGCTGCCCGTGTGGCTTGGTGCCGTCTCTGAGCATGATCTCAGACAGGCTCTCTAGATCGGCTCCAAGTCCTCTGCCAGGCGGGTGGATGCTGTGCGAAAGTGAAGCTGGGCACAACGTTGAGTACCCAGTGAAGGAAGGCAGGGAACGGGAGAGAAACAAGGGCTCCAAGCAAGGTGTTGGCTCAGACTCTCGGTGCCCCAGAATAGAGTGTTGGGGAAGCTCCCAGCTCCCCTATACTTGGGCCCTTTTCCAGGGCAGGCCTAGGCACAGGCATGGCAGGGGAGGGGAGGTACACCCAGGGACCACTTGAAAAGCAGCCGGCGTGGGTAACGCTCCCACGGCCGCCAATCCCGGGCCTGCCCGTTCCTATGGAAACAGGCGCCAAGCTAGGAGCCTGCTGCTGGGAGCCAAGTCCCGGGCGGCTGTCAGGCTCAGCTGCCGGCTGCCCGCTGGGACCTGGAAGTGCCCTTTTCCAAAAACCATCCCTGCTGGCTCTGAGTCAGAGGGGTCTCCCAGCATCCGCTGAGCTCAGAGCCTGGATGGAAGAGGAGCGGGAGGAGAAGGAGGGGAGCGAATAAAAATATTTACGCTTAACAAACACTTTGATGTTTGAAGACTGTGTGTACAAATGAGGGCTGGGAACATCCTTGGTGAAGGGTTGGTGTTTCCAGGCAAATCTTTTCATGCACACGTGCGCACGTGCCCGCGCGCACACACATACACACACACAATCTCCAGCTCTCTTTCTCTCTTGATGGGTTTACATTATCACTGAAGCAGAATGCAAAGCTGGACTTGGGAAAGGTGTGAGTGGTGGTGGATGAGCACCCAGGGACCACACCTGTGTACCTCTGTGGGCCTCCTCTGTCAGCCCCGATGTGGCCTGCGGTGACTGGTTGGAGGGTGTAGGAGGCATCTGGGGCTGCCTAGCCACTTGAGGTGTGTTAGGAAGGCTGCCTGCTGGAGCTGCCACACGGCTGGGGGCTGTGGGTCTGGAGAGGCTTGAGGATCAAGTGCGGTGACACTGAAGACAAGGCCATCATGCCTGGCGTTCTGCACTTGGGTGAAAGTGAAGCCCTCTTCAGAGGAAGTGTGCAGTAAAGACCTGCACTGGGGTTGACCTTTATCTTCAGAGGTCCTGACAATTGAAAACAATGTGTGACACTTGCATCATGCCCAGGCAGAGGCAGCAGCAGTGAGGAGCTTGGGCTTTGGAGCCAGACAGTGCTGGCTGCGTGGCCTTGGGAAAGTCACTTAATCTTCCTGATCCTCAATTTCTTAACTTAGAGGTAGTAATAATAACCACCTCATTGTGTTATTGTGTGGATTAAATATGTTAAAATATATGGAATTTGTAGTATTTGCTTAATAAATATCAGCAAATATTATTGCGTTCATCTGAGAAATGGTTACTGAGTCTGTACAAAATGTCCAGGGACCCATGTTAAGTCTTTGGAGGATACAACAGTTACTCGGGCAGGTAATTTGCCCTAGGGGAGTTTATAGTTTGGTGAAGAAGCCAAGAGAGGTACATTAATAATTAAGAAATAGGCAGAAGATACAAAGTGAAAGTTCAACAGTGTCCACTACCTGTCCTCCCTCAAATAGTTATTTGGAGGTGAAAATAAGGTAGCGTAGGTATGTATCACTCAGAGAAGGCTAGCTGCTGTGACAAACAACCCTCAAGTAGCAGTGGCTAAGCAGCTGCAATGGCTAAACACCTGCAGTGGCTAACCAACCTCAGTGGCTAAGCGCCTGCAGTGGCCAAGCACCCACAGTGGCTAAGCACTTACAGTGGCTAAGCACTTGCAGTGGCTAAGTACCTGCGGTGGCTAAGCCCCCTCAGTAACTAAGCACCTGCAGTGGCCGAGCACCCTCAGTAGCTAAGCACCTACAGTGGGTAAACACCTGCAGTGGCTAAGTACCTGCAATGGCTAAGCACCTGCAGTGGCTAAACACCTTCAGTAGCTAAGCACCTGCAGTGGCTAAGTACCTGCAGGTGTTTGGCATTCACTTTTCCATGAGGTGATTCAGAAGCCCGGGCGCTTTCCAGCTTCTCCAGCCTTGGAATCCTCCACTGGCCCTTTCCATCCAGTGGATGGAGGAGGGACAAGAGAGCATATAGGACTGTGTGGAAAGTGTTGGAGACCATGTCTCAGTCTGGCTGCATTTTACTGTCCAGAATCCAGTTTTTGGCCCCACCTAACTGCAAAGGTTGCTGGGAAATGTAGTCTTCCTGTGTACACAATGGGTAAGTAAAATAGGGATTGGTGAACACAGTGTTATATCTGCCACAGTTGGAAAGGACTTTGAGAACGCAACAACCATACAATTTTTGGGGGCAGGGATGGTTGTTCTGAGTACTTATTGCTGTGTTATAAGCCACTGCAAAACTTAGTTGCTTAAAACAATAGCATTTATTAAGCTCATAAGTCTACGATTTGGGCAGGGCTCAGCAGGGACAGCTCTTCCCTGTTCCACTCAGTGTTAGCTGAATTGGCTGGGAAGCTGGGGGCTGGATTATCTGAGGGTCTCTCACTACCATGTCTGGTGGTTGATGCTGGCTGTTGGCTCAGACAGCTGGGGCTGGAACAAGTGGGGCTTCTCAGGTATCTCTCTATATTTCCTTTTTGTTTGTTTATTTTTAAAAATATATTTCAAAATAACTAAAAGAGTGCAATTGGAATGTTTCTAACACAAAGAAATAATAAATGCTTGTGATGATGGATATCCCAATGACCCTGATTTGACTATTTCAGCATTGTATGCTTGCATCAGAATACTCCATGTATCCCATAAATATGTATGACTAGTATATGTATTCATAATAATCACAAATAAAAATTATAAAAGCAATTTCTTTATTTTTACTTGTATACATTCAAGGAGTACAAGTGCAGTTTTGTTCCACGGATACATTGTGTAGTAGTGAAGTCTGGGCTTTTGGTGTAATCATCACCCAAATATAATGTACATTGTCCCCATTAAGTAATTTCTCATCCCTGACTCCCTTCCCACCCTGCCATCCTTCTAAGTCTCCAATGTCTATTATTCCACATTCTATGTCCATGTGTACACATTATTTAACTCCCACTTATAAATGAGAACATGCAGTATTTGACTTTTTCTTTTGAGTTGTTTCACTTAAGATAATGGCCTCCAGTTCCATCTGTGTTGCTGCAAAAGACATGATTTTATTCTTTTTTTTATGGCTAAGTAGTATTCTATTGTGACATATGCCTCATTTTTTTAATCCAAACATTCACTGATGGACACTTAAATTAATTCCACATCTTTGCTATTGTGAATAGTGCTGTGACAAACATATGAGGGCAAGTTAAAATTATATTTATGTTATACAATATAATGCTTTCATACATGTATACATTGTGAAATGGCTAAAGAAAGCTACTTAACATACGCATTACCTCACATACTTATTTTTTCATAGTGAAAACACTTAAAATCTACTCTTTTAGCAATTTTCAAGTATACAATATATTGTTATTAACTGTTGTCACCATGATACACAACAGATCTCTTGAACTTACTCCTCCTTTCTAAATGAAATTTTGTGTCCTTTCACCAACATCTTCCCAATCCCCCCACCCCTCTCTATATTTCTGTGTGGTCTTTTCATGTGGTGTCTCCAGGATGGAGGCTTCATAGGGTAGCAGGACTCCCTGCATGATAGCTCAGGGCTCCCAAGGCACATGTCCTAAGATAAAACAGCACAAGGTCTTTCCCAACCTATCCTTGGAAGTCAATCCCACCAGTGACACCAAGGGATAAATTCATACAAACGTCTGGTTCATAACTCTTAAAGGCAAGACATTTTTTGTGGCTTTATTGTGCTTGGTTCAGAGGCCCCACTTGCCAGGGTCAGTCATTTCTGGGAGGTTCCTTTCCTTCTCTGGAGGCTTATAAGTCCCTGGGACTAGCAGACTAGAAACTGGGGGAAGAGCCATGGTGATGGTCACTGAGCTGCTTATTGTCAAAGCATCCTGCTAACATTGTCCATGCTCTCAGAGCCCACCATGGTCCCCAAGACCTTCACTGAGGCTCCCAGGGCCATGGAGCTTAGAGTCCAGATCCCAGGATCCACGCAGAACCCCCAGCAGAGGCTCTGCCATTTCCAGGGTCTATGTGGAAGCTTGGCACTGGTTTCCCCCAGCACCTGCCACCTCTAGTGCCATCCTGTTGGTCTTGGATTCCCATCCTATTCCTCATCCTTGCCTAGTCTCTTCTTCTTAACTAGGCCCTTATATGCTCCTCACTCATGGTGCCTGCAGAAATACAACCTCTTGAGGCAGGTTCCCACCCTTGACCAATTAGTGTGAGGCACCAGAATGATGATTTCTGCAGAAAGACTCTCTTAAGATGGGACAGCGTGCACTAAAGGCACTCTGAGGCTTGGTCCATCCAGATTTAATAAGACATTTATTTTTAGTTACCCCTGGCCTCCAGGCCTCATAGCTCCTCATAAGCTCTTTTTTACCAGGTTCCATCCTGCCATCCTTCCAAGCATTTTTTTTTACAGGGTCTCTCTGTGTTGCCCAGACTGGAGTGCAGTGGTCTGATCATGGCTCACTGCAGCCTTGACCTCCCGGCAAAAATGATCCTCCCACCTCAGACCCCAAGTAGCTGAGACCACAGGCATGTGCCACCACACTTGGTTAACTTTTAATATTTTTTTTTTTTGTAGAGATGGAGTCTCATTATGTTGCCCCAGCTGGTCTTGAACTCCTTAGCTCAAGCCATCCTCCCTCCTCAGCCTCCCAAAGTGCTGGGATTATAGGCATGAGCCACCATACCCAGCCCTTCCAAAAATTTTAAAGAAGGAGTCTGTCCTGAATCTTCCAGAGCCCAGATGATGTGCCCCAGAGACTCAGGGGAGGAAGACCTCGCTTCTAATCTAGGAAGAAGTTATGCTTTCATGGTGATGGTGACATGTTGTCCTAGATTGACTGCCCTTTGAAGAGATCCTGTGCCTAGGATTTGTGTGAAAGGATCTCATTTGAGAGGGCATCCTAGCCAACACCAGTTGGAAGTGGGAAAGCCAGACAGGGAAGGGGAACAAGTCAACACAGGGTGTGGTAAAAAGCGTCTGGGGCTCAGTCCTACTGGGCATTGTCAGGAGGTAGTCACCCTCAAAGCCATCATACCCAAGGGTGAGGAGCCAGCGTGTTTATTTGCCCACTCCATGCATCCATGGTGCAGAGCTGCTGTGGAGAGTGTAAGATCGTTGGCACTTCCTATTTGCCCTGCACTACAGAATGCCCTAAGGCAGAGAGTGTGCAGGGATGCTGTAGGAATGAGGACATATGGGCAGGACACCAACAATGTCTGTCACACACAGGAATGGATTTTGTATTTTAGCTTTTTATTATGTAAAGTGTCAGATGTTCACAAAGTAAACAGAATAGTATAACAACAATCCATGGACCCATCCCCAGCTTCAACAATGATCAACATTCTTTTTTTTTCCTTTCAAGTATGCCTCTGAACTGACTTTTATAGAATGGAGAAAACATGGTAAGAAAAGGAGGGCAAGATTCCAGATAAAAAGAGTCAACTTACCAAAGGCACGGGGATGTAAACCAGCAAACTGCCATGCTCTTTGACTTCTGTGTCACCTGCATGATGGAGACTTGGAGTTCAAGTGAAAAGTTAGCCTGGGATCAGCCTTGGAGAGTGTTAGAGAGCAGGCTAAGGAGGGCATGGAGAGACATTCTCTGGCAAGTTGTTGTGTAGGTGAGTAACCTGATTGTCTCAGCTTGGGATCTCGAGAAGAAGACCCTGAGAGAAGGAATCAAGGACAATGAGTTATTTGGAAGGTGGTTGTAGGAAATAGCAGGGGAGTAGAGAATTAATTCAGGGAAGGGAAGGCAGAGATAAAGGATGTTATTAAGCCAGCTCCTACCAGGGCAACTAGGGTTCAGTCCCACGGGAACTCTGGGAGACAATGTAGAGCACACGGCTCAGAGTTATCTCCAAAGTGGGTCAGGAGCTGGGGCATTTATCTACCAACTCCCCTTCCGTCATTGCTGGAGGGCTGTTTTCTAGGGGCACTGATTCCTTGGCCCTTCCAACTTGTGGTTCTGGGAAAAACCCTCTGAAGCAGAGATACGGATACTGGCAAGTGGAAGTCTGCTGGAACACACCAGGCTGGAAAGATCTGGAGGAATATGGATGGGGCACTGAGGGCCTCTCACACACTGATCTTAGCTGGAGTTCATTAGGAGGCAGAATATCTGATGAATTGGGGCAGGGACATTCAGGAGACAGGGACACCACGAGGAGGCTTTTGCTGTGGTCCAGGTGGGAGGCAATAGAGTTCTGTGCTGGGAGAATAGGAAAGGAGAAGAGGCGACAGATGGGGGAGAGAGAGATTGGGGAGATATCATTGACAGGATTTGGCAACTGATCTTGCATGTTCACACGTAGGAGGCAAATTACCAGAGATAGATTATAAACAATGCTCAACCTTAGTAGATACATTTTTAAACTTCTGGTAAAGCAATCAAATTCATCAACAATCCTGCTGGGTCTGTCTCAATTCCAGAAGCTCAGCCAGGCACCCAAAGGCTCAGAGGCAGAAGATTAAGTGACTGAGGGGCTGGCATCTTCTCAGATGTGGCCACAGGCCCAACTCATTCCAGACTCTTCCAGGCTGTGCTGCAGCTAGATGAGGGCCAGTGAGAGCAGCCCTGGGTAATGAGTCAGGAAATCCAAGAGCAGGTCTTTTCTCCTCCACTGTACAGCTTGGGGCAAGTCACTGGGCCTCAGTTTCCTCAGCTATAAAACGCGAAACATTGTATGCGCTCTCCCCATCATGAAATATTTGTTGTGAGGACCCAACATGTTTATGTGTCAGTATGGCTCTTTTGACTTTTCTAGCAAATGCATTCCTCTTCAATACCTTAGTCTTGAAACTAAATGTCCCTTAGTCTGAGAGTTCTAAGACCACTATGACTGCCTGCTCTGCCTCTGCTAACTCAGCAACTTTTCCTGCATATCTTTGCTTTTGTGCCCTGCTAACAAAAGAGAAATTTCTCTGTCAGTGCCCTGCCCATATCCCTTCACCCTTTATGTCCTCATCCATTTGTGTGGCTATAAAGGAATACCTGAGGCTAGGTAATTTATAAAGAACACAGGCCTATTTGGGTCATAGTTCTGTAGGATGTACAAGAAGCATGGTGCCAGCATCTGCCTCTGGTGAAGGCCTCAGGAAGCTTCCAGTTATAGTGGAAGGGGAAGGGGAGGAGGCATCACATGGCAAGAAAGGAAGGAAGGAAAAGAGAGAGGAGGGAGGTGCCAGGCTCTTTTTAACAGCCAGATATCATGGGAACTAAGAGTGTGAACTCACTGAATCCCATGAGGATGGCACCAAGCCATTCATGAGGAATTCACTCCCATGACCCAAACACCTCTCACCAGGACCCACCTGTAACTCTGGGATCCAAATTTCAACATGAGACTTGGAGGGAACCAATATCTAAGCTCTCTTTCAGAATATCTACATGTCTGTACCTGAAAGCATCCCACACCCCAGAAGGCTGCTCTGCCTCTGTGGGGCAGGCCAGAAAGGCAATTATAATACCTGATGGCAAAAGGGACTTTGCAGATGTGATTGAGTTAAGGATCTTGATATGTGGGGATGATCCTAGATTATCTGGGTAGGTCTTTATTAGAGGGAGGCAGGAGGATCAGAATTAGAGAATGTGATGTGACAATGAAAGCAGAGGAGAAGAAGGAGATGTGACAAGAGTAGAATAAATCAGAGTGATGCAGGGCCATGAGCCAAGGAATGCAGGATGCCTCTCCAAGCTAGAAAGGGCAAGGAAATAGGGTCTCCCCTAGAGTCTCCAGAGGAATCCAACCCTGCTGACCCATTTCAGATTCCTGACCTCCAGGAGGTAATATAGTTGTGCTGTTTTAAGCCACGAAATGTGTAGTAATTGGTTATAGCAGCAATAGGAAACAATTACATTCAGAAATTAACAGTGCTCTAAGAGTAGCCCTCATTCTGTGCCTGATGGGGGATGGTGGATACATGCCCCAACTCCTTCATCTTTCGCATAGAGTAACACTAAGGCAATCTGTTTGTTTGTTTTTTTGTTTTGTTTTGTTTTGTTTTTTGAGACAGCATTTTGCTCTGTTGCCCAGGCTGGAGTGTAGTGGCATGATCATGGCTCACTGCAGCCTCAAACTCCTGAGCTCAAGCAATCCTCCCACCTCAGCCTCCCAAGTAGCTGGGACCACAGGTGCTTGCCACCACATCCAGCTAACTTTTAAATTTTTTGTATGGACAGGGTCTCACTATGTTGCCCAGGCTGTTCTCAATTTCCTGGCCTCAAGTGATCCCCCTGCCTTGGCCTCCCAAAGTGCTGGGATTACAGGAGCGAGCCACCATTCCTGACCAAGAGGCACCTGTTTTATACCATTTCTCAGTTTCCCCTGGGGTTAAGCACCTATAACTGCTGTGATAGCTGGCTTAATAATTACCCCTTTTTGCCTTCTTTCTTGTATGACTTTGATTCTTCCCTGCCGAGGACTCCTGGGATACCTTCCCAAATAAACCGTTTGCATTTAGATCCTTAATCTTTAATGTCAGGGTCTCCTTCTGAGGGAAACTGATATGGTTTGGCTGTGTCCCCACCCAAATCTCATCTTGAATTGTAGCTCCCATAATTCCCATGTGTCATGGGAGGGACCTGGTGGGAGGTAATTGAATCATGGGGGCAAGTATTTTCCATGCTGTTCTTATGACAGTGAATAAGTCTCACGAGATTTGATGGTTTTATAAATGGGAGTTCCCCTGTGCAAGCTCTCTTGCCTGCCTCCATGTAAGATCTGTGTTTGCTTTTCCATTGCCTTCCACCATGATCATGAGGCCTCCCCAGCCACATGGAACCTTGAGTCAATTAAACCTCTTTCCTTTATAAATTATCCAGTCTTAGGTATGTCTTTACTAGCAACATGGGAACAGACTAATACAGAAACCAATCCAACATAGCCCACAGAGAGGGGCCCCTGTGGTCCAGCTACATTTCATCCTCAATCCTATCAACCCTGTGAAGGTGCTTGTGCTCCCATATTTCAGATGAGAAAGCTCATCCCAGAATCTGGACTAAGTGCCACAGCTGGAAAGTGGAGCATTCCAGATTTGAGACAAGGTGTGCCTGAATCTAACACTGTGCCTTGTTTGTGGGAAAGCTGATGAGAGGGGTCACAGAACTCCTGATGCTCAGGGGAGCCCATACCAAGGGTTCCTGTCTTCTGCCTTGACCTCTTTGCCTTTTGATGGTTGCCTTGGGCCCACTGCCCCCAATCTTATTGTCTCGTGGAACTGTCACACTCAATATTTGCACCTGTGTTAGTCTGCCAGAGCTGTCATAACAAAGTACTACAGACTGGGTGGCTTTAATGTATTGTCTTACAGTACTGGAGACCAGAAGTCCAAAATCAAGTTGTTGGCTGGGTTGGTTCCTCTTGAGGGCCATGAGGGAAGGATCTGTTCCAGACCTTGCCTTAGCTTGTGGGTGGCTGTCTTCTCCCTGTGTCTTTACATTGTCTTCCCTCTGTGTGTGTGTGTGTCTGTGCCCAAATTTTCCCTTCTTAAAAAGACACCAGTCATACTGGATTAAGGCCAACTTCATCTTGATGTGATCATCTTCAAATATAGTTCCAAGGATGGTGACATTCTGAGGCACTGGGGGTCAGAACTTCAACCTATGAATTTGGGGAGGACAAAGCTCAATCCATAGCAGCACTTGAGGGACAGTCTTTCATAAGAGACTTGTGGAATCACGGGCATTTTCTGGATCCTGATGGTCTTTTCTTGGGGCTCTAGAATCCATCACCTTTTCTTTTTGAGGGGTTGAAATGTCGAGGCTAGATATGTATGAGGCAAGGAGGCACCTCTATGTGTCTGGCCAGCTGGTGGGAAGGTGGCGATGATGACTTGATAGGTTTCTGTTGGTGGGGAAGAAGATCAGGTTGCCAACCTCAGTCTGTGCCCTCCTGGGTCCTGAAGGAGGAGGCCGGTCAGTTGAGACCTGCCTTAGGGCAGACAACAATCTTTCTTCTTCACTATTATGTCCCAGTGCCTGGCACTGTGCTGGGCACACAGCAGGGCCCCAGTGAGTCTGCTGGTTGCTTGACTGAACCCTGGACGTCTGGTCACTTGGTAGAGTTGCACAAACCTTGGGTGTATGGGCAGGATATGATGTTGTAGTCAGAGGGAACTGAGTGTGAGAGGAGAAAGAACTGAGAGAGGGCCTGGGGCCTGGAGAAGCTAAAGAACCGACTCTGCCTAAGGCCAAGTTCACTGAGTGCAAGTCGCATCAGCACTGGGTGGGCTGGGGCAGTCTGTGGAGCTGGCGCGGCAGCTGACCAGCAAGAGCTGTGTGCTTGTATTCATCTGCCTGGGAAAGCCAAAGTCAGGGGCAGGGGCAGGCAGGGAAAAGGAGCCCTCCAGGAGGAAAGGAAAGAGGAAAATGGGAGCTAGAGGGGAGAGAGACAGCTGTGGTTGGTCTTTTATTCGTTTTCACAAACTGAGTGGCTGAAAACAATGGAAATTGATTCTCTCACAGTTCTGGAGGCTGGAAGTCTGAAATCCAGGTGTAGGCAGGGTCGGTTCCTCCTGGAGGCTCTGAAAGAGGTTCTTTTCCATGCTTTTTTTCTGGCTTCTGGTGGCTGCCAGGGATCCTTGGCATTCCTTGGCTTGTTGCCACATCACTCCAGTCTCTGTCTCCAACTTCACATCACCCTCTCTGTGTGCCTTCGCCCCTTTTCTTTTCTTATAAAGACACTTGTCATTGGATTTAGGGCTCACCTTGATCCAGGATGATCTCATCTTGAGATCCTTAACTTAATTAACTCTACAAAGACCGTTTTTCCAAATAAGGTTACTACATTCACAGGTTCCAGGTGGACATATCTTTTGGGACCACCATTCAACCTGCTACAGTTTTTGATGTTGGCCCCAGGCCCAATCCTTTGAACTTGGACTGAGGCTTATGGAGAGGTTGCTGGCTGGTCTCCTGAAAGATTCCATTCCACCATTGCAGGACACCAATAGGCTTCTCTGGTGCCTGGTCAGAAGTGGGTCCTGGGTGAGAAGGAAGGCACAACTCCTCCCCTTTGCCGAGCTCAGTGTGAGGATGGGAGTGGGGAGCAGACAGTGCTCTGTCACCTGCCTCCAGAGTTGAGCCTCTGGGCCAGGACCTGAAACTGCACATTTCACCTGGGTCACCAAAGATAATAGCTAATAAATTCCAACATGAGACCAAAATGCAGATTTTTTCAAAGGAAATATCCAAGAACCAGTTAAAGGACTTTAAATCCAGAGGAGGACATAAAAGGTTGAAGAGAGAAGACACTGGATTTTCTGAAAGTAGATTTCTTTGGAGACAACTGATCACTTGCTGGGAGCCCCTGGCCTGGCACATAGAAAAGAGGGCTAAGATATATGTGGGGGTGGAGGGAGGGTGCTCACTGAAAGCCAGAAGGAATGACGTAAGCACTTCACTTGGAAAACCTGAGGATACTTGACTCCTGCAGTTATCTGGGCTCTGTGGACTGGGATGTGGCATGCCTTTTTTCTCTGACAGGCTATTTGCCTGGGGCAACAAGGGAGGGAGTGAGGAAGGTGGTGGAGAGAGAGAGAGAACGCTGCTTCTATAGAAAAAAATGACTGCCCTCCCCTTAAATAGCATGCCAATTGTGCCTGAATCCTAGGCACTGAGTACTGAATCATGGTAGGAATGTTGGTCTGGAAGACTAAACCCAGACCTTCATTGTCTGCGATCCATGAGCCTAAGGCTTTAGAGGTCTTTGAACCCCCCCAAATTCTACATGAATATTTACAAGTAGCTGCAAGTGAACATTTTTTTCTAGTGGGAGAACCCATCGCTTTCATTAGATTCTCAGTGGAAGTTGGGATTTCCCCAAAAGCTGAGACCGAATTAGACATGATTTAGGGCCTGTTTAGCCTGATGTTCCAGGTTCTCAGGACCCCTAGACTCTGGGAAGGGTGGAAACTCTGAGGGGTCAGTGGTGGATCCAGATCGATCCATTGTGTCCAGCTCCAGGGTCCACTTGATGAGCAGTGTGTGGTGGGTTGAATTGTGTCCCTACAAAAGTTAGGTTGAAGTCCTAATCTTCAATGCCTGTGAATGTGACTACATTTGGAAATAGGGCTTTTGCAGATGTAATCAAGTTAAGATGAGGTCATACTGGAATGAGTTGGGCCCTAAATCCAATGACTGGTGTCCTTATGAGGAGAGAGAAATTTGGAGACACAGAGGGAAGAGGCCATGTGAAGACAGAGGCAGAGATTGGAGTGATGCATCTAGGAGCCAAAAACCACTGGGGCTACCAGAAGCTCTGAAGAAGCAAGGAAAGATTTTTCCCTGGAGCCTTTGGAGGAAGCTTACCCCTGCAGATCCCTTGATTTAGGATGTCTAGCCTCAGAGCTATGAGAGAATCGATTTTTGTTGTTTTAAGCCACCCAGTTTGTGGTAACCTGTTATGGCAGCCACAGAAAATGAAAGCATAGTGTACCCGTGTTTTTGTGTTCTTAGTTCAAGACTGTTTACTTGGCCTTATGTCTTGTTTCCCAGCTGAGAAATGACCCACAGTGACTGGGCTACCTGCAAGAGAGACCCTTGCATCAGTGATTCAAGAGGTATTCATATGCCAGGTGCCCATTTATACGTTTCCACCCTCCCTCTTTGGTTTGCAAAAGGAGAATTGACTTCCCTGGATTGTATTCACCCCGAGGGTCAAAGGAGCCCCCCCATAAGCTCCAAGGGGGCAAGTTTTAGGCTCCAGGGCCCTACACAATCTAGCCCCCTCATCCCCCAGTCCTACACACTTTCTTCACCCCCTAGGCCTAGTCA
Organism: Homo sapiens; assembly: GCF_000001405.40. NCBI lineage: Eukaryota > Metazoa > Chordata > Mammalia > Primates > Hominidae > Homo > Homo sapiens. The sequence goes on along the minus strand of NC_000023.11, from coordinate 39,563,681 downwards.
CACCTTTGGGACCTGGAATATGCAGACTCCTTCGTGTCCAGGGGCTTTTGCATATGCTGTAGGCTTTGCTAGAGATGTCCTTAAAACAACTTTTAACTATAGAAATTTCAAGCATATATAAAAAGAAAAGAATAGTAAAATGAATCTCTATGTACTCAGCACCTAGCAGTAACAATGACCAGCTCATGGTCAATCTGTTTCATCTATACCCTTATCCATTCCTTTCTCCTCCAGCCATATGATTTTGAAGCAAATTGCAGTATTGCATCATTTTGTCTGTAAATATTTTGGTATCTATCTCTAAGAGATAGGGACTTTTTAAAAAGAGAACTGAAACAACATCATCATGTCTAAAAAAATTAACAAATTTTTAACAGTATTAAACATCCAGTGAGTGTTCAGACTTCTGGTTGCTTCATAAATGTCATAATTTGCTAATGGTTTGTTTGAATTGGAATCCAAATAATGGCCAAACATAGCAAACAGTTATCTCTAAGTCTCTAAGTTTTCCCTCTTTTTCTCTCTCCTTTTGCAATTTATTTGTGGAAGAAAACCAGACTGTTTGTCTTATAGAGTTTTTCAGTCTGCTTAAGGATATAAACCTCCCTCTGTCACTTGTATTTCCTGTAAATTGGGTAGTTAGATCTAGAGACTCCAATAGATTCAAGTGCATTGGGATTAGGGGGGTGTTGTGAACATGATCAAGAAGAACATGGTGTCTGGATGGCTCTCCTCCTTTCTTGATGGCCCTCCTTTTGAGTTGATGATATGGTTTGCATGTGTTTCCCCTCCAAATCTCATGTTGAAAGGTGGCCTCCAGTGTTGGAGGTGGGCCTAGTGGGAGGTGTTTGGGTCACGGGGGTAGATCCTTCATGAATGGCTTGGTCCTGTCCTTGGGATAATAAGTGAATTCTCGATCTGTTAGTTCATGTGCGATCTGGTTGTTTGAAAGAGCCTGGCACTTCCTCCTTCTCTCTCTTGCTTCTTCTCTCACTCTATGACACACTGGCTCCCCTTTGCCTTCTGCCATTTTGAAAGTTTCCTGAGGCCCTCACCAGAAGATGCCGGCACTATGCTTTGTGTACAGCCTGCAGAACTGTGAGCCAAATAAACCTCTTTCTTTATGAATTGCCCAGTCTCAGGTATTCCTTTATAGCAATGCAAAATGGACTCACACAGTTGATAATCACTGTCTGCATCCCCTACATCAAGGAGATGTGCCCAGAATTCTCCTTACACCTTCTGTACCCAGTCAACTCTTACACAGACCTTGGGTCTCATCTCAATAATTATTTTCTCAGGGAAGAGTTCCTCACCCACCTAGACTAGCTCACATCCTCTTGTTAGAAATGCTCATGGCACCATCATAGCTCATACATTTATTTAGGATTCTTTGCTAAAGGTGTGGCTATCTCACAAGAGTATAAATTCCTTGAGGTTGGAGGCTGCATCTGTTTTCCTCCTCATTGTATTTCCAGTTCCTGGCATGGAGTAGTTGCTCAGTGAGCATTTGTCCAATGGATGAGTGGGTGGGTGCTTTTGCTTTTGGCATCCTGGAAAAATCTGGAGTGGGGCTGGAAAAGGAGTAAACCTATGAGATGGGGCTGATGTCTTGCACAACCCAGGTTTTCTACAGAATGTTTCCATGGACAGAGCACAGTCGCCTTGTGGTGTCACCCTCTGAAGGCCTTGATGTCCTGCCATGTCTACCCTACACTCCTCCAATCTTGCTGCTGAATTGCAGAGTGCAGCTTGCCCCTTTAGTGCTGGGTGGCATTGAAAGAAATAAATTATTTCTCTCCTCCTCCCCAATCCTTGGAGACACAGAATATCCCATCTTTAATCACTGCCTAAAATGCAGGATTTTTATTTCCTGGATTAGAAAATGTTTCCCTCCCAGAGAGGCCTGATGCGCCTTCCAGGGAGCCCTTTCCCTCTTCCTTTGATCTTAGAGTATTCCATCAGCCACTGGCTCCTGATGAATTAAACAAAAGGAGAGAAACTCAGGAATCTGCAAGAAGCAAGCCAAATGGGCCAAATCATGTGGGGAGGGTGCCCAACAGCCTGCTGGCAACAAGCCGGAAGATTACCAGCCTGCCCCTCCAGGCCTGGTTCTGGGGACCATCTCAAGCCAGAGAGCACTGGAAGATCATGTTGTCCCTTAGTCCCCCAGACTCTTTGGAGGATGTGGCTGCAGGAGGATCGGGAACTCCTTGCTTCCTCCTCAGGGGAAGGAGGAAAGGGAAAATCAGGCCTCACCTGGTGGTAACTGCCTTTAGTTCAGGGCAGCCTAAATGAGAAAACCCAGAACAACCGCTTGTGGCACTGATCTCGAGGTTGGCACCTGCCAAACCTCAAAGGGGTCAGAGAATTCCTGGCTCCTGGTGCTGGAGGGCCAGGGTCCCTCATAGGCTCGGCCAAACATCTGAGGATGACCTAGGGTCAGTCAGGCCACTGGATCAATGGCTGGCCTCAGGCAGGTTTGGTTTGCTGGACATTCAGCCCAGAACAACCTTACAGCCTTGTAGAGGGTGTCATTCTGGGAAGGAGTCTGCCACAGTTTGCTCATTGGTTTGACTTTTTCTGGGGCCTTCTGGGGGAACCAAGATGATGTATTCTGCATCTTTTTGTCCCATCTGTTAGATTTAACATCAATAATTTTTTAAAAACCTATAATTTTAACCTAATGAGACCTCATATTAAAACTCAGCATTCCACAGCTGCTTTTTGTTCATAAGTGTGGTTCTCTGAGGGAGACATCTTGGGAGGTATTTACCTATGGCTGGGTGGCTACTGTCACTCAAAATGTTTTGGGGACACATCTCATGGATGTGCCTTTTGGAATCTATGCCATGTGCTTTTAGGCTTCAGTGGCACAGCAGACCTTGGTCCTTTGGGCCACACCTTGGTGGCCAGGTTGAGAGTGGCCTTAATGTGGGGTCTGGGTCTGTCTGGCTCATGCCGCTGTGCCCAGCACCCAGCAGAATGCTCAGGAGATATTCCTAGGATTAAGGAATGTTGAACTCTTTTCACGATCAGAAACGAGACGTGATGAATCACAACAGCAGGATGAGCTTGACTCTCTTGCTTGGCTTGTCAGCGGCCCTGGAAGGTGTTTTCAGAAAACGACGGAGTGATATGTCACCCTTCTGGCACATCCCCAGAGTTTGTAGAGCTGATCTGCACTGCCAGAGGGAGTACCACATCCCAGAGGGAGCAGATTTTCCAGATTCCTCGATTGTGGGGACCGTCACTGTGGGACTCCGGGAACCTCGCCATGGCTTACCCTGCTCTGAATCTCTAACTCCCGGCACAGTGCATTGCACATGGCAAGTGTCCTAGTTTGCATTCTCTTAAGGGTGTGGGTGCAAATCGTTTATTTGGGAAAAGTTCCCAGAAGCCCAGTAAGGGTGTGCAGAAGTGAGACAAGGAAGGGAGGGAAGCCAATAAACAGTGTGCTAAGGAGCAGGTGGGCAAATGAGGGTCCCTCCTGCTGGGAGCCTTCTGGAAGACTTCGAGGAACATTATCCAGAGTTGTCTTCCACTGAAGGGTCATGAAGGTGGGGTGCATATCTACAAACTACTACCCTCCCCTCCTCTCTTGGTTGATAGTGGTCCCTTGGTGTTGCCTCCGTCACTTCTAGCCCACCTGCAGTGTGGGCTGAGCACATTTCTGCTGCCAGAGGAAGCCTGAAGGCAGAGAGATGAATGTCTGAGGTAGGAAGCCATTGGGGCAGGCAGAACTATCCACCAAGCTGCAGGTGACCTTTGGAGTGGCAGGAGGGGATAAGAACAGGGCAGTGTGTTCTACAATAAGTGATCAAATGTTTGTTGAATGAATGTTTGTTGAGTGAATGTGTCTGAATTACAGATACTTATAACATGGGGATAATGATTTTGGCAACTATCACTGTCAATTTCAATTTTTCTCTCTCTCTCTCTTCCTCTCTGTCTCTCTCTCTCTCTCTTTCACACACACACACACACACACACACACACACACACACACACGTGTATATATACATGCCAATCTTACAATATTGAGCATTAAACACATATTAAATGATTCATAATGAGTTCTGCTTGACTCACAATGTTCATTCCCATGCTCCTGGCAACCCCCTAGCAATGGTGTCTTACATGTATGCATATTGAAAAAAAATGTGGAGTTTGAAGTAAGACAGGACTGAGTTTGAATCTTACTTCCACCTCTTTGTGACCTCGGGCAAATTATTTAGTCTCTCTGAATCTCCTCCTCTGGGAAATGAAGCAATAATGTCATCTCCCAAAGCTATCGTGAGGCTCAAAAGAGGTAACGTTGGTAAAAGCATTCAGCTATGTGTAAAGCACTGTGGAATGTGCTTTTCCTTAATGTTCTTACTGTATTCAGATCATTCCTTTATTTGCTAAATATTTATCAAATGAGTACATGAGCCGGGCATGGTTCTAAGTGTTACAGAAACAAGGGTGAACAAAATAGTTAAAAACCACTCGCCTTCATGGTGCTTAATTTCTAGTGGAGGAGAGACTACAGACAATGAACAAAATAAATAAGCCCATTTTATAGTATGTTAGGAAGTGATAAATGCTATGGAAAAAATAAAGCCAAGAAAGAAAATGAATAATGTAGAGAGAGTATGTGGGGTGATGTATTTAGATGGGGGGCAGTTCAATGAGGTCTTCCTAAAAAAGTGACATCTGAGCTGACCTGAAGGAGTTGAGGTTTGAGCCCCACTGGCATCTGGGAGAAGGATATTCCAGGCAGAGGTAATGGCAGGTGTGAAAGCCTTCAGGTAGGAGTGTGTGTGCCTTGTTTGAAGAACAATAAAGAGGTCAGTTCTTTGTCTCTTGGGAACACTGACAAATTTCCCCAAACTGGGTGGCTGACAACAGGCATGGATTCTGTTATGGTTCTGGAGGCCAGCAGTCTGAAATCAAGGTGTTGGTGGGGTCACATCCCCTCTGGAGGCTCTTGAGGAGGATTCTTCATGCCTCTTTCAGCTTCTGGGGGACCCCAGGTGTTCCTCGGCTGTGGCTGCATCACTCCAATCTCTGTCTCTGTCTTCACAGGGCCTTCTGCTCTCTCCACGTTTCTTTCCTCTGTGTGTCTCTTAGTGACATCTGTCACTAGATTTAGGGCCCCACTTGGATAATCCAGGATGATCCCATCTTGAGATCTTTAACTTAAATATATCTGCAAAGAACCTTTTTCCAAATAAGCTTACATTCACAGGTCCTAGAGGGTTAAGATGTGGACATATTTTTGGGGAACCGCCATTTAGCCTATGACACTAGTGTAGCTGGAGAGGAGTGAGCCAGACAGAGGCTGAAAGGAACAAGGTTGGAGAGTGTGACAGTATCTGGAGATACTCTTGTGCAGAAGGCAGGCTTCTGGCCCTGACCGGATGGCAAAAATGACCCCTGCAGCAACCTGTTCCCCAGCTGCCTGGTTCTCACCACCCTAGTAGCTTTCTGGAATTCTGCCTTTTCCTTGCTGCCTTCCTGGATTGATTGGAGGTAAGCTGATGGAGGACAAGGGCTTCTCTGGCTATAGACACAGAACCCTCATCTCTGTGAACACAGGGTCTGATAAGACTTTCTGGTCTGTTCACATGGAAAGTTCAAAGTGTCTGACCCAGCTTCTGTGACTCCTGCTGCCGATCTATGGGGCAGAAGATGCTGCCAGGCATGGGTTTAAATCTGTACCATCCCCAGCCCAGCCCTGGGCACAAGGTGCTTGGTAAAAGCCTTTCTAACAAATGGCAATGACTCCATTCAATTTGCTAACTATTTACCAGGTGTCTCCCATCTACAAATCTGCACTAAGTGAAAATACAAAGAGAAAGAAGGTAGAATTCTTAGCCATACGGCTCTTAGAGTATCATGGGGGAGAGGAACACATATGTAAATAACTCTATCACTAGTACATGGAGTGGGCACTATTTATTCCCTGCCCTGTTTCCCTCTAGGCCACCAGAGTTCCTGGGCAATTGGAGTGGACAGTTTTTAGCACATTAACTGCTTCCCGTTTCAAGGGCCACATCTCTAGTTCCATTGCCCACAAGCTCTGTGGGGTACTAGGGGAGCTTGCTTGGGTTGATGCAGGAGCAACAAGGAAGTGCAGGGAGCTAATGTCCAAGGAATACCCTTGGCTAAGCGGGGTTGGAGTTGCCCCCCCTTGCCCTGCTGGGGTTCCTGAGATCACCTTGCAAATATACAACTAGCACCCAGATCCTTGTCCCAGCCTCTGCTTTGGGGGGAAACCAAAACTGTGACTGAAGGCAAAGTGTGACAATATACCTTCAGACAATGTGCTAAGGAATAAGGAAAGAGGAGGCAGGAAGTCTATGGGAAGATCCTGGAAAATCTCTTGAAATGGATGTCACTGTCTCTGGGTTTTGAAAGATGTGTAGGAGTTTGACTGGCAGTGAAAATGGGAAGGGCAATCCAGGAAGAGCAGATAGCGTGAGCAAAGAAAGAGGTGAGGGAATGCAGGACGGACCTAGGGAATGGCGAGAAAAAACTGGGGGACAGGGTGCTTGGATCATCTGTAGAAGATAAGGCTGTAAAGGGAGGTCAAATACACACTGTGATGGGCTTTGCATGCCAATGTGAGAAGTTTTCACTTTATTCTACAAATTTATTCACTTTGTTCTTTAGGTGTCCAGGTCAGAGAAATGCAGTGGAGTCCTCAGGCAGGGACAGGATGGGACCTGCTCTCCTGGAATCAACTGGGTTTGCTGGAAAGAGGGACAGAGAACAGCCTATTTTTTCCTCCCATGGGACAGAGTGATTCTGTTAGTACTATTTCTTTTTTTGAGTCTTTTCAATCATTTTATCTCCTTGGCAGCCTGGCTCCTGGCAACAGGTTGGGGTCCTGAGTGAAAATGTGAAGAAAGCTAGGTTTGTCTTTGGGACACCTTTCTTTTCTCTATTCCCTCCTTGAACCTCTCTCCTTATCCTTTATCTTTTCTCCTTCCCCTCAGCCCTCAGCCCAATGCCCTCATGTGCTCTTTCTCCCTCTTCCCTCATACAGTTGACTTTTAAATATATTCATTTATACTAAAGTGAAAATGACTGATAGGAAAACAATATATTAAGGCACTTCAGGGAAAGGCATAATTACCACCTAAAAGGGGACAAAACCCTTGTTTGGTTTGAGCGATGAGAATGACTCTAATTGTAGAATTTTAAGTATGGAATGAGCTGAATAGTTTGCTGGTCTTTCCTACCTCCATGAAACTGCACACATGTCTCTTTTTGAGAACTTCAAACTTCTATTCTGCTCTTCAGTTACTTGGGTCTCTCAACATGTCTTGATGACTGCTTTCCCCTTTCTCTTGTGTGAGCTTGTTACTGAGGTGTTCTCCCCTGTTCCAGAGGCCAAGTGTGGTATCGCAAGGCAGCCGGGATCAGAACGGCCTCCTTTGCTCTTCCCCAGGGTGTATAGCACAGTCCTTTCCTGCTGAGGACTGACTGGCTGAGGCACTTACCTTGGCTTTGGCAAGACTATCTTTTTAATAAAAAAGGGGAACTTTTTTTTAAAAAGGTGAAAACTGCCTTGAGTCTGAAATTACCCACAAAGTCACCTTTTTCAGTGCTCACAGACATACAAGCACTCTGCCTCCGCTCTCAGCAAACCATATGCTGCCGCCGCTGCTGGCTGCGTCCTGGGGGATGGCTTTTTTCCCCTTCAGCAAGCCTCCAAAAATGTCATAGAAATTTATATGCTTATTCACAGAGCCGATAAAGCAGAAAACCAGCGTTTCAGCTATTTTTGTTTTGCTTTGCAGATGGGGAGTAAGAAGCATAAATCTCTCTCTCGTTGGACTTCGTGGCCCCCACTTTTTGTTTTGCATCAGACACTGCTCAGCCCATGGGGGTGACACTGTGAGGTTTGGGACCCACCCCTCCCATGCTGCCACCCACATAGAGAAGCTGACTGAAAGAAAAAGATAAAAAACTCAGCAATGTTTATTGTTCCTTAGGGCCCAGGACACCAAAGGCCCCATCACCCTGAGTGGCCAATGGGGGTTATCCTGGAGAAGAAAAGAACCCCACAGTGGCACAATGCTGTTCTTGTGACAGCTGCCTCTCTGCATGTGAGTAGGGAACATGCGTCATCCGTTCTAGCCTACCTACGGCTCCTCGGCAGCAGGGCTCCAAAATCAATGGTGTTTCAATTACTATTGCTGTGTGACAACTTATTTCAAGGCTTTACTTTGCTGACAGTATTGTGCACCAGGAATTTGAGAAGGGCTCTGCTGAGCAGTTCTTGGGGGTGCAGTCAGATGCCAGGTGGGGCTGCAGTTATCCGAAGGCTCAACTGGGCTGGATGTCCAAGATGGTGCATGCACGCATGGGGGAGTTGGAGTTCAGCTGAGACTGTTGACAAGTGAACTTACAGGTGGACCCTCCAGCATGGTGGTCTCAGGGTGGCTGGACTTACTGCATGGCAGCTGGCATTGTTTGGGGTGAGTGTTCTGAGAGCCAGTTGGAAGCCACATGGCCTGTCCTCAGATGTCCTGCAGTGTCACTTCTGCTACATTCTATGGGTTAGCAGAGAGTCACTAAGGTCAGCCCAGGTTCAAGAAGAGGGGGGTATAGACCCCATCTCAACCCAAGGCATCACAGGAGGGCTCTGAACAGAGAGGGAATATGTCTGACTTAGGTTTAAGGAGACCTCTGCCTGTTGGCTTCAGAAACAGCTCTGGGCTCCACTGGAACTTTTCAGTGAGTAAATAGGGAGCAGGCTACAGGGAGAATCTCTTCCATCTTCACTAACTGCTGACCTCCCTTTGGTGAGAACAGACACTTTCCCCTCTTCAGTGAGGCTCACATAGATAATTTCTGACAGGGTGGACTTCCAGGGCCAGTAAATCCCTACTGGGCCAGGCATCCAGAAAATGACTTTAGGGCACATCATCCCCATTTGAGGAGCAGCAGGGGAAAGGGCAAAAGTGGGTAAACCTACTCCCCTTCCCATTCCTGGAACAATCACGCTTGCCTGTTGACTCTACCCTGGAAGCATTCATAGTCTGACTGCTTCTTCCACCTTCTCCTGTGCCTCCTGGTCTGAGCCACCCTCACCTCTCACCTGGATTATGACTGGCCTCCCTGCAGCTCTCCCTGATATCTACAGTTCGTTTCCCACACAGCAGAGAGAGGGCTCCTTGAACTGAAGTCAGGCATGCCCCTCTTTTGCTCAGAGCCCTGCTGTGATACCCCACTGCTTTCAGAATCCTTGCAATGCCCAGCAAGGCCCTCTGGGGTCTGGCTTCCCACAACCATCCTAGCTTCAACTCCTACTTCTGTCTCCCTCACCCGCTCTGCTCCAGCCACACTAGCTTTCTTATGTGTCTCTAATATACCAGCTGCATCCCTGCCTCAGGACCTTTGCACTTGCTGTTGCCTCTGCCTGGAATGCCTTTACCTCATATATCTGCATGGCTTGTTCTTGCACCTTCCTCAGATCTCTACTCTAATGCTACCTCATCAGAAGAGCCTTTTCCTACCCCCCTGACTTAAAATCACAGCCCTGCCCCACCTCACTCCTAGTATCCCATGCCCTGCTTTAATTTTCTCCACAGAACTTGTTGCCCCCATGGCATATACTTATTAGTTTTTTTTTTTTTTTTTACTGTCTCTCTCCTTGTCTTAGTTCATTTTCTGCTGCTATAAAAGAATGCCACAGACTAGGTAATTTATTTTACAAAGAAATTTATGTGGCTCATGGTTCTGGGGATTGGGAAGTCCAAGAGCATGGTGCTAGCATCTGGCAAGGGTCATCCCATGGCAGAGGGCAGAAGGTGGAAGGGGAAGAGAGTGTGAGAGAAAGAGAGGAAATGGGGGCTGAAATCCTTTTATCAGGAGCCCATTCCTGAGATAATGGCATTAATCCACTTATGAGGGTGGAGTCTTCATGGTCCAATCCCCTCTTAATGCCCCACCTCTTAACACTCTTACAATGGCAATTAAATTTTTAACACATGAGATTTTGTAGGACACACTGAAACCGTAGCACTCCTCCACTGGAAGGCAGTCACTAGGAGAGCAGGGGCTGGGCCTACTTTGTTCACGACTGCAGGCACAGTGGGCCTTTAACCTAGTAGATGCCCAATAAATATTGAATGAACGGAAAGACTGTGGTCCTAACTTTTGAGGCAAGAGATATCATAGCCCCTTAATTTGTTTAGACCAGGGTCAGCAAACTTTTTCTGCGAAGGGCCAGTTAGTAAATGTTTTAGGCTTTGAAAGCCAGTGTCTGTCACAACTATTCAACTCTGCTGCTGTAGCACAAAAACAGCCCTATTCAATATGTAAACAAATGGAAGTGACTGTGTTTCAGTAAAACTTTATTCTCAAAAACAAGTGATAGGCCAGATTTGGCCCAAGAGCCTACAGTTTTCCAACCCCTGGTTTAGCTACAAAAATGTCCTCTAAAATCCAAATTATGGTTTTTGCTTCCCAGTTCAAGCATTTGAAGCACAGAGAAGTTGGGTGGCTGGCCTGAGGTCACACAACATGCTGGAGACAAAGGTGGGTAAGGAATCTGGGTTTCCCGATTTCTACTCAGGGCTCAGTTTCCCCATGTTGCCTCCCTGTGGGCCACTTGGAGAAGGCCAGAAGGAACCCTGGCTTAGGGCTCAGCTGAGAGGCTTCTATTAGCGCCACAGAAAGCTCATATTAAGTGCTAATTGCATTAGGTGCTAATTGTTAGGTGTTAGGTGTTGACGTCACCGGCTGTAAATTGCTATTAAGAGATGAGAGAGAAAGTAGAGGCTGAACAATTGAGACAGAGTCTAGGACCCAAGAAACCAGGGATTGTTGCAGGTTGGGTCTAGGAAGTCTGGAAGGCAGATTCTGAGACGGAGTTTAAAGTGCAGCACAATAAAATGAAGGCAGGCCCTTTGGACTGAGCCTGGGGGAAGGCAAAAGGAAGCAGGAATGGGCAGAAGGCAAAGTTGAGCTGCCAGGCAACCCAAACGACAGCCATGGTTGACCTGATGGGGAGCTCTGGAACTAGGGGACGGCCCCTCAGAGTGGCCTTGAGTTGGGCTGAAATGGCCAAGCCTCTTCCCCACCCCATGCATCAGTTGGTCATTAATGGGGGCTACATTGGGAGGAAAAATGACTTTAGATATGATGCCCCCAAGGGGCTGACAGCTAAGGGCTATTTGCTGACACCACCCTCAACAGCTGGGGCGGCAAGTCCTCTATTCCTGAAAAGAGCTCTGGGGTCAGTTTAGCCTGACATCTACTACAGGGAATAAGAAAGAGAAAAAGCAGAAGAGCTCATGGGAAATTGGAGGGGGAAAGAAAAATTACCCACATAAGCCAAAGGCAGAGCCAAAGTCATCCACAGCCTGAGAGTTTGGAATGGAATTGCTCTGCCCTAACTTCTTTGCCTGTTAGGATTCAGTTTGGCAGTGAGTGACAGAAAATCCGAAATAACTGGCTTAGACACAATAGAAGTATATTTCTCCATAAATGAAGCTGGAGTCACACAGCCCAAGGCTGTTCAGGCAATTTCACAAAGTATCAGGGACCCAGGCTTCTTCCATGTGGTTTTTCCACCATCTTCAGAACATAAACTTATCTCATGGTCCAGAATGGTTCCTCAAGCTCCAGCCATTACCTCTGCAGTTCGACAACCAGCAGGAACGAGTCAGAGATGAAAAAGGGCTTGGCTCTTCTCTTTAAGGACACTTCCTGGAAGTCACTTAATCATATTAGCCAGAAAACTTAGTCATATGGCTATGTCTAGCTGCTTAGGAGTCTAGGAAATGTCATTTTATTCTGGATGTCCTTTAGTTTGACCAAAAATCAGAAAAAAGAGAGAACAGATATTGGAGAAGAAGTTTCTGTTTCAATCTGACAAACTCTTCATCTTTAAAGATCAGACTCTCAGGGAAAGCTGCAAGTCCCCCTTGCCATATAGTGCTTCTACAATTCCCTAGCATTTTCATTGGAATTTGTCTTTTTTCCATATCTGGCTTTCCCACTGGATTGTGATCTGAGGGTAGGAACTTATGCTATTCATCTTCTACCCCTGGTACCCAGCACAGAGCCAACTGGTGCATACTAGGTGCTCAATAAATGCTTGCTGAGCAAACTCCTGAAGAAACCTAATATAACCCTTAGGAATGTGTTGCATTTCATACCCTTAGGAATGTGTTGCATTCCAGAAAAACTTTACTTTTAAAAGCGTTAACTAATAACTTTCTTCGAAGTTGATACACTACTAAGGAGTCTCAAGCAGCCCTTGCATTCTGAAAAAAAGTAATGACAGATGATTGGTGGTTATGGATGGCTGAACATTTTCTCATTTTTATCAAAGCTCAGTTAAATGTAGAATGTGGTTAGAGTGTATAAATATGAGTTATTATGCTCTGTGCTGTTGATGGTTAACAGAACCACAAATTTAACCTGGAGCCGTTCACTCATTTGCATCGAAGAGGCACTGGTGAAAGCCTTGAATGATGACATCAGCACCTGTGCGAGGCAAAAGACTGAGACAATTTACTCGCAAACAGCCCCCAACAGAATCCTTCTGGCACACGCCTGTCTGTCAATAAGGGTTGGAGTCACTCTGCTGCCTCTTAAGGTAGAGGAGGGGGCAGGATGCGAGCTCATAGGGTGCAGGCAGTGGGAGGAGGTTGTTCTTCAGAGACTACATTCTTCATGCAGCAGACAGTGTTGATGCCTCGCCCAGATCCTCTTTATCTGGCCGATGCACCCGTCTGTCTGCCAGACTGGGTGTTGGCTAGCATCAGCTTGCAGCTTGCATCCTACTCGGGGGAATTGCCTTTGGTCAACGGGATTCACTTTACTCAGAGATATCTGGGAGGTTGCACACCCCACCCAGGAGGATGGTGGGCAGACATAGCCAATGGCCTCTGCCAGGGACACAAATGCCTGGACGCTTTGCTTCAAGGAGAAGTAGTGATTATCAGCGGTGATCGGCTTGTTCCAGTTTTCCTGGGACTGTCAGTTTTAGGAAAATGCTTTGTCCTGGGCAAACTGGAACAGTTGGTCAGCTGGTCATCCTCAACTTCAGTAGCATCATGTCTCCATCTGGCTGTTTGTCCTGCCCTCTCCTGCTTCCCTCACTCCTCTTCAGGTTTCTCACATGAACCCTCCCTCCAGAAAGCACTGGCATAGGCATCTCTGTCTGAGTTCAGCCCTGCTTCTAGGGAACCAGACCTGAGACACCTGGGGAGAGCCTTTTCTGGTTTTTCTTCCTCTCCCAATGTGGTCCAGCTCTTACGAGAGTGCTTGTCGACAGGGTTCACAGGTAAATCCAGCTTTCTGGTTCTCGGCAACTCAGTGCAGGCTTGAGTCAGCACGCCTTGGCTCTTTGCAGGGGCTCCATGCAGTCGACCTAATATTCCGGTGTGGAGGTCTCCCTTTAAGTTCTCCATCTTTGGCAGCCCTGTGCTATTGCCTCATCTCTCCCACTCCTGCCCTTTGGTCTAACCAAGGCCATTTCTCTCAGGCTGCTGCTGGTCTCTAGAGGACCAGGCTCTTTTCTCCAGGAGAGGTGGCACAGCATGGAGGAAACAGCATGGATTAAATAGGCAGACTGGCTTCTGCCCCTGGCTTGGGGAAAATCCCTGAACCTCTCTGTGCCAACTTACATAATCCTAGAAAAATGGCACATTGGGTTATTGGGAGAACTTGGAGTGAGAGGCAATAAAGCCCTTAGCAAATGGGGTTGGCCCTGGCCTGGTACTCAATAAAGTCAATTCTTCTGGACCTCTGGTCTCAGTTTCCTCACTGTGACAAAAGATGGCTGGGATCAATGTTCCCTGAGGCTATGTCACCTTTGGCACATCTATGGTTCTGGTCCATGTGGGCTTCAAGAGGAAACCATCACCTTGGCTGCTTCTTCTTTGTCTTCTTTATATATATATATGGAGACATATATATATGTGTGTGTGTGTGTATATATATATATGTATATATACTTTAAGTTCTGGGATACGTGTGCAGAACATGCAGGTTTGTTACATAGGTATACACATGCCATGGTGGTTTGCAGCACCCATCAACCAGTCATCTACATTAGGTATTTCTCCTAATGCTATCCCTACCCTAGCTCCCCACTTCCCGACAGGCCCCAGTGTGTGATGTTCCCCTCCCTATGTCCATGTGTTGTCATTGTTCAACTCCCACTTATGAGTGAGAACATGCAGTGTTTGATTTTCTGTTCCTGTGTTAGTTTGCTGAGAATGATGGTTTCCAGCTTCATCTATGTCCTGGCAAAGGACATGAACTAATCTTTTTTTATGGCTGCATAGTATCCCATGGTGTATATGTGCCACGTTTTCTTAATCCAGTCTATCGTTGATGGGCATTTGGGTTGGTTCCAAGTCTTTGCTATTGTGAACAGTGCTGCAATGAACATACGTGTGCGTGTGTCTTTAGCATAGAATGATTTATAATCCTTTGGGTATATACCCAGTAATGGGATTGCTGGCTCAAATGGTATTTCTGGGTCTAGATCCTTGAGGAATCACCACACTGTCTTCCACAATGGTTGAACTAATTTACACTCCCATGAACAGTGTAAAAGCGTTTCTATTTCTCTATATCATCTCCAGCATCTATTGTTTCCTGACTTTTTAATGATTGCCATTCTAACTGGTGTGAGATGGTATCTCATTGTGGTTTTGATTTGCATTTCTCTAATGACCAAAGATGATGAGCTTTTCTTTCATATATTTGTTGGCTGCATAAATGTCTTCTTTTGAGAAGTGTCTGTTCATATCCTTTGCCCACTTTTCAAAAAGTCATTTTTTTTCTTGTAAATTTGTTTAAGTTCCTTGTAGATTCTGGATATTAGCCCTTTGTCAGATGGATAGATTGCAAAAATTTTCTCCCATTCTGTAGGTTGCCTGTTCACTCTGATGATAGTTTCTTTTGCTGTGCAGAAGCTCTTTAGTTTAATTTGATTTCATTTGTCAATTTTGGCTTTTGTTGCCATTGCTTTTGGTGTTTTAGTCATGAAGTCTTTGCCCATGCCTATGTCCTGAATGATTTTGCCTAGATTTTCTTCTAGGGTTTTTATGGTTTTAGGTCTTACATTTAAGTCTTTTCTTTTTCTTTTTTAAAATTATTATACTTAAAGTTCTAGGGTACATGTGCACAACGTGCAGGTTTGTTACATAGGTATACATGTGCCATGTTGGTTTGCTGCACCCATCAACTTGTCATTTACATTAGGTATTTCTCCTAATGCTATCCCTCCCCCAGCCCCCCAACCCCCAACAGGCCCCAGTGTGTGATGTTCCCCTCCCTGTGTCCATGTATTCTCTTTGTTCAACTCCCACTTATGCATGAGAACATGTGGTGTTTGGTTTTCTGTCCTTGTGATATTTTGCTGAGAATGATGGTTTCCAGCTTCATCCATGTCCCTGCAAAGGACATGAACTCATTCTTTTTTATGGCTGCATAGTATTCCATGGTGTATATGTGCCACCTTTTCTTTATCCAGTCTATGTTTGATGGACATTTGGGTTGGATCCAAGTCTTTAATATTGTGAATAGTGCCACAATCAACATACATGTGCATGTGTCTTTATAGTAGCATGATTTATAATCCTTTGGGTATATATCCAGTAATGGGATTGCTGGGTCAAATGGTATTGCTAGTTCTAGATCTTTGAGGAATCACCACACTGTCTTCCACAATGGTTGAACTAATTTACACTCCCACCAACAGTGTAAAAGCATTCCTATTTCTCCACATCCTCTCCAGCATCTGTTGTTTCCTGACTTTTTAATCATCGCCATTCTAACTGGCGTGAGATGGTATCTCATTGTGGCTTTGATTTGCATTTCTCTGATGACAAGTGGTGAGCATTTTTTCATATGTCTGTTGGCTACATAAATGTCTTCTTTTGAGAAGTGTCTGTTCATATCCTTTGCCCACTTTTTGATGGGGTTTTTTTTTCTTGTACATTTGTTTAAGTTCCTTGTAGATTCTGGATATTAGCTCTTTGTCAGATGGCTAGATTGCAAAAATTTTCTCCCAATCTGTAGGTTGCCTGTTCACTCTGATGATAGTTTCTTTTGCTATGCAGAAGCTCTTTAGTTTAATTTGATTGTGTTTGTCAATTTTGGCTTTTGTTGCCATTGCTTTTGGTGTTTTAGTCATGAAGTCTTTGCCCATGCCTATGTCCTGAATGGTATTGCCTAGGTTTTCTTCTAGGGTTTTTACGGTTTTAGGTCTTACATTTAAGTCTTTAATCCATCTTGAGTTAATTTTTGTATAAGATGTAAGGAAGGGATCTAGTTTCAGCTTTCTACATATGGCTAGCCAATTTTCCCAGCACCATTTATTAAATAGGGAATCCTTTCCCCACTGCTTGTTTTTGTCAGGTTTGTCAAAGATCAGATGGTTGTAGATGTGTGGTGTTATTTCTGAGGCCTCTGTTCTGTTCCATTGGTCTATATATCTGTTTTGGTACTAGTACCATGCTGTTTTGGTTACTGTAGTCTTGTAGTATCGTTTGAAGTCAGGTAGCCTGATGCCTCCAGCTTTGTTCTTTTTGCTTAGGATTGTCTTGGCTATATGGGCTCTTTTTTGGTTCCATATGAAATTTAAAGTAGTTTTTTCTAATGCTGTGAAGAAAGTGAATGGTAGCTTGATGGGGATAGCATTGAATCTATGAATTACTTTGGGTAATATGGCCATTTTCACAATATTGATTCTTCCTATCCATGAGCATGAAATGCTTTTCCATTTGTTTGTGTCCTCTCTTATTTCCTTGAGCAGTGGTTTGTAGTTCTCCTTGAAGAGGTCCTTCATATCCCTTGTAAGTTGTATTCTTAGATATTTTATTTTCTTTGTAGCAATTGTGAATGAGAGTTCACTCATGATTTGGCTCTCTCTTTGTCTATTATTGGGGTATAGGAATGCTTGTGATTTTTGCACACTGATTTTGTATCCTGAGACTTTGCTGAAGTTGCTTATCAGCTTAAGGAGATTTTGGGCTGAGGCAATGGTGTTTTCTAAACATATAATCATGTCATCTGCAAACAGACAATTTGACTTCCTCTCTTCCTATCTGAATACCCTTTATTTCTTTCTCTTGCCTGATTACCCTGGCCAGAACTTCCAATACTATGTTGAATAGGAGTGGTGAGAGAGGGCATCCTTGTCTTCTGCCAGTTTTCAAAGCGAATGCTTCCAGCTTTTGCCCATTCAGTATGATATTGGCTGTGGGTTTGTCATAAATAGCTCTTATTATTTTGAGAAACTTTCCACCAATACCTAGTTTACTGAGTTTTTAGCATGAAGGGGTGTTGAATTTTATTGAAGACCTTTTCTGCATCTATTGAGATAATCATGTAGTTTTTGTCATTGGTTCTGTTTATGTGATGAATTATGTTTATTGATTTGCATATGTTGAACCAGCCTTGCATCCCAGGAATGAAGCCGACTTGATCATGGTGGATAAGCTTTTTGATGTGCTGCTGGATTCGCTTTGCCAGTATTTTATTGAGGATTTTCGCATCAATGTTCATCAGGGATATTGGCCTGAAATTTTCTTTTTTGTTGTGTCTCTGCCAGGCTTTGGTATCAGGATGATGCTGGCCTCATAAAATGAGTTAGGGAGGAGTCCCTCTTTTTCTATTGTTTGCAATAGTTTCAGAAAGAACGGTACCAGCTTCTCTTTTTACCTCTGGTAGAATTCAGCTGTGAATCCGTCTGGTCCTGGGCTTTTTTTGGTTGGTAGGCTATTAATTACTGCCTCAATTTCAGAACTTGTTATTGGCCTATTCAGAGATAGGACTTCTTCCTGGTTTAGTCCTGGGAGGGTGTATGTGTCCAGAAATTTATCCATTTCTTCTAGAATTTCTAGTTTTTTTTTTTTTTTTTTTTTTTTTGCATAGGGGTGTTTCTAGTATTCTCTGATGGTAGTTTGTATTTCTGTGGGATCAGTGGTGATATCCCCTTTATCATTTTTTATTGTGTCTATTTGATTCTTCTCTCTTTTCTTCTTTATTAGTCTGGCTAGCAGTCTATCTATTTTGTTAATCTTTTCAAAAAATCAGCTCCTGGATTCATTGATTTTTTTGAAGGGTTTTCCAAGTCTGTATGTCCTTCAGTTCTGCTCTGCTCTTAGTTATTTGCTGTCATCTGCTAGCTTTTGAATTTGTTTGTTCTTGCTTCTCTAGTTCTTTTAATTGTGATGTTAGGGTGTCGATTTTAGATCTTTCCTGCTTTCTCCTGTGGGCATTTAGTGCTAGAAATTTGCCTCTAAACACTGCTTTAGCTGTGTCCCAGAGATTCTAGTACATTGTGTCTTTGTTCTCATTGGTTTCAAAGAACTTATTTATTTCTGCCTTAATTTTGTTATTTACCCAGTAGTCATTCAGAAGCAGGTTGTTCGGTTTCCATGTAGTTGTGTGGTTTTGAGTGAGTTTCTTAATCCTGAGTTCTAATTTGATTGCAATGTGGTCCGAGAGACTGTTATAATTTCCGTTCTTTTGCATTTGTTGAGGAGTGTTTTAATTCCAATTATGTGGCCAATTTTAGAATAAGTGCAATGTGGTACTGAGAAGAATGTATATTCTGTTGATTTGGGGTGGGGAGCTCTGTAGATATCTATTAGGTCTGCTTGGTCCAGAGCTGAATTCAAGTCCTGAATATCCTCGTTAATTTTCTGTCTTGTTGATTCACCTAATATTGACAGTGGGGTGTTAAATTCTCCCACTATTATTGTGTGGGAGTCTAAGTCTCTTTGTAGGTCTCTAAGAACTTGCTTTATGAATCTGAGTGCTCCTGTATTGGGTGCATATATATTTAGGATAGTTAGCTTTTCTTGTTGCATTGATCCCTTTACCATTATGTAATGAATGCCCTTCTTTGTCTTTTCTGATCTTTGTTGGTTTAAAGTCTGTTTTATCAGAGACTAGGATTGCAAACCTTGCTTTTTTTCTTTCCATTTGCTTGGTAAATATTCCTCCATCCCTTTATTTTGAGCCTATGTGTGTCTTTGCACATGAGATGGGTCTCCTGAATACAGCACAGCAGTGGTTCTTGACTCTATCCAATTTACCATTCTGTGTCTTTTAATTGGAGCATTTAGCCCTTTTACATTTAAGATTAATATTGCTATGTGTGAATTTGATCCTGTCATTATGATGCTAGCTGGTTGTTTCACCTGTTAGTTGATGCAGTTTCTTCATAGTGTCTACGGTCTTTACAATTTGGTATGTTTTTGCAGTGGCTGGTACCAGTTGTTCCTTTCCACATTGAGTGCTTCCTTCAGGAGCTCTTGTAAGGCAGACCTGGTGGTGACAAAATCTCTCAGCATTTGCTTGTCTGTAGAGGATTTTATTTCTCCTTTGCTTGTGAAGCTTAGTCTGGCTGGATATGAAATTCTGGGTTGAAAATTATTTTCTTTAAGATTGTTGAATATCGGCTCCCACTCTCTTGTGGCTTGTAGGGTTTCTACAGAGATATCTGTTGTTAGTCTGTTGGGCTTCCCTTTGTGGGTAACCTGAACTTTCTCTCTGGCTGCCCTTGACATTTTTTTTTTTTTTTTTTGAGATGGAGTCTCGTTCTGTCATCCAGGCTGGAGTGCAGTGGTGCGATCTCAGCTCACTGCAAGCTTCGCCTCCCGGGTTCACGCCATTCTCCTGCCTCAGCCTCCTGAGTCGCTGGAACTACAGGCACCCACCACCACACCCAGCTAATTTTTTGTATTTTTTTTTAGAGATGGGGTTTCACCATGTTAGCCAGGATGGTCTCCATCTCCTGACCTCGTGATCCACCTGCCTTGGCCTCCCAAAGTGCTGGGATTACATGCATGAGCCACCACACCCAGCTGCCCTTAACATTTTTTCCTTCATTTCAACCTTGGTGAATCTGACGATTATGTGTCTTATGTGTCTTGGGGTTGCTCTTCTTGAGGAGTATCTTTGTGGTGTTCTCTGTATTTCCTGAATCTGAATGTTGGCCTGTCTTGCTAGGTTGGGGGAGTTTTCCTGGATAATATCCTGAAGAGTGTTTTCCAACTTGATTCTCCCCATCACTTTCAGGTACACCAATCAAACATAGGTTTGGTCATTTCACATAGGCCCATATTTCTTGGAGGATTTGTTCATTCCTTTTCATTCTTTTTTCTCTAATCTTGTCTTCATGCTTTATTTCATTAAGTTGATCTTCAGTCTCTGATATCCTTTCTTCTGCTTGATTGATCTCTAAACCGGTTATTCTAGTTAGCAACTCCTCTAACCTTTTTTCAAGGTTCTTAGCTTCCTTGCATTGGGTTAGAACATGCTCCTTTAGCTCGGAGGAGTTTGTTATTACCCACCTTCTGAAGACTACTTCTGTCAATTCGTCAAACTCATTCTCCGACCAGTTTCGTTCCCTTGCTGGTGAAGAGTTGTGATTCCTTGGAGGAGAAGAGGCATTCTGGTTTTGGGAATTTTCAGCCTTTTTGTGCTGGTTTTTCCTCATCTTCATGGATTTATCTACCTTTGGTCTTTGATGTTGGTGACCTTTGGATGAAGTTTCTGTGTGGACATCCTTTTTGTTGGTGTTGATGCTATTCCTTTCTGTTTGTTAGTTTTCCTTTTAACAGTCAGGCCCCTCTGCTGCAGGTCTTCTGGAGTTTGCTGGAGGTTCACTCCAGACCCTGTTTGCCTGGGTGTTACCAGCGGAGGCTACAGAACTGCAAAGATTGCTGCCTTTTCCTTCCTCTGGAAGCTTCATCCCAGAGGAGCACCTGCCAGATGCCAGCCGGAGCTCTCATGTATGAGGTGTCTGTTGACCCCTGCTTGGAGGTTTCTCCCAGTTAGGAGGCATGGGGTTCAGGGACCCACTTTAGGAGGCAGTCTGTCCCTTAGCAGAGCTCGAGCACTGTGCTGGGAGATCCACTGCTCTCTTCAGACCTGGAAGGCAGGAACGTTTAAGTCTGCTGAAGCTGCGCCCACAGCTGTCTCTTCCCCAAGGTGTTCTGTCCCAGGAAGATGGGAGTTTTATCTATAAGCCCCTGACTGGGACTGCTGCCTTTCTTTCAGAGATGCCCTGCCCAGAGAGGAGGAATCTAGAGAGATAATCTGGCTACATTGGCTTTGCTGAGCTGCAGCGCGCTCCACTCTGTTAGAACATCCCAGTAGCTTTGTTTACACTGTGAGGGGAAAACTGCCGACTCAAGCCTCAGTAATGGCGGACGCCCCTCCCCTCACCAAGCTTGTGTGTCCCAGGTCGACTTCAGACTGTGCTGGTGGCGAGAACTACCATCCAGCTGATCTTAGCTTGCTGGACTCCGTGGGGTCGGGATCCGCTGAGCTAGACCACTTAGCTTCCCGGCTTCAGCCTCCTTTCCAGATGAGTGAACGATTCTCTCTTGCTGGCATTCCAGGCACCACTGGGGTATGAAAAAAAAAAAAAAACTCCTGTAGCTAGCTCTGTGTCTGCCCAAACAGCCACCCAGTTTTGTGCTTGAAACCAAGGGCCCTGGTGGTGTAGGCACCTGAGGGAATCTCCTGGTCTGCTGATTGTGAAGACTGTGGGAGAAACAAAGTATCTGGGCTGGAATGCACTGTCCCTCACGGCACAGTCCCTCAGGGCTTCCATTGGCTAGGGGAGGGAGTTCCCCGACCCCTTGCCCTTCCCCGGTGAGGCGATGGCCCACCCTGCTTTGGCTCACCCTATGTGGGCTGTACCCACTGTCTAACCAGTCCCAGTGAGATGAGCTGGGTACCTCAGTTGGAAGTGCAGAAATCACCTGCCTTCTGTGTTGATCTCGCTGGGAGCTGCAGATCAGAGCTGTTCCTATTTGGCCATCTTACCAAATCTTCATGCCTTGGCTTCTTTGCATGCTGAACCTTATGTCTTGCCCCTACCTCTTGGAACTTTCTGGATTTTTGCTGTGAGTAGGTCCTTCTATCTCTTCTGAGCTATTACAGAACTTCTAACCAGCTCTCTATCTCCAAGCTTTTCTCTTGCATACCTTCCCAAAATATCACTCTGCTTATATACTCCCTTCTTCAGGAAGTTTCAAGGGCTCCCAATTAGAAACAAATCAAAGCCCAAATGTACTGGTATGATGCTAAAGGCTTTTTGGGAGCCAGTTCCATGTGTGGCCCCTTGCCCAGATCATGACTTGACCTCACTTATCACCTCTTCTTAGTTGCACCCTTCCTAGTGAAAGGCCAAATGCGACTTTAAGAAGGATATTCAGTTTTGAGGAGTGTGATACTGCCTCAAGGGCAGAAAATGCCTGGTGCTCTGCTTCTGGGGACAATTACCCCTCTGCCCCCTTTTGCATCAGCAATCTGCTCACTTTTGGGACATTCAGTCTGGAGAGAGGGTCCGAGGCTTGGGATTCATTTTATAATCTCAGAACAAATGGCTGAAGGATCTGGATCTAAAATCAGAGAATGAAATGGAATGCAAATTTGCAAAGTCCTTAGAAGTTTTTTCCGGTCCAGTTCTGGGCTGCAGCAGGAGGGTGGGGATGAGGGGGAGTAAAGGGGTGTCCCCAAGGAGCTGAGTGAGGAATGGAGGGCTAAGTGGAGGCAGATGAGCTGGCATACCGCAGTCACCTCAGGGAGCAGGCAGCACTGCGATGAATAGAGATGGGGCTTGACATGCCAAGAGCGCAGTTGGGTTAAATGCGGGGTTAACAGCGACCTAGTCACCATTTCACCCTCCCCTAGGAGAGGAAGGCTCTGTCTGCCACCTCAGCCATGGGGAAAAAAGCCATTTTGATGGTTGGATCTGAGCCACGGGGTACATCAGCAACTGGCCTGGGAGACACGTTGTGGCTGCGTGTGGCTGTCAATCCTCCCAGGGTAGGGAGGTGATAATAGATGGCTGTCTGCAGGATCTTCAGCAACTCCCCAATCTGCCTGCAGCCAAGCCTCAGAATCTGTTGGGGTTGCAGAAGAGACCTGGGGGCCTGATTTCTCCCCTGTCTGGGGAGCTGGACACACAGGCAACAACAGTGGAATGGGAGATACAGCTCTGTTTCATTCATTGCTGGGCAGATTGATCCTGGCCAGCAGACTGATGGCTCTTCCCAGGGTCCTCTGCTGTCCCCCAGGGAGCAAGCTGTGGGCAACCTTTCCCACAGTCACTTGTGGGCAGAGCTGCCATGTCCACAGCTCCAGATAAAGCAAATCTCAAAACATGCAATGGGAATGGTGTCTCCATGTGCAATATGGCAGCCCTGTCCTTTGGTAACCCGTTCCTTCAGGAATGTTCTCCGCACAGAAAGTCATTATTTTTTACCTTTAAGGAGTCAGTTGGCCTCAGCATCCTGCTGTGGTCTAGCTTGTGCACAATTATCAAACAGAAGTTCCCAGCTTCTTCCTCTTCCCACTTGTCCCTATTATGGGGTAAGGGTGCATGCACCTGGTTGCTGATGTAGGTCCCACTGCCCACTATGTAACTGTAACAATAGTTCAAAAGAGTACCATAGGACCACAGAAAGACAACAGTCTGCCTTCTGAAATAAAAATCATATATGTTTACTATTCAATTAAAAGAAGAATAAATATATACATTGAACCCAGAGTAATCCACAGTGTGCTGTGCTAAGTCTAACTGCTCTTCATCACACAATAAGACCCCCAACTACTTGCTTAGCCCATGTAACCCCGGGAAGAGTCTCTCCTCTCTGCTAGACCTTCTTCTTCCAGGCTTCCCAGAAGGGTGTGGAGAAGGGCTGTGAGGCCCTGACTCATAGGTACAAGGGCCTTCTTGATTCGTGATGTCTGCCAGGTGCTTGGCAGGGAGATGGGAGGCACGTGCACTATATATGTGCCCTTTTCATCTCTTGGGGCTGCATGCCCTTGGCTTGTTCTCTTGCTTAGGCACCTGCTCAAAGGTCCCGGTAGACCCAGGCTTTTGTCAGTGGTTGATGTCTGAGGAAGTCTGTTTTCTCAAAGACTTGGCAGGGTGGCTTTTTCCTTTAGCTGTTCCAGCAGTGCCTCCTGTAACTTGGGCACTTGATTCCCAACTGTGGCCGGTCCAGTGTAGGGAGGGGTGCTTTAGTTTCCTTTGGGGGCAGGATGAATTCTTTTCTGATGGGGTCAGGGCTAAAAATGGACATTCCATTGGAGGGATGAAGAGATGCAATATACTTCCCGTGAAATACCATTAACAGAACCTCTCACCCACCAACCCCCATTACTGCGGCAACTTAGAGGCTATTCCAGGTCGATAATTTCACGTCCGATATTGAGTATGTTACAATAGTGGTGATCAATAGATTAATCCGAGCTGAGAAATTAATGGTGGACAATGGCCTTCATGTGATAGTCCGGTCAGAGAGCATTATGTTGCCTTAACTTTTACTTTTGAAAAAAAAGTTAATGTAGATTTTATTCAAATACAACATACAATGAAAAGTGTATATAACATACATACCCATTTGATGAATTGTCACAAACTGAGCATGCCCACGTAATGACACCTGGATGGAGAAAGAGACTGTGACCAGCACCTCAGAGACCCCTTGTTCCCCTTTCTAGTCCCTACCTGCCTCGGGGGTAAGCATGATCCTGACTTCTACAACAGAGTATTGGAAAAGTTTCCTGTTCTCAAAGTACATCTAAATGGAGCCATACACTATGAGCTCTTTCATGTCTGATTCTTTTGCTCAGCATAATGTGTGCGAGGTCCATTCCTGTTGCTGAGCATTGTAATTGGATCAGTCTCATGTCGGTATAGGATTCTCTCGCATGTACACACCATGATTTATTTACCCATTCCACTGTTGATGGGCACTGGGGTGATTTGCAGATATCTGGGGGGGGGACCATTACAAATAGCCCTGGGCTGAACATTTTTTGTGTGAGTCTTTTGGTAAGCTCGTGAACACATCCCACTTAGTACATATTTAGGAGTAGAGTGGTGGGGTCATAGGGTATACCAACATTCAGTTTTAGTTGAAAATTTAAAAATCATGAAAACATTATTTAGGATTAAGAAGCATTATGAAGATAGAAAATTATGTACCAGCAGTAGTACAAAATACCCATGAACCTACCATGGAGATTAGACAAGTGTTCACATTTTGCCATATTTTGCTCTTTCACATATTAAAAAAATATAAAATTTCAAATATAGCTAAAACTCCATCTCCTCTTCCCTTCTTCTAGATCAGTATCCCTTTTTTAGATCAGTATCATCCCATGGCTGGTGTATCATCCTCTGCTCGGTTTAGACTTGGACTACATCTGTATGAATCCAGAAACCATATACACTATGCTTTTAGATTTTACAAAGGTAGCATCCTGTTCATGGTCTTTTGTAATTTGCACTTTTTTTTTCACTTGACATTATTTGCTTGCAACAGCAGAGCAGCAGAAACCTCCTTAGTGCCCCACCATAGAAGATTGATTCCACTGACGGCTACTGACACCTATCAACATGTAGAAATATGGAACACATAATGTGTATCTTGATTTGTTTTTTTTTTCTGTTCTTTGGCAGGCTAGCTGGGAGGTGTGTGTGTGTGTGTGTGTGTGTGAGAGAGAGAGACAGAGAGAGAGGAAGAGAGCTTGGATTATGAGTGTAGGATTTTGTGTGTGTGTGTGTGTGTGTGTGTGTGTGTGTGTGTGTGTGTGTGGCTCTGCCCCCAGGCTCCTGGCTGCCTTTGCTTGCACATGCTGTCAGCTAAGCGGTGGCTGCGAGTCTAGAGGACCTGGCAGGACCTGCCCCACCTCTGAGGCACAGTTCTTAGTGAGACCATCTGCTTGGTTGTTGGCTAAATTGGGTCAAGAGCCCATGCTTCATTCCCTCAGCCCTGGCCAGGTTGGTCTGTATCTCGGGCTCCAGTCGTTAGGGGCAGGCTATTGACAGTTATGTCCAGAACAGAATGGCCCAGTCCCAGGGTTTTTCAATCCACCGTAAATATGGGGTAAGAGGAGGGTCACATGCTGAAGAATGGGAGCCTTATCCATATCTCGGCTATGCAGGTGGATCTTTGTTGGTGAGGTCGCCAAGTGTTGCACATATTGCTGGATTCCTTGTACCAGGTCTGTGGGCCCATTCCCAACATCAGGGGGCTCTGCTGCCAATAGCTGCAACCTCCTCGAAGGTATGGAGAGCTGGAGGTGTCTAGGAATTTGCTATCCCCCTTCCCACCCCTGCACCCCACCCCAGGGTACCCATAGCCAGTGACTGATGTGGAGTTAAAAACCCGGCTCCATTGCCTGGAGGCAGGACAAACTCTGGGATGAAATTTACCCTCCAGAGGCCCCCTGCCAGATGAGGATGGGGGTGGGACTTTGAGTTGGCACCCTTGCTTGCCTTTCTCCATTTTTCTGTTCTACTCGCCAATCCCTTACTGGTTCCTCCTGGGAGTGCTTCCTTACTAACTCACCTGCCCCCAAACCCTTGACTCAGCACCACTTCTGGGAGAGCGTGATGCACACGGCCATACTCTGTCCTCTCCTATCTCTCCCCTCCCCTCCTTCACAGGGCAAACTAGGGTCCCGGAGCCAGGCAGACCCAGGTTCTAGCCTGCTTCCACCTGTGAGAGTTTTCTCATGTTTCTTAGCTTCTCTAAGCCTCAATGTCCTCATCTGAAACATGGGGCCACTAAAAGAACTCACATCAGAGGACTTTGTGAGGATTTAATGAGGTAATGCATTGAAAGCACTTAGCAGGCACACAGTAATCACTTAAATGGTAGCTCCCGGGGTTGTAATGAGAATTAAGAATATAATGTGTATCAGATGTGCCTGGCACTTAGGAGATGCTCAATGTATTTTCACGCCTTTTCTCTCTCTTTCAGGGCATCCAGTACAGGTACTTATGGTTAATTTTTTATGCGATGAATAGGCAACATAGCAGGACTGATCAGGCTGCAACCATCCAGACGGCAAAAGAATAAAAAGACAAATGCTAAAGAAATGTAAGACGGTGACCCTCCACATAACTCACTTCTGGGAGTCATTTGTTGCCTCTTTATTTGTATGTTTCCCCCAATAAAAGTTTTAATTAAAAAATATCCAGACCCTGGGGACTCAACGATAAATTTGAGTGCAAAGCTCCTTGGAGAACATGTCTTGGCTAAATACACGGAACAGATTATTATTATTTATTATTATTTCCATTCCAAGAAATGGCGAACATTCTTCTGCACTTTGCTTAGTGATTTGTGGCTTCTGCAACTCTGGTCCCTGCTATCGGGAGAGAAGAGTGATGCCTTTTAGCTTTTAGAGATGCCCCGGGTTTGTGCTGATGGAGGGGAAGCGGGCCTGCTCTGCACAGCTGTCTCTGCTCCTCATTTATTACTGCGGCGCTTTACCTCCCGAGGGCCTCTTTCGTTTCCAAACCAAATAATTCAGACCCCGTTGTTTACCTCGGCAGAGGGATCAAGGTTACACCCAGAGTAACATGGAGAACAGCGACCCAGAAGCTTTGCCCCAAGTCTCGCTCTGACTTGGGAGTAGCTTGCCAAGTTATTCTGAGCTCTGGGAATTACTTTCCGGGTTTGGGAGCTCCAGGCCTCTGAGCTGCGGAATGATTTATGTGCCCCAGAGACCCCTCTCCTATTTCCGATGGTTCCTTGTCTGGAGTCCTCCTCTACCTTGGCCAGATGGAATCCTCAAGCAGTGGGGAAATTGAGGCTGGGAGAGAGAGAGAGAGGCAGGAGAGACATGTTAGAGACAGGAGAGAGAAAGCGAGAAGAAAGACTTGTCAGAGAGGGAGGAGAGACGTGAGAGAGGCAGAGAGAGGAGAGACGTGAGAGAGAGGAAGAAAAGACATGAGAGAAAGAGAGACAGGAGAGAGGTGTTAGAGAGAGAGACGTGTTAGAGAGAGGGACACAAAAGACATGAGAAAGAAGAGATATGTTAGAGAGAGAGACAGAAAAGACAAGAGAGAAAGAGGAGAGACATGAGAGAGACAGAGAAAGAAAAGATGAGAGAGAGAGACAGGAGAGATGTTTTAGAGAGAGGCAGACAGAAAAGACATGAGACAGGAGAGACATGTTAGAGAGAGAGAAAATACACGAGAGAGAGAGGAGAGACGTGTTAGAAACAGACAAGAGACACAGAAAGAGAGAGAGATAGGAGAGGTGTTAGAGTGAGACTGACAAACAGAAAGAAGAGACATGTGAGAGAGAGACCGGAGAGACATGATAGAGAGAGAGAGAGAGACAGGAGAGACATGATAGAGAGAGAGAGAGAGTGAAGCCGTGGTCACTCAGGGCAGATGAGAGGCAGTGAGGATGGCTGCATCAAGGAGCAGGAGGATGAGAAGGAGCAGGAGCTGGGCGCACCCAGGCCTGCCCTTGCTACACATCCCTCTTCTCTCTCTCACTCTCTGGAGAGGGATTTGAATGTAAATTATTGTTCGGCAGGAGATGGCAGGAAAAGCCAGTAGTGGGGTGAAGAATTGAGGCAGGGAGGGGAAGGAGCCAACAAAGGATGTGTTATCAAGTCAGTTACCAGTGTGGGCAAATGGGCTTGATCCCGCTGGGAGCTCTGGGAGACTGTAGGCGATACACCTTAGAATTATCTCAACCGTTGGAGGAGCTGGGCTGTCAGTCATTGGTTGAAAGCTGCTCCCGGGGAGAGGTCATTAGGCTTCTAGAAATTCTAGCCTGCTGCAGACAGAGGCATGGTGGGCTCTGATAGCCACAAGGCTCTCAGACAGATGTCCAGTGCTGACGACTGGAAGTTAGGGCCAGAATACAAGGATATGTAAAGCCTGGGTGAGTGTACGCAAGACATGATGGCTTCTGTACCAACTCAGAATTATCTTTCTTGCCTGTGTGCTTATAATCTGGATTTTAAAAACACTACTCTCCTTTTATAAAGAGTTCTCTGAGGAACAATGGCTCCAGGAAATGCTCCATGAGCAGAGTCAAGTCCTGGGATCAAGAGATTTGGGGAACTGCAGCATTCTATATCACCTTTTGGGCAGTCATGGTGTACATGAGCCCTGTGTTAGTCTGTCTTCATGATGTTGATAAAGACGTACCCGAGACTGGGCAATTTACAAAAGAAGGAGATTTAATTGGACTTACAGTTCCACATGGCTGGGGGAGCCTCACAATCATAGCGGAAGGCAAGGAGGAGCAAGATACATCTTATGTGGATGGTGGCAGGCAAAGAGAGAATGAGAGCCAAGCGAAACGGGTTTCCCCTTATCAAACTATCAGATCTCGTTAGACTTATTCACTACCATGAGAACAGCATGGGGGAAACTGCCCCCACAATCCAACCATCTCCCATCGGGTTCTTCCCACAACATGCAGAAATTATGGGAGTACAATTCAAGATGAGATTTAGGTGGGGACCGGGAGCAAACCATATCAAGCCCTTTCAAAGCTTTACGACATCTTTCAGTAGCGGAACCTGGTTGGTTTTGCTTACCTAGAGTTTCTCAGCTGGAATGGCCAATGAACACTTATTTTGCTGGAGCCTGCAATTTACTTAAGCTCTGTGGGACTAGTGTTCTGCGAACACCCCAGAAAGCACAGGTTTAGCAAACTGGTCAATGTCATGTCTTGTGAATTTCCCTATGTTGTCACTTTACACAAAATGGGTGTCGTGGGAAGGAGTTGGCACCTAGTGAGGATTCATCCAAGGAGCCATTTAGGGAACTCAAATGTCTGGCTCAAGGAATAGAAGGCTCAGGGGGGATGGGACAGCTGCCTGTGAATGTTCCAAACATCACAGGAAGCTACATTTCAGCTCCAAGTCAGACAGAGATGTTTTTCTCACACAGAGAACTGAAAAGACATGGTTGCCTGCATGGTCAGGCTCTGAGTTCCCGGTCACTGGGCTTGCTTCAGCAGAGGCTGGATCTGTTGAGAATAGAGCAGGGG
The DNA here is from genome assembly GCF_000001405.40 of Homo sapiens. Taxonomy (NCBI): domain Eukaryota; kingdom Metazoa; phylum Chordata; class Mammalia; order Primates; family Hominidae; genus Homo; species Homo sapiens. The sequence continues at coordinate 39,533,862 of NC_000023.11, read as the reverse complement.
CCCTCTGGCCTTGGGTGGGAGTTGAGCCAGGAACATTTAGGCTCTTCCCATCTCTTAGATTTACTGTACTAGGCTTGAAGGCATTGATGCCCTGCTAGATGGGGAGCTACTTGAGAGATGGGTTGTGTTCTACATTTCTTCATATTTCCCCAGTGTCTGGATTGTTTCTAGGCATATAGTGGATGACCAACAAAAATTATTGAATGGATGGATGAATAGGTGGATGGATGGATGCAGAGATGGATGGATGGATTCATGGATTGATGGATGAATGAATTAGCTTCTGGGGGGCCCATTGGCAAAGCTGCACTTTGGCAGAGCTGATGTTGAAATCTTCTACACCCACAGACTGTGTCTGCATAGATTTAGAATGAGGTTCAGTCCAAGCATCATAAGTCTAGGAGACATATGATGATAATAGCTATGAATTTCAGAGTATAATTTTGTTCCAGCCACTGTCCAGTTCTTCCTCATGCAACCCTTGCAGCATTTCTATGAGGTAGGTATCACCACGGGGATCATTTCCTTGATGAGAAAATTGAGTCTTAGAGAGGTCACCAGGCTGGACAGTGGCAAGGATGTATTTGGTTCAGGCCTGCCGACTCCAAGGCAGAGACCAGAACCACCCTCATCGCCACCTCAGAAACACTTTACTGCCTCACACAGCCCACATGGCTCCTATCTCCTGAGCAGGGCATGAGGAGGATTTTTACCAGTAGTTACAAGTGGGGAAAGAGGCCTGAGAGAGAGCGAGTGGCTTGTTTGGGAAGATAGGAGGCAGTGAGAAAGACAACACACCTGGGGCAGGAAGAGCTCAGCTGACTCATTGACTTCATTTCCCATCCCTGTGTTGGTGGAATTTCCCCCCTGCTAGCTCAAGAGGGAGAAGGGGAGGAGGAGGAGCTGCAGAAGCATTAGGGAGGAGAGGTGCCATCACAACAGGCAGCATGGCCATCTGGTTATCATTTCAGGTGCATGGAGGTATCTGGGCTGTCTGCATTTGCCCTCCTGCTTCCCCGTAAGCTCCCTTGAAGTGCCACAGCTCTTCATGACACACAGGCGGCAAGCCGAATGCAGCTCTGATTTGATGGCAATAATTGCTGTACTAATCAGTCTGGGAATACACTTCAGGAAGTCGCTTGTTCCTATGTCCTCTGTTCAGTCCAGAAGCCTCCCTGCATCCTTCAGCCCTCCCTGGAAACCTTGGACCTGAATTCAAAATGAACTGAGAAATCTTGTCCCAGCATTTGAAATAAAGGTAACACTGGTTCCCTTCCTTCCTCCTCCCTTCTCCCCCAATCTTCACAAAATAGAAACATGCTGATGCTCTTATCTTTTTAAAAGCTTTAAATGACTCCATGCACTACATTGCATAACTGTTTCAAATTTCTGATTCCTCTCTCTATCCATGAGAATTGCCATTCCTCCCATTAGAGATGAATCTATTTCCCATCCCACTGATGCTAGGCTTAGCTGTGCAACTTGCTATGGCCACTGGAATGTAGGGAGAAGTGATGGCCTGCCATTTCCAAGCCTAACCCTTAAGTAGTATCCTTGGTTTCCACTTGTCATCTTGCACGTCTGTCATCATCATAAGAAAAGTACCCCAGGAAGCCAGCTGGTCTCAGAAGAATGAGGAGACATGTCGGGAGGCTTAATCTGAACCCATTGCTTGGTGTCCAGTCCAGCCTAGACCACTTGACCTGCAGACATACAGCTGACCTTCAGGCCTGTGGGCATGAGAACAAATGCTTACTGTCATATGTTGCTGAGTGTGGGGGTGGTTTTTGTTACCCACCAATAGCTGACTGATACAACCTATATCTTCTATAATCTGCTTCTCTGAACACACACATTGCCTACACAGCAAGTCATCATAAAAAAGAAGAGAAAAAGTTATAGCACAGAAATGCTCAGCCCACACTTTGCTGTGTGAACTTGTTTTTGCTAAATGCATCAATCTGTCTGGGAATGTTGACTTAATTGGAGAGGATGTGTTGATAACATTCTGATAGGAGGGGCTGGTATGCAGTTTGGTTTCTGGAGCTGCAATCACAACACCACATTGGATCAGAGCCTCATTCTACCACTTACTACCTGGGTACCTTTGGGGAAGTTACTTTGCTTTTCTAAGCCTCAGTTTTGTCATCTGTAAGATGGGTACTTTTCTCGTAGCATTATTTGGAGGTTTAAATGAGAAAAGTGTGTCATGTGCTTAGTGCAATGTCTAGCCAGTGGCAGGAATTCACTAAATCCATTAGCTGGTGTTATTTTTATGTGTTGTTATAGCAAAAGCCCCAAATGATACTTTAAAGAGATAGGAATCATCCCCTCTCTCAAATTTCCATCCAACACTTGCTGGTTTTCACTTTTATGCCTTTGCTAAAGAAATCTCTCCAAGTCACATTTTTTGTGCAGAAAAAATAGTGTAGTGAGCCACGACCCCTGAAGTCTGACTGGTTCTTCCATTAGCTTGCTGAGTGAACTTGAGCAAGCCTTCTCCAGTCTCTGGGCCTCGGTCCCCTCCAAGGTGAAAGGTCAGGATTGAACTCATTTCTAAGGGCCCTTGACATCCATCATTTTGTAAGTTCCCTTTGGAAAAGATCCAGAAGAGTTGGAAAGAGTTTTCATAAAGATACCGATTAGGATTCTGGTATAATAAAGGAAGAACTTTTCTTCGAATAGAGGGTCAAGCATGGAATTGAAGAACTGTAGACTATTTGACCTGGAAGGATCTTAGAAAACTTCTGATCCAGTGATCTCACTTTATAGAAGAGAAAGCAATGTCCCAGGGCAGCCAAATGGCTCATCCAAGGGCATTTGTGCATTCAGGAAATATTTGGTGGGCACCTTGGTGTGGAGGCCCTGGGCTTGGGGCTCTGAGTGCATAGGACGCCTTTTACAGCTTCTGAGCCCAGGTGAGGAAAAAGACAATAAACATACATTTGCAGTGCAGTCAGATCCAGGCTACACACAGATAGCTGCATCGAATGCTAAGAAGCACTTGGGAGGAGCACCTAATCCAATCTTAGGCATGGTCAGGATAGAACCACAATAGCCAACTAATCTTCATTATGGGCCAGGCACTGTTCTAAGCATATGTGTTAGCTTATTTACTCCTCAAATTGACACTGTGAGGTAAGCATTATTACCACTATCCCAATTTATTGGGAAGGAAACTGAGGCACAGAGCAGTTAAGTAACTTGTCCAAGCTCACACAGTTAGCAAGTGGCAAAGCCAAACTTTGAACTCAGGTCATCTGGCTCCAGAGTCTGTGATTTTTACTACATTATACTGACCTGGGGAGGACAATGTCAGCGCTTTTACCTGAGGAATGAGCAGGAGCTGTCCAGCAGAGAACAGCTGGGCAGAAGGAATGGCATGCACAAAATGGTAAAATTCTGGAGGTGAGCATGAGTGTGGTGTGCCTGTGGAACTGTAGGCTAAAAAGTATGTATGTGGCTGGGCGTGGTGGCTCACGCCTGTAATCCCAGCACTTTGGGAGGCCAAGGCAGGTGGATCACTTGAGGTCAGGAGTTCGAGACCAGCCTGGGCAACATGGTGAAACCCCGTCTCTGCTAAAAATACATAATTAGCTGGGCGTGGTGGCATGAAACTGTAATCCCAGCTACTTGGGAGGCCGAGACAGGAGAATCGCTTGAGTCCAGGAGACGAAGGTTGCAGGGAGCAGAGACTACGCCACTGCACTCCAGCCTGGGCGACAAAGGAGACTCTGTCTCCAAAAAAAAAAAAAAAAAAAAAAGAAAGAAAAGAAAAAGATAAAGATAGTACATATATATATACACATATCATTGTATGTCTGTGTGTATATGTGTGTCTGTGTGTTTATGCATGTGTATATCCATTTCTGTGTGAGTCTGTCCATGTTAATGTGTGTTTCTGTGTGTGTTTGGGTGTATGTATACGTCTGTCCATCCTGTTGTACCTGTATATATGTCTATATATGTTCCTGTGTGTGTGCATGTGTATTCGTGTGTGTTCATGTGTATGTATTTGTGTCTGTCTGTATATACATGTCTGTCTTTGTGTAAGTCCATGCATATGTTTGTGTGTTTCATGAGTGCGTATACTTGTTATCTGTGTGTGTGAGTGCATATGAATGCATATGTGTCTGTGTATCTCAGTGTGTGCATCTGTGTGTGTGTGTGTGCGTGTGTGTGGTGGGGGTAGATGGGGTTGGGAGGTAACCAGAGCTGTGCAGAGGCCAGATGTTGAGGGCTCTTGAAGACTTTACTCATAGGGCAAAGGGGAATCATTCAATGAACTGCAGCATTTTGGAAAGGCCATTTGCTCCTTATGAGTATTTATTGAGCACCTACTATGTATCCGTTACTATTCCAGATGCTGGGGATGAAATGATGACTAAAAACAAAGTCCCTGTCCTTAGAGGGCTTATATTCTAGTGAGGAAAGACAGACAATAAGCACATAAGCAAACAGATGTGTAATAAATGTCAGGATAAGCACCCTAAGGAAAAAGAAAAGCATAGTAAGAGGAGAGGTGGTGGAGAAGGCTTGCTTTGAGCAGAGGCCTTAATACCTGAGAGTGAACCCAGGGATATTGTTGGGGAGAGCATTCCAGGCAGAGTGAACAGCAAGGGCAAAGGCCTGGAGGCAAGTGAGGGCTTGGCACATTTAGGGAATAGCACAGAGGTCCAGAGAGCTGGCACGAAATGAGGGAGGGGAGTGTGGTTGGTGCTGAGACTAGGTACGTGGCTGGGGCCAGTTCCTACAGAGCTCAGTGGCCATGTGAGGACGTTGGATTGTCTCCCCTGCACAATGGAAAGCTACTGGAGGACCCCACTTCTGTGGCTGCTGTGGGGAAAATGTAGGAGAACCCAGGTTGGCATGCTCTTAAGTCAGTGCTCCCTCCACGCTGCCACCTTGAGAACCAAAACAAAGGTTGATTTCCTTTCTGATGTTATGTGCATCTTTCTTTCACAGGACAAAGAAAACAAATCTGTTTACAAGGTGTTTTCCTGTCCCAATTGATTAGCCACTGTTTCAAGTCCTTTCAATATAGTTAAATTTGATCATAATCAAATAATTTGCCGAGTTTCTAGGCTTATGGTGGTAGAAGTTTATCACAGGCTTCCAGACTGAAGGAAGTAATACTACATGTGGAGGGTGTGGTGCAGTTTCTAGAGCATAGTGAGACCTCGATAAGCATGCTTTATTATCTCATTTAATTCATTCGTGAAATCTTTGAGGTAGGGGCTGGGCATATTTTACACATAAGGAGCGTGAGGCTTTGAGAGTTGACATAATTAGCCCAAAGTCACACAGCTAGTTAGTGGCATCCCAGCTCCCAAGCAAAAAGCAATTTCAAAAGGAGTTAGAGATTCTGCTTGCTACCGCAGGATCATGGAGCTTTTTGCTCCTGGCACTCGTTGCTGGAGGAAGCCTAAGGGAGTAGGTTTACATGACCATGCCCTTCGCCAGGTGCCTGTGGGGAGGGGTAATGGGTTAGGATGCTCAACATCAGTGTCACTGTCAGCGTCACCACTAAAGCACCATCTGTCCACAAGGCTGGGCTGGACTCAGGGCTTAAACATTGCTGATTTAAGAGAGTTTCCAGTGTGAGTGGGCCATGCAGATGGAAAGAGCCAAAAGGGAGGTTAAAAACATCTGAATGAGCCCGAGAGAGGCCTGACTTATAGATATGAGCAACTAAATAAATAAATTCTGCAGACACTTGCTGTCCAGCAATGCTGCTTTGCTTCTGTAGATATGGAGGACTCCCTGAATTGGGCAAGTCCTCCCTGAATTGGGCTGTGGGGTGTTATGGATCAGGCAGGAGGAGGAAAGACTGCCTCCCTGATCATAAGTCCTGGACGGTATTGTGCTGAGGTTACTGTCAGAAGGAAAGAAGAGACATGATGAGACTGTAAGGAGTGGCTATGAATTAGCAGCATCAGGCCAGCGTGGTCTGATAGCAGACAGATTGCTGTCCCTATCTCCTTTGGAAGAACGTCACTGTAGAAACACTAGGCGTGTGTCTTTCAGACCTGCGAGTCAAGGGATAGTGTTAGGAAAAGAGTGCAGGGGCCAGGACCCTGACATAGAGGATATCTTCCTGGAGGTATCCTCATAGTGACAGACAAATGTCAAATCCAACCCAACCCAACCCAATTCTGGGAATTTGGGAAACTTGGTGTTTTAGTTACTATGATTATGTAACAAGTCATTCCCAAACTTAGTGGATTAAAACAACAGAACTCATTCCTTACACTCGGATTCTGTGGATCAAAAATTTGGACAGGATATGCAGGGACAGCTTGCCTCTGCTCCATGATGTCTGGGGTCTCTGCTGGAAGCCTCGAAGGCTGGGGACTGGGGCCATCTGAAGGCTTGTGCACTCAAATGTCTGGCAGCTGATGCTGGCTGTTGGCCAGGGGGGCCTCAGTTGTCTCCCTGTCTGTGTGGACTCTCCCCATAAGCTGATTTGGGCTTCCTAATAGCATAGTGTCTGGGTTCCCAGAGTGAGATTCTGAGAAAGAGAGAAGCAGTTGGAGACTGGCTCCTTTGAATGACCTGGCCTTAGAAGTTACATCATATCATCTGCACTATAATCTATTGGTCAGAATAATCATCGGCCTTACTCAGATTCAAGAGGAGGAACAGAGACCGCCCCCTCTGTGGGAGAAGCATTAGTCACAGTGTCAGAAGAGCATGGCAGATGGGATACATATGTTTCTGTGGCTATCTTTGGAAAATACTCTTGGCCACACTGTTTTAGTCTCTTTGGGCTGCTATAACAAAATGCCATAGACTGGGTGGCTTATAAACGACAGAAATTTATTGCTCACAGTTCTGGAGACTAGGGAGTACAAAATCAAGGTGCCGACAGATTTGGTGTCCAGTCAGGGTCTGGTCAGGGCCATCCTGATTCACAGATGGTGTCTTCTCATTGTGTCCTCACATGGTGGAAGGGGCTAGTGAATTCTCTGAGGTCTCTTTTATAAGAGCACTAATCCCATTCAGGAGTGTGGAGCCCTCATGACCTGATCACCTCCCAAAGCCTCCACCTCTTAATACCATCACCTCGGGTGGTAAGATTTCAACATGTGAATTTTGCAGGGGGGACACAAACATTCAATCTATGGCAGAGGCCATGAGTCATATTATGCCCTATGGAGGACTCTCTTGGGGGAGAGCAGAGGGATAAGCCCCTCATCTCTCAAGGATCCCAGAGCAAAATCCTTCCATTTACATAATAAAAGAAAGCCTCCTTCCTGCCCATGAAGTGGGCCCTTGTAGGTCCCAGCTGTGAGGGCAGTGATAGGAGGAGGGACAGGAAGTTGGCAGTGGCCAAGTTTTGTGATATTTTCCCAGTGACCTTTGCTGGAGGGCATAAAGGTAAGTTTCCACTTCAAACAGAGCTTGGAAACTCTGTGGCCTTTGCAGAGGCAGCTTGGCCACCTAGCAATGCTTGGCCTTCAGGGCTGGCTGAGGCTTGGTATAGGAATAAGGTGAAGATTCTGACAAGGCAGGGGGACTGCGGACAGGAGCCCCACAGCCTAAACAAATGATGGCCAGGCTACTTCACACCCTCTGCCTCACCTGGAATAATACCTGCCTCCCACCTGCCTCACACGGAAATTATACCTATCTTCAGTCACACCTCTTCTGACATGGATTTCAGTGACAGTAATTTATGTGGGAGGTGATCCTAGGAAGCACCGGTAGGGGGTGGGATATAGGACAGGGGAGGGAAGACAGCAATTCAGGGTGTGTTAGCAAGCAAATTACTGTGAGTGGCTGAGGCTCAATTCCACAGGGGAACTCCGGGAATTATTGTAGAACATGTGCCTCACAGTTATCCCATTCACAGGCAAGGGAGCTGGGGTATTTATCCTCCACCTCCCATCAGTCATTGGTTGGAGGGCTGCTCCTGGGGTGCTGGTAATTCCATGGCACGCCTGGCCTTCTGATAGGTGGGCAGAGCTGGCTTTGACCAGAGAAGCCCTCAGGCAAAGAGGTGCAGGTACTGTCAGCTGGGAGTTAGGACCATATGCACTGATGGGGAAAGGGTGAGGTGCAGAATCGGCTATAAACCCCATTAGCATATTTCAACTGTTCCACTCATTCACTATTTACTGAACTCTGCATTCAAAGTCCTCTGCCACTCAGTCCACACCTCACTTACTTAATCTCTCTGTGCCTCAGTTTCCTCATCTGAAAACAGGGATACTAACAGCATAGTGTCGTGAGGATGAAATGAGTTAACTGTTAAAAAATACTTCAACCAGTGTCTGGCACATAGTAGGCATGAGGTAAGTGGTAGTTATTACTCTAACTTCTGGGTGTGCCTACCTTTCAATGGTGCCCAGGCAGGCTGTTCTCAGCAGCTGAGCTCACTCTTGACCAGCCATACACTGCATCCATGTTCTTACACATGCTGAGAATGCCTTCCCTGCATTGCACTGAATCTTCTGTTCATCCTTCAAGTCTCCAGCCACATGCACATGCCATGCGCATACATGCCATTCCCCCTCTCTGGAAGGTTCTCACTCACTCTCTTCAACAAACTAACTTCTTTACCTTCAGCCATTTCCTCAGGCAAACCCCTGACCTTCCAGATTGGGTCACATTCCCCATCATATCACTCTATGCTTCCTTTTCTAGGTACTTATCCCAATTCTCCTCAGATGATTAATCAGGTAACTGGAGGTTTAATGTTCATCTCCTCAGCTAGAACAGAAACTCTGTGAAGGAGGGATCAGCTCTGTCTTGGTTATCATTTATGGCAAATACAGTGGATTGGCTTGTGTGATAGGTAGCCAGGGTTCTGGACGTGATTTTGGTTTCATCAATTGGAAGACTCAGCAAGTCTTGGACTTGGGCGCTGATTCATGTGCCTGTGATGAGAGGCAGCACGCTAGGCATCTGTTTTGTTGGGAGGGTCTTGGCAGAAGCAGTATAGCCCAACAGCAGAGACAGTGGCTTTTTGACCATGGAGAGGTTCTCATCACAGCAGAGCCGGCAGTCTATTAACAGCCTAGTCCCGCTGTGTGGTTTGTGAGTTAGTTGTTCCTGAAAGCTCAATCTAGAACTTGTTTCTATAGCAATGCCAAAGATTCTGCAACTAATAATTTTCTGTTCAAATTAGCAAAAGTGGGTTCTGTTTTCTGCAACTGGCCACTGACCCCTACATCACTGCTGCATCTTCAGGATCTAAGATGGTGCCTGGTGCATAGTTGGTGCTCAATATGAATAAATGATTGAAAGGATCAAATGTTATTTATGTTGCAATCTGCCAACTGTCCTCTAGAACAGTCCTCTAAATTTTTTAGAAAATTCGTCCAACTAGAGCCCTTGGACCCTTTAGGTTTGTTCTCTTATCACCATAAATGACCTCTTAACAGAGGTGTTGGCATTTGCCTGAGTAACATCTTGGTTTATTTCCCCAGGATGAATTAATAAGAATTCCTAGGCTTTGCAGCCTTGAATCAGCTGTGGGAACATCTGTTGTTAACCTTGGGAGATGCTTAAGAGCTCAGAAGCAGACAGTGTCAGCTATTTTAGAGGAGGAAGCCCCAGGCTCAGTCAGTGACATCAATGGTGTGATTCCCAGGTTTGCCAGACCATACCAATGACACTCCCCACTTCTCCTTTCTAACTGCTCCAGTAGCTGACTTTGTCAGTGTGATGGTTAATTTTTTATGTCAACTTGACTGGACTATGGGATGCCCAGATAGCTGGTTAAACACTATTTCTGGGTGTTCCTGTGAGGATGTTCCTGGGTGAGATGAGCATTTGAATTGGTGGACTGAATCAAGCAGATGGCCCTCTGCAATGTGTGTAGGCATCATCCAACCTATTGAGGACTTGAATAGAACAAAAGGGTGGAGGGAGGTTAGATTCAAGCTCCGTGTCTGACTGCTTGAGCTAGGACATCAATCTTCTTCTGCCTTCAGTGCTCCTGGTTGTCAGGCCTTCAGATCCACACTGGAATCTACACCACTGCCTGTCCAGCTTTCAGGCTTCAAACTACACCATCAGCTTTCCTTGGTCTCCAGCTGGCAGACAGTAGATTGTGGGACTTCTTAGTCTCCATAATTGCATGAGCCAGTATCTTATGATAAATCTATCTGTCTATCTATCTATCTCAACATCTATTGATCATCTATTTTAGTTTGTCTATCATCTCCTATTGGTTCTGTTTTTCTGGAGAACCCTGATTAACAGAATCAGGAATATAATGCGTTCTGCCAGGTATCTGGCCTCCACCTGGGCCTTTGAGTGGCCAAAGATCTTGTCCACCTCTATCCCAAGAGGGGCCTGACCAGACTGTACCAGATTTCAGCCTCCAGAGCTGTGGTATGACCATCCTGCTCTAAGGGGATGCCAGAGCCAGCCTCTTCACCCCAGGGTCTCTCTGTTCAGGAAGCCAGGTCTGGTTGAGTGAGAGTGAGAAGGTGACTGTCTCTGAGGAGGTAGGAAGACCCTAACTTGAGCAGCTCTGTCCTCAACAGTAGACCTGCCCCACCTGTGACTCACCCAAGGAGGCCCAGATGCTGGGCTGGCCTTGAACTCAACCACCTTCTCTGAGTATACCCTTTTTACGGTCTGCTATGCCTGAAACAGCCAGGACCATCAAGTAGATGCCTTTGGTCAGGAATTGCGGGGAAATACTCCAATTGACATGAACTAAAGGGTCCTTCTCTCCTACAAAGTAGAACGGATTCTCCCCAGGGAGGTGGCAGCAGGCAGGGCTGGGCCTGCTGATGACAGATGTGCTGGCTGAAATTTCTCAGCTTGCACAAGACACCCCAGTGCCTGCAGGTGACTGAAGGAGATTGATGGTCATTGCTCAAATACTTTTAGTGTTTGGTCCATGATTTAGATCAGGGGCTGTATGAAAAACTAGGCATGCTGTGTGATGTTTATCACCATCTTACAGAAACGTCAAGGTTAAAGTCAGAAAATTAAGTCCCTATTAGGTCAAGATCCAAAAATCTAGTTGGGGCTGAGACCAGGATGGGTTGGGGAGGCTTGAAGGGAAGTGACATGGAGATCCCTGGTCACCATGAATTTGGTAGGCCTGCTGGGTTTCTTTAGAGGGAGTGGGATGGAGAAGACCCCATTCTGCTCATATTAGTGGTTGGGGAAGGGCATAGCTGTTGGAAATGCCAGGCCAGTGACTAACTGGACAGGTCGCCACACTTGGCATTTGCCATATACTCAGATGGCATGTTCAAAACATTTAATAACTGGGAGGGCACAGCCCCTGACCAATTAGGATGGACACAGGCACCTGCTCTGCGGGTCTTAACTGTTTACTTGCTGGTTTCTTTGGAGGTCCCTGGGTCTTAGGGGAGGGTCTGGGGAGGGCTGGGTGGGTGGGAAGAACTTGAGGTAGGGTGCTCAGGGCTGTAATTACCTGCTAATCAGTCTGAAAGCATGTCAAGAGCCAAATAGTCAGGACATCTGTACCTGTGAGTACTAGATGCCTATGTCCCAACTGTTGTTGTTTTTGAGGGGCAGTCCTGAGAAGGGCTTGCTGGGAAACTGGGACCTGGGTGTGAAGCAGCCGGAGGATGAGGTTAGCCTTGCCTGGGCTGTGATGAATGATGAGCTTTACCTCCAGGTTCAGTCCCGGACTTCAGCCTGGCAAAACAGCTGCAGCTATCTCCCCACCAGCTAGCAGAGTTGGTGGAAAGTTCTCTCTGAGTTTCCCCCTGGGCATTAGATAGCCTACGAAATGAACTTACTGTCTCCTTCCCATCCTGGCCTCAAGATGCCACTGGCTGTCTTTCTGTCTGAGTCTTGGAGCTTCTGGCATGGCCCACTGTTCTGGCTCTCTGGGGCCTCGGCTGGAGCTGACGCTGGGCCCCTGCCCAGGTTTTTGACTACCTTTTCCCAGGACAAATCGAGCTAGCTCCAGTCCTGGCCCTGCGTTGTCCTCATCCTGCCCCTTGAGATCTGGACACTTTTGAATACTGAGGCCTGTTCAGAAGTGTCCTGGCATTTTGTCATTGTCTCCACTCCATTTGTTGTGACTCACCAGAACTTCCCAGGATGGGAGCTGCTGGGTGCAAGATTTCCCCAGCCTTCTGCCTTCCTCTCTAGAAGCCCTTGGCTTGCAGTGGACTTTGTGGCCACACATGGCCATTGGGCATAGGCTTCCCTTTCAATGAGCCATTTGGACTGTCAGGTTGGATGGATTTTGAAGCCCTGGTTTAGGGATGGCTCAAGCAGCTGTTCCCATCATCTTGAATAATAGGCATAGCCCCTGCTTGTGGGAAGGCTCTTGGGTGAAGACTATCTTGGAAGACTTATTTTATTGGTGGCCCACATGGGGCATGCCACATCACCTGGAGACTTGGACAAAGCCTTGTGATTCATTGAAAACAAAGATTCCTGGCATCTTTCCAGTATCTTTTTTTTTTTTTTTTTGAGATGGAGTCTCGCTCTGTCACCCAGGCTGGAGTACAGCAGCATGATCTTGGCTCACTGAAACTTCCCTCTTCCAGGTTCAAGTGATTCTCCTGCCTCAGCCTGCTGAGTAGCTGGGATTACAGACGTGTGCCACCACATCTGGCTAATTTTTGTATTTGTAGTAAGGACAGGATTTCGCCATGTTGGCCAGGCTGGTCTCGAACTCCTGACCACAGGTGAACTGCCAGCCTCGGCCTCCCAAAGTGCTGGGATTACAGGCCTGAGCCACTGTGCCTGGCCTATCCTGTGCTTTAATCCCCAAAGTTGTGTTAAGCATCTTTGTGCTCTCAACAGACAGTGGACTTAGAGCACAAAAGAGAATGAATTTCCCTGGTGTTATGACACACACTTTCTTTTCACATTTTACCATTTCTGAAATTAGGATGCCATCATTTACATTTGATGTATTCCTTTAAAATGGTATCCTGCCTACCTCCCTTACTTCCTTTTCTTTTTCTTTTCTTCCTTGTCTTAACTTAGTCAATGACATCTTACGTCTGAAGAAATCAGGACTTATTGTTGATGGATCAGCTGATCATGGATGTATTCTTTCTTTTCCAGTATTCTTGACTAGTTTTCTCAGGTTAACTCAGTGACCTGGTGCAGAGATTTGGAAACCGCTCTGCTTTAAGGAAACCAAGCTGTTCTCCCACTTGATCATCCTCCTTTTATTGGAGGATGGCATTGTCATGGCCTGGCAGCCCATATTTCTTTCTGGGGGTATTTGGCCCAGCTTTCAGCACAGAGTAGGTGCTCAGTAAATATGTGAGTGGTGAATGGATGAATAATTAGGTATTAATACCCCTTCCCCAGATAGGGCAGGAGTGGAATTTAACAGACATCTTTCAAGATTGCTGCAGTGAGTACCTTCTTTTTAAAATGTCAAATACAGGCAGCCACCAGTGGGAGGTGGGATGTCATTACCCTAAAGGTCATTTATAAATTGGGTCTGCTCCACATGTGTTCATCTGGGGCTCAGGCTAAGGGGCAGCAGTCACTCAGAGGAAGCTCTTTTCATTGAATGACAGGGACACAAGAGGGTGAGCAGAACTGGCCGTGACTCTTGAGGTCGGTACTTGGTGGGTGTATTGTTTGTTCTGGATCATTCCATTGGCCAAAGCAGGTCATATGGTTGAACCCAGAATCAAGGGGTGAGAAAATATGAGAAGAGCTGCAAAGTCTCATGGCCAATGGCATGGCTACAAGGAAGGATGAGGAATGGGGACCAGTAATGCAATCTACCCCCATGAGGCAATGTTTTGAGCAACATTTGCCTGTCTCATAGTGCCGGTATCTAACCTGAGAATGACACTAGCTCCAAGGAAAGCAGAACAGAACACATGTATGGAGCCGAGCACTGTGCCTGGTACACTGTTATTAGGGGCAGACTTGGAATTGGAACCCAGGTCTCCTGGCTCCCAGGCCTGGGACACTTTCCGACACATCACGTGGCTTCTTCTCTCCAAGTTCATCACTCTGTGAGGCAGCCTGTCAAACCCAGACAAGTCCTGTGGCTATTTTTTTCTGCTGACTTTTCACCACGGGGATGCCAGCCAAACAGAGCTAGTGTCACGGGCCTGACGGGTGTCAAACCTTGTGTGTGAAGAACGTCCCCGTCATCCTCTCTCCCTCATCCCCCAAACACTTATCTCATTACCGAGGCGGGGGCAGGGAGCCGGGGAGGGAGGGAGGCAGCGTGGAAGTGTTTATTCTCTTCAGGAGCAAGTCTCTCTCCTAATTAGTAGGTGATTCTGTGAGATGAAGCCCAGGTGGGGAATCAACTTGGGGGTCTGGAGTGGTGCTCCAGACGTCCCTGATTACCCAAATCCCCAGCTGGGGTGAGGACCCCTCACGTGGGGAGGGAAAGTGGGGGAATATTAGTTTCTGATACAACGAGAGACAAGAGAATAATTCTACGAGGCCGTGTAGAACAAGCAGAGAGAGAAAAGCTCTTTGAGTGCAACAAGGAATGGGGTTTTAAAATTTCATTTGCACAGCGGCAGGTCTTGCCAATTGGATCCTTTCCAGAAAGCAATCTGCTAAGTCTGACAGTCGGAAGAAATGCCGGGCTGCTGAGCGAGGAGAGGCTGGGTTTTTTTAAGGGTTTATTTTTCATCCAGGTCCTTTGTGAGCAATGGCTTTTTTTTTTTATTCCATTTTAAAAGAAAAAGACACGCAGCGATCCTCTTTGTGAGGCGGGAAAGGGCTTCCCTGACCATCTGGGCCTCAGAGGGACTCGGGGAGAGGCGGCCTTTTGTGTCGGGGCATTCAATGCCCGCGCGGCCGCCGTTTATCTTTGCTGCCACTCACACCAGACTGGCCTCGCTGCCGGCTGGCCCAGGGCACACACAGAAGCTCAGAGCAGTCCTCCAGGTCCTTATCTGTGTCACGGGCAGGAGGTCGGGGGGTTGGGGGGTCTCTCTGAGCCCACCCAGAGGTCCATTGTGTTGGCTGCTCGGAGCGACAGACCAGCACCGCAGACATCTCTTTGCCCAGACCTATTCTTCGATGCACAGCGCTCTCTCTCTCTCTCTCAGCCTCTCTACCCTTCCTTGAATCCATTCCCCTCCTGCCAGTGGGGCTCGGGGATTTAGGGTGAGCATGGATTCTTGGCCCACGCCAGCTGTTACGAGAACATTTCATTGCGTGCATGTGTGCGTGTGCATGCGTGCACACACACACACTCATGCACACATGCACACACCCTTTCAGCCCTGCCTGTCAGCCAGGCTCCAGAGTCTGAGCAATCTTTTTATAGAAATGCTGAGGTGACGAGGCTGTCTTGCCTTGGGTCCTTGCCCGAGTGCTGGGGCTGTTTTGTCCTCAGACAATTGCACTAGAGCAATACTGGCCAAGAAAACGCAGGCACAGTGGGCTGGCTTAGGGCAGACTTGGTAGAGAGAGCATTTTAGCTGTGCAGGGGTTTCGCCTATTTAGAGGCTCGTTTGGGGTGTTATTTTTATAGCTTACAAGGCTCACTTTCACACATATCATTTGGTCCTTATAGTAGCCCTGTGATATTGGCAGGGTGCCTATTCATCCCATTTTCTGGATGAGTAAGCTGAGGCACAGAGAAGCTATACTGGCCTGATTTTACAGGCAGGGAAATTGAGTAAGAGTGAAGTGAATTATATACACTTAATTTGTTTTCATCCCAACCCATGAGATTTCAGCATACACTACCTGTCATTGTAGACAGCTATTTATGAGTTCAATATCTGTTGCTTTAAAAACAATGTGAGGCCGGGCTCGGTGGCTCATGCCTGTAATCCTAGCACTTTGGGAAGCCGAGGTGGGTGGATCACCTGAGCTGAGGAGTTCGAGACCAGCCTGGCCAACATGGCTAAAACCCGTCTCTACTAATAATACAAAAATTTGCCAGGCATGGTGGTGCGCACCTGTAATCCCAGCTACTCGGGAGGTTGAGGCAGGAAAGTCACTTGAATCCAGGAGGCGGAGGTTGCAGTGAGCCGAGATCATGCCATTGCACTCCAGTCTGGGCAACAAGAGCAAAACTCCATCTCCAAAAAAAAAAAAAAAAAAAAAAGACCAAAAAAAAACAAAAACACTCAAACAAGGTGACTGCTGGGTGGAGATCACTTTATCTTGTTGAATGTCTCAAGGTCCACCATGACAAAGCTGCCTTACACCAAAAAGGTAAAGATTTGGAGACTCAATGTCCCTGAGTGACTTTGGCCTCTAAGACCCCCATAGGTGTACAAGGCTAAGCCAGGAGGAGGACGGGGCTGGGAGCTTGGGGTTGCAGAGACAGAGACAGGGCTGGGGGAATCTAGCCCTTTCTTCCTGGCTAGGACAATGCTGCCGCAATGAAAAGATGTGAAGGACAAGAATTTGAGGTGGTGGGGAGTATTGACAGGGCCATTACTTGTGTATTTATCACAGGTGGTTGGGTGTGTCTAGGGACGCTCAGCATTTAAAATCCAGCCATGGTGAAACATGCTGGGAGCCTTGAGTTGTAAGTTTCTGCTTCAGGTGGGCATGGGCCTTGAAAGACTCAATCATGTAGTCCTGGCTCTACAAGGGCATGGCCCTGTGTCTGGAAGCTTTTGGCTGAGGAGGGGTGGCTCAGGGCTGTCGTGGGCCCAAAGAATGAGATGCTATGAGCAGGCACCCCCTAGCATGGCTCAGGAGGGGCTTCTGGACCAGGGTTCATCCCAATAGCCCTACCAGTTGCTATAGTATTGAAATGCTTCTCTGTCATTGTCCCAAGTGTCCCTTCCACCTGGGCTGCTTGCCATAGCCTGAGGCACCCATGTTCCTGCCCCAGGGCTGAGGCTGGGGCTCATTCTGAATGGCAGAGGCCCAGGCTGTCTCCGTTGTTAAATATTTAGAATGTCACCCCTGTGGAGCCCCACAGCCCACTCCCACAACCAGAATGGGTTTTTGTTCCCACCCGTTCAAGGCCTCTGAGCTCAGAAATGCCAAATGCTCAGTGAATTCGGGTTAAGCTGGCCTTGCTGCGTTCTGTGAGCTGCACCGCCCGGAGAATAATAGCATCTCTCAGGATGTTAGGAAAGCAGCCCCTGTTGATTTTGCAGCCCTTGAATAGCAGCTTCGTGGAAAATGTTTCTGATTTGTGCGGAGGCTCTCCCCTAGCCCCGGCCCCCGAGAGGCTGGTGTAATGCTTCTTTTCATGTGGCAGGATCGGATATGACCAGCGTGGGTTCTTTCTGTCAGATATTACGAGTGGTTATTACCGAGGCAGCCCAGCTGCCATGTGGGGCTTGGCCCTCGCTCCGGGTCTGGCGAGGCGCTGCTGTCGTATCTGAATTTCTTCATCTACAAGATCTGAATCCAATCTAGTTGCTGTGAGCCTGTTTGTGTAGCAGAAGGGAGCGGGGCAGTGAGGGAGATGGGGGGAGGCCCACGTGAGGTCGCTCATCCTTCCGGGAGGCTTTGCTGGTTAATGAAATCTCTGATTTGTTGACTGGGGGAGGGCCCCTTTGGCTGACGTTAACAGCTGATGGGGACATCGGTGTGTCAGGATGCCAAATGGTGACAGTTTGGACCTGCACCAACGGAACGGGGTATTTTCCACCCTGATTACCTCCAGTTCAAATGAGAGTGGGTTTATTTGAGTCAGGTGGATCTGGGAAACAATCAGAGAGAAAAGCAGAGGTGGCCTTCAGGGCTGTGTGTGCACGTGTGTGTATATGGTGGTGGGCCATCATTTGTAATTCCACATTTGTAGAATTCTCAGGGCTGCGTGCATTTTTAAGCTTTATTTGAATCCTGATGCTCTATAGACAGGCCAATTATTTCTCCCCTGAGGAACGCAGGCCCCAGAAGGATGGGGGCCCGAGCCCCCATCTGGGGTCTGCTGCAGAGCTTTGTGCAGGAGGAACATTTCTCCAGCAGGGAGCCTGTCTTCCCGGGGGGGTTTCCCTAGTACAGTGCACGGTGAAACCCAGGCTAGGAGTTGATGGTTCTTTCATTTTTAGGGGGAGAGAGAACTGGGGAGGTGGTTTAAAAAATAAGGTTTCCCAAACACACGCTACTGTCTGAAAGGCCCTTCAGAGGGCAGGCACGTTTGGCTGCCTCAGCTGCGGTTTTAAGAGAGGATTAGCAAGGATCTGGCTGTGCCTCATTCCTCCCACCTTTCATGCCTTCCCTGGAGACCCTCCCCAAGGATGGGAAGGGAGCGGGTTAAGGGGCTGCAGTGGGGGCAGGGAAAGCTCCTTCAGCAAGGTGAGCCTTTCTACTTAGGCTTACTTCCAGTGAAAATCAGTGGCTTTTCCCCCAGGTTAACACCCGCTCCAAACACCCATCAAACTGTATGTTGATAACTTGATCAGTTCCAATCACACATTGCTCCGTCAGTCCAAAGTGGTGGCACCTGTCACTAGCTGTGTAGACAACCAGTCCAGAGTGAGGGAATAGAGGTCTGGGGCACCCCTCTTTCACACTGGGGTGGGGTGGGGGCAGCTGTTCTCCAGCCTTTTCCCAGGTGCCAGGGAAACCAGATACTTTGCATGGAGGGTCACTAACCAAGTGTGGGGTGGGGCCAGGTGTGGCACAGGAGGGGCGGGTCTGTTCCTTTTTGAATGCTGGGAATCTTATAGCTCCAGGAAACCTCTATGGGCAGCACCCCCAGACACCTGGTTAGGGTGCTTTCTCTGGGGGCATGGCCAGAATTCACAGCTTCTCCCCCAGCCTCATTTTTCATTCATTGGTCTGGATTAATCACCCACTGTGTAACCAGCACTGAGGGGAAGAGCAGCCACGGCCCCTGCCCTCAAGGAGATTGAGATGTGGGGTGGAGAGTAGATGCTGAGGATGTTGAGTGCAACTCACAAGTGCCAGGGTTGCAGCTGAGGGAGAGACTGGCTCCAGTCTGGGGGATGGGGAGCTGCGAGTGGGTGGGGGAAGTGCATCAGAAGCTGACTTTGGCACTAGGCCTTGAAGAATAAGGATTTCACAGTGGAAAATGACATTCCAGGCGTTAAGCATGAAGGAATCATTCCGCGATGAAGAAGGGAGAGCCGCTGTAATTATAACTGACACACTGATTTAAACATTTATTCACTCCAACTACACAAATACACACGCAAATACACACTCACAGCACAAACAGCAGGGAGGGGGCATCCTGGGGGCTCCAACTTCAGTTGCAGCTGGAGTCCTTCTATTGAAGAGGACTCTATTTTTTTTTCTGATCGAGTCTAGCATCTGATGTCACACAATACACTACCACACCACACATTCCAGTGACCTGTGGTCTGTGGCCAGTGGCTAAGATTTGTTGGCTAGGGGAGGGCCCCTTTGGCTGATGGGCCCTCAGGGTTTCCAAGATGGTCTCTGATTTAGGTTGAAATGCCCTCGGTCTGGTCTGGAAAGAACTCTGTGACTATTCCTCATGGTGTGTTGTCCTAGGTCGGGTTCTCCAGGAAGCAGGCTGTGGTTGGAGATTTGCAGGGAAGGAGAGCTGTATCAGGGAGAATAGGATCAATACCTATAAGGGATACAGGAAGCTGAACTGGGCAGAGAAGTTGAACTGGGATGGGATTGCACTGGAAGGTCAGCTGATCCCACGAGGACCACTGGGACTGGGATATCCCTGCTGAGTTGTCCTGAAATTGAAGGAAGGAGGCAGTGTCTTTATAGTCCAGCATCCATCTGTTGTCAGAAGCTGGCTGTCCATGGGAAGGGAGGTGACGTTGGTTGAAACCAACTCTGTTGCAATCCCGAGAAGGGGAGATGTTCAGCGTCTCAGAATCTCAAGGATGCTCACATCTTCAGCAGCTGACACTGGCAGCTAGGAAAATGAAAGCTTCAGCTGGGAAGCGGGGATGGGGAGGTGCTTCATAGACTTGTAGATGACTCAACAGAATCTGCTGCCTTAGGTCAAGGCCTCCAAGTCGGGGAGGGCAGACCTTCACTGGCCTTCCAGGCCATGCCAGGCTGAGAGATGCTGGCTCAGGGCCCTGCCTCAGGCTCTTGACTCACCTCCAGGCACCTTTAGGAACTCTAAATTACACACATAGACATGTACACAGATTGTTCACTGTGTCCCTGACTTTTGATTCAACTCTTTTATATGTTGCAATGGTCTTTCTCACTGAGGCTAGGCAGAGAGAAAGCAGTGTGTTCTCACATGCACTCATTTACTTTCCCCTTTCTCCGGCCCTTTGATAGAGGCAGGTTAGGAATTACCATCCCCATTTTACACACTGAAAGACTGAGAATGAGGGAGGTTAAGTGACTTGCTCGTGGTACACAGGTAATAAGTGGGGAACCTGAACCCCATAAACAGCAGGATCCCTTTACAGAAATCACTTGGGAGAAGAATGAATCCTTAGCCTGTAGGCTAATGGTTCCCAACTGTGATAGATCAGCTTACTATTTCCAATTCTGACCCCCTCCCTGTTAGGAAATGATACTTCCATAGCTTTTGCCATGTAACTTTGTGGTTCTTCCTACTGGAGTCAGCTATATTTCCTACCTCCTTGATGCTAGACTTGACCATGAGACTCGCTTTGGCTAGTGGAAAGTTAATGGCTGTGATGTACACTGAGGCTTTCCATGTGCTTGCATGGTTTGGCTTGGCCTCTTATGCTCCACCCATCACCCTGGAGAGAACTTCTCCTGCATAGCCATTTGTCTGGATGACCAAAGTACAGCAGATCTAAACCCAGTTTACAATCTGGAGAGGAGTCCGATGGTGCTAGCTGAAATCAGCTGAATTGCAGCTGATCTGCAAATCTGTGAGTGAGAAAAACAAATGTCTGTGGTTGTAAGCTACTGGTGATTGGGAGTTTGTTTGTTACATGGGAGTGTCACGACAATAGCTGACTAATACACTAACTCAGGTTGTCCTATAGAATGATTGGGGAGTTTAAAAATATACCTATTCTCAGGTGTTACCCCCAGAGATTCTGATTTAATAGGTCTGGGGTGGGGCCCAGGCATCATTTTTTTGTTTAATGCTCCCTAGAGGATTGTAAAGTACGGCCATGGTTGAGAACCATGAGTCCAGGCCAACAGGGTCACATTAGACCGTACCTATATGTATTAATCAGGGCTGGGACTAGGAAAATGATGGCTTTTAATCTATCACAGCTGTTCTATTCAGCACTCCTCTGCCTTATTACTCCTCTCCCCTCCCTCTATCAGTGCCCCTTCCTTTTCCCTTTAGACACTCTTCTTTCCATTGTCCTTTATACCTTGGTGTGAATTCAGATAAAGGAGTTGCCTCCCCTGGGATTATTTGCAATTCAAGTTTCATCTCTATATTGTGGAATAAAAGACTCATCTTCTGTTAAAAGGTTTGTGGGTAAAACTGAGCAGAAGAGGTTTTTTGGGCAGAGACATTATCCCAAATCCCTCTCAAACCAGGAAACCAGACCTACCAGGGGCAGGGAGGTGTGGGATGGAATGAGAGGGGCTTAATACTGTGACTGAGGAGCAGCCAGCCTGTGACTTCCAGGGCAACTGGAAGATTTGCTTGTTCATGGGACTTATTTTTAATGCATAGACATGGGTGGGATCTAGCTGTGGTGGTGGCCTGCCTGCTTGAGGGTCTTGTGGAATGTTCTGGGGGAAATGCAGCTACTGTTCAGGGCAGCCTCATGATCCCTGCTCCCATCTCTATAGGCCTCTCAGTCTCCTATGCCACAAACCAAGCTAGAAACAAGCTACAACAGGCTCCTTCACTACCTTTGGGGCCCAAAGTCCCCTCCCCAGCTATTCTCCTTCCCCCTCTATTGCTCCTGAGGGTCCAGACACTCCTCCTTTAGGCCCTGTAACCCCAAAGGGCTGATCTTACTCTCTTTTTCAGGCAACAGAGCTTGATCATCTACAACTGGGCCCACACCTTTAAATCACAAAAATCCCTTTACACGCTGGCTTTAGGGATGCCCGCATTGGCCTGGTGGCTTTCCACTTTTGATCCTTAAACACAGAAGGTCCATTCCACTTAGACTGGCATGATGTCATGCCTCTGTCAGGACTCATGTTCTCAAAGAGAACCAGAGAGATTCCCTTGTACTTCTCTAAATAAAGTAGAGGTGAAGACACAAGTTTAATCTCTGGCAGCTCATTCAGCTACAACCTTTTGTTCCTGAAGGTTAAGATGTTACAGGAGACATCTGTGGCATATAAGGATGTAGTAACAAGCACTGTTTTTGTTACATCTCTAGTATTTTCTCTGGGGAATAGTGCAAATGATAGCACTTAGGGAGGCACTGTGATGTACCCCCCAGTTCCCCTTTAGGGAAGGACTGGTGGGCTCAGCTGCTGGGAGTGGTATTGAGTCTTCAGCAACTTCATTGGTAGGGGCCCTAGGTCACACCCCTTCCTGGGGCAGCTCATGTCTGATGACTAATCAATGTGATGGTATAAAGGCCTGGCCATATCAGCTCTATGGGGACAACTCCGAAGGGCCATTCCAATTCCAGAGCTCCCCATGCGGAGCTTGGGGGCCAAAGTCTTAACTTTCTGAGCAGAATGGGCCAACCCCCCTTTTGCTAACAGTGCTCTGAGCCCCTCACTTTGTGATGATCTTGTGATGAACTCACACATTCTTTGTTTCCATTTTTCCTTATCTCCCATCCTGCTCTGAGAGGGTATTGGTCTAGCACCAGCTGAAGAAAAGTGTCATGTCCTTGACTTCCTGGGATTCCCTGCTAGGCTACAGTGTGCTTCAGTCCTGCTTAACATTGTAGATAACAGTTCACAGAACTTGTGGCCCTAGGTTCCCTGTCATCAGCAGGAAATTTCCCCACTTCTCAGCATTTCATATGGATACATTGTGGTGTTCTCCATCATTAGAAAGAGAGCATGTGTAATCCTGGGAAGAATTAATTCTTGATAACGAGTGGTCTCAGAAATGACTAGATAGCACACTCAGAATCACCAGATGATGACGATAATAATAATAATTATAAGAAAACAATTGTGCTGCATTTATTTTAAATAGTTGTTTACCTTTCTCGTTATAGAACTTGGAAGCAGGGTTGTTAGCAAATAGGAAAATTTCCTGATTTGAGCTTTGCTTCTTATATCTTTCCCTGTGGGAAGACTCTTTCTGAGCACTGAAATGGTCAAAAACATGCCTACATGAGAGAGCACATGCAAGGATGCAGAGGAGACCCAGGAGTTTGTTTCGTTAGCTCGGCTATTTATTTTGTAACCTGAAAGGATGTTTGTGTTTTGGCCTCCCCTTTATATGGTAATAGCACCTTGGTGGTTATTTGAGAAATAATCTCTCTCCTGTTTCAGTGCATGAGGTTTGGTTGGGGCAGATGTGCATACCCTTAGCTCTAGGGGTGAGCATGAGACCCAGGTTTGACCCATCAGCAGAGGCCAAGCACTAGCCATACAGTGATTTATTCATAGATAGGCATGTGACACAAGCCTGGTCAATGGAACCTAATTCTGGGACATTGGTTGGAATTATTTGAGAAGAGAAGCACTCTTTTGGCTGTAATTTCCAAGGTAATAGGTAATAGGATACAAGCCCGGAGTTGCCAATGGAATATCTGTGTCACTGCTTCAGAGAAGCTTTCCTGACAATGAACACAGAGGACAGCAGGACCAATAAATGAGAAGGAGAATAGAGACAGAATGAATATTAATGATATAATTTGAACACCTAGATCTAGCCATACCTGAAGCCAATGCCTCTTGACTTTTTAGTTACATGAACCAATAAATTCTCTCTTTTAAGACAATTTGAATTGAGTTTCTGTGGCTTTCAACAGAAGAATCCTAATTGATCCAGTAACTCAGAGGCTTTTTCACCAAATATTGAGGCTGAGTGGGTCAGCTCCATCAGGGAAAAGGTACATGGGGAAATAGTGATGGAATACCCCCGGTTTCTTTGATTATCTATTCTAGGAGGTTGACACTGTGTGAGTGACTGACTGAGGAGGCCTTGAGAAGCTTGTGCCCTCTGTGGTAACCTGTTAAATTGCTGGCTCCGTGTGAACCGGTACACAGGGTACTGTGACTGCCTCCATTTTATAGGTAAGTCAATGCCCAGTACTCACACCCTTATATAATGCCTTGGCACACTGAGTGTGCAGGCACATCCATGTAACTTGCTTTGGCCAGAGGAACATTAGCAAGCATCATGCAGAGGCTTCATAAGTGGTCCTGCATTGGAGTTTGTCTTCCTAGAATGCTCCCTTGTGCTACTCAGTAGCCATGCTGTGAGGAAGCCCAAGCCAGCCATGTGAAGAGGTCACAGGGAGGAGAACCTCAGCAACCCTGCTAACAGCAGCAACAGTCAACATGACTATGAATGAGATCATTGTGCACATTCATCCGGCCCCAGTAGAGCCTCCAGATGGCTGCAGCTGGGAGAGTGACCCCAGCTCACAAAACATCTCCCTAGTTAGCTCCCAGACTCCTCAGATAAATAATCATTTGTGATTGTTTTAAGCCACTAAGTTTTGCGATGTTTTGTTATGTGGCACCCTTCCAACTGAGTGATAGCTAGAGTGTTAATGAGGATAAGTGATTAAGAGCTCTATTGGGGTTGGTGACATGTGCCTGGCCCATTAAAAGGGCCAGTGGGTTTGTACCCCACTCCTGGTACCAAAAAAAAAAAAAAAGAAAAAAAAAGAAAGGGCCAATGGTTGGGAGAACTAGAACTCTGGGGGAGGCAGGGATGTGTATACACTAAAGCTGACTTAGGCTGTATAGTTTGGTGAGGGGGTGGTGAAGTTCTAGAACTCTGATGGGGCTCCATAGAACTTGGCACTACCTTTCAGGGCTTATGTTTTCCTGCTGTCCAGGACTCTGCTGGCTTCTGGGGAGACACAGGACATAAAAGCATTGAGAGGTAGGACTTTGCAAGTCTCAGAGAGTTTTAACAATAGCAGTTCTCTGTTCTCCCAGTGAAGAAGTGAGAGGTGGTGGTCTTCATGCATCCTACCTAGAGGTGCAAGCTTGGAGGTGCTAGAGAACCACAGGAAAAACATGTGGCATCTAGGGAACCTCCCATCTCATTATTTGGACTAGAGAAATAGCCCTCCAAAAGATCAAGTCAAGAGGGGCTAGTCCCTATGATATCTCAAAGCCATCTAACATTTATTTTTGTCTTTTTGTGTGTGAAATATAAATGAATGAATAAACAAGACTCTGAATTGAGTTGGTGGGGACTGTGAGGGGAGGACTTTGAGACTGGAAAGAAGTTTTTGGATTATTAAGTCTATTTGCTAATAGTATTAATTTCTGAAACTTATGGAGTGTTGCCTCTGTGCCAAGCACTGTGCTAAGTCCTTTACATGCCTCATCCCATTCAATCCTCATTACAATTCCTATAAGCAGGGTACCGTGATTGCCTCCATTTTATAGGTAAGTCAATATGAAAGTGACTTAGGTGGGGTTTCCCCAGAAGCAGACCTTGATCTAAGATTTGCAAGTGATACATGAAAAGTGGTGAGCCCAGAAAGCACCAGGAGGAAGTGGGTGGTAGGGGGAAAAGACGAGAGTAAGAGAGAGAGATAATAGCAGGTTCCTGCTGCGGATAATGGAAGCTTGATCCTGCTGGAGAACTCCGGGAGACAGTGTGTAGAAGGAGTTGTTGCACCCAAGGGTGAGGGAGCTGGGATATTTATCCTCCAACTCCTGACCTTGTTGGCTGAAGACTGCTCCTGGGAGTCTCAGCTTGCTTGGCACCTCCATCCTGCCCAGTGGAAAGTGGCATTTGCTCCCACAGCCAGAGAATGCCCTCTTGGCTTCTTGCAGGTTCTTGCAGTAAGAAGCTGCCAGCTTGAATGGGAATAGTGAGTGCCGAGCACATGCAAGCTGGGTACTGGCGGCATCTGCTACATTAAGTACTTGCCCAGGGTCATCTCAATGGTAAGTGGTGGAGCTGCAATTTGAACCCAGTCGGCCTAATTCCAAGCATATGCCCTTGACTTCCACGTTCCTCAGCTTCTCTCTTGGTGGAAAACAGCAGACATATAGATAGCACCTTTTCTGATGACCCACTTTAAATGGTGTTAAAATAATTATTCATTCTAATAAAGGCAAAGCCACAGTTTCAACACCTTGAAAGAACACCAGTGAGTCTATGAAATAAATATATCCTGACACAGCCCTGAGTTGCTGCCATTTTAGAGAAATACTCCCTGCAGACACTGACTTGCTGCTCAGAAGGCCCTTGGAGGCAGGCTCTGCCCTGGGTGATCTGCATCCCCCAGGAGAGGGCATGATTGGCCCCATCCAGGTGAGGGCAGTGTGATCAGAGGTGCTGGACAATTTCTCACTTTTGAGAGCTTGGTAAGCTGCCCCATTATAAATGCCTTTAGCAGGCTGCAGCGAGCCAAAGGGGTAAACATGTGATGCATCTAATGTGCTAGGACATGCCGCCTCTGCTTGGGCCCCCATTGAGGGCCCTGCCTGCTCCAAGACACTGTATGTTGGCTAGGTGGTGAGCAGCATGGTAGGCAGAATCCACCCATTCAAGGAAAGAAGGGGACAGAGCGGCGATGGAGAAGAGAATGCCAGCGGGTTCCACTGTTTGCTAGAGAAAACCGTGGGCCTCAGGAAAGCACAAAACCCATGGAGGCAGAGATTAACCCCACTCCTCTGGAGAGAGACTTTCCAATCCGGCCTCAGGCTATAAGTAATCCCCAAACTGCCTCAGAGCAATCGGCCCTTTGTGGGCAGGGCTTGGAGAATAGCTGCGGTGGAGAGCTTGAGAGAGGCAGCCTCAGGGACACTCGGGGCCTGAGGAACAGCAGAACCTACGTGCTGGCAGGTCCCTTGGAAAGCACGCAACCCAGCCTTTATTCTCAGACTGAATCTGAGGCTCAGCTGCCTGGCCCATGGCTGCTTAGTGGTAGGGGAGGCAATTTGCAACCAGTGACAGAAAGGGACAGGCCAAGCAGGCATCAGGTGTGGCTTCTGTCCCCTCTTCCCTCATTATCAGCTCTCTTTTTTTTTTTTTTGGTCTGTCTTTTACCCTCCTCCTGCCTCCAAGCTGTCAGTTTCCACAGGAGATGAGTTTCCATAGTGGATGAATTTCCGAGTAGGTAGGAAATGCCTCACCCGTCTCTCTGGAAATATATGTTTTTTTGAACCAGTCTCATCAGTATGATGAAGAAATAGAGAGCAGATCTAATCTATTGGCGTGTTTTTCTAATTACCAGATTGATTTACCAGAGAAATCTCCCCAGGAATTTGACTTCTCTGCAAGGTCTTTGCAAGCTCTAAATTTGTTCTCTGAAAAAAGCCCAACCAAATCCTCACAGATTTGGGGGAGCTGGGTCCCTCTAATCAGGGCCCAGAGCTTATTTGTTTTCTAATGGAATCTGAATAGAATTTAACACGCAGCCATTCCATGTGGAGTGCATTCATATTTTTAATTAACAAATTAGGAGCTATTTTGCTCCCCTTTGAACGGCAGTCACGTGGGCCTGGTTCCTTTTCGGCCAATTTAGTCAACTTGGACGATTTTAATTACAACAGTCACGAGCACCAGAAATTCCTGCATCTGACAGATTCGCGACCTGGTCCATTGACTCTCATTTAAAAGCAAGTTCTCCATGAACAGAGATCTCCAAGGGCACTGGTGGGTGTCGGGAGAGGGGGCTGGGCACTGTGCCTTGGGTACAAGTAGAGAAGACTCTCATTTTCCATTTTGAGACCCATTAGTGCTGATTAGAAAGTGACCAGTTGTCTCTGGCCCTGCCTTCATAGTTTTAAAAACAGTGTCCCTTGGTGCAGAACCGCTTCTGAAATGTAGCAAAGTGGCCCTAGCTTTTTTCCTCAGGAGCTTGGCCTTGTTCCCACACTTCTCAAACTTTAATACACACAGGAATCTTCTGGAGATCTTGTTAACAGGTAGATTCTGATTCAGTTGGCTTAGTGTGGGGCCTGAGATTCTGCATTTTCTTTTCTTTTCTTTTTTTAGAGATGGGGTCTTGCTCTGTCGCCTAGGCTGGAGTCCAGTGGCATGCTCATGGCTCACTGCAGCCTCCACCTCCTGGGTTCCAGCGATCCTCCTGCCTCAGTCTCATGAGTAGCTGGGATGGCAGGCATGCCTACCACACTCAGTTAATTAAAAAACATTTTTTTTGAGAGACAGGATCTTGCTATGTTGTCCAGGTTGGTCTTGAACTCTTGGGCTCAGGCAATCCTCCTGACTCAGCCTCCCGAGTAGCTGGGCTTACATGCCCGACAGATTCTATGTTTCCAACAAGCATGCCAGTGCTATTGGTCCAAGGACCACACTTTCAGGAGAAAGACTTTGGCTGATTTATTAGTTTCTGGAGGGTTCCGGAGTCTAGAAGAGGGCCAGTTGCCTGAAATGTGCTCACATAAAGCACAGGTGCAGTGACTAGGTTTCAGTGTGGGAAGACAGATGAGAAGGGAGAGTCCTTGCTACAGTCGCATATCTCCTTGGGGTGCTGCAGTGCCAGAGATACCTCCTGCAACACTCTCTGGCCCTCCCTCAACATATTCCTCATCCAAGGTAGTTGCCTGAGCCCTAGAGAAATCTCCAGTGGCCCTTGCTGACCATTATAGAGCAGTGAACCATGTGTGCAAAGGGTTGAGGAGTGAGCTGGTTGAGCAGGGGTCTGGATGAGGCCGGGAACTTTGTAGGAGTTGAGGGAGCCAGCAAGTCACGTGGGAGGCAGAAAACACATGGGAGGCAGAAACCACATACGAGGTAGAGTGTCCATTTTGGAAACAAGTCTGTCCCCCAGCCCTCCCTGTGCTGGCAGAATGGATGCTGAATTAGCAAAGCAGACAGAACCCGGGAACACAATGTTCCCTGAGAGGTTGCAATCAAAAGGGTCCCAGCCCTCCACCCCGTGCTGAGAATTCTGTGAATTTATGATGTGTCGACAGTTTGAGCCCTAGCACATAGCAGTCTGATGGGCTACAATTAAGAGTGTGTGCTAAGCCCCTCCCTTTTCCTCCATGATGTATTCATGGAATTTATGTGGTATCAGCAAAGTGAGCAATGTGCACATTGGGGGCAGGAATTTTAGAACTATGATGTAATCATCCCCAGAGAGGTCGCCATGAGAGGAGAAAAGAATAACTGTAAAGATGAATTAAAAATCCTAAGCTTACTTGGATCTGGATTTCAAGCAAACAAACTATGTATCATAATTATTTTTATGATGTTTTTGAGACTATTGGAAATTTGAATACTGTATATTTAATGACATTAAGGAATTTTTGTTAATTTTGGGGTGTGAGAGTGCTATTACAGCTGTTAAACAGAGAGGTTGTATCTTTAGTGATGCATACTGAAATATTTATGGACGAAGTAATATGCTGTCTGGGACTTGTTTTAAAATAATACAGGGACAGGAGGAGTGGATGAGAGTATGAAAGATTGATCATGAATTGACAATTGTTGAAATTGTGCGATGGGTACATGAGAGTTTATTATATAGTGTTCTATCTATTTTTGTATATGTTTCAATTTCTTCATATTAAAAAGTTAAAAAAATCCTAGTGCACATTGTTCATTTTGCTGATACCACATAAATTTCATGAGTACATGATGGAGAGGAGAGAGAAGGAGATGAAAAAGGAAGGGAAAGGAAGAGAAGAGGAGATCAAGATTGTATGCAAGACGCTGCCCACTTCTCTACACTCTGGGCTGGGAAGGAAGAGAAAATGATCAGAACATAATGAGCCAACCCAACCACATCTTGGTGATGCACTGCAAAGGAAATGAATGATACTTTACTTTTGAAGAGTGTGTGGGGGCTTAGCTTTTTACTCTGTCTGGGGAGAAAACTCCAGTTTATTCTGGAATATGTTTCCACAACTCTGATTTATTTCATCCATCTGTCTCTGTGGATCTCTTTCTGGCTTTGCAGGTAAGTAGGACCTTGGGGGGCCATCTTACTGATTTATTTCACGTCTATCCCCACCCAAGGCTGGTAGTCCAGCTGCCCTAAGCAGACCAGAAGCCTGACCTTGAGAGTGTTAGGGATGAGATTCTGAGTTGGGTAGGTGGGCTGCACTGTGCCCATCATAGCCAAAGCTGGCCAAGGTGAAACCTATTATTTAGCCTCAAACTGAGTTGTCCAGGGAATGGTGAGGAGAGGGATGAATATGTGATTAGGTGGCATAAAACTGGGGTGGGAGCAAGTACAGGTATGAGTTTCAGTAATTTTTGCTCAGGGTCACCCAAGTTTCCAACAATGGCACTGTTAGCAAAAATTAACCTGGCTCTGCTTTAATTGTAACAGTTAAAACTTTATTGAGTATTCACTAAGAATTCAGTGCTGGACTATCACTTTATAGGATTAGTACCTCTGAAGTAGGTATTTATATTATTCCCATTGTTCAGAGCAGGAAACTGTGGCTTAGAGAATTTAAACTACTTGCCCAAGATATACAATTAGTACCAGTCAGGATCAGAGGTACTTAGGGCACCAAAGGCAAGAAGACCCTCATTCTCAGGGTCGAGCAAGGGCTGACCCTTATGTTGTGCACACTAGGCATCTCGTTGGCCTCACCTAGCCTCAGCTCTGGTCAGGGTTCAAACCAGGTCCTTACAACTTCAGCATCTACACTCCAGAATGAGCGCCCAGGGATTTTTCTTCTTAGTAGCAGACTGATTGTGTGGGGTGCTTGTGGAGGGGGGCATGATTGAGGGAACAAGAACTCTAACCAGGAACTGGTGGGATGAAAAGGGAAGGAGAAAATAATTAGTAGTCCCTTTGTACTTTTTCATGGTAGGCTCATCCCTGAACTTGGTCCTTAGGATTTATTGTAGTGCTCTGTTCTCTCTATGTAGCAGCACCTTACTTGGGTACTGAAGGGTGGAGATTTTCTCACCTTAGCCTGTCCAGGCCATGATCTCTGCATTATGATACTGGGGACTTTCACCTCAAATTTTTCTTAATCAATATCACTTGCACCAATGATCAGTCCTTGTAGTTGGGGACTTCTCTGCTGTTCGTAGCTATTTTAAAATTAGACAAAAATCCTTTGCTAAGGCCTTTTGCCCTATACACGGCTGGTGGGAGTGGAAATTGGTTCAAACCCTTTGGAAGGCTGCTTAGCCATATCTCTTAAAGCAAACCCTAAGTTTACCCTACAACTCAGCAATCTCGCTTGTAGGTATATGCCACAGAATGTTCATGTCAGCAGCTTGATTCATGATAGTTCCAAACTAAAAACAGCCCAAATGTCCATCAATATGAGGATGGAGAAATAAGCTGTGGAAATCTAAACAGCAACAAAAGAGGAAGGACCATGGATGAATCTCATAAGGAAATGTTGAGCAAGGAAGCTAGTCACAAAATAATAATATAACATATGATTTATTCTATTTATAGCAAGTTCGAAAAACAGGCAAAACTAATCTACAGTGATAAGAATCAAAACAATGGCTGCTTTTAGAGGATAATTGATTGGGCATGGGTGCAAGGGAGTTTTCTGGGCTGCTGGAGACGCTGTATCTTAATACTTATATTTAAAAAAAAGTATTAGTTTTATCTCTTTTTCATTTGGAGGGTTATTTAAATTGCCTCCCCAACAGCACAAGGTTCTCGCTTGCAAACAACAGCATCTGCTCGAAATAGTTTAAGCAGAAAGAGATTTATTAAAATATATTAATTAAGTAGCTAATGAGTCCCCAGGAGGGCCAAAGACCTGGCCTTGGGTGGTTCAGAGGCAGGACAAGGCAGCCAAGACAATGTAGCAGCAGGAAACACCTAACCACACCAAGTGAATGTTGTAGCTGGAACATCCCTGACCCCTCTGCCTACAGCACCTTTGACCCTCAGCACTGGGTGTCAGAAGCTCTGCTTCAGCAGGCCCAAACCAAATGCCTCTGCCACAATTCTTGCCAGAAGATCTGATGTCCTGGCATGGGTCTGATGCCTCATGTTGCTCGCATCTGCATTCAGATCTTATGCGTGTGACTGATAGGTGGAACGATCATGTGCCTGACCCTTGATGGTGCAGATTCCTGGGAATTGTAGTTTTTAGCTTTTGGGCCCCATAATAGAAAAAATCAAGCTAAAGGTGTTGGAATGGGTGTTAAGTGAGCCCACCACACTCCCCTTCTGCCTTTTTCTTTTTCAGGGACAAATGGGCAGTCAGTGCTTGGGGAGTGGTACAGCAAAGTCCTTGTCCCTAATGGGGGGGTTAGATGCTCTTTTTCCATGGGTCTTTTCCACATTTAGCCCTGCATGACTGTCTCCCATGCCCTGAAGCAAGCCTCAGTTGGCTCCAAATAAATTCCCTCACACGGTTGGCTAGGAAAGACTGAAGTCACTGATTTGGAAAACACAGTAGAACCACAAGCCAAATTTCACCCACAAGAGAGAAATAAGAATAACTCCCAGGACACCTCAGGAAAATTTCTGTGAGTATGCTCTTCTTTCATTTCCCGAAAAATTCAGAACCTTTTTGACTTAAAAACCATATTTGACAATTGCAGCTCATCTTCATCCATGCAATAACATGGATACATTTGTATTCATTAACATGCTTCTTAGGGAGTGGACTGTATTTGTGTGGGAGCATATCAAGAAGCCTTGTGGGATAGAAGCTGAGTTGGGGTGGGAAAGCAACTCTCTATATGAGGAGAGGAATCTATTTGTGTTTGAGAGGGAGTTGGTTTAAGGGAGAAGGAAGTGTGGAGAGAGCCAACCAGATGGCACAGACTGGAGGCTGCATGATGTAAAGCCATCAGGAACCTTACTAAAGTCATGAAGTTGTTGGTGCGAATGAACAGTTTGTGTACTCCCAAGATTCTGATTCTGTAGACTCTAAGGAACCTCGGCATCTGTATTTTTAGCAAATGTCCTTGGTTATTGTAATGTGGCTGGTTTGGGGAAGTCACGGTGAGGAGGTCCTGTAAAAAAATACTGGCAGTATTAGAATCCCTGTTAGACTGACCTAATTCTAAGATAACTCCATGTGTATTTACTGCCCCTCCAAGGAGTTTTTCAACAGGCCCTCAACTCCCACATTTTGTTCAAGCCTTCTCAACCTTCCATTCCACAGTAAGGCATTGCTGAGAATGGAGGGCTCTGCAAAAATAGATGTTTCCAGAAAACACATGCTTTCCCAGCGTGTTGTAAGAATGTTTTTGGCTGCAAGTAATAGAATAGCAAACTAAATGTGGTTTAAATAGCGAGAACATCTAACAAGATGTCTGATTGCAAGGTTGGTTAATTCAGCTTTTTAGACAGGTCATTAAGAATGGAAGAGCTTCCTGTCCTTCTCCTCCATGTCCAGAATATTGGTTTTTAATCTTTAGCTTATCTTCTCAAGATTGCAAAATGGCTGCCACAGCTCCAGGTATTATATCCTCACCTAATCATGTCTAAGGAAAGGCATAAAGAGTTTCTTCTTACACACCCTTTTCAATCAGGGAGGAGGACCTTTCCCAGAGGCTCCACAGAAGCCTCCTCCTCAGGTCCTAAAAGGTTATCTTGTCATAGTCTAGCTAGAAGGGATACTGGAAAGTGAATGGTAGTTTCAGTCTCTTTTAGGGTAGTAGGGGTGTGACATGAAGAAATAAGTAGGAGGGAAAGGGCTGATGGAGAGGCAACCAACAGTGTCTGCCACAGCCACTTCTTCAAGTAGTAATGAAAAGGGTTCAACAGTTTCTGATGGTTATGTTTCCCTGCCTTCCTGAACAGAGATACTCAACCATCTCACTTATTACATAATGATGTAGGCTCAGCATAGAGCAGAGAAGAGAACACTCAGGGCATGAATTTGTGCTCCACAGAGTTCTTTGATGAGTCACAACTTTACTCTCCTTTGAGACCTTTCCAGGCTTTAGCATGACATCCTCCATTACAGTGCTGAGGTTTTACAGCTGCATGCCTGCCTTTTTGAGGTTTTTTTTTTTTTTGTCCCACCTCTTGATATCCACATGTCAACTATCACTTTTTCTGTTGTTATTATACTTGACATTACCTCCTTTTACCTTTTTATGTCTAATTCTGTTCTGGGCTGATAAATCAGATAATCAAGTTTGTTGAAAGTAGACCTACCATTCCATCCAGCTGGGTATCTACCTAAAGGAAAAGAAGTCATTATATCAAAAAGACACCTGCACATGTATGTTTATCACAGCACAATTCACAATTACAAAGATATGGAATCAATCTAACTGCTCATCAACAAATCTAAGGCCAAAGAAAATGTACATATACACCATGGAATACTACTCAGCCATAAAAAAGAACAAAATAATGTTTTTGCAGCAACTTGGATGGAGCTGGAGGCCGTTATTCGAAGTGAAGAAACTCAGGAATGGAAAACCAAATACCTTTATGTACTCACTTATAAGTGGGAACTAAGCTATGGGTATGCAAAGGCATACAGAGTGGTATAGTGGAAGTTGGAGACTCAGAAGTGGGGAGGATGGGAGGTGTGTGAAGGATGAAAAAATCACCTCTTGGGTACAAGGTACACTACTAAGGTGACAGGTGCACTAAAATCTCAGACTTCACTGCTATATAATTCATCCACGTAACCAAAAACCACTTGTACCTCCAAAACTATGGAAATAAAAATTTTTTAAAATAAGATAACCCCCCAAGAAGAAATTAGTGTCAAATATAAGTGAGTAAGCTCTGAATGAAGGACTAGGAAGTACTGTTTCCAGTATTAGTACAGGGTCTAGAGTGGCTCAGAGGCTCAGAGACTTTTTTTGAGGAGAGTGATAATTGACTGATATTTTCAAAACCTTTTTACTTCATTAAAAAAACAAGTTTACAGAAAAGTTACAAAAAGCATACATGAATTCCTATATGTACAAGTCATCAAGATTCAACAAATCCTTTTTTTTTTTTTTTTTTTTTTTGACAGGATCTCACTCTGTCACCCAGGCTGAAGTGCGGTGGCGTGATCTTGGCTCACTGCAACCTCTGCCCCCTGAGCTCAAGCGAGCCTCTCTCAGCCTCCTGGGTAGCTGGGACCACAGGTGCGCACCACTATGCCCGGCGAATTTTTTCTATTTTTGGTAGAGATGGGGTTTTCCATGTTGCCTAGGCTGGTCTTGAACTCCAAGCTCAAGATATCTACCTGCCTCGGCCTCCCAAGGGGCTGGGATTACAGGTGTGGCCACAATGCCTAGCCTAAGATTCAGCATATCTTAACATTTTACTACATTTTCTTCTGTGTGTGTGTGTGTGTGTGTGTGTGTGTGTGTGTGTGTTTTATTATTGTTGCTATTATTATCATTGTTATAGTTGTATGGTTGAACCATTTGACAGTAAGTTGCAGACATCATAACATTTTAATCCTAAATACTTCTGCATGTACCTCTTAGGAACATGGACATTCTTCTGTGTAACTAGAGTGCAATGATAAAATTCACCAAATTTGACAGATAAAATATTAATATCTGCTACACAGACTTTTTTCAAATATTGCCAATTTCCCCAATAATGTGTTTTAGAGTATTAGGTTTTTGATCCTGAATCCAAACCAAAGTCTTGCATTGAATTTCATGAGACCCTTTAAAGCCACTATTGAGTTGGGGGTCTGTGTTCTGAGATCTGAGGGTGCCAGACAACTCATCTCTGAATAATTAGTGCCTCTCTGAGTTGACAGCCGTAGAGGACTTGTAACTTCTCAAAAACTTTTTCCCTGCTTTCATCTCACTTGATCCTTACAACAGTCTTGTGAGAGAAACAGGGCACAGGTTAGCATCTCCATTTTATGGATGAGGAAACAGAGCTGCAGAGGGTCACACTGTAGGTTTGAGCCAAGAGATCTGTGTTATAGCCCCGGCTTTGCAGTAAATCCACAGACCTTTCCTCCTCTCCCCAGCAGATGAACAGGCAGATGAGAGCTTAGCTAGGCCTCCCACCTGCGGGGGGCTGGCCTTGCTGTGATGACACCACCTGTCTCCCAGTTGGCGGTTGTCCCTCTGGTGCCAGGAACTAGGCAAGCAGATGTCTAGAAGAAAGCCAAGGTCGGCAAGACAGAGGCAATTGGGGAAAGAGCCCTTCCCTCTGCCCTAGTGCCTGTAGCGGTGTTACTCAATAACCTTTGAGTGCTATGGTGAGGTAATGACTTGCTCAGGGACCAGTTTCTCCATCTCTTGTAGAAGAGGCTGGCTGATAACTTTTGTGGTCCCTTTTTGCAATATGAATCCAGGATGCTGTGGCTGCCCCACCCATAGGGCTTTAGCCCTTATAACTGTAGTGTGCCGCTGCACTTTCCACTGCCAGCACCGCTGCATTTCCTTGTCCAAGGACTTCTATAGTGCCTGCACACAGTAAGAGAGTAGCGCCAGCCCTCTCCTCCTGACCCTTCTTCCCCCAGCCAATTCTCCCTGAAAGCAAGCCTCAACCCATGCATTGGCACATAAATACTTCAGCTCCCTCTCCCCTAACTCTGACATACATGTTCAAAGTGTGATCCCTGGACTGGTGCCAGTCTGGGAACTGTTTATTACTGGCTTGCAATAAGTATAGAAATTGAGCAGTTTGGGAGGCCAAGGCGGGCAGATCACCTGAGGTCAGGAGTTCAAGACCAGTCTGGCCAACATTGTGAAACCCCATCTCTACTAAAAAATACAACAATTAGCTGGGTGTGGTGGCATGCACCTGTAGTCCCAGCTACTCCAAAGGGTAAGGCTGGAGAATCACTTGAACTCGGTAGGTGGAGGTTGCAGTGATGGCGCAACTGCCTGCCAGCCTGGGCGACAGAGGGAGACTCCATCTCAAAAAGAAAAAAAAAAAAGAACTTGAGAGTCAGCATTTGGGAGCTTCATATCTTTTGAACCCAATAATAAAAAAATTGGGGCTTGTATTTTGTATGTCTTGTTTTTTATTTTTCTAGGAATTCATTTTTATTATATATTTTAAAGTATCAGGAGGAGAAAAAAAGTATCAGTCTAAAATATCTTAGAAATTAAAAAAAAAATGAATCCTTTGGCATAGATAGTTAGAAGAGAACTCTTCTACACTGTTTCTGAATGGGGTTAAGCTCTGGCTGTGCACCATTGCTCAACAATGCATGGTTTATTGCCCATCTTTCCTTCCCTGTCTTATTTCTCCACTACCCTACAAGTGCTTTCTGGGATATCCCCCTAAATACATCATTTACACTCAAATTCTTGTCTCAGGGTCTGCTTCTGGGGAGAACTCAGCCTAAGACAATGGCTTATGTTTCTTTCCAATTAATTTGAGGACCCAGTTAGTTAATCCTGTGATTTTCAAGTGTTTATACTTTTGAAATGAAATACCTAAAGTTTGTACATGGAAGTACCTTTTAAAAATACCTCAAGCCTTTAAGAGCATTTAAAGCAATTCAAGAGGCATTTTTGTTTATTTCCACCCATGTCTTAATTCATTTAAGAAATGATTATGAGTGAGACCGCCTGGAATGTGATCACCACACTTATCCACACTTTAATTTCACGAAAGCATTGAATTGTCCACCGCCTTCTCCTCCCTTTACTCTGCTTTGCCCCTACCAAAAGCCTCAAACATTGCACACACTTTGTATCTACGTTCTCAGCCCCAAAGGTCTCAGGATCCTAGGAGAGACCAGGGCTATGAAGCAGGATCATATTCACTCTCAGAGTCTTCTAAATACATGGGATTTCAAAGGAGCTGATCGCAAATCAAAGTAAAGAGCCATAGTCTTGGCTTTGTTCCCTGTCTGCTGTTTGTATATTTCATATTATGCATGGGCCGGGGGTGCCCACGGGGGGGCCTGCTGGTTATAACCACAATCAATCAATCCCAGCCTATTTTCAGGTCCTGCCAGCCATCGGGACAACTTCCAGGACTATGTGAGTCTTCTTTTCATTATTTAAAGACTGGTGAAAGGATGCAAAATTACCTCATGAAAGGGTCAGGCTGACCAAGTGACAGGCCAGCTGAGGGCTTGAGGCTGTCAGAAGGGCATTAGCACCTTGGTCTTCGAGGCAGGGCAGGCACACTTGGCATCTGGGCATCGTTTCATCCCTGGTTTTGGGATTGGGTGGTGCTGGGTTAGCCTTACAGCTCTATCTAATGCAGAGGAAGTACCAAAGGGGCTAATGAGACACTTAATACTGGTTTCCCCACTACTTCGCAGTGTAGAACTTTGACCCTAGCTAAGACACAGTGGTCAAAAACTCCAAATGCTGTGAGCATTGGCCCAGGGCAATACTAATGGATCCACAGAGCACTATGTGCAGCAGCATAATCAGGAAATGAGGAGCAGCAAAGGCCTACATTATCACGCCTGTGTCTTGCACCTCTGTGAACAGCAAAAGTGGCCCACTCTGTTTCTTCTCTGAGCAGGCAAACATGGTCAGAGCTCCACCAGATGCCTTCAGACTAGGGGTGCCAGGTAAAATACAGGATGGCCAGTTACAGGGAATTTCAGATAAATAATATTTTTAGTATAAGTATATCCCAAATAGCACATGGGGTATACTTATAAAAAAAAAAAAGATTTGTCATTTACCTGAAATCAAATGTAAACTACCCATCCTGGATTTTTATTTGCTAAATTTGGTAACCCCTCCTTTGATCCTTGCTACCATTTCTGCATGCCCCTCCCTGTAGCTTTGAGGTGGTTTTGCTTCCAAGGGACTGTACCTGTGGTCCTCCTTTTGCATGCCTGCTCTTAGGCTGCCAAAGCCACTTTGCCTGAAGACATAGAGAGATGACATGCATAGGAGTTTGCCTCCTTCACCTGGCCACAGGATGGTCCCTTGCTGAGCACCAATGATTGTTGGGCACAGGTGTAGGAAAGGCCAGCTTTCTTGCCTTGGGTCTATCTAGTAGGCTCAGGCTGGAGCTCCCCTCTGTGGAAGTGGTCCCAACATTGCACACTCAATTGGCTTAATCCGCTCACTTGTCCTGCTTCTTTCACTCCCTTACCAGTTTCCCCTGGGAGCACTTCCATCAGAAATCACTCACATCAGAATCTACAGCTCAAGGTCTGCTTCTGGGGAACGGTGCCTAAGATGGCTCACCAAGAAAGGGGTCTTCAGGGGGTGAGGAGAAGGTTTATCGTGAATTTTGAAGAGCTGAGGGAAAGGCAATGGGGAGCCCTTCCAGAGAGAAAGGCCCTTGCTCCCTGTAGCTTATGCTGGAGAGGAGTGGAGGGTAGGGGTGAAATTAAGCTTCCCAGACTAGCTCCCTTGAGATGGAGGGTGGCCAGCCATTTGGCCTCCAGACTGGGGCCTGGGCACTTGCCTCCTGGCTGGGAACCCACTGCTGTAAGTGATGCTTCAGTGCTCAAGCTCCCGTGGGGTCCTCTGTGCAGACACAGGCCCTCACCTTCCAAGCCTGCTTGGCTTAGTTTTGCAGCTGTTAAGACTTGCAAGTGCTTAGCATACTGCCTGGCATGTGGAAGGTACTCTGGATATGTTGGAAGAATGAATGACTAACTGAAGTTACTCCATGTCTTTATAGCCAGTGTTCTGTGCTTCCCCAAGCCCTCCCTGGTCAGACTCAGTCTCTTAAACTTGCTGCAAATGCACCAAGTCATAGGATATCTAATAAGCCTTCAGGTTCTGAAGACCTGGGGAAGGAGGGCCATGCACCATGCTTTGCATGGTGGAAAATGAGAGCAGGCAGCTGCAGAGCCAGCCCCGGTCCCTTGAAAATGGAAAGGCCATTCTCAACCTTGCCTGCACATTGGAATCACCTGGGAAAGCTTTAAACAATTCTGAATTTTGGGTGTCATCCCAAGAGATTCTGTTTTAATTGGTGTGGGTGTGACCTGAGCATAAGGATTTTTGAAAGTTTCTAAGATATTCTATTATGCTGCTGAAGTTGAGAGCCACTGGACTAGGAAGTTCTGTACCTGGATGGAATGTCTCAGGTCACCTTTGATTAAATGGGATGATGATATTGGAGATGGTCAAGGCATTAGGTTAATTGGGCTTTATCATTTAAAATTCTGGAATGTCTGCATTTCAGGAAATGAATGATTCCTAGACTGAAGGAAGCTGTTCTAGTTCAGCAGTAACTGCAGAGGTTCTCAAACTTAAGGGTGGATTATTAGAATCACCTCTAGCGCTTATAGAAATACAGGTTGTTGGGCCCCACCTCTAGAGTTTCTGATTCAGTAGGTGTGGGGAGAGGCCCCAGAATTTGCATTTCTTAAAAATCCCCAGGTGACATGGATGCTGCTGGGCTGGGGTACACATTTTGAGAACCACTGATTTACTGTGAATTATATTTGGAGCTAAGCTTAGTCTCTTGAGAGTAAGTTTTACTTTCACTTATTTGTTCCCCACTGGTTTATCCCTCAGAAGTGTTCCTTAGGGACTGTGTATTAATTAGTTTTTCCTGTAATCATGCTGTGTAACAAACAACTCCCAAATGTCAGTGACTTACGACTGCAAACATTTATTTCATACTCACAAATGTGGAGGTTGGCTACAGTTCAAGCCATGCTAGATTTGAATCCAGACTTCAGTTTGGATTCATACTTGCTCCACATAGATTTATTCTGAGACCCTGGCTGAAATAGCAATGGCTACCTGGAGCATGCTTATTTCATAACAGAGGACAGAAGCTTCAAGAGGGCTGGCAGAAGCTTAAAGCTTTAACTTGTAGCTGACACACTATCAGTTTCACCCACATTCCACTGGCCAAAGCAATTTCCATGACCAAGCTCAGAGTCAGAGGATGGGGAAATATACTTTGTCCACAGTAAAAAGTGTCAGGGACAAGGAGTAAAGAATGATGGACAAACAATATTACCTATCATAATTTGTTAGATGTCAGGCCTCATATGAAGTTTTGAAGAGACATAGAAAGATAAAACAGAGTCTCGGCCTCTGAGAAGCACAGGTTGGCAAGAAAGACAAAGATACAAGGAGGTACTAGAAATGAGATGCAGGATGAATGAGCAGCAGGAACATGCAGGTGGGAATGGCCCTGATTGCTGAGATCTCTACTATCCCACACTGTGCAACCAAGGCCCTTGGAACTGGGCCCAGGCTGCAGTTCTGGAAGCCAGGGCTGTGTGCGGGAGTAGCTGAGTCGGCACACAGCTACAGAGCATGGAGCAAAGGGGAATTGAGTCTGTGCCTCGGCTGAAGCAAGTTTGTTCCAGAAAGTCCAAAGTACCTAGTCCAAAGCAGAGAATAGCTAAGAGGGAGAACTGGCTTTTTATCAAAGGGCTGCCACAGAAAACAAGAAATATGAGTGCACCATTAGGGAAGTGAAGCCTGTGGGTAATTTGTGGTGGCAAGGGGACGGAGGAGGAAGGACTGTTTGATGGGGTGCCTACTGTACTGAGCTTCAGGCAGCAAAGGTATTACGAAAGCCGTCAAGTTGGAGGACAGGAAAAGGAAAACTGATCTGGGCAACTTTCCCAGAGGAGCAAATATTCCACCTGGGGCATAGCTGGTGAGTAGGAGTTTGTTAGCAGATGGAGGCTAGATGATAGGAAGGGGAGTGTTAGGAGCTTAGGTGACAATTCCAGGGGCACTCAGACTCCTCTCTTTGCCAGTAAGTTCCTGCAGTTGCTATCTTTGCCCCAGTCCACTCTTCATCCTCACCCCCAAGCTCCAGGCTGTCATGATGCCCACAGCTGTCTTTGTGTTTCCAGGTCACTGAGGTTTTATTGCCTCTGAGGTTCAATGATTTTGTCCTCCTCAAGTAATTACCACTGAAATTATGTTGTTTGATTTCAGAATGATTACAAAACTCTCAGACTCCCAAACAGTATCACTTAGACTGAGTTTTCTGGGGACTGGTGTCCAGAACTGACATCCCCAGTGCTAGGTTCAAACACAGGATTTGCCAGAACTCTCCCTCTTCAGCTACCCTTCTTATGTGGGTGAGGGGAGAACCCTGCCTCCTGGGAGTCTTTGCTCTGCTCCCAGAGGCTAGGCCAAGTTCCGGCCATCATCTATTATTAGAGAAGCACAGTAAATCCCCTAAGATGGCACGATTAAACACTCTAAGGTTTTGAAGTCATCTTTCCAGGAATCTAGAGGCCTGCATGAAAATTTGACTTCTGGGAGTCTGCCATGACATCCTCAAGCTCCTGAGCTGGGTGAGATAATGAGGCCAGCAAGACCTCAATTTCATAAAGAAAGGCATTTGAGATGGAAGGAAAAGCTAGCTCAAAGGCACAAAGAGGTAAACACTCTGTTGGTGTCAGTAGCGTCTGCTCAGTTAGATATGGCTGAGCCAGGCTAAGCAGGGTGGGTCGAGGAGTTAACTGGGGGTGGGGAGTGGAGAATGAGGCTGCATGGGAGGGAGGAGTTGGTGGATAAGGGGGCGGGGCTTTATGTAGGCAGCAGAGACCATAAAAGCTGTTCAAAAGCGGAAGTGGCACTTTGCAAACTTTATCACGTTTCCTCTGAAAAGTCCCGTTGAATTCGGGGGAGACTGGAGAGAGATCAGAGAGAACCCTGGTTAGGGCCATGTTGTCGGGAAGCTTGGAAAGAGAAAATTCGAGAACCTTTAGTCTTTTCGGCATGAGTTGCAAAGTCAGCCTCCTACAGGGATGGGACAGGGATGTAAGGGAATGAGCAGGCTGGTTTTTCCTTCTTTTTTCATTCCAGAATGGCATCCTTGGCTTTGTTGTGTTCTGTGGGGAAATGCTTTGCATAGTAATGACATAAGAAGAGTCTCCAATTCCACCAAGATATATGTTCACTACCATTTTCCTTTAAAGACACAGCCCTTTCTTTTCTGCACCTTTGATAGAGACATGGGTATAGGAAATATTTCATTCTCCTCTTAATAGCACCATACCAGACCCACAAAATGAAAAAAAATGATTTATGGCAACTGATAGCTGGCCTCACTGGAAGTGAGTTATAGGGAGCACTGGGGTTGTGGAAAGCTAAGTGGGGATGTCC
Source organism: Homo sapiens (assembly GCF_000001405.40). NCBI lineage: Eukaryota > Metazoa > Chordata > Mammalia > Primates > Hominidae > Homo > Homo sapiens. The sequence continues at coordinate 39,491,135 of NC_000023.11, read as the reverse complement.
AGACCCAAAAGGGAGCCATCCGCTTCTCGGCTTTAGTAGGTGAGGACAGATTTTCTAATTTTGAAGAAGAAATGGACAAAATGTTTAGTATAAAATCTTTCTATTTTTAAACATTGGCTACCAATTTGCATTTTTTTAAACCGTGCTGGAGAGGCCAGACACAGACTGTGGGACCCTTGGTTTGTACCTGCTCCCCTAGATCTTTAGTGGGAATAGTGCCCTTAGATGTGAGATTGTTGACTTTTTCCAAGAGTGACACCTTCAAGACAGTCATGGTCCAGATGGCAGGGCTGTACCAAGGGGCTGGAGGGTTGAGGTGGGCTTGGGGGTGGAGATGGTGGCCCTTTGAGAACTAAAGGGGGAAGAAGATTTGTGGTTTTGGTTCCAGTCATTCCAGTTCTGTGGGGCTACGCCCATGAGGCAAAGCTGCCTGTTCCCCTTGTCTAATGCACTGAAATCCAGATCAGTCAAGAGGCCCCAAGGCCCAGCCAGAATCCACTGGAGCTAGGGATGGGTGGGGCAGGCAGCCAAGCAGGCTGAATTAGTTTCCTGGGGCTGCTGTAACAAAATATCACAAACTGGATGGCTTAGAACCACAGAGATTGATGCTCTCCCAAATCGGGAGACCAGAAATTCAAAATCCAAGTGCCAGCAGGGCCATCCTCTCTCTGAAGACTCTAGGGGAGGATCCTTCCTTAACTCTTCCAGCTTCTGGTGGTTGCTGGCAACCCATGGCACTCCTTGGCTTACAGACGCATCACTCCAATCTGAGATTCCATCTTCACATGGTGATCTTCCCTCTATGTGTGTCTGTGTCCAAACTTCTCTCTTCTTATAAGGACACCCGTCATTGGATTTAGGGTCCACTTCATCTTAACTTGATTGCATCTACAAAGACCCTATTGCAGGAGGACAGGTCCCCAGGTGGCCTTGGCTGACCTAACTCCCCTCCACCCAGCAGCTTATAGTTCTCAGAATAATTGGAGAATATGCCAAGAATGCAATGTCTTCTGATAAGAAAGAACTGTCTGGAACAGCCTGGGCTCTGTCCTCAGTCCTTCTAGAACAGGCTCTCCTGTAATGCTTATTCTCAGCAATTCCAGTGATGTTCAGGTATAAAATCCAGGACCGAGTGTTTTTAGGGCCCCTCAGCTGCAACGTGACATGGGGCACATGCAGAAGAGACTCCATCCACCCTGAGCAGCTTTCCTGAGCCTTGGGGGACTGGCTTACTGTGGGTCCTAGGCTTCTCTTTTTTATTTCTGCCTATTACTCTGTGAGTAATAAACCTGCTTTGCTCGACTTATGTGAGTGTTCTGTCTCACTGGACTTACGCCAGTGGGAAAGGACCTTTGCACCCATTTCCAAACAAGACCACATTTTGAGGTTCTGGGTGAATATGGATTTGGGAGGGGGACATTATTCAACCCAGCACATCAGCCATCTTGAATTCCTGCCTCCTTCATCAGGTGAGTATTCAGGATGGCTGGGCCACAGTGCCATCAGGCCATGCTGAGGCCCACTTCCATGTCTCAGTCAGGTGTGTGCCACTGGTGGCCTGGAAGGACAGGCAGAAGCCCAAGGCCCTTTAGGGGTTGACAGAGCTGTGGGCAGCCCCAGTCTGTCAGAAGAGGGCTGAGGTTGGAGGCTGGCTATGGCTCACATGGGAAAGCTGATGATGGAGGGAAGTGGGCATTCCCTGCCCCGGCACTGAGCAGGAACGTCATCACTGGCCCTGCAGCTCCTGTGGCTTGAGTCCCACCTGCAGGTCCTTGCTGGCTTAAGAGCTCTGTCCTGGCAAAATAAGAACAACTGCTACATGGCAAGAGCCCCCGCAGAACTCTGGTGGCTTGCAAATGAATCTCTGAGAAGAGGAGTGGGGAACAAGAAGATATCTTGCATGCTGAAGCTCTGATTGTTCTATGGCAACTTCCCAGACGCTGAGAGAGCCTGTGTCTTGGATGTCCCCTCCTTCCCCACCTAGCTTTGAGCCTGCTTGCATATCCTGGCCTTCCACATTTTAAACCTTTAGGGGAACACTTTTCTGCCCTCTGACACTTATATTCTCCCTAATGATGACTTTGTGGACTCCCTTTGCTTATGTGCCCCTGTGCTGGCCCAAATTGGAGGATCTCTGGTCCCCATAGGCAGAAGGAGCTATGCCTATTTAGGAAAGGTGGCAGAGAGCCCGAGGGGCACATCCACTTCCTTTGGAAGTTCAGAGTCCCTGGAGCGGAGGTTGTGGGATTCCTGAGTTGGAGAGGACATTAACTGTCACCAAATCAACTTCCTTAGAGCTTTGAGTCCCTTCTCTGTGGCTGCTCCTCAGGGTTATCCCATGCTTGAAAAAATGCAGAAACAGGGCACTTGCTACCCCCAAGGCAGCCCAATTCATTTTTAGACAACTCTAATCTTTATCAAATTCGTCCTGATGCTGAGTCAGAATCTGCCTCCCTGGGCACTTCACCCCTTAATCCTGGTTTATCCACTGGGGCCTGGAGCGCAAGTATAATTCATCAAATCATCAGCTATCAGAGCTGGAGGCCACCAAGGCCAACCCCTCATCTTAAGTTCCCTTTCTTGCTCCAGATGCCACTTCCAGATGTACCAGCCTTGGCCAGAATTGTCTGTAGTTTGTATTTGTCTGCCTCTTCCCTGGATTTTAAGAGTATTTTATTTTTGTTTCCTTGGCAGACTTGGGTACCCGTTCTGAAAAACCAGGTTGGCCTTCTCAACCTAGGAAGGAAAGGAGGGTGGCAAAGGTGCCCTGCACAGGTATGACAAATGAAAGACTGGTGGCTATACTCACAAGCCCAAAGACTGGGGTGGGCAGGAGGCAGGCAGGCCTGTCTCCCCACCAACCTGAGGTCTGCATGGGACTGAAGGCTGCAGGCAGCTGTTCTCTCTGCCTGCCACCCCCATCCTCAATATAAAAGCACACCCATCATAGTATTTATAGAACTAGTAAATAAAGAATAAAATAGCAAGTGAAAGTAGGTTTTGATTGCCTACGTGTTGGTAAAACCCAGCTGGAATAATTTGATTCATGCATGGAAAAATGCCTCCGAAGCAGGGCCTTTTTTTAGTGTGCCGAAACTGAATCCCTCCAGCCGCAGATAGAAATTTCTGCTCCTATAGTTTGGCTCTAAGACTAAGAATTAAAATCTAAAATGAGATTCCAAGAGAACTAATTATTTGATCCCTCGAAATATACCAACTAGCCGTTTTCCAATCTTGCAGACAAAGCTGCTGAATGAAGGAAGAGATGATAACGCCCTCTTTGGCACCCAGCTCTTTCTGGGAGGCACATCCTCACCCAGTTGGAAGGGAATGAAGACTGTCTCATCTGTCAGACCTCTGGACATAGCCCTGTGGCACAAAGAGATGTGTCTTTAGGCAAAATTAGGCACCATGTGAATTTGATTTCTGTTCCTAGTATAAAGGGGCTGTGACTAATTTTATGTTCTGCGAGTGGTTTTGAGGAATGAAAAATCTATTCTTCCCACCCCCAGCCGCCCACTCCCTCAAATAAGGGTTTCCTTTTCCCAAGACGCCAGATTGCTTTGCAGACAATGCCACTCACTTGTTATAGGAGGTTCTGGGAGAAGTTGGCATAGAGCATACTTCTGTTCTTGGACATTCTCTGGCTTAATGGACACTGGACTTATCAGTGACCCATGGTTGTGGACAGCTGCTGCTTTTCTTGTCTGCGACACCCCCTCAGATGCACAAAAACACACACAGGAAGCCCCAATATGGTGACCTTAAGAGCTAGTTTGAAAAATACTTTTGTTTTAGAAACTGTGTGGGCTGGTAGAAAGACGAAGTGAAGCTTTCACAATTAAGAACTGTGCTTTGGAGTGTTGATCCCAGGAGACAAACTCCCAGAAAACATCCCTTCACTGCTCTTGACTTTGGCCTTCACTTTAAAATACATGATCCACCAATTAGGCATCCAATTGGGTTTCTAAGATTTATTTTTAAAAATGTGAGGATGAAGGGATTCCCAGTCACTGAGAATGAAGGATGAAGGGGTTCCCAGTCACTCACATTGTAGTGAGAATTAGTCCAAGAAAATAGCTTTCCTCTGAACCCCTTTATGCATTCGGCTACTTTGAGACAGTGAGACTTGGAGTGAGAGAGAATGGTAATTTTAGCAATAGTGCACGTTGGGGACTGAGGACCTGAATTAAGAGATTCCTACGTTTGAATTCCAACATTTTCTAATGTTCAGATGCATCTGATAAACCAGTAATTTGTCTAAGGAGATTGACAACCATTTAAATAAAACACTGTCTTCATGGTGGTGGTGGTAGTGGGGGGCAGCGTTTGTTACTAGTTCTGAACAACCAGCTTGCAAGTGAATTTTTTCAGTCAGTAATTTAGACTGTGCAAATGATGAAACTGACATTCAGAAAGGCAAAAAGGTCTCACATGTACGGTAGTGAAAAAAGAATTTATTCCTCCAAATGTAGGGTCATGGTGTTACAGATAAAGGAAGGGCTCTTATGCAAATAAATCCATGAGGACAAGCCTATGGGGTCATGGTGAAGTGCTTTGTCATTGCATTCTACCACCCCTTCCCTAACTCCCTGCTACCACTTATTTTCAATTCTACCCTGCCAGGGGGTTTCTGAGGTGTTGCCCTAGAAGTGCCCAAACCCTGGTCTGCTGTAAAGGACATCCCTGTAGATGTTCACTCACCCTAATGGGGAACCTTCGTGGAAATCTAATTATTCATAATCCAATGATTGCTAAGGCTCCAGCAATTGAAATGATGCATGACTTCTTGTCATTAGAACACCGCTAGAATGGTCAGAGTTCTGTGTCTGCAATGGTTTCAGGACCGCAGGGCAGAAGCAAGAATGAGGAGAAAAGAAGACTTTATTCCACCTGGTACCTTGGACTGAAGTTGCAGGAGCAGTGATGGTTAAGTATCAGTTTTGTACCCTGGAGCGAGTGAACACCTGCGACTGCGTGCAGAATTTCATGTGGACATTTTTAGGTAAAGGGACCTCATAGTTTCTTCGGATTTTCCTTTTTTTTTTTTTTTGGCAGAGTCTCACTCTGTCACCCAGGCTGGAGTGCAATGGCATGATCTTGACAATCTTGACTCACTGCAGCTGCCACCTCCTGGGTTCAAGTGATTCTCCTGCCTCAGCCTCCTGAGTAGCTGGGAAAACAGGCACGCACCATCACACCCGGCTAATTTTTTTTTTTTTGTATTTTTAGTAGAGATGGGGTTTCACCATGCTGGCCAGGCTGGTCTCAAACTCCTGACCTCAAGTGATCCACCAACCTTGGCCTCCCAAAGTGCTGGGATTACAGGTGTGAGCCACTGCACCTGGCCCTCATCAGATTTTCAAAGGGATCATGACCCCTCCCATGCAAAAGATTAAAAACCAGCATAGGTAATTTTGACATTGCAGTAAATGATTTATTATTAGAAAAGATACTTAATACTAGGATGATGTACGGTAAAACGACTGCATCAGTTCGAATAGGTAAGACTATGTTGCAGTAACAAACTCAGTGGCTTAAATACAGCAACGCTTATTCTCTATGCTCTGTGCCTGATATGGGCTGGCAGGGAGAATATGCACACTGCAGCCCCTCAGATGCCAAGCTGAGAAAGTCTTCACCTCGACAGAAGCTTCCCCCATCACCACAGCAGCAGGAAAACCAAGTGGCCTGAAAACTCACTGGCTGTTACACTTCCACCTAGGAGTGCGCACATTTTTAATTGGCCAAAACAAGCGACATGGCCATGAGGTATCTCGAAAACAGGAGGGGACATCCGTGTCGGACGTGCCCACATGGAGAACCGGAATATTTGTGAACATCCCTAATGACTACTGCTGTGATATAAAAATTTTGGAAAGAAAACCATAAAGTGTTCAGCTCATCCACTTTAAAAATTAAGAGCAAGGAACATAAAACTGTATTCAACAAATATAGTACATAATAAAAAGAATTCAGTTCCTTGTTATGGCCAATTAAGATAGAAAAAGTCGGGGGAAAGAGATTGAAAGAGAGTGGGGAAATGAGAGAAGACGAGAAAGAGGAGGGAAGAAAATGAAAGGGGCTTTTGTGCAGAGAGGAAAAGGGGCAAGGCTGCATGTCAAAGCAAGGTCAGTCTTTTCTGCCAGCTGAGCCCTGCATCTCATGGTTCCACCCAGGCTGCTGGCCCAGGAGGCCAACTCCCTGGGTGCAGGCAGTCTTCCAAGTTTCCCAGCACCCCAGCTTTCTGCGGGCTGCTCTAAGTAAACAGCACAGCAGGGCCCCCAGTGCTCTGCATGGAGCTCCTTGCAGAAAATCCCCTTCTTTTGCATTTCTTGGGAGCAACACACTAGAGAGCATCTGAGTGAAGCTCAAAGCCAGGCGTGGCTTGTGGGCCAGGGTCCCACCCCAGGTCATCTCCCTGCCAGACACCAGGGTTCCTTTTGTGTGTGAAGGCCACCTGCACAAAGGCTGCAGGCAGACCAAAGTGTGTCAAAAGCAGCAAAGGAAATCTCCTTCCCTAATGCAATAACTCGATTCAGTGCACATGTTGAAACTATGACATAAATATGCTAAGCACATATTTTATAATAGAAAAGACTCGTTCTGTCTCTCTGTACATCTGCATGTTTTAAAGGCATAAACTAGCCCCAAGGGCTGTGACTTCCTCCACCCCCGCTTCTTCCCTGTCTCCTGGAGCTGAGTCTTCCCTTTGCCCTAGGAAAGTCATGCTTATATGGCTGTCCGCCTGTGGCCACCTGCTCTCCTCACTTACTGCTCACTAAGAGAAATGGAGAGGTCAGCTTGGAGCCCTCCCCAGACTCCCGGAGGAGATATATACCTAGCTAAGAGATGGGCCAGGCGTGGGGGAGAGTTAGGCACAGAGAAATCTTGGGAATGGCAAAGGGCTGGGCTGTCTTGTATTATCCTGATCGGTTTCGATTCGTTCCTCACTACCACTGCCCTCGGGTAAGGTGGTGTGAACTTGGCTTTTCAAAAGCCATGTCCCCTGTATCAGTCAGCTATTGCTGACAAGCTCCTCCAAGATTTAGTGGTCTAAAACAACAACTGTTTCTTATTTCTCACCAGTCTGTGGCTTAGCCAGATGGTTCTTCTGGTCTGGGCTGGGCTCCTTAGGTCTCCACTAACCTTGCTCATGTATCTGTCTATGGCCAGCTGATGTGGTGGCTGGAGCTGGCTGGGACTTCTCTCCTATCATCTGGCATCCTCTGCCAGGCTAGCCCAAGGCTTGTTCACATGGCCATCATAGGGCTCCAACAGTAATGAGAGGGCAAGTCCCAATGCTCAAATGCTTTTCAGACCTCTGGTTGGGCCACTTTTGTTACTCTGTCATTGGCCAATGTAAGTCACATGGCCAACCCAGATTAAAGGGTAGAGAAATAGATTCCATCTTGCTGGGAGGAGCTATAAAGTCACATTGTAAAGGTGACGATAAGGAGGTGGGTGGTACTAGCTTGTAGTCATTTGTGCGATCTGACTCTCCCAAATCCCATCCTTTCCGTGTCACTTCTCTGGTAGATGGTCTCCAAGATGTCCTCTTTCCCCATACCACCATCTAGGGCACACAGCCAGTAGGGGATCAATGTGCACTACCCTATGAGAGACTCAGGGCACCATGACACACAGGCAAAGGGACCCTCTCTGGGTTAGACTTGGCTGTGAAAATCATCTGAAATAACAGGGTTTAAACAAGGTAGAAAGTTTTCTCTCGGGCTGAACAGCCAGCCTAGGAGCCTTGATAAAATCACTAGGGACCAAAGACTTCTTCCAGCTCACTGATTCACCACCCACAGACAACTTCCTTGTCCTCATGATCTAAGAAGGCTGCTAGAGCTCCAGTCATCACAACTGCAGGACAGCAATATGGAGGAAAGAAAGAAGGGTGTATCTTTCTTAAAGGAGATCTTCCAGTGGTCTCACTCACTTCTGCTCACGTCTCAGTGGCCAGAAGTTACCTGTACTCCCTAGTACAGGGCACACTTACCCAAAAAGGCGGCTCAGAGAAAGCTGGGCACATTGATGCTTCAAATAAATTTTCTGTGACTAGGGAAAAGGAACAAAAGGATTGGGAGATCTTTGCCAAATAAGGTCTTTTGCACACGTTATGTGACTGTGAAATCGTAAGACATCTTTGCATACATTTCATTTGTTTAATCATTGCATCTGGGGTAGATGCATGTCATCTAGTTAGTTTGGTTCATGTAAATGCATGCAGTCCCCTATTGCAGTCCCCTAGGCAATTTGTCATTCCTTCATGGCTCAGTGGCCTCTTGGGCAATGCTCTGAGAGGGCCCAAGGACTGGCTCACCTACTCAATCCCAGGACTGAGGCTCATTTTATTTTATTTTCCAATTTTAGTTGCTATGTGACAACCTCACAGTAAAATTCACAAATCTTAAGCATACAGCTGGAGGACTTTTTATATATGTAGCACCCATGTAACCACCACCCAGATCAAGCTATAGAACATTTCAACCCCTCTGCTGTCACCCAGAAGGTTCCCCAGTGGCTCTTCCCCATCATGCCTCTTCCCCATGCCCACCCCTAGAAGTAACCTTTTGTGCAAGGAGACCACCTGCATGAAGGCTGCAGTTGCCTATATGGCTGGGATGTCCCGACACTCAGGTTGTAAAACAGCATTAAGTAGTCTCACTCAGGTTTCTGCTCCTCTTCTCTCCTCTCACGCAGCCTTTATTTGCTCTCTGGTTCTGGTCTCCTTCTCTCTTAAGGCTTCTTTATGTTTCAAAAGCAGTATGGCCTTTCTTGTTTGGGGTCCCCTTCCTTACCATAGCCCCGACTGGTCGTATTCTCCCTGCTGGCACCCGATCAAAGAAACCTGGTGATTTGTAGGACAATTCGACATGTTCTCTGTGGCTGCCATGGGCTGATGGATAGAAGGGATATAGAGACCTACTTTGGTTCAACTGAAATAACTTTATGGTGTCACTACTCAACAGTGCAGCCCCCAACCAGTGGTGTCAGCCCCACTGGGAATGTATTAGAAATGCAGATCCTTTGGCCCCTGAGAGCTGCTCTAAAGTGACATGGGTACTTGATCAGGAAGTGAGAGCCCCTGGAAGCACCTAGGTCTGGGGGGCCTCCATCAAGTCGCTGTGCCCCAGGTAGGAGCTCAATAGTAATGTCACACCACCAAAGCAGTATCATTCTATGAAGTCATAGTTGCCCTGTTGTCTTGAACCTGTCATCCCCTAGATCTGGTTTTTAAAACTCCTTTTCTTACTGCCAATCCACAATCCCTTATCTGCAATGGAAACCCACAAGTTTTGTGTAAGTTTGGCACAAATATATTTGGCAGCAAAATCTGGTTTCAATTGATATGAGGCTTTTTGGAGTTATTATATATCCCTCTTCATATGATTATTCGTGTCTCAGCACAGAACCATCAACGTGTCTGATTACCCATGGGATGTTTCATAAAACACGGTTTCTACAAGTCTTACCTTTCTAATACATGAAAACTTCTTAATTCTAAAACTTGTCTGAGCTGAAGATTTTGGATAAAGGATGTGGGCCTTTCTCTCCTTTGCCTCACATAGTTTACTCATTCAATTCCTTTAACTTCTCTCTTCATTTTAAATTACGATTGTGATTATTATTATTAATTACAAAGGTAATACTTGTTTGAAAAAATTCAGACTATGGAAATAGACAATCCTGCCCCTGCTTCTGATCACAGCTTAGTATCCCTGCTTTTCTTTTTCTTTTCCTTTACACATATGCATAGATACACCCCAAAATTCACATGTGCTGACACATATTTTAGTAACAAAAATGCAGTCATACTCTGCATAGTACTGGTAATCTCTTCCCCCCCACTTAAATAATGTATCAGGGGTTTCTTTCCTATGACTATATGTATATTTGGCAGATGCTGTTGGTGCCTGGCCTGTATCCCTGGAGTCTGACCACTTTGGCGTGTGCCACTCCCTTCTAATTGCCAGGGTACACATTCTTTGGCTTGAGGGCTTTCTCCAAGCTCTGCCAAAGCAGGGAAGGCTGGAAGTTCCAGGGAATTAACAGCCCAGGGAGCAGCCCTCAACCAGAGTTTCAGGAGTTGATATCTAATTATACCAGCTCCCTTGCTCCTTGAGTGGGATAACTTGGAGGCATTTCCTAGAGGTCCCCAGCAGGACTGAGCCCCAGTTTCCCACAGCGGTAACTAACTGATAACACACCTTTTATTGGCTTGCCTTCCCTTCCCCATCTCCCCTCTCCACTCCCCTCCACCTCCCAGCCGCACCCCTCCTGTGCTTCTTCCATCTCCCAGATAATTTATACCATTATGCTTGTCTCAGGATCTGTTTCTGCAGAAACTCATACTAGGACAATCTAGAAACACTTTTCCTTTTTATTAACTTCCAAGTGTGCTACCATATGGCTAGATCATGATTTCTTTAACCATTCCCTTATTACTGTCCTGCTGGACAATTACAGTGTTGCTAATTTTTCCATGTGACAGATGAGACCGCAGTAAGCCTCCTTGTACATATATTTTTGGGTGTGAGCATTTCTGAAAGAAAGACTCCAAGAGGTACAGTTTCTGGGTCAAAAGGTATGTACATTTAAAATTTTGAAAGATATGCAGACATTTTGCTTAAAGTATTTTGGATGTTGCATCATTCTCTCTTTTAGTTTGTTTGTTCCATCTAGGTGGGCTCTGCCCTGCTCTTCTGCTCAGAATATATGTTCTCCTGGGAGCTTATATTAAAGCATCTCAGCTAGAGTGATCAACTGTCTCAGTGTGCCTGGGATGGGAGGATTTCTTAGGCCATAGCTCTTTCAGTGCTTCAGCTGAGACAATCCCAGGCAAATAGAGATGGTCAGTCACCCTAATCTCTGCTCCTTCAGCCGAGCTCTCAGTTTCCAGAGCTCCTGCTTTCAATTCCTCTGCCTCGGGCTTCACACCCAGGATCTCCCACCCAAGCTGCCTTGGGATCTCACCTCCCAGCTCACAGGGCACCTTCTGCTCCCATGAGCCAGTTCGTCACTAAACATACACATGCACACACCTGCATTTTCACAATCATCCGTCAGGATGTGATTGCATTGCTCTCTTATAACTATTTCTTTTCAAGCACAAACATGTCTGCCCCCTCTGTGGTATCTCCCAGTGGCCCAGTGCTTTTCCACAAGCCAGGTGCCAAGGGGAGAAATGTGGGCACTCTGTCTTTTTCCTAATCTATTTATTTCTGTCTCTCTTATGTTTTTCTGTCTTTTCTTGCCAGCTATCATTCCAGAGGATGCTTAGCCGTACCCTGGGGATGGAGTATAATTTTTATCTATCTTTCTGTAAATACTTTGAATATCTCTTCTCCTCATCTGGGATGGGGGTAAGAGGAAGAGAGAGCTGAGCTAAGAGATGGAGAAGAACAGATACCTGAGAGCATTGCTTAAGCATCTAGAACTAGCCAAACCTGAAGCCTCACTATTTGTCTTAGTTTGGGTCCCCAAAAGCAGATGCTGAGACAAAGATTTGATTTTAAGTAGTTTATTTGTAAAATGGGCCCAGGAAGCCACACATAGGGGAGAAAGGAAGTCAAGGAAGGGAAGGAAGCCAATAACGACTGAGTGAATAAATAAGCCAATGACCCTTTGGGCAACTGAGGCTCAATCCAGTTAGGGAACTCTGGGAACTAGTGTGAAACATGCCTTTAAGGTACCTGTCTGAGAACGAGGGAGATGGGGTATTTATCCTTCAGCTTCTTGACCATCCTTGGTCAAAGGTTGCCTCTGGGGGCATTAACTCTCTGGAACTTCTGGCTGGTCCTGTGCATGGGCCAAAAGTGCTCCAGTGGCCAGAAGAAAAGTCCTGGTGTTCACCAGCCACCTTCCAGTGCATGTGGATGGGGCACTGACACCTCTGTTTCAATACCCCCATCCTCATCCCACCTGCACCATTACATTTGCTTTGCTGCTCATTCCAAGTCTGTTTCTGTCACTTGCAACCACAAGAATCCTGATTAACACATGGCCCCCGGCTGCCCCAGTCCCAGATACTTGTTCCCCACTGGAGCCCCCATGCACCTGTTCCTGTGCCTTTGGCACTGACTGCCTTTGCCCTTGTGAGATTACTTGATTTTGTCCCCTTTCTCCAAGCAGACCAAGGGCCTAACTCACTAGATGTGCACTGCATGCCAAGCCTTGTGAAACCCCCACAGCCACCCTATGAGGTGAGGACTGGAAGTAGATTTGCTGGATGAGGTTCACAGAGATCAAGCAACTTGCCCAAGGTCACACAGCTAGCAAACACTTGGACTCAGGTCTGCATGGCCTGATGACATGTGTTTTTGCTGCTTCTTGCTCCAGGCCTGCACTGTCCACCCTGGCCCATCAGTTATCATTTTAATTCTTCAGCATCTTCTCCCATTAGGCTCCACTCTCTCAAGCCACTCTCCTTACCACCAAATAAAAACATTTTCCATTAGCTCGTTTCATTTTCCTAGGATCTCTGACTCACTTAATCCCCTGCATTTTCCCCATTTGGTTAGGGGGTCCTTTCCCGCTTCTGGCATCTCCACTGTGGCTTCTCCGTGCACACAATAAGAAAGAAGCCCCATAGGGTTTGAAAAAGGTAGGGGTTGTTATTACCACCCTGTGTCACAGATAGGGAGGCAGAGGCCCAGAGAGGTGGTGCAAGGTGCTGAGACCACATAGCTGGTGGTTGACAGAGCCTGGCTTGGAATCTGAGTTTCTCTCTAAACCTTGGGGTGTCTCCTTACATTTACTGTGTTTACAGAATGCCTGGTGGTCCAACCTACTGTCCAGCTTCTCATGGGCAGGGACCACATGTGACCTCACTTGGGACTGGAGTTGTGGCTTCTGTCTTTACAAAGCATTTGGTAAAATGAATTGCTGTCTCCCTAGATGTAGCTGAGAAGGGGGTCTAATGGATCAGTTCCCCTGGGAGCTGGGAGCATGAGAAAGGTCTGGCTCCACTTTCCGGTCCCCCTCAGTGGATCTGGCCAGAGTGACCCTTTCTCCAGGAGCTGGGCGAGGGCCTGTGCCCCTCCATGCTGTGACTCGCACGGCGTTGACTTGGAAGGCTTGTAAAGCCCGCAGAGGGAAGGCTCCCTCGGGGGCCTAGGGGCCAGGAAAATGCAAGCCCTGTTCAACTGTCACCCAGCAACGCCACACACAAACATTTGCTGACAGGAAGAGGCGAGCGGCATTAAAGCTGCCTGACAGGGAGGTGACGGGGCAGCAGGGAGAGTGTGTAATTGCCAAGCCGGAAGGCTGGCCTGTGGCCAGCGTATTGAGTTTAACCACCTGTGTCACTGCCCTCCACATCCAACGAGGAGGATGCCCGCTGCCATGTTTCCAGGCTGAGCGCCCTGTCATGGTCTGGTCTGGCCTGACCCTGGGAGGACATCCGAGGGGTCAGCTTTGGGCATGGATTCCCACTCCTCCATCACAGCCTGAGCCGCTGAGTCAGGGCCCAAGTGCAGAAGCCAAGAGCGGCCCCAGCTCACGGGCGCCCCCTCTGTCAGAACAGCTCCTGCCTTACAGCTGGTGGGTCCTTGGGTGCCCCTCTTTCGTCCCCATGCTTCCCCCTGCTGCTGCAAGCTCGCTGTTCTGGAAACAGCCTCTGAGGAAGAAACGGGGCCCACAGAGGGTCTTTTGGTGACCACAGCTCCTGTTCCCTCACACTCTCCGATCAGAAGATGTAGAGCTGAGCCGAAGTCAGAAGAGAGGACCCTGACAGGGCTTTTCGGTGGGTTTAGGTGACACTAGGAGAGTCTGGCCCTGGAAGTCTGAAATTCTCTCCAGTCCTCCGTTCCTGGCCTACTTTCATTCAGTGAAGCTCCTGCTCAGCCCTATATTAGCCCGGAAGCCTCTCCAAAGGTGCCCACAGTGGCTGTGCAGCTGGGACCCAGGAAAGCTGGAAGGGGGAAGAGAAGAAGCGAAACTGTCCCCCAAAAGGCAGCCGGCCCCTTGGCCTATAGAAGGTCGACCCGACAGCAGGCTATGAAATCTGATAGCAGTCTCACAGCTTCCAAGAAATAATTATTCCCAGGAAAGTGTTTTCAAGTTTTAGATAAACTGCTATTTAAGAAGCAGAGAGGACGGAACTCGAACAGTGGCAAACGTCTGCGGCTTCCCCCAGCGGGCCCGTCATTAACCATTGCTCCCAGAGCTAAAGGCTGCTGCTCTATCCCCAATTAACAGCCACATTCCAGCAAGCTCCCTGTTTATCAAGGCATTAGCGTTGACATCTGGGGAGGGTGCCTGCCCAGGCCAGCCAGCAGGGAGGACTGAGCTCCCATCCGTCCACACACAGACGACGGCATGGGCCCTCCACAAAGGGTGGCCACAGATGAAGCTGCCCAGGCCCCCTCCGCAGCCGGCTTCTTCCCACTCCCTTCCCAGCACTGCTGTGTCATTCTACAGCCAGCGGAGTGTGAGCCAAGCAGCCCAGTCCCTGTAGTGACACGTGTGCCTCTGTGTGACTGTGTGTGCATGCGTGCCCGCGTGTGAGAACCTTATGTTTCTAGAGAAGATGGCGTCTGGGGAGGATTCTCTAAGGGATTTTCTGAGAACAGAAGCAATTTCTCTCCCCTTCTCAAGCCCTTGCGTGTGTGCATGCATGTGTGAGTGTGCACATGTAGGAGGTGCCATAGCTACTCCCGTCTTCCTATTTCTCCCCTTCATGATCTCCCCCTTCTTTTTCTTCCTCTCCAGTCACTATCACGAAAGCATTGATTCAACAACCCTCTACCTTCTTCTCTAGGCTGAGTACAAATTCTGTTGACCCCAAATGTGCTCTCTGGAGTTACATGAGGCAGAGTCCCTCAGCCCTTTTCAGAGCAGGAAGCCCACAAGCTGCCTTATTCCAAGGACCCATGACTACCAGGTTTGGAAAATGTCAACTCTGCACCAATGAACCGCCCTTTCCACACTTTGTCCCTGTACCCCAGCACTACCGGTACCCTCCCCTTTTCTGTCTGCCTTTCATTACTTCCGCTGAGCTTTCACTATCTTCTTTGCGGCCCCATTCCTTGCCTGATGCCCTAAATGTGGGGTGCTCTAACTTCCCCTAGGAGCCAGGCCAAGACGCTTGCAGGGGCTCAGTGGTGACTTTGGGACCCTGAAATCGACAGCCCTGGCCTCAGCCTGAGAATGCTTTTGTGGAACTTTCGTTTCAAATTAATAGAATCAAATTCACCCTCTTTCCCCTAATGGAGTTCCCCATTTCTGTCTGTCACTATTCTCTTAGCCTACACTTGAGAGTCATGTTTGACCCTTTGAACACCGCTTCCAAATTCAAGCAAGTCATCATCCTATTTCTACATCCACCCCTCCCTCGGCTTGTCCCTCCTGCCAGGCCACCCCAGGACTTTACTGATGAACTGGAGAGTGATGGACTCCCCCCCACCCCACCCCCACCGAGGGTTGGAAAGAACAGCACCCCCTGCCAAACCCCACCAGGATCTCGACCTTTGATCCCTCCTACACACAGCTGCTAGATTAATCTTCTCCTGCCGTGAGCCCGCCCCACCTCTCAGCCTTTGTGTGGTCAGTTTTCCTCTGCCTAGAATTGATTTGAGTGAGTGAAGAGATTAAACGGTGTAGGTGCCAGCCCATTGCAATTTGTGGCTTTGAGAAATGCTGGTTACTGTTTAAACAAGAGTAGGAGGGAGTGGGATGGGCTCAAATCTCACCTTCTGAGCAAAGCCTTCTGAAGGGGTATCTGTTGTTTTGCCTGACCAGTCAGTATCCATTCCTCATCTTTCTCCAATTTTCCTTTGGGGAGCCACCCTCTCCAGCCAGCCATGCTCCCTGGGTCCTGAAATGGGCTATGGCCCAAGTTGGCCAATTCTAGCCAGGCAATGGCAACCTTTGGGATTTTTCTGGAACTGTTGGAAAAGAGCATGCTTTTTATCATGGTTGTTCTACTAATAAAATGTAAGTTTGGAATTGCTAGTGCTGCCTGCCAGTGGTCATCTTGTCACCACTTGAAGTAAGTTCCTGAATTCAGTCAAACCTGAAGCCAACTGCCTTATTACATTTCAGCTTCCTGAGCCAATACAGTTCATTCTTCCTTCGCTCCCTTCTTTTTCTTCCTGCCTGCCTGACTGTGCTATCTCCTGGTGACCTCTCTCTTTTTGCAACTGTAGATCCTTGCTTCTTGTACCCCTCATTGATCTCTGACCACATTCAGTTTTGTGGTCTTATTTCAGTTTTGATATGGAGACCCATATCCCCAACCTGACTGAGCCCATCCTGAATGGATGGGCTATAATTAACTGTTATAGTCATTTAACATATACACAGACGGCATCACCGTAATTACAGAAAATATGTTATACATCAGGCCCATGGAATGGGGACAATTCACCACACAGTGGGGCCTGGAATCAGAAGTGAATGAATATATCTCTGGCCCAGATTTCGTTCCTGGCTGGGCCCCTTTGTTCATTTTCCCTGCTATTCAGGATGGTCACCTCCTCCTGCCAGTGGGGCCGGTGGTCATTACTGATGGAATTGCAATTGGTCCCCCTACCACCTTGTCCCAGTTCCCAGCCCCTGGGTGCAGTTACCATGTGTCAGTCACTAAGTGCTTTACCTATGCTAACTCAGCCCTCACAACAACCTGTGAGGTGAGAATTATTACTGTTCCCATTTTGCAGGTGGGGAAACTGAGGCACAGAAAGGTTATGTAACCTGAGCAAGGTAACACAGTTAACTAGTTGCAGAGGCAAGATCTGACTCCAGGCAGGCTTGCTCCAGAGATGTTGCTTTTAACCACTCTGACCTGCTGCCTCTTCAATGTGTTGCTGACATATCACTGATCTTCCAGGTCCAGGGTGCTTTGAATTCCGCCTATGTCCCCAGTGCTTCAAGTCGGGATCTAAATTCCTCCTCCTGCCAGACTGGTATGGGTGTCTCAAGACTGCCCCCCAGATTTATGTTGGGCCCCTCAGCTGGGCATGTTTTGGAACAGCTAAGCGGGGCCCAGGTTATTTATTACCACTCATAGCTGTCCTGTAAGGGTGCCTGGCCCTATCCCCAAGTCCTGTATGCATTATACAGGGGCCTGTCACCACAATGGGTGTGCTGTGAAGTGCTTAAGATACCATATCTAACGGCTCTGTTTTAGCATTTGGGCTTCCAGGGCTGGGGCCCACTGGAGAGCCTTTACTTAGTGGCCTTGTGTAGCCAAACAGTTTGCATTTCCAGGCAAGAGAGGCTGGCATTAGGGCTACCCTTGGGATGTGTCAAATTATTCCTGGCCCTACACTTTGGTGGCTGCCTAATTTGGCAGAACTATGTAGCCAGAGCATTATGCACCGAAAACAATTCCTTTGAGTCACAGACTTAGACTCAACTGATGAAACCCTCCCCCTTTTCCATCTCCAATAAAATAATATCTGCGTCATGCTTTGCAGTTTTTAAACGAATATGTTGTCTAATTATTGCAACAGCCCCATTTGTTGTTGTTATTATTATTCCCACAATATGGATGAAAATATTGAGGCCCAGGTGGGCTCTAAGTAAGAAATATTAAGATTGGAACTTACAGGAGTTTGAGACCAGCCTGGCCAAAATGGTGAAACCCTGTCTCTACTAAAAATACAAAAATCAGCCGGGTGTGGTGGTGCACACCTGTAGTCCCACCTACTAAGGAGACTGAGGCAGGAGAATTGCTTGAACCTGGGAGGCGGAGGTTGCAGTGAGCCAAGATCTCACCACTGCACTCTAGCCTGGGCGACAGAGTGGGACTCCAACTCAAAAAAAAAAAAAAAAAAAAAAAAATCAGCACTCAAAGCCATGTTTCCTGGCTTCAGGGAATAGTTTTTGTCCTGTTGACACCACGGGAATTTGGCCCCTTCAGTGAGGCTCATTGATTTGACAACTGTACATCGGCCATTTTCTATGTGTCAGGCACTGTGTTGGTGGCTGGGGATAGAGAGGTGATTGTGGAACTCAGAGTCCCAGGAAAACAGCCACGATCAATGTGGTAAGAACAATGATGATGTTAAGAATAGAATCTTGTAGGAACACAGAAGAGGAGATGGGGAATTCTCCCAGTTGGTGAAGGTGGTAGTGTTAGAGAAGGTTCTGGAGAAGAGGCAGTCACCCACTTGTCTTCTATGATGCACAGACAGGTCAATTAGTTGAGACACACACATGGGCCCCCAGAGAACATGGGCAAAGTTCTCCAGTCTCCCGGAGGCTGGCTCTCGTTGTTCATCTGTGGGCTGGGTCCTGCACACATTTTTTTTTCTTAATCTCATGACAGCTGCAAGGTCAGTAACATATCCATTTTACAGATGAGACAACAAAAGCCCAGAGAGGTCCAAAGGCTCAACCTTCTTGCCTCAATTCAAAAGAACTTTGAAGGGCCATCTCCACTCCAGAGGTCCTTGTGGGATCCAGCGAAGCCACTGTTGTGACCACATTGCCAGTCAGCTTTTCTTCTGCCCAATCTTCTTCCCTCACTCCAACTCAAGTGTTGATCTTGAGACCACAGCCCAATGAGCCTCCTCCATGCCAATTTCCATCTCAAAGTCTGCATCTCACAGAACCTGATCTAAGATATCATGTTACATATCTTTATCTGTTCCATTTAGGTTTTCTGTGAGTAGCAAAAACTCCAAAATAACAGTGATCTAAATATGCCAAAAATTGATCCCTTATCTAAAAGTCCAGAGATCCAAAGTCCTGGGTTGGTAAGATGGTTAGCAGAGGGGTTGTAAGATGTAAGCGTAAGTGACTCAGGATCCTGTTATCTTGTCACACTGTCCAACACAGCTTCTAGTCCCAAAGTTACCTCATGGTTCAAGATGGCTGCTAGAGCTCCCCATCACATCCCCTTTCTGTTGACCAAGAAGAAGGGGAAGGCAAAGAGGAATGTACTCACAATGTTCTAGAACACATCCCAGAAGGTCAATCTTGATCACATGGCCACACTTGGGTGTAAACTGACACTGCGTGATGTGGTCTTTACGAGGGGAGATGAATATGTGCCCAGCCAAAAATGGGCAGTTCTATGTCTAAGAGAGAAGAGGAGAATAGATATTTGCAACTATCAAGCTTCGAGTGTGTGCTCCCCAGAGTTACCCAGGGTAATGCAGTCCCCCAGGGGGTCAGAAGCTGCTTGAGGACTGGTTGGCATTCAGATGCTCCTGCCCATCTTTGGAGATCACCCCTCATCTCCTCACCTTGGTTTGGACTCTTGTGACCAGTTTGCTGTTGCTTCAGGGGCCTTTAGTTCTCCTTTAAAGCCAAATCAGTTCACATCCCTGCCCCCCCTCCAAAGCTCCTGGGGGAAGAATGACTTTTTCCCTTACTTCCCCCCTCCCTTTCTCTTTGATCCTGTGGTTCTTTCACTGGGGCATCTTTCATCCTCTCCTGGGGCAAAGAGGCATCCCTTGTTTACCCACAAATAATTAACTGCTATAGTAATTTAACGTATACACAGACGGCATCACTGTAATTACAGAAAATATATTACACATCAGGCCCATGGAATGGGGGCAATTCACCACACGGCGGGACCTGGAATCAGAAGTGAATGGATACATCTCTGGCCCAGATTTTGTTCCTGGCTGGGCCCCTTTGTTCAGTTCCAGCCTCTCTCCATGCCCTGTAGGAGGGGCGTTGTGGTCCTTGGCCCTGAAGCTGTGATGAGTGGCCCCCTCTGAGTGTAGATATATTCTTAGGTTCACCCCCTGCACTCCCCTTTTTGCTGAGGCAGTAGAAACCGTGGGTTTGGGGAGTGCTCACTGTGTAATTGAGCAAAGGAGAGGAAGCAACAGAATAAGGTGGAGAGAAGAATTCGGTGCTCTCTAAAACTCAGAGAGCAAGGCTTGTCAAACTTGAATGTGTACACGAATCACCCAGGCCAAAAGGGTTGCTGTGGGTGGGGCCCAAGAGTCTGTACTTCTGACATATTCTCTGGCAGGTCCAAGGACCACACTTTGCATAGCAAGGCTTTAGAGTAATTTTAAAATTTATTTTCTCCTTTAATCCTCCCAATGACCCTGTTTTACAGATGAGGGAATTGATGTTCACAGATGCCAAGTAACTTGTGTGAGGTCCCACGGCCATCCAGTCTGCCGCTTTCTGTTTAGTATGTAGGGCCGTGTCTCTGAGTGAGCTGGAGAACATTTCCGCATATGGGGGCTGGGGAGGATGGATCAAGCTCAGAGGGTTGGAGGATGCCTGGGATGTGTCCTGGATGAGAGCCCAGAGGCCTTGTTTTTCAAGTACCAAGAAGCTGAGACACACAGAGGAAAGAAATGGCTCGGGGGGCATGAAACAGGATAGGATTATAAAGAAGAGTTGAATATATCTTCTGTTAGCCCGGGCAAGCTGGACTTTGTTACTAGGTTGTGTGCCTGGAATTTCTCAACCTGGGTATTGGTTGTCTCTTGGAAAATGCTCACACTTTTATAAGATCACATCTTTGTGCTCTGCCTGCAAAGGTCTTGATTTGGATTCATGAAGGAAGAGGGGCTGTCAAAGGAGAGCAAGCAATAGAGCTGTCATTCGAAGGAGGGTGTCCTCTGCATGGATGGGCGGGTGGTAAGGAGAGCAGTTTTTTTGGTGGTGGGGTATATGCCAAGGGTTAGCCATTAAATGAGATAATGCATGTAAAAAGCTTAGCATCATGCTATGGGCTCGTTGCACAATAGTTATTGTTAATTATATTAATAAATCATAGAAGTCTCTTGAAACATGATGTAAGAGTGGTGGCAAGTACCACCCTGCCATGGGTCAGAAACACCTGCCCTAGAGCCATCAAAGTGAGGAGCCTTTGGGATTGTTGTGAGTTCCTACAGAACTTAGAATCTACCAGGGAGATACCAAATTTATAAAGAGGCTTTCCACGAATAAACCGACTCAGGTGTCTGCAAGGGGTCAATATTGGCTAGAGCCAGGGTGGTCCATCTGGACAGGTTGTGGAGAGGGAGGAGGAGGAGGTCATGGCAATGCTTCTGGGTTAGTCTGAGTTCTTCTGGTAGCAGATGCCAGAAGAGAAAAATGGACAAGGATTTTATTAGGGAAAATATCTGTGAGAGAAAGTGAGGCAGGACCTGGGAAAGGCTGGTGGAGTCGAAAGGCTGTGTCTGACCCCAGGTGAGTGGTGGAGGTCAGGGAGGGTGTGTGGCAGCCTCCTAGACTGCGGTGGGGTCTTTGGAAGCTTCAAGGCTGGCAAGCGGTCCTCATATCAAAGCCAACTGTCAGAAAAGTCCTGTTTCTCCCAGGGTGGGCCTGCCCTCATGCCCTGCCATGCACAGTCATTGACTGGGAGCCACCTATGGGAGCTGTAGCCTTGGCCCAAATGCTGGCATGGATTTCAGAGCTCACCAGCTGGGGCTCTGTATTCTTTCTGTCTTAAGCTCTCTGGAGTTGAAGGTCTATGAGGCACATTCTTGCAGATGCCACAATTTCCAGTACAGCTACTTTCCAGTAAGTTGCCTACCAGAAGGGGAAAGACCTTGAGCTCTACTGGGACAGAGGCCCCAAGCCAATTGCAGTGCCTAGCATATAGTTGTCACTCCATAAATATTTGTGAAATGACTGAAAAACTGGAAACAGTATCCATCTCTGAAGTATTTTTTTTCCATTTTGCTAAATGTACTCCCCCTCCAAATGAGGTTGATTCCTTTCTTTCCTAAATTTTCCCCCTTGGTGACATTAATCTATTTTGGTAATATGTTGCTAGAGCCTCATGCAACCCACTGTGAAAGTCCTGCAGGGTGAGAGGCCTGGTGGCTGGGGCCTGCTGGGCTCCCGGGGCCTTTTCTGCTGTGGACAGCATGCCTCTGCTGGATTAGCTGGCTTGGGCAGAGCCTTGGTCCAGCAGAGCCACCTTCGGGTCAGATTTGCCAGGAGAAAGAGATTTGAGTGGAAGCTCCTTTTGCATTTGGAGGGCAAGACTGTGTGTGTCTTTCATTGCAGTGGCTTATTCCTGTCCCTGACCCTCCGCCTGACATGCAGCACGTTTGTCCCCTTGGAGTCTGTGTCCATAGCAGTAAGCCCATGGCAGACACAATAGCAGACAACTTGGAGAGGCTTTGGAACCAGGCAAGCGCTGAAAGACTGGGAAGACCGGGCTTGTGATTAGGAGAAAAGTGGCAGTGACCCACAGCACTGGCCTCCGAGGCCTCCCAGGACTCATGAAGTCAGGACCCCAGGGCCAGCCTCTATCCTGCTTCTCCGGGGGCTGCAGAGCCATCCCGGATGTGTTGTCCTCTGACAATGCAGGCAGATGCTGTGCATCCATCTTCCACACACAGGCATCTGCCTGGAGAGGAAGATAAAGCAGCTTGTTCCTCCTGCACTAATACATTACCACGGTGTGGCCTGCGGCAAACAAGGACTGATTATTGGGTGTGGGTGTGTGTGTGTGCATGAGCATGTATGCGTGTGTGTGTGTGCCCACTTGAGAATTACGGAAGGGAGGTGATACTGAAGAGGGGTAGTGTAAGGAAAGCTAAATTTCCCAGCTGGCAGTTATGCCACTGAAAATATTTTAACAGAATCTGTTAGTGCCAATAGCGTAAAATCCCAAAACAACAACAACAAGAATAACAGGTAGCACTTCCACAGCACTTGCTATGTGCAGGTCCTGTTCTAAGCTCTTTACACATATTAATTCATTTACCCTTGACTTTGCCTTATAAAGAAAGTCTTACTATCATACCCATTTTGTGGATCAGCAAACCAAGGCTTGGAGAGGCTGAGAAACTTGCTTCAGATAATACATGTAGTAAGTGGCAGACTCATACTCTTAACGCCTTTACTCCCAGGTCTGTAATCACCTTTTTGCCTTTCAGAGTGTTCTCTGGTTTGAGTGAGAGGAGAAAAAGAAAGGTATTCCCTAAGTAGCAGCGGGTTTCTGTAAACTTCTCATCACAGTGCACCGCAGCAGTGCCCAGACCCTGGAGAAATTCACGCCTCCTGTTTAAAAAAAAAAAACAAAGCAAAACCCTCCCACCCTCTGTTTCCCATATTATCAATTACCAAAACCTGCTGGTTGGTAGAACACACACTTCTTGGCACCAGAGAGGTGTGGAAATGTTGGAATGGATATGCATGGACCATAGGAATTGCTTTCAGGAAGAATTTTTGCCTTTATGTCATTGGCTTGTTCATTACTTCCTAGGAGTTTAAGTGGCCAAACAATTCTGGACACAAGTGCTTTCTAGTTTTCTGGATTGTGAATGAACCCATGTAGGGCCTGGGAGTTGTTGAGGCTTATTAGACACTTCTCTCTGATACCTGGGCACTGTGCATTGTGAATAGATACTCAACATTCTGTGCTCTGCAACTCTCCAACTGCCTTTTGATGATTAAAGAAAGACTGGATTGTTTAGCCTTGTTTTTGTATTATTGTATATATCTTTATATCTTATTTTATTTTTACTGCATTGACTCATTGACTTTTTTTTTTTTTTTTTTTTTTTTTTTTTTTTTTTTTTTTGAGACAGAGTCTCTCTCTGTTGCCCAGGCTGGAGTGCAGTGGCGTAATCATGACTCACTGCAGCCGCCAAATCCTGGGCTCAGATGATTCTCCCTCTCAGCCTTCTGAGTTGCTGGTACTACAGGAGCATGCCACCATGCCCAACTAATATTTTTATTTTGTAGAGACAGGGTCTTGCTATATTACCCAGGCAGGTCTTGAACTCCTGGACTCATGTGATCCTCCTACCTTGGCCTCCCAAAGAGCTGGGATCACAGGTGAAGGCCATCTGTGCCTGTGCCGGACCCTCACTGACTTTTTTTTTTTTTTTAAGATGGAGTCTTACTCTGTCACCGAAGCTGGAGCGCAGTGGTACAATCTCAGCTCACTGAAACCTCTGCCTCCCGGGTTCAAGCTATTCTCCTGCCTCAGCCTCCCGAGTAGCTGGAATTACAGGTGTGCACCACCATATCTGGCTAATTTTTTGTATTTTTAGTAGAGACAGGGTTTCATCATGTTGGCCAGGCTGGTCTCAAACTCCTGACTTCAAGTGACTCACCCACCTTGGCCTCCCAAAGTGCTTCATTGACTTTTGAAAACTGGTATTATGGAGATGGAAGCTGTTCTGGTTTCTTGTTGTTGTGTGACAAGTCACCCCACAGCTTAGTGATTTAAAACAAAGACAGTCATGTTATTTTCTCCCACAGCTCCTGTGTGTCAGGAACTCAGGAAGGGCTCAGCTGGATGGTTGTGGCTTGGTGGAGTTGCAGTCAGAAGGGGGCTGGAGCTGAAACAGCAGAAGGGAAGCTAGCCAGGCATTTCTCTCAGGGCCTCTCCATGTGGTCTTTTAGCATGGGCTAGTCTGGGCTTCCTGACATGTAGTGGATGAGAGCTCCAAGTCCTAGTGTTCCATTGAACCAGGAACAAGCTGCATTGTTTTTTATTATGTAGTCTCGGAAGTCAGAATCACTTCCACCATAATTAAACTTCAGAGAAGGGAAAGTAGACTTTACCTCTCCATGGAAGGAGTGTCAGTCAGTTCATAAGAAGAGCCTGTGGGCTCGGAGATATTATCAGAGCCATCTTTGGAAAATACAATCCGCCACAGATGGAGTATGAGAAGGGCTTCATGAGAGTGTAAGAGACCTGCAGGGGTCTCTTGACCTGGACTGCGCCCCTGATAGTTACACCTTAGCCACCCATCTGCCTGAGGCTGAATGGAGACTTGCCTGGAGCAGGAGCCCTAGGAAGCAGTGAGTGGGGGGCTGTCAAGGGGCAGGAGGAGGTGAGTGGAGGCAGTGAAGTGACAGAGGAGAGAGCCTGAGTGGCAGCTATGCAGGAGACAGTAAAGCCAGTGGCCCAGGCTTACTAGATCAGAGCAGAGGACTAGTGGCTCATGGGGGCTGAACAGCAGGATGGGACAAAAGGCACTAGGCTCAGACTGCCCTACGGAGACCTCAGATCCAGCTTTGGAGCATGGAAGGGGCTGTGAGTAGGAGGCCAGGCCCAGAGAGGTGAGTTAGCATTAAGGATGGCTGCTCCCCTTACAAGAGGCACCAGGGGAAGTGTGGTGGCAGGGGTGGTTGGGGGGAGGTTGGCAGGTCCTGGACTTCTGCAATTGCCTGGGTTGGCTTGGTGTCAACCCATCCAGCCCCCTGCTCCCAGCACCCCAAGCAAACAGAAACAGCTCCTTTCCGGTAGGGAGGGGGACAAGGACCCTGGGGAGGTGGGTAGAGGGGCTGCGTCCCAAAGCCCTGCCCTGGAGCACGTGGTCCACAGCCAGGCCTATATGAGAAATTGATTAAGTGGCCAACTCTACCGCTTAAGGCCTCAGCGAGCAGAGAGTGGCATCCATAAAGTGCCACCCCCCACGCCAGGCGCCTCAGCGGCCTCTGTTTGAAGGTAAATCCATCCATAAGCCTGCCGTCACTCTGGGCTTAATGTATATGATTTCTGGCATTTACAGCAGCGCAGCTCTGAACGCTGGAAGAAACTCCAGCAGAATAATTTGCCAGGCGAAGGCAAGCAGAGTGGCAATTGCTCATGGCACATCTGAACAGCTACGGCTCCTGGGAAAACAAGCTCCCTGACAACGCACATCCCTGCTGGCCCCTCTCTGATGGTAACCTCACCGCTAAGGAGGCTTTTTCTGATATGGAGATTTTGTGTTCTGTGGGCTTTTGCTCAATGCGTAGGTGCTGATGTTGGGTGTCTTTAAGCCCCTGAATTGGGGCTGGAAGCTGGAGGTGTGGCTCGGTGGCCCAGCGAGGGCCAGGCTGGACCCAGGGTGCTTCTCAGTTTGATGCCAGCCCAGCAGAGGGATGGGGTTGGTCCTTAGGGCCCTGAAGATTTTCTTGGACACTAGGACCCTCCACTTTGATTCAGGGTGAACCACAATGGTGCAGCTTTGCTTCTTGCCCTCTGGTGGGAGGGGCTGGGGGACAGCCACCATCCCCAGCTCTGGATGCTGCCTGCTCTCACCTGAACCCCTGAGAGTAGGTCCTGGCATCTGTCTATGGCCTTCTGGCTATCTGTCTCCTCAGCAGCTCTCTTCTCTCCCTTGATCATCCCCTCTGTTTCTGTTTCTCTGAATCACTCACTCTCCTTTTTGTCTTTATATATCTTTCACTCTCTCTCTCTGAGTCTCTCTCCCTTTGTCTCTCTCTTCCTCACTTTGTCTCTGTGTGCCTACAAATCTCCTGGCTTCTGTGTGTCCTTCTTTCTCTGTCTATCTCTCTATGTCTCTTATTTCCCATCTCTCTTTGTCCCTGTCTCTCTCCTTCCCTTCTCTGTCTCTCTGTCTCTGTTTCTCTGTTTCTCCCTATCTCTCTTGCTGTCTCTCTTTCCTCCTTTTTGTCTTCTCTCTCTTTGTCCCTGTCTTTCTCTTTCCTTGTCTGTCTCCCCATCTCTCCATGTTTCTTTACCTGTCTCTCTCTCCCTGTCTCTGTCTCTGTGTATCTCTGTCTGTCTCTCTCTGACTCTGTCCCTATCTCTGTGTCTCCATCTCCTTGTCTCTGTCTCCATATCTCTGTCTCTTTCCCGGACCCTGTGGCAGGGTGCAACCCGAGAGTGATTCCTGGGTGGACTGTGGGGCCAGTGAGCTTAGCACTGTATTTGGAACTCTTTTTCTTTTCCCTGCCCTGCAGCACCCTCAGCCCCACCTTACCTCCCCTCCCAGTCCTCTTAAGCAGGCAGGGAGTGCGACGGCTGCAGTCAGACTGGGCAGCCTCGTCTCCCAGGCACACGGTCTATTTCTGGTCTATTTTTACCACCAGTTTCTCTCTGGGTCTGCTGGCTTGGGGCTTTAGCTCTCTGAGCAGGTTGGAGACATGCAAACACGAGTGCATCCCATAAGCAAGGCCTCCCAGTGCTGTCCTAGCCATTTCCCTGCCATAGGGATTGTGTCTTCTCCTGCTCCTTTAATTTTGTGACACAAGAGTGCCCAGTATCTACCCACATAATGCAAATATGACCACCTCAATCCAGGTTCAGATGATACAAAACTCCTGCGCCTGTTCCTTCTTCTAGAAAACAATTTTGATGAGATTCCTTCACAAAACCAAACCCTTAGATGAGAATTCACGTGCAAGGGATTTCTGAAGGAAGTGTTCCCTAGGAAACTGGTAAGGGAATGAGGGAAACTAGACAAGGGAGGGAAAGAATCCAGGTAAGGATGTGATCTCAGGTAAGGTCCTTGGAGAATTGCCTCAGCCTGGTTCTGCAGGAGAGCCCTGGACGGTGAGTTGTCCCATTTCAGGGAAGGGACCATGGGACCATTGTATGTTAACAGCTGTAGGGGATAGGGGAGGGGATGTGAAGTCCCAAACATGTTCGATTTCTCACATTTGTAGGGGAAGAGTTCCATAGCCCAGTGACAGCGCTTGGAAGACAGGCTAAGGGTGTGGGACCCTGGAAGTGTGCTCCCGAATGGGGGCACAAAAGCAGTCAAAAGGCATCCCAGGGGCTCTGACAGAGCATGGTATTGCCTGCTCCCCCAGCCAGGACAGTTTTATTTGATTTCTTCTTCACCTTCTCCTATTCTTCTCATGATTTCCCCTGAAGCCTCCCACTGTTCTTAAAAGACCAATCGAAAGCAAAGCCAAAGCAGATATGACACATAGAGCCATCCATCCACCCTTCCCACAGTAAGCCCAATGATCCTCCCCAAAGTCCCATGGATGTGTCTGGTAATGACAATGACGATAATAATGCATTCAATGAACATTTAAATGTATACCAGGCATGAATCTACATGTTTATTAACTTACCGAATCCCCACAACAACCCTATGAAGTAGTTACTATTATTATACCAATTTTATACATGGAGAACACTGAGACAGAAAGAGGTTAAGTCTCCCCAGGAGACACTATGAGTAAGTTTCAGAGCCTGGACTTGAACCCAGCAAGACTGGCTCCAGAGCTCACATTCTTAACCATCATGCTGTGCCCAGTCTCCTCTAACATGTGGTCTTGAACACATGGAAGTGATCCCCGTCCTCCAGCCTTAGAAACACTGACTTTCATCCCTCCCCAAACACTCCATTTTTAGAAACCAACTCTCTGTCAACTTGTACTGATTCTTTTAGTGGTTTTGATGTTTTTGAAAGCCCACATTTCACAGCCTGTGGTCTTAAACTTGCTACTTTTTGGGACAGATGCCAAATGGCACAGCACAAAAAGAGACCCCTAAAGGAGAGAGGCTGTGCCTTCTCTGTAAGCCAAGCCTCTGAGAAAAACCTTCACCTCATAGCAACAGCAGCAACAAAAGCTTCTGCCTTGATGGGCAGAGGGTAGGGATATGAGACATAGTTGATTTGTTTGGTGGCAGCAACCAGGGGTGGACAAAAAACTCATCAGGGCATTTGAAAGCCTGGGCCACCTAACTGGCCTCTTGATATCCACTCACACCCCTTCTTTGCAAAACAGCCAGAGTCATGCAAATATGGCTATAGCACTGACCTGCTTCAAGCTTCAAATGGCTTCTCATCACTCTTGGGCTAAAAACTAAATGTGGGGCAGTCTGCCACGCTGTGTGCACAGTCTGGCCTCTGCTGACATCTTCAGTCTCACCCTCCACCTCTGAAGCTCTCCACACCCCCAGGGCTCCAGCAAATCTGGCCTTACCGAGTCTTATTCTCTCCTGCCTGCCCCAGCATCTTTGCACATGCTGTTCTCACAGCTCTCTTGCAACTCCCTTTGTCCGAGTTCAGTGGTTCTCACGGTGTGGTCCCAGGAACAGCAACATCAACCTCACCTGGAAACTCTTTAGAAATGCACATTTGTAGGATACCTCCAGAGTCCCTGAATCAAAAACTCTGATGCAAGCTAACAGCTGAGAATTCCTGGCTTAGTCAGCCCCTCCTTATGTTCCATATCTCAGCCTTAACACCACTTTTTATACTCTCAGGGAGACCGCCCAGTGTAAGCTGGGGTCCTTTCCTGCAGAGAGGTTGTTTCAGTTTGCAATTGCATATGGTTTGTGGGATTGTTTGGCAATAGCCTGTCTCTCTGACTAGATTGTAAGCTCCTTGAGGGCACGGATCATGTCTGTTTTGCTCAGAACACGGACCCCAAGGATTCTGTAGGATGCCTGGCACACAAATGACACACGATAAGTGGATGAGTGAATAAGGGTAGAATCCTGACTCTTAGTCTCCTTGTCTATTTCATGGGGGTGCCAATAATTCCCCCTGGCCGCAGGCATGTGTGATGGGGAGAAAGTACATCACCGGAAGTAGCATCAGCAATAACAGCATCACCACATGAACATAGCACTCACTATGGGCCAGGTGCTGCTCTAAGCACTTTGTGGAGTTAAATACAAGGGCACATGCATTATAAAGTCTGATGTGGCTGTAGAGCAGTTCTTCTCCCAGCAAGCAGGGGAAAGAGATGGGAAGTAAAGTTTAGGTGGGGCCTGAGGCAGCCTGTGGGGTTATCAAGTGACCGCAGTACATGACACCTTAAAAATCACAAACTCCTGAAAGCAGGAGGCATGCTTACCACTTTACACATTGTCTTAGCTAGCTTGGGCTGCTATAACAAAATACCATAGCCTGGGGGGCTTAAACAACAGACATTGATTTCTTACAATTCTGGAGGCTGGAAGTGCAAGATTAAGGTGCTGGCAGATTCAGTTCTTGGTGAGGGCTCTCTTCATAGCTTGCAGACAGCTGTCTTCTTGCTGTGTTCCTACATGGGAGCAGAGAGAAGGTTCTAGTCTCTTCCTCTTCTTATAAGGACACTAATGCCATCATGGAGGGCCCACTTTTCTGGTCTCATCTAAATATAATTACTGCCCAAAAGCCCCACCTCCTAATATCATCCCATTAGAGGTTAGGGCTTCAACAGATAAATTTTAGGGAGATACAAACATTCATTCCACAGCACACATCCTTTAGGGCCCCTGCAACTGTGCTTGGGGCATGTCAAAGGTCTGGCTCAGTGATCCCTGGGATGTAGGGTACCTGGATTCTGGGATGATGGGCTTTTTCCTTCTCTCCCACCTCTGCAGGATAGGGGTCTCCAGAGTAAAAGCAGTGTTAGTCCGTTTTGTGTTGCTATAAAAGAATACCTGAGACTGGGTAATTTATAAAGAAAAAAGGTTTAATTGGCTCATGGTTCTGCAGGCTGTACACGCATGGTGCCCGCATCTGCTTGGCTTCCAGGGAGGCCTCAGGGAGTTTTTTTACTCATGGCAGAAGGCAAAGTGGGAGCAGGCACGTCACATGGCAAAAGCAGAAGCAAAAGAGAGAGAGAGTTGGGGAAGGTACCACACTTTAAAACAACCAGATCTCTGGAAAACTGGCTCCATGACCCAAACACTTCTCACCAGGCCCCACCTCCAACATTGGGGATTACATTTCAACATGAGATTTGGTGGTGACATATATACAAACTATAACAAGCAGTTAAACTTCTAAAGCCAGAAACCATTCCAAAGAATCTTGCCGAAGCCACAGAGGGTGGGCAGTGTCCTGATGACACCCTTGAGTGCTCCCTGGACCACACACACTGCCACAGGGGCCAGAGCAGTGTGTAACAGGGAGACAGGAAGGAGAATGAGACTGGATCAGAGGTATCATGTCCTCAGGAAGTTAAAGGATGAAAAGAAGAAAACAACTACAGAAAAATCAGCTCAGGGATTATTGCTCTGTACTTGCTAAATCTGCTCTTAGCAGCTTCTGTGGGACCCTGGGGCTCTCAGGGCCACAATGGGGAACTCCTGTTTGATAACAGCCTGAGATGATCTCAGAGGCCAAACACACTCCAACGAGACTAGGATGAGCATAGGAGAGGGGAGGCAGGTGTCTCATCGGGGACATGGCTCCTCTGGCTCACAGACTCTCTGGAGCACTAAGGCCCTGGAGTCTGCAACCTAAGCATTTGACCAGAAATATATAAGGCCTCCCTCCACCTGGAGGGAGGGGAATGGGGCTTCCCTGGCAACGTTGGCCTCTGGCCACCTCTTTTTGTACTAGTGTAACAAACCATCCTTTTACTGTTGCCATGCACAACCGCTCTTGATGGGCTTTCCCGGCCAACACCAGGCATCTGTGTCTTTTGTAGGTGGATTGCCCTCAAGCTACTGCAGCTGCTTCTCCTGGGGGCAAACAGAACAAAAATGCCTGGGAATTTCTGTTTCCCTGGGGTACCCTGGACCAGTAATGCTAATGGGTATGTGTTGGGGTTGGGTAAATACCCCAGCCAAGACTCTTGAGATGTGACCTCCACTGTCCCCATAGTTACCTACCATGGGACTTTGCCTGATTTTACACCTTTGTTGGCCTCCCCTCCTCAGTACCACTTCCTTACTGCCTTACATTTAATACTAAAAGCCACTTTGATGTGAACCTTGTCTCAAGGTCTCCTGAAGAATCCAACCTAAGACAGTTTTCACCAGCCTGAATCATTCAAACAGAAACAATAACAACAATGGCCATTTTCTGAACACTTGCCATGTTCTGACCTTTTTGCAAATAAACTAGCCCCTCGAGTCTTCAAAACACTCCCAGTAACAGTAAGGAAACTGAGGTTTAGAGAGAGCAGATATCTGTGGCCAGACTCACACATCTGCAGTTGCGGACTTTAAAACTGGATGGAATATGCCCCACTGCCATCCACTGCACACATGTTCTTCTCCACGTTCCTGCAGGGGACTCTCTAGCTCCTGCAGGAACATTTCACTCAATGAACAAATATTCTCTTGAGCACCTCCCAGGAGCGAAGCAGTAGGTATTGAAGTGCGATGGTTAAAAAAAGTGTTTGCCCTTTGCCCTCAGTTAGTAGGAAAGATACACAAGCAAACGAACAATTGCAACAGGGTGGAACAAGGTGGGAAAAGGCTGTGAAGTCAGTTTGCTATGGGACTTCCTAAGAGTGGTGCCATACAGCCTGAGGATATTGAGAGCTTGAAGCTGTGTCCAAAAGAGAAATCTTCCTCTCTGCACTTCAAATACTTGGAGAAAGTTAAAGTCTTTGTCTTAAGGCATCTTCTCTTTGGCCGAAGTGTTGCTCCCCATCCTCTTCAGTCTTTCCTCCTTACACTTGGCTCTCAGTCTCTTCAATATGTTGGTTGCCTCGGTTGTAAATATTTCTTCTAAAGCATGAGACCCAGCCTTGCTCAGAACCCCAGATGTGGTTGAATCAGGGCAGAAAGCAGTGGGCACATGGGCTGTAACCTCCCCAAATGAGACCCCTTGCTCCTATTAATGCATCCACAGTTGTTTCACACAGAACTTAGAGCTAGATCACACTCCTGCAGCAATTTCACGTGAAATGTGCCCTATCTAATTTTTATGCA
This sequence comes from Homo sapiens, assembly GCF_000001405.40. Lineage (NCBI taxonomy): Eukaryota > Metazoa > Chordata > Mammalia > Primates > Hominidae > Homo > Homo sapiens. Next base: position 39,458,875 of record NC_000023.11, on the reverse strand, counting down.
ACTGACTTTCTAAACTGAATGCCAACATTTTACATGTATTTCTGGGAATCTTTGCACGAACAATTCTCTTTTTCTACTTCCAGATCCGTTCTCTGCTCTTTGCTGTGTTCTGTGTCTTGGGAGGCTGACCTCTGTAGATGGCATCACTGGTCCTGTGGCTCACTGTTGGCTGTGGTTAATGGGTGGCACCCACAGGAGTTTAGAGTGAGGTAGGAGTGTGAGTTTGGGTATTTTGTCCATATTTTGGGTATTTAACCCATCCCCAAATAATCTCTCTCATCCAGGTCACAATATTGACAGTGGCTGCATTTCTCTACCCATAGCCACAGCTCATGTCTGGTGGCATCTTTTCCATGGTTGTTGTGCTGAATTGTGACAAAACCATTTGTTTCCCTTGCCCTTTCAGGCCTAGAAGCGGCAGCAGCTTTCTGCTGTTCTAGCCTCTGCAAGCTTCAGCATTTGTTGTTAGTTTCCTTAACACTGCCTCCACCTCTGTAAATAGCTCCTTAATTAAACTCTCTTAAGTGAAACTTTCCGAGTGTGTGATTTGTTCCAGATGGGTTCCTGACTAAACTGGAGTGATGAGCTTAACTCAAAAATATTAATTTATATTTAACATTTTAATTAAAATATACCTTAATTTATATTTAATATTTTTGAATTCAGCTCATCACTCCAGTCCAGTGAAATCTTTTTGAGGCTTAGTTTTTTATCCATCATAATAGCTTTTATTTCCAGGTTTGTCTTACCTGGAAACTTGCTAAACAAGCCTTCTTTCCTGTCCAAAGCCAGCCAAGTCCTACACTGCCCAAATGCCTACAGGGGATCTGGTTTGAAAGCTCATGCTTTGCCTAAGCAGGTACCACAACCATTCTCTGGACAAATCAGACACATTTCCTCTCCCACTCAGGAATTTCCATGGAGAAGCAGGATATAGAATTGTTCACCTGGTGGGAGGAGAGGAAGTAGACAAACATACAGAGAGAAGTAAGTTTAGGAGAATAGTTGAGTCACGTTTAATACAGAGCATCATCAAGTGGAGAGAGTGAACTCCTGCTGCCGGGGAGGGGAGAAGGTTTATTTGATAATCTAGACTCTATGGCTGTGTTAGATATTTCCATTTCTGCAATAGTACAGTCGGTGTGAGATCTGGCCATATGGCATTCTCTCTTACTGGAGACTCCCAGTAAACTGCCATTACATAAGATAACCTGAATGAGTTACACCCCAGAGGGATAATAAGGCACATTCTACGTCTTCATCTAAGTCACTGAAAGGAAAGAACGTTGCTTAGGGCAGGGCAAGAGATAGAGTTTTGAGTGCCACCAGAGATCTTCCTGAAGAGTGACATCATTGTGGATCAATACTTGCAGAAGACATTGCTAGTGCTCAGTGATATCCATATTCTCCTCTTCTTTCTGGCCACATGGCTAAACCTCATTTCCCAGCCCCCGTGTACTGTGTGCTCCCATGTGACTGAATTCTTGCCAGTGGAATGTGGGTGGAGATTATGTACACCATTTCTAGTCCTGGCTTGCAGAAATCTCCCACACAAGATTTTCCTCTCTACTCTTTCTCTGGAAGCCTTGGAGGTCATAAATTAAAGATGGTAGTATCATAATATGGAAGGACCCATGCATCTGAATGACTATGTGGGGAAAAGTTTCTCTTGCTGATCATATTTTGCTGTGATGTGAGCAAGGAACTTTATTGCCTAAGCCATTGAAATTTTGGGGTGAGTTGTTAAAGCAGTTAGTATACCCTGGCTAATATAGGAATGGGTACCAGAAGTGGGGTTCAAACCCACATAGGCATACAATTAATTCAATCAGCTTCAATTTAGCAAATTATATTACCAGTCAGTTCACTTTTGCTCATATTTTCCATAAGAATAAGATTTGAGATTTTTGTAAAATGCTCTGCATAAATCAGGTATAATTATGTGCATTGCTTTTCTCTGATCCATCGGGTGACTTACTCTGATATATCACTGAAAAAGATACAGAGTCAGTGTGGCCTGACTTGAGTCCTTCATTCGTTTGTTTGTTCTTTCTTTCCTCCCTCTGATCCTCCCCTATTTTGTCTTTCTTTTGCCAGAAGTTAAAAGACTACCACTTTAACAATCAAATTAATTTTTTTTTCTGGGAAACGTCCTCAACTTCATGGTTCTATAATTCCTCAAAATCTACATTTCTCCTTTTTTTGAAAAGCAAGACATTTGTTCTTTTTCAGTAGATTTAGTTTCCATGAATGTATAAAAAATATGTACTTCTGCCACTTTATAGAAAATGCCAGAACCTTACGACAGTTCAACTCCATTTACTCCCTCCTACCATAATAAATTCCATTTACTAAAGCTATATGCCAGTATTCTAAACACTGCATACATATTAACTCATTTAATCCTCACTGCAAACCTGTGGGGCTGATAATTTATTATCCCCATTGTACAGTTGAGAAAACTGATGCTCATAGAGGGGACATAATTTCCCCTGGGGTTTTTCAGTTTATAAGTGGCAGAGCTGGGATTCCAATCCCAGCAGTCTTCCCTCAGAGGCCACTTGCCCAACCACCAAGCTCTACAGGCATCAGCTGCTGATGGCTAGGCTGGGTTTTGTTTGTTTTGATTGTGTTTTGGCTCCTTTCCCAAAAGTATCATCTCTGCTTTACCCCCCACCCACCCGCTGCCCCGCCCCCAGCAGTGTCCTGGTGAACACAGAAGGGGCACCCCAGCCCAGCAAGGTTCAATTAACAGGCTGGACAAGGAAATCCAGACCTCTGGGGAGTCTGAGCCAAGACTGCTACTCTCAACAGGGAGGATGAAAGCGTCCTTGGCCCTCCTGCCACTGCTCAGCCCCAGTGTCAGTGGAGCCCACCAAAGCCATGTTCTTGGACACCCACTCCGTTACTACCTGGTAACTTCCCTTGGAGCAGTTGGGGGGCAAAGGAGAGGGAACATGCCTGCAATGTAATTAACACTATAACAACTTGTTTCCCCCTTGGAGAATTACACCATTAGCTGCTTCAATTGTGCATGAAATATAAATTACATTACTCGGAGGCATCATGTCGGAGCAGACGCGATGCTAAGTGACGAGGCTCTCCACGGTGCATCCCACTCCCTAGCCAGCAGGTCAGAAGGAACACGGGCCCTGAAGCCTACAGCCAGAAGATCTGCCTATGGTCTCCTTGGCTGTTGCAGCCTCAGAGGGCCCAACACGGAAACTCTTTCCTGGGCAGTGGAGACTCTTTCCTGGGCAGTCCAGGAAGCCAGATCCAGGGAGCATCATCTCTAGCACTTTTTTCTGTGTGCGTGTATGAGTGTGTGTGTGTGTGTGTGTGTGTGCAGGCACACACATTTTGGAAAGCTGGAGGAGCCAGTCCAGAGCATTAAATATCTGTCAGGTAATGGGTGCAGTGGCTCACACCTGTAATCCTAGCACTTTGGGAGGCTGAAGCAGGAGGATTGCTTGAACCCAGGAGTTTGAGACCAGCCTAGGCAACACAATGAGACTTTGTCTCTACTAAGTCTCTACTGAAAAAAAAAATTAGCCGAACATAGTGGCACACACCTGTAGTTCCTGCTACTCAGGAGGCTGAAGGGGGAGGATCCCTTGAACCCAGAAGTTGGAGGCTGCAGTGAGCTATGATTGGGCCACAGCATTCCCATCTGAGTGACAGAGTGAGACCCTGTCTCAAACAAACACACAAACAAATAAATATCTGTCAGGCTGAGTGAGAAGTGAGTGGCCAAATCCACTTGAGAAGGGAGGGAGGTAATCCTTCACCAGGCAGATCCAAACTGGTCCCCAGTATGCATTTTTCCTTCCATTCATTCATTTGGCTTGCTGGAAATGCTCTGATCCCCTACCTGGGCCAGGCCTACATAACTCCCTACTTGCTTGCCACACCAGCTTTCTGGCCACTAACCTAAGCCAGCTTGAGACACTCATTCTGTATATAACTAGGATGGGTTCAGAAGGTGCTGAGAGATATGCTACAGGATTTTGGCTGGTCTTCTTTTTTGAGGACAGTAAGAGAACTTTCCAAATCCTGGTGTCATGAGAAGGTGTCCTTGCTTTTTCAGAAGAAGCACAGGTTTCATTTGTACCTGTTTCCATATTGAGAGGGGGAAGTGACACTGGGTACAATTAACAGTGACCACCATTGTGCCTTTTATGAAGCCACCATACCTCCAACCCGGGGGCCCCATTCTTCCCCTCTTCCTGGTCCTGGAATACTGGGTCCAGCCTGGTTCCATGGAAAGAATGGGAAGGGCTGTCCCTGGGTGCTGTTAGCAGCTGCTTGGGAGGCTCAGAGCCAGCTTCTCTCACTAGAGCCCCTGTTAGGGCAGGAAGTTTGGAAACCCATCCTGAAGCTGCAGGAGAAATTTGGGAAAATATCATGCAATTACCCTAATGACAGCTGTACAAATCACACAACCACCCCTCAAATCCCCTGCCGCTGAGTAGAGCCAAAAACTGGAAGAGCCAAAACCCACATATGGATTCAGGGAGACCTCTGGAAGCTGTCCCTTTGGAAGGCCTTTGTTGGGGTAAGGAGGGAGGGCAGTGAGAGCTGCAAAAGCTCCAGGGCCTCAAGCTCTGTTGGAAGGGAGGGGACCACTTCAAGGCAGCCCCCTCCTGCACAAACCCATTCAGGCCAGACCCACCCCATGGAAGCCTACCGTCTGCCCTCTGCCTGACCGGCTTCCCATCTCACACTCCCTCCCAGACCAGACCAGCTCAGAAGACTCTTTGAACAGGGCACATGGGATAGGGTGACAGCTGTCAGCTGTTAGTGCCCTGGCTTGGGAAACCTCCCTTCTGTAGATCCAAATATTTTCTTGGACTTCAGTCAAGACTCAGATCAAGCCTGTCTTCCCCCTTTTCTCACAGAGCCATCCTAGGTTCCCTCCCACAGGCTGGTCAGATCCACTAAAAGCACTCAGTTGTGCTATGCAGTCCGCCTCTTAGTCCCGATTCCCATAGAACCATCTGCTGTGAGAAATCACAAAACTGCCAGATGGGGGACAGGGAGGTGCTTCTGTTCCAGTCATCTCTCTCTGGCTGTATCATAGTTCAAGGCATACAGTAGGTGTTAACTCACAGATCTGCAGTGCAGTGGGAAAGGATTGTTCTACTAGTCCGACAGCATAGGCTGGGATTCTAGGTAGGTATTAGCATCTTCATTTTACAGATCCTGAAACTGAGACTTGAGAGGCACAGAGGTAGCTGACAGGTACTTGGTGTGTGTTGGGCACTTATGCCAGGTTGAGAATTAGGCACTGGGGATAGAGATGTAAGTCATCATCCCTGCCTCTCCAATGGGCGGGTGGGGGGGGTTGGAGGAGGTTACTGTTGAAAGACAGGGTGAGAGACTCAGGTTCTTTGCTTTGGTAGATTGCAGGGTTGCGGAGAAGCCCATCCCTGGGGCTCAGCTCCTGGGGAGTTCTGAACAATTTACTGAAAAAGAAAGACAAGAGAAGGAAGACCTTGGCTGTGAACTCTTGGCTGGCAGGGCAGTCCCTTGCCTATAGATCGGATGAGAACTGGCAAGACATTACAGGCTGTGTGGTCTAGTGAGGAATCTGAAAAGATGAATGATTTTCTCAAGGACAAGCAGGCTTCTAATGTAATTCACAACAGCAATAGCACTCTTTTTTCGAAAGGGTTACCCTGTGGCAGGCCTGGTGCTGAATTCTTTACCCACATTATCTCTGTAATGGAAAAGGGTACTGGTGGCAACTGTGGCTTCAGTTGCCAGACTGCCCTGGGTTCCAATCCTGGCTCTCTCACCTCCCAGCTCTGCGACTTTGGACAAGTCACTGAAAGCTCCTTGTGCCTCCAGCTTTGTCTGTAGAATGGGGATGTGAATAGGGTTTTTACCTCACTAGGTTATTGTGGGGATTGAATGAATTAACATATGCAAAGAGCTTAGAACTATGGTTCTGCAAGTGTGGTCGGTGGACCAGCATTTCCTGGGAGCTCCCTAAAAATGTAGGGTAACAGGCCTGCCCCAGACCTGCTGAATCTGCATCTGCATGCCTACAAGACCTCCAGGGGGTTCATGTGGAAGTTGGAAGCACTGGCTGTTAACAGTGCCTGAACCAAGTGCTCTATAACTGTTGGCTGTGATTACTGTTATTATTTATTATCCCATCTAATCCTGAAGCACACCCACTGGGCAGGAAACCATGACTCGGAGTAGGTAACAACTCTGCCTCAGCTCCCACAGCCAGGAGGAAGTAGGATTCCAGAGAGTCAGCAATCAGCCTGGTGTGCCTGTGACTGAGCGGCTTTCAGTGCTAAATCAGGAACAGACAGGGCAAACCAGTGTAGTTGGTTACCCTCAGTGCAGATCACTCCACGGTTCTGGGGCCTTGGCGACTAAGGGGTGCAGCATCATTACAGCACACACTTTAAAATTGTGATTACATACACATGACATAAAATTCACCACTTTAAAGTACAATTCAGTGGCATTAAGTAATTTCACAATGTTTGGCAACTGTCACCACTACCCAGTTCTGGAACTTTTTTTATACCCCTAATGGAAACCCCATACCCATTAGCAGTCATTCCTTATTCCCTCTTTCTCCCAGCCCTGGGCAACCATGAATCTACTTTCTGTTTCTATAGATTTATCTATTTTGGACACTTCACGTGAATGGAATCATACAATATGTTGCTTTTCGTCTTTCACTTAGCATAATGTTTTCGAGATTCATCCATATTGTAGCATGTGTCAGCATTTCATCCCTTTTTATGACTGAATAATATTCCATTGTATGTATAAACTATATTTTGTTGATCCATTCATCCATTGATGGACACCTGGGTTGTTTCCACCTTTTGACTCTTGTGAATAATGCTGCTATGAACATCCATGTACACGTATCTGTTTGCATCCCTGCTTTCAATTCTTTGAGGACGTGTATGTAGGAGAGGAATTAGAGGATCATATGGCAATTCTGTGTTGAACTTGCTGATGGTCAACATATGTTTTTAAGTCCCCTCATGTGTAAGCACTGAAGAGTCCTTTAAGATCTAGCAAGAAACAACACCTAGATCCTGCCCTTGAGGGCCCCCAGTCCAGGGGTGAGTTGGAGGGTTTGCCTGTTGAGGCCCAGGTCCCCCACAGTCCCATTCCCCTCTCTGCATCCTCCTTAAGGGAACTGGAGGAGCATTTGCTTTGGGATGAGCCAGCCCCAAAGATTTCTGTCGCTCCCTGACACTTAAGAAAATCAGTGAAAACAACAACAACAAAACTAGCGGAGAGCACCGAAGTATGTTGTGGCTCTCAAGTGTGGGGCCATAGCAGCAGTGACTTAAGGGATAGGGGAGGGAAGGTGGTGGGGGGAAAGGAGAGAGAATCAATTTCTGGATCCATCCTTGGGAAAGCAGGAGTCACTCCAAAGCAAAAGGATGAAAATACCTCTCTGCTTTCAGGAGGAACCCCTCAGCTGAGCAACCCCTTGCTCTGAACATGCCGGGTCTGGTCACGTTGAAGGGCTAGGCGTGGGCGGGCACACAGGAAAGTGTTTGATGCCTGGGTGGTCACTGCTCAGGGGCCTCCTGTGTATTCTGGGCTAATTAATGGTCTTCAGTGATTCCCTGGGGATTCTTTCGTGGTGACCTGTGGCCCCCGAGGCATGATGCCAGGTGAAAGCTGTTGTGGAGAAGTGGGAGGGTTGGCCTGGAGACACCCCCACCCGGGCTGAAGCAGGGAGCTGGGCTGGCTCCCTCACCTTGACCTGGAGGGATGAGAAGTTGGCTTGCTGATTCTCTGGGTTAGAAGTCAAGATTGAGCTAGAGAAGGGGAAGCAGAGGGAGGAAGGAGGAGGAGAAGGAGGAAGATGAGAGCTTTTCCTAGAGGAAATAATGACCAGAAGGGCTACTAGTCAGGATGAAGGGTGGCAGGCCGGCAGGCAGAAGCTGTGCTGAGGTTGCTGCATCATGGAGGAGGGGAGAGTGGAGGGTGAGAGGTCAGCGAAGGCCAGCCTCAAAGCTGCCTCGAAGAATGTTTCCACTTCCTAACCCAGCTGCACAGGCTGGTTTTCTGTCTCTCTACTGTAAACACTGCAGCCTTCACCTCCACCGCGCACTGAACCCCAAAGTGGGGCCCTTATCTGCCCGCCCCTCCCACCGACCTGTCCCTGTTGCCATGGAAACTATCTCCGGGGTAAGGTGATCTCTCTCTACTTGCAACCTCCCTGCTTTCAGCACCAATCAATCAAACCCCCCAACCCCATCTCTAAGGGGGAGGTCCTAGGGGAGAGTAAGGAAGGAGAGAAATTTAACACAGGAAAAAGAACAACATTAATGAAAAATGAACAAAGAGAGGGGGTGATGTAATTCCGGCTGTTGATCAATTCCTTTTGTCCCTCCAGCAACCACACCCTTCCCATGCTTCACTCGTTGGGGAGGAAGGGACTGTCATGGTGAGGGGTGGTTTCAGAGTTGCCCTGGACCCAGGGCAGTATTCTGGCCACGGAGTTCTTCTGAGGATTTGCCTCTCCTCTGAAGGAAGGTCACAGGAATGACAAATCAGCCTGGTCATGGGTAATTAGAGATGGACTAGAGCTTACCTGCCAGAGTGAGCAAGGTCATAACTGGGCTGACCACTGAGGATTTATTTCCTGTGGCAGATTGTATTTTGCACAAACAGCTGAAACAATAGTTTCTGTCCTATATGCTCCTCTGGAAAATGGTCTCACTCCCATGCAAATATGGAGTCTGTGTCCCCTCCTTTTGGACCAGGGCAGGACTTATGGCTGCCTCTACGAATGGAGTACAGCAGAAGTGATGTTCCGTGACTTCCAAGGCTAGGTCAGAAAAGGCAATGCAACTTTTGCCTAGATCACTCTCTCTCTCAGGACATGATCTCTGGAGCCCAGTTGCCTTGCTGTGAGGAAGCCCAGACGATATAGAGATGTGTGGAGAGATTCCTGACAACAGCCCCCAACAAGTCCCAGTTAACAGCCAGCATCCACAGCCAGACATGCAAATGATTATGCTTTTGATATGATTCCAGTATCAGCCACTGTCTGCCTGAAACCACAGGGAGAGTCGCCTAGCTGAGCCCAGCCAATCCCAGAACCATAGGAGAAAATGATAACTGATTGTAGCAGTTTTATGCCATTAGGTTTGGGGTGTCTGGTGTCACAGCAATAGAAAACTAGGATGAAGCTGGACATTAGGAATTAGAAGTTTGGATTCTATGGCAAGATTTGACACAACACACCCACTTTAGACTCTCAACTTATCTGCCTCTAAAGACACAGAGGTTCAGTGGTTTCTCATGACCTGTTTGATGGTTGGTTTTACATTTACACGTAGTCATAATCAGTCACTACTCTGTAAAATGCTGTGAGAGATCTAGGTGAAAATTATGATCCAGATGACAACTTTGTGCTCCAAAAGAAACAAATGTCACATTTCCCCTGGGCACCTGTTTTGCAGTTTGCTCATGGATTACCTATAGATCGTCTATTCTTGTTAATTACAAAACCAGTGGCTACCTGTATGCTTTTCCAATACCTCCTTCTATTTGTGAAGTATTGACCAATTTTCCATCTGAACTGGGCACTGCCTCCTCTGTAAGTAGCTGTCACATTGTTTTCTGTTCACAGTCAAACTTCTTTAAAGTTGTATATATCAGTGGTTCTCAAACTTTAGCATTCATCAGAATCACCTGTAGGCCTTGTTAAAAACAGATTCCTGGATTTCGGCCTCAGAATTTCTAATTCAGTAGATCTGAGGTGAGGCTTGAGAATTTGTGTTTCTAACGAGCTTCCCATATGATACCAATAGCTACTGCTGGTCTGTGGACCCTGCTTTTGGTAGCATGGTAATATATTGTTACCTCAATTTCTTTTATTTCCTTTTCAGCCTATAACAGTGTGGTTTTCTCCTCTATCACGGTTCCTGTGAAGGTCACAAATGCTTTCGTAATAGTCAAAACTAATGACTTTTGCTCATTCCTGACCCTCTTTTGACATCTGTGCATCATCAAATGCCATTGACCACTTTTTTTTTCTTGCAGTGTCCTCCTTTGCCTCTTGCTTACACACCTCTCCTAGTCCTGAACCTGTCTATGGCTCTTTCTCCATCTCTTTCCCTCACTCATCTCTCAACGGTTGACATTCTCTAGTGTTCCTTTTTGATCTTTTTTTCTGACTCCACCCTTTCTTTCTGGTTCCTATTGTCATCTACCACCTCCACACCAAAGTCTTCTGAATTTATAGCTCCCACTGTAGCTTCTCTCCTGATGTCGAGGCCCGTATTTCTGCCAGCTGGGTATGCTGTAGGCATTTGACATATCCCAAACCATCTTCCCCACTTCTTCAGTAAACCTGTGTTATATCCGTTATCTTTTTAGACACAGAAGCTAGTTATCTCTCCCTCAGAGCCAACAGTCATCAAGTCCTAGCCATAAATATCTCTCTGATGCCCCTCTCCTCCTTCCCCTCACCTTTTTTAGGGTCCCCAGTAGGCTTGGACCATTGTCATGGCTTCCTAAGTGCTCTCCTTGCAACCAGCCTGTTTTCTTGCCATTCCATTTTTAACACCATTATCAGTTAGATTTCTGACATAGAGATCAGATCACTTAATTCCTTCATTAAAACATTTTAATGACTCTGCAACAGTAGCAGAGGCTCTTGTCTCACTCTGCAGTCTTTTTGCTATTTTTATGGACATTGGCTCCCAGTGTGCCTCCACTCCTGGAAGCCAGTGTCTCTCTGTTGAGGGACTTCCCTCAGGCTGCCAGAGCCATGCCACTTGCATTGTGGGCTACTGTGGGCAGCTCAAAGTGCCTGGGGGCTGCTCTGAACCAGTGATTACTGGGTGAGAGGCTATAAGTCCTCCCACCTCCTCTTCCAATCTAGACAACTCTGAGATATGACCTATAGTGTCTCCAGAGTACCCTTGTAGGATTGAGCAGAAGTTGCCCTCCATGAGACTTTGCTTAGTACAGTCTGTTGGCTTGGCTTTTGACCCTTCCCTACTTCTTTCTTGGCATTTCAAGGTAATACTTCCTAATAAATCATTTTCACAGGAATCCTTTTCTGCTTCTGGGGATCTTGACCTAAGACAAGTACTTATAGGATAAAGTGAAACCTCCTTAACCTGGAAGACAAGGCCTTTTGGAATCTGATCTTAACAATGTTTCTGGATTTATCTTTCATGAGTCTCATCTGACACTATAGCCATATCAAGAACTCGAGTTCCCAGAAAATGCCATGTGCTTTCAGACTCCTGCATCTCTGATTGTGTGTTTTCCTTTGGAGAATGTCAATACAGCTCACCCTTGAAGGCCCAGCACACACATACTGAAATCTTTCTTCCGGTGCCACCACTCCTGTTCCTTTTGTCCTTGTATTTGTATATTTCCCTGATACAATACTTAATGAGTTAATGCATGAAAATCTGTTTTCCACATTCAAATGTGAACTCCTTAGGGCTAGGACCATGTTTTATTAATGTTTGTATTCTCAGTGCCCTGCAGAATACTTGATCCTTAGTGGGTATTTGTTATGGGTTGAATTGTGTCCTCCCAGAGAAGGTGTGCTGAAGTCCCAACTCCCAGTGCCTCAGAATGGGATGTTGTTTGGAAATAGGGTATTTGCAGATGTCATCGTGTTCAGATGAGGTCATTAGGGTGGGCCCTAATCCAATATGACCAGTGTCCTTACAACAGGGGAAATTTGGACACAGAGGCATGCACACAGGGAGAACACCATATGAACATGAAGGCAGAGATCTGGGTGATGCTTCTATGAACTAAGAAACACCAAAGATCACCAATGACCACCAGAAGCTGGGTGAGAGGCAGGGAACAGATTCTCCTCACAGCCTTCAGAAGAAACCAACCCTAGCAACACCTTGATCTCAGATTTCCAGCCTCCAGAACCGTAAGACAAAACATTTTAGTTGTTGTAAGTCACCAGTGCATGCTACTTTGCTACAGCAGTCCTGGGAAACTAATACAGTGTTCAATAAATGTTGGTTGAGTGAATGAATTTGATGTGACACTTATTTAGCATTTTCCACTTGCCAGGCCCTGTTCTAAGCCCTATACAAATATTAACTCTTTTAATTCTCATAATAGGAAATACTACAATGAGGAAGGTATTGTTATTATCTCCTTTTACAGAGGAGGAAATCCAGACAGAGAAGTTAAGTAACTTGCCCAAAGTTGCACAGTGAGAGATAGAGTCAGAATTTGAAAGGTAGTCTGACTCTGGAGCCTAAGAGCTTTCCAACTGTGCTATGCTGAATTAAGATCATCCTTATAACAACTGTTACACTTGAGGTTCTCAGGACAGCAGAGGCGGAAACTGAGATGGAGAGGATGAACGGCTGAGGTTTGCATGGGCGGTAAGGGGAAGAGATGGAAATCGACCCCTTTTTTCCTGATTCCTAATATATTTTCCTCTCTGCAGACGAGAGGAGATGGGCCTTGAGAGGATCTCATGATAAATACTCACATTTGAGAGTCATTGCCACTAGACTGGGTACCAGCCAGTAAAAACGGGGCGGATAGTTGTTGTCAGGGAGACCTGGCTCCTCGCAGGGGAGGACGCTCTGTCGCTGGTTATGGGCTAACAGTGGTCGTGTAAATTTTCATTCCCCGTGAGTGTAACTTCCATGACTGATGGTCATAGGTAGAATTGCTTGGGCTTTAGATTTGTGGACCTGTTGCCCATAAACCACATTTTCATATAGAATACATGTCTGAGGAGAAGTGGGCATGTTTTAATCTCATGAGTTACGGCGCTGCCTCCCTCTAAAATCTCTGAGCCAGCCTCCGATGAGTGAAGAGGTTGCTGTGGCGAGGGAAAAACCCACCCAACGCCTCACAGCCTCCCTTCCCCACTCTCTCCTCAGAGGCCAGCATTTATTTACTCGGTACGAAGGGAGGATGTTCTAATCGGTTTTTAAGGGCCCTTGCTGCAAGAGTGGGAAGAAGAAAAGAGATGTGCAATTTTGGCCTCTTCAGTCATGATTCCCAATTGCTATTGGCCACCGAGTGGCTTAGCAATGGATGTGGTTGCAAAAGATGATGGTGGTGATGGTGGTGGTGATGGGGTGTGTGTGTGTGTGTATGTATGTGTGTGTGTATGTATGTGTGTGTGTGTCTGTGCCTCTCCACAATCAAGTGGGCTCTGCATACCAGGTTTTTTTAATCTTAGGTTTCTTTGAGGTTAGCCAAGTGTGAGAAAAGAAGGTGTGCTTGCTTAAAAGCTTCCAGAAGAATGGTGCTTGCTATATACATGGATGGAAACTGTTGGCCAAAAGTGGACAAATTACAAACAAGTCTTGTGCCAGAAGGGGGTGCTGTGGAGCACAGACTGGTGATTTGAGGCAGGGTGCAGGTACAAATCTGGGCAGGTGCTGGTTTGAGAGGGGTGGCTGGTAGATCGAGAACTGGAGGCTGGGTGGGAACCGGAGTGGAGTTGGGACATGCATATGCATTCTGGGGCTCTGCGGATGTTTGGATGAGGACCCGGCCAGATGCCAGGAGATATGTATGATACAAGAGGGGAGCACAGAAGCCAGGTCTAGACAAGGACAGGAGCTCAAGCAGAAGGATGTTCCAAGAAACAGGGAGCAGGCAACTGGGGGGCTAAGTGCAGCTTTGTCTATAAGGGGAGGCAAGGGAAGCACTGAGCCAGGTGGAAAGACCCCCGAGGACTTCACCCTCCCTGGAAGGATTTTTGTTGTTATTGTTAGGGGAAATTTTGTGGTGGTGTTATCCCTGTAGCCCACAATGCCTTAATTCTAAAGCCACATCATTCTTTTTTTTTTCTTTTTTCTCTATCATTCTTTTTTTTTCCTTTATGTTCTAGGGTACATATGCACAACGTGCAGGTTTGTTACATATGTATACATGTGCCATGTTGGTGTGCTGCACCCGTTAACTCGTCATTTACATTAGGTATATCTCCTAATGCTATCCCTCCCCACTCCCCTCATCCCCCAGCAGGCCCAGGTGTGTGATGTTCCCCACCCTGTGTCCATGTGTTCTCATTGTTCAATTCCCACCTATGAGTGAGAACATGCAGTGTTTGGTTTTCTGTCCTTGAGATAGTTTGCTCAGAATGATGGTTTCCAGCTTCATCCATGTCCCTATAAAGGACATGAACTCATCCTTTTTTATGGCTGCATAGTATTCCATGGTATATATGTGCCACATTTTCTTTTCTTTTTTTTTTTTTTTTTGAGATGGAGTCTTGCTCTGTTGCCCAGACTGGAGTGCAGTGGCACAATCTCAGCTCACTGCAAGCTCTGCCTCCTGGGTTCATGCCATTCTCCTGCCTCAGCCTCCCGATTAGCTGGGACTACAGGTGCCCGCCACCACGCTCAACTAATTTTTTGTATTTTTAGTAGAGATGGGGTTTCACCGTGTTAGCCAGCATGGTCTCGATCTCCTGACCTCGTGATCTGCCTTCCTCGGCCTCCCAAAGTGCTGGGATTACAGGCGAGAGCTATCACACCCAGCCATGTGCCACATTTTCTTAATCCAGCCTATCATTGATGGACATTTGGGTTGGTTCCAAGTCTTTGCTATTGAAGCCACACCATTCTTTACCTGGCTCCCAGAACATCATCCTGTCTTGGTTTTGCTCATCCCTTTGGCCACACCTTCCCAGCCTCCTTGTCTCATTTGCTTTTCACCTCCTCGACCTCTCACACTCACAGTGTCCCAGGACTCCTGGGCATGTCTTTTTCTCATCTCCCTCTATTCCCTCCCCTAAAGTGGCCCCATTCAGTCATGTGGTGTTGAATGGTATCTATGCACTCAGAACTCCCTGGTTCCTATCCACAGTGCATGCCTTCCCGATTGCTACTCAGCATTTCACCTCCACACCAAATAGCATCTCAGACTCAGCCAAGTTCCCATTATCTCCTTGCTTGAGCCCATTCTTCCTGGTCTTTGGAGTCTCAGTTTTGGCAGCTCCATTCTTCCAGTCGCTCAGGTCCAAAACCTTACATTCATCCTTCAGTTTTTCCTTTTGCCCATTCTTGCAGTAAATCCCACTGGCAGCACTTTAAAACAGAGATGCAGAACCTCGCCACTTGCCACCCTCTCTAGTCCCGCCTCACCCTCTCAAGCCTGGATCACTGAGGCAGCCTCTTGAGTGACTGCCCTAACAGCTTGTTCTTAACACGACAGCTAAAGTGCTCCCTTATTATTATATATTTTTTTCAGAGACAGGGGTCTTACTTTTGTTGCCCAGGCTGGTCTTGAACCTTGGCCTCAAGTGATCCTCCTGCCTCAGCCTCTAGAGAAGCTGTGACTACAAGCACAAGCCACCATTCTGGGCTTAAAATGCTCCTTGTAGAACATGAGTCAGACCGTGTCCCTCCACAGCTCACTACCTTCCAATGGCCCCCAGCTCATCCGAAGGAAAGCCAGTCATCACAGTGGCACACATGGCCCTACCCAATCTCCCCTTCCCCCATTGCCCCTGTGACTTCATTTCCTACCACCCTCCCCATTGTCCCCCTGCCTTAGTCATGACTGCTTCCTTGCCCTTCCCCCAACAGGCTAGGCACACATCTATCTGAGGGCCTTTGCCCTGGCCCTTTCCTCCTTCTTCTTCTTCAGGGCTTGACCCCAAAGTCACCTTCTAGTGACACCTTTCCAGACCTATTAAAGGCTGCAACCCTATTACTCTCTTCAACCCTCCCTAGCAACCTTCCTTGATTTGTTGCTATTCATAGCTCTTTACAACCTTGCTATATATTTTACTCCCCCACTAGAATGTAGGCTCCGTGAGGGCAAGAAATTGGGGCAGTTGGTTCACAACTGAATTTTTAATACCTAGAAGAAGGCCTGGAACAGTGATGTGCCTGATAACAATTTGTTGAGTACATAACATTAATTTTCTTGGGTCATAATCTATGCTGTTAGTGACCAGTGTATTTTTCTCTCCTTTCCTTTCTCTTTCCTTCCTTTCTTCCTCCTTTCTTCCTCCCTTCCTCTTCTTCTTTCTCGTCCTTCATCCTCTCTTCCTTTCCTCACATCTCCTCGCTTCCTCTTCTCCTTTTCTTTCTTAACTAAATAATGCTTACTCTACCTTCAATTTCTGTAGTGCCTTGTAGTTTGTAACACTCTTTCACACAATCTCATCCGATCTTGGCAATAACTGTGGGAGGCCAACTGGGCAAGCCCTTCTATCCTCCTATGATTGAGGGGTCAGCCTGAGGTGAAGGAAAATGAAGCAGGTGTTCTAGATGGCCCACAGTTGATTCTCTGGGCTCAGATGCTGGGCTGCTTACCTCCAGTTGTGGTTCATGGTTTCCAGTCCCCTAACAGCCTTTCAGCTCCAGTGACCACATCTCCCTGCTTCTCTGCCCTGGACATGCTCAGTTGAGCACAAGTGCAACTCAGAGGTACAGGGGGAGTTAATGTCCCCAGGGCAACCCTGAAACATGGGGGATGAGAGTTGGTAGATGTTGTGGATTGAATGTTTGTGTCCCTCTGAAATTTATATGTCAAAGCCTTAACCTCCAGTGTGATAGTATTTGGAGGTGGGGTCTTTGAGAGATGATTAGATTTAGATGAGGTCATGGGAATGGGGGTCCCCATGATGGTACTAATATCCCTATACGAAGAGGAAGAAATGAGACAGAGTTCTCTCTCTTTCTGTCATGTGAGGACACAGCGAGATTGCAGCTGTCTGCAAGCCAGGAAGAGAGCTCTCACTAACAACCGAATCTGTGGCATCTTGTTCTTGGACTTCTAGCTCCCAGAACTGTGAGAAATAAACACCTGTTTTTCAACCCATCCATTTCTTTGGTATTTGTTATGGCAGCCTGATGGACTAATACAGTAGGTAAATACCCAGTCTCCCTGTCCCCAGACGGGACAATTCTAAGGCATGTTGCACTGGGTTTCTGGAAGATTCTCTGGAGGGATTGAGCCCCAGCTGCCCACAGGGGTAATGTCCTCATTAACACCTCTTTTATTTGCTTCCCTCACTTCCCTGCCTCACTTCCCTGATTCCTTGCTGTGCTTCCTGGGATCACCTCCCAGTCAAACCACCTGCATCTAAGTCCTTTATGAGATACCTAACCTGATGCAGAAGGGGACACCAGGTTTTTCTGATGATACTGAGAGATGCTTCTGCGACCTTGGACAAGGGCTGCCAGATGTACAAATAAATACAGGACTCCCATTTACATGTGAATTTTAGATAAACAACAGATACATTTTTAGTGTAAGTTCTGTGCAATATTGGGGGCATACTTACACTAAAAATTGTTGTTTGGGCATATTTATACTAAAAAATCATTGTTTATTGGAAATCCAAATTTACCTGGGCATCTTGTATTTTCTCTGGCAACCTGAATCATGGCTGGAAAGAAGGGTGAACTAATTAGGAAACTGGAAATGATTACAAAGTCCTGGATTTTGTGTCATTCTGGACTGGATAAGGCAGATTTGTGAGCCTTTTAACCTTTATCATACCTAATCTGGGAGTGGTTTGCACCCCATCATCCTCTTGGGCACCCTATACAGCTAACTGCATGTGAGGACAGTCGGGGAGAAACATCACTCAAGGAGGTTAAGGAAATGACCACAACCCAGGGGTCTGTTCCCTGAGGTGAAAACCCTAGTGGCCTTCAAGGCTGTAGTCATACATTTCCCAGGTAGCCTTAGAAGGAGTAGCAGTACAGAGTGCCAACAGCAGAAAATGGAAAGTCTTAATCACATTCCTTTCTTTGGCTACCATCAGCATGACAGCAGTAAAATTGTGTTTCAGCAGCAGGGGGCCCAGCCAACCTGCTACTGGTCACTTCCCCACAGGGCCTGGGACTGAGGACTGCATGAGTGCTGGATACTAACTCCATGCCTCACCTTACTCTAAGCATGTCACAGAGATTAGCACATTTAATACAGCAACAACTCAAGGAGAGAGGTAGAACCTCAGATGAGGAAACTGAAGCACATTAAATCACTCAGCTCTGAGATGGGAGATCTGGCATCCAGACCCAAGCAGTGTGACATGGGTGATGTCACTTCTAGTCACTGTAACACACTCCTCAGAACTGTTCCTGGGACCATGAAATAGTGCATGTAAAGGACCCAGCCCAAAGTCACTGCCCAGGTGGAGTCTGAAGGTGTCCATTCCAGATATCGTCATTATTTTAATATTACTCTTATCCCCATCTTCTCTTGAGCCCTGAAAATGGCAGTCAGCCCTAGTGATGGTGACTGTAGAGAGACCAGGCTGGTCTGTCTTCCCGAGGGCTGCTGGGCAGCCCAGATAAACTTTTCAATCCCTTAATCCCCTTCACCGAGACTGCAGTCACCTCCTGCCTCCATCTTGCAGGCCATGAGTTTATCGCACAGTCAGAAATAGCTGCCAGGTCCCCTGGAAAACAAGCCTGCAAAAGAAGCCTGTGAAGCACAAGCTCCAGGCAGGAGCAAACCAAACAACAACCTGCACTGCGGTCAGGCAAAAAAGCCCCTCTGTGTTTGTTATCAATGCTGACCGGGTGCTGGGATGGTTTTGGTTTTGGTTTTCTTTTAACAGTGGCTTAGCTGTTTTTATAAGAGCTGAATTCTGATGCTAGGCCAGGCAGCTAAAGTAGAATCCACCCAATATTCCCCCTCCTTTTACAACTAGCCATAGGGAAGTCCTGAATTTGGGCTCCAGATCTCCCAGCTTTCAGGATACACTCATCTGGCCTCTGCCTTGCCCTCATCTTAAGTCCTAGAGTGTTGCTAACAGGGGCAAGATAAGGACACCGACAGGGTGGGCGCCTCTATATGCTGTCGGTGCCCCGCCCTGTTCCCTCAGCCTGTTCAGGCTGACTCCTAACTGCCAGTGTGTGTGTCTCTTTGCCTGATGGCTTTCTAGAAACTGTGGACCACCACACTGCCCGTGCACATGAAAGAATTACATGACTATTGCAAGCTAGTGTATAAACAGCCCAGCTCCATGAATGAGATAACTTGGATAAGGTTGTGCGTTCTCCACCAGTGCTACTTGAAGTGTGGTCTCCAGGCCCTTGACAAGCTGTGAAATGTTTATTGCTTGTACATTTCAAGGTACATACACAAATGGAAAGTTGGCGTTTACGAACGTTTATAGCAATTTGACATTGCTGTGACATTTTAATTGTATTTTTACAAAAGTATCCACTTATAATGGATTGATAACAACAGCAGACAACCTGGTACTTTCCCCAGACAGCTTGAGAAGCACTGGTCTCTCTAGTTCCTAGTTTCCCCAGTGGGATTAAACTCCAGTTGCCCACCGTGCCAGCCAACTTGATAATGCACCTTTGACTGGCTCCCTTTCGTTACCTGTCTCATTTTCCTACTCCGCTACCAGTGTTTCTTGCATTTCTCAAATAAACTATTTGCATTCATTTCTTTGTTTTGGGGTCGGCTTCTGGGGCAACCCAAACTCAGACACCCTCCCTTGTAAAAGGCTGCCCACGCTGCCATCTGCTGCCTGGGGCATGTCACTGGTGGCTCCTTCATTTTTTCCCCAAGGAATTAGGTAGCCCATTAAGGATGATAAATTTATCTGCCCACCTCTGCATTTCTTCCAGCATCCATGGCCTAAGGTCATGAAGTCACTGCCCTCGGCGTTCTTTGCTTTTTCAGAATGACACACTGGCTGGAGCTGACAGAAAACACACTTTCAGACAGTTGGCAGCCAAGAATCATCAATATTCTGCTTAATATTGAATGCCCCCCACTGCCTTTCTAAGATGGGCTCTTACAGGGCAATGTGGCTTCAAGATAAAGGTCTGAAGCATGCCCTGGGCAGCAGATAGTGGCATGGGTAGCCTTATACAAGAAAGGGTGTTTGACTTTGGGTTGCCCCAGAGGCCAAAGTTGAAACAAAATTTATAGGCTAGAAGGGCCAGTTAGAAAAACCTGTTCTTTTTCGGAAGTCACTTTTGCATGTACGTGGAATGCTTTTGTTCAGATATAAAGCACCCAGGCTCAGTCTGTTATGCCCTGAATCATTTTCTTGTGGCTCAGGGCCTCCCTTGACTTGAGTGCTATTATCCCTCTGCCTGTTAGACCATGCTCTCTATCTCTGGGCTTGCTCCTTGGTTGTTTACAGATTTCTCAATCTGTCTGCTCAGGCTGAAAGAGACCCCACCGCCCATAAAAACTCTGTGGTTCTAAATCATTTCTCTCTCTCTTTCACTCAACTCAGTCCCCAAAACTCCCAGAGCCCGGAATTAAAACCATCTTGAAATCCAAATTTGTACTTCTCCATCTAGCAAAGTAATTTTACCTTTGGCTTTTTGGGGGTGTTTATGTCGGTACTTCAGACATCCCTGTTGGCCACCAGTCCTCAGTGCTTGCCCTACTCTAGTGGTCTGGAGTAGAATGATTCTCTTGAAGCTTTTTACATATTTTGCAAATAATGTCTGTCCTCCCGGCTCGGCCAGGCTGGAGTCAGCAGGCCACCTGCACAAGCATGCACACTGGCTCTTAGGAACGTGTTCAGTTCTGGGGTAGGGGCTTGCTGGCACTAATGTACATCCATTTAGAAATCCCTCAATGAGAATGTGAGTGAGTCTAGCACCGTTTCAGGGACTGTGGCCAAGGGTTGTAGCTGTTTCAGTCTGGCTGGGGGAAAAATGAACTATGATCAGTAAGAGCTACTGAGAGGCAGAATAGGAGGAGGGGCAGAGGTCAGACTCTGGGGCTGATTGCCTGAGTTCAAATTCTGGCTTTGTGTGACTTTGACAAGTAATCTAACTTCTCTGGGCTTCACGTTCTTCAACTATAAAAGGGTGATAGTAGGAGCCCCTATCTTAAGGGATTGTCTTGATGATTTCACGAGTTAATCTAAATTAGTTTTCAATGCCTCAAAACGTTAGCTGTACTATTACTATTAATACTACGACTGCTCTGTGATATTAAATAGAAGTGATACACAGAAAATAGGAGTTAAGGTGGACTTTGGTAATCAGAGAAGGCTTCCTGGAGGAGGAGGCTTGATCTAGGCAAGGAAAGTTGGGTAGGATTCTATGAATTGTGGTCAGAGGTCAGACTAACAGACTATTTTCCAAAGACGACAGCCAGCAATATCCCTTGAGCCACAGACTCTTCTATAAGGTGTCCTTGACCCTCCTCCCATTGAGAGGTGGGGGTCTATGTCCCTTCTTGAATATGGAGTGGTCGGTTTATGACTGCT
This sequence comes from Homo sapiens, assembly GCF_000001405.40. Taxonomy (NCBI): domain Eukaryota; kingdom Metazoa; phylum Chordata; class Mammalia; order Primates; family Hominidae; genus Homo; species Homo sapiens. The sequence goes on along the minus strand of NC_000023.11, from coordinate 39,437,685 downwards.
TCAATCAATAGAATCCAAGGGAAATGATGCTGAGACTGGACCATAAAATGGCCATGCAGCTTCCCCCTTATTTGCTAAATCACTTGCATAGGAGGCCCATGAGCTCTGAGCTGCTATGTAAGAAGCCTAACTATTCTGAGGCCACCATGCTGTGAGGAAGCCCAAGCTATGTGGACTTCCTTCTGTAGGTGTCTGCCTGGCAGTCTTTGAGTCCTCCCAACCCAGGAATCAGACATGGGACTAGGAACCCTCAGGTGATTCCAGATTGCACTCCCCAGCTGCAAGTCATCCTTAGGCTTGAGTCTTCCCAGATGAGGCTTCAAACATCCTATAGCAGAAATAAACCATCTTTGCCATGCCATGTCTGAATTTCTGACCCACAGAATCTCTGAGCATAATAAAATGATTGTTGTTTTAAGCCACTACGTTTTTGAAGGTGATTAGTTACCCACCTGCTTGTTATATGCAGTGAAAAGGCAGCTCTAATGGCAGGGCTGGCATGAGCAAAGTCACTGAAGAGAGCACAGTGAGAATTCTGAGGGTAAGGACAGCAAGGAAAGAGGGCAGCAGTGGGGCCCATGTCCTGTTCCTTCCCACCCCTACGCAACATCATCTCATCATCCTACAGTAGGTAAACATGATGGAAGGTGATTCATGATAGTTCATGAAAACATCTGTGCAAATTTTAAAACATCAACTCTGGTTCAATTCATTCTCTGACAGGGTGAAAGTTCAAAGAATATTGCAATAAATAACATGAAATGCGTATTGATAGGGTTTGGCTGTGTCCCCACCAAAATCTCAACTTGAATTTTATCTCCCAGAATTCCCACTTGTTGTGGGAGGGACCCAGGGGGAGGTAATTGAATCATGGGTGCCGGTCTCTCCCATGCTATTCTTGTGATAGTGACTAAGTCTCATGAGATCTAATGGGTTTATCAGGGGTTTCCGCTTTTGCTTCTTCCTCATTTTCTCTTGCCACTGCAATGTAAGAAGAGCCTTTCACCTCCCACCATGATTCTGAGGACTCCCCAGCCATGTGGAACTATAAGTCCAATTAAACCTTTTTTTGTTCCCAGTTTCGGGTATGCCTTTATCAGCAGCATGAAAACAGACTAATACAGTACATTGGTACCCATAGAGTAGGGCATTGCTGAAAAGATAGCCGAAAATGTGGAAGCTGGGTAACAGGCAGAGGTTGGAACAGTTTGAAGGGCTCAGAAGAAGACAGGAAAATATGGGAAAGTTTGGAACCTCCTAGACACTCATTGAATGGCTTTGCCCAATATGTTGATAGTAATATGAACAATAAGGTCCAGGCTAAGGTGGCCTCAGATGGAGATCAGGAACTTGTTGGGAACTCAAGCAAAAGTGACTCTTGTTATATTTTAGCAAAGAGACTGGAGACATTTTGCCCTTGCCCTAAAGATCTGTGGAATTTTGAACTTGAGAAAGATGATTTACAGTAACTGGTGGAAGAAATTTCTAAGCAGCAAAACATTCAAAAGGTGACTTGGGTGCTGTTAAAAGCACTCAATTTTAAAAAGGAAACAGCATAAAAGTTCAAAAAATTTGCAGCCCAACAATGCAGTAGAAAAGAAAAACCCATTTTTTTGAGGAGCAATTCAAGCTGTCTGCAGAAATTTGCATAAGTAGCAAGGAGCCTAATGTTAATCCCCAAGACCATAGGAAAAATGTCTCCAGGCCATGTCAGAGACCTTCACAGCAGCCCCTCCTATCACAGGCCCAGAGGCCCAGGAGGAAAATGTGGTTTTATGAGCCAGGTCCAGGGTCTCAATGCTGTGTGCAGCCTAGGGACTTAGTGCCCTGTGTCCCAGCCCCAGCTCCAGAGGATGGAAGCCCCAAGCCTTGGCAGTTTCCACAAGGTGTTGAACCTGTGAGTGCACAGAAGTCAAGAATTGGGGTTTGGGAACCTCTGCCTAGATTTCAGAAGATGTATGGAAATACCTGGATGCCCAGATAAAAGTTTGCTGCAGGAGCAGGGTCCTCACGGAGAATGTATGCTAGTGCAGTGCAGAAGGGAAATGTGGGGTTGTGGGGTCAGAGCCCCCACACAGAGTCCCTACTGGGGCACTGCCTAGTGGTGCTGTGAGAAGAGGGCCACCGTCCTCCAGACCCCAGAATGGTAAATCCACCAACAGCTTTCACTTTGTGCCTGGAAAAGCCACAGACACTCAACACCAGCCTGTGAAAGCAGCCAGGAGAGAGGCTGTACCCTGCAAAGCCACAGTGGGGGAGCTGCCCACGACCATGGGAACACACCTCTTGCATCAGCGTGACCTGGATGGGAGACTGGAGTCAAAGCAAATCATTTTGGAGCTTTAAAATTTGACTGCCCCACTGGATTTCAGACTTGCATGGGCCCTGTAACCCCTTTATTTTGGCCAAGTTCTCCCATTTAGAATGGCTATATTTACCCAATACCTGTACCTTCATTGTATCTAAGAAGTAACTAGCTTGCTTTTGATTTTACAGCCTCATAGGTAGAAGGAACTTGCCTTGTCTCAGATGAGACTTGGGACTGGACTATTGGGTTAATGCTGACATGAGTTAAGATGTTGGAGGACTGTTGGAAAGGCATGATTGGTTTGGAAACGTGAGGACATGAGATTTGGAGGGGCCAGGGGTGGAATGATATGGTTTGGCTGTGTCCCCACCAAAATCTCAACTTGAATTGTATTTCTCCGAATTCCCACATGTTGTGGGAGGGACCCAGGGGGAGGTAACTGAATCATGGAAGCTGGTCTTTCCCATGCTATTCTGGTGATAGTGACTAAGTCTCATGAAATCCAATGGGTTTATCAGCAGTTTCTGCTTTTGCTTCTTCCTCATTTTCTCTTGCTGCCATCATGTAAGAAGAGCCTTTCACCTCCCGCCGTGATTCTGAGGCTTCCCCAGCCACGTGGAACTGTAAGTCCAATTAAACCTTTATTTTGTTCCCAGTTTCAGGTATGCCTTTATTAGCAGCATGAAAATCAACTAATACACATATGAAATAAACTAAAAGACCTTGAGGACTGATACTTAAGGGAACCCATCTCTCTCAGGGAGTCAATAGTTTGTCTTTGGGTCAAAGTGTAGAAGTCAATCTTCTTGGGTTCAAAGTCTGCCCCTGTCACTAATACCTGTGTGACTATGGACAGATTACTTAACCTCTCTGAGCTTTTTGTCACACTGTATATTGGTGATGGGTAGAGATATGGGGGCTGCAAGCAAGGGCTGTGGAACAGCATCCTTAAGATTCATAGAAGACATTTTGTCTACATGAGATGATCTAAAAGACATTGCATTCTATCTATTGAAATCTCAACAGAGGGTCTTATGGCAGTCCCCTTGATCTGACTGTACTCTGAGTCCATGTTTTACTGGCAGCCTGGAGGCCACTTATTACTTTGACAGTATTTTGCCAGGAAAGATCAGGGATTAAAAAGTTTTATATTTAAGCCCAACAAGTCCTGGCTCCTTTACATTTTGTCTAAATTCTGCATATAAACTGAATAGTTCTTTCCTTAGCTCTTCTTTACTCTCCTGTACTTTATTGCTATTCATCTGTTGTTTAAATTGCTAGTGACTGGTGGTAGAGATTTTAGATAGAGTGGTGATATGGTTTGGCTGTGTCTCCACCCAAATCTCATCTTGATTTGTGACTCCCATAATCCCCATGTGTTGTGGGAGAAACCTGGTGGGACATAATTGAATCATGGGGGCGATTTCCCCCATACTGTTCTTGTGGTAGTGACTAAGTCTCACGAGATCTGATGGTTTTATAAGGGGTTTCCCTTTTTGCTTGGCTTTCATTTTCTCTCTTGTCTGCCGCCATGTAAGACGTACCTTTTGCCTTCCACCATGATCGTGAGGCCTCCCCAGCCACGTGGAACTGTGAGTCCATTAAACCTCTTTTTCTTTATAAATTACCTGGTCTCACATATGTCTTTATCAGCAGCATGAAAACGGAAGAATACAAGTGGAAAGGAGAATGGAATTGCAGCAAAAGGGAGTAACCATGCTGAGTTGGGACCTATTAAATCAATAGGTATGAAATTGTGATACACAGGCCATCAGCTTTAGCATCATCTCTGGTACTTGTTAAAAATCCATATTCCCAGGCCTCTGGTCAGACCTGCTGAGTCAGAAGGGGCTATGAGGGAGGAATCTGCATTTTATGGACATGCATAAGTCCACTAAATGTAAAGACATTGCCTTCCATCAGGCTTTGCAGTTACCCACTTTTTTTCACTTGTGCCCAGACTCTAGTCCTAGGATTGGTCTCTCTACTTCCTTTTTAGTCCCCTGTATGGCTCTAAGTCTGGACAGCAAACAGATGGCTCACTCAAATAGAGTATGCCTTTAATAAAAAGGTGCCAACCTAGGAGAGTGCAGTACCCCAGGCTAAGTAACAGTGGGGAGTTGTCACCACCAGGAGGAAGGGGAGCTATAAGTTATCTGAGCTTGGAGAACCTCAACACCATTTGGCCTATTTCCTGAAGAGTTCTTTTAATGCCCCTGGGTTGTTTAGTGGGAAGGTCCTATGCAGGGGCTCTTAGGCTATGGAGTGGGATCTTTGTGCAGTGGGGCCAGGTGGGGGATGAAGAATCCAGCTCTTTAACAGGTGGCCCCAGGGGACTGCGTGGCCCAAATTGTCCTCAGTCTCTCTTGTTGCTGCCTTTTCATGATTTTTCTGTCTTTTGGCAGCCCTGGAGGCCCTCCTATCTAGGCAGGAAGGGAAGCCAATAAATAAATTCACACTACGGTGCTAGAGAGTGATAACAGCTAATCCCTTCCAAGGACAATTGCTCTTGGAGAAAAATGATGGCTCATAGAAAAAAAGAACGGTTTAACTAGAAAGAAAGGGTGTCTCCTGGAAGAATACCACACTTTGGCACTGGAGTAGGAGCAATTTATAGGCAGCCACATCTTAAACTTTTCAAAGCAGCCCCTCTTCTGTTCTGTGAATCTGATGTTAAGCATGTTCCCTAAGAGGCTTTCCAATGCGTCCTACTCATGGAAGCTCCATGAGGGAAGGGATATCTTGGTCTCTTTTGTTCACTGATAAATTCCTATAACCTGCCACATAGTGGTGCTCTGTTATGTGTTTGCGAATGAATGAAGGAAGGAAGGAATAGATGAAACATCTCTTCAGGAACCTGGCTCCTGTCTCAAGTGAGACACACGTAGTGCCTCCCCTCTCCTTGTGGCCTGCCTGGGATTGAGCTGAAAAATGATTTTCATACACGTTGCCCTTATTATAACATCATCCCTCAGAGCGAAGCTCTCTGACCACCCTGAAGACCTGTATTTAATGTGATGAAAGGTGATTTAATGGAGTTGAGGAGAGCGAAGCATAAAGTGGACAGCCATTTCAGAAAAGCAAAGCAGTCTGTCCCTCCAAGGGGAAAGGGAAAAAAAAGGAAAAAAGAGGAAAAAATTCAACACCCTCCCCCAGAAGAGAGTGGAATAAGAAGACGTTTTGGTCAGCTCCATAGGAAGGCAAAAATGAAAGCCAGATAAGCCCAGAGGCCTCCCCTCCCTGGCAGCAGATAACTAACTTACCATTTATTTACCTTGGAGCTGATTATGTACTGGGTTGAGGCAGGCAGGGAGATTTTATTGACATTTGGTCTCCCTTCACACATTTTTGCGACAGCCAGACATCAGGGACTGAGCTGCAGGATATTAAAGGATTTGGAAAAGTTATCAAGGAATGGGACATATTTATCAAAGCCACAGTGATATTAGAAAGCTGGGCTGCTGCTACACCTGGGTCTGTTACTTGATTAAAAAAATAATAATGATTCATCCTCTGGCTGGCTTTTGCACCTGGGTGAATGCTGAGCAGTTCTGTAGGACCACCCTTGGCCAGGGATTTGCACATAAAGACCCTCTTTGGGCCTGGCAAAGATTGTAGGTGATAGATCACACTAGTGGCTGGGGGGTTTGTGCCTGCACCCATGCATGTGCACGTGTGATAAAGTCTTGTGTTTGTCAGGAAGCTTCTATTGGTGTGTTACCAGACCTCCCTGGGCCAGGCCAGTTTACATGATGGTCTTCAAATATGCCTGTGTACTCGGAGTATCTTTTATTTCTAAAAGATAACTAGTAAGAGTTTGTTGAGTGACCGAAGGATTGGTGCAAAAGGGGCCTCATGAAGGATCCCTAACCTGCCTCAACCACTGCATTTCTGGTGAATAGCAATTATGTAATACAAGGAATCTCCATCTTTTAACACCAGCAAGTAAGAATATCTCACAAGTCACCTCTACTTAGCTCTCCCCCCAATTTTTCCACATGAATTATTCAGCGTATGACTGTTTCAATATGTCTGTCTTTGAAAAAAGTGCTGGATGAACTTAAAGCAGCAAGAGGAAGTGCCTGCTTTGCAAAAACGATACCCACCTGCATATTTATCTTAAAAGGAAAGCCTTTAATGCATTCACTCAGGTGAAAATATCATGGATAGCAAGGACTGACCAATGGCCATCAGGATCCATGGGGTTAATCCGGGTTTTGCCATCTGATTCCAATCCATCAGGCCTGGCTATAAATTGCTTATATGTCTGGGTGATAAAAAGCAAATACAAATTTTCAAAAAGTTTAACCTTGCATGGTATATAAAGAGAATACATAATATTCTCAAGCATAAATATGTCTCAAGACAAACTCATTGCATATACCCAGAATACATAATGGAGCTTACTGAGACATATTTTCCCCCTAGCAAGAAAAAGCCAGAAATTCTGCAGTAAACTGTGTAGTTTCTGCAACTCAGAAATGGGACCTATGCCTCTAACTCTTGATATCCTTCTAAAATGGCACGAAGTCCAGCTGAGGGAGAGGATGAAATCTGGCTGAAGCTGGAGGATGGGAGACCTGGGACTCCAGCTGGCTTCTTGGGGAGCTTGGCTAAAATCATTTCACGTGATTGATTTCCAATTTCTGCATCTGGAAATAGAGGAGGCTGATCCAGAAACTGACGGTTTCTAAGGCGGTGCTTCTCAAAATCTACTGGACAGGCAAATCCCCTGGGAATCTTGACAAAATGCAGATTCTGATTGGGTAGGTCTGGGACGGGGCTTGGAATATGGAATTCTCCTTTTCTTTTCTTTTTTTCTTTCTTTCTTTCTTTCTTTTTTTTTTTTTTTGAGACGGAGTCTTGCTCTGTCACCCAGGCTGGAGTGCCCTGGCACCATCTCAGCTCGGCTCACTGCAACCTCCGTTTCCTGGATTCAAGCGATTCTCCTGCCTCAGCCTCCCTAGTAGCTGGGATTACAGGTGCACTCCACCATGCCCAGCTAATTTTTGTATTTTTAGCAGAGATGGGGTTTTGCCATGTTGGCCATGCTGGCCTCGAACTTCTGACCTCAGGTGATCCGCCTGCCTTGGCCTCCCAAAGTGCTGGGATTACAGGTGTGAGCGGAATTCTCCATTTCTAGTATGCTGCCTGGTGATGCCGATGCTTGCTGGTCTGATCTGAGAACCACACCTTGGGTAACAGGGTTCTAGCGTTCTCCCCAGATCAGATGGACTCAGGCAGTGACTCTCACCCTTGGCTTCACATTGCAATCGCCTGGGAAGCTTTAAAAAAATGTCATTGCCCAGACCACATCTCAGGCTGATTAAATCGGAATAATCTTTGGGGATGTGACCCAGGCAAAAATATGTTTTAAAGCTCCCCAGGTGGTTCCAAGGTGTGGCCAAGGTTTAGTAGAACTGGTTGAAGGTACCACATGGCTGCACAGACTTTGATGGAGCCAGCTGTCTTGAGGTTTGTGGTATTATCACCCGTACTTGTGATAATCCAATAAATGGAGCAGATACTATTTACTGACATGGTAGTCTACACTGTGCAATGGTGTCATAGAATCATGGCCTCCTCCCTAAACAGGTGAGGATGCTAACTGAGCCTGTTTGTCCAGGAGACCAAGGCTGATGGGTTCCATGAACTTCTACAGGTAATGGGATGACAAAGTGAAACATTTTTTCTTTGTAATGCTTCTTACCAAAGGCCAGATTAGAGGTTGCCAATGCAGATGCATACAAGGGCTGGGTGGGCAGCAGAAACCATAAATCAGAGCTAAATGTTTGCATATTTAAATATACAAGTGTATCCTCTGAGAATTTCACTCTTTCACATTTCCTAAAACTCATGGCTGTCTTTTCCTTTATTTTCCTGTGTTTGACAGAGACATGAGTACAAGAAAAATGTGTATCTACTCTAAGAAATATAGTAGAGCAAGTGCAGGAGTGGAGCCAGGTTTATGTGGGACCTGAGGTTTGTACAAATTGGGGGACCTCTTTAAAAACTGCAAAATACTTTTAATTTTGGAAATTCACAAAATTTTATAACTGTGAAAAGATATTGCTATCTGTGCCTGAGGATGTGGAACAGGGTCCATATAGTGAGGGGATCTGAGGTTTAAGCTTCATTAGCTTCATGGGAAATCCACCTCTGGTACAAGTGGGAGGTAAAAGGCAACACAGGTGGAATTTTAACATACAGTACTGTACTGTGTACCTTAGACCAAAACTACAGTAAAAACAAAAACACACTGATAAAATGGCTGCAAAAGTTTAATGCAAATAATTCCATGGAACAGACGAGACCTTTAATGATGTTGAACTGTGACAGCAGCCATGAGTAAGACACAGGTGTACTAGACCCTTGATACTCAAAGTGTGGTCCACGGATCAGCAAGAGCAATAGCATCACTTGGGAGCTGGTTAGATGTGTACAATCTCAGGCCCTAGCCTAGATCTACACAGCCGGAACCTGTGCCCCTATCTGACAGGTGTGCACATTAGATGTCGAGGGAATATTGATGATGATTTCGAGAACATAAGAGAAGAAAAGAAGGAAGGTAGCTATGTGTCAGTTTATTAGTTCATTTGTTTGTTCACTCATTCATTCCTTTATGCTTTCAATCAATATGTATTCTTGGAGTGCTTCCTTTATGCCAGGAACTGTGATATGCTAGTTACATGGGATTAGGAAAGAGACTCGCAATACTCTTTTATAAGCTGGCTTTTCCAATCCCCACATTTTTCTTTCCCTATTTCCCCCAACCCCAGAAGGATATCTTTACACATGCAGCATGATGGGTAGTGCATGACATTTGGTCCAAACAGAAACTGACTTGTTGGACTGCAAACAGCTAATGGCTGTGTGTGCTGAATGCCTTAAAGAGCCTGGCACAGTATGTGGGGCTGAGGTGGTGCTGAGTGGACCTCCCTCGAAGTTCATTAAAACTAGACAACGGGAGCGACCTTTTGAGATAGGTTTTTGAGTCAAAGGGAATGACTGCCTTACAATGTCAGCCCTAGGTTTCTACCCTGGCTTTCGGCTTCTAGATAACTCCCCACTACTTAATTCTTTGCCTTGAAATGCAGAGGAATGAGGGTTAAGGGTTTGGGCTCTGGCACCTGATTGCTTGAGGTTTAGGATTGCAGTTCCACCATCCACTGGATTTGGGACTGTGGGGAAGTTAGAGCAATTCTCCATCCTCTTTGCTTTAACGTGCATGTGGTAATAATACTTAGTGGTGATGTGAGTCGCAGCGAGGTCATGCACAGAGCATAGAGAAAGTGAGCCCCATGGTAAACATGAGCTGCTGCTAGGGCCATATCAGTCACTTGCAAGTTAGTATGAGTTAGATCTTACAGGAAAGCATTGATCAGGGTGAGGGGAGAGGGGTGAAGCTATAGGGGAAGGGTCCTGAGATAGATGAAAGGGCCAACTCCCTGCCAGCAGCACACTTTAGAGAGGGGCTGGCGCAGAGAGCAGGGTGTGAGGTGCCCTTTGCAAATGTGAGGAAGAAATAGCAATGTGCAGAATTTTAAGGGCTAAAAGCTGTGCTGGTTACCTTCTGGCGAAGGCCAGCTTCTGACGCATTTGTTCCTAGCTGGCTCTGTGTTTATGCAATAAGACATCAAACTTGTGTCCTCTCATTAACCCTTTGTTTCTTCTTTGTTCCTGATTTAGAACCCCCCACACTCTGATTATTTTTAGAGCCGTGAGAAGTCAGAAGTCACTTCTGTTTACAGAGGCCTGCTGCCTTCAAAGGCACGAAGGGAGTGCTAACAGCTCTCTCCTCACCCCCTGCCCCGCCCTTTGCAATACATTCTGGGGCGCTTTGCTCAAAGGAAGAAAAATCACAAAGGAAAGCAATCTTTTCTTTCTCTTAGATGTTTACTTTCTGCATTTCTCCTGACCTGAGTGGGTTTAAAAAACATACACACACACTTTTATGCTTCCCCTGCAAAGTGGGGAGGAACCAGGCAGACTCCAACATGAGTCAGTGTTTGTGAAGCCTTTGCATTCTACCCTTCCCTCACCACCTTCTAGTTTTCCTTCTACCTTCTCCCCAGCACACCAAATTGGTAGCCTCCAAACCAAGGCCAGAGGGCCTAGAGCAGCCATCTGTATTAGGGGTACCCTTCAGTGGACAATTCCCACCAGATCCTAAGCCCCCTAGTTTGAAGAGCCATGGCCATAGTATTTCCTTATTTCCGCGCCTAGAAATTTCTGCTTTAGTACTGTAGAATGAAGGAGCTTAGAAATTCTGTAATCTAACCGCCCCATTCCCCCAATGAGGATTCCAAGGCCCAGAGAGTGGAGAGGCTTTTCCTAGGATACAAAGCATGACAGTGTCACTGTGGTTCCTGGTCCCCACAGGGCCCTTCCCCACAGGGCCTTTCCCATAGAACATAAGGTTTATAAGTATTAACCCTATATATGCAAATTATGTTGGAGGCCTTTTCCCAACGTATTTTTGTTCTTTCCCAACGTATTTTTGTTCTTTCCCATTGTTTATGGATTCCTCTGCGATGGTTTAAAAATTATGTAGTTATGCTTATATTCAATGATTAGCCTATTTCTCTTCCCCATGCAAAGGTTTTGGATTTGCACCTCTTTCCCATGCAGTGGTCTTCCACATGGTTTTAATGTTGCCTCTGAAGGGTAGTAGAATATGCCACTCACAAATATGCCACTTTGGGATATGCCACAGTGGCATATTTGGGTTATCCTCAAGGATCCCCCAGGTGTTACTAAATAAAGCTGCTTTGAGCACACAGGGAGCCAGGACAAGTAACAGGACTGATCAGGGTGTGTGAATTAATACTACTTAGAGAGAACATAGGGGCAAGTGTCTGTTCTGGTGTATGGTCAGTTACCCTAGACACTAGTGTCCAGGCTCCTCTGCCATTTTATGTTCAGAGAAGTAGTATTGCATGCTCTGCTGAAATTGTGGCCATGCTGGGTACACATCCGCATGGTTCGATGTGACCAGAAGATTCTGTCACTTCTTTTTATTGTGATGTGTTTACACAGCACCAGGGTAGGGCCCCAGAAATAATAGTCCTACAGTTCTGAGATCATCTATGTGAAAAGACACACACACACACACACACACACACACTCACACACGTGCCTTTGAGTACACAATGCTCCTGTTCACATCCGCACATACCAGCATAGAGCTCACATGGATGATGACATCGCAACTGCCACACCACTGGGTATTCTTTTCCCGCCTATCCACATGCATGTAATTTGTGCAGGGAAATCTGTCTCCTCTAGATTTGGGGATCAATGTCACAAAATGTCAGTCTCTGAAAGGGAATGTGGTAAAAAACCTGCCTGGTATGCATGGCGTTAGCTATCTGTAGAATCTTCTCCGAGCTGACCAATGTCATAGGCACCATTGCAAGTGCTTTCCATATCAGGACTCTTTTAAGCTGAGCTGTTTTCTGCTATAGTAGCTTTGTGATCTTTGGGAAGAAACTTAAATCTCTGTACCTCAGTTTTCTCACTTGTAAAATGACAGTAATCTTACCCACCTCTTGATATTGTATGTGTATGGTGGGGGATTCACATAGAATAATAAGACAGTGTGAAGACACTCAAATTACATCTGGCCAAGGAAAGGACAACAACAAATATTAGTTCTTTCTTCTCTTTCTGATGAGTTAAGAATGTTTACAAGTATGTTGCTAGGATAATATGGTGGATTCCCCACCTTACTATCTCAATAGTTAGCTATGTGACTTTGGGCATGTCACTTTATCTGTGTCTCAGTTTCATTCATTCATTCAGGCAGGCAGGCACTAAACACTTATGGAGTGTCTACTAAGGGCCAGTCATTGTTTTAGGTGCTGAGGAAACAGCAATGAACAAAACAGACACAATTTTGGCCCTCATGGAGTATATAAAGGAATCGGATGAATTATAAAACAATCAAATATATCTTTCAACAGAAAATAGGCAGTCTTCATAGAGTCTAAAATGTTAGAATGTGTCAGTCTTAATCTATCTAAAAGGGTGCTGAAGTCTGTTCAATTCTCTGTGCTATGATTCATGTTTCCAAGGTATATCTGTTAGGAATCTTTTGATTTTAAATGTCAGAAGACTCAACTCAAACCAACTTAAACCACAAGAGAATTGGCTCACATAACTGAAAAAAAAGTTGAGCAGAAATGTTGTTTTCAGGCACAGTTTGACCCAGCAGCACAAAAATCGTGCTACCAAAAACCTGGTTTCTCTTTATCTCTTTTCTCTGTATTATTCCATTTTGACTACAATTACACATGGTGGCCCCCACTTGTCCAAAGTACCTCATTATGATAACCAAATGCTACCCAGCACCAGATCTTAAAGCACGTTCACATCACACTACCCACGGGCTTTCTCAGAAGTCCCACCAAATTGCTTCTCACAGTTGACCCCAACCCTGAGTGTGGAAGGGATGTCTACCTCCACACTCCAGTATGGTTATACTGGAAAATGGGGAAGCAATCCCCCAAGGGAAAAATCAGGATCATTTTGCTTGTAAGGGTTGAGAAAAGCTGGAGAAACAACCCAAGCTGGTGTATTAGTGCATTCTCACACTGCTATAAAGACATACTGAGACTGGGTAATTTATAAAGAAAAGGCATTTAATGGGCTCATGATTCCACAGGATGTACAGGATGCATGCCTGGGGAGGCCTCAGGAAACATACAATTATGGCAGAAGGCGAATGGGAAGAAGGCACACCTACATGGCAGGAGCAGGAGGAATAGAGTGAAGGGAGAAGTGCTATACACTTTCAAACAACCAGATCTTGTGAAAACTCACTCACTATCACACTGACATGAGAACTTCAAGGGGGAAATCCACCCCCTTGATCCAATCAATCACCTCCCACCAGTTTCCTCCCCCAACATTAGCGAATACAATTCAACATGAGATTTGGGTGGGGACACAGAGCCAAACTATATTGGCTGGAATGTCCCACAGGAAGCCTAAGAACATGCCCAGATCACAAACAAAGCAGGAGAAACAAAGATGATTTTTAAAAGAAGCAATTTTATTTTTAACGTATATATTTAAAAGCATTAACTTTATCATAATGGGAAAACTCGGAACATTATTTTCATTGTAATTGTTTCATAGTTGAGCACTATTTTTATTGTGAATAGCACATGGGATTGCGTACAGCACACTATAATCTTTTCAGTGCTTGAAGGTGCCTAAAATCTTAATACAACCCTCTGGGCAATCAACAAAGTACACCTCCTCCAGCTGCAGCCATGACTTCCAGCATAGTGTTCTGTGTTCCTTGAGGGGCAGAATCACTGGAAAGGGGTAGGAATGAGTAAAGTGGTCTTTGGTTTTATCTATCTGCAGGTTCTTATGAGTTTGGTTAATGTGGGTCAGTCCTGCCAAGGCTGATGATCCCTGAGAGAACTGAAAGTGTGGATTTCTGGGCCAATCAGGATGAGGCCCAGGCCTCCACCAAGGAGATCACAGGCAGATACAGACCCTGAGAGAGCTGTCCCTCCCTCTCTCCTCAGCACTCTCTTGATGGCCACAGGACTCCTACTTAACTCAGTCAAAATGAGGCTCAATAGAAGAAAGTCTAGAAGGGAATACAACCAGCCATTAGCAATGGTTATCTTTGAGTGCAGAGATATAGTGATTTTTAGTCATTTATTCCGCAAATATCTATTGACAGCCTACATTGTATCAGACACTTTTCTAGACACCGTGACTATAGCAGAGTACAAAGCATAAATAAACCACCTGCCTTCATAGAGCTCACATTCGAGTGAAAGAAGACAGATAATAAACCAAATAAATAAGCAAAATCTATAGTATGACAGAGATAAGACTAGGAAGAAAAAGAGATCTGGGGAAATGAATGGGGAATTGGAAGAAGAGTGAGATTGCAAATTTAATTAAGTGTCCAGTGAAGACTTCACCAGGAAGGTGGCATTTGAATAAAGGCATGAAAAACACTCAGGAGTGGGCTATGTGGCTGTTTAAGGGAAGAGTGCTCCAGTCAGGGGAGAGGACCAGTGCAAAGGCCTTGAGGCAGGCTATGCCAGGCATGGTCCAGGGGCAGCAAAGAGACCAGTGCAGCTGGGACAGATCTTTGGTGGGAGCAGGAGAGTAATAGATGAAGCCAGAGGTGAGGAAGAGTGGGGGCAGACTGTGAGACTGCACAGGACCTCGTAAGGACTTCAGCTTTTGCACCAAGATGGGGAGTATTGGAGAGTTATGGGCAAGGAGTGCCTCTATCTGGTTTAGGGTTTAAAGAATCCCTCTGGCTGCTCTGTTGAGGATGGACTATGTATCAGCAAGGGAGGAACAGACTGATTGGGCCATTGTAAAAGCAGATACAATGACAGTTTGGCTAGGGTGGCAGTGGTGGAGGTGGAAAGAAGGAGTCATGTTCTGGATAGATTTCCTTTATTCATGTTTCACTATTTTCTATAGTTCCCCCAATGAAAGTGTAGGAAAGAAGACAAGTGAAAGCTACATGCATTAATTAATTGGGGTGCACGGTGAGTTGCTGATATGGTTTGGCTCTATGTCCCCACACAAATCTCATGTTGAATTGTAATTCCCAATGTTGGAGGTGGGGCCTGGTGGGAGGTGATTGAATCATGGGGGTTGTTTCTAATGGTTTAGCACCATCCCCTAGTGCTGTCTTGAGACAGAGTGCTCATGAGATCTGGTTGTTTAAAAGTGTGTAGCATTTCTCCCTTCTTTTGCTCTCTCCTGTACCGCCATGTGAAGATGTGCCTGCTTTCCCTTTTTCCCCTTTGCCTTCTGCCATGATTGTAAGTTTCCTGAGGCCTCCCCAGCCATGCTTCCTGTACAGCCTGCAGAACTGTGAGTCAATTAACCCTCTTTTCTTCATAAATCACCCAGTCTCGGGTAGTTCTTTTATTTTATTTTATTTTTATTTATTTATTTTTTTGACAGAGTCTTGCTGTGTCGCCAGGCTGGAGTGCAGTGGTGCCATCTCAGCTCACTGCAACTTCCATCTCCCGGGTTCAAGCCATTCCCCTGGCTCAGCCTATCGAGTAGCTGGGACTACAGGTGCGTTCCATCACGCCCAGCTAATTTTTTGTATTTTAGTAGAGATGGGGTTTCGGCATGTTGGCCAAGATGGTCTTGATCTCCTGACCTCGTGATCCACCTGCCTCAGCCTCCCAAAGTGCTGGGATTACAGGGGTGAGCCACCGAGCCTGGCCTCAGGTAGTTCTTCACAGCAATGAGAGAATGGACTAATGCAGTTGCTATAAGTCTCATTTGCTATAAGTCTCATTGCTGTTGTGAGCATGGAGACAGCTCTATCCTGGAGCCCTGGGCTTGGGGCACCCAGAGAAGACAGGAGGGCTTCATACCAAGGGTGGCCTTCCCAGCACCACATCCAGCCCTCCTGCTCACTGCAGGGCAGCTGTGACACATTCATCCAATGAAAGGGTCACCAGGGGAAGGTCACCATTGAGCAGAAGGTGAGATGGGGGCTGGGTCTCTCACAGTGCCTCCTTTCTCCAGCCTCCTCAGCAGAGACTATAGGGCCAGGAGGAGGTGACGTGGTGGCAACTCAGACCTAGTCCCACTGATCACATGATGCTGGGGAGCACTGAATGGTTGTTGGAGCATCTGGACCTATGACAGGACCTTGTGACTTAGCCCTAGGAGGGCTGTGCCCATGCTTCTGCCCCTTTGCCTGTCGATGATGGAGAACTGTCCAGTGATCGCCTGCACAGAGGTCGGTCTGCCATCCTCTTGCAAGATTAATGCCTGTAGTCCCACTCTCTGCTGCAGGTGCTGTCCTCTATAGGAGCCACTGGCCACATATGGCTTTTTAAATTGAAATATAAATTAAGAGTAAATAGAACGAAACAATCAGTTTCTCAGTCCTACTGGCCACATTTCAAGTGTTCAGTAGGGACCTGCGGCTGGGAGGCCACTATATCGAGTAGCACAGATCTAGACCATTTCCATTATCATAGAAAGTTTTGTTGTATAGTGCTGAGTTAGAGGATGGGACAGGCTGTTTGACATTTACTTGCTGATGCTCACAGTAAACTGGCCACCCCAGGGGTAAGGCTTGTGGGGTGGGGCAGTGTGCCATCAGAGAATTCTACTCGATGCCTGCCTCTTCATTCCTCCACAGCCTTCATGGTTCACCTCAAATGTCACTTCCTCTGTGAATGACTCACTCCATTCCTGGGATCCCATGACACTCACAAACACAAATAACATACTATTCCATGCTTGGAATTATGCAGAATCATGTATGTTGCAGTCTGCCCCCATGTGACCGTCAAGTCTTTCGATGGCAGTGACTGTGCCTTATTTAGCTGTGTATAGCCAAAGCTTGTGGATGCTCAATAAATATCTGTCGCATTACATGTCACAGAGCCCATTCTCCCTCCATGAGTGTGTGTTCGCACAGGTCACTTAACCTGTCTGAGCTCCAGCTGTATTGGCGTTAAAATGTAGGTGCCTGGGACTGGTTATATTATTGAGACATGCAGTGAAAACCATGCATAAGATTGGCAGAAGCTTCTTTGGGTGTGATGTAATAGAAAATAGATCTTGGTAACAGGCATGTTTCTTCCACTCACCAGCTGTGTGACCTTGACCAATGTACCCAACAGCTCTGAGCCTTTCAATTCCCACTTGTGACAAGGAAGTGAGGAGAGTTATTGTGGAAGTGGTGCTGGGAACAGGGCCTGGAATATTATGGGGGCTTACTACCCATTAAAACCTAACCTATTTGCAGATAAAACCACAATCTCTGGAAACACGGGTTGGCGGTCCTGGGAGAGCCCAGGGCAGGGCTTGGAGCTGGAACTCCCCCCAGCACATGGCAGTCTGCCTCCGCGAGTTGTTCTTCTCAATGCACCTGATGGTGGTGGTGAGCATAATTCATCCTTGCTCACGGTTAATGGCTGGTGACATTTTGAAGATGGCTGCCTGGCTTTGGCTTTGCGGGCAGCAGGGGAATTTAAAAATGCCCAATTGATGTCAGGTTCCAAGAAATACAAAATAGAATTGCACACAGCACCTGAGAGCAGACACAGTCACGAGAGTGAGATGAAGGCTCTCAGATTCCCCCGCAACCCCCTGACCTTGCCCCCAGTGACTGAGAGTTGGTGGCCAGAGGGGGTCATCTGTCCTACCTGTTTGGACATGCTGAAATGGTGGACCAATTTACCATGGACAGAAGCATTTCGTGGGGACTTGGGGATTAAAATTCCACATGTCTGGAATCGATATTCTATGCTGGTGTTATAATTCACTTTTTGAGAGAGGACGCAGCTCTCCGAATTCTTGGGTGAAGTAAATCACATATCTATGGGATTAAGGGGATTCCCCTGCTTATAAATCGCACCCAGCAGTGGGTGGGTAGATGGTGTGGAGGAGGATGGTGGGGGAGGGGCAGAGGAATGGAGTCTCTGAGTCCCACTGGAGACCCTCGATCACAGCATTTCACGGGAGGCCAGCACGCCAGAGTGAGCATCAGACCGGTGTGATTTTTCTGATGGGAATGACACAAAAAGGTGGACTGGAGTACTTGGGTTGGCAGAAGCAGCCAGAAATGACTTTAAAGTCAGGCAGGCTGTTTAGGTAAGCACCATAAACAGCTGGGCCCCTTTCTGACACCAACATTAGCTACCGCATCTTAAAAGAAAACAACATGGACAGATTTACAGGATATTTTTTTTCCCCTTAGACTTGCTACTGAGTGTGTGTCTCTGCTCATTTTGTTCTGCTTTGCGGGGACAAATTCGGATCAATGACCTTGAATGTATCAGGCTCTTTCACATGGGGCAGAGCCAATTTGGACTGACTCCCAGCTAGTGTCCTTCACCCTTTCCCCTTCCTCAGAGGCCCTCCCAGACACTTTTTCCTTTGGGGAGAGAAACCCTGGCAGAAGCTCTTAAGAGCTGGCAGGAGGCCCGTGTCCCCAGCAGGATCACTGGAGCTTCCTTGGACTACAAGTCCAGGGAGGGCCAAGACTGGAAGTGAAATGCATTTCTTGTTGTCAGCCTGTTCCCTAATGGGTAACAGTTGATGTCGCAGAATCAGCCTGATGATTTGGCATGATTAGAAGGCGCCGCTTCTTAGGCGGGCCTGGGGATCATGGCTTGAGTGTGGAATTAGCTCTCAGCGCCCCAGGGAGGGATCCAAATCCCGCTAGAGAGAAGCCCCCACTCCCGCTAAGGAAGCAGAGGTAATAACTAATAACCTTCCCTCCGCCCCGCCTTCCCCTAACCTTGTCGTGAACCGTGGTTGTTTTGTTCAAAGAAGTGCTCGTGCAACCAGGCTCACTTTAATGAAAAGCAGACCCTTGCTCACCGTTGCCCCTCCTTGGGCAACAGAGATAAAAACCTAATGGCATGTCAGATCCTTGATGGCAAACTCGCCAGGAAAACAAAATTATCAGGGTAGAGCGGAGGCAGCGGACCGTATCTGCTTTTGTACCATAAAATAACATAACCCGATGACCCCCTCATTTGCTGAAGGGGCACCCGGCTGGAAACACGGAGGCCTCTCACAAAAGTTCCCGCTGCCTGTCACGGCCACGAGTCGGCTTCGAAACAACCTTGCTCCCAGCTCTCTTTTCTTCCCCTCCCCTCAGGCATCTCGGCCTTCATTTCGAATTTCCAAGGCACAAGCCCTTGATGACAACACGTTTATTACCATACAAATTGTGAGACTCTTGACAGGAAAAAGTCCTCAGACGGTTTCCTGTGCAGACACACACACCCACCCACACACACTCTATTCCACACTGAAAAACAAAATTCCCAAACTATCTCTATCAGATAACAATGTCAAAAAGTCCCTTACCTAACAAGTCACTGAAAGACTGTCTTGACAATTCATACAATGACGTTTAATTGCATCCAAGAGATGTTTTGAAACAATGTCAGAAGTTGAAGAATGGTGAAAGTCCTTTAAGAACAACACTCTTGTCAGAAGAGCATAGTGACCTCAAGGAAACTTTCCTGAGTCATGAGCCTGGCTGCCATGGCTACTTCTCTCTTTCTTCTTCTCTCCCTCCTTCCACCTGTCACAAACATTTATAGAGCATATATCATGAGCCAAGGTCCACGATAGGTTCTGGAGAAACACCCTTAAGCAAGACAGGAATGATCCCTGACTAATTTCTGACCACTCATCTGTAGCAGAGCTGCTTCTTGCCCCCCAACATCCAATATCACTTTCTTTCTCAATAATAAGATCCCCAATTTTTAGCTAGGCATGTGGGTCTCCATAACAAAAAATACATGTCCCAGCCTCCCTTTCAGCAAGGTGCAATCATGGGACTAAGTTCTAACTAATGGGATGTAAGCAGAAGTATTGTGTGACATTTCCAGGAAATGTTATTAAAGCAAGGGAAGCGTATAATTTCCTCCATCTTCCTCCTTGTGGGTTGGAATGTGGATATGATGGCTAGAATTCAAGCAGCCATATTTTACCATGAGGTAGAAGTCATGAATGGCTAATGGTAGAAGAGCAAGATAGAGCCTTCAATTGTAGAATCACTTTGGAAAACTGGTAATCTCCTACAAAATTAAACATGTACCTATACTATACTCAGCAATTCTACTCCCACTCATTACCCAAGAGAAATGAAAACCTATTTCCACACACAGATTTGCACACAAATGTTGGTAACAAATTTTTTTCCTAATAATCCCAAACTGGATAAAATCTAAATGTCCCTCAACAGGTGAATAAACAAATTATGGTGTATTCATACCATGGAAGACTAATAAGCAATAAAAAAGAACTACTGATACAGCAACATCAGTAAATCCCAAAAGCATTATATTGAGTGAAAGAAGCCAGAAACAAAGGAATAGCTACTGTATGACTCCATTTATATGGAATTCTAGAGCAGGCAAATCCATTCCCTGGTGATAAATGTCAAATCACTTGGAGAGGGGCACAAGGAAACTTCTGAGCTGATGGAAATGTTCTCTTTTGGTTGGGCAGTTAATTACATGGTGCAAACATTTGTCAAAATTCATCAGGATCTGTGTATTTCACCGCATGCAAATTATACAATAGTAATGACAATGATATTGATAACAATAATAGCCTGGTCCTTTCGACTTTGTCATGCCACCTTTTCAGCCCTCAACCGTCCACCTCTGAACCTGATTTATTATGAGAGAAAGAAACTTCAGCCAGTCTTCTTTGGCATTTTCTATCACTTTTAGCTAATCCTGTCTTGACAGCACTACATCTTCTCCATGCCAGTCACCGGTCATGCAGCTGACTCCTCCCTCTGCTCTGAATGGTAAAGTCCACAAGGGAGTAGGTCCCAGGAGCTATGACACAGGTGGAATTTGACAACAAGGTTAATCCAAGTGCTGCAGTTTTGAAAAGTCTCACTCCAGCCCTTGTTTCAGGATTTCCCCAGCCTGAACACACAGCCAAGTCTCCTCACTCATTCTCAGCCCACCCAGGAGAGTAGAGCATTGCAGAGTCCGTGCCCTCACACCTGGCAGCCCATTTGGCAAGCAGGATCCCACCTTGTGAGGTTCACTTTGGTCACCCGATTATTCTTGAATGCCGGTACCAGGACTATTCTTAGCACACCGTCAATCCCCAGGAGACTCTGAAGATGCACGTGGCTGAGTAACAGCTGCATCGCGGCTATTACCAATGCCATTATCATCATCATTATTGCAGAGATTCAGCTTTTGTGGTATGCCAATCAGGGGACGTTTGGGGGCCTTTTCCATAATTGGAAGAACCAGTCCAGGGCACGCGTGGGTTTCCATTCAGAGTGGGTGTGACCTCACGGGAAGCATACTTTCTTGTACATAGCTGGGGCTGGCATTTCTTGTCCAGTAGGCAACTGCCTGTGTGGAGGGATTTCAGGTTGATCTTCTGTCCTTCTCTCCTATCTTGCCCAGTCCTGCCACCTCTGTCCCACCAAGTAGTCCCCTCACCAGCAACCACAAATTCTACAATTAGGGATTCATTCCTTTGACTTTACATTTTCTCTGCCATTAAAATGCAAATCCTCCTGCCAGCTTTCCAAGAATTGTATTTTATTTCTTTTTTTCTCATTTTTCCCTTTTAAAATAAGGAGGTAGAATACATAAAGGGCCTCATGAGAGGGTATTATTGTGGAAGGAAGAGCATGAAGAAAAGGGAGATGGGGCAAGGTCAGTGAGGACAAAACAACAAGAATGGCGAGTACTTCCTGTGTTTCCAGCATGCCCTGGGTTTCGGCTCACATGATGTTATGAGAGTGACCCTCTTCTGAAGTTTTCTTTAACAAACGCTTGGTGCCTACTATACACCCAGGCACTGTCGCAACAGCTGTATGAAACTTAACTCATTTCATTCTCATGTTAACTCCAAGAGGTGAGTTTATTAGTATCCACAGATTACAGAGAAGGAAACTGAGGCACAGAGAGATTAAGTAACTTGCTCAAGGTCACATGGCTGGTATGTAGCAGAGCTGGGATCCCAATCCCTGCCACCTTGCTGCAGAGGCTGTGCTCATAAGAATTTTTATGTAACTTTATGTAACTATAAAAGAGCAGGTTATTGCTCTGCCATCATTGGATGGTCTCAATTGCCCAGATATCTTGCTTTTTTTTTGAGACAGGGTCTCACTCTGTCACCCAGGCTGGAATGCAGTGGCACGATCTCGGCTCACCACAACCTCCACCTCCCAGGCTCAGGGCTCAGCCTCCCGAGTAGCTGGGATTATAGGTGCACACCACCACACCTGGCTAATTTTTGTATTTTTAGTAGAGATGAGTTTTCACCATGTTGGCCAGGCTGGTCTCAAACTCTTAACCTTGAATGATCCACCTGCCTCAGCCTCCTAAAGTGCTGGGATTACAGGTGTGAGCCACTGCACCCAGCCGATATCTTGCTTTTTTACTCATACAATATTTC
This sequence comes from Homo sapiens, assembly GCF_000001405.40. Classification (NCBI taxonomy): domain Eukaryota; kingdom Metazoa; phylum Chordata; class Mammalia; order Primates; family Hominidae; genus Homo; species Homo sapiens. Next base: position 39,415,445 of record NC_000023.11, on the reverse strand, counting down.
TTTCAAATAGATACTATTGTAATTTTTTTACAATGAGATGTTTTCATTGTAAGGGTGCACCCACATATTCCCAGCATTTCACTTTCCTCCCAATATACTTTTCCAAAGGAAAAAGATGTGGTATCTGTTTCATTTTTTTAAAAAAAAATGTCTACAAACAAAACACCAGGAAAATAACAAAAAAACCCAACTAGTGGATGCCGTGCCATCAGCTCAGAGACACCGGGACCCAGGGTGCATCCCCTCAGGCCTCTGAGATACATTTTCTGAGATTTTAGGGTGAGGGTTCTTAAACAACAAGAGGGGAGAAACCTAAAAATATTGTTCAACCTGGAGATGCCACAGGTGAAGAAAGGAGACACCACCCCGAGGAGCAGCGAGGACAAATATTGGAGTGTTTCTGATGGGAGAAAAGCCAATGTGTAGAAAAGGTCTCTTGTGTTAGCTGTGGCAGCTGTGGAAGGTGCTGGAAGCTGTCGGCTCCAGCACTGGCACTTCTATAGACCTAGGCAGTTGGGAGCCTGCCAAGGCCGGGAGTGGGGGGTGACATTTTGGAGAACAACACCTGGAGCCTTTTTTCCCCAAGAAATAAAAACCACATGTGTAACTAAGGGGAAGCAGACCATTCCACAGATAATTTCCTATTCATACCTGGGTGGAATTGGAATCTTCTGTGAACTTTGCTCCTGCCTCTGTGTCCTTACGCTAATGACACTGGTGTTTCGTTGTTTGCAGAGGCCACAGGAAGGAATGGTTCATGCTTTGGAAAGATGGACCAGGTTTAGGCAGGGGTGAGACAGAAGCAAAAGGACACAAGCTCCTGGTGGGTGCAGGGAAAAGGCAGGATTCTGAACTGAATACAGGCCCTGCTCCAGTGATAGGAGCTCTGATGACATCCATGGCCTCCTGCCCCTATAGTCCTCTGCTCCCTAACTGGGGCTGCCAATCTCTGACTTGACAGCCTGGCCGTTCCTCAGGGCCAGGGATCAGTCGAGGCCAAAGTATCACTTGATCCTTCCCTGAAATGCCTCTGCCAATCTGTAGCCACATCAGTTTAGCCTAGAGTCCCTCAGAACTTGCTACCAACAAAAACCTCTTTACACCACGACCCTGTTAACCCTTCACACTCCCCCATTTTCAAGGCCTCTGCTGTCTGTTGCCACACTCAGAATTCAGAAGGACTTTCTACTCCTTTTCATAGGTATTCTGCTGCCCAGAGCCTGCCTAATCCAGTGTGTGAATCTCCTGTGGCCCAGATCCAACCTGTCCCATGCTACGGGAGCCCTCTTTCTAATTGAGGTCCCAGATGAATTGAACTCATGAGTGAATAGGCATCTATGTGCACTTTATCTCATGTCAGACCCCCTAACCATCCTCTGAGATAGATACCATTGTTCCTGTCCAAATAACCTGGATACCTAGGGCTCAGAGATGTTAGGGCACTTGGTCATGAGCTATAGCAACCTTTCTCAAAGTGGGTTCGGTGGAACACTAATAGCATGGTGAAAAAGAGTCAGAAAACATCATTTCACATACTATGCCTCCCAACTGTATTCAAGATGGACATACTCACTAAAGGCTCTGAGACCTGTCTCACATCTTTCAAAAGATTAATTGACACCCCCCGACCACCTCCAACATCCCAACTCTTTTTCATCTTATTTTAAAAACACAGCGTTTCCCTAACTTATTTGACCATAGAACATTTTCCCCATGTAGCTTGTAGATTAAATTACCATACAACAAAAAATTCACTCCGTCTCTCTAAATCTTCTTGGGAAGAGTAAACTTCCTTGTCTCATTGATGAAAGGCTTGGCCATGTGACTTGCTTTGCCCAATGGGATGAAGGTGGGGATGATTGTGTGCCAGTTTCAAGCCTAGGCTTTAAAAATATTGCATGCTTCCATTTGCCCTTTTGTGACTTTCTGTGCTCAATGAGAGAAGCACACCCCCGGGGGCTGCTGCCCCACCATCCTGAGCCCTGGAATGAGACACATGGAACATAGCTTCCCCAGACAACCAGCAGAGGCACAAGTGAAGAATAAATGCTGATCATTGTATGCCACTGAGGTTTGGGATTGTTTGTTACACAGCATCATTATCAATGATGCTGATACACCAATATACCAGTCCTATTTAATATGCCATAGAATTGTAGCACTCAGTGGAATCCTCTTTGGAAAATGCTGAGTTGAAGTCAGTAAATGGCCAATCCAGAGTTGCACTCAAGGCTTCTCAAGCCAAAATTCTAAGGCCTGCTTTTCTCACTGCATCAAGCTGACAGAGATGAGCAACATCTGCCTCCAAGGTTGAAAAAGCTGCCCTGAGACAGTGTGATTTTGGGGATTTTTTAATGAAACAAGAAATACAGGGGATGGGGCAGGTGATGTTCATGGAGTCTCCAGGCTGGCACTCTGAGGCAGGTCTGGAGCCCTCGGGAAGGTGCACCAGAGGCAGGAAACATGTGCTGCTGCAGTCCCTCCCAGGCCAAATCCTTGGAAGCACTGCATCACAGAGGTTCTCATCTCAGACTCTTAGCACTGCTTTTGAGTTCTTTCTTTCCTTAAACCTGCAGAAGCCACATTATTTTCCGAGGTCCTTGTCAGTAGCCTAAATTCATACCAACTTGCTGAGTTGGTACAAAGTGCAGAATTGATGGTACAGAAAGACATTAAACAACCTACAACCTTTTAGACCATGTCAACAGATCATCCATAGCCTCCACTGAAGAAACATTTCATTAAATCCTTGCAGTTTCTCCCCAGAGAGTAGGAATGCCCTTCTATCTTTTAAAAACAGATGGAGGCCTGGCATGATTTTCATTCCAGCTGGAACAGTGGATTCACTTGAGCTAAACTCTAGAGAGGGTTGGTTAATCTTCATTCAAGAAATACATCTTGAGTACCCTAGGCCGTGGAGAAGCTGGAATACACCATGTCTGCAGGGAATGGGTACAATCCGAGCCCAGAGGGGAGAGAGGCAGGCCAGTGACAACTACAGTGCAATGTGCTGAAGGAGTGTGTGAGTCTGAAGGTTCTTTGTAGGCAGAAAAGTACCTATCAGGGGCCGTCCATACATGAAGGCAATTGTGAAGCCCCCTCCACCCTAACAAATAGTAGCTATAGGGCTACCCTCACAGGTAAACTGGTACAATGTGCGTAGAATGGGACTGATTCATAATATATGGGGTGAAGCTTCACCCTGTGATGGTGATTGGCTGACAGAAGAGTGAATGAGCTCCAAAATGCCAGCTTAAGCTGAATAGGGGAGTGCCCTGGGAGGCAGCCCTGGAATGAGATAGGAAATTAGGAAATGCTAAGTTAACAAATCAAATCCCTTGTCTCGTGCCCTGTTTGGAAAGAGACTGTGAAAAGAAAGAGGCTAATCAGCCATGAGGCTTCCAGAAAAGTGAGACCTAGAGGCAGAGGCCGGAGGGACCCACTGAATAACTCCAGGGGAAAGAGTGCCTTGGCTCAGGATCCTTGAGTGTGTTAGTTTCCTTGGTCCCTTAGCTAAGATCAGGGCTCTGGGACTTGGGTGACTTGAGCAAGGTAACCAGGGCACAGCATGTTGAGGAGGCACTCACTGTCAGGGTTGTAGAAGTTCAGTGTTAGCACTTGAGAGTGAGTGCTTTCTTAAGTTTTGTGCCCTGGCTGTCTCACTGTCTTACCTGAGCCCTAGCCCTGGCAAAGAGGCTCAAAGCAGCCGGTTCATGAGTGGAAGGTGTGTATTGAATCTTGCCTCTGCCACTTATTATTTCTGTAATCTTGAGCCAGTTTCTTAACTCTCTCAGCTCCAGTTTCCCCTTCTGTGAAACAGGGATACAGTTTCAATCTCACAAGGGGATATAGGAGGATGATGCTTGCGGAGTACTAAATGTGCAGCCTCCAGTAAATAGTTATTATTGGCTTGGAAAGATATCCTCTCCACGAGGAGAGAGTCCTTATTCAGCATTATCTGAGAGATGTCTCTTAATGTCCTTGTAGTGGAGGCTGTGATGTGCCACCTGGGTTTCCCTTCAGAACCACAGGACTGCTTCCTCCAGCTGCTGAGAGAGCCATTTGGCATAAAGGCCTCAGCAGTCTACCTCCTGCAGGAATTGCCTCAGCTGAAGAGAGCTACTTTGTCCAAGGTCCACTCACTTCCTGGGGCAGCCTACATCCAATGACTGGCCATGTAGGGGTATAAAGGCCCTGACTTCTTGCCCCAACTTGGGACTACTCTGAAGGGCCATCTCAGCTCCAAAGCCCCCAGGGTGTCAGCTGAGGCCTCTCAGTGGAGGGATTGTAGCTCAAGGTCCTCCTCTCTTCTGCTTTGCTTCCCTCGCTCCCCTGAAGGCTCTCCTCCACAAACTTCTTGCATGTCTTGTGGCAACTCATCTGGGGAGTCCACTCATGGGGGAGCACAGCCTGAAATAATCATTCCACCTCCTCCTTGTATTTCTGTGCTCACCTTATTAATCAGGATTGTTTTGGTTGTAAACTTAGGCAAAAAAAAAAAAAAACAAAAAAAAAAAAACAAAAAAAAAAACCAATGCATCAGAGCACAGAATCCCAGGAAAGTTGAAAGCTGGAGAGAGCAGGGAAACCATTGGTCTCCTTTCCACTATGACTCTTTCTGTGTGTGCATGTTACTCTCTCTCACCTGTAGACTGCTTCTGCTACATGGTGAAATATGTGCATGTTACTCTCTCTCACCTGTAGACTGCTTCTACTACATGGTGAAATATGTGCCTGCTCAGAGCTTCCCAATTCTGTACCTTAAATTCCAGACCACTTGAGAAACACTGACTCATTTCTAGTTTAGAAAACTCCAGAGAAGACTTGTGATTGGTCCATCTTGGGTCAGGGGTCATCCCATGTGACCATGTTAAAAAGTACTTACTCCCAAGGAAACTACCATGTTTTGGCAGTTAACAGATGAAGAAAAAAATAAGAGTTTGGCCGATAAAGAGAAAGGCACCCGGTAGTAGAGACTGTTGTCAGATTTTTGGTTGCCTGGCATCTGAACCCCTTCTCTCTGAATCTAGGTGGGAGGTAGAGCCCACCTGTCACTTGAGCAGCTAAAAATGCATGGCACTTATTGTAGCAGACACTGTTGTGCCCACGAATAAGTGCTTGGCACTCACCACTCCTGTATATGCCAATGTAAGCACATGTAACTCTCGATACAGACAAGGTTAGATGGGCAGGGAAGGTGAGTTCGCTCAGGAGTTAACGCCACACTCAATCAATGATGGGTGGGAACTGGTCAATCAAAACTCCAGTTTCCCTGCCCCTCAGGTAGGATAACTCCAAGAGAATCTATACTATCTCCCAGAGGTCCCCAACAAGAATGAGCCCCAGTTGCCCACAGCGGTGACATGCCTACAGTTTCATGACCTGTCCTTTATCAGCTTCTCTCTTTTCCTATCTCAATACCCCACTTCCTACTGGCACTTCCTGGAATCATTCCCAAGTAAATTATCCTTACCTCAGGATTTTTACCTGGAGAAACCCAAACTAAGACACTTGCCTTCTCAATTTTCCTGGTGGTCAGGCCACACGTGTGTGACGTAGACTAAGCCAGTCAGATATACCTGCCATAGATTGGAATCAGCAGCTAGGAACAGTGGGAAATCCTTTCAGGCAGTAGCCATGGTGGCTATAACATCCAGATCCCAGCAGGCACCAGTGAACAAAGGAGTCACGTCTGTCAGCTGTTGGCAGTACAAGCTGGTGTTCTCACTGGCTTGGGACTGCCTCCCCAGCTGCTCTCCGACCTCTACCTGCTTTTCAAGGCTAGTTCAGCAGTTTTACCAGCAACTTGGCAAATCACCTAATATTGCTTCAACAATTGCTTCAATGCTCCAATTAAGCCAGACTTTGTTCTAAAACCCAAGCTGCCATCAGCAAATATGGCCACCCATATCACTTGTTCATAGGCAGAGAATGTGATGTCAGGCTGGTGAGAAGGTCTGGCATCACTGTGCATTAGTCTGATTAGTCATCATGGCTTGCATATTTAAGTCTCTGTTGAGCTGGATGAGTGAGTTGATCCATTCTCGGGGTGCTGAGAGTATCCAGTTTCTGAGGCTGCCTGGCTGAAGATCTGACTGCCACCCACGGTGGGTTCACCAAAACACCACCTCAGAGGAGAATGAGCAGGTTTCAGCCTGAGTGACCATCACATTCTTCCCAGACATCACTTTCCTGCATTCCTCAGAATCAAGGCCCTCTGTATTTGAAAGAGCAGCTCCAAGATTCCCCCCACCATCACCGAATCAGAGCCACTCACAGGTGAGGTTCCCTTTTCAGAGCAACACAACAAGTGCAGAGAGCTGGGGAAAGGGCCAGTAGGAAAATCTGTGGATACTCTGTCCAGAGGAGAATAAGCACAGAAAGGCAGTGTGCAGCTTTGAGCTACTACTAAAACCTCAGTGTGGAGAAGAGAGAAAAAAAGGCAGATTTTTTCCTTTTCTGCCTTCTTCCTGGCCTTGATCAAATTAACATTGCTAAGTGCCAGTCTTGTCTGAACATATGCAGAAGAAACATTAGAATAGAACAGAGTAAGAATAGAATAGAATAGAATAGAATAGAATAGAATAGAATAGAATAGAATAGAATAGAATAGAATAGAATAGAATAGAATAGAAACAAGCTGAGTTCATGACACAGGCAAACAATACCATCTTGCTGCTTCATGATTCCTGCTTCAGTCTTCCCTCTCTTCCATGAAACAAATGCCCTGTAACTTTACCACCAGCAAAGAGGGTGAAAATAAGCAAAAAGAAAGTTCCCTTGTTGCCTCCAGGTGACTGCGGGAGGTAGGTCAGAAAGGCACGCTTCCGCTGAAGCCACATTTACACACTGACACACTCCTCTCTTGTTAATATTTGCATTGAACAAGCCATTTTCTGTGCTGACATTTTGCATCTAGTTAAATGCCAGCAAATCCAGGGAGATGTGGCTTTGACCTGTGGTTCTGCCCTTTTGGACAAGCGTCTGATGCTATCATACTTTCATTCTAATTTCTTATATTCCACATTTTGAATTCTTTCATCTCTAATATTTTTAACTGGATAAAATGCTTCAGACTTAATATTATCTCTGCTGAATACTTAATTGAGAAATGTTTTTAAAAAGGCATTTGGCTTAAATGATCTAAGTGTATGCATAGATATTTCTTTTCCAACAGTAAAGTGGCTTTGAATGATTTTTGTTATTATTAGGAAATTAAAGAAAAATTTGCCTTAAAATGTTCAGTGTAGTATTTTTTTTTTTTTGAGTGCATGGCTTTGCTAACCGTGAGGGAGAAATTGCTATTGAGGATTTCAAAAGTCTAGGGAGACAGCAGGGTGTAGCGATGGAATTGTATGGGCTCTGGAAGAAAGAAATCTTCAAACCAGGCACCCTCTACTCACTACATCTTGGATATGAGGAAATGAGGTGCAGAGAAGTTAGGGGGCTTTCTACCTCTCACGGTGGTCCAAGGTTTTCAATGCCAGGTCTAATTCCATGGCTTCTCCATAGCTTTGAGGTGGGGATGGGGCGAGGATGCACTCCTCTTCCAGTTTACTCCACAAGCCCTGCTCTGTAGTTCTGAGACCACATTCTGTGGCCACAGCTGAGCGCAAGGAGGCATGGACAGTCAGCCAAGCTAAGTTCCTTCTAACACTTTGGCATTGGGACACAATTAGTTTAGTTGGTCTTCTTGGTCGGATGCTTGCTCCAGGCAGCAATGAACTACTAGTCTTATGCAGGAGTGTGTGCAGAAGTCCCAAGCCTGTAACCTGGTAGGTTAGGAGGCCCTGACCTCAGCTATTACCCTTCCAGCTCTTGGTTGCCATTTCTCCTGAGATCTGCTTGTGCTGCATGACCTTGGCGCCTATGCCCAGCCTCAGCTTCTTTACCTAAAGCCTCTTTCCTTTAGCTAGCTCTGAGTTTTTTATTTTCTGAAATCAAGCAATCTCTGAATAAATAGTGTAGTCCTCTGAATTCCAGGAGAGTTACAAACCAAATTGCTCTAAAACAGTTCTATTTTCTTAGCAACTTTCATCCTAAAAGATATGTTTTCATCAAAAGAAGAAAAGTGTTTTTCAACAGATAAAGTTTCATGTATTTTGGTTCATGAAACTTTAAAATTTTGGTCAGGCCGTAGAATTCAGGTTTTCAAAACCCAAGAACAATGTGGAAATTCTCCTTTAAATCTCTTTTATTTTCCTTTTCCTTTCTTGGTTCTGAAGAATTTCTCCCATGCATACATTCTGGTAACTCCAAATTCATAAGGTCTGTACCTTGGCTTCCTATTCCATTCATTCAATAATTCAATCAATAATTTATTCATTCAACAAACCCTCATTACCTACTAAGCACCTGGTATTGTATTATATGCTGTGAATTCAGAGATTAGTAGGAAAATTTCTTCAGGGTACTCAGTTATTAGGGGAAGCAGACACGAAATTGCTGAGTATAGCAGAATAAAAGTGCTCTGGTGGAGGTGGTTACAAGGTTGTCTGGAAGCACACAGAAGGGGCCTGGGACATGGCAGGTACCTCAATTATCTGAGTAGAGCTGGGGGAAGGTAGGAAACACCTCCAAGAAGTGAAGCTTGAGCTGAGGCTTGATGGCTAAGTATGTCAGCTCTTCGGAATGTCAGTATGGGAAGCAGACACCTAGATGGAATTAGACACCTGTGAGGGATACATGAGGGAAGCAGGAGGAGGTGAGAAGGACCTTCAGACAGGGAGGCAGGTGTAACCCTGTGGAAGGAGAGGGGAAGGAAGAAGGGGTGGTTTGGGAGAGCCTCAGCTGGCAGCACAACTCTGAGAAAGTCTCAGCCAGGCTGATGGGAATCCCCAGAGCACAGACTGCCCATCAGAGAGGTCCCATGTAAGGCAGGAATGACCCAGGGCTAGTCCTGACCACCTCTCCTCCCTGTGCTTTGTCATGGGTGGGAACAGCCTGGAGAGAGGGTTGCCCCGGCAGGAATTCTGCAGTGGATCCTGAAGGTGTGGCACTCGGAGGCTGTCAGACATTTACATTACCCCCAAGGCATTTTCCACTGAAGGGAGGTCTGGGCAGTGCCTTCCCATGGCTGCCACACTAAATGAAGCCTACCCTGGTGGAGGAGATGGAGAAAGATGTTTCCAGCAGGAATGAATAGCATGAGCAAAGGCCTGACGGCAAGAGTGAGCACAACAAAAGAACACACAATGGAGAAAGGACAATCTTTTTAATAAGTGATGCTGTGAAGACTGGATATCCACATGCAGAAGAGTGAAATTAGACCCTTATCTCACACCATACACAAAAATCAACTCAAAATGGATGGATGAAAGGTTTCAATGTAAAACCTGAAACTATACAACTACTAGAAGAAAACATAGGTGTAAAGCTTCATGACATTAGTCTGGGCAAAAGCACAGGTAACAAAAACAAAAATAGACAAATGACATTGCATCAAACTAAAAAGCTTCTGCACAGCAAAGGAAACAATTAACAGGGCGAAGGGAGAAAATATTTGCAAACCATAATCTAATAAGGAGTTAATATTCAAAATACATAAAAATGCAAACAACTTAATAGCATGAAAAAGAATAGCTCTATTAAAAATGAGCAAAATGGCTGGGTGCGGTGGCTCACGCCTGTAATCCCAGCACTTTGGGAGGCTGAGGCGGGTGGATCATTTGAGGTCAGGAGGTCGAGACCAGCCTGACCAACACGGTGAAACCCCGTCTCTACTAAAAATACAAAAATTAGCCTGGCGTGGTGGTACACGCCTGTAATCCCAGCTATGCGGGAGGCTGAGGCAGGAGACTTGCTTGGACACGAGAGGCAGAGGTTGCAGTGAGCTGAGATCGTGCCACTGCACTCCAGCCTGGGCGACAGAGCGAGACTCCATCTCAGAAAAAAAAAAAAAAAAAAGGGCAAAACACCTGTATAGACATTTATTAAAAGAAGACATACAAATGACCAATAGGTAAATGATAAAATGTTCAACACCACTGATCATCAGAGAAGTGAAAAATCAAAACTGCAATGAGATATAATCTTACACCTGTTAGAATGGCTACTATCAGAATACCCAAATATAACAAATATTGCTGAGGATGTGGAGAAAAGGGAACCATCTTACACTGCTGGGGGGAATGTAAATTAGTACAGCCATTATGGAAAACAGTATGGAGTTTCCTCAAAAAAACTAAAACAGAATTACCATATGATCCGGCAATCCCACTGCTGGGTATATATCCCAAGGAAATGATATCAGCATATCAAAGAGATGTCTGAACTTCCATGTTTATTGCAGTATTATTCACAATAGCCACATATGGAATCAACCTTAGTGTCCATCAACAGATGAATGGATAAAAGAAATATGGCATACATACACAATGGAATCCTATCCAGCCTTAAAAAAGGAAGGAATCTTGTCATTTGTGACAACATAGATGAAACTGGAGGACATTATGCTAAGTGAAATAAGTCAGTCACAGAAAGACTGCATGATCTCACTTACATGTGGAATCTAAAAAAGTTGAACTCATAGAAGCAAAGAGTAGAATGGTGGTTACTGGGGGCTGTGGGATTGGGGAAATGGGGAGATGTTGGTCAACGGGTACAAAGTTTCAGTTAGACAGGAGGAATAAGTTCTGGAGACCTAATGTGCAGCATAGGGACTATAGTTAGCAATATTGTATTGTATACTTGAAATTTGCTAAGAGAGTAGAACTTAATTATTCTCACCCAAAAAAAGCAACTGTGTGAGATGATGGATATGTTAATTAGTTTGATTGTGGTAATCATTTCATAATGTATACATATATCAGAACATCACACTGTACACATTAAGCATATACAATTTTTATTTGTCAATTATACCTCATTAAAGCTGGAAAAAAGAAAAAAAAGAGTGAGTGTGGCAAGCTTGAGAGAATCACAGGTAGTTCAGTGGAACAGAGGGAAGTTTGACTTTAGGCTTAATATAAAGGGAGCAACCGAAAGCTTAAAAGAAGGAGAATGATAGAGTCAAATCTCCTTGACTGGAAGTTTGTAATGTCCACTGAAGCTGGGTTGTGCGATGGACACTTTCAGCCCCCAAATGTACCATCTCTTCCTTAGGACTAAAGGTGTTTGCCAACTGGATGGGAAGACTCACACACTACTATCATATATTGAGTACCCAATATGTACCAGGCACTATGAAGCCCCAGTCCTATAGTAACTCATTTAGCCCTTTCAACAATCCTGTAGAGAAGGTCCTGTTATGTCCTCATTCACAATTGTGGAAACTGAGGCACAGAGAGATGTAGTAACTTGCCCAAGGGCACACAGCTGAGAATCCTGGGACTGAACACACTCTGTCCCCAAGCCTCCACTCTCAACCACTATACTCATCTTTTTTCAAAATTTTGTCTCTCTAGAGAGGCATGCAAGTGAAAAATTGTCCCATAAGCATCTCCCACTCGGCCCCATCAGCCTATGTAAGAAGGCTGCTTAGAAATGTGAGGGGGTTATACAGATGTGTGTGGGAGTGGGGGGTCACCTGGAGGGAAACATAGTGTTTTTTTCCTCCTAGGTTCCACTTCCCACAACACCTCTGCCACCAACCAATTGAGGGTCTTCAGGAGAAGTGTTCTTATCTGTGCAATAGAGCCTGCCAGAAGGGGCACCTGGCAACCCTCTTCAGAGGCTTGATCCTGTGCTGCAGAAACCTATGGACCTGCTCAACCTGTGCACTGGAATTCCAGGGATAGACTGAGCTGTCCCTAGGAGGCTGGGAGCATTCTCCAGCAGAGACCAGCAACTGCCTCCTGCCTGGAGAATCTGGAAGGAGGAAGGGCGGCTGGAATCACCTGTGATGGCAAGTGAGGGAGAGAGGGCAGACAAAGGTAGCAAAACTGCACTCCTAGGACTTGGAATGGCAAGGGTGAGTGAGCTTCTGGAGACCAAGTGTCTTCCGTAGAAGGTAACTGGGCTGGCACTGTTTCAAAGAGTCCCTACCCAAGAGAGCTGCCTGCTAGAGTGAGGGGTCCCAGCAGAGAGAGGTTGTGGGGGTGAACCAGACTGGGCAGGAGTTGAGAGGGTGCCTTGTTACTGTACAGTCTTACAGTAACTCATGTAAACCTCACAACAATCCTACAGGGAAGCTCCTGTTAGGCCCGCAACAGAGACAGTGCAGTGCTAAGGATGTTTCAAGGCTTCCCAAACACCTATGGAAATGCCCCAGGAGGGGGCATCATTTGGGAGCCTTCCTAGAGACAGCCAATGATGGGATTATTACAGGGTGGACAGGGAAGTATGACTGTACTCTTTTCTCCCACCTCTCTGCTCAGACTCCAGTGTGTCAGAGAAGACAGGAAGACCAAGAAACAGCCAAGGAGAGGGGCTGAGGAATGAGAGATGGAGGAGACAACAGATTGTCCTTCCCATTGCCAAACCTTAGGCCGGGCCTGAGGGGATCAGACTGGGCAATTGAATCCTCAAAGGTTCCTGGAAGGTATGGGCGCTGAGTAAGATGTCAAGGGATAGGGAACGGGGAGCTGATGGTGACAGGTGCGAATGCAGGTGTTTGAGCAACAGTCTGTTTCCTATTACCACCCCATCAACTTCAGTCCATGTAACAGGCTAGTTTTACATGCATCTACTGACCAGCCACATATACATTTAGTCCTTTGAGGAAGAGGATACTATTATCGTCATTTCACAAATGAGGATACTGAAGCTCAGAGAATTTAGGGTACTTGCCCCAAATCTTTAAATTCAAATCACTTCCTTCTTGGTTAACTTCATAAATTTAGGATTTTTTTATGTCATAAAATAGGAAATGACCACACCTATGGTGTCAGTGCAAAGTCTAGTGAGGCTCTGAGCAGGAGTGGGAAGAGACATCTGGCCGTGGGTCTCTCCTGTGGCAGGGGGGCTGTAAGGTTGGAGACAATCTAATTGCCACCCTGATGACTTAGCCTCAGCTGAGGATGGGCATGTGGACACATAGAATGATTTCACCTCTTATTTTCATGGTGACTGATGCCAGTGAGCAGTCAGTTGTGGGAGAGGCACGGCAGGGAGGGTGCTGTGTAGAATTCACAGCATGCCTGGAAGCTACCCACTCTCCCACCCACCTTAGCAGGCTCCAGGGAGAACAGCCTTTGCCTTCCCACATTCCCTTTAGGCTCCTCTGTGATCTGTTACGATCCACAGATGTGCACACACACACGTATGCACACAAATGCTAACACATGCACATGCATGTACAACCATGAATACATGAACACACATGTACATGCGCACGCACATGAGCACAAACACATGCACACATAAATGTCTACAAACTGGCATGCACACATGCAAATGCAGACCCACATGCCCATATACATGCACACACATATGCACGCAGACACATGTGCATACAGGCACACCCCAAAGACAGACACACACACGTGCCCCCACACCCAGGAATGCACATCCATGCACAAGCATACATGCATGCATGCAAGCTGCTTTTTGTCGCAATCTAGAAATCAGTTTCATGACCCTGTAGATGTACCTCCTCTATGAGTCAAGGTGGCATAGTAAGCTCAGAAGGAATACTTTCCTTCTTGAGATAGGTGGGTTTCCCCTGAGGAAATGATTCAGAAAAATGTTTCCTTCCCAAATCAGAACAAATTAGAAGGGAAATTTTATGCCAAAATATTTGCTTTCTTGACATGGAGACAAGTGAAGCAGCACCCTCATCCCTTTGTGCCCTTGGCTCCTCTACCTCATAGTGCCTGATGCGTGCAGCTGCATGGCTCCAGGCCCTGGTTGGATGGGTGCCCTCTCACAGGGCTCCATCATGAGCCAGACTGGGGGGCCACCCTGCAGAGAAAGACCTGGACCAATGTGTATCCTTACTGAGCATGGTTATTTGATCCCTGTTCTAGCTCATTCCTTCTGTTCTTAGGACTACTTAGGAATTGAATGTGCTGAGACTTCCTCTCAAAGGAGCCCCTCCTTCTTAAATGAATCCAGGAGAGAAGTTCTGAAGACTGTGGTCTATGCTAAAGGAATGCAGATATTTATAAATGGTCATCTGCATTGAATGAACCAAGTCCAAATGACAATCAAGGAGAACTGTAAACATAGGAAAAGAGGGCTGAACCCATGCTTCCAGGGAAGGAAGAAGAGAGAGAGAAAGAGAAGAGAAGAGAGAGAGAGAGAGACTGACTTCTGGAATCAATCAAGGGAAGTCTGGAAATGGTGGATGAATGGAACAGAAATCCCCAAGCCAAGTGTGAACAGGTGACAGGCCTCTCTAGGGCCAAGGGGCTAGACTCTGTAGCCAAGCATTGAGCACCAAATGTGAACATGATAGAGTTGTCAGTCAGAAGAAACTGCTTGCCTATTGTCTAGTAAGCTGCACCTTGAACAACCAGCTGGAGTGGTGGTTCTGGAGTAGCTGCCTCTTCTGGTCTGGAATGCATATAAACACCACGAAAAAGGCCCAGAGCTGGGCTGGCAAGGGGTCTTTCCCTGGGGAGAGCAGACCACCCACACCTTTTGGGAGACTACTTTAGGCTCATCCAGGAGGCCTTTTGATGTGTCTGTTATACTGAAGATAGTGTTTTGAGGTCCCCAATCTTTCTTTATGTTGTTGGCTGTCATATAAAAAACAAACATCAGGAGAGAGAACAACTGTTTTAACTCAAGTAATAGCTTAAGACTAAAAATGAAATAAATTCAGGGTTATTAACAAGAATCTATCAGATCTTCTGCTAAAAGAGAAAAAAAGAGAGAGAGAGAAAGAGAAGGAGAAGGGGAAAGTGGGGGAAGGGAGAGAAGAAGAGAGGGATGAAAAGAGAGAATGGAGGAAGAAGCGAGGGTGAAGGAAGGAGAAAGGAAGGACTATGAGAAAAATCAGCACAGATCATCTTTGGTGTGTATTAAAAACAATATAGGAAGTTTTTTATGTCCATAAAAACTGCCTTTTCCCATTTGTGTTGACTATGTTGCCCTCAAGGTCTAGTGTTATATTCTCTCACTTTTGATAAACACATGGTAGCAAGATACAAAAACAAAAGCAAGAAAAAAACCAATATAGCCATGTGGATAAAGGAGTACTAGTATTTAATTTCAATATTAAGGGCAATAGGGCTGGGTAGGGACTGTGGCTAATTGGTATACATCAATCCTATCTAAAAGGGGAAGTCACCATTCAGCACCAGGCTGCTGTTGCCTTGAGTGAATGCAGAGCTTATATTGCCAGATCTGATTTTGTAAGAGATACTGAAAATTCAGTTTTATATGAAATCTCCAAGTTTTAAAGTATTGAACCAGTTCTTTGTAAAGCCCATGTCAGGCTCCATTTATATTGGGGACTTCTGGTTTGTCACCTGAGACCTAAAAGGACAACTGAAATATTAAAAGTGTGACATCCATTACTCTTTTCAAATGCTGCACTTCCCCTCCACCCCCCAGACATAGTAGCAGAAACAGGTTGGTGTTTTAGATGTTGGCATAATCAGGACTTTTAAATTAAGTAAAATAAGCAAAGTGTTTTTCTTTTTTTAAACACTGTAGCCATGTTTAAATATGTCCCCCATATTCTTTGGCACTCTTCCCATTGCACAGTGGCATCTATTATGCCCTCTCCTCTAGAATCTGGGTGGGCTTGTGACTGCTTTGAACAATTGATTATGGAGAAACCAATACTATGTGACTTCTAGGCTGGGTCACAAAAGGTCATGAAGTTTCTTCCTGATTCCCCTGGAACGTTTCTTGAATGCTTGTGCTTGGAATGTTCAGCCTCTCAAGATCCTCAGGACAGTCTCAGAATCCAGTATCCATGCTGAGAGAAGCCTGAGCCCTGTGGAGTAGTCATGCTTAGGCACTCTACTGGACAGCTCCAGCTCAGCTCCCAGTCAACAGCCAGCCACTGGTCTAGAATTGCATCCTCCCACTTTTGAAAAAGACATGATACCAAGATAAATGTTTTTCTGACTAAAACGAAAACAAAAGCAAGAAAAAATCACGGAAGTCCAGCCTTGTTGAACCTCCAGAAGACTCCAGCTCCAGCCACCACCTGGCTATGATGGCTGGAGAGATCCCAAGTGAAAAACATCCGGCTGAGTCCACTCTATTCACAGAACCGAAGAGACAATAACATTGTTTTAAGTCTCTAAGTCTTAGGGTGGTTTGTTAAATAGCAATAGTAACTGGCAGAAGCATCTACTCTAGTCGGTGTAAGCATGAAGGGCTAGAACGAGATCCCTCTAGTACTGCAGCCTCACTTAGTGCTCCACTCATTGGCATTTGTTGTGTTCTTGCCCCAATTCTCATGGCACTGGAGGGAGGGGCAAGGCATTCCACAGGAAACCTAAGCATCAGCTAGCTGGGAGGGCTGCCAAGCAGGCTAGGGGAGCCCCAGCTTGGAGCAGCCTCCACATGAGGCAATTAAAATGTGAAATGTAACCTTTAAGGAAAGAGCCTGACTTTACCTTTGCATCTTGGAGACTTGGGATGCAGAAGACCTGTCAAGTCCTGTCCTCTCCCCACCCCCCACTCTCTCCCCAGCCCTGATCACGTTTCTGTCTTATGTTTGGACACAGGACTCAGACTTGTGTACACATGGAGAATAGCGTCTGGCGCCAAGAACGCAGAGCGGCTGAGAACTGGTGTTTCTCCTCTTAGGAAAGAAAATGACAGGGAAAGGAAGAAAAATAGGAAAGAAGAAAGGAAGAGAGAGAAGAAGGAAAAAAAGAGGGAGGGAGGGAAGGAAAGGGTAGGGAAGGAAGGAAAGAGGAAAAGAAGGAGGAAGAGGAAGAGATGGAGAGAAGAAAGAAAGGAAGGAAAAGGGAGGGAAGAAAAGGAAAAGAGGGAGGAAGGGAGAAATGGAAGAAGGGAAAGAAGGAAAAGAAGGAGGAAGAGGAAGAGATGGAGAGAAGAAAGGAAGGAAGGAAAAGGGAGAGAAGAAAAAGAAAAGAGGGAGGAAGGGAGAAAAGGAAGAAGGGAAAGAAGGAAAAAAGGAAGAAGAGAGGAATGGAAGGAAGAAGGGAAGGGAAAGAGGGAGACAGGTAAAGAGGGAGGGAGGGAAATAAGGAAGAGGGAGAAAGAGGGAGAAAGGGGGGAGGAGCAAAGGACGGAAGAAGGAAGGAAAGAAGAAGGGAGGGAAGGGAAAATAGAGGAAATGAAGGACGGCACAGGGAAGGGGAAAAAGGACGAAGAGGAGGAAAAGAGGGAGGGAAGAAGGAAGAAGAAAAGGAAAGAGAAAAGAAGGAGGGAGGGAGGGAAGGAAGACAGGAAGGAAAACCAAACGTCGAGGTAGCACTGTGTGTTTGGATTTCTTGCTTTACTGAAGTATTACCTTCATCAGAAGCAGATGGACTGAATCACGTCAAAGTCTACCTAGGCAGGAAGCATTGTTTTAATTTACCCAGGTCACGGCAAACATATTGTCATTCAGCATGTGAAACTGTTTGAACTTACAAGGAGTAACCCAGCAACAGCAATTACCCCACGTGTCCGTTGTGCTCTGATGATACAAACGCAACTGGAATGGAGTCTCATAATTTCACAAGGTGACAAAACATTGAATTCTGATGTTTCACCTCCACCTGCGAATGAGCAGGGAGGTGCTGAGAGGCCAGCTGAATACACAAATTCCTTGGGCCCATGGGCACTGTACAGAGGCCGGCTGCACTGGGGCAAGCTTGCCCTCCTCTCAACCTCAGGCCGGCAGCCAATGCAGAGCAGCCCCACCGCGGGCTTTTGTCTGCTGAGAGCACACCCCCTGCATTTCTTATCAGATTTACTGTGACAAGGACCCGGAGAAAAGCAAGATGCTGGTAAGAGCTCATCAATTCAGACCCCACTATTCAGAAATTTGGATTTATTTTTTTGTCACGGAGAACTAGAACTGATGTGAATCTTGGCACTATCCTTGAAAAAAAATCATTCATAATAACACAACAATAATATATAACATTTACTGAGTTCTGACTCTGAACGAGGTACTGTCTGGAGTGCTCTTCGTGGATGTCTCATTTAATCTTCAAAGCAACACTGTGAGGAAGGTCCTATTATTCTCTCCATTTTGCAGGCGATTACTTTGAGGCACAGAGAGGTCAAGGCCTGCCCAAGGTCACACAGCTAATGAATGGGAGAGCCTGGATTCAGAACCCCAGCAGTCTGATTGATGCCAGAGCCATATTCTCAATCACACTTTAAAAGGCAACTCCCAGCTAGGTCAAGAATTCAGATTGTTTCTATGGACCTGAAAATCATTTTAACAGTACCCATTTCTGTTGTTAAAAAAAAAAAAAAAAAGACAAGACAGTGACCCAATCGATGATTCTTATCCATTCATTAAGTCAAAGTTGCTCCTTGACCATCCTGTTAGCCCTTATTTCATGCATGTGAAATGAATAAAACTTCATTTTGTTCAAAAAGACCCTTGGATTCAGACTTTCTATGCTTTTAGGTGGGCTTTCTTATTATTATTCAAAGTCACTGAGGTTTTTCTCAAAGACTTCGGAGACTAAACTAATCACAGCTGCCTTTGAGGGGATCACCGGGGATGGGATGTTTCAAAGCGCCATCTAGATTGGCAATCAGGGGACAGCCCGTGTCATCAGCTGCTGACTCCCAGGGCAGCTCAGCAACGGGGCTGAGAGCCCTTGACTCCCACTTCTGTTGATAGGCACAGTTGGTGGCCTCTGGCATTTGGCTGGAACCCGGTAGCTGGAGAGATTCTTTGAGCTGGAGATAACCAACAAGGAGCCAATGGAGAATACAGGAAAGAGCAGAGGAATTTGAGGTCCTATATTTGGCACAGACAAGAGCTGTTTCTGGGTTATAAAATGTCTCTGGGCCTGTGTTTCAGGGCAGGTGTGGAGGAAGGAAGATGGCTCTCTCACCGTCTCCGGGAACAGATGGCTGGGCCTTCCCTGCAAGCAGCCGGCTTGCCAGCTGATGCTACAACATACTGGCTCTAAAACCCTGGCAGGGCAGGCTGAGGCTACCTGGATTTTTTAAAACCAAAAATTCCCCACTCCTCAGCTATGTGAAAAGGCAGAAAATTGCATTGTCCTATACAAAAATCACAACCACAAAACCCCCAAACCACGCACAAAATAAACAAACAAAAACACTCTGAACCAAAAACCTTTCAGAAAACAGGGACAGGAGAGAATCTGCCCACAAGCCGTGAAAGGTTTCCCTTAAACCATTTTACTTTGGCAGGAAAGAGGAACGTCTAGATTCTCAGAACCATATGGCATTGGGGATCATCTAGTTTGGGGTCTAGTGTTGCCAAATATTTTTCTAGAGAACATAAATAGTCATGTTTTCATGCAAAAGTTCGTGATTTTGAGAAGTTGATTCAATTTAAAAATTTTTTAAAAGCCATGAAGGCCACACAAAATCCACCCAAGTACCTCATTTGGTTCTCAGGGCTTTGGTTTGCAACTTTTGAAGAGCCTTGGCCTCTTGCAGAGATGGAGAAACTGAGATGGGGAGAGGTGAAGAGGTTGTTACACTGGAGAGCAGCAGATGGCTTACCAACATTAGGTCAGTAGCAGATGCCATCAGCACCCCACCAGTGCCCCTCCCTCTTTCCCAATTCAGTTGGCTCCCTCTAACCCTCAACAGCCAGTGTCTGCAGATCTATGCCCAAGGATATTTTCAAAACTGTGAAAAGTGGCTTTCCTTGTGAAAGCTGGAAGCACTGAGGAAGTAATATCCCCTGGAAGCAGCTCACAAGAAGTGACTATGGGGGTTCATGTATAAATACCCCACCTCCCTCACCCCTTAGATGGGATAACTCTGAGGCACATGCTCTACACCCTTTCCCAGAGCTTCCCCAGGAGATCGAGACCCAGTCACCCACTGTGGTACCTGGATTGATAATGCACCTGTCATTGTCTGCCCTCCCTTCCCTGTCTCACTGCTCCATGTCCTTCCAGGTATTTCCTGCATTTCCCAAATAAACTAGCTACACTTGAATGCTGTGTAGTGGTGTGCCTCAGGGAGAACCAAAACTAAGCACTGGTCTGATTAGCTGTGATGTGTATAAAGAAGAGAGCCTTTATTTCTGGGATGCCTTCTGATGAAAACATTATAAATTATGGAGGTGAAATATTTCTCTATATCAAGTGTCAGGTACCACATGCCCAGTGTGTGAACTCTGGGCCTGATTAAGGGTGCCTATTGGTTTCATGGATGTAAGTGGGGAGAAACAGTAGAGACTGTTTACATCTCTCCATAGCCTTGGGAAAGGCTGCCCTGGAAGAAGACATGCTGGTTCAACTGTACTCAGGAAAAGAGAATGTGCTGGCCCTGCCCAGCACAAATAATTACTGGGACCATGTTTCTGAATATCACCTAAATGCAAAATAATGAGAATGCCATTTCTATTTAATAATGCTTTTATTAAAAGCAAAGTTCAATTCAGTGATGTGAAAAAGCAGGAGAAATTATCTTTTCATTTCTTTTCTCCTTTTCCCTCCTCTTTCCTTCCTTTCCTTTGCTCCTCTCCTCCCTTGTCCCTACAGGAAGGACAGGCACTAGCCGCTTTGGCACCAGCACCAGCTGGATGACAATACAGTGCTGGGGACACCATTTAACTCCTTCTTGGCCAGTGAGGATGGTGCAATGGAAAGTCTAATAGTGCATTTTCTCACCAATCCTTGTGACTTAAAGAAGTACTGATAAAACTTATTTAGGGGTGAGTCTTAACCTTTGCCATGCCATTGAACCCCTTTGGCATCTGGTAAAGCCTATAGACCTTTTCTCAGAATAATAGTCTTAAGCACATGAAATAAAATACAGAGAATCACAAAAGAAACTAATGATGTTGAAATACAGTAATAAAAAAAGCCAGATATGTGATAAATGCACATTTACTAATGCATTAAATATGATCTACTGGCAAGTCTAATAACTACTATAATTTCCATATAGTGCTGAGCATATTTCAAGATATCTGCAACAACTATAACGTGATGAAAAAATATCTATGATTTCTCTTTGTGATAAACTCATAGATATCACTAATACAACTATGGACATGCTAAACTGCAGTCAGAGGTTAGTGCAAATAAATATGATTTTTCCCCATCCAAATTGACAGAGTCCACTCACCCAATATTAACCCCCCCTAGTTATGAGGCAAGAGGTGGAGAAAGCCATTCTTTTGCAGCCTTCTAGTTTCTAGGGAACATGGCAGGTCTTTGTGGGAAATTGCCCAATTGTCCCTTCAGTCACATTTTTAGCAACCATTTATTGAACACCTATGGTGTTCCAGGCACTTTATTTACTTTAAAAAACCTGTTTAGGCTTTCTGGTACGAGAAGATGATTAATCATACTCCTCAGTTCATAGCACATAATAAACCCTGGTCTATGAAGGCCCTGCTTGTGTTTTATTTCCTCTTCCACCCCCACCCCACCTCCATCATCCCCAGTCCTCACCTTCGTGCCCCACCCCCATACAAGCATCCCCTCTGTGTCCTTGGTATGTGTCCTGATATATGCAGGCATCCCTGTCAAATAGGCAAAGCCTTTTTGTGAGTGGGATTTTAGTTTCCATAATTGGCATCATGTTACAAATCTCATTTATTTTCTTACCTTTTTTTCACTCAATGCATTATCATGAAGAACTATTGCCATTGTTGTATGTCCATTTTGTATGTTGCTTTTTGCTGCTGCATGGTATTTCATAAGGTGCATCCACCTTAGTTTCCTTATCCATTCCTTTAAAAATGGACACTCAGTTTGTATCTAACTTTCCTCCAGGTTGTCACCAACAAGCTCAGTGAACATCTGAATAAAGATGTCCTTATAAACCTGTACATGAGTCAGTTCCTCTAAGCTGTATGCCTGGGATGTGGGAGGTCACCAGATCATAGCGCATGTACCAACTAAATTTCACTGAGACAAGCCAGATTGTTTTTTAAAAAGCCTGCACTCATTACACACCCCACAGCCATGCACGAATACTCCCCTCCCCACATCTTCATCAACGCTTGGTATGTTCACCTTTTTAGTTTTGGCCATTTTGATGGTTATAAAGGGTCAGGTACTTTACACATGATAGCAGATGCTTTGGGGCCCCAAGTTGCATCTTGGAGCAACTTTGATATCTACCCCAGTGGAGATGGACCCATCTGTATGAGTTCAGAGTCATATCAAGCCCCCATTGCCTATATCAAAGACTTCAGTAATCCATTTGTGTCATGACTTCTCTTCTGTCCCCCGTTTCTCTCTCTTAGCTCCTTGAGCTTACCCCCCAAGTAAACTACCCATAACCAAGTCCTCTGCTTTTTAGAGTACCCAATCTGAGACATATATATTGTTCCTATACCCACAACAACTCTGTGAAGTAAGTGTTCTTCTCACTTTAAAGAAGAGGAAATAGGCTCAGAAAGAGTAAGTGACTCGCCCAAGGTGACACAGCTGATAACTGACTGAGCTGGGATTGAAGCCTGTGACCATCAGTCATTCTTTCATTCAGGTATGTTTTGCCATTGTGATGTGTGCTTTGAAGGATGCCAAAGAAGCCTGGGTCTCAGCACCTGATGAATGCTCTCACTGGGGAACTAAACAATGTAAATTAAGCAGTCAAAGATGAGTGCCATTCTTTGTTCATTTATTCATTAATTCAGCAAGAATTTATTGAATGTCTACAGTGCCCAATATTAGTGAATAGTAGTAAACAAACACAATGATTACCTTCATGAAGCTTATATTCTGGCAGGGGGTATAGAGAAATAATATAAATAATAATTGCAATTAATAAGCTGTTCATTCTTCCAATTACTTTCCATCAGCCTGGATTACATTTGGCTGCATAGAACAAAACCAGACTCCAGGGGCTTAAGCACAAAAGGCTTTATTTTTCTTCCATAAATAAGAAGTTTTGAGATAGGCAGCCTAGTCCTGATGCATTTGCTCAGGAAATTCAGGAATATAGACTGTTTTTCACTTCTGGTTCTGCCAACCTCAGATGGCCAGATAGTGGCTGCTCCACCTCTCAACATTGTGACCGTGTCCCAGGCAAAATAATAGGATAAGAGTTAAAGAAAAGAATCAAAGGGTTCACTTCTGCCAGGTCTTTCCCTTTAGCAAAACAAAACCAAAAACCTTTCCTGGGAGTACTACTCAGCAACTTTTACCTACGTCTCTTTGAGCAAAACTGGGTCACGTGCTTGTGCATAAATGCAAGAGAGTTTGGGAAGAAGTAGTTTAACTAAGTACATCATCACACCAGACATAATGGGGGTTCTATTAGTGTAAGGAGCAAATCGATAGTGGGTAGTGGGTAGGCAGTGTTGGGCACAATTCTATTCTGTCTCTCAATTTACATGTTGAATGAGGTTGGAAAAAGTCATTGAGTGTGAGGAAAGGAGATACCTGTGAGAACCAAAGACCTCAGCTGCTTCTCTTCTCTCATGCTGTCTCCTCCTGCTGTCCTGGAGTATACTTGCCAACAGGTCTGTGAGATCTTAAGAACTAAGAGAGTGAGTACAGAGTAACACATCTTCAGTTGAATGATGCAGAGGGGTCCTTGTCTCTTTAATTATTATCTAACGTCACAAAGATCATCTTTCTCTGGATTATGACAAAGTAGCTGATGCTGTGAGTACCCCACCCACATTCCCCTTAGCATTTACCAGTCCTGTGCATGCCAGCCTGATTTCTGACTGCAGGAAGCTGTGTCTTGCAGCCTGTGGGCTTTTTCTGGCTGCTGTGGCCCACTACGCCTGCAGCAGGACTGGAGGCTTGCAGGACTGATACCCATTCCCCAGAGCAACCCTCAACCAATGACCTTCAGGATTGGGTGGATAAATATCCCAGCTCTCTTACTCTTCAGGTAGAATGGCTCTAAGATGTATTTTCTACATTGTCTTCCAGAGTTCCCTAGTGTGATTATGTTCCACTTGCCTGTAGTGATAACCTGCTTGATAATGTACCCTTTATTGGTGGCCTTTCCTTCCTTGCCTCACTTCCTGTGATGTTTAATTTTATATATCAATTTGGCTATTCTGTAGTACCCAGTTTTTGGACAAACACTACTCTAGATGGTTTTGTGAAGGTATTTTTTTTTTTGAATGAGATAAATATTTAAATCAGTAGACTTTGAGTATAGCAGATTACTCTTCATAATGGGAAACCTGTTATGTGGATGGGCCTCATACAACCAGCTGATGGTCTTAAAAATCCTGAGGTTCCCAGAGGAAGAAGGAATCTGCGTCCAGACTGCCTTCCAACTTGGATTATGGCAAGTCCAGACAGCAACATCAGCACTTCCCTGGGTCTCCAGCCTGTCAGCCTGCCCAGAAGATTTTATACTTGCCAGGACCCAGGATCATGTAAGCTAATTCCTTAAAATAAACCTGTCTCTATCTCTATCTCTGTCTCTCTCTATATCTCTATCTCTGCATACAAACATCCTATTCTGTTTATCTGAAGAACCTTGATTAATATGCTTCCTCATTTCCTTATTGGTCTTTCCTAAATAAACTATTTGCATTCAAATTCCTTTCTCAGGATCTGCTTTTGGGGGAACCCAAACTCAGACAGGTCATGTGCCAACCTGTGGTCATCTCTATTATTAGTATGGATCATGGGAAAGGAGACTACACCAACACTTTGGGTAGTCATTCAGGACCACAACTTGGTTTCCCAACAATGGCCTGGACATCAGAGCTCACTGTCTCATCTACAATAAAACTTCCCACCAAAATGCTGTTATTAATGCAACTCAACAACTAACTTACAGCTTCTGGATGTCTCTATTCATATTTTGAAGAGAGAGAATCTCATTCAGTTTTTATCATGTATTTGCCCCCAGGCAAGACATCTACAGTCAGGAAAGTAGAGTCATATGGCAAAAACATGAGTATTATGTATGATGGAAGCAAACCCTGTGCATGACATGGACAATTTTTAAAGAATAAGGACTGGGCAGCCACACCAATAAGCATCTGCTACACTGATATTGAAGCATTCTGCCAATTCTAAAACATAGTGTTATTAGCAATTATAATGACAAAGAACATGAGTGAGACTATGTAAATAGGATTGCTTATGGATAAATCCACATCCTTATAAATGTCAAAGGACAGCTCACTGTGAGGATGGACTTGTTGCGAGGAATGATAAAATTATTGCAAATTTCTTTCAAGGGAGGAGCTTCCACAGATCTGGGCTTCCTGCAGGTAAGGAAAATTAAACATATGGAAATGGAATGAAAGGTGAAGAAAGTGTTCTCTCTGCATGTGGAGAAAATATTATAAATAGATCTTAAGCAGGCAATAAGATTAAGGCATTTTGTGAATCTGAGCTTCTATGCTTGTCATCTGTCTATTATATGATGTCAATAACATCTAGAATGCCTCTCACACCAAGTCAAGCAGGTATGGTCTTTCTCCTCTGCCCTCCATGGTGCTTCTCCTTCCTTTGAAGGTGTCCATCATTGTGACTCTCTCATAAGGTCAATAGCTTATTTGAATTCTTATGTAGAGGTTAAATATTCTTGGACCTACTTTTATGCTTATGTCAGTATCTCTTCCAGAGTCCCATCTGCAATTAAGGCCCCAATGAAGGGGGAAAGATGTCTGATGTCTGCTTTCTTGGGAAGAAGAACACTTTTTAAAAATTTTTTGTTATTATTACTTTTTTGAGATGGAGTCCCACTCTGTTGCCCAGGCTGGAGTGCAGTGGCATGATCTCGGCTCACGGCAACCTCCGCCTCCCGAGTTCAAGTGATTCTCCTGCCTCAGCTTCCCGAGTAGCTGGAATTACAGGCGCCCACCACCATGCCCAGCTAATTTTTATATTTTTAGTAGAGATGGGGTTTCACCATGTTGGCCAGGCTGGTCTCAAACTCCTGACCTCAGGTGATCTGCCCACTTCACCTCCCAAAGTGCTGGGATTACAGGCTTGAGCCACCATACCTGGTGGAAAGAGGCTTTTATGTAGAGGGAATTCCTTCCAGGCAGGAAGAGAACCATCTGCCCTGACGGGGGAAGCACATGGTTCGACCCTTGCTTCCCCATACTAGACTGAGATTCTGAGAGTGGAAGGGAAGATCAGTGACAGTGGGACTTTTGTGCTCCGCATTTGGAACTCGGATGTGGGGACTGCCAGACACGGTGGCCCCATGATGCTCGGCTATAGCCATATAGTTAGCAGCCGAGTAAAAGTTGCAGTGCAGTTTGATCAGGCAGTGTTCTAATTACCTACTGCTATGTAAAGAAAGCATCCCCAAATTTAGTAACTTAAAGTAAGGACCATATAGATTTTTACCATAAATGTGAAATCTGAGCAGAGCTCAATGGGGACAGCTTTTCTCTGTTCCACAAAGCATCAGTTGGGGCAGCTCAAAGGCTGGGGGCTGGAATCATCTGAGGGTTCGCTTACTCACATGTCTTGCAGTTGATGCCGGCTATTGGCTGGGGCTCAGTGGGGACTGTCATCCCTACATGTGACCTTCCCATGTGGGCTGGGTTTTCTCACAACATGGTGGCTTGGTTCCAAGAATGACTGTTCCAATAGGACCAGGTGGAAGCTGTATTGTCTTTTTATGGTCTCAGAAGTCATATAGCATCACTAGAATCATAACCACTATAATTATAGGCCTGCCAAGATTCAGCAGGTGTAAACAGAGGCCCCATTTCTTGAAGAATTAGTGTGAACTTCACATTTAAGAAGATAACATGGGGTGGAATATTTTGGTGCAGTCATCTTTGGAAAATACAATCTGCCACAGGCAGAGAGAGGGCAAAGAGACTGAGCTAGCACGTGGAGCCATCCTCAACTTCCTGGTGCTGTGTATGGAAGTCGTAAATTCCACAGGCCCTAATGGGACTGCAGGGGACAACTGAGGGTCAGTTTGGGGACCTTATCAGGGAAAATTGCTGCTACCAGGCCAAGGGCTGAGTGAATGTCATGGCCACACCTCAAGGTGTCTGCATCACCATCAAGAACTAAGGCTCCGTCATCCATAGGGTGCTATGGGGTGGAGGGTGGTTTAGATTCCTGGTTGCTGAGGAAGGCCAAAAACACTGAGTTGGGGTGGATGTAAGAGTTAGGGAGATGCAATAGAAACAGCAGGAAGCCCAGGACCGGGGCTGGGCATTACTAGTAGAACACCCAGAATAAATGCCAAACACTGATGGGGAGGACTGGGGAATCTGTCTTGGGCAAAGCAGGTGAGAACAATACAGTTACAACAGCTTTGAGAAAAAGAAGATGAGTCGGAAGCAGGGAAAGGATTCTGGTGAAAAGAAGAGCTGAACTGGTTCTCCAGGTTGAGGGATGAGGAGTCAGCTCCCTTTTGGGGAGCCCAGGAAGCAAGGAGTAGAGCACTGGCCTGTCTTTGGCATTTCTACACACACGGGCTCCCTAAATTCTCTCACACAAAACCATTGTGAGACAGCTATGATTATCCTCATCATACAGCTAAGGAAAAGGGAGCTCAGAGAGGTAAAGAAACTTGCCCAAGTCATTTACTAAGTGACAAAGGCAGATTGTGCTCTTTCCCTCTCAGCCTTATCTAATAGAACTTTCTGAGATGATGGAAACGTTTGATGTCTGTGCTGTCCAGGATAGTAGCCACTCATCACACATGGCTATTGAACACTTGAAATGTGCCTAGTGAGGCTGAGGAAGTGAATTTTCAATTGTATTCAATTTGAATTCATGTAAGCTTAAATTTAGATAGTCACAAATGTGGCTAGTAGGTACCATATAGGTGAGGGCTGATATAGATCATTAGCAAGTCACTGCCTGCCTTAATGGAGTGGTGCCTTGCATCTGTCTGATGGGGAGCTTTTGCACCTCTGTGTGTGTGTGCACATGCTTTCATTTTGAGAAAAAGTCAAACTTGCAGAAAATCAGCTATTTCTTCATAATATTTAAAGAATCCAATTCCCAAACAGTTTTTAGTAACCAATATGTAGTGCATTTGTATTCCTTGGAAACTGTTTAGAAAGAATAGTACAGAGTTTGTAAATAAGTCAAATTCCTATATACCTCTTGTATTGCTAATGGTTTGGAGGAAACAGCTCCAACGGATCATTAAAAATGTAGAATAATTTTACATCATTAAGATTTAAGAATGTAGGTGATATCCAGCAGGAGAATGCCAGAATGGGCTAACTCCAAATTGTGTCAGGAAGTTACAAGCTACGAGGGCTTAAATGACACCTGCCAACATGAATTACTCTGTTACTAAGATCAGGAATGATCAGTCCTCAAACACTAGGAGAGGGAGAGATGAGAATGAAGATTTTAAAAAATCTCAAACTAGTATCATGGCTTAATTAGCCACCAAACTAGAATTTGTACAACCTAAAGAGGGTTGCCTTTCACAGTAGGAATTGAAGGAATGTTGAGAGTAATGACAGCATCATCATAATCAGTACATAGCTTCCATCAATGACTTCTCTGAAAGAGAAACAGTCACTTAAAGGTTTTATTTATTTACTTAAAATTCATTCATTATTCATCCATTTTGCTTAAAATGCAAAACCATTCCTTTCTTAACACATCCTTTACTCAATAAAAATAAGCTAACCTTGCTTGATTAACAACATGAGCTCTGAGACATGCTGAAAAACAGTGGTTATTAGAAACTTTGCACCTAGCTTATTTAAAGACAACCATTTCATCCAAACAGATGAAACATTAGGCAGCTCCATACATCGTACAATTTGTTCAGTGACATTTATTGGAACTTGAGTTCCTTCTCCAGATCTTACAACCAACAGATTTTCAAAGCACTGGAACGGAGTCTGTCCCATTTTTTTCCTGCCACGTCCAGATCATGCCATTTGCCTTGCTCAAACTTTCCCTTGTCTTAATGTTGCAGACTGATCATGGGAAAAGTATAAAGAGGTTGGGACTTTGAGATTCCATTCTTGTTTTCTGAAAGGTGCTGTTGCCTCCTATTTGATTTCTAGAAAGAGGGAAGGGATAGGCTGGCCCTAAAGATAAGGCTACAGACTTGGAAGCACAAGAGAAATAGGTAGAAAATTAAGGCAAGGACTTAGGGTACACACAGTTGAAGACAGGAGTACAATGTCGGGGCTGGACTAGAGGCAAGCAGGAACTTGTAAAAGTCAGGAGTTTTGAAGTCACAAGTGACTTGAAAACCGCGTCTAAATAACTTAAGAAAAAAGAGAATGTGTCGGTGTATAAAGTCGGAAACTCCAGGAGTAAATCATCAGGAATAGCTGGGCCCAGGCACTCAGTTGATGCCATTAGACTTCTGTGTCTTTCCTTTCAGTTTCGTTGCCCTCTGATTTTTAGGCAGGCTCTTTCTTCCCGGTGACAGCTGTAGTCTTCTCACCTAGGAGCACAGAAACTCTGTTAGAAAGACTTTTTCTTCTTTCTAATCGTTTCTAGGGAAATTTCCAGGATTATATATCTTGTTGACCTAGCTTGGGTCACATATAGAGTCTGACCCAGCTCTTCTGGCTAGAGGGATAGAATGCTCTGATTGGCTACGTCTGGAGGATGAGCCCCAACCCTGCACTCCAGGAGTGGGGTCATCCTCACCAGAATCATGAGGATGAAGGGTGGATGAGGTAGATCTCTAAAATAAAATCCACGTGCTCTTATTAGAAGGAGTGTTTGATGCTGTTGTTGCCACAACAAAGCTGCATAAGAAACTACCTTAAAACTCAGAGACTTAAAACAAGTCTTTAGACTTTAGCTCATGGAGAACATCATCCATAATTGGTTACCTTCCTGTCCAAGTGTTAGAAAAGGGAACTGCATGTGCAAAGGTTTTGAGGCAGGAAAGATCTTGGTATGTTTGAGAAACCAAAAGTCAGGCAGGGGAGGATGGGAATAGTAGGGAGGGGCTTTAGGTGAGAGACTCATTGCAGGTAAAAAGGGATTTCTTCAGATTTATGTCTTAGTAATTTCCCTCTGCCTGTTGGGCAGAGAATTGGGTAATTAGATTGGAAGGGGCAAGAGAAGAAGTGAGAGGTCTGTTTCCATAGTCAATGCAAGCAACCAGCTGGAAATAGGCAGAGATGGTGTGAAGTGGGGAGATTCTAATGGTATTTTGGAGGAAACAGGGTTGACAGTTGCTGATTGGGGGTGGTGAGGGGAGGGAGGACTAGCAAAGATGCCTGATACTGGGCAGCAGTGTAACGTCAGGGAATGCCCAGGAAGCTAGTGGGTCATAGGACAATTGCACACTCCCAGGGGGCTGGTAGGAACATTAATTAGTTCATATTTGTCTGCATATTCTCAGATAAAAGAGGCTTTATAATCTTCAAACGAAGCATGAAATTTTGAGCTGAAAGAGGCCGTGTAGTGCAAATGAAGATGGGAATGGTTGGGATGGTAGACCAATTACAAGGAGCTTGAACGTTCTTGGTCAGCATCTCTCGGACAGCGGGTACTTCTGGTGGCCACAGAGGGTCTTTTCATCACCAATCTTCCATTCCAGCTGAGATGAGGTCTTTTATTTTAACCTGAAAATAAAAGCCCTTTCCCTGAAGACAGTACCTGCCATCATGTTAATTTCTTCAAAAAGGAAAGAAGAACAAAAAGGAAAGACTTACAGGGTCTTGGGAAGATTATAAAACTCATTAAAAGTTCATTTAAACTTGAGGCAGCCTTGATGTTATTCAGAGATGTTCTCCCAGGTTTAGGGAGAGGGGTAAAAAAGGAGGTCTCAGGAAGGCCTGGGGTGGGGTGAAGGTAGCAAGACATTATTCCCAGGAAGTAATTCCAGTGGACTAACATTAGATGGTAGTTTCTTCTCTTGTAAATTTGACGTTTGTCCGTTTCTTTTAACTGCATATTCTTTCCAGGTTGCTCAGATGAAGCGTCAAAAATTATATTAAAACGCTAGTTAGGAAACATCACCCCCAACAAATCCTGTTCATCAAAATGTTAGTGGTCTCTCTGGGGGCCCTGTGTTCGGTTTGTCAACAAGCTGAAGCCGTGGAGCTGGGGATCCGTGAGGCCCAGGAGCATGATTTAATTAATATCCTACCCATAATACCTTGCTGGGTTTATGCAAACAAAGCCCTGTCACTCCTCACCTTAGGATTTACCCTCTCCTTGAAGCAAGTATTTATTTACCCACAGTTTGACCTCATGATGGTGTTCAGCAGATGTGGATCTTACTTATTTGCATTGTTTTGTGACAGTTGGAAAATTCATTAGTGGTTCAGGGATAAATCCTCTGTGGACCGCCCCAATGATAGGTGAAGTAAGAGGGTTGTCACTAATTAATCCTCCTCTTCAGCGATGCTGGATATTGATGATAACATAGTGCCCCTTTCAGAAATTGCCTGTATCTGTTTGAAATTTGGGGGGCAAAAGTGACAGAAACTGCCTCTTGGCTACCTTGGGCAAAAGGGACTGTTAAAGGATGATATTGGGAGCTTAGATAAATGACAGGGAGGCAGGAACACCGGGTGGGAACCCAGCTGTGTGGCAGGCACTATAGAGGCTGGTGCAGGACAATGCTCTTGGGGCAAAGGAGTGTCCTGCAAACCCTCTTCTGGCTGTGTGTCACTCTGCTCACTGCTCAAGATCCTCTCAGAAGATGAGGTCACATAGCTGCCCTTTGCTGGATGAGGGTAGTGAAGGAGAACACTCTTTGGCTTCCATGGGGAGTGGCGAGGCCCCTTAGGTACCATCCCACCCACCCACATAACACAATGGGAAAGAGGAAATTCCTCACCAGCATAACTGGTAGTGGGAGAAGGTGTGCAGGGCCAAAGTTTGACCAATGTCCAGCATCCTGCTTGCTGTCTGTGAATCACTGCCAGTTCCCAAAGCCTGCAGGCATCAAATGTTTTGCTGCAAAGTGTCATATCTAAGGAAAAATGAGGGGAACTGGGATTATTCCACTCAACGAATCAGACTTGGGTTGGAATAGAACTCAATGGTGTATCAGCCCACTGTCTCTCTGTAAAGCCCAAAGCACTGTTAGGCTGAGGACTTTTGTTAGCTCTTCATACCAACTCAGTTGTAAAGTGTGTGGTGTGGGGATTGTCATCCTGTTTTATACAGATGAGAAAGATGGGGCTCTCTTCCCACGCTTTTCACTCTGCAGCAAGCTACATCTCTATGAGGAACATTTATTTGACAAGTGCTTGCCTGGAAAATAATGGCCAGCTTGTTTTCATCTATGCTGAAAGGCAAAATCGAAGAGATGGGCTTTATGACAGACACACTGATCGGGCAACCAAATAATAAAATGACCTCATACATTCAACACACGTTTACTGCATATCTGTGATGTGCAGTCTAGATATTAGCAGGCAGAGTGTTTTATGGGGAGCACTTTAGGGTTAGGCAGGCAGAAGGGCAACCCTCCGAAGTCCCTGGGCTGTCCTGGAGCAGGCACACCTTCCTCCTCGGAAGCAGTTGATCCTAAGGACAGAGAGAGTCTTATCTGTAAGGGTGGTAGAATGCACCAATTACTCAAAAGGCTCACCATACAAAAGTGTATTTTGGTTGAAGGGCAAAGCTAAGGATGGGAGTAGGGAGTACAAGGACCTCTCTCAGCACCCTGTCTCCTCTCCACCTGAGAAGATTCCCTGGAATGAAATAAGGCTTTAGAAGCTTTGGGGGCTGGGTGCGGTGGCTCCTCCCTGTAATCCTAGCACTTTAGGAGGTTGAGGCAGGACGATTGCTTGAGGCCAGAAGTTCAAGATCAGCCTGGGCAACAGAGTGAGACCCCATCTCTACAAAAAATTTAAAAATGAGCTTGGAGTGGTGCCATGAGCCTGTAGTTCCAGGTTCTCAGCTGAGGCAGGAGGACCACTTGAGTCCAGGAATTTAAGGCTGTAGTGAGCCATGATTGCACCACTGCCCTCCAGTCTGGGCAACAGAGAGAGACTCTGTCTAAAAAAGAAAAAAAAAAGAAAAGAAAAAAAGAAAAAAAAAAAAGAAGAAGACGCTTTTGGGAGCATAGAAGTAAGAAGAAATAGAAGATGGCCTGGAGGGAAGGGGGCAGTTCCTTAAGCTTCCTAATATGCTCCCGGGGCGTCTAGTACCCTGGGCATGTTGATAACTTCCCTTTTATCTCCTGGCCAGACCAGTCTTCAACTCCAGGTTTGTGTATCCAACAGTCTCAAAACCCACATGGCCACAATTCGGCTCTTGATTTTCACCACTGAATTTGTTACTTTTCTCGCAACTGTTATCATCTCAGGAAAGGGCAAATCCCTCTACTCAGTTGCTTGCCTTTGATACTTTTCTTCCTATCACCCTCCTCCCTCCAAGATCTAATCTGTCACTACTAAGTACTGCTCATTCTCCCTCCACAAACTCCCAGGACATCTCTTCCACTGCTTTTCATTCCCGCAGCCACCAAGCTAGAAGCAGCTCCCTCCAGCTATTCCCTTGATTGACTGCAGTTTCTCATAACTGGTATTCTGGCCTCTCCAATCCATGCAGCAGTTACAGTGAATTTTAAAAACCTCTCAGCATTATTTCAATGCACTTAGGATAAAACCCCAGTTCCTCCTAAGTCACACATGGTGTTGTAGTTCATGTCTCATTGCCAGAACTCTCCCTTCCCTCTCTGTGCTCCAGACAGACTAGGTCTTCCTTTGGTTCCTCCAGTGATTATGATGAGCTCTCACCTGCCTTGAGGCCTATGGAAGGCTGGATTCTCCAGGAAGATCGCAATGCAGATTTGAAAAGTTCCTGTCAGCCTAGTGGCAGCTCTGAGCAAAGGGTGCCCATGAGAGCAGCCCTTTGTTGGGCAGAAATGGCCAGCCGAGAATACCACCTCCTTGCTCAGCTGCTGGCCCAGGGCCGCTCTGAGAGGAATGTGACCTCAGCTCAAAAGCTGAGGCTGACCCTGCTGAAGCCAACAGCTGTAGGCTGTCAGCTAACTGCAATTCTCGTAGTTGGGCAGCAAATCTTTCCCTGAAAGGGGATCTGAACAGTGCTTCCTCATATATGCCATAGGAAGTCAACACATGCTCTTTCTCTCACTCCCACCTCTCGCATTGATATCTGTCCCTCTAGTAGACTGTCAGTTCTATGAGGGTGTGCATCCAGTGGCTAGTACAGTGCCTGGCACACAGTGGGTACTCAATAAATATTTCTCTAAAAAAAAGTGAAAAAGGTAGATAGAGAGGGAAGGAGGGATGAAGGCAGAGAGGGAGAGGGAGAAGGGATGGAGTGATGGGGAAAGAAATAAAGGGAGAGAGGGAAGTAGGAAGAAAGGAAGGAGAACAGGGGAAAGGAGAGGTGTAGGGAACAAATGTATGGGTAACTGAATGGGATCTAAGCTCATAATGGCCATCCTTTACCTCTTTCCCCTTTGTATCTGCCCTAAATTCCTGTGTTCTCCCACCTCTGGGCCTTTGCATATGCTGTTCTTTCTTCTTGGAAGAGATTAACCTGCACTTTTTATCCACTCACCATTCAGGTATCAGCTTATTCTCACGTTTGTAGGGAGGTCTGCCCCTGAACTCCTTTATCTGTTAGGGTGAGTTTAACTGCAAATAACAGAAGCTCAATATAACAATGATTTAAACAAGATAGAGGTGTGTTTCTTGCTCACACAAATGCCCAGAGGTAGGCAGTACAGAGTGGGTTTGGCTATTTTGCTCCAAAAAGTCTTCAGTGACCCAGGCTCCTTTTATCTTGTTTCATCCCCTATGGTCTCCATTCTCAAAGTCACTTATGGTCCAAGACAGCTACCCTGATTCCAATTATCACATTCATATTCTGGCCAACAGGAAAGATAAGGGGGAAAGAAGGGCACTTTCTGGAAGTTGCATACACCATTTCTACTTATAGCTATTGCCCAAAATGTAATGGCCATAGCTAGCTGCAAGGAAAGTTGGAAACTGTTGTCATTATCTGAGGTAGCCATTGTTCAGCTACAATTCAGGATTCTGACTGTCAATTAAGGAAAGGATATTGGAACACAACCCCTAGGAGCCTTTGCAATACTCCTCATGTAAATGAGTTATTTATCTTTTTTGTTTCCATATCTTTGTCCACCCCTCCTTTAATTCATTCCAGTTGTATATGTTCAGAGCCTATTTTCGACTTTTGAGTTACACGATGACAGTGATCAGTCCTATTTTGTTTTTCTCTTCATTTCCAATGCCTATGCACATAGTAATATGAAATAGATATTTGTTGAATGAATAAATGAATGAATGAAAAATGGCTCTCATATGGGTTCTCATAGCATTGGAAACACATTTATGTTACAGCAACCATTATATTGTAGTATTGTGTGTGTGTGTGTGTGTGTAAATTTTTTAATTGGCATATAGGAGATGGGTTAGGAAATATTACCTTGGGGTATGTTCATTCTAACCTCCCTGAGATGGTTTTTACAATGTATTGCAGGTCCCCTTCAAGTAGGAAAATCCTTGGATGCTCAAGTCTCTTATATAAAATGGTACAGTATTTGCATATAACCTATGCTTATCCTCCATATACTTTAAATTATCCCTAGATTATGTATAATACCTAATACAATGTAAATGCTATGTACTGTCAACCCTCCGTATCCACAGTTAAATCCATGGATCAAAAATACATTTTAAAAAATTTGTAAGAAACAGTAAAAAATAACAATACCATAATGAAAAATAATACAAATTTAAAAACAATACATTATAACAACTATTTACATAATATTTACATTATCTTAGGGATTATAAGTAACTAGAGATGATTTAAAGTATCTGGGAGGATGTGTGTAGGTTATATGCAAATACTACACCATTTTATATAAGGCACTTGAACATCGAGATTTTTGGTATCCACAGGGATCTTGGAACCAATCCCTGTGGTTACAAAGGGACAACTGTAAATGACTGTTATACTGTATTGTTTTTCTAATTTGTAATATTTGTATTGTTCTATTGTTACTTTTAATTCATTTTAAAATATTTACAATCCCTGGTTGGTTGAATCCGTGAATGAGAAACTCATGGATAGAGAAGGCTGATGGTATTTTTAAATTGGAGTTTTAAATTTAAAAATAATACATGCTTATCATTTCAAATTAATATGCAGATACTTTACTGTAAAAACTGAAGCCTTCTGGTGTAGGATAGATTATTGGACACAATTCTTCACCCCTTCTGTATCCTTCTCTACCCTTTGCTCTGCCCCCTTGACTTTGGAGCATGGCCATGTGACATGCTTCAGCCAATAGGATGTTAGTAGAAATGAACCAAGCAGCATCTTGCCATGTGCTTATGTGGTTGTGCTTTACCTCTTGTATCTCTGCCAGCACCATGAGAAGAGCTTCTCCCCTGTAAATGGCCACTCTCA
Source organism: Homo sapiens (assembly GCF_000001405.40). Taxonomy (NCBI): domain Eukaryota; kingdom Metazoa; phylum Chordata; class Mammalia; order Primates; family Hominidae; genus Homo; species Homo sapiens. The sequence goes on along the minus strand of NC_000023.11, from coordinate 39,379,185 downwards.
CTTGTGGGTCCATGACTAGCTGAACTGAACCCATTCCACAGTAAGGACCCAAGCCCAGCAGATCTGCAGCCAAAACCAAAGTTGCTCAGTGGGACCCATGCCACATAAGCCGACCCATGGCCAACCTGAAAATAAGTAAGCAAGAATTGTTGTTTTCTAATCATTGAGGTGTGGGGTTGTTTGTTACAGCAGCAATAGCTGACTAATAATCTCTCTTTCCTCCCCCTCAGACCTTTATTCTGCTTGTGCACACATATTTCTGTGTAGATATGTGGCTAGACTATCAATTTCTTAAAAGTGGGGATTGGGTCTTCTTCATTTTTATCTTTTCCCCTTAGAACAGTGATTGAAAACACAGTGGAGTGGGAAGACAGGCCATGGCATATGACATTTCCAGTCAATAACATACTGCTGTGTGACCTCGGCTAAGCTGTGTGATCTTCCTGTGCCTCACTTTTCTTATTTATAAAATGGGAGTATTAAAATCTACCTGACATGGTTGCAGAGAGGAAGGTTTGAATATCCTAGCAGGGTGCCTGGCATGAATGTGCATTACAGAACTGGCATCTTTCATAGTTGGTACAAAATACATGTGTGTTGTTGCTTAGGTAGATATGCCTGAGATGAATAAGGAACTGATGTGAATAATGAGGTGGCTCAGAGTGCCTTGGTGACAGGTCAGTGTCCACCCTTTAGTACCCTTCTTGTCTTGTCATTGTTCTTTGCTTTGAGATCATTGAACCTCACAGCCAAGTTTCCTGGGAAGACAGACAAGCATCTTGTCCTTTGGATGTCAGCTGGTGGGGTGAACACCAGCCAAGCAATCAGAAGGCCTAGATTCTGAGGGCTTCTTCAGTCCATTAGGTAAACCATTCAGCTGTCATTGCCTGGGCCCAATACCAACCATGAGGCAAGGAGATGTTAGTTTTCCCATTTTGCAGACAAGGAAACTGAGGCATGAAAAAATGTTATGACTTACCAAAGAATGAACATGAATTACTGTCTGAGACAAGGGTAGACTCTTAATCTAGTGCTTTTCTTCTATACCCCACTGCCTCCCAGACTGTCAGGAAAATGATGTAATCCACTCCGAGAATTCCCCTCTGGAAGCTCCCCCAACCCCAGCCTGTCTATCTGAAGATAAAAGCAACCACAAATTCAGTTTACATCTTCTTTTACTCCCTAGCCTGTTTGAGCCAAGGCTGAATGGTGCCAATTTGCCTATGGTGGTTTTTATGATGTGGGCTGGGATCACTGGGGACTGTTCTGAAACCATCAAATTCATTTCAATTAGAAGTGTAACTTAATGTCCAATTTTCAAACCAGATTCCCTAGGTAAAAGGAGGCCATTTTGTTTGCTGAGCTGCCTCAACCCAGTGAACAGTATTTCTGGGTACCAATTATGCCCAATTGTGCACCCTGGTTGGGGCATTTTCTCCAAGTTAATAGGAGGCACAACTCAGTCAAAAGGAGGGGTGGGAGAGTCTGCATGGAAAATGGGGGGACATGTGAAATTTGAGCCAGTATAGATCAATTCCAGAACACTGCCCAGGGATTCCTAAAAAAGAACCCAGGGAAAAATAAATACATCTCATCCTTATTAACACTCCAAGCCCTTAAATGAGTCCCGATGTTAATCCCTAAGAGATGCCTAAATATCTATTTCAAATTGCTGCCCTACTTGTCTTATAAAACAACTTGTACTTCTTTTTATTCTCTCCATGTTCAAAAATAAAGGAAATTCCTTTTGCAGTCTAGGGCCAAGGAACAACCCAGGCCTGGCTTTGATTACTGAAAGCCAGAGAATTTTGAGTGAAAGCTGCAGCTGGCTGCCAGGCTTGTTATTAGCAATAAGCATCAAGCCATTCTCAGGAGAGCAGGGGCCTTTTGAGAATGTCAGACAGCAGCCTGCACCTCCTTTTGACAGCACCTGCAGTCACTGCTGGAGGTACAAGCCTGTCCAGAACTCCATTTCCCCTTGGCTGAATCAGCAGCCATAATCAACAGAGAAATAACTCCTTATATTTATATAATATCTACCTACAAGCAACTCAAATTGCCATGATCCTGTTTAAGATTCGACAATGGCTCCCCATTGTCTCTCAGACCAAGTCCAAATGCCTAGGCTTATTGTTCCAGGTCTTGTGACAACAGAGCCCACCTTAGTTATTCAGGAGCTTTTTTATTTTCTTTTTTTAAACAGATTTTCAGCCAAGACATTCTTTTGCAGCCTAAGAGGGTTATTATGGAGAGGTGGAAAGATCTTCAAACCTGGAAGGCTTGCTTCAAACCCCAGCTCTACTCCAACTACAGGATTGGGGCAGGCAAGTTACTCACTCTACCCAGGACTCAGTTCCTTTCTCATTTATAAAATGATGCATTCACAGTAGATGATCTAATCTAACATGTCCTTAGTGAATCTGAAATCTTATATATTTTTTGCTCCGCTAACAGCCCTTTCCAATCCCTTTCTCCCCACTCTGCTTCTATTCTAGAGGCTGGAAGAGCTAAAATGTTCATTTCTCAGCCTCTCCTTCTGCCAGCAATAAGACACTGGGAGGTCTGTTGATGTGGCAGATGGCGGTGGCATGCCCTGTGTCCCATGCCCACAGTCTAATCACCTCTGACTTCAGTCACAGCTGTGGTGGACAGTTCCGTGTGTTCCAATTCACCTCATGCAAGACAGCATCCAGTCTCAAGTATGTGCTGTGCATCTTTCTGCTCTCTGCTCCAGGGCCTTCTCTGACACTATGGAAGCCCACTGGGCCTGCATAAAAACAAAACTTGGAAGTGTGAGATTCATGCCCTTGGGATCGACCCTTAATCGATGGGGAACACGGCCTAGTGGATAGATGCTCCAGCCACCTGTCCTTTGGGGGCACACTTCTGGGAGGCATTGTGTACAGTTATCAGGAGGTCTGGGTGCAATTGAGCCTCTAGGGCCCCAGGCAGTAACCTTTTTAATATGCCTTTATATTGTCATTTTCGTCTTTACTCTCTCATTCTCCTTGCTTCCTCTTGCGCATACAGGGATCAGTTACCAAATAAACTATGTGCACTCAAAGTTTTTGTTTGGGGCTCTGCTTTTGAAGCTACTTAAACTAAAAGAACTGGCATCACCTCTCTGTCTTCTATCTTGACTGCAAATACAGATATGATGGCTGGAGCTAAGCAGCCCTTTTGGGATCAGCCATATACCATGGCTATATGTGAGTGAGTGTGAGAGGGAGAACAATTTAGGTGGCGGGGGATGGTGGTGACTCCACACTGATTGCCTGGGATGGGAGAGTTTCCCTTGGTTTCTCTAGGCTCCTCTGTTTCTATCTCTCCTGATGTGACTGTCTCCTTCCACTGCATATGACTTTAATATTAAACACAGCTTATTATTGTTTTTTTTTTCAATATAAAGTGCTGACACAGTGCAAGCCAACTACCTTCTCTAGTGGCTCACAGAAGAAAGAGTGATCTCTTTGGACACCACGGGGATGGTGGCTGCTCTCCAGTGTGTTGTGCCTCTGTGAGAGATTTTGATGGCACGTGATGTTACTGGCTGATGGAAGAACCCAAGCCTCATGCATGAGGGCCCCCACTTTTCTCATATCTGGAGCTACCTTCTTTGTGACTATAGCCCTCTGCCTGGGCCATTTCGTTCATTGCCAAATTTAGTCCCTTCTCCTAAGCCTAGATCCACATTGCCAGGGCCTGCTGTTTTTCCCCACGTGGTCCCGGTCATTTGGATTTAAACATCTGTGGGACTTGTTCAGTGGGCTCCCTCTTCTTGTCCTTTTGCCTGCCTCTGATACCCTGTGATTAATCATTTGGTTTTCCTTGCACAATGTGGCTCAAATGGATTGGTCTTTGTTTATATTCCTACCAGTCCTGCCCTCGATTAGGCCCTTAATACTTCTCTCTCTTTTTTTCTTGAGACAGGGTCTTGCTCTGTCACCCAGGCTGGAGTGTAGTGGCGTGATCATGGCTCACTGCAGCCTCAACCTCCTCAGGCGATCTTTCTCTCTCAGCCTCCTCAGTAGCTGGCACCACAAACATGTACCCCCACATCCGGATAACTTTTTTGTATTCTTTGTAGAGGTGGGATCTCCTTATAATTGCCCAGGCTGGTCTTGAACTCCTAGGCTCAAGCAATCCTCCCACCTCCACTTCCCAAAGTGTTAGGATTACAGGCGAGAGCCACTGCACCCAGCCCCTTAATGCCCCTCCTAATTGCTTCCTTGCTGCCCTTCTTGGTTCACATCACGCTGCCCTATTCACTCCCAAGAAGTTACCCTTTTAAAGGGTGTTGCTGAGCAAGACATTCCCTTGCTGGAGAACTTTCAGTGACTTCCTTTTCCCCATGGAATGAAACTCAGATTGCTCATTTTATTTTCTAACTAAAAGGAATCAACCATTATTGTGAGAATATATTACTTACAGAGCACCACATTTGGTTTATGCTATTCCTCCCCTCCCCCATGAAATGCCACTCCTCCATCTCAAGCTTTGGAGGTTCTCCCCTCCTTCGAATGCCATGTCTCGCCCTCGAGACTTTCCAGATATCTTCAATCAAATTAAAAATTTCCTCCCTTTTTTTATCCAGAGCAGTGCATACTTCTACTATAGTTTTCATAGATATGCTCTTGCATTGTATTGATTTTTGTGTGTGGACTGTCTCTTTACTAGGGTGTTACTCATTTGTATATCCTGGTGGTTTGGGGTAGAAAGAGAGGTGATGGATGGTGTGGTGGCAATAGTGAAAAGACCAAGCCTGGGTGGCAGCACACAAGCTTCAACACCAACTCACAAAGTGGTTCCAAATATTTGAATTCTACATGTGAAGAAAGTTAAGCCTCATTACCTCAACCAGTTAATTTCAAGTATATTTTCCTTTGCACAAGAGTGCTATATCATACAAATCTGTATAAATACATTTTAAAGTACTCTTTTAATAACTATACAATAAAAATTCTAAGTGGCATGAAAGCATTGAGTTATAATTTAAATGGTGGCATTTTTTCCCCTGCTTGGTACATAAAATATTGGGAGGTCTTATATTGATGGATCTAAGATTCAATGAAATATCCTTGCCACAAAGGAAAAAAGACAAGCAATGGGGCTCCTGACCCTATCTTGGCCATCGGGGAGGGTTTTCCTGAGGAAGTGACATTAAGTTAAGATCCATGCAAAAAAGGACACTAGGAAAGGATTCTTCAATTTTCTTAGGTGAAAGAAATAAAAATATAGCCCCTGTTTCATCCTACTTTCATGAGATTTCCCTACCAGAGGCCCATGGCTCCTCAGCAGGCCTGATTACCAGCTCCCTTAAATGTAGTTCAAGGCTGATTGTGCTGCATTCAGTCCCTGCCTCTTAACCTGGGGATGAATGACACTGACTGAGGCAAGGAGTACCCAACTTTTCAGGGAAGGCAGAAAAGTCAACAGCCTGTCCCTCCAGTGTATGATGTCCCCATTGCTTCAATGTCAGTGTACAATGCCAGATTTTGACATTGATTTTTTCAGATCTGAAACCTTCCTTTGGTTTGGGGCTTCATTTATGTGTGTTCACTACCTCGAAAGGTAACACTAGAAGAAGGGTTTTTAAAATGCTGCCTTGCAGCAAGGGGAAGGGATTGCTTATCTTGGACACACACAGAAAGGAATGAACCAGAGCCTTCGGAGGTTTCCAAAGTGTACTTCAAACCAGGAGCTAGATGAAAGTGAAATAAACAAAATGGCATCTTTATCATAAATATAAGCCAACAGGTTAACCAATAAACAGATTTGGCAGAGATAGTGATGTCTACTTCCTTACTTCTGGAAGATTTGGCTCATTGATCATGGGACTGTCTCCTACTATGTCCAGATTGAGCCTCAGAATCCTTCTCATCACACTGGTGCCAGGCAGCCTCTGCCAGTCAATTAAGGAAACTGATTGATTAGGGCTTCACTTCTGGGGGAAGGAACACTGGAATCCCAACCAAGAAACCTGGCCAGTATGTCTAGCTGTGCTTCCAGCCAGCTATGTGGCTGTGGGAAAGTAATTTAATTTCTCCAAGCCTCAGCTTTCTCATCTGTAAAAGGAGGGACTTGCTCTGAGTTCTTTTCTAGTTCTCACATTGTAAAACTATGAAAAGCAAATAGTGGTAGCATTGGAAATCCATGTGGGCTTAGAAATCACATCAACATTTTGAAGGTCTACTAGATGCTCAGTGTGGCTGTTAAATAATCTGTAAGGAAACAGAAATGTAAACTTAAACAATCAAGAGTCCACCAGTTAGGTCTGGGAGGTGACACTTGTGAATATGAAAGAATTAGGATAGTGAGAAAATCTGATACAGAGACAGCCAATGGAAATTCACAGAGAGAGAGACTTCAACTTGGGATGGATGGAGTTATATCTGCCAGCTATTGCCACAATAATACTGCGTAACAAAAACCTCCTTAAAATCTCAGTGGCATATAATAATAAACATTTATTTCATTTCCAGGTCTGTAAGTTTCAGCCACTCTGGGCCACTCTGGGCAGGACTCAGCAGGTCTCAGCTGGGTTTGCTCATGTGGCTGCAGTCAGCTGTGGGGCAACCAGATGGTTCTGCTCACCTTGGCTAGGCTCAATCATATGTCTGAGGGTCTGCTTGGGAGGTTATCAGATGATGTAGAATGGCTTTGCTTGGGATAACTAGGGTGAGTTGGCTATGCTCCTTACATCTTTCTTCCTGTAGCTTCTTGGCTCAGGCATGTACTCATGACAATATATTTGATAACAAGAGCACAAACAGAAACACAGACATGCTAATTCAAGCTTTGCTTGCCTCACTCTGCTAACATTCCAGGAGAGGATGAAGGCCGTCTACAAACGATGCTTTGATAACTTAAAGGATGCATTGCCCTGGGGCTAAGGGACTATTTTCTTCAAACTCATACTTATGATAATGTGGTTCAGTGAAGGATTGTTGAGTCACTTCCACACATGACAGACCATCTGCGCAAGTAATTTGGATGTTAAACTCTAGAACTTTCCAGCATCATCAGATAGTTTAGGGCATCAAAAGGGGAAGAAAGGTGGTGCTTTAGGCATTGACGCTGTATAGGGATTAGATAGGAGAATCTTTAATGACTATTCTTTTCTGATTTTCTAAATTGGTGCTCAATAATCATTCCAGACCAGGTTTAAGCACCATCCCAGTTCTGCAGGGCCCCGTCTACCCCAACCCCTCTTTCTCGGTCACTTGTGCTGTCTAGTCAGAGCGGCTTCAGCCACTGCTTTGCTTTCTGCAGTTGGGAAGTGCCACTTCGCTAGTTTCACTGGGCTTCAGCCTGATTTCTTCTTACCCACTGCAGGGTCTCCAGCACTAGTTTCAAATTATGAAGACTTGGCTTCTCTAAAAGCTCCTGGAGAGGTAAGGAACACAGCTGGGATATGTGGGGGAATTAACACCACTCTGGAGTGAGCTGTGACAAGAGAGAGACAAGTGGTAGGAAGGGACTGGTATCAGGGCCCTTCACTCTCATTGGCTGGTTTCAAATGCAGTGGTTTCATAGCTTCTTTGAAGAAGTCCATGATGACTGAGTGGTCAGCTGTGCATTTTGTGAAATGTACCACCTTGTGTTCATTTTCGTTTTTTCCCTGCCTCACTTCTTCTTTCCCTTCACTCCTACTGTCCTGTCACTTGCCTCATAAAGCATCAGCAAGCTGGCCTCAGCCTCTGTTTTCTTGAGGACACCAGCTATGATACTAACCAAACTTCACTTACTTCTATAGTTTGACTTTTCCAGTACATAAATGCAGGGGAAGGGGGCCTCAGATTTATTGAGAGATTTTATTACACAAAACTTCCTTCACCTCAAATGCATAGACACTCGTGTAAAATGGCATTTGGATTTACAGATGAGTTTCCAATGAGGCTACATTAGGAAGGAACACTCACTAAGAATAGATGATTGGCCAAGAGATATAAGCCACTGAGCCAACTAGTCTGAGTTTAGAGCTTGGTCTGAAGACTAGCTCAGGACAAAATTGCAAGGCAGTATGAAGACTTTGCTTGGTATCTCCTTGCCTGTCTTTACAAAGAACCTCTTCCCATCTTCCTACCAAAGAGATTCTTTTCCTTTTATGTTCTAAATTCAGGCAGCAGCCGAGGTTAGAAAGAATACAATAATCGTGAGTTAAAATGATAGCTTATCGCAACTTGAGGTCTAACTACCACTCAGGGTAATTTCATTTTGTTGGGGAACCCTTGAAAATAGAAGATCATCTCTACAAAGATCTGAATATCTAATAGTAGGAATTCAGGCACTCTAACAACTGGCAGGTAAATTACTCTGTGGTGAGCTTTTGCTTATTTGACCCTACAGAAGTGACTCTTAACTGTCCCTTTTTTTGCAAGGTGAACCAGAAATGATTATCTCACCAGGAAATTGAGCCTCAGAGATGTAATGAGGCTTTCCCAAGATCACTTGGCTGACTAGTAGCAGCTCTATCTCTTCTGCCACTACTCTGGGAGAGATGAAGGAGATCAAAATTTGGGAAGCCTTTCCTGTGATACTGTGCACTCATGAAAAGTTTCTTTTTGCAGTCTGATGGATCAAGAAGGTCAACAAATGGAGGTCAAGGGCGGGTGGGCACAGAGAATTGTTCAGTCTAAGATCGCCCCTGAGAGGGGTTCTAGCATGGCTGCCTACACCAGGTCTATGATTCCAAAGGATGGGGCCTCAGTCCCTTGAGGGTCTTCCCAGTCCCAGGCAGAGCTGCAGCTGGAGTGGTGGCATCAGGAGGCTAAAGACTTGCTTCTGAGTTAGAAGGTCCACAGCATGCAGGCCGTGCACTGCCAAGAGCAGGGCAGAAGGGTTCTAGCTAAAGAGGTTGTTTCCTCTGCCAAGGTTCTAAGCAGCCCAGGAAAAACCCTTTGGCTTCTCTGAGCCTTGGTTCTCTGGGAAAAACAGAGGCAAAACCTTCTTTCCCTACCCCGAAGCATTGATGTTGTGCCACAGGGAAATTTTTTTCTAAATTTAAGTACTGCACAAACACAAGATGCCAATGGCAGAGATAAACTTCTTACCATACGGCATGCAGTAACTTGATGGAAGAGGCCTGTATTCATTTCTTGTTGCTGCTGTAACAACTTACCACAAACTTGGTGACTTAAAACAACACATATTTGCTCTCTTACAGTTCTGGAGGCCAGATGTCTAAAATCAGTCTCACAAGGCTTAAGTTAAGGTACCAGGAAGGCTGGTTCCTTCTGGAGGCTCTGAGGGGTGAACCCATATCCTTGCCTTTTCTAACTTCCTCATATCACTCCAACCTCTTGCTTCTGTCATCACACCTCCTGCTACAGACTCTGATCTTCTATCTCCTCTTGTAAGCACCCTTGTGATTACATCCAATCTACCCAGATAATCCAAAATGATCTCTCCAACTCAAGGTCCTTAAATTAATCACATCTGCAAAGTCTCTTTTGCCCTGTAATGTAACGTATTCACAGGTTCTGGGGATTAGAATGTGAATATCTTTGGAAGCAATTATTCAGCCTATCATAAAGTCCATTCTCCCCTCTCTAGCAGAGCTACTTTCCGCACTATCCCCAGAAAGTGTCCTACTGTGAGCTGTCAGTATCCCAACCATGCTCCTACAGTACTTAACATTTCTGTGTATGCGGGTTGGACTTCCAACTGCCAGCACCTGCATCTCTGCCTAAGGACTTTTGGTCACTGGAGCCTGCTCTGCCTGTGCAAGAGGGAGGTGCCAGGGAATTGAGGTCCCCATGTCCTCCCCATTTCCTGGGAGGAGCCTTTAACCAATGTCTGATGGGATCTGGTGGATACATACCCCAACCCTCTTGACCCTTGGTTTGGATAACTGAGGTGTGTTCTACATACTGTTTCCCAGAATTGCTCTCCAGTTGCCCACAGTGGTAACTAGCTTGATAACACACCCTTGGTTGGCTGCCTGCCCTGTCTCTTTTCCCCCACTCTTCTACATAAAGAATTATTGGGGCTGGGCATGGTGGCTCACGCCTGTAATCCCAGCACTTTGGGAGGCTGAGGCGGACAGATCATGAGGTCAGGAGATCAAAACCATCCTGGCCAACATGGTGAAACCCTATCTCTACTAAAATACAAAAATTAGCCGGGTGTGGTGGTGTGTGCCTGTAGTCCCAGCTACTCGGGAGGCTGAGGCAAGAGAATCACTTGAACCTGGGAGGCAGAGGTTGCAGTGAGCCGAGATTGCACCACTGCACTCCAGCCTGGGGACAGAGTGAGACTCCATCTAAAAAAAACAAGAATTATTGGGAGATAACTTTTAGAATTATCTCTCAAATTAACTACTTACACTAAAATCCCCACCTCTAAACTAAGACACAAGTCTTGCCAATATTTCTTCTAAGACTTGCTCATGATGTTTTCTTGCCTGAAGTGTCCCTTTTCTCTTCCTGCCCATCTGTTTGTTTTTCCAAGCCCCTCTCCTCCTTGGGGTCTTCCCCAGCACTTCTGTGTGCTCACCAACCTCTCCTCTTGCTGTCTATTCCATGAGGTCCCAATAGGTTGTTGTCTGTATCAAATAATTGGGAGAGACAGTGCAGCATACAGGTTAAGACAATGGATTCTGAAGCTAGACTATGTCAGTTCAAAGCCTCCTCCACCACTTACTACCTGAGCAATAGTGAGCAAGTTACTTACTCTCTCTAAGCCTCAACATGGGGTGGGAATAAAACCAACCTATTGAGCTTCCTGAGAGAAATAGATGTTAGCATAGACAGTTTTCTTAGAACAGTGCTTGGAATATAACAAACACCCCATAAGTCATACCCATCATTAGTCTCTTTAACAGGTTAATAGACAGTGCACTTATAGCATTGCATGAGCCTCTTTCATATACTTATTTAACCTGCAATTAAGCAATTAATTTTTGTGGGTTCAATATCATTTTCTCCTCTAGACTATAAGCTCTTTGAGAGCAGGGACTAGTTCATGTTTATCCCTGCTTAGCCTCAATGCCTGGAGCAGTGAGTTGGTGTTTTATAGTTTTTTTAAATGAGTATTATTTCCTAAAGGAAAGGTGGAGAAAGAAACAGGGTCTGATAAAGGATGGAGGGAAGAAGGGGCCATGTGGGGAAGAAAAACAATTTCTATGTAGTTCTGCCTGGTGCTCAGTGGATGCCTCAGTGTGTCCAGCTAGGAGGCTTGGAGTAGTCAGCAAGCCCTGGGCAGCACTTAGAAGCACTTAGGCCCCTGGGCCTGTGATAGACAGATGCACTTCCCAGCTTCCCCTTCAAGGAGGGCTTCCCTGCCCTGTTGCGAGGAACATGGTCAGCAGGCAGCCTCCAGCGGTCAGTTCCTTCTGGGGAGCATCTCAGCTGCTGGGAGCTGTCTGGCCCTAGGTCATGCCTTTCCCTTGGGTAGTCCACGTCCCCCACTGAGCAGTGGAGGAGTATAAAGGTCTAGCCATTTCTCTACCCGACATGAGACTTTCTAGAGGCGAACTTTGTCCACAGCACTTCACTGGGTTGGCTAAATCTTAACCAGGTGTGCAGGGCAGCTTGAGTCCCACTCCTTGCTGACCTCTGCTCACTCCTGCTTCCTCTCCCTCCCTTTCACAGGTGTGGACTTCTAACAGCCATCTTATATCACAAACGTCATCTCTGCTTCCAGAGGGCACAGCCTAGAACAGGAACAAAGGTTCGACCTCCTTCCAAGTTCAAGTTAATATTTGAGGCTCTCTTTAGAAGTTCAGGGATCCAGAACCACATAATATTTTTCCTCTCTAGGGGCTTAACTCCTCAGTGATGTTAAGTATCCTGACTGAAGCCTGGGAATGTTCCACACTCACTGTCCTGTGGCCCGGACAAATGAGAGTTGTTTATCTTTCAACTCCACTTAGAAAAGTAAATTTAAAAAACTCATTAATTCAGACTGTTCTTATTTGGAATTTGTGATGATCCAGAGAGGGCCCCTTTGGGGTTTGTTTACTTTTGCATTATCAGGGCAAAGAGCTCACCGGGCAGATGGAGAATATAAGCAAGATTGTAAGGGAGACATGTCAACAACTTTAAAGAGAGGGGAGAAAACTTCTATCACTTTAGAAGCACCAGTTTACGGTCCCAAAATTCATGTGACATTCTTATCAGTTTATTAAAGCTGATATAAAAATATTTTTATTTTTATTTTTTTGAGACAGAGTCTCACTCTGTCACCCAGGCTGGAGTGCAGTGGCATGATATCGGCTTACTGTAACCTCTGCCTCCTGGGTTCAAACAATTCTCCTGCCTCGGCTTCCTGAGTAGCTGGGACTATAGGCGTGCACCATCATGTCCAGCTAATTTTTGAATTTTTAGTAGAGACGGGGTGTCACCACGTTGGCCAGGCTGGTCTTGAACTCCTGACCTCAAGTGATCCACCCACCTCGACCTCCCAAAGTGCTGGGATTACAGGTGTGAGCCACCTCTCCCTGCAATCAAAATACTTTTTAAAGCAACCCATTGGTGGTCTAGTTGGCATTACTCTATGAACTTAAGTTCAATCTGACATTTACTGAACCCCTAGTTCCTGCAGAGCATGAGATACCCACAAGGAGTTTACAATCATAGTGGATGCTATCACCACATTAAAAATTTGCATTTCTTTCTTTCTTTTTTTTTTTTTTTGAGACAAGGTCTCACTCCACTGGCCAGGTTGGAGTGCAGTGGTGCAGTCTTGGCTCACTGCAGCCTCGACCTCTTGGGCTTAGGTGATCTTCTCACCTCAGCCTCTCAGTTAGCTGAGATTACAGGAGCACCTTACCTTGCCTGAGTAATTTTTTTTTTTTTTTTGTAGAGACAGGGTTTCACCATGTTGCCCAGGCTGGTCTCAAACACTTGGGCTCAAGCCAACTGCCCTCCTCGACCTCCCAAAGCGTGATAATTACAGGTGTGAGCCACTGCACTGGGCCTTTTTTTTGTTTTGTTTTTTGCATTTCTTTTCTAATATTTAAAAATGCTTCCTAAATATCTAGCCCCGGCCTCCAACCTGATATATATAAGTGAAACGATGTATAATGAAACCAATTATTTTTTCTTATCAACGTTACTAAAAATAACATTGAGCTTATTCAAGGACCTGCTGTATGTCCTTTCACTTAAAGTCAATTTCCAAGACTCTATTGACAACATTAAGTGAGGACTTACAGTACTAGTTATACAGTAACTACTTGTTAAATGAAAGAATTCTGAATCAACTTGACCTCTCCCAGTCACTGATCACCCAGCGACTGAACAATTTGGTCCCTAGAGCCCCAACAGGTTGTATGTTCACTACTGTGGTACTTTGGGATGCCCCAAACAGCACACACAGTCTCCCAAGGTTGTATGTATCACAGAGGAAATCCTCACCCACAACAATCAGCTGTGATCTAAACGTTTTTGAAAAAAGACCCTGTTTAAAATGGCAGTTGTGACCTTGGCTCAGCGTGCTTCCCGGGGACAGAGCTGGCTGGGTTTTTGGCCTGCGGCTCAGCCTGCAGGCATCCAGAACTTCCAGACAATTACCATTCCCCTGGAATTGCCCTCACTCCTGATTGCTATTGGTTAATTAAAGAAATCTAGGCTCCAGACTATATTACCCCCCCATATGTCACATCCGATGTAACTAACGAGTTCTCAGCAGTACAGGATTTTGTGTGTGTGTGTGTGGCAATGTTGTTAAATCTGATGCACTTCCACTGCCAGCGTGCTTCTCTCCATAGAGAGGATTCCCTTTCTCCCCTGTGACTTTTCATTGCTGTGCAAATGCTTGAGCTCTGCCAGCTGTAATTCTGTAACTTTTCTCGACTCATCCATGAGGTTTTTAACCTTAGTCCTGGTGTCTCCACTTTGTGCTTCTCCTTCTCATCCGAAGACCGTCAAACACTTCCTAAACTCTTTAACTATTACCAGTCTAGGGAGACAGTCTTTCTCCCCTTCTGGCAAAGTAGACTACTAAAATGGCTGGTTTAGGGAGACTCATCTAGTCAGAATTAAGTTTCTTCTATTTAATTCAATTCAACAAGATCCTGTCACCAATCTGGGTGCTTTGGGGACAGTAAACAAAGATAGGGTCCCTGCACTAAAGGTGCAGTCTTGTCAGAGAGATAAAATGAGATTCTGACAGCATTTGCAGAAACATACACTTCATTCATTTAACAAATATTTACTGAGCATTGTATTAGTTAGGATAAAGGCTAAGCCACTGTAACAAAAGATCCCCTAGTGCAGAGGCTTACAAAACAGAGAAATTCATTTGTCTCTCATATAATAATTCTAAGGTTAGTGGTCCTGGTTTGCAGGGCAGCTTGGCTCCATGTGGTTCTTCAGGAATCCAAGATCCTTCATTTTTGTGCTCTCCTATCTGTTAGAGTGTTGCTGTTATCAGTAAGGTCAAAGCCAGGCCATGGGCTCATTTGTGTTCTAGCTTGTGGAAAGGTAATAGAGGAACTTCAGGGCAAGCAATTTTTAAAGCACGTGAGGCAAAGTTGCACACACATCTTCCACTTTCACTCTATTGGTGAAAGCTTAATTGCATGGCCACATCTAGCTGCAAAGGAGGCTGAAAATGTTATCTCTATGTGGAGGGTTGGTGTGTCCAGAAGGAAAAGAGGAATGGATTTGAAGGAGCAACAAAAAGTCTTCCACAAGTATATACTATGTGCCAGAGACTTCCAGATCCCATGGTTACAGCAGTGATCAATAAGACATGGTCACTGTGTTAGTCTGTTCCTGCACTGCTATAAAGAAATACCCGAGACTGGGTAATTTATAAAGAAAAGAGGTTTAGTTGTCTCACGGTTCCACAGGCTGTACTGGAAGCATGGCTGGGAAGGCCTCAGGAAACTTATAATCATGGCAGAAGGCAAAAGGGAAGCAGGCACATTTTACATGGCTGGAGCAGGAGGAAGAGAGAGAGAATGGGAAGGTGCTATAAACTTTTAAACAACCAAATCTTGTGAGAACTCTATCATGAGAACAGCACAAGGAGGATGGTGCTAAACTTAGAAACTGCCCCCATGATCCAATCACCTCCCACCAGGACCCACTTCCAACACTGGGGATTACAATTGCACGTGAGATTTGGGTGGGGACACAGATGCAAACCATATCAGTCACTGACCTCAGAGAGCTTAGATTCCAGTGGGAAAGAGAACAAATAACTCCTTCTATAGTTGTGAAGCAGGAGAGACCCCAGATTTGATACCAAGACCTACATTCTTAAGCATTGGGCTCTGGAAATCCTGGACTTTAAAGCTCTCTCTATATATATATTTTAATTTTTCGAATTATTAAAAACATTTATTTTAGTCTTGGGGTACATGTGAAGGCTGTTACATAGATAAACACAGATCATGGATGGGGGTTTGTTGTACATATTATTACATCACCCAGGTATTAATCTCAGTACCCAATAGTTATCTTTTCTGCTCCTCTCCCTCCTCCCACCCTCCCCCATCAAGTACACCCCAGTGTCTGTTTTTTCTTTAAAAGCTATATCTTTTAAGCACTCTTCCATTTAATATTTGCCAAAGACTTCCCCCAGTCTCAGGATAAAAACCTAGATTTTTGTTAGTACTACCCTGGGAGAGCTGGTTCCTGCCTGCCTGCCTAACTTAGTTTTCTGGGCAGATTAAACTTATGCTCTTGGCTTCAGTCATGAGGAACTACTTGTAGTTTCCTGAAAACAAAGCTTGCTTTCCTCCTTCTATGCCTTTGCCCAGGCTTTCCCCTCTGTCTATAATATTCTTTCCCCAAAATGCCAGATGCCCTCTCTCTGTCTTCTTACCCTTACCTGTCCAGTGGCTTTGAAGTTCAAGCAACTGGACTTGCTCTTTCCAGAAACTCCCCTTCCATCACAGCTGGTGCAAATCTTAGTTAGGCTTTGAGCCACTGTGTGAAGTGGTAGAAAACACTCAGGCTTGGGAATCAGACAGGTCTGGCTCCGAATTCTAGCAACTCACTAGCTATGTGGCCTTGGGAAGATGTTTGTCTTAGGTTGATTGGGCTGCTATAATAAAGTTCCATAGACTGGATGGCTTACAAACAACAAAAAATGATTTCTCAGAGTTCTAGACTCTGGGAAGTCCTAGATCAGGGCAGTGGCAGGTGTGTCTGGTGAGGGCTCGCTTCCTGGTTCATAGATGGTGTCTTCTCACTGTGTCTTCACATGGTGGAAGGGATGAGGAAGCTCTCTTAGCCTCTTTTATAAGGGCACACTTCCATTCATGAGGGTTCTGTTCTCATGATCCAATCATCTCCTAAAGGCCCCACCTCTTAAATGCAATTACCTTGGGGGTTGGATTTCAACATGTGAATTTCATGGGGACACAGATATTCAGTCTATTGCAGTACTGAATTATCTACCTGGAGATAATACCATGAAGAGGGAGAGTTAGTTAGAACTGATTTTTATTTTTTTAAATCCAGTGCCCAAAGCAGAGAAGATGCTCAACAAAGGCCATTTCTGGTATTGCCATCGTATGTCTGCCTCCCCTAAGAGATCATGAGCTTTTCAAGGCACAGACTTCACTTTGGAGTCCCAGAGTCTGGAGAAAAGAAGGTGCTCAATATCTATCTGTTAAAGGAGTAGAGGGGTTGATTGTGTTAATTCATGCTAAGATGTAAATGAATTACTTTCATACTGTCTCCTTCTGGGGCATTTATGTAGTTTAAAGGACCATAGAAAGATAGAAATATTTACTACAAATATAATATTTCCTAGTGGAATTTAAGACAAGCTTTCAGAGCAAAAACACCTGGGTTCTTGCAAATCCCGGGAATTAGCTAGCTACTCCTTCCAGCTATTAGTGAGTCCTGTCTCACCCAAGCAACCAACATCCATCTATCCCAAATTGCCCTCTCCTCTTTCCTACCAGGGAAATATCTAACTGGTTGGTGTCCTGCCCACAGTTAGAGGGTAGAAATACATTAGGATAATTAATTTATGCAAAGCTACGAAACACTGGGGCCTGGCGAAAGGACAACTGGGGTTGGGGGAGTGAGAAGACCTGGGTGTTCTACTATCTCTGTCCTTCCCAGCCGTGTGACTTTGACCAAGGCCTCCCCAGTCTCTCAGCTTCACTTCACTCACTTGCATATTAAAAGGGTTCCTTGGGACAGCTGATATTTAAGGTCCAAGAGGACATCCCTGGTCCCACAGTAAGGCTGTGTTTAGATACAAGAAAGCATACACAAGTTGGCCCATTTCCAAAAGAGTAACAATAGGCAGATTCAAAAGCTCAGTGATGCTAAGAATGCTCTAGAGACTGCAAATTTCCATGGCCCAGACTTGCAGAGCAGCAGCTTGGCCCTGCCCTGCCCTGTCCTGCATGCCTCCTCTTCCCCTCTCAGCCTCTCCAGATGACTCTGGAAAAGGCCAGGGGTCTCTGGGCAAGACTCTTGCTTTTCTTTCCAATGAAGCCCCAGCCTTGCCTTCTTAGCCCATGGCCTGCTAGCAGACACTGTCCTCCTCTCCTGCAACTCTTTGTTTAGGCCCATGTCAGCCTTGCTAATTATTATTCAGCCCAAACACCTCCGTCATTCTGGCATTTTCATTGATTCAAATTAAGAGCCAGACTAATAATTAATGCAAACTGTCCTCTCGTCCTCAACCCCTGACTGATGGATTTTCAGTGTCAAAACATTAACCTTTAGGTTTGGGACCTTGATGCATTTAAACCCCATAAGCACCTGATAAGCAAGCAAACTACAGAATCTTTCCCTAAATCAGCTCTTTCTATCTTACCAGCCCTTATTTGTCTATGCAAAAAGATATTTATCTTGGGAAAGAAAACAAACTTATATTCACAAAGACACACACACAGAGAACCAAACTAGCCATTATTACTGCAAAGGTGAAATTTGAAAGCTGTTTAACAGTTCTCCTGGCTCACCACAATGGGATTGAAGATACTCAACTGAATCCCCAGAGGAAACCCCATGAGGCAGTATGGAGACTCCCCTTAGGAATTCTTTCAGACCCAGAGAGTCGGACCAGACTCCTCTGAGCATGAACACAGTGTCCTAGTTATCTACCACTATGTAACCAAACAACCCTATACATTAGCGGCTTAAAATAACAGCAATCACTTATTTGCTCACAATTCTGCAATTTAAGCAGAGCTTGTCAAAGAAGGCTTGTCTCTGCTCCATGTGGCATCCACTGAAGTGGCTCAACCTGGGGTGAAGGATCCACTTTCAAGATGGCTCACTCATGTGGCTGCCAAGTTGGTGCTGGCTTTTTGCTGGAAGCTCAGTCAGGGTTGTGGTTGAGAACCTTAGTGCTCTGCCACATGTCCTCCTCATATGTCTTGGGCTTCTCCTAGCATGGCATCTGGGTTCTGAGAGGGAGTACTCAAAAAACTGAGTGTACAAGAGGACAAGACCTAATGTGCAAGTGATGATTAAGCCTTAACTTGCTTCATGCTTGCTAGTGCCCCATTGGCCAAAACTAAGGTCAATCTCAAAGTCATTGTGAGAGGGGACTCCATAAAGAAATCAGTAATATGAGACATGGTTCATTGGGGGAGGAGGCGAGGAAAATGTAACAGCCTGCCACAGATGACAACTGAAGATGAAACATTAAGATGAACTTTCTTTAAATACAACAACCACATACTGTATAATTGGATTTTTTTTAAGCAAGTGCTGTACAATAACCTCTTTTAAACAAGAAGAAAAAATGTGGCCTCTTTTAGTTCTTTCTAGTTTTCTTTTTTATAACATGAAGGAGTCCAGTGGCTCTAGAGATCTTTAAGGTCCATTTTGATTCATTTGTGCCATGACTTCTTAAACCAGTGGCTCTGCTCTTTGCTTTCAAATTTCCTGTCGGCTCCTACTCAGGATATCTTTCTCATGCTGCAGCCTCAAGATATGGAGGAAAATAAATTTTCTGGGTGTTTGAATTTAAAACAGCCTCTTAATGCATGGACTCAGAGAACTGGAAGGAGGCCAAGCCATCATTTGGCCCTCTCCCTTCATCTGAGAGATGGAGGAAAAGCTGAGGACCTCTCCTTGGGGAGGAGCAGAAAAGAGCTAGGCTAAAACAGCTATAGAAGAGGCCACAGAAATGGGATGGGACCCCAAGAGGTCAACCATTCTCCAGAACCTTTTTTGTCAGACCTAAGTCTGGACTTTCCTACAAAGCCAAGGATATCAGAAACATATCAAAGAGAGCAAATGTAATGCCATAACAATTAGTAATTTCAAAAAAGCCAGAAGATGTACTTGCCAAGTTGATAAATATTGTCTTGAATCCTCATTCTGAGGACATACTTGCGTTTTGAGTGAATAAGAGCATTGTTTATCTAAGGCTCTTGAAGCAAATTTGTTCTTTTTTAGTAGGTCCAGATAGATACTCATTGAATAGAGATCTGAATAGCACCTCTTCTGCTGCTGAAAAGAGTGGGTTGGTGTGGTTAACAAGGGTAGATTTCGTAGTCAGCTCAGCCCCTAATCCTTAAAAATGAAGTGCAGGTCTCTAGTAGAAGTGATGAACCTCTGAAAGGCATCATCCTAGGGTACTTGTGGGATAAAGAGTAAGTTTCTTAATTATTCTAGTGGGTCTTTTTGCAACAGTTTGTACCAGGTATAGCTAGACACTTTCCAAACATGCAAAGTAGGCCCTAGCCTCTTCTGTGCAGTGGCAGCCCCATGATTTATACTTGCCATGAGGTGGCCTGAGTAACCCCAGTTCCTGCTCTTCACAGGAGCTGGGAAGAATTGGGACCCTCTCATTTCCATCACGATGGAAGAATTGGATCTTGGTCTACATTTCTTTAAAAAAAAAAAACCCTGAATAATGTGGCCACCCTTGGTTGAGATCTTGGGCTTTCTAAAGTTACTGCCCTCTCACTCTCCAATGGGCCACTTGTCTGCAACTTGCATAGCATCTCCTTGATTTGGTAGCGGTGACTGATGGCTTCAGGGAGATTGAGGGAGGGGCTGCAACATCCACCAAGCTTCATGCTTCATACAGTGGTTGAAGAAGATACCATCACATGTGTATGACTTGCTCCATCCATCCATCCATCCATCCATCCATCCATCCATCCATCCATTGAACTTGTATTTAGTGATCAACAGTGAAATTTAAAGCACTATATTTAATAACTTGAAGACAAGCTCATATTCTAGTTGAGGAGAATACAAGGAGAGGTAAAAATTTACAAGAAGACGACATTGTTTAAAGGCAGCACATGGCAGTCCAAATATAATTGATTGACAAAAATTTCAGATTATAAGAACTGGTGTTTAGAGGAAGGTGAGGATGGAAGGGGTTAGGAAAGGGTCATGGACTCAGCTGGATTCACCTGCATATTCCTTACCTTGAATTCTCCCCCACATTTTGGCAACATATAATATCTCCACTCTACAAATGAGACATCTGGAAGCCAGAAATGGGAAAAAGTGACTTTAAACAAAGCTATGTAGTTTGCACATAGCACATAGTGGAGGAGGAATTAGAGATCAAGTTTGTTTGGATCCAAAGGCCCTTGTGTCCATTACACCATGATGCCTCCTTGAAACAAATGTCAAACACGCTTTTCTCATCTACTGCATGTTCCAGCCTGTGGAGGACCCTTGCATTTGCAAACATGTTAAGGAGACAGGTGTCTAGGAATAAAGCCTGGTGCTCTTGGGCCATGTTTCACAATTAACTGTAGTGGTTTAGGCCTTTGCTATTCAAAGTGTGGTTTATGGACCAGCAGCATCAGCATCACTTGGGAACTGGTTGGAAATTCAGAATCTCAAGCCCTACGCAGACCTACTGAATGAGGCTTTGCATTTTAACAAGATCCCCAAGTGACTCATATGTACATTAAAATTTGAGAAGCACTGGTTTTGAAGGCATACAGGTATACTTCAATTTTAGTACTTTTAGAGTAGTGCATCAAGATCCAGCTTAGAATAAAAGATAAATGAGGAGGGAATTCTGTGCTTTAGGAAATTCACCACTCAGTTGGGTTAAGCGTTGATTGTCATTATGGCATTCAAATTAGGATGCCATGTGTAACTTCTCAGGAATCTATCTTGCACCTACATTCATACTTGGGCAGAGGGAGATAGCTTTCATCCACTAGGGGAGAGGAAGCTTAAATTTGACACAGAAGGCATAAACTAGCAAAAGGAGACGAATAAAGATAATGTGTGCTGAGGAAGTTCAGAAACCTAGATGTAAAGAGGGTCTACATGTGCCTCTGGGATGGACAGGACTCCAGTCCTTCTGGATTGCAAAGCTTCCTGTCTTCTCCTCTGCTCCCGACATCCCAAGGACATAGTTTGTCCTCAGATACAGGGCAGGAGACCCCTATCTTCAGCTCCTCTCCCTGGTAGGCTGAGGCAACACAGAATCCCTTGCTCCCAGGAAGAGGGCAGGTGTGTCCTGGGCAGTACACCGCCCCCAGATTCATCTCCAACTATTGTGTCTGGCTTGATCCAGCCCAGCCTAGTTGCAGAGAGCAGCCAAATTTTCTCCCTCACTTCTTAGAAGCTGCAGGAGTTCCTCTAGCATGTCACCAGCACGGTGGCACTGCATTTATAGTTGGTGATTTTCTATGTCTGAGATTCCTGCCCCCAATCCCTCCATGCCCAAAGGCATCTTCTTGGGCTTCTCCTGGTCTGGCTTCTCTCCCACCTGCTGATATCTGGTTTTGGCCTGCTGGTGTTCTCTCTCCACCTCTTTACTCTGCTATGTTCCTATTAGCATCTCCAAGTCATTTGCTGGAGCAGGTGTCCCCTTTTCTAATCAGGTGCTGCTGAGAGAGGTCCACAGTTCAGCTTTGCCCCGTACCTGCCAGACTGGCTTCAGGCCTCGGCCCTCACTGACTTGGATACTCTCTGCAGCTCAGCCTACAGTAATGCGAGTGGTTTCAGTGTACGGGTAAGCATTCCGGGAAAGGGGCCAGGGGAGACTATGCATGAGAGGGGACCTCTGGGAAGGGAGCTGGAGGGAAGGAATTTAGCCCCACTCCCTGTGGTGGGCTCAATGGAACCCAGTTTTCCCATGAGACTGAGCCAGGGAGATCTCTCCCACCAAAGCTTTCCCTCTCTTTGCCCTGGGGGCCTAGGTGAGAGTTGGTTTTCACTCTTCCTGTCTGGAGTAAGTTACTACAGTTTCTGGGATCCGATGATAAAGAAACAGGGTAATTTCTAAAGAAAATGTTTGGATTTAAAGAAGGGGTTCTGAAGGAAACTCATATCTTCTTTACCAGCATCGAGTTTCTTTTAGTGTCTGGACTCCCAAGTTCAACCTCTATCTCTCTCAGCCTCTCTTTCTGTCTCCTTGTGTCTTTCTAGGTCTCTGCCTGTCTCCCTCTCAGTTGCTCTTTGTCATGTATGTCTCTCTGTTCTGTCTGTCTTTGATCCTCTGTGTTTCTCTATTTGTTCTTCATGTGTCTCGCTCCATCTGTCTCTGTCTCTGTCATGTCTGTCTCTCTCTGCTTGTTCTTTTTTCTCTTTCTCTTAGTGTTTGTTCTCTCTCTCTCTCTCTCTCTTTCTCTCTCTGTGTGTGTGTGTGTGTCTGTCTGTCTGTCTGTCTGTTTTTTCTCTGTCTCTCTTTGATCCTGTCTGACTCATACCGTTTTGTTCCCTCTTTGTGTGTGGATGTCTCCGCATGTCTCTCCCTGTCTCTGTGGGTATGTGTGTATATGTGTCTATCTCTCTTGCTTTCTTCTCTCTGCCCTCTCAGAGTTTCATGATCCCTGAGCTGCTCTCTGGCAGAGCATCTTCTCCTGTTTCTGTGTCTATGCTTGGCCTATCTGCACAGTTTGTTCTTAGATCCTGATGCAGGGTCCCTGCCCTGCCAGCTGCCAGTGTGTGGCTCTGGGCCCTGTGTCTGGCGGTTCTTCTGTGGGCAGGCTTGGTGCTCACAGCTTGCCTTGCCACCCAGACCCTGCCCACACTGGCAGAGACAACATTATTGGAGGGCCAATGGCTTGCATGGGCACTCAGTGCAGGAGCCCAGTTTCAACTGGGAGGGCAGAGATCACACACATGCACACCATGTAAGTATACTCACACAGACACAAACACTCACACGGATCAATTTTGGTAAACACACTGACAACATATTCAGATGCACCATCAAGGAAGGACTTGTTTCCCAGCTGCTGGGAGTGCCATCAGTGGACACTCTCAGCTGTCAGCCTTTTCCAGGCTGGCCTCAGTGGCAGAAAGAACTTTGCACCTTCTTGGGGAAGCTCATATCCAGTGGGTGATTTCTACAAGATTGTAAAGGCTTGACCATCTTGACCTATCTTGGAAGGACCATTCTAGCTCCACAGCTCCCCATGGGGTTGGCCCTGCTTCCCAGCAGCTGGTGAGCTCTGTCTGGCCATTCTAGCTTCCTTCCTCTCATTTCCCAGATGTTGATCCCAAGGTCCCTCCTTAATCCACATCCTGCACACTAACCTCAGTCTCAAAGTTTTCTTCCCAGGAAACCCAGCTGGTGACAGACACACACATTTATATTCTTGCTGTTTTCTTTCCTTCCCTCTTTCTCTCTCTCTCTCTCCACACACACACACACACACACACACACACACACACACACACACACACACTCTACTTAATTTTCTTTCCTCCCTGGGCATTAAAATTTACCTTTTCCCTTGGATCTCTCCTTTGTAACGTACTGAAGTTTTGTTCCCAGGAAAATAATTATGTCCGTGTTTCTCGCCCCAACTGGCACCAGCTGCCTGGTTTAGACCTTGCAATTGTCTCTTGGACTGTGCTAGAATCTTTGGCAGTTCCTTACTTTGCATTTTCTTCATCAGCACAGTGGGAAGAACATAGGTTTAGGAGAGACGAGACCCAGTTTGTAGTCCTAACTTCATCACTAATCAGCTGTAGGACCTTGTGAAAACCATTTTCACTCCTATGCCTCAGTTTCCTTGTCTGTAAAAGGAGTTCCCATGAAGTCTACCTCACAGAGCGAGAGATGGTATCTGTGTCTGTACTGTGATGTGCTACATAATTTTTAGTTTTATTAAACACATCAGGTGGATTAAGCCATGTGACAATTTTTCCCTTTATTCTCTTTCCTGATTTTTTTTTGGTTCCTTGATTGTGCAAAGGCAGCAGAGCCCTCACCACCACAAAACAGCAACTCTATTATTTACTGAGCCCTTACTATGACTATTCATTTTAATGTCTCATTTGATTCCCACAGCCATCTTGTAACGATGGCTCTATTATCCTTTCCTACAGATAGGAGCACAGAAATTTGGGAGGTCGATAACTTGAGAGTTTATTCAAGGTTAAATGGCAAGTGAATGCTGGTGCAAGATCCACATTTAAACTCCATCGTGTCCAACATGCTTAAGGTAAAAGGGCAGAAAGAGATATTCCATGCAAATGGACACCAAAAGTGAGCAGGAGTAGCTATTCTTATATCAGACAAAACAAATTTTAAGGCAACAGCAGTTAAAAAAGACAAAGAGGGACATTATATAATGATAAAAGGACTAACCCAACAGGAAAATATGGGCATTATATAATCATAAAAAGACTAGTTCAACAGGAAAATATCACAATCCTAAATATATATGCACCTAACACCAGAGTTCCCAAATTTATAAAACAGTTACTACTAGACCTAAGAAATGAGATACACAGCAACACAATAATAGTGGGGGTCTTCAATATACCACTGACAGCACTAGACAGGTCATCAAGACAGAAAGTCAACAAAGAAGTAATGGACTTAAAATATACCCTAGAACAAATGGAATTAACAGATATTTACAGAACATTCTACCCAACAACTGCAGAATATATACTCTATCAGCACATGGAACGTTCTCCAAGATAGACCATATGACAGACCACAAAAGAAGCCTCAACAAATTTAAGAAAATTGAAATTATATGAAGTACTCTCTCAGACCATAGTGGAATAAAACTAGAAATAAACTTCAAAAGGAATCCTCAAAACCATGCAAATACATGGAAATTAAATAATCTGCTCCTGAATGATCATTGCATCAGCAATAAAATCAAGATGGAAATTAAAAAATTATTTGAACTGAACGATAACAGTGACACAACCTATCAAAACCTCTGGGATACAGCAAAAACAGTGCTAGGAGGAAAGTTCATAGCATTAAATACCTACATCAAAAAGTCTGAAAGAGCACAAATAGACAAACTAAGGCCATACCTCAAGGAACTAGAGAAACAAGAACAAACCAAACCCAAACCCAGCAGAAGAAAAGAAACAACCAAGCTCAGTGCAGAACTAAATAAAATTGAAACAAAAAAATACAAAAGATAAATGAAACGAAAAGCTGGTTCTTTGAAAAGATAAATAAAATTGATAGACCATTGGCAAGATTAACCAAGAAAAGAAGAGAAAAGATCCAAATAAGCTCAATTAGAAATTAAACTGGAGATATTACGACCAATACCACAGAAATACAAAAGATCATTCAAGTCTACTATGAATACCTTTACATGAATAAACTAGAAAACCTAGAGGAGATGGATAAATTTCTCAAAATATACAGCCTATTTAACCTAATAAACAACAATCTATTTATTCCTAGATTAAACCAGAAAAAATAGAAACTCTTGACAGACCAATAATAAGCAGCAAGATTGAAATGGTAATTAAAAAGGTACCAACAAAAAAAAAGTCCAGGACCAGATGGGTTCACAGCTGTATTTTATCAGACATTCACAGAAGAATTGGTACCAATCCTATTGACACTATTCCAAAAGATGGAGAAATAGGGAATTTCCCCTAAATCATTCTATGAAGCCAGTATCACCGTAATACCAAAACCAGGAAAAGACATAACAAAAAAGAAAACTACAGACCAATATTCCTGATGAACACAGATGCAAAATTTCTCAACAAAATACTAGCTAACCAAATCCAACAGCATATCAAAAAGATAATGCACCATGATCGAGTGGGTTTTATACAAGGGATGTAGGGATGGTTTAACATATGCAAGTCAATAAAATGTAATACACCACATAAACAGAATTAAAAACGAAAATCACATGATGATCTCAATAGATGGAGAAAAAGCATTTGACAAAATCCAGCATCCCCTTATGATTAAAACCCTCAGCAAAACTGGCATAGATGGGACATACCTTAAGGCAATAAAAGCCACAGCCAACATTACACTAAACGGGGAAAAGTTGAAAACACTCCTCCTGAGAACTGGAACAAGATAAGGATACCCACTTTCCCCTCTTCTATTCAACATAGTACTGGAAGTCCTAGCCAAAGCAACCAGACCTGAGAAAGAAATAAATGGCATCCAAATTGGTAAAGAGGAAGTCAAACTGTCACTGTTTGCTGAGACATACATGATCATATACCTAGAAAACCCAAAAGACTCATCCAAAAAGCTCCTAGAACTGGTAAATGAATTCAGCAAAGTTTCAGGATACAAAATTAATGTACACAAATCAGTAGCCCTGTTATAAACCAACAGCGACCAAGCTCAGAATCAAATCAAGAACTCAACCCCTTTTATAACAGTTGCAAAAATTAAAATAAAATACTTAGGATTATACCTAACCAAATAGGTGAAAGACCTCTACAAGAGAACTACAAAGCACTGCTGAAAGAAATCACAGATGACACAAACAAATGGAAACACATCCCATGCTCATGGATGGGTAGAATCAATATTTTGAAAATGACCATAATGCCAAAAACAATCTACAAATTCAATGCAATTCCCATTAAAATACCACCATCATTTTTCACAGAACTAAAAAAAAAATCCCAAAATTCATATGGAACAAAAAAGAGCCTGCATAGCCAAAGCAAGACTAAGCAAAAAGAACAAATCTGGAGGCATCACAATACCCGACTTTATACTATAAGGCCGTAGTAACCAAAACAGCATGGTACTGGTATAAAAATAGGCGTATAGACTAATTGAACAGAATAAAGAACATGAAAATAAAGCCAGATACTTATCCCCAACAGATCTTCAACAAAGCAAACAAAAACTTAAAGTGGGGAAAGGACACTCTTTTCAACAAATGGTGCTGGGATAATTGGCAAGCCATATGTAGAAGAATGAAACTGGATCCTCTCACCTTATACAAAAATCAACTCAAGATGGATCAAAGACTTAAATCTAAAACCTGAAACCATAAAAATTCTAGAAGATAACATTGGAAAAACCCTTCCGGACATTGGCTTAGGCAAAGACTTCATGACCAAGAACCCAAAAGTAAATGCAACAAAGATAAATAGATGGGACTTAATTAAACTAAAAAGCTTCTGCACAGCAAAAGAAATAATCAGCAGAGTAAACAGACAACCCACAGATGGGGAGAAAATCTTCGCAATCTATGTTTCTGACAAAGGACTAGTGTCCAGAATCTACAAGGAACTCAAACAAATCAGCAAGAAAAAAAACAGATAATCCCAGCAAAAATTGGGATAAGGACATGAATAGACAATTCTCAAAAGAAGATTTACAAATGGCCAACAAACATATGAAAAAATGCTGAATATCACTAATTATTAGGGAAATGCAAATCAAAACCACAATGAGATACTACCTTACTGCTGCAAGAATGGCCATAATAAAAAAATAGTAGATGTTGGCATGGATGTGGTGTTGAAAAGGGAACACTTTTACACTGTTGGTGGGAATGTGAACTAGTACAACCACCATGGAAAACAGTGTGTAGATTCCTTAAAGAACTAAAAGTAGATCTACCATTTGATCCAGCAATCCCACTCCTGGGTGTCTACCCAGAAGAAAAGAAGTCATTATACAAAAAAAGATACTTGCACATGCATGTTTATAGCAGCACAATTCGCAATTGCAAACGTATGAAACCAGCTCAAAAGCCCCTCAATCAATGAGTGTATAAACAAAATGTTGAATATATGTACCATGGAATACTACTTAGCCATAAAAAGGAACGAAATAATGACATTTGCAGCAACCTGGGTGGAATTGGAGACCATTATTCTAAGTGAAGTAACTCAGGAATGGAAAATCAAACATTGTATGTTCTCACTCATAAGAGGAGCTAAGCTATGAAGATGCAAAGGCATAAGAATGATACAATGGACTTTGGGGAACTCAAGGGAAAGTGTGGGAGGCGGGTGAGGGATAAAAGACTACACACTGGGTACAGTGTAAACTGCTCAGGTGATGGGTGCACTGAACTCTCAGAAATCACCACTAAAGAACATATTCATGTAAAAATAAAAATAAACTTGATTGTGTCAAAAGCCCATACTGCACAAAGAGAGATAAGTCTCCTGGATGTCATGATTGACTCAATGGAATAGGATGAGATCAATCCATAGA
Organism: Homo sapiens; assembly: GCF_000001405.40. NCBI lineage: Eukaryota > Metazoa > Chordata > Mammalia > Primates > Hominidae > Homo > Homo sapiens. The sequence goes on along the minus strand of NC_000023.11, from coordinate 39,350,889 downwards.
TCTACCAGAAATCCTAGGGAAGGGATGATGACCTTGATACTTTTTTTTCTTCCTTCCTTCTTTTTTTATATTTAGATGTTGATTAATTTTTATTTTTTTCCGTAAGTTATTGGGATACAGGTGGTATTTGGTTACATGAGTAAGTTCTTTAGTGGTGATTTGTGAGATTTTTGTGCACCTATCACCCAAGCAGTATACACTGCAACGTATTTGTAGTCTTTTATCCCTCACCCCTCTCTCACTCTTTCCCCATGTCCCCAAAGTCCATTGTATCATTCTCATGCCTTTGTGTCCTCATAGGTTAGCTCCCACATATCAGTGAGAACATACGATATTTGGTTTTCCATTCATGAGTTACTTCACTTAGAATAATAGTCTCCAATCTCATCCAGCTTACTGCACATGCTGTTAATTCATTCCTATTTATGGCTATGTAGTATTCCATTGTATATACCACAGTTTCTTTATCCACTCGTTGATCGATGGGCATTTGGGTTGGTTCCACGATTTTGTGATTGTGAATTGTGCTGCTATAAACATGCATATACAAGTATGTTTTTTTGAGTAATGACTTATTTTGCTCTGTGTAGATACCCAGTAGTGGGATTGTTGGATCAAATAGTCATTCTACTTTAATTATTTAAGGAATCTCCACACTGTTTTCCATAGTGGGTGTACTAGTTTACATTCCCACCAGCAGTGTAGAAGTGTTCCCTGTTCACTGCATCCATGCCAACATCTACTGTTTTTTATTATTATTACTATTTTTATTATGACCATTCTTGCAGCAGTAAGGTGGTATCACATTATGGTTTTGAGATTTTGATTTGCATTTCCCTGAACATTAGTGATGTTAAGCATTTTTTTTCGTATGTTTGTTGGCCATTTGTATACCTTCTTTTGAGAATTGTCTATTCATCTCCTTAGCCCACTTTTTGATGGGAGTGTTTGTTTTTTTCTCACTGATTTGTTTGAGTTCGTTGTAGATTCTGGATATGAGTCCTTTGCCAGATGTATAGATTGTGAAGATTTTCTCCCACTCTATGGGTTGTGGTTTACTCTGCTGACTGTTCATTTTGCTGTGCAAAAGCTCTTTAGTTTAGTTAGGTACCAGTTATTTATCTTTATTTTTATTGCATTTGCTTTTGGGTTCTTGGTCATGAATTCCTTTCCTAAGCCAATGTCTAGAAGGGTTTTTCCAAGATTATCTTCTAGAATTTTTATAGTTTCAGGTCTTAGGTTTAAGCCCCTAATCCATCTTGAGTTGATTTTTGTATAAATTGAGAGATGAGGATCCAGTTTCATTCTCCTACAGGTGGCTAGCCAATTATCCCAGCACCATTTGTTGAAAAGGGTGTCCTTTCCCCACTTTAAGTTTTTGTTTGCTTTGTTGAAGAGCAGTTGGCTGCAAGTATTTTGGTTTATTTCTGGATTCTCTATTCTGTTCCATTGGTCTATGTGTCTATTTTTATACCAGTACCATGCTGTTTTGGTGACTATGGCCTTATAGTGTAGTTGGAAATCAGGTAGTGTGATGCCTCCAGATTTGTTATTTTTGCTTAGTCTTGCTTTGGCTATGTGGCCTCTTTTTTGGTTCCATATGAATTTTAGAATTGTTTTTTCTAATTATGCGAAGAATGATGGTGGTATTTTGATGGGGATTGCATTGAATTTGTAGATTGCTTTTGGCAGTATGGTCATTTTTACAATATCAATTCTACCCATGAATGAGCATGCGATGTGTTTCCATTTGTTCGTGTCATCTATGATTTCTTTCAGCAGTGTTTTGCAGTTTTCTTTATAGAGGTCTTTCGACTCCTTTGTTAGATATATTCACAGGTATTTTATATATTTTTGCAGCTATTGTAAAAGAGATTGAGTTCTTGATTTGATTCTCTGCTTGGTCACTCTTGGTGTATAGAAGAGCTACTGATTTGTGTACATTAATCTTGTATCTGAAAACTTTTCTGAATTCTTTTATCAGTTCTAGGAGCTTACTGGAGGAGCCCTTAGGGTTTTCAAGGTAAATGATCATATCATCAGCAAACAGTGACTGTTTGACTTCCTCTTTACTGATTTGGATGCCCTTTATTTCTTTATTTCTTTCTCTTGTCTGATTGCTCTGGCTAGGACTTCCAGCACTATGTTGAAGAGGAGTGGTGAGAGTGGGCATCCCTGTCTTTTTCCAAGTCTCAGAGCGAATGCTTTCAACGTTTCCCCACTCCATATTATGTTGACTGTGGGTTTGTCATAGATGGCTTTTATTACATTAAGGTATGTCCCTTGTATGCTGATTTTGCTGAGAGTTTTAATCATAAAGTGATGCTGGATTTTGTCAAAAGCTTTTTCTGCATCTATCAAGATGACAATGTGATTTTTGTTTTTAATTCTGTTTATGTGGTGTATCGCATTTATTGACTTGCATATGTTAAACAACCTCTGCATCCCTGGTATGAAACCCACTTGATCATGGTGGATTATCTTTTTAATATGTTGTTGGATTCAGTTAGCTAGTATTTTGTTAAGGATTTTAGCATCTATGTTCATCAAGGATATTGATCTGCAGTTTCCGTTTTTAGTTATGTCCTTTCCTGGTTTTGGTATTAGGATGATGCTGGCTTCATAGAATGAATTAGGGAGGGTTCCTTCTTTCTCTATCTTGTGGAAAACTGTCAAAAAGATTGGTACGATTTCTTCTTTGAATGTCTGGCAGAATTCTTCTGTGAATTTGTCTGGTCCTGGACTTTTTTGGTTGTTGGTAATTTTTTAATTACCATTTTGATCTCTCTGCTTGTTATTGGTCTGTTCAGGGTATCTAACTCTTCCTGATTTAAGCTAGGAAGGTTGTATTTTTCCAGGAATTTATCCATCTCTTCTAGGTTTTCTAGTTTATGTGTGTAAAAGTGTTCATAGTAGCCTTGAATGATGTTTTGTATTTCAGTGGTGTCAGTTGTAATATCTCCTGTTTCATTTCTTAGTGAGGTTATTTGGATTTTCTCACTTCTTTTCTTCATTAGTCTTGCTAATGGTCTATCAATTTTATTTATCTTTTCAAAGAACCAGACTTTGTTTCATTTATCTTTTGCATTTTTTTTTGTTTCTTTCAATATCATCTAGTTCTGTTCTGACCTTGGTTATTTCCTTTCTTCTGCTGTGTTTTGTTTGGTTTGTTCGTGTTTCTCTGATTCCTTGAGGTGTGACCATAGATTGCCTGTTTGTACTCTTTCAGACTTTTTGATGTAGGCATTTAGGGCTATGAACTTTTCCTCTTAGCACTGCCTTTGCTGTATCCCAGAGGTTTTGATAAGTTGTGTCATTATTGTCATTCAGTTTGAAGAATTTTAAAATTTCCATCTTGATTTTGTTTTTGACCCAATGCTCATTCAGGAACAGGTTATTTAATTTCCATGTATTTGCATGGTTTTGAAGGTTCCTTTTGGAGTTGATTTCCAGTTTTATTCCACTGTGGTCTGAGAGAGTGCTTGATATAATTTCAATTTTCTTAAATTTATTGAGGCTCGTTTTATGGCCTATCGTATGGTCTGTCTTGGAGAAAGTTCCAGGCTCTGTTGAATAGAATGTGTATCCTGTGGTTGTTGGATGAAATGTTCTGTATATATCTGTTAAGTCCATTTGTTCCAAGGTGTAGCTTAAATCCATTGTTTCTTTGTTGACTTTCTGTCTTGATGACCTGTCTGGTGCTGTCAGTGGAGTATTGAAGTCCCCCACTACTATTGTGTTGCTATCTATCTCATTTCTTAGGTCCATTAGTAATTGTTTTATAAATTTGGGAGCTCCAGTGTTAGGTAGATATATGTTTAGGATTGTGATATTTTCCTGTTAGACAAGACCTTTTACCATTATATAATGTTCCTCTTTGTCCCTTTTTACCTCCGTTGCTTTGAAGTTTGTTTTGTCTGATAGAAGAATAGCTGCCCCTGCTTGCTTTTGGTATCCATTTGCATGAAATCCCTTTTTCCACCCCTTTACTTTAAGTTTATGTGAGTCCTTATGTGTTAGGTGAGTCTCCTGAAGGCGGCAGATAGTTGGTTGATGAGTTCTTATCCATTCTGCGGTTCTGTATCTTTTAAGTGGAGCATTTAGGCCATTTATATTCACTGTTAGTATTGAAATTTGAGGTACCATTGCATTCCTCATGTTCTTTGTTGCCTGTGTACTTTGGTGGGTTTTTTTTTTTGTTGTTTGTTTGTTTGTTTGTTTGCTTTTTAACTTGTATTTTTGTTTTATAGGTACTGTATGATTTATGCTTTAAAGAGGTTCTGTTTTGATGTGTTTCCAGGATTTGTTTCAAGATTTAGAGCTCCTTTTAGCAGTTCATGTAGTGGTAGCTTGGTAATGGTGAATTTTCTCTCAGCGCTTGTTTGTCTGAAAACGACTGTATCTTTCTTTCATATATGTTGCTTAGTTTCTCTGGATACAAAATTCTTGGCTGATAATCGTATTGCTTGAGGAGGCTGAAGGAGTGCCCCAATCCCTTCTAGCTTGCTGAGGCTGCTGCTGAGAAGTATGTTGTTAATCTGATAGGTTTTCCTTTATAGGTTACCTGGTGCTTCTGTCTCACAGCTATTAAAATTCTTTCCTTCATCTTAACTTTGGATAAACTGAATACAGTGTGCCTGGGTGAAGATCTTTTTGTAATGAATTTCCCAGGTGTTCTTTGTGCTTCTTGTGTTTGGATGTCTAGGTCTCTAGCAAGGCTGGGAAAGTTTTCCTCTACTCCTCCTCCAAATATGTTTTCCAAGCCTTTAGAATTCTCTTCTTCCTCAGGAATACCGATTATTCTTGGGTTTGGTCATTTAATGTAATCCCAGACTTCTTGGAGGCTTTGTTCGTATTTTCTTACTCTTTTTCTTTGCCTTCTTTGGGTTGGGTTAATTTGAAGACCTTGTCTTCAAGCTCTGAATTTTTTTCTTCTACTTGTTCAATTCTATTGCTGAGACTTTCCAGAGCATTTCACATTTCTAAAAGTGTGTCCAAAGTTTCCTAAATTTTTTATTGTTTTTTCTTTAAGCTATCTATTTCCTTGAATATTTCTCCAGTCACTTCTTGCATCATATTTTGGATTTCCTTGCATTAGGCTTTGCCTTTCTCTGGTCCCTCCCTGATTAGCTTAATAACTAACCTCATGAATTCTTTTTCAGGTAAATTGGGGATTTCTTCTTGGTTTGGATCCATTGCTGGTGAACTAGTGTGATTTTTTTTTTTTGTGGGGGTGCTGTTGAAGAGTCTTCTTTTTTCATATTACCAAGGTTGGTTTTCTGGTTCCTTCTCATTTGGGTGAGCTCTGTCAGAGGGAAGGTCTAGAACTGAAGGCTGTTGTTCAGATTCTTTTGTCCCATGGGGTGTTCCCTTGATGCAGTACTCTCTTCCTTTTCCTATGGATGTGGCTTCCTGTGAGACGAACTGCAGTGATTGTTGTCTCTCTTGTGGGTCAGGCACTCAGTTAATCTACTTGGCTCTGGGCTGGTACTGGGGGTTGTCTGCACAGAGCCCTGCCATGTGAACTGTCTATGGGTCTCTCAGCTGTGGATACCAGCACCTGTTCTGGTGGAGGTGGCAGAGGGTGCAATGGACTCCATGAGGGTACTTAGCTTTGGTGGTTTAATGCTTTATTTTTGTGCTGGTTGGCCTACTGCTAGGAGGTGGTGCTTTCCAGAAAGCATCAGCTATAGTAGTGTGGAGAGATATTGAGGTGGGTGGGGCCCTGGAACTCCCAAGATTATATGCCCTTTGTCTTCTGCTACTAGGATGGATAGGGAAGGAGCATCAGGTGGGGGTGGGGCTAAGCGTGTCTGAGCTCAGATTCTCCTTTGGAGGGTCTTGCTGAGGCTGCGGTGGGGGATGGGGGTGAGATTCCCAGATCACTGGAATTGTGTACCTAGGAGGATTATGCTGCCTCTGCTGAGTTGTGCAGGTTGTCAGGGAAGTGGGGGAAAGCCGGCAGTCACAGGCCTCACCCAGCTCCCATGCAAAGTGAAGGGCCAGTCTCACTCCCACTGTGTCCCCGCCAACAGCCCTGAGTCTGTTTCCAGGTGGAGGGCTAGAGGGGCTTGAAAACTTGCCCAGGCAAAGAGGAGGGCTTTAGTTCTTTCCCGACCTGTGAAGTCTGCATGCTGTATTAGTGCCCTCCCCTGAGTTCTGACCAGGAGGCTTCTCACCCAGTTCAAATTGTTACAAAGTTCAGCTAGAGAATTCCTTCTCCCTGTGGAATTTTACCCCCTGCTCCTCTGGCCACCCTCCCAATGGATCCCTGTGGGGCCAGGCAGGACTGGGCTGCTTGGGGACCCAGCAAGCTCCCAGGGCCTTTCTGCTGCTTCCTCTACCCGTGTATTTTGCTCGGCTCTCTAACTTGACTCAGCTCTATGTAAAGTTAGAAACTTCTCCTGCAAACAGACCTTCAGCTTCTCCAGTGGGGGTGTGTGTTTGGGAGAGTAGAGTCTCCCTTTCCTACTTCTGCAGTTGGGGCACTCACAGTATTTGGGGGTCTCCTGGGTCCTGCAGGAGCAGTCTTCTTCCTTCAGAGGGTCTGTGGGTCCTCTTGGGATTGGTGGTTTGTTCTTGCAGTCAATCTGGAGCTAAAATTCACAATGCAAGCCTCCACATACTGCTCTCCAGAGCTGCAATCTAGTCTGCCTCCTGTCCACCATGATCTCAGGAGCTCCCCAACCTTGATACTTTCTTGAGAATTTGGCTCTAGTCTATTTATTACCCAAGAGCCAGGGGCAAGCAAAAGAAGATCTGGGGTCAGGAACACTGAGATGTAATCCAAGTTCTGCCTGAATTAGTTGGAGAGGTTTGCACAAATCTCTTAAATGTGGCAGGTTTTCACTTTGTCATGGGGTACATAGCTGCATGATTTCTGAGGTATTTTCTTGCTCTCAAATGCAGATCACCCGCTGAAATGCCTACTTTCTATTCTCTGACTTTCTAAATCCCATCTATCTCTCAGACTGCAGCCCAAATCTTATCATCCCACAGTTGTACCCATTGACTTCAGCCTGCACTGACCTCCCCATTTATGGCTGCCCATGGGCCCTAACTTTTTTCATATTCATTTAGATGCTTATTTATGTGCCATCGGGCAGAGGACAAAGAGCTCACCTTTGGACTGAGACCAACATTTAAATCTAGACTCTGGAATTTATCTGTGGTGCAACTTTGGGCAAACCATCAACCTCTCTGAACTTCAGCTTCCTCTTGGTAAAGTGGTGATGGTGCTTACTTCACAGAGTAATTGTGAGAAAATGATATGATAATTTTATGCATGGGAAACTTCAAGATATTATATCAATCTTAGTTTAAATTATCAGTATCATGATTAATCAGTAGTTGATTTGCAATTTGATGGAGCATTCCTGGAAAGTTGGGACTTTCTCTTCTGTAGGATCTAGGACATGTGTGTGTAGTTGGCACTAAAGACTCCAACTGGCCTGAATTGAGCCTGATATCCAGGAAAAATATCTGGTGTATTCTCTGTGAAGCAATGCATGAAGATGGTTGAATTTTTGAGAAGCAGGCAGTACCTCTTCCAATCTGACCTCAAAGGTGAGGAAACTAACCTTGGATTCTATAGAGTGTGGGATCACACAGTTCCTCCAACCACTCTATGGTATATGCCACAATATTCACCTTGTCTTAAGATCACAGAATGCAGGCTAGATGCTTCAACCAGGACAACTCTATGTAATAGGCAGTTGCTATATTGGAAACACGGTATTGGAGCTTGTGGGCCAAAGTTCCAATGCTGTGGGCTAGCATATATGTGGGCCAAAACCACATGTATGCTAGCAGAAGCATAGGCACAGGAAAGGCAGTCCCTGGAAATGGAATGTGAGGGATAGGCTGTTGCAAGAACAGGAGAAGGATAACTTTGTGCTGTAAATAAGGACTACTCAACAATAGCCCACAAGACCTCTAAGACTGTCTAAAAGAAAGACGGATCAATGTGTGGGTAGGTGAAAGAAATCCAACCATGCATAAGAAAGTCAGGTATGCTGGGTGTTTTCTGGTTGTCTCTCATTCCCAAGACTGTCCTTCCTTATTCTGTGCTGTAATGCTGGGGTTGAAACTTGTCAAGGTTTATGTCCCAGGATCTTTTGCAAGTTGACTCCCATTATACCCTGCTGATAGGAGGCACTGGTAGGAAACCAGAAGGCAGGAGATAGGAAGCAGCATTGTCTGCCCCTCTTTCTCTTTCTGTTTCCTTCTACCATGGGGGTCTCTGGGAGTAGCTATGCCCAGTCCTCCATGGTCTCAGTTCCTGAGGTGATGGTCCCTCCTCTTCATTCACAGAGGTTAGTAACCACCTCCTATTTGTTCTCCTAGCCTTCACAGTGGTAGCTGTTTCCTGTAGTTTCTAATCTTTTGGTTAATTGACTTTCTTTTGCCTTTTTCAGACTTCCAATACCTGGAAACCAATACCCCGTTTGAAATCCTCTCTGTTTAAAATACCTAGTTGGTTTCTGTTTTCCTAACTGGATATTCCATAATGTAAAGTAGAGATCAAGGAGCAATAGTGCTCGATGAGAGCTACTGGGGAAGTTTCCTTTCCATTAATCTTGGCAATACATTTGGTTGAGACAAATGGAATAATAGTAATAATAATGTTATCTAGCACACAAAAACAGTCATCATGTACCAGCCATTATTCTAAGTCATATACATATATTAACTCATTTAATCCTCACAACAGCCCTGTGAGACAGGTACTATTAGTTTGCATCTTACTGATGAGAAAAGTGAGGCACAAGACACAGAGAGATTAAGTGAAGTTGCCTGAAGACATACAGGTGGTAAGAGGCAAACTGATATTCACACTTAAGAAGCCTGGCTCCAGAGTCCATAATTTTAACCACTGTCTTATCTTGGTTGTCTCTAAAAGCAGACCTTGAGACAAATATTTGGGTTCAAGTAATTTATTTGTGAAATGTTTTCAGGAAGCACAGTGAGAAATGAGGCAGAGAAGAAAAGAAGAAAGCTGATAAAAAGAAAATGTGTTAATAAGTTGGTTACTGCTGTGGGCAACTGGGACTTGATTCTGCTGGGGGTGCCCTGAGAGGGTGTGTATGGCCCAGTATTGAGGATCATTCCTCATGTGTTAATTCCCTGGTCATTTCAGTCATACCCTGCATGTGCCAAGCATGCTCACGTGACCAGAGAACAGCCTCAACCAGTGGGACACAGTAGCCTCTAGTCATATATATGATGTTTCAGCAGTGACCTCCTGGGTGGGCAGAAGGGATATGGGCAGGGCATTGAAAGTGCCTACTGTACTCACTGAATTACAATGCTTCTTGGTCACTCAAAATCATGTCCAACTAGTTGTATCACGAGTAAGATGGCAAGTACAGATCACTGTATGGAACTCAAGAAACTCAGAGCTACTCTTCCTACACCCAAGGAGATGTTTCTAATGTCAATGACCAAGATGATCTCACCCTTCATCTACCTTCATCTTATCTGTCACCATGTCACATAGACTTTACCTCCTTAGTAGCCCTTCTGCTCCTTCCTTTCTGCCTCCTCGCTTTGTCTTCATTCAAGCCTTCATTGTCTCTCAGCAAGACTGGCCTCCCAAACTCCATTCTCTGACCCTTTCCAATATACCTTATTGCTGGAGTCATCTTACTAAAACACAAATCTGATCACGGCCCTCCCCTAATAAAATCCCTTGAGATTTTCCATAGCTTTCAAGGAAAAGGCCAAAATCATTGATATGGCAAATGAGGCTACCATCTATGAATCTAACACCGCCTCTCATACATCCTACACTCATGGACTCATTTCCATGCACAGTCTGACATATCCATGCCTTGCTGTATGTGAGTCTTGTGTCCTGACACCTTCTCCCTCTTCTTCATCCATCTCTGATTTACAAGATTCATCTCAGACATTGCTTCTCCCAGCAATGTCTTCTTGCCCCCACTCCATGTTCTCAATAGATGTGCCTGTTGCTCTCAAAGGGCTCTGCATTCCCTGTACCCAGCATAGTATTTGCCGCATGGTGAAGTTGACCAAAGAATTTTTAGTTCAAACTGGGACACTTCTGAGAGTGAAAGGGGATATTCATAATAATTATATAAAGACAACTCAGACTATCCTAGGGTAGTCACCACGTATTGTCACCCTAACACCCATAGTAGATGCCCAATTCATATTCAATTCAATTATCAACAAACTCACATAATCCCTACAAATTTAGTGAAGTGATCTCATAAACAGAGCTCACATATCACAGGAGGCGTCCAAGATGAGCCATTGGAGGCCAGAAGTATTAGAAAAAAATATATATAAATATATTCACATATATAATTTCTCCTAAATCTCTCTTCTGTATGTTTGACTATTGGATCAGTCAGCTGGCGTCACAATTATGGTGAATGACAAAATCACCCTCAAACTTTGTGACTTAAAATAACAAACATTTATCCTCATTTTCATGTTTGTGGGTTGGCTGACTCAGGCTCTTCTGGGCTGCCAAGCTGCAGGTTGAGCATTGGTCTGCTCCACGTGCGTCTCTTCCTCCTTGGACCTGCCTGCTACCTGTCAGGTTCTTCTCATGGCAATGGCAGATTTGTTAAAGGGTTAGCCAAAACTTGCAATGATATTTCACATCTCTGACTGCATCACATGTGCTAACATCCCATTGTCCAAAACAAGTCACAAGCCCAAGCTCAATGTCAAGGAGTGAGGAGATATACTATGGCTACCATGATGTCATGGCAGGAATGTGAATGTACAATACTACTCCAGAGGAGTGAAGAACTGGAACCAATAATTCAATTTATCTCATTATGTATGCATTATATTAGGGCAGTAGTATACACACACATACACACAAACATGCACACACCTGGAGCCACTATATAACTTATAGATACATATGTGTTTTTATATATATATATATATAATATAATATATATATTTTATACATACACACATACATACACACATATATGTAAATATGGAACTCAAAATATTTCATGGATCAACAGAATTTGGACACAGCATCATATTATTACCATATGGTAGGTAGTACGTCTGTTAGTGCTCAGTAGTCATTGATTGCCTCTCCCAGGAATCATAAATACCCTTTTGTTGACAGTTGAAAATACTTAGCCATGCTGTCTTATATCCAGTGGCACATCAGTGTCCTAAGGAATCTCAAGGTCTTGTGACATAGGTACCTCAGATGCTGAGATTCAGGAGAACCAGGTTCCCATCCAGCTCTGCCACTTACAAACCACATGATATTGGGTCTCCCTCTGAATGTTTTGGGGGCTCAGTTTCCTCTTCTGTAAGAGGGAGCTATATTACCTGCCCCATCTACTTTATGGAGTTGCTGTAAAGATGAAATAATGAGAAACATCTTAGAAAGTATATGTTATCTTAAGGCTAGGCCCTGCAAGCAGCAGCCTCTGAGGCAAGGACTGAAGTGTGAGTTGTTTATGTAGAAGCTGACCAAGGGAGCACTGCTGGAGAGTGGGAAGTGAGACAGGGAAGGGAAGGCAGCCAATAAAAGGCATGCTGATGAGCACGTTATTGCTGTGGGCCACTGGGGCTCAGTCCCACTAGGTCTTCTGGGAGATGCTACAGAGCACATGTTAAAGTTGTCCACCCAAGGGATGCACAAGCTGGACTATGTATGCACCAACTTCCTGTCTGGCATTGGTTGGTGGCTGCTTCCTCTGCCCATCAGAATAGTCCAAGATTCCATATCTTGGCTACTGTGAATAGTGCCGCAATCAACATGGGAGTGCAGATGTCTCTTTGACATACTGATTTTCTTATGTTTGAGACATGTCTGCACTCTCATGTTGATAGAAGTACTATTCACATTGGCCAAGATGTGGAATCCACCTAAGTGTCTATCAACAGATGAATGGACAAAGAAAATGCGGTGCATATACACAATGGAATATTATTCAGCCTTTAAAAAGAACAAAATTCCATCATTTGCAGCAACATGGATGAGCTTGGAGGACCTTATGTTAAGTGAAATAAGCGAGCCACACAAAGATAGATGCTGCATGTTCTCACTTACATGTGGGAGCTAAAAATAGTTGATGTGATAGAAGTAGAGAGTAGAAGAGTGATTACTAAGAGGCTAGAGAGAGTGGAGTTGGGAGGAAGGATAGGGAGAGGTTGGTTAACAGATACAAGAGTACAAACAGGTAGGAAGAATAAATTCTAGTGTTCTATAGCAGTATAGGGTGACTATAATTAACAAAAATTATATATTTTCAAATAGCTAGAAGAGTGGATTTTGAATGTTCCCAACACAAAGAAATGGTAAATGATTCAGGTGATGGATATAGTACTTATCCTGATTTGATCACCGCACATTGTGCTCATGTATCAGAACATCACACTGTACCTGATTAATATGTACAATTATTGTGTGTCAATTAAAAATAATAATAAAAGCCAAAAGAATTGTCCAGGAGTCTATGACACTGAGTCAATAATCTCTCCAGAGCAGAGTATCTGCCTGACCTCATTTGTGAAAATACATTTGTATGGAACTTCAGACTATTTCAAGCACTTGTATTTACACATCACAAAGCAGTATAGTGTGACTGTTCTGAGCACTGATCCTGGAGCTAGGCTACCTGGGTTCAAATCCCACCTCTGCCACTTACCAATTGTGTGCCCTTGGGCAAGTTATTCAACCTCTCTGTGCCTACATTTCTTATGTGAAAAATGGAGATAAAATAATGGTACCTATCTAGTGGAGTGGCTGTGACTATTGAATAAATTAATAAAAGTAAAGCTTTTGAAACAGTGTCAGGCACTCAGCAGGTAACAGTTTATGATATTCTTATAAATCATATACAAAGCAAGTAAAGAGTATGATTCCTTTTTGAAAGCTGGGGAAACTGAGGCAGGGGGAAACTTGCACACTCATCTGTCAGATTTGGTTGCTTTCTTTAACTCTACCCTCAGCCCTTGCCCAGTCCTTAGTTTCTACCTGGTCTGAGTTGGCAAAGGCTGGCTTCTGTGAGCTCACACGCTCCAGGCTCTGGCACAGCTGGAAACACCGGTGTGTGTGTGTGTCCTCTGCATCCCAGTGGTTCTGAATGGCAGGCACTCAAGGAGAAAAAGGCAATGCTTCAGCATGAATGCACACAGCCAGCCCAAGCAGCCACCCTTCCAGGAGCTCTGGGCCCATTGGGCAGCCTCGAAGCAGGAGCTATTGGGTTCTGGATGGCATACTCCACACCTTCCCCTCCCTGTGTAGAGTTTGGCAGGTTCCCTGGTTCATGTTTGCTCCCCCACACACAGATGGTGCCTCTTCCAACACAAAGACAAACACAAACACTGCTCTCTCTTCCCACGGCATCTTCTAGAGACCTGGCGGACACATGGGCAGATTAGTCCGGATTAAAGTTGGTGATATTTTTCTGTCCTTGAAGAGAAAGAGAGAGAGAGAGAGAGAGAAGAGAGAAAGGGGGAGAGGGATAAGGGGGGAGAGGGATAAAGAGGGAGAGAGAGAGGGAGAAAGGGAGAGAAAGAGAGAGAGAGAGAGACCAACAGAATAAGGAAAAAAGACACAGAAGTGCATGGACCAAAAGAGAGGATCAAATTTCCTTGATATAAAGCCAGGATTTGGAAACAGAGGAGACAATTATAGTCTCTGCTTTCTGGCAAAGACACTCAGTGACAGTGGGTTCCTGTGGCCCTGAGTAAATCTGAAGGAGAGAGCAAGAGTTGGGGGCCTGCAAGTGTGACTGTGATAAGGACACTCATGTTGTTAGTACAGAGGAAAAACAAAGCACAAAGTGAAACTCTCAGAGTGTGTTCTATTGATAGATCTAAATCGAACACAGGAAACGGCCCTGGCCACAGGGATATTGTAAATATGAAGGCAGCCGTGGGACTTGTAGTGTGTGCATGAGGGTGTGGTGTAACTCAGGACTGCAGGACTTCGTGGTGGGTCTTCTGCCAGAAAGCAGTGGCTGTAATTGTCTCCCTCTCTTTTTCAACCCTGCCTTTAGACCTGGAAAGAGCTTTATCCTCCTTCTTGGTCTCTGAGGTCATTTGTTAATGTAATAGTTACTGGGTGTTCCTCTGAGATGCAGGCATTAGGCCAGGCACAAGAAATACACATATAAATATGATGTCAGCCCCAGGCTCCAGGAGCTCCCAGTCTGGAAGAGAAAACAGAAACATCGTCAAAGAAACCAGCTCCACAGCAGAGGGGGTCACAGAATAACATAAACATGCTCATGTGCAGTACAAACTCAGAGACATCAACTCCAAAGAGTAGGAAACTTGGTGATAACACTCAGAATCACCTAAGATGTGTGCTTCCTGAATGCAAAGCCTGGACACAACAGTGATCTGGGAGAGAGAGGCTGGCCCACAGGCTCCCTGGAGCTAACGATTGTCCACTTGGGCAGGGTCCTCTGATGGGGTAATCTGGGGGCTGCAGGAGAGGCCCTAAACAGCTCATCTCCCCACTGCCATCTCCATGTTACAATATCTAAAATTTCGACATGAAAGAAATACTTCCTCTTGGCTTTTTAAAAAGAATTTCTTTCATCTGTAGAAGCACTTCACACCTGGAGCAGCAGTAGCATTTTCGCTGGGCTGCCACTAACATTAGATCCCTTGATACCTGGGGCCTCTCAGGGCACCGAGTTTGCAGTTAAGGGAATTCCTGGAGGTGTGTGCAGTAAAGAAACATACAAAGGTGTTAGCAAGTCCCTAGACCTCTTTTCTGAAGGCTGAAAGGCGCTGGAGGAGAACAGAGTAGAGGTGAAGTGGTAGGTCCTAGAAGCACGGAGAGAGGACTGCCCCATGGCCTTGAGTAGCACTGCCTGTGGGTTGATGTATCTTTAGGAGGGGGTTACAAAAGCTCATTGGACAAACTGCTATGGGCTTAGGATGTGCTATGTGACAGGGTGTCTCTATATTTTTAGACACAAATTATTGATGGTGTCACAATGTTGAAAAGAGGCAGTTTGTGGCCATTTTTTCCAGGGGGAACACTTCTCATTTTCACGTATCAGTGTCTGAGTGACTTTGTGTGCCAGACACTGATGGTTGTTTAGACAAAGGGTGTTCCCCATTTTACCTTGCTAATGGAACTTTGGTTTGTTCATTGGCAATGTGCCCAGGCTCAAAGGATAAATCATGATTAGACCAAGGCAACCAGACAATTCTCTTTTGCAATTGACTAGTACCTTGTGACCCAGTTCTGGACCGTGAGATGTAAGAAGATCTGTGCTGGAGAGACACTGAGAAATACTAGCTCCTCGATAAAACAAGGCCACAAGAGAACAAGGCCTTTTACCCCTTCTTTTCTTCCTGCTTTGGATGCTGACATGTGAGGATGATGCCTGGGGCTGCTGAAGCCATCTTGAGACCATGAGGCAGCCAATCTGAGAATAAAGGCATCAGTCTGAGGATTGTGCAATTGGAGGATATTTGTTGGCCTGGTTAAGCTGCTGAACCAATCCTGCAACTGGCCACCTCCAGGCTACTGGTTAAGTAAGCAATATGCATACTTGTGGCATAAGCCACTGGTAGGTAGATTTTTCTGTTGTACTGAAATATATCCTAACTGCTATTTCATACTGACATTGGAAATTGGAGACCAGAGTAATCAATAAGATGAAAACATATACTGTTAATTCTTCCAGGTGGGAAATACAAGTTGTTTTCTGTTTAGGTAGAGCACTGAACCTCACAAACACCAAATTTATTTGTAAATCGATTGATTGTTCATTGGCGTTCATTATGAGGGAGCCTAGGACGGCAGAAAGCTCATGGGACTGGTGTCTAGATAGCAAAGTTTTGGTCTCAGGTCTGTGATCTCAGGCATCAGTTCTCTCTTTCTGTAGAAGAAACACAAAGGTTTGAAATTGAATCAAAGCCCGACATTCAATAGGGCATTAGTCCAGGACAAATTTTCCAGACTGTATTTTTTTTCTGTGACTGAAAACCCTTACTTCTTCAAATCTGAATCTTAAAAGATGAATAAAATTCATCTTTAAATAAAATATCTTTAATGTGAACTAATATTTTATTTTAGTGATAAAATAAATGAATAAAAAGAGTTTCAACTGGTTTCTCTTGTTTATTAAATAATGTAATAAATATATATTACATCTATATCATTTTTAATTGATCCATGGTGGAGAATTTGAAGAGCTTACCTTTTCTTAGTAGAGTTTGTGTTGGGAAACACAGAACTAGATGGCTCTGATTCTGAATAGAAAAATGTGTTAGAGTTCTTTGCCGATACAAAGAGCCAAAACGAAGGTTTCAGCTGGTGGTGTTCTAGTTTCAGGGGGCCAGGGCAGAAACACTTAGAACAGAAACTGGGATGGCATCCCAGCTTCCTGCCTGTTGTTCAAGCCCACCCTGACTTTCTGGGTGAGGGACCTGTTTGCCAATGCTATGCTTCACTTATGACCCTGAATAAAAATCTGGATACGCTGTTCTATGGAAGTAAAGCAAAAAACTTTAATTTAGGAACTGTCATATACTAGTGTATGGAAATCCATTTCTGAGGCCCTTTGAATTCTTGTTTTCATAGGACAAGATCAATGGCTAAGAATCAGATAGTCAAATGCTGGAGGACTCTTTACTGAGCTCTGCTACAGGCACAGTGCTATGTGAAGACATGGTCCTTCTTTTCTAGGATGTCTGTATGTATGCATAGTCTAGAGAAGCTGATATTACAAGAGGCCCAATCCCATTTTTCTGGACAGAAGGAAAGCAGTCGACAGTTATATAAATGGACAAATATAATTATATTGCTCTGGAGTGGGACTGCTCTATGATTTAATTAAATCAGACGCGTTTAGCCCATTTCAATGGCTATTGAGGCTTCTCACTTTCAGAGTAGCTTCAGAGAGCCTTTTGGACTGAATTGTCTCGATGCAAAACACAGCTGAGTTTTGAAAATGGAACCCAGTGTCCCCAGTGTATTTCTGCCCCCTGACAGCCTAGGAGTATTTTTTTTTTCAGAAAGTCGAGAATTCAATACATCATGATTCTTTTTTAAATCATAGAGCTTTCTGCAGCCAACCAATCTGGAGTCCCAGTGAGTTAACTGCATTCTTTATCCCAAGGCAGTTTGGTAGAAGAAATTCTATTAGTTCTGCTGGATGCTGGTCTGAGTCCCAATCAGAAGATGAAGCAAGAAGACGAGATTGGCTGAATATACATATGTTTGTTTTGGGGTGAGGGAGTATCTTAAGAAAAGAGAGTTGGATCAGAAATAGAGCTAGACTCAAAGAACACTGCAGGCGACAGAAGGCCAGCACACTATCTTTCCACATGGAAAAAGAATGCCTGAGAATGAAGCTAATGCCAAGGAAAGCAAAATGAGATGGAGAAAAGGAGACAGAGTTGGAATCTGAACTCTTAGCTACAAGCAAAGCTTTATATTTCTGATATATGTAAACCAATAAACTCCTCTTTTTATTAAGAATAATAAAAAGCCAAGCGTACCACAGATTTGGTCCAAAAAGTCTAGCTTCTTCAGCAGGAAGGCAGGTAGCAAGGAAAGTCCTCAAATTTTCAGAAATGTAAAGAAAGAATTAAAAAATGGGATCAGAGACTGTGAAAAAATAAAGGTGATAATAAAAGTGCTTTGGAGGTATGGAGTGCTTCATAGTTTCTAAAACAACATCAGTTCTCAAGACATACAATAGATACTTCAACTTGTCTCAATGCTGCAGAGCACTGTGGGACTATTGGAGCTTTGATATGAGTACTGTATGTTTATGAATGCAATCTAGGGTAGCATTAGCTTTTGGGGGCATTTCATTCCAAATAACTTAATTGCCACAAGGTTCCTATGGGATTGATAAGTCAAGTATTGTTATTTATTATTATTCCCATTTCAATAATAAAGAAATATTCAAGGTCACAAAACTAAGAAGCGGCAATATTGGGAATTAAATGCAAAACATCTGACTCCAAGCTCAGTGCTCTTTCCACCACGGTATCATCCAATTATCTATTCAGTTATCCATCCATCCATCCATCCATCCATCCATCCATCCATCCATCCATCTACTCTTCCTTCCTTCTGCTTACTTATTCATCCATCTATCTGTTCATCTATTCAACAAACACTAATTAGACTACTTTTATGTGATAATGCTTCAGGTTCTGGATATAAAAAATGTAACTTTAGTATTTAGACCTCCACAGGCTTTGAGGGCAAATGAGGTGCTATGGTTTGGTTATTTGACCTTCTAAAACTTATGTTGAAATGTGATCCCCAATGTTGGAGGTGGGACCTGGTGAGAGGTGTTTGGGTCACAGGGACAGATCCCTCATGGTAATGAGTGAGTTCTTGTTCTAGTTCCTGTGAGAGCTGATTGTTAAAAAAAAAAAAAAAAAAAAAAAAAAAAAAGCCTGATTCCTCCTCCTCCTCTCTCTCTCTCTTGCCTCCTCTCTCACAATTGATCTGCACACACCAGCTCCCCTTTGCCTTCTGCCATTAGTGGAAGCTTCCTGAAGCCCTCACCAGAAACACATGCTGGTGCCATGTTTCTTGTACAGCATGAATAACTGTGAGCCAAATAAACTTATTTTCTTTATACATTGCCCAGCCTCGGGTATTCCTTTTATAGCAGTACTATTGGACAAGACATAAGTCATACTAGAATTTATATCTGTGTTAGGGTTCTCTAGAGAACCAGAATCAATGGGATGTGTGTGGGTGTGGGTGGGTGTGTGTTGGCGGGGGGAGAGAGGGAGACAGAGATACAGAGACAGAGATAGAGAGAGATTTATTTTAAGGCATTAGCTCACACAATTATGGAAGCTGGAAAGTCCAAAATCTGCAGGATAGGTTAGCAGAGGCTGAAGGCCCAGGAAAAAGCTAGTGTTCTGACAGAATTCCCTCTTGGTCAGAGAAGGTCAGATTTTTGCTCTATTCAAACCATCAGCTGATTGGATAAGGCCCACCCATATGAGGGAGGGTCATCTGCTTTATTCAAAGCCCACCCATTCAAATGTTAATCTCATCCAAAAACACCCTCACAGAAGCAACCAGAATAATGTTTGACCAAATATCTGGGCACTGTGATCCAGCCAAGTTGACACATACAATTAACCATCATAGTATTTAAGTTGCAACAGCATGTTGTTTCTACCGAAAAGGCTACAGGATGATAAAGTTTCCTCCAGGTTTTTCTGAGACTGCTCAGAGAAAGCTTTGACTGTGAGAAGAAGTCCACTCAGGTTTTGTAACTTTGGCATCTTAGAGGAGAACCACAACCAGTCAACCATTCAGGAGATGACTCTTCTTCATGGACCCTGCTCCAACGCTGCTGAGAAGATGTGGTTCCCCTGGGGACTATGGTCATACTCACAGTTCCACCACACATCAGTTCTTTCCGGCAGTGCCAACCCTGAAGTGCTAGAGTGCCAAAGTTGCATTGAGATCTAGAGTGAAAAGATATGGGGAAAGAATGACTTCCTCTCCAAACTTGGGTGGCTTTTTATCCCTTGGGTCCTGGAAAGTTCCACTTGTCTCTGTCTCACATGCTTTTATAATGAAATCAGCCTTTTCCATGTTGACCTTTACCCAAATGGTCTAACTGATTGCACTTTAAATATATAACCACAAACCTCGAAATAGCATTCTAACCACATGGCAAGCCTTCTTAGGAAGCTTGTTAAATTTGCCCTCTGATAAACCTACTTCACACTTTCTTCTCTTTCTTCAAACGTACATTTCCCCAACTCCTTACTCAAAAGCTTATGCTCTCATGTCATTCTTTGTTAACAAAGTGGAAATAATGACATGAAGCCTCCATATTTTCAACACTAACCCAACAAATTTACATGCTCTGATTTCCAAGTTACCAAGTTACCAAATCCAATGGACACTCTCCTTATCCCTCA
Organism: Homo sapiens; assembly: GCF_000001405.40. Classification (NCBI taxonomy): domain Eukaryota; kingdom Metazoa; phylum Chordata; class Mammalia; order Primates; family Hominidae; genus Homo; species Homo sapiens. The sequence continues at coordinate 39,330,990 of NC_000023.11, read as the reverse complement.
TTGTGCTGGTTCTCGCAGAAGCAATTGACACAGTTGGCCCTCCCTGCTTCTTCTTCTCTTTTAAATTTAAAATTTTTTTGAGACAGGGTCTTGCTCTGTCACCCAAGCTGGGGTATGGTGGCACAATCACAGGTCACAGCAGCCAGCTCAATCTCCTGGGTTCCAGCAATCCTCCCACCTCAGTCTCCCAAGTAGCGGGGACTACTGGTGCAAATCACCACACCTGGCTAATTAATTTTGTTTTTGTTTTTTGTAAAGACAGGGTCTCACTGTTTCCCAGGCTGGTATTGAACTCTTGGCCTCAAGCGATCTTCCTGCCTCAGCCTCCCAAGTAGCTTGGATTACAGGCACCAGCCACCATGCCTGGCCCTCCCTGCTTCTTAAAATACTTCCATACCTCATTTTTCATGACACAAATTTTGCTCTTTGTCTTCTACTCAACTTCTACAAAGATAACTCCAAGGTTTAGTCTCACAGTCATCTTTTCTTTATCTATACCTACACTCCTAGGTGATCGCATACAGTCTCATGACTTTGAATACTGAAGCATCTATATTCCAGATTTACATTTCCAGCACAGACCCCTCCAAGCTTATAGATAACCTGCTTAGTTTTGTTCATTTGGGTCCTCCAAAAAACAGACTGGATTACAAGTGCAAGAGATTTATTGGAGGAAAATCCTGTCAAGTAAAACAGCAGGTAGGGAGCTAGAGCAGGTGGAGCCTCCAGAGAGCAATGCAGGTCTGACACCTGTGGAAGGAGAGTGAAGGAAGGGGACTTGGGTAGAAAAAGTCTTGGACTGTAGCAGAATTCCAGAAAATGTCCAGCCAGGCTGATGAAGAGTCCTTGAGCCAAGGTTGCCTGTCAGAGGAGTCCCCATGTCCTGCAGGAGTGGACCTGCTTTAGTATCCCTGGTGTCTTCAGTCACTGCCTGGGAGCAGCCTGTGGCAAATGTGGCCTCAGTGTGCAATGTAGAAGGTGGGACCATCAATCAACTTTGCTTCATGCAGCAAGAGATCTAAGTGACACATTTTCACCACCCCAATATCAGTTAACATCTCTTCTTTAATTTCTAACAGACATCTCAAACTTAGCATAGAAAAAAAATGGAATTCTTAATTCTTAATTGTCCTCATCACATATGTATTCCCTTTAAATTTTTGTCATCTTGGTAAATGGCCTCACTTTCTTCCAGATGCTAAAGCCAAAAATCTAGAAATCATTTTTTAATCTTTTGCCCCATTCCCTACATCCAGTCCAGAAGTAAGTCCTTTTGGACTTACCTCCAAAATCTCAAATCCATCTACTTCTTTCCATTTCCACTGCTACAGTCTTATTCCAAACCTCCATCCTCCCTCACCTGTTTTCCTAAATGGCCTCTCCACTGCTACTCTTGCCACCACTATAGCCGATTCTTCACAGCAGCCAAAATGGAACATCCCGCAGGCTGTTGCTTCAGCGGTGCACCATTATAATAGTACTGGAATTTGAGCACACTGCCTTGCTCTGCAATGCCCTATGTGATCTACGCCTGTGTACTTCCTTGTGCTCACCAAGACTGAGGCACACCTTGCTCCTATCTGTTCTTCAGACACTGGTCCACCCTCCCCAGTGCCTTTCTGTTCTCTTCCCCTATCTTCACACCTCTCCCTTCTACTCAGTCTTTAAAGATCATGTCGCCTTTGCTTTCTCAGATAGCCTTTCTCTGACCACCTTTTTAAAAGCAGACCCTTACCCCCACCCAAGTTATACATTAGCAAAAAACAGTGATTATTTCCTTCATAGCCTGTATCACTTTCTGCAATTACCTTGTCTATTCATTTTGTTTACATATTTCTCTGTCTCTCTTTATGCAAATGTAAACTCTATGAGAGCAGGGACCTTGCCTGTCTTGTTTAATGCTATTTCCCCAATGCTTGGCACAGAGCTGAAGATAATAGAAGAGACATATTGACTGTTTGTTGACTACTAAGCGAGTGACTCTCTCTTTAACAAGGGCTCAAAACTGTCCTTCAGGTGCTATTGGTAGCTGTTTCAGGTAGAAATAGGTTTTATTGCATATAACAGTGGCTTAGTCAAATTGTGATTTGCTTCTATTTTTCACAGACCGCGAAATTCAGGGGTAGTCAGTCAGTCTAGGACTGTACCATGGTTCTACAATGCCACCAAGACAGGGGGATTCTTCATGCTTTCATTTGGCTGTCCTGAATGGGTGGCTTTCAACTTTATGCTTGTTGTTTCACGGTCACAAGATGGCTCTCTGCCCTCTTTATAATGTTTTGTACAAGGTAGGAAAAAGAAGGTCAAAGATCAAAAAATATCAATTGGCTGAGTCTCCCTTTTTAAGGAGCTGTCATGGGCTGGGCTGCCCAGAATTCAGACTCTTAGATGGACATTAGCATGTGGGAGATTTATCACGGAGACCTTTTCGGATCAACAAGAGAGATCTGGGTCGTGCACAAAAGATTCTACCATGCAAGCTTTCTTGAAAGCCCATATACTAACTTCTACTTATATTTCAGTGGCCAGAGCTGTAGCATGTAGCTACCTTTAGCTGAAGGTAGCTGCAAAATATAGACTTCTAGTTGGGCCACCATGAACAAAATGAAGGTTCCATTAATAAGAAAGAAGGGGAAAATATTTAGGGTATTTAAGCAGGTGACCAGTGGCCTCTGCCATGGTGCCCCTTCTCTACTCTCTTATCTCTCTTCTCTCTCTTCTCCTACTGTTTTAGCATTAAAAATGAACAAACAAGCAAACAAACCAAACACATAAACAAAGCAAACAAACATGAATAAATCTCCTTCTTCCTTCATTAGCTAATAAACAAAAACTTATTAAAAGTCTCACAAAAACTGTGTAAAAACTTATGTGTATAGACCTTGCAAGGAAGATGGTTGCCACTATGCTAAAGATATTTTGATCTTCACTGGGGCCGACTGAGCCAAGATGAAGAGATGTAGATTCATCCCCAGGAAATACAATATAATGTGGAAACAAACTAATATATGACAACCTGATATAAGACAATACCCTAAGTGGGAGGGGAGGAATGTTCTAAAGGCAAAGGAAACTGAAAAGAGGAGCACCCTGGTCTATGTCAAAGAGACAGGGAAGGCTCCAGAAATGCAGAGATACTGAAGACATCATCATAAGGAAAGAGGAGCATATATTTTGCAGGGGCCAGAGGGGCAGGGAGCTGGATGACAGGCAATATACAACCCAAGCTGGAGGAACTGAGCACTGGGAAGCCAGAATCTAAGCATGGTGGAGACAGAGTGTGGGACAAGCTCAGGCACCTGCAGCAAAAATAGTGCTGGCCAAGGAGCCATAGTCCTTTCCCTGGCTTTTCACTCCTCCCGCCTAGGTCCAGAGATGCTCCTCTGGGCAGATCTCCAAGCTAGGGAAAGTGTGGCCTCTTGACAATATTGCTGGAGAAGGAGGGAGGAATGAGGTTTGTAGCCCGTGGCAGGTGGGTAATGCCTATGAGTGAATTAAATTCACACAAGCAGCCCTTTCACAATCGTCTAGACAGGAAATAGAGAAGGGAGCTCAGTGGAAAACATCAGTTGTGCCCACGCACCCAACTGTTCCAGTAACATAAAAGCAACAGCAGTTGGAGATACTTAAGGCAGCCATGGTATTGACAGAAAAAGACTCTGGATTTGGATTGCAGCTGTAGCATTTATTAAATGCACGTCACAACCTCTCTGAGCTTCGTTTTCCCCACGTTTCAAATGGGATGCAGTGGACCCTGTTGCCTACCCGGTAACTTTTTACCTTCTTTATCCTTTTTTACAAAACCTCAATGTCATTCAGGAATCCTCCTTGTTCAGTGAGGCCACATGCTTCAAAGGAAGCAGGCTGTAGTCTTGGCCTCACGAGCCAGAGAACTGGAGTCTATGCCCTAATTCTCAAATTTACAAGAAATGATTCGCCTAAGTTAAGTATGATGGTCCCACTCCCTTTGGTAGTGATTGGTTACTCATGGGTGTGTAATTTAATTCTGGCCAGTGCTCTGGGAGGGGAAGGCTTTGGAAGCCTTCTGGGAAAGATTTGGATGATAAAGAGAGATGTATTGAGATAAAAACTCTACTTTTTCTATTACACCTTATAATATCTGCAAATGAATTCCAGAACTCCAGCAGCCGTCTTGCGACCATGAGGCGATTTTGCCAAGGACAAAATAATATACCAAGAATGCAGAGGGAAAGATAGAAAGAGCATAAGACCTAGATGACTGAGGTGAATCACTGAATTAACCAATCCTAGAGCATCCACATTTTAGACCTCCTTATTACATGAGGGAGTAAATCCTTTGTTTGAATCAGTTGCACTGAGATTTTTTGTTATTTGCAGTTAAAGGTTATCCAACTGATACAAAAGTTATCTGCTGCAGTAAGGACTAAACACAGTGGCATGTGAAAGTGTCAGTCCAAAGCCAGTACACTAGGTCCATAATATATATTTATTCATTTATTTGAATTCTATTTCATTATAATATCTCTCAAAATCCCAACTACTTATGTAATTTTTTTATTTGAAAATTTTTCTATCTTTGGCTGTCTGGGAGTCACTAGCAATCTGGGCCATTGTCTGGCCTATTAACTATTTGACCTGCTTCCCAACCACTTCTAACTATTGGCCCAGGAGTGGTCCCCAGAGTATGTCTCCTAGCAAGAACCCACAGCATGGGGCTCAGGGCATAAAGACAGGGCCTTTGATTTTTAGCCTAAGGATAATTTCTCCTAGAAAGAATCAGGACATCTTAAAAAGCAGTGTACATTTTTAGAAAATATGATTTAGAAAAATCAGAATTAACTTTGTTTTGAAATTAGTCTCACAACCAAGTTAGGTAACTCCAAATGGAGCTCTGAATTTACAATTTCAGGATTCTTGTATTGCATGTCCAATTTGGGAATTAGTGCATAGACTCCAGATGAAACAATTTGACAGCACAAAACCAATGTACAGTATAAATATTCTTATTTCCTAACTACTTGTCAGCTATTTCCAGTGAGTAAATATTTACACGTTTTCCTCTCCCCCTGTGGAAAGCAGTACTCACATATATGAACATAAATATTTTGGTGTATGTAAATATTTACTCACATGAGCAATATATTTCTTTTTCTAGTCTCTGTTGTAAGTTTTTTAATAACAGAACAATTCCTGCTTACAAATAAGTTCTGATCTTGCAACTCTCCTAAAATATTCTGCAAATGAGAGGCATTTTATGGTAGTGGTTAATTGCTGATTAGTTAGAGCAGCTGGGGATAAATTTGAACTCAGCACCCTACTAGCTGTGTGACCTTGGGTAAGTTCCTTAGTCTTTCTGTGCCCTGAGTTTCCTCATCTGTAAGATGAGAGTAATAATAGTATCTAACTTATAGGATTTTTCAGAATATTAAATAATTTAGTGCATATAAGGTGCTTCACAACACTTGGCATATTGTAAACCTTTAATAATTAAATATTAAAATGAATATTTTATCATTGTCAGTTACAGAAAATGTCATTTTTTTCTATTTAGTATTATATTATGAATATAAATATATTTATAAATAATATCTTAATTTTATGTCTCTTTTTTATCATTCAAAGAATTTTCAAATGCTAACAATAGATTCCATGTGAGTAAATTACCCTAGACTGGCTTTTGATTATTTCTCACAATCCACTGGGTTAGTGGCCATCATTTTTTAAGCACTTACTGTTTGCCAGGCATTGTGTTATGTGCTTTCAAAGGCAACATTTAATTTAATCATCACAGCAACATATGAGGGTTTTCAAACTAAAAAATAGGGCCTCAGTGAGGATAATTAACTCATTTTACATTAAACAACTGGAAAGTGATAGAGTTGAGACTCAAACCCGGGTCTTCTTGATGTGAAAGTCCTTGCTCCAAACCATTATGCGATCTTGTTTCCATCATTTACATAGAGATGTCCCTTGCAGGAAGGGTTCGGTGTTTTAAAATTTTCTTTTGTCAGGAAAGTAGAGTAAATTTTAATTTATGTTCTGGCCTCTGGGAAAATATACATCATTGACAAATCAACATTGCCTCACTCAGAGCCTTATCAACACCATGTTATAAAATGTGGTTGACTGTATGGTGTTGAGACTCACCCCACAGTACCCCATCTTTTGAGTTTTAGCTTGGATTCTTTTCACAGACTCTAGACAAGATACAGAATCTCCCTGCCCCCGATGCTGATCTTGTATTCATGCTGCCCAGCTCCTCCAGATGGTATGTTGAATCGAAATGTTGGATTTCAGCCATGTGGTCCCTGTTCTCAGGAAGCTCCCAGAGACATCCTCTGATTAGGTATCCTTGGCACATGAGGAAATAATGTCTCCCAATTATTGGAATCTTCTCTTGCTCTTGACCACCAGGCCTGTCAGCAATCATTGGACCAAAGCCAATGGTATTTTCCAGTGTCCCATGCCCTTGCAGCACTTTTTCCATACAGCTATAACCCAGATGTCAGGAAACTTACTCTCACTGCCTCCACAGCCACCTGCATCCATAAAGCTGCTGACCACACAGCAGACTATGGTGTCCAGTTACTGACAGGATTCATGTGGCCAGAGCCTACTTGGCCACCTGAATTGCCTTGGAAAGATGACCTACACCTCCCTTTCACCTTCCAAATCTCTCAGAATTATATCAAATGGGCAGAACTCTAGTTCTAAAGTAATGTTCAAAATATGGTTTATTTTGTTTTACATTTTTAATTGACACATAATAATTGTACAAATTTATGCGGTATTGTGTGATGTTTTGATAAATGTATGCATCTTGTAATGAGCAAATCAGAACAATTAGCATATCCATTACCTCAAACATTTATCATTTCTTTGTGGTGGAAACATATAAAACTGCTCTTCTACCTATTTTGAGATATACAATACCTTATTGTTGACTATAGTCACCCTACTGTATAATAGGACACTAGCACTTGTTCTTTCTTTCTAGATGCATCTTTTTACCCATTGATCAGCCTCTTCTTATCCCCTCTTCCCCCATACTCTTCAATCTCCGGTAACCACTGTTCTATTCACTGTTTCTACGAGATCAAAAAATTTTAAGATTGTTCGTATAAGTGAGATCATGTATTGTTTTTCTGTGCCTGGTTTATTTCACTTAACATATGGCTTCCAGGTTCATCCATTCACATTGTCGAAAATGACAATTTTATTCTTTTTTTATGACTGAATAGTATTCCATTGTGAATATATACCACATTTCCTTTATCCATTCATCTGTTGTTGGACACTTGGGCTGATTCCATATATGGCTATTGTGAATAGCACTGCAATGAACATGGAAATGCAGACATCTCTTTGATATACTGATTTCATTTCCTTTGGATATATACCCAGCAGTGGGATTGCTGGATCATATGGCAATTATAGTTTTAATTTTTTGAGGAACCTCCATACTGTTTTCCATAATACTGTACTAATTTACATTTCCACCAACAGTGTGTAAGGATTCGCTTTTCTCCCAATATGTAGTTTTTAGCTTTCCAATATACCCAAATAGAAAGTGGTTCAACTGGAGTTTGAGAAAAGTGAATCCAGTTATCCAGCACAATTCTCTCACACGGACCTGTTCTGAATTTCCTTTATGAATTTTTGGGTTGAAGGCACACCTTCTTATTCCCTTGGTCTCTCTTTCTCTTAGACACCACTTATATTCAAGTTCATGAACAAATTAAGAAACAGTGATTTATTATTTAAGAATCACTTTTGAGCACCTACTTGTCTGAGAAGACACTGTATTAGGCACAAACAACACAGAAAGGAATAAGATTTGGTTCCAGTTTTCAAAAAGTGCACAGCCCTTAAAGGTAGAGGGACAAGAAAGTAAATTATATGATACTGAGTGAGAAACGGTAGAAGAGATATGTGTGTAGGATTCTGTGGAAGTGCATCTAAAAAGTCAGATTCTTAACCATGCTAAGAGGGAAGTGTTAGAGAAAGTAGAGAGAGAAATAAGGAAAATGCATCTAAGAAGAGGCAGAGGCTGGCATGAAACTTGATAGACATTGAACCAGGTATCCAGCAGGTATCCAGTGCTGCCTAAAACCACTCCAGTACTTATCTTCAAACAACGTTTTATTTTGCTCGTGATTCTGCAATCTGGGCTGGGATCAGCTAGGTGACTCTTCTGCTAGCTTTGCTGGTAATCACTTTTATGATTGAATTCAGCAGGCAGTTTGGCTGATGGCTGAATTCAGCTGAGATTTTCTTTCTCTCCAAGTAGTCTTGGGCCTCTGTCCACATAGTTTTTTTCACGTGTTTTCTCTTACAGAGTCAGCTGGATTTCTTAGACAGTGAATCAGGCTCCCAAGAACAGAAAAACAAAAGCTGCCAAGTCTTCTTAAATATTAGGCCTGTAGCTATTCAAGTGTCACTTAAAGGTAATCGTAGGAGACCGGCCCAGATTCAAGGGGAGATTACAGAAGGGCATTAATGCCAGAAGTAAGTGCATTAATATGGTTCCTTGGAGCTATCATATGATTGATCAGCTAGATGAAGTTGAAAGAGGCTCCAGTCAGGAGAAGAAATAAGAGCAAAGACCTGGAAGTTTATAGTGTTTTGAGGAAAATTAAGCATTTCTGGGTGGTAAGTTGGTGGGTATATAGGCACCAATGAGTAAGATAAAGCTACAGTGCTGGCTTCTTCAACCATGATCTCTGCTTGGCTCTCATCACTTGCCTCATCTGACTTCCCTGGACTTGACTTGCTTCCTGGCAATGACTCCTGGTCTGCTGAACTCCCACCTGATCTAGCTCTTTTTTGATCAGATAAATATCAAAGCTATGTTGGCAATTGTTATCTGACCACTGAAGCCATTTTCTCTTCTTTCTGGGCACTCGGGTAGACCATAATTCTCAGCTTCTCTTGTGGTTAGTTTTGGCCATGTTAACTGAGTTCAGGCCGAAAGAACATGGGTGCAAGTGGTGACGTGCAATACTTCCAGACTTGGATTGTTGAAAACCTTCCATTCCATCTTCCGTTTTTTTTCCCTCTCCAATTGGCTGCAAATAGAGAACAACTTCAAAGCAACTTTGAGAGCCTTGTATGGAAGATGGCAACTTTGAGAGCCTTGTGTTGAAGATGGCAAAGCCACAAGATGGAAAGTGCTTGGGTTCTTGGATCATTGTATGGAGGGGTTCTGCCCAACTAGGATCACCCAGGCTGGATTGTCATGTGAGTGATAGTAAAACAATTTTTGTTGTCATAAGCCCTTGAGTTTGTGGATGTTCATAAGTTATAGCTGTCAGCATTGCCTCAACTAATATAACGGGGAACCGAGGAGGCAGAGAAGTTCTTAGCATCACCCTGAGAAACAGGAGAATTTGTGGGGAAGGAGATTGCATGAAGGGGAGGATAATAACTCAAGCTGAAGCAGGGCCAGCCAAATCTGGGAAGAATTCTTTGAATGAGGTAATGACAGTCTTCCTTTCCATGTGGCCAAATGTATATAGAGAAATATCTGGAACCCACTGCAGATTGACTCATTGACACATTCTTATCTGAAACTGAATTTTACCCTCAGTTTCTTAAAGTATCTTTGACAACTCGTATCCTTGGAAACTCTTCATATTTAACCTACTGACAGGTGAACAATATAGCTTTTTGGGTAAGTTAATTAAAGGAAGAGGATTTTATGTTAATGAAATAATTCATATTTGATTCTCTGATTTAATTTGGTTCCCATAACAGTCCCTCAAAGTTAGATGGACAAAATCTAATATATATGTATTTCTGGATGGAATAGTCAAGGCTGAGGGGGAGCTTACTTGGCTAAGACCTCTCAGCTACATGGAAGAGGCCTGGGACCCATGTTTTCTAGCTCTAGAACATTTGTAAGCAAAATATGCAGACCCTGGTGATAGCCCACCCATACTGTCTAGACCTACCTGACTTCATTGCAGTTGAGGTGGACAATTCTAGAGCACACTACAGCTCTCCCTCTGCAAGGACCTGTACCTCTCAGCTTCTCTGCCTGATGATTTGTTCCAGCACCCTGGGAGTCTTCTTAGCTCAGCACAGGCACGACTTTGGAAATGTAAGGGAGTTAATGTCCCAGAGGTCAATCCTCAAGCAATGGGGTGCAGGAAGTTGTTGGATAAATACCCAGCCTCCCATTCCCTGAGGTGTACTCCACCTGGTTTCTCAGAGGGTTCTCAGCAGGACCGATCTCCAGCAAGCATCCACAGCTCATTAGCACACACTAAACTGGCTTTCCTCCCTTCCCTGCTCCCTCATCCATGCTTTGTGGGATCATCTCCCAAATAAACTGCCTGAACCCATTCCTTATCTTAGAGTCTGCTTTCAGGGTAACCCACACTTAAGCAGTATACGTGGACTAGAGAAATTAGAAGCACGCAGGGGAAAACAGGATTTTTTTTTTTCTCTTGCTCCCTCTGAACTGAACTCAGGCATGAGTGAGGATAACCTCTCATGGCAGTGAGTGAGGATAAAGGCCACATGAACACCTCATCAGACACTTCCTGTCAGACTCTCCTCCTTTTCATAGGCAGTTGGTGGCACCTGCCAGTCTGGACTCCTCTATGCATGGTGACTTTGCTCTGCTGCCCAGCTGGCACCAGGCACTAGATGAACAGCCTTGGTCCCAGACAGCAGCAGATGCTGCCAGCTCACCATCTCCTGGCAGCGGATTCAGGGTTGGGACTGGGCAGCAGAGTTTGATCACTTGCCCTGGCTGCCACAGTTTCCATCCTCTTCCCTGTATCTTCTAGTCATGAGAGGCCTGTTTGATAGAGATGTCAGCTCAGCAGTGACTGATGTGTTGAGACAAGCTTAGTGTGGCATGGTGCCATAGGGAGCAGCAGAGGGGCCTCAACCAGATGCCAAAGGGCCCACAGGCCCAGGTCTGACATGCTGAACTGTGGCAGGCTGGGTGTGCAAAGATGTCATCTGTGGGTTATCACCAGAACAGCTGTGTTCATTTGTTCAAGCATTCATTCATTCACTTGTATAATATTTACTGATGCTCCTTATGTGCCTGGTACTGTGATATGAACTAGGTATATGAGAGAATGAGAGAGATGTAATCTCTCCCTTCCTTGAACTTATAACATAGAATGGAGGAAGATATTGATAGAATATCAGACATATAATTATATGGAATCCTGAGATTTTCTTTTCCCCATTTCTCATACCCACCCTCCATCTGGAGCCAAAGCCCATATCAAGACAGAGTGCTTTAAAGATGGTGAAAAGAAAGAGTCCTTTAGTATGATAAAAGCTCCAGAGTTATGCCAGGAAGCAAGCAGCTATGCAGCCACTGGTAAGAAAATGTAATACACAGAAGTTCTGCCAGCCACTCTAATTATGACAGGTATTTCTTCTCTGCAGGCCAAGGTGAGACAGGTCAGTAGGTGGTAACTCCTGGAAAATGGGGTGGGATCATTATTTGCAGGGAGGTATAAATGGCTAATATAAGAGCAAGTGTGACTTCTTCTCTAAGTGCATGCCATCACATACTAGCATCTCAGGGCTAATGAGCATAAGGAAATAAAGTTCTAAACATGGGATTTCAACATTTGTAGGGAAAGAGTTGGGATGTGGGGACAGCTTATCTTTCTAGGGTCTTCCTTGTGTTTCTCACATAGGCTGGCCTGGGTCTGGGAGTGCTGAGGTTGGGGCTTGGGCTTCCTGCTTGTCTAGAAAAGGGCCAAATCTCAGCTCCAGTCATTGTTGGTCTCCAGGGCTGCTCAAGATCTGGTTCTTGCAGATGCTATTTGGAGCAGCTCCCAAGCCATTAAACCCTTCCTCCTGGGGAGCTCCACAGCTGTCAGAGACGAGGAGGAGACAGGGTGGAACAGCCAGTTCAGATTCACTTCAAACCAGAAGTGGAACAATCCCTGTTACATTATTAATCCCTGGAGCCATGTAAAGTTTCATCTGTTTTCTCTCAACGATTTGTTACAAACTACATTTTCCAAAAGCTGCAAGACCTACGACCAAACAGCATCTTTCACATGTGTGTGAAAATCCTGGGGTAACTCCTACAGGGCTAAGAGCAGAGGGCATGGGTTCTAATCTTGCCTTTGACACAAGCCAGCTGTGTGACGATGACAGGGCCACCTTTCCCCTCTGAACTTCAGTGTCTGTATTGGTTAGCTATTGCATGTAAAAATACCCACAGTCTTAGTAGCATACAACAATAACAATTAGTATCACAGATCTGCGGGTCGGCTGGGGTTTGGCCAATCTAGTCTGGGCTCAGCTTAGCAGCAATGCTTCAGACTGTAGTGGTTCTGCTTCATATCACAGGACTGGGGCTTGGATGGGCTAACTCTGCTCCACATGCTAGTGGGCTAGACAGCTGTTATGGTTTGAATGGTTTTGTCTCCTCCAAAATTCATATGTTTGAAATTTAATCTCCAATGCAACAGTGTTGGGAGGTGGGGCCTCTTGGAAGGTGTTTAGATTATGAAGGCTCTGCTCTCATGAATGAATTAATGCTGATAATGCTTGTAGGAGTGGGTTCACTCTCTTCTGCTCTTCTGCCATGTGAGGGCACAGAGTTCATCTGTCTTGCCCTCCCACCTTCTGCCACATGAAGAAGCAGCAAGAAGGCCCTCACCCAGGTGTCAGTGCCTTGATCTTGGACTTCCAGCCTCCAGAACTATGAAATAAATAAATTTCTGAGGTATTCTGTTATAGCAGTACAAATGGACTAAGACAACAGGCATGTTCTCTGCAACAGCAGAGGTATCAGGAGGAAGTGGAAATATGTGAGACCTGTTAAGGCCTAGGCTTAGAACTAGCATAAGTCCCACTCCACTGGCCAAAGCAAGTCAGTTGGCCCCAAATCAAGAGGTAGAAAGTATGCTCCACCCATGATATGCCATGACCATGATGCGACTGCAGGTTGGGGTGAAGAAGCATCAGGACCATTTATTCGACCTACCATAGTCTCCTCACTTATAACATGAGAAGATCAGCAGATCACATGGTTCCTTGGGCCCCTCATAACCTAAATATTCTGTAGGTCTAAATAATGATGTAGAAGCAGAACAGTGTAAAAGGATATAAACCAGTGAAAAAAACCAAGAAATAAATCTGGTATGTCTTAATAAAATTTCTCTGAATGTATGAGCAAATTACAACCAGGTACAAAGAGATGGCTTTTGAAACCTGCCCACCTCACTCAAATCGGGCAACTAATTTTCACAAGCTCAGCATATGTGAGCATCTATATAAAAATGCAGAAGGGCCCTGCTCCAAGTTTCCCCACCTGTCCTCGCCTCCCTAATACCAATAAGGTGATTTAACCTGAAGAAGAGGTCAAGAGCTGAGCACCTCCCAATGTGTACATGTTTTCTGCTTTAGAGGCAAAAGAAGCAGCTTCCTACTAGAGAATATGCAATAAAAAAATTATATCAGCAGGACTCTCTTTGCTGGAAGTGTGAACTTGATAGAAATCAGAAATGCAAATGGTATTCAAGTGCGGTTAAAACTTCCACTTTCCAAAAGGGGGAAAAATTAATTGCTTTTATACTTACTGTAGTGATAAGCCGGAGGCACATGCTATACACAAGGAACAGCATCCAGAAACCTTCCAAGAGGTGGAGGGAAGGGAGGCAATAAATCTCCCCTAGAAAGCCTCACGTTCCTCACTGCAGATGTGCATGGCATGTAATTTTTTAGCTGTGTGGTTCAGGGACCTGCTAAGAGTTTCAGATTCAACCGACTTCTGTGAAGGCTTGAGAAGGAGATGTTTGGGAAATGCTCATAAATGATAAAAGAAGAGCTTAAGCAGTGAGTAGGTGTCCAGAACCTCTCAGTTGCTGAGGAAAAGGTGTTAGTTTATGGATTTTTATTGCAAGGACATCTGCAGCTTCTCAGCTTTATGGAGCACATATGTTTGCAAGAAAGTCCCACAAGCCTCAAATCATGTCCACCTTTTTCAGAGGGTGGGCCCTGGAGGGAATGCCCATGGTGTATGGATTGATAGGACTTCCATGAATGGGGTAACTATTTTGTCCAGTTTTCCTGGGACAGTGCCAGTTTATTTCTGTTACTTCAGTACCTTATCTAGTTAGCAACCTCATTCACTCTCAAAAGTCTCAGTGGCACAATAACTTTGAAAAACTGTTAGCCTGAAAGACCAGGCTGTGCATTAGACCCATTCATCCATTCAGTTAGCATTCCACTATGAGGACCTGGGCAAACACCTGTTATTTCCCTAGAGTTTATGAATTCCTAAAGACAAGGGCTGTGTTTCATCCATTTTTTTTTAACTTTAAGTTCTAGGGTACATGTGCACAATGTGCAGGTTTGATACATAGGTATACATGTGCCATGTTGGTGTGCTGCACCCCTCAACTCCTCATTTACATTAGGTATTTCTCCTAATGCTATCCCTCCCCCAGCCCCCCACCCCCCGATAGGCCCCGGTGTGTGGTGTTCCCTGCCCTGTGTCCAAGTGTACTCACTGTTCAATTCCCACCTATGAGTGACAACATGCAGTGTTTGGTTTTCTGTCCTTGTGATAGTTTGCCAAGAATGATGGTTTTCAGCTTCATCCATGTCCCTGCAAAGGACATGAACTCATCCTTTTTATGGCTGCATAGTATTCCACAGTGTATATGGTTTCACCCATTTTTGAGGCTACGGCCCTTCTCCTCTTCTCTCTTCCAGTTGTTTCTCCCTGCTCCCCCAGGTTCTGTTCTGCCATTCACAGCCTTGACTCTCACATTATTTTCTAGAAGACTCTTGTCTCCCCAGTCCTCACCATAACCCCCTCCAACAGCCATTAGTTCTGTGGCTACATCCCTGGATCAGCCCAAAGGTTGATGAACATTGCATCATTCACAATCTCCAAGTCAGACTACGTCAATAGAGGGCCATGCCATTAACTCCCCCAGGGACTTCTAGAACTCATAACTCCCTCAGTCTCCATATCATTTTTGTCATACAAAACAAACAAAACCGAGATGTATTCTCTAAATTTAAGATCATATTTCAGAGACAGCAATAATCTTGGATATGTGGAGACTAGCTAGATGTCCCTCAAAAACATTTTGCTTTGTTCCTGGGTACACAACTGGACTATGTTTCCCAGTGGTCCTTGGGGTAAATTGTGGCCATGTGACTGACTTCTGGCCCATTACATGTAGACAGAAGTGATGTATATTACTTCCTGGTCCGATCCATAAATACAGATGCTCCTTGACTTATGATGGGGTTATGCTGTGAAAAACTCACTGTAATTGGAAAATATTATAAGTTGAAAATGCATTTAATGCACCCAACCTACACAACCTCATAGCCTACCTTAAACATGCTCAGAACACGTTTGCCTATGATTGGGCAAAATTACCTAATAGAAAGCATGTTTTATAATAAAATGTTAAATATCTCATGTAATTTACTGAACACTGTACTGAAAGTGACAAAGAGAATTGTTGTATGGATACTTGAATTATAATTTCTACTGAGTGCGTATCACTTTCACACCATTGTAAAGTCATAAAATTGTAAGCCTAATCATAGTAAGTTGAACCACTGTAAGTCAAAAACTATCTGTATTTCCCACATGGTCCTTTGATGTGTTTCTTCCATTTCCCATATCTGGGGGTTGGATATTGATGCCCACAATGGTGTTGGAAGACAGGATGAGATTCTCAGCCCTGGCTGCCCAAGAGAGACACCAGGATACTTAAAACAAAATTCTGTGCACACATCCCACCCTGAACTAATGGAATTAGAATTTCTACTGTCAGAGAGGCAGAGCTCTCCATAGGTTTGAACACCTCAGTGACTGTGTGAAGAAAAGTCCCTGCTTCTTCCACCAAGTGTACTTTACCTGAAAAAAAACAAACAAACAAAAAAACACTTCCATTGTGTTAGGCTCGTTCTGGCTTTACTTTAACTAATACAATGAGCAACTGCATTTCTACAAATGGATTCACCAGTCATATTCTTACCAATTCCTGGATGAAAGGAGGCTGTTGGTAGGAGGTGAGTAAAGAGATTCACATCAAGGAAAGGGGCACAGGCCTCCCACTGATCATCTAGGAAATACTTGAGAACCTAGGGTTGTGAAAGGAGAATTGTGGTATGGTGAGGAGTGGACAGATGGAGAAAGGAAGCTGAGGCCTGCAGGCCCTATTTTTATATGGTCTGAGAAAGCAGGTATGAGTGTGTGTGATAAGGGAGTGTGTTTTGTGAGTTGATGATATTAGGCTGAACTTGAAGTCCTCCTAACTTTGGAAATAAATTACTTGGATTACAACACTTTTCAATTGGATGACAAATCTCCTTGTACTTATGTGG
The DNA here is from genome assembly GCF_000001405.40 of Homo sapiens. NCBI lineage: Eukaryota > Metazoa > Chordata > Mammalia > Primates > Hominidae > Homo > Homo sapiens. Next base: position 39,314,661 of record NC_000023.11, on the reverse strand, counting down.
CCATGCTCCTCTACGTGGAGGCATGCCTCCCTGGCTAAGAGAAATTGGCTTGCTACAAAGGTTTTGCATTCTTGCTGGTTCAACATGGGTCTTTGGCTTAAGGCTAACCATCCTGGAAGCCCATGAACTGGATGCTCTTGCTTAACTAAATGACTTTTCCTGGCTCTTACCAAGAGCTTCATTCTCTTTCTCCTTTTCCTTTTCTTCTCCTCCTCCTTCTCCTCCTCTTTTCTTCCTTTTCCTCTCCCTTCCCCTCCCTCTGTCCTTCCTTTGCCCCCTGCACTTTCCCCAACCTCTCCCCTCCCTTCTCTTTCTTCCTCTCTTCCTCTTTCTCTCCCTCTACCTTTGACCTTCCTTTCCCTTTCCCCTCCTTAGCCTCCCTTTCCCTCTCTTCCTTCTTCTCCTTCTGTCCTTCCCCTTCACCTCCTCTCCAGGTTTTTTAACAAAAAGGTAGCTTTCCACTCCAGTCACATCCCTTGAAATCCTGACCAGCCAGGCTATGGAGGTGATTGTTAATTGGCTCATTATTCACTTATTCTTTCAATCAACACTGTTGGTTGGGCGGGGCTTTGTTGGGTAAGGATGGGTCTTGCCAGGGTTACCACTGTGCTACAAGTGGACATACAGAGACAAAAGAGATTATCTTTGTTGTAGAAATAGTCAGTCTTATGAACAGCAAAAGTGGGCAGTTACATGGTCAGGAACCAAGGAAGCAGTTAAGCAAATCATTAAGAGTTAAAGGCTGCCTCATATCTAGCAGAAGAGACCTCAAATCCCCAAGGAGCAGACGATTCTGTTTATGAAGAGCCCATCACTGATGCTGGACGTTTTTGTTTTGTGGGTACAAGGCAAGTAGAACCCTCGCTATGGAGAAGGCTTGTCAAAGACTGTCCCTCCATGAAGCTCAGGGAGGAGGAACTTGATATTTTCTAGGGAAGGTTAGGGCAAATGTACATAGGAGCAAGAGATCTTGTAAGAAAAATGGGATAGTAATCTTGACACCTTCTTTCTGGGGGTTTTAGACCATCCCTGAGGGACTGAGGAGCATGATGTTGCCAAGCAAGAAGCCTGGTGTTCATGCATGAAGAGGAAAAGAGAGGGTGCATTGCTGAGCTGGTGTGTCCTTGGAAAGTTGCCTAGGAGGGCATCTAGAAAACAGATGTTTAGAAACAAAAGAAAACCCAGGAGCCCAGTTCTACTGTGGTCTGGGACTACCACAGACAAGTGTAAATCTTGGAGTTGCATGCCTAGTTCCACAGCATGGAACAAAGTTGGACTTAGACTGTGTACCACCAGCATTTCCCTGTTTCCTGGGTGATGGCGTTATGGACTTTAAACTTTTTTATTATGAATTAAAACACACATATGCAGAAGCTCACTTAATGACCACACAAGCCCCATCTGTGTCAAGCACCACCTGGGTCAAGACATAAAGCAAAACAAGCACCCTAGAAGCCTCCTTCATGCCCTCTTCTTATTATGCCCATTTCTTCCACTGTACACATCTTAATTTCTAACACCACACCTTCCTCTTGCCTGCTTTTGAAATAGACACGTAAATGAACTTATGTGATCTGGACTCTTGCATCTGGCTTCTTTTGCTCAATATTACATTTGTGAGATCCATCCATGTTGCTGTTCATTTTCCTTGCTTTGTAGTACTTCATTGTATGAATATATGCTGATCCATCTATCCATGCCCTTTTTGATGTATATTGGGCGGCTTCCAGTCTGGCTGTTCCAAACCAAGCTTCTGTTAAGATTCTGGAACATGTTGCCTAGGAACACAAGGACCATTTGGTGAATGATGATAATGAGACCATGGCTGGAAAAGATTTTCTCAATTTTTTTGACTCCTTGAGCAAGTGTGCTCTGGCAGCACTTGGACTCATTATGGGATGCAGAGAGAGAAGGAAGGGTAGCAGCAGGTGCTAGAGAAGAGACATTGCAAGATGGGGAGTTCTAATCAAAGTAAGTTGAACATTAAAAAAAGACATACCTCAGACTGAGGAAACTGAATAAACTGAGTTTCTCAAATAATCTATTTTTTCCCCCCATGATGCTGGAGTGTGAATAAGAAAAGGCCCCAGTAACAGTACCAAGAATAGTCACTGGCTCTGGTTACCTCAGTGAAATTTCTGGAACTCTGGCTTGAAGTTCTCTCCTTGGCCGCAACAGGATGGTCCTATGTGAGCCTGCCCTAGCCCCCCTCCTCAGTTCCTGTTCAGATGTGACTGTCCTTCATCCACTCATCTCGTGCATAGCTTGCTCCTCTCGGCTCAGTTCTCCATCTCTCCAGAGTCAGAGCCTTGTATCCATCAGGGGCCCCACATTCTTCCTTCTTAGGTCAGTTACTCACTGTTACAGGGTGGCACACTCACTGTGCTGTGCTCCTAGCTACCCCTCTGCTCTCATCCAGCATCCATTCGTTCGTTGAACAAATGCTTATTGGCCAGGTGCGGTGGCTCATGCCTGTAATCCCAGCACTTTGGGTGAGACAGGAGGATGGCATGGGGCCAGGAGTCCGAGACCAGCCTGAGCAACATATTGAGACCTCCATCTTTACCAAAAAGAAAAAAAAAAGTGCCTATTGACAGATACTTGGTGCCAGGATGGGCACCTTTCTTTCATGTCAGAGCCACTGCCTAAGAGCTTAATGAAACAACTGCCTAAGAACCTCCAACCCTGGGCTGCCATGATCTCTCTCATGGTACAACGGGTTCTTAGGTAAACATTTCTTCTACCAGGCTTCCTACCCATGCCCTCACCCCATTCTGGGCCTTGCTCTGCAACCAGCACAGTACAATGTAGTTCAGAGGAACTCGACCCACCCTATCTATGCTGAAGTGCTCACAGGCCTTCCTGTGGGGGTTGTAGGTAGCCCAGGAGTAGCAGAGCCTCCTGTATTTGCCCTTTACCATCCAGTAGAAGAGAGAATCTCTTCTTGTAGCTCCAGAAAAAGAAAGGAGCATTCTCACCTTTCCTTCATCCCCATGCAGGGTGGGGGATGGAGAGAAGTGGGGAGGGGACAGCAAGCTTGTTTGATAAGTCCCTCTCCTGGGGATACTAACTCATCTTCTCTTTTCCTTCTTTTGGGACAAGCAGATAGCCCGTGGATTGTGCTTTTTCATTTATGATAGACTATTCAGCAGAAGAAAGAACAACAAAGGCAACAGCCTTTCAGTTCTCTTTGGACTGCACATGAAATCAAACCTGGAACAGCCGTCCCCTGTGTTCTTCTCTCTGCTGCCCTGCCTGTTGCCTTTCTCTGCTCTAATTAATTCTGTTGATTCTCACATCCCCACTCCTGGGCTCCTCTATATAGCTGTGTAGGTCGTGCACTGTATAAACTCTCCCATCCCCAATCCCCTCTGTGTTTTGCCTGCCATGCCTCCCCAGTCCCTTTAACCCCATAGAGCCCTTCTTACTTCATTTCCTGCAAGTTCCTCTTCCCTAACTGCCTCAAGAGAGAAGAAGCCTGACCTCTGTAGGGCCTGACCCACATTTATCACCCTTGGCAGGGTAGGGCAGGGCCAAAGCCAGGTGTCTACTGCTCAAGAGAGTCAAGGGGCCTCCTTTCCCAGGGAGCTGCCCCAAACAGCTCACAAAGCCCGGAATCTTTTTCTCATCACAGTTTTGCCTTGCCAGAAGTAAATTGTTCTCTAGGTTCACCAAAAGGCCAAAGAAGCTGTTTCATAAATAAGCTTAGCATCTACTTTTGCGTATTCCCTTTAACCTGGCGGGCTGCTCCTCCCCGAGCACCAAATTTGTGGAACTACATACATACATCCTTACAGCACCCTGCACAGTTCACAGCCTCAAGCATGTTAAAAAAAAAAAAAAAGGTGACCTTGTTTTCTCTCCATAACAATCCCATGATAGAGATATTGACCAGTTTTATGGAAAATAAAACTGAGGCTTGGATCACATCCCTGTGGCAGAGTCAGATTTGAACTGAAGTCTGCTAGTCCCAAAGAGATCCAAGGTCTGCCTGTGTTCTTAGTCACCCTAGATCTTTGCTCCCTTGAGCTGTCCCACGCCCGTCTCCCACCTTCCCTGTTCCTCTCAGTGCCTGTGCTCATGACCCATGGCCTTTCACCCTCCCATCAGACCTATGTGTCCAATTCCAATGCCTGCCTTCCCTCCTTGGTCCCATCTCACATTTGTCCTCCTGGGGTGCTTTCAGCCACTCTCCACATAATACTGCTGTCTGAGCCAGCCCAGTCTGGGGATCTAGCACTTAGGAATATGCCCACAGGACTGGCATTCTAGCTGGGTGTGTCCCATCCAAATACACAAGATTTTTCTTTTCCCTCCAGCCCCTGACAGTGCCGGTCATCCAGTTCTACAGTATAAACTGGCCATAGGCCCACAACGACACCTCTAGCTTGAGCACTGCCTTAACAAAACAACAATAACAACAACATCAACATCATCATCATCATCATACACAACAACACAAGTCTGAATGGCTATCTGCCTCCTCTCCATCCCAAGCGTCATCTCTCCTCCCTCTCTTCCCCCAGCCCTCAGGGACCAAGATGGGGAAATTGTCCTGTAATCGCATTTTACATGCACGTGCACAGGATCGAGGCATTTCTCTCATCTGGTTATCTTTGGAAACACTGGAAGGGAAGGGGATATTAAAGTAATCCTCCTCTGCTTCCATCTTGAAAAAAAAAGCGGCACATTTTGATTCACTACCTTATCTTTAAAGAAACCCGACATGGAAAAGGCAAGGAGATAAGATCTATGACTTCATCAGCTTGTTCTCTGAAGTTGTTTCAAGCTTCACCATCCCCCGACAGGCCCCTTCATTTCCTGTTTTCAATATCTAATGGCAAAGAATACACAGCCGCTCAGAGCTAAGTGACCCTGGGGGTCAACACAGGAAGCTGGCCAGGGAGGAAGCTTTTAAGATCCAAACTGGAATCTGGCCACAAGTCAGGAGCACATCTTCTTAATTCGAATTTTATTTTTACCTTCACTTTGTGGTCAGCAGCTCTCAGAACAGCTGCTGGTTTGAAATACCTTAAATGTAATTTGAAAACTCATAAGGTTTAAAATTAAAAGAAAAAAATACTTTAGGATCTTATAACAGGAATTCTTGACAACCTCTTTCTTTCAAGATGCTCCAAATGCCTCCCAGACGTGATTGCGTCAGTTCTTGCTGCCTCCCACGGTGGAGGCCAAGGAACCAGTACCATCTGAATCATTTTATGGAGGGGAAAACACAGACACCCACTTGTTCCTGCTTACCCAGCAAGTCAGCACAACATTATGACAGGTGTTTTCCAGTGCCCAACCAGTCTAGAGTAGGGAGTGTGTGTGCATAATATGGGTCACAATCACAATGTCAAGAGCAAGGAAAACTAACTATCTTGGTTCTGGCCACCTGCCATAGAGGTGCACTTCCTGGCAATGGCCATTTCTGTTCCATCTCTTCTGTCACCAGCAGCGTCCTTGGGTGGGCTCTTGTTGGTTGACATGACAATACTGCCAGCTACTCTCTTGACAGTCAGGGAATAGCATTCCTTGCAGGGGGCGTCACACAGAAACATCCCTACCTGCCAGGATCGTCCACTATCTGAGGGGCTGAGCACATGGTGCTTCTATGGCAAACTGAACTGCATGGAGCACTAAGCTTTGTCTCTCTTAGATGGGTTTCCTTTTCCTGCTTCCTGTCTCTAATACTTCCCAAAGGCCAGAGGCCTGACCACACAGGTGTAGACCTTGGATCAGGGAGCAGATCTGTCACTTGCAACCGAGGGGTGGCCCACTATGATGTGGGTCTGGAGCATAAGCTCAGGGCCTTCTCCCTGCAAGGCTGATCTGGGGCAGTGTTGCATATTCTGGAGGTTGTAGTAGATGGTGTCAGAATCCAACCCATATCTTCTTGCCGCTAATATTTTAAAGAATACCACCCAACTCCCAGCCAGCAATTCCTTTATTCCCTTGCTTCAGGGCTTTCTTAGGACAAGAAGCATACTTTACCTGTTGCTGCTGACAGCCAGAAGTACCAAGGATTAACATCCCTCCTAATTCTGCAGAGCAACCCTCAGCCATTGACAGACAGGACTGGGTATATAAATACCCCAGCTTCATCACCCTCAGGTGGGCTAACTCTGAGGCACACATTCTGTGCTGACTTTCAGTGGTTTCTAGCAGGATTAAGTTCCAGTTGCCCACAGTGGCAACTGACTTGGTGATGCCTTCTTTTATTTCTCCACTCGCTTTACTAGTGTTTTTTTGGATTAGTTCCAAAATAAACTATTTTCACTTGGGTTCTTATCTCATTCTGCTTCTGGAGAACCTAACTGAGTCATGGGAAGAACTCTTCTGCCACCCCAGCCACTGATGGGGCTGTCACTTCCAAGCCTGAAGCAAAGATTTCTGGAAACTTTCCCATGTCTGGAGGCTAAGTCTGGGAGCTTCTCTGACCTCTTCCTAGGCCTTTTTAAATCTTCTTTTCCATGATTCCATGATTCTCAAAGTCTTGCTCCCAACATTATCCTTAGCTACAAGATATCATCCAGGTCTAGTACACTGTTCTCATTTTTACATTTTATAGAACACAAAACTGAGGCTCAGAGGGGTAAAAAACTTGCCCAAATTTACTTACTTTGCAAATGTCAGGCAAAGAAGAGACCAAAACCCAAGCATCTAGATTTATGGTCCACAGTATTTGTCAAGTAAAGCTATTTATGTGTAAACTTGGCTCATGAGTTTTTGTTCTGAATCCTTCTTCTTTTTCATTACAGCAAAGAATTGGGTCCTGAAAGTAGCATACTCAATGGGGACTGTGAGCATGCATCACTTAATCAGTACATTGGCACTCCACTCCCTCCTGGGCCAGATTGTATGTAGGTCAACACCTCCAGTGGCTGAACCTCCAGAAGGGCTATCACAAAGGTCTGAGAATCTGTCTCCCTTAAGGCAGCGAGAAGTGGTCACAGACACGGCTTGGCTGCTAGCATGGCAGAAGGTCTAGTGGGGGCAGCTGGGACTCCACCAGCCCAGGTACAAGGTCTTTGTATTTACTCTTTTTTTTGGCCTAGAATGCTGTTCCCAGATGGCCACATGGATTAGCCCCTCACTTGCTTCCAGAATTTGCTCAAATGCCATCCTCAGAGAGACCTTTCCTGACCACTGTCTAAAATACAGCCTCTTGTCCCACAACGTTTTAAACCCACTTCATTTTCTCTCTTAGCATTTGTCACCCACTACATGATATTGTGTGTTATCTTTGTTTATTTCTGCCCCCGCACCTTGACCCCAGCCATGAGCATGTGCGTTCCACAAGGACAGATACTTGTTTTTATTGTTTTTTCTTCTGCTTTATTCTCATCACCTTGAACAATGTTAGTGCATCCTAGAAGCTCAAGAAATACCTGTTGAATGAATTAATTAAACACTAAAAGCAAACTATGGCTCAGATAGGACAGGTTAGTTACCTGGGCCCAGGTAGTACATTCAGCTAAGTGGAGCAGAGGCATTATGGGGCCCCAAGCCAGCTTGACTCCATGGCCTCTGGCCCATTTCTCTACCTTGTGCTGGGCTCGTTAAGTTTCCAAAGAACATGGGATTCATAAAGCAGAAAACAAGAAGAAGAGAGATGGATTCTCAGTGGAGATAGGACATATTCCCCTCCCTCTCTCCTTCTCAACCTGCCTCCTCCCTCCTCTGTCTTATCCCAAGGAGCTCCTTAGGAAGAAACCCATCCCCAGTATCTCCCAGAAACTGCTCTCTGAACACTCAGATGCACAATCAACCATTGTTAAGTCCTCAACAATACCTCATCAGCAAGCACAGCACTATAATTAAAAGTAAATCCAGCTCAAGCTCTTTAAAATAGGATCTAATTTAATTGGTGCATTTAATCTATCACTGTCACTCCAAGCCAACCGGGGGAGAATCTCATCGTAGTGGTAGGTGATGGGAAGACTTAAGTGGCCCCACTTCAGGGTCTCCCTGTTGCCCCAGGTCTTGTGAACTACTGGGAACGTAAGGCAGCAGCAAGTCTGGGAACCATACGGGTGCCAACTGAAACTTGGATGTGGCTGCCATGGGGCTCTGCCCTGACATCCAGCCACACTCCCATGAAAGGCTTTCAACAGGGGGTCTGGGCAGGGGTCTCTCCCTCCTATCCACATATCCTCAAAAATGAATCTCAGGGCACCATGCAGAGAAACTTCAAGAGAACTAAGCTCATCTTCACAAGGCTGGCATTGGGGTGTAACCTTTCTACAGAGTCACTGTGTGTCTCTACTTTGAGTCACTATTAGTTTAAGACCCAGCTCAGAAAAAAAAATTCTGTCTCTTCAGAGTAAGATAACACAAAACACCGATCAGTTGGGAAGTCATAAAGTTTGATGCTTCAGGATATTGGCCCCAAAATAATATAGAAATGAGTTATGATCCTGGGTAAGCTACTTACTAAATTATGACTTTTGGGATAATTTTAACCCCCCAACCTTCATTTCCTTGTTTGCAGAGTGAAGATAAGAATACCTATTTTAAAGTTCTGTTGTGAGGTTCAAGTGCCACATATGGGGCCACCAGAAGCTGTTGGCGCCCCTCCCACATCCCTGTGGTCCACTCAGGAGGTTAACTGCAGTCAGCTGTCATTCTGCTGGTGGCTTCCTGCGTCTTTCTGCCTGAGCTTGTTCTTTGGCCCTGGAGGAACCCTCCACCAATGAGAGATGGGAATTGTTGGATAAAAGTCCCAGCTTCCACTCCAAGGCATGTTCATGATCCATGCAGCCTCTGAGAGGCCTCCCATGGGCCTGAGCCCCAGTTGCCCACACTGGTAATACACACATCTGCTCACTCTCCACTGGCTTTCCTCTCTCCCTTTCTCACTGCTTCACCTTCCCAATGTGCCTCCTGGACCACGTCCCAAATAAATGATTGCACTCAAATCCTCGTCTTGGGGTCTGCTAAGGGGAAATCCAAGTCCAGACATTGGTATGACTCAAGTGCTTAATAAATAGACCATGTCACTATTGTAGTTTCTAGATACCCAAAATTCAAATGTGGGTCTCTCTGCTTATATTTTGTATTTTCTATGTAAAAAATTCCCTAAAGCCCTCCAGGAAGGACTCCTCTCCCTGTGGCTCCATGCCAGTCCTATGCTCTGCAGCCATAGGGAGGATTGCTGTGCCAATGCTCACAAACCTTGGGGCTGCCATCCCCAAGACTCCTTGGACTCCATACAAAGATTGACCTTAGGAGGAGTGAGTCACAACAACTCCATGTGAGTATTGGGAGGCTTTATAGGTTGAATTATGACTTTCCAAAGAGATTTGTCTTAAACCACAATTCCTTAAAATGTGATCTTATTAGGCAACAGGGTCTTTGCAAATGAAAGTTAAGATGAAGTCATTAGTGTGGTCCCCAATTCAACATGACTGGTGTCCTTATTAAAAGTGGAGATTTGGACACAGAAAGACACAAACAAGGAGAACACCATGTGAAGATTGGGATCATGTGACCAAAAGCCAAGGAACTACCAGAAGGTAAGAGAGAAGACCAGGAACAAATCCTTTCCTAGTGCCTTCAGAGGGAGTGTGACCTAGTTGACACCTTGATTTTGGACTTCTAGCCTCTGAAATTGTGAGACAATAAATGCCTGTTGTTTAAGCCACCCAGCTTGTGGCACTTTGTTACATCAGCCCTACCAGACTAATAAAGGGGAATTGTCTTTATGTACTGCCTATGTGTGGCTGCAGGAACCATGTGTATGTATAACAATGGGGTTTTCATGAAGCTGGCTTTTTTTTCTGTGTAATTCTACAGATTCCTAGATAATATCAGGCCTTGACACTGGCTGCCCAAGCTAAGCTTTTCTCCGATGTCTTCCAGCACTCTATTTTCTCAGCCCTTTGTCTCCAGAGTTGTGTTGTCTCCCTTCCCCTCCTGTTGGCCTGTAGTTACCAAAGTTCCAACATGGCTTCATGGAGACATATGGGGGCCCCCTTTCCACACGGCCCTTTTTTCTCAAAGATTCATTCAGGCTTTGTCCTTACTTGTCATCAATGCTCCATTTTACACTGAAGTTAAAGGCAGATGGGAAACAAAGTCTTGCCCCTCTCAGAAGTAGGTACTCATTAGAAAAGCTCAGCATCCAAGAAATGATCCTCTAGCAGTAGGAATTTCAGCCTGGTGTCTCCAGATCACTCACCACTGCCACTAGAGAGTGCCTCAGGCTATTCAAACTCCATGGTCTCAAAAGTAACTTCACCTGCTTCCACCTCTGGCCTGGCCAACTTCAGGGACCTCCTGGACTGGATATTCTGTTTGCCACTCTAGACCCAGCCTTTGTGCTTCTCCACTGTATTAGTCCATTCTCACATTGCTATAAAGAAATACCAGAGACTGGGTAATTTATAAAGAAAATAGGTTTAATTGGCTCACAGTTCTGCAGGCTGTGCAAGAAGCATAGCACTTCTGTTTCTGGGAAGGCCTCAGGAAGCTTCCAATAATGGAAGAAGGCAAAGGGGGGAGTGAGGCATCTCACATGGCAGGAACAGGAGTATGAGAGAGTGAGGGGGGAGGTGCCATAGATTTTTAAACAACCAGATCTCATGAGAAGTCATTATCATGAGAACAGCAACAAGGCGATGGTGCTAAACCATTCTTAAGAAACCCACTTCCATAATCCAATTGCCTCTCACCAGGCCCTACCTCCAACATTGGGAATTACAATTTGACATGAGATTTGGGCAGGGACTCAGATCGAAACTATATCATTCCACCCCACCCCCTCCCAAATCTCATGTCCTTCTTCTATTGCAAAATACAACCATGCCTTCCCAATAATTCCCAAAGTCTTATTCCAGCATGAACTCAAAAGTCCAAAGTCTCATCTGAGACAAGGCTAGAGTGCCCTACATCCATGAGCCTATAAAATAAAAAAAAAAATTAGTTACTTCCAAGATACAATGGGGGTATAGGCATTGGATAAATACCCCCATTCCAACAGGGAGAAATTGGCCAAAAGAAAATGGCTATAGGCTCCATGCAAGTTCTAAACCCAGCAGGGCAGTCATTAAATCTTAAAGCTCTAAAATAATTTCCTTTGACTCAGTGTCCCATATCCAGGGTACATTGATGCAAGAGGTGGGCTCCTAATGCCTTGGGCAACTCTGCCCTTGCAGCTTTTCAGGGTTCAGCCCCCATGGCCTCACTCATGGGCTGGTGGTGAGTGCCTGTAGCTTTTCCAGGCATAGTGTTCTGCAAGCTGCTGGTGGATCTACCATTCCAGGGTCTGGAGGATCATGACCTTTTTCTCACAGCTCCACTAGACAGTGCCCCAGTTGGGATTGTTTGTGTGGAATTCAGCACCACATTTCCCCTTCACACTGCCCTAGTAAAGGTTCTCAATGAGGGCCCTGCCCCTGCAACAGGCTTCTGCCTGGACATCCAGGCTTTTCCATACATCCTCTGAAATTGAGGCGGAGGCTCCCCAGCCTCAACTCTTACACTCTGTGCATCTGCAGGTTTAATACTACTTGGAAGCTGCCTAGGCTTATGGTCTGTCTAAAGCAGTGGCCCAAGCTTTACCTTGGCCCTTTTGAGCCATGAGTGGAACTGGAGCAGTCCAGATGCAGGGAGCAGTGTCTCAAGGCTGTGCAGGGCAGCAGGGCCCACAAAACCATTCAGTCCTCCTAGGCCTCCAGGCCTGTAATGGGAGGGGCTGCCAAGAAAGTCACCAAAAAGCTTTTGAGGCCTTCTCCCCATTGTTTTGGGTCTTAACACTTGGCTCCTTTTTTACTTATGCAAATTTCTGCAGCCTGCTTGAATTCCTCCCCTGAAAATGGGCTTTTCTCTTCTACCACATGGGCAGGCTGCATACTCTCCAAACTTTTATGCTCTGCTTCCCCTTTAAATATAAGTTCCAACTTTAGGTTATTTCTTTGGTCACACACATGAGCATAGGTTGTTAGAAGAAGCCAAATTTTGAATGCTTTACTGCTTAGAAATTTCTTCTGCCAGATACCCTAAATCATTTTGGCACTAGGGACCAGTTTCATGGAAAACAATTTTTCCATGGACAGGGTGGAGGGGGTTGGTTTCAGGAGGAAACTGTTCCATCTCAGATCATCAGGCATTAGTTAGAGTCTCATAAGGAGCATGCCATCTAGATCCCTTGCATGCACAGTCCACAAAAGGGTTCATGCTCCTGTGAGAATCTAATGCTGCCACTGATCTGGCAGGAGGCAGAGTTCAGGTGGTAATGCTCACTCGCCTGCTGCTCACCTCTTGCTGTGCAGCCCAGTTCCTAACAGGTTATGGACTGGCACCAGTTGGTAGCCTGGAGGTTGAGGACCCCTGCTCTAAATAATCATTCTCAAGTTCAAAGTTCCACAGATCCCTAGAGCAGGGTCACAATGCAGCCAATTTCTTTGCTAAGGCATAACAAAAGGGACTTTTGCTCCAGTTCCCAAGAAGTTCCTCATTTCTGTCTGAGACCTCCTCATCCTGGCCTTCACTGTCTATATCACTATCAGCATTTTGCTCACAACCATTTAACTGGTTTCTAGGAAGTTCCAAACATTCCTTCATCTTCCTGTCTTTTTCTGAGCCTTCCAAAGTCTTCCAACCTCTGCCTGTTTTCCAGTTCCAAAGTCACTTCCACACTTTTAGATATCTTTATACAGGTATCTTTTATACCTAAACATGTGGAAGTGGTATCAATTTTCTGTATTATTCATTCTCGCATTGCTATAAATAAATACCTGAGACTGGGTAATATATTTTTTTAAAAAGAGGTGTAATTGGTTTATAGTTCTGCAGGCTACAGAAGAAGCATAGTGGCTTCTGCTGCTAGGGAGGCCTCAGGAAGCTTCCAATCATGGCAGAAGGCAAAGGGGGTGTGAGATATCTCACATGGCAGGAACAGGAGCAAGAGAGACATGGGGGAAGTGCTACATACTTTTAAATGGCCAGATCTCATGAGAATTCACTCACTGTTAGAAGGACAGTACCAAGGAAGATGGTGCTAAACCATGCATGAGAAACCCACTGCCATGATCAAATTACCTCTCACCAGGCCCTACCTCCAATATTGGGATTACAATTTGACATGAGATTTGAACAGGGACACAGATCCAAACTATATCATCCACCCTCCTCTGAACCCCAGAAAGGCTGGCTTTTGTGGGGTACATCAACTGGGAAGCCCCACCATCTGGCTTATGGTTGGATTTTACCAAGGAGAGTTTCTGGCAGAAGCTAAGAGGGTGGGCAAGCAGACAAGTGGGAGTATTTGTTCCCCTGGCTCCTCCACCCTCCCTACCAGGTTGAGGTTGATTCTGGCTGCTTTCCTCTACCTAAGGCCCCAGCTCCTGTTGAGTGGCCCTCTCTTATAGCCATGGGACTCTCTGATGTCTGGGAACTCTTCCACTCCTTTTGAGAGTGCCATCTGTTTCCTGCCCAGAGCCTGGCTGGCAAAACTCCTAATCATGATCCTTGGGCTCAAATTTCACCTGTCACCATCCAACCCACCCTCAAAGCTGCTTTCTGAGAGAGCTTGCTAAAGCTCAGAACATGTCACTATTTAAACACTGATGGGCCCTCATTGCCTCATGGGGGCTGAAATGTAAACGCCTTCTTCAGGTAGATTCAAGTTCCTGCACAATCTGGCCCCTGTTTACATTCTGGCCAACCTCCTACTGCTCCCTATAATGAAGCCAATGCTTTGGCAAGGCCAGGAAGCCTGCACTTCACACTGCACGTGCCTTGCACACTCAGGGCTCACTGCCTGTGCACCCTAAAGCTCATTGCTCCTCCTTCTGTGCCTGAAGAATGTGCATCCTTCAAGGATTGGCCGGCCCAACTATTGTGTCTTCTAGAAGATATCACTGATCTTTCACTTCTCCCAGCCCAGGGTGAATTACATGCCCCCATGCAGGTTGTATTGATCACCAAGCCAAGACTTATCCCAGCATCTGGTGGTTAGATTGCTTGTTTGTCTTTACCATAAGCTAATGAGTTCTTTGAGGGCAGAGGTAACGTGTCTAATTCATCTCTCCATCTGTAGCAGACCCTGTTGGTGTCTAATCCTCAGCCTGTATCACCTTGGCCGACCCAAGTTACCTGCAGCCACAGTGTATGGTTCAAAGTACACTGATAACTTCCAACCTCAAGAGCCTGCCTTTTTTTGCTTCTGTGTCTCAGGGTTTCCCCAGAACCTTGGGAGCATGATCTGCTGCAGTAGGCATAACCCTGTAATGTAAGGAAATTAATACCTCTGGGGCCAAAGAAGTTAACACCCTAGGGATGGGAGTTGGTGGATTGATGCCCCAGGCTTTCGGTCCTCTTTTAAGAGTATTCCCAGGATGTTCCACATGGTGCCTCAGAGAGTCCTCAGGGAGATGGCGCCTAAGTTGCCCAGTGGTAACCTGCTTATTAACGTCAATAGCTTTTCTTCCTTCCCTGCCACACTTTTCTCATTCCCTTGATTGTGCCTCCTAGGTATTCTCTTGAATAAACAATCTGTATCTTAGACCTTGTCTCAGGCTTACTTTTGGGGGAACCCAAACTAGGACAGCATCATCAACACCCACACAGTGCCTGGCACATAGTAGCAGACTAATAAATCAAACAAGAATACATGATTAAGAACACAAAATCTGCTGACCCAATTTGGCTATATGAAGACCTCTCTGGCATTCAGAAACTGTGCTGTTTTGAGCAGTCAGGGATCCTCTTAGCCAGGAAGATGCCACCCACATTTTAGGGGGCAGCCTGAGCCTTTTCCCAAGCAAGATGCCTCCTGGGGAGACTAGTGCAGACAGGCAGTTCTGATTATGTATGCAAATACAGGTCTGGCCCTGAAGCTTATTTGAGAGCCACACAGCTCAGCTAAGCCACCCTGGAGAAAGAATCTTACAAAGAATACTAAAGAGCATCCAAGTGTGAAGAATGAAACACACGTGAGTTTTCTTTTTTAAAAAATGGAAATCAAATTGTACTTTCATCTTGGCTTTCTTACAAGTCGGCAGTCCCCAAATAAGCCCTAAAAAGGCAGAAAAAAATATTTTATCCAGCTTTCTGACCTGGATTTAGACAAGCCATTAACCTTATTAGAGCGAACCTCATGAAATATTATGTGTCTATTCCCAGAGATGAGCCCCAAGAGGATGAGGAAGGGAGAGGCTGGTGGGGGTCTGATTCTCATCTCCACCTTAACAGAATGCACATGAAGTCCAGCCATGGTGTAGCCAAGGAGACCCACTAAGACCACCAAAAGCTTGGAAATGAGGATGCAGGGGCAAAGGACGGCATTATAGGCGGTAAGAATAGCATGCACAAAGTCATGCTACTGTGTGGGGTGTTGGGGATGGAGGGAAAAGAAATAAGAATGAGAAAGTAAGCATGGGCTTTATCACAAAAGGCCCTGTGCATCTTTCCTGGGAAATTCCATGAGGGATCCCTGAAGCGGGTCCAGGAAGCCAGTTTTGAGACTATTGCAATAATCCACATGGGTGCTGAAACCAAAGAGGTTGCATATGAATGCAATAAGCAGAGATGGATTTAAGGGGTTTGAAGGAGGTAGAATGAAAAGGACTGGGTTGGGACAGTGTTAACCAGATGGAAAATGTGGTCCTTTAGTGAGTCAGTGTATCCAAGAGAGAAAAATGAAAGAGGCTATTTTGATGGTGGTAGTGATAGTGTGGGCTGGTGAGCTCATTTTGGATCTAATAGATTTGAAGCACAGGTGAGAACCTCCAGATGGATGTGTCCTGTGAGCAGTTCAAGGGATAGTCTCAGAGGAGACATGAATTTTGCAATTATCAGCATGTAGATGGTAATTGAAGCCATGCGAGCAGATGAGTTTATCCAGGGAAAGTGAGCAGAAGGAGGAACAAAGAAGGTTGAAGACAAAATCCAGGAAAGATAAACATTAAAGGAGTGGAGCCAGAAAAGGAGATTGAGGAATAGTTGAAGAGTTCAGAGAACAGGAGATGGTTTAAGGGAAGTCAAGGGAGTAGGGAGATTCTGTAAATTGGCAAACAGTGTCAAATGCTACATAGACGCCTAGAAAAGTGAAGACTGAAAACTATTCTCTGTATCCTATTATTGTCTCAGTGAGTTCTTGACTTGGTGCTTGGCATTCCATATGTACCTCTCAATTGTTGGGGGAGGAGGGTTTATTGACCAGTTTATGGGCTACCCAGGCCCTTTGTCTGCTTTCTTTTGAGTCATTTCACAGTTTATCAGCCCTTCAACCAAAGGCTGGACAAGGGAAATAAACTTTCCCCAGTCAATTTTATGACATAATCTATCAGTTCTTTGGAAAGACTTAGCTGAGGAATAATGTGAAATGATTAGTTGGTTTCCATTTGTTGTTGTTGGATTGTCTATGAATTTCATTGTTCAAGGAAGGGCTGGTGGTCTTCTTTGGAGTCAGCCATCCTCTTTCACTACATACACAAAATAAATATCACATGGATTAAAGAGAGACATATAATTTTTAAAATATCTAGTAGAAAAACCAGAAGGAAATAGAAGTGTACATTTAGCAAACCTCTGGGGGAAGAAGAACTTTCTATGTGTTGAAATGACAGAAGACACCAGAAAGGAAAGAGACTAACCAGTTTAACTTTATAGTTATTCTTAGTTAAAAATATTTGTTTATATATATAACATACATGCACACAACATTTATAAAATACTGCAGCAAATTTATTTTTATATAGAAATCAGAAAATGGAGAGAAAACAAAAGCATTCAGTTGTTAATATTTCAATGGGCAAAGAACAAGAGTAGATAATTTGCCAAAGAGAAAATACAACTAGTTCACAAACATTTAGAAGAATGTCGTGCCTCACTAGTAAGAAAATAATTGCAAATTAAAATAATGAGGTGCCATTTTTTCCTATAAAATTGCCTAAAATCTTACCTAGTGCTGCTGAGGGTGTGGCAAAATTATTGCTGACAATGATGTCAATTAATAAAACTATGTTGGGAAGGCATTTGGTAAACACAAATTAAGATCCATAAAAATGTTCATATGGCTAGACTTAGCAATTCCACTTCTATCCAAAGGAATCTAGTCTAAAGACAAGATCATAAATCTGAAAAACACTGTATGCAGGGGAATACTATAACAGCAGCAACACAAATACCAAATCTAAACTTTCAGCTACAAGGGACTGATAGAATAAATTGTGGTGCATTTACCAGATGAAACATTATGAATATATTTAAAATGATGGCTAGGATGATTGGATAGTACCATGGGCGAAGAAACGTTGTATAATGTTGACTGGGAAGGGGAAGAAAATTTGCTTAAAGCAGTATGTGATAATTACATAGATTCATACTCACAAACACACACAAATTAAAACATGAAAAGAGGCAAGGTGAAAATACACCCAAACACTATGTCACAATGCTGCTTTTGAGTGAATTTTTTTTTTCTTTTCCATATTTTCCATATAGTGAAGTGACTAAACCTGGATTCAGGGGATCAAATACTCTTGGATTCAAATCCAGTTTTATCATTTGCTGTGTTATATTGGGTAAATTATTTAATTGAAGCTTTAAGTTTCTTTTTCTGTAAATGGAGAATTATAACATCTGCCTCATAGGAGTGTTACGAGGATTAAATGGGAAAATGTAGGAAAAGTGCTTGTCATTGTGACCAGAACATAGTAAGCTATCAATAAATAAGAAGTTTTATTATTGTAGTTATTATTACTTAGATAATGCAAAGAATCCTACAGTTTTAGAAACTTGCTGAACCCCATGGACTAGGAAGTATGCCCTAAATCTAAATAATACTGTCTTTTATTTCATGCCCTCCCTCTGTCACAGTCAACCACCAAGATAGAGTTTCAGAGTTAATTTTAGGAGGGAAATGTTTTCTTTGCTTAACGAATGTGAACTTCTTCATTTTTCTGGTTTGTTTTTCTTTCAAGTTGTTTTTACATCAACACCACCCGGGCAGGATGCGCCAGGTGACAAGACTGTGGGAAATTTCACATAAAAATAACTTTCGCATTTCACACACTGAGATGCCAGGCCTCAGGGCACTAACAGGCTGGGTCACTCAACATGCCCAACATTTCTTATTATCTCAAGTCTGGGTGACTCCTTTTTTGTTCTCCACACTCTCAAGCCTTTCTTTCTCTTTTGGTGAGCATTAGCAACCGCCAGGGATTTTGTGGGATGTCCTAGCAAGAAACCTTAGCAACACAGGGATCAGAGGACCTGAGTAAGACTGTATGTGAGTATGTGGGTGTGTGTGTGTGTTGGGTGAGCTTCATGAGAAAGGCCAGTGCTATGATTTGAATGTCCCCTCCAAACTCATGTTGAAATGTAATTGCTATTATAACAGTGTTGAGAGGTGGGCCCTTTAAGAGGTTATTAGGTCATGAGAGCTTTGCTCTCATGAATGGATTAATCCCATTATTGCAGGAGTGGGCTAGGCATTGTGGGAGTTTGGCTCCCTTTTTCTTCCTGTCTCATATGCTCATTTTCCCTTTTGCCATGGAATGATGAAGCATGACGGCTTTCACCAGATGACTGTGCCATGTTCTTAGACTTCCCAGCCTCTAGAAACATGAGCCAAATAAAGTTATATTCTTTATTCTAAAGTTCTAAATTACCCAGCCTGTAGTATGCTGTTATAGCAGCAGAAAGGAAGACAACCAGGTAGGAAGTAGGTAAAGGCAGAATCCTAGTGGGTAGAAAAGGGCCAAAGCAAATAATGTGTGTACACTTCTTTTCTGGCCATGTTCTGTGTACATGTGAAAGCTGCCAGCTCAGAAATTTTCTTCCTTAACCACCATTTCCTATCCTCTCACTCTCTCATTTCTTTGATCTAACCCTCCTGTGTCCACCAGGCCCCCAGGCTCTCCTCTTCTCCCATTCCTCAGTAAACACTCTCTCCTCTCTTTCCCAGACTGGCTTGGACATCCCCCACTGCCAGTCGTTAGCATCATGACCTTATCAGCATCCTCAGTATCCTTCCACCTTGGTCTTTCTACCAGAGTACCAAACCTTTGTTTTTCCCCTCCAATACCAGTCACCCTGTTGGAAAGAATCTTACAACTGTGTCTCAGAAGGAGATTGTAAACTGATCTTTTTCCACTTCAGCAGAACTACTGACAAAGGGTGGTCATCTTTTACCCAGCCTAGGGAATCCCCACCCAGCCCCACTGTCCCCACTCACCATTTCCCATTAAGGTGGCTGCTCCTAACTTTTTCTTCTCTCCTCAAGCTCACAACCCAGTTACAGCTCCCTCAGTCTTGTTACGTGCCCTAATTTCCTAATTGGAAGACAAATCAAAGGCAAGTTGAGGCATAAATTCTCCAGATTCCATCTCCCCTGCCTTCAAACTTTACTTTTTTCTGTTTTTCATTCTTTTCTGAAGAAAAGCATCCCCTTTCCTTGCCAAGAATAACTCCTTTTCCTTGTTCAGAATGACACCTCCCTTGTCCTGATTCTTAGCTATGTGTAGCTAACATGCTATGAGCAATTCACTCTGTTCCAGCCACACTTTCAATATTTTATCTTCTACTGAGAACAACTCTAAAAGGTTTGCTCTATTATTTTCTTCATTTTAAAGGTGGGAAAACTGAGGTGCAAAGAGGAGAAGCAACTTACTCAAGGCTACCCAGTAGTGATTAGGAGAGTGAGGACTTGAACACAGACCATCTGGCTCCAGGGCCCATTTTCTTGGCAACTGCATGATGCTATCCCTCTTAGTTTTCTCAGGAAATTTGTTCCACCAATTATTTCTTTAATCTCTGCAATCTAGTCCTCTCTACACATTCAATTTATCTCTTTTCCTAAAATAAACGCTTGCTTCCTACACTTCCTCTTCAAGGTGCCCTGTGCCCTTAAAATACCAAATTACCTATGAAAATATACAACATGCTCTCTCTAGCTCCTTATTGCTATTTTACCCCATGCTCGTCTCAACCTAACTTTTTGTCCCACCACACCCCTGAAAACTGAAAGCCTTATTGAGACTATATTTTCCAAGATGGCCATAAAACGCTTTCCCATACCATGTGATCACCTTATAATGTGACATTGCCAGTCCTTTCTTCAAGACACGGGGTTTATGTTCCCCCCAACCCTGAATCTGAGCATGTCTATGACTGTAGTGGAATGACAGTGTGTGATTTCTTCAGCTTTCACCTGTTGAGGTACTCACTCTTAGAATCTAGCCACCATGCTGTAAGGAAGCCTGCCCAGCAGCCACACAGAGTGGCCACATGTTGGTGCTCTGGCTGATAGCTCAGCTAAGGTTCCAGCCAGCAGCCCGTATCTACTATCAGACATGTGTGTGAAGATGCTTCCAGATCATTCCAGCCCCCAGACTTTGAGTCTCCTTAGTGAGGCCCTGACATCGTGGGGTAAAGACAAGCTATCTCTGCTGTGCCCTGTTTGAAACTGAGAGATAATAAAATGATTGCTATTGTTTTAAGGGACTAAGCTTTGGGATAATATATCATGCAGCAATAGAAACTGGAGCAGACTCCAACAATTACCAAGACTAATAGTATCTTTATAATACTCATCCCACCAGGCTTATCTTCAGTATTTAACTTGGGCCATTTCTTTCTCCTCAAATTCCTCTCCTCAATGACTAGAAGACACTAAAAAGACACAACTAAATGTAGAACATGATATCATGGATTGGATCCTGGAACATAAAAAAATGACACTAGTGGAAAAACTGGTGAACATGCATGAAATCAGTAGTTTAGTTAATAGTATTGTGCTTATGTTAATTTTCTGATTTTGATATGTGTACTACAGTTAGGCAAGTCATTAAAATTATGGAAAACAGAGTGAAGGGTATATGAGAATGCTGCACTATTTTCACAACTTTTCAGTAAGTCTAAAATGATTTGAAAATATAAAGTTAAATAATAACAAGAATAGCACACAAAATAATGATAATATTTATGAAAAAATCTCTTCTCACTTGGCATCTGGTTTCTCAGTTTCCTTGTTTCCCATTGGTAAGCATTCTTTGTTGCCACCCTAATGTCTCATGCTACCCAGCATTCTATTTTGCCCTTCTGGTCTCTCTATGCACCCCTTATGCCCCAGCCACACCTACCACCTGAAGGGTACCTTTTCTGAGTTCTGGACTGAATACCACCTGCCTTTAGTATTCCAGATTCACCTGTTTCTCAGGCAAAATCGAGATTATTGCTTCTCGCATCCTCTTCCTCTGGCTGCACAGTCTGGTTCCTCTTGCTCCATCTTAGCAAGTAACCTCACTGTCAACTCTGTGGCCCCTGGTAGAAACCTCAGTTACACTAATGCAAATGACTCAACCACCTAAATTGTTTTTAAATTTTGTCATCTCCACTCCACTCCTACAGCCAGATGCCTGCCCTCTCTTATTTAGAATAATGAAATCGTCTTCTAACTGGTTCTTCTGCCTCTTGTTTCTTTCCTCTCTCTCAGCTTAATGAGTATCACCAGAGATTATTCTGTAGTACAAATCATGGTCATGGCACTTTGATGATTCTGGCTTTTTGGAATGAAGTTCAACCTCCATAGCATGGGATGCAAAATCTTTCTCAAGACTGGTCCCAGATAACCTATCCAACCTTACCTCCTAGCAGTCTTTTTCCCATTTCCACCATCTTAAGTATCAGCTGTTCACAACAATTCACAAAACTTCAGAGTGTTTCTTCACACCTGCAAATCCTTGTTTAGGCTGCTTCCTCTGCCAGGAATGACTGGTGAAATCCATAATATCTTCCAGGCCCAGCTCAAATGCCCTCTCATCTAGGCACTGTTTTCTGATGCTTCCAGTCAGTTCATCATTAATTCTTCCTGTTCTATTTCCCTAGTAAACTTTTTATCAAATGATATTATCTTTATATGCTAAATTGTGAATGTCCAGAGGATATAGAGTGGGACTTACTCACCACTATATCTCTCAATAAATGTTGAATGAATAAAGAATCAGATAGATATGTAAATGGATGAATGGATTCTGGGAGGGTGGTGTGTGGGTGGAAGGATGAGTGAATGGAGAGGTGGTGGGTAGGATAGATAAGTAGGTGGGAGATGGGTGGGTTTGTGAATGAATAGCTAGGTGGATGGTGGATAGAAGGAGACATGGATAGGTGGTGGCTGACAGTGAGATAGAGGGCATGTGATTGGATGGATGGTCGGTGGATGCATGGATATAGAATGGGAGGCAAGTTGGTGGAGCAATAGGTGGATGGGTGGTGAATATGTGGATTGGATATGGGAGTGGTTGTAAGACACTGGATGGATGACAGATGAGTGGTGGGTGAGGGAATGCATGAGTGGAGAGTGGAATTTTGGGTTGATATCAAGAAAAATCTTAGCGGAAATAAAAAAGCCTTACCAAAGAGTTATGTGTCCTGAAGTCATGTGGTTCAGGGTGGGCTCAATGTCAACTCAAGTCCACCCTACCAATCTAACTCAAACTTAGGGCTCTTGGGGCAGAAACCTGTGCTGGTCATCCCTACCTTCCAGAGTCAACCACAGTTTCTGCCTTCCTCAAAACAGAGGCTTAATCAAGTCTTGTTAAGTGGAACTAATTTCTTCCCAATTACCTTCCTCTAACATCTAGAAACAGAGGGCTTAAAGAACTGTCCCTTGTTTGGTTCAGGGGAGAGGTCTGGCCTGCCCTTAGTCCTGCCTAGCCTGCCACTGCTTTGTTCTTCCTTTTTCAACAGGGACCAAGGGTCTTCTTTTACCTTTTCTGGGCACAAACTTTGTCATCTCTAATATGAGTCTTGGGCTAGGTCAGTTTGGCTAGCTTGACATCTCTTGACCCAGGATACAAAGGAGGTAAGTAATGAGAAGGCATCCACTGTTGTCAGTATTTCCAAAATCCAGATGGGGAACCATGTGCTTGTCTTTGAGAAGCCCACCAGGCAACTCACAAGTCAAATACTTTTGCTTTGGGCTTGCATTACATCTTTTCTGGAAGAAACATGGGCAAACTTCAGATTATGCTAATCAGAAGCCCTGCTTTATAATTTTATTGCTTTTTATTTTAAAAACTGAAAATGAGTGAATTATTACATAATAGTTGTAGCTAAGTTGCAAAATCCTTCCAAATGTGATGATCATATGATCATGGGGGGAATGTCTATCTCCTCATGGTCCTGAAATTCAGCTGGCCCACCCACATTGCCCAGACCACTGGCCTATTACTGGTAATTATTGGCCTGCTCTCCCAGACCCCCAGCTCTGCCCCAAATTCCAGATATGCCACTGTGACTTGCAGATTCATGGCTCCCCTGGGTCTACACCTGCTTTTGGTCCACATGGTTTGCGGAAGCTTCCATAGTCTCCTTCCTTTGAAATACTGGTTACTTTCTTATTAAATACTCTCTACAACCTCCTCAAATGAGAGATCCTGTCCTTTTTCCTGTGCCGTTGCTCCCCTCTGCCCAAATTCACCTTTCCTCCCTGCCCAAGACTGCACTGAAGAAGAATGTGGATTGGGATCCATAGAAGCCGGGGCCTCTGAGGTCCCTTCTCTCCAGAAACCTCCCTCAGCATTGTGAGAGGGACCTTCATGATTCAAAGCCAGAGCTGTTGTAGCCACTGAGGGCTGAACCATAGGTGACATCCCAAATTCCAAACATGTGGTCTAGGCCTTTGCTTCTCAAAGTGTGGCACCTCGACCAGCAGCATCAGCAGCAGCTGGGAGCTGGTTAGAAATGCAGAATGTCAGGCTCCACCCAGACATCCTGAATCAGAATCTGAATTTTAACAAGATCCCCAGGGGATTCCTGTGCACCGTTAACTCTGTGAAGCCCCGGGCTAGATGACAAAATCTCAGTGTGATTTAGCCAATAAGTCCAAATTCTCACCAGCTCCAAAATGTCTTACCATTCACCCGTCAACAAAAGTCACCCACACCCCCATGAAATTGCCACCCCAAGAAGTATCTTTATTGTAAAAATACTATCAAAACCCTGGGTAGCATACTCAGCCTTTTATACCTTAGTATAATTTGGTTTTCAGCCACAAGCAATGGAGTCACCCAGCATAGCTCTGAGGAAATGGGATGATAAACAGGTAAGCTTTGGCAGGAAAGACAAAGGGAGCTAGAAGGGTTAGAGCACAGCCAGATGAGCATTTGGTGGTGGGGGAGGGGGAGGAGTAGGGGCATGGAATGAGGTAAGGAAGTGCAGCTGGAGGGGGTGAGCAGACCTCAATTGAGGAAATAGGGGAATGACTGTGATCCCCCCTACCAAATTCATATGTTGAAGCCTTAATCCCCAGTACCTCAGAATGTGACCATATTTGGAGACAGGGCCTTTAATGATACGATTAAGTTAAATGAGGCTATTAGATTGGGTCCTTTATCCAATAGGGCTGATGTCCTTATAAGAAGAGGAAATTTGGACACAGAGAAAGACATCAGGGGTGCACATGCAGGACACAGGATGCCAGGTGATGGGCAGCCCTCTGCAAGGCAAGGAGAGAGGCCTCAGAAAAAAACTCTGCCAACACCTTGATCTTGGACTTCCAGCCTATTGAATTGTGAGAAAATGCATTTCTGTTGTTTAAACCACCCAGCCTGTGGCACTTTGTTATGGCAGCCCACGCAAACAAATACATCACCTTGGCCTGTTTCGTTGTTTTACCCAGAACTAGTAGAGGAAAGAAGCGTGTCATCTCTGTTAGGGGTGTCCCCTCCACACACAGAGCCTGCTTCTCCTCACAATGAGTTTTGGGAATAAATGTAGGCCAGCTGAACCCAGAACAAAAGCTTGCTGCTCCTTAATGTTTCCTCTCATACTCTTATGCACACTCCCCATAAAAGTGCCTGCACTGTTATAGCCAGTTGCGTGGGTTCTTTAAATGGGAAGAGGTCTGAGCACCTTATAATAAAAATAGCTAACACTTCCTTCCATAGCACCTACTTTGTTCCAGGCACTGCTTTCATCAGCATTGTATGCATATTAAGCCACCTAACTTTGTGAAGTAGGTTATTGTATTTATTGTCTGCAGTGAAAACTGTATGCCTCCCTCAAATCCCCCAACCTCTTTAGGAGCAACAGTTTCTTTTTCTCTACCCCTCTCCCCACCCTCTTGCTGGGATGGCTGTCTGCAGATGGTCCTAAGCTATCAGTCTCTTCAAGAATGCCTCAGTTCAAAAGAGTCAGCAAACCTCATGCAACTACTGATCAATACAGGAGTATAAAAGCTCAACCCTGCACCCCCAACCCTGGATCATCCCAATGTCAGATCCCCCCAAGAGGGAGTCTGCTGAAGCGTTCATTGATGTGACTCCTTTACATCTGTACTTCTCCCTCGGCCTACACTGCTTCCTTCCCTACCCTTTCACAAGTGTTGGTGTGGAGAGTGTGCCCTAATTACCTTCTTGCATGCCAGTCTCCATCTTAGGATTGGCTTCCTGGACAATTGAATCTTCCACATCTCACTTTTACAATTCAAGAAACTGAGGCCCAGAAAGAGGTTACACAATTGTTCCAAGGCCACACCATTAGCAAGTGATAAAGCCAGGTCTTGAGCCCATGCAGTCTGGCTCCAGAATTCAAACTTTGAATCACACAATCCCATCCAGTGGATAGCTGATTGCTAACCCTCTCTTTGATGGCAGATGATCCAGAGAAGGTGGCAATCTGGGCTCTCTTATCTTGTCTCCCTGAAAGTCTATTAGGAGTCAAGTGGGATGGATTTCCTCAGGGCTCCGTTCTCCTAAGAGGCAGCCAGCAGACCACCTATGGAGCCTCTCCCAACACCTGCAGCCAGAGTGGCTCTTTCCAGGCCAGGAGTTATGAAGACAGCCTTCTTTCTCTGACCTGTCCCTCCCTGCTGCTGCCCTGCTCATGTAGGAACACAGCATAATTGCTTGCCTTGTGGAAGCGAACCGAATCAGTGTCCCTCTGCTGATAGTGTTAGTGACAGGTGATTGCATCAGGACACTGGAACAGCAGCCAGGGCCCTAATGCCTGTGTTATTTACTGGCCCATCATGTATAATTTCAGAATTTAATTTTATCTTCACAAACTTACAGGTGCAAAATGCAGGATAAAGTTCTTTAAGGGGCCCCTGTGAGAAACCAGGCTACACTTGTCCTCCCTCCCCACATCCGCAAGAGCTCTCAGGGTGGCTCACTCAAATTAAATCATTATTGAGTTGGAATAATCCTGGTAGGTTCAGAAAATCAGTTTTAAATTCAGCCTGCTAGCAAAATTCTGAATGTATTTACTTTCTAGATTTCATTTCTCCATCCATATTAAAGCTCCGTGGCATTATCAATTATGGGTTTATTGCAAAGCACAATAGGATTCAATCTGGAGGATGCCTCAGGGTATGTCTTAGCAGGACGATAAAGCTAATAGTAATGGGTCTACAACTTCTAAGGCTAATTTCCACAGTTACAAATTTCATAAATAAATAGAAGGCATGTCAGCTTCCAGTCACCCAGCTTGAGGTCTCTCAGACTGATAAAAAAGGACCTTCCAGAGATCCGGGGGCTTCTGTCTGAGTCTTGGTGGGCTTGCCTGAAGTTTCTCAGATCCCCAGAGGAAGAGAAATGATGATCACTTCAGATGGAACCCTTTAGGACCCTTGTGCTGCTCCTCTGACCAGGCCATGAGTTGCTTTTGATGAAAATGGACACAAAAGCACAGCCAACCCTGAAATCTGGGAGGCTGGTGGTACAGCATCAGCTCAGAATCCAACCAAACTTTGCAACTTGGTAGGATGGGCTGTTAAGCCCTAGTGCTGCCATGCTTAGCCAGGCTTCAGGACTCCAGACCGGTTGGAGCTGTGTTTGATGCAGTCTGGGGCCCCTGTTGTCCTCCAAAAAAGAACAGGCAGCAAGGACAAGAAGGTGGTGGTGTAAGGGGACAATTTCTACCCTCCTGTCTATTCTCAGCTAGGTGCCTCTTATACAGAGAGGATGGGCCCTATCTACTGCCTCTCTGATGCTTGTACTCACATACCTTCCACCTGGCCTGCAATGTGGTCTCAGACACTCTGTTGTGCAGAGCTGCATCTTCTGGCAAGCCTCAGCTAGAGGTGGTCAGTTTCTTGTGAGCTCAGACTCATCTCCAACTGGCAGCATTCCACCTCATGTACAGACCTCTAGTCTTTCCATTTTCTACGCTAGGCTGCAATAGCACTCTTGGCTAGTGCACACGTAAAACCCAGAAGTGCAAGGTTAACACCTGCAGGGGCAATCTTCAATCAATGCAGCACAGGAATTGGGGATAAATGCTCCTGCCTCATTTCTTTCAGGTGGGCAAGTCCAGAAGCATTCCATATACTTCCCAGGATGTCCTAGCAGGGTCGAATCCTGATTCCCTGTGGAAGGAACCCTAAAACACACTTCTATTGTATTGGCTTTTCCCCCTTTTTTAATCTCCTTCTTCGTGCTGCCTCTCCCTGAGATCACCTCTCAAATGAATGCCCTGCACACAAGTCTAGGACTCAGGTTCTGCTTCCAGAAGAAACAAACTAAGACAGATGCACATCATTGGATTCATTCCTTTGAATAAGATAAAGGCAGGGCATCTTCCCATAGCTCTTGTAAAAATGCACACATGTAACTTGGCAGGGGGAA
Organism: Homo sapiens; assembly: GCF_000001405.40. Taxonomy (NCBI): domain Eukaryota; kingdom Metazoa; phylum Chordata; class Mammalia; order Primates; family Hominidae; genus Homo; species Homo sapiens. Next base: position 39,287,083 of record NC_000023.11, on the reverse strand, counting down.
GAAAAGTCCTCTCCTCTTTCTTATTCATGTGGAAGTTCCACCAAAGGAGTTATTTGTCACCTGGGAAGGCAGAGAGAGGAGAATCAAGAGATGCAAGATCATTAATGGGAGGCTGGAGGGGTGGAAGGGAACAGGACAAAAGAGGCCCTGGGGAACCAGGACTCAGCAAGAGTGACAAGAGCAAGGGCAGGCAACAGATCATGTGCTCTAGGTTGTGTGTGTGTGCACACGTGTGTGTGTGTGTGTGTGTGTGCATGTGCCTATGTAGAGGGGACTTCACAGCTTCCAGACAATATGAAGGTGCATCCTTAGGTGAGAAAGGGCCTGGGTCCTAAGACAGTGTGCTAGGGTCAAGACCCAGTGACAAAACTTTGCCTGAAACTCAATTCTGACTGGACACAGCTTCTGTCCTCAACAGTGACCTCTAGATGCCAGTAGGGTCCATGAGGTTGTACAGTCTCAGCTGTCCCAAATGAGGCAGATAAACAACAATGCCAATGCAGAGATCAGTCAAAAGATGTCTCAGGAGTCTTTGGAAAGTCAACTCAGTCTAAAAACAACACCAATTAGCAGTGGCTGACATTGATTACAAGATTACTATTGTGCCAGGAACTGTTCTAAATTATTTGCCACATATTAGCTATTTAATCCTCATGACAAGCTTATGAGGTAGGTACTATTATTATCCATTATCTACAGATGAGGAAATTGAGGTGGAGTGGCTAAAGTTACATAACCAGTAGTGCTAGACTAGGATTTGAAGCCAGGCAAATATATGAGCAAGACAAGGTATTTGGTGCTTTAGGTACATAGATGTCATGTGGGACACATTTCTGGCTTTCAAGGAGTCTAACATTTATTGGGGGAGACAGACATTCAGACATTTACGCAAATAACAAAGATATGAAGCAAAAGGAAATAAGCCTTATAATAGCCTCTAGGGTACTATCCTCTGTTAAATAGTCTCTGATTCTATGGCTTATGTCTCATTCTGGCTTTTACAAGAACAGGTGCTTGGAAGTTTTGGGGTGGATGTGCTTAGGGTCCCAAGAGTGGATGAGGTTAAGTTGATGTTTTAATTCAGATGAAGTCAAGCCTCGTTGACGCTGCTTGGGAACAGGGCTATGATTTTCCTTTAGGGATACTTGCTGAATCACCCCCATATGCACCTTCATTCATTGAATCATTCATTTATTCTGTAAACCCATATTAACCCCTCTAGCTCCTGTGTGTATATCCCAACTTGTTTCAGGTAGCATAAATATTCTGGAAAATCACACTAGACAGGCTCCCCCTATGCCTGTACCCTGCTGAGTAGGCAGCAGGCCAGGGAACCCAACACACTTCCTGCCCCAGAGTTGACTAGAACAAAAATGGTCACCTGACTTACAGTGGTAGAGCAGGATCGGTAGGTCTTCCATAAGCTATGTTGAGCCAATTAAACTGTGACTCTACAAAACTTGAAGCAAAAGAAGTCTTGTTCTCATCTGTAGTTGATACTGAAACTTGCAAGGGCTTATAGATTCAGGACTTGGTTGGCTGTGATAGGGTAGGCATATTGAGTAAGTGAAGGCATCCTCTCGATGGGAGAGGGAGCCTGAGGAAGGCTCGTGGAGAGAGTCCTGGATGAAGGATATCATATGGCCCCTCAGATAGAGTGAGTCCCTCAGTTCCTGATTTTTTATTCCTGGTTCCAGTTTATAGCAGACTTGCTGGTCTCCATTTTCTGCTCTTGAGATTTTGTGAGATCTGTGTATTGACAAGTAAACCTCCTTCTTATTGGAGCTAGCTGGAGTGGGTTTTTTCCCCCTTACATACAGAAGTTTTTATTATTATTTACTCTTTAGACTAAATGGAATTAACTGTTATATTGTGGTATACTAACAAATAGTAAGAAAACACATAAGAGAAAGCAAGGGAATGTAAATAATAAATGTTTTCTTCTAAAATATAGAAAAATGTTTTCTTTTAAAACATAGAAAGAACAGATGCAAACATATGAAGCCGACATCCAGAGTCTACAATACAATGGGTCAAAGTGGAACAATGATAAACTTTCACAAAAGGGAATATTAACTGTAGATTCATGCCTAGGAAAACATTAAACTTCATAATTACAATTGAATTTATTCATTCAGATATTAAAAATACATTTATTGAATACCCATTATCTGCCAGGAACTTTGTAAAACTTGGGGAATATGGGGTTGAATCTGTCATAGATGATGCCCTCAAAGTGCTTACAGCCTAGACAGGAAGACAGCAAATTAGACAGACAATAACAGTAATGCCTAGAAAGTTCAGGGAATTACAGTAATATAATAATACAAAAATTAGTACAGGCTGGAAATGAAAGAAATGAAACTCCTGAGGTGCCAGGCTCAAATTAAAAGAGAAGTTTGAATAATAAATGTAGGAATTGATGCTGCAGCATCCAGACTTCTATCAGAAAGAATATAGATAGGCCTTAGTAGTTAGGGGTTAGAGTTTGAGTGTGGATGTGAAGTCAGAAAAGATGATCTTGGGCCCTCATAAAATAAGAGAACTGAAACAGATCTTTGCATAAAGCTGATACCTTGTAAGAATGAAAAAGGGTAGCGGACAATTTTGCCATCAGTCCAGGATAGTGGCAAGTATCCTCTTCTCTTTTCCCAGAGCTCTGGGTAGTAAATAAAAAGTCCTTTATAAGAATTCAAAGCCATCTGGAGTGTAAATTTACACTATATGTATGATATAGGAATTCCTCAAGGCAAAAAATTACATAAAAGCTGGCCCTAGAAAACAAAGGCAAAACTCCTCTATAGCAATACTGCCACACTCCAGGGTGAAAAAGCCTCCCATAAAACCACCTAAGAAAGACTGCTGAAGATGACTTCACAAAACAAACAAACAAACAAACAAAAACAACATTACAAGCCATATGAGGACATGATTCACCATGAGGAAGAGTCAGCAAAAAAAACACATAAATAAAATAATAAATAAGCACCCTAAGAACATGAAGTAATAGGACAACTGAGTAAGACTGTTAACAAATTTAAAATAATTAAATCAATAAAAGAAGTGTAAGTCATAATTAAAGAATGTGACAGTATATAAAAACAAAGCAGATACATTCAAAAAACAAATAGAATTTCTGAAAATGAAAAATAAAGTGTTACTGAAATTACAAATCTAATAGATTAGTTGAACAGAATAAGAGACAGAGCCAAAGAAAGGATTTGTGAACCTCAAGATAGAGCAGAAGAAAGCACCTATGATGTATAGTGAGATGAAAATAAAAGAGAGAACAAGGAAGATATGAGAAGGTTCAGTGAATATCTAATAATGTCTCCAGGAATACAGAATAGAGAATGTAAGGGTGTGGCTAAAAGGTATACAAAATGGCAGAGAACTTTTCAGAATGAATGAAATACATGAATCCTCAGATTCAAAAGCACAATGAGTCCTGAGGTAAGTGAAAATTAATCTACAATTAGATGCATCATAGTGAATAGCAATGACAAAGAGGAAATCTCAAAGACAGATCAAGAGAAAAGGAAAAGCATTTACAAGGAGCAACAATTAAATGACAGCAGCAGGTTTTGCAGCAGCATCAATAGAGGCCAGAAGAAAAAATGGCTGAAGAGCAGAGGGAAAAAGAGTTATTAATTCAGAATTTTATACCCATCTCAACTATCACTCAAGAGTGAGAATGGCAGTGATCAAACTTAGCATTACTAATAGTGAGTCCCACATGTGCCTCCTGATATGGTGCAATATGAAATAGGTAGTGTCACCTATGAACTATTCTTGTAAAAAATGTTTAACCTAAAAAGAAAGGAAAAAGGGGGCTCTTCTGGATTAAAAGGGATTTAAGAGACATAACAACTAAATGCCATATGTGATCCTTGGGTTGAGTTTTGATTTGAATGAATCAGCTATAAAAGCCATTTTTGGAACAATTGGAGAAATGTGAATATAGACTGGATGTAAGATGATATTAGAGAATTACCCATAATTTTATTTAGTTTGTATGATAATAATATTATGTTCATGTTTGAAAACTTTGTGTGTGTGTGTGTCTTAACTCTTCTAACTTTTTTCTAAACTATTATTTTAGGTTAAAGGGTACATGTGCAGGTTTGTTATATAGGTAAACTGTGTGTCATGGGGGTTTGGTGTACAGATTATTTTGTCACTCAGATAAGCATAGTACCCAATAGGTAGTTTTTCAATCCTCACCTTCCTCCCATCTTCCACCTTCAAGTAGGCCTTGGTGTCTGCTATTCCCTTCTTTGTGTCAATGTATACTCAATGTTTAACTCCCATTTATAAGTGAGAACATGTAGTATTTGGTTTTCTGTTTCTGTGTTAGTTCATTTAGGATAATGACCTCCAGCTCCATCTATGTTGCTGCAAAGGATATAATCTTATTCTTTTTTAAGGCTGCATGGTATTCCATGGTGTATATGTACCACATCTTTTTTATCCAGTCTACCATTGATGGGCACTTAGATTGATTCCGTGTTTTTGCTATTGTGAATACTGCTGCAAAGAATATACCCATGCATGTGTCTTTACAGCAGAACAATTTATATTCCTTTGTGCATACACAGAATCATGGGGCTGCTGGGTCAAATGGTAGTTCTAAGTTCTTTGAGAAATCACCAAATTGCTTTTCACAATGGCTGAAATAATTTACATTCCCAACAGTAGTGTATAAATGTTCCCTTTTCTCTGCCACTTCTCCAACATCTGTTATTTAATTTTTTTTACTTTTAATAGTCATTCTGACTGGTGTGAGATAGCCATATCATTGTGGTTTTGATTTGCATTTCTCTAATGATCAGTGATGTTGAGCATTTTTTCATATGCTTGTTGGCCACATGTATGTCTTCTTTTGAAAAGTGCCTATTTGTGTCCTTTGTCCACTTTTTAAATGAAGTTGTTTGCTTTTTCCTTGTTAATTTGTTTAAGTTTCTTATATTTACTGGATATTTAACCTTTGTCAGATGCATAGTTTGCAAGTATTTTCTCCCATTCTGTAGGTTGTTTGTTTACTCTGTTGATAGTTTCTTTTGCTGTGCAGAAGCTCTTTAGTTTAAGTCTCATTGCTCAAATTTTGTTTCAATTTCAATTGCTTTTGGTGTCTTCATCATGAAATCTTTGCCAGGGTCTATGTACAGAATGGTATTGCCTAGGTTATCTTCCAGGTTTTTTATAGTTTTGGGTTTTACATTTAAGTCTTTAGTCCACCTTGAGTTGATTTTTGTATATGATATAAGGAAGGAGTCCAGTTTCAATCTTTTGCATATGGCTAGCCAGTTATCCTAACACTATGTATTGAATAGGGAGCCCTTTCCCCATTGCATGCTTTTGTCCACTTTGTTGAAGGCCTGATGGTTGCAGGTGTACAGCTTTATTTCTGGACTCTATTCCATTACATTGGTCTATGTGTTTGTTTTTGTATCAGTATCATGTTATTTTGGTTACTGTAGCCTTGTAGTATTGTTTGAAGTTGAGTAATGTGATGCCTCCAGCTTTGTTCTTTTTGTTTGGGATTGCTTTGGCTATTCAGGCCTTTTTTTGGTTCCACATGAATTTTAAAATAGTTTTATTCTAATTCTGTGAAGAATGCCATTGGTAGTTTGATAGGAATAACATTGAATCTGTAAATTGCTTTGGGCAGTATGGACATTTTAACAGTATTGATTCTTCTTATCCACAAGAATGGAATGTTTGGCCATTTGTTGGTATCATGACTGACTTCTTTCAACAGTGTTTTGCAATTCTCATTGTAGAGATCTTTCACCTTCCTGGTTAGCTGTATCCCTAGGTATTTTATTCTTTTTGTGTCTGTTGTGAATAGGATTGCATTCTTCATTTGGCTCTCAGCTTGGATGTTATTGGTGTACAAAAATGCTACTGATTTTTGATGGCTGGCAAGATGGCTGAATAGGAACAGCTCTGGTCTGCAGCTCCCAGTGAGATCAACACAGAAAGCAGGTGGTTTTTGCATTGCCAACTGAGGTACTTGGCTCAGCTCATTGGGATTGGTTAGACAGTGGATGCAGCCCACGGAGGGCTAGCTGAAGCAGCATGGGGCATCACCTCACCCGGGAAGTGCAAGGGGTTGGGGAAATCCCTCCTCTAGCCAAGGGAAGCTGTGAGAGACTGTGCCATTAGGAACGGTGCACTCTGGCCCAGATACTATGATTTTCCCACGGTCTTCGCAATCCACAGACCAGGAGATTCCCTTGGGTGCCTACACCACCAGGGCCCTGGGTTTCAAGCACAAAACTGGGCAGGCGTTTGGGCAGACACTGAGCTAGCTGCAGGAGATTTTTTTCATACCCTGGTGGTGCCTGGAATGCCAGCAAGACAGAACTATTCATTCCCCTGGAAAGGGGGCTGAAGTCAGGGAGCCAAGTGGTCTAGCTCAGCGGATCCCATCCTCACAGAGCCCAGCAAGCTAAGATCCACTGGCTGGAAATTCTCACTGCCAGCACAGCAGTCTGAAGTCCACCAGGACACTCAAACTTGGTTGGGTGAGGGGCGTCTGCCATTACTGAGGCTTGAGTAGGCAGTTTTCTCCTCACAGTGTAAACAAAGCCACTGGGATGTTCTAACTGAGTGGAGCCCACCACAGCTCGGCAAAGCCGATGTAGCCAGATTGCCTCTCTAGATTCCTCCTCTCTGAGCAGGGCATCTCTGAAAGAAAGGCAGCAGCCCCAGTCAGGGGCTTATAGATAAAACTCCCATCTCCCTGGGACAGAGCACCTGGGGAAAGCGGTGGCTGTGGGCACAGCTTCAGCAGAGTTCAATGTTCCTGCCTTCCAGGTCTGAAGACAGCAGCGGATCTCCCAGTGCAGCACTGGAGATCTGCTAAGGGACAGACTGCCTCCTCAAGTGGGTCCCTGAATCCCATGCCTCCTGACTGGAAGACACCTCCCAGCAGGGGTCGACAGACACCTCATACAGGAGAGCTCCAACTAGTATCTGGTGGGTGCCCCTCTGGGACGAGGCTTCCAGAGGAAGGAACAGGCAACAATCTTTGCTGTTATGCAGCCTCTGCTGGTGATACCCAGGCAAACAGGGTCCAAAGTGGACCTCCAGCAAACTCTAGCAGACCTGCAGCAGAGGGGCCTGATTGTTAGAAGGAAAACTAACAAACAGAAAGGAATAGCATCAATATCAACAAAAAGGACGTCCACACAGAAACCCCATCTGAAGGTCACCAACATCAAAGACCAAAGGTAGATAAATCCACAAAGATGAGGAAAAACCAGTTCAAAAAGACTGAAAATTCCCAAAACCAGAATGCCTCTTCTCCTACAAAGGATCATAACTCCTCGCCAGCAAGGGAACAAAACTGGGTGGAGAATGAGTTTGACAAATTGACAGAAGTAGGCTTCAGAAGGTAGGTAATAACAAACTCCTCTGAGCTAAAGGAGCATGTTCTAACTCAATGCAAGGAAGCTAAGAACCTTGAAAGAAGCTTAGAGGAATTGCTAACTAGAATAATCAATTTGGAGAAGAACATAAATGACCTGATGGAGCTGAAAAACACAGCATGAAAACTTTGTGAAGCATACACAAGTATCAATAGCCTAATCGATCAAACAGAAGAAAGGATATCAGAGATTGAAGATCAACTTAATGAAATAAAGCATGAAGACAAGATTAGAGAAAAAGAATGAAAAGAAATGAACAAAGCCTCCAAAAAATATGGGACTATGTGAAAAGACCAAACCTATGTTTGACTGGTGTACCTGAAAGTGACAGGAAGAATGGAACCAAGTTGGAAATACTCTTCAGGATGTTATCCAGGAGAACTTCCCCAACCTAGTAAGACAGGCCAACATTCAAATTCAGGAAATAGAGCACCACAAAGATACTCCTTGAGAAAAGCAACCCCAAGACACATAATCATCAGATTTACCAAGGTTAAAATGAAGGAAAAAATGTTAAGGGCAGCCAGAGAGAAAGGTTGGGTTACCCATGAAGGGAAGCCCATCAGACTAACAGCAGATATTGTTTTTTTTTCTTTTTTTATTTTATTTTATTTTATTTTATTTATTTATTTATTTTTTTATTGATCATTCTTGGGTGTTTCTTGCAGAGGGGGATTTGGCAGGGTCATAGGACAATAGTGGAGGGAAGGTCAGCAGATAAACAAGTGAACAAAGGTCTCTGGTTTTCCTAGGCAGAGGACCTCGCGGCCTTCGGCAGTGTTTGTGTCCCTGGGTACTTGAGATTAGGGAGTGGTGATGTCTCTTAACGAGCATGCTGCCTTCAAGCATCTGTTTAACAAAGCACATCTTGCCCCGCCCTTAATCCATTTAACCCTGAGTGGACACAGCACATGTTTCAGAGAGCACAGGGTTGGGGGTAAGGTCACAGATCAACAGGATCACAAGGCAGAAGAATTTTTCTTAGCACAGAACAAAATGAAAAGTCTCCCATGTCTACCTCTTTCTACACAGACACGGCAACCATCCGATTTCCCAATCTTTTCCCCACCTTTCCCCCCTTTCTATTCCACAAAACCGCCACTGTCATCATGGCCCGTTCTCAATGAGCTGTTGGGTACACCTCCCAGACCGGGTGGTGGCCGGGCAGAGGGGCTCCTCACTTCCCAGTAGGGGCGGCCGGGCAGAGGCGCCCCTCACCTCCCAGACGGGGCGGCTGGCCGGGCGGGGGGCTGACCCCCCCACCTCTCTCCCAGACGGGGCGGCTGGCCGGGCAGAGGGGCTCCTCACTTCCCAGTAGGGGCGGCTGGGCAGAGGCGCCCCTCACCTCCCGGATGGGGCGGCTGGCCAGGAGGGGGGCTGAACCCCCACCTCCCTCCCGGACGGGTCGGCTGGCTGGGCGGGGGGCTGACACCCCCACCTCCCTCCCAGACGGGGCGGCTGGCCGGGCCGGGGGCTGACCCCCCGCCTCCCTCCCAGACGGGGCAGCTGGCCAGGCAGAGGGGCTCCTCACTTCCCAGTAGGGGCGGCCGGGCAGAGGCACCCCTCACCTCCCGGACGGGGCAGCTGGCCGGGCGGGGGGCTGACCCCCCCACCTCCCTCCCAGACGGGGCGGCTGGCCGGGCGGGGGGCTGACCCCCTCACCTCCCTCCCGGACGGGGCGGCTGGCCGGGCAGGGGGCTGACCCCCCCACCTCCCTCCCGGATGGGGCGGCTGGCTGGGCGGGGGGCTGACCCCCCCACCTCCCTCCCGGATGGGGTGGCTGGCCAGGCAGAGGGGCTCCTCACTTCCTAGTAGGGGCAGCTGGGCAGAGGCGCCCCTCACCTCCCGGACGGGGCGGCTGGCCGGGCAGGGGGCTGACCCCCCACCTCCCTCCTGGACGGGGCGGCTGGCCTGGCGGGGGCTGACCCCCACCTCCCTCCCGGACGGGGTGGCTGCCAGGCGGAGACGCTCCTCACTTCCCAGATGGGGTGGCTGCTAGGCGGAGGGTCTCCTCACTTCTCAGATGGGGCGGCTGGGCAGAGACGCTCCTCACCTCCCAGATGGGGTCGCGGCCGGGTAGAGGCACTCCTCACATCCCAGACGGGGCAGTGGGGCAGAGGCGCTCCCCACATCTCAGATGATGGGCGGCCGGGCAGAGATGCTCCTCACTTCCTAGATGGGATGGCGGCCGGGAAGAGGCGCTCCTCACTTCCTAGGTGGGATGGCGGCCGGGCAGAGACGCTCCTCACTTTCCAGACTGGGCAGCCAGGCAGAGGGGCTCCTCACGTCCCAGACGATGGGCGGCCAGGCAGAGACGCTCCTCACTTTCCAGAGGGGGTGGCGGCCGGGCAGAGGCTGCAATCTCGGCACTTTGGGAGGCCAAGGCAGGCGGCTGGGAGGTGGAGGTTGTAGCAAGCCAAGATCACGCCACTGCACTCCAGCCTGGGCACCATTGAGCACTGAGTGAACCAGACTCCGTCTGCAATCCCGGCCCCTCGGGAGGCCGAGGCTGGTGGATCACTCGCGGTTAGGAGCTGGAGACCAGTCCGGCCAACACAGCGAAACCCCGTCTCCACCAAAAAAATATGAAAACCAGTCAGGCGTGGCGGTGCGTGCCTGCAATTGCAGGCACTCGGCAGGCTGAGGCAGGAGAATCAGGCAGGGAGGTTGCAGTGAGCCGAGATGGCAGCAGTACAGTCCAGCTTCGGCTCGGCATCAGAGGGAGACCATGGAAAGAGAGGGAGAGGGAGACCATGGGGAGAGGGAGAGGGAGAGGGAGAGGGAGAGGGAGAGGCTAACGGCAGATATTGTGTCCGGAATTGGTGGGTTCTTGGTCTTACTGACTTCAAGAATGAAGCCACGGACCCTCCCAGTGAGCGTTACAGTTCTTAAAGGTGGCGTGTCCGGAGTTTGTTCCTTCTGATGTTCGGATGTGTTTGGAGTTTCTTCCTTCTGGTGGGTTTGTGGTCTCGCTGGCTCAGGAGTGAAGCTGCAGACCTTCGCGGTGAGTGTTACAGCTCTTAAGGTGGCGCGTCTGGAGTTGTTCGTTCCTCCTGGTGGGTTGGTGGTCTCGCTGGCTTCAGGAGTGAAGCTGCAGACCGTCGCAGTGAGTGTTACGGCTCATAAAGGCAGTGTGGACCCAAAGAGTGAGCAGCAGCAGGATTTATTGCAAAGAACGAAAGAACAAAGCTTCCACGGTGTGGAAGGGGACCCAAGCGGGTTGCCACTGCTAGCTTGGGCAGCCTGCTTTTATTCTGATATCTGGCCCCATCCACATCCTGCTGATTGGTCCATTTTGCAGAGAGCCGAGTGGTCTGTTTTGACAGGGTGCTGATTGGTGTGTTTACAATCCCTGAGCTAGACACAGAAGTTCTCCGTGTCCCCACTAGATTAGCTAGATACAGAGTGTCAACACAAAGGTTCTCCAAGTCCCCACCAGAGTAGCTAGTTACAGAGTGTCAATTGGTGCATTCACAAACCCTGAGCTAGACACAGGGTGCTGACTGGTGTGTTTACAAACCTTGAGCTAGATAGAGAGTGCCGATTGGTGTATTTACAATCCCCCAGCTAGACATAAAGGTTCTCCAAGTCCCCACCAGACTCAGAAGCCCGGCTGGCTTCACCCAGTGGATCCCGCACCAGGGCCACAGGTGGAGCTGCCCACCAGTCCCGCGCTGTGCGCCCGCACTCCTCAGCCCCTGGGTGGTCAATGGGACTGGGTGCAGTGGAGCAGGGGGCAGCGCTCGTCGGGGAGGCTTGGGCCACGCAGAAGCCCACGGCAGGGGGGTGGAGGGGAGGCTCAGGCATGGCGGGCTGCAGGTCCCGAGCCCTGCCCTATGGGAAGGCAGCTAAGGCCCGGTGAGAAATTGAGCACAGCAGCTTCTGGCCCAGGTGCTAAGCCCCTCACTGCCCAAGGCCGGTGGGGCTGGCTGGCCGCTCCAAGTGCAGGGCCTGCCAAGCCCACGCCCACCTGGAACTTGCACTGGCCTGCAAGCACTGCGCACAGCCCCGGTTCCCACCCACTCCTCTCCCTCCACACCTCCCCGCAAGCTGAGGGAGCCAGCTCCAGCCTCGGCCAGCCCAGGAAGAGGCTCCCACAGTGCAGCGGTGGGCTGAAGGGCTCCTCAAGTGCCGCCAAAGTGGGAACCCAGGCAGAGGAGGTGCCAAGAGCAAGCGAGGGCTGTGAGGACTGCCAGCACGCTGTCACCTCTCAATATCTCTTCAGAAACCCTATAAGCCACAAGAGAGTGGGGGCCAATATTCAACATTCTTAAAGAAAATAATTTTCAACACAGAATTTCATATCCAGCCAAACCAAGCCTCATAAGCGTAGGAAAAATAAAATTCTTTACAGACAAGCAAATGCTAAGAGATTTTATCACCACCAGGCCTGCCTTACAAGAGCTCCTGAAGGAAGCATTAAATATGGAAAGGAAAAACCAGTACCAGCCACTACAAAAACATACCAAATTGTAAAGACCATTGACACTATGAAGAAACTACATCAACTAACAGGCAAAATAACCAGCTAGCGTCATAATGACAAGATCAAATTCACACATAAAAATATTAACCTTATATGTAAACAGGCTAAATGCCCCAATTAAAAGATGCAGACTGGCAAATTGGATAAAGAGTCAAAACTCATCAGTGTGCTGTATTCAGGAGACCCATCTCATGTGCAAAGACACACATAGGCTCAAAATAAAGAGATGGAGGAATATTTACCAAGCAAATGGAAAGCAAAAAAAAAAAGCAGGGGTTGCAATCCCAGTTTCTGATAAAACAGACTTTAAACCAACAAAGATCAAAAAAGACAAAGAAGGGCATTACATAATGGTAAAGGAATCAATGCAACAAGAAGAGCTAACTATTCTAAATATATATGCACCCAATACAGGAGCACCCAGATTCATAAAGCAAGTTCTTAGAGACCTACAAGAAGACTTAGACCCCCACACAATAATAGTGGGAGACTTTAACACCCCACTGTCAATATTAGACAGATCAATGGGACAGAAAGTTAACAAGGATATTCAGGACTTGAACTCAGCTCTGGACCAAGTGGACCTAATAGACATCTACAGAACTCTCCACCCCAAATCAATGGAATATACATTCTTCTCAGCACCAGATAGCACTAATTCTAAAATTGATCACATAATTAGAAGTAAAACACTCCTCAACAAATGCAAAGGAATGGAAATCATAACAAACAGTCTCTTAGACCATAGTGCAATCAAATTAGAACTCAGAGGTAAGAAACTCACTCAAAATCGCACAACTAAATGGAAACTGAACAACCTGCTACTGATTGAGTACTGGGTAAATAACAACATTAAAGCAGAAATAAATAAGTTATTTGAAACCAATGAGAACAAAGACACAACCTATGAGAATCTCTGGGACATAGCTAAAGCAATGTTTAGAGGGAAATTTATAGAACTAAATGCCCACAGGAGAAGGCAGGAAAGATCTAAATTCAACACCCTAACATCACAATTAAAAGAAGTAGAGAGGCAAGAGCAAACAAATTCAAAAGCTAGCAGACGACAGGAAATAACTAAGAGCAGGGCAGAACTGAAGGAGATAGAGACACAAAAAACACTTCAGAAAATCAATAAATCCAGGAGCTGGGTTTTTTTGAAAAGATTAACAAAAATAGATAGATGGCTAGCCAGACCAATAAAGAAGAAAAGAGAGAAGAATCAAATAGACACAATAAAAAATGATAAAGGGGATATCACCACTGATCCCACAGAAATACAAACTACCATTGGAGAATACTATAAACACCTCTATGCAAATAAACTAGAAAATCTAGAAGAAATGCATAAATCCCTGGACACATACACCCTCCCAAGACTAAACCAGAAAGAAGTCGAATCCCTGAATTGACCAATAACAAGTTCTTCCAGATGGTTTCACAGCCGAATTATACCAGCGGTACAAAGAGGAGCTGGTACCATTCCTTCTGAAACTATTTCCAACAATAGAAAAAGAGGGACTCCTCCCTAACTCATTTTATGAGGCCAGCATCATCCTGATACCAAAACCTGGCAGAGACACAACAACAAAAAAAGAAAATTTCAGGCCAATATCCCTGATGAACATCAATGCAAAAATCCTCAATAAAATACTGCAAACTGAATCCAGCAGCACATTAAAAAGCTTATCCACCACAATCAAGTCATTCTCATCCCCGGGATGCAAGGCTGGTTCAACATACCCAAATCAATAAACATAATCCATCACATAAACAGAACCAATGACAAAAACTACATGATTATCTCAATAGATGCAGAAAAGGCCTTTGATAAATTTAACACCCCTTCATGCTAAAAACTCTCAATAAACTAGGTATTGATGGAACATTTCTCAAAATAATAAGAGCTATTTATGACAAACCCACAGCCAATATCATACTGAATGGGCAAAAGCTGGAAGCATTCTCTTTGAAAACTGGCGGAAGACAAGAATGTCCTCCCTCACCACTCTTATTCAACATAGTATTGGAAGTTCTGACCAGGGCAATCAGGCAAGAGAAAGAAATAAAGGGCATTCAAGTAGGAAGAGAGGAAGTCAAATTGTCTCTACTTGCAGATGACATGAGTATATGTTTAGAAAACCCCATTGTCTCAGCCCAAAATCTCCTTAAGCTGATAAGCAACTTCAGTAAAATCTCAGGATACAAAACCACTGTGCAAAAATCACAAGCATTCCTATACACCGATAATAGACAGAGAGCCAAATCATGAGTGAATTCCCATTCACAATAGCTACAAAGAGAATAAAATACCTAGGAATATGACTCACAAGGGATGTGAAGGACCTCTTCAAGGAGAACTACAAACCACTGCTCAATGAAATAAAAGAGGACCCAAACAAATGGAAAAACATTCCATGCTCATGGATAGGAAGAATCAGTATTATGAAAATGGCCATACACCCAAAGTAACTCATAGAATTCATAGATTCAATGCTATCCCCATCAAGCTACCATTGACTTTCTTCACAGAATTGAAAAAACTACTTTAAATTTCATGTGGAACCAAAAAAGAGCCTGTGTAGCCAAGACAATCCTAAGCAAAAAGAACAAAACTGGAGGTATCACACTACCTGACTTCAAACTATACTACAAGGCTACAGTAACCAAAACAGCTTGGTACTGGCACCAAGACAGATATATAGACCAATGGAACAGAACAGAAGCCTCAGAAATAATGCCACACATCTATAACCATCTGATCTTTGGCAAACCTGACAAAAACAAACAATGGGGAAAGGATTTCCTATTTAATAAATGGTGTTGGGAAAACTGGCTAGCCATATGCAAAAAACTGAAACTGGACCCCTTCCTTACACCTTATAAAAAATTAACCCAAGATGGATTAAAGACTAAAACATAAGACCAAAAACCATAAAACCCCTAGAAGAAAACCTAGGCAATACCATTCAGGAAATAGGCATGGGCAAAGTCGTCATGACTAAAACACCAAAAGCAATGGCAACAAAAGCCGAAATTGACAAATGGGATCTAATTAAACTAAAGATCTTCTGCACAGCAAAACAAACTATCATCAGAGCAAACAGGCAATCTACAGAATGGGAGAAAAGTTTTTCAATCTATCCATCTGACAAAGGGCTAATATCCAGAATCTACAAAGAAATCAAACAAATTTACAAGAAAAAAGAAACCATCAAAAACTGGGCGAAGGATCTGAACAGACGCTTCTCAAAAGAAGACATTTATGTGGCCAAAAAACATATGAAGAAAGCTCATTAGAGAAATGCAAATCAAAATCACAATGAGATACCATCTCACGCCAGTTAGAATGGTAATCATTAAAAAATCAGGAAACAACAGATGCTGGAGAGGATGTGGAGAAATAGGAATACTTTTACACTGTTGGTGGGAGTGAAAATTGGTTCATTTTCCAATGGTTCATTGCTTCCATTGTGGAAGACAGTGTGGTGATTCCTTAAGGATCTAAAACCAGAAATACCATTTGACCCAGCAATACCATTATTGGGTATATACTCGAAGGATTATAAATCATTCTACTATAAAGACACATGCACATGTATGTTTATTGCAGCACTGTTCACAATAGTAAAGACTTGGAACCAACCCAGATGCCCATCAATGATAGACTGGATAAAGAAAATGTGGCACATAGACACCATGGAATACTATGCAGCCATAAAAAAGAATGAGTTCATGTCCTTTTCAGGGACATGGGTGAAGCTGGAAACCGTCATTCTCAGCAAACTAACACAGGAACAGAAAACCAAACACCACATGTTCTCATTCATAAGTGGAGTTGATCAATGAGAACACATGGACACAGGGAGGGGAACATCACATACCAGGGCCTGTTGGGGGGTAGGGGGCTAGAGGAGGGATAGCATTAGAAGAAATACCTAATGTAGATGACAGGTTGATGGGTGCAGCAAACCACCGTAGCAAGTGTATACTTATGTAACAAACCTGCACATTCTGCACGTGTATCCCAGAACTTAAAGTATAATTTTTAAAAAGATAGAAAAAAGAAGAAATGCTACTGATTTTTGTAACATTGATTTTGTATCCTGCAACTTTGCTGAAATTGTTTATCAGATATAGGAGCTTTTGGGCAGAGACTGTGGGGTTTTCTAGGTATAGAATCATATTGTCTTCAAACAGAGATAGTTTGACTTTCTCTTTTCCTATTTGGATGCCCTTTACTTCTTTCTTTTGCCTGATTGCCCTGATGAGGACTTCCAATAATATGTTGAATAACATTCATTGTTTACCCCCAAATCATTCTGAAGCAGGTTTTTAAATTTCCATGTAATTGTATGGTTTGTATGATCTCCTTAGTATTGATTTCTATTTTTATTATGCTGTGGTCCAAGAGAGTGGTTGGTAAGATTTTTTTTTTAATTTGCTGAGAATTGTTTTATGGCTGAGCATGTGGTCAACTTTAGAGTATGTGCCATATGCAGATGAGAAGAATGAATATTCTCTTATTTCTGGATGGAGAGTTCTGTAGATGTCTGTTAGGTCCATTTGGTCAAGTGTCAAGTTCAGTTCCTGAGTATCTTTGTTAGTATTCTGCCTCAATGCTTTGTCTAACACTGTCAGTGGGATGTTGAAATCTATCACTATTATTGTGTGCTTATCTAAGTCTCTTTGTAAGTCTCTAAGAATTTGTTTTGAGTCTGGGTGCTCCTGTGGTGAGTGCGTATATATTTAGGATAGTTAGGTGTTCTTGTTGAATTGAACCCTTTACCATTATGTAATGCCCTTCTTTGTCTTTTTGATCATTGCTGGTTTAAAGTCTGGCTAGTCTGAAATTAGAATAGCAAACCCTGATTTTTTTCTGTTATCTGTTTGCTTGGTAGCTTTTTCTTCATTCCTTTACTTTGAGATTATAGGTGACATTGCATGTGAGATGGTTCTCTTGAAGAAAAGATACAGTTGAGTCTTCCTTCTTAATCCAATTTGACATTCTGTGCCTTTTAATTGGGGCATTTTGCCTGTTTACATTGAAAGTTTGTATTGATATCTGTGTGGATTTGATCCTGTCATCATGTTGTTATCTGGTTATTATGCAGACTTAATTGTGTAGTTCTTTTATAGCATCGATGGTTTACATACTTAAGTGTGTTTTCGTGGTGGCCAGTAATGGTCTTTCATTTCCATATTTAGCACTTTCTGAAGGACTTCTTGTAAGGCAGGTCTGGTGGTAATGAATTACCTTGGAATTTTCTGGTCTGAAAAATGTCTTATTTCTCCTTCTCTTATGAAGCTTAGTTTGGCTGGATATGAAATTTTTCGTCATAGTTTCTTTTCTTTAAGAATGCTGAACATAGGACCCCAATCTCTTCTGGCTTACAAGGTTTCTACTGAAAGGTCTGCTATTAGCCTGATGGGGTTCCCTTTGTAGATGACCTGCCCCCTCTCTCTAGTTGTCTTTAGCACTTTTTCTTTTGAGAATCTGATGACTATGTGTCTTGGAGGTGGTCATCTTGTATAATATCTCGCAGGGGTTCTGGTTCTCTGCATTTCCTAAATTTGAATGTTGGCCTCTCTAGCAAGGTTGGAGAAGTTTTCATGGATGATCTCCTCAAATATGTTATCCAAGTTGCTTGCTCTCTCTCCCTTTGTTTCAAGAATGCCAATGAGTTGTGGATTTGGTTTCTTTACATAATCCCACATTTTGCGGAAGTTTTGTTCATTTTTAATTGTTTTTTCTTTATTTTTGGCTGATGGAGTTAATTCAGAGAACTGGTCTTCAAGCTCTGAGATTCTTTCCTCAGCTTGGCCTATTCTGCTTTTAATACTTGCAATTGTATTATAAAATTATTGACGTAAGTTTTTCAACTGTATCACATTAATTTGGTTCTTTCTTAAAATGGCCATTTCATCTTTCAGCTCCTGTATCATTTTACTGTATTCCTTAGATTCCTTGGATTGGGTTTTGACTTTCTCCTGAATCTTGAGAAAAGTTTTTTTTTAAGAGATGCTTATTTTTTAGGAGCTCCACACTTAGAAGTGTAGATCAAATGGAATAATAGAGAAAGATTTAATAAAAAGACTACCTATACAGTATAGTCATGAGATAGGAAACCAACAAAATATGTTGAAGCACCCCAGAGCTATAGGGGTTCCCAATCACAGGTCTTAAGAGACAGGAGGGAGCAGTTACTGGGACCTAAAAAACGAGCCATGGCTATAGTGCTAGACAATTTACTGAAAGAAGCTGTGGACTCTAGTGGGAACACACAACCACTGCTCACTCTTGGCCCACCTTCTGATCTTCTGTCTGATCCTCCCATTGGCCAAGCCCAACTAAGAGCAAGAGGGCAAGGGAGTGTGAGGAGAGGATGCAGTCCAGAGAGGTCAGTTTCTCAAGAAAAAAGCAGGATGGAGAAAGTGATGGGGCAAAATAAAAGTATTCTGCACCAGGGAAAATGTGAAGATGCCTGTAATAGATGAAGTAATATGGCATATGTTAACAATTGTTAAATCCCTATGGAGAATATGCATGTTTGCTATATTATTTTTCCTACTTTTCTGTATATTTGAAGTTTTTCATAACAAAAAGTGGAAAGAAAGTGAGGGCAAAATAAATGTAGACATTTTAAAACAAAGTCTGAAAGAACATACTCTTATGATCTAAACTGGAAGAACTACTAAAGTATTGACTTCAGAAATGAAACCCAGAAAGAAGCTGTAGGAGGTGAAAAGCAATGATGAGTGATGAGCTTGGTAAATAGATGAGTGCATCTAAATGAGCATTAGCTCTTAAAAAATAGCTGGAAATTACAGATCCATGTGTAAAGTGATATTGTAGATATAGAACAGAAAAGAGGACATCTAAAGTAGACAGAAAAGGAGAGTTGAGGGAGGCTTCTTGAGAAAGGAAGGAATGACAAATTGGCCAGGTTAAAAAGTCAAATAGGATTTATCAAAGAAGAGTTAGAGGGAATGAAAAATCCAGGTAGAAGGAACAGCATGAGAGACAGCAGAGATGATTCCAAGGATACTTGGCATTTGAGACACTTGAATGGTAAGAGATCCCTTTGGGAGGTCTTTTAAAAGTTAGATCTTTAGGGACCTAAGCTAAAGCCTGGGGAATAAATGAAGAATTTTATGCAGAGAAATAATCTGATCAGATTTGTATTTTAGCAATGAAACTCAAGCTCACTTTTGGAGGACTGATTTGAGAGTTTAGAGGGGAGGCAGATAGCAGTTCCAGCAATCAAGGCCATCGAAGCAATCAAGGTGAGGCAGAATGAATGTCTGAACTAAGGAAGTGACAGTGGTGATGGAGAAGAAGCTGATTCAAGAGATAGTCTAGAAGTCAAACGAATAAGACTTGGTGATTTATAGGGAGTGGGGCAGTCCGGAATGGCTCTCAGCTTTGCCTGGGTTACTGATGTACGTAGGTAAAACCACAGGACTATCAACTTTTGGAAGGAGCAGTTTGGGAGGAAAGATGATGGCTCAGTTTTCTTCAAGTCTGAATACTTAGATCTGAAGCTATGAACTAGGAGGTAAAACCATAGACATCAAGTCTAAATTCAGACAAGGTGAAAGTGCAAGGAGAGCCATGAAATCTTGCCTGTTTCTTATAGGCAAGAGAGAGAAGGAAAAATTTTTCCAGAGTATACTCCCCCAACTCCACACACACATACACATTCTTCCTCTTACGTCTTATTGGCCAGAATGAATTGGATCATATGGCATCCCTAGCATCCCAGGAGGCTGGGAAAATGGAGAAGAAAATTGTCATAATTGGCTTAGACAAATCATGGTCCGATGCCTGGGAGTGACATAATGCTCCCAAACAAAATTGAATTTCTGTTACCAAGGAAGAAGGGTGGATGGGTACTAGGCAGACAACTAAGAGTGTTTGACCCATATAATCACACTAACCAGGGCTGGGATTTGGGAACTCTTGAAGATGAACTGCAGGGGAAGGGAGATAAGCTACCACCAGACACTCTGTTTCGAAGCCTAGAGGTCAGTGCCAGGAGATTCCTAACTTCTTGGTGAGCTTAAAGAGTGTGGGGAATTGGCTTCATATCAAGACACAAGAGATTGAGGGATAGAAGCCAATGGTGATTGAAAATTTCTTACCTCAATAGATTGTTCTGGGACCCAGGACTGTGCTGAATGTGTAGATGGGAAGCTTGATGGGCCCCAGCTGGAGGGATTCAGGGAGGCAAGGAGTAAACGAAAAAAAAAAATCAAGTCAATATTAGGTTTGCTCTTAGACGCAGCTTAAAAATCATTCCTAATTGATGCAGTGTGCTACAGCTTTAGTCTTGTTCTGAATTCCAATGTCAATAACTCATCCTACTGCTAGGTTCTCACCTTCATCCCCACAAGGCCTCTTGGGTGTTCCTTGTTTTTGCTTATCTAGGGCAGGAGTCTAGTCCCCAAGTAGAGCCAGATGCCTGCAACCCCTCTTTCTGGGAATCAGTTTCATGGATGCCACCTGCCTGCCTTGACTGCCCAGAATTACTTTCCCAAAGGCCCTCACAGCCCTGCCTGGCTGATCTTCATTATAGGAGAAATTCCTTGAGGAAGAGTAAAAATGGTATCTCTCATCCTTTCCAACTTCCATGATGCTTCATACAAAGTTCCCCTCAAAACATTTTTTTTGTGTGTTCAATTGCATTAACTTGAGGAGGGATACAATTTAGTGGTTAAGAAAGCAGTCTCCAGAGCCAGACATTCTGGGTTCAAATTCCAGCTCTGCCACTCTCAGCTATATGATCTTGGGCAAGCAGTGGTGTTCAGCAACACCCTTTGAGGGGGGTAATAATAGTACTAACTTCCTTAAAGATTTTTTTGAAGACAAAATGCACTTGGATCAGTGCCTGGCACACAGAGAGCACTAGGTGTTTGTTCTTTTCATTGAAGAAGCAATTGATCGTGAGCTGAGGGCATCAAGGCTACTCCTGGGGAAAGAAGACCTTTTTTGGCTTCACCAAGCCTATCATTCTCTCCTTTACTCATGTCTCCTATTATGGAAACCTTCTTTCTCATTTCCTGTGTCCTTATTGAAGTTTCTCCCACCTGCCCCGCCTTCCAGGCCAGTAACATCTGCTCCAAAATGACTTTCTTGCCCCTGAATCCTCTAAACCTCTTGCTCCCAGCTACTTGTCACAGAAGGAAGAAGTCTGGGCCACTATTTTATTCTGCAGTGTTAGTGTCTTACACCAGATTAATATTTCACCCCTCACTCATGCAAGGGTGTTTTTATATCAGTAGAGCAAACTTCAACATAATGGGTCAGGGGAGATACTTTTAGAAAGAGAATATTAGGTGCCCTTAAATTACCACCTAGGCCACTGTCCACATCAGTTGCAAGATGGCTGTCATGTATACTATCCATTGTGTGGGAGACAGGGCTGGGGTATGGGTGACAGGGCAGTGTGGGAACTGCTAAGTGGACCACTTCCCCTCACTGGAACTAAGGATCCCAAGAATTTCTTCTGTCCCTAATCAGCGCTGCATCCCTAGAAATCCCTCCATTGGAAGAGCCTCCATTTGCTCCAGTATCAGAGCATGAGGGGATGCCAGTGATTGAATTCAGGTAAGGAGACTAGAAAAAGGAGACTCTGAGATCCCTTCCAGACTGTCTTGAAGTGAGCTGGTACCCCTCTCTTTCATCTCACATTCTCTCCTTCCTCCCAAGGGGAAAACTAGTTCAAGGAAGTAAATACAAAGGCACACAGAACTTAGAGTAATGCCATACCACTACTAATAGTAAGATACTGTCTTAGTTAGGGCTGCTATAGCAAAGTACCATAGACTAGGCGGCTTATAAACAACAGAAATTTATTTATCACAGTTCTGGAGGCTTAGAAGTTCAAGATCTGGGTGCTGGCATGGTCTTGTTATGGGGAAGCCCTGCTTCTGAGCTGAAGACAGCCAGCTGACTTCTCCTTGTATTCTCACTTGGTGGAAAAAGAATGAGATAGGTTTCTGGTCTCTTTCTTGTAAATAGGGCACTAATCCTATTTATGAGGGCTCCATCTTCATGACCTAATTACCTCTTAAAAGCATTACCTATTAATACGATCACACTGAGTCTTACAGACTTGTCAAATTAGGACACAAACCAACAAAGAGAGATTTACCTATATAACATGTCTGTCAACTGTCCCTCTGCTCTTAGATCCATCGCTGCTGTGCCTTTTATGGCAGATAATTACGTATCCCAGACTCCCTTGCCCTTCAGCTTCCAGCTCAGTTTGGCCAATGAGAGGCACTGGTAGAAGATTGGAGAGCAGGGGGAAGAGAGAAGTCAGAACATTTCACCTCCCTCACTCTCAGTTTCCTAAGGCATCTCTGGCAGTAGAGACATTCCAGATCCCACAAGACAACCTCTCCTTCTGTGGCCACAGCTCTCTGGGGAGCTCTCACCATGGTTTAAGCTCACCCTAGATGGCTCCAGCCCCTGAATTCCATAAAGCCATCCCTGTATCCCTTGAGACTTTAAGGTGGTAGCAGCTTCCCACTGTTGCTAATCTCTGGATTGCCTCATCATTCTCTGTTTGACTTTTTCTCCCTTCCAGTTTGTGTGTAACCAATTCCCTGAATTAACTTGAAAGACTTGGAGAAGTTTTTCTTTTCCTGTCTGGATCCTGATTGATGCACATACATTGTACCCATAAAACATACATATATATGTACATATTCTTGGAAATATACAAACAAAACATGACTGCATATCTCTTTGTAGAATCAAAAAGTTAAACATGGAGCTCGTTTATGGCTTTTGGTGTTGGTTTCCCTCTGTGGGTCTTTTCAGAAAAGAACCAACACCTCCAGTGTTGTGGCTTGCCACTGGAAGTGACACTCAGGTCACCCTCTGATCCCACAAGTGAGAACAGTGCCCTGTATAAAAGGCCACAGTTAATTTTTATTGCACATACGTGTGGAGAGATACCTGCTTGGCCTCCATGTGAGAGCCATAACTCTCTTAAATTGATGTGTCAGCAAACTAAAACTCAATATTTTTTTTCACACAGTATATTTTACAGTCAGAGGCCCTTCCCTAATCGGAATAAAGCAATTTGGCTCCCTGTCATTGCTCACTGAAAACATATGAGCTGGTTGGCATTTCTAGCAGCCCAGATTTATCAGGGTCTCTGATCTGGTGCACGAGAGGTTCAGGGCTGTGGCATGGACAAAAGTGGATTTTTTATGATAGCATTGTGCTGCATCTCTGCATGGGTAGATTTATCCCTTCATTTCAGAAATATTTCTACTGTCTTTAGTCCCAAATCTACTTCAGTTTGAAAAGATTACACACAGTTTGCATGAGGGTTTGGGGTCATTCTGTACCTTGAAAGCTTGAATTTCTATCCTATAAAAAAATTCCCTGAATTGCCCTCTTCAGCACTATGGATTCTGGAAGTTAGAGCTCTGAAATACTAAGTCTCCTGCATGTCAGCTGTCAGCTGCATTAGAATGGGCCAAAGACAGGATTTTTGGAGCCTGAGGGCCAAGGTCTCATCCACCAAGTCTTGTAAATCTGTATCAGAACAGAGCCAACATTCATACAAGTGTGGCTGTGCCATACCTCCCTAAGTTTACATTCCCCTGAGGGCAATGACTGAAGGGTAAGGGAGAATGAAAAACCCTCTCCCTTGCCTGGGGTCACCACAGAATATGAGGTGATTTGCACACCAGCGCTTCCCTGTGGGATCAGGCTGAGGCTGGGACTTTCCTTGACATAAAACCCTTTTTTGGCTTCCTTCCCTTCTCTATCCTGCTTCTCGCACTTCCTTACTGTCCTCCTTGGGAAGCATTTCATTACTAAATCACTCAAACCTGAATCTTCATCACAGGTCTGTTTTCTAGGAACTCAATCTAAGACAGCGTGTTGAAAGTTTCTTATTTCAATCACGTATTGGATGCTACAACATTCCTTCCATGTGGTTATCAAGCATCTGCTTACTTACTTCTAGAGAAGGGCACTCACCACCACCAAGGATAGAAAACCCATGGTGCAGGCAACTCCATACAGCAGAGAATTATTGGACACATAAGCTGGGAGCAGCCTTGGAGGTCATCCAGACCAGTCTCAATTTTGATATGAGAATGTTGTTGATACCCTTTCCTATGTTCCCTTAGCACACTTGATTTCCTAGAAGTCTCGGACAAACTTTGGCATGCAGACAGCTTTCCACTTCAAGAGTTTGCCCTTCACTTCTGACATCACTCTCCAGAATCATGAGCACAACCCAGAAATGTGGGTAAGCTGATGCCCAAGGGGAAATCTTGAATGAATGGGGAATAGGAGTTGGTGCGCAAATGCCCCAGCCTTCCCATCCTCCAGGGAAGCTGACTCAGAGGTGTGATCCACATGTTGTTTCACCTGGCTCCACACAGCATTGAATGTTAATTGCCTTCAGCATAACCAGCTCATTAACACACATTTATTACCTTTCCTCCCCTCTATCACTCTCCTTGTTCCCTTACTTGCAGTTCTTGAGACCACCTTGCAAATAAATGACCTATACCCAATCTTCATCTCAGCATCTGTTTTGAGGGAATTCAAACTAAGACAGGAGCCCAGAGAAGCTAAAGGATTTCTGTTCCTTTTCCCTGGGGAGGCTACTCTTCCCACTAAATGAACTTCTTTTCTGAAGATCCACTGAACTGGCAGAGTCCATTCAATGAGACATCTTGAGCCTCAGCCCCTGAAGCTCCACGCCAAGGCTCTCAACATGATTCTATTCCATGTGCATTCATTCTGTTGAATAAACCACAGTTCAGCTTTGTTCAGTAATGCTTTACTTGAAACTTTCCTTAATATATTATATTTTATAACTCATTTGCATAAACACATAGTATTGTATTTATGTTTATAGTATACATATTTTCTTAGGACACATTTTCTATGCCATAATTGGATTGCTGTGCTTGTTTATGTTACTTGTATTACTAATTAGGGAACAAGTCAGGCCTCCTGATCCCCAAGTCCACACACATTAACCCACTGTGGCCACTGACAGCCCTACTAGGCTCCTCTAAAAGCTCAACAGAGAGACTTTCCAGCAAAGTTCCTCTGCTTAATGACATATGACTTTGACCTCAATCCCCCATGCACCCCTGTGAGGAACCCCTGGATCTAGTGAGCAAAGGTGAATCATGGCAAGCCACAGGATTCCATTGCTCCTCTGGCCTAAGGCCCAGACTGAAGTATGTCCATGCATCATCTTTTTCTCTGCCCCATCCAGTTCCTGCCAGGGTTCCTTCAATGTGGGAAGGGCCACTCCTATGACATCAGCCATAGGGGAGAATTCTCAAAAGGTTGCTTTCCGAGGGAAGATAAAAAAACAAAACAAAACAAAACAAAAACCATTATGCATATACAAAACCCTTTAACCTCCTGGCTAGGCACAGTCAAAGATCACCTACCCACTCCTGGGCCCAATAATATCCTTGACCTTGACCCATTTCTACCAGTCCTCCTCCTCCCCAGAGCAGAGGGAGGAGAGAGAAGCCTTGAGCTCCCCCTAGAGGTTACATGTTTCCACTTACTGTTTCTTTATCAAGTGTTGGGAGTTTGTGAAGAATAAAGATACTTATCTATTGAAGAACAGACTTATGTAGGGGCTACATATTGGTAATACACATTATATATACTTCATAATTTCATATCTGAGCCAAGCATGATTAAAAACAAAGTATGAACTATATACTCTGTGCAATGCTTAGAAAAACAATTGTCAAGAGTCTCTCAGTAAATACTATCACAGTCTCACTCTTGAATAACAAAACTATGTTATTATATGTGTGATTATAAATTGGAAATATGTAATATGGGTGACTACTTAAGAAAGAACTAAAGAACATTATTGTGAATCCTGTCTCCTGCTACTAGGGATAAATGTAAATTGGGTGAGGTCATGATTACTCAGGCCCCATTTTGAGTTCAAGATGAATAAACACAGACAGATGAGGACTGTAATACTCCCTGTGGCCACCACAAGGCTAACAAAATACCTCTATGCAAGCAATATAACTACAGAAACAAACCTGGCACACTTACATTATATTTTTCTAGGTACCTGGTAATCTTTATGACCGATATGGCCTTGCACACTTACATTATTTTTTTCTAGGTACCTCGTAATCTTTATGACCGATATGGCCTATAACACTGTCCAATCTGAGTGTAGAAGTCTGAACTTCAAGCTCCAGCTCAACCACTAAATAGCTGATAAACCTCATGAAAGTTTCTTAACGTCTCTGAACCAGAAATTCCTTAATGGTGATGTGAAGCTAATGGTAATGGCTCTATGTCTTATAAGATGCCTGTTGAGTATCACATGCAAGAAGGTATAGAACTGGCAATCATGACCCATTTGTGCTCATCAATGAATAGGCCATTTCTACAGAGGGGTGACAATAGGTATATAGATGTGAAGGCTGGTTTGAGGTGTAAGGGGAAGGGGCATGGCCATAGGACATGTTTTCCTTCACTTAGCTTGAGATTTTTTTGAGGAAATTATAATATAGGCTTCCATAGATATATAGATAACAGGTAGGCTTCCATAGATATATAGATAACAGATGATAGGTAGCATTAGAGTGTAAGATCCATATGGATATGAATTTGCTTCTTTTGATCACGAATATAAATATGCACTTAACACAGAGCAGTTAATTAACAAGTATTTGTTAAATTAATTGATTTGCTATTTCTTATGTACTAATTGATTTGCTATTTCTTATGTACTAATTGATTTGCTATTTCTTATGTACTTGTCTTTCCAGTTCCTACAGCTGGGAAGACAATCCCCAAAAGGGAGCCCTTGTGTTTTTTAAAAGAGAAGTGAAGGCAGCCTGTGTAAAACTTGTGCCAGGTGCTGTCTGAACAAGTGTTCGTTTGTGGGCTCAGGGTGGTGCCCAAGTCTTAGAACTTAGAACAAAGAAGAGAACTCAGAGCAGAGAAACTTCAGCAGGACATTTTTTTTTTTTTTTTTTTTGCATTGCTGGAGTGGAGGGTGAGGTTTCAGACACAGAGCACGGGAATGTCCAGGGTAAGATGGGGACTCAGAATGAGTGAACTTGGTGAAGCTAAGTGGGTCTCCATCAAGTCCATCATCAGTACACACTCTGGGTGCCCTATTATAAAGGTCTTGAGAAAAGAAGTGCCTGGGTCAACCTAGCCCCAAACCAAGTAGATGCTAGAGCCTGCGGATTCTCTACTCAGAAAGAGTCTCCTGAAATCGGGATGATCTACTCAGAAGAACACTGGAGAAAGGGAAGCAGCCTGACACTATGAAATTTTTACTGCAGATCAACAAGGGGGCTGGAGAAATGGTTCTCATTTCCTGACACCTGATTGGAGGGGGTTCAAGGGTCATGGGAGGAGAGGAAGTAGAGATGGCAGGTTTAGACAAAAGCAGTTTTACTATAAAGATGGGGAGGAGAATGGATGGTGGCTGGAGAGATGTGTGCACCAGGGAGGTTTCTAAAGTATTTTTTAATGGCAGGTATTACAGCATGTTTTTATGCTGATGGAAATGATCCAGTGAAGAGAGAAAAACGGAAGAAGCAGGAGAGAGAAGAGATAACTGCAAGACCCAGGCCTTGAATAAGCAATAGAGGATGGGATCCAGTTCACACCTAGTGGGGCTAACCTGGCATATAATAACACAAAGTTCATCCATTTTATTAGGAGGAAAAGCAGAGTTTGTGAGTATAGATTTGGGTAGGTAGGCAGATGGTGTGGTGGAAAGGAAGCAAGTTCTCTGCTTCCATCTTAGGGAAGTAAGGAAGAAGGTCATCAGCTGAGAAGAAGGAAGGGGGAGGAATTGTTGGAGGTTAGAGTAAAGGTGAAAAAGTATGAAATAGTCATCTCAGAGAATGAGGAGAGAGAATTGACTGGGGAAATGCGATAAGATTGCTTGGCTGCACTGAGGTCCCACTAGAGGTCTGCCATCATAAATTTCAAGTGAGACCGGTCAGAAATGGTTGAGTGTTTTTCACCAGCTTGCTTAACAAGGGCAAGCAAAATAATGGAGTTGAGAGAATGTACAAGGAATTGACAATATGTGCAAGAAGTGGTTATGGGAATGGGCTGTGGACTCTAAGGTGAAATAGGAGAATAAGGAGAGAGTAAAGGAGGTAAGATGCAGTGAAAAGTTGGTGCAATGGCGGGACTGGGGACCTAAAGGGGCCCAAGATTGATTGGCTTCAGAACACTAGAGAAAGAGAGCTGGGATGATATGAGGTGGGAATATGGGAAGCTGGAAACTAAGGCTTGGGAATGGAGCAGTTTTGTTAATGC
The DNA here is from genome assembly GCF_000001405.40 of Homo sapiens. Taxonomy (NCBI): domain Eukaryota; kingdom Metazoa; phylum Chordata; class Mammalia; order Primates; family Hominidae; genus Homo; species Homo sapiens. Next base: position 39,258,831 of record NC_000023.11, on the reverse strand, counting down.
CACCTTGGCAATAGGTAGCTGAGATGGAGATGATAAAGACCACAGAAAGTGAGGATGTCAAGGCAATGAGAGGTCACAATGTTGGAAGGTCTCTCTAGGTGTTTGTTGAAATGACAAAGAGTTAAGAAATTTGTAGTGGTGGAGAGAAAGATAGTGTTCCTGGTGATAAAATCTTCAGTGAAAAGCAGTGATGGTGTGTGTCTGATAGAAGATGATTGCAATAGGGAGATTGTGGCAGCCACAAGAATGCCCTTCTCAGACCTCTTACTGGCAGGAGTGTAACTGACCTGTGGCTGCACTCTGAAATCCATTATCACATTGAAGCCACACCCTCCACCAGCTGCTCTCAGCCATGAGTGAGCACAGCAGGGACACTAGGGCAGGCGCCTCAATGGGAGATGCAGGATTCCTCTGATCTGCCCCTTTGGCCCAAGGACTCCTCATTAGTTTTGCCAAAACTTTCTTAGACATGCACTGAAGTCAGACTTTCCCAGTTACCCTTCCTTCTACAGAATTAGACCTGCATCATGTGTGAAGGCTCTCTCTGCTTCCTCCAGCTCCCTCTCCATTTTTCCCCCCAACAGGTAGTTTCTCTAGTAAATCTCTTGCATGTCTAATCTTGTCTTAGTGTCAACTTTTCAGATGACCTGAGCTAGCAGAGAGAGGATATGGGGAGTGTATTGGTCCATTTTGTGTTGCCATAAAGGAATACCTGATACTGGATAATTTATAGAGAAAAGAGATGTATTTGGCTCATGGTTCTGCAGGCTGTATAAGCATGGTGCCAGCATCTTGGCTTCTGGTGAGGCTTCAGGGAGATTACAATCATGTCAGAAGGTGATGGAGAGCCAGCATATCACATGGTGAGGGGAAGCTAGACAGAGAGAGAAAAGGTGAGGTGCCAGGCTCTTTTAAACAATCAGATCTCACATGAACTCACACAGAGAAAACTCACTCATTATCGTGATGACAGCACCAAATCATTCATGAAAGATCCACCCTCATGACTCAAACAACTCCCACTAGGTCCACCTCCAATGTGACATTGGAGGTCACATTTCAGCCTCCAAACCATATAACAGAATGTGGTCTGTAAGAATTGCTTCCAGGGATCTGGGTGCTTTAGGGATAAAGGAGGGACAAAATAATCTGCAAGGAAAATCTTCATCCCTTCTCCAAGCCCAGGATTCATGGGGTTTGGGTGTGACAGGGTGGTAAGAAAATACCACTTCTTCTAAGGGCTGAATGGGAGGTAATGTCTCCAGGATTCAGACAGAATTCAGGTAGGCAAAAAGTGAAAGGAACAGTCTGCCAATCCCTGACCCGACCACCTAGCCTGATGATACCAATGGTGCCCTGATAAGATTCTGTAACCCTAGCCCAGACTTATGGCATATGCTACAGAAGCAGTCAGACAGCATGATTCCCAGACGGTCACCCTGCATGCACAGTAAACTATCCCTCCTCCCCTGGGCTCATCTGTCTAACGAGCCCAGCCATCACCAGCCTAAGAGATTTTGCTTTTCTAATATGGGATGGAAACACTCAGTCTTTTGGCTTTAAAAGACCTGCCCTATTTCTCTTTCCTTGTACCTCATCTCCCACAGCCTAGACTCCATGCTGGATCCCGTTACCCCTTAGCAATGAAACTTCTTCACGAAGAGCTCAATGTTTGATCTTTATTTTATTTTCCTTTAAGTTTAGTGAAGAGTTTGAAAATATAAAAGTTATTATGTGGATAAAGATCACATGTTCCAGAGGGCAGAGTTGAAGTGTCCAGGTGGCTGGGGGAGGGGTGGGGGGGAGGGGCGGGTTGGAATTGGGAGCCCAAGTCAGCTTGGGGAACATTCAGACCATTTGAGAAGAGGGGTCTTAGAGAAACCTGAAGGGATAGGACAGTTGGTAGTGGCCAAGATAAATCAGGATGTGAGGCATGATGGGACAAGCCCACATGGTCTCTTGGGAGGGAGTAGATGATCAGTAGTTGCAATTGTGGGTCCGTTCTTGGGACCCATATGGATTTGTGATAGAAGGGCAAGGGGTAAGAATTCCAGGAGCCCACAGAACTCTGGGAGCCCCTCTTCAGGTCTACTTTGGGCCTTGTCAAGGCCAATGGAGGGGAAGCCCTGCCAAGAACATGCTGAACACTGCAGGCCTTGCCTATACAGTGTTCAACAAACATTTGTTAAAGATCTACTATGTCACAGACTAAACTAGATGCTAGGGACATATCAGTGAATATGACACCATCTCAACTTTCAAGGACCTTAAAAAGCAAAGAGAGCAACACAAAAAAAATAAATGCACTATAATAATAAAGTACATTATTGTAATAGTCTTCTTGTGGGGCATGAATGAACACATGCACGGGGGCTCTTAATCTTGAAACCTCCAATCTGACCCCTCCCCCACCAGGCCTTGTAGAGAATGAAGTAATATGTGCAATGCCAGTCCCCATGGCTGTGCCAACATCACTTGCGGACAGCCATCCTTGTCACCTTTTCTCCCAAATATGAAGACATCGCCTGTCATTCACTGCTGTACTTTCTGAGGCCTGCAGGCCTGGATGCCCTCCTGTTGCCTGCTGCTTGTGCCTATGAATATTCCTGCCAACAATTCCTCCCATCCTGTATACAAATGACTGCTGTGATCTGAATGTTTATGTCTTCCAAAAGTAACACATTGAAACCTAATCCCCAGGGTGATGGTATTAAGAGGTAGGGCCTTTGGTAGGTGATTAGGTCATGAGGTTGGAGCCCTTATGAATAGGATTAGTGTGCTCATAAGAGGCCCCAGGGCGTTCATTCTCCCCTTCAATCATACAAGGATGCAGCAGTAAGGCACCATCTATGAGGTATGGGCCCTCACCAGATGATGAATCTGCCTGAACTTTGATCTTGGACTTCCCAACCTCCAGAACTGTGAGAAATAATGTCTGTTGTTTATAAGCCACTCAGTTTATGATATTTTGTTATAGCAGCCTGAACATACTTAGACAATGACATTCTTCTCATTAAGAGAGAGTCTGTGTCCCCTCCCCTTGAATCCAGACTGGCCTGTGACTTGTTTTGGCCACCAGAATGCAGTGGAAGTAACACCATGCTACCTCTAAGCCTAGGCCTTAAGAGACCTGGCAGCTTCTGCTGTTACTGCCTTGCTGCACCCCCCTTTTCTGAGACATGGTCTTGTTCTGTCACCCAAGATGGAGTGCAGTGGCACAATCACAGCTCACTGCAGCCTCGACCTTCTGAGCTCAAATGATACTCCCACCTCAACCTCCTCTCAAGTAGCTGGAATTACATGCATGCATGCACCACCACATCTAGCTTATTATTATTGTTATTATTATTATTATTATCATTTGTTGTAGATACAGGGTCTCACTATGTTATCCAGGCTGGTCTTGAACCTCTGGGCTCAAGCAATCCTTCCACCTGGTCCTCCCAAAGTGCTGGGATTATAGGTATGAGTTGCTACTTTGACTCACTATGTAAAGAAGTCCAGGCCACCCACTTGGAAAGAGAGGCTAAAAAAGGGGACCAAGTGGAGCAGGACTGACATGCACAAGGATCCAGACACATGGGTGAGGGCATCTTGAACTTTCCAGTGTACCATCAGGTGATGCACCCACATGAGTGACCTAGCCAATCACATGTGGAGTAGAGATAAGCCATCCCTCCCAAGTCTTACCTGCAGGTAAACCCAATCAGGGTTCCATTCTCCCTCCTGCTTGTTTGTTAGTGTAGTGGCCTCATGCTCATTATTCAGGAGTGATGAAAACTAACTAGCTATTCATAGGCCTAATTTCCTCTTCTTTCTGGGCACACTACTATATTTCTCAGGCTCTCTTGCAGTTAGCTGAAGCCATGTGACTAAATTCCAGGCAGTGGACCAGTAGGGAAGTGATGTGTGTCACTTTCAGGCCTGGTCCCTAAAGACAGGGACTCTTTCAGCTGTTTCCCCTAATCCTAGCTTGGTGTAGATGAGTGACTTTGGAAGACCTGTGCCGAAAATGGTGCAGAATATACAGCCTGTGTCTCTGAATTCACTTAGAGGGAAACTTCTCATGAATCAGAAGTACCTGTTTTAGGATGTTAAGTGAGCCAGAAATAATCTACCATGTTTGAGTAGCACACATGTTGAGATTTGTTTCTTACAACAGTTAGCATAATCTCCATCAACAAATCAGATATTTCTGATATAAACAAGGCATTTTTAGGATCCTTAAATTTGGAACTGAAAGATGGAAAGAATTATTGGATAATAACTCTCTATGTACAATATGGAAAAAATTTAAACTGAAATAACTAAGCAGTTAAATTAAGTAATCTCATTTGGCCTGGACAGCGCTGGCCCAGGGTAGCTTTAAATACCATCCTCCTCCTCCTTTTCTAGTTTCCCCTAACTGTCAGATCCACCAGCAGATAAAGGCCTGCCCAGGTCTGCAAAGGCCCTGACAGCTTCAGAAAATATGTCCTTCAATCCAGTGAGTCTTGGCATTCTGTCATTCAGGGGACCCAGCCATCCCCTCCTTGAATTATCTTTGATGCCGATTAGACCTGGTGCCCAGATTAGCTCGCAAAGCCTCTGGGTCATTGTGTTGACTCCTCTTCCTCCAGGCACTTGAATCAGCCAGCAGAATTGGAATCCTACCCAGAACCCCATATTTATTTTTGGTTCGTTGTTTTCTTATTTCCTTTCCCCTTACCCACACCAAAACCCTATACTAAACCCAAGGTTATCTGTTTGGGATTGTAATATCCTGTCTGCCTTTTGCTAGTCCCTGTCCTTTCCCAGGAATGGGATCTGTCTTTGTGTTCCCAGCTCAATGGTTGGGGTCTTCACTAATGACAGATGTTCAGGAAACATCCTCTTCCAACCTCTAAGGATTTAACCAACTTCTGAATTTGAGACCCACCTGAAAAATTCTTGAAGGAAAATGAGGCTGCAGCAACTAGTGGACACTACCTGGGCCTTCTGAATGGCTTTTCCAGGGCAGCTGGTTGTTTCCTCAAGTATACATTTCACCACTTTCTGTGGGCATTGTGCTGCAGAGTGACTCATGACTGCATACTTGAGTCTGCACAAGTCCTGCCACTGTGCTAGTGTCTGAGTCTCTTTCTGCTGTCTCCAGCCTTGCCCCAGGCTTTCCACATTGTCTTTATCCATTCCCATCAATTCACCTGGCAGTCATCCCATGCAGTGTCTTTATTTTGTTATGTCTTGTAACAGTCACTACTGGTGTCTCTGTTCACATCCCCTCCCCAAGCTCACCAATATGGTTCCCTGTGGACCTTATTGTTAGTTCCCATGTGCATGCACTGTGATTCCAACTGCTTCCCACCTCAAGCATCTGTGTCTCTCTTCTTCTCTATCTCAGGGATTTCACTAGCACCAAAGGAGCCCAAGTAAGGACAGCTCAGAGGAATGGGGATTTCTTATTTCCATGGGGTAACTGTTAAGCAAGGGGGAATCAGAGTCAGTAGACTACATACTCCAGGAGCTTCCTCAGTAGGTCAGTTCTAATGGGTAATGTACTGGATTTAATGATGGCCTCCCAAAAGACATGTCCACCTGGAGCCCATAAATGCAAACTTATTTAGTAAAAGGGTCTTTGCAGTTGTAATTAAGTTATGGATCTTGAGATTAGATCATCTTAGATTAGGGTGGGCCTTAAATAGAATGCCAAGTGTCTTTACAAGAGAAGAGAAGGAGAGAAGACACAGAAAAGAAGGCTATGTGGTGAAGACTGAAGTGATGCAGCTACAAGCCAAGGAATGCCAAGGGATACTGGCAACCACCAGAAGCTTCTGGAGGGAGTCTTGGAATGAAAGAGCCAACTCTGCCAACAACTTGATTTCAGACTTCTGGCCTCAAGAACTGGGAGAGAATAAATCTCTGTTGTTCTCACCTGTCAAGTTTGTGGTTATTTCTTATGGCAGCCCTAGTGAACGAATCCATATATTCTACACAGTTTCTCAGAGGGTTCCTAGAAGTTTGAGCCCCAGTTGCTCAAAGGGATCTTTCACTTGGTCTCTTCTTCCTGTCTTACTTTTCCCACTCCCTCACTTGAGTTACATGGGATCTGCATCCTCATCTTAAGATCTGCTTTTGGGAGAACCAAAAATAAGACATGTGCGTAGTAGGGAATGCTTCTATCAGTAACTCAAGACCTGAACATTAATAGGATTTGTTGCCCTCTCTAAAAACCCACAGCTGCTCTATCATCGGGTTAACTCACTTTGCCCTTCTCCTTTCTCCTCCTCTTCTTCTTTTCCTTCTTCTTTCACATATGCTTGGTTTCTTTCAGTCAATCATTTTTGTTTCATTCACTCCTGCTATATGGCTGGAGAAAGGATTCATCTATCCTTTAGAAAACCAAAAAGTTGGGACAGGAAAAGTTTGGCTTCTAGAAATGTACTGAAAAATGCCACTTCCTCAGGAAACAATGAAACAAACAACCTTACCTATTTTCTATGGTACTTGCAGTTCCTTTACCCCAAAGCACCTCAAAGCTATAATGGTTCAAAAGCAATTCATGATCTCAGCACTTTAGGCTTTTAAGCTTGAACTGCTTATTCCATCAGGGTCACACTGGGACCTCCCCAAACCATGTATCCTTCCCTCTGGGTCTATTTGACCTTTGGATTCTAGCCATGTCCACCATTGGCCCAGCCTGCTACTAGCAGGGTCATGAGTGGGACAAATGTGTTTGTTCCTCTTCATGCATCTGAAACTGTCTTTGAGCACATTCTAAAGCAGTAGAATTTGGGTTTTAGTTGCTGACCTTCATTATTTGAGCCGCCTGCTCTTCTCTGTCAGAACTCATTGTAGATATTTAAAGTGAACTGTTAGTTTCACATAAAAGTGCAGGAAAGTTTACAGTTGGAGAGTAGTCCAAAATCTATTCATTTATCACCTGCCATCTATTTTCTAGTTCAGGTGATAAAGATGTATTTGCCCTGCTTTTATTTTGATTTGTTTCCATTCTAATTCAAAAGTTTCAAGTAACCCATCTACTCTGATGCCATTTTGCTTTCCCACATGTAGAATCTTTGATTCTTGGAAGGAGTGGAAAAAGACCTGGGTGAAAAGCTTCTACTTGGATGTTTAAAAGTTAAGGCTAGAAAGGATCTCGAAGATAACCTAATCCAATCACCTTAAAAAAAAAAAAAGATGGGATCTCGCTATGTGACCAGGCTGGTCTCAAACTCCTGGGCTCAGGTGATCCTCCTGCCTCAGCATCCCAAGTAGCTGGGACTACAGGTGTGAGCCACCATGTCCAGCCCAACCACCTTCTTTTACAGGAAAATAGAGACTCAGAGGAGGTGAAATTACTTCCCCTAGGTCAAATGGCTAACTGTAGAGTGAGTTGCAGAACTCGGGGAGACATGCAGCCCTATAGGCCACAGTGCTTTCATGACCGAGTAAGTTGTGGACTGAAAACCAATGCTCTCCCAGTATCTCCAACTGACCAGGCTGAGGTTGCTGTCTGTTGTCTACATCAGCCTTATTAGTTTCTCTTCCAACTGTGCTTTAAACATCTCTTCTTGTCTTCTCATCTCTTATCAGAGTCGCTATTAAATTCAATAGGGGGCTTACTTTCTTTTGTCTGCAAGTTTCCTCTGTAAAACATGAAGCAGTCAATATTTTTTTTCAAATCCAGCATTAGATAAACCCACCATTAACTGAACATTTTTCCTTAGAATTGCCCCGGAATGCTTTCACTATTTTTTGCCCAGTGTGGGGACAATGACTCACACTGGATATTCCATCACCAATGCCTCTGTTCACACTGAGGCCAGAGCAGAGGTTTTCTTCCAGCCTAAAATAGGGAGGTACCATCCATTTGTTAAAATGAAATAAATGTTCTCTGTAGCTTGGGCTCCTGGGCAGTAGACAAGCCAAATAAATGCGGAATTGCTCTTTTTTTCTCCAATTCTATGGTTTCAGACAGAATACAATATCTATCCATTGTCTAACACAGCCCATTAGCCACCTGGCTGACAGAAAATAATCTTAAATGGACACTTTGAAGATGGGTCAGCCCACGGCTTTTTTCTCATAGGTTTCAATCTTAATAGAAAACTATACTTAGCACTATAGAACCTTGTCAGTCAAAAGTCAGGGACTGTACTGTGTCACAATCCCTTTTTGCTAGGAGGAAAAGTAACACTTGGATATTGTTATTTGTATTATCATTATCATTATTAATATTATTTTTGAGAACACAGTAATATGCCAATTTAATTCTTTTAGTATTAACTCATTTTTAAAATTAAAAGCCTATAAAAATTACCAGCTGTACAACCTTTCAGATTCACCTCTGTCATCCATAAAAAGTGGACAATAATAGCCATCTGGCAGAGTTGTGAGGGTTAAACAAGAAAGAATCCATAAAATAATCACCTGATACGAAATCAGTGTTTCTTAAGGGTAAAACTTTTTTTCTCTTAGCCATATAATCTTTCTGAAGGTCAAGTTTGCCCTCTTCCCACAAAGCTCAAGGATGCCCCCTAGATAAACAGAACAGGCAATCTAGTGCTTTTCTCATGACAGGATGACAGTAAATTTTGTTGAAAAAAATGGAAATGAAGCTTGATGTGACATCCTTCCCTATGACTGAGCTATAGAACTCTGTCTCTATTGAAGGTCATTGGCCCACACAGAAAAATCAATCAAAGGCTGTGACCTGCAATGTAAATTAGCATTCTTTTAGAGAAAACCACAGGAAAGGTTGAACTCACATCATTTCAAAAATCAAGAAAAGGTAGTCCTGCTCCCAGTATGGCTGAATAAGCTCCTAAGCTCCTACTTGACTAACTCTGCCACAGATATCAGCTACATGGTCTGAACAAAATACAAAAAGAAAATAACTACCTGAAGGCCCTGGAAGGCAGCAAAAATAAGCAGATCCTGCCGTGGAGTCAATCTAGGGAAGCAGGGGGAAAAAAATGGATGAGCTTCTGATTTTTACAGCTGTTAGTCTGAGATTAGACAATAGTAGCGTTTAGTCTGAGATTAGACAATAGATGATGCTGCAAGGGGCTGCTGAAACTCCTATAGAAAATCCAATCTTCCCAGCATGAATGGTTCAGGGCAACCTGAACCCATAGTCATTAGAAAATGAGGCAAAAATCCTAGAAAGTAGTGGGCTAGAGAAGAGCATCTAAATTCAGTGTATATATTTTGCCCAAATCTCCATCTGATCCCTGAATCACATGTACAGGGAAGACTCAAAGTATCCCAGGTAGGGACAAAAAAATTACACTGAGATTTGAGTTAGCACCTAAAAAGCAGACTTTGCAGTTTGAGTCCAACCAATTTAATTGTCTTTTTAAAAAGAGAAATAATCTTTGGAGGAATATAACAGAGACCACAGTCCCCATAACATTCACAATGTCCAGGATATGATCCAAAATTACTCAATATATGAAGATGCAGAAAAATGTGAATAACTCTCAAAGAAAAGATAATCAATGAATTATATCCTCAAGAGAACCCAGATGTTAGAATTAACAAACAAGAATTTTAAAGTAGTTATTATTATAAATATGCTAAATGACTTAAAGAAAAATATGCTTGTGATAAATGAAAAGATAGAAAATTGTAACATAAACTATAAAAACAAATAAAAATATTTTATCAGTAATATCTGAAACAAAAGTTAAGAAAAAGAAACAAAGCTTCATTGAACAACTCTTTACAAATATATTTGCTTTATATTATGTTATTTAAGGAGAAGGTAGAGTGAGGAAACAGAGACAGAAAGAAGAGGCAGAGAGGGAGGGGATGCTAAAAGGAGAACTGGAGAAAAAAAGCAGGAAAAGAGTTATGACCAAGGCAGCTTCCAGAAAAAGGAAGATACAGAAAAAGTGGAGAGAAGGAATACATTGAGGCTGAGGGAGCAAAATATAGGAAGAGAGACTGGAGAAGAAAAGTTCATAAAATCTTAAGGCTTATAAACTACTTTTGCTTAAGTCACTGTTCATTTGGCATGAACTGGAGAGGTTTATGGAAGACCTGAATATATGGCTTCTAATCACGTTTAAAATGGCCTTTTAAAATGTCAGTTATTGCTTAATAAATTACTAATCAAACTTAAAGAGATGCCACTCTTAATTATTTCCTTGGCTTCAATGGTGGAACCTTAAGTCACAGTCGCCTGAACAGAGGTTAGATTCTTCATCTTCACACCACACAAACCCCAGAGCATTTGGGTCACATCTATCACCTGTGACAACTGTCTGGCTGAGGAAATTCCAGCAAGATGGGTCCTCAGAAATGACTTCCTCTCACCACCGTGAGTAGGGTTGGCAAGGGGTTGCATATCTAACGGTTGTTAGGGTAGCTTGAGAGCCTGAGAGGAAAGCACTATCTAATCTAAAATCAACTGAGATCTTGCATATTTTCTGTGCTCCAGTTCCCTTGGGACAAAACTGGCTGCCAACTAAGCCTGTCAGGGGCAATTTACAGTTTAATAGAGGATTCTGGTTAATAGACAAACCCTTAAATACTTAACGATATGATTTTGTAATGGTAGAATTTCAGAAAAAAAGATAGTTTTGATTGGGAGATAAAGGCTTCTCAGACAGCATAACCCCTGTCTCTTGGGGCTGGAGACCAAGCTGGAAAATGACCAAATGACCCTAAACCATTGATAAACCACTGTCCAGCTGTGGGCTTTTAGTTCACATGCAATGAGAACCAACTGAGCAATTTCTAACTCTTCCATCCTAGTGTCACTTTTCAGATTCAGAATCACACATCAGATTGACATTGCTGTATTCTTTCTTTTCCATTCGATTAAGCTTTTAATCCTCACCAAATATGACTATTTCCATGCTTATATCCCTATATGGCAATAATGGTCTTTCTTCCTAAATTGGATGTGTTATTTCTGTAAAATGTTTTCGATCACAAGCCATTCCTTATTTGCTTTGAGAAGTGATAAGAATTAGTTCGTAATATCACTGATGAGGGAAAACGTTAATGGGAATTTTAGCATCATACAACATCAATGGAAATAAAGGGAACTTGCTAGTCTACATTTATTCGCTAAACTGCATTTTCTTAGAGCCATGAATTCAGGAAAGGTTGCATGATAAAGAGAGAATACAATAACAGTTGGCCTTGATATAAAAGCTCTTTGTGTACAAAGCAGATGCAGATCTGTAAACAATGCGAGCTTCTTTCAATAGATGTCCTAAATGAATTTAGGCTGTTCTTTGCTTTGTTTTTCAACAGAAGCAATTTTAGCATTTTGAGGAAATTCATTACTTTCATCAATAAGAATAGATTGAGTTATGGGGTACATGAAATTCTGCTAAATACTCAAGATATTGAGCTTTTTGTGGAAAAAAAGGAATATTAAGAATTTCTCTTATTGGGTCAGTCAAAAACATTTTAATGACAACTTAACTCACTATATTTCAAGCTGTGTGGAGATATATAATATATTTTATATATATATATATGTATATATATATGTATATATATATACATATATATGTATATATATATATATATATATATATATACATATATATATATATATATATACAGATGAGCTCTATTGTCAGACAAGCTGTTCCAAAGCTCTACTTTGTTGTCAAAGTGGATACAGGAGCAAGTTTTGTTTGTGGAGTTGGCTCCACTCTTTCTTCTAGGACCTATCTGAGCAATTTCTTATCCACTTTTTAAAAACAGCTTTATTAAGATATAATTTACACACTATTGTGTATTTTCAATTGTGTAACTACCACCATTATCTAATTTTAGAACATTTTCATCATACCAGAAAGAAGTCCCATACCCAATAGCAGTTGCTCCCCATTCTCCCTTCCTTTCAACCCCTGGAAAACACTACTGTACTTTCTGTTTTTATAGATTTGTCTATTCCAGCCATTTCACATAAATGGAATTATATAAGATGTAGCTTTCTGTGTGTGGCTTCTTTCATTTAGCATAACGTTTTCAAGGTTCACCTATTCACCTATGTTGTAGCAGGTATCAGTACTTCATTCCTTTTTATGACTGAATAATATTCCATTGTATGAATGTACCACATTTAGTTTATCCATTAATCAGTTGATGGACATTTGAGTTGTTTACACCTTTTGGCTACTATGAATAATGGTGCTATGAACATTTGAGTACAAGTTTTTGCGTGAATATGTGTTTTTATGTCTCTTGGATAGGCACATAGGCGTGGAATTACTGGGTCATATCGTAATTTCATATTGAACATTTTGAGGAACTTCCAAACTGTTTTTCCAAAGTAACACCATCTTAAGTTCCCATCAGCACTATATGAGGGTTCCAGTGTCTCCACAACCTCACCAACTTTGTTATTATCTGCCTTTTTGATTAGTGCCATCCTAGTGGATGTGACATGGTATCTCATTGTGGTCCCCCTCCACTTTTAAGTGTCATTACTATAAATATTCCTCAGCCATCAGTTCCAAAAAGGCTTTTACCTTCACTGTGTCCCTGAGTACACCTCTCCCCTTGTATCTGGTAGCAAATCTGAAGAAGAAATAATCATTTCTTCATTCATGTGCTAGACACTGGAGATAAAACAAGAGACACATAATCCCAGTCCTCTTAAAGCTTACAGTCAACAGAACAGATGGATATTTATACAAGGGATACTTTATGATATGGAGAATATCTGGAGGAAAAAGCCAGAGTCCCTATTGTGCACCAATAGAGGATGGCAGGAATGAGGATAGAGTGATAAAGTGGGTGGGAAGATCATAAAAGGCCCCACGAGTCAGGTTAAGAAGTTTGGACTTTAAGAACATGTGTAAAAATAAAGGTTCATCTAGAGAGAGAAATCATTTGATCAGATTTGAGTTTTTAGATAGCTACTCTAATGGAAGCAGAAATCTATAGGATAGAGAACCACATAATGGCAAGGGTGACCAGCCCTATTGTAACTTAGTTCCTACAGCAGAAGACATCCTTCCAATCTCTGGGTGGACCCTTGCGAAACTGATCCTGTGTTCTTGGCCTCATGGCTGAACTCCTAATTTTCACATAAATCCTATCAATAACCTGTTCCACTTTACTCAAGGCAGTGGTTCTTAAAATGTGGTCCCTGGACCAGCATCATCAGTATCATCTGGGAACTTGTTGGAAGTGCAAATTCTTGGGCTTTACTCCAGATCTACTGTGTCAGAAATTCTGTGGGTGGGCCTAGCAATCCATACTTCAATAAACCCTTCAAGGGAATTATCATATACATTCAAGTTTGAGAACCATTAAAATAACTTGAATGAGATTCCATTTTTTTTGTAACTATTTTACTATTACAAGACAGAGCGGTTCCATACAAGGAAATGATACAAGGTGATACATATTTAGTTGTCTAATGGCTTAGATTAGGGGTCTGCAAACTATAGCCCATAGGCCAAATCTTATCAGCCACCTATTTTTGCAAATAAAGTTTCATTGGAACATAGCCAGGTCCATTTGTTTAAATATTGTCTGTGGCTGCTTTTGCATTGCAATAACAGAGTTTAGTAGTGATAACAGAGACTATATAACCCATAAAGTGGAAAATATTTACTACCTGAACATTTACAGAAAACGTTTGCTAACCCCTGGTCTAGACTAGTTGCATGATACAGGAACATTTTAATAAGGGAGATGTCAGAGAGTCCAAGTAATAAAATAAAATACAAACACATGTGATAATAAAATCTAGTTTCTCCAAGTATGACACTAGAAGGCACATTGCTTGGTGAGCGGAAGCAGTTTGACCATATTAAACTTCACAAAGACCTCAATGAAGTCAAGACCAGGAAATCTCAAACTTAAGGGGACCTACTAAAATGCACATTACAACTCCCTCTCCATTATGATTGAGAGGTGTGAATCTGAGGTGGAACTTAAGAATGTATATGTTTACCCAGTGCTCCAGAATAATCTGACACAGGTGGTTCCTGACAACTCCTAGATGAGCACTGGGCTGGAGGCTGCTCAAAGGGCTGTAAACACAGAGTATCATGAAGCAGCACAGTCTCGCCCTCAAAGCATGCATTGCTTTCTGAAGCTCACTCATCTTTTCCCATCCATGTAGGACCCAGGAAAAAGAAGAAATCCTTCTTTGATTTCTGTTTTATTTGATTTCTTGCTTTTTTTCTGGCCTTTAAAACCCCCCTCCCAGCATCATATGTTAGATGTCTGGATACTACCAAGCTTAAGGCAAAGGAGAGGCTAAGCTTTCTCTTACATGCCTGAGGCTTCTCCTTGAGTTCTGGGTCCCTATCTAAGGACTCACCCTTCTGGGAATGACCTTGGGTTTCAGAAAAGATCATCTTTCTTGCCCATGAAGATGTCTTACTTTGCTGATCTCAAATGATGAGCCTTAACAGAATACAACATAATTACTGAAACATTCACTCAAAGGAAACTGACATACAGCATAAGAGTCATCTGCTTATGAGGTCATGGCATCTGGACAGTATTATCAGAGAGTTGATGGGATATGATACACAGCCAACTCAGTTCTACTACAGGACAGCCGGATGACTTAGCATGGCCTCCTTTGTGACTGATATGTCCAAGCTCTTCAGATCTAGCATTGTAATTCTCTCTACTTGTCTATGTGCCTCACTAGACTGTAAGTTTCTTGAGGCCAGCTGTGTCACCTTTATCCTTGTATCCCCAGCACAGTGTTTATCTTATAGTAGGTTTTCAACAAATATTTAATAAATGAACAAGTAACTGCATGGATGGTTTACTGAGTCATGTTAATCTGTTAAGCCCAAGGGTGAATATGATGGTGCTTTCTTTCTCCTGTTTAAAAATCCCATTGCATTAACTAAAGCATTCCAGCAGTATAAGTAAATTTGTCAAGGTGATTGTTACATCAGGGCTTTCATAGAATTTTTTTCTAGTAAGCAAGTCTTAGAAAAACCAAAAGCAGTATGGACTTTTAAATCCAAATTCAAGCCTGGCCTATCGAAAGCATCTACTTCGTGTCCTAAATCTGGGTGACCCCAAAGTGTTGTTCTAATATCTTCAGCCAAAGATAAATAAAGGGTGAAATATTTCAGTTGACAACTTACCTACATTCTAGTTGGCCTCATCAACTTAGAATTTGGTTCATTTATCAAGTTTTCTCATTTGAAGTTTGCTGCATAATTTCCCTTTTCTGAATGAAACTTACTTGGTGAAACACTTCACTGTCAATCTTAGCTTGAATTTAGTGGCTTTGAAATCACTGGCCCATAGACCAGCCACGGCTTCTAATAAGAATAAATTCTAACAGGAAAAAAAAAAAAAAAGATGCCTGAACAGGGAGTAGGGAGACGGAGGGAGGCAGAAAAGAGATTATTTGTCCCCAGGTTGCAAGCACAATAGGTGAGTAAAAAGATGCCTATGCATGAAAACACTCCTTCCACATGACAACATAACAGATGATGCAGTTTAGTGTAAAGGTGACCTCAGCAGTGTGTGGAAAATCAGGGGTCTCACCCTACCATCACCACTCCCTGGTTATGTGTATAATCTTAGGTACACTGCATCAGCTCTCAGGGGTACCAGTTTCCCCATATGATGACCTGAAGGAGTTCAAAGTTCTTTTCAGGTGTGTACTATATACTCCAATTATGGTGGTTGTCCTGCCTCTGGCCCATTCAAAGACAAGCCCATTCACGGCCAGGAGCAGGACCCTGACCCAAGGCAGCCAGTACATGATCTGACATGGCCTGGCTTTAAGAGACAAATTCAGCTGATTAGCTTCCCCCCTTTATTAAATATAAACTCAGGAAACACCAAGAGAAGGGATCTATTTGCGAAGGGAGCTAAAGTTGAAAAGCCGTTAGGTAGAGAGAAGTCACGTATGACAAGATGGGCCCTATGCAAGTCAATGTGATGAGCAAGAAGTATGAGCAAGCAGAAATTGGAAGGTAGGGATTGGTAGATGATGAGAAAGTCTGCGGAGGGAGGGAATGGAACTGACATAGGAGTTTGTTGAGCCCCAGAAATCCTGCTCTTAAGGGTTATATACTCACCAGCTTTGAACCTTTTGTCAATTTTGCATTTCCCAAGGCCTAGCTATACAAAGGTTCCTAGACACAAGTATCCTTATCCCACTGAGGTACTCTTGTAAGCTTACTCAGTTGTTGCTTCTTGAAACCTAAAAGAACCTAACTATAGCAGGAGCCTGAAGTCTATGATCCTATGAAGTTTCACAAGGCTATATAGCACAAACTGTGTGCTAGGCACAAAAAGAATAAGATATATTAATTTAAATCAAGAGTTTTCAAACATCAAAGCCAATAGCTAGTTAAAACCCAAACCCAAACCAATGCTGAACCTTCATACCTTTGCTCATGCGGACATGGCCACAATCCCAGTACTCAGGGCTTCTGGAATCAGGTAGGGTGTGGTTGCTTCTCAGGTCAAAGGGACAGAACATGCAGGTCTGAATCAGCCACCAGAGGGAGTATAAACAAATCCACAAATAGGCTAGGGGGAGCCTCCCTTGTCACATTTCTCCTGGGTGATAAATTTCCACCAACTGTGTTCTTTCATCTGTAGTTTATTCCAGGAGAACTGCACTTAGCTGAAAGCAAGCATGGGGTCCCAAACAGGGGAACACTTGTTCAGACCTGAAAGCATCCAAGGTCAACTACATCGTGCTTTTGCAGTTTCATACCATGTATTGTTCAGGTAGGGCAGGGTTTCTCTTTGCACAACACAGGCAGTAAAAAATTAAAGAACACCCTGTGTTCTAATGATTGTCTACACATTGTTTAGAACCGGGAACATCTTGACTCACAGAGATAATGATATAAGGAGTCTTTGGATTGGCAAGCCAGTCCTTCGGTGCTACTTAATCTTTGATCACAGAGTCAACACTTGTGAGAAATGAAAAATCATTTAAAATATTGCTTCTCATGACCTAATGTACTTCAGCTCAAGAATCAAGCACCACCTCCTCCAAGCAGCATTTCTTGATAATTCTGGCCCTGGATGAAGCCGAGTGCTTTCTCCTCTGTGCCCCCCACCATACCTTCTGGTCCTACATGTCTTTCTTTCATAGTATCTATGATACTTTATGAAACTCATGTTCACATATGTCTCTCCCTACTCTTCCCCAAACCCAAGACCTCTTAATGATCTGGATGATGTATGTCCCTTATCACCCTGGTGCCAAGCACAAAGTTTGCACTTGAGATGCGTTAGATGAAAAGGGATGGTGGTGGGATCCCACCACACCCACTTCTCATCGTACTTTAAAGTCCCTTCCCACCATCACTCCATGACTTTTCCTTCCTTCTATAAAAAAAACTTAGGGATGGGAGCTCAAACTTAAGGCAGGAGTAAGAAGACATCAAAGATTTCTCCTTTGTACGACAAAGAGGACATTTTATAGCCTGTGAGAATGGCCAGGGTCGGGAGGGAGAAGAGGGGAAGGGAAGAAGACCCAACAGCTTTGTGGCTGATTCCTGCACTGGATCTTTTTAGAGGTGAGAGAGTGGGCAGTGGCCTTGGCTCCCACAGATACACAGCTCTGAATCCCCACCTTGGCTTCATCAGAAAGGCGACCCAACATTCTGGAAAACACAGAAAGAGCATTTTCCACATTCAGACATAGCTGACTATCTGTGCTCATTGAAGAGAATTATAATTTGGAAAATAAAAATCTTGTGTGTTTGGCTTTGGAAATTGTGAAATAACTATTGGAGTCTTGGGTGCTAGGCTTAGATTGGCTGCTTAGCAGTTCTGAGGCCACACAATATCTCACTGAGAAAATGGATGGTTTGGACTACTGATTTCAATGCGGGATCTTTGCAGTAGACTTATCTTCCCATTTCTTTTGACTACTTTGCTACCTCATGGAATTTTAGAGCAGGAAGAGATCTTAAAAAGCATAAAGCCAAGCTTCTTCATTTTACAGCTGAAAAACCTAAGAGGTCCCAGCAGGTAAAAACATGTGTTCAAGGTTACCCAGCTAATCAGGAGTGTGTCAAGAGCAGAATCCAGGTGGTCAGACCCTTGACTCGGCACACTTCCATTTCCTCTCGCTGTGTCCCAAGCTGACACCTGCACAGGGGGCCAAGGGTGCGTCGCAAGTTTTAAGGAAGTAATTTTGAGTTTTAAAATTAGCTGTGGATAAGTTACACATGGATAATCAAGAGCTGACTGCAGCCTGGGCTCTAACTGAGCTTTAAGTCAATATTATAAGCTTGAATATTTATGGGTGTTTTGGTTTGTTTCCAAAAATGGATGAAAGTGGCATCTTTCCTCCTGTCACATAAATGGAAAACACCAGAAAGGCAGGATTTACAATGCTTTCCCAGCATTTGTGCATTTTGATGTTGATGTGGTTGGACTGAAATCTGAAGGAAGACAGAAGGAAGAGGGCATCACTAGTTTCTCGGTTTGAAGAAGTGAGGGGGTGATTACAGAATTTGGAGTTCTCAAAGTAAAAGGTACTATTTGGCTGAATGATTAGCTATGAAATTTGAAAAGCATTCTCGGGCATTTTTAAAGAATGCCTCTGAGCTTTTTGGAGGAAAGTGACAACGTGAGGTCCCCTCTTATGCTTGGCAGTCAATTCCTGGCCCTGGCTATGACATTCCATGGCTTTTGAAAATCTGACCTCCTTCTTTTTTTCCCACTTCTATTAGGGTTAGAGAACATTTTTTAAATTTATTAAATTTTAATTAAATTGTATTTTTCCTTTGATAACTTTACAATGTTCTTGAGATCATTACAGAAGATAAGAGCAAGGGACTTTAGAGTGGAACTCTGGGGTCATAACCTTGCTCTATAATGTATTAGCTTTGTAACCTTGGGTAGGTCACACCTTGATAAACCTCATCTGTAAAATGGAAGAGTTATGTGTGGCCCATGGACTTTTTTGGAGGATTAAACAAAAGATGAGTATGAAGTGCTTTGTAAACTGTAAATAGCTGTACCCTAGTGCTTAGTCTCCATAGTCCCTATTAACTGCTAGTGGATCCTGGGCGGTTATGTGATCTGGTGTGGGAATTTTGTGGACCACTTTTTCACATACAGCAGGCCTAAGGAAATGTGTCACAGGTAAGGCTGGTCTTGAGCAATCACCTCTTTGAGTCTCTGTTAAAGGTGACATTTATGAGCACTTATGATGTGCCAAGCATTCTACTAACACTATACATGGCTCATATCACTGAATTCTCACAGTAATGCTATGTGGTCAGAATTACTATTATTCCAATTTCCTTATGTGGAAAGTGAGACACAGAGTGGTTAAGAAACTTACCCCAGGTTACACAGCTAATAAGTGTCAGATCCAGGAAATGAAACCAGGTGTGCCTTACTGCAGAGTCCTGGCTGTCAGCTACTGTGGCAGACAGTATTTTCCAAAGATGGCGGCAACAAAAGCTCCCATCCCATGCCACTCCTCCATCAGAAGATGGAGTCTAATTCTTCTCGTGGGCTGTCTTTAGTGATTCACTTGTAACCAATAGAATGTGGCGAAAATTACACCATGTGACTTCTGAGCTAGTTCAGAAAGGATCATGCAACTTCTGCCTGGGTCTCTTGGGACACTTGCTCTTGAGACTTTCTCTTTTGTGATGTTCCTTTCCAAAACCCAGACTCTGTGGTATGAAAAGCCCAGGCCACATGGAGAGGCTGCGTGTGGGCTGCCTGTTGACAGTCTCAGCTGAGGTAAGCCTTCATATCATCCTAGCCCAGGTGCCAGCCACACAATGAAGAAGCTTCCAGAGGATCCCAGTCTCCTTCTGCCCAAGTCTTCTCAGGTGAGGTGCCAGGCATCATGGAGTTGAAACAAGCCACCCCTACTATACCCCATCTGAATTCTTGACCCATGGTCTCCATAAACATATAAAATGAGTGTTGTTTTACATCACTAAGTTTGGAGAGGTTTGCTGTGCAGCAACAGATAACTGGAACAATTACTTTGCTATTCTCTCTCAGTTCCCTCAGAGGATCTCCCTTCATGACTGGTCAAAATTCCTGACTGCAATGTCCTGGATGGTCCTAGCAAAACCTACCCATCTGTTTCCCATTCTCCCAAGATCCTGAACTCTCCACATGAGAGAGAAAAACCCAGAGAGCATTAACTATACTCATCCCTGCTAAGCTATTTCCTGGCTAATGCTCACCACTTCAAGGTATAAGAGGGCCTTCTTCTGCTAATATGCCCATCTTCATAAAAGGTTGTAGGAGCCAGGCCAGCCAAGTGAGGAAGTTCCTGGCCCTGCACTGGATAGGCTGGAGACAAATTTCTGGATTGGGGCCTGTTCATACAAACAGGAAGGCTGCGTTTGCTCTGCCTGGTGCTGGCTCTGTTACAGAGCAGCCAAGGATGGTTTTCCTTTGAAAAAGTCAAAGTGGGCTTAAATGGAGCCACACAGACATGGCGCCAAGTGCTAGACCAGTATCATAATGGTCCAGGCACTTCCCATCATGCCTGATCTCATCACATCTCTCAGCTTGGCTCTCGGAGCTTCTCTCAGCTGGGGACCAGCACCCAGCTAAGAAACCTGAAGGTGGGACTCTGTGCAGAGCAGTCTTTAAGTCAGGAAGGTGACTCGCTGTTGGGGAAAGGTAATGACTGGGAGGGAACACAAAGTGGGAGAGGGGCTTCTAGGGGCCCGTCACATCCTGTGTTTTGATCTGGGTGCTGCTTACACGGTGTGTTCACACTCTGATGACTCATGGAGCTGTGCACTTACAACTTGTGCATTTTTCCTGCGTGTGTGTCACACATCAATAGAAAGAAAATAAATCAGACACGCAATTCAGCTGCGGGGATGAGACCTAAAATAAATGCCTGAGGAGTGATAGCAGAGGCAGTGTGCCGTACTACAGCGATTGGAGTGGTGCCACTCACAGTGAACTCCTTTAGAAAAGAGACTTTTTTATTTGTGTCACCAGTACCAACATAGAGCCCAACATACAGAAGGTATCCAACGAATGTTCACTGACCCACCACCTTTAGCTTCCCTTTCCTCCTTTTTGCTCATTAACTCCAACTAACAGGAAAAGCTTTTCCAGAAGGTAACAATACCCCACTGTAACAAAGTCTACACTTTGTTATACCTACTCCCTGCCATTGTTGATACCTTAGATGACACAGGACAGATAAAGCAAGGATGACTGAAGACCCTAAAACTCCCCAAAGGAAGCTTTAATCAAAATTTTTGCCTGCCTCCCCCAAGCAAGCCCTCCACAGAGCTCTGAAGAAATAGAGCTATGCACTATGCAGTGGATTGATGCAGCACTGGGTACTTCATGTGTCTCAACTCATTTAATCTTCACACTGACCCCGTTGGGTTAGGACTGCTATTAATATCGTTTTGCAGATGGCTAAACTGAGGCACAGAGAGGCTAAGCAACTTGCCTAAAGCCACATATCTAGTAAGTGGTAGAACCTGGGTTAGACTCAGCAATTCAGCTCCAGAGCCCATGTTCTCAAGCCCTAAGGAATCCTGCCTTTAGGTCAAATTAATACACTTGGGAAACATTTCCAAAATATTTGTTTGATAAATACTGAAAAACGCAATAGAGAGTAGTTTATCCTACAACATAAAATGAACCAGTGCTGGAGCTGGTGATTGATAATTATTTTCAGCAATTGGGGGTGAAGGTGGGGAGAGGCTGGAGGGTGGTTTGCTGGGTCTCCCAGGCCTAGCAAATAAGTGTTCCTTGGATCAGAAAAAACCAAAGTCCCAGTCATAGAAGAAAGATCCCTTGCTATTCCCCCACCCCCCTCAGGATCCAAACAGATAATCAGAGCGTGCAGACATTCAGCAGTAATCAATTAGTACCTACTTTAGATTAAATTGAGAATATGTAAATCGGGCGCCTCATCAAGGCTGCACAGAGCCAGTGATTTGAGACGCAGGCACCCCAACGACGTGCTGCAAACATCCCAAGTCTCTGCGACGCAGAAGGACATGCAAATCTTGTCCCACAGCTGAGAAATTTCTTAAACTGGGAAATCAGCTATTCTTCTTTACACACACACACACACACACACACACAAATGTACACATGCACATTCCTCTTCCACCTTTCTCCATCTTTCCAGAAGCATATAATTTCTTATATCAACAGAAAGAGCCTTTAATATGAAAATCCAGTGTGAGGATTACAAGCAGCAGAGCATCTCTGAGCTTGATCCATAACCCCATATCACCACAAGGTGATATGGTCCAGAAGTTAAGCCTTGTTTTGGTGTTTGGTACTATTTGTCTGTTTGGTTGGTTGTTTTGTTTTTGAGAGCATTTGAAAACAAAATCAGTGGCTAAATATGACCAGCGCTTCCTGGTTTCCCCTTCAAATTCTCTGAAAGGGAAATGAGAGAAGAGGATACCTATCAAGTTTCAGAATGTATTTCCAAGAGTAGGCCTGGCATGCATCCCAAGAGATGAACATGCTCCAGTATCAACACACTGGGCAAACCAGGTCCTGGAAAGCCAAGTCTGGGAAGGCAAGGAGAGTCCAGGTGTGGCTGGGGCAGAGGCCTTTGTAAGGCAGGTTCTATGCCAACACCTGTCTATGGACATCCTTGACAACATAGAGTAGGAAGCCCTAACTGCCTGAGAGGGGGAACTAGAGAAAGTTACAGCCAGTAGGAAAAGAGTATTTCCCATCCCACGCCACTCCTTGTAGCCATAAAAGCTGTCATTGTTGAGTCCTAGAAAACTGGCATCTTTCATGGAATTTTCTCAAAGGACATGTCATGACTGAGAAAGATGCTGATTTCCAGCCATGCAGTATGGTGTTAAGCCTACAGAATGAGAGCTAAGGGCTTTTAAATGTAGGCATGTGGCTAGAGAGCTAAAGAAAACTCTCCCAGGAGACACACAAGGTTTTACTGGGCCCAAGGTAAGGAGGACCATTCCAGTTGGAGCTGTGATTCCCACCTTTCAGTCAGAAAGCTGAACTGATTAAACTATCAGAGCTTTCCCAACCACCTTCTTATGACTGCTGAAGGCATATATTTTTTTTTAACTTAAATGAATTTAAGAGAAAAATGGCTTTTAGGAGAATTCTGAGATATTCTTAGATATTAAATAACCAACAAGTATTATTTGGCACCTCCCAGATGCTGAACACTGCATTAGACATGAAAGTAAATATATATTAAAAGTATAAATGTACATTTCATGACTAAAGATAAGAAAATTATTCCTTGGAAAATTCATATTTCAATTCAGAAGATGAAATTATGAATTTAAGAAATGATCAGAAGATGGCAAAAAGTAAGTGAGGACACAGAGAGCTGAAATGGCAGAGAACTGGTTGTTTGGGGTTTCTTAAAGCAGAGTTAAAAAAGGAGGCAAGTTAACCTAACATTTGGTGAGAAGAATCTGATTTAAGGGAAAAGAGCAAGGTGGGGGGATATTCCCATGGCAGAATGAACAAGAAGAGTATACTACTGAGTCGAACTCATAGTTCCTGCTCAGTGTGGTAGATTATAAAAATGCTTACAAATTGTTCCCTATTCTGTATCCACTTCCTTGTGAGGTGACATTGCAGATCCTCCCATCAAGAGATGAGATCTATTTCCCTACCCCTTGAATCTGGGTTGTCTATGTGATTTGCTTTAGCCAATGGGCCATTAACAAAAAGACACAGGCAGAGGTTTGAAAAAGACTTATACATTGGGGCTTGTCTTCTTGCTGTACTTGGAACCTTGATACCACCACCTAAATGAGCCTGCACTAATCTATTTGAGAGGCTACATGGAAGAGAACTGAGACACCCTAGCCAACAGCCTGCCAACCACTAAACATATAAGGGAGATCATTCTTGACCATCCAGCTCCCAGTCAATCCACCAACCAAATGCAGATGCAGGAACAAGCCAAGCAAAGCCCAGCCAAGCCAATTCAGATTAGCTAACCTACAGAATTGAGGGCTAAATAAAATGGGTACTGCTTTAAACCACTAAATTTCAGGATGTTTTGTTATGCAACTAAAGTTAACTGATACATTGGAGAATAGCTAAGTTTGTATGTAGAATAAATTTACCTGAAAGGGACTTAAATAAATTGGGTGGTCAAGATAAGCAGAGGGCCTTAAAGACCATAAAGGAGGAGCAAAAGACCATAAAGAACTCTGATGTTCTTTGACAGAGCAATAGTATGATAACAGCAATATTTTAAGCATAAATAAATGATAGATTGGAGGAGTTAAGCTTAGAGTGGAGAAGCCCAGCCTGGCTTAGGTCTTGGATAAGGGAGGATCCAAAATGTCAGGGGCATTTCAGAGGAAAAACATAGTAAGACATTAAGACAGATAAGCTATAGAGTAGGCAAGAATGGTCTCAAAGATGCCTCAAAGTGTATCTTTCTGGAGCCTGGGAAAACAATGATGCCAAAGTTATCAAAAGAAAAGTCAGGAAGGGCAGGAAAATCCAGTACGATTCAGTCAGAAACTTCATGGATGCAAAAAAATAAAATTGTAAAACTCACTTAAAGAGTGATTTACTGGAAGAATCAGGATGTCTTTCAGAGTTCAAGGGAAAACTGGCAACCCAAGCCGTAGAAAGGGCAAGAAAGAGACTAAGCTTGGAAATCTCAGAAGCAAAATTTTATGGATCTTCACCCTGCCATTCCAGTATGCTCTGGTTCTCCATTCAGCTCAACTTCTTGAAAGAGAGAGAATCGGATAGGCTAGCAGCCCCACAGTAGATGAGCCCCTGGATTAGGTGTTCATGGACCCTGATCTAATTGACTGTTGGGGAGGATGAGAATGATAAGCTTATAGGGTGAACTCACCAGAATTGTAAAGAGCAGATGAAAAGTAAGGAAGAAATAACAAGCACCTCCATAAAATAGGCAAGGATAATGAACAGGGGGAAGAACAGGCTGAATTGGAAGTGAAAGTAAGAACTCCAAATGTAGTTGTTCTGCTGGAAGTTTGAAACAAAGGACTAATGGTTAGGGTAAAGGTTCAGATATGAGTGATATTACTAGAAGTGAGGGTAGACACCAGCAAATAATGAGTAATTGTTTTCAAAGGGAATAGCAAGAGAAGACCCTAAGGCAGAGACCAGGAGCTGTGAGCAATTCCTGTAAATGTGAAAGAAGATAGGTAATCTACTAAAAGAGAAAGGGCAAAGAGAAAAAGCTTCAGAGAAAAGTGATATGGAAACCAAAGCAGGAGGGCCTGGTCAACTATGTCTAATGAAATGGGGGTCAGGGAGACGAAGGACTATAAAAAACGTCCTGCATATGTTTGGGTGATCATCGGTGACTTTCAGGAGCAGAAAATAGAAGATGATGGTTTAATATTTTTTCCCCTAGGAGAGTCAAGAAGTAAAACCATGGGAGGAGTTTACAAGGAAACTCATACTAGTTGGTTTGATACTATACAAAAAGCAAATGGGCTGATTTTCTTGGAGGGTGTAAGGCTGGAGAAATAATTGGAAGTATCTTCACATGTCCACAAAGCAGCCTTAGGAATCTTCTTCTGAGGAAAATAGTCCCCAAATTCAGAGACTGTACAAAGAGACTTCAGCTTTCCATATATCACTCATGGAGGTATCATCCTACAGTTCTGGAACCACTGCCAAAGGACTGGCTGAGCCATGTGTGATTTGTAGGTTCTAAGTTTCTGCAAAGCATTTAGTCAAGCAGTTTGGTAGCAGTAGAGACAGTGGACAAGCCCTTATTGCTCACAGGGATGCCTCTGGGGCTTCTTTCACTGCAGTTAATTTCCAGGACATGGCGCCACTAAATATTAGCATGTCCCCTCGTGTTAATGGCAAATGGCAAGAGGCTCTCATAATTTAGATATTTTTATGGCTGTTCTGTGGAAGCTAATTTTGTCTAACAAAACCCCATTAAGTTTTAGCTCTATCCTTTTCCCTTCCTCCAACTCCCAGAACTGGGACTTATATGTTAATTGCAGCCAGTCTATGCTAATTAGGTTTCATTTCTGTTTCTTAAAGAGACAGATGCCACCAGGTCCTGCCCCAGTCATCACTCTCTCCCACCCCCATAACCAGCTTTTCAGAGGTTAAACTTCAGACTAGATGAAGAATTCACTTAAGGCTTGCACTTGAAGTTGGAAGGCAGAGGGGTCAGTTGTTTCCATATTCCTCACAACTTCCTTTGAAGATAAAATGCTTCCTTTCCATGAAATTCTAAGTGTAGCATTTCTAATTGAGAAACAAATCAAAATACTATCAGATTTTTAAAGTACACACAAAACTCAACAAAATACCCCCAAGCCCTGCTATAACCATTGTTTTAAACAAAAGGCCCTCAATCTTGGAGGTTTCATCAGTGTTGTGATAAGTTTGGGCTCACCACTATAGGTTGAGTAAGGATTTACAAGGCAAGAACTGCTGAAGCAAAAGAATAACTTTCTATATTAGTGTTTGGTTCTGTTTATTGAATGAGTGCCTTCTAGGAGCCCAGTGGGTATTGGAGAGGATAAAAAGATAGCTAAGACAGACTTTACCCACAAAATGTCTTCAGTCTAGTGGGAAGACATTATAATAATAATATAAAATAGGTTACCTCCTATTTATCAAGCCTACTATGAACTCGGTTAACATACATTAACACATTTTAATCATCCCAACAGCAATATGAGGTATATATTTACATATCTATGATACAGATGGGAAAATTGTGGCTCAGAGGCATAGTGTATCAGCTATGTAGTCCCACAAATAATGCTTTGCAACCAACCACCACAAAGCTCAGTGACATACCATAAGTCATCTTGTTTTTTATTTAGCATGGGTCTGTGGGTCTACTGGGGCAGTTCTGCTTCAAGACGTGTGTCACCTTGGCTTGGTTGCAGGTTGAGTTCAAATCGGTTTCATGTATATCTCATCTTCCTTCAACCTAATAGCTAACCTGGGCATGTCCTGATCATACTTACAGTAGAAGCACCAAGGGACAACTAGAGACATATAATACCATTTAAGGCCTTTTAAGGCCTAGGCTCAGAACTCACACATTGTCACTATCACCCATAGTCTATTAACCAATTCAAGTCACATAACCAAGACCAACGTCAATGGGCAGGGAAATATTTTACACCCAATCAAGTAGGAGAAACTGCAAAGTCACATAGAGAAGGCTGTGGGTATAATTTGAATAGAGAAAGAGAGTGAAAAACTGAAAATAGTGATCTAATCTACCACACATAGATTAAAACTGGTGAAACTGGGGTTCAAAGTGAGGATGATCAGGGTCTAATTTCATCTTTTTAACCGTTATGCTAGATGTAATCATGTAAACATAATCAAGTCAATCAGTGACTAATGAATAGTAATGACACATTTCTATTGGGGGATTGGGTCAGGCTTCACAAAGAAGATATCTGGGCATGAAGACCATGAGAATTTTTGATAGGCATGGAGGATGGTTAGGGCATTGCTGCTGGAGGATACAGTGTGAGGATGGATGGAAGGACATGATGCAATCATAAGACTAGAGCATAAGATTCCAAGGTATGGTGGGGAATGATAAAAGCTGAGGATGGGAAGTTAAGATAAGATCAGGATGTAGTTCTGAGCGTGTATGTGATATGATCAGACCTGGAATCCTTTGGATCAGTGCATCTCAAACATTATTGCACATAGGAATTTCCTGAGGATCTTGTTAAAATTCAGATTCTGATTCAGTAAGTCTTGGGTAGGGGGTTGGAGACTGTGCATTTCGAACAAGCTCTCCAGTGATGATGATGCTGCTCTTTCACACTTTGAGTAGCAAGGCTCTGAGCAAACAGCCTGCTAGCCATTTGAGGTCAGGAATTGTTTTCTACCTCTTTGTTCCCACACAGTATCTAGCATGTTGGCTTATACATAACAGACCCACCATGATGGTTGGATGTTGTTGATGCTGCTCATGTTTTCTCTTTCTTTTAATCAGCCTACTTGCCCTCCTCCAAGGCTTTCCCACTCAGCTGTGAAAAGCCAAGGCTTTCCACCAACCTTGTTGCATTGACTCCCTGCGTACCTATACTCTGGCTTGTTTTCTCTTTAGAAATGGAGAAAAACAAAGTGCTGCGAAGAAACAGCCTTCTATTACTGGAAGTCTATGCAGATTCATTAGAGCTTTGGGGAAGCCATCAGAAGTTGATTGTGCTTGAAGGGGTTGCTCATCTCCTCCCATTTCCTAATTTGATTTCACCGCTCTGCAATGAAGTCAGAATTAGAGCCACATTAAATATGGGAAGAGGGAGAAAAAAATTCCACCACCAATCAAGTTGTGAAACTTGCAAGGTGCCTTCTCCCAGCCTCCTCAAGGAATCACCAATTTTGCTAGGGTGAAGGTGACCTCAAGGGGTAACATGGGGCTGAAAAATCATGGCTTTTAGAGTTGACTCACAGAACAGGAAGAAGATAGATTGCAGAGAATTCTCACATTTGTGAATGAGGGGCTCTGGAGAAAGGAGAGAGAGAAATTCTGAAAACCCTACTTTGGTTAGGGCTCACCTTAGGAGTGCCAGGTAAACTGTACTGGAGCCCATGCCTCAAGATGTCCCAACCCAACTGCCTGCCCCTGAGCTTAGAGGTGTCCTTGAGTTTAATAGTTACAGACTCATTCTTGTAAGTTCAGATGATGTTCAGCTGCCTGCAGCAGACACTATTGCTACCCTCCCTTCCTCCCCTTGGCATTCTCTCCTGTATCCTGCAGGCACTTACACTGAACACCTGCTGAGCTCTGCCTGAGGGCTTTTATTCTGGTCACAGGAGCATGTTTAGGCCTCAAACAAGATGAGCTGGAAGTGCCAGAGACTTTATATCCTGGGAAGCAGTCCTCAACCAGTGGGGTCGACAGATGAGTACCTAAGTTTCTTCATCCCTTAAGTGGGATACCTCTGGGACATGTTCTATACTGCCAACCAGAAGTCCTCAGCAGGATTGAGATTTCATCTCCCACAGTTTTCACTTGTTTGATAACACACCTTATGTGGGTGTTCTTTCTTTCCCTGTCTCCATCCCTCTATCAGTGCGCCCTGAAATCCACTTTCAATTGAACTACTTACACTCAAATCTTTGTTAGAAGATCTGCTTCTCGGGGAACTCAAACTAAGACAGTGCCCCAAACTTCCTCCATTAAAATGCCACCACTCCAGGGTGGCAAAGGTCCAGGGCTTCAGGAGGGAGTGGATTCACAACATGAATGAACAAGTTATGAATAAAATGTGGGAGAGGAACTCAGGATAATCCCCTAGGTGAGGGATGGGATGGGAGTATGGGGTATGTTGCGGGGATATGAGAACTAGGTGCAACACAGGTCGCTGATTGCCAGACAGAAAGGCGCCAGATATTCTGTCATTGCAATTCTGCTTGGAGCTTATCCTATCCTTGGGTTTGCATTGCAAAATGGGAAAGATTAATGAGCTCCCCCTAAGATGTGGGGTTTGAGTCTTGTCTTGCCTCTTCCTGAGTGTATAACCTGGAGCGAGTCATTTTCTTTTTCTAAGCCTTGATGTCCCTGGATGTAATTGGAGATAATAATAATGCCCATTGAACCAAACTGCACCGAGGTGGAGTAGAGCAGAGCCCTTAGTCTCTGCAGGCCTGGGACGAAACTTCAGCTTTGCCCTTACTTGCTGGGTGACCATGTGTCAGTTACTTAACATCTCTGAGACTGTTTCATTATAAAATGGAGAAATAACATTAACTTGAACCAATGAAATTGACTATATTTGAGTTTCTGATCTACAGAAACAGCAATTCCATGTAGTTCAACCTAAGACCTTGCAGTGTTTATATGAGGATTTAAAATAATATATGAAAAACACCTAGTGTACTGACTGCCACATAGTAGGTACTCAATGTACCATTACAGCTACTACGACTATTATTGAGATAACATCTTGTGGTGACCACACCATAAAAACTGTAAAACCCTACCCAGATTTTAAGTAAATAATGATAATAATGTCCCACTGTTAAAGGATCCTGTCTGACTGCCGACTAAGATGAAAACAAAGTAACAATCACTGGACAACCAGATGCTGGAAGAACATACCAGGTTTTGCGTATTTCTGGCTCCCTGCAGAACACAATTTTTTTGTTTGTTTTTCCAAGTATCATACTGAAACCATTGTTAGTGAAAGAATCAGAGATGATTTCAGCTTCCATCTTTTGTGATGCTCAGGTTTAAAAAAATAAAGGATCGCCCAGCAAAATTAACTTTATTATTTTAAGAAACAGCCATTGAATCAGCTGTTGAAAATATATTCATTATTATACAATGCCGAGTGCTGTGCACCAGTGCGGGCAGCATCTGTCTGCTCACTAATTCTCCCGTTATTATTACCCACTGAAAGGGCAGGCGGGAGAGAATTCCAGGCAATCTCCCTAGGCAGAGGTTTGCAGGTTTCGTGGAACACTCATAGCTCCCCAAAACGTGACAGAAAAAAAATCGAAAATAGCTAATGGCCTTAATTTTCTTACACCTAACAGCTAACCAATTCATCCCACCCCAAACAGTTACTCATTTGATTCCCTCCCTTCCTTCCTTCCTTCCTTTTCCTTCCTGTCCCTTCCCTCTGTCTTTCTCTTTCACTCTCTCTTTCACACACACACACACACACACCCTACTCTTTCAAATCTGTCAGTCACAGTTTGCGTGTGTGTGTGTGTGTGTGTGTGTGTGTGTGTATGATGGGGCTTAATTTTCTTTGCCTCTCAGGAAGGTCACAAACTGCAATACGAAGAGGCTACTCAGATGGCAAGAAGGGAGGTACAGAGAGAATGGCCTCATCAAAGTCTATCAGGTACAATCAGGACGCAGGATGACATGTGATGTAGATCACCCAAGGTGACCATTGTGAATAAAATGGAGAAGAAACAGCAGAGTTGGGCCTGGGAGGTTGATCTGGTGAGTGTCCGCCCTTTAAAGTGGGTTGCGGGACCTTGTGGAGCAGCTGCTTTTGCAGACTGTCCCCAGGAGAGCAAGAAGTCTGGGGAAGGCAGGAGGATCTGGGAAAAGCACCAGGTACTGCTGCACCAGGTTCTGCTGCCTCAGGATCCAGGCTCAGAGGCAGCACCTGGGGAGGAATTTGGTGAAAAGTCAGCTAGAATTTGTTGCTTCTCTTTCCTTCCCCTCCCCTGCTTCCTGTTGCTGGTGTTAACTATTTAAACCTGGAGCCAGGGCTGTATCTGTGAACATAAAAAGTACAGGAGCAGCAGCTGTAACTGCACCAGATGAAATTGAACTACTCTTTGTGCCAGCGTTTGTGTGTGTGCATGCATGTGTATGTGTGTACATGCGTGTGTGTGTGTGTGGTGGGGTGGGATGGTTCTGCATTTTAAAGGGATGGATTAATGGCTAAATGGCTGTTCTATGCTTTAAAGGGCCAGCTGTTCAGCAGTTTGTATTACAAGATTTATCTCTCTGAGTGGTTTTTAAAATCACCCCTTTCCCCCAGCTGTAGGATTGATGTTATGAAAGAAGAGAAACATTGTCTGGGTGGAGGAAAAGCCTGTAGGTGTGCAACTTAGACCCTTACTATCCAGCAGAGGCCTGGATGGTGCCTCCCTCCAAGGGTTTATTTCTATTTTTATTTCTTTAATTTCCTGGATTACTCAATAACATGGATTCTACTCAAAAAAAAAAAAGAAAGAAAAGAAAAAGAAAAAGAAAAACCCAAACAAACAAACAAAAAAAACCTTCAGAGACTCATTTGCAAGTTGTGGGAAAACAAGGATTCTGTTTTCATCTATATTTGTATGAATCTCCATCCTGATCTTCCCCTGGCTTGGAGCTGTCCTTATCGTCAGCTTCAGTGGCTTCTGACCCATCCCCTCCCCACCTCCCTTTCTTCAATTCTGTCCTCTGCTCCTACTTGCTCTTTGTCAGGCCCAGAACCTTCCATGTCTCCTCCCCACAAGCCATTTCTCCAGCTCCAGTGCCTTTTCCCTTCTTCTCAAACTGCCTATGTCTGCCCTTTGAGTAGTCATAGGAAGACCCCTTCCTCCAGTAAGCCTTCCCTCTCTCCCTCCACTGAACTCCAAAGGCTCTACGTACCAGGGCTCCCCTGAGCAGATGCCATGAATATGTACAGGTCTCTGTTCTCTGCATCTCTGTAGTTTTCCTTACACCCTCCTTCCTGTCTTCTGAAGACAGGGTCCTCATCCTTGTTTTATTTCTTGCTCTCTCCTGCCCATAGCCCTGACTCCAGCTTGGGAGTGGGGTGTCCAGGGACCCTCCAGGATCGATGACAACAGACTGAGGGGCAGCTGCAAAACAACTGGAACAAATCAAACCAAGGCCAAACGTTAACTGCCTCTGGCAACTTCTCCTCTTTCTTCGCCTCTCTCCCAGGACCCAGAAAGGCTAAAGGTTCAGGTCATAAAATCCAAACTCCCCGACCCACAAATCATCATTTCCAGCCTGAGGGAGACACCCAACCCTGCCAAGGTCTTCAAGGACACACATTAGTCATCGGATCAGCCCTGCCCATCCCACCTCCAAGGCCCTTTCATTTCCACACTCCTCAGATTGTTCCATGAGTGGTAGCCAAATAAAAAGTCCAGGAGGTTCTAAGGGAGCCCTGGGTCTTACCTGGAATTGTGTGTTACTGGCAACTAATTCCTGTGGACCGACCCAGGGGAGCTAAGGTTGTCTTTTAGCCCCCCCATGCAGAGGCCAGAAGACCTCACACTTTTACCAGCCACAAGCCAGAGATCCCTGCTGTGAGCAGATGGAGCCTGAGCCACGACCTGCACACGTGTCCTGAATGAGATTTGTTCTCCCAGGAGAAACTGCTCTTTCAAAAGGCTTGTCTTTCTCTCTTTAATGAAAACCTATATTCAAACATGGGACTTGATATCACAGACACATTGTGAAGGGCTCTTTGGTTTTGCAAAATATTTGCCAAAGAGCTCTTTGGGATTGTGAGGCACCCCACTCCAGCCGAGAGAAGGCAGTAGAAGGCAGAAGTTAAGACTATAGACTGAAGGGACTAACAGCCTTAAGATCATTCCTGGCATTACCACTGACCAACTGCGTGACCTTAAACAAGTTATCTCGCCTCTCTGTGACTCAGTTTCCACATCAGTAAAATAGGGGCACTGATTGCAACTACCTATTAAGGTTGATGTGAGGACTAAATGAGATAATTCAGGCAGAGAATTTGGCACAGAGTAAGCTTTCAAAAAGGTTAGCTATTACTTGAAATGTGATTGTTAAAGCCAGCTATCAATCTACACTCAGTTTGGGGAAGGGAAAAAGGCCAGACAAACTGGTAACTTTTCATGTTGAGGAAGAACTGATTTAGCATGAAAAGATGCTGAGCAAATGCTTTATTTCAAGATTTTTTCATGGTGAACATCTACTGTCCCCAAACCTCCTTTTAATTTTGATTATTTTTTTAAAAAAGCAAAAAAAACAGGCAAAGTACCAGTCTCTTAAATGTTGGCCATTTGTGGGGAAAGAAAAATAAAGGAATTAGATTACAAATGTGTTGTTTTATCTATTGTTTCCATTTCCTGATTTCTCTCTGGGGTTCCCTGCCCCTACTCTTGGTCCTCTGGTTTGGATGGGCTACTGAAATGGTGTGCTGGAGTCCACTTCTAACTGTGACTTTTCTTCCCAGCTCCATGTTCAGTAGCATCATGCTGGTAGCTTAAAATCAGCCATGGCGGGGGTATTTACACCACCAAACTTGGCAATCACTACAAATGGGCATCTCCTTTCCCCCATGCCAGAGCTGGTTGTTAAACATTTACCAGTAAATTCATGGGCTTACACTCCTCCTATAGACATGTGACCTAAGAATGGCCAATCAACATATTCTAACTGCCTGGCCTCAGTGATTGGTTCAGAGAGGGATACACGTTCAGAGCCAGACCAATGAGATCTTGGGATATTGCTGGAAAACTTTGGGAAAAAAGTTTCCTGTGGTGGGATTGTAAGAATCAAGCTGCTAGTCTCCAATTTACCTCTATAAGGAGGTGGTCTCATCTGAGAGAAGGAAAGAACAAAAGACCAAGTGCTGATGACTAAAGCCAGACTAACCCTTGTGTTTAAAAGGAAAGTGACCCAGTAAAATGTTCCCTCCTTTTTCTTTTTAAAATTATTCTAATTATTTTAATTTTTTATTTATTTAAGTTTTTTGAGACAGTCTTGCTCTGTTGGCCAGGCTGGAACGCAGTGGTATAATAATAGCTCACTGCATCCTCAAACTTCTGGGCTCAAGCCATTTTTCTGCCTCAGCCTCCCAAGTAGCTGGGACTACCAGTGTGCACCACCACATTGGACTATTATTATTATTTGTAAAGTCGAGGTCAGGTCTCATTATGTTGCCCAGGCTGGTCTCAAACTCCTGGCCTCAAGTGGTCTTCTCCCTTTGGCCTCCCAAAGTGTTGGGATTACAGGCATGAACCGCCATGCCTGGCTCCTCGTTTTTCTTGATAACCCAGTTTGAGCTGGAATTCTGTCATGTGCAAGCAAGAGTTCTCCATAACAGAGATGTGTTAGGTACTATCTAGTGTCCAGGTTTGATCTATCTGTGGTATATAGTTTAACAACTACAAATTTCTCCTGTCCCACTATGAACACTTCTTTGCACTGTGATTTTATAGCAAAATATGATTTTACACCTTTCAAGAGGTAGAGCCTATTCTTCTCCTCCCTTGAATCTGAGCTGACCTTGTGATTTGATTTGGCCAATAGAATGTAGTGGAAGTCATGTTGTACAACATCTGAAGCTAGACCTCAAAAAAATTTGCAGCATCCAGCCCCACTCTCTTGATACCCTGAAACCACCATGCTCTGAGACCACCATTCATATAGGATGAAGGACCGCATGCAAACGGATGATCGACTGCCCCAGCTATCCTCCCTGAATCCAACCCCAAGACAACCCTCCAACTGAATTCAGCCACGTGAGGGAGTCAAGGCAAGACCAACAGAAGAACCTGAAGCCAACCCACAGAATTGGGAGAAATAATGAATCATTGTTGTAAGCCACTCAGCATTGGAGTCATTGTTACACAGAAAAAAGTACTTGATGCTTTTTAGCATGCAAAGTTTATCTACCCATTAATGAGGGGATCAAAGTCTTGTATAGAAAGATACTTGGGGCTTTAGAGCCAGAGTTGAGCTTGAATCCTGGTCCCTCTGCTTAGTAGCTGTGTACCCTTGGGAAGTTTATTTAATTTCTCTGTGCTTCTGTTTTCCCAGTTTCTATGGAGTGAATTGGTTCCCCCACAAATTCATATGTTGAAGCTCTAACCCCCAGTATAATGAAATTTGGAGATAGGGCCTTTGGATGGTCATTAAGTTTAGATGAGATCATGAGGGTGGGGCCCTTATGATTAGATTACTGCCCTAATAAGAGCAGATACTAGAGATCTTGCTTCTCTCTCTCTACCATGTGAGTACACAGCAAGAAGGCAGCTTTTTATAAGCGAGAGAGCCCTCACCAGAATCTGACCATGCTGGCACCCTGATCTCAGACTTCCAGCTTCTAAAACTGTGAGAAAAAAATAAACTTTCATTGTTTAAGCCATCCAGTCTATGATATTTTGTTATGGCAGCCTGAGCAGACTAATACATCATCTGTCACATAGGGATAATAATAGCATCTACCTCATAGCGGTAGATGTCATGAGGATTAAATAAGCTAAAAACTTGGGTACGCCCAGTACCTGGCATATAGCAAGCATTCAATAAGTGTTAGCTCTTATAATTATTAGTATTAACACCCACGCTACGCAAAATAAATAGAAATTCTGTTAAACAGTGATTCTGATTGCAGTAATTGTCCCAGGTTGAGCCTAATACTATGGTCATGGTAGAAATCAAACTTGTTCAATCATGTTTGTAAGGATTGGGGTGGGAGACAGCCAGTAATCTATTAGCATTTCATATCAGAGACTTCTGGGAAATAACTCACCCTAAGTATGAAGGGTAGTAGTAAACAATAATAACTTGCATCTATTGAGTGCTTATGTTCTAGGTACTATACCAAGTGCTCAATGATGTGGATTAGTCCATTTAAACTTCACAACAATTCTATGATGTAGGTGCTATCAATATCTTTACTTTGTGGATGAGAAAACAGTGGCTCAGAAAAGTTACCTTACAGACCAAAATCCCACAGCTGGTGAGGGTGGAAATTCTCTATTCTCGTTGGGCACTTAATGCATAGGGAGAGCCTGGGAGGGTTGATAGCAGTCCTTTGGTGGCCCACTGGAGGGGGTTCCTTTGCCTGACACCAGCTGTCCAGTGTGGGGTTTCGGCACCCCAATCAGACATTAGTTGTCTATGGCAGCCAGGGTATCTCTGACAGGGCCAGGTGGCAGTAATAGTGCCTTTGGCAGACATTAGGGGTGAAAGGCCCATTTGGGCTTAGGCAGGGATGAGAGACTCTGCTATAGCAGCTGCAGGGAGGGAGAGGGGAGGCTGGTGACGCCACAGGCCACCAAGAGCAGGAGCCTGCTGAACACAGCAGGAAGGCTCAGAACCATTTGGGAGGAATCAGAGGGGCTCCTAGTCTCCGCAGAGTGTGTGGGAGTAGACCCAGAGACACTCTGCTTTTTATGGCTGTGACTGTGAAGCTATTCTTGCTCTCAGGGAATTCAGATTGCAGAACATGTCAAAGGCAGCCACAAATCCAGGTGTTGGCCAAGGCAGAGGCCATGGAAAAATCTCTATGCCCAGAAACATTTTCTCCTCCATCTCCTTGCCTCCTGAAACTCTCAGCATGCAATCCACTCTTCAGGGTTAAGACAGCATCTTCAGAAACCCCCTAGTTGTAGGTTAACATATAACAGCCTAGCCCATTATTGTCATAATTATTGCTATTAATAACAACAGTAACCAACATTTGCATGCTACTTGTGATTTTCCAGGGTCTTTTCAATGTAAAATACTCCCAACAGCCCATAACAGGGATATTATTCTATTTCAAAGATGAGGACACAGGCTCAGACAGACCAAAAGAAGTGCTTAAGATCCCACCAACAGTGAGAAAGGAATTCCCTTCACCTTTTCCTCCTAATCCCAAGCTCCAGCTCCATATACCTGTTTATACCTCAGCAGACACCAATTTCTGGTTCATGGAAAGAAGTGGCATGTGTCAGATTAAAAGGTGAACACACATTCTTTGGTACTTTTCCCATTGAGCCGTGCCCTCTAATTCCCCTCCTTTTAAATCTGGGCTGAACTTAGGGGCTCAAAACCAAGATAATGTAGTGGGAGTAAAACTACATGACATCTAAGGCTAGGTCAAAAGTTTTGCAACTATTGTCTTGATCTTGATCTCTCTGTCTTTGTCTCTCTCTGTCTCTCTCTGTGAACCCAATTGCCATGCCCTTAGTGATTTAAGCCACATGGGGAGGCCACCTGTACTCTATGCCAATCCTTCCCAAATGTTGCTGTGCTTATGGATCACCTGGGGTTCTTGTTAATATGCAGGTCTGATTACACAGGAAGGGGAGGACCCGGGAGTCTGCTCCTCTGTACTGAACCACCACAGTGGATCCTGGCCACCTCAGGTCTAAGATAAGGAACTCCAGTTTTTCACAAGCAGCTCTGAAGGTTCCTAACACTGTATTTCCCTTTTGCTGAAGCACATATTTAAATTACACCTACTTTGAGGCTGGTGTGAGAGAGTCAGTTTGCTTTCATTGGAATGTAATATTCGACAAAGCCCATATTAACATTTCTTTTTCCAGGAAGTTGGGGATTTATTAAAGATGCATCCATCACAAATATCAGGGCTCTATAGCTCTCCAACTGTTCTAATCTCTGCCATTTATCAAGATGTCCAGGAAGCAAAATGGTTTGCATTCATTCATTCATTTATTCAACAAATATTTATTTGTTGAATATTTATTGAACAGTTTCTCATTGCCAGGCACATGCTAGTTGGTGGGTAGGGGAAAAAAACTTCATCATAATCATCACAGACCCTGAAGTCACGGAGCTTACAGTCTAGGGAATAAAGCACACATGAATGGAATAGTCACATCCATGAGGCTTTGTGAAGGAGAATGGGGGCTGAGAGAGCAGGTGACAGGGGACCCTCATAAGCTTTGGGAGTCAGAGGTGGCTTTGCTAGGGAAAGAGAGCACCAATTGAGATCTGAAGGATAGAGAGGGGTGGGTGGGTGCAATGTCTGGGTCACAGCCAGAGAAAGGGCACTGCCAGAGGCATGTTTATTGCTCTTGCTGGCCAAACATTCCATCTTCCTGTGACTAGGAATGTCATATCACCCACACTGTTGGTCTAGCCAATCTACTTTCCAGTCTTCACAAGATGGGGGCCTTGCCTCTATCTGCAGCCAGCCACATGTCTACCCAGAGGGAGCCATGCTAGACTGCTCCCCAGTCTGTGTTCTTCCACTATTCAGTTGTTCTATGAGGACAATCATAGATCAGTGGCATACCTAGATTTCTATTAGAATGGTTGCTATGAGTTGAATTATGTTCCTTGCACTTCCCCACAGAAAAAGAGAGGCTGAAGTCCAAACTCCCAGTGCCTGTAAATGTGATCGTATTTGGAAATAAGGTCTTTGCAAATGATCAAGTTAATCATTATGGTCATCCTTAAGGCAATCTGACTGGTGTCCTTACAAAAAAGGAAATTGGGACAAAGACACATAGGGAGAGTGCTATGTGTCTTTGCACTCTCAGACAGAAACGCAGACTCAGAAGAAAGATGGCCATGTGAATATGGAGACAGAGATTGGAACTATGCTGTCTCAAGCCAAGGAATGTCTGGGGTTATCACAAGCCAGAAGAGGTAAGGAAGCATCCTACCCTGGAGACTTCAGAGGGAACATGACTCTGCTAACACCTTGTTCTCAGACTTCTAGCTTCCAGAACTGTGAGCCAACATATTTCTGTTGTTTTTGGCTACCCAGTTTAGATTACTTTGTTATGACAGCCCTAGCAAACCAATACATTGATGGGGTGGCCCATTGGGCTGTCCTAAGGCAGCTGGACTGAGCAGGCTGGAAGGATGGTTACAGGGCACCACCCTGCCCTAGGTCAAGAGTGTGATCACCCAGATCAGGCTGTTGTGGACAAAATGGGGTATAGAGGACAAGAATGGAAGCTGAGGGACAGTCAGGAGGTCTCGGGAGCAGTCATGGATTCATGAGACATTTAGGAGGTAAAATGGATGGATTTTAATGATATACATGGCAGAAGATACAGGTGTCAAATGTGACCCCCAGTTTCTGACTTGAGGACCTGGTAACAGAAAAGTAAAGAGGGTTATGGGGGTTTTTTCTGCCTAATCTCACCAAATAAGTTAATTGTGTTCTCACAATTTTGGGGGCTTTCCTATCTCATTTGGTGGCCAATTTTCAAAATGAAAAAATGTTTTCTCACTAGAGAAGGCATTACTCATAGAGAATGACGAGTAGAGAAAACAAACTAGGGTCAGCTTCTTCCTCTCTCTGCAGTCTCCACCCCAACCCTATCTTGTATTTCTTAAAGGCTAGTCAAGGTGGTTGTGAAGTGGAATTCTAAGATGACCCCAATGACCCACTTCCTTGTATAATCCCCTCCCCTTGAGTGTCCTAATCAGGTGAGTCCTTTAAAGAAGATCTAGAGTTCAAAGACAGAAGAAGTCAGAGAGATATTTCTCCTGGCTTGCCTTGAAGAAGCAAGCCCTCATGAACCCTACAACTGCAAGAAACTGAATTTGGCCAATAACCACATGAGCTTGGAAGAAGATCTTGAGCCTCAGATGAGACTCTCAGCCCCAGCAAATGCTTCCATTGCAGTCTTGTGACACCCTGAGCAGAAGACCCAGCCAAACTGTATCAGAATCCTGACCCATGGAAACCATGAACTAATAAATAGTTTAAAGCCTTCGTGTTTGTGGGAATTTGTTATGCAGCAATAGATGACTAACATGGTGGTGATCTTGATTTCCCTCCGCCAAATTAAAAAATTGATTCAGCCCTTGCTATCTTCTCCCTGTCCTATTACTCCCACCCATGAAATTTGCTCGATCTGGTTGAGGTGTTCCAGTAATAATAACAGCAGATGCTGGAATGTTTGAATGAAAGCATGATTAGCAGGCAGTGGAAGCCTAATAAGGCCCCAGTGGAATTCCTTTCCTCTAGAACGAAAGTGGATTTTTGCATTCATCCAGCTTCTGCTTGCCAGTGTGGGTTTGGGTGTAGGGAAGGGGTATTGGAA
Source organism: Homo sapiens (assembly GCF_000001405.40). Taxonomy (NCBI): domain Eukaryota; kingdom Metazoa; phylum Chordata; class Mammalia; order Primates; family Hominidae; genus Homo; species Homo sapiens. The sequence goes on along the minus strand of NC_000023.11, from coordinate 39,218,700 downwards.
GACAAATATCACAAATGAGAGAAGAGGCTGGCCATTATGGGTCCCAGTATATGAAGAAAGAAATACAGTTTACTTTTCCAAAAGGAATAACTGTTAGCTGTGGACTTTGTGGAATCTAAGAAGAAACAAGGAACCTTTTATTAAGCAACAGTGGGTCTGAGAGTCTGAGTATCACTGTGTGGGTGATGTGGTGCTCAACATCTGATGCCCGAATTTGGGTCTCTGCAAAACTGTCCTAGTGTCTTGGTCTGTTTTTCCAGAAAGCAGAGTCCAAGACAAGGACTTGAGTAGAGGTAGTTTATTTTAGAGGTGAACTTAGGAAGCAGGAGGGAAGGAGCAGAGAGTGTGAGACAGGGAAGGAGATAAAGCCAATAAAATGACACATTATCAAGGTGCTATTCAGCCAGGAGTCGGATTTTGCAGGCACTTTCGTGAAGCCAACAGAATGCTCTGTGGAATGCCCCCACTGGAGATTTTAGTGATTAGGGCATTTATTCACTGACTTCTGCCTTCATGGTGCAACAGTTACTCCCAGGAGTGAGTGCAGGTTATCTCCTGCACTTCTGGGCTATTCCTACATAAAGGCTAGACAGGTTTACAGCTTCAGAGAAAATTCTGAGGTAGAAAAGTGGAAAGACACATAGAATGGGAGAGAGATTGCATTCTCCCTCTGCAGGAACCGGTCTCTAATAGCTTCACTGAAATCAGAGATAGGCCAAGGGGACAGGACACAGGGTACAGAAAACATCTGCTACACCTGGTCAGCTACCTCTGCAGCAGTGAAGGAAATCCAGGCAGCTGAGTAGAGCTCCCTTGAGAATATACATATGCACAAAATTGCACACAAAATTCAAAATTTCGGGTGTTTCATGGAGCTCTCATTCCTAAGCTCTCATTCAGGGACCACCAAGGTTCAAAATCTCTACTCTGAAAAAAGAGTGGGATTTACTTCCAAGTTACACTGCTGGAGGGGCTATCTTAATGCCTTCAAATTCTGACAGACTTCTTTGTGGACACTGGCAGGCATCTTGCCTCTGGGAAAGTCAGACTCCACTGAAAAGGTGTTCTGACAACAGTGCATGGCCCTTCAGCACAGAGAGAGCTCTGATTGGTGCCAGAGAAACCATTTTGCCACGTTTCTTAGAGGTGGCTAGCCAGATACAACCCTAGCAAGAAACAGAATCCAGATCAAACGGTTCTGGAGACTTTAACCAAAGGCAAACTCACAGAGCTGTGGGAAGGGTTTATAGGAACCAATGGAATGTTGAGACACCCAGAGACTAGCAACCTTGGGAAGCAGGAGACATGAACAAGGGAAGAATCAGAGTTACTTGAACTCAATAGGAGCTGGAGCCATGAAGGAAGGGCCACAGAAAAGGAATGACCCAGTAGGAGTTTATATTTTTTTTCTATTGCTGCTGTAATGAACTGCCATAAATTAGTGGCTTAAAACAACACAAAATCTCTATCTTACAGTTCTGGAGTTCAAAATGAGTCTTGCAAGGCTAGAATCAAGGTAACAACAGGGTCATATGCCCTCTGGTTAGAATCAAGGTGACAGCAGGGTCACATTCCCTCTGGTGGCTCCAGAGGAGAATCCGTTTCCTTGCCTTTTCAGCTTCTAGAGATTGCCTGCATTCCCCAGCTCATGGCATCTTTTTTGCATCACTTCAACCTCTGCTTCCTTCCTCACATCTACTACTGACTCTGGTCCTCCTGATTCCCTTTTTTTTTCTCTCTTTTTTGAGACAGACTCTCCCTCTCTTGCCCAGGCTGGACTCCAGTAGCACCATCTTGGCTCACTGTAATCTCCGCCTCCTGGGTTCCAGAGATTCTCCTGCCTCAGCCTCCCGAGTAGCTGGGATTACAAGCGCCTGCCACAACATCCAACTAATTTTTGTATTTTTAGTAGAGACAGGGTTTCACCATGTTGACCAGGCTTGTCTCAAACTCTTGACCTCAAGTGATCTGCCTGCCTCGGCCTCTCAAAATGCTGGGATTAGAGGAGTGAGCCACCATTCCCGGCCCTGATTCCCTCTTATAAGCATGCTTAAGATTACACTGGGCCCACCCAGATAATTCAGAATAATCTCTCATTTTAAGATCCTTAACTTAATCATATCTGCAAAGTCTCTTTTGCCATGTAAGATAACATATTCACAGATTCCATGGATTAGCACATAAACATTTGGGAGAGGGCACTATTCTGCCCGCCACAGAGCTGTAGTTGAATGGCACAGTCCCTACCAAAAACATGGATTCAGGGAGAGACTCTTCAGATCTCCTGCCAATGCTTCCCATGATCAGAATGTAATCAGCAATCAGCTACCAAGGGAGCTAGGAGATGCTGTCCCCAGGGGTTAGAAGAGTATAAAATGGATGAGTGGGTGTTGGATTGGTGGGAAAAAGAGAGATAATAACTAGCACAGTGACTATGGTTTAGAGGGGATGAGGTTCACTCTGGAAATGCCTTTTACCTAGGTGGTTCACCTAGGTAAATAAATACCTTGGGGCATTTATCCTATCTCAGTTCCTCTCAAGGTTTCCTTGAGGAAGGCCAGTCAGAGTAATAATCCTGATTTCCTCCAGCCAAAGTCAGCAGTGGATTAAAACCCTGCAACGATTTTCCATTTATACCAAATCTTCCTGTGTTTCAGAATCCAGCTTGAGTCTCACCTTCTCTGGGAATCCATTTTTGATGGCTTCAGACCACAATAATCTATTCTTGCATTTGTTAATCCATTAATTTATTCAACCAACTTTTATTGATCATTTGCTCTTGTACCAAGCACTGTGCTAGGCACTCTGAGTACAGAGTTGAATGACACACAGTCCCTATCCCCAAGAAAACCATAATCTGATAGGAAAGAAAAGAAACATAAATAGTCCCTAGGAAAGGATAAGTGGGGGAAACAGCCCTTGGGGCAGACCCTGAAGAATCTGTCAAATTTAAACCACAAAAATGGAAGTGAAGAACTCCTCAGGTGAGGAAATGTCATATGCAAAGGTAGGTGGTTGTGAGAAGTCTTGGGGTGTTCAGAGAAAACTGAGAAGTTTAAATAAATTGGAAAACATGGAGCACTGGGTAACTTCACAAGAGATAGGTCTGAAAATGCAGGCAGAGGCCAGGTTAAGAAGGACTTTGCATGCCAGCTAGGGATTTACAGAAGCACTACAAGATTTTAAGCAGGAACCTGGAGTGATTAGATGCTCATTTTAGCAAGCTGAGGTAGGGAAACCAGGTAGGTAGAAGACTGGGTCTATTGGTTTCAAGGTGCATCCCTAGAGTCCAAGATTCCACATGACAGTAGGTTTAGGGTGGGAAGATGTACTAGGGCACCTTTACCTTTATCCACAGCAACAATTTTCATCAGTTTTACACCTTAGACTTTTGTATAAAATTTCATTTGATGGAAGTATTTTGCTCCGAAATTGGTTAGATCTCACTGTGATGGGAGAGCCTGGATGAGGGTCTTGGCTAAAGTTGCTAAGTGAGGTTGATAAGTAAGCAGGGGCCAGATATGAACCCCTCTTCTAAGGCTGCAGTGGCAAATTGGACACGGGGGAATGAAAAAGAGAAGTCAAGCATCACAGGGGTTTCTGGCCCTGGTTAGTTAAGTCTGGCTTTGTGGAAAGCTGTTTGTTTAAATCTAGCACTGGGACTCCTGTTTCCATAGGAGTAGATATTGTGAAATAAAGCCAGTGTGCATTTGGCTCACTGAAGGTTAAGGGACTTGTTGCCTCTGGGAAATGCCTTAGTGTTATGGAAATCAGATCATCATTCATTCATTCATTTACTCATTCATTCATTCAATAAGCATACTTTGAATATTCATTCATTCATTCATTCAATAAGCATACTTTGAACACTGCTAGGAGCTGGCCAGACACAGTCCCTACCCTAACAGGATTCACAGCCTGGGTTGTGGTCCATAGCAAGGGAACAAGCAGAGGAGGATGGCTGTGAGTGCCCCTGAAAGGAGCTGCGCCACAGAGAGCCTGGTTGCCAGGGGGGAGGCCACCCACCCCCCGTTGCATGGCTTTCCTAGTCCTCCCCATTCCTCCCTCTCCAACAGTGGCTGGTCTCAGCCTGACATCACAATAAAAAGGGCTGGGAAGACGCCAAGCCCTGTCTTTGCTCCAGTCAGGGAATGTGCTCACTCAGCTGGGACTCAAACCTGAGACAATTGTGGGCTTGTGGGGGAGCTTGGTGAGAAGACTCCAAAGGGTTTCTCTTTTCTTTCCTTTTACCCTTTGAGAGCCACTCTAAAAATGTTACGTTTCTACTTAATTAGAGTTCTCAAACTAGTCTGTATTTGACAAAGTAGAAAAGTGAAAGAATAAAATGCGTGGATTTTTGTTATGGTCCCAGATGGCCAATGAGAATGGCCTCAAATTTTAAAGTAATACAATCCAAATTGGGGATGCTCAATCAGATGGAAGATCCTGGGCCAAGTAAGCAGAGCTATTTAGCAAACCAGGCAAAGGTTTTTTGTAAGCTGCAGCCCAAGAGTTTTACAAAGAACCCACAAAAATTGCACAATTAAGCTGCTCCCACTCCCCTTTTCAGCATACATCTCTTCACACCATGAATGATTTGAAGCTTGCATGCTTTTGGATTGCCCTGGTGAAGATTTAGTTTCCAGCTCAAGAAAACCCATGTCAGAAAATCGTCCTTCAGCATTCTCAGAGGATAAATAAAAAAGATTGCTACTGAAAGAACCCAATTTTGTTTTTCAAAATATATGTGCAAATAGACATTGAAAAAAATATGGGCATGATATAATCAAAATGGTATAAATTGTCATGTATGGATAGAGGATAATAATGATTTCTATTTTGGGGGAGGACTTTTTAATTTTCTTGTTAGCGAACTTCTTTTGTAATAATAAAAAATGAGTTTTTAAAGAATCCCTATGAAAATCAGTTTCGTTATCTATAAAAAGGGGATAATCATGTTTCACGTAAGATACACGAGAATTTGATGACATAATATATACACTGATCTTGCCATAGACCCGAAAACATAGGAGATATCCAATAGATGGTAAATATGCTGTGGTTGCATCAATCTATGTTATGTGTTTTCAAATTACCTTGCTTTTTAAATGAAAGCACAGAATGGAAGTTTTACACAAATGTGGCAGAATAATTTATTAAGATATTAATTTTCAGTTCGATCTTGCTACTGTAGGTATTTTTCCTTCTCCTCATCCTCTCACAGGAAGACAAACCGGGCACTCCTTTGCCTCAGGGGCTTTGTGTGGAATTGTGGAAAACTACAATCCCTGCCATTAAGACACAGGATAGGAAATGCAATTCCAGCCTGTGGCTTTACAGAAACCTAAAGCCAGTGAAAGGAATTATTCAAAGGATGCATCTATGTGAGGAGTGGGGCGGGGGGGTGCCTGCGGGGGGCAACAGGGTTGGACATAAGGAATACTTGGAGTTCAAGGATTTTAAGAGAAAGAGAAATGGAAGAGAGGTAAAGATTGCTTGAGACTCTTTAAAGAAAGGGACCAGGTTCCTACAGGTGCTGCTGGTATGTTGGGGGAATCTGAGCCTTATTTCCTCGCACAGTGACTGAGTAGGATCAAGTCCTATGACAAAAGGGCTCTGGGATGGCAAGTATGATGATGTGTGTAATTCACTTTAAATGATTTTAGCATAGACCATGTGATTTTATGTATGTGATAGTTTAAGCTTCAGCTTTAGGGGCCATCAGTTGCCTATTAGAGACTTCCCACTCCAGGAGTGCTCTGCTGATATTAGACCAGAAAGGCTAACTTACAGAGGTAGTTTCTGCAAGCATGCCTTCAATGGTGTTCCAATCAACACCTGAGGCTTTCCTAATTCATATATAGTAAATATCAGAATGGGCTTTCATTGGCAAAACTAGCGACTTGTTATGTAGCAGAAGGAATGCCAGCAGTGGGCTATCTGTAGCAGATGCTCTTGGCATGCCACCTATGTTCCCTCACCCTCAGACTTTGGGGAAACTGGCCCACTGCCAAATGCCAGCAGCTACCTAGCCTGTGGGCTTTCTCTTCTCACTTTTCTGCCTGTGTGACTCACCAAAATTGCCAGGAAATTGATTCCTTTTGAGTAGTTCTCAAATGAACTTCTTCAATGACCCAGGGTTGGTACATAAATACCCCAGCTCCCTTATCCCTCTGTATTAGTCCGTTCTCATGCTGCTAATAAAGACATACCCAAGACTGGGTAATTTATAAAGGAAAGAGGTTTAATTGACTCACAGTTTTTCATGCCTGGGGAGGCCTCAGGAAACTTACAATTATGGCAGAAGGGGAAGCAAACACATCCTTCTTCACATGGCTGCAGCAAGTAGTGCCAAGCCAAAGAAGGAAAAGCCCCTTATAAAACCACCAGATCTTGTGAGAACGCACACACTATCATGAGGACAGCAGCATCGGTGTAACTGCCCCCATGATTCAATTACCTACCACCAGGTCCCTCCCATGACACATGGGAATTATGGGGACTCAGATGGAATTACTTGGAGGCTGATATGGTTTGGATCTGTGTGCCCACCCAAATCTCATGTCAAATTGTAATCCCCACTGTTGGAGGTTCGGCCTGGTGGGAGATGACTGGATCATAGGGGTGCTTTCTCATGAATGGTTTAGCATCATCCCTTTGGTGCTGTTCTTGTGATAGTGAGTGAGTTCTCACAAGATCTGGTTGCTCAAAAGTGTGTGATACCTTCCTTTTCACTCTCTCTCCTGCTCCTGCCATGTAAGATGCCTCACTCTCCCTTTGCCTTCTGCCATGATTGGAAGCTTCCTGAGGCCTCCCCAGAAACAGAAGCTGCTATGCTTCCTGTACTGCCTGCAGAACAATGAGCCAATTAAACCTCTTTTCTTTATAAATTACCCAGTCTCAAGTATTTCTTTACAGCAATGCGAGAACAGACTAACACAGAGGCATGTGCTCTACCCTGGCCCTCAGCATTTTCCCTACAGATTTAATCTCTAGTTACCTATAATGGCAACTAGCTTGACAACATTCCTTTTGGCCTTTCTTCCAAGGGCTTAATTATACACTCTCTTACTGGTGGTTTTTTCTCCTAAATGAACTACTTGCATTTAAACTCTAGCTTATGGGAGAGCTCAAATTGAGACAGGAACAGGCTATAAGAAGCTAGTAAGGCCTGTAGCCCATATTCACTGGCAGCTCTAGACTGTAGCTCTAAATGATTTTATATATGGCCTTAAATAGGAGAGGTGCAATTGCATGATTCATGAATCCTGCCTCTAGAGTTTTGAGATCGCCCTCAAATGAACCTTTCAAGCAAGATGGTGATGGTTGGAGCACCTGAAAGAACAGAGACTAACGTCTTCCTAAGGTTGTATGAACTGTTACTTTCCTTTAAACAATTAATAAATGTCCAGATAAATGATGAAATTTGTTCTAAGAGCTGCATTCTCTTGGCAGGTTATAGCAAGAGTAGCTAATGCTTCCCCATCGCAATATTTCTGATGGCTACATTTACCTACCCAAAAGAACCTCAGAACTGTTCATTTTGTCATAGATTACTTTGCAACTGTATGGAAATGGGTTACTAAACCCTAAGAGCCATGGTGTTCAGAGCCTGGGCAAAAGACTGGTCCAGCTTGTCCCTAAAATCCATAATAGCCTTGAAGAGCCCATGTGGGCCTCAACAAGGAATATGTATATATCACTGAGCATTTAACACCCCCACACACCCTCAGGATCCTTCTTCAAGTGTCTGGATTGTATAAACTGCTCAAACCTTTCACACAGTCTTGAGAAAGGGGCATGAAGAATTATCAGTAGTCACTGAGATTGAATTTTCCACTGGCTCAGAGCAGATTAAGTTAAATATAGTAAAATTAAGGTACAAATCGCTTCCTGCACCCAGGTTTGTAAATTAAAACCCATACTTACACACATTGGCAACTTACTCTGTCCATGTTTTTCTACAGTTAATCAAATCTATACTGTGTCATAAATTGCTGGATTTTCTAAAATGTTCATTGATTTAAACTGCTCTCAAATCCTCTCCCACCTCCATAAACTTATTCCCTAGACCAAGTGTCTGTCGTCTCTGGATGGGACCCTGCCATACCTTCTAACTGGTTCCCCCAACCACTAGTTCTTGCAACCCTCCACTGCGTAATCTGATTTCCTCACTTAAACCAGAATGATCTTTCAAAACCCCAGCTCTGTGCATATAATATCATCCACTGTCTTCTCACTGCTATGAAGGAAAGAAGTAAATCCTATTAAGCATTTCAGGATGTGTTCCCCATTGGCCTCTCCTGGGCATCTCTATTTACTCTGCCCCCACCACCTTCCACAAACACACTGGGCCCCAAACACACTGTCTGTCTTCCATACCCAGAATGTAGCATAGACTTCCAGTTTCTGGGTTTTTGCATGAACTCATCCTCCTGTCTGAAACAATCTCACCTGCCTCACCCACACTTTTCGTCTAGTTACTCTCACTCTTCCTTCAGTTATCAGCCCATAGTCTCTTCCTCAGGAAAGCCATTCCTGGCACATCGTAGCCCCCAGGTTGGATCAGGACTCATGGTCACAGTGGGAGGGTGAAAGATGGCCCCTCGAAAGATATACTATTCCCTGGAGCATGTACCTGTTACTTTATAAGGCGAAGACTTTGCAGACAGGATTAAATTAAGGATCTTGAGATGAGGAAGTTATCTTGGATTATCCAGGCGGGCTCTACATGCAATAACAAGTGTCCTTATAAGAGAGCCAGAGGGAACTGTGATACAGACACAGAGAGAGCCATGTGAAAGTGGAGTAGAGAGATTTGAAGATGCTGGCCTTGAAGACTGGCATGATACAGCCACAAGCCAAGGAATGCCAGCAACCCCCAGAAGCAGGAAGAGGTAAGAAATTTCTCCTAGAACCTCCAGAGGGAGCATAGCCCAGTGATGTTGATTTTGGATTTGTTGACTCTAGAAATGAAAAAGAATAAATTCCTGTTGTTTCAAACCACTGAGTTTGTAGTAATCTGTTACAGCAGTCTTAGGAAACTAATACATTCACATAGCAGGCATCACAGCTTATTATTTGGTTGAAGTCTGTTCACACCCTGAGACCAAGGGTTGTTAATCTGAGATCTATAGACCACAGAATTCAGATGATCCATTAATTTGGATAAGAAAAAAATTACATATTACATATTTATTTCTACTAAATCTTACTAAAATGTATCTTTTCCTTCTATTATGTATATAGACAGCAAACCACAATAGCATTGACTGTGCTTGTGACTTTGTCACCAACAGATATCACAACTATTTTCATAATACAGTTTTTGCAAGGATCTCAACATATTATTCCCACTCATCACTACCATGAAATTCCTTAGGCTCACCACTAGATCTTGTTATTTAATACATTCATAAAGAAACACATATATTATTATATCACAATTTTTAAAAAATATTTTGGTAACTACTGCAACATCAGTAGTTTCCTTCATGAGCTTAGGCATTTTATAGATTTAAAAACATGTTTCTGAGAAAGGGTCCATAGACCTCACCAGATGTCAAAAGAGTTTGTGGCATGAACAATAGTAAGACTTCTGCACTGGACTCCATGTCCAGAAAGACGGAGACCCTGCATGTTGTGCTCACCATCACATCCTGAACATCTAGAAGTACACCCACTGCATAGTAGTGGTTTGATAAATATTTATTTGATAAATAAATGAATTAATAAATCATCAAAAATCTGTAAAGATGGGACAGAGAAAGGAAATTCAACACCAAGAACTAGTCTTTCCATCAGGAAGTCAACACATAGGGACAAAAAATCTAGAGTTCTCATTCAGAAGGCTTAATACTTCAGCCAGAGGTACAGAACAGTCTTCTTGTTTTGAAGAAATATATCCTTTTTGACTAGGCCAGTAATTTCTCATAACCCAAGAAAGAAAAAGAAACTTTAGCTTAGCCAGCCAGTGTTCTAATTATCTATTGCTGCATAACAAACCATTCCAAACTTAGTGGCATAAACAACAACCATTTTCTTATGCTCATGAATTCTGTGGGTTAGAATTTTAGACAGTGCACAGCAGGGATGACTTGTCTTTGCTCTACAATGTTTCTGTTCCATAGTGTGCCTCAGGCAGAGGGACTTAAGGGGCTGGGTGAATCTATGGCTTGGGACTGGAATCATCTGGAGGCTTCTTCACTTACATGCTTGGTGCCTGGGATGTGACGATTTAAGGCCGGGTTCTGCTGGCTTTGGTGACCAGAATACCTACATATGACCTTTCCTGGTGGCTTGGGCTTCTCTTAGCATGACAGCAGGGTTCTGAAAGGGAGTGTCCTGAGGGAGTGTCCAGGGAACAAGCATTTCAAGAGACAGAGGAATCTGCATGGCATTTGATGACCTAGCTTCAGAAGTCACATACATAGCACACTTCCACCATACTCTTGGTCAAAGCAATCACAAGTCTGTTCAGATTGAAGAGGACATGAACCAGAACCCCCCACCTCTAAATAAAAATTTAAAGCCTTTCAAAGAATTTAAAGCCTTTCAAAGAATTTAAAGCTACATTTTAAAACACTAGCACAGCCAGGTTGGGGTAAGAGGTGTCAAAGGCAAATTACCCATGTATTTGAAATCCTGTAGGAACTTCCCTTGAATGAGCTGGACCTTCAGCGAATGCAGATGAAGCTCTGGATGTTTGATATGGACTCAGTTCAGGAATGATTCATGTGATTGTTGCTGCCACATCCAGAGGATGAAATGAAAGGGAAGACAGCTGAAATATTAATCTATGGAGGCCTGTCTTTTCATGGGGTCTTATAAATTATACAAAGCGAGTCACTGGTTCTAAGTGGATTAGCTGCCCATCATGTAGGGAAGGTCATGGCCCTGTGCTCTAGTTAAGGAAGATTGTTTCCCTCCAGTTTAAATGATAATGTATCTAGAGAAACTTTGAACTCAAACACAAATAGGCAAGCTAAGCTGAAATTTCTTATCATGAGACCAAATAAATTTCCCCTTTAAAGGCAGAGCAGTAATTTCTTAAATTCCAAAGGAATGAAGTCTGAAGTGAAAAATAAACCAAAACTTTAGTTAGTTGACACTCATAGAATTTAAAGTTAACCAGCTTTCCAAATCTGTCTAAAGGTAGAAGCCTGGCTATAGTGACACCACAGTGGTCCATTCAGGTCTTTGAAAATTATTGGATAATTAGCATAATACTATTAACATAATTATAATTTTTACAATTGTGTGATTATATATTGCATTTGAAGAGTTCCTTTAAATTTTTATGGGATTCTTAACATATATTATCTCATTTGTCTTCAACATCACACCTTAATATGGGAAAGTAAGACTATCTTATAGATAAAGAAAATGAGGCACTAAGAGGTTTAACACATTGTCTTAGGTTAGCCAACAAATTATTGGCAGACCAGACCCTAGAATCAACACTCCCAGCTTAATTTCCAGTTGACCATCTAATGTTAATTGCTTCCATGGTGCCTGAGTGAACACCAGCTCCATTACTAGTGATTCTCATAATTTTTTCCTAGACATAGACTCCTAAAGATCACAGACCAATTCTTTCCTAATCAACTTGTCTCTCAATGTTCTCTAGGCATACCCTAAATCTTTTAGGGCTTGTGGCTCCTCAGAGCTGCTTTGCACTATAATAAATGGCATCCTAGAAATCTTCCTTCCAGCTGCTGAGCTTGTAAGACTAATGGTGATTTCAGATATCTCCTTGCACACTGCTGTTTGCAACTGATATTAACTTGGAGCCAATCCCCTCCTAAGTTCATAATTTAGTTAGTGGCAGCAGACGGTCATCTTACAGGTCATTTCAGTCCCTCTCTCCCTCCATGTCTAATCCATATGAGTTAGTCATGTTCATAAACAGGCTTCTCAGCCAAAAAATAAAACTACCTTCTGATTTGCAGTGTTTGCCAATTTCTGTGGTGTAAATACCTTCAACATAGCTAATTTTTAGCTAACAATATGACATCATTGAACATGAAGCTGAGAAAGAGAGGTATATAATCCATTTTTGCAAGCTGGTGCAGCCAGCACTGGCGCAGCCACTGACTCATCCCTCTTCTCCTCTAACCTTGCTGTGATTGATTTTGGATCATTCTGAATCGCTTTCCAGTAGGATTTATGCAGTATCTTTCCAGCTAGTCTGTTTCTTTCTGTTCTTGGAATCCTACCACACCTATCCTCCATTCCCCACCTACTTACTGCTCAGCAGCCAAAGGAACTTTCAAAAAACATAAATTTGACCACGTCTTCCTGCTCCTTAATGCCCAAACCTGGCCCAGTACAAATCCCTAGATTTACTGGACAGTACACAATTTCCCTCAAGGTCTAGAACAGTAGTTCTCTGTACATTGGAACCACCCGAGTATTTTATCTTTATTTTAAAACTTTATTTTGTTTATCACAGAGTTTTTGCATTAATTTTGATTTTTTAAATATTGTATTGAAACGTTACTTATCTTGACTACTGAGTTGTTTCTTTTGGTGTCCCCTTAAATTTTGTACCTGAGGCAAGTACCTCACCCGTTTCATGCCACTCCTTCCATTGCCACCTGGAGAGTTTTTCAAAATCCCTATGTCAACACAGCACTTCACGCTTATTACAGTAAAATCTCTTGGGGTCGGGGCCAGGCATCCTTATGTATAAAGCTCCCTGATACATTCTAATGAATAGCCAAATTTGAGAACCACTGGTCTTGCTTTCATGACTTCTTGGCTTAATTTCTTGCCACGTACCCCAACATTTTGAAGTCTAGCAACACCAAACTGTTTGTAAATTTTGGAATACACTATGCATTTTCATATTCCTAAGCAATTGTTGTTCTCTCTGCTCAGATATTCTTTCTTCTTTTGCTACCTATAGAAACATTATTCTTTGTCTCCCGTTTTCTCTAAAATGCTTTCCTGGGCTTCCCTCATCCCACTTTGTTAATCACTCACTGTATTACTCATCTATTGCTGTGCAACAAATTACCACAAACTTAGCAGCTTCAGGCAACACACATTTATTATCACACCGTGTCTAGGGGTAGGGGGGCAGGAATCTGGGTGTGGCTTAGCTCGATCCTTTGCTTCAGTCCTTCATGAGGCTGCTATCAAGGTGTCAGCCAGGCCTGGGGTCTCATCTGAATGCTCATCCTTCCCCCTTCCCCTCGGTTCTTCTGCCATAAGGTGGGGACTTAAGGCTGGGGTATATTGCCAGTCATTTTCCTCTTCTCTCTCAGTTCCACTCTTGCCCTTCATGCCCTGCTCTGTTTCACTCAGGATTGGAAACCTACAAAAACAGTTATCCAGGTTTATTTGTCAGTTGGCTTCCAGTCAGTTTATTCTAATGGGAAGAAGTGATGGGTACTGGGAAAGTGAGAGGGAGATAAAAAGACATTTTTCTTTTTTCTATGTCTGGTGGCATCTTTGTCAGCAGTGGGTGGCTCCAGGCTCCAGTGACTTTGGTGAGTCAGAGGGGCCTCTGGAGTTTCAGTAATGGTTCTGTTCTAGCCATGTCAAATGTTCCAGCCACATCAGTGGTGAGCAGGACCTGGACTCCAGGCCCCGAACTCTGTTGTTCCAGTATAGAGGTGTCTGTGACTTCCTGCAGTTAGTTACTAATCTCTGGGTTACCTCATGTCATAGGTTGGGTTCTCTGGAAGCTGACACCAAGATAAAGTCTGGCATGCAGGATATTTATTAAGAATTATCAAATGTGGTAAGGAGTTGGAGAAAGCAGAATTGGGCAGATGGAGAGTCAAACTGTGATGCAGTTCTGGTAAAACTTTGGAGACTCCCACAGAGATATCCGGAGTGTATAGGGCCCATCAGTAATCCAGCAGTGGGCCAAAATGGCACTCCAGGAGGGTGTGGCCTTGCGCAAGGTATTGTCTGCAGCTGAGGCAGGTCCTGAAGAGGCTGACAGCTGGAGGCTGCTTGCCCACAGCACTCCCAGCAGCTGAGACAGCAGGTTCTTCCTTGAAGGTGGTTCTGGATGGAGTGTCATGATTGCCACTATACATCTCTTCCTACTGCCCATCCAACACATTTGAAACCTGTTCTTTGTATTCAGTTTCCTCTGTTTTGAAACACCTGGAGTACTTTAGGCTGTCTTGGCTGAACATTAACTTATATGAAAGGCATAGTTCTCGCTATGAAATGAGAAGGTCATGATTCAATGGCAGTTACTCCCAGACAGCAGGAGCAAACAAAAGCTCTTGCGATGGTAGAAGGAGGAGCCTCAGAAAGAGAGAGAAGGTTGAGGGGTCAGATGTCAACATGATCACTTCCCTCATACACCCACAAGGGGTCAAATATGGGGTGGGCATCAACGGAGAGAATCACAAACACTAAGAGAGCTTTGGAGGACCAGCTATGGTCCTGCAAAGATGGTAATTTTAAATCGGAAGAAAGAACAAGAGAGGAGGGAAAAAGACCCATGCCAACTGGTCAGCCCTCTTTAAGAGCTTTCCCAGATGTTCCACTCAGAGGCTGGAAAATGTGGTTTTGATTTGGACATATTGCTTCCCCAAATAAAATAGCATTCTGTTTGTCAAGAAGAAGGAGAGAATGGGTACTTGGTAGGCAATTTGCAGCCTTTGCCACAGATGGTGATAGTGAATTGACAAATTTTGAGTATATTCTTTCTGGTCAAAACTAAAAGTTGACATACTTATGGCCACCCCCCTAATTTTAAAAAAATTGTATTGGTCTATGAAACCCAAAATCCAAACTCACTACTCTTATTCATTTTGCTATACAAGCTTGGGCTAGGATACATAATACTTTTACTAAAATTAGTAAATGTGATCAACTCATCTAGGCTGAACTGCTAATGAGAAAAGACTCCAGGACATTCACCCACCACCCAGGCAGCCTTCCCTCCTGCTTCTCTCAAGTGACCATGTTTTATCTGTGGCCTTTGGAGCCCCTTCTGAAGTCCCAGAAGGAGGCCCTTAATATTGGATGTGGCAGCGATGTTAGAAAGGAAAGTGGCACAGCACCCTAGGGCTCTCTAGACTTTGGACCCATCTCCTGCCCCTGCTTGCTCTACCCTGTGCTCCAGTCATCTAATTCCTGGCATTGATCCAGCAAGCCTTATCCCCGTGCCCTTCTTTGAGCTGGACCTACTGACAGTTATATTTCTTGTCAATCACCTATGACTATGTAGGAAAATTCCTTCTATCTCTTCAGGCCCCGCTCATATTACCTCCTCTGCAAAAGTTTCTGAGATCTCTGTAGCTGGACATAACCCCTCCACTTTGAGCACCCAGAAACCCCACTGGAGGAACTTTATTAGGACAAGTATTATGTTTAATTTGTAATACGGTTGTTTGGGTATGAGCTTGATTTCTTTAAGTCAGAATCCTTATTTTATTTATCATTGTAAGACTGGAACCTAGAATAGTACTTAGTACATAGGAGATACTTAATACATGTTTGTTGAAAGAATAGACATATAATAAATGCAGAATCAATAAATGTTATCATTAATGAATGCAGGTGAATGGATAAATGTATACTATAAGAAATGGGGAAGAAAGAAAGAAAAAAATGAAAGGAAGTAAGGAAAGAAAGAAGAGAAAGGAGAGAGAAAGAGAAAGAAAAAAGAGTGAATGAATGAATGAGTGATCCTGCAGCTCATTCTGGGTAAGCCTCCACTGGCATGGGCTTTGACAGCCTCCAGGGTGGATAACTCACAGACTCAGCAGTACTTCTACCTTCTTTTTGTCAGATTTTCCCTGACAAGAACCCTCTCTTGTCATTGCCCATTATCTTTTCTATCTCTGAGTTGCCTTGTGTCCTCTTCCCCACAGATAAAGAAGGTAATTTAACTTAGCAGGCTCAGCATGACCACTGGATAAGAGCAAGCCTCAGCTGCCTGCAACTAGAGGGCAGCTGGAATGACCACCTGAGTGCAGGTATCTCCAAGGCAGACAAAGACAGGATCAGAATCCAAGAAGGTCCAGGCAGGCTGGACCTGTCATTTAATGTGAGGAAGTCTCGAATCTTCCTGCAACTGGGGCAAATGATCAGGCCATATTTCAAGGCAAAAAGAAAGATCTACCTTGGCAAAATACAAAGACTCATATTTGTTGGATTTTACACTAAAATAGCAAAATGCTGCCAACCAAGCAACCCACTAACCAAATAAGCAAACAGATAAAGCAAAGCCAAGTAAAACAATCCCTGACACCTTAACTTGGAAAAGCAGCTTTTTGTTGTTGTTGTTGTTGTTGTTAGGGTAAACCTTATCTTTTCCAAGACTGCATTTGTTTTCAGTGGGTTTCACAGAAATGTAAGGGTAAGCTACAGCTCTCTGATCCTGATAATAATTGGAATTCTCTCTCCCTCTCTCCCACTCTGCTCCTTACCCAATCCCCTGCCTCCCTCCTCTCAAGATTTTTGCTCCATCTCTCTCTTTCTCTCTGTGCACCCCACTCCCTTCCCGTCTCTCACAACTGGGTAAGGCACTAGTGCCATTTTCCCTTTCCAAGGTGTTGTCCTTTGATCAGGAAGGAAGCAGCAATCACAGCTTCCACCAAAAAGGCCCACTTTGACAGCTATGGTGTCAGTCAGGAACTACATTTCCCTCCTGTGATATCAGACCTAGGGCTATAATCAGATTGAGTATTTGGGTACAGAAGACATTTCATTTCAAAGCATTTAACAGGCATTAACTAATCCATCCTCACTGGTGAAGGAGGTGGCTTCCCGCTACCACAAAGACGTAGCTGGATTCTCAGCTCCTTAGCACACACACTGCTTCTCTTTGTGAAAGGGGGAAAAAAGGAGAGGAAAGCAAAGCAAGAATGTGTCTGCCACGTTAAATTGGTATTCCTTGTGTAAGTTTTGTTTCCTAGAAAGGCACCTCCTTATCAGATTCCAGACCTGAGTCACACATTCTTCTAGTTCAGGCATGAAATGAGCAGAGGTAATTATTTCCACCCATTTCTCCTTCCAGCTATTAGAAATGCCAAGGGGAGGAAAGTGTTTCTACATTGAAATTAATAAAACAAAAACCAAAATCTCCACCAACACTGGAATAAGGTGGTGACATGCAAATAACACAAGGCAAGAAGCAGGCTGATTGGTGCTTCTCTCCGGATATGGTGATGTCAGTAGCAGGCTGAACTCTGAGTGGCTGAGAGAAAGCCTGAAGAGAGATTATTGAGATTAAGACTCTCAGGAGATGGTGTGTGCATGTGTGTGTGTGTAAGAGGAAGTGGGAAGGTGGGTGCATGAGACCAATATCACATGTGGGTGCGCCCCAGCCCATTATTCGAAAAGCAACTGTGTTCATCCCAACAACCTTCTGCAAGAAGACAGCACAGCCTTGGGGATAAAATTGGTTTTTCTATTTTTAAAATGTTCCGCCTTGTAAATTCTCCAGGTAGCCTTCAACTGTATAAGGCTCAAGGCCACTGAGAGCTTCTAAAGTTCAGTGTATCTGAATCTTTGCCCACAAATACATTCTTTTTTCTAAAAGTTGGGGCATCGTGGTTTGATTGTCCTCAAGATCAATACTACTGATCTTAGTGTTGGCCAGGGATCTCACAGCCCTGAGCACCTCCAGCACATGCTGGAGACCTTGACTATCTGGTCACACAATGATAGGCACCACATTTCCATGAGGACATCTGGAGATGTCACCTCTGCTTTCTCATTCCCTTAGAGTCACAGAATTTTGAAGGTAGGAGAGCCAGTAGAGCTCACCCGAGGTCCAATTGCTTATCTCATAGGTGAGGAACCTGAAGCCTAGCAAAGATTAGGGGTTTTCAAGAAGACACTCAGCTAGGCCTCAGTGCACAGCTCTCTCTAGTCTACTCCCAGTCCTCCAGCTAAGAATGTGCCAGTAAAATGCACTAAATTCCAGATTCCTTTCTTCTCAGCAAAGTCAAATAAATAGCAAGCTTCTTGAGGGCACTTCAAGAAACTTCTTGGTTACTTTGCCTGCATTTGCCATATCTTCTTCTCAAAAAAGTCCCTTCTGAGTGGACAGCCAGCTCCATAACCCCATTTGCTTCCTCTCTTAAAGGGACCATAAAAGTACAACTGACCTAAGATGTGCCTATTGATGTTCTCTTTCAGGAATTGGGAATTTGGTCACAGCAACTTAAGTAAATATCTGTTATACACAAATGGCAAAAACACATGTATCAGTCAGGGATCTCTGGAAAAACAGAACTATATATATATGTGTGTGTGTATGTATATGTATGATTTGGGGGGCTGAGAAGTCCCATGATCTGATATATATATATAGAGAGAGAGAGAGAAAGAAAGAAGGAAAGAAAGAAAGAGAAAGAAAGAAAGAGAAAGAAAGAAAGAAAAACAAGGAAAGAGAGAAAGAAAGAAAGAAGAAAGAAAGAAAGAAAGAAAGAAAGAAAGAAAGAAAGAAAGAAAGAAAGAAAGAAAGAAGAAGGAGATTTGTTATGACTCATTGGCTTATATGATTTGGAGGGCTGAGAAGTCCCATGATCTGTAATCTGCAAGTTGAATGCCCAGGAAAGCCAATGGTATAGTTCCAGTCCAAGTCCAAAAGGCTGAGAACTGGAGAACCAATGGTGTGTAAGTCTCCATCCAAGTCCGAAAGTTTGAGAACCTGGAACACCAATGTCAAAGGTCAGTAGAAGATGGATGTCCCAACTCAACAAGAGACAGCAAATTTGCTCTTCCTCTGCATTTTTGTTCTATTTTAGCCTTCAATGGATTGGATGATGCCTGCCCATATTGGCAAGGGCAGATCTTTACTTGGTCTACTGATTAAAATATTAATCTCTTCCAGAAATACCCTCTCAGACACAACCAGAAATAACTGTTTCACCAGTTACCTGGGCATACTTTAGCCCAGTCAAGTTGACATGCAAAGTTAACTGTCACAACATGTAAGATCCCCTAGGGTGTTGGATTTTTCCCATGTATAAGGAGAAATAGAAAATGTCTGTCATTGAGACAGAAGGAGGCCATCATAAAATATTTAATGGCCTCATAAACAGAGGAAGTCAGGAAAAAAGTGACTCACTACCTAGTTCTCAACAGATCTTAAGTTCTGCCTCCAGTCTTCATGAGTACTGTTGCCCTTCCTGCCCTTGATTTCTGGGAAACAACCACAAATCCTTCTAATACATGCTCCTTTCTGCTTAAGGTAGTTTGCATAGATTTCTGTTACTTGCTTATAAGTCCATGCATTTTACTCATACTTTCATTGCCAACATCTAATGCAGTGCTTTCTGTATCAATTACCTATTGCTGTATAAAAAATCACTCCAAAACTTAGCAATAAAAAACAACAAAAAATTATCTCACAGTATTGTATGATCAGAAATCTGGGTATGGCTTAGCTGGGTCCTCTGGCTCAGTGTCTCTCATGAGGCTGCAATTAAGGTATCACTGGGGCTGTAGTCTCATCTCAAGACTCGATCTGGGGAGGATGTGTTTTCTTTTTTTTATTATTATTATTACACTTTAAGTTTTAGGGTACATGTGCACAATGTGCAGGTTAGTTACATATGTATACATGTGCCATGTTGGTGTGCTGCACCCATTAACTCGTCATTTAGCATTAGGTATATCTCCTAATGCTATCCCTCCCCCCTCCCCCCACCCCACAACAGTCCCCAGAGTGTGATGTTCTCCTTCCTGTGTCCATGTGTTCTCATTGTTCAATTCCCATCTATGAGTGAGAACATGTGGTGTTTGGTTTTTTGTCCTTGCGATAGTTTACTGAGAATGATGATTTCCAATTTCATCCATGTCCCTACAAAGGACATGAGCTCATCATTTTTTATGGCTGCATAGTATTCCATGGTGTATATGTGCCACATTTTCTTAATCCAGTCTATCATTGTTGGACATTTGGGTTGGTTCCAAGTCTTTGCTATAGTGAATAGTGCCGCAATAAACATACGTGTGCATGTGTCTTTATAGCAGCATGATTTATAGTCCTCTGGGTATATACCCAGTAATGGGATGGCTGGGTCAAATGGTATTTCTAGTTCTAGATCCCTGAGGAATCGCCACACTGACTTCCACAAGGGTTGAACTAGTTTACAGTCCCACCAACAGTGTAAAAGTGTTCCTATTTCTCCACAGAGGATGTGTTTTCAAGTTCACTCACATGGACCTCTTTAGTGGGTTGTCTCATGACATGGTAGCTGGCCACCTCCAGAGCCAACAACACAACAGAGTATGAGAGAAAGCACCCAGAACCGAAGCCATGGTCTTTTTATAACCTAATCTTGCAAGAGACATCTCATCACTTCTGCCATAATCTATCCATTACAAGTGAGTCACTAGGTCCAGCCTATACTCAAAGAGGAGACTATTTCACAAGGGCAGGGATGAATACTACGAGGCAGGGATCTTGGGAACAAGACTCTTAGAGACTGCCTGCTACACCTTCCTAGCTCAGATTAATATCCAGTTATAACTTTCTGAGTGCATATTTCTCATAAGCACTCTGTATTTTGGGTGCCCTTTGGTCTCTTCCTTATGTTTCTGGAGTACTAGCTGATCGAATAGAGGATACCTAAGCCAATACCTTTCTAAGAAGTACATATAATGACTGGGGAACAAACTTCTGTCATCTAGATTACAACTTCCCTGAAAGCAGGAACTATCGTTATACTTCACAATCCTATGAACATCATGGATAGTTAATAAAGATTCTATTGTTGGCTGAATGGATTTGTATGATACAGTAAAAAGAGCTCTGACCTGAATCTCCAGCACTCAAGTTGTAGATATGGCTCAGGGTTTGACTATTTTGATGTTGGGTGAATCAGGACTTTGTAGAGCCTCAGTTTTCTCCCATTAAAACAAGGAGATTAGACCAAATATTTAAGGCATACAGTAATATGGTCTAAATAATTCCTCCTCATTTAAATTTCCTTTGGGGAAGTATATCAGACACTTCTAGAGACCTTCATCACCCCCTTGGCCCACCTCCAGTTTCAGCCTCAGCTGCAATGGGCAGACTTACCTTAAGCCAAGCGTCTGTCTTCTTTCTGCCCCTGAACCTTCATTACTTATGTGAAAGTTTGCCCAGGTCATGTGCTTGTGTAGCTCAGAAATGGGAGAAAGTTAACATCCTCAGGGACAATCCTCACCAGGGTCAGACAGTGGCTAGTGAATAAATGCCCCAACCTCCTGCCCTTCCAGTGGACAATTCTACAAGGCATTCTATATGCTTTCCTGGGAAATCAGTCCCTGTTGCCCTCCATTATATTGATATTTGTTCCTACTGTGTCTTAATCCCTTCTTTTTTCTCCATTCATTCACTTTACTTCTTCACTGGGATTACCTTTGAAATAAGCTACCTTCACCCAGGACTTTGTGTCATGCTTTGCTTTCAAAAGAACCCAAACTGAGAAGAGAAACCATTTCTTTCTCCATCCAGCCTCTGCCATGAAGGCTAAACCATGAGGAAGCTTGGATCAGGAAGACAGTATATATGGCATGAGTGAAGCTTCAACTAGACCAGAAAATCCTGCTCCTTCTAGCTCTGTCTGGATGAAAGTTTCAGAGAGGGGAGTTGTCTAATTGGAGTGAAGGAAAAGCCAATGGCAGAAGTGCAGTCATTTTACTCTCTGTCTGGGACTCCAGGAGGAGCCAGCCTAGCGCTGTGTACCCGCAGTAACCTCAAGTAGCTACTGGTGAGGCAGAGAGCAAGTCGAGTTAGCATTCCTGAGCTATCCTGGGCTCCATTTGGCACACAAAAGATGCCAGAAATGCTCAAAGGCCCCTAGGGGAACAGAGATGTTGGCAAGACACAGGCAGAAGAGCTCAAAAAAGGAAAAAATTCTAGAGTCAAGTGAGTGGATTGGGCCACCTGAATGGGAGATTGAATAGAGGTCATGACCATGTCTCAGGGGACATTCAATAGCAGCAAGGGCTGAGTACGGACTGAGTCAGCAAAGAGGAAACCACAGGTTCACTAACCACAGACTTCAGCAGTTGTCAGCGTTGTGGGACATCTGTTGTGGTGGAGACATGAAGCGCCCAGGAATTGGAATGATAACACTGATAGATCCCCTTCCTCCACCACCAGAAGGATGTAGCATGTTCCCACCCCATATCCAGGTACCATCTTGGAGAGGATCAAGTAAAGGAAAGCAAACTGGAGAGAGAGACTGCTCTGGTTTGAATATTTGTCCCCTTCAAACCTCATGCTGAAACTTGATCCTCAGTGTTGGAGGTGGCGCCTAATGGGAGGTGTTGGATGGGGGTGGATCCCTCGTGAATGGCTTGGTGCCATTCTGGAAAGAGTGAGTGAGTTCTAACTATTAATTCCCTTGAGAGCTGTTTGTTAAAAGAGCTCAGCGTCTCCTTCCTCACTCTCTTGCTTTCTGTTTCACCATGTGATCTCTGAACCCATCAGCTCCCCTTTGCCTTCCACCATGAGTGGAGGCAGCTTGAGGCTCTCACCAGATACCTGATCTTGAACTTTTCCAGACATCGGAATTGTGAGCCAAATAAAAACTTTTTGTCTTTATAAATTACCCAGTGGTAGGTATTCCTTTATAGCAACACGAAACGTACTAAGACAGGGACAATTTAAAGTCAAGGAGACTGAATTTCCAAAAGAGAGTTTAAATTATTGCAGTGGACCAGGTTTACCAGATCAGAACCAAGTTTTGTACCTACTTCCAGTTCTGTGGGGTCCACTTTGTGTGTGTGAGTGCATGACTATCTGCTTTAGAAAATTTTCTTGACCATGTGATTGGAGTGTGGAGAAATATTTAAACTCCTCCTGGGTGCTGGTTGGACAGAGAGTAGGAGGGGCTCAACCACAGATAGAGGGTCTCTCAGCTGGAGCAGCTTTCCATGCTCAAGCCAAGCTCATTTGGACTGTAAATGCTACATCAGCTGCAGATCCACCTCCAAATGTCTGGTTTTACCTAGGAGGCAGAAGTCAGGGGTCTTAACACACTCAGCAAGAACTGTGGAGGGAGGATGGGAGTAGGGAGGATGGCAGCATCTGCCCCTTTCATCTCCTTGGGCAGTCTCGATTTCCCTGCCCCCATCTCAGAATATCAAGGCTCTCTGCGTCCCCCTGTCTTTCCTGGCCTCCTCTGGGACACCTTCTCTACCAAGACAGTTGCTGAGGGTTCCCCAGGGCAGGTCGAAGCATGATTTGCTTTTCAAGCTCTGCCCACTTATTGATCTCCTGTCTGAGAAATGTCAGCAGCAGCCGGGAGCTCTCCCTGCTAAGGCACTTAGCTTGGAAGCCTGTGGTATCTGCCTGCATAAACCCTCCTGCCTCCTGCCTGTCTGGCTTTAGAACTATCCCCACCCCCACCTTGGGCAAAGTCTTCTAAGACGTGATGGCAAGAATCAAACAGCAACGTGCTCTGAACACTGGGATGGGAACCAGATTTAAATTGGGCAAAAGCCGTAAGCTCAGAGCCAGTGCATTTCACTTCCTGCCATCCCTCCCCCTCTCAGCATCTTGTCGCGAGCAGGTAGGGAAGGAAATCTTCCAGAGAAGGCTGGCCAGGGGCAGGTGCTTGGCCCAGGAGTCAGAAAGTGGGGCGCTGATCCAGAAGCTGGGCGGATAAAGGCAACCCATTATTTCAACTGCCATCCCCTGGCCCTGCACCCCCACCTCCATGCAATTTAAATGCAGGATTGTGAGGAGGGGAGGGGAAGAGAAAGAGACTGTGTTTAGTGGTTAAACCTTTTAAAGTTTAAGTGCATAAACAGGGCCTTCTCCGTATCTGTCTATAGCAATTCTCATGACAGTTACAGCAAAATTACAGAAACTGGGTCGTTTATATAACCCTTTGTATTGTCAAAGCACATTAAATGTCTGCTTTCCTGCACCCTGCTGAGCTGTCTTCAGCTGTCAAATCCCCATACTGCAGCTCAACACACTGAGGGTAAAGGACTCTGGCAATGCGCACATGGGGAATACTGGACCCTCAGGTGCAGCAAATGTTTTGAAAAGGAGATTTAAATTTCCTCTGCACAGGAGTCCCATGGTTTAAAATATATTGAATTCTCTGCTTTCCAGCCAAATGCTTTGTCACCTGGCTAGTGGGCTTTTTTCCCCAAAATGAGCAAACATGACATTTGTTTTTTATTCTGGACAGGGTTGAAAGAGCTCATTCATCTATTTATTCATTTGAAAAAGATTTATTGGATGTTTTCTAAAATCCTAGCACTACAAATAGTATGCAGCAGCCACTGTTTTAAGGACGTTCTACGAATTAACTCTTTTAATCCTGATCTAAACCAGTAATGTAGGCACTATGATTATCCACATTTTATAGATGAGGAAACTGAGGTACAGGGAGGTTTAGTGGATGCAGATGTCCCTTCAGGACCGAGGCACTTATTCCCCCAGCTTCTGGGAGTGTTGGCATGAGGACAGTTCACATTGACTGTCCCTTCAGAAAACATCCTTAAGGTCACACCCCTTCTTGGGGGCAACCCACATTCAGTGACAGGGTTATGCAGGGGTATAAAGGCTCATTGCCTCACTTGGATGCTGGACAACTCAGTGAGGCTACCCCAGCTCCAGAGGTCCCAGAGATTCAACTGAGGTCTCCTTTGTGACCACACCGCAGTAGCTCAACTCCTTCCTTGACCCAGCCCTGCCTTCTTCACTCACCCACTGTTGCTGATTCCAAGGGCACTCCTCAATAAACCTCTTGCACTCACATCTCCATGTCCACCTCCATCTCACAGTGTGCTTCCTTGTGATCCCACCAGATGTAAGAGGATAAGTAACATAACATTTGTCAAGGTCACAGGCTCATGGCCAGTGGATGTCATTTTAACCTTCTTACTTACCTACCACTATCTCATTTACTGAGAAGCTTCACTCTTCCCATCATGGGGCCTAGGACTATATCCATATTCTTTGACTCATTTAATCCTCCAGCCTCAGAGGTATCACTACCCCCATTTTACATATAGGGTACCTGAGGCTTGAGATGGTAAGTAAGGGGTTGGGGCTTCAGTAGGACTTGAGCCAGGATGTGTCAGACTCCAAAGCCCTGGCTTTTTTGGCAGCTCCAGCCCTAGCCCCAGCCATCCATCCACTGTTCATGGGAACGAACAGTGCAGCAGTTTGCAATAATGCTTCTATCTCACAGAGATCTTTCAACTTTCGGAGAGGGATGGAAAGGAAGATATCATCATCTTAATTTTATCAGTGAGAAAATTTAAGCCCAGGGAAGTTCAAAGGACTTACTCTGTCTGTTGGTAACACAGCAGAGAGTGGCACCGAGCTATCCAATTTCTGATGTCTTGCAATTGTCCCTGCTAATGCTTCCCAGCCAAAACTTTAGGTTGAGAGCAGGGCAGGATGCTCTTCTATATGAGACTTTGCCCCTGCCCAGGAAGTGGGGCTATCCATACCTTCACTCTGCCTCTCTGCCTGGACTCCAAGACTCTAGGATTTCGAGAATCTGGGCAGTTGTATCAGCCCCATCAATGCCATTACAATCTTCCCCTTAATAAAGTCCTTGTACACATGGCTCCTCTGCCAGGGCTAAGACTCACTGTAACCTTGTGAATCAGGTAGGGTGGGATTTATATTCCCTATTTCACAGATGAGAATAATGAGACACAGGCTAAGGGTCATAATCACCACCTGGGCCATGGAAGAACTAGGACTTGAACGCAGGACTTTCATTACAAGTCCAGTGCTCTTTCCACCCTGCCCTGCCCTAATTGATCTCCTCAAAGCCACTTCCTTTCCTTGGTTCCCTTCCTGTTGTGCACATATATATCAGGAAGTTAATTCCTGGAGGAAGCAGGGAGACCAATTGAAAGATATCTCATGTGGTGTGATTTGTGGAGCTCTGGGAAGCTCCCCCCTTTCACCCCTAACATCTAAAATTTTCCAGTATTGTCAGTCCTGAGAGCTAATCATTGCCTTTTCCCTAGAACCTTCTTTTGACATGCAAAAGCCAACTGGAACTCCTCTACACTGCTAATGGGAATGTAAAATGATAAAAACAACTTTGGAAAAGTTAGGTAGTTTCTTAAAAAGTTAAACATATGCTTATCATTCCACTCCTAGGAGTTTGCCCAAGAGAAATCATATGTACAAAGACTTGTAGATGAATTCTCAGAACAGCATTATTTGTAACATTCCAAGCCTGGAAATAACTCAAATGTCCATCAATAGGTGAATGTACAAACCAATGATGGTATATCCATATTTTTGAGCAATATAAAATAATAGACTATCAACACATGCAACAATGTGGGTGAATTTCAAAAACATGTTTAACAAAAGGAGCCAGACACAGAAGGATTCCACCTACAGGAAGTTGTAGAACAGGCAAAACTTATCTATGGTGATAGAGGTCAGAATAGTGGTTGTTTTGGTGGGGGGAGGAGGAGGTTTCGACTGGAAAGGAGCACAGGGAATTTTCTAGGGAGATGGAAATTTTCTATATCTTGGTGAGGTAGTGGTTGCATGGGTGTATACAATTGTCATCAAACTATACACTTAAAATGGGTACATTTTGTTGTATGTTAATTATACATCTATAAAACCAATTAGAAGATAGGTCATTGACACCGTAGATGTGATATTTTTAACCTGGGGCTCCAGTAGTCTCTGGTATCCATAAAACTATATTCACTATAGTGAGTCTTAGGTATGTTTTACAGAAAAAGGGCTCGAATTTTCCTCAGGTTCTACTTCTACAATAGTGTCTACAACTCATTTAACACAGATACATAAGAAACAAAGCACCTCAAATAACCATTCTGTGTTACAAATCCAGCAGACAGTTTCTTTCACAGAGCTCTGCAGCCTTTTGGGGCTAGATTCCTGGGGACACAGGGACATGGTGAAAAAGGGAAAGGTTTCAGAAGGAAATACAGGCCAATCTCATATTGTGGATGAGAAGAAAGGGCTGAGGTCCAGTTCTGAGACTGAAGAATCACCAGGTACTTAACCTTGTCTGCCAGTAAGATGGCAGAGAAGCCACAATTGCTCAGGTGTCTGTGACTTATACAGGTTTGAAATCACAATCTTGTCATGCTTGTTTAAACCACCACGATGCAGTGAAATATTTCTGTGCTGTCAGATGTGGGAGGGAACTGTGGACAACATCAGACACACCTCATTCCCTTGGGAACTGGGAAGCTTGGAAAATTCTGTCCTGGCAACAGCCTCCTTAAAACAATCATCTCAGCCCTCCAGACTTAAGCTGGGATGAGGATTGAGTTTTGTTGGAGCAGCACCTGGTGTAGGAAAGCACGTGAGTGTGCCTGTGTGTGCACGTGCACACACCAGCAAGAGCTGGGGCGGCCATTTGCAAGATATTTCAGAAACTAGCAGCACTTGGGAAGTTGAAATGCTGAAACCTGTGAATCAATCCAAGTACAAAGCTCTCAGTTTCTAATTTGGTACCTGTTTCCAACACCTTGCAAAGAGTCAATCTGTGCAGAACCTCACGCTTTTGGCATTTCTGATACTCAATTCTAGGAGGATGCAGTAACAGCAGGTGTCTAAGCCACTGATTTCTTGCAGAAGATCTTACACCATCAATGACATCGAATTTGCTCTTGTAAAAATACTCAGGAACTTTTTGTAGTCCACATTTGGAAGCACTCAATAAAACACGAAAACCTCTGTCTTCTATAGCCTATGGTTAAAGCAGGCCCAGGGAATACTTTTACTCATTCTTTTAACATATATTTATCAAGCATCTAGTATGTGTCAGGCCCTGATCATACAGCAGGAAACATGACAGAGGAAAAAAAAACCGAAACACTTGCCCTCATGGAGTTCATATTCTAGAGAATTAATGAGTAAGTACATTATATAATATGTTAGATAATATGGTAGGAGAAAAGTAATGCAGAGAAAGGCAAAGACGAGGTTGCAGATTTAGGTTAGGTGGTCATGGAAAGTCTCACTAAAAAGAAAACAGGTGAGGGAGCCTGCTTTATGAATAGCTGGAAAGACAGTCCCAAGGAGCAAGATGGCCAGTGCAAAGGCCATGAAGTAGGAATATTCTGGGGTATTAGGGGAACAGCAAAGAGGCCAATGTGGCCAGAACCAAATGAGCAAGGGAGACTAGAAGTATGAGATGAAACTAGCGAGGCCAGATTGTGAAGGTCTCGGTAGGCCATTATAAGACTTGGGTCTTCAGTCTGAGTGAGATGGAGGGTTCTGAGCAAAGGGATTTACTTGAGCTTAGGTTTTAAAGGATCACTCTGGCTGATGTGCCAAGAATAGACTACATTACAAGGGCAGAAGCAGGGTGACTGCAATTTGGAACATTTTAATTTTCATGTACCTAGCATGTATTCAAGTGAAGTGTTGAGTTTTGATTTGGATGTGCAATTCTGGAGTCAAAGGGGGAAGACTGGGCTAGAGGTAAAAATGTGGGAGATATTAGTGTATGTATTCTGTTTAAGGTAATGAGACTAGATTGAATCACTAAAATTGTGATTGGTGATTGAGAATGGAAGGACCAAGAACTCAGACCTAGGTTGCTTCAACATTAAATGGTTAAGATAATTTCTTAAGAAAATCCCTTCAGTGTGTTTTTTTTTTCCTTGAAAACAAAAACAGCCAGATCGAAACATGCAAAATTATCTTCAGATGACAGTAAGGTGACACTTATTTTCAAGTTTACCTAGGCTACAGAGAAAAAAGGAGCCATGGAATAGTGGTCTGAGAGATGTTTGAGAACCCCAATCTGGTATCTATGAATGGAAGGACTTATGGATTGATTGTATTATATGATAATTAATTCTTCTCTTTTTCTATTTAGCTGCCAAAGACCTCCACTGATATCACTGCTTATGGACCAGTTGTGTAGCATCTGTAATGGGGATAAAATAACCCTCATTTCTGAGATTCCTGACACCATAGGATGGCTCTGTTTTATCTAGAGATGCCAGCACATCTTTGCTTTAGAATGTTCTCCTACTTCATTGTGTCACTCTCCAACCAAAAAGTTCTCGAAATTTTATTTCCAGTCACCCTCAAACTGCATATGCATGGTTCTGATCCTAATTAGCATACCAAAGACTTTGAGAACTGAACTAAGACATAGATCACTGCCCAGATCCCAGACAGGCCACTGGATGGTCCACACCCAAGACAAATCTGAAGTGCACTACAGAGCCTTAGAAAACTGAACTGACATAGGAACCATAACCCAAAGAAGGGGGATGGTAATTTGCAGCCTTATCCTAACTAGATCAAGTGCCTGCTAAAACAAAAATATCAATATCCTCCATAAAATTTAATCAAGACCCAGGGTCTTATAGTATAATACTCAAAATATTCAGGAAACAACTTCAAATTACTCAGCATAAAAAGAACCACAAAAATTTCAACTTACATGTGAAAAGACAATCAACGGATGCCAATGATGAATTGAAGCACTTGTTGGAATTATCAGATAAATATTTCAAAGCAGATACTTAAAAATTGTTCGAGTAAGCAATTGCAAACACTCTTGGAACAAATCCTAAAACAGAAAGTCTCAGTAAAGAAATAGAAGCTATGAAGAAGAACCAATGGAAGTTTCAAAACTGAAAAATAAAATAATTGAAATTTAAAAACTTACAGGATGGACTCAATAAGAGAGCAAAAAGTCTGTGAATGTGGAGATAGATCAATAGAAACTATACAATCTGAATAATAGAGAACAGGCTGAAAAAAATGAATAGGACATCAGGGACCTGTGTGATTTAACATTAATGTCATCAGAGACCCAGAGAGGAGGGGGAAGAGTGAAATGCTGACAAATTATTTGAAGAAATAATGGCTGAAAATTTCTCAAGTTTAGCAAAAGACATAAACCTACATATTCAAGAAACTGACTGAACCACAAGTAAGATAAACCCAAAGTAATCTATACCTAGACACATCATAAACTGTTGAAAAGTAAAGATGAAGAAAGACTCTTGAAAACTGCCCAAGAAAAACAACACATTCCCTATAGAGGGACAGCAATTTGAATGACCATGGTTAGCGCATTACAAATGATAGAGGCCAGAAGGAAGCAGCACAACATTTTTAAAGTGCTGAAAGAAAAAAAAAAACTGTCAGCGCAATTCCAAATTGAGCAAAAATAAGCTTTAGGAATGAATAAAGGTGAAATAAAGATATCTGTATATGATAGAAAACTAAGAGAATTATAACCAGTAGATCTGCTCTAAAAGAACTGCTAAAATAAGTTTTTCAAAAAAAAGAGAAATAAAAGAAGGAAACTTGGAATATTAGAAATAAAGTAAGAGCAACAAAAATGGTCAGTATCTCGGTAAATGTAATAGATTATTTTTGATTTTGAGATATTTAACATATGTTTGGTCATCAAAAGCAAAAATTATAACATTGTCTTCTGGAGATTTTAATGTAAGTAGATGTAATATATATACGACAAATATAGTACAAAAGGGAGAGGGTAAAGAGTCCTAAATTGTGATATGTTTTCTATATTCTAATTGAGTAGCAAAACATTGATTCTAAGTTAATGGTGAAAAGTTAAGCACATATGTATTTTGTAATCCCTAGAGAAACCACTAAAATAACTATATGAAATATAGCTAAAATCACAATAGATAAAACTGAATATTAAAAATGTTCAAATAACACTGTGACTGAATACAATGTGGTATACTGGATTGAATCTCAGAATAGAAAAAATGATATGAGTAGAAAAATTGGCAAAATCCAAGCAGGCTTGAGTTTAGTTAATGATAATGTACCAATTATTGTTTTCTTAATTTTGACAAATGTACCATAGTAATATAACATACTAACATTAGGGGAAAGTAAGTGAGGAGTATACAATAACTTCCTATATTATCACTGCAACTTTTCTATAAGTCAAAATTTTTTCCAAAAATAAAAAATTTAAAAAATATTCACATAACCCAAAATTAGGCAAGAAAGGGGAAACAGAAAAACAAAAATAGAGGTAGCAAACAGAAACCAAATAATAAAATGGTAGAATTAATCTAAATATAAGTAGTTACATTAATATATGTGATCTAAACACACCAATTTAAAGAAAGATGATTAGAATTGATTAATAAAAGAAAAACTTGACTCAACTATATGCTGTCTACGAGAAACTCATTTCAAATATGATGATATAGGTAGGTTAAAAGTGAAAGGAGGCAAAAGATGTACCATGCAAACACTAATCAAAAGAAAGCTGGAGTTGTTCTATTAATGAACAGATAAAGGAGACCTCAGAGTAAAGGAAATTACCAGGAATCAAGACGGACATTATATAACAAAAAAAGGCTCAATTTGCCAAGAAGACATAACAGTGCCACATGTGCATGCACCTAACAGAAGAGTTTCTACTATATAAAGCAAAAACTGACAGAACTAAAAAGAAAAATAGGCAAATAAGCAATTATAGTTAGAAATTTTTCAACACTTCTCTTTCAGTAATAGAACTGATAGGCAAAAAATCAGCAAGCATGTAGAAGAACTAAACAATGTCAACCAACTGGATATAATTGACTTTTTTTTTTTTTTGAGACAGAGTCTCACTCTGTCTCCCATGCTGGAGTGCAGTGGCATGATCTCAGAGTTCACTGCAACCTCTGCCTCCCAGGTTCAAGCAAATCTCCTGCCTCAGCCTCCTGAGTAGCTGGGATTACAGGTGTGTACCACCATGCCCAGCTAATTTTTGAATTTTTAGCAGAGATGAGGTTTCACCATGTTTGTCAGGCTACTCTCGAACTCCTGACTTCAAGTGATCTGCCCACCTCAGCCTCTCAAAGTGTTTGGATTACAGGTGGGAGCCACCGTGCCTGGCCCTAAATGACATTTAGAAGAATATTCCCCTCAATAACAGCAGGGCACACATTTTTTTCAAGTGAACATGAAATATTCACTAAGATAAACAATGTACAACAAATCTTAACAAATTTAAAAGAAGTGAAATTATCCAATGTATGTTCTCAAACCATAATGGAATTAAACTAGAAATCAATAATAGAAAGATAAGAGGAAAAGCTCCAAACACTGGAAAAGTTAACACGGTACTTCTAAATAATCCATAGGTGAAAGAGGAAATAGGAGGGGAAATTGAAAAATGTTTCAAATGAACGAAAATAAAAATAAAACATATTGAAATTTGTACAATGTAACTATAGCAGGACTCAGAGGGAAATTTATAGCATTACATGCTTACAGTAGAAAAGAAGAGGCAGCTCCAAGATGACCGAATAGGAACAGCTCCAGTCTACAGCTCCCAGCATGAGCGACGCAGAAGACAGGTGATTTCTGCATTTCCAACTGAGGTACCGGGTTCATCTCACTGGGGCTCGTCGGACAGTGGGGGCAGGACAGTGGGTGCAGCCCACCGAGTATGAGCCAAAGCAGGGCGAGGCATCGCTTCACCCGGGAAGTACAAGGGGTCAGGGAACTTCCTTTCCTAGCCAAGGGAAGGGGTGACAGATGGCACCTGGAAAATCGGGTCACTCCCACCCTAATACTGCACTTTTCCAATGGTCTTAGGAAACGGCACACCAGGAGATTATATCCTGCGCCTGGCTTGGAGGGTCCCACGCCCACGGAGCCTCGCTTATTGCTAGCACAGCAGTCTGAGATCGAACTGCAAGACGGCAGCAAGGCTGGGGGAGGGGCACCCACCATTGCTGAGGCTTGAGTAGGTAAACAAAGTGGCCAGGAAGCTCAAACAGGTGGAGCCCACTGCTGCTCAAGGAGGCCTGCCTGCCTCTGTAGACTCCACCTCTGGGGGCAGGGCATAGCTGAACAAAAGGCAGCAGAAACCTCCACAGACTTAAATGTCCCTGTCTGACAGCTTTGAAGAGAGTAGTGGTTCTCCCAGCACGGAGTTTGAGATCTGAGAACTGACAGACTGCCTCCTCAAGTGGGTCCCTGACCCCCGAGTAGCCTAACTGGGAGGCACCCCCGAGTAGGGGCAGACTGACACCTCACAAGGCCAGGTACCCCTTTGAGACAAAGCTTCCAGAAGAACGATCAGGAAGCAACATTTGCTGTTCAGCAATATTCGCTGTTCTGCAGCCTCCGCTGCTGATACCCAGGCAAACAGGGTCTGGAGTGGACCTCCAGTAAACTCCAACAGACCTACAGCTGAGGGTCCTGACTGTTAGAAGGAAAACTAACAAACAGAAAGGACATCCACACCAAACCCCCATCTGTATGTCACAATCATCAAAGACCAAAGGTAGATAAAACCACAAAGATGGGGAAAAAACAGAGCAGAAAAGCTGAAAATTCTAAAAATCAGAGCACCTGTCTGCCTCCAAAGAAACACAGCTCTTTGCCAGCAACGGAACAAAGCTGGACGGAGAATGACTTTAACGAGTTGAGAGAAGAAGGCTTCAGACAATCAAACTTCTCCGAGCTAAAGGAGGAAGTTCGAACCCAACGCAAAGAAGCTAAAAACCTTGAAAAAAGATTAGACGAATGGCTAACTAGAATAACCAGTGTAGAGAAGTCCTTAAATGACCTGATGGAGCTGAAAACCATAGCACGAGAACTACGTGATGAATGCACAAGCTTCAGTAGCTGATTCAATTAACTGGAAGAAACAGTATCAGTGATAGAAGATCAAATGAATGAAATGAAGCGAGAAGAGAAGTTTAGAGAAAAAAGGACAAAAAGAAATGAACAAAGCTTCCAAGAGATATGGGACTATGTGAAAAGACCAAGTCTACGTCTGATTGGTGAACATGAAAGTGACGGGGAGAATGGAACCAAGTTGGAAAACACTCTGCAGGATATTATCCAGGAGAACTTCCCCAACCTAGCAAAGCAGGCCAACATTCAAATTCAGGAAATACAGAGAACACCACAAAGATACTTCTTGAGAAGAGCAACCCCAAGATACATAATTGTCAGATTCACCAAAGTTGAAATGAAGGAAAAAATGTTAAGGGCAGCTGGAGAGAAAGGTCGGGTTACCCACAAAGGGAAACCCATCAGACTAACAGCTAATCTCTCGTCAGAAACTACAAGCCAGAAGAGAGTGGGGGTCATTATTAAACATTCTTAAAGAAAAGAATTTTCAACCAAGAATTTCATATCCAGCCAAACTAAGCTTCATAAGGAGAAATAAAATCCTTTACAGAGAAGCAAATGCTGAGAGATTTTGTCACCACCAGGCCTGTCCTAAAAGAGTTCCTGAAGGAAGCACTCAACATGGAAAGGAACAACCAGTACCAGCTACTGCAAAAACATGCCAAATTGTAAAGACCATCGAGGCTAGGAAGAAACTGCATCAACTAATGAGCAAAATAACCAGCTAACATCATAATGGCAGGATCAAATTCACACATAACAATATTAACCTTAAATGTAAATGGGCTAAATGCTCCAATTCAAAGACACAGACTGGCAAATTGGATAAAGAGTCAAGACCTATCAGTGTGCTGTATTCAGGAGACCCATCTCACATGCAGAGACACACATAGGCTCAAAATAAAGGGATGGAGGAAGATCTACCAAGCAAATGGAAAACAAAAAAAGGCAGGGGTTGCAATCCTAGTCTCGGATAAAACAGACTTTAAACCAACAAAGATCAAAAGAGACAAAGAAGGCCATTACATAATGGTAAAGGGATCAATTCAACAAGAAGAGCTAACTATCTTAAATATATATGCACCCAATACAGGAGCACTCAGATTCATAAAGCAAGTCCTTAGAGATCTACAAAGAGACTTAGACTCCCACACAATAATAATGGGAGACTTTAACACCCTACTGTCAATGTTAGACAGATCAACGAGACAGAAAGTTAATGAAGATATCCAGGAATTGAACTCAGCTCTGCACCAAGCAGACCTAATAGACGTCTACAGAACTCTCCACCCAAAATCAACAGAATGTACATTCATCTCAGCACCACATCGCACTTATTCCAAAATTGACCACATAGTTGGAAGTAAAGCACTCCTCAGCAAATGTAAAAGAACAGAAATTATAACAAACTGTCTCTCAGACCGCAGAGCAATCAAACTAGAACTCAGGATTAAGAAACTCACTCAAAACCGCTCAACTACATGGAAACTGAACAGCCTGCTCCTGAATGACTACTGGGTACATAACAAAATGAAGGCAGAAATAAAGATTTTCTTTGAAACCAATGGGTACAAAGACACAACATACCAGAATCTCTGGGACAAATTTAAAGCAGTGTGTAGAGGGAAATTTATAACACTAAATGCCCACAAGAGAAAGCAGGAAAGATATAAAATCGGCACTCTAACATCACAATTAAAAGAACTAGAGAAGCAAGAGCAAACACATTCAGAAGCTAGCAGAAGGCAAGAAATAACTAAGATCAGAGAAGAACTGAAGGAGATAGAGACACAAAAAAACCCTTCAAAAAATCAATGAATCCAGGAGCTGGTTTTTTGAAAAGATCAACAAAATTGATAGACCACTAGCAAGACTAATAAAGAATAAAAAAGGGAAGAATCAAACAGACGCCATAAAAAATGATAAAGGGGATATCACCACTGATCCCACAGAAATACAAATTACCATCAGAGAATACTATAAACACCTCCACGTAAATAAATTAGAAAATCTAGAAGAAATGGATAAATTCCTGGACACATACACCCTCCCAAGACTAAACCAGGAAGAAGTTGAATCCCTGAATAGACCAATAACAGGATCTGAACTTGAGGCAATAATTAATAGCCTACCAACCAAAAAAGTCCAGGACCAGATGGATTCACAGCCCAATTCTACCAGAGGTACAAGGAGGAGCTGGTACCATTCCTTCTGAAACTATTCCAATCAATAGAAAAAGAGGGAATCCTCCCTAACTCATTTTATGAGGCCAGCATCATCCTGATACCAAAGCCTGGCAGACACACAACAAAAAAAGAGAATTTTAGACCAATATCCCTGATGAACATCGATGCAAAAATCCTCAATAAAATTCTGGCAAACCAAATACAGCAGCACATCAAAAAGCTTATCCACCATGATCAAGTGGGCTTCATCCCTGGGATGCAAGGCTGGTTTAACATATGCAAATCAATAAACGTAATCCAGTATATAAACAGAACCAAAGACAAAAACCACATGATTATCTCAATAGATGCAGAAAAGGTCTTTGACAAAATTCAACAACCCTTCATGCTAAAAACTCTCAATAAATTAGGTATTGATGGGACATATCTCAAAATAATAAGAGCTATTTATAACAAAACCACAGCCAATATCATACTGAATGGGCAAAAACTGGAAGCATTCCCTTTGAAATCTGGCACAAGACAGGGATGCCCTCTCTCACCACTCCTATTCAACATAGTGTTGGAAGTTCTGGCCAGGGCAATCAGGCAGAAGAAAGAAATAAAGGGTATTAGATGAGGAAAAGAGGAAGTCAAATTGTCCCTGTTTGCAGATGACATGACTGTATATTTAGAAAACCCCATCATCTCAGCCCAAAATCTCCTTAAGCTGATAAGCAACTTCTGCAAAGCCTCAGGATACAAAATCAATGTGCAAAAATTACAAGCATTCTTATACACCAATAACAGACAAACAGAAAGCCAAATCATGAGTGAACTCCCATTCACAATTGCTTCAAAGAGAATAAAATACCTAGGAATCCAACTTACAAGGGATGTGAAGGACCTCTTCAAGGAGAACTACAAACTGCTGCTCAACGAAATGAAAGAGGATACAAACAAATGGAAGAACATTCCATGCTCATGGATAGGAAGAATCAACATCGTGAAAATGGACATACTGCCCAAGGTAATTTATAGATTCAATGCCATCCCCATCAAGCTACCAATGACTTTCTTCACAGAATTGGAAGAAACTACTTTAAAGTTCATGTGGAACCAAAAAAGAGCAGCACTGCCAAGACAATCCTAAGCAAAAAGAACAAAGCTGGAGGCATCACGCTACCAGACTTCAAATGATACTACAAGGCTACAGTAACCAAAACAGCATGGTACTGGTACCAAAACAGAAATATAGACCAATGGAACAGAACAGAGCCCTCAGAAATAATGCCACATATCTACAACCATCTGATCTTTGACAAACCTGACAGAAACGAAATGGGGAAAGGAGTCCCTATTTAATAAATGGTGCTGGGAAAACTGGCTAGCCATATGTAGAAAGCTGAAACTGGATCCCTTCCTTACACCTTACACAAAAATTAATTCAAGATGGATTAAAGACTTAAATGTTAGACCTAAAACCATAAAAACCCTAGAAGAAAACCTAGGCAATACCATTCAGGACACAGGCATGGGCAAGGACTTCATGTCTAAAACACCAAAAGCAATGGCAACAAAAGCCAAAATTGACAAATGGGATCTAACTAAACTAAAGAGCTTCTGCACAGCAAAAGAAACTACCATCAGAGTGAACAGGCAACCTACAGAATGGGAGAAAATTTTTCCAATCTACTCATCTGACAAAGGGCTAATATCCAGAAATTACAAAGAACTCAAACAAATTTACAAGAAAAAAACAAACAACCCCATCAAAAACGGGCAAAGGATATGAACAGACACTTCTCAAAAGAAGACATTTATGCAGCCAAAAGACACATGAAAAAATGCTCATCATCACTGGCCATCAGAGAAATGCAAATCAAAACCACAATGAGATACCATCTCACACCAGTTAGAATGGAGATCATTCAAAAGTCAGGAAACAACAGGTGCTGGAGAGGATGTGGAGAAATAGGAACACTTTTACACTGTTGGTGGGACTGTTAACTAGTTCAACCATTGTGGAAGACAGTGTGGCAATTCCTCAAGGATCTAGAACTAGAAATACCATTTGACCCAGCCATCCCATTACTGGGTATATACCCAAAGGATTATAATTCATGCTGCTATAAAGGCACATGCACACGTATGTTTATTGCAGCACTATTCACAATAGCAAAGACTTGGAACCAACCCAAATGTCCATCAATGATAGACTGGATTAAGAAAATGTGGTACATATACACCATGGAATACTATGCAGCCATAAAAAAGGATGAGTTCATGTCCTTTGTAGGGACATGGATGAAGCTGGAAACCATCATTCTCAGCAAACTATCACAAGGACAAAAAATCAAACACCACATGTTCTCACTCATAGGTGGGAACTGAACAATGAGAACACTTGGACACAAGAAGGGGAACATCATACACTGGGGCCTGTTGTGGGGTGGGGGGAGGGGGAGGGAAAGCATTACGAGATATACCTAATGTAAATGACAAGTTAATGGGTGCAGCACACCAACATGGCACATGTATACATATGTAACAAACCTGCACGTTGTGCACATGTACCCTAGAACTTAAAGTATAATTAAAAAAAAAGAAAAAAAGAAAGTCTTGAATAATAACAAACAGTTCCCATTTTAACAAATTAGAAAAAGAACAGAATAAACCCTAATCAAATGGAAGAAAGAAAATAGTTAAGAGCAGAAATCAATAAAATTGAAAACAAATAAATAATAGATAAAATCAACAAAACCAAAAACTGGAGCTTTGCAAAGATTGATAGAATTGATAAATCTCTAGCAAGGCTGACAAAGAATAAAAGAGAAAGAAAACACAAATTACCAATATCAGGAAGGAAAGAAGACTATCATTATAGACCTTGCAAACATGAAAAGGATAATAAGGAAATAATCTGAACAACTCTATGTACATGAATTCAACATGAATTTCTCCCTATGATCAGCAACAAGGCAAGAATGACCACAATTACTCCCTTCCAATTCCACACCAGTGAATTATTCAGTATAGTAAGTCAAGAAAAAGAAATAAAAAGCAAATATATTGGAAAGGAAGAAATAAAATTGTTCTTACATGCCAGCAAGATGGTTGTCTACATAGAAGCTTGGATGAAATCGACCAATTTCTTGTCAATCACAAATTAGCAAAACTCAGCCAAGATAAAATAGATAACCTGAGTAATCCTTTACCTATTAAATAAATTAAATTCATAGTTAAAAACCTTTCAAAAAGAAATCTCTAGGCCCAGATGGTAAATTCTACCAAACATTTAAAGAAGAAATAACATCAGTTCTTTAAAATCTCTTCAGAAAACAGTAGAAGATGGAACACTTCCCAGCTCATTTTATAAGTCCAACATTGCCCTGATAACAAAGCCAGACAAAGGAATTTAAATAATGGAAAGTTACACACTAATACCTCTCATGAACATAGACACAAAAATTCTCAGTGAAACATTAGAAAATTGAATCCATCAATATAGAAAACAATAAAGCAACCAAGAGGGGTTTATCTTAGAAATGCAGTATTCAAAAGTAGATAGAGTAGTTCACAATATTGACAACTTAAAGAAGAAAGAAACCACAAGATCATAACAATTTATGCAGAAAAAAGCACTTAATAAAATTCAATATTCATCCACGATAAAAAAAAAACTAGAAGCAAAAGAACTATCCCTTAGCCCGATAAAGGGGCATCTACAAAAAACCTAGAGTTAACATCATATTTAATGGCAAAAAATGCAATACTTTCTCCCTATGATCAGAAACAAGGCCAGAATGACCACAATTACCCCTCCAGTTCAACACCAGTGCATTAAGCAGTGCAGTAAGTCAAGAAAAAGAAATAAAAGGTGTATATATTGGAAATGAAGATATAAAATTGTGCCTATGTGCAGGCAACATGATTGTCGACACAGAATATCCCAAGAAATCTGCAAAACAAAAACAAAACTAAAAGCAAAAAAAAAAACCCTTAGAACTAATAAGTGAGTTTAGCAAAGTTGCAGATAGAAGTTCAACATACAAAACTAAATGGTAATTCTATGCACTAGTAATGTACACTTGTAAACAAAATTTAAAGCAACACAATTTATAATAGCTCTAAAAGAATGAACTACTCAGGCATAAATGTAAAAAAATATGTATAGGATCTATATGCTGAAAAGTACAAAACAGTGATGAAATAAATCAAAGAAGTCTTTTAAAATTGAAGAAAAATGGGTATATCATGGAAAAGTGATATACCATGGTCATGGATTGTTAGTTTAGTGTAAATCAATATGTGAATTCTCTCCAAAAATGATGTATAGATTAAATGCAATACCAGTCAAGATCCAAGCAAGATTTCCCAACATTTATATAGAAAGGCAAGGAAAGTAGCTAATACAAATTTGAAAAAGAATAAAGAATCAACAAATCACATTTCTCCATGTTAAGACTTACTCTATAGCTACAGTAATTGAGACTGTGTGGACTGGCAAAGGGATAGACACATAGATCACTGGATTAGAATAAAGCATCGAGAAATAAACTCATACTAGTATGGCCAACTGATTTTTGATGAAGTTGCCAGGAGTGGGCACTAGTCCCTTTTGGCAGTCTGTGGTCAGGGATTTAAGTGGGCACAGGGAGCCCTACATGGAAGAAACTCTAACTTTCCCCATAAATCCTGAAAGAGCAGTTGAGTGCCTCCTACAGCCCATAGCCTTTTCAGAAGCAGGCAACGAGGTGGGAGGAAGTGTCCCAGACAGGGGAAACAGCAAGTGGAAAGGCTCTGGCATGTCCAAGTAACAAGGAGGCGAGTGTGGCTGGGGCATGGGGAGCAAGGGGAAGAACAGTAGAAGGTGAGGTCCAAGGGGCCCAGGCACAGAGGACCTTGTTGGCACCCAGAAAGACTTGAGTTTTTCCTTTGAGGTTTGCCCTGGGAGGGTTTTGAACCAAGGAGTGACACAATCTGACTATCTTTGTAATGGGCTCATTCTCACTGCTAGGTTGCAAAATGACTAAATGAGGGCAAGGGATGAAGCCAGGAGACAAATTAGGAAGCTGCTGAGATAATCCATGTGACAGATGGTGGTGACTTAGACCAAGGTGGAAGCAAGCAGTGGAGGTGTTGAGATGTTGTCAATGGGTCTGGACATAATTTGACATAATTTGAAGGTACACAGTGTCGGGAGAGAGAGGGAGAGAGAGAGAGAGAGAGAGAGAGAGAATGTTAGGGGCTGTGGTGAGAATTTTTTACTGTGGGTTGTAGTAAAAAAAAAAAAAAAGAAGAAAAATCTGAGTTCGGAGGAGGTGGCTCACGTCTATAATCCCAGCAATTTGGGAGTCTGAGGCAAGAAGATTTCTTGAGCCCAGGAGTTCAAGACCAGCCAGGCAAGCCTGGGCAACATAGTGAGATCCTGTCTCTACAGAAAATATTAAAATTAGTTGAGCATGATGGCACATGACTGTAGCCCAGGTACTTGGGAGGCTGAAGTGGGAGAATCACTTGAGCCCAGGAGGTTAAGGCTGCAGTGAGCCGTGATCGCTCCACTGCACTCCAGTGCCTGGGAGACAGAGAGAGATGCCATCTCAAAAAAAAAAAAAACAAAAAAAAACCTGAGCAATAATATTTCCCCTCCATTGTTTCCTTGAAGGCTGACTCAGAGATCCTACAACCGCTTCAGACCTCTGGATGCCAATCGAGAGTATGTCCCTGTAATGGGTGAGGCAAGCAGAAAGCTACTGTCTTACCTTCTTGGGAACTTCTGAACTTTTCCCCAAGGTGTATGGAAGAAGCAGCTCTCCTCAGCTGGCCTGCCGAATGGCCTGGCATCATGGGCCCAGCCAACAGAGTTTGGTAGACTGGACCCACTCCATGGGGTTTCAGATCACAAATGAATAGATTTCCTTTTCTTTATTTTATAGATAAGAAACTTAGATGTAGAGAACTATGACTCCTCGCCCAGTATCTTAGATCTAGTTGGTGGCAGAGCTGCAGTTTCTGTCTGCTGGTCCAGTTGTGCATGGGAAGTGCTCAGGGCAGATGGCCACCTTCTGCTTTCTTTAGCAATCTTCTCTTTCTTTCTTTCTTTCTTTCTTTCTTTTTTCTTTCTTTCTTTCTTTCTTTCTCTCTCTCTTTCTTTCTTTCTCTTTCCTTTCCTTTCCTTTCTTTCTTTTTTTTTTTGATGGATCCCCACTCTGTCACCAGGCTGGAGTGCAGTGGCTCGATCTTGGCTCACTGCAACCTCCGCCTCCCAGGTTCAAGCAATTTTCCTGCCTCAGCCTCCCAAGTAGCTAGGACTAGAGGCAAGCTCCACCACGCCCAGCTAATTTTTGTATTTTTAATAGAGACGGGGTTTCACCGTGTTCGCCAGAATGGTCTCTATCTCTTGACCTTGTGATCCACCCGCCTCAGCCTCCCAAAGTGCTGGGATTACAGGTGTGAGCCACCGTGCCTGCTCAGTAATTTTATCTTTCTAAAGAGCCCAGAGGCCTTCCCTCATGAACCAGGTCAGCTGTGCAGCGGCCAGGGTGGTGGTGCAGGGAGTTGATGCCCTCCAGGCTTCTGCTTCTTAAGGAGCCCCTTGCCTACTTGCATGCCTGCCTGCAAGCTCTGACCTCCCATTCACCCAGGCAATGAAGGAGAACAAGCAGCAGAGGCAGCCGGGCACAGTGACAGACCAAGGCAGAGTGACTAACAGTGTGAAGTGCCCATCAGGCAGTTGTGCTGGGTGTAGACTGCAGCTTTTAACACAAGTGAGGGCATGCGCCTATTGTTATTTTAATTTTTAGGCTACAGAGTTGTTATGGGCTCAGTTGTGTCCTCCCCAAAATTCAAATGTTGACATTCTTACCTCCGGTACCTCAGAATGTGACTGTATTTTGATACAGGGTTTCTACAGAGGTAATCAAACTGAAATGAGGTCTTTATCGTGGGCCCTAGTACAATATAACAAGTGTGCTTATAAGAGCAGGAAGTTTGAACACAGACACTCACAGAGAAAAGACGATGTGAGACTCTTGGGTAGTAGACAGCCATCTACATACCAAGGACAGAGGCCAACCCTGCTGGCACCCTGATCTCAGATTTCCAGCCTCTAGAAGTGCAAGAAATAAATTCCTGTCATTTAAGCCACCCAGTCCATGGTACTCTGTTATGGCAGCCTGAGCAGATTTAGACAAGAGTCATCCTGTGTTCTTAGATTGCAGGCCAAGATATGACAAGTGTTGTCCTCCCCAGTCCAAGCCGATGCCCCTAATCAAGGGGCGGCCACTGAGACAGAAATTGAGGAGTGGGGAGTGGAGAGGCCCAACACAAAGCACTTCCTGCAGCCTCTGT
This sequence comes from Homo sapiens, assembly GCF_000001405.40. Lineage (NCBI taxonomy): Eukaryota > Metazoa > Chordata > Mammalia > Primates > Hominidae > Homo > Homo sapiens. Next base: position 39,175,626 of record NC_000023.11, on the reverse strand, counting down.
CTCCAGCATCCCTCCTCTCTCCTTCCCCACTGCCTTCTGGGCCCGTTATTGGCCAACCAGGAGCAGCTGTAGGGCCTCACCAGGCCCCCCCACATTGCCCGAAGGAGACCCCACAGCTAGAAGCACCTTCCTAACAGCCAGCCATTGCTCCTCTGGCACCTAAAAGCAGCTGCAAGCAAGGGCAGGGGAGAGGGTTAAGGATGCCTGGTTCTCCTGGGGTTAGCACCTAGCAGCCTCCTGTGATCCCCTCAAAAAGTAAGAAGCTTTAGCCTGTGGGTGCACCTGCTTGGTGCCTCCTGGAGACCTTGTTTTTAGCACACGCACCCTTTCCTCTCTCTGTCTGTCTTTTATTTCTAAATAAGAGAAGGCAGTTCTTTCAACACCAGAAGTGGAAAAAGAGGGAGGGGGCCAAGGAATGAAAGACTCAGAGAGTGTTACACATAACAGTGGGCGTATTTTATGGAAAGCAGCCGACAATCAGTGTTTGCAGACGCCTTTTATTTTATATTATTTCCTCATCTGTTCAGCTTTCTTGGGCGGAAGCCAGAAAGTTAATATTCTCGGTCAAAGTCGGCCTTTTATCTGTCAGGTTCAAAATGAAACCTAGACGCTGGGGTTTTAAAGTGTCTCAGCCAAAAGGCAAACACACCTTCTCAGCAACTCCAGCCCAGGGACTGTCGCTGAGGCTGATGCTCCTGAGAGAAGCCTGGCTCTTACTGGGGACTTTTGATTAAGAGTTGCTGTTGTTCCTTCAGCAGGACACGCGTCAGCCTGGGGAACCCAGCCTGACCACAGCCTTTTGGCGTCATAGCGCATGAACATGGTGCCATCAGCCAGTGTCTGGGTCACCTCACAGATCATGCCGGGGTCCTAGGCAATTTGGCTGGCTAAAAGAGGCAGGTGAAAGGAAAGGTCAGGAGGGGGTGGTTAACCCCTGCCTGAGTCCTGGCTGGGCTCCTGAAAACAGACTCTGTGAGAAACAGTCTGCAGAGTTGTGATGGTTTTCAAACTTGTCTCCAATTTCTTTGACGGTACCCCCAAGAAAAGGTGGAGCTTTATTTCCCTCCCCTTGAATCTGAGCTGCCTTTCATGACTCACTTCTAATAAAGAGTAACAAAAGTAACAAAAAGTGAAGCTATGTAGTTTCCCAGGCTAGATCATAAAAAGTAAAACAGCTTCCACCTGGCGCTCGCTCTCTCATGGGACACTCACTTTGGGAGCCCCGAACTGCCATGTAAGAAATCCAGCTGTCCTGAAGTCACTATCCTGGAGGGACTGTGTGGAGAGACCACACAGAGACACCAGGTGCCTGGCTGTGGCAGCCCTAGCTGTTACAGTGTTCTCAGCCCAAGCACCAGACATGTAAGAGAAGAAGCCTTAGTGATGTCCTCACCTCCAGCCATCTAACTGCAGCAGCATGAGAGAGCCCATGAGCTGCCTTGCTGAGCCCAGGCCCCCTGGAACTGTGAGTGCTGAGAAAATGATTACCACTATGTTACACCATTAAGTTTGGGGCTGTTTGTAATACAGCAATGGATAACCAGTACAATGGCCTTCTCCGTTTTTTGTCTCCTCCACAGCAAAACTGTGGAAGATAGGTCCCTTTCTGCTGTAAAATCCTCTTTTGGCTGTTGATCTCGGGTCAAAAGGCTTGTATTTCACTTGTGATTCTTCCTGTCACATAATATTCGTCATTCACTCAACCCTTCTAGACCTCAGTTTGCACATCTATAAAATGGGGATGATAGAATGAGGCTAACTTTACAGAGATGTTAGAAGGGTCAAATGAGATGGCGGATATAACTTATAGAGTTCTCAATGCCCTGAGATCCAAGAGCTATGATAAATACATTTCTTTTGAGGGCCTCTTCATCACAAGTGTGCTGCAGAAAGATATATGCAACCTATATAACAGGTGTTACATACATGTAGAAAATGAACAGCCCCACGCAACTCTAAGAGGAAAGAGGACTTTGTAAAATACAAGAACTACATAGAAGCTTCTTCTTATTTTTTTATGATCTATCATAATTACAAGGGGGCAACCACTGATGTTGCTCAGCTGTGGAGATTAATTTTATTCTAGGAAGCCCAAGACTTTGTGGCCCTCTCATTTATACCCTAATCAAAGTGAGGGCCTCTGCAGTCAATTTGGGATGTCCCCTATATTTGGAGGTGACTTAAAATGCAGTGGGAAGTCCCTGGGAGTAGAATTCCAGAGGCCTCCCTGTATCAATCGCCCCACTCAACCCCAGACCCAAGTACACTCAGTAGCATATTTGGGGCTCAACCAAAACTGAAAATAGGATCTGCAGGAAGGGATGAGGAGTGAGAATTTTACCACATGCTACACTATCCCACACTTAGCTTGGACCCAGAATTCTTCTCGCCTCTCTGAGTATTCTGCCCTCAGCACTAAACCCTTGGCGTGTCTAGGGGCCTCTCCCTTTCTTACAATATGGCTGCAGCTAATAAAGGCATAAATGCTGCAAAGCACTTATTACAGTAATATTATCTTTATATTATCCCAGCATTACCAGGCCGTGCTCAGGGGCCGGGGAGGCGGGAGAACCTCTTCGGTGCTGTCAGTAATCGGAGGAAGGCAGTTTAGTTTAATGATAATGACTTACACTTACATAGCTGCCCTCATCCCAGAGGACCCTGGAGCACTTTACAAACACACTCTCACTCTGAGCCTTTCTAACAAACCTGAGCCGCAGCAATGCTTATAAATAATATATATTCTGAGTGCCTCTATATACTGCAAATGTATGATATAAATATGTATAAATGTAACAAATATGATTTTTGCATGTTACATTTATAATCTTTAAAAAAACGGTGACCCATCATGGGTGTGCAGTCACAAAACAGACTCATAGGATGCTGAAGTCCGATAGATAGTGATACTGCACAATAGATAGTGATACAGACAGTGATACTGAACCATTTACAACAGGTATCAGCCTGGGGCTTTTCAAAGCTAAGGAAATCCTTCACAGTTTGCATTCATTGGGCTCCTCTTTCACTGGGAAGGTCATTCTTAGGTGAAGTTTGTTCAACCAGTTTCAGCTCAGGGTCAAGCAAATCCACAGATGTGGACAGCGTGGATGCACACCAGGGTTGATTTTGAAGCGTCAACACCAATGTGCTGTGTGATCACGGACAAAGCAGTAATCTTCTCTGGGCCTCAGTGGAATCCTCAACGTAAGTGGCTATAAGGCTCTGCGGTAGCTTGTGGCATTGTTCTCAATCCTTCAGGCCCTTCCTATATTAGAATTACATACATTTATGCCCTTTGCCAAGTGTATTTGTAGTTCTTCACATTAGAGTAGACAGAGTTTCCTTCACTATCTCGTGGATTCAGAGTTCGGTCATGTTTTCTGATTACCATTGTTGTGCAACAAATGGCCCCAAAACTTAGTAATAAAGAACAATAACCATTTTATTATGTTGATGGACACTGTGGATCAGGAATTTGCTTGGGAGTACAGTCAGGATGGTTTGTTTCTACACCAGGATGTCTAGAACCTCAGTCGGAAAGACTAGAAATCTGAAAGTGACTCAATATTTAGAGCTGGGATCATCTAACAGTTGTGGTCTCACATGTCTAGAGCCTGGCTTGGGCTAGTCTGAAGACTAGGACAGCCAACCAGAGTGCCTACATGAGGCCTCCCCAGTGAACCTGGGCTTCCTTACAACATGGTGGTCTCAGAGTAGTCAGACTTCTTACACGGCACCTCAGGCCTCTGAGTGCAAGCGATCCAGTGACCAGGTGGAAGCTGTATTGCCTTTTATGATCTAGTCTCGGAAATTAGTGTCACCTACTGTCTTCTATTGTTGAAGTCAAGTCACAAGCCCACCTGGACCATTAGACTCCACCTGTTGATGAGAGGAATGTCAAGGTCACAAGGTAGGAGAGTGTGGGATAGGGTATACTGTGGTGGCCATCAGAATTAGTTTCCTGTGCTGCATAACAAATTACCACAAGCTTAGTGGCTGCCATAATGTATATTTTCACCATTTCCCAGGGTCAGGAGTTTGAGCACAGCTTAACTGTGTTCTCTGCTCAGAGTCTCACAAGGCTTCAATCAGAGTGTCAGCCAGACTGAGTTTCTTTCCGGGGCTCAAGATCCTCTTCCAAGGTCATGTGGTTTTTGACAAAATTCAGTTTCCTCATCTGTGAAAGCGTAGTAAGGATTGATGGTAAAAACCTGTGAATGTGTTGGGGATACAAAAAAGAGCTACACAAATGCTGCTTATTATTCTCCAGCTAGATTGTAAGATCCTTGAGGTCAGAGACACAGTATTGTATTTATGTGGTTTTTTTTTTTTTTTTGAGACAGGGTCTTGCTCTGTTGCCCAGGCTGGAGTGCAGTGGAACAATCTCGGCTCACTGCAACCTCAACCTCCTAGGCTCAGGTAATTCTCCCACCTCAGCCTCCTGAGTAGCTGAGACTATAGGCGCATGCCACCATGCCCAGTTAGTATTTGTATTTTATTTTTAGTAGAGACAGGGTTTTTCCATGTTGCCCATGCTGGTATATTTATGTGTTTTGAGTGTACCATAGAACATCAAGTGGTACTAAGCACATGGCTGAGTCTCAAGAAATGCTGGCTTCTGACTGGTTGGATGGATGCATTGAGGGGTGTATCTATGGGTGAGGGATGAAGACTTGAGTCCCAAGAAGATTCTGGGATGGGTTCAGGCAATATGGAGGTGTGTGGGGGAGAGATCTGGTGTGTCTCTGTTACAGTTAGAGGCAAAAAAGCTTGCCATTGGAATGAAATATAGGAAACATTTTGTATCTCCACTCTTGAAGACAATCTGAATGCCTCTGGGGAAAGGTGCAGTGTGGTGATGACAACAGGGCCTTTGGACCCAGACAGACTTCGGTTTGAATGCTGGTTCAGCCCTTTTCTAGCTGACTGACCTTGCGTGAGTTATTAAACCTCTCAGCCTTGAGGTTCTCCATTCACGAAATGAGGGTTGTGGGAGAGATAGAGACAATGGTGTGAAACTGCTCACAGAGCCCATGTAGATGCCTGTTTAACATGAGCTGGTTTTATGAGAGGCAGCAAGATATAGCATGCTCAAACTTAGGCTCCAGAACTGCATTGCTTGGTTCAAAGCCTGGCTCCATCACTTCCTAGATAGGTGACCTTGGCCAAGTTACATAACCTTGCTGGTCTTCCATTTCCTTGCATGTAAAATGAGGATAGTAATTTTATATGCTTCATAGAATAGCTGTCAGGAATAAATAAGATAATGTATACATAAAGTGCTTGGAATAAAACATGGTCTGTTGTAAGTACTCAATGAATATTAGCTGTTGTTGATTCTGCTTTTCTTCCTTCTCCTGCTCCTTCTTCTCTTCCTTCTTTTTCTTCTCATTGTGCATGAGTGAGGTCCTTCCTGTTAGCCATCCCACTTCTTTGCTGTCTCTATTACACAACCCCTGAGATGACTGAAAACCTCCTTGATTCAGTTCCACAGACATATAGCCAGGGCGGTGGGAGAACTAAGCCTTACTGAGCACCACTCCTCTCTGTTCCTTCCCTTAGCATCCCCTGGCCACTTTCTGGAATGGCACCTCCCCTTCCCCTACTCATCTGCTCAAGCCAGAAACCTAATGAAGTTGACAACTTTCTCTCCTTCACCTCACATTTCCAAACCAATACCAAGTCCTGTCACCTCTGCATCTAGAGTCTATCTGGAACCTGTTTACAGCTCTTTACCTCCACGACACCAGCTGATCCCAGCTACCACATTCTCTGGCCAGGATGCAGCCATAGTCCCTAACTGCTCTCATTATTGCCCTTATAATTCACTTTCCACACAACGGCCAGAGAGATTGTTGTCATTCACCTACTTAAACCCTTCCCGTGGCTTTCCACTCCGCTATGTATAAAATCCAAACTCCTTAACACAGTCCCCAGGGCTCAACTTCTCCTTCTGCCCAGTTTTGTTTCCTCCCTGCCCTTCCATTGGTACTGATTCCAAGGGCATTCCCTGATCAATTTCCCACATGCTCAATGCTATTTCAAAGTCTACTTTCTGGGAAATGCAACCTGTGCCATTCTGTATCCTAGACCTTCCAATCATCCATTTAGCTTTGCCCAGAATTCATGCATTTTTTACCAACAATGCCTCCTGTCCCCCCCCTTTTTTTTTTCCTGAAACAGGACTGTCTGTAGCTTCCTGTGGAGTATTCATTCCAGCACAGGGGTTCTCCAACTTAAAACACTTGCCCAGCCCCACATTCAGAGTTTCTGATTCAGTGGTTCTGGGGTGGGTCTGGGAATGTGCATTTCTAACACGTTCTTGGTGATGCTGATGCTGCTTCTCAGGGAGCAGGCTGTGAAGGCCACTGGTATAGGGAAGTGACAAATAGACTGAGATTGTCATCCTTCTCTCAGTTCTAGTCTCTGTGGTCCCTCAGCAAGGTGGCCACACGAAGTCCCCTTTCAACTGGGAATTTATATTTAATTATATTTAATTTATATATTAAAAAAAGTCTGGCCTAAGTGGATCCTTGGGTAGAAGAGAGAGGTCAGTAGTCTGGAGATGAGTAAGTCGCTCTTATCCTGCAGCTACCCCAAGTTTTCACCCATCTGTTTTGTATTCACTCCTCCCCGTCCCCTGCCCCTCTCCTGAGCCCTACTTGCTCAGGAAGCCATCTCCCCAGGCACGTGTGTGCCAGATACTCTACTGGGCACAGTCACCGAGCATTCTAATCTGCTCTTTGGGTCCCTTAAGCTGGAAGTCTCGAGAAGAGCCATGAGAAAACAGCCAAGAGGTGGGCCGAGGCTCAGGGAACTAATTGAAGAACGACTCCTCTGCGGGGCGTTAATACCTTGCAAAGAAGTGAATCTACTGGCATTTTTTTTTAGAGTTTAATAAAAATATATATGCACCGTGAGAAAATCGCAGCAATAATTCCTTGCACCTTTGTTCCAAGAAGCCCAAAGCACTCCCCATATATTATCATATTCATTATCCTATTTTCTTCACGTTTCTCATTAATTTTTTTCCGAGGTGATATATTAATATGAAATTCTAAATCACATTAAGGATACCACGAGCCCAACTGGTTCTCCTTACCCTAACTCCACCTTTCTCTTCTGCTCTTTCCATCCATCATCCTCATCCCCCACATCCCCCACACAGGGGAGGGTAAGTCAGCAGCTGGTAAGCAGCTGATGGAGAGGGGGATAGGAGATTGGAGGAGTACAGGTGTCAAAGTGCTCCTTTGCCGTTGGGAGGCTTTCCAAGTCCAGTCACCAGGGCTCAAGTCCTCTCACCAGAGTCACTTGATCAGGTCCAGGACACTGAGGCAGGTCAGGAAAAGGAAGCAGCCTTCCCACCCAACTCCCCTTAATGGGTGTACAACCTACTCCCCCCTCCCTCTTGCAAGAGGGAAAGAATCAGTCTCATTACAGATATTATCATGCAGCACTTCATATTTCAAAGAGCTTTATAATCGCTAATTAGTTATTGCCAGAGAATATGGAAATGGCGCCTTGCTAACTCCTGCAGACCAGAGGCCAGAGTTCTGCAAGCAGGTCAGCCTTCAGCTGGCTGCCCGGCCTGACCTGGCAGGCAGGAAGTGTGGCCAACCGCGGGTCAGAAGGCAAGAGGCTTGTAGTCACAGCCAGTGAGATTCTGTGGTTTCTGTGCTGATGCTTCTGAGTAACCTGTCTGCATTCTGTCAGTTTAGGAGAGCCCAGAGATGAGCTAAATGCCTCAGGTGGCAACATAAAAGATGCAGCCAAAGCTAAAACAGCATCCTCAGCCAGAAAAGCCAATGATGAAGAAACACTTCCCCCTCTTCCCAGTGTGCTGAGGTTAATTCCCAATACGGTGGCTGCAACAAGCTTGAGGTTCATGCTGAGGGATGCTGATGTGCACAGTACAAGTGAGCCCATTCCAGAAGCCTCCTGAAGGACCTCACGGACACGCAGGTGTTCCAGTCAGGCTCTGAAGCCCCTCCAGCGGAAGGAGGGACAAGAAGCAGCCTTGTTCACCCTGGATACCTCAATACCATTTGAATTTCGTTCTAATTCCCCTCAGAAGCTGGAGTCATAAGGGGCCTAAAGGAGGCAGGCCCTTGGGGAGGCTGACTCAGCCTTCCTGGAGGAACACTCCCTGTCCGGGATGAGAGGAAGATGCAGGGAGCATTTTCATTTGGGACTCCATCTCTCCTCCTTCCAGTAAATGGGGATTGAGGAGGTGCTACCTTAAAAAAATCCCTGAGCAGCAGCAGCAGCAGCAGCAAAAGTTTTTTCTAGTAAAGCATGCCCCTGCAGGTTAAAGGTGGGTGGGACAAAGGCCCAGGAAGCACTCCTGACTTACAGAAATTCCACAGGGACCCAGCCATAGGAAGCTCCAGAAAAGCTCTCTCAGGGAGTGAGCAGAAATCTCCGATACAGATATCCCCCACTTTCTTCTCTTCCTGGTGAGGGGACATGCAGAGGCCACTCAGTTGTCAGATTATAGTTCCCCTAATAACTCCAGTGTTTGTGCTGAGGCAGAGCAAAGTTGAAGTGATAGAGATGCATGCCTCAGTCTATGTCTTTGGGAAGCATATGTCTGCAATACCCAAGCCTTTGCATCAGAGAGTCATTTTGCCCATTGCTGGTGGGTTACCTATCAGAAGCTGCCTGTTCTTAGCACAGAACTATGCCGTGAAACAGATTGATGTGTCCTGGGCCTCATTTCTCAGCACTCCAGCAGGAGGAGGAGACTTGCCCCCGCATTGCAGAAGGCAGCCCTCATAATGAGAATGCTGCCTATGGCCCAGGCCCGCGCAGGATCGAAGGCTTGGTACAGCCTTGTCAGCAGGGATCAGGGGGCAGGGTGGGATGGGATGGGAGTGGGGGTTGGACCACACAGAGAGATTTCCCAAGGCCTTTGGGAACTAGCACTTATGCAATTTGGGTCCTTCTAGGATGTGACAACCGGCCCTTCTACCTCACCTTTTCTCAATTTTATGCTGATGCAACCAGCTGAGAAGTCGAAGCCAAAGCCTTCATTTAGAGCTCAAGCTGCCACTTCATGTCCTCTTATCAATCCCCACCTTCCACCATCCCCTCGACCCCCATGCCCTTCTTTCTCCAAGGGCCCAGAAGTCAAAGGTGATGGAGGCCCACCCTGGGGTAGTGGAGGGAAGCCTGCCATTCCTCATGATTCCTAGATCAGAATGGTCTAACTTCCCTCCCACTACCCAGAGCTGCCAGCAGCAGGCTTCTGCCTCCAGCAGTCCTCCCGGTCATCCCCACCTTCCTTTTCAGCCCAGCCACCTTTTAATACCCCAAGTGGACAAAATACTCCTCCAATGTGAAGGCGACCCAGAGCCTCACTTCTCAGTTCTGATGGAGCAAGTGAAAGACAAATGGGCCCCTGAAGCTGGGGCAAGCACACATCTTAGCTACCCATCTTGATGGCTCTATCCTTCAGGAATACCCCTTTCCTAACCTACTAAAGTTTCCCCTGTCCCTTGTCATAGATATTGCTGGGTGTGCAGGCACACACCACAACCAGACACACACCCCCACATGCACACTCACTCCTGCTCACACACATACTTGCACAGGCACACTTGCTCCCACATGCATGCTCACTCCCACACACACTCACGCGCATGTTCTGGCTGTGTCCTCAGCTCTTAGATTTTGCTTCCGTTACAGCAGAGATAGGTAACGCTAATTGAGTCAGGACCTGGAGAGGTGGGGAAAGGCATGGTTCCCTCTACATCCCAATTGCTCCACCTTCATGTTCAGGCTTTAGCTGGGCTGGTGGCAGGTGGAAGTGGAGCTGGACATTTTGAAAAAGCAAGGAAGAAGGAGCAAGAGAAGGTGGGGAGGAGCAGTGAGGAGGGCTCTGGGAGACACAGTGCCTCTGCTGAGGGTTGGGGGCGGGCGCGGAGTGGGAGGTGGTAAGAGGGCAGACATCAAATTTCCCCTTGAGACCCAGCAGGAAAACATGATGTGGGGAAAGTAGAAGTTTGGGGGTCCAGCTGGCCTCCTGTGTGACCTTGAACCACAAGATTACTTAACTTCTCTACATCTCAGTTTTCCTATTTCCAAAGTGAGGATAAGGATACTTGTCTTTCACCGGTGCTGAGAGGATGAGCAATACTGTTTGTCAAGAGTCTGGCATAGAATAAGTCCTCAACAAATGGCTGCTATTGTCACTGGTGCCTGAAATAGAAGGGATCTTGGAAGCTGTCAGTTCTTGGCCTCATTCATAGGAGACCATGAAGGACATACTGGTGATATGCTTCCTTCTCTTGCAGTAAAGCCAAACCCCTCCTGACTCTTGCCAATTGTTATGTCACAGGGGCAATAGTGCAAAGAGTAGCAGTGGTTGTAGGTTACACTGGCATTCACAGGGATGGAAAAGGTGGGGAGGGCAGTGTATAAGATTAATACAGAGGTGTCTGTGTATGGGGTGACTCCCAGGACAAGTGCCAGGGAAAGAAGAAATGCACATTTTTTTCTTCCTGTTCCTGGGAAAATAGGTTTCTAGTGGGTTGGGGTGTGGCCAGAACCACCAGGCAGGACCAGAGACACAAGAACCCCCAGGCACACAGCCCACCAATGCAGGGCAAAGTTAGCGAGAAACTCCCATCTTTGTGGCCACTTTCCCCCAGGGAAATGGGGCTGTCTCCGTGGCTGCTGTCTTGAAAAAATGGTCTCAGATCATCTTCTCACCCATTCTCTGAGCCTCTTGGAGTATCTTAAATAGTAAAACACTAAGCATGAAGAGGCCATCAGTGTAGTGGTTAAGGGTCCAGATTCTGAAGCCAAACCTCCTGCATTTGAATTCTGGCACTACAACTTGCCAGCTGTGTGAGTTAAGTTCAGTGTGCCTCAGTTTCCTCATCTGTAAAATGGAGAAACTTAGCACAATGTCAGACACATGGTAAGTGCTATTGCAATATTGATTACGGTGCTTACAATTATACTCCTTATACTCCTTAGCCAGTTGTCTTGCATGGGGAAAAGTACTCAGGAGGAGAGTGGGTCAACTGTGGCCTGGTGGTCAATTGAAGCCTCACTGGAGGCTTGGTCCAACGTAAGTAATAAGTCCTAGGGAGCCTTAGTTCTAGCTCTCTCTTTCCAGCAGAGTCCCTGTTCTCCTCTTCTTGTTTCAACAGGAAATCAAAATCCTCAGTCCATGCACGCCCTCCATCCTCCTCTCCACTCCAGGTACACACTTAATAAGGAGCTTTTCCATCTGCCCTTCTGCTTCCTGGCTACAAGCATGAGCAGCTCTCCCTTGAGCCCCTGTTTCAACAAACCCTGTTTCTAGCACAGGGCAGTGCCAAGAGCACAGGGCTGGAGCCAAACGGCCTGGCTGTAGTCTTGGCTCCATCCCTTACTAGCTACTGACCCCCTAGGCAAGTCATGCAACTTGTCTGAGACTCAGTTTTCTCATCTGACAAATGCAGATAAAACAGCTTCCTACCCCAACTTCCAGGGGTTCTTTAAGAATCAGAAAAAAAAAGAATCAAACAGGAATGCTTGTGAAGGCACTCTGCAAGCTGGGAAGAACCAAGCAAGCCATACACTGTGAATCTTCATTCTCTTTCTGTCTCTACTCTGATGAGCTGCTGTTTGAAGTGAGACTTCCAACACTTCTGCTGCTTCTAGTAAAAGGTTATCTTTCTCTCTGCATCAGTCAGATATTACTATGCAAGAAACATTCCAAAACATAGTGGCTTAAAACAATAACTGTTTTTTTCTAATGAGTCTTTAGATTAGCTGTGTAGTTCTACTGATCTGAGCTGGACTTGGCTGGGCGCAACTCACTTGCGTGCCTGTGGTGAGCTGTGTGTCAGCTAGGAGGCTTTGGTGATCTGGGCTGAGCTCTCATAGATCTGAAAGCTTCAACTGGAGCAACTGAGCCAACTCAGCTCTGCTTCACTTGTCTCATTCTTCAGCAGGCTACCTTAGCCCGTTCTCATGGCAAAGGCACAAGAGCAAGAGTGAGGAAGCTCAATTATGCAAGAAGGCAGGCAGAAATGTGTGTGTGCTTCTCAAGGCCCTGTTTGTATCATATGCATATTCCCATAAATGCATGAAAGTTTTGTAGATTTCTGCAGGAAGGAATGGAACATCTCCATCACTGCTTCCAGATTTGGCCTGGAGGACTAACAGCTCTGTACTGCTTGAGCACTCTCATATATAAGCATATGCCTCCCATTTGAATAGTTCCCTCAATGCACAACTCTTGTAGAGTGCACAATCTGAACATCCTACATGGCAGTCCTGCGAGGACCTCTGACATCCCTGCCCTAGCTTCATTTTCCTACTATGTAAAATGGGGCTGATGTCTGCTTTGCCTCCTGGAGTGAATATCTGTAGAAATACCATGAGCAAATTCATATGAAGGCAATTCTTAAACTGTGAGAGCTCCAGAGTTGTATGCTCTCATTAGAGATAATAGTGGAATTTGTCGAGTAGACAAGTTTCAATCGTGGAACCAGGGAATAAAATTCAAAAGAGGGTAGAGTGTTTGCAAGGGAGTGAGGGAGTCAGGAAGGAGCCATAGCCTAGTAATAAAGAGAATCCAGGAGGGTGGGCGAAGGGGAAGCTGGGAGGGGGCACAGGGCTAGTGGCTTCCTTTGGACCAAGGCCGGCGTGATGGAGAGGAAATACTCCGGGGGGGAACACTGGGCCTGCCGCAATAAAGAGAACCTAAGGGAGTCAAGACCCCAGGCTTTGCTGCTTGTTCAAAGGGCGGCGAGTGTGGCACTGATGCTCCCAGCGCCGGGCATCGCGGCTTCCTTTTCTCTTCTCGCAGACGCGCGGGTCCGCAAAGCATTCCTCCTTTAACTATCTGGTGGCCTGGGCTGCCTGGTGGCAAGGCTGTTCCCACGAATCAAGATAAAGTGATTCCCCCACCTCCAGCCGCTCTTCTCTCCCACTCAGCTCGTGTTCTTCGCCTTCCCCCAGCGAGCGAGGCCGGCGAGCTAGACTGCCTCACCGAGGCGGCTCCCGGTACCGTCTGTGGCTCTGCTGGGACCTCTGGAAGCCCCGCGGCCCCGGCGCGCCACGTGTGGTTCCCGTACTTAAGGCCTCCCGCCAGCCCCCACCCAGCCTCCCTTCCCGCCCCAGCTGGCGCAGGAGGGCGGGTACCGCCCTTTGGAAACACCCAGCGCCCTGAGAGGGCAAGACAAGCCGCCTTCCCCGCGCCACAGGAGAATCCGCCCTGAGCTGCTCAGGACAGACCTTGGTTCATCTGTGGGCGGGGACTGGGGCAAGGGTGGCAGTCCTCTAAGGCAGGGGTAGAGGGTGAGGGGAGGAAAGTTGCAGAAAAGAAGGAAGGGAATAGGAGGATGAAAGAGAGAAGAAGGAAGGAAGGTGGTGGGGGTGGAAATGGAGGGAGCAGGAGGGAGAAAGAGAAGAGAGAAAAATGGAGTAAGATAGGGCAGAAAGGATGGGAAAGGAGAGGAAAGAAGGAAAGAGGGATGGGGAAAGGAAGGGGAAAAGGTGAGAGGGATGAGAAGGAGTGGGTGGGAAGGAGAGGGAGGAAAGAGAAAGGGGAGGAGGAGGAAGGAAGTGAGGATGCAGGGTGAAGTTGAAGGGGAGTGAGTAGAAGAGGAGACAGAGGAAGAAAAATGAAGTTGGCAGAAAGGGGCCAAGGAGAAAAGGAAGGGAAGAGGGAAGGCTATGAGAAAGAGGAGGAGGAGGAGGGGAAATGGGACCCAAGGGTTTGAAAGGAAAGGGAACAGAAAAGAAGGAGGAAGAGAGGACAGAACAGCTTTGGTTCTGCTTCTTGTCCTTTTAGACTCCAGTGCCACACTCCTCAGCGTGTGCACGCAGACACACACACACACACACACACACACAATTTCTATGAGGAACTTCGTAAAAAAGAAGCCATATAAAAGGGTGAATAAGGGAAGGAGGACCATAGAGAAAAGCCAGGTGTATAAAAGAGTTTTGAAGCAACACATCCTGTCCCTGGATTTGAGAGTGGCTGGAGACAGAAGTCCTGGCCCACTGGCAGGCTGGACAGGCGGCCAGCAGGAGAGCCAGTGGGTCCAGGTGCAAAGCCCCAGTCTGTTTATTCTGTCTCATTTAGAAGGTGCACTGTGGAAGCAGGTAGCAACCTGCCCTGATCATTAGGTACCGCATTTATGAAATGGAAATCATGTAAATGCCTGCTTTACAGGGATGTTGAAGTTAAATCAAGTTAAACAAACAAATATGCCTCTAGGAGATGCTGCTGGTCCCTCACCTGGGCTGGCACACCCATCCCCCAGCTGCTGAATGTTGGCTGACCTCTTTGCAAGATGGGAGCCCTCTTGCCCTGAAAATGCTCCAGAGGTTACTATCCTGCCCCCTGGGGCTACTGGCAGCCATTGCCTGTCAAAGGGGAAGGGGAAATACAAAAACTCATCACCTTTCCTCAAGGTAGTTAACTGTGTGGTGCTCTCACACTCCAGAGCTTCCTGCTCAATTCCTATCTTGCACTCTGTCTGTCTCTAGGGAACCGGACCTAAGACAGCCCCTTCCTGAGAATTAGTTGTCAGACAGCTGGGACCAAGGATGGGCCTAAGATTGAGGAGTGGGCCTTTTGGAAGTGGAGGGGCCACACACAGCTTTGCCCCAACCTAGATGGGCCAACTATGTGAGCTTCTGGCAGGTCCTAGGCTGTTCTGGGCTAGTCACACCTCCCCTAGGAGGATTGGAAGAGGGAGCTGGGTGGGATTCAAATGAATTTTAAAATAAGCTAGGGGGCTTTTCCCCCAGGCTATGGTTTCCTGGGACATAAGGCAGCCGTGAGCTTTTGCAAACAAGGCTGACACTGTCCCTCAAAATCCCCAAACAGCCACTGAGAAGCCTGTGGGGTGGGGAGGCAGGGAGGAGACGAGGCTGCTGATCTTAGGGACATTTGGTGATGGGGAACTTTGGGAATCATTTAAGGGATGAGAAGGAATCAGGGCACACTTGAATGGGGGAGGTGCCCGCAAAGCTTCCATTTGTGTGCAATTAGTCTAGGGATGCCCTCATTTGCATAAGGTTCATAAATTTGCATAAAATTGCTTGAGGCCCTAACCACCAGTATAGAAAATAAAATAACATGAATCAATTAGTGGGCTTCGCTGTGATTGGAGCAAGCGTGGTGTTGGGGAATCTCCTTCTCATGACTCAAACAGCCCTGGGTTGGCATGAAGGCAGCTGGAGTGCAAGACCCACAGACCAGCTAAGCTGCCTGGGAGGGGCCCTAGGAGGAAATCCCTGTCCCCACCCTGCCCATGCAGGGAGGGATGGGGCAGTCCCACAAGTGGGGACAAGTAGGTGGGCAGAGGAGATATGAAATCGGGGCCTGAGCCAGCACATGTGAGCTGCAGGTCAGGGCTGGTGGAGAAGATGTGAGAGGACCCCATGCATGACAGGAAATGTGGGGAAAAGGGAAGGGAAAGAGAAGGGAAACTCGTCATTTCAGCCCCAGTGTTTATGGAGGGCCCTTATGCCTCTGGCCTGAGCTCAATACACATTCTCTCACTCGATTCTCATGACAATCTTAGGAAACTGATGCAATTATCCCATTGTAGAGGTGAAGAAATATGACTTCAGAGCACTTACAGCTTTGCACAAGATAGCACTAGCAAATGGCAAATCTGGCCTGTCCAGCTCCAGAGGCCCATAGTAACTCCCCAGTGAGCACAGGGCCTGGCATCCAGCAGGAGTGCAGTAAATATTTATTTAATACATGACTGATGTATGTGGAGATGAGCTTTGAGGGGAGGTGAAGGTCAAACTGAGGATGCCATGGCAATTCTTAAGAGAAAACAGGTTAAAAGTGAGCTCTAAGATGCAATTCCTTTTTTTTTTTTTTTTAAAAAAAAAAAAAGCAAATCCTATCAGTCATCTTGGGAGTCTGGGAACATGTAAATAAATCATGTTTCTCCCCCATGATAATTTCTGTGAGCTGGGCTTTTGGTTCCTCTTTGGCATTTCCCCATCCTGCCCTATCTGCTTGCCCACCTTCCGAGCCCTGCCCACACTTGCCCATATGAGGAATTTTCAATTCTGGTCTGGAACCCGTGGTCCTTGGTGAGTCAGCCGTGGCCATAGCTAATGAAGAAGCTGAGGTTGTAGAGCCCAAGCTTGTTTCCCACGGCTGAAATGACATGGGCTCTTATCTTACATTCCCATCCACTAGCAAGCCTAGTGCTGCTAAATCAGCTAGTGCTGATGAATCACCAATTTCTCTCTCCATCTCTCCCTTTCTCTTTTGCATTGACCCTGCTGGTTTATAAGAACCCTCAGGATTTTTTTTTGTCTCTGCTCTCTCCCTGAACCTCCTCCTCCCCCAGAGTCATTGTTAATGAATCAAATTGCCCTTCGACTTGAATTACGGGGAAAGCAGCCTCACCCACTACTTGCGGTAGATGGGGTGGCTGCCCCCAGATCCACACTGGCCTTGTTGCAATGACTCAGAGTGGATGTTTATTTTTGAATCTCACATCCTTTATCTGAGAAAATGGACTACCGATGGGAAACAATTACCTACCACTTACCCCACAGGGCTGATGGGAGCAGATGGCACATGCGATGGAGAAGCAGCACAGTGCATTAATGTCATCAGCAACGATCACAGCCATAATGAGTCCACATCACGGGGACTGAAAACCAGAGAGAGGAAAGAGCAACAGCTGGGCACTCCTTTAGCCAGATCTGGTTGCAACCACCCAAATGGCTTGTTCCAGTTTCACTAATAGGCAGAGGGTGATGAGAGGCTACAAGGGGACCCACAGAAAACAGCCACTGCTTTCAACCCTGCTGATTATCAGGGAGCCCCTCTGCAGAGAGCACACGGCAATTCATTGTTTACCTGGATCCACTGAAAGGCTTTCTTCTGCTCTGACTAAATACAGTGTGTGTGTGTGTGTGTGTGTGTGTGTGTGTGTGTGTGTGTGTATGTGTGTGTGTGTGTGACCACACAGTGCCTCTGACAACTTTGCCCAGAAAAAATGCAGGGGACAGTCAAAGTAAGGTCTATAAAGCTAGGAGTAATGTTCAAAGATAATACATAATGGATGTGAGAAAGACTTGCAATGACACTTCATGATTTGGTGAATTTGGAAGCTGTGATATCAGGGATTGTAAAGAGAAGATGACAGGCCAATTTCTTAGCTATAGAGAGGACAAGGATGGGGACCAAGAATCCAGCCAGCATCCCTGACACTTCAGAGGGGTTCAGGTAGAAAAAAAAATCAGCCCACTGCAGCATGCCTGTTCCTTCCCCAGCTTGCACCAATACCATTACTTTGCTCCCCATCTTCTCCCATATTCCCTTTTCTTTTACCTTTTGCAAAGCCCAGAACAGCTCAAGGACGCCTTCACATTCTTTCCTTCCTTTCCAGCCCAGCCCTGCCGCGAGCTCTATACAATTGCCATGAACATTAGGGTCTTAGCATAAGATGTCCGGGATTGACAAGTTTCCAAGACAAAACTTGGCTTTGAACGTGGCTTTGTCTAACTCCAGAGGCCGGTGGGAGCCTCCCATGGATCATCTGGCTTCCAGAAGGAGGTCATGGAACCCATGGTTTCTATGTTCTTTCCCCTAGGTCAGTGGAACGTGACTTTCCTGCAAGCCAATCTAATCAAGTGTTAGAAATCTGGGGAGTTCAGAAGCCACTTCGTGGTTCTGAGGCTGAATTCTCAGCATTCCTGACGCTTCTGAGTTCCAGTTTGGCTTCTATTCCTGTTTCAGATTGAAGCTATAAATTTAATTATAGGGTTTATGGTTCCTAAATCTTTGATGGGGGCAGAGGGAGGAGGTGCAGGGCAGGTTTATCTTACCAGCTGTTCCCAAGTGAGAAAGTTTTTGCTGGCACCTGTCTGCAGGCAGTGGGTGAGCTCTTGAAGGTGCACAGCTAGATTCAATAGAACTCAAGGGCTCCAAATAAGTTGGGTCATTTTGAGGAGCATTAATATTTGCAGTGACTATTTAAAATTAAAATCATAGAATGCAAAAGTCAGAAACAAACATAGGGACAGATTTGTACAATCCCCTCATTTGGCAGAGAAGGAAACTGAGGATCAGAGTGGGTGCATGACTTGTCCAAGGTCACAGGGCTTATACTAATTGTCTGACTCTACTTGACAATACAGGCTTCTGGACTTAAGACTGAGGTATTTTCTACTATACTATACACTCCATTGACCATCTTTATTCCATGTCACAGCATAGATTTTTTGTTAACTGTTTTGTGTAAACAAGGATGATATTTATCAATATAAAGCATAAGTGTTTCACGGTTTAGTTTATCTTTGCTTCCACATATTTGTTAGTTGCTGTGAACACTCAGGAACTCCTCGACTCACTGGGTCTGGCTTCTGTCTCAACCACTCCATTGAATTGCTTTTTGTGACTCCCTATTTGTTGCTACATTCAAAGGATACTTACCAGACCTCATTTTACTGAACACCTTGGCAGCATTTGACACTGCCGACCCCATCTCCTTCCCTTGAGTGTTCTAGCTCAGTGCTACTCAAAAAGCGTGCGTGGTTTGTGGACTGGGACCAGTAGGCCAACTGTTGCTGGTCTGCAGGGAGAGGAGTAGAGAAACTGAGAATAATAGAAACTTTTGTAGCAATTTGACAGAGTAATTTTTGTTTGCTGAATCTACTACAAAAAAATGAAGCTTGCATTTTGAATGGCTTATTGGACTTTTTGTTAATTCGTTTTTATTGCATTTTATTCCATAAGTATTAGTCTGCTACACATTGGGGGGAAAATCCCTGATCCTTCTCCATAGGTAGTGTAAGAAACACTGCTGTAGATCCTTATATTTTTCTGACCCTGGCTCTCCTGGCCTCATTCCTACTTTATCCACTGTTTTTAAAAAGTTTTGCGTGTCTCCAGATCTCTCACTGCCATAGATTTTCCTTCCCTTATGGGCTCCTATCATCTCTTGAATGTCAGCACAGAGGCCACCCCCTCTAGGAAGCTTTTCCTCTGTGCCACTCCCATAACAGTCTCTATCAGACTTTATTGTGACTGCAAGGCATCATTGTTTCCCCAGCTCCTAGCCCAGTGCCTGGCACACAAGGTAACCCCAATCAGTCTTTGTGGTATGAATGAGTTTCATGTGAGGTGGCCTTTAGATCACCTTCTGGAGCACCCCATTCACCAAGTTTGAAGGCATTTTCCTTCCACTCATTCCCTCCTTTTTACTTTGCCCTCCTTAACTCTTGTAGTAATCATCCAATTGTCAAAAATTAACAGAGAATTCAGAAGTGGCACCAGGTTACAAACCATCCTGTTTGGTATATGAATTTCCTTTTCTGGGGTGGGGAGAAGGAACAGCAGTGATCTTTCACCCAGAGAGCTCATTCCAATGATGGTCTCATTGCATCCTGGAAATCTGCCAGTCCACATGAAGGAATTGTCTCACCTTGATTTAAGCACAGATGGGGAATCAGGAGCTTGGCTTTAAGTCCTGGCCAGAGAGAGTAGTGCCCATCAGATGGAATGCCACAGCCTCCCCATTCCCAGGTCTCAGTGTCAGGTAGGGTGAATGAATGTCAGTCAGGGTGACCCCTGGGGCTAAGCTAAGGAGGGGCATTAATTAGTGATCCTATAGCACACTGAAAATAGAAATGCCAAGTGTTGTTATTAATAGTCGTGTTTCCTCTGCTTTGGTTTCTCAGGTCCCTTATACTTTCACTTCAGAACCTCTGGAAAGTAATGAGAAATGTTTTTCTTAGAGAGAAAAAAAAAGAGACGTAATTGTATTATACCTCACCTCAATATGGTGGGAAAAATAAAATGCAGATGAATATGATACAGTTTCTACAGTAACCCTGAAGACTGAAACCCTAAGGAAAAGGTTGTTTTAATACATAACAATGTAAAACTTTGGGCTGGGCGTGGTGGCTCACGCCTGTAATCCCAGCACTTTGGGAGGCTGAGGTGGGTGGATCACCTGAGGTCCGGAGTTCAAGACCAGCCTGCCCAACATGGTGAAACCCTGTCTCTACTAAAAATACAAAAAATTAGCCAGGCGTGGTGGCACGCACCTGTAGTCCCAGCTACTCAAGAGGCTGAGGCATGAGAATCGCTTAAGCCTGGGAGGCAGAGGTTGCAGTGAGCCGAGATCATGCCATTGCACTCCAGCCTGGGCAAAATAGCGAAACTCCATCTCAAAAAAAAAAAAAAAGTAAAACTTTGATATTGAAAAATAGCCAGAAACAATTAAAAGACAAGTGAAAATCTGGGAAAAAGATTTTTTACATAGATGGCAGCTGAAAGAAGAGTATCCTTAATATGTAAAGTGCTCTTACAATCAATAAAGGCAAAAGGCATGAGTAGGCAATACACAAAAGAAGAAACATAAATCAACTATATATGAGGACTGAAGAGGTTCAGTCTCACTGGTAATCAAAGAGATGCCAAATAAAACAGCACCATAGACTCCCTTTTGTTTATCAGATTGGCAAAGATGAAACATATTGATCATATCCAGGCAAAGTCAGAGGAAATGGGCAATTCCATTTGTCATTAATGGGATTGTAAATAGGTACAGCCTTTCTGAAGAATGCTTTGACAATGCATAACAAAAGCCTTGTCCTCTGACTCACAGATTCTACCTTTAGGAATAATCAAACAAGTACACAAAGATGTGTATGACAAGATTGGTCATCTCAGTGAGGTTTACAGAGGCAAAAGTGGAAGCAATCTAAATATTCAGGGGTAGCTGATTGGTGAGGCATACAGTGGAATAGTATGTAGTCACTTTAAAAAGATGTATAGCTTTATTGATATGGAAAAGTGTCCATGACATGTTGTTGCCACTAATTGAAAAAATAAAGTTGGAAATAGGGAATAAAGAATGATTTGATTTTTGAGCATTTTAAAAGTGTGTGTGTGTGTATGTGTGTGCATGCATATGCACGCCTGTGTGAAAACCTGTGTAAAAGTACTCTGCGATGATACCTTTTGAATGATGAGATTATAGGCGATTTTTATTTTCTTATTTTGTATTTTTTCATAATTTACTGATGTTTCTACAATGAAAATTGATAGTCATCACCACTGAAAAATATGTTTTGGAGAAGACTTCATCTAGTTATTCTGGCTGTTTTACAGGGGTGGAAGAAGCAACAAATAAATACAGAAATAAAAATAAGGAAGTAAAAAATTCAATCAGTGGTAAATTTGATTGCTCCTATCTGAAATCATTATTTTAGTACTCATTTTGGTATCTACCCACTTTATTCATGAGAGCTTCCCTACCCCTAGCAGCCCTGACTTTTTCTTTTGAAAATATCCTGGAACATTCTGTCTATCACATTAGCTGCCCCTGAAATCATTACTGGGTATAATACTTTTATTTTTATTTTTTAATTGCTAATAAAAAATAATTGCCAATTAACTCTAATGAATTCTTAATGAAAAATGATCTCCCCCCAGGGACATATATTACAATCTCAAATCTCTGAGTGAAGCTGTGCAGAGAGGCCTCACTGAGCTAATCTCCACTGGGATCACCCTCACCAAGTGCTCAGGGTACCCTTCCCCTTTGGTGGGAGCCAACAACCCCACCAGTGCCTCTAAGTGACCTTCCCACATGCCAACTTCTGGTTATATTTTTACAGGGACAAATCAGGGCCTGACCCATGTTTAGAAATGTAACCTGAGATTCCAAAGTGTCTTCTGTTAATAAGTGTTACGTTATCTCATGCTAACTATTAGAATGGGAATATGAAGAGTTTACCAATTTTTTCCTAAGATTTGTTAGAGAAATAAAAGCATAGAAGAATTATAGTTTTCTGGACTGTATTATTATATATCAAAAGATATATATATATACACCTTACGTATATACTATATATACATCATTAGTTTGAATCATGTGAAATTTCTGATATTAAACTCTTTGATCTCTCAACCTAGTATATTATTGTTACGTTGGTAGTATCTAGACGTATTATGCTATTAGGAGAATTAAATAGATAATAATATTTTGATGTCGTGTTTGTTGCCTTTGTAGAACACTGAAAATCTTTTTTCAGGGAAGAAAAAAAAGTGAGCATTTTAAGCAGATTTCCCACTGACCAAAGTATACCTATGTGTGTATGAATGTGTGTATTTCCTTAGAAACTGAGCAGAAAACCATCCCACCTGTTTCTAAAAATTAGTCTTAATCTGACTTCCTCCTGTGCCTTGACCAATAATTGCTTTTTGAGTCTGCTTCTTTTTTTTACCACTTGTATCCTAAAAAGGGGGAAAAATCTTCCCAGGTGACATTACCATATTGCTTTGATTTTACACGTTACATTTCTGCCGATTCCCTTTAGAAAGCATTCCATTCTTTGATAGCTGGCCAGAGAAGTGAAGCAACCTGCCCAAGGTCACACAGTTAATTAGAACAATCTGGGAATATAACCTTGGGCTTTTCCACCTTTTCACCCTGCAGAGGAAGTGAGGGCTATTATCATCAGCTCCCCTCATGAAGAACAGGTTGGCTAAGTTAAATAGCAGGGCCAGGAACCAACAGCCTGGAAGGTCTGAGGGAAAAGATCATCAGCTGACAAATTATCGTGATCATTATTAATGTTATTATTCATATGCTATGTCTGCAGCAGAAAACACAGGTTTATTTAAAATGCACATAATAATTTGAGTTTGCTCCAACATTTATTTTCTGTCTAAATCATTTTTTAACTGATATGAATGCAAAGACTTCTAAAGACAAAAAAACAAGTCTTTTTAAAAATCCATAACCTTAAATTAACACCACATTTATTTACACTGCTGCTTGCAGCCCAGAACTTTCTCCTTTTTAACGCTTCAGTGACATTGGCAAGCCATATTTCCACCTCTTCTTGACTCAATTTTTATTTTTTCTAGTAACAACTGCATTGGAAGACCAAAACACAATGCATTTTGCAGAAAGAATCCGAATGGGATTTTTAGTAAGTTGGCCTGACCACTTCCCCAGCAAAAAGATGCCTCTAATTGATCTCTACGTAGAAATGGCAGCTGGTGATGATAACCACTGTGCTCTGGTGGGTAATTATTTTATCAGGACAAGCATTTCTGTCATGATAAGAGAAAAACAGCAGGACTTGGGGAGAGACACCCAGGACAGACAGACACAGATAAGACCCAGCAAGAACCTGACTGCAGGACCACAGTCACACAACCTTAAATGGAAAGTTTCTGATAACCCCTGATGGATTGGAGCCAGGTGGGGGCAGAGAGGGGATTTGGGGGGAAACTGCACGTTTGGAGGGTCAGAAAAGGCCTGCTCCCCGGACAGCCTGCACTTGCCCGGAGCTTTGTTAGGGGGCGCTGTGGGGCTGCAAGTGCTGCTTCACCACCCTACAGAACTGCTGGCTTCCCAAGGCCTATGGCGGTTAAAACCCCCATAGCTCTTTTGGCAAAGAGTAGGTGTGTCCTGGCCAGGTTCCAGTTTGGGTAATTACAGCCTGTCAACCTAAATTCCCCCCAGGATTGCAGTTAAATATGGTACCCGTCTTCACAATTAAATTTTAGCTCTAATAGGACACTAGATTGTCATGTTACGTGACAGTTAAATAGCAGCTGCATCATACCCCAGAGGTAGCTGCACTTTTGTGGTGACTACAAAGATTTCTCTGGGTGTAATAAGTGACCTGTATGGACAGAAATGTGTGTGTGTGGGAGTGGGTGGTGGGGGGTTTCTGCCAAATTGTAGTTGGTAACTATAGGACTTTGCTCATCACTAAAAATTTTTTCAAATGTTTCAGGGAAAAAAATTATGGAGAACACTTAATTACTCCAATATCATTTGCAGTTCTTTTACCTGAAAATAAAAATCAAGATGCTAGGTTGTTGCAGGACAGAGGAGGCCTCCAACTACCATCCATGTCACAGGCATCCTTGCCTTTCTCTAAAGACGTCAGGCACTCTCTCCTCCCTTCGCCTGTGTCCTTGCTTCTCCCACAGCCTGGAACACCTTTCTTTTGTTCTCTGCTTACAGAGGCTGTTTATTCCACCAAGGTCCAGCTCAAATGCCACCTCCTTCATGTTGTGGTCCACAATCCACAATTAAGCGTGTCTCCTCTTAGGACACCCATACCATGTTGCTATTATCCTTACTCAGAATTTATTTAAATGCGTCTTATAATGAGTTGTTTACACAACTGGCACAGGCACTAAACTAAAGCTCCCTGAGGGCAGGAGCACAATGCTTAATATTCCTGAAAGAGAGAAGGAAGGCAGCCTCTCTCTCCTTTCCAAGAGCATAAATAAGAATAACTGGTATTTAGGGAATGTGTACTATATGTTAATCATTTTTCTAAGCACTTGGCATGTATTGACTCATTTAAACCTCACCATCCTATAAAGCATAATTATCATTGTCCTGTTTTATAGAGGAAAATACTGAAGCACAGAGAGGTTCAATAATTTGCCAAAGGTCACACAGCCAGTACATGGTGGCACCAAGAGGGAAAGCCATGAGGCTTATCCCCAGAGCCTCATACCTTTATGCTGCTGTATAGCATAGGTTTTTAATTAAACACATCAGTATCTCAACTGCCTTTCAAGTTTCAAATCAATCCAGGTCTGCAAAAGCACAAAGCTTTTTCTAAAGGGGGAAGTGTGAGGATGGGGGAAGTTGATGGCACACAATCTACCTGTCTCCATTTTAGTTTGGCTATCCTAAATAACAAAAGGGCTGCTTTCTGAAATCCACATTCTTGTTTGTCAGTTTCCATCCTTGGGCAATTATTTCACACTGAAAATGAGAAGGTGATAATCTAAAGTATTCGCAGCCAGTCTTGCCTACAGAGGTGTGAGCAAGGAGGAAGATAGCATGTTATGATTAGAGAGGGAAGAAACAAACCCCAGTGATTGCAATGCGTAAGAAGGGGTTAGTCTCATTATTCTAATGCATAGTTTTCTGCATCCATAGAAATATTTCATTCCAACAAGTTAATTCCTTTAAGTGGCGAGCGCTGAGTGTGGCAGACACGATTATCTTCCTTAGGTTTCTTACCACTTTCTCCCCATCCGGCTGGGGGAAGGACTTCTGCAGCTCACCTCATGCAATTAGAAACAGCCCCACAGGGCAGAGGTGCAGCCTGCGTTCTGAGATACTCTTCTGCTGCTGAAATAAAAACAGCCTTTGAGAATATTCTCCTGCCAAAATCATTTTAGCATTTCACTGTCACACAGCAGGAGGCCCAGAGAGAGAGAGAGAGAGAGAGAGAGAAAGAGAGAGTGAGAGAGAAAGAGAGCGCACATCCTTTCTGCGCACAACCGGCAAGACCTCATGAGTCTTTCCTGTGTACAAGGAAATTAATTAATTTCCTTTCTTATTTTTGTAAAAAGGGGCCATAAAAACATAGTTCAAGATGTTACATTTTCATAAGGAAGAAGTCTCAATTGTAAATGAGTTCCTCATTAAGACAAGGCTGTAATTAGATTGCCCGTAGTGATGATGAATGGGGAGGTTGAAGGGTCTTCGCTTTTTTCTGGGGAAAGAAACATCCTCGAAGGCGGAGGCAAGGGCTGCCTCGGGCGGCCACTCTGGTGCCAGTGCCAAAGACTGTTCTCTCTCATGAAGCTGAAAGAAGAAAGTGTTTCTAAACCTAGGGAAGAATAACAACAGGAAAGGCAATTTAGAGGGTGAGCCAAGGTGGTTTCCTAAACAGAGGCCAGCGTGCCAACAGGGGGCGCTGTACCTCTCCCTAGCTGACTGATCCCCAGTGCTTTTTGCACAATCTCTTTCAACTTGGGTATAGTTTCTCTCTTGCAGTTACTGAAAAGAGGCGAGAACTTGGCAGTTCCTACTGCCCCTTCATAAATGCCTCATTTATTTTTATTTCTACATTCCTGTTATGGGCAGAATTGTATATTGTGTACCCCTAAGCTTCATATGCTGAAACCCTAACCCCCAGTACTTGTACCTCAGAATGTGACTGTATTTGCAGATAGGGTCTTTTTTAAAGAGGTAATTAAATTCATATGAGGCCGTTATGGTTGGCTTAATCCAAGGTTGGCAAGAGGTGTCCTTATAAGAGGAGAGGATTTGGACACACAGAGAGACACCAGGGGTGTGCATGCACAGAGGAAAGACCATGTGGGGACACAGGGAGAAGGTGGCCATCTGCAAGCCAAGGAGAGAGGCCTCAGGTGGAATCAAACCTGCTGACACCTTGATTTTGGACTTTTAGCTTCCAGAACTGTGGGAAAATGCATTTCTCTGTTTCAACCACCCAGACTGTGGTATTTCGTTATGTTAGCCCAAGCTAACTAATACGATAGCAGAGTAGTTTTTTCAAAATATGGTCTGTGGATCACTTTCATCAGAAAGTGATGAGTGGATTAAAGTACAGGTTCCCATCCTGGGATTTAAATCTCTAGGGTCCAGGAATCTGCAGTCTTTCACAAGCACCTCAGGTCATTTTGGTGCACACTGAAAATGGGAAGTTCCTGCAGCATGAATTTGCTGAGAGAAAGGTCACCTCCATGGTGATCTGAAGGAGCTGCCCGAAGGCCACACTGCCTGAAACCCCACCATTAGGAAGGCATTCTTTGAAGTTAAACATTGCCCTCTCCCTGGTGGATCTCTTTTCAGTGCAAATAGCTCCTGGACGGAGGTGACAAATTAAGTCAATAACTTTTGAGTATGAATTCATTTATCAGCTGAATTCCTGTGTGATTGGAAGGATGCCAAACCTCAGAAAAACCTGAAAGTGGGAAGGCATAGGGGGGCTGGCTGAGAGATAGTGGGGTGGTCCACACTGGAAGAAGGTGCCACCTTGACAATCTTGCTCCAGACTAGCCCCAGTGAAAGCAAGGTAGTCCCTAGATGGGCAGCTTAAAAGCACACAGTTCACTGCTCTCTGACAGGAAGAGAAACAAAGGGATGGTATCTAGGCTTTGGGGACAAGACAGCCAACTCTTGGATATCTACTGTTTTCTTGTCTGCTTCTTGGAAGCTGAGGGCAAAATCAGGCCTACTTCTTTCCCTTCCTGAGAGTTAAGTGTGTAGGGATCAGCTGAGGTGATAGAAGAGGGGTGATGGGGGTAAGGAGTGGATATACACAGGCCTGAGATGCAAAATATGTTTAACAACTGGTATGCCATAGGCATGGACCCATTAGAATAGAAGCCAGCCAGAGGCTGGAGTGGGATCCTGAATATCGTCTTTATGCAGGAGTTAACCTTTCATTCGCTGGCTTGTCTGAAGTCCTGGCCTGAAACTTTACCCGACACTCAGGGCATAGGCACAGGCCCAAATGGGTGGGATGGTGACCCAGTAGGTCTGAGGCAGCTCTTTAGTCTCTCTTTGCATTCCCATTGCTTTCATTCTTATTTATTTATTGATGTATTTACAAGGAAGGAAAAGGCATCCTCTCCACCCCTTCCCACTTTCAGGTTCAGGCCCAGTGTACTCTAAGTCAAAGCAATTCACATGTGACTGCAGCACACCTGTGTCCTCCACTTCCTGCATCTTCCAGGAGGTCTAATAGGCTGAGAGTATCAGCAAGTGGGCAAGGGCTGTACTCCTGACTGCTGACAAGTGGCCACCTTAGAGAGGGCTGCCAGAGGGCCAATGCACTAATGGCTGTCTCAGAAACCACAGCACTGAAAATAATAATGGGCTGAAACTCAGAGCCCTCTACAGGCTCCCCGCCCCCCAAATCAGAGCCTCAGGGATGTGCCAACTGCCAGGGCACAATCTAGCCCACTGGGTGCTCCACATGGAGAAACACTTTCTGGCTTCCCCTTCTTCATGGCAAAAGGTGAATCTAACATGAAGTCTGCAAACACATCGACCCAGGCTCCCAAACCCTATTCACTGAAGTAGCAGATGGTTGGAGGAGAGCAAGGACCAGCCAGGCCAGAACATTCACTGGCAAGCCACTCTTCTTTCTCAAGACAGCGTTGATTGTAATAGCAGATAGTGTTAGTGCTCCACTCAGACCCCCTTGGATCCCTGTTGATCCTTTGCGTACTCTGCCCCCTTCACTGTGCTCTTACTTCAAACACCTAGCACCTATGCTCTGCTTCGGGAGGACAGCCCCCAGACTAAAAGTAGGGAGCCACTTTGCACGCATTTGCAGGGAACTGGAAGTACCTGGGTGACTCTCCGTCATTGACTGCTGGAGGCAGATGCATGAAACCTAGCTCTTTTACCCATAGTGGGGCAATTCTGAGGCACAATTTACCCTCCAGAACTCCCCTGCAGATTGGGCTAAGGCTGCAACTCACCTGAGTGTGCCCTTGCCCAGCTTCTTCCTTTCTCTTTCCCTACTTCCCCTCCTTCTTTGCAGGTCTCCCCTGGGAGGGCTTCTTCACCATTCACTTGCTTGCAAATCCTCATCCTAGGGTCTGCTTCTGGCAACCCAGCCTAGAGTTTGCATACAAAATCCTAAGTTTTCCTCCCATTAGCATCTCATAAGCAAAAGAAATGCTCTGCTCCTATTCTCTCTCTCTCTCTAATTACCTTTACCCCACCTCCCCATAAGCCAGCTCTTCCTCCAGACCCCTCTGTTGCCTTTAGAAAGACCCACCATTTTCTTTGACACCAAATTCAGAAACATGGGTATCTTGCATTGTCTCTACTACCCAAGCATTCTTCCCTACTGCCACCCTCCTAGCTTAGGACCCTTTCCTTCTCCTCCCAGACTAATACAGCCAGCCCTCAGTATTAGGTGTCTACCTTCTACCTCCCACTGTTCCAGAATACCTTGGACACTGCTGGCAAATGGATCCTGCCCAGGTCGAATTTCTCCATCCCTCCCCCGATTACAAAGTTTTCAGTGACTTGAAAATTCTGGCTGAAGTAAGTGTATCCTTTTTGTCTGGGCATTCCAGGCTCTCCCCAACATGCCTCCAGGCTGCATCTCCAAATTTTTGAGGGCCAAAATGGGAAGCCACCACCTACACTCAGCACATTCCCTCAAAGTAAGCCTTTTTAATATGTTGAGATCATCATGGTGGTCAAGACCGTGGTGCAAAGACAATAGATGAAGAACTGTGCTAGACAAACACATTGAGGAGACACGAGTGAGACACACTGAATGAGACACATTGGGAATCAGAGAGGGTATGGAGCCATTTTTATTAATTTTCCTCTGGTTTGAGAATCTAGATTCACTTTTACTTACTCGCATTTTACAAGAGCCATATAGTGTTTTTGGTTCCTCCCCCCTAACACCTGTTTAGTT
This sequence comes from Homo sapiens, assembly GCF_000001405.40. NCBI lineage: Eukaryota > Metazoa > Chordata > Mammalia > Primates > Hominidae > Homo > Homo sapiens. Next base: position 39,146,427 of record NC_000023.11, on the reverse strand, counting down.
GGGTCTTTAATCAGGCTTCTGTCCAGCCCTTAGGACTTCAGGTTCTCCACTGTGCCATGCAGCAGGCACCCACCCACGGCCTTCACCTTGGGCAGGACACGTGCTCATGTTTTGGAAGTTTCATGCCTGCCACTCAATTAACCCAAATTCATAAAATCATGTATAAAATGTGTGTCCTGGCTTTTTCTTCTTCCAGGCCCCCATCTCCCAGGTTTCTAACCCTGGGCTTAACTTCTCTAGGTAGACCTTCAATCTGCCATCTCTGGTGTAGCATGGGCACAGATCTAATGCTTTCCCACCCATTCTCTACAAGAACCTGTGTTCTCCCTGTCACAAGTTTGTCTTTGGCAGCCCTGGGCAAATAACCTCTCAGCTCAGCCAAGCTCTGGAAACTTTTCCAGGGACAGTCTGTGATCTGTTTTAGTCCTCTGCCTATTCCTTTGACTATTTATAAACTCCTTGAGTGTGGTGGGCATTCAATTGTGTTGCCTAGATCCCCCTTCAAGGAAGGACTTGATGTCCAGCTCTGCAGACAGCTTCCAGTTGTCAGCCCCTTCAGAGTCTGCCTAAACGCTGAGACTGGCCTTGTCATGTCCTTTCTGGGGTGGCCCATGTCTGGTTTAGTGAGCAAGGCAGGGCTGTAGAAACCTGGCCATTTTGGTCTGGTGTTGTACCCTCTGAGGACAGTCTTTGTTCCAGAGTTTGCCTGACTGGCGGAGGCTTCGTTGGGTCTGCATCACACACAGTTCCAGGTCCTTCTTTGCAGAGTTTTTATTTCTCCCCCTTCTTTTCACAGGTGTTGATCCCCCACAGACATCTCATACCCAGAACTCTGCCTCAGCATTTGTATCTGGTGATCACAACATGTAGCTCTGGATCAAGGGGCATGGCTATGCCTCTCTGTGTCCCTTACAGCACTTACCTGTGGGGTTTGCTTTAGAAGACGACTTGCAAATGTTTGCTGATTGAATTGCTGCTAGTAATTACTAACATTGAAGGAGTAGGCCCATGTACCTGGCACCAAATGAAGCAGGTAGATCATTTTACATGAATATATCCTTCAGTCCTCAGAGAACCCCATGAGAAAAGCACCATTATTTCTCCCTTTTTCACAGATGAGGAAACTAACGCACAGAAAGTAAGCAACGACGTGAGAACATGAGCCCAGGCAGTCTGACTCCTGAACCAAAACTCCTCCCCCCCATGTTGGAGCTAAGCTCTAGATGCAGCTGACTGTTGATCACTAACAGTTAACAGGAACCATATGGTGACACGAGGCAGTGTCAGAAAGCCAAAGGGGAACTGACACAACGTTGGAGTGGTAGGCATTCATGTGGGACTGGCTGGCTCGGAAACTTTCTGAGCCTGTGTCTTCCAGCACATCTGTCTCTGTTTTCTCCTCCTAAAAATCATGTCATCATGGACTGCCTGAACTAGCAGCAAACATAGCTTAAACTCGCTGTGGTACAAAGCAGGAGTAAGCCCAGAGAGGTTAAGGAACATCCCCAAGGTCACAGAGCTCGTTGGTTTCTAGCCCTCAAGACCAGCCAGGGTTTCCACCTCATCCCACTCCATCCCCTCTCCACACCACACCTTTCCCCTTCTTCCCCTCTACATCACACCCCAAAGCTCTCTGGTAGTTAGTTGGTGGATGTTGAGGCAGGAAGGGCACCTCCAACTTGGCAAGGCCAACTGTGGAGTCAGAAATCCTCTGCCTTCTCAGTCAGGCCCTCTTGCTGATTCAACTCCATCAGCATTCCAAGCACCTCTGAAATGTAAAGGCAAGGGGATTGCAAGAAGGGTAGTTGTAAGAGTGATGCAACAGCACTACCTCATTTTTATTGCTACCTTGCCCAAGTTCTATTATTAAATTTCTCACTTCCCCTTAACATTAAAACCTAACAGCACGATGGCAAGTGGTTAAGTGCTATGAAATCAAACAAGCCTTGGTGTGCAACCCACCTTACCTCTTTCTAGCAGCGTGACCTTGAGAAATTTACTGAAATTCTTTGAGCATCAGTTCCTTCCTCTGTACAGTGAAGCAAATAATGCTCAATAGTGACTTCGTAGGGTGGGGGAGGGATAAATGAAAGAATGAATATGGAAGACAGCACAGGGCTGCTGAACACAGTAAAGCTACTGTAACTTGTAGCCATTGTTATTTTTATTAAAGATACATAAGAGATAACATATGTGGCACCCAGTAATCATTAATCCAACATCCTCAGCAGGGAAGAACAAATCAGCACATGCATTAATTAGAGTTTCTCATAACAGAAAGGATTCAGCTGATGTGTGCAGTGCCTCTCAGGAGAGAGGCAGGACCAGACTCGCCATCTCTGGATCAGAATCTATCCTAAGGCAGTCCCAGGCCACAGAATCCCTCTTCTCCAAACTCATCACTGATATTGCACCTATAACCCTCATGATTCAGGTTTCCTTAAAGTGAGGATGAAGGCAGTATGACTGAATCAACAAGAATAGGGGTGGAAGGCTGGAGTGGGAGAGATATGTGATGTTTCAATAACTTGGTGGACTGAGCTAACAAGGACCATGCTCCCACTGCAAACACAGAGAGATATCTGATAAAACATAATGAAAAAGTAAATAAGTACACAGTTTGAAAAGGAGGAAGGAAGGAAGGGAGGGAGGGAGGGAAGGAGGGAGGGAGGAAGGAAGGAAGGACGAGCAGATGGAGGGAGGGTAGGTGCAAGGGAAGGAGGGAAGGAAGGAGGGGAAGGAAAGGAGAGAGAAAAAAGGGAGAAAGGAAGAAAGGAAAAATGAAAGGAATCCCCATATTTCAAAAGGAATCATCCATTTCAATCAGCAGCATTCATTGACTTAAGGCTGAAATGATACAGCGAGTAACTAGAGAATGGGATTTCAAGTTTTGAAAGCATGACCAAAAAGGTGACAGAGCCTAGACTTCCAAAGCCCTTAGACATCACATTGCATGATGCTGTAAGATCAGGCCTCCAGCACTAGGCTACAGGGAGAAAGTCCGAAAGGAAGAAGAGCCTTTGTTGCTGGAGGAATCCCCGAGAAAGGGGATTTCTTGCTATGCTTTGTCCACCCATCCTTCCAACCCACCAGACCAAACACCAGATAAGTCTGGGGAACCCAAGTGCTCAAGGCTGTTTTTCTTATCCCATTATCTCGTTTGAGTTCACATACAATATGGGCTTGAGAATAAAATAGATCAAATCCTGGGTCTGTCACTTTCTATCTGTATAACATTGGGAGGATTATATGATTGCTGTGTGTTCATTTCTTCAACTATAAAAAAAAAAACAAAAATAAAAACAATAAACATGTCACTACCAAATATATAGAAATCCAATTCTTAATCATTCTCAATCCCTGCTGGAATAGGACACCCACACGCATGCACACAAATTCTCTCTCTCTCTTTTTCCCTGAATGTATGAGTCTGGAATCTTCTGCTTGCAAGTGACAGAGACTCATTTTAAACTAGCAAAAACGCAAACTGAGCGGGACTTATTTATTCAAGGAACTGAATTTAATGTGGTTATGTTTCTTTGGCCCCTTTCTTAGCTTGTCCTTGCTTTCTTTTCCTTGCCCTCATTCTCTCCTACTGAAAACAGCTTCATCCCTGAGCTGGGAAATTGCTTAAAGCACCTCCAGTCTCTTTGTATAACTCATCATCTCCAAGAAAATCTCAGATTATTTCAGCAAGAATATCTCAGGGAAGGTCTGTTCTGAGAGGTCTGTTTGGGGACATGTGCTGTGCTCTGAACTGATGATTCTGGCCAGGGGGATAAATTAATCTGACTGGGCAAGCCTAGCTCACCTCTTCACCCTTTACACAGGGGTCAGAGGGGAGGAGATGGAATGTCATTAGACCCAACTAAACCTTAGTTCCCCAAAGGAAAAAGGAATTACATTTTCAGAGGAAAGAGGGAAAGAGTCTCAGAAAGTAGGACTAACAGAGATACCCACTACATTCTATCTTTTGGCTACCCAGAATTCATATACATTACTTTAAAAATGTCCCCACCCCATTTAATACATCAGTCCCACATACAATAAATGTGTATTTACTCCCCTCCTAGAGGGAGAGAAGCCAAAGTCTTTTCCAGATACTAAGTTCAAATCCAAGTCTTAGATTACTGTTTCTGGGGGCAGATATGAATGTAGGTCTTTATAGCCCAGTTACCTCCATCTACATCAGGGTTTCTTAAACTTTCTGTACCATAAACTACTTGGTAGTCTAGTGATGCCTATGGATCCCTTTTCAGAATCATGTATTTAATCGAAGAAAATAAAATATGCTTGAAATATATTTCGCAAAACATTATAAAACAAATTCATGATATAGAGATGTATGTACTTCTTGATTGATGCATTAAATAGCAAGATCTAGTAGTAAATCCAGTAATACTACAATTTCAAAAGTGATGACCATGAATGGCATTATGAGATATCTACCACAAGTCTCACATGATATAAAAATATCTGCAATTCACTGGTGACCAGTACTGCTAATACCACCTCAGCCTCTTGCCTGCAATGATATTTGAAAGAAATGCTCAATTTTAGTTAGATATTAGTGAAAATGAAGAAAACTCCAAATCCAGATGGTACATTTAACCACCTAAAATATTCCCCATATAGAGTGGTGAAGGAAAATAAGGAAACTACAATATAAAGCTTCTTTGTTTTGGGAAGAGGAGAAAGGAAAATAAAATACAAGGGATTTTGGATCAAAGTCTGTGCTGTATACCTTTCAGAGGCAGTCAGCAAGACTCCATGCTCTGTGGAGTGAGAGCACAACTTATTCAGAGATGTACCCTTTGGGAGAATTTCTTTTGACCATTGGTCTTGCATGTACTTCCCTAAGGAATGTGCAAGAAACAATTCTGTTCTAGATGGTGCATCCATTTAGCAGCCCAGTGCCTGTCCACACAGCATTGGGCCTGTGGATGGCCTAGGAACTGAACTGTCATAGACACCTGATTCCCAAACTTTGGGAGATACTTTAGCAATGTAGTAAAAATCTCACTTAGAGCCTAGTCATTAGATTTCTCAACAAGAGAACTGGTTAGTAATCAAAGCCAGTGTGGGCCTTAGACCCAGGCAAGCAGGACCCTTGTTCCAATCTTTGTGCCCAAAAGGGCTCTGTATTTTGGAATTCCTTCCTAAAAATTCTTCTAAATACCCCTTTGAGGCTTGAACTAGCCCACAGGACCATCTGGGCATGGCCTCCCCTCTCCCCAGCCTGGTCCCATATGGGTCCTGGTCATTGGAAGCACCTACCTCAATATTTTCTATGTCTCCTTTCAGTGTTTGGGACCAGGGCTGGCAGTGCTTTCTACCTAGATGGAGCTTCCTGAGTCCAGATGAGGACCTATAAGAGCCCTGGTCCCTATTTTACCTCGTTGGGTCACTCTCCAATGATTGACATCTTCCCTCAATCCCCTGAGAGGGGTTGATCGGATCCTCTGAGAAAATCTGAGGCTCTTGTCTATAGGATTGCCCTGGGACTGGTTCCAGAGGGCAGTCTGGTGAGCTGATGCTTTCTGTGGGCCAGCACAGTATTTCTTTTGCAGGATCACAGAGACTGGGCTGCCAGAATGGTGCTGACACACTGACTGTGACTAACTCTCATTTACATAGGACACTGGGTGATTTCAGGACTCTGGGTTAACAACGGTTCATTGCCAAAGGGCTTGAGTGCAAGCCATGTGCCATGAGTGCCAGCCACATGTCGGTTATCATCTATCCTTGTCCTGAACTACAATGCTACATTTGTGCTGTGTGCCTCCCACAGCTGGCACACAGAATGGTCACCCCACCTCCTCCTTGGGCTTCACATCACTGGTCCCCCAGGGGTGAGCATGCCTATCTCCTCCAAGGGCTTCCTAGACTATTGCTCCATAATGTGAATAGACCCTCCTAATTGATGTCCTTTCTTGCCTCCAATCAATGTAACATCGTGCTCTTTTGGACTGGTCTCAAGCTATGCAGGACAAAGATGGACATTCCTTACCCAAATGATACTGCTCTACTCTATCTGTCCATGGGTTCCTCACCTATCTGCCTCCCTATTGGTGGTGATGTGTGCAAGGCAAGAGTGGAGGTCATCATTGAAAGAGATTACATTCTAGAAATACAATGATGACAGCCTAAAGAGATCAAGGAGAGACATGAGTGGAATATGAGTTGTTCTATAAACTATAACATTCTAAACAATATTGTGTGTGTGTGTGTGTGTGTGTCTGTTTGTGTGTGTGCCAGAGTCTTGCTCTGTCGCCTAGGCTGGAGTGCAGTGGTGCAATCTCGGCTCACCGCAACCTCCACCTCCCAGGTTCAAGTGATTCTCATGCCTCAGCCTCCCAAGTAGCTAGGATCCCAGGTGCATACCACCATGCCCAGCTAATATTTTACATTTTTAGTAAAGATGGGGTTTCACCATGTTGACCAGGCTGGTCTCGAACTTCTGACCTCAAGTGATCTGCCTGCCTTGGCCTCCCAAAGTGCTGGGATTACAGGCATGAGCCACTGCACCCAGCTTAAACAGTAATTTTGGCAAGACCACAAAGCAACTTATTTGCATTTTCTTGCATACTCACTAAGACTTACATTTGTTATCATCATCAACAAAGCACAGTTGATGACCTTTGAGAGAGTCATTGGAAGCCAGTGTTCATGGGTGGCACTACGGATGACGTGGCAACATGGATAAAGTATCCAGCTCTGAATAAATGGAATATGTGGTATGAGGGAACTGAAGAGGCAAGAAGATCTATAGAGTTACAATATAAACAGGTTCCAAAGAGCCATGGCATTGTGAGTAATAACAGCATTGCTACCTTTTTCTTGCAGTGAGTGATAAGAAATTATACAGGAATGACACATTTGGCAATAAAGAACACAAAGAGATAGTTCCTGGACCTGAACAGGAAAAGACGGTGCCAGGATACTATGAAGAATCTTCACAAGCACTGATTGAATAGTAAACAAATATGTAAGTACCTCTTCTAATCCCATCATTCTGAATTTTCATCGATAAATCAGTATACCTCACATAAGCCCACCAGTTTGGTAGCACATTTTAAAAATTAAATTGTTCATATAGATAACCCTTGCCCCTTCAAAAAAATACTTACACAGGGATCCTGCACCTAGGAGTGGCTCTAATCAAACATGGAGGTCTTGTTGAGTTATAATGCTTGAACCTAGACCCTGGCCTTATAACTTCCTTTTATTCATAATTGGTCTCAGTGTGTAGCAGGTAACCCTTTATTCTTAGTTTAACAGTTCTATTTTGGCCCCTGCATTTGGGCAATAAAAAACAACAGGCTAGTTGTGAAGCCCAAGTAATTTGTCCCTTGCTTCCAAATTCAAAGCTCCTGTTCAATTTGAGCAAATGGTTTACTACAATGAGGATAATTATTTCCTTTGTCAGGCAAAGAGTACTCATCTGGAGATATTTGGAAGCAGCCAAGGGATTCTGATTTTCCACAGATCTTTCTTGGGACTGATTTTATCCCTCACTACCTTTCCCTCCTCCCTGCCTTGGTGAACTCTAACTTTAGGTTGGGGCATAAAGTAGGACTTTTTCAGTCCCATCAAGACTCTGAGTCATGTTTCTCATATATTTGAGGTTGCTAGCCATGAAACCACCTTTGGAAAAATTATTACTGAGGAAATTATAACAGTGAGATAAATCTGACATGGTTGACTCCATCTTGTCTCTTGCCTCACAGGTTGGCTGTCTTTGCTCATTCCTGGGTGTGGGCCAAGCTAACTTTGGGAGAAATTTATAGTTTAGATCATAGCCCTTCCCAAAAAGGAAACTGCTCTTGTAAAACTAATGGAAGGCCACCAAGTAAGGATGAAAGGGGCTTGGATTCTATTAATAAATAATTACCAGCCATTATTCTAGAGGTCATAAGATTTGCAACTTCTCCAATTACTCTTGAAGATAACATCACTATTGTAGAATCTAAGGTTGGCCTTTTGAGATGTCTTTTCAGGTTTCTGCATTTCTGACAACCAGATGGCCGCACCTGGACCTGCCAACCAGTCCTGTGGCCCCCACCCAGGAAATGACTCAGCATAAGAGGACAGCTTTGACTCCCTATGATTTCATCCCCGAGCCAATCAATCAGCACTCCTGATTTACTGGCCTGCTACCCACCAAATTATCCTTAAAAACTCTGATCCTTGAGTCTTCTGGGAGACTGATTTGAGTAATAATGAAACTCTGGTCTCGTTTATAGCCAGCTCTGCGTGAATTAAACTCTTTTCTATTGCAATCCTCCTGTCTTGACAAATCAGCTCTGTCTAGGCAGTGGGCAAGGAGAAGCCATTGGGTAGTTATAGTCTCATTAGGAAGAGTCTCTCTTAGTAGAGGTATAAGCTACTCCCTATTTGCTTCCAGATGGAACAGGCTTTCTCGTAGGACCTTGAGGAAAAGCTACAAGAAGTAGTTCCAACATTCCACACTTCTAATATTTTCCTACTATGCAAAATAGTTCCAGTGTAAGTAGGCATATTGCCTGTATCTGAAGATCCAGGGGATGACAATTTAACTAGCTGCTTTGCTACCTTAAAATGAGGACTTATTTTGTTGGCACACAATAAACATTGGCAATGGCTGTCTTAAGAGGGAAAATAATATTTGTCTTGGCATGAACTGCCATAACAGAATACTGTAGACTGGGTGGCTTAAATAACAGAAATTACTTTTCTCATGGTTCTAGAGGCTGGACATCCAGAACAGCGTGCCAGCATGGTCAGATTCTGGTGAGAGCTCTCTTTCTGGCTTGTAGATCGCTGCCTTCTCTCTGAGTTTTCACATGGCCTTTCCTTGGTTCATGCACTTAAAGAGAGAGGGCTCTCACGCTCACTCTTTCTCTCTTCCTCTTCCTATAAGACCATCTGTTCTATCATATTAGAACCCTACCTTGTGATCTCATTTAACCTTAATTATCTCCTAAAAGCCTTATCTCCAAATATAGTTACACTGGGGGTTAGGGTACCAACATATAAAATTGTGGAGAGGGTAGGGAGAGGACACAGTTCAGTCCATAACAGTATTACAGAAATACTGGGGAGCTCACAGAACTGAATAATCAACACAATGAAAACTTGGGACCAATGGAAACTATGTCAGCTCTGAGTACAAATAACAGGAGTGCATAAAGTGTATTTTTCATTTAGCTCAAGGTTCAAATTTTCAGGAAGAGAGTATTAATTGATCAAGTTTAGGTCACGTGTGCATCTTGGAACTAATCACTCTCTCCAAAGAAAGGATGATGTGCTTTGATTGGTCAAGTGCATGCACGTGTGTAGATAAGGTCAGCCTCATCCAAATAATATAGAATAGGTTTGCCATAAAAATAGAGGTTCTGTTAGGTAGAGAAGAAGGAAAGGTAGAAATAATAAATAAAGCAAATAAAAAGGCAAAGAGATGTCCACCACAGAGTGCCAGCATTTTGCACAAAAATTGTTGAAGTATAATATTTTTCATAGAAAATATTGCTTGGCATAAGGAGAGGAAAAATTGCTGTGCACTATCAACTTTGTCTTTTCAAGGTGGCAATGACATAAGGAACTGAACTGAGACCTTCCTAGTCTTCACAGGTCCTTGGAGCTTGTTTTCCAGGTTAATTTCCAAAAAAGAAGAGGAAAGAGAAGCTTCCAATGCAAACAATTTGTCATCTCCGAGTTCCCAAATTTGTCTTTTAGGGAATGCTAAAGGCCAAGTATTAGTTGTCTTATCATAAAACCACAACTGGCTGCTACAAAAATTCCTATGGACGCAAAAATAGAATTCCAAAATAAGCTGACAATTATTGAGCACTTACTTTCGGCCAGCTCTGGTCACCACTGTTGAGTGCCTTCTTCAAATCTATTACTGCTTTCTAATGAGATCTTGATGTTGCTTGAGTAATTACACTTTCTCCACCTAGATCATGTGACTTAGGGGAAGGCAACCCCTACCCCCAGCAAGAACAATGAATCCTGACTCATGTGAATCAAGCACCATAATCCATTCCTCTTTTCCCCTGACTAGTTCACATACCCAAACTGAAACCAGTCACCATGTGAGTATTCCTCTGGCAATAGTAATTGATTCAAGGTTGGCCCAAAGAGATTGAGGGGAAAAATTTGTTTTCATATTTGGGAGTGGCTTCTCTCTCTCTTCCACTGGCTATGAATAAGCAATCCCACTGCTCCTGTTGCTGCCAGCAGCCATCTTGTTTCCATGAGGTCCAGCCTGAAGAAGGCTAAGCCAAGAGAATGGCTGACAGATATGGGCTGGAGGCCTGATTGGGTCACATCTAGAGCTCTCTTTTGTCACTGGACTATGTGAGATAACATATTTCCTAATTGTTTAAGCCATTTTGACTCAGGATCCCTGTCACTTGTAGCCAAAATCATCTTACTAAATACTTTATATACTTTTTTGTATCCCCATATGACCCTAGAGGAGATAGTATTGTTATCTTTATTTTATAGGTGAAAAACTGAGGCACAGAAAGATTAAGTAACTTGCCCAATGTCACTTAGTTCCTGAACCCAGTCATTTATCTCCAAAACCTACATTTTAACCAGTAAAACTGAAGCCAAGTTGTTTCACATTTACCAACATTCCTGGAAAATTCAAGAGAAATGGAAATATTATAAATCAAATTTTAGCTTTCCACTGATTTGGATTAAGGCTTCAATGGTTCTTTGTCTTCACTGACTGACCTTCAATTGCCAGGGGATATAAACTTCTCAGGTCCTGCATCTCTTGGTAAGTAAATGGCTAATATTCGGTAAGCAAATATATCACCAGAGAATTTTCCCAAACTTCAAAAAGTCAACAGCATGTTAAGCTGTAGTTTTCTTAAGAACAAGATGCATCTGCTGGGGAAGATAGAGATGGGAAGTTCAAAATCTCAAATTGTCCAGTGATTCAAAAACAAGAAGTCAGATGGCTGACATTTAAGTTGAAAAGGAAATGAAGAAAGTAGCCGGTCTCTCCTTACCCTATATCTTACAGGTTTGCCCTCAACAGGAAAAACATAGTTGCTTATACTGCAAGCCTTAAAATCTCATGCACCTGTGTTTAAATTACCAGTCTGACATTTCCTAGCTCTATGAATCTGGGCAAATTAATTAACCTCTCTATGAATCAGTTTCCACATCTTTAAAATGGGAATAATATAGTAGCACCTACAAAATTAGGGTTATAAAGCAGTCAGCTATTATGACATGTCCTCATACTCAATGCAAACAAAATAACCATTGAATCTCACATTTCTAGGTTTGCAGGTGTTTGTGGATCAGCTGACCTAGGTACAGCAATCCTGGGTGGCTCACCTTTAAGCTGCAGGTCCAACCTCACTTAGCTCCAAGCTACAGAGGGCCACTCAGGCCTGCTCCATGTGTTTTTATTCTGGGGCCAGGATAAATGGGCAGGAGTTACCAGGTGTGTGTTGAGGGAAGCTTTTTCCTGGCAATGGCACAAGCAAGAGAGGACAAGCACAATAGCACAAGCCCATTTCAAGCTTTTGTCTTTGGCCAATTTCAATATCAATGGAGAAGGGAGGCACTACTGATACAGACAGGAGAAAGGGAAATAATGAGTAGAAGATGCCAGTTCCCTGGCAAAGGCCCCACCCTTAAAGCCTGGATACCTGAGGCCCTAAATGGCATTTCTGTTTACACACCCAAAAAGTTGCCTTTTGGCCCACTATGCCCCCTATTCTGCCCCTATATAAACCCTGAACCCCAAGCTGCAGAGCAGACCAGCACAGCAGCAGACCAGCAATGAGTGGAATGATGTGGCAGAGGAAGAGGAGGAGGGATGTCTGGTTGCCGAGGGGAGTTCAGTTGGGGGTGGTTAGAGAAGAGTCCAGCCACTGGGTGGCCTGATTCCAGTGGAAGATTATCTTCCCACTCCATTCCCCCTTCCAACTCTCCCCATCCATCCCGCTGAGAACCACTTCTATCACTCAACAAAACCTTGCACTCATCTTTCAAACCTGCATGTGATCCGATTCTTCTGGGACACTGTGCAAGAGCTTGGGACACAGAAGGCTGTCACACTGGCCCTCTGCCTTGAGATAAGTCAGAGGGTCTATTGAGCTGATTAACACTCAAGCCATCTGCAGATGGCAAAGCTGAAAGAACTTTGTAACACAGAGGTTGCAGGCACTCTCCCCTAGACACCAACCACAGGGCCCAGAGCCCAAAGCACTCACCCTGGTCTCTGCACCTGCCTGTCTGCGTGCTCCCCCTAGGGGTTTGAGCTGCAGGGCAACTGAACAGACAAGCCACACCTCTGTTGCATGTTCTGCAAGGGGAAATCAGGGAACTCTCCCATTTCATTACAAAGTCACATGGCAAAAGGCATGGCAATAGAAAGAGTTGAAGAATTGGGATCAACAATGCCATCAGCAACAAGCTCTTAGAACGATGACAAACTCAGAACACAGAAGTGATTGTTCTGGATTGCGGTGGAATCATACTGGAGGCCGAGAGATGTTGCTGTTCTCCATGGTGGATGCGTAGAGCAGTAATGAACAAACTCTTGCCAATTCAGGTTTTAAAAAAGAAGAAATGCTTCTCGATAGCATTTATTTAAATGTAGCTCCATTTACTTATGTCTGGGAAGATGTATATTCTTGCAACTTAGTTTACCTACTAATCATTGAATAAATTACAGAAACATGTCAGTGAGAAAATTGGTACTGATTTCTGGCAACTTTAATATTGGTATCTTGACAACTTGAGAAGAATCAACTATGAAGGAGCTATCCTTTCTTCCTGATATTAAGTGGTGGGCCTGTGTTGAAGCTTAGGTGGGCAGTACTCAGTCTGTATGTTGAAAGTTAATTCATTTATTAGTTCTCTGCCTTATCATATTGGCCCCAATATTACAACAGTCCTCAGTCATTCTCTCACCACAAGGAAGGCCCCTGGGTAGCCATCAAATTTGCATAGATTTGGGAGAAGCCACGCATTAGCCTAAGTGTTCTCTAAGACCAGTGAGATTTGTTCTAGGGTTTCCTCCCTTCCTCAGTGTACCCCCTCCACAATCCCCTCCTGGCCCCCACCTCAGGCAAAGATCACAAACTGTTCTTTTGATGTTCTCCTCCCTGAAGGGGCCGCTACTACCTGACTTCACATCAAATTCTTCCATGGGAGGAAATGATTCTCCCCTTTAAAAGATAAATATAAGAACACAATGCTTAGGGGAAATTCCACCTAAATAAGTCACAGAGTCCAGCTGTTTGCATACGGGAAAGTTAAAGCTAAGGTAAATGACAGAAATAGTATAACTCTATGTTACAGTCATGGTCCAGCATTGGTTTTTGGGCCTGTTGAGGAAAGTCTTTATTCCACTTACCTTAGAGCTTGGCAGACCTCATTTGTCAGCCCTGTGGTGATGATGGGTGTGGATGGTTTTGGGATTCCTTTTACAGATGTAAGATTCTTGATAAATGTTCAATAAAAAGTCCTTATAGGGCCAGCTGATGATATATTTATAATCTGTATCATACCAAATCCACTGAGACATTTGAGAAGTGTCAAATATCAAGAGTTGGACTTGTTCAAGGCCAGATTTGGAAGCAACACAAATTGGAAACTGAGGGCTTGTAGGTGATTGTTTTTCATTCACTATCAGTTCTGAGAGGAGAAACTTGAAGATGGAGGAAGAGGTAGGCTGAAAGACCAGTGCTCTTTAACCATGTAACACACTGATGGGTGCAGAGGGGTGGAGCCTGTTTAAATCTCTAACCCAAGTCCAAACAGTACCCCAGACAGACTGGCCTCTTCAAAGAGACTTTGCAGAACCCTTCAGGGGCAAAAAGGGACCAAGCCCAGAATGCACCAAAAGCACAGCCTTATGTGTTATGCCGAGTGGGCTTCTGGGCTCAGGCCCTCACCCATTCCACTCTTGCTGAGCCACCTACTTTCTCAAGGGTGCCCATCTGCCTAGCTCCCTGCCCCATTTTCACATAGCCAGCAAGTGACAGGACAGGGGTTGGAGTTATGGTGACTGACCTTGCTCCCCCAAACAAGCTTATATCCTTTCAAGGATGCCATTAGAATAGATTCAAACTTGCTACCTCCTGGGCAGAGAGTGCAGGCAGGAGGAAGGAGAGGGGCTGGTCCCAGTTTCCACTCTAAGAGACCTGTTGATTCTTCTTCTCAGTGATAATGCTGGTGGTAGTGATTCGAACAAGAAATAGCTGTCTACTCACACCCACCTACTATGTTTAGGAATTGCTTTATCTCCATTTGAGGCCTGACACTCTAACATAACTTCATTGTGAAATGCATTTAACAATTGTACAATAACAAAGACACCCATTGAGCGAAGTTGGGGGTGGTAATTTTCTTACAAGTATATTTGCATGCACTGTAGGCCAGACAGATTTGTTATGGCAAGCATCTTACTCTCCAACTTCTTGTTTGTTCCAGTTGTGCTCTTCAGGCATGAAAAACAAAATATCAACAAACAGGCATGGATTCTTCTGCAGCATGAGTGAGTTCAGAGGCAGTTCAAAGTTGCTGCAAGTGAAATTCTTCTGTAAGAGGATGATAAATGGGGAAAAGCACCGGTTTCCCTCTAGATCAAGGCATCCAACTATAAAGAAGAAATTTGGAAATGTTAATTGTGGTAATGGGTAATGAAGAGACCATGAAGTGTATAAGATGAGCAAAGAGAGACGGGAAGCTGGAATGAAAACCAAAAGGATGTGAATGAAAACCAAAAGGATGTGAATGAAAAGCACAACACTATACGATGGCAACACCCACCCACCAGAACAGCTAAAGTGTAAAAGACAATATCAACTATTGGAGGGGAAGAAACTAGAACTGTTGTACATTGCTGGTGGAAGGGTAAACTAGTAGATTCCCTTTCAAATACTATTCGCCTGCATCTACTAGAACTGACATATGCCTAACTTACGATTCAGCAATTCTATTCCAAAATATATACCAACAGAAATACATACATAAGTTCTAAGTTCATTAAAATACATATACTTTAATATCTATCAAAGTACTATTCATATAAGCATCAACTAGGAAACCACAAATGCCGTCAACAATATAATGGATAATTAAATGATGGTATATTCACCAAATGGAATACTATACAGTAATGAAATTGAACAAGGTGCAACTACATATTGCAACATGAAGAAATCTCACAAGCACTGCATTAAGTGAAAGAAGCCAGCCACAACAAAAGCAAAAATTGACAAATGGGATCTAATTAAACTAAAGAGCTTCTGCACAGCAAAAGAAACTACCATCAGTGTGAACAGGCAACCTACAAAATGGGAGAAAATTTTCACAACCTACTCATCTGACAAAGGGCTAATATCCAGAATCTACAATGAACTCCAACAAATTTACAAGAAAAAAACAAACAACCCCATCAAAAAGTGGGTGAAGGATATGAACAGACACTTCTCAAAAGAAGACATTTATGCAGCCAAAAAACACATGAAAAAATGCTCACCATCACTGGCCATCAGAGAAATGCAAATCAAAACCACAATGAGATACCATCTCACACCAGTTAGAATGGCAATCATTAAAAAGTCAGGAAACAACAGGTGCTGGAGAGGATGTGGAGAAATAGGAACACTTTTACACTGTTGGTGGGACTGTAAACTAGTTCAACCATTGTGGAAGTCAGTGTGGCGATTCCTCAGGGATCTAGAACTAGAAATACCATTTGACCCAGCCATCGCATTGCTGCGTATATACCCAAAGGACTATAAATCATGCTGCTATAAAGACACATGCACACGTATGTTTATTGTGGCACTATTCACAATAGCAAAGACTTGGAACCAACCCAAATGTCCAACAATGATAGACTGGATTAAGAAAATGTGGCACATATACACCATGGAATACTATGCAGCCATAAAAAATGATGAGCTCATGTCCTTTGTAGGGACATGGATGAAATTGGAAATCATCATTTTCAGTAAACTATCTCAAGGACAAAAAACTAAACACTGCATGTTCTCACTCATAGGTGGGAATTGAACAATGAGAACATATGGACACAGGAAGGGGAACATCACACTCTGGGGACTGTTGTGGGGTGGGGGGAGTGGGGAGGGATAGCATTAGGAGATATACCTAATGCTAAATGACGAGTTAATGGGTGCAGCACACCAGCATGGCACATGTACACATATGTAACTAACCTGCACATTGTGCACATGTACCCTAAAACTTAAAGTATAATAATAATAAAATAAAATAAATAAATAAAATAAAAAATAAAAAAAAATTTAAAAAAAAGAAAGAACCAGCCACAAGAGTTCTTATTGTATGATTTCATTTGTTTCATTTGTATGGTGTTATGGGTTGAATTGTGTTCCCCAAAAAGACACGTTAAAGGAATTGCTAGCAACTATCAGAAGCTAGGCAGAGACAAGGAAGAATTGTCCCCCGCAGGTTTCAGGGGGAGCATGGCTCTGCTGACACCTTGATTTTGTAAATCTAGCCTTCAGAACTGTAAGACAATAAATTTCTATTGTTTTATGCCACCCAGTTTGTGGTACTTTGTTGCAGCAGTTCTGGGAAACTCATAGAGATGACAAAACCAATCCACGCTGTTAAAAGTTAGGAGGCAGTTACCCTTGCTGGCAGGGATGTCTGGAAAGGGGAGCAAGGGGGGAATCTATGTACTTTTCTCTATGTGTGTTGTAGTTTGATGAAAAGTTAATACACACAAGCACAAACACACACACATTTAGGGACTTCTGGGTTATAGGTGGGGAGGCCAGATTCCCTAAGAAGGGGACCTGCATGTACCAGGCAGAGAAGCCTGTGAAGTATACTCAAAATTAATATTCAAAACCCATTATGTGCCAAGCACTATGCTAGGCAACACAATGATCAGCTAATTTCTCCTCAGAACCCCCATGTAGTCTGTAACCTGGAGTTCTTCTATTCTCCTTTAGGAGGGTCCCATGATTTTTGGACACATCTGCCTTCCCAGATATCCATCTATCGGTGATCTCTTCTCAAGCCAGTGGGGCAGAGTTAGGTGGTAGTTGTGCAAGCTCTGGGCACAGCCTGCTTGGAGTCACCTCCTGGCTTTGCCACTTTCTAGCTGTGTAACCTTAAGTAAACTACTTAGCCTCTCTGTGACTTGGTTTCCTCATCTAAAATAGGTATAATAATGGTATCTATACCTCATAGGATGGTTGCCAAGATTAAGTAAGTTAATATATGTAAAGAACCCCACTCAATAAATGATGGCTGTCATGGTATTGTAACTCTGTTGCGGTGCCTTTAACACTAGATGACAGACATCTTCACTGTTCACCAATGTCCAGTCTCCCTCTACCTCCAGAAATATGGGGGATTTTACTTTTCTGTTTTTTTTTTTTACTGAGAAACAATTTACATATAGGAAAATGCACAGGTATTGTTATGTGTTGAAGTGTATCCCCCCAAAAAATTCATATGTTGAAACCTTATCCTCCTGCACCTTAGAATGTGACTGTACTTGGAGATAAGGTCTTCACAGGGGTCATGAAGTTAAAATGAGGTTGTTAGGGCAGACGCTAATTCAGTATTGCCAATGTCCTTAAAACAAGAGGAGATTTGGCCAAAGACAGTACATAGAGGGAAGACCATGTGAGGACACAGCAAGAAGACAGATGTCTACAAGCCAAGGGGAGAAGCTTCAGGAGAAACCAACCCTGTAAACACCTTGATCTTGGACTTGCCTCCAGAACTGTAAGAAAATAAATTTCTGTTGTTTAAACCACCCAGTCTGTGGTATTTTGTTATGGCAGCCGTAGCAAGCTAATACAGTTATTATATGTTCAGTTTGATGAGTTTTATGAAGATCTAGAATACTTCCATGACACTAGAAAGATGTTACGTGCACCTTTTAAATCAATGCCCCACAGCCCCATAAGCAACTACTTCTGACTTCAATCACCATGGAGTAGTTTTGCTGGTTCTAGAACTTCATAAAAATGGAATTATACAGTACATATTTTTGTGTGTCTGGCTTCTTTTGCTCAACAAATGTTTTTGAGATTCATCCATGATATTGAATGTATCATTAGTTTATTCTTTTTAGTGTTGAATATATATTCATTGTACAAATATACCATAATTTGTTAATCCATTTGCCTGTTGTTGGACATTTAGGTTGTTTCTTGTTTGTGGCTATCACAAATAAGGCTGCTATGAACATTCATGTACAAGTCTTATTGTGAACCTGTATTTTCATTTCTCCTAGGTAAACATTTGGAAATGAAATTGCTAGGTCATAGGATTAGATGTATGATTTTAAGAAACTGCCAGTTTTCCAAAGTGGTTGTACCATTTTAAACTCCCACCAGCAGTGCGTGAGTTCTGATTGCTCCATATCCTCATCAATATTCACAGTTGTCAGTCCTTTCTTATTCTAGCCATTCCAATGGATGTGAAATTCTTGTTTGGATTTGTTTCTGATTTCTGAACATAAGCTGGCTGAAAATCCACGAGACAAAGAAACTCACCAGTTCACTTTATGTAAAAACAAACAAATAACTACAAGGATTCCCTTAATCTCTGTGTTTTCCATGAAAGGAATATACCATTGTCGAATAATTCCTGAGGCTTGACAGTCCTCATGGGAACCCCTGCAGTGGTCAGACCCCTACCTGCAGGGCCAGGCCAGTAAAGATCTGAGGAAGGCACTGACCAGGGGTATGAATCTGCAAGTCTGAGAATGTGGGTGGCTTGAAATTGCAGAGACAAATATCATTCCATATCAATCAATATTTATTGCTGAGTAAATACCTACAGTATGTAAGGTGTTCCCAGAGGACCCAAGAGGGGAGTAGACAAGACTCTGAAAGATTTACTCTTCTTGATTTTGCATTATCTGTGCTTCCGGCCCCTTCCATTAGCATGAATAATTAACAGCTGACAGAGCTATCAGCCACAGTAAGAGCTTGCTTAGGATTCAGAGTTTGTCATGTGCCAAGAAAGAGAAAAGGCATTGAACAGATGATCAGGATAATGGTGGTGAGGAGGAGGAAGATGAAGCATATGAAGTACATGAAACATATTACAAATGCCATAGTCCCTTAGTTTCTGTCTTATAAAATTGCCATTAAATGCACATATAATGCAAGGCTGCTTAGAGAGAAAAACCTTTCAAACCCTTCCCGCCCTTTCCTACTCCCCTCCCCAGAGAGTATTTGGAGTTAACAGTTGAAGTGTGTTCTTTCAGACCTTCTAGAAAAGTGTTTACACACATAAATAAACATATATAGGTTTCATTTGTATATATTAATAGGGTCCTATTGCACATTTTATCCAAATTGTTACGTCCATGTTATATATGTATTATTATATATTTCCCTGTCAATACATACCAAGGACTCCATTATACAGACATGCAACTATCTATTTAACCTCTCCCCTTTAGATGAGCATTTAGGTCAATTGCACTTTTCACTATATGTGTATATATACAGTTGACCCTTGAACAATGTGGGGGCTAGGGGCACTGACCCCCCAAATAGTAAAAAAATCTGTGTATAACTTTTGACTCCTCAAAAACTTTACTAGTAGCCTACTGCTGACCATAAACCTTACTGATAGCCTTCGTTTAAAACTTATTTTGTATGTTATATGTTCTATATACTGTATTCTTACAATAAAGTAAGCTAAAGAAAAAATATTAAGAAAATCATAAGGAAGCAAAAATATATTTACTATTCATCAGTGGAAGTTGGTCATGATAAAGGGAATCATCCTCATCATCTTCACATTGAGCAGGCTATGGAGGAGGCGGAAGAGGAGGAGATGGTCTTGCTGTCTCAGAGGTGACAAAGGTAGAAGAAAATCCACGTACAAGTGGACCTGCACAGTTCAAACCTGTGGTGTTCAAGGTCAGCTGTATGTCTATCTTTGGGTACACATGCAACAGGATAGAGCTTCTAGAAACTGGCTTGGAAGGGGGCTTGCTAAATCAAGGCTCTGATCATTTTAAATGTTGTTAGAAGCTGCCAAATTGCCCTCTAAAATGTCTTTTGTAATTAAAACTCCCACCAAGGTATACGACAGTGCCCATTTCCCTCCCACTCTCCCCAACACTGGATATTATCAACCCCCATAATGTTTGCCAACCTAGTAGATGAAAAATGGCCTCTCATTTCTGTTTATAATTGCATAGTACTGATTTCTAGTGAGGCTGAATATCTCTTTATATTTTCTATAACTGCTATCAAATCTGTCAGTAGGAAAATTGATTGTACTGTAGTATTTTTTTTTTTAACAGAAGGAAGTGGGAAAGTGAAAAATGTCCCTCCTGGCCCAGTCATCTAGTCCTTGGTGTGTGGTGCTGAAATCCAGCCAGAATGAAGTTGCTCAAACCTCTGGCAGTGTCTTGGGAAGGTGGATTTGTTCAGCTGTGTTCAGACCCAAGTAATTAGCTGATCATTTGGGCATTTAGCTGCAACATCCTGCCAAGATACTGTTCACTCTAAACTCCCAATGAGCAAAGGATACACTTTGGTCCAGCTTCTCTTCCGAGTATCTCCTTAATCCTTGAAGTAACTCCCTCTTCTGTAAGGACCATACTCTGGGTTCACTAACTAAGGCAATGAAGATGAATGAGGACTATCAGCTCAATTTCTGGCTCCAAAACCAGTTCTCAAGCATTGTTAAAAAGAACACTTGTGAAAAAACAAACAAAACAATATTTCTAGGGCTGTTTAAACAATGCTAAGCTGAAGCTCCACTTCCGCAGTCCATGCCCCAGCCCCTCTCATTGGCCTCTAATTCTCCCACCCTTCTTTCTTCTACAATGAAAAAGACCTTTCCAAACCTCCAATCTAATCACAGTGCTCCAATAATAGTAATAGTTTGTCACAATTGAGCACTTAAGTGGCACCTGGCACTGCGCTAAGCATTTTACTAGCATTACCATCAATTAGACAATAAATCCATTGCTTAAATACCCCAAACGCTGCCCTCTTGCTGTGGCTCACACTCAACCAATCCGCTCCCATCTCCAAGCCTTGCTGTTTCCTTTGCCTGGAATGTTCTCCCCCAGATCCAATACATGGCTCACTCTTTCATTTCATTGGGCCCTCTCTCAGAGAGGCTTTCCCTGACTTTCTTACCTAAAATAGCACTCTTTGTTACTCTCTGTCCCCTACCCTGCTCTATTTTCTTCATGGCACCTTTCACGGTGTGTTATTTCATTATACATTTATGAGTTAATTGCTATCTCTTACACTTGACTAAGTTCATTGAGAGCAGGACTTTGTTCACGGCTAAATCTCCTGTGGCTAGAATAGTGCCTGGTATGTATGTGGTTGGTGCCCAATAACTCTTTGCTAAAGGCATGCGTTTTGAGAGCAATTTGGCAATATCTCGAAGAATTAATATGCAGATGCTTTATGACCCAGCGGTGCCACCTCTGGGATTTTGGCCGAGAAAAGTTCATGCAGAGGTATGTAAAGTGATATGGATGTTCTTGTGAGGCGAGAGAGTTAGAAGCAAACTAGGTGTCCATTATTAGGGGAACCGATGAGCAAACTGATGTTCATGCACACCCTAGAGCACTATGCTGCAGTTAGAAGAAAAAACTAAATGTACACCAACATGTGTAGATCTTTGAAAAGAGTATTGAGTGAACAATATAAGAAAGAGAATGGTATTTACAGCATAATACCACTTATGTAAATGAAAAACACATATGCATAAAACAGTATGTATTATACAAATACAAAAGAATATTTAAAGATATCACTTATGCACCTTCAAGAGGGAGCCTATGGGGAAAGGAAATGGACCTGGGAAATTGAAGATTTAAAGGGAAAGAGAAAGAAAGGAAAATGGGGAACTTTGATGGGCCAATGAAGATAGTGCTTGCAAACTAAGAGACATAGCCGAAAGAGCTCTCTTGATCTCAGGTTAAAAAGGAGGGAAAATTAAAATGTCCTTTCCGCTTTCTCGACCTGAAGTGTTCCATTCATCCTTCAAACTTAGCTCACACATCATTTCTGTTTCGAAGCTTTATTTGATCTTTCCCCATAGGATTAATTCTTTCTTTTTATAATTTCCATAGCATTCAAATAATACTTTTATTTTAGCATTTATAACCTCATATAATAGCTATTTGCTTACACATTTGCCTTCTTTATCAGGAGATAACTGATGTGACTTATTAATTTTTGTTCTTCGGGCACCTAGAATTGGCAATGAAAAAATTAATGGTGAATTGAAGCAGGCATTTTTACAGGACCTCAAGAATTACTTTAGTTTGAACTTAGTCTGCAAATTGACTGGTTTCAGAATCAGCCAATGTCTGATTGGATGGAAATGGAATTTCTGAATCTAGGTTTGGACTCCAAAGTCAGAGGCATTTGTTTGTCATAGGTGGAGAATAAAGGAGTATGGTGCAGCCAGTCTGGCCAGGGTCACTTCCTGGACCAGTAGCCCCATCACCTAACAGAATGGAGAGATGAAGAGAGGTTAGAAGCAGGCTGTGCACCCATTCATTGGACTAGGATAAATTCTGGGGGTGTTGGCTCAGCTGCAGGTGCTGCCAGAAGAGATTTCTCCTGGAAGTAGAATCTGGCATCAGAAATTATAGTCACTTCTGGTCTTCATCCAAGTCCAAAAATTGGCATGAAAAGGTAGAGATTGAGCATGGAGCCCAGAAGCTCGTGGTGAATTAGGCATGGAATTCCAGGCAAACAGGATATGGTACCAGGATATGAGATCGGTCCCCTGACCCTGACAGGACTTTAGCTCCTGGTAGGAATAATCGTATTGACTCTTATATTTACTCACTAGGCAGACTACTGCCTGCAACTTGCCCTGTCCAAGCACCTACCTGGAGCCAAACATTGCCCTGAACGAACCAAGGAAAGGGAACAGGGACCACAAGAGAAGCCTAGGCATGGGAATTAGGGGAAATGGGATTGAGGCTGGGGGAGTTACGCTTGGGACTAGGGCCCACATATGGTCAGGATCCTAGCTTCAGGGAAATCAATGCTGAAATCCCAGTCTCTGTAGCTGGAGCTGTTACAAGAATTAGGATTAGCAAAGAGAATTGGAATGTCAATTGACTCCCAATATGTGGAGGAGAATTGCTGGGTTAGAGGTTGGGTAGGGCCTGCCAAGCTCAGTTCTTTTCTGCTATAAATCCAATTTGCTTTGTGGCCTTGGGTGCATCTCCCCACTTCCAGTGTTTTTATTTTTTTATAAGCAGAATTTTAAAAATGTTACCATTTATCAGGCACTTGCTAGATGCTCTTAGAATGTTCTAGATGTTTTCCATCACTTCATCCTTGTACCAGTCCTCTGTGGTGCTATTATGAGAGTGAAACCAAGGCACAGAGAGGTTAAGTGACTTACCTAGGTAGGAAACCTGGCATTTGAGGCTGGCAGTTTAACCCCAGAGCGTATACACAAATTCTTAACCATTGTGCTGTGCTGCCTTGCTAAAGTGTGTGTGTGTGTTGGGGATGGGATGATGGGAAGAACCAAAATTCCCACTGTTACCTCACAAGGACACTATGGCAGTTGAGAAACATCAGCCAAGAGCCCAGAGTGACCCACTTTCTTTGGCCACTGAGTCTCCTCCAGATTAGAGACAGAGCTGTCTAGAAATCCAATCTGATGGCTATGGCCAGAGGCTCTGGCTTCTGTTGTCAGAGACACAGGTGACCTCAGACAGCTTGTGGATATGGATAGCTCAGTCCTCAACAGGCCAGTGTAACGATCCTCCCTTCTCAGGCTTTCTCTGGGTGGATCACAAATAATGCTCTCAGAACAGCCAACAGCATAGTCAGCACCCTTGGTGGCTGCAAGTTCCACACTGTGCTGGGCCAAACATCATTGGTACCAGAGTCCCTGCTTTGAGAGCAAATGGTTGGTGGAAATTAATTTCTGTCTTTTCAAAAAGGAGGCAGCAGGTGCCTGCAACACAAGAAGGCTTTAGCCAGGTGTAACGGAGGCTGGTGATATCCACCCATACACCCTCTCTTACTGCATCAGTACATGCAGGCTCAACTAGCAACTGCCAGCACCCACATCCCCTGGGCGCTTTCTCTGCCCCCCAGACCCTACTTTGACCATCTGCACAATAGGCCTGGGATTCTGAGGAATTAACATCCCCAGGAAGTAGCCCTCAACTAATAGGGAACTAGTGGGAAGCCTCCTTGCCCCTCAGTGGGCATAGTTCTGAAATATGTGCTCTACACTGTCTCCCAGGTGTGCCCAGTGGGATTAGTTTCTATTGCCCAAAGTGGTGACTTGCTTGATAACACACCCTTTATAAGCTTCCTTCCTTCTCTCCCCTGAGTCACTTCTTTGCACCCCTTTCTGCGTTTTCTGCACCACCCAAATAAATTACTCACACTCAATTCATTGTCTCAGGGTCAGCTTCTAGAGAACCCAAACTAAGGCACCAGAAAGGATTATTGGTGGCAAATTGTAATAAATTCTGAGACACATTCTCCATCTATAACAATCTCAGGAGTCTAACATTCCCTGTATTAGTCCGCTTTCATGCTGCTGATAAAGACATATCCGAAACTGGGTAATTTGTGAAGAAAAAGATATTTAATCTCTTTTTGGACTCACAGTTCCACGTGGCTGAGGAGGCCCTCACAATCATGGCAGAAGTCAAAAGACACGTCTTACATGGTGGCAGGTAAAGAGCGAATGTGAGCCAAGCGAAAGGGGAAACCTCTTATAAAGCCATCAGACCTCATGAAACTTATTGTCTACCACAAAGAACAGCATGGAGGCAACTGCCCACATGATTCAATTATCTTCCACCAGGTCCCTCCCACAACACATGGGAATTATGGGAGCTACAATTCAAGATGAGATTTGAGTGGGGATACAACCAAACCGTATCATTCCCCAAAGACAGGTAGGTCATAGAAGTAAGATAAGCTTAGAGACGCCTGGCAAAGGGCTTTTAAAATCGGCCTAAAGGAGAGCCTAAAATACTCTAAATTTTCACTACACCTCCCAGGTGGCTTCCAGAGCACTTGGAGTTACTCCTGGACTGTGGTTTCTATATTTGAAAATGGAGACACAGGTGACCCTATTTCTTTAATATGAAGGTTCCTCTTCTTGTTGTTCTGGTCTTCCTCTGCCATATTTAAATGGAAATTACTTTTCTGCTCCAGTTAGCAACAGTTTATGCTTTCCAGGTGAGTAAACATATTTCTCTGTGGGATTAAAGGAAGCATCCAAGTTGATTCCCACAGTTGGTTCTGGCTGCCCTCACATTTACCCAGGGCACCCTCTCCTAGCTACCCAGCCTCGCTTCCTTTGATTTACTACAGCCCCAAATCTGCCAATAGCGAGAATTCTAGTGCCATTCTCACCCCTGCAAGGCTCAGTCTCTGGTTAAGAAATGTAGAAAAGGTCAATAGATATGGCATTTCCCTAAGGCAGTGCTTTCTAGCCCTTTTCACATTATGGGACCCAAGAAAATGTATAATATTTGTTTGACGCACTAGGGCAAATGAAAAAAAGATGTTCTTGGCCAGAAGCAATTGAAAGAGGATTTTCTGCCCTCCAGGTTCCAGGCAGTGGCCCCAAGGGCTGTAAAGATCAGTACTGCCCCAGCAAATCTGTAACCTATGTGGCATGCCAGTTGTATTAACTGTATTAACAACTATTTTGAGTTTATTCCATAGAAAGTCACAACATATTGCAGGACAAAAGCACAGGTGGTTCTTCTCAGAAGCCACAGTCTCCCCCTGGGTCCTAGTTCTGATACTTACTAAGGTCTTCTTAAGAATAATGATTCAATTTTAAGTTATATTTTTAAAAATTTGCTTATTTTTTAATTGACACAATAATTGTATATATTTATGGGGGTATAGTGTGATGTTTCAATACATGCATGCAATGTGTAATGATTAAGTCAGGATAATTAGCATTTCCATCACCACAAACATTTGTCATTTTTTCTGTCGGGAGTATTCAAAATCCTCTCTTGATCTGAAAATGTACAATAAATTATTGTTAACTATAGTCATCCTACAGTGCTATAAAACACTAGAACTTATTCCTCCTGTCTAGCTGTAAGTGTATATTCCTGAACCAACCTCTCCTTATTCCTCCGGCTCTCCTCCCTTTCCCTACCTCTGGTAACCATTATTCTACTGTCTACTTCTATAAGATCAACTTTAGCTCCCACATATGTAGTTGTCTATCTGTGTCTGACTTATTTCACTTAATATAATGTCCTACAAGCTCATCCATGTTGCTGTGAATGACAGGATTTTATTCATTTTTATGGCTGAATAGTATTCCATTGTGTATATGCACCATGCTTGCTTTATCCATTCATCTGTTGCTGGATACCTAGGTTGATTCCATATCTTAGCTATTGTGAATAGTGCTGCAATAAACATGACAGGCAGATATTTCTTAGATATACTGATTTATAATTTAAATAGAATAAAATTCACCCTTTAAAAGTGAGCAATTCTATTAATTTTAGCATATTTATAGAGTTGTGCAACCATCACCACAATCTAATTTTACAGCATTTTCCATCATTTCCCAAATAACTCATTTTTAATGTACTCCTGCTTGTGAGGTATCTCAGCCACTTACAAAGTACCATCTTAACCTGGCCCCCTCCTCCAGGTATTTCTGGGAGTGCACAGAGTGTTCCCCAGATGTGTATGAACATGTCTGCTCCTCTCAAACTGTGAAATCTTTGCCAGGTGTTGACACCAATACATACTATCCTCAAAGTGCTAAAGCTAAGACAGGGTCTGTAGCAAAGCCTACGTGGGCAGGAGGAGGCCTCTTTATAGTTTGTGTAGTTGCCTTTGAAGGGATCCTAAAGCTGCATTCTTCATTAGCTCTTTATTGAATACCTGCTATGTGCCAGGTTCTGTGCTAGTACTGGACACTCAAAGCCTAGGTGGAATCGATGCACAGGAAAGTTCCCCAGTTTCTATTGCAAACCAAGTTTTGGAATTCCTCCTCACCTCTTCACCAGCTATGCTTGGGTTTGTTTGATGCCCAGTGAGGTGCACACAAGGATCCTGGTTTCATCCATATATTCACCACTCGGAATTGGCTATTTTTTGTATTTATGATTTGGGCATCACCTTTTCAAAATAAATAAATAAATAAAATATTATAGAAAGATAAAAGCCTGTTCCCTCTCCTACCTCTCAATGAAAATCACAAATTTGTTAAATATCATTCCAGTGTATTTTTTGTACCCATCTTGTGTGCTCTCGGTACTCCCTCTAGACCTATGATCTTTTTTACTAGCCCCTTCCTGGCTTATATGGGCTCTTGTTTCTGATGACACACAGTAAAGACTCTGGAGATTGCCCAGGGGTTCCTGGAGCTTCTTTGCTTGCTGCCACGGGGAGTCAGAAGTGCCTGGGAATTTATGTCTTCCAAGGGGGCCCTTATCAATGACTGACTGGTACAAAAGAAGAAAAACCCAGAGCTCCACTTCTGCATCAGCTGAGGCTGTGAGGACGTGGCCTGAAATCAACCCTTGCTTGGCTTCTCCCCTTTGTCTATCCTGCTTCCCTCCTCCCTCACTGGCTTCCAGGGAGACTACTTTTTTTTTTTCATACATACTGCCAACACTCTTAGAGTACAACAAATTAAAATAGCCTCATTTCACACATGTGTATGATTTTCTGCAGAAAAATTATATTGTCTCTAAGGTATAAACTTAGAGCAATTGCTGGGTCATAGAGCATGCACAGTTTCCATTTTACCAGGTGTTCCCCAAAGTGCTTGCACTCATTCACAGTCTTACCAGCCTTGACTGTGAATCTCCGTTTCCCTCTGTTATTGAAAGCCTGTGATATCGTCAATCTGGTGGCTAAGAAGAGGTGCTACATTATTTTACTTTGTCATCTTAGCATATATTTTTTGCCCTTTCATTTTTTCTATCCTGTGGCTAGCCTGTTCATACCATTTGCCCATTCTTCCGTTGTGTTGTCGTCCTTTTACCATTTGATTTGTAGGAATTCTAGTGTATTCTAGGTGCTTTGCCTGTTAACAAAATTTGGAAACTCTGTATTGTTTCAAAATAGAAATACAATTTAAAAGTTATAAAATAAAATGTTTATTTTAAAATTTAAATAATGCAGAAGAGAAAAAGTATAAAGTAAAACTGATCTTTAATAATCTTCAGTATGTCCTCAGGCTTCACCCCCACCCAATGATGATGAAAATAACTACTGTTAACAGGTAGGCACGTATCGTTCCAGAATGTATAATGCATATGTAAATACAGAGACATAGATTTACATGAATTACTTCACTAAATATTATTAAGCATCTGTCATGAGTCAAGTTTGAGTGATAAGAGAATATGCAAATCATTCAAAATACACAAAATAAAGCAAAACACTCTCTAACTAGCTTTTATCAATATCCCATTTATTGTGAATATTTTCCTATGTGAAAAACATAAATTCCCCTGACTCAGAATAATATTCCTTTGGAAAGCTCCATCATATTTTACTAAACTGATCTTCTGCCAACAAACCTTTTGACTGTTTCCACTTCTTATATTTCATAAAGACTCCTTTGGTGAAAAACCTTGGACATATGTCTGTCTTCTTGAAACTGTCTGAATCTTTCCTTAAAACAAATGTCTACCAGTTGGATCAAGAAATGCCCATTTAAAATTTTTTATACATATTGTCAGATTGCCCTCCAGAAATTTTGCGTTTACACCTTCACCAACAGTATGCAAGTACTGTATGTCCCTTTCCTCATACTATCAAACTCCTCTTTAAAATAAAATAATTGAAAACTATTTCTAGAACCCCAAATATAGTCAATAGTATTTCCTTTCTTTACAAATTTTGAAAAAATAACATAGACAAGAGCAACTTTAGTGAGTGTTTACAGCTCTCATTTAGCAAGGTATTTTAGTCCTTTTATTAATTACTAAATCCTCTCTATGAAACTATTTATTGCAAAGTGAAATATGTTTGAAGGAAGACATGTGATTGAGAAACTCACTCAATGGCATTTAAATTTCAACTATCAGAAAGACTTCCTCCTGAAGTACCTTTCCCCTAGTATGCCCATAGCAAGGACCTCTGTTACTCATTGCAAGGCTTCCTGGCCCACCTACACCTCTTGTGGGTTTTTTAGCTACGTGTGTTTCTGTGACATACAGAAATATACCACTTGTCTTGATGAGATCTCCCCCTTAGACACATATGCTAAGTTTTACTTATTTACTAAAATCTGGAACCAGAAAGAAAAAAATTAACAGGTGGAAGTCGAATGTGAATACTTGGATTTTCACACTAGAATTCTGAAGTCACTTAGCATCTCTAAACTAAAGCACTGGCCCATATCTACCCTACCTCTTGAATTAAGATCTAGAGAGACTTTGGTTAACCAGCAGTCAGTAAAAGCTACGGAAAAGAAATTAACAATGCAAGAATATGAGGGTGCTAATTTTCTAATGTGGCAACAAATTCTAATCCATAAACCCCTTTGTCATGAAGACCTTGATTTCAAAAGGTCTGGAGGCTCAGAAGGAATTTTACACATGGGTGATTTCTGTTGGCCTCTCTGTGTGGTCTTTCCAGTATGCCTCCAGCTCTGCTTGACCAAAGATGTAGCCAAAATGACGAGGTGAAGGCAGGTAGCAACAGAGCTCTGATATTATAAAATAGACTAAAGAAATGCCTGGGTAGTGTTGACATCCAAAGATATCTTTGTTTATTTTCGTATTAGCATGTATGCTTTATTGATAGGTATTTTAGAAAAAGATTCATTGCAGGACACAGAAACCCCCATATTATGCAAAAAAAGGAATTTAATACAGAAAACTGGGGGCTTATGATATCATTAGAAGGCATGAAAGAGTGATTTCTAAGCTCTATTTCTATGAATAATTCATGGAACAATAGAGTACTGACCCACCAGAGTAGCACTACCTCTGAGCCCATGACCAGGATATTGAGTTCCAGGACATAGCATTGTACTGTGATCCAGGAATCAGGAAACCAGAATAAAACAGGGGCCATTAACCTTAAACCCATTGCCACCAGTGCCTCTGGAGAAGAAGCATGGAGAACGGACATGGGAACCTCACATTTTTACAAATGTCCTTTATGCAAAAAAAAAAAAAAAGCCAAAAGGCAGAACTATGACCTCTGTCTCACTTCTACTTTCCAAAACTCACATGAGTTGAGTACATCTAGTCAGCAGAGCCTAAAATTCACATGAAGAATTCAAACTGCCAAGTGCAGTGGTCCATTTGCGTTGTTATAAAGGAATGCTTGAGGCTGGATAATTTATAAAGAAAAGAGGTTTCTTTGGCTCATGGTTCAACAGGCTGTGCAAGAAACACGACACCAGCATTTGCATCTGATGAGAGCCTCAAGAAGCTTCTACTCATGGCAGAAGGCTAAAGTGAGCCTACCACAAGGCAAGAACAGAAAATGAGAGAGAGGATGGAGGTGCCAGACTCTTTTTAAACAGTCATTTATCATGGGAACTAATAAAGTGAGAACTCACTCATTGCTGTGAGGATGGTACCAAGCCATTCAAGAGGGATCCACCCTCATGATATAAACACCTCCTATTAGGCTCCACCTCTAACACTAAGG
Organism: Homo sapiens; assembly: GCF_000001405.40. Taxonomy (NCBI): domain Eukaryota; kingdom Metazoa; phylum Chordata; class Mammalia; order Primates; family Hominidae; genus Homo; species Homo sapiens. Next base: position 39,115,798 of record NC_000023.11, on the reverse strand, counting down.
ATAAAATTTCAACATGAGATTTGGAGGGGACAAATACCCAAACTATATAACCAAGGAATCTAGGAAAATGTAGTTTTAGCTTTCTAGCCTGTGCAATATAGAAAGGTAGCTGAGAAGCTGAGAAAGAGAGTGGAATAAAACTCAAGCAACCCAGTCCCAGGATCCACTACAAAAGACAAATGACCACCCATGAAAACACCACACACACACACACACACACACACACACAGAGAGAGAGAGAGAGAGAGAGACAGAGAGAGAGAGAGAGACAGAGAGAGAGAGAGAGATGCAAATGATACTCAATTAGAGAGAAACACTATGTTAGAAATGGTGCTTCCAAAGGGAATGGTGGCTTCTAAAAGGAATGACTGTTGTTGTTGAGCAGGTTTGTCATCTCCATCAATTCACAAGCTCAGCATTGATATTGTTTTTGTAAAACTTATGATTCATTTGTGACTCAAATAGTCTACATGACTCTGTTGCTTCAGGACAGAGGTTTGTGTTTATAGGGCCAGTTATTTTTTGAATATGTATATATCTTGTTTCCTCTCCCTTCCATGCAGGTGATAAGGGGCTCTTCTGTGAATGTGTTTTATTGCAGACTTGCTCCACAATATAAATATTGGCAGGATCTTTTGACTGCCAGTATTATTAGGTGGACCTTAGTGATCACTACTACAATACTCTCATTTTGCAGTCAAGTAAACTGAGACCCAGAGAAGGGAAGTAAGTGATTTCTTCAGTCTCACAGTAAATTCGTGTGATGGGTAGAACTAGAACCTAGATCTCTTGAATAACTGACCAGGGTATTGGCTGTCATCTCCTTATGAGCTGTCTGTTGAGTCCCTTCAGGAAGAAGAATATATATCCCACTAGTCTTGGGATGTGGCAGATCCCCTGGGGCTGACCCAACAGTCATGCCCAAGTGCCTTCTCCCTTACTTCCCTCCACTATAGAAACTGGAAACCAGATATTCAATTCTCCAGCTAGAAATGTACATGGACCCAGTTTGGATCAATAATATGAAAGGGAAGTCCTTCAGAGGACTGCTCTGATAAAAGGAGTCACTGAATGTAAAAGCCTTTTTGTCTGTTTGATCAACAACACTTCTTTCTGTCCTTGAATGAAGTTGTGATGCTTGGAGTTACAGCAAGCATCTTTCAACTGAGTTTATAAGCACGGGGGCAAAATCCAACAGGCAGAGCTTGGCAGAGCAGAATGGAGGAAAAAGCGTGAGTTATTGATGAGATCACTTCACTGCCTGAGATCTTGAAGAACATTTTCTTTGAGGTGAAGCAGAGTATGGGAAAAGGCAGGTGATTGCATGATCTTTAAAAGTCTTTAATAGGATTATATAAGTAGCACTACACATTATGGAAAAATAGAAAATGCAGCTAAATAAAGAAACAAAGATAAAATCACATGTAATCCCACCATCTTGAAATAATGACTCCTGACTTTTTTTGTGTGCCTTTTGAGATACACACACACACACACACACACACACACGCCCACATCTAATAGCATAGTGGTTGCAAGAACAGGCTGTCAACCAAGACTTCCCGGGTTCAACTGCCTACTCTGCTATTTTTTAGCTGTGATTTTGGGCAAATTAGTTAACTTCTCTGTGTCTCAGTTTTTTGTCTGATAATAGGAGTACTTTACCTCATATAGGTCTTATTGAGATTAAATGAGTTCGTTTTGGCAAAGCACTTGGATCAGTGCCTAGCAAATAGTAATTATTTAACACATATTGGCCATTACTATTATTATATATCTACACAAATTATATCCTATTGCATTTACAGTCTCATGATGCTTTGTTAACTGAATAATTGCATCCTGAACAGAAGGACCTAAATTATTCACATACTTCAGTATCTAAGTGAGTCAGTTGGTATTGTTTATAGGTTCTTGGTGCCTCTAGGATAGGTTTTGGAATCAATCGACCTTCCCATAAGCCCATTCTTATCATCTGAGAGTGGATCGATATTCTGTTCCAAAAATTTTGGCTGCTTTCTGTAATTTTCTTTTCATAACTGACTTTACATCATCTTTTTTAGTAGTTCCTTCTTTGAAGTTGTTTTTCACCACCAGTGTAATGAAGTAAACTATTTTTTGTCTCTTGTAAACAGAGTTTCTTATTATCTTATTTTGTTTGTTGTGGTTTCAAGTGTTCATCTTAATGTCAAGAAGATGGCAAGAAATACCAGTGTGATAAAATCAAATGAAAAACCCATACACATGTAAAAGCTATTTGCAATTTTCAATGAGTTGTGACCCAAGTCTTCCCTAGCCAAAAAGAAGCTAAAAAGCAAGGTGAATAGCCTGGATTTCAAGTCAATAACTCTTCTGCTGTATAATTTATGTGGGAGTAATTAATACCAGTCAAATCCTGTTAAAATGAAGTTCAAGGGAGTACCCAATAATTTGATTGTGTCAGGATTTCATGGCATAAAATATTGCTGATAATAAATATGCATTAGTTAAGTGTCTGTGGTAGGTCACAGAAAATGGCCATAAAATCTTTACAGCTCCACCCATCAAAAGACGGAGTCTATTCCTCCACCCCTTGAATTTGAACTTGGCCATGTGACATGCTTTGGCTGATGGGACATTAGTAAGCGTGACTCCAGTAGAAAGTTAAAAAGTGCTGTGCATGGAGGCTTCATTCTCTTGCTGCTTTGAACTCTTTTGCCAACATATGAACTAGCCTGAGCTAGCATCTTGGAGAATGAAATACAATGTTCCCTAGTCATTTATCCATTCCAGACATTTCAGCTGAGGCTATAGACATATCAATGAGGCCCTCCTAGACCATCAGCTCCAGCCAATCCAGTTCAGATCAGAGGACTGACCAACTGACACACAAAATAATGAGCAAATAAAATGGTTGATTCTCTTAAGATACTAAGTTTTAGAGTAACATGGCAGGCAGAATTCTAAGATGGACCATAAGTCGTCCTTCCCTAATCCCTCTGGATTGTAATATGGTAAGATATCACTGCTGTGATTAGGTTATCTTATAGGGCACCGTTAGCTTTTTGAAAGGAAGATTAGACTACTCTTGGAGTGATGTCAGCAAGATGGTGGAATAGGAAGCCTAGACTTTGTTGCCCCACAGACACACTGATTTAACAACAATATATGGTATATATGGTCCAAAAGCTTTTATGAGAATTATAGAAACAGTTATGAAGACACAGTACCCCTGTCAAGCTGAAAGCCAAGATCAGCCATATTGAAATGGTAAGAAAAGCTGTTTTATTTCAGTTGTGTAAGCCCTTCCCCTAAGCCTGCACAGGTCAACCCCACTGCCTAAAAAAGTCCAATTCATGGCTTCTCTTTTGGAAAGGAGAGAGAAGAGTGGAACATATGTCCAGTGTTCTTGCCTTTGGGAGGTTGCCCAAGGGAATGGTTTCTGACTCAGAGTGCTTACAGAGAACTGGAATGTTTTGGATGCCTGGGGGCTGCTGAGAACAAAAGAAAACGCAGTGGTTTGTTACAGCACCAAAAAAATTTTAACACCACAGACAGTAGCTGATATAGCTTTAGGTGATCTGGGGAAAATGCCTTGTTTACGGCTTCAACCTCAGGAGGAAAACGGAGGAGTGAAACATATATCCAATATTCTGGATTTTCTGGGGGCTGCCCAAGTGACTGGATTCTGTTTTCCCTGACTTGGGTCCCAGAGACTTAGCAAACTAGAAGCCAGGTCATTTGAAATGATCACAGCAGAGGAACAGAAAGAAAGAAGAATGAAAAAAGGAAAAGAAAGCCTAAGGGACTTATGAGACACCATCAGCTAGTCCAATATACACATTTTGGGAGTCCCAGAAGAAGAAAGAAAGGGGCAGAGAACTTATTTGAAGAAGTGATAGCCAAAACCTTCCCAAATCTGAGGAAAGAAATTGATGTACAAATTCAATAATTCAATAAGTTCAAAGGATTCCAATAGGATGAACCCAGAGACCCATACCAAGACACATAATAATCAAATTGTCAAAAGTCAAAGACAAGGAAAGACTCTTGAAAGCAGCAAGAGAAAGGTAACTCCTTATGTACAAGGGAGCACCCATAGGATTATCAGTGGGTTCCTCAGAAGAAATATTATAGACCAAAAGGAAGTGGTATAATATATTCAAAGTGCTAAAAGAAAAAACTGCCAACCAAGAATGTCATATCCAACAAAACTGTCCTTCAAAAATAAAGGGGAAACAAAGACATTCCCAGAAAACAAAAGCTGAGGGAGTTCATCACCACTAGACCTGAATTACCAGAACTGCAAAAGGGAGTACTTCAAATTGAAGCAAAAGCACACTAGACAACAATATAAAAGCAAAGAAAATAAAAATATACAACTTTTTAGTAAAGGTGAATATTAATATATAGACAAATACAGAATCCTGTAATGCTGTAGTTGTGGTGCATAGATCACTTAATTCAGGTATAGAATTTAAAATATAAAAGAATAAGAAAATAACTATGGTTATAAGCTATGTTAATGGCTACAAAATATAAAAATATAGAATTTATGACATGGATGAGCATAAAGTAGGGGGAGGGAGGTGTAAAGAAGTAGAGGTATTGCATGTGACTAAAGTTAAGTTGTTATCAGTTTACAATAGATTGATATAAATATATAATGCTTTAGGTAGTCCCCATGGTAACCACAAAAATACCAATAGAAGATGAACAAAAGAAAATGATAAAATAATAAAACCATGTCACTGCAAGAAAATCAAAGCAATATGAAGAAAGGCAGCAAGAGAGGCAAAGAAAGACAAAATAACTACAAGATACACAGAAAACAATTAACAACGTTTTAATAGTAAGTGCTTTCCTATCAGTAATTACTTTAAATAGATTAAGCTCTCCAATCAAAAGGCATAAACTAGCTAAACAGATAGGAAAGAAGATCCAACCATATGCTGTTTACAAGAGACTTTTTAAAAAAACTTTTGTTTTAGGTTCAGGAGTATATATGTGCAGGTTTGTGATATAGGTAAATTGATTGTCACAGGGGTTTGGTGTACAGATTATTTTGCCACCCAGGTAATTAGCATAGTACCCAGTAGGTAGTTTTTCAATCCTTACTCTTCTCTCTCCCTCCTCCCTCAAGCAGGCCCCAGTGTGTGTTGTTCCCTTTGAGAGACTCACTTTGGATATAAGGACATATGTAGGCTAACAATAAAAGTATAGAAAAATATATTGCTTGCAAATGGTGAATTAAAGAGAGCAGGAGTGTCCACACTTATATCATACAAAATAGAATTTAACAAAAGATCTTTCATAAGAAGCAAAGGAGATTATATAACGATAAAAGAGTCAGTTCATCAGGAAGACATAACAATTATACATATATATTTACCTACCAGCTGATCACCCAAATATATGAAGCAAACATTGATAGAATTGAAGGGAATAGTAGATAGTAATGCAATCATAGTAGGGGATCTCAATAGTCCATTTTCAGTAATGGGTAGATCAACCAGACAGAAAATCAATAAGAAAATAGGGAGCCTGAGCAACACTACTAATTGGCCCTAAAAGACATACACAGAACACTCTACCCAACAATAGCAGAATAAACATTTTTCTCAAGTGCACATGGAGTGTTCTCCAGGTAGATCACATGTTAGACCACAAAACAAGTCTTAACAGATTTATGAAGATTTAAAGAATACCAACTATCTTTTCTGACCACTATACAATGAAACTAGAAATCAACAGAAAAAGCAAAACTGGAAAATCCACAAATATGTGTAAATTGAAAACACTCTTAAAAAACCAATGGGTCAAAGTAGAAGTCACAAGAAATTTGAAAATATCAGGATACAAATGAAAATGAAAATATAGCATACCAAAACTTATGGGACACAGCAAAGGCAGTACTAAGAGGGAAGTTGATAGAGTAACTGCCTACATTAACAAAGAAGAAAGATCTCAAATGGCAACCTGACTTTTCTTCTTAAGGAATTAGAAAGAAAAATTAACTAACTCCAAAAAAGCAGTAGGAAGGAAATCATAAACATTAGAGTAGAAATAAATGAAACAGAGAAGAGAAAAACAATAGAAAAAATAACAAGAGTTGTTTTTGAAAATATCAACAAAATTGGCAACCCCTTAACTAGAGTAAAAGAGAGGAGACTGAAATAACAAAAAGAGGAGGGGACACTTCCATACTCATTTTATGAGGCCAATATTATTATGTTACCAAAGCCAGACAAGGGCACTACCAGAAAATAAAATTACAGACCTATATCCTTGATGAACAAGGCAGCAATAATCATCCGCAAAATACTAACAAACTGAATTAAACAGCACATGAAAAGGATTATACACCATGATCAAGCGGGATTTACCCCTGGGATACAAGGACGATTCAACATGTGCATATTTATAAATGTGATATGTCACATTTTAAGAAAAAGGATAAAAGTCACATGATTGTTTCACTAGATGCAGAAAAGTATTTGACAAAATTCAACCTTCTTTCCTGATAAAAACTCTCAACAAATTAGGTATAGAAGAAATATAACTCAACACAATAAAAGCCATGTATGACAAGCTCACAGGCAGCATCATACTCAATAGTGAAAAGATGTAAGATTTTCCCATAAGATCAGGAACAAGACAGGAGTGCCCACTCTTGCCACTTCTTTTCAACATAGCAGTGAAAGTCCTAGCCAGAACAATTAGGCAAGAGAAAAAAAAGCATCCAAATTGGAAGGAAATAAGTATAATTGTTTCAGTTTGCAGATGACATGATCTTATATAGAGAAAACCCTAAAGACTCCACCAACCATTAGAATAAATAAATGGATTCAGTAAATCTTCAGAATACAAAATCATTATACAAAAATCAATTGCATTTCTATATACTAACAATAACTATCCCAAAAAGAAATTAAGAAAACAATTCCAATTACTATAGCATCAAAAAGAATAAAATACTCAGAAATGAATTTAACCAAGGATGTGAAAGATTGGTACAATGAAAACTATAAAATATTGATTAAAAAAATTGAAGAAGACACAAGTAAGTAGAAAGATATATCCTGTGTTAATGTATTGGAAGGATTAATATTGTTAAAATTCCATAATTCCCAAAGCTATTTTGAGATTCAATGCAATCCCTATGAGAATTCAATGATATTTTTCACAGAAATAGAAAAGTAATTCTAAAATTCATATGGAACTACAGAAGATGTCAAATAGCCAAAGCAATCTTGAGCAATAAAAACAAAGCTGGAGGCATCATACTCTCTGATTTCAAATTATATTACAAGACAATAGTAATCAAAACAGTATGGCACTAGTACAAAAACAGACACAGACCAATGGAACAGAATAGAGAGCCCAGAAATAAATGTTCACATATAGGGTCAAACGATTTTTGACAAGTTGTCACAATGAGGGAAAGACAGTCTCTTTAAAAAAATGGTATTGGGAAAACTGGATATCCACATGCAAAAGAATGAAACTGGACCTGTGCCTTGCACCATATACAAAAATTCACTTGAAATGGATTAAAGATCTAAGCATAAGATCTAAAACTATAAAACTCCTAGAAGAAAACGTAGGAGAAAAGCTTTGTTACATTAGATAAATGGAACTACATCAAACAAAAACTGCACAGCAAATGAAAGAAGCTTTAAAAGAGTGAAAAGGAAACCTACAGAATGAGAGAAAATATTTACAAACCATATATCCATTAAGGAGTTAATATTCAGAATACATAAAGACCTTCAACTCAACAGCAACAACGAAAGAACAAACAATCCAATTTAAAAATGAGCAGATGACTGCAATACAAATCTCTTCAAAAAAGATATATAAGTGACCAATAAGCATATGAAACGATGTTCAACATCACAAATCTTCAGGGAAATGCAAATGACCCTTTAGGATGGCTACCATCAAAAAAGGAGAAAATAACAAGTATTGGTGAGGATGTGGAGAAATTGAAACCCTTTTGCGTTGTTGGTGGAAATGTAAAATGGTGCAGCCACTATGAAAAACAGTAGGGAAATTACTCAAAAAATTAAAACAGTATTACCATATGATCCAGCAACCTCACTTCTGGGTATATAGCCAAAAGAATTAAAAACAGGATCTCAGAGAGAGATTTGAGCACCCATGTTCATTGCAGCATTATTCACAGCAGTCAAGAGGTGAAAGCGACCTAAATGCCCATTGCCAGATGAATGGATAAACAAAATGTAGTATATGCAGAATGGAATATTGTTCAGGCTTAGAAAAGAAGAAACATGCTACATCATGGATGAACCTGGAGGACATTATTTGAAGTGAAGTGAGGCAGTCACAAACAGACAAATGCTGCATGATTCCACTTATATGAGGTATCTAAAGTAATCAAACTCTTAGAAACAGAAAATGGAGTAGTGGTTTCCAAAGGTTGGATATGGGGAAAATGGGGAGTTGTTTCTCAATGGATACAGTAATTCAGTTTTGCAAGATTAAAGTTCTAGAGATCTATTGCACAGCAATGTGCACGTGGTTAACACTACTATACTGTACACTTAAAAACACTTAAGATAGTAAATTTTTGGCCAGGCGGGGTGGCTCATGCCTATAATCCCAGCACTTTGGGAGGCTGAGGTGGGCAGATCACCTGAGGTCGGGAGTTCGAGACCACACTGACCAACATAGAGAAACCCCATCTCTACTAAAAATACAAAGTTAGCCGGGCGTTGTGGCACATGCCTGTAATCTCAGCTACTCAGGAGGCTGAGGCAGGAGAATCGCTTAAACCCGGGAGGCGGGGGTTGCAGTGAGCTGAGATCCTGCCATTGCACTCCAACCTGGGCAACAAGAGTGAAACTCCATCTCAAAAAAAAAAAAAAAAAAGATAGTAAATTTTTATGTTGTGTATTTTTTACCACAATTTTAAAAAGAAATAAAACAAGATTATTCTGGGTAGATTGACCTAACTCTATACAGTTTTTAAAAGTGAAGTTTTCTCTGGCTAGAAGCAGGAAGAAAGTCAGAGATTCAAGCATAAGAATAATTTGATGCACAGTTGCTAGTTTGAAGATGAAAGAAGTCATATGGCAAGGAATAAAGGTGGTCTCCAGGGACTGAGAGCGGCCCCCAGATGATAACCAACAAGGATATGGGACATCCGTCCTACAACTGCAAGAAACTGAATTCTGCCAATAGCAAAAATGAGCTTAGAAGCTGATTTTTATCCCCAGTGTTTTCCAGATTAGAATTTAGCCTGATAACTTGATCTCAGTCTTGTGATGCCTTGATCAGGGAACCCAGACCAGCTATGCTGAACTGCTGAGTTACAGAATTGTGAGCTAAGAAATGAGGACTGTTTTAAGCAACTAATTTTGTATAAATGCATCATATAACAATAGAAAACCAATGCAGTTGATTTATGCAGCAGAAGTTTGCTGAAACAAGGTGGAAGAATTTATATGTACAATTGTAACAGAATTATTTGTAATGCAATTTAACCTATGTGTCAAGGGTACGCACAAAATGTGACACATTCTGGGTAATGAAGGTCAGGTCATCAAAAGAGATACAAGACGGCTGAGCACGGTGGCTCACGCCTGTAATCCCAGCACTTTGGGAGGCCGAGGCCGGTGGATCAGGAGGTCAGGAGATTGAAACCATCCTGGCTAACAAGGTGAAACCCTGTCTCTACTAAAACTACAAAAAATTAGCCAGGCGTGGTGGCGGGGGCCTGTAGTCCCAGCTACTGGGGAGGCTGAGGCAGGAGAATGGCGTGAACCAGGGAGGCAGAGCTTGTAGTGAGCCGAGATTGTGCCACTGCACTCCAGCCTGGGCAACAGAGCGAGACTCCATCTCAAAAAAAAAAAAAAAAAAAAGAGATACAAGACTACGCCCTTATCCCTTGTTTAATGATTTCGATTAATTCCTGAAAAACCCATTATTCAGGGTAATACTGTTATATAAAAAAATTCCATTAAAGTCTTCCTTAATGTGAAAATAAAGAAAATGTATCCTCAAGATATAGAGGGGACAAATTGTAACAATTTGTGATATGACAACAAATAATATTTCTTAGCTTTTAATTTCATAATTATTACAGATTCACAAAAAGTTGCAAAAATACTACAGAGAGGTCTCCTGTACCCATGACCCAGCTTCCCACAATGGGAACATCTTACATAACTATAGTACATTATCAAATCCAGGAAATTGACATTGACATAATACAATTCACTAGACTACAGACTTTATTCTGGTTTTGCCAGTGTTTTCATCACTTATTTAGTATGTACAGTTCTATGAAATTTGATCACATGTATAGATTTATAGAACCACCATCACCAACAATATATACAACTGTCATGTCACCATAAAAGAACTCTTTTGTGTTGATGCTTTATAGTCATACCTTCCCACTCCCTCTCCAAATCCTTGACAAACACCAATCTGTTCTCCTTGTCTATGATTTTGTCATTTTGAGAATATTATACATACATCATGTTACCTTTTGAGATTGGCTTTACTGACTCATTACAATAACCTTGATCTATCCAAGTTGTTACATGTATCAATAGCTCATTACTATTTATTGATGAGTAGCATTCCATGGTATGGATGTACCACAGGTTTGTTTCTCCATTAACTTGTTGAGGGTCCTTTAGATTGTTTCCAATTTTTGGCTTTTACACATATAAACCTGCTAAGTACATTCATGTACAGCTTTCTGTGTAAATGCAAGTGTTCATTTTTCTAGGATAAATGTCCAGAAGTGTGGTTGCTGGATTATATGATAAATGTATGTTTACCTTAAGAAATAACTAAATTGTTTTCCAAAGTGATTGTGCAATCTTACATTCCCACCAGAAATGTACGAGAGATCCAATTCCTCCAGTATACCACCAGTACTTGGTATAGTCAGTATTTTTTTTTAAATTCTAGCTATTCTAAAAGATGTTTAGTGGTTTTAATTTGCATTTTCCTAGTGGCTAATGATGGTGAACACTTTTTTCAAATGTACTTAGTTTCCACCCATATATCTTCTTTGGTAAAATGCTATTCAAATATTTTTGTCTGTTTTCTAACTGGACCGTGTTGTTTTATTACTGTTGAGTTTAGATAATTCCTTATATATTCTGGTTATGACTCCTTTCTCAGATATATGATTTACAAATATTTTTCCCAGGCTGTGGCTTATCTTTTCATCCTCTTCATCTCACAGAGCAAAAATTTCACATTTTGATTAAGTAGATTTGGGTGATCTTTTAAATCTATGGATAATGTATTTTGGCATCACATTTAAGAACTCTCTTGCTAACAAAGATGTTTTCTTATGTTTTCTTCAATAAATCTTATAGTTTTACATTTATAATCCATTTTGAAATAAAAATGTTAATATGAGGTAGAAGGCTTGTTCTGTGTGTTTGTATGTGTGTTTGTGTGTGTTTTGGCCCATTGATGTCCAATTGTTCTAGTAACATATGCTGAAAAGACAATAGTTCCTTCCTTGAATTGCTTTTGTATCTTTGCAAAAATTAGTTACACATGTTTGGTGAATATTATTTTGGGGTTCTCTATTCTATTCCACTGATCAATCTATGTATGTATGTATGTACATATGTATGTATCTATCTGTTTGCCTGTCTCTCCCTCCACTAATGCTACGCTGTCTTTGTTACTGTAAATATATACTATGTCCTAAAATTTGGTAGTGTGATTCCTCCAACTTTATTTTTTTAACATCGTTTTAGCTATTCTAGTTTCTTTGTCTTTCCATATAATTTTTATATTATGCTTGTCTATATCTACAAAAGATACTGCTGGCGTTTTTATAGAAATTGTGTTGACTCTATAGATCAATTTTAGGAGAAATAACATCTTTACTATGTTTAGTCTCCCAATCCATGAACATGGTATTGTCTCTCCATATATTTATAACTTTGTTGATTTATTTTATCAAAATTCAACAGTTTTAGCATATAGTATCTGTATATGTTTTACTAGATTTATACCTTTGTGTACCTTTTCTGGGAACAATTATAAATGGTATTGAATTGTTTTTCATTTTGTTTTCCAATAGTTCATTGTTTGTATATAAAAAAGTGATTAATTTTTGTGTAAATTTGCTAAATTTACTTATAATTTATAGAGGTTTTCCTATAAAGTCCTTGGGATTTTTCTACATAGACAATATATCTTCTACTATCTTCTACAAATAAAAAGCATTTATTTATTCTTTTCTAATCTGCCTGCCTTTTATACCCTTTTCTTGCCTTTTATGTCCTTATTGCACAGGCTAAGACTTGTAGTACTATGTCAAATGAGGGTAGTAGCAGTAGCCATCCTTGTCTTAGCTCTGGCAAAATACATTCAGTCTTTCACATTGCGTATAATGTTAGCCATAGAGTTTTTTGTTTTGTTTTTCTGCAATTGCCCTTTTTCTGGTCAAGAATATTCAAGTTCCTTTCAATTCCTAGTTTGCTGAAAGTTTTTCCCAGGAATGGAATTTGGATTTTGTTAAGTACCTTTTCTGCATCAATTAATATGATCAAGCAAGTTTTCTTATTCAGTTCTGTTAGCATAGAGGATTACATTGATTGATTTTCAAATACTGAACAGCCTTTGCATTCCTGGAATAAAATTCCTTGGTTGTCATCTGTAATTCCATTTATATGTTTCTAGATTTGATTTGCTAATGTTTTGTTGAAAATTTCTGTGTCTATGTTCCAGAGGGATATTGGTTTGTAATTTTCTTTTATCATGCTATAGTTGACTTTATGTCTGTAAAGATGTTTGTAGAATCATCTTATTACTCCTTTAGTATCTGTGGTGTTCACAGTGGTATCCCTGTTCATTTCCAATATTAATAACTTATGACTTCTTTGTTTTTCAGTTGTGCTAGGATTTTATCAATTTTCTTAACATTTCCAACGAATCTGCGTTAATTTTTTATTCATTCCTCTCTATTTTCCTGTTTTCAATTTCATGTATTCATGCTCTTATTTTTATCATTTTTCTTCAATTGCTTGCTCTCTGGTTTATTTTATTGTTTTTCTAATTTGTTGATGTAGAAACTTAGATTATTATTTTGAAACCTTTAATCTTTCCTAATATAAGCATTTAATACTATAAATTTCCTTATATGAACAGCTTTAGCTGCATTTCACAAGCTTTGGGTTGTTGTATTTTCATTTTCCTTCAGTTCTATGTAGGTTTTTATTTTTATTGAAACTACCTCTTTGACTCATGAATTGGTTAGAAGTATGTTGTTTAATTTCCAAGTATATGGAGATTTACCAGTTGTCTTTCTGTTAATTTTTAGTTTGATTCAATTATGATCAGAGATGATATCTAAACAGTTTTAATTCTTTTCAGTTTGTTGAGTTTTATTTTATGAGCCAGGATATGAAGTATCTTTGTGACTGTTCTGTGCATGATTTAAAAAATGTGAATTCTTCCCATCTCTACTGAAAATACAAAAAATTAACGGGGCAGGGTGGTGGGCGCCTGTAATCCCAGCTACTCCGGAGGCTGAGGCAGGAGAATGGCGTGAACCCGGGAGGCGGAGCTTGCTTGCAATGAGCCGAGATATAGCGCCACTGCACTCCAGCCTGAGTAACAGAGCGAGACTCCATCTCAAAAACAAAAAGCAAAAAACAAACAAACAAAAAAAAGTGAATTCTTATATTGCTGGGTGAAATGCTTTATAAGTGTTAATTAGATCCTGCGGCTAATAGTATTGTTCAGTTCCCTTATATCTTCACTGATTTTCTATGTGGTGATTCTATCAATTATTGAGAGAGGGGTATTGAGCTCTTGAGTATAATTGTGAATTTATCTATTTCTCTTTTCAATTCTGTAAGTTTCTATTTCGTGTGTTTTGTTAGCACCATTATTTGGCAATACACATTTATAATTGTTATGTCTTCTTGGTTGATTGACCCTTTTATCATCATGGAGTATCTCTCCTTGCATTTAATAATTTCATTTGCTTTATCTGCTTTATCTAATATTAGTATAGCCACTCTAGCTTTCTTTTGGTTAGCGTTTACATGGTATATCTTTTTCCATCTGTTTACTTTTATTCTTCCTGTCAAACTATCCGTGGTTGCAGATGACATGATCCTATATCTAGAAAACCCCATCGTCTCAGCCCAAAAGCTTCTTAAGCTAATAAACAACTTCAGCAAAGTCTCAGGATACAAAATCAATGCACAGAAATCACTAGCATTCCTATACACCAACAACAGTCATACCAAGAGCCAAATCAGGAACGAATTTCCATTCGTAATTGCCACAAAAAGAATAAAATATCTAGGAATACAGCTATCTAGGAAGGTGAAAGATCTCTACAAGAAGAATTACAAACCACTGCTGAAAGAAATTAGAGATGATACAAACAACTGGAAAAACTTTCCATGCTCATGGTTAGGGAGAATCAGCATCGTTTAAATGGCCATATTGCCCAAAGCAATTTATAGATTCAATGCTATTCCTATTAAACTACCATTGATGTTCTTCACAGAACTAGAGAAAACTACTTTAAAATTCATATGGAATCAAAAAAGAGCCCGAACAGCTAAGGCAATCCTAAGCACAAAGAACAAAGCTAGAGGCATCACGCTACCCAACTTCAAATTATACTACAGGGCTACAGTAACCAAAACAGCATGGTATTGGTACAAAAACAGACACATACACTAATGGAACAGAATAGAGAACCCAGAAATAAGGCTGCACACCTACAACTATCTGATCTTTGACAAACGTGACCAAAACAAGCAATGGAGAAAAGATTCCCTATCCAATAAATGATGCCAAGATAACTGGCTAGCCATGTGCAGAAGATTGAACCTGGACCCCTTCCTTGCATCATTTACCAAAAAAAAAAAAACTCAAGATGGATTAAAGACTTAAATGTAAAACCCAAAAGTATAAAAACTCTGGAAGACAACCTAGGTAATACATTTCAGGACATAGGCACAGACAAAGATTTCATGGCAAAGATGCCAAAAGCAATTGCAACAAAAGCAAAAATTGACGAAGAACATCTAATTAAATAGCTTCTGCACAGCAAAAAGAAACTATTAATAGAGTAAACAGACAACCTAAACAATGGGAGAAAGTTTTTGCAAACTATGCATCTGACAAAGATTTAATATCCAGCATCTATGAGGAACTTAAACAAATTTACAAGAACAAAGCAAACCCCATGATAAAGTGGACAAAGGACATGAACAGACACTTTTCAAAAGAAGACATACATGTGGCCAACGAGCATATTTAAAAAAGCTCAACATCACTGATCATTCAAAAATGCAAATCAAAACCACAATGAGATAGCATCTCACACCAGTCAGAATGACTATTATGAAAAAGTCAAAAAATAACAGATGCTGGCGAGGTTATGGAGAAAAAGGAACACTTATACACTGTTGGTGGGAATGTAAATTAGCTCAACCATGTGGAAGAGAGTGTGGCAATTCCTCAAAGACCTAAAGACAGAAATACCATTTGACCTAGCAATCTTATTACTGAGTATATACCCAAAGGAATATAAATCATTCTGTTATAAAGACACATGCACATGTATGATTATTGTAGCACTATTCACAATAGCAAAGACATGGAATAAACCTAAATGCCTATCAAGGATAGACTGGATAAAGAAAAGGTGGTACATATACACCACAGAATACTATGCAGCCATAAAAAATAACAAGATTGTGTCTTTTGCAGGGACATGGATGGAGCTGCAGGCCATTATCCTTAGCAAACTAATTCAGGAACAGAAATGTAGATACTGCATGTTCTCACTTATAAGTGGAAGCTAAATGATGAGAACACATGGACACATAGAGAGGAACAATAAACACCAGGGCCTATTGGAGGGTGGAGGGTGGGAAGAGGGAGAAGATCAGGAAAAATAACTAATGGGTACTAGGCTTAATACCTGGTGAAGAAATAATCTGTACAACAAACCCCCATGACACAAGCTTACCTATGCAACAAGGTAAACTTTTCATTTCCTATATCATTGTACTTGAGATTCCTATAGACAGAATATAATTGGGTCATTTTTTAAATCTACTGTGTCTATTATTACCTTTTACTTGGTATATTTATATAAATTACATTTAAAACAATTATTGTTAGGATATACATCTGATACTTTATTGTTTTCTAGTTGTTTTGATTTTTGTTTCTTTCTTTCCCCTTTTCTGCCTTCTTCTGGTTTACTTGAATTATTTTTAGCATTGTGTCATGCTTTATATAGAGGATTTGAATATGTAGTCAGCCCTCTGTATCAGTGAATTCAATTGCTGATCAAAAATACTTGAAAAAAATAACAACATAACAATAAAAAGTCAATATAGCATAACAACTATTTACATAGCACTTACATTGCATTGGGTATTATAAATAATCTAGAGATGATTTGAAGTATATGAGAGGATGTGCATAGGTTATATTATATTATACTATGCCATGAGTGTTTTGGGGTGAGAAAATTGTACCAAAATACAATAGAGAAATAGTAAAAAAGAAACAGTTGCCCTAAAAGTGGTATAGCTTTCTAAAAGCTGATATGACAGGAAGTCATTAACTAAACAGTCATTATGATAAGTAAATATATATAATTTAAGCCAAAATCATGTTGAGATAGCTGGAGATCTGTTAATAAAGCAAGAAAACTTGGTACAACTTCACTGAGATTTCCTGAGGTCTTCCTGGGAAGAAAGGAAAAAGACAGGCTCCAGTTTGACCACATTCTTGGAGGAAAGCAATGATTCTGAGTATGCCTAGTAGATGTCACATAAATTCATTCCCACCCCAGCTCTAAGGGTTCTTAGGGAGAGAAGGACCATGAGTAAAAACCATTTTATTAAGGTTTCTAAAAGACTCAAGGTTACACACATCCATCTTTCAGACTGCAAGAAAGAGGAGAGCACTAAATTTTTCTCCTTCCTCACAGCTTGGGCTTTATCATGGGTCTGGTGCCTCCAAAATGGACCTGGCCATGGTACGGAGCAGCGGTGGCACCTGGTGGAAGATTCTGGTGCCTGATGAAAGAAAGAGAACAGCATCTCTTGGCAAGTGTGGTACATGGCATTAATGCTACAATATTTCTTTCTTCCTTGTTTCTGCACCCTTTGCCATCAAAGTGTGTACTTCTTCTTGATTCTGGGTTCAGCCATGTGATTGCTTTGGCCAATAGAATGAGCCAGAAGTGAGGGTGGGTCAGGTCCAATGAAGCAGTAATTGATTCTGACCCTTTTGCCATTGCATGAGAAATACATGCCTGGGTTAGCCATTGGTCTCACAAAGATGAGGGAAACATGGAGCACAGTTGAGACACCCAGGTAAACCCATCTTGGATTTTTAGAATCTCCAACTTAAAAGTGTAAGAAGCCCAGTCAAGGTTAGCAGAACGGTTTTTCTGAGTCCATCCTAAAGCAGCCTATGCTTATGCAATACTCTGGTTGCATAAAAAAATATAGTTGAATGCCATGGAAGTTTTTTAGTTAATTTATTATTCAGCAATAATCTGAAAATAGGTAATTGATGCCGTGAGAGAGACTCTTTCATAAGCACATGAAAACACCTTGTGGAGAATAATTTGTAGAGGGGTCCATTAACAGTGATGGCACAAGAACTAGTGAAATTTGATTCATTACCATGAAGGTGATTCCCATTAGTATTTACTATGCTGTGAGCATTGAGGATATTGTCTTTAGTGGTTGATAAAGAATTTCAAAAGACTATGGCAGGATATGCATATATATATATTATATAATATATATATGTTATATATATTATATAAAATATATATGTTATATATATTATATATATTATATAAAATATATATGTTATATATATTATATATATATTATATATAATATATACAAATAAAATATATATTATATATACATATAAAATATATATTATATATAAAATATATATTATATAATATATATTTTATATAATTATTATACATAATATATTGTATATTATATATTATATATAAAATATATATTACATATTATATATAAAATATATATTACATATTATATATAAAATATATATTATATATATTATATATTAAATATATATTATATATAAAATATATAAAATATATATTATATATTATATATAAAATATATATTATATATACGATATATATCTCATATGCACACATATATACATATATCTGTGAACATTTATCAAACTGTATGTTTAAGATTTATTGGATTTATGTAAGTTATATTTCATTTTATAAAAAATTAAAAAGAAAAATACCCTATTTCAATATAACCCATGATATCCTTTTTAACAGAAATCTAGCAAGAATAAAGGGCCTGTGCACATGTCAAATGTACTTGGCCCTGCTGACATGAGCCTCTCACTAGTCCTTGGCACCCTTATTCCA
The DNA here is from genome assembly GCF_000001405.40 of Homo sapiens. Taxonomy (NCBI): domain Eukaryota; kingdom Metazoa; phylum Chordata; class Mammalia; order Primates; family Hominidae; genus Homo; species Homo sapiens. The sequence continues at coordinate 39,097,380 of NC_000023.11, read as the reverse complement.
GGAGCAGGAAGGTCATGCACAGTCCTGATTTCAGAGCGAGTGCTATTCCATGGAGGAAGAGAATGGGGCTAACTCAGAAATCTATCATCATCAGCAATGGCCCCACGCTTGGACAGCCAGTCGGCATGCAGGCTGAGACAGCCAGACCTGCAAAATGAGGAATCTGTGATGCAAATAAATAATCATCAGGCTTCTTCAGCAGAGGTGCTACTCAGCAGTCCACCTGAACAGCTGTGGCTTGCTCCCAACCAGGGAGCATGTTTGTGATTTCTTTATTATGGTAATCATCCCCAATAGACTACAGAAGGAATTTAGACCTTTTTCCCCTCCAGCCTCCACACTCTTCCATTGTCCATCCATTCTCTTTCCTAAGTCTATTCACTTCCTTCTTCCCCTTTCCTTTCTCCTCTGAGGAGCTGCATTGATTACCTACAACTGGCTTATCAGTCCCAACACATTATTTTTTAAAAGTTCAATTCTGAAGCATGATGCACCCATGGCCAAATCTACTGAGGGTTAGACAACTACTCATAGCCAAGGCTGCTAAGTGCAATAGAGAGCTGACTGTGAAAAATGGTGCTTTCTGTTTTCTGCTGCACAGCACTGCACTCTGGAACTGGCAGCCTGTAATTAACTGCCGAGTTGCCTTCTATCAAACTGCAGCAGGAGGGAAAAAATCTCTAGAGATAGCAATAATGGAATAGAAAGAACACTGGGCTCTATCTCTGATAATCAGAGTGTGAATCTTGGTCTTGATTTAGTAGATGTGGAACATTAGGCCCTGCCTACTCAAAGTGTGGTACATGGACCAGCAGCATCAGTGTCCCATGGAGAATTTCAGGACTCAGCCCAAACCTACTGCATTCAAATCTGCATTTTAGCCAGATCTCCAAATGAAATATGAGGAATACTGAATTAGGGAAATCACTGGGTCTTATTTTCCACATTTGAGTTAATATATAGAGAGAAATTAGAACAGTGTCTAGTATAGAGCAAGTGCTATCTAAGTGGTGCCAATAACATGGTTATAATTAGAATATTGTTCCACTTCACCCCCCCAATTTTTTATTGTGGAAAAAACACATGAAATTTATCATCTTAATCATTGCAAATGTGCAGTTCATTGGTATTTAAATACATTGAGGATGTCATGCAGACATCACCACCATCCATCCGCAGAACTCTTTGCATCTCGTAAGACTGAAATTCTATGCCCGTTAAATGCTAACTCTTCATTTCCCATTCTTCCCAGCCCCTGGAAACCACGATTCTACTTTCTGTCTCAGTGATTTTGACTACTCTAGGTACCTCATATAAGTGAAATTATATTGTACTTGCCTTTTTGTGACTGGCTTATTTCATTTTGCAAAATGTCCTCAAGATACATCAATGTTGTAGCATGTTGCAGAATTTCCATTCCTTTTAAGGCTGAATAATATTCCACTGTATGCATATACCACATTTTGCTTATCGGTTCATCCATCAATAGACACTTGGGTTGCTTCCATGTTTTAGCTATTGTGAATAATGCTGCTATCAGCATGAGTGTACAAATAGATCTTCAAGACCCTGCTTTCAATTCTTTTGAGTATGTACCCAGAAATAAAATTGCTGGATCATATGGTAATTCTATTTCTAATTTTTTGAGGAACCACCATACTCTTATACACTGGCTATACTGTTTTATATTCCCACTAACAGTGCATAAGGGATCCCGTTTCTCCATATACTCAACAACACTTGTTATTTTCTGTTGTTGTTGTAGTAGCCATCCTAATGGATTTGAGGTGGTATACCATTGTAGTTTTTTGTTTCGTTTTGCTTGTTTTATTATACTTTAAGTTCTGAATACATGTGCAAAACGTGCAGGTTTGTTACATAGGTCTACACATGCCATGGTGGTTTGCTGCATCCATCAACCCATCACCTACATCAGGTATTTCTCTTAATGCTATCCCTTCCCTAGCACCCCACCCCGACAGGCCCCAGTGTGTGATGCTCCCCTCCCTGTGTCCATTGTTCAACTCCCACTTATGAATGAGAACATGCAGTGTTTGGTTTTCAGTTCCTGTGTTAGTTTGCTGAAAATGATGGCTTCCAGCTTCATCTATGTCCCTGCAAAGGACATGAACTCATCCTTTTTTATGGCTGTATAGTATTCCATGGTGTATATGTGCCACATTTTCTTTATCCAGTCTATCATTGATGGGCATTTGGGTTGGTTCCAAGTCTTTGCTATTGTGAACAGTGCTGCAATAAACATACGTGTGCATGTGTCTTTATAGTAGAATGATTTATAATTCTTTGGGTATATACCCAGTAATTGGATCGCTGGGTCAGATGGTATTTCTGGTCACAGAATCGTCACACTGTTTTCCACAATTGTTGAACAAATTTACACTCCCACCAACAGTGTAAAAGCGTTTCTATTTCTCCACATCCTCTGCAGCATTTGTTTTTTCCTGATTTTTTAATGATTGCCATTCTAACTGGTGTGAGATGGTATCTCATTGTGGTTTTGATTTGCATTTCTCTAATGACCAGTGATGATGAGCTTTTTTCATATGTTTGTTGGCCGCATAAATGTCTTCTTTTGAGAAGTGTCTGTACATACCGTTTGCCCACTTTTTGATGGGGTTGTTCAATTTTTTCTTGTAAATTTGTTTAAGTTCTTTGTAGATTCTGGATATTAGCCCTTTGTCAGATGGATAGATTGAAAAAATTTTCTCTCATTTTGTAGGTTGCCTGTTCACTCTGGTGATAGTTTCTTTTGCCGTGCAGAAGCTCTTTAGTTTAATTAGATCCCATTTGTCAATTTTGGCTTTTCTTGCCATTGCTTTTGGTGTTTGACTCATGAAGTCTTTGCCCATGCCTATGTCCTGAATGGTATTGCCTAGGTTTTCTTCTAGTATTTTTATGGTTTTAGGTCTTACGTTTAAGTCTTTAATCCATCTTGCATTAATTTTTGTATAAGGTGTAAGAAAGGGGTCCAGTTTCAGTTTTCTGCATATGGCTAGCCAGTTTTCCCAACACCATTTATTAAATAGGGATTCCTTTCCCCATTTCTTGTTTTTATCAGCTTTGTCAAGGATCAGATGTTTGCAGATGTGTGGCGTTATTTCTGAGGCCTCTTTTCTGTTCCTTTGGTCTACATATCTGTCTTGGTACCAGTACCATGCTGTTTTGGCTACTGTAGCCTTGTAGCATAGTTTGAAGTCAGGTGGCCTGATGCCTCCAGCTTTGTTCTTTTTGCTTAGGATTGTCTTGCCTCTATGGGCTCTTTTTTGGTTCTATATGAAATTTAAAGTAGTTTTTTCTAATTGTGTGAAGAAAGTCAATGGTAGTTTGATAGGGATAGCATTGAATCTATAAATTACATTGGGCAGTATGGCCATTTTCACAACATTGATTCTTCCTATCAATGAGCATGGAATGTTTTTCCATTTGTTTGGGTCCTCTCTTATTTCCTTGAGCAGTGGTTTGTAGCTCTCCTTGAAGAGGTCCTTCACATCCCTTGTGAGTTGTATTCCTAGATATTTTATTCTCTTTGTAGCAATTGTGAATGGGAGTTCACTCATGATTTTGCTCTCTGTTTGTCTATTATTGGTGTACAGCAATGCTTGTGATTTTTACACATCGATTTTGTATCCTGAGACTTTGCTGAATTTGCTTATCAGCTTAAGGAGATTTTGGGCCGAGACAATGGTGTTTTCTAAATGTACAGTCATGTCATCTGCAGAGACAATTTGACCTCTTTTCTTACTGTTTGAATACCTTTTATTTCTTTCTCTTGCCTGATTACCCTGGCGAGAACTTCCAATACTATGTTGAATAGGAGTGGTGAGAGAGGGCATCCTTGTCTTGTGCTGGTTTTCAAAGGGAATGCTTCCAGCTTTTGCCCATTCAGTATGATATTGGCTGTGGGTTTGTCATAAATAGCTCTTATTATTTTGAGAAACGTTCCATCAATACCTAGTTTTTTTTTTTTTTTTTTTTTGAGACGGAGTCTTGCTCTGTCGCCCAGGCTGGAGTGCAGTGGTGGGATCTCGGCTCACTGCAAGCTCCGCCTCCCGGGTTCACGCCATTCTCCTGCCTCAGCCTCCCAAGTAGCTGGGACTACAGGCGCCCGCCACTACGCCTGGCTAATTTTTTTGTATTTTTAGTAGAGACGGGGTTTCACCGTTTTAGCCGGGATGGTCTCGATCTCCTGACCTCGTGATCCGCCCGCCTCGGCCTCCCAAAGTGCTGGGATTACAGGCGTGAGCCACCGTGCCTGGCCAATACCTAGTTTTTTGAGAGTTTTTAGCCTGAAGGGGTGTTGAATTTTGTCGAAGGCCTTTTCTGCATCTATTGAGATAATAATGTGGTTTTTGTCATTGCTTCTGTTTATGTGATGGATTACATTTATTGACTTGTATATGTTGAACCAGCCTTGCATCCCAGGGATGAAGCTGACTTGATCATGGTGGATAAGCTTTTTGATGTGCTGCTGGATTCGCTTTGCCAGTATTTTATTGAGGATTTTCGCATCGATGTTCATCAGGGATATTGGCCTGAATTTTTTGTTGTTGTTTTTGTGTCTTTGCCAGGTTTTGGTATCAGGATGATGCTGGCCTCATAAAATAAGTTAGGAAGAAGTCCTTCTTTTTCTATTGTTTAGAATAGTTTCAGAAGGAATGGTACCAGTTCCTCTTTGCACCTCTGGTAGAATTTGGCTGTTAATCTGTCTGGCAGAAATTGCTGTTGGTCTATTCAGGGATTCGACTTCTTCCTAATTTAGTCTTGGGAGCATGTATGTGTCCAGGAATTTATCCATTTCTTCTAGATTTTCTAGTTTATTTGCATAGAGGTGTTTATAGTATTTTCTGATGGTAGTTTGTATTTCTGTGGAATCAGTAGTAATATCCCCTTTATCATTTTTTATTGTGTCTATTTGACTCTTCCCTCTTTTCTTCTTTATTAGTCTGGCTAGTGGCCTATTTTGTTAACCTTTTAAAAAAAACCAGCTCCTGTATTCATTGATTTTTTGAAGGGTTTTTCATATCTTTATCTCCTTCAGTTGTGCTCTGATCTTAGTTATTTCTTGTCTTCTGCTAGCTTTTGAATTTGTTTGCTCTTGCTTCTCTAGTTCTTTTAATTGTGATGTTAGAGTGTCGATTTTAGATCTTTCCTGTCTTCTCCTGTGGGCATTTAGTGCTATAAATTTCCCTCTAAACACTGTTTTAGGTGTGTCCCAGAGATTCTAGTATATTGTGTCTTTGTTTTCATTGGTTTCAAAGAACTTATTTACTTCTGCCTTAATTTCATTATTTATCCAGTAGTCATTCAGGAGCAAGTTGCTCAGCTTCCATGTAGTTGTGCGGTTCTAATTTGATTGCACTGTTGTCTGAGAGATTGTTTGTTATGATTTCCGTTCTTTTGCATTTGCTGAGGAGTGTTTTACTTCCAAGTATGTGATCAATTTTAGAATAAATGCTATTTGGTGCTGAGGAGTGTTTTACTTCCAAGTATGTGATCAATTTTAGAATAAATGTTATTTGGTGCTGAGAAGAATGTATATTCTGTTGATTTGGGGTGGAGAGTTCTGTAGATGTCTATTAGGTCTGCTTGGTACAGAGCTGAGTTCAAGTTCTGAATATCCTTGTTAATTTTCTGTCTCCTTGATCTGTCTATTATTGACGGTTGGGTGTTAAAGTCTCACACTTGTGTGGGAGCCTAAATCTTATTATAGGTCTCTAAGAACTTGCTTTATGAATCTGGGTGCTCCTGTATTGGGTGCATATATATTTATATACTTAGGATAGTTAGCTCTTCTTGTTGCATTGATCCCTTTACCGTTATGTAATGCCCTTCTTTGTCTTTTTTGATCATTGTTGGTTTAAAGTCTGTTTTATCAGAGACTAGGATTGCACCCCTTGCTTTTTTGTTTGTTTGTTTGTTTGTTTGCTTTCCATTTGCTTGGTAAATATTCATTCCTCCATTCCTTTATTTTGAGCCTACGTGTGTCTTTGCACATGACATGGGTCTTGACTCTTTATCCAATTTGCCAGTCTGTGTCTTTTAATTGAGGCATTTAGCCAGTTTACATTTAAGGTCAATATTGTTATGTGTGAATTTGATCCTGTCATTATGAAGCTAGCTGGTTATTTGCACCATTAGTGGATTCAGTTTCTTCATAGTGTCGATGGTCTTTACAATTTGGTATGTTTTTGCAGTGACTGGTACTAGTTTTTCCTTTCCATGTTTAGTGCTTCATTCAGGAGCTCTTGTAAGGCAGGCCTGGTTGTGACAATATCTCAGCATTTGCTTGTCTGTAAAGGATTTTATTTCTCTTTCACTTATGAGGCTTAGTTTGGCTGGATATGAAATTCTTGGTTGAAAATTCTTTTCTTTAAAAATGTTGAGCTGGGTGCAGTGGCTCACGCCTGTAATCCCAGCACTTTGGGAGGCCAAGGCGGGTGGATCACAAGGTCGGGAGATTGAGACCATCCTGGCTAACACGGTGAAACTCATCTTTACTAAAAATACAAAAAAATTAGCCAGGCATGGTGGCGGGTGCCTGTAGTCCCAGCTACGCAGGAGGCTGAAGCAGGAGAAGGGCATGAACCCGGGAGGTGGAGATTGCAGTGAGCCGAGATCACACCAGTGCCCTGCAGCCTGGGCGACAGAGTGAGACTCCGTCTCACAAAAAAAAAAAAAAAAAAAAAAAAAAAGAGAGAGAGAGAATATTGGCCTCCACTCTCTTCTGGCTTGTAGGGTTTCTTCAGAGAGATCCACTGTTAGTCTGATGGGCTTCCCTTTGTGGATAACCCGGCCTTTCTCTCTGGCTGTCCTTAACATTTTTTCCTTCATTTGAACCTTGATGAATCTGACAATTATGTGCCTTGGGGTTGTGCTTCTCGTGGATTATCTTTGCAGTGTTCTCTGTATTTCCTGAATTTGAATGTTGGTCTGTCTTGCAAGGTTGGGGAAGTTCTCCTGCATAATATCCTGAAGAGTGTTTTCCAACTTGGTTCCATTCTCCCCATCAGTTTAAGGTACACCAATCAAATGTAGGTTTGGTCTTCTCACATAGTACCATATTTCTTGGAGGCTTTGTTTGTTCCTTTTCATTCTTTTTTATCTAATCTTGTCTTCATGCTTTATTTCATTAAGTTGATCTTCAATCTCTGATATCCTTTCTTCCGCTTGACCAATTTGGCTATTGATACCTGTGCATGCTTCACGAAGTTCTCGTGCTGTGTTTTTCAGCTCCATCAAGTCATTTATATTCTTCTCCAAACTGGTTATTCTAGTTAGCAATTCCTCTAACCTTTTTTCAAGGTTCTTAGCTTCCTTGCATTGGATTAGAACACGCTCCTTTAGCTTGGAGGAGTTTGTTATTACCCACCTTCTGAAGCCTACTTCTGTCAATTTGTCAAACTCATTCTCCGCCCAGTTTTGTTCCCTTGCTGGTGAGGAGTTGTGATCCTTTGGAGGAGAAGAGGCATTCTGGTTTTGGGAATTTTCAGCCTTTTTGTGCTGTTTTTTCCTCATCTTGGTGGATTTATCTACCTTTGGTCTTTGATGCTGTTGACCTTCGAATGGGGTTTCTGTGTGGACATCCTTTTCGTTGATGTTGATGCTATTCCTTTCTGTTTGTTAGTTTTCCTTTTAACAGTCAGGCCCCTCTGCTGCAGGTCTGCTGGAGTTTGCAGGAGGGCCACTCCAGACCCTCTTTGCCTGGGTATCACCAGCGGAGGCTGCAGAACAGCAAAGATTGCTGCCTGTTCCTTTCTCTGGAAGCTTCATCCCAGAGGGGCACCCACAAGATGCTAGCCAGAGCTCTCCTATATGAGGTGTCTGTCAACCCCTGCTGGGTGGTGTCTCCCAGTCAGGAGGCATGGGGGTCAGGGATCAACTTGAGGAGGCAGTCTGTCCCTTAGCAGAGCTCGAGCAGTGTGCTGGGAGACCTGCTGCTTTCTTCAGAGCCAGCAGGCAAGAACATTTAAGTCTGCTAAAGCTGCTCCCACAGCCACCCCTTCCCTCAGGTGCTCTGTCCCAGAGAGATGAGAGTTTTATCTAGAAGCCCTTGACTGCGGCTGCTGCCTTTCTTTAAGAGATGCCCTGTCCAGAGAGGAGGAATCTAGAGAGGCAGTGTTGCTACACCAGCTTTGTCAAGCTGTGGTAGGCTCTATCCAGTTCGAACTTCCCTGCGGCTTTGTTTACACTGTGAGGGGAAAACCACCTAGTCAAGCTTCAGTAATGGTGGATGCCCCTCCCCCCACCAAGCTCAAGTGTCCCAGGTCGATTTCAGACTGCTGTCCTGGCAGTGAGAATTTCAAGCCAATGGATCATAGCTTGCTGGGTTCCATGGAAGTGGGATCCACTGAGCTAGACCACTTGGCTGCCTGGCTTCAGCCCCCTTTTCAGGGGAGTGAATGGTTCTGTCTCACTGGCATTCCAGGTGCCACTGGGGTATGAAAAAAAACTCTTGCAGCTAACTTTGTGCCTGCCCAAATGGCTGCCCATTTTTGTGCTTGAAACCCAGGGCCCTGGTGGCGTAGTCACCTGAGGGAATCTCCTGGTCTATGGGTTACGAAGACTATGGGAAAAGCATAGTATCTTGTCCAGAGTGCACCATTCCTCATGGCACAGTCCCTCATGGCTTCTTTTGGCTAGGGGAGGGAGTTCCTTGACCCCTTATGCTTCCCAGGTGAGGTGATGCCCCACCCTGCTTTGGCTCCCTCTGTGGGCTGCACCCACTGTCTAATCAGTCCCAATTTGATGAGCCAGGTACCTCAGTTGGAAATCCAGAAATCTCCCGCCTTCTGCATTGATCTTGCTGGGAGCTGCAGACTGGAGTTGTTCCTATTTGGCCATCTTGCCTGCCGCCCCCCATCATTGTAGTTTTGATTTGCATTTTCCAAATGATTAGTGACGCTCAACATCTTTATTTGCTTATTGGACATTTGTATGTCTTCTTTGGAGAAATGGCTATTCAAGTCATTTGCCCATTTTTGAATTAATGTCATTGTTGAGTTTTAGAAGTTTTCTATACACTCTGTTATCAATTCCTTATCAGCTATAAAATTTGAAAGTATTTTCATCCATATCAGCTATATGATTTGAAAGTATTCTCATCTGAATGTTTTTACCCTATTGATCTTATATTTTGACATATGCATTTTAAAAATTTTCCTTTGTTTCTTTCATTGTCTGTGCCCTTGGTGTCATATCCAAGAAATCATTGCCAGATCTAGTGTTGTAAAGCTTTTGCCATACGTTTTCTTCTAACAGTTTTACAGTTTTAGATCTTGTTTAGGTATTGGATCCATTTTGAGTTTATTTTTGTATACATTCTTAGGTAAGAGTTCAACATCATTTTTTGAATATGAATATCCAGGTTTCCCAGCATGCTTTGTTGAAAAGACTGTCTTTACCTCACTAAATGGTCTAAGCATCCTTGTCAAAACTCATTTGACCATACCATCTCATAAAGAAAGCAAAGATTTATTTCTGGGATACCTATTCTGTTTCATTGGTCTATATATCTATCTTATACCAGTACCACACTGCTTTGATTACTATAGCTTTGTAGTAAGTTTTGAAATCAGGAAGTGCCAGTCCCCAAGCTTTGTTCTTCTTTTTAAAGATTGTTTTGAGGTTTCTAAAGATGCCTTTTGAATTTAAATTTTTTTTATTTCTGCAAAAAAAGTCATAGGGATTTGATAGATATTGCACTGAATCTGTAGAACACTTTGAATAGTATGAGCATTTTAACAATACTGTCTTCCAATTCATAATCACGGATGTTCTTCCATTTATGTCTTCTTTGATTTATTTTAGCAATGCTTTTACTTTTCATTGTACAAGTCTTTCACTTCTTTGGTTAATTTCTAGATATTTTATTATTTTTAGTGCTATTGTAGATGACATTTTTTCCTAATTTCCCTTTCAAATCATTCATTGTTAGTATGTATGTAGAAATGCTATTGGTTTTGTGTGTTGACCTTTTATCCTGTTACTTTTCTGAATTAACTTAACAGTTCTAACAGTTTTTTGTGGAATTTTTAAGGTTTTTAAAAATATAATATTACATCATCTGTGAACAGAGATAATTTTTCCTCTTCCTTTTCAATTTGGATGTCTTTTACTTATTTTTCTTGCCTAATTGCTTTAGCTATAACTTCTGATACTATGCTGAGCAGAAAAGGCAAAAGTGGACATTTTTGCCTCACTTCCAATTTTAAAGAAAAAGCTTTCAGTCTTTTACCATTGAGTATAATGTATGCTGTGGGTTTTTCATACATGGCTTTTATTTCTTTGAGGTGGTTTTATTTCTATTTCTAGTTTTTTTAGTCCTTTTATCATGAAAAGGTGTTGAATTCCATCAAATGCTATTTCTGTATCAATTGAGACAATCGTGGTTTTTCCCTTTCATTCTGTTAACCCTTTTCCCATTCAGAAAAAAAAGTGCAGTGAGCTGCCAACACTTATTTAATTATACATAAACACTCTCTTTGAGGCTGAAGCAAATATGACTGATTTTTAATGTGAAAACAAAATATAAAAGCTGTTCCTGGAGTTATCTCTAAACAGAAATAACATCTGAATAGTCTGAATCATCAGAATCATCTATTATTTGGGAAAAATCGGATTTATCAAATGAATCTTCAGGCAACAAACATTCGAGAACAATCATACATAGGAATGCTATGTTTTATAGAATTTGACATTTTCAGTGATTGAGAATTATTATATTTTGTAAATGGAAATACCATTACTAAAAACAGAATGCTATAAATAGTATGACATCTTTTGTTTCCAAAGCTGATATATTAGAGTGATATAAAAATTATAATAAAAGTGAGACATTTTGTGGCAAAGTTGTCTTGGGATACATGCTACAGCTGCAAGCGCTGCCAGTGAGTATTCTCAGGGCAAATGGGAAAAGGGTTAATGTGGTGTATTATATTCATTAATTTTCATATGTTCAACCATCTTTGCATTTCAGGAATAAATCACGTTTAATCATAATGTATGAACCTTTTAATATGCTGTTGCATTTGGTTGGATAGTATTTTGTTGAGGATTTTTGCGTCACTGCTCATAAGAGATATGATCTGTATTTTTCTTGTAGTGTTTTGATATCAGGGTAATTTTGATACTTGGCTTTGATATCAGGGTAATTTTGGCCTCATAGAATGAGTTAGAGAGTATTGCCTCCTCTTCAATTTTTGGAATAGGTTGAGAATAATTGTTAGTTTTTAATTGTTTGGTAAAATTCACCAGTGAAGCCATTAGCTCCAGGAGTTTTCTTTGTCAGGAGATTTTTGATTACTGATTCAATCTCTTTACTAGTTATAGGTCTATTTGGATTTTATATTTCTTCATAATTTAGTCTTGGTAGATTTTGTGTTTCTAGGAGTTTTCCCATTTCATCTAGCTTATCCAATTTTTAAGATAGTACTCTTTCACAATACTTTTTATTTTTAAGGAATTGGTAGTAACTTTCATTTTTGATTTTAATAATTTGAGTCTTCTCTCTTTTCTTCTTTGTCCATCAGCTAAAGATTTTATTGACTTTCTCTGTTGGTTTTCGATTATCTATTTCATTTATCTCTGCTCTAGTCTTTAGTATTTCCTTCTTTCTGCTACTTTTAGTTTTATTTTGTTACTATTTTGTATTTCTGTAAGTTGTGAAATTAGGTTGTTGACTTGAGATCTGTTTTGTTTTTAAATGTAAGCTTTTTTTTCTGTACATATTTTCCTGATCATTGCTTTTACTGAGTTCCATAAGTTTTGATGTATTGTGTATTTATTTTCATTCATCTTTCAGCATTTTCTCATTTCCCTTGTAATTTCTTCTTTGATCCATTGGTTGTTTAAAATTGTTAATTTCCAGAAAGTTGTGACTATTTCAGTTTTATTTTTGCTATTGATTCCTAACTTTACCTTATTGTGGTCCAAGAAGCTACATTTTGTGATATCTATCTGTTTAAATCATTTGAAACTTAATCTGTGTCCTAACATATGGCCTATCCTGGAAAATATTCCATGTGCAATTGAGAAGGATGTGTATGCTGTTGTTGTTGGGTAGAGTGTTCTGTATGTCTGTTAGAGCTACTTGGTTTGTTGCATTAAGTCCTCTGTTTTCTTGTTTACCTTTTGTCTGTTTTTCTACACATTATTAAGAATGTAATATTAAAGTATCAAACTACTATTGTAGTACTGTCTCTTATAACCTTTTTTGATTTAAAGTTGATTTTGTCTGATATTAGTATTAGTTACCCCTGCTCTCTTTTCATTGTTTGCATAAAATATTTTTTAATCCTTTCACTTTCACTATATTTGTATTTTTGGATATAATGTGAGTCTTTTGTGGAAAGGACATAGCTGGACTTTGAAAATTCATTCTGCTAATCTGTCTTTTTATTGGAGGGTTTAATCCATTTACATTTAAAGTAATTACTGATAAGGAGGGACTTACTTCTTTCATTTTGCTATTTTTGTCTATAAGCCTTATAGAAACCAAAAATTTCTTGCTCTTCATTTCCTGCATTACTGTCTTCTTTTGTGTTTATTTGCTTTTTTGTACTGAAATGTTTAAATTCCTTTTGTATATATTCTATAAACCTTTTCTTTGTGGATACCATGGAGATTACATTCAGCATCCTAAAGTTATAACACTCTGAAGTGAATTTATGTGAGCTTATCTTTAATAACACACAAAAACTCTACTCCTTTAATAGCTCTATCCTTGCCCCTTTTGGTTATTGGTGTTACAAATTACATCTTTGTACATTTTGTGCCCAAAACATAAACCAATAATTATTTTAAATGCTTAGTGTCTTAGGTTATGAAGAAAACAAATTGTGGACTTATAAAGCTAAATTATAGTAACACTAGCTTTTAGACTATTTTTTAAAAGGTATTAATCTCTGAAATCATGAGGGAAAATGTGTAATTACAAATTGTTAGAATAATGTTATCTTTTATAATTGCCCGTGTATGTACTTTTATTGAGATCTTTATTTCTTCATAGAGAGTTAACTTGCTGCTAGTGTTCTTTCATTTTACCCTGCAAAACTATCTTGAGCATTTCTTGCAGGGCAGGTCTAGTGGTAACAAACTCCCTCAGTTTCTGCTTATTTGGGGCTGTCTTACTTTCAGCCTCACTTTTGAAGGATAGTTTTGCTGAATATAGGATTCTTGGTTGACTTTTTTGTTTTTTCATTTAGCACCTTGACTCTATTAGCCCACTTCCTTCTGGCCTCCAAGTTTCTGATGAAAAATCTGCTCACAGTATTACTGAGGATTCCTTGTATCTGATGAATCACTTCTCTCTTGTTGCTTTCAAGATTCCCCTTTTGTCTTTGTCTTTCAAAAGTTTGATTATAACGTGTCTCAGTGAGGGTGTCTTTGAGGTCATCTTACTTGGAGTTTGTTGAGCTTCTTGGATGTTTATATTCATGCCCTTTAGCAAATTTGGGGAGTTTTGCTTCCATTAATTTTTCAAATATTCTCTCTGCCTTTTTCTGTCTCTCTTCTCCTGGAAATCCCACAATGTATATGTTGTTCCATTTGATGGTGTCTTACAGGTCCCTTAGGTTCTATGCACTCTTATTCAATCTCCTTTCTGTCTGTTCCTTAAGACTGAATAATTTCCATTGCCCTACCTTCAAGTTAACTGGTTATTTCTCCTGCCTTCTGAAATTTGCCTTTGAAGCCCTCTAGTGAATTTTTAATTTCAGTGATTATATTTTTCCACTCCATAATTTCTTTTTGTTTCTTTTTCAGCTTTCTATCTCTTGATTGACATTCCCATTTTGTTCACACATTGTTTTCTTGACTTTCTCCATATCTTCCTTTAGTTCTTTGAGCATCTTTAAGATAGTTGTTTTAAAGTAGTTGTCTAGTAGTCTGCCATTTGCTCTTTTTCAGGGACAGTTTTCATTGGCTTACTTTTTTCCCCTTTGAGTAGGTCATGCTTTACTCTCTTTTTGTATACTTTGTCAGTTTTGTTGTTGAAATCCAGGCATTTGAATCTAGTAATGTGGTAACTCTGGAAATCAAATTCCCCCCTTCCTGAGGATTTGTTATTTTTTTTCTTTCTTAATTGTTGTATTCTGTCTTTGTGCCGAGGATCAGCCTGAGGTGTAAACTTAAGATCTTCCCAGGCCTTTTGTGAGCCTGCACCTTTCCCTGGGCATGCACAGTCACTTTCTAATCTCTCTCATATACATAGTTGCTTTTGAATCTTTCTTTTTTTTTTTTCCGTAGAGATGGGGGTCTCACTATGTTGCCCAGGCTGGTCTTGAGGTTCTGGAATCAAGTGATTCTCCTGCCATGGCCTCACAAAATGCTGAGATTGCATGTGTGAGCTACTGCACCTGGTCTGAGTATCTTTTTCTTTAGTGGCTGGCTCTAAAAAGGGGAAAAAGAGAAAAATGAAGGGAGAAAAAAAGAGTGCCAGCACTTTAAATCTCCTGGAAGTCATTTTAGCCAGAGGGGGAGGCTCTTGCAAAATGTGGGAAGGTGCAACAACAGTGGCGTCCCACCTTTTTGTGTTTCTATGATTAGAAATAGCAATCAGCAATCTGAGCACAGATCCTCAGTATTTGGAGGGCAGGGTTCTTATGTGTATCCTGGGCACTGCAAGCTATGTACAGGTTGTTCCAAGGAAAATGCACAGATGACTGCCATAGGGCTGAGAGTGGGTAGCTACTACTGTGCTAAGAGCTGAAATTAACCACAGTTTACCACCCATGCCTTCCACTGGAAGTTAAAAGCCTTCAATAAACTCTACAGTTCCAAAATAGTTACATCACACAGATTTTGCTAGTGCAATTGTTGTCTTCTTGGGGAAACATATTCATGGTGCTTTCTACTCTGTCATCTTCCCAGAATCCTCTTGTTTAATCTTTTCTCTTTTAAATTTTATTTTTTAGATTAACATACAGTAAAATGGATATTTTTTGGGAGGGACATGTATTTCTATGACTTTTAACACATGTTTTAATTCATGTGACCACCACCAATATCTGGATAAAGAACATTTACATTATCCAAAAGACTCACTCATGAAATTTCTTTGTAGCCACTCCTTGCCCCTACCTCTAACCCCTGGCACCCACTGATCTATTCTCTATCTCTATCATTTTGTCTTTTAGAGGATGTCATATAAAGTGGAATCATACAGAATGTTACCTTTTAAGACTGGATTCTTTTACTCAGCCTTTTAGAGTCATAAAGTTGTTTATTTTATCAATAGTGCATTCCTTTTTATTGCTGAATAATATTCCATTGTATGGCTGTAACACTGCTTTTTATCCCTTTTAAAGGGCATTTGGGTTGTTTGCAGTTTTTGGTGATTACAAATAGAGCTGTTCTAAACATTTGTGTACAGGTTTTGTGTGATTTACACATAAGTACAGATGCTTCTTGACTTATGATGGAGTTGCATCCTGATGAACCCAACATAAGTAAAAAATATCATAAATTGAAAATACCTTTAATGTTAGGAACACAGTTGTCCCTGATTTATGATGTTTAAACTTACAAACTTTTGACTTTATGATGGTGCAAAAGTGATACACATTCAATATAAACCATAATCCCATTATAAGTTTTAAGGAGCTCCTCAACTTATGATGGAGTCACATCCTAACAAACCTATAATATAGTCAGAAAATTGTAAGTTGAATCACGGTAACTTGGGGACTGTATTTCATTTTTTTAGAGTATATAGAAATGGTAGTTTTTAAATTTCATCTTACAAATGTTCATTGCTAATATGTGGAAACATGATTGACTTTCTATTTCATCAATGTATTCTTAACCTCTCCTAAAATCACTCATTTTTTAAGGAGTTCTGAATTGTTTTGTTTTGTTTTTTATTCTTTCAGGTTTTTTATGTAAACCACAATGTCATCTGCAAATAGGAACAGTTTTATTTTTTCCTCTTTAATCTTTATCTCTTTTGATTTCTTGTCTTATTGAACTGTCTAAGATTTCCACTATGATGCTGAATAGTACTGAGAGTGGACATCCTTGTGTTGTTCCCAATCTTACAGGAAGCATTCAGTCTTTCACCATGAAGTATATTATCTAGTGCTTGCTTCAACAGCATGTATACTAAATTTAGAACAAACGGAGAAGATTAGCATGGCTACTGTGCAAGGATGACACACAAATTTGTGAAACATTCCATATTTTTACACTATAAAGCAACCACATAAACAAGTCTGCAAAATAACCAGCTAACATCATGATGACAGGATAAAATCCACACATATATATACTAACCTTAAATTTAAATGGGCTAAACGCCCAAATTAAAAGACACAGAGTGGCAAGCTAAAAAAAGAACCAAGACCCATTGGTATGCTGTCTTTAAGAGACCCATCTCGCATGCAATGACACACATAGGCTCAAAATGAAGGGATGGAGGAAAATCTACAAAACACATTGAAAACAGAAAAAGCAGGGGTTGCAATCCTTATTTTGAAAAAACTGACTTTAAACCAACAAAGATAAAAACAGACAGAGAAGGGCATTACATAATGATAAAGGGTTCAATTCAACAAGAAGATTTACCTAACCTAAATATATATGCACCCAACACAGCAGCACCCAGATTTATAAAGGAAGTCCTAGAGACCTGCAAAGAGACTTAGACTCCCAGACAACAATAGTGGAAAACTGTAACACCCCACTAACAATATTGCATGGATCACCGAGACAGAAAATTAAGAAATATATTCAGGACTTGAACTCAGCACTGGATAAAATGGACGTGATAGATATCTACAGAACTCTCCACCCTAAAACAACAGAAAATACATTCTTCTCATCACCAAATAGCACTTGCTCTAAAATCGATCACATAATCAGAAGCAAAACACTTCTCGGCAAATGCAAAAGAACTGAAATCATAACACACAGTCTCTCAGACCACAGCACAATCAAATACAAAATCAAGAGTAAGAAATTCATTCAAAACCACACAATTAGATGAAAAGTGAATAACCTGCTTCTGAATGACTTTTGGGTAAATAATGAAATTAAGGAAGAAATCAAGAAGTTCTTTGAAACTAATGAGAACACAGAGACAACGTACCAGAATCTCTAGGACATAGCTAAGGCAGTGTTAAGATGGAAAGTTATAGCACTAAATGCCTAGATCAAAAAGTTAGATCTCAAGTTAACAACCAAACATCAAAACTGAAAGAATGAGAGAACCAAGAACAAACAAATCCCAAAGCTAGCAGAAGACAAAAAATACCCCAAATCAGAGCTGAACTGAAGGAGATAGAGACATAAAAAACCATTCAAAAGATCCACAAATTCAGGAGATGGATTTTCGAAAAAATTAATAAAATAAATTGACCACTAACTACACTAATAAAGAAGAGAGAAGATTCAAATAAACACAATAAAACAACAAGAGGGATATTACCACTAACCCCACAGAAATACAAACAACCATCAGAAAATATTACAAACACCTCTATGCATGTAAACTAGAAAATCTAGAAGAAACGGACAAATTCCTGGACACATATACCCTCCTAAGACTGAACCAGGAAGAAATTGAATCCCTGAACAGACCAGTAAAGAGTTTTGAAATTGAGGCAGTAATAAATAGCTTACCAACCAAAAAAAAAAAAAAAAAAAAGCCCAGGACCAGATGTATTCACAGCTGAATTCTATCAGATGTACAAAGAAGAGCTGGTAACATTCTTACTTAAAGTATTCCAAAATATTGAGGAGGAGGTACTCCTCTCTAACTCATTCTATGAGGCCAGCATCATCCTGATACCAAAATCTGGCAGAGATAAAACAAAACAAAACAAAACTTCAGGCCAATATCCTTGATGAACATCAATGCAAAAATCCTCAACAAAATACTGCCAAACCAAATCCAGCAGCACATCAAAAAAGTTATCCACCATGATCAAGTCAGCTTCATTCCCAGGATGCAAGGTTGGTTCAACATACACAAATCAATAAATTTGATACATCACATAAACAGAACTAAACACAAAAACCACATGATTATCTCAATAGATGCAGAAAAGGATTTTGATAGAATTCAATATCCATTCATGTTATGAACTCTCAATAAACTAAGTATTGAAGGGACATACCTCAAAATAGCAGGAGCCATATATGACAAACCCACAGCCAACATCATACTGAATGGGCGAAAAAAGCTGGACACATTCCCCTTGAAAACCAGCACAAGATGTCCTTTCTCACCATTCCTATTCAACATAGTATTGGAAGTTCTGGCCAAGGCAATCAGTCAAGAGGAAGAAATAAAGGGCATCCAAATGGGAAGAAAGGAAATCAAACTATCCCTGTTTGCAGATGACATGATCCTATATCTAGAAAACCCCATCGTCTCAGCCCAAAAGCTTCTCAAGCTAATTAACAACTTCAGCAAAGTCTCAGGATACAAAATCAATGCACAGAAATCGCTGGCATTCCTATACACCAATAACAGTCATTCCAATAGCCAAATCAGGAATGAATTCCCATTCACAATTGCCACCAAACAGAATGAAATACCTAGGAATACAGCTAACCAGGAAGGTGAAAGAGCTCTACAAGAACTACGAATCACTGCTAAAGAAATCAGAGATGGTACAAACAACTGGAGAAACTTTCCATGCTCATGGATAGGAAGAATCAACATGGTTTAAATGGGCATATTGACCAAAACAATTTATGTATTCAATACTATTCCTATTAAACTACCACTGACAATCTTCACAGAACTAGAGAAAAGTACTTTAAAATTCATATGGAATCAAAAAGCTTGAATAGCCAAGGCAATCCTAAGCAAAAAGAACAAAGCTAACAACTTTAAACTATACTATAGGGCTACAATAACCACAACAGCATGGTATTGGTACAAAAACAGACACATACACTAATGGAACAGAATAGAGAACCCAGAAATATGGCTGCACACCTACAACTATCTGATCTTCTCCAAACCTGACAAAAAAGCAATGGGGAAAGGATTCCCTATTCAATAAATGGTGCCAGGATAAATGGCTAGCCATGTGCAGAAGATTGAAACTAAACCCCTTCCTTACATCATATACAAAAATTAACTCAAGATGGATTAAAGACTTAAACGTAAAACCCAAAAGTATAAAAACCTTGGAAGACTACCTAGGCAATACCATTCAGGACATAGGCACAGGCAAAGATTTCATGACAAAGATGCCAAAAGCAATTGCAGCAAAAGCAAAAATTGACAACGTGGGTCTAATTAAAGAACTTCTGCAGAGCAAAAGAAACTATCAACAGAATAAACAGACAATCTACACAATGGAAGAAAATTTGTGCATACTATAGATCTGACAAATGTCTAATATCTAGCATCTATGAGGAACTTAAAAAAATTTACAAGAAAAAAAACCATAAAAACGTGGGCAAATGACACAGACAGTTTTCAAAAAAGAACATACATGCAGCCCATAAGCATATTTTAAAAAGCTCAACATCACTGATCATTAGAGAAATGCAAGTCAAAACCACAATGAGATAGCATCTCACACCAGTCAGAACGGCTATTATTAAAAAGTCATGACGAGTTAATGGGTGCAGCACACCAACATGGCACATGTACACATATGTAAGAAACCTGCACATTGTGCACATGTACCCTAAAACTTAAAGTATAATAATAATAAAATTTTTAAAAAAGAAAAAAAAGTCAAAAGATAACAGATGCTGGCAAGGTTGTGGAGAAAAAGGAATGCTTAAACACTGTTGGTGGGAGTGTAAATTAGTTCAGTCATTGTGGAAGACAGTGTGGCAATTCCTCAAAGACCTAAAGACAGAAATACTATTCATCCTAGCAATCCCATTATTGGGTACATGCCCAAAGGAATAAAAGTCATTCTATTATAAAGACACATGCACATGTATGTTCATTGGAGCACTATTCACAATACATGCAATCATCCTAAATCCCCATCAATGATAGACTGGATAAAGAAAATGTGGTACATATACACCATGGAATACTGTGCAGCCATAAAAAATAACAAGATATTGTCCTTTGCAGGGACATGGATGGAGCTGGAGCCCATTATCCTTAGCATACTAACACAGGAACAGAAAACCAAATACCGCATGTTCTCCCTTGTAAGTGGAAGGTAAATGATGAGAACACATGGACACATTAGAGGGTAACTACACACACTGGAGCCTGTCAGAGGCTGGAGGGTGGGAGGAGGAAGAGGATCAAGAAAAACAACTAATGGGTACTAGGCTCAATACCTGGGTAAAATAATGTACAAAATAATCTGTAGGACAAACTCCCATGACACATATTTACCTGTGTTACAAACCTGAATTTTTACCCCTGAACTTAAAAGGTATTTTTGTTTTGTTTTGTCTTGTTTTGTTTTCATTTGTTTGTTTGTTTTTTGAGATGGAGTCTTGCTCTGTCACCCAAGCTAGACTGCAGTGGCACAATCTCAGCTCACTGCAACCTCTGCCTCCCAGGTTCAAGTGATTCTCCTGCCTCAGCCTCCCACATAGCTGGGATTATAGGCATGTACCATCATGCCTGGCTAATTTTTGTATTTTTAGTACAGACGGTGTTTCACCATGTTGGCCAGGCTGGTCTTGAACTCCTGACCTCAAGTGATCCGCCCCTGTCGGCCTCCCAAAGTGCATTATAGACATGAGCCATATCGTGCCTGGCCGAATAAAAGTTTTTAAAAAGTATATCATCTATAGGTTTTCTGTAGATGCCCTTTATCAGATTGAGGAAGTTTTCTTCTATTAGGTTGGTGCAAATGCAATTGCCATTACTTTTAAAGGCAAAAACCACAATTACATTTGCACCAACCTAATGTTTCTAGTTTGTGGAAAGGTTTTTATCATGAGAGAATTTTAAATTGTGTCAAATGCCTTTTTTATTTTATTTTATTTTTATTTTTTTATTATTACACTTTAAGTTCTAGGGTACATGTGCACAACGTGCAGGTTTGTTACATAGGTATATATGTGCCATGTTGGTTTGCTGCACTCATCAACTCATCGTTTACGTCAAATGCCTTTTATGCATCAATTGATAAAATCATATGATTTCTTTTCTTTTGACTATCAATGTGGTGGATTGCATTGAGTGACTTTTGAATATTGAAACAGGCTTGCATTCCCAATTTAAAACCCACTTGCTATAAATTTACCTATTAGCACTGCTTTAGCTGTGTCCCACATATTTTGAATATTGTATTTTTATATCCATAATCCATTTGCAGCATGCTGGTGGGGAAGCTCTGATATAGAGTACCTCATTACAGGGCAGTTCCTCCTGAATAGCATTTACTGCTTACCTGCCATGTACTAGGCTCTATTCTAAGCACTTTACATATATTGTCCTATTTAACTTACAAAAATCCAATTAAAAAAATCCTTATTGCCAACCCTGTATTACAGTTTTGGAAACTGAGGCCCAGAGGGGCTAGTCAATTTACCCAAGCATGCACAGCTATTTACGGTGGAGTAAGTAGTGGGCTAGGATTTGAACCCAGGCAGTTCTTTTAACTGTTACGTAGTTCTGTTTCTATTATGGGACTTCATTGTATAAGCCATTCTTCTTCACTCCTACATCACTTTACATGCCCTTCCATTAAAGCAATTATTGTATAACAATTATTTTTTAAATAAATAATAAATAATATTTTATGCCAGTATCTGCAGAGCAATAATTCCTTCTCTTCAAATTTAAATCACTAGCGTAATATACAAGTTCCCCAGGGCTGCCATAAGAAATTTTCACAAATTGGGCTGCTTAAAACAACAGTAATGTATTATCTCACAGTTCTGGAGGCCAGAAGTCTGAAACCAAGGTGTCAGCAGAATTGCCCTCCCCCTGGAGGCTCTAGGGGAGTATCCTTCTTTGTCTCTTCCAGTTTCTGGTGGCAGTTGGCATTCCTTGTGACTCTATCATTCCAACTTCTGCCTCCATCTTCACACGATCTCCTCTTCTATGTGTCTGTGTCTTCTCCTCTTCTGTTTTAATCTGCGTGTCTCATAACAACACTCATCATTGGATTTAGGGCCCATCCAGATAGTCATATGATCTCATGTTGAGATTTTGAACTTAACTGGAAAAGACCCCTTTTTCAAATATAGTGTCTGGGATGCGCTATGTCTTTTTGGGAGCCAACCTTCAACCCACTACACCTAGCATAGCCCACATTATGTGCTCAGAAAATACTGTATTAGACATTTTCTCCATTGCAAATCATATAAATTCTAGTCAAACTAGCTTAAGCAAAAAGGGAGTTTATTAGTCACGTAACTGGCAAGTCTGAAGGTACTTGTAGCATAGGACATGGCTGAATCCAGGGACCCAACAATATCTTTCAGTCTTTCCAGCTTTTCTTTTTTTTTTTTTTTTTTTTTTTTTTTTTTTTTTGAGACGGAGTCTTGCTCTGTCGCCCAGGCTGGAGTACAGTGGCGGGATCTCGGCTCACTGCAAGCTCCGCCTCCCGGGTTCACGCCATTCTCCTGCCTCAGCCTCCCAAGTAGCTGGGACTACAGGCGCCCGCCACTACACCCGGCTAATTTTTTTTTTGTATTTTTAGTAGAGACGGGGTTTCACCGTTTTAGCCGGGATGGTCTCGATCTCCTGACCTCGTGATCCGCCCGCCTCAGCCTCCCAAAGTGCTGGGATTACAGGCGTGAGCCACCGCGCCCGGCCTCCAGCTTTTCTTTCTTCCAGGTACTGCTTTATTTTTAAGAAGGTTCACCATTCTCTATCTGCCAGCATCAATATATTGAATTTTAGTGGAAAACTTTGATTATTCCTCTTTAAGTCACACATTCATCCTTGAATTAATCACTGTGACCTGAGGAACAGAGGTATCTGATGGCTGATTCTTTCATGATCACCCCTGTGTCTGGAATATGTGATGGTGGTGCTGGAGGTGAGCATGGAGTAAGGCACTGTGATTGATATCCCACCAAAACCACATAAAATGGAAGTGAGTCAATTCTCCAGAGGAGGGAACACTGAGAAGATTAACACTAATAATATATGTTTACTATAATTTTGTATAAAGTTCACTATAACTTTTAAGACTGTGGTACTGGGAGGCATCAGTGTATTTCTAATGGGTCTATTAGTAGGTCTTTCCTATACATATCTTCTATTATCCTTTCATATACTTAATTAGTTCAACCTCACAGACTTCATCTTACTAATCTGTGAAGCTTGTAATCTTCAGGCTCTTTCTAGAAGTTAAATGTTTACAATATGAATGCCACAGAGGGGCTTTCCTTTCTTGTAAGGGAAGGTTTGGGCTTGCAGTGCCTCAGAGATCCTTGACTACTCCCAAGGTGCTTTGCTGCAGGTAGAAGTGGCAATGACAATGTCTAGACTCTGGCTCTGTAGGGCATATAGCTCCAAAAGTCTAATCAAGATCCCAGCTCAAGCCTCCCCTGTTTTCAAGCACTCTAAGCTTTCCAAATACTCTCACAAAAATATGACTTTGCTGTAGCTTTGAAATCAATAATATGTAAGGCATCCTTGTCCCTGCCCACAAAGGTTTATTAAGGTTGGATCCAGAAGATCTCATTACAGTGTAGTTTCACCTCCTTTATCACCCCATGTTGAGGTCTCTGCTGGTTCAGGTATCAAGTGCACTCTAATGCTCAGGATGCTGACTATCCAGAAAGATTTCTTCCCTTTTTTCTGACAGTATCCCCCATCCAACTCCCCGTAACCCTCCTCAACTCTTCTTTTAAGCCTCCTCACTTCTGTCAGTTTGAATAATTCTATGCCAGCTTATTTTCTGAGGACTTTTTTCCAAGTTCCCTTCATTTTTGGCTTCCCAGTGATAGTATAGTATCTCCTTGTTCTCTTGCACTTTGGCAGACTTACATCCTGTAGTACATATGTCTTGTGCCCTGTCACACATCCTGTCGGTCATACTTCTAATTCCACAGCTGACTGGGGTGCACAGCTCTGTGTGAGCTTAGACTCACCTGTCTCACCATGAGTGAGCACCACACCTTTGCTCTCTGCCCCAAGGCACTTATGAGTCCAGGACACTGCATGCCCAGGTGGGAATTTCAGGAATGTCAACACATACAGGGGCAGCCCTCAATCAATGAAGGATGGGAGCCAGCTCCTGCCTGCCATCTTTTAGATGGACATTTTTGGGAAGTCTTCTGTATGCTTCCTAGGGAATTCTGGCAGAACGGTGCCCTAACAATTCATCCTTATACTGACTTTCTCTCCATCCATGCCTCATACTCCCCACTCCCTCACTCCTGCTCTTTGGAATGCCCTTCCAAACAAACTACCTGTTCTCTAATACTTGTTTCAGGCTCTGCTTTGGGATAACTCAAGTAACAAACAACCTCACTTGCCAAACTGTGTGCTCCCAGTGGCTGTCCAACCCTCACTGTTTCCTCTTTTCCCACGGCCCAGTGATAGCATCCAGCAGCTGGCTTTAGCTGTGGATGACAGAAGAGTGAAGGAAGATGAAGGGGAGGACAGGAGATTAAATGAGGAGGTAGCGTGGGATGGTGGGAAGGGACTGGACTATGTTCTATCCCTGCTTTGACTGACTGCATCACATCATTGAATCCCATAGTGCTAGATTTTGACTTGAGCCCTAATTTTAACTTGAGTCTGCCATTTCCCGGTGATGCCACCTAAGTTGCTCTGAATTTGCCCTCTCACATTTCCAGGGGTCATACTCCGATTTGGCAGAATACATTTGTCCCCATCTGTGATTTACTAATAAACCCTGTTTAACCACAAAGCCAAGGGGCTTGGTCCTCATGGTGGTTCATGCTACCAG
This sequence comes from Homo sapiens, assembly GCF_000001405.40. NCBI lineage: Eukaryota > Metazoa > Chordata > Mammalia > Primates > Hominidae > Homo > Homo sapiens. Next base: position 39,072,544 of record NC_000023.11, on the reverse strand, counting down.
TAGTGATAAAGCTTGTTATATGACTTGAGTTTTCTTAAAGCTACTTCCTATTAAGAATCCCGCACATCTTTTACAACTGCCTGTTTCCTGGGTTCCCCAACCAGGGTCCTCCAACTGAACTCATGTCCCCAGACCTCTTTCCTCTGCAAGGTGTATTCTTCTGCACAGGAAGTGAATGGGAAAGCCATATTCCCTGACTATTTAGCTGTCCCTGTGCTGAGGCAAGCAATCTTCCTTGTTGCCTGTGACTGAGTCAATGACAGAAGCATTGGCTGGGTCCTCGTTGGAGGATCCTCACTGTACTCTGGCTGTGTTTTCATGAGTTGCCCTATCTGGCAATCCCCCATCATCTATGAAACAAGCCCTAGAAACATTGGCCCAGCCCAACATTCACAGAAGACTCCTGATATCTTTCATCTCTCGGGCCCAGAGGACAAACTCTTTTCCTTTGTGTTCTATTTTGACATTATTCTGCTTCTTTGTTCCCATTTTAGGGCAGTGCAAGGAGAGCTGTGCATTAGCTTTTGTGGGCTTTAATGAAGCAGGATTTGACAGCATTTCATATCAGGTATCATCTTTTGTGTGCATGGGGAGAAAGGATGAGAAATATTCCTTTAACTGGTGCCAGAAGAGAAGGCAGAGCAAGACAAGAAAGAAAAAATCTGATAACTACTTTTTTTTCCATTAAAGTCCTGGCCCCTTTCTAAAACATGCTATTTGTCTATATTTCAAATCAGTTGGGAATCATATCTTTCCACAACAGCATTTCCTTACTTCCTGGAAACATATATCACAGGATGTATAATAAATGTTTATACTAGCCATAAAGAGGAAAGTAACATTTCATAAAATTTACCATAGACCCCAAGGTGAATTTAATATAGGAGCCTTAGTGACGAATCCCAAAGCAAGTGAATTTTGGCTTAAAGCCCATCCTGAACTGACTTCATTATGCTTACTTGATGTTGGGAGTGGGAGGGAGGTGGATGCAACAAGAAAACTTCCTGAGGTCCCTGCATGAATAAATTGGAATGTGGCTCTCAAATTAACCCTGCATTTTCTTATGTGTCTCTTACAAGCTGCACATGAAGGATTATTACTAAGCAGTTGGTGGCTGGCTCCTCCCTGTGTCTTTGAAGGACAGAACAAGAAGAAACAGCTGAAATAGCTGCAAGAGGAGGTAAACTAGCTGGAAAAATTTAAATCACACAGAAAGGACTGATTCTTCCAGAGACAACTGTAAACTAAAATCTTAAGGCCCCCCAACCATCTGAATAGACCTCTCTTCTCAGCCAAGGGCATTCCAGAGTTAACCCAAAGACTGGTTCAAGCCATGACGCAAAAGGGGATTGGGGTCAGACATGCCTCATTACCTCATTATGCCCTTCTCCCTTTTGGAATTCAGGAAAAGCCCACCAGCATTTAACATCCACACAGACCTTAAGTCTGATAAGAAACATTTACAATCTGTTCTCTCTGAAACCTGCTACCTAGAGGCTTCATCTGCATGATAAAACCTTGGTCTCTACAACCTCTTTGTATTAGTTCGTTCTCGCATTGCTATAAAGAAATACGTGAGATTGGGTAATTTATAAAGGAATGAGGTTTAGGTGGCTTAGGGTTCTGTAGGCTCTGCAGGAAGCACAGCACCTGCATCTGCTCAGCTTCCGAGGAGGCCTCAGGACACTTACAATCATGGCAGAAGGCGAAGTGGAAGCAGGCATGTCTTAACATGGCTGGAGCAGGAGGAAAAGAAGGTTGGGGGGGCGTGCTACACACTTTTAAGTGACCAGCTCTTGTGAGAACTTTAGTACGAGAACAGCACCAAAGGGCCTCCTACTAGGCCCCACCTCTAATACTGGGGATTACAATTTGATGTGAGATTTGGATGAGGACACGGATCCAAACCATGTCACTTTTATAGTAACCCAGACATTCCTTTCTATTGATAATAACTCTTTCAAACAATTGCCAATCAGAAAATATTTGAATCTACCTACAACCTGGAAGCCCCCTCCACCCCCTGCTTCGAGTTGTCCTGCCTTTCTTGACCAAACCAATGTAAGTCTTATAAGGTTGGTGCAAAAGTAATGGCAGTATTCACCATTACTTTTAATGGTGAAAACCGCCATTACTTTTGCACCAACCTATTGCGAGGTGACAACGTGCTAGCAGCCCTCCCTCGCTCTTGGCGCCCCCTCGGCCTTGGCGTCCGCTCTGGTTGCTCTCCAGGAGCCCTTCAGCCCGCCCCTGGGCTGTGGGGGCCCCTTTCTGGGGCTGGCCGAGGCCAGAGCCGGCTCCCTCTGCTGGCAGGGAGGTGTGGATGGAGAGGTGTGGAGGGAGAGGCGCAGGCGGGAGCACAGGCTGCACGCGGCGCTCCCGGGAGCGCCGGTGCGGGTTCCGGGTTGGCACAGCTCGGCGGGCCCCGCACTCGGTGCGGCAGGCCGGCGCCTCATGGGCTTGATGGGGGAACGAGCTCCCTCTGGGCTGCCAGAGTGCCTGGGCTGGGTGCTGCAAAGTCCTGTGGCAAGGGCCATTGAAAGGTGAAGTTGGCTGGACTTCTGGGTCCGGTGGGGATTTGGAGAACTTTTCTATCTGGCTAAAGGATTGTAAACACACCAATCAGCACTCTCTGTCTAGCTCAAGGTTTGTAAATGCACCAATCAGCACTCTGTGTCTAGCTCAAGGTTTGTAAATGCACCAATCAGTGCTCTGTGTCTAGCTAATCTAGAGGGGACTTGGAGAACTTTTGTGTCTAGCTAAAGGATTGTAAATGTGCCACCAATCAGCACTCTGTGTCTAGCTCAAGGTTTGTAAATGCACCAATCAGCACCCTGTCAAAATGGACCAGTCAGCTCTCTGTAAAATGGACCAATCAGCTCTCTGTAAAATGGACCAATCAGCTCTCTGTAAAATGGACCAATCAGTAGGATGTGGGTGGGGCCAGATAAGGGAATAAATGCAGGCCACCCCCAGCCAGCTGCGACAACCCACTCTTGTTCTCTTCCATGTTGTGGAAGCTTTGTTCTTTCGCTCTTTGTGGTAAATCTTGCTGCTGCTCACTGTTTGGGTCTGCACCACCTTTATGAGCTGTAACACTCACCACAAAGGCCTGCAGCTTCACTCCTGAGGCCCGCAAGACCGCGAACCCACCTGAGGGAAGGAACAACTCCAGACGTGCTGCCTTTAAGAGCTGTAACACTCACTGTGAAGGTCTGCAGCTTCACTCCTGAAGTCAGGAGACCACGAACCCACCAGAAGGAATAAACTGCAGACACATCTGAAGCTGCAAACTCCAGACACACCATCTTTAAGAACTGTAACACTCACCGCAAGGGTCCGCAGCTTCATTCTTGAAGTCAGCAAGACCAAGAACCCACCAATTCTGGACACACTATTACATGTATTTATTGATGTCTCATGTCTCCCTAAAATGTATAAAACCAACCTGCACCCTGATCACCTTGGGCACATGCTCGCAGAGTCTCCTGAGAGTTGTGTCACTGGCCATTGGTCACTTATATTTGGCTTAGAATCAGTCTCTTCAAATATTTCACAGAGTTTGACTCTTTTTATCAACACAACAATGCTATCATGAGATAGTCTTGAGGCTGGGGGAGGGGGTAGCTCCTGAAATCAGGACTGCCATAGACCACAGCTTGCCTTAATGAGAGGCCATTAAAAATAGAACATGGAATAGTATGCAGCCATAAAAAAGGATGAGTTCATGTCCGTTGCAGGGACATGGATGAAGCTGGAAACCATTATTCTTAGCAAAATATTACAAGGGCAGAAAACCAAACACTGCATGTTCTCACTCATAAGTGGGAGTTGAACAATGAGAACACATGGACACAGGGAGGGGAACATCACACACCAGGGCCTGTTGGGGGTTGGGGTCTGGGGGAGGGATAGTGTTAGGAGAAATACCGAATGTAAATGACGAGTTGATGGGAGCAGCAAACCAACATGGCACATGTATACCTATGTAACAAACCTGCACGTTGTGCACATGTACCCTAGAACTTAAATTATAATAATGAAAAAAAAATAGAACAGAGTTTTATCTGCTCAGGAGTATTGAGGCCCAATTCAACCCAGAGTCAGGGGCATGGATAATTTAGTTGCATGTGGAGGCTCCCAGAGGCCCATGTTTATTTGCAAATCAGGATACCTGGAATTGGATTCGATGACTTTCTAGAAAACTGTAGGAGAAGCCCCACTAAGGGAACTAGAATTAGGGAGCCATTCTCCTGTACTTTTTTGCAGATGATGTTTCATAACAGCCAGGCAAAAAGAATTCCATGGATAAGATCTGATATGAATAATTTCCCTGTGGCCTGAAACTTCAAATAAGTATCTCCTGAAACAAAATATCTCTGGCCGGAGGGAATGGAGAGAGAACACTGAGTACAGCTCTGTAATGGGACAGACTGTCTGTGCCACTGTGATCTGGTCACATGAGTAAAATCCTTGAAATTACAGAGAACATGATCAAGAGTTGACGCATCCTCAGATGCGTTCCTCCTTACTCTCCCGTCCTGGTCCACATGCTATTCATTTCTAGTCTTGGCGAAACAAGAGCAACTGGAAATATTATGTATCTGGAGCAAAGGCAATCATAGTTCATCCAAAGAGAATGTTTTATAGCAAGACCAACACTGAAAACATTTTCCCTTACATCTTGGAAGACAGCAGCTGTAGGCTGACACTAACTCAATATTTAAGGAGGTGCTCACTCTCAAGGGTCAACTCTGCACTTGCACAAACATGAAAGTGTGTACCTCCTTAAATACTGCCCCCAGATACCTTGCTTGCTTTGCTCTACCCTTGCAGGGAAGGATCACCAGCCTGGGCTCTAGGAGACTGGGAACAGCTGTACTTCCACCCAGAAGGGGCTCAAAATGACCTCAAGGAACCAACCTGGGTCTTTCTGGGCCTGCTCACAGCTACAGCCCTGGCAAGTTGTAAAAGGATAATTTTTTATTTACAGCACCACTTGCCTAGGAGGTATCATAACCGAATGCTGTGTGGTCAAAGAACCCAAGATGCCAGTCCTCACTCAACCTAACTGAAGACACTTTCCTAAGTTAAAACTGGACTTGCTTTTAACCAACTGTGTGTGAAGCTTTATACTCTCTCGTCCTGTCCCCAGTGCTAGTTTTTTATTCTTAATTAGCATAAACATCAAGTGCTTCTCCATTTAGAGAAAATAAAAACTCCTGAGCCGTCCCCTCGGAGAACCACTGACAGGTCTATGCTCCCATGCCTAGAAGGCTAATAGACTCGCCTTTATATATACATAAGCTTGGATGGTCTTTGTTTTATTATTTGATAGTGCCAAGTTCCATGAATGTGTTCCCAGGAATTGGGAGAGAAAGGAAAACACTGACCACTATCCACATGAGTCCAGAGAAGCAAAAAGCCACTCTTGTTGTCTCAGATTGGGTTTCTGCATGCTTTTAAGTAAGGAGCCAACAAGGCCCAGCCTTGGCAATCCAGTAACCACCCAATTAAGTAGCAACATCACTGAGGTTGCTTCGTGATCCCTCGGCCAGTTCTTCAGCCTGCCTTTCTCCTCTCCATGCCTCTGAAAACCAGTGAGCCCTATAAGTTGCCTCAGACCAGTGCTGCACAATCAAGATGCTCAGGGCAGCTCTGGACTTCCTGGCTGCAGGTACGAGAACAGAGTGAAGAGGAACAAAGAATGAATAGTCCTATCATATCTGCTACAGACAGAGAGTGATGCAACACAACCAGTGGGTCTAAAACCAGAAATCTAGCGGGGGCAGGGAGGGGGACGGGCAGTCCAAGGGGTCTAGGAACTGGTATCGTTAATAACCTCCAGAGTGTTTGTTCCTGACACCTAAGTTTGCGAATCAATGAGCTGAAGTAACTCCCTATCTCCAGGATTTCTCAAACAGACCAAATCATGAAAGGTATGCCTAATGCTTATTAAAAAGGAGCCAGCAAAGTTCCTCCACTGGATGATCTGGACTCATGGGGCAGAAATAGAAATGTCCCCTGGCAGGTAGGTATGGGGATTGAAATACCAGGAAATGTTCTTTGTGTCCCACTGGTGCTAGGAGTGTGAGCTGAAGAGGTTGTACAGTGCAACAGTTGAACACATAAGGTCTGCAGCAAGACTCTGAATCACACCTCTACCTCTTATTAGCTGTGCTACTTTGGGTAAGTTACTTAGCCTTTCTGTGCCTCCTTTACCTCATCTGTAAAGTAGGGATAAGAATAGCACCCATCTCGTAGGATTGTTGTGAAAATTCAATGCAGTAATACATGCCCAGTGCTTAGAACAATGCCTGGCACTTAGTAAGAGCTGTCAAAGTGTTGGCTCTTACCCTTGGGGAGGCTGCTAAGACTCCTACGTAGGCTGATGCTGGATCATTATGTCAGGTGAAAGCCACCGACCGCACCAGACAAGAGGCCAGGTAGTAGGAAGCAGCCCAGTTTGAGACAGAGACCAGGCCCAGGCCTCTAGGCAAACATCATCCATACTGTGCTCACAGCTCAGCCAGCCTCCCAGGAACAAGGAGGAAAATGGGCTTTCTCAACAGGAGCCAAACAGATAGACATTATTTCCTAGCAGTGGGAAGTGAGCCACCAGGGAGGAGAGCTGGGCATTGTCCTCCCCTCACCCTCAGGCATGAGCCTTCTTTAATAAGTAGTTGCCCTTCCCCAGACCTGACATCTCAATCCGTCCAAACCCCCTCCTTGCTCGCTGAGCTGCTGCCTCCACCGCCACCATCAGGCTGGGAGAACTGCCAGGAAGAATCCGCACAGCAGTGAGCTCCAATAATGCTAAACAATGGATTAATTACACTCCTCGCCTGTTTAGCTGGAGCTCCCAGGGTTGCCTGCACGTGTGGTCACAGAAGACAACAACAGGTGCGAGACGCTGGTGAACACATCAACTGCCCACAGCGCAGCCCTCTGCTCCCCCTCCCTCCACCTCCTGAGCCCCATTCAAGTCATTAAGCCTCCCCGCCAGCCCCCGCCAGAGATATGAAAGGCTTTTGTCTTCTCTCTTCCTTCCCTCCTTTTTAAGGAGTTTCATGCTGGGCGTACTGCTCGTTTTCACAACCCTGCTTGGAGCCATAGATGGAGAGCTGAGGGGTGAGGCAAGACTTCTTTCCAGGAGGGCATCTGCCATGGGGTGACGGCTGGGCTGGCACTGCTCTGAGCCCACCTGGCCAGGCAGGGAAGAGGCAACAGCTGCTTTATGCTCCTATGAGTGCCAGCTTTCCCGAAAGGAGGTCAGCCTCAGAGACCAAACTGCTAATTAGGTCGCATTCTGCTTCCTGCTGCCACTTTAATTTCCACCCCAGAAAACCTTCAGCTGTGAGTCCAAGACCATCAGCTCCTTTCACCCAAATGCAAATGTCTCCAAGGCCTCTCTGGCTGGCCGGCCTTTCACTGGCGCTGGCGAGCAGTGGCAGCGACAGAACTCTGCTAAGGACAGGAGCTTCCGACAGAGAGGGGTACTTAAGACAAATTTGCCTTAGAAAATTTGGAATCTGCCTGAGTTTGAAGTTGCTTTTAAGAAGACAGGCAGCCAGGCACAGTGGCTCACACCTGTAATCCCAGCACTTTGGGGGGCAGAGGCGAGTGGATCACTTGAGGTCAGGAGTTTAAGACCAGCCTGGCCAACATGGTGAAACCTCTTCTCTACTAAAAATACAGAAATCAGCCAGGCATGGTGGTGGGCGCCTCTAATCCTAGCTATTCGGGAGGCTGAGGCACGAGAATCGCTTGAACCCGGGAGGCGGAGGTTGCAGTGAGCCGAGATAGAGCCACTGCACTCCAGCCTGGGCAACAGAGCAAGACTTTGTTTCAAAAAAAACAACAAAAAAAGACAGGCAACCCCATAAAGATTTCTAGAAGCTGGGTGTTATAAATGAGCCCTGAACCAGGGGTTAGGAACTTTGGGCTTATTTTTGGTTAAGGAGCTGCTGGGAGACCTTGGGCAAGTCACTTCTGCTCCCTGAATCTGTTTCTTCATCTATAAAATGAGTGGATTGAACTTGCCCATCCCAGCTTCTGTGATTCTGATAATGATTTATATCTTATTTCGTATTAACAAAGTTTGTTTTTATCTGTGTGTCCCTTGCTGCAAATATAGATGTTGTGTTATATCTTTTTCCCCCTAAAGACTGAAGTCCCTAGATGAGATTGGCATCACCAGTCCTCATTTGCCAAGTGGGAGAGCCGAAATAGAGAACTTCTACCCAACGTCTCTCAGAGGTAAGGTGCAGTTCCAGGTCCTGGACAACTAAACTCCATTCCTGTGCTGCTAGCAGAATTCCACAGCAGGAAGCCCCAGGGCAGGTCTCTGCAGTCCGAATCCAGATTCTCCTTCCTTGACATTGCACATCCTCTTCTTCTCTTCCCTGATCTTGGTCTTGTTCATTTCAGTCTCAAATCCACTTCCATGATCCTTATCCAAAAGGGCTCTGGATCAGTCATTTACTTCTTGGTATCCATTGAAAACCATCTGTTACTTTTCTCAGGTATATTTGTATTTTCAGCCTCCTGTGGCAGATGCTGTGATGTCCAGGTGCTATTTCCCAGGCACTTCCTCCTTCAGTCACCATGACTGTTGGCTGGTAAGTCCTCCTCTGGGAACTGCTCTCAGCTGATAAGAACTTTTTTTGCCCAAGGTCACCCCCTCTTTCATGGGTGGGGGCAATACAAAAGCCCAGCCCCTTTGCTTCAATTTGGGCCAATTCTGCAAGGCCACCCCAGCTCTGGAGGCCCTTGAGGGATGAGCTGTGGCCTCTGTGACAAGCACACTGGCATTGCAGTTCAACTTCTCCCTCTTGCTCCCCTGCCCTCTCCCTCCCTAATAGGTGTTGCTCCCCAGGGCATTCCCAATAAACTTCCTGCACATCAATTGCTGACTCAAATTGGGTTTTCCAGGAAGTGCAACCTAAGACACCTCATTTCCTTCTAGGGTGAGAGAGAGAGAAGAAAGACTACATCCTTGGGTAAAGGGATGTGGCTCAGTGGATGGGGGCATGTTTTGGAGCAGTTTCCTCCCTGAATTCACATAGCTTATACAGTTACCTTCTAGCAGAGCAAAAAGGCAATCCTTTGGGTCCCGTTTTACATCTGCCCCAATACTGTGGAGAGGGTGGGTGGCCCAGGCTTTCAGTTCCTTTCCTGACTGGACACACAGGTTTGTGAAATTCACAGAGGCGGCATCACCCAGATACACTCCCTGAAGCACAAGCTCTTAAAGCTCTGGACCTGGTCCAGGGGCGTCAATCCTGTTCTCCTCTCACATCACTTCCTCCTTGCTGGGTGTTGCAAGGAGGTCCTTGCATCACACTTTGACCTCGTAATATTGCCTCATGACCTGTTATTACATATGTAGTGGCACCAGCATCATTTCAAAGGAGCCTGTGGCATCTTTCCTATACACAATACTGAGATAATGCTGGCCAGGGCTCCTAGAATCAGAAAGGGGCTGTGGCAGTAATTCATCACTACCACTCCTGGCTTATATCCAATAGCAAAACAATATATACCTGGGATATTTGTTCAGCAAACTCTTGTGTTCTCCTAGTCATTGCCAGGCTCCATGCCACCAGCTGAGGCCCAGGAGATGAGTAAAATCTGTTCCTGCCTTCGAAGAGCTCCCAAAGTGACAGAAACATAAAGAAATAATTATAAACCAGTGTGACAAATGCCATAATAGGAGTGTGTAACCTGCTGGCTATGAGAATACAAGGAGGTTCTAGTCTCCATAGATAAAGATTTGGAAACAGGTGCCATTTTCGTGCTTCACCCAAGATAACTGAGCCAAATAGGACCATTTTTCATCAATGTATGTTCATTTACAATGTGCTAAGTAATGGGCACTGATTTATAGTCCACTAGCTTGCAAGGTACATCTACCCAGATGAAAGGAGCTTGCAGGTATGCCTGGAATTCTTGCTGGGTCTTCTGCCCTCCCTATATTGATGCCAGACAGGGCACAAAGAGGAAGCCCATCGAGAGAGAGAACTGCTGCTGGCCCCACACTGAGGGTCTGCCTATGAACCCACCTCACTCTAAGCCTCAGACCAGTCCCTGACCTAGTCTAAAGGTGTGCTGGGAAATAAGTTCTCTGGCTTCTTCATTCTGTGTCCCTATGTGCCAGACTCTCTGATAAGTGCAGACTATTATGGTGAATAAGATGAACGAAACAAACAGATATGGCTGGAGTGGAATCCAGGCAAATAAGGAGGCAATAACAGTACAGTGAGACCCCAAAGCAGGATACCTACTCCAGTCTTGGGCTGGGAGTGAGGAGATAAGGGAAGACTTCCAGAGGAGGTGCCATCTAAGCTAAAACTTGAAGGATGAGGAGTAAGCCAGCAAAGGGAAATGGTGGTGAGACAGAGAAGATCAAGGTGCTATAGAGAGAGGAAGTCGCCCAATGAATGATTTCAGACTTGGAGGCAAAAGAGAACCTTGGCATGGCTGGTGCTAAGAGTATGCAAAGGGAATGGAGATGCTGTGGGTCTATACCGGGGCGGATGCAGATGGAGAGAGGAGCATGGATCTAGGAAGCATTTTGTAAATGGACTTAGACTTGGTGAGTGACTGGATATGGGAAGTGGAGGAGGAGCAGGAGGAGGTGAGGACAATGTGCGTGGCTCAGGCTTGAGGGACTAGAGGGATGGTGGAGCAGTTCACTGTTATCATATCAGAGACAAAGGCTGGGAGCAGATTTCCAGGTGCTGCAGGGGATGAGCACGTTTTAACATATTGTATTTGAGAGGGACATGGGACTCCCAGGTAGATGTTGGGTCTGAAACTCAGAAGCCTGGCCTGGGCTTGAGGTGGTGGTTGGGACACATTAGAACACGGGCAGATTATAGTCGAAATCCCAGTAATGGATGAGGCCATTCAAGGATGCATAAAGAGGGCACAGGACAGAATCCTGAGGAGCACACTCTAAGAAATAGTCATAGAAGAAGGAGCCTGCTAGCAGCTGTCGAGTGAGCAAGGAAGTGGATTGGAGGTCACAGACAACAAGGAGAAAACAAATTTCAACATGGAGGGTGGCTGTCAGTGCCAAATGCTTCTAAGAAGTTGGGTGGGCTGAGAAATGGAAAATGCTCAGGATGAGAGCAGTGACAATGGCGTGCAGCAGACCACAATGTAGAGGAGGGAGAGAGCCCTCAAGAGAAGCAGGCATTTCAAGACCACCAAGTTGGTTACAGAGACCCTGGCCAGGGCACAAAGGGCAACTCAGCCTGAAGCAATGAACAATTGAAGCTTTCTATGAAAAGGCAGTTTTCTGATGAGAAACAACAGAGACCTCATGCTTCCCCAGGTGTTCCTTGGCACCATGGGACCCACATTAGTGGAAAGAGACAGACAAATTCCTAGGCAGACAGGGGTGGGTCCCCAGTGAAACCCAACCTTCAAGCCAAAGACAATTTAAAGCCTGAAAACTGAGCTGCCAATTCCAGATAGAGTCCACGACTGAAGTGAGAACTTCTATTCCTGTTTGCCCACTCTTTCCCGATTGGTTCTTTCTGAATAATGCTTTCTAACCAATTGAATGTTGCCTTTTCCAAAGCTACCTACAACCCATGCCTCCTCATTCCAAATTTATAAAAACCCCAGACTCAGCCACACAGACGGCTACCTGCTTTCAGGCCCCCTCTCACACAGAGGGCTACCCACTTCAGGTCCCCTCTCATTGTCAAGAGCTTTTCTGTGACTCAGTAAAATTATTCTCTGCCTTGCTCACTCTCCAGCGTCCATGTACCTCATTCTTCTTCATCATGGGACAAAAACCCAGAACCCACCAAACAGCGGGAGCAAAAAAGGGCTGTAACACACTCCTGGCTGGCTCGCCGAGCTGCAGGCAGCGTGAATGAAAAGAGCTGTGACACACTCCCATTCAATGGGCTACAGAAGTGAAGAGCTACAACCCTTCTGGGGGCCCAGACCTTGGGACTCCCAGAGCCTAGAGCTATGACACACCCCTGTTCACTGAGCTGTGAGTGGTGGGAGAGAGAGAGAACTGTGACATTCCCTGGTGGCTCAGACCTCAGGACTCCCTAAGCAGAAGCTGTGACACCCCTTTGGGGCTCTGTAGTTGCTGGCATCTTCAATTTTTTTCGGATGCCACCACATCTCCCTCATCCAGATGGCACCCAAGGTGGAAGCCGGTCACGGCATGCCTAGACCAGCTACAGGCTGAGTGCAGAGCCATGTTGGGCATGGCATCGAGGCTGGTAGCCTGAGCCGAGCACAGCCTGCTGGGCAGAGTGGGAAGATTGAGCCCAGTGGGTCCAAGTGAACTCCAGACAGAGGTGCTGCCAGCCATGGAGGTCTCTGGCTGGTGAAGTGGCACTGAAAGAATCCTGTGTCAATGTGAGCAAGTGTTCTATGGTTACTCAAAGAAACTAGAACTAATGGGGTCAGCCAATTGGAAGTCCTGCAGCTGGCCACTGAGGAAAGATAAGGATCAGGGTCAGCCTCACTCCCAGGCAGAGCAGGCTGCTCCTGGCAACTGGCAGTTGGAGTGAAGAGAAGCAGACCACATTGGAAAGATGGCCTGGCCCATTTTATTTTTTATCTTATTGTATTTTTTTTGAGACAGGGTCTTGCTCTGTCACCCAGGTTGGAATGCAGTGGCATGATCATGGCTCCCTGCAGCCTTGTTCTCCTGAGCTCAAGTGATCCTCCTGCCTCAGCCTCCCGAGTAGCTGGGACTACAGGCTCATGCCACCAAACTCCCGGCCTCAAGCAATCCTCCCACCTCGGCCTCCCAAAGTGGTGAGATTATAGGTGTGAGCCACTGCACCCAGCCCCACCTGGTCCATTTTAAAAGTCTGACCTTTAGGGCCTTATTTTAAGGAGGGTTACTTTTTTGTTAGTTTTTTTGTTTAGGTTTAGAAGTGGCCATTATAAAAACAAAGCCTCAACACTTCCTAGGTTTGAGAGCAGATAACCTTCCAAAGGGGCTATCTTTAGAATAGGTTGTCAGGTCAGGGAGGAATCCCCACCTAAATTTCATCATCCCTCTAGTGTTCTCTGGCTCCCATAGCTGCCATTCATGACCTTAGTGGCTAGTCTTGGGGGCTTCTCCCTTTAAAACTCTGGCCCTAGCATAGATAAATGATCCCTTCCTTTTAACCATGCAGGCTGCTGTGAAAGTCATGAATTTTCAAAAAGAAATCTCTCTAAAATTCTAGGAACAAACAAGGGAAAACGGATACAACTCCCCACTCCCCCACCCTACCCCTTACACAAATATTAAGCAAGTCATGTTTATCAAGTAAAGGATTCTGATTCTATTCTAGCTGATTCTTCACTTGGCTCATGGGCCTATTTTTCAGGACTCTAATGCCCGAAACAATATCTTTTCTAGATTCCTAGGTTTTCCCCCACTTTCTTTCCTTTCCCTTCCCTTTCCAAGCAGAGATCTCTTGTCACACAGACCTTCTAGGAACACACATTGTAATGACCCATCCCTGGGAAACATTGCAGCATTCTACAGGTGCCCATCAGCATAGAAACACCTTAGGCTAGTGGTTCTCACACTTGAGCATGCATCAGAATCACCTGGAAGGCTTGTTAAAACAGAGTTCTCAGCGCATTTCCCTCCCAGAGTTTCTGATTCGGCAGGTCTGGGGTGGGGCCTGAGAATGTGCGTTTCTGACAAGTTGCCAGGTGATGCTGACACTGCTGGGCCACACTTTGAGAAACACTGCTATAGGCCCAGGTTGATAACTATTCAGGACATAAAACACCTAGCTCTGCTCCTGTGCTCATGGCAGAAAGAGCTAATCAGTCAACTCCCACTTTTCTACTAAGCCTGGTAATGACCTTGGAACTCTTATCTCCTCCATACTGTTCCAAATAGTCATTAAATAGGGTTGAATGTCAAGATGCTGCTGCTGCTGCTGATAATCTCTAATATACTCATTTTTTTTAAAGACCTTACCATTTTCCTAGTTACTCAGGCCAAAAACCTTGGCATCATCCTTGATTCAGCTCTTTCCCATTTCCACTCCCAATTTATCAGCAAATGCTGTCGGCTCTAACTTTAAAACATATCCCAAATCTGACCACTTCTGACCATGCCCACTATTTCTGTCCTGGTTTAAGCCACCAGTATCTCCTGCCTGGATGCCTGGAAGAGCCTTCTAGTTGGTTTCCTCACTCCATTCCTGCCCCTACCTATGATCTATCTCCCACACAGCAGCCAGAAGAATCATTTAAAAATAAATAAATCATATCATCTTTCTCTGCCCTCACATTCCAATGTTACCTAACATGTTTAGAATAAAATCCAACCCAAAAGATTCCAGTGGCCTACAAGATTCAAATGATCTGACATCTGCCTACCTCTCTGATCTCATCTCCTTTTGCTCTCCCCACCCCACCCCCACATACACTTACGGTGCTTCCCTACTGTGCCCCTCGAAATTGCGGATCCGTCTGCCTGAAATGCTCTTGTTCCCATCATTTTGCGGCTCACAGCCTCACTTCACTTAGATTTCTACTCATAGTCACCTTCTTAGGGAGGTCTTCACAGCACGTTTCTCAGTTTACCTCCCATTCATTCCTTAGGCCCTATCCTCCTTTATTTTTCTTCATAGAACTTATTACTGTCTGACGATGTATTATGCATTTATTTGCTTACTTTTCCCCTCCCTCAGTGGAATTCAAGCTCCATGAGGGGAAGCATTTGTTCTTTTCTTTTTAACTCTTTGCACTCTCACATCCCCAGTGCCTGGACAATGTCTGGTCTAAAATACATGCACAGTACATCTTTAGTAAATGAATGAATTTATTAACATACTTACATATTGAGGACTTTCTGAAGATGACTTAATTTCATTCTCATGATGACCTGCAGGCTAGATATTATTATCATCATTGTCCCCATTTTCAGGGTGAGGAAACTGGGCCTGGCAGGCTTAAGCCCTTGCCCCAACCAGGCCTTAAATGTGGAAAGTAGAAGAGCCCAGAAGAGAACTGAAAGCCTCTTTGACCTGCACACCTGGGCCCTTTCCGTGACTTCTCACCCAAAGCAGGGCCAAATTCTTTCTCTGCAAGCACATTAGCAAGCTCACCTTTTAGCACAGGTTATTTTCTATGTATCATCCAGCAGAGAATAAGGCTCCTGAGAGCAGCCAATGCTTCTAGGGTACAAGTGTAGGGAAGAGGTCCAAAGTAAAAGCTCTGCTCAGGTGAAGAGTCACAGAAAGGGCCAGGTGGGGCACAGAACATGACTATGTGCCCTGCAATGGTGTGATGCTTCAATAGGACAGGGAAGGACCCCAAATGGAAGACAGGCAGTGCTAAAGACAGAACAGAGTCTGTCACAGGTTTTTGCCAGAAAAATTCAGGCTATGTAAGGGGTAACACTGGGCCACCTCAGACTGGGCCCAGCCTTGGTGGAGGAGAGTTGAAGGTCATTGTTATTCAGCAAATACGGATTGTGCTTGACATTGTGCTGTTAAAACACATGCCCCAAAGTGCCTTGTGCTACTGTCTGCTTTCAGTCACATCAAGGCAGACTTCTGCAACCCCTTCCTCTCGGAGCCTCAGAGTATTTCACAGGTCTCTCAAAACTCCACATCATATTCTATTATGATTCCCACTTCCCAGCTGGGTTGAATTTGTTACAGCAGCTAAAATGACTATTGTTCTAGCTGGTCCCACACATGCTTCCAGGGTCTGTCTGATCTCTTTCCCCTTTATAGCCACAGTTGTTGACTCATCCTCACTTTCTACATACCTCCTGGCATTCCTTCCTCAGGCCACTGTGATCTGTCAGCAATATGATGGCCACCATATTGCCATATCCAGTGGGCACATTTCTGGCCTCTCTTCCTCAACCTTTTTTGGTTATATGAAACACTTCCATCATTCTCTGTGTGTCTGTGACAGCACTCTTCCAGATCTTTCTGTTGCTTCTTGACTAGCTTTCTCTTAGTCTCCTTTCTTGGTGTCTACTCTAGTCCTTTCCTCATTTCCAAAGGGTTGGGGCTTCCCTGTGCTTCCATTCTATACCCTCTACTCTTCTCTTTCTACAAACACCTCCCAGATGACTCCTTTCAACCCATAGCTTCCACTGCAATTATACTAGGGTTCTCCAATATTTTTCTTCATGGTTTCATTTTTTAAATTGAGCATAGACCCCTCTGTGTGTATGGATGTTTATTTACAAGGTGACATACATGTATTACTGTACTTATTTACTCATTATATTATAAAACCTGTATATTATAGAAATGTGAAAAATTAGATAAAAATAAATCTAGATAGAAGTTCCAATCTGTTCTTTTCCTTCTTAATGGATCATCTTGCCCACATCCTTCTTGGAGACTACTGATTGACAAACCGATGATTCCCTGTGGCAGACACAGCCAGCGGTTCATGTTTCCCTTTCCATAGTTGCAGCATAGCTGGAAGGGGGCTGCCTACCCTGTCAAGAGGAAAGACCACCACTCAAATACATTGGAAACAAAGCTGGAGATGTATATAAGTGTCTGTGTGTGTGTGTGTGTGTGTGTGTATGTGAATGTGCAACTGTTTACTAGACACCAGATATCATAAAGATATACCAAATTCAAATGCAGCATGTCCAAAACTAAACACCATTTCTCCCCCAAAACTCTGCCTTTCAGGAAAGTAACAGATGATGCTGGAAAATAATATTATGGCAGAAAGCAAGGAAGTACTCAAAGGCAACTGTAGATATGCCAGAAGGAAACAAAAATTTGCTCGAAGGGAATCTTACTGGCCAAATCTGGGACAATCACAACATCGAAAAGAGTGATGGCAGTAATAAATTATAACATTGTACATATAAAAAACAGAATCCAGGAGTCCACAGTAATACTTTTTTAAAAAGTGTGAAGGGAATGTGGAAGTAGGGAGGGAAAGCTCTTCTTTACAAATGAATGCTGGCTAACAAATGTATAAGAAATGACAGGTTTTAGGAAATCAATATTTTACAACCAACTATAGGATAATTCATTCGGGCAAGGATCATTAATGGATGATAATGGGTGAAACATCGTTTAGAACAAGATATTTACACAGTCACATAGTATCACCTCCCAAATTACTGATTAATTACAATGGGGGGAAAGGTGCCTTTGTTGTGGAGAGATCAAACTTGGCATCATTAATAATGGGATAAATGGCTATTATGTGTCTCTTGATGGGACACAACAGGGAAGATATAACGTCACTTATGCAGAATTCTCACCCAAAATGTGAAACCTGAATCTAACCATGAGGAAACAATCCACCATACTCAGATTGTGGTTCATGCTACAAGGCAACTGGCCTGGACTCTTAGGAAAGATCACGTCATGAAACAGAAAGTCAGAGGGGACTTTTGTAAATCAAAGCAGACTAAAGAGATATCACTGTATGCCCCAGAATAGGGTGATATTTCAGTAGGAGAGGAAAGGGCCTCAAATGAAAGATAGGGCATGCTAAAGACAGAACAGAGTCATGCAATTCATGATCCTTGGATTTTAGACTTTTTAAAAAGCCATTAAGCATATATTTGGGGACAGCTGGGAAATGTATGTGTGGACTGTATACTCAATGATATTACTTAATCAATGTTAAATGTCTTGGATATTGGTGTTTTCTAGGACAATGTTCTTGCTCTTAGGAGATACACACTGATGTATCTAGAGATTGAGGTGTCATGATGTCTGCAACTTACAAATGGTCCAAAATGGCCCAGATAAAAAATATAAATGTGTGTGAATGTGCATACATTGAAAAAGAGAGAAAGAGGGAGAAGTTGAGAGAAAGAGAGAAATGAAGCAGATGCAGCAAAATGGTAACAATTGGTGCATCTAGGTAAAGCCTACAGTTATTCATTGTGCTATTTTCCTATTTTTCTTAAGCTTTGAAAATTTTCATACAGAAATATGGGAAAACAAGCAAACAGACTTTGCTCCTGCTCCTGCCAACACAAACATCATCAAGGACCACATTAGAAAAAGCTTTGTTTGATTATCCTGTGAGTTTGAACTTTTCCCTGAAAGCTAAGGGAAACCAGAAATATTTTAACCAGAAAAATGACATGATCTAATTAGATGTAGGAGGTGGGAGTAAAGAAAGAGCACAGTGTGACTTCAGCTTCTGGCTTTTCCTTTGTTCTCATCTCCTATCTAGATGGGTATATTCTAGTCTACCTTCTAAATGCCCCTCTCCTTGATCTTAACCTTAGCATTTTGATTCCTATGTCAAAGTAACTTGGTTCAGGCCCCCCATCCCTCTGGATGACTGACCTCCCTTCCTTGACCAGCGGTTCTCCCAAATCACTCTGTAGTTGGGGATACAATGACTTTTCTAAGATATAAGCATGACCAAAGCATTCCCTGTTTGAAACTTTTCAGTGACTCCTCTGGGAGAATGTTTAGCCTCCTTGGCTCATCATTAGTATATATCTTGGTCTGGCATCTTCCTGCCAACCTCTTTAAGCTGCCCCTCCTGCTGCATTTTCATGCCTGCCCTATATTCCAGCTAATCTGTTAGCAGTGCCTCAGATTTATCCAGCTTCTGCATATCTTCAAGCCTTCGCACAATGGTTTTCTGCCTAAAGAGAATGCATCTTTCCTCCTTCCTCTGTTTGGACCACCTCTACCCATTCATCAAAACGTAAGCATCCTCTCCTCTGGAAGCCTTCCCTGGCTCTACCAAGTCTAAGCTGCTTGCACCTCCTCTGCTTCTCTGGTACCTACCTAATAACTCTATTGTGGCCCTTCATACTTGTGTCTTTTCCCCATTAGACTCTGAGGCCCTTGAAGGCAAGGGCTATGCTTTTTCCCTAATGATATCTGTGCCTGGCAGATGGTGGTGCTGAATAAATGATGATTTAATGAATGAATGCAACATGAATAGGAATATCAGTTAGAGTTCTTCAATTAGAAGCACCAAAAATCAACTCTGGCATGAAGAGGAATTTACTAGAAGGATGCTCCATATTGCATACTATAGGAGCTGAGCAACAGACCCTGAGAGGGAGGAATATGCATGGACTGGACTGGACCAGCAGAACATCATCAAGGGTTCTGCTGAGGAATAGTGACGAAGTCACTGCCATTGGATGAATTCAACTAAAAAGGTTGTTACACATTGGAATCATGGCTGCTGTATAGTTTTCCTCAAAAACACCCTGAAAAAGTAGAGCACATACATGGGAGCAGTGGAAAGATGGCTGGGGTTCTGGAAGCTAGAACTGGGGTCTCTGCTTCCCACTCTCAAAGTTGGTCAAACACAAATGTTGAGCTCAATGACTCTCAGGAGCCCATGAGATCACCATTGGTGAGACCTTCTCCTGTGGTTGCCGCAAAATATTTTTAGTGTTGAGGTTTCAAAGTATCATTTGTTCCTTTGGGGCCTCCTCTCTTCCTGGCATAAGAGGCCTTCCATGGAGAGCTCCAAATATCTTGAGTTTATGGGCAAAGGCTGTCCTCACATTTCCAGAGAGCCATCCCATCCTCCCTTCTCACTGGGAAGGGCTGCCTGAGATGTTTCCTTCCTTCTGAGGTGAGGAGGAACCTCAGTTGTGGTGAACTAGTCACCCGAATGTCCTACTTTCATCTCCATTTTACCCACCGGAAACTGAGGTTGGCTTAAATCATAAAATGCCCAATTTCTCTTCCCCTGGCATTTCCCTCCCTCACAGCCTCCACAGGGCCCCTGCCATCTTCCAGCTGCTGAAGGGTTGGTGAGGAAAGGTGATATAGATAATGTGTCTGGAGAAGGGACACCTTATCAGAGTCATGGACAGATCAAAGTCACACCTGAGAAGCCTCGGGTGGTTCAGAAATGAGAAATGTTCCCCTTCTTTACCCCTTGACCTTCAGCAGACTGTGGCCTTTTATACTTTCTTACAGTCACTTCTTTGTGAACTTTCTCTGCCCAAAGGCTTGAGACCAAGCTCTGGGGCCAAAGGCACTGGAGTCACCCCAGCCACTGGGAACAAGCCACCTCTTGTATAACAAACACCCGTGAAGTGCTGGAATTAGTTCTAGCTCCATCGGAAACAAGGGTAACCTATTTTATCTCACCCAGAGGAGAGTAACTTTTAACAGGGGAGGAAGAACTGCTAGCTACGCTCACTACACTCACTCTCACAAGAGAACACTAACATGGCCACCTTAAATAAATCCCTTGGGTAAGGGTCTCTGTGTGATGTTTCTCCAAAAAGCAACATGAGGAGTTCAGAGTCTGCTCACCCTGAAACCTGCTTGCCCTCAGGCTCCCGGACTCCTTGCCTCTATTTGCAGCAACCCAGCCTCAGGTGAGACCTTCATAACCAGAGCCTCCCATGGTGTCTCCCACACTGAAACTCAGCCTATATGCATGTGGAATGTGCTTTTGCCTCCTGGAGCTCCAGAGGCCATGCATCTGAAGTCCATAAATATTGTAAGATTCCACCTCCATGTACTCTTGCAGCTGGAGGCTTGTCCCAGAGCTCACCCAGATGGTTTTGGCATAAGGCTGCTTGCTCACTGTTCAAAAATATGACCTAAAACTGACAGCTAACAAAGACATTCAGATCTCACTGCTGCTCAGGGCTGTCTCATCCGGCTTCTCCCCTGCCCCCTCCTTTGCTTCCTTGCTGGCCTTTGACCCTGCTGACCCCTCAGCTACTGCCCTATTTATTGCTCCTTCATCTGAGTTCACCGCCGGAGTATTCGAACATGCCTGCATTTCCTCTCAACCTACACTGCCTCTGATTCCCTAGTATCTGGCTTCATCTTTCTATTTGTCAAAGGCAGCCTCGCAAATACTAAATCCCATGGATTTCTTCACGAAGAGACTCATGCTACTGGGCGTCCCTACTTGAAAGATTCTTCTATTGGATGTCTCTGGTGATACAATGATTACCACCATTGTTGTCATCATGACAATCATCACTAAATGACAATGCATTATATTGGACTAGCACTTAACTGCCTTTAAAGCACTTACATGGTATTATCTCATTTGCTCCTCATGACAGTCTTATAATGCATGAAAATCAGAATTATTTCCATTTTGCAGATGGCACTGTGTGTCCAACAGAGTAAGTGACTTGGTAAGGTCCACATGAGTGCTGGAGCTGAGCCTAAAATTCAGGTCTTCTTAGTCCCAATGCCAAAAAAAAAAAAACAAACCACAAGCTTTGGCCACAGAAAGATTTGGGTTCCAATCCCCACTGGGATTGGAACTTGGCCAGTTTTTTAAATCTCTCTGACTCTATCTTCCCATTTGTCAAAACAAGCCTAGGTGTGTGCCCAGGGGCACACTTCAGAAGATACCTGAGAGGATGAGAGATCCAACTGAGAAGGCATGGGGCCCACTAAACACCCTGGGAAACCCTTGGCTGCCTTCTCCTTGATTGTTACCCTTCACACTCCACAACTGGACTCAATGCACACTTATTGTATAACTAGCCCGTCAGTGCTCTGTCCTAATTTGGGAATGTTTTACTAATGCAGAAAAGAAACCCTGAACTCCAAGCGCTTCCTCAGATAATGCTGGGCTTAGCAAAAGCCTGAATTGCTCCTAGCAGGGAAGCGAAAATTCTTCATACCCTTAAAGCAACATGCACATCCCAAGTGCTTACAGGATGTAAAATTTAGTATCATGCATTGGATACCAAGTAAGGCTTCTTTTCTTTCCTTCTTCACAAGTTTAACCTGATTCCAAGCTACTAAAATTAATTTGGTGAAATGCTTCCCCTGACAGATCTTAGCAGCTTCACCTTTGGTGGATGGGCAGACCTTCCATTAGGTGCAGCACAGTGGAAGAACTAGTGAGTTGCAAGAGGGAGGCAGACCCTGCGGCTAAGTCCTGTGTTTGCGAAGCCTGTTTTACAGAGACAGGAAGCCTTGCACATGTTCGGGAACAGGTTGAGACAGGAACATATGGGTCGGGAAGGAGCCAAATGTCTGCACTGTGGCCCTCAGTGGGTGTGGCCAGAAGGAGACTCTGCCACCTTGCTTGAGAACTGCATTTCATTCAGCCAGCTACACAGAGCTGAAAACCCTTTGCTCTGATGTATGAAAATCAGCTTTGGAATAGGAAAGTACTTGGAGTCACTGGGGAATGAATATAATCTCCAAAACACATTTATTGCTCACATTCAAATGAAGATTAAATGATTCCTTTAATACTCATCAACTCTATTAAACTTCATAGAAGCAAAACCTTTTGAAATAAATTAGCCAGATACTTTCTGGAAACAACAGGCTTTTGAGGCTGCATTCTCTTCTGCCATTACCTGTCCTCCTGTCAAACCAGGGAAGGGACCTGATTAGGAGGAGAAGGGGAGGCAGGAAGCCAACTAACATGGACAAGGAATGTCCCACATACCTGGCAAGGTGTGAAGCACTGTGAATGCATCACGTTATTTAACTTCCCCTGTAACCCTGGAAGGTAGCTATTCTTATTAACACTAATGTATGCGGAAGAGCATGGGGGGTCAGACATCTAGCAAGTTATAGATTGGGGACCTGAACCTGATTCCAAACACTCTTTGCTGCTCTTCTATTTGACTCTAAGCCTAAAATAAGTATGGGCATTATGGTGACATATGTATGCAATTAGAGCTCAATCATCAATAGTTTGGGTTGCGAAGTCTGACCACTTGGTTCAAATCCTGTTTCTGCTGCTTCCTAGTTGTGAAATCTCAGGGAAGGTATTTAATTCCACTGAGCATTGGTTTCTTCATCTGTAAAACTGAGATTATAGTAGTAAAATACAGACAACAGTGCCTGGCATGCCATAAGCAATCAAAATCAGTGAAACTAGAAATGGAAAACTGTCTTAGGTTACGTACCCCAGAAGCAAATGGTGAGAAATATTTGGGTGCATGGAGTTCATTAGGGAAGCATCCAAGGAAAATATCCCAGGAAGTCTGGGTAGAGGAATGAAGCAGCGTGACAAGAAATAAAAAGAAACCGATAAAGGATCCATTAATGATCAGGCTACCATCATGAACAACGAAGACTCAATCCCACTGGACACCTCTGGGAGAGAGGCTAAAACTTATGCCTCAGAATGATTCTATCTGAAGAATGAGGGAGCTGGGGTATTCACCCTTCAGCTCCACCCATTATTGGCTGAGTGCTGCTCCAGAAGTCATCAACCCCTTGACAGTAGTTCTGGCTCACTCATGCTCTAGCAAAGAGAATCTTTCAGGTGGAGAGTTTGGTGTGCTCACAAAATGACATCGTTGGCAGAGACTGCAATGGTGAGTGTTGAGGAAATATGGGCAGGGTAGCAACAACATCTGTTACAACAGCTTTGAAGTCTCCATTAATACTTGTCTTGGTCACTGTAAGCTGGCCCCTTAACAGGGCCCTTAAGGACCCAGGGCCCCAGGACCAGAGAGTACACATAAAGTGGCATCCACATTCAAGTATGGCCCCATCTGAGAACACGCTGTTTTTTACTATATTGATCATTTCTAAGACCCAGACCATGGCCTGCTTTTATGTGTGTGTGTGTGTGTGTGTGTGTGTGTGTGTGTGTGGTAGAAGGGAGTGTCCCTAGAACCTTAGTCATAATGATAGAGGCCACTCCATCTTAGGCGTGACCCAGCACCCTCAGTCATGAGCACTTCCTCTCCTGGTCTCAAACACAAAATATTCTTGCCCTGGACCCTATGCTTTAGAGGATCCCTCTCCGGGCCTTCCTCTGGCTACACTCATCTTTATCAGGTGAGGAATTCATAGCGGCAAGGGAATATACCTAGGGGCTATGCAGGCCTCTTCCCCAGGTCCTTCTGAGGTTGGATCACATAGCTGAGGTGCACCCCTATCCTCAAGAGGTGGTTAAGGAATGGCTGTTTCCAAAGTAGGGCAATGGATCTTGGACATGGAGGCTCAAGTGTACTCATGCATATATGTGAAGCCTCTTGCAATGGGAGCTGGAGCCAGGAATGGGAAGAGAAGGAGAGTGGGCCAAGGGCCAGGGGCCCACCCTTAGATGCCACCAGGAAGGAACCCACTGCAGAGTCCAAGGAATCCACCTCTGAGGAGTCCAAGGATTCTAAAATCAAAGCTGAACATCCAGATCATTTTGAAGGCATATTGTCAAGGTAGGTGGATGGAGATATTTTACTTAACATTTTATTAACTTAATTATATATTGTAAATAGCTAGATATATGGTATGCAGGTTTCCACTTACACTTGCACTCTGGTTTTGCAAATGTTAGTGGCACGTACTTCTGGGACTCACCAAAGAGCCCCTGAATCCAATCCATCTCAATCTGGAGGGAGTCTGCCCCAAGGTGATAATGAAGTAGATGAGAATAGAATCTCCTACAAAGCTCCACTCTCTCAAAAAAAAAAAAAAGAGTTTCTAAAGTATAAATTGATGAATGCTCACTGTAGAGAGAGTGAAAATACAGATGAGCATAAAAAGGAAATAAAACACATAATTCCATTACCCTGATATGTATATTAAGTTTTTATTTGTTTGTTTTTATTAACATGCTATAAGGTGACTACAGAGTAATGCAACTGACTATATCTATAGCTTAGTCATCCAAAGCTTTTCAGAAAGAAAATTTTCAAAAATTTTCATTGAGTGAGCAATATGATTGCTGGAAAAAGTCACATAACATTATTAATATCACTATTTATATGGTGTCACTAGATTAGCAATAATCTAATCACTTTGTGCAAAATCCTTCAAGAATATTAACATGAAATTATTTCTTTCTGTGGCTTCTAAACAAAAGCAATTTAATCATGACCCATCAAAGTTATTGGCTAGAAGTGTAGGAGGGAGAAAAGTGTAAAACAATGTCAGCTGTTTAGGCCCCAAACCCCAGAAGGCTATGGCGTTCAGTGGTCATGAGCGGCTAATGGATGAGAGCAGGGAGGAGAGAAGGTGGTGGGGCCAAGCTGTATTCATTCTCTTCTTTATTCACAAACTCAGTTGTCATTTGTTAAGTGCCTTCTCTGTGTCAGACACAGTGCTATGTGCAGGGGAGCTTACATTACAGGGGACTTTTTGAACTTTTTTATTTTTTTGCAATCCAACATCCACTTTCTTTATTTGTAGTAAGAACCACTCCACTGTTGCCCTCAGCCCACAAGGCTTAGGCAATTCAGCTCCACTTCTGGACTCTATGAGTGGGGCATGTGACCTCTTTGAAGCCAATTAGAAAAGTTCATCCTCCAGATCACAGTGATTGGTTAGAGATGGGTTCATGATGCAAGCCAGGCCAATCAGGATCAAGATTTGTGTCTACCTTCGGGGAAAAGGAGGCTTTTTCTCTTCTTGGCAGGAGTTCCGAGATTATTTAAACTTGAAGCTCCTGAGGAGCAACATACAAAGCCAGAGAACACAGGAAACCTGAGACTGGAGCTCACCCAGATAGATCTTGGAGATGCTGTTGGGCAGCTGAATCAAGCTGCAACTGAAGGTGAAATTTTCAGTGCCGCAAACCCATAAATTCTCATCTTGGTTTAAGCCAGTAGCTTTGTTTTGCTTTTGGACTCTTGAAATGAAACAAAAATCTTAACATACAAAACTAAAAGGAAATAATCACAATATAACATGATCCGTCCTATAACAGGAGGGTGGCTTGTGATAAGATTTTGGTGCTCTGGGAAAAGAGAAGAGAAGAGAATTCCTCTTTCTATCTGGGGAATTCCAGGAGAATGTGACATTGAGCTTGGTACTGATGAATAAATGAGATGTGATCAAGCAGAAGAATGAGGAAAGGGTTCTTAAATAAAATAATCTTTCTTATGTTGGACCTGGAAGACTTAGATAGTTTTGGTGCTAGTTAGGGGATTGAGATCTTTTCTTGAGTGAAACTGGAAAGCCCTTTCCTGAAGTAAAAGCCCAGGCTTTCTGAAGAGAGAGCTGATCCTGAATTGTCACCACTGAGTGCTTCTGAAGCTCTGTTAACCCAGAGTTGGATCACTCAAGACCAGAGTGAGCCTTTTCCCCCTTTTTTTCTACCTGCTTATCCTTACCTGCTAGAGTTCCAACACTAAGCTGGAGTTGAGCCAGGGTCCTCTGGGGACTTGGGATCCAGAAGCAAGATGAGCAGGTCTTCTCATTAACAACTCACTGCATTATTCTCTTGCCCTGTTGACAATTGCAATAAAATCTATGCCAAGAAGACATTTGACTCAGCCTATTGACTCTGCAGAAGGTCCAAAACAACAGAGGGTTTAAAATAGAGAGTTCAAAACTCTGCAAAGGATTCAATACAAGTGTGTGTGCTTTACTCACAGTTGCTTTCAGGGACTTTTGTTTCTGGAATATAAGCTCTTATCTTCTTATTATAGGTTGCCTGCATGCATTCTCTTTGTTTGGATTTTTTGAATGTAGCAGATGACCAGCTATTCCTTTCTGTTTTTACTTGTTAAAACTTATAAAGGGGCATGCAACCAACAGATTCAAGTTCCAGGATTCTACACAGGCCCCCATTAAAGTCACAGAGCCGGGTGCACTATCCATATGAGTCAATTAGCCAGTTTGCTAAATATTCTTATGAAGCTTACAGGAGACTTTGCTGGGGGCAATTGTGCTGGATTCTCACAACTATCATCACTTTGCAGAATTCACAAGTTCATGGAACTGTAGCACAACAGTGCTGCAAAGTCTCTGAGAGACCATCTAGTCTAACCCTCCAGGAAGCATGAGGGGCTAAGGCTTAGGAAGGAGAGGGGTTTGCCAGGTCAGTTAAGAAAAATGAGGATTTAAAACCCAGGCCAGGGGATTCCAGGGTTTTTCTAACACCTCAAGCCTTATAAAACAAAGATGATTTTTAAGAAGCAAGCAAACAACAGCAGCAACAACAATAACACCCAGGTGGTATGTGTTCCACGTTTTTTTTCTTTCTTTTATTTTAGGTTCTGGGGTACATGTGCAGGTTTGTCACATGGGCAAATTGTGTTTTGCAGGGGTCTGGTATACAGATTATTTCACCACCCAGGTAATAAGCATAGTACCCAATAGGTTTTATGATCCTCGCCCTCCCCCACACTACCCACCCTCAAGTAGGCTCTGGTATCTATTGTTCCCTTCTTTGTGTCCATGTGTACTCAATGTTTAACTCCCACTTGTAAGTGGGAACATATAGTATTTGGTTTTCTGTTACTGCATTAATTTGCTTAGCATAATGGCCTCCAGCTGCACCCACATTGCTGCAAAGGACATGATCTCATTCTTTTTCATAGCTGCATAGTATTCCATGGTATATATGTACCACATTTTCTGTATCCAATCTGTCATTGATGGGCATTTAGGTTGATTCCATGTCTTTGCTATTGTGAATAGTGCTGCAATGAATATTCGTGTGCATTTGTCTTTATGGTAGAATAATTTATATTCCTCTAGGTATATGCCCAGTAATGGGATTGCTGGGCGGAATGGTAGATCCACATTTTTTGTTCAGTATTTTTGGTGGACTTAAGTGCATGCAGTGAACTAGTTTGGCAATTCTATCTTAGCACCAATGTCTTTCTCTTTTTGGGGCTCTTTGCCAAAGTGCTTCTTAAGGCTTTACATTTAGCAGTGTGACAAACTCTATTAGAGGATACAAAGATGGGACTTGAATGCTAATGGTGAGTGCAGTCAAGTGACATCCCCACTCCCCACCACCATATATACATATTTGCTTTCACTGTTTTAATAGGAGCTAAGAAGTTTCTTGGCTAAAAAAAATAATATTGAGGTTCAGACACATAAATACATGTGCTATTAATCTAGAAGCAAGATTTCATGGAGGGAAACAGAACACTAAGAGGTAATTCCCCATAAGGAAAGGAGTGAAAACCATTTAACTACAGAACCTAAGCCTCTGAGGCAAATGATGGTTTCTGCTACAAAATGACAGCCAACAGTGGTAGGACCCTGACCCCTCACCGCCACTGAAGTTCTCCTTCCCACAGATAATTGAAGCAACTATAACACTAAAGTCTATAACACCCTGTGGCTCAAGCAACCTTGCTGTGAGAAGAAGAACATCATTTATAAGATGTTAATACTCACCTCAACTGATCATAACACACTCCTCACTTTGCAAAGCCAGTGACATAGCATTTCTACTTGATCATATCAAAACTCAGTGGGGCTCCATCATCACCAGTACCTGCATAGCCCTTGGGCATAAGGTATGAGGACCAGCATGGAGTGGCACTGTTGCAGAACCTTGCGATACAGAGATCACAAAGTCTGGTTCAGTTTACAAAGCAGAAACTCTTCAGTACTGTATGTTTCTCCTTTAAACTTTTCAGGACTAAATAAGTAATTGAATGTGTGAGTAACATAGCATAAGTTACATTTTTCTTCTTTGCAAAATGTTATTTTACACCTGCCTCCCGTCCCCAGCCTTATTAAGAATGTGGATTTCTGTTAGTAGTCTTTATAACTCCAAAGTGTAGCAGAGAAATCACTAGATAAGGAGTCCAGAGATAGGGTTTGAATACCAGCACTATTATTAATTAACCACATGACCTTGAGTTAGTCAATAATCCCAGCAACTCTTAGCAGAGGTGCCAAGGACATTCTAGAGTGTCACAATCACTGTGAGGTGTGCCTTAAGTAATTAATTAACAATAGTAGCCAAGTACTGATGTTTGACAGTAATTTAAAATACATAAAGTGAATTCAAAGTAATGCAAATAATCATATCATTCTTATTTACCTGCATTCTGGTGTGTTTTCTCAAGAAGAGAAAACATATTAGGGAAATGATAGCCAGCATCATGGGGACTAAGTATGACCCATCAATTGCCTCTCTAACTGATATGAGGAGATGTGCAGAGGATCTTAAAGCCTATGTGATAGACATGGCTTTTTTATGTTAAGGGATGGTATCCAAATTATCTTTTTAAATATTAAAATAATAAAACTGATGTCTTCTGGAAGAGAAAATAAAATGTCCTTGAATTGTCAAGATCGCCCACAGACTTGAGGCTGATAGGGCTACGTCTCCAAGGATTCAGGGTTATATGTTCTTTCTCCTTGGCTGATATAGGTCCTGAAGTGGAAAAGTTTGTAAAAACTCTTCAACCATGCTCAGCCAAACCAGATAGTTAATGCTCCATCAGTATTAGTTATAATGATTATAGATTTATACAGCGCATATGAGTTGCGATTCTACAATTGCTTCAATTTTCCTTTACATTTCACACAATAATAAATTTTTAATGACAAAACTGCAAGGAAAGACAAGGGAAGAAAAAGTAGTGCACATGAGTGAAAATAGTCTTAGATACATTTCTATCTATGATACAGAAGTTAGCTTCCTAATAAAGACAGACAAAATGATAAAATGAATGGAATTATAAAATAGTCTTCACATTTATAAGATGTTAATACTCTGTAAATTATATCTTTTGTGATATTAAACAATAAAATAAAATTTATTTATATTTTTTCTTCAATTGCATGCTTAGTGCCTTATTAAAATTACCTATGGAATGAAAGTCTGAAAAAAATGCAAGACTCATTTTTCAAAAAATAAGTTCCACTGAAGCAAATTTGAGTGACCACATTTTTTTCCTCTTATTGGACCTCAGAGGCATAAAATTAGATTAAGCATAACCCTTAGTTCAAGACTTGCTCCACAGATTTTATTTTTCAAAGGCAGCTGCAACAATATCTTCCTCTCACATGCTTATCAATAATATGGCCTGGACACTCCTCCTATAGAGAGGAGAGATCTGTGTCCCCTCTCCTTGAAACTGGGTGAGCAACTCACTTGTAACCAAAGAATGTGGTGAAGCCAGTAAAGGTGATCTAACTTCTGCTTCGCTTGCTATCATACTCAGGCTGGAGCCCCAAAGTGCCATGCTGTAAGGAAGTCCAGCCTAGTGCACATGGCAAGACCACTTGGAGAAGCCCTGAAATTACATGATGAGAGACACCCGAGCTATTTCAGCCCCAACCACTATCTGATTGCAACCCCATGGGAGATCCCAAGCCAGAATCACCTCTAGCCACAGTGAAAGATAATAAACTGCCATTGTATCAAGCTACTAAGTTTTGGTGTGATTTGTTGCATATTAATTTTAATGGGACATACACTATCATTACTGGTCCACGAATGGCTCTATGGATTGCCTGATCAATTCACACTAATACAGTGATTTTGTGAGTACTGATTGGACATCTTTCTGGATTTTTTCCTGATAATACTTTGGTATTTTTTAATAATTGTTTTTATTATTCATGTGTTTGTAAAATTTTTATGAATACAATGCCTATCCCTGCCTCATCCCTCAGAAAGCAGTATATAGTGCTATTTGTTTACCCTAAAAACTTGAATTTCTTCTAAACTTGGATATGGCCATGGGAGTGTACCATGCATGTGAACTCTACTCATCCTTGTGCTTCCCCAGGGGCTACAAAATTAGGAACTTCTGACTCTACCCCTCTGAGCTTCAGTTATCTGCATGTGAGATGGGGGACTAATACCAAATCTGTCTGTGTCATAAAGTTGCTATAAGCACCTATTTAGAAAATGCTAAAGAAGGCACTTTATAAGTGATAAGGATTTACATCATATAGCTGTATTATTTTCACAGTTTTCTTATGTGTATTTTATTCTCCTGTCTCTTACCCCATCTGGGAAGCATGGGTACCATCCTCTTTTCCACTATGTGAACTTGAAAAGGTGCTCTGTTAATAGTTTATTGTCTATGTGGTATAGGTTTGTACATTTCTTGATGGTGGGAACCAAATCTTTTTTTTCCGCATTAGTAATGTAGTAAAGCTTTGAGTTTAATAATTTTTTCCTACCTAGATGTACCAAAATCTGCCCTAGCATTTCAGTAATGACCCCTCCTAGAATAAGATCCAAGTTGAGCATGCCTTACCCATGATCTTATATAAGATCATGGATCTTATTCTAGGAGGAGTCATTACTGAAAGACCAAGAGGACCTCATTAAAAAGTGGTTTTGCCCTCAAGGCAGCCCTATGGCATGGCCCCTAAGGACAGTTTTATAAAGATTCTGTAGTGCTAGTCCCTGAGCTTGCTAGAACTGAGATTTCCAGATGTCCGTCTGTTGCACAGACACCAGGAAGGTTGTTTTTGATGATACGATGCTTCTCATTTCTATTCACAGGTTGAGTATGTTCCCTGTTTCCTTTGGGAATTAAAGCTGGGGTCTTGGGTGTGGAAATCTCCAAAGAGTCGGAGACATAGTTCTCGGTTTTCAAATCTCACATTCAGCTCAGTCCCTAATTGCCCACAAAACTTCTGTTTACCATACAAGGATAAGGGACCACATGAGCCTTTTTACCTGTAGGCTGAGACCTCCTTCCAGAAGGCTGGCAATCTCGCCTTGGGGGATATTTCGCAGCTCATTATTTTTTCTCTTTAGATACGGTAGCCTCACTACTGCTCATTAGGCTCCTTTCACTACATCACCGCCTTTCTTTAATGTGTCTGGTCTATTAAATAGCCCTCACCTGGCAAAGCTCCCCCAGTGTCCCAAATGCGGCTCTGCTCTCCTCCTTTCATGACTCAGTTTGGACGTCATTTTAATAAGAGTAGCACAGGCACCAGCGTCTTGCGCCTCCTCTAGCCACAGAGTCCTTCTGCAGTAGAGGGAGGAGCCACAGAACTCGGAGGATATGCCACTTAGTGTTCACAGGTTCCTGAAGGCTTTCACAGAAAACGAATGAGGTACACCAGAGGAACAGCTCTGAGCAGAAATATTGGCATCCCATTCATTCAGCGCTACCAAATATCAAAAGGCAATTGATTAAATATTGATCTGACAACTGTTTGAAAAGGAGCAGGTGCTTCTCACAATCTGGCAAGAAAACAGGGTCAGGAACACCAAATGTGGGTACTGTAAAAGCATGTTTGCAAAATCTCCGTGTCTTCTGCCATGATTAAAAGGCTTGTTAGTCATGGGTGAAATCCTATAGAGGGTATGTGCTTGAGTGTCAGTTCATATTAAGCTGCATGAAATTCATGTTTCTTCTTTAGTTAGAATCCCTCAAACTGACCCAACCGATGCAGTTGCTTTGTGGTGGTTCAGGTGAGCTTCTTTAGACTTTTTCTGAAGGTCAGTCCTTGAACTGAAACAGATCTTAAAAGGGTAGTGTTTGAGTCTTTGTTTGCCAGCACAGAAACCCTATTGAAGTAGCTCAAGTAAGAATTGGTTTATTAAAACATACAAATATGTAGGCATGTATATGTATGTGTATGTGTATGTTTATACATATGTGTATATAAAACTGGTCTAAAGCTGAGAAGTCTTCAGAAAGCAAATATCCTTCCCTTCCTCTCTCTTCCCCTTACTCCCTCCTTCCTCTACTCTGGGTATTACAGGCTTTTACTTTTGCCTCTTTCTGCCTATATGTGGGTTTTTCTTCTTCCCGACAGTCCAGAATCCCCTTAGCTCACCCATAACTGGCTTGGCTTTGGCTGTGGTTTGTCCTGGCACTGACTTCTGCTCCCAAATCAATGGCATTTTACAATTGCTGTAGGCTAGATGGCAGTCATGAAAGAGTTGTCATTGCCCTTGTATATACAAAGTTGATCATAGCTATTCACATTGTCATCACTTCAACTGAGATTTGTGCATTGCTGGTGCTACATATACTGAATTGAATTGTTGTTTAAAATGTCTTCAGAAAGATTATACTATGATTTAGCATTGAAATGAAAAGGTATCATGTACACAGAAAGGCATGTAAACAGAGCAATGGGGCATAAATTCGATATTAGCAAAGCAAATATTCATCATTGGAGGAATGGCAGCAATTTCATATTTTCTTGCAAAGCAACAACCAAGCACTTTATAAGACCTAAGAAAGGAAGATACCTACAAGTAGATGAAGCTGTGTTACATTTTGCTTCCAACATATGAGCAAAAAGATCACCTTATCTCATGTTGAACAATGCAATTGAAAGCAGAGAAACTGCCAAATCCTTCAGCACAAGCTGAGGAAATTTCAAAGCCATGAGAGGCTGATGTGACCAATTCATGTGTCAAGCAAGACCATTGTTGAGACAGTGAACATATGTTTATCATAAACTGCTCAACTTCTAGCAACATTTGTTTCAACTGAGGAAAAAATAACGCTATTAATTTGGTCAAATGGTAAAGCACCAGAATCAAAACTAGCCAAATGGCTGTTCATCATCTCGGAGGAAAATCCTGGAGACAATAATACAGCACTCTTTTAAGAAATTCCACATCACTGATGTTCTTTGGGACACAGAGAAAGATCTTCTGTGGAAAGCCAGACATTGACAATTCTGAGCTTAAAAGCATCTCAGAAGAGTTAGACTAGATAGAAAAAAGTTTTAGGAATTTATCTCATTTATATTTTCCTTTTCATGTATGTGTACTTAGTACGTCAAAAAAGAACTTCTAATATTTATAAAATAAAAAGGATTATGTAATATTTAAAAAGCATTACAGCAGTTTAATTGGAGCATTTTTCTTCTTTTCTGGTTGCATATAAAACCATGGTTCATCTTATAACTGATGTCAACTTGAATGCAATGAAACACAGTAGGTCCAATAGAATGTTAGCAGAAGCCACGGAAGCAACTTTGGCATCACTTGCTTAAGGGGCAATCCCAGGGTCTCGAATTCCACTTTTTCTCCCATTCCACTGGCTGGAGTGGCAAGAGAGTTTCATTGCCCAATATGGTAGCCACTAGCTAGCCATGTGTAGCTATTTAAATTCTAATTAATTAAAATTTAAAACTCAGGTCCTTGATTATAGTAGCCACAATTCAAGTGTTCAATAGCCACGTGTGGCTGGTAATTACCATACTGGATGGCACAGATATGCATAGAACATTTCCATTATCATACAATATTCTACTAGACAGCACTGGACTACAGTGACTTTGGAAGCAAAGCATTGAAGATGGCACAGCCACTCTTGGTCTGGATTCTTGCACAACCGCTTGAAGCTGGGATGCCCATTGACCTGGAACACTCACCTCCAATTGTTTACATGAAATAGAAATAAAGCACTTTGTTCTTCATGCTATATTATTGGTGGATACCTTAGTAGAGTTGTTCACCTTTGGCACTAATTAATACTGTTGGCTGACTTGTTTATTGTCTCTCTTCTCCAGTAGATTCTAGATTCTAGATTCTCCAGTAGATTCTAGATTCTAATATTTTTCAGAATTTAGCACAGTGCCTGACACATAGTAGGTCCTTAAAAAACATTTATTAAATGATTTACTTAATAAATATGAGCACATAGGAGGGACAGCCATGATTTAGAAGATCAGGAAAGGTTTCCTGCAGGAAGTAGCATCTAAGGTGAGACTTGAAGGATGAATCAGAGGCAAGAGAAATATAATGCAGGAGGAAGAGGATTCCAAATAGAGAGAAGACCAAAGAGGAAAGAGCAAGGGGTTTTGCAGAGAGCAAAAATTCAACAGGTTTGGAGGTGGATGGAAGCAGGAGGTGAGAGTTAGACAGGGAAGAGATTATAATGGGCTATGTAAGCCCTGTTAAGATCTTGTATTGCATCCTGAGGGCAATAGAAGTGCTACTAAAAAAAATTATGCTTTTACTGAGCCACCTTAAAATTTTTCCAATAGAATGAATGTTATATTCTTAGAAGCATTTTAGGAAGGAGATTCCCTGACACTTTGGGTTAACCATTCCTGCACTTAGCCAAGATCCTCATGGAAGCTTTTCTTGTGTCTAACCCAATTTTTTTTTAACCAATGTATAGTTTTGTTGTTGTTGTTGTTTAGTGGACCTAAAACACACTGGTTACTGTTATCTATGTTTTTTTTTCATGAAGTGGAAAAGTACTGACAAATAGGTAAAACCCCTGTGTTATGTGTTAACTGGGCTGATGCCAAGCATGTTCTTCCATATGGTAGTTTGAATGAGGAGGGGCCTGATACAACCAGTAAATAGAAATGGGATAACAATGGAATCTCACTACACTCCAAGAGAGATTGAAAGCCTGTCTTAAGTCTTGTCTTCCTTGGAACAATGATTCCAGGTACTATCACCTTCATTTGTCAGTGATTTTGGGAACTCTAGGGTCTTTGTGAGAATGATGATATGTGGAAAACAGAAAAATCACCTCTATCATTGAGGTGATGCTAACAATTTATGTATATTCAAAGAACCAGCAGTATCAAAAACTTTCTTCTCCTGTCTTTTTTATGCTCTCCCTTGAAGGCTTATCAACATTTATGACTTTGGCCATTGATGTTAACTATTACTTTCAATTCTATGTCTTTAGCTAACAGCTCTCTTGTGACTTTCAGATCTTCATGACTGCCTATTACTACACATCTTCATCTGGAAGACCCAAAAGCTCCTCAAATTTAACATGTCCCAACCCTGATTCTTTATCACTCCCATATCCTCCCACAAATATGCTCCTTCTTTTTATTTATAGTGAGAACATCTTGTCTATCCAATTATAAAATCCACAGACTTGTGAGTCATCTTTGACTTCTGTTCTTTCTCAGACCCTTCAGCCTCTCTGTCGCCAAGCTCAGTCACATCTGCCTTCTAAACATCTCTTGAATTCACCCCATCTTCTCCAACCCCTCTACTCATTGCCAGAACCCATATGTTCATTATTTACTGTATCGAGCTGCAAGTTCCTACAATCTAGAGTGATATTTCTAAGACCCAAACCTAAGGATGTCATTCCTCTGCTTACAATTGCTAAATGATTGCCCACAATAATACTTTCAGGAAAAAAAATCACACTCAAGAACGGAGTGCACAAGACCCTTCAGGATCTAATTTCTTCCCACCTCTCTCATTTAATCTCTCACCCTCTCCTTAGAACTCCTTATGCCTCTTCTTCAGCTACTAACAGATACAGTATTTCTTACTCTACCTTGTACAGTTGTTCTCTTTACCAGACATGTACTTCCACCTCTTTATTCACCTGGAAAAAAATTTTACCTGGCCTGCAAGGTTTTGTTTGGTAGCTTTTACCTAAGGTTGCTTTTTTTTATTTCTAAGTAGCGCTGCTCAATGCTTAAGAGACCACCATGGTTTTGTCATAATACTTATGATGCCATGTAGAATTGTTTGCTAATTTGCCTTTTTTTCTAACTAGACATGGGTTGCATCAAAGGTAGAAATCTATCTCATTCATCTGTATAAGTACAGTGCCTACCATAATGCCTGACATGTAGTAAATCACCCAACAAATGTCTGTTGAAAGAATGATCATTTTTTTCTTTTTATACAGTCAAAATGGTAAGATCAAAAGCCACAGTGGTTATATTTGTATCACGGGAATGAAATGGTAGGGGTTCTGCAGCCAACAGCAAACTGCAGGACTGGACCTAAGAGGTAGGGTAATCAGAATCACTTTTGAAAGGTTATCTGAAGATCTGGTTCTGATAAGCAAAAATACGGGGTTCAAGTGAGGGACATTTGATGCCTTACCAACCACAAAAATCTGTAGGTGGAATATAATGTATTATTTATTTATCTTTCTATATTTATTTGTTTGTACTACTCATCAAACCAGGGGAGAGTGGAGGTAGTTTGAATAAACTCATTTGATATAATAATTTATCTAAATAGATGTAGAAAATAGGCCAAGGGAAAATAAAGGCAAGGAAATAAAATAAAATTAAGATTATACTTATTTTTTTCCAATAGATCAACAGGGATGACAGATCAAATATTTTAAGATAAAATTTTAAAAACCTAGCCAAGGTCAAAAATTATAAAATAATCTCTGGGAAACATAAAGAAAGCAGAAACTCAAAGCAGCAATTAAACAAAAGCTAAGATCCTCTTTGGCAATAAATCAGAATCGAGAATCAGGTTTAAGTCGAGGGAAGGAGGTGGTGCTCAGTAATTACAGGTTAAACCGGGAGTAAGAGTATCCTATAACTAGGACCTGGTTGAAGCTACTCATGGCTCTGTGACTGGATTGGTGACATCCCAGTGTCATCATGAAATGGGAGCTTTGAGCAGGCAACACAAAACCTGGGGTCCCAGTGGATCACGTGGAAGCAACTCCAAAACTGCTAGACAGAAAGAAGTGACCACATAAAGAAAGAAAGAAAAATACTGACATCAAACTCCCACTCAAATAAGCCTGAAAACCAAATTTCCAAACACATGAAGAAATGAACATTAAGACAGCTGACGAAATCAACAATTAGGAAATAAATTTTCTTCAGATAAAATGAAATTAACATAATAGTATGAGAATAACTTTAATATTAGTATATCTAGGATCCTCAAAAAGACAAAAGAAAGACTATGACACAGAGAGAGAAAAAATAGAAAATTATGAAATGCAAGTAGGCAAAGTGGCTAAAATGAAACTGGAATAAGTGGAAATGAAGAAGAACCATTTAGCAATCTTTTTTTTCTTTTTTTTTTTTTTTTGAGACAGAGTCTCACTCTGTCACCCAGGCTGGAGTGCAGTGGTGTGATCTCAGCTCACTGCAAGCTCCACCCCCCGGGTTCACACCATTCTCCTGCCTCAGCCTCCCAAGTAGGTGGGACTACAGGTGACTGCCACCCCGCTGAGCTAATTTTTTGTATTTTTAGTACAGATGGGGTTTCATTGTGGTCTCAATCTCCTGACCTCGTGATCCAACCACCTCAGCCTCCCAAAACGCTGGGATTACAGGCGTGAGCCACCACGCCTGGCCCCATTTAGCAATCTTGGAAATAAAAATACAATTATGAAAGTAAAGCAATATACAAATCAATAAATAAGTCAGTTCTAGATTGGACTTAATCAAAGAGAAAATTAATGAATTGGAAGATAGTCTTGTGGAATTTGTAAAAGAGTACAAAGAGTACATTGTATTCCTAGTTATAAAATGAAAGACCAGTTAAAAGCAAGACTGAGAGAAGGCTTCAACATACAACTAATTGGAGTTTAAAACAAAGGAACAGAATTTTCCAGGATTATGGCAATTATATAAGGTTAGTAAGTACTCAGATTAAAAGACACACCAACTCTAAATGGTATGAATAAAAATAAATCCAAATTTTAGACAAATTGTATTGAAATTTTAGAACATTATGGATAAAGAGAAAATTTTAAAAGCTACTAGAATGAAAAAGATAAATTATCTTCAAAAAAAAACAGTAGTAAACTTAAAGCAGATTTCTCATCTACAATAGATGCCAGAGACAGTGAAATCTTCAAACTGCTAAGGGAAAAATCATTGTCAACCTAGATTTTCATTTTCAGCTAAAATATCATTTACAGATGAAGACAAATAAAGGTATTTTCAAATATAAAAGACCCATTGATGTTCACTAAATGAACAATTAAAGTATATGTTTCAATAAGTAAAAAAGTGAATTCAGAGAGGAGTGGGCTACCAGAAATCACGATGAGCAAAGAAATACATAATAATAATATAGGTTGATAAAATTAATTAACAAGTGACCATTTAAAAAGTAAGAGCTATAAACTGTGTGGTTAAAAAAGGATGGAACTAAAATTCTAGACAACAAGTAACATGAGAAGGTTATCAGGTGGTAGCTAAAGGTTTGGGGGAGAAGAATAAAGATATTAAATACTTTTAGACTTTGATAAAACATTTATAATTAAATTTTCATGTTGAAAATGTAAGGATAATTAGTAAAAAAAAAATAGAAATGCAGCATATATCTTCTAAACTAGCAGTGGGAGGAAACAAAAGGGAATTTTTTCCAATCCATCAGAGGGTTGGAAGGATAACAAAAGCAGAAAACATGAAATAATCTGATAAAAATTAGTCCAAATATATCAGTAATGCAAAATTATATGTATAGCATGGTACCATTTACGTAATTTTAAAACCTCACAGAGCAATTAATTCCATGTATTGTTTTCAGGTATATATCTATGTGGTAATCTCATTAGACGTGCATGGAAATGATACATAACCCATATCTAGGGGAAGGAATGAGGGAATGCGATGGAAGTGAGGTACACAAAGGACTTTCACTGTGCGCTCTATTTCTTTTATGAATTATATGGTAAATGTGACAAGAACCTAATATTTTATAAATCTGGGTGATGGGTTCACAACTGTCACTTTCTGGGCATCTGAAGTACCAAAATCACTATACATAAGTCCATATCAAATATAACATAACCTCCAATTATCCAAATGAAAAAAAATCTTTAAGAACAGTTTTTGGTCATTTTGAATTCATAAACTTCTAAAGAAATAGAAGAGTGAAAGATCTACTTAGAATATTTAATTTTCTAATAAAATTATATATACATATTTAAAACTGTATTTTATATAAAACAAATTATTAATTTGGAAATATCCTTTTCCCTTATTAAACAATTGTATTTAAACTAATCATGCATCTTTGACATCAATAACCTTCTTAGTAATTATAGGGATATGTTTGAGCCATGTAACACAGTTCTGTTCATATTATCTTCATTTTCCTCAAAGGTGAGATACAGTATCCTTTATTCTGTGTATGATGCTGTCACTGGAAATATCTGAAGCTTCAAGTTCTTAGGAATATTTTAAATTAAATTATTTTAATAAAATTTTATTTTATTAGGAAAATTTTAAAATATTAGGAAAAATTTAAAATAAAATTGTCCTGTGGGTTTATGTTTACTATTTCCAAAGGTATCCACTTACTGCATTACTTTTTAAAGCAATTCTTAAATGACTTGCTTACATCAACATCTAACTGTTGCAACTGTGAGGTCATGCCCCTATGTATAATGAGAAATATGCATTAAATTTATTTGATTAATTTTAAATCTATTCTGTCAGATGATCCTCCAAAACTAGTATTGATTGAAATAATTCCTGGCTACTGTGTCTTGACCAAACAAGTATTTTGTTAATCAAAATAGATAAAGTAAACCAAAATAGGAAAGACAGTGTAATGGCAACAGGAGATTATCTTATATCTGGCATAACCTTACATTCAGCCATTTTTTGCTATTTCAGACTCACAGGAATGTATAAAAATAATGTAATATGAACATTTGTATATCCATCACCCAGAAAAGACTACTATTCTGAGCAGTAATTTTGGCTTTTAAAAAAAGCTCATTCCAGGCTTCCAGTTCTGGGACAAGATGACATAGACTCAAATTTTCCTGCTCTTACCCTCTAAATATAATGAAATATCCTAGAAATAAATCAACAGAAAATGATAAAAAGGATTCATTCTAAATGCTGGATAGAAAAAAATGGACTGGCTAGAGACCTCAGGACTTGAAGAACAACACTGCTGTGAGTTCCCTGGGTTTTCTTTTTCTTTTTTCTTTTACAAGGAAGAGAGAAATCTAGCAATGACTTAGCACAGAGACCCATACCCAATGGCAGTGGCAGGCCAATCTATTCACAACGGTTGTAGCATTAGAGCTCAATCCATCTCCTGCCCCACACCCAACAATAGCAGCAAACCCAATGTATTCATAGCAGGAGCAATAGTGGGTCCTGAGTTGGACAATCCACCCACACCCTACACCAGCCAGCAGTATCATCAGTGGGGCCAGCAGTTTCTATGGTTTCCAGCCATTGATTTGGTAGCAGAAAATGACCCAAGGTGAGTGTCTCCAAACCCTCCACTTAATGGCAGAGAACTGCCCAGACCCTGTGCTTCCTGATCCTTTACTCAGTGGCAGAAGGCAGCCAGGTAGGCTCTTCACTCCTTCAGAGGCACCTGAATAAGTAAGAGTGGGAAGCGAAATGGTGCCAAGTGACCAGTGAACAGGCTAGGTGAAATGCGCTCCTACTTGTAGGTTTGGAATGCCCTACTCGCCATATAATAATACTAAGAGACCCAGAGAAGCACCTTCCACTTCTGCAGGTGGCACCAGCAGGTGTCTAATGAAAGCTCAAGTAGAATTAGATGAATGAAGTAGACCAGAATATTATCACAAAGTTTCAGAAAACTAAGTTATCATTGAAACTACAAGTCACAAAAGTAGGAGAGAACCCATAAGCTAAGCCTAAACAGTGCAAATGCCTGCTATAAGAGAAAATTTAAATAGTCTCCTAAATAAGATCCAAAATGTCCAAGATACAATAAAAAAATTACTCACCTTACTAAGAACCAGGAAGATCACAATTTGAACAAGAAAGGTAATCAACTGGTACCAATGGCAAGATGAATTAGATTTCAAAATATCTGACAAAGATTTTTCAGCATCCACCATAAAATTGCTTCAACAAATAATTATGAATTATTTTAAACAAATTAAAAATTTAAAAAACATAGCAAAGGAATAAAAGTTATTTCAAAGATACCAAATGGAAATTATAGAGCTTAAAAATACAATAATCAAAATAAAAAATTCATTAGATGGGCTTATAGTAGAGATGACAAAAGGAAGAGTCAGTGAACCTGATAAATGAGCAAGAAAATTTACTCAATCTGAACAACAAAGAAATAGATGGAAAAAAAGAACAGAGCCTCAGGGATTTTTAGAACACCAAAAAAAGATCTAAATTTATGTCATCAGAATCCCAGAAGGAGGAAACGAAGAACATGGGACTGAAAAGGTATTTGAAGAAATAATTGCTGAAAAATTATCAAGTTTGGCACAAGATCTAAGCATATAGATTTGAGAAACTGAATAAAACCCAGATAAATAAACTCAAAGAAATTCATTCATACCAAGAAAAATAATAGTAAACATCTGAAAACTAAAAACAAAGGAAAAAAATCTTAAAAGCAACCAGAGAGAAACAATGCATTGCCTAGAGGAAACAGGAATTCAAATGACAACAAATTTCTCACAAAAAACCATGGAAGCCAAAAGGAAGTGGAACAACATTTTCCAAGTGCCAAAAAAACAAAACAAAACAAAACAAAACAAAACAGCTGTCAACCATGAATTCTGTATTTGTTGAAACTATCTTTTAGTTGCTGCTGCTCACTCTTTGGGTCCGCACCACCTTTATGAGCTGTAACACTCACCGCAGAGGTCTGCAGCTTCACTCCTGAAGCCAGCGAGACCACAAACCCACCAGGAGGGTGAACAACTCTGGACAGGAGGAACAAACAACTCTGGACATGCCACTTTTATGAACTGTAACACTCACCGCGAAGGTCTGCAGCTTCACTCCTGAGGCCATTGAGAACACGAACCCACCGGAAGGAATGAACAACTCCAGACGCACCACCTTTAAGAGCTGCAACACTCACCACGAAGGTCTGCAGCTTCACTCCTGAAGTCAGCGAGACCATGAACCCACCAGAAGGAAGAAACTCCGGACACATCTGAACATCTGAAGGAACAAACTCCGGACACACCATCTTTAGGAA
Organism: Homo sapiens; assembly: GCF_000001405.40. NCBI lineage: Eukaryota > Metazoa > Chordata > Mammalia > Primates > Hominidae > Homo > Homo sapiens. Next base: position 39,030,304 of record NC_000023.11, on the reverse strand, counting down.
CTGTAACACTCACCACGAGTGTCCGTGGCTTCATTCTTGAAGTCAGTGAGACCGAGAACCCACCAATTCCAGACACAAAATGATTATATTTTCCAAGTAAGGATGGTAAAGGGACCTAAATAGAAGACTTCAATTTTTCACTAAAAGCAATCAAACACTGATATCAGTAGGCTGTAATAAGTTACGTATGTATATTGTAGCACCCAGAGCAACCACTAAGAGAATTATACAAGTGCTATACTAAAAATTAGTATAAATGAAATAAGATGGAATTTTTTTAAAAGTTCAAGTAACCCACAGGAAGGCAAGAAAACAGAAAAAAGAAACAAGAAACCAAAAGAAACACATAATAAAAGGGCAGACTTAAGGCTAATGGATTAATAGTTACTTTAAATGTAAATGGTGTAAATATACCAATTAAAAGATTATCACAGTGGATAAAATGTCATGACTCAATATGTGTTTACTAAAATTAACTCACTTCAAACACAATGATATAGGTATGTCAAAAGTAAATAAATGAAAAAGGTATGTCATGCTTATATGAACTTTTTTAAAAATGGAACTAGCTATATTAATATTAGAGAATGTAGACTTCAGAGCAAGGAATGATACTAGGGAAAAAGAGTAGCATCATATAATTACAAGAGGATCAATCCCATAAGAAGACATAGTGAATCTAAATGTACATGCACCAAACAGCAGAGTTTTAAGATGCATAAAGCAAAAACTGACAGGGCTGAAATGAGTTCGGAAAACAATTCAGGAATAAAATAAGAAATTTGACAAAATATAGAAATCATTTTTAAAAATGATTTAGATATACTAGAAATAAAGAATACAGTAACTGAACTGAAAAACTCATTAGAAAGCTTCAGCAGCAGACTTGATCAGAGAAAAGTCAGTGAGTTTTAAGACAGAACACATGAAATTACTCAATCAGAGGAGCAAAAAGAAAAAAAAATTAAAAACAGTGAGGAAGGCCTAAGAGAATTATGAGACACTATCGAGCAAACTACCCTCTACATAACAGAAATTCCCAGATGAAACAAGAGAGAAAGGCCTAAGAAGCATTTGTAATGAAATAATGGCTGAAAAATTCCTAAATTTGGAAAAAGATGACAGCATTCAGGTACAAGTTCAGAGGTCACCAATCAAATTCAATCCAGAAAGAAATTCCTCAAGGCACATAATAATCAATTTATCAAAAGTCAAAGACAAAGAAAGAATACTGAAAGCAGAAGAGAAATAAAACACATCACATTCAATGAAGCCCCAACATGGCTTTCAGCAAATTTCCCAACAGATACCTCATAGGCCAAATGAGAGTGGGATGATCCATTAAAAATCCCAAAGGGGGAAAGAAAATAAGAAAACTAACGAGCAAAGCTATCCTTTAAACACAAAGGAGAGTTGCACTTTTCCAGACAAACAAAAACTTAGGGAATTCATCAACACCAGACTTGTCTTACAGGAAATGCTAATGGGAGTTCTTCGATCTGAAAGAAATATGCTAATGTGTAGCAAGAAAACATCTGAAGATATACAACTCACTGGTAAAAGTCAGAATACAGACAAATTCAGAATATTCTAAAACTGTAATTATGGTATATAAACTGCATATATCTTAAATATTAAGACTAAAAGACAAAAGTATAAGAGATAATAATAACAATTGGTCAAGAGATAGGCAACACAAAAGGATGTAAATTGAAATATCAAGAAGTCAAAATGTGGAAGGAGGAATGATGTTAAAGTGCAAAGTATGTTTTTGTTACTTTTCTTTGCAATCAAAGTTAAGTTGCTATCAAATTAAAATAACCTGTTATAACTGTTAGATGTTTTTTGTAAGCCTCAAGGTAACCACAAAGCAAAAACCTGTAATAGATACACTCACCATAAATAACATGGAAACAAAATATAATACTATGGAAAAAATTACTCAACCACAAAGGAATACAATGAGAAGAAAACAGGAATAAGAGATCTACAAAACAATCAGAAAACAAGTAATAAAATGACTGTAGTAAATCCTTACCTATCAATAATAATTATGAATGTAACTTGATTACATTATCCAATTAAAACTCATAGGTTATGCCCAGTGGCACATATCTGTAATCCTAGCACTTTGGGAAGCTGAGGCAGGAGGATTCCTTGAGATTGGGAGTTCAAGACCAGCCTGGGCAACATAGTGAGACCTTGTCTCTACAAAAAGGAAAAAAAAAATAGCCAGATGTGGTGGTGCATACCTATAGTCCCAGCTACTTTGGAAGCTGAGACAGGAGGATAGCTTGAGCCCAGTGTTTGAGGCTGCAGTGACCTATGACTGTGCTGCTGTTCTCCAGCCTGGCTTACAGGGTGAGACCCTGTTCCTATATATATACTCACTCACATACATATAATATATATATTATATATATAATATATGTGTGTGTATATATATACATACATATAATATATATAATGTATATCTAATATGTGTGTGTATATATATATATATATATAGAGAGAGAGAGAGAGAGAGAGAGAGAGGCCAGCTGGATTAAAAAAAAACAAAATCCAATTATATGCTATATGCTGTCTATAAGAACCTCACTTCATCTATAAACATGCATTGGGTGAAAGTGAAAGAATGTAAAAAGATAGTCCACGAAAATGTAAACCAAAAAACGGCAGAAGTGGCTATACTTAGATCAAATAGACTTTAAATCAAGAATGATTTAAAAACAAAAAAAGACAAAGAAGACCATTATGTAATGATAAAGGGGTCCATACAGCAGAGGATACAACAAATGTAAATATATATGCACCTAACACTGGATCACCTGAATATATAAAGAAAGTATTAATAGACTTGAAAAGAGAGATTGACTGCAATAAAATAATAGTAGGGGACTTCAATATCCCACTTTCAGCAATAGACAGATCACCCAGAAAGGAAAATCAACAAAGAAAAATCAAAGTTAAACTGCACTCTAGACCAAATGGACCTAACAGATATTTACAGAACATCCCATCTAACAGCTGCAGAATATACATTCTTCTTAACAGTGCATGGAACATTCTTCAAGATAGACCATATGTTACGTAACAAAAGAAGTCTTAACAAATTTTTAAAAATCAAAATCAAATCAAGTATTTTCTATGACCACGATGGAATAAAACTAGAAATCAATAACAAAAGGAATACTGGAAACTGTATGAATTCATGAAAGTTAAACAACATGCTCCTGAATAATGAATGAGTCAATGAAGAAATTAAAAAGGACATTTAAAAATTCCTCGAGACAAATGAAAATGGAAACACAACATACCAAAACCTGTGGGATACAGCAAAAGCAGTGCTAAGAAAGAATTTTATAGTAATAAATGCCTACATCAAAAAAGTAGAAAGATTACAAATAAACAACCCAACGTGACATATCAAGGAACCAGTAAAACAAGAACAAACTAAACTCAGAATTAGTAGAATTAAAAAAATTACAAAGATCAAAGCAGAAATAAATGAAATAGATTAAAACAACAATACAAAAGATCAAGGAAACAAAAAGTTGGGCTTTTTGAAAAGATTAACAAAATTAACAAACTTTTATCTAGACTAAGAAGACTCAAACAAATAAAATAAGAGACAAAAAAGGAGATATTATAGCTAATACCACAGAAACACAAAGGATCTTAAGAGACTATTATGAACAACTATACATCAACAAATTAAAAAATCTAAAAGAAATGAATTCCTGGACACATACAAACTACCAAAACTGAATCATTATGAAGTAGAAAACCTGAACAGACCAATAATGAGTAACGGGAGTGAAGCAATAATGAAGGCTCTCACATCAAAGAAAAACCCAGGACCTGATGGCTTCCCTGCTGATTTCTACCAAACATTTTAAGAAGAACAAATACCAATTCTTCTCAAACTCTTATCAGAAAAGGAAGAGGAGGGCATACTTCCAAACTAATTTTACAAAGCCAGCATTACCCTGGTATCAAAACCAGACAAGGAAACAACAGCAACAACAATAAAACTACAGGCCAATATCCCTAATGAACATAGATGCAAAAGTCCTCAACAAAATACTAGCAAACCAAATTCAACAACACACCAAAAATATCATTTACCATGATCAAGTGTGATTTATCCCAGGGATGCAAGGATGGTTCAGCATACACAAATCAATAAACATAATACGTTACATTAATAGAATCAAGAATGAAAACTATATGATCATTTTCATAGATGCAAAAAAGTGTTCAATAAAATTCAACATTTCATTATGATAAAAACACTCAACAAATTAGTTATAGAAGGAGCATACCTCAATACAATAAAGGCCATATATGACAAACTCACAACTAATATAATGAATGGGGAAAAGTTCAAAATTGTTCCTTTAAGACCTGGAATAAGACAAGAATGTCCACTTTCACCACTTTTATTTAACATAGTGCTGGATGCCCTAGACAGAACAATTGAGCAATAGAAAGAAATAAAGGGCATCAAAATTGGAAAGGAGGAAGTCAAATTGTTCCTGTTTGCAGATGACATAATTATATATACAGAAAATCCCAAAGACGTCACAAAAACACTATTAGAGCTAATAAATGAATTCAATAAAGTTGTAGGACACAATATCAACATACAAAAACCAGTAGCATTTGTATATGCAAGTAGCAAACCATCTGAAAAAGAAACAAAGAAAGCAATTCCATTTACGATAGCTACAAAAAAGATACCTACAAATAAACTTAACCAAGAAGATGAAAGATCTCTACACTAAAAATTATAAAACAGTGATGAAAGAAAGTTAAGAGGACACAAATAGAAATATGCTCATGAATTAAAAGAATTAATATCATTAAAATGTCCACACTGCCCAAAGAGATCTATTGATTCAATGCAATCTTCGTAAAAAAGAAACAATAATATTCTTTACATAAATAGAAAAAACGATCCTAAATTTTGCATGGAACTACAAAAGACCCCATACAGCCAAAGCAATTTTGAGAAAATGGAACAAAGCTGAAGGCATCACAATATTTGACTTTAAAATATACTACAAAGCTGTAGTAACCTAGCATTGTTATTGGCATAAAAACAGACACATAGACCAATGGAACAGAATAGAGAGCCCAGAAATAAATGCACGCATTTACAGTCAACTGATTTTTAACAAAAAAGTGCCAAGAATGCACATTTTGGGGGAAAAAGTATCTTCAATAAATGCTGCTGGGAAAACTGGATATCCATATGCAGAAGAATAAAACTAGATCTTTATCTTTGACTTTATACAAAAAAAAAACCAAAATGAATTAAAAACTTAAATTTAATACTGAAAACTTAAAATTACTACAAGAAAACATACGGAAAATGCTTTCTGACATTGGCTTGGGCAAGGGCTTTTGGATAGAAGCTCAAAAGCACAGGCAACAAAAGCAGAAATTGACAAATGGCGTTACATCAAACTAAAAGGCTTCTGAACAACAAAGGAAATAATAAGTGAAGGGACAACCTACAGAATGGGAGAAAATATTTACATACTATGCATTTGACAAGTGGTTAATAACCAGAATATACAAGAAACTCAATGCCATAGGAAACAAAACAAATAATCTGATTTAAAAATGGGCAAAAGATCTGAATAGACATTTCTCAAAAAAAGACACACAAATGGCCAGCAGGTATATGACAAAATGCTTAGCATCACTAATCATCAGGGAAAGGCAAATCAAAACCACGATGAGATATCACCTCACTTCAATTAGAATGGCCATTATTAAGAAGGCAAAAAATAAATTCTGTCAAGAATGTGGAGAAAGGGAAACTCGTATACACTGTTGGTGGGAATGTAAATTAGCATAGCCATTATGGAAAACAATATGGAGATTCCTGAAAAAACTAAAACTAGAATTATCACTTGATTGAGGAATCCTACCGGGTATTTATCCATAGGAAAATAAATCAGTTTATCAAAGAGATATTTGCAATCATGTTCATTACAACACCATTCACAATAGCCAAGAGATGGAATCAATCTAAGTGTCCAAGAAGTGAATGAATAAAGAAAATGTTATATATATATATACACAATGAGATACAATTCAACTGTAAAAAATAATGAAATCCTGTTATTTGTAGCAGTATGGATGAACCTGGAGAACATACTGTTAAGTGAAATAAGCCAGGCACAGAGAGACAAATGCTGCATGATTTCACTCATATGTGGAATCTAAAAAGTGTATCTCATAGCAATAGAGAGTAGAATAGTAGTTAGCAGAGGCTCGGCATGGGAAAGGAAAGATGAATTCACAGGGATTTTTTTCCCAAACATTTAAAGAATTAACATCAATTTTACCCAATTTCTTCCAGAAAATAAAAGTGCAGAGAACATTTTAGAACTCATTTCATGAGGCCAGTATTACACTGATACCAAAAGCAGAAAAAGACTGCACAAAACAGCAAACTACATACCAATATAAATTCATAAACTTTGAAACAAAAAATTTCAACAAAATATTACCAAATCCAATTTAATGATGTGTACAAATAATTACATGTCATGATCAAGCGGGATTTATTCTAAGTATGCAAGGCTGGTTATCCATCGTATCAACAAGGCAAAAGAGAAAAATCATATCAATAGAAATAGAAAAAAACATTTGAAAATCCAGAACTCTTCATGTTAAAAACTCTCAGTAACTTACAAATAGAAGGGAACTACATTGATAAAGAACTTCTACAAAAAACCCACAGCTAACATCATACTCACTGGTGAAAACTGTTTGCTCTCCCCTTAAGATCGGGAACAAAGTAAAGATGTTCACTCTCACCACTCCTATTCACCAGAGTACATGAAGTTCTAGCTAGTGCAATAGTCAAGAAATAGAAATAAAAATCACAAAAATTAGGAGGAAATGAAATTGTCTCCATTTGCAGATAAGATGTTTGTCTATGTGGAAAATTTCAAGGAGTCTAAAAACAAACAAAAAAACACATTCCTGGAACTAAGAAGTAAGTTCAGCAAGGTTGCAGGATGTAAGATCAACATATTTTATATACTGATAATGAGCTGTGGAAACAAATTTAAAACACAATACCATTTACAATAACTCCAATGTGATTGCAAATACTTATAACCTTAGGTATGCTCTTAACAAAACATTTACAAGAGCTGTACAGTGTAAGAAGTACTTAGATATACACTTAAAACACTTATAGGATCTGTACACTGAAAATTACAAAATGCTAATAAAAAAATCAAAGAAGATCTAATAAATGGAGAGACATTCCAGTAAGTGGATTAGAAGACTCAACATAGTAAAGATATCAATTCTCCCCAAATTGGTAAATAGGTTTAATGCAATTCCAATCAACATCCCATCAAGATTTTCTGTAGAGATAGACAAACTTATTCTAAAATTTATATGGTAAGTCACAAGCCCTAAAATAGGTAAGACAATTTTGAAGTGAAAGAATAAAGTATAAGGAATCACTCTCTGCAGTGTTAAGGCTTATTATTATTTTTAAGTATGAAAATGAAAATTTATTTAGCACGAGAAGGAATTGCAATAAATAATAAATTTTAAAAGGTTGAAAATACCATAATCATCACAAAATTTTTTTAAATCCAATATTTATATTAATTAACTTCCTGACACACTTCTATAATACATTCTCCCTACAGTTTTTAATTGCTTTCTCTTTAATTGCCTCCCTTATGAGAATTGTTTTGTTATATTTTCTATGGTGAGAAATGAAAAGCAATTATATTAAAGCTTATTATTTGGCCACAATAATCAGGAGTGTGGACTTGGTGGAAAAATAGACATATAAATTAATGGAACAGAATAGAGAACCCAGAAATAGCCCCACATGAATATGCCCAACTAAATTTTTACTAAGATGTAAAAGTAATCCAATGGAGAAATATCAGCCTTTCAATGAATAATGCCAGAGCAATTGGACACACATGAGTAACAACCACAAAAAAAAATAATAACCTTGACCTAAACCTCACAGCTTACGGAAAAATTAACTCAAAATGAATCATGGAGTTAAATGTGAAACAAAAAACTATGAAACATTTAGAAAAAGAAAAGAGAAAAATCTCCGAGAACTAGAGAGAGGCAATGAATTCTTAAAAATAACAGAAAAAGCACACTCAATAAAATTTTAAAAATTAGTAAATTGGACCTCATCAATATGAGCAACTTTTGCTCTGTGAAGTACGCCATAAGAGGATGAAAAGACAAGCTACAGAGTGAAAGGAAATATTTGCAGACCACATATTTCACACAAAGGACTAGTATTTAGAATATATAAAGAACTCTCAGAACTCAATAGTCAAAAATGAACAGTCCAATTAGATAATTTGCAAAGTATAAAAAAAGGAAAGACATTTCATCAAAGAGGATAAACAGGCGACAAGCATGTGAAAAGATGTTCAGTTTCATTAGCTATTAGAGAAACGCAAACTAAAGCCATAATGAGATATCACTACACATCTATCAGAATGGCTAAAATAAAGAATACTGACAACATCAAATGCTGGTGAAGATGTGGGGAATCTGGATCATTTGTACATCACTGGAGAGAATATAAAATGGTACAGTCACTCTGGAAAACAATTTAGCATTTTAAAGATAAAACTAAACATGTAACTACCCTGAGATCCAGCAATCACTTATTGGATAGAATGCCAAGTTTCTAAATAAATGGAAACTTTTGTGCACATAAAAACCTATACATGAATATTCATAGTATCTTTATACACAAGAGCCAAAATCTGTAAACAACCTTGGTATCCTTCAACAGGTGAATGGTTAGACAACCTGTGGCACATTCATATCATAGAATATTACTTAACAATAAAAGGGAATTAACTATTGATACACACAACACATTGAATGAAATTTGACAGAATTATGCTGAGTGAAAAAACAACTGCCAAAGATTCCATATGTGTGACTCCATTTATATAACATTTTGAATTGAGGAAATCTTTTAAATAAATGGAGGACAGGTTAGAGGTTGTCAGGGGTCATTGACAAGGTGAGTTAGAGCAGCGGCGAGGTAGAGATTATAACAGAGAGGTTCTTGTGGTGATGGAATTATTTTGTATCTTGACTGTGAATACAGGTAGTGGTCATAGGAACCTACACATGTGATAAAACTGTATAGAACTAAATACACACACATATACACACAAATGAGTACAAGTAAAATTGGGAAAATATAAAGATTCGTGGATTATATCATGCCAATATTCTGGTTGTGACATTGTATTATAGTTTTGAAGACGTTACCATTGGAGGTAACTGCATGAAGGGTACAGGCGATCTCTCTATAACAGTTCGTACAACAGCATGTGAATCTACAGTTCTCTTAAAATAAAAATCAACAAGCCTACAAAGCAGAGCTTTCTCCCACCTTTCCTCCTCCAACCCCCCAGCTAATTGTTAAATATTTACCAGCATGTAGAACCACTTATTTTTGGAGAAAGGATTTTGTGTTAGTGAAGCTCATTGCAGTTTTTTTTTCCCCCGAGTGCCTGACGGATAAAAACAGGTGGCTGGAGGCAATAGAAGAGGCTGTGGCCTTGGGAGAGTATTTCTACTTCCATTGGCCTCAGTTTTCCTTATCAGTAAAACAGAAATTAGTACTAGAGGGAAGTAAAGTGAACACTTACAGCAAACCTGTTTTTGACTCCTTCCCTTACCCTCTCAGAAAAGCCCATTGAACTATGCATTTGGAGTCTCCATGTTACATACAAGGAAACAGAGGCTGAGAGGCATGCTTACCGCAGAACAAAGCCAGAACTGGAGTCCAAAGTCCCGGTACACTTTATTGCTTGCTACCTGGAAGCCAGTCTAACTCCCTGACCCTAAATCCTACAAGATGGCCTCTCCTGATGGAAGTTGAGTTGGGTATGGAATGGCTGACCCTCTGAGTGGAGAGGGCTAGAAAAAATCCAGCTCATCCCCAGCCAGCAAATATGATTGCACCAGAAGCCACAGACCTCATGAGGCTGGCCTCCCTCCGTTTACACCACAGAGCTACCAGGCAGGGACAGCTGCTAACTTCCCCCTGTTTGTGTGTCTGTTCTCTGCTGTTCCCTGCAGCAAAAACCCAAGACAACTCTAAAGGTCGAGAGCACTCACCTTAGGGGGCAAGTAGGGATTTGGGTTCAGCAGCTGTGAGCTACGGAAACATGGGTATCAACTCTGAATGAAAAGGTTACAACGTTGGCACAGGGGGCATGCCTGGCCCATGAGGAAGGAAAGAAAGATTGCCTTGGGTTGGAGACCACATTGTCCAACAGAAACTGCCTTCCAGCACTCAGAAGTCTCCTTGGTGCTTTCCTCACAAACTATCAATCTGCTGCCCATGATGTTTGAAAGCAAAGCAGTTCAGTGTTTAAAGACCTAAGCTGGGGTTTGGGAGACATGGGCTTCATCCAGTCCTGTGACTTCCTTTAAGACTTTGGACAGGCCATGCTCCCGTTCTGGGATTCAGTATCCTCCCCCATAAAATAAGGGAGTTGAATTGGGGTCCCTGAGCCCTCTCCCAGCCCCACTAGCCCTCATGGTCAAGGTTAGCTCTAAGACCTGCATGTGGGGCCTGCCTGAATCCACCACAGCTCACAGACATTATTAGAACAGAAGTCCTAGTCGGATTTCATTTTTCTTCCAAGGCTGTTTATTGCCTAACAAAATGTACTTAGTGGTAAATTCGTGACTGTGATGTTAAACGTAGGCTACAAAACCAGAGACAAAAAATATAGTTAGGGGAGGGGTGTGCAGCACAAAGCCAGAAGAGGGAGAGTTATGCAGAGGGTGGGGAAGCCTCGAATTCACAGGAGCATCTCATAAACACAGGCACCGTTGCTTATTTATGCACATCCTATGCCCTGTCTGAGTTCCGCGTGGTCTCCACTTCTTGTTAGCTTTTCAGCTGCACACCAGGCCCCAGCTGGTAGTGGCTAATTGCAATCAGCAGGTGAGAAATGTAGGTTCTCCGAAAAGGAATTATCTCCAGCACTGGGAACCATTCTGGGAAATGTAACAGACCTGGGAAGAGAGGGGGAGATGTTTAAAACCTGAACTTCTGTGAAAAGCATTAATTGAAAAAGACAGCACCGCGCACCAGGAACCCATGACTTGCTCGCCTGAAAATATAATGAAGCGACTTAGCGTGGAAGGAAAGATGGGGGAGCATTTCCATTTCTGCACAAACAGCTCCTGCCTTGTGCACACAAGCCCTGCCTGCCCTCTTTTTCCAAGAGCCCCAGGGAGCACAAAGGTTTGTTCTTGTAATTTCATGGTTACCTTTACATTTTTTTCTGCGCGAGTAAAATGACTTCACCAAACTAAGGACTTTTTATTTATTTTTTAAAGACAGACTGCATGCAATCTACTGTGTAGCTGAATGACTTGAGGAAGTAAGTTCGAAGTGGGTTCACAGTGTCTCGAGGTCACTGAATACCAGGTGTTCATTCAGCCTAGTGCCAAGTAAGAGAGTGGGACATGGGTGTAGCCATATACCCTAAAATGTTCAGCTACTTGAGGAAGTGAGCCCCGAGTCAGGGAGCAAAGTCCTGGCTGGAGGCTCATCTGTGTCCCCAGCCCTAGGCTGCTCTCTGTGGCTCCTGTCAGAAGCACCTAGGGACAGGAGAAGGACCTGGGTGGCCTTCATAGGTTTTACTGCCTGGCCCTATAAAAACCCACCTGCTCACCCACAAAATTGGCTTCTCTCTGTGTGTTATCAGGAAAGGGAGTGAAAACCATACCAGAGGGGTGATTTGAATTTCATTTTCTCAATATGTCCCCCATGGGGAACGCTGTGTGGTGTGCATGCTGATTCAAAGAAAATTGTCTCTGCTCACAGGGGTTTAAGGCCAGTCATGGGCAGCTCACATTGCATAGGGCTGTGGGGCGCCCTGAAAACCACCTGGGGGGGGCACACAACCAGGGGACTGGCCCAGCCACCTTTATGGAGAGGCTGCCCCTCTCCATTTGGGCAGGCCCCAGAAGCCCTGAGGACTGCTGTATCATCATCTATAAAATGAGCGAATTGAATGCCACGACCCTTCACCTCACTTCGCCTCTTGGATTCCATAAAAGGCAAGTGATAAGATGTGGCTTCAAATACAAAAGATTCGCTCCCCAAAATAAATGTTGCCTGGGGTTTGGGGGAGGGTGGGTGGCTTTGTTGTTTCTTCCTTTTGGTTGTTTGTAGGACAAAGGGGAGGGGGAGGTTAGGCTCCGGAGCCGATCTCAGAAAGAACCACAGTCCCTGGTGGGAGGTCAGACTAAGGACAGATACTCTGATGAGGCCAGGGAATCTTTGTCCACCTGCAGTACTCCCCCTCCTTCAACTCCCCAGCCACCTCACGGGCCAAAGGAATGTCAGAGGAGAGATTAAAGTCTCAAGGGGAGGAGATAAAGAGGCCTCGAGACCTTCAGCCTTGGAGCCAAACCCCAGGCTTTGTGATCAAAAGACAAATAAACAGCAATTCCCACCGGGTCTCTCAAATCTGCTGAGCGGCACAAATGTTTCCTCTTTATAAACAAGCTTACCTGGAGAAGGCAAAGAAAACCAGACCCTGAAATCCCACACCGTTTTTGGCAGACCCCTTAGGAGAAACTGCTGCAGACAGCTTATCAAGTGCCTTTCTTATATCGCTTCGAAATAAGATGTCCAAATTTGATCATAAACTGCAAACAAATGGAATCAGCCCACTCTTCATACGAGCTTCCTCATCCTGACACAGGGAAGGTTTCAAGTATGAGAAGGTTTACAATTAGAAGCCGCCAGAAGGATTTCAGAGGCCACTGGATCAGGAAGATGAGCAGAGAGAGTAGATCGCCTGTGGCCTCTTTTCAACAAATATTAGGCTCTGTACTGCCAACTTGAACAATTCTAGGGGGCACTATTCACATTGAAGTCTATAAAGCTGTGTTCCAGGGGGCGTCATTCAACAGGGAATGCAGTGCCAATGGTGTCCTGTGGAGTGAAGAAAGGCAAAGGCCACAATGAGTGCCCGCTAGGTGCCACCACTTGGATACACCAGAGTACATATAAAGCAAATCTCTGCCCCAGTGACACTTACCCTCTCATTAGTAAGTTATGTAGGAAGGTAGACGGCAATGCCCACTATAGTAAAACTACATTAGCATGGAGAGTGGGGAGGGTTGCAATTTGTAGTAGGGTGGTCAGGCAAAAGTTCCTGAAGGTGAAGTTACTTTAGAGCAAAGATGTGAAGAAATGAGAGAATGAAGCCTGCCAGAAGGCTCTCTAGGGTAAGAGGGACCCAGGTAGAGAGGACAGTGAGCACAAATGTCTTAAGGCAAGAGCATGCCTGGTAGAGCCAAAGTGTACCATGGGAGCCAGTGGAGCTGAAGTGGAGAGGCTGTGTGTCTCTGCAGGTCCTAAGTGTGGTAGAGAATCACAGAACATTATAGCTGGTGCCCTCACTGCTCCATCAGCCTGCTCTGCCAGGCGGGGATCTCAGTAGCCACCTCGCAGGGTTCATAGGACTCCTTAGTTCTCCATTAACTAACACCTAGTCTCAGATACAGTCTCGTTTAATTAATAACCAACTAGGAGTAATGCCCCACCCCTCTGAGTCCTTAGCTCACCTGCATTTCAATGAGGGTGGCTGTAAAGACAAATCAGTCTTCAGACCTCAAGCAGCAATCTTGGAATGCTGTGAGAGGACTGAGAGATGCTGAATTCTCCCTGCTTTGAAGTGCTGGGTACCTAAGACCATGGGGTCTCCCACACAATCCCCTGCCACCATCTTCTGAGCAGGGCTCCTCATAGTGCATCTTGGAGATGGAGACACGCAGAAAGAGAGAGGGTGACTTAAGGTGTCCCTCACCAACTCCCTCAGGCTTACTGCAGAGACAACACCCTCTTTCTTCTCCAATCTCACCATACACAGAGTGATTGAATGAAAGTTTGCCTGACCCTCCCCCACCACCTTTTCCCACAAGAAAGTGGAGTAACCAATGGAGAAAATGAACTGCATCTTGGACTCATCTGATTTTGCTCAGAATCTCTGGCTCAAGCATCTAGGATTGATTCGATCTCTGTCATACTTACGTACCCAAATGCCCTGACACAAAGAGTAATGCAAGCAGTGTCTACCCTGCGCAATGTGAGACGGGGCTTGAGGGGGTGACCCAGGCATTTTGATGACAAGTTTGTGGCTGAGCACCCAGAAGATTTCTTTGGCCAGAACCTCCTCATTTGCTTTCCAGCATTTATCAACACCAGCAATGTGCCGTGCAGACAGAGCCTCTAAGCAGAGGTGACACTGGAAGCAGGAAGCCTGTTGTCCTGGAAGCCTGGGGCACCTGGGTTCCACTGCAAGGCTGTGTGATTGTATCAGTTAAGGTTCAGTCAGAGAAGCAGAAACCACCATGAGGCTCTAGAATGAGGGCCTTATGATAGGGACTGAACCTTCCACAGGTGTAGAATCTGATTAAGCAGTCTATGTAGGTCTGCTGCTCTGCATCTAGCTTTGATCCTGAACACAGTAGAGTTGGCTGTCAGGAAGGAGAGATGCACATGAAGTGGGGGAGAACATGGACAAACTAGAACCCACCCTGGACAGATGAAAACCCCATCAGTTTCTCACCATCTTCAACTTTACTGATGCAGGTGACCTGCAGGCTAGGCCGGTGCCCTTTACCAATATAGTTGCACACACGCCCAGCCTTGGGACCCCAGAAAGCCAAGGTAGGAGGCCTGGATGGGACTGAAGGGGTTGCAGGCCTGGCTGTCACCCACATCAGCAAGGTAAGCCTTCAGATCAGTGATGACACCTGTGAGCTGCAACAGTGCCCACTAGCCCTTCTCCTGACAGTCAGAGCATAGGCATGACTGCTGCTTCACTTCCACCCACAAATTGCACACAAATTTCTCTTCTGGCCAACTCCAACCGGAGATAAAAAAGAAAGGAATTCTGGGAAACACAGTTCCAGCTTAGCTACTACAGTACAAAGCCACCACAGTGACTTTGACATCAAACCTCAGTTTCCTTGCCTGTGACATCTAGGGGTTGGCCTAAAGAAAACTGTTTGGGGTATCCATCATACAGGGAGCAGCTTATTTTCTCACTCATCTGACAGCCAGCTAGGAAAGCATGCTGTACCAGGTCTACCTGCATTGTGTGCTGAGGTACCAAGACAGCCCCAATACTATTGCAGCTTTGGGAGTCTCCACTGGCTAGAATGACTCTAGCATCTTAGCCCTAATCCTAAGAGGAACTCCATGTTCTGAGCACATGCACCTTGTGCCATTTTTCCCCCTTATCCAGGCCAGGAGGAGAGAAGCATTATCATCTATCTTCCCAGGTGGCAAACCTCAGATCCAGCATGCTGCTGGACTGGCACCAGTCACCTGGTTAAGTGGTAGCTGCAGGTGGCAAAGATCCATGCTCCATCTTTAACATTCAGGCTGAGAAATTCCAGGAGGTTGCAGAAAGACCTTTAGGCTGCCCACAATTCAATTAACAATCTGAACCCAAACATTTCACTAGGAATTCACTTTCTATGTGATTCCAGAAAACTCTAATAAAACCTAAGGAGAATTTTTCTGAGCAAATAAATGTGAGCACTATGATCTGTGGAGAGCTTTCTGCAAAATATACCCTTTGCAGACTCTACTTTTAGGCACCTGGAGGGGAAAGAGAAGTAAAGACCATATACAATAAAGACAGATGTAAATTCAGAAAAGGAACTGGAAAAAAATTAAATTGCTTAAAAAGAAAATAAAAACTCTCATTTACAACCAAAGAAATGAAGCGTGAAAACAAAGTGTCTTTTAAAGACTACCTTGCCATGGGCCTCAGCTTCCTCGTGGTGGAAAAGGGGCTAGACTTGATGATCTCCTCCAAAATTCCATGAGCTTAGGAGAGCATCGACAAAATCTAAATCAAGCTAAAGGAACCCACATCAGCATAAGCAAAATGCAAAGAAAGGAAGGAAAGAAAATGCCAGAAGGAATGTCTTAATTGATAGCACTTCTTGGAAAGAACTTTCATTTATTGTGAGATGAGTTGAGGCAACACTAAAGGAGATTGTGATCTGGAAATTCCACCCTTTGAACTTTAGTCCTGCAAGATGTATGACTAGAGCAAAGGTATGGTTCAACTGGAGCAAGGTGGTTCAGTTCCAAGCCAGGAGTCCTCAAGGGGCAGAGCAGGGCCAGCAGGAAGGGCCAGCCTGGCTGTGAGGGTCTGGGATATGGAGCTCAGAGGATGAGTCATCAAAAGCTTAAAAGTGGGAGAGGGAACTAAATTTGAGTTTCCTTAGCATTCAAAGTATCAAAAATTAAAGTTTATAAACAAAATCCTAGCTTAGTGAATTGCAATATTCTTGCTGAATCCTCATGCTCTCAATGGTTCAACTTAAACACAGCTTGTGTTTTTGTTATTCTGCAGGCATAAAAGTTAGGCCCTGGCTCTCTGGAGGCAGGAATGCCCTATATTAGAATTTAGTCAGTAATATATTTTTCTAGTGCAGGGACTTGGCAAACTGTTTCTGTAAAGGGCCAGATACTAAATATATCAGGTTTTGCAGGCCCTACAGTCTCTGTTGCAACTACTCAACTCTGCCACTGTTGCATGAAAGCAGCCATAGTCAATACATAAATGAGGGTGACCAGGTTCCAATAAAACTTTATTTACCAAAACAGTCACAGGCTAGATTTGGCCTGTGGGCCATAGTTTGCTGACTACTGGTCTAGTACTTCCTGAAAGTTGAGTTTGCATATGCTCAAAATATAGGCAAACTGAGGGTTTAAATTATGCATTATGTACAATTTGTACATGCTCTAATGCAGGGAAGGAGGAAGAAAATAAAGAGAAACAGTGCACAAAAAAAGAGATTAAAGAAAGCTGATTTTGTTTCAAAAGCCAGAAGGAGAAGAATGCAGAATAGGACCAAGAAGGGTAAAAGGCAAAAGATGTTTTGTAAAGGTGATGCACACACACTTGGGTGAGCATGCAATAATGCAGAGAACACGGGACCAGAAATCAAGGAACCCAGACTCCAGGACATTCTCTGCCCTGCCCAGCACCATCACAACCTCTCTCTGACCTCAGCTTTCTCTTTTGCAAAATGCAGAGCTTGGACAAAAAGCTCTACTATTCTGTTACTCTGCCCAATCCCAGCCTCATAAAGTCCTCAAAATCCAGAGCCAAGCAGGAAACAAAGATTCAGGGCATTGCAGAGAGGCAGCCGTGGGAGTGAGCAGAGGTGGGGATTTCAGTCCCCCCTGTCAGTGTCTCTCCATAAGGAGAGATCCCTATCTTCTTCCTACAGCACATTATGCTGAAGACATAGCCAAGCTTGTGCTTAAATAAACAATTTAATCAGCAGCCCAAAGTTTCCTTTTATCACCCCATCTCCCGGCTAGACTGAATAATTATTTTCCATCTTCTAACTGCTGGACTGTTAAGCATGAGCCGAAGCAAACAGAACACCAGGCGTTGTTGAAAACCATCACAGCCCTAGTCTTTCAGGAATGCAATTCCCATGGTGACTGGGTTTTAAAAAGACCTTGCAACTAAACCTCATTCTTGGAATGATTGTGCTGTAGAGAAGGACTTTGCAGTGTGGGAGGAAGGGAAGGTTTTGCATCTAGCATGATTGCTATCAGTGCCCTGGTCATTAACAAAGAAAACGATATACTGGTGAGATGCCAAGCAATGCCATCACCAGTTGGAATAGGGAGAATATTTCTAGACTCCATCTGATGACCAACCCATTAGGACTCTCTGAGCCTTACTTCTCCACCTGTAAAATGGAGCAAGAAATGACTACCTT
Source organism: Homo sapiens (assembly GCF_000001405.40). Classification (NCBI taxonomy): domain Eukaryota; kingdom Metazoa; phylum Chordata; class Mammalia; order Primates; family Hominidae; genus Homo; species Homo sapiens. Next base: position 39,012,460 of record NC_000023.11, on the reverse strand, counting down.
GTGTGATTACTGTGGAGAATAAATCAGATAGTGAGGAAGAGTGTATCACCTAGCTTATAGCACATAGTGGGTCCTCTCTAAGCAGGAGTTGCCTTGATATTATTCATGACTGATACAACTCAATTCTTACACAAGCAAGACCACTCTAATTGGGTGTGAGAATTGCAGGCCTTAGAAAAAGATGTTTTTCCTGCTCCTTATCAATCTTCCCATGGCATGTGCCTCCTACAAAGGCACTCCCCTGTAATAGGCTCGCGGCTGGTGTAGACACTATTTAAATTTGAGAAAAGGCATTATGGACCCCACCCATTGGCTGCTATCCCACCTGTGAAGCAGTGTTGACTTACGGAAGTAGATAGGAGCCAGGATAACTCGGACTATAAAGTTTCTGGGTATCACACATGCCACCCACTGAGTCACAGGTTTCTTTTGGCAGCTGCACAGTGGAAACACCCTTCCTGTCACTGAGGTCCTTCCCAAATCCACTCCCACTCCTGGCCTCCTTGCAGGCCGTTGTCCCTCTCACACAGCCCACCCATGTGGATGGCAGGGAGGGCAGCAAACTACCCCACAAGCAAGGCCTTTTCTGGTCCCGACCTCACTGGCTCTCCACCTACACAGTCCTTCTATAGGCTCATTGTGACTCATGGCAAGTCCTGCAGCTGCCTCCTGGCTGTTCTCTGTGACCTCAGCCCCAAACTCCTTCATTCCATCCTCCACACATGGCCAGCGAGCTTGTTCCAAAGACCCAGATCTGCTCCTGACCCCACCCTGCTTAAGAGCCACAGCATGTACAACAAAGTTTGAACTTCTCAGCAAGATCTAGAAAGCCTGTCCCAACCCGGCTGCAGCCTCCTCTTGGCAGCCTCACCTTCAGGCCTTTGCTCTTACAGTTCTCTCTGCTTTGCATGCCTCTCCCATCCGCTTGTCCAACTTTTGCTCAACCTTGAACTTTTGCCCATCCAACTCAAATGCCATCTCGTTTCTGACACTCCCACTGCAGGTGGCACCAATTGCTCTCCCTTTTATATTTGTGTAGTAACTTGTATCTATTCTAGTACTTTTCACATATATTATTGATACTTGTTGATGGTTTGTATTCCTGCTCAGATGTAATCCTAATGAGGAGATGAGCTGTATTTTATCTATCTTAGTATTTCCAGCATCCAACATTCTACCTGACATTCAATAATAGTTGCACAGTACACTTTGCTAAATGGAACAGAACGAATTGAGAGAACAAATTCTAAGGGTTTGGCAGAAGAGGAGTGGCTGATGCAGACAATACACAAGAAATCCAGAGGTGCCATCAAGGGAATCTACTAATATTTCTTTATTAATGGTTTTTAATTTTTCTTGGAACTGCCCTTTGGAGAATTATCCAACCTTTCCTGCTATCCCCACTTTCCCACCAAATTGATAACCATCTTTATTCTCAGAGCTGTCAATCATACTGTATCTATGATTTTGAACCATAATTATAATCCATCCCTTGCCTATTTTTACTTAGCATCCATGAAGCCCATGAGGCTATGATTTTTTAGCGCCTGCCTCATTGCCTTCTCTACCCTCCACCAAATGCAACAGTTTTATCAATAGTTTGCATATGTGAAGCCAAGAGACTTCCCATTTTGGTATAATAATCTTCTGGGGATCCACAATAACAACCTCCTGCATAATCCTTTTGCTGTTTTCCCACCCTGAGGCCCAAGAGTAAGTTCCACACCCCTTGACAGGGCTCATAAGGTCTTCCACACCCTATCCTTCTCCCCAGCTCTCTGGCTTCTGTTCTTGCCACTGTCACCTACTTCTGGTTGTGACCATCCTGAGCCTGTTCTCTGAGAAGGCCAGGCTCTGTTGTGCTGCTTTGCTTTCTGACATGCTGTTCCTGGAATGTTTTGCCCTCCTTCTCCATCTAGTGAATTTCTATTCATACTTCAAGGGCCAATTCAGCTGTTACCTCCTTGGAGACATCTTCCGTGCCAATACCACTTTCCTTCCTGCCTAGACAAACACTGTATGCTTCTATAATAGAATTCTTCCAACCTCAGTTGTTTCTTCTTTTTCCTTCTCTTTAAATTTTTATTTTCTTTTTGGATATCAGGTGCAGATTATTTGATTAGTTATAAGCATTGGCTAATGAAATATTCTCATCTTTGGTCTATGCACACCCCGTAAGTACTAGGAAAGCCACTACCCAAAAAAAAAGCTAGCACCTTGGAACCTTGCTAATAGCCTACACTTCATCACACCATCAATTTATACCCTTTTCTCCCCATTTGAGAAAATGTATCATCGTCTTGAATCATATATATATTCATCATTCCCTTTCCTTTTTATGTAGTTTTATTGCAACTAGATAGATTCCTTTAAAAATATAGAAATATTTTATTTTAGTAGTTTCCAATTTCAACAAAAAACCATACCGTATGTAATATTTTGGAGCCTTATTTTTTCAGATTTCATATTGCTGAAATTCATTCATATTTTTCCGTGTAACTGTTTTTCATTTATTTAGACTCCTGCGTATGTCCAGTGTGTGTAAATACCACAATTTTTCTTCCATTCACCCTTAGACAGGCATTTGTTTTAGGATAGGGTTGCCAGATTTAGCAAATAAAAATAAAGAACACTGAATTAAATTTGAACTTAAAACATGAAATTTTTGAACTATAGCTTATGCAATCTTTGGGACATACTTAGACCAGACAGAAAAAACAATCCTATTTGTTGTTTGTCTGAAATTCAATTTTAACTGGGATCCTGCGTTTTATCTGACAACCCTAGGTTGGGAACTGAGCTGCTATGAACATTCCTGTACGTGTCTCTTACTGAATATGCCAAGGTTACTCTTAGGGATAGACCTAGATGTGTGAATGCTCGACTTTAGGAGGTAATATCAACCTGCTTTCTTAAATGGCTATTCTTGAGAACTCTTGAAACCCATCTCCCATTTAGAAAATACAAGAAATGGCCAGTGTGGGAAGAGAGGCTTGTATGTGAGGAGATTGGAACTGAGTCATAGCTCTGCAGTGAATGCCCTCTTCTCTTCCTTTTAAAACAGAAGTTGGGGTGTTACTCTTTAACCCCAAGTCCAGTGAGGGACCTTCAAGGTGCTTTGCAATATATTCGCTATGGTCAGTAACCACAGGGGACCTCACGTACACCCACAAAAGCTAAAGCACACTGTGGGTTAGAGTTTGCCTCTTGCCTGGGGCCATCTAGGTGAGAGGGAAGGGCCATTACATGCTTTGGCAGCCAAGTCAATGGAGGCTGATGCTTTGGGGTGACCCTGGATTCCCAGAGTATGTTGGGACAAGAGATGTGAGAATATGGTTCATAGGTCAGAAGTGACTATAGCAGAGAGAGCGCTGATGTGAAGCAGACTTCAGTCCTGACCAGTAGTGGAAGGGGATCTCATCATAAAGAGACTGGAGGTGTTCTGCCAGATATCTAGCTGAAGAGTAGTCCCAAGCCACTACCTCTTATGGAGACATATCAGGCAGAGGTCAAGAGAACCATAGGAGAGAGGTCTACGGCCATGGGAACCTCTGAAAGGGCCAGTAGTGCACCTCAGGAGGGAAAAGGTGGCTTCATCCATCTTCCATGCCCACAACCAGGGCCCCAGCTTTAATCATCTGAAAATGAGGCCCCATAAGAGCAACGTCACTGCCGAGTCAGAGCTATCTGCTTCCTGGCCTCTCCTCCCTCTCCAAGCTTCATTAGTGGCGCAATAAAATGACAGCTAACAAATAGAGGAAGAGGTGAACAGGCAGAGAGGAGAAGTTCTGCTCTCCTCTACTCTACCTCCCCAATGCTGCCTTTCAGATTAAAATAGACCTGAACCAGGCAGAGAAGATTTAATGGCAAGCCAGGCTTGGAGTTGTGACTTATCACATCTTGAATGGAACATTCTAATTACTCAGTTGTGACTTTCTATTACCTAACAATGAGTAGAAATAAGACTTGCTCAGTTTGCATTCAGTTTTGGGGAAGATTACCCTCCCTGAAGACAGTCAAACCATCAAGTCTTGCTTTGTTCATGTCAGAGGCTATGCTTGTCTACATACTGGTTATGTAGGCATGTCCTGATTTATACTCATTCACCTCACACATACATTCAACCACATCCAACCACCCAACAAGTCAGAGGGTCCCCTCTCAGCCTCCTCTGCATGGGATTTCTTTCCCCTTTCTCTCCCTCTCCCCTTCTCTTTCTCTCTCCCTTTCTTTCCTCTTCCCTTTCTAATTCTCACTGTAGAGCCTACTCCATGTTTATACTCAGTCTCTGGGCCTTTCCCTTCCAAATTCTAGGGCCTTGGTTCTCACTTTATAAGGAAAACAGGTGATAAGAAGAATGGGAGGCTGGCCTGGCAGGTGACAGGTAGGATCAGAAAGGCACAGTAGAATGTGAGTCTCCTGATGACAAGTTGACAATCATGGATGAGAGTTTACAAGTGGCAAATAGATTGAGTGAAAGGCCACAGGGATCAGCATTCAGTCTTGTTCATTTCAATTTTTATCTCCAATGATGAAGCTATAAAGGATGTACCTAGTATGTGTGTGGATGGCAAAGCTAGGAGGAAGCCCTAATATAACAAGTGATAGAATCAGGACTCAAGATCTCAAATGAATGGAAGGAATTGTTGAAAGAAACAAGGTAAAATCCATAAAGATAAATGTAAACATCTGTGCTAGATTCACATAGTCAACAGCACTAGTTAAGGAGACTCAACTCCCTTTTAAAAAGCTCCAGGGGATTTCTTGGCTTGATATGAGTCAACAGCAAAACATGGCTGCCAACATAGATGTTCAGAACCAGGCTTGGCCAGATCATAGCAGAGAAACTAGGGGAGGGAGGACATTGTCAAACTGGAGCATGTCAGAGCCTAGTGACCAGGAGAGTAAGAGGTCAGGAAACTTCGATATACAAGAAATAAATGAATAAATGGGACACTTGTACCTGAAGAAAAGAAACAGAGAGTCACAAGAGTAGCTTTTAATGGGTTGAAGAACCATATTGTAAAAGAGAAGTTAATTCTGGAAGGCAAAACCACAGCAAAAATTACAAAGAGGTAACGTGTGGCTGAAAATACTAAAGAACTCTCTCTCAATCAGGGCATCACAACCATGGAACAAGCTGCTTCATGAGGCAGGAGCACTCCAGGTCACCTGAAGAAGTCCAAAGGAAGCTCCAAAATGATGTACAAGGGTTGTGGCTTCCAATGTCCCTTTTGCTCTTGACTTGCTATGATTCCACATTGGATTAAGTGGGAAGAGCCCGAACTTGGGAAGCAGGTGAATTACAGAATAAGGTCTTAGCATGTACATCTGTACATGTACATCTAAAACCAAGTAAATAGTGTGGCCTGATGAATGGCCTTGGGGGGCCTGAGAGAATGGAGGTGAGACAGGACAAAAATTAGTTAGGTGTTATTATGTTTGAAAGACAGATTTGGAACCTAACATTCAAAGGATAATCATAATCAGGTTCAGTATGAACAAACAGCATTCATCAAGCACTAATAATAAGCGGATCCCCAAGGTTCCTGTCTCTTGAAATTAAAAGCCAAATAACTCAAGTCCTGTAGGGTCAGAAGTGGATGAACTGAGAGTTAAGAAGGGGCTGTCAGGCTAGATCAGAAGCCAAATACTATCAGTTAGTTTTGTCCTGACAAATTTAAAATACATACTTAGGATCTGGTTTTAAACATGTACTTAACTTAAGGGAGATAGCATCTATGTGTGGTACCCCTTGGGTGCTTGTTAAAAATGCAGTCTCAGGCCCTTTCCCAGACCTACTGAGCCGGAATCTGCATTTTGCCCAGGTGGTTTGCAGATGTCTTCACATTTGAGAATCACTGTTGTACATTAGAGTTGAAAAAAAAGTGGCTTTTTTGCTGTCTTGTGCTATCAATGGCCATATATTGCAATTCAAATATGAGACACATGACCTGATAAGTATGAACATATTTATGGAGACAATAGTACAGGATCTTTGGCATGGAGACCGTCCCGCCTGCAAAATAGGCCAAAAGAGGTTCCTGTGGTTACAGAAAGACCAGCAGTTGCTACTCAAGTGATTCCATGCTGAATCAAGAAGTTGGGTCTAGTCTCAAGTAAAGAGAATGTGAATCTCAGAACCTGATGTCATCTGAGAGGATAGGTTAAGTGAGAACTAAACCATCACAGAACTAAACCACTGCTCCGGAATCCACAAATTCAATGTTAGGAGATAGAGCCCTTAGGGTGGTGAAAGTGAGCATATTGCCATTCCTACCCTTTAAGTGTTTTCTCATTATTTAAAATACATGACCCTGTGCTCTAACACTGGTGGCATTTGGTGGTATTTTGGAAGGGCTGGCATAAGAGACCTATCTAGCATAATGTAAAGTGTACCTGGCATGTGGCCTGGAATGGAGCTAGGACAAACAAAGAGAATTTTAGATTTTATAACAAAAATGCCTTGAAACCTTTTTTGCATTGCCCAAGTGTTACATTGTTTTTTGTAGTGTGAGAAACAACCTAAGAAACCAAGATAAATGCAAGCACATCAAGGCTTAAAATGAAGGATAGTCTGGCCTTAAGTGAATTAGAAAATCCATGATTTTAATTCACATCTCACCCACAAGAAGCAATGAAATGGCCTTTTGATTTGTCCCAGTTTTAAGACCAAACATCTTACCTAACAAGAATGCTCAAGACCATTACTCATCCAGTAATGTTCCACCACTGAAAATCCCAGGAAGCGCTTTCTTTAGATCAACGTTTAAAGAGTTCAGCCTCCCAACTCTCCATGGTTCGGCCCTGTAACCAGGTGCAACTAATTCAGCAGGCGAAGCCAAAGTTCACAAAGCACAAATCTTGAAAAGTCTCCAATAAAACCCAAGAAGGAATACTAGTTATCTCTGTAATTCTTACTTACATGATCTTTTTTCCTGCTCCATAAATCAGAAGGAAAATAATAAAGTCCTTTTTTTGCCATTGTAGCAGGACACATCATGTGCAAGCAGAGAGTGTGCTGGATCATCAAGCCCTCTGCTTTGTGGGGCCACTTAAGTGACTGGCAGCCCTCATAATCTGCAATAATGTGTGCCTGGAAACAAGGACAAGATTCAGGAGGAGTGGGTGGCTGAGGGGTACGCAGGAGACCTAGGAGCTACAGAGGGTTCAGATTTCCATTTCACATCCTTCTCCAAATGCCCTCCTGCACAGTGTCTCAGACAATCAGGAAATACTAACCAGCAGCTGTTAATCACCAGTCACACATTTTTCAATAAGAAAGTCATGTTTATTGGTAACTTTTTCCCTGGCTCCACCCAAAGAGGGAGGTTGCTCTCAAAACTCTGATATTCCAGGGGTCAGAAAAGAACCAGCTTACTCCAAGGCAAAGCACACCTCATACTTGCTTTATCCACCAGTTCAGCCAAATAAACCAGTAATTATTTAGCAGCAACTCTAGGTTGGTGCTGGGGAATGCCAAAACAAAATGTGCAAGATTCCCTCCTGCCTTCAGGGTCACTGTTTTGTTGGGTGGAGAGGGGGATAAGATAAACTAACATGAAAAACTATAAATAAAAAGCAGTAGATAATAAATGTCAAGAGAGTGGTAAAAAATAAAACTTATAGGGATTGCACTGAATTCAAGTGAATTGCATTAGGACAGGAATGGAGTTTGCAGTGGGAACAGTCAAAATGTCTATGAGCCTGAGTCATGAAGAGGGTGGGATTGAACCATGCATGGACAGCTTCACAGCATTCAGCAGCGGGCAGGAAAGATGGCAGGCAGTTCAGCTGGGCTGTTAAACTGGGAAGGAGTGGGTGCAACTGAGCCACAGTAGGGGACAATGGCTGCAGTAGAGGTTTCTACTCTATGCAGGACTCTCACTCTGGCCTGCTGCATGGCCTGGAACAAACCTTTGTAAAGTAAGGGCAGAGCCATTCTGAAGAATGGCAGGATTAATTAGGTGCCTAACCTTGATTGCAGGGAGTCAGGATATCTCTCCAACTCCACCTTCTGCCCTACTGGCTAGCCTCCCGATTGTTCTAAAACCTTAGGGATGTTCTCCTTCCCCAGGGAGACACAGAACCAATGACTGCAAAGTCAAGGGCATAATCACAAACAACAGAGCTATATGTCACGGGGTCACCTTGACAGAGAAGGAAACACACAAAGCAGTGCCATCACCACACCACAGTGCCTGGGGACCTGGGCAAGCTCTGACTTTCACATAGCTGGTCCTTGCTTAGCATTGTTCTCATTCCTCTCAGGGACATTTCAGGCCTATGTTGCTTTTCTCGGGCCTCCAGCCCAGCCTCCACAGCCTGGACTCGCTGAAGATGTCAGTGCCTCTACAAATTGATAAAACTTGAAGCCATGGAGATTTGCCCCCACCACCGCCCTTTCCCACCTACTGGCTTAACTGCATGGCACCCACCCCTCCTCAGTCCCACCTCTAATCTCAGAGAATGAGGGTAGCCTTCTTGTTCAAGGCCAGCTACTCCCTCACAGCTCTGTCACTCACCCCACTTCTTTTTTCTGACACTGCGTTCTTTCTATTCACTTTCTCCTCAGAGTATAGACATGATAAATATCCCTCTAATCCAGACACACACACATACACACACACACCGGTCCTCCCTTTAACTTCCTTTGACCACTGTCCGTCACTTCATCGCTCTCTTTCCCCTCCAGTCACAACCCTTCAGAAGGTAGTCTATGCTGCCTGTTTCTTCTTCCTCAATTCCATTCAGTCCTCAATACTGGCTCTTGGACCCCACTCTTGCTTCACTGAAACATGCTATCTTTAAGATCGTCAATGACCTCTTCATTTCCAAATCCAACAAAGCACTTTTTTGTCCTTATCTGCTGTATTTGACACTGTTGTCTTTTCACTGCTTCTTGAATCTCTCCATTCTCTTGGTTTCCATGTCCCCTGGTTTTCCTCCTGCCCCACTGTTCCATTACTGACCGCACTGGGAAATCAAGTACCCTCTCCTTCCAGAAGCTTCTATAACATCCTATCCTGAACTATGTAGCTCACGTCCGTTCCCTTAACTCTCTGGAACTTACTAAATTATATCAAAATTGTCTGTTTATGTGTTGGTTTCCTTTATTAAGCAAGGAACCCCTAGAGGAAAGTGACTGTTGATTAATCTTCATACCCCCGGTACTTATTACAAAGTATAGTGCCCACAGGCAGGCAATAAAATTTGTTCAACTGCCTTAGAACAAATGCCAAAGACAAACTAGACTGATTTTTAACATAAAAGTTATTCAAGATTTTATTTCTGAGAACACAAATTCTCTCTTGTTTACTCAAAGACCCATGATTTTCAAATTGACCTATGGTGAGGAAAGCTAGGGTTAGCTCCACATTCAGTTGGGCACCTTCAAACCCTATTCTCAAGGTCTTCCTCAGTCCACTTTTTTGTCTTTTGCTTCACCATGCAGCTGATGTTTTCTACTGTCCTGACCTTGTGTTTGTTTATGGTTGCCTAGGTTATCACTGAACGAAATGTGGCACTCAATCATTTATCCCTCACAATTCCTAGGCAGTTCTGTAGCTACCTTGAAACTCCTTGACTGGACAGTCTGTGTTTATAATTGGTTATCCTTTTACATATTTCTAGCAATAGTGGTCTTTATGTAAACCAATGTTACACATATTTCTTCTAGGCTTTTATAGTGTCTCCTTCAAAAAAACACTGGCATTCTGGAATCCTATGAGCCTGCAGTATGAACATTATTATAAGAGAGTTGGTATGTTATCAACACGTGGAATCTCTAATCCTACATGCCTCACATTGTTGTCATTACCTCAGCCCTTCAATCCTGTCCCAGCATTTATAATGGAACTTCTTCCCTTCCCTGGGTTGTCCTTATTTCTACTTAGTGACCCTGACTTGGGATGCTGATGCTAATCTGGAAGATTTCTTATGCATGGGTGTAGACCCTGGTAGCATTCTTAGGATGTGCTTCTTTTCTTCCCCCTCGTCTTGGCTACTTGTCCTGGCTCCTGCACCACTGGATCTGACCCAAGTTTACTGTTCCAGTCATTTATGAAAGAGCCATACACCAATGATCACAGATAGCTCCTTCATTCTTCCTTCATATGTCCACAAAGGCTTTCTCACAACTCTCCTTATCCCCTTAACTCTTGATATGGTTTGGCTGTGTCCCCACCCAAATCTCACCTTGAATTGTAATAACCCCCACATGTCAAGGGTGGGGCCAGGTGGAGATAATTGCATCACTGGGACAGTTTTCCCCATACCCTTCTCATGGTACTGAATAAGTCTCACAAGATCTTATGGTTTATAAAGGGGAGATTCCCTGCACACGTTCTCTTGCCTGCCGCCATGTAACATGTCTCTTTGCTCTTCCTTCATCTTCTGCCATGATTGTGAGGCCTCCCCAGCCATGTGGAACCATGAGTCCATTAAATATCTTTCCTTTATAAATTACCCAGTCTCAGGTATGTCTTTATTAGCAGCGTGAGAACTGATTAATAAAACTCTTATAAGAAACTGAGCTCCAGGAATAACCGCAGGCTTATGGCTTCCCTCAAGCAGCCATCTCTACCTAGCAGATCAGGATCATAAAGGATAGGTCATACTGAACTTATAAACACTCCATTGGCCCACTGGGTATTTGAGACAGTGCGCCATGGATTGATGTTAGGTTGCAGGGCATGATGGGATGCACCTGAATGGGATTTGGAAGACTTCATCACTTAACTCATAATGAGCCTCTGCACAAGCCATTCCATTCTTTTGGCCTAGATGATCTCTGAGGTTCCCTCAAGATCTGCTAGTTTGGGGTCCTGGTTCAAGAGGTTCCTCCAGGGCTTTGAGAACCACTTAACTATCCAAGAGAGGCCTTCAGTGCTCCAGGGACATCACTCACAATGACCTTCTAACGAGGGCTCACTCTGTCTCAGTTTTATTCAAACATCATAAAGTTAGTAGAGAGGGCAGCCAGCTGAGTGGTCAGCTGGGTCTCTGAGGCTCTTCAGACCTAACTAAAACAGAAATACTATATACACATGGTTTGGGCTCCCTGACGTTTGAATCCATAGGATTGTTGCCCCCTATCAGCTGGAACCAGGCCCCTTGGAGCATTTCTCTGGATATGGTTATCTAGAGATTTCTATTATCTTCTCTTCCTGTGTCTCACCAGCAGAGGACATGCTCAAGGCTTTTGGCTATTCTCACAAGTTCAAGATCACCTGTACATTCATTGTACAGAATAGAGTTTGGCAAAATGTTTTTTTTGTAAAGGGTTAAATCATAAATATTTTCAGCTTTGCAGACCATATAGCCTCTGTCAGAATCACTCAACATTGCCATTGTAGCATAAAAGCAAACAATGTATGACGAATAGGTATGGCTTTGTTCCAATAAAACTTTATTTACAAAAACAGGTCAGAGGACAGATTTTGCCCAAGGACTGTAGTTTGTTTATCCTCAGTCTAGCTCTAAGCACCACCAGCTGGAACTGGTTATCTGGTTCTTCATTAGGGACACCTGATTTATGGAACTGAGCTGGATCCTTTTGTGGGTGTCCTTTCTGTTTGTATAATCTTGCATGGCCAGATTATTAATGAAGTCATGTATGATAAGATTAGGACACAATCTGCCTGAAGACATTAAATGTTGACCTTAAGGTCAACTAGTACCATGGCCCCATATGTCAACTAATATTTTATTCTGTGTGTCAACAGATATACTGCTACTCTTAATCACCATTTACCAAGGTCATTCTCCCCTAAGGCAAAATTTTAGGGTACTGGGGCAATACAATGCTATCTAACCTGAGTACATTGTTGTTAGACTGAATTTCAGCAATGACCAATGTGGCTTCAGTTCCAGATGGTCACCATATGTCCTAGCACATGTGTGCTAATAGCTTTTGTTACAAGTAGATAAAGTTTCCATGCCCTCTCCCTTTCCCTGTTTCTATTCCTGGTCCCAGAGTAGTCCAGGCCCCAGCTTTCTGTGGTTTCTGCAACAAGTTGCTGAGATTAGTTTAGAGTAGAGGATATGGGTGACAGAACACATTTTTGAGCTACAGAAGCATAGGCCTAAGTTCCAGCTCGGCTCCCAGTTTCAGATTCTTTCTCTGCAATACAGGAATGATAATGCTAATACCTACCTCAAAGGACTATTGAGAGGATGATGTGGTATAAAAGGTGAGAAAGTACTTTGCAAAGAACATTTGGCCGTTGTTGTTACTTCCTCAGATGGTGACAGGCCTAGCCCCTCCCTGCTCCCAGTTGTCATTTTTCAGAGATTTTCCTAACTGTCACACAGTGCAGTTGGGAAAGAGGCCTCTCTAGCTGAAACATGACCAGTCTCTATCAAATGGCTGCTCAACACAAGTCCCCTTAAAATTATGGCAAAAATAGAACCTTACCTCTACCTGTAGCAACTTGATAAACTTATCTTTAAATGTCTTCCCAAACACTATGACATGTATTCTTTCTATAGTCCTTTAAGAAAAGCAGAAAAGGTACTAGCACATTCATTTTTCAGATAAGGAAACTGAGCAAAAGAACCACTAAAACAATACCCAGAAATCATGCAGCGGTTTACTGAAGAACCTGAAACTAAAATCCTGGTTTCCTGAACCTAAACTAGGCATTCCATAAAGCTACAAACCTTTCCTTTCACAAAAGGAAAGATCTGCTGGGATTTCTCCAGGTTCTATTTTTCATTACAATATATTTGAAACACAACTCAAAATACTATCCATCTGGCCCTTCCTGTGGCATTTATTACCTTGCTTTTTGCCAACATCTTACCCAGAAAATGCATTTAACCCAGAAGAGGCTGAAAAGGTTTGTGGAAGTAGGGAAGAGGGAAAGAGGAGCAATTGCCCTTACTACTAAAATACATACCAAAAAGAAAAACGTTTCTAACTTGGAGCTTATCTAGTCTTCTCAAGGCAGAAAAAAGTCAAAGCAAGATCTTGGTTCAGTTCTGTGTTTGCCCAAGCATTGATTTTTGTCTGAGAGTTCTGAAATTGTCTACTAGGTCACAGTAGATGCCTAAATGGTGTGTCTCCACCTCTCATAAGGCTTTATGATGACACAATGTCTTTCCGGTTCCCAAACTAACGTTGCACTAGCCTCATCTGGAAAAATAATATGTTCTGCCTACTGGCCAAACCAGGTGTGATGCCAAGGAGTAAAGAGCTTCCCAGGAGGACCCAGGTCAACACAGCACACAGCTGTTGTGTCTCATTGACTAGCACATGCTAAGTGTTGGGCACTTTGTGGCACATTTTAATATCTTAGAACTGAATCTCTTACTTAGACCAGTATTGCAGGAGGACATAGACCCCAGGAAATAATCTATTGTCCATTTATATATTAGTTCCTATTATCTTATTTTTTTGACTATTATTTATTCAATTTCTGAGTAGGCATAAATTAACATGGCTCAAATAAAAACCATTACAAGGCATATAAGTGAAGAGGCTCCTCCTCATCCCTTCCCCAGTCTCCCCTCACCATAGGCAACTACTGTTATTACTGTATTCCATCAAATCTAAGATGTCATCCATTTTAAGATGCATCATTATTTTATGTACCACTTAGAAAAAAAATAATATGGCTAATTGTAATTCTAAAATGCCACATAATGGAAGACATTTCAATTTCACAGATGTTAAAATGTGAAAAATGTATATCATAGAGTCATTCCCTAATTCTTTATGTATATACAAACAAATATGAGTGTACATGTCAGTTCTACATCCTAAAGATAGCAATGAGTACACAATAGTCTACTCATTACTTTTTTCACTTTAAAGTATATCCTGGAGATCTTACCATGTAAGTAGATGGAGATCTGCTTTATTTATTTTTACAGCTATTAAATGTACATGATACAATTTATTTCACCAGTCCTCTCCTGTTGTACATTTGGGTTGTGCCCAATCTTGTGCTATTTCAAATAATGCTTCAGTGAATAGCCTGGTGTGCCCATCATTTCACAAGAGAGCAAGTGTTTCTATAGGATAAAATCTTAAAATTGAATAGCTAGGCAACATAGAGCAGGCAGTCATAATTTTGATGAATATTGACAAATTTTCTGCCATAGGGGAGCACCAGATCTACCCTCGACAATTAAGGTATGAGCGTGCCTCTTCCCTGTAGCTTTGTCAATAGACAGTGAGTAGTCTGTTGTTGTTGTTTTTAAATCTGAGAGGTAAAAATAAATAGTATATTAGTACAGTTATGAGTGTGGTTGAGCATCTTTTCATAACTTCTAGAGCTATTTATATTTCCTTTTTTGTGAACTATCTTGCTTACATCATTTGTCCATTTTTATATTACGTTATTGTTCTTCTTATTGATTTTTCCAAGGAGATTTGTGCGTTGTGATGTGGGTGACAACTTTTCTTCTAGTTTGTCATTTGTTTATTGTTGTTGTGTTAGTTGGGATTTTTTTGCTTTTGTTTTGTTTTGTTTTTAGAGATGGGGTTCAGCTCTGTCACCCAGGCTGGAGCACAATGGCATGATCATAGCTCACTTCAGCCTCGACCTCCTGGGCTCAAGCAATCTTCCCGCCTTAGCCTCCCAAGTAGCTGGGACCACAGGCACACACGACCACACCCAGCTAGCTTTTCAATTTTTTTTTTTTTTTGTATTTTGTGAGATGGGGGTCTCACTATGTTGCCCAGGCTGGTCTTGAACCCCTGGCTTCAAGCAATCCTCTTGCTCTAGCCTTCCAAATTGTTATTTTGTTTATTGTACATTTTTCCATGTAGAGACTTTAGTCTGATTTTTATGTAGTTAAATTTATCACCCTTTTCTCTTATGGGTTCTGCATTTCAACTCAGAACGACCTTGCTCACTCCAATGGTATACAAAAATTCCCCCATGTTTTCCTCTAACAGTTTTTAAGATTTCATCTTTTTGCATTTGAATCTGGAATAAAATTTGTTTTTTTTCTGTCACATTATATGAGGACTAGATTCATTTATATTTTTATCTAGATGGTTAACCAGTTGTCCCAACACTATTTTTTAAATCAGTCCATCTTTTCCCATACTAATAAAAGATTCCACCTTTACATCTAAGTTCCTGTATCTATTCGGTTCCATCTCTAGACTTCCTAATCCATCACATTGGTCATGGGTCTTCCTATTTGAACACTGACTGCCGTGGACTGAATGTTTATGTTCCCCTCAAATTCATATGTTGGGCTGAGTGCGGTGGCCCATACCTGTAATCCTAGCACTTTGGGAGGCCAAGGTGGGTGGATCACTTGAGGTCAGGAGTTTGAGACCAGCCTGGCCAACATGGTGAAACCTTGTCTCTACTAAAAATACAAAAATTAGCCAGGCATGGTGGTGTGTGCCTGTAATCCCAATTACTCAGGAGGCTGAGGCAGAAGAATCGCTTGAACCCGGGAGGTAGAGGCTTCAGTGAGCCAAGATTGCACCACTATGGTCCAGCCTGGGTGACAGAGAGAGACTCCACATCAAAAAAAATAAATAAATAAATAAATAAAAATTATATGTTGAAGCCCTAACCCCCAAAATGGCAGGTCCTTTGGGAGGTTAATTAGGTTTAGATGAGGTCATGAGGGTGGAGTCTCCATAATGGGATGAGTGTCTTTATAAGTAAAGCAAGAGACACCAGAGCTTTCTCTCTCAGCAAGTGCACAAAGAAGTTATGTGAACACACAGAGAGATTATGAGTGTCTGCAAGCCAGGAAGAGGGCCCTCACCAAGAACAGAACTTGCTGGCATTTGATCTCTGACTTCCTAGCCTCCAGAATTCTGAGAAATAAATTGCTGTTATTTATGCCACCCAGTTTATGGTATTGTGTTATAACAGCTTGAGCTGACTAAGACATCTGCCTATATTTTTTAATTAAATTCAGTTATTTCAGATGTGCAGTCTAAAGTCACTCTCAAAGGCTGGCCACTCTTAAAGTCCCCATCTGGAAACCCACTCTTGAGACTACCTGTTCTGTTTTACAAACCATATATATATATTTAAAAAAAAGTAGAATTTTACAAATTCAAATCATATTACAAATGTACTGCTTACAGTACCACAGGTACTTATGTACCAGAACCATACATAGGAATGACCAATGCCTCTTAGCAACAAAGACCACTACTCAAACACCCCGGGAACTACACATCCCTTCTACAGACTAAGTTCTAACTTTCTCTACTCAAACTGTCTTGCACAGATCACCTTCTTCTTCTTACCTCTTAGAAACTCCATGCCGACTTCCCATTCCCCCATCCCCTACATTGTCACCTGGCCCCTGATATTTGATGTATGTTTTTACCTTCCAGGTTACACTAAATTATCTGTGGAATATTTCAATTCCACTCTCTTCTCACTATCTCCACTACCAACATCACCCTTCTGGACATAGCCTTCTAGCTGGTCTCCCTGCCTCCAGTCTTGCCTCTCTAATCCAGTCTCCATATAACAGACATGGATATTTTCAAAGCACAAATCTGATGATGCCACTGTATTGCTTTGAAGCATTTTAATGGCTACCCATTGTTTAGGATAATGACCAACATCCTTAAACATGTCTGTAAAGTCCTGCATGATCTGGGTCCCTGACAACCTCTCTACCCTCATCTTCACTTCCTCTGCTTTGCCACATTAGGGTCCTTACAGTTCCACAAACACATTTTGCACATGCTTTTCTCTCTACCTGAAATGTCCTTCCTCCCTTTTTAACCTATTCATCTTTCATATCTCAGCTGAAGCACCACTTCCTCAGTGTTTTCTGTTTTTCATCTCCTGATGCCACTTTCTTTCCTTCATGGTGCCTATCTGAGTTCATAATTACACATTTATTTGTACTATTATTTGATTAATATCTCTCTCGTAAGCATCATAAGAGCAGAGATAATGTCTTTTTTGTTCACTGCTTTCCTCTATCATCTAGTGTGGTGTCTGGCCCAGCACATATTAGGATGACATAAAATATTGAGTCTATAAAATCCATGTTTAATATATTCCCATGAAATATTTTAATTTACAAGTGAATAGCCATTTATTAAGCAATGGCTTTGATATTCCTATGTACACATACTCCAGGTCTGTGCGAAGCACAGAAGTAGAAGGAAGAAAGCAAGATCCAAATTCTTATACAGAAAATGCTGGTGGCTTCCTTCTGCATGTGATGAACAGATAGACTTCCAGTCTGGAAGCAGGAGACTCTGGTTGGATAGATTTTGTTTCCAGAGTATTCATGGACCAGAACATATTCCTGTCCAATGGTCTAAATGATAGTAAATCTCCAGAGCACTTGGCACCTAGGCTTAGTTACCAAAAGGCCTATAGCTGTCCCCAGTTCTGGCCTCTCTTCCCAGCTTCCCTATAAGCCTTGAGTTCACCTCCAATGTCCTCATCAAAGCCACCATTTTGTCCAGAGCCACAGGGCCTCTAAGATCTCAAACATGCCATCTCCTCATAAAATACTGGGCTTCTTCATCCTAAAGGTCTACAGCTTGGAACAGCAAACCTAAGGCAAGTTGAGGGGACTGCATAGGCTTTTGCTTTCAAAATATTAGAACTTTAATTCCAGGTTGGTGAACTATAAGAGAGTCCCCAATGATCTCTCGCTCCTAGTATTTATATCCCTTTGTAGTTCTCTCCCATATAAAAGCAGAGCTTGTGTGAATGGCCAATAGAATATGGCAGATGTGACAGTGTGTAACCTCTATATAAGTCATAAAGGCATTACAGCTTCTACTTTCGTCTGCTGGATCTCTTGCTCTGAGGAAGCCAGCTGCCATGTCATGAGGACACTCAAGCAGCCCTGTGGAATGAGGTTCATGTTAAGAACTTAGACCAGCACCAATTTACAAGCCATGTGAGTGAGCCATGTTGGATTCCAGCAGCCCAAGTTGATATGTAGGTGCAACCTCATGAGAGAACTTGGGTCAAAAACCACCCAACTGAGCCACTTCTGAATCCCTGACCCATAGAAGCCATGAAAGATAATACACAATTATGGATATTATAAGGCATTAAACTTAATTTGTTATGCAACCTTAGATACAGGCCATGAGATCAAAAGCACAAGCCCAGTGTCTGGGCTGTGTCTTTAATATTCTGGACACACAACCTTTCTCCCTTTCTTAGTTACAGCTTTTGTCTCTCTTCCTGTGAACCATTCTACTTAGAAGAGAATTTATATCTCTTCATTTGGGCTTCCTATATAATATATATGCTTCTATCCTGGCCTATACATGTGCAATACAGCATAGTGGTTAATAGGATCAGCTTTGGAGATAGAGTTTCTTAGTTCAAATTCCTGCTCTCCCATTTACTACTTGCATGACCTTGGGCAAGTGACCTAACCTCTCTATGCTTTCATTTTCTCATTTCTAGAATGGAAATAATAATAGTATCTACCTTATGGGCTTGTTTTCAGTGTTCAACGCAAGACCTAGTACATAGGAAAGACTCCCAAAATAGCTGTTGTTATTATTTTCATTACTGTCACTGTACTGATCATACTGTGTTGATTGTGTGGTTTTATATCTCATTCCCTCTCCAGAATGAACTTCTTCAAAGCAGTGTATTGATGCCACTTATTTTTTTCTCTCCAGCTACCCAGCACAGCCCAGCACGTAGTAGGAGATCAACATAGGCATGTCTTACTAGAATTGTCTCTGAAGGAGTGTAGGCAATTTGAAGGCCAGATACTTGAGTCTCAGGGAAATAGACTAGAGATACTGTTTGTAGTGCAAGAAAGGAGCCAAAGAAAACACACAGCAGAGCTGATAACTGGGGCTGAAGGTAAGGCAGGAGGTTGCCCTGATGCCCAGAGGGTGTTCTGGCAAAGTTGTCCCAGCTCATTGCATGAGGGGTCCTACTTGCCTTTTAATGCAGAGAGCTCAAGTTTTCCTGCTCAACTCTCAGTCTTTGTCAGGATCTTCTGAATCTAAAAGGCCTTCATTTGTTACTGGTGTTGGTCAAGGCTTTGCGAAGTCTCCTTAACTCACTAAGCCTTGGTTTCCCCATCTGTAGAGTGAAGATGATAACCATCACATTTAAGACTCGGGAATGCTGAGGGTTAAATGTAGTCAAGTTGGTAAAACACTTAGTGCTAGAAAAAGCCCAGTAAATGTTGGCTACTCTTGGCTTGGCAAAAAGGTCTCAGTGAATACAATCTTTCATTTTCTGGTGTCTTGATGTCAAAGAACCTCAATGATTCTCAAGCTTTTCTGCCTCATTTGCAGAACGAACCAGAACGAGGGTGCTCTCTCTCTCTCTCTCTCTCTCTCTCTCTCTCTCTCACACACACACACACACACACACACACACACACCCTTCCTTCTGGAAGAGGTTAACTATTGTGACCGGTACAATTAGCCCCTTTCCATCTGATAACAACCCCATCTAAGGAATTCACAACCATTAATTAGAGGCACCCGGCAATCTTGTGAGGGAGGAAAATTATCGCTCAGACTCTACAAGCTTCTGAACCAAGTTGCTCTGGGGTAACCTCAGTCACAGAGCCTGGGCCTGAGCAGGGACAGAACAGGATGGAGCCTGCCAGCCCCTGGCCCCTGCACACCGCCTCCTCCCTCTTCCAGGGCTCCATGGGGCTGACTGGAGGCCCTGCAGTTGTAAGTTCATTATTAAATCATTTCTCACCGAAAGAAGAAAAGGACTCGAAGCTCCACACACAGTGGTTTTTAAAATGCTAGTCTCTCTTCAATCGAAATTGAATTCACTGATGTAGCCCAGGGAAAAGTGAGCTCCTTCCTTCCCACCAAATGATTCTTTCAGGGTAATATAGCAGTTAAAACTTCAGGTACATAATAGCATGCTGCTCTATTAGCTAAGGCGATTTTATTCTTCAGCTTGCAGCTTCTTGCCTGACAGTTGTCACCTAGACAACCATGTCTCCATGAACTCAAGAGGAGACCGGGGGGTGTCCTCTGAGGAGACAGCCAGCCTGATACATCAAATCTTCTGGTGCGAAGGAACCGTTCTTGGCTTTGCGATGTGGAACACACTAAATAATGCATTCAACTGTTGTCTATTCATCTTTTCCATCACCACCACTGCAGGCCCCTCCTTGCCTGTGACCTTGAAATGCTCCCTCAGCTTCAGGCCTTCCTATTCTCCTGTTATCAGCAAATCTGGTTCAGTGTGAGTGTGTGTGTGTGTTTAACAACTTTCCAACCTTGCAGCTTCCTGGCTATCCTTTTTTTATTTTGAAACAAAAGAATTGCAAAGGCAGAAAGTTCTCTGTACCAATGTGTAAGGAGACTCTAATCAGACAAGCCCCAGCAGGCTCTCATGACTTAATAAGGAGATGCCATCTTGGTTTGCCCCTGTCTGGGAAGGGTTGAGCCCCAAGGCAGAAAGGGAGAGCCACCCCTCCTGACCTAAAACAACAAGAACCACCAAGTAAACGAAATCAAGGAACAAGGAGAACAAAGTGTCCATTACAGGGCAAAGGACCAAAGTTGCATTTTCCTCACACCAGGAAGTAGTGTGGCCCTCCCAGGATTAGGAAGAGAAAGTCTGGAGGACCCGGATGGCAGCTGTGAGATGCAAAGTGAGGCGATGGTTACTCACCAGGTGGGTATGTTTGTGTTGTTGGGAAAAGCATCTAACTCTATGGGCTGTCCAGTCATTCATGCAGTCATCTAACAAATATTGAGTGCCTATGTGTTTTCCTGAGCTCTCTTCTAGACCCTGGGAACATAGCACTGAACAAACCAGGCAAAATCCCTGCCCTTGTGAAACTTACACAGTAGTGGAATAAATGTTGCTGAATATTATTTTAAAGTCATCAAATTGTTAGCTAAGTGTTTCCTGAAGGTGGTTGCAAAATAAGGAGTGTGGGGGAAGAAGACCACTTGCTTTAACATACCAGTTCATCCCAAGCATTGTACATGCCAAAGAAAGCAAGCTGTCCTATCAGTTTTTATCTTTGTAGCTACCAAGCCTACACAAGAAAGACACTGGCCTTCTTGTTTATAGTTGTAGTGGTCACACTGTTTGCCCATGGTTCCTCTTCATGGGGTATCACCCAGTGGTGTGCTGGTGCCAGCTCGTGCTGGCTCAAGGCCACTTGTGTGCAACTTTTCTCAATTCCATGTTTAGTGACATCATGTTGATAGCTTCAAATTAGCCATGGTGGGAGTATCTATACGGTGGAAATCAGCTACAAATCAGGGGCTTTGTTTATTTGTTTACAAGCTTGTTTATCAGCACACTACTAGAGCCACTCCTTCCTCAGGTCCCAGAAATTCTGCTTATTTGGGTAAGATGATACCATCCTCTCCAACCCAACACATGACCTGAGTCTGGCTGATCAGAGTGCACTATCCTCTTGGCCACGTCAGTTGGTACAGGAATAGGCACAGGAACCATAATAGGCCAATCAGAGCCTTCTCCAGGATTTATATATGTGTGTGTATATATACACACACACATATATGTATATATATACACACACACATATATGTGTATATATATACACACATACATACACATATTATATATATATACACACATATATGTAGACAGATTTTAAGTGACAAAAATTATACACATTTATCATGTACAACATGTTTTGAAGTATGTATACATTGTAGAATGGCTAAATTGAGCTAATTAACATATGTATTACCTCATGTGTTTATCATTTATTTGCGGTAACACTTAAAATTTACTCAGCAATTTTCAAGAATACATTATTAACCATAGTCACCATGTTGCACAACAGATCTCTTGAATTTATTCTTCCTGTCTAACTGAAATTTTGTATTCTTTGACCAACATGTTCCCAACCCTCCTCCCCTCCCAGCTCCTGGGAACCACCACTCTACTCTCTGCTTCTGAATTCAGCTTTTTTAGATTCTACATATAAGTGATATCATGCAGTATTTTTTTTTCTGTACTAGCATATTTTACTTAACATAATGTCCTCCAAGTTCATCTGTGTTGTTGCAAATGACAGGATTTCCTTCATTTTTAAGGCTGAATAATATTCTATTGTGTACATGTATATCACGTTTTCTTTATCCATTCATCCATTGGTGGACACTTAGGTTGATTTCATATTGTGGCTATCATAAATAGTGCTGCAACGAACATGGGCATACAGACATCTCTTCAATTTGCTGATTTCATTACCTTTGTTCCCCAAGATGTTAACCAGTGCTATCAGAAAAAAAAATGCTCTTCTCCTCTAGGGCCAGCAGGAATAAGGATCATATAAGCCTAGAGGTGCCATCTTTTCCACCCTCTTCTCAGCCAGCCAGATAATAAAGCCAAGACAGAAGAAAGCAGAACAAGAGACGTACAGAAGACAGAGCCCTGATGGCATTGCTTGTGCACCTATTATACCCATAGGTGGAAGAGGCCAGAGTGCTAGTGAGTTAACACACGTAAGAGAAACCTTAAGCCAATGATGGATAGAAGCTAGCTATGCTATGCCTCAGACTGCTTACCCCTGAACTTTTCAGTGATATAACTCACATACATTGCTTTTATTTTTTTCTCAAGCTAGTTTGAGTTGGGATTTTATCACTTGCAACTGAAATAATCTTAATTACAATATGTCTTCCCTTATATCCTCCTCCTCCACAAACTGGTTTGGTTCTTAAGTAGACAGTATCAGTGCCCTGCCCATATTACCTTGGCACTCACTGTCCCCATGTAGCCTGATGCCTTCTTACTATAAGCAAATGAGATGTTCTCAGGTGAGAGAGGCCACAGTGCTAATGAATCAACACACATAGAGGCAACTCTAAAGCAATGACCAACAGGAGACTGTGGATAAATACCTCAGCCTCCTTGCCACTCAGGTGAGACTTTAAGGCATGTTCCACACCATCTACCTGAGGTCCCCAGCAGGATTGAGTCTCAGTTGCCCACAGTGATAACCTATTTTGACACTCTGAATTTTTTTTTTCTCTTCCCTGTCTCACTTCTCCACTTCCTAAAGATGCTTCCTGGAATCACTTCCCAAATAAAAAACTTGCATCCAAATTCTTGTGGCAGGATCTGCATCTGGGGGAATCTAACTTAGAGAAATAGTCACCAAATAAATTAAGTAAATATGACAAATTATCACTACAACCCAAACTATTTTGTCCTTCCCCTTCTAGTACTCTCCTATGATGGTTTCTCTGCCAAAGTTATGTCATGTTCCTTGTTTCATGTTACCCAATGCCTGCCTACAGAGTTTGTCTGCTAATGAGGAAAGAAAACTGCTATCCAGATCTGCAAATGAGAGTCATACTCTTGCTTTTTGGTCATTATCACAAATTCGAATTGGGGTTTGGTCTACATTGGTTTTGGCTATGAGATATAAGAATCTGGAGGCTTCCCCAAGGTTTTTGTTTGTTTGTTTGTTTGTTTTTGTTTTGTTTTTTTGAGACAGGACCTCACTCTGTCACTCAGACTGGAGTGCAGTGGCATGATCTCAGCTCACTACAACCTCTGTCTCCAAGGCTCAAGCGATTCTCCTGCCTCAGCCTCCCCAGTAGCTGGGATTACAGGCGCCCGCCACCACACCCGGTTAATTTTTGTATTTTTAGTAGAGACAGGGTTTCATCGTGTTGGCCAGACTGGTCTCAAATTTCTGACCTGAAACGATCCACCCGCCTCAGCCTCCCAAAGTGCTGGGACTACAGGCGCGCCCGGCCTTCCCCCAGGGTTTTCTTTGGGGCACCAGTGAATGCAGAACAAAACTTTTGCTGGTTTTTCCTCTCGTGAGAAAGTCAGCATGGGCAGCTAGAGATATTATCACATTAAAACAACTCCCTCCCTTTCGCCTGATTTGTTCACACTTACCACAGGCTAAGAGGCCCGTAATTGCCAGAGGAGTAGGGGCTGGAATTACCTTTTCCCAAAGGGAGAGGCCAACTCTGTGTGAAACTTTGGAGTGCACATGCTCACAAAATCAGACAGTGCTGTGAGAACCACACCCATTCTTCCCAGGAAATGGGGAGAGAGAAAATATTTGTTCCAGATATGAGGCTGCCAGGCTTTAGCAACTCCCAACACCTATATACCTGTATTTTTCCAAAGCCTTAGTCTGGGAGTAATTTCCTAACACATTACAACTCCTTTAGACTGGGTATGCCTCTGACTCCACAGTAAGTAGGTAGGGAGGGACTAATTAAATAAATTTAAGTGAAAGACTTTGCGATACCAGATGAAAAGAGTCCAAATCTAAATTGCTGTGGCTAATGTTTGCAGGAATAAGAGATATTTAAGGAGCAAATTTCAGAAGAGTGGTGTGGCATTAGGGAAAACCTGAACTTGGAGTTGAGTACGTGAATACGAATTCCAGCTACACCAATGCCAAGCTAGCTGGCAGCATGTATAGTGGTTTTAAATACAGACTCTGGAGCCAGACTGCCTAGGTTTGAATCCCAGCTCCACTACTAACTATCTGTGTGACCCTGGGCAAGTTAAGTAACCTCTCTGGGCTCATCTCCTTCATCAAGGAATAGGGATAATAATGGTACCTGCCTTGTAGGACTGATGTCAGTATGAAATGAATGAACACCTATCAAGGATTTAGAAAAGTGTCTAACATATAGTGAACTCCAAAATGGCTGCTTTTATTATTGGTCTCAGTCTCCCTGGGTCTCAGTCTTCTTATGGGTAAATGGAGGATTTCTACATGGCCTATATTTTGGGGTTTTGTGAGGACAAAATGACACAACATCATTGGAAGAGAAAATCTGGTAAAATATAATATAAATTTAGATTGTGATTAAATCAGTTCAAGCTTTTGTGACCAATCTTCCTCCGCCAAAGACTCCGGCTGGGCATTTAAAGGTTTGGTTAGTCTTGACTTCCAGGAAAATAAACAAGAGCTCAGGGAAACATACCCTCCCCTCTACAAGGGTTGGACATATGGCTAGCAGCTGGGATTTATGCAAAGTATTCTTCAAATTAGTCCAAAAGCCCCACTGTTCGGTTATTACCCCCAGTGCAGTCATAAAACCCACAGCTCACAACTGCCAGCAGGTTGTTACATCCCCAGGCCTGTGCTCGCCCTGGCCCCTCTCAGCTGCCAAGCCACGGCCACTCCAAGCTCCCTGGCCCCGGAGCCACCTGCATGTCCTCTGGTTAACTCAATCTGCTGTCAAGAAGAAGGAAGTAATTAAATAGGGGACATGTCAGTCCCACCACAGGCCCTGGAAAAGTCAATAAAATTTAGTCACCAGAATGGGAGCTGATTTTTAACCACTCTACCATAAACCATGACACACACACACACAAGATGTCAGCTTCAGGCCACATAGCAACCAAGCCCAGGAACCTCTGGTGCTCAACATAGTTTCTCTAAAATAGCTTTCATGGGACAGAAGGAAGGAAAAGAAAGTGCTGTTTACTTCACTGAAATGTGACTTGAGAAATGAAGGAACAATATCTTGTTTCCCCCATAGCCCTACACACTGAAGAGATTAGGGGGAAGATTAGTGGTGGTGAAGAAGATAAAATATAGTCACTAGACAGTTAGGCTGATCAGGGTTGGGGAGACTGTGCATGAGAAAGTCGGCCATTAGATAACAGTTGAATTAACAACTTTGTTACTTGCTTTCTGCTTCAAACTCCTCTGCCCTCCTATTTCACTGCACTACAATCTGAACGGATTTTCTCAGCAATCACAGGGCCCCACCACCAGAGGGGCTGCAGGGAGGAGGGTAGCAGAAGGGAGAACCAGAACATGTGGGAACCAACATTCTGCTTGCCTGATCTGCCCCACTCTGCCTGCCTACCTGGCTGGCCTTTTCTTCCCCTTGGTTCCGTTTTGCTCTATTTGCTCTATAAATCATGTGAAGTTTTCATGAAATCAATCTTAATAACTACTTCATGAGAAATTCCAGCTATAATCTAGCAAGATCAGCTCTAGATTTGGCCAAAAAGTGTTTGGAGGTGGCATGAAGTGGGGAGGGGAAGAGAAAGTTTTCCTCAGAGACATCACAACAGATCCAGAGTTCAAAAAATGTACTGAATCCTTCTTTTCCCACAGTCTCAACTCTCTTCACAAAAAGGCCTAGGAACCCTTTTGTTTCATTTCATTTTATTTTTTTCCTCTTTTTAAAAAGTCAAGGGTAATTTAAACAAGTATTTCAATGTAATACTGAATGCAAAATGCAGAGCATAATGCAAGGCACAACTGCCTTAAAGTTCATGCTTAACATTTATTGAACACTTACTACCTTTAATCCTCATGACTTTCTTGGGCAGTAAATTCTAATTCGATTTTAAAGATGAGAAGACTGGTCCCAGAATAATTCAGTAACATGCCAAAGGTCACGTGGCTAGTGAGTGGTAGAGATAAGATTTGAACACTCTCTCAATATTTGTTTCCTGTTAACTCTCCATGCTAACAATAGCTTACATTTTCTAATCAAGAGCAGATTCCCAACCCTTTCATGTATATTACCTTGTTGGATACTCAACACATCTCTTGGGGCAGGTGTTCTTGTCCCCAATTAAGAGATGAGGAAATAAAAATTTAGAGGAATTAAGTGATTTTTCTAGTATTATAGAGGCAGAAAGTAAAAAGCAAGAGTCAAATACACTGTTTGTTCTTCTCACCAAATCCCTGCTTTGTCAGAATAAGTCTTTACCTAAGGCAAGTTCCTATCAGCCCTGCTAAAATCTTCAGACCGCTCCATGAAAATACACCCCCCTGCTCCGCCTTCTATGCTTCAAGAGACAGATGTGATGGCTCCTTCATTGGCTACATCCACCCTACTGGCGAGGTGTGTTTAAATTTCCTGCAAGGTGGCTACACAGGGCTGTGTAGATTTTTTGGTGAATGACCTCTCTGCATCTAAGGGGGCACCATTCACATCTTAGATACCGTAGACTTACAATTATATTAAGAAAATTTTCCAGTAGATGGCAGTAATGTGTCTTAAGGAAGGGGTGGGTGCCCTTTTGTAATTAATGCAAAGGCAATGTAAAGGCTAGTGGGGCCCCTGATGGTGATGGTGGTGTCTGATGGTGGTGTCTATTTTAAATTCTTCCTACCTGTGATGTTAAGATGGCACTGATTCATCTATCCTTGTCTAGTACCTCTTAAAACCTAATTGGGAGATGGTCTCTACAGGAGTTCATTTTTTCATTCATTAACATTTAACGATAGGCTTCTTGGGTGCCTACAGTGAGACAGACATTGTTCAAGGTGAACCTACGATGGTGAACAAAAGGAGCATGGTTCCTTCCATCTTAGATATTGAAGTTCAGTTAGGGCATACAGTCGTCTTTAGTTGGCTTACCATTTCTCTATGACTTGCCTCTACTCTACAGGTTGTAAAAGCAAAAAAACAAAAATCAAAACAAAAAAAAACTTTTGAACTCCTTTGCTGTTAGGAGTGGCCATGTGAACTAGTTCTGGCCAATGAGATATTAACAGTAGTCAATTGATGCTCACTTTCCCTCTTTCTCCTTCTTTCTGACTGGAATACAGATACTATGCCTGGAGTAGCAGCAGTCACCTTGTAAACATGAGGATTAAATGTACTTGCTATAGAAAGCAGAGAAAGAATGAAAATGAATCTGAGCTCTATATGGCATCATCAAGCCACTAGAGCTGTGTTGGACTGCCTATGTTGGTATAGGAGTTAAATAAACTCCATGTGTTTAAAGAACAATCAGTCCGGTTTCCTACTACTTGCAGCTGAACACTACCCTACATGACACAAGGACTTACTGGGCAGTAAGTTCAAATATCATCATACCTATTTCACAGATGAGAAGACTGGCCCCAGAGAAATTAAGTAACATGCCCAAGGTCATGTGGCTGAAGAATACAGAGATAAGATTTAAATACTCACTCAATATTTGTTTCCTGTTAGCTTTCTATGCTAACAATAGGTCACATTAATCAAATAATAATAAAAATGAAAGGATAATTATAAACACTAATAAATGCCATGCTAGAGAAATACAAGGCACCATGGGTTATAAACTGAAGCACCTGACTAGGTCTAGGGAGCGAATAAGGCTTGGCTGGGGAAATGACACTGAATATCAATAATTAGGAGCTGAAGCAAGACAACTTCTGGCAGAGTAAAAAACTTGTCAAAGGCCTTGAGGTGGGAGGAAACATACACGGTGGGTGTAGAGAAAGAAGGACAGTGCACCCAAGTGGAGAGGGTAAATCAGCCCCCAGGGATCAAAACTGTGACCTTAACCTCTTTGCTCAGCTCATTAACCAGCAGGATTGATTATCCACAGCCAGCTAACCACTCAGGCATCACCAAAGGGGAAGGAATGCAAATGGAAGTTTCCTCAGGCCTAGCTGAAGTGGGAAAGAAATTAGGGTCATTCCTAACTATTCACATCAACAGAAGGCCAGGAGAATCCCCAAAGGAGAGCCAAATTAAAAGTGCTATTGGTGAATACCCAAGACAATGAGTGTGTGGATTGACCTAGGCCCTCTGTAAATGTTTGTTGAATGGCTGAACAAATGATGTCAGTGAAAGTTATATCAAACTATAAAATGATGCTCAAATCATTATCCACAGTCTATGATACGTTGTAAACACACTCACCTTTACAGTATAATCTACAAAATGGCAATAGAAAGCTTTCTACATTCTTGCTGAGTACAAGGCCCAGGGCCCTGTCTTCCTATTAGTGAATCTTAGCTTTGTTCTTTGCTCTGAAAAGGGGGACACTTTCTCTATCTGAGTTCATTTCTCTGAGCACCAGACTTTCTTCTCTCCCAGCATTCCCAGGCTACCTGCCACTTTGAGCCAAGGCACACAGTCAGCTCACAGAACAACTGAACATTTACACTCTCAGTTTGGCAGAGGGTCAAAGCAAGAGATAGTTCCCTCCATCAACTTTTTCAGCCTTGGAATTTCAGTTCTTCTCAGCTTGATGGGGGTCGTGGCTGAGTTCTCTGGATTCCAAGAGAGGACATACATAGCACAGGAGCATACATTTTCTGGGTGCCAACTAAGTGCCAGGAGCTACACATCCGAACCTCCTTTAAGTCTCCCAACAACCCTGAGAACTGGCTTTTATTATTTCCTCTCACAGATAAGGATTCTGAGATACGGAGAATTTAAACAACTTGCCCAAGTTCACACAGCAAGTCAGTGCTAGAGATAGAACTCAAACCTAGGCCTGTTTGCATGTAGAGGCTGTGTTTTCCTTCCTTTCCCTCTACCAGGTTCCCCCAACTTGTGGGATCACTTCCTTTAAAAACAGTCGTGTTCAAAATCCTGCTGAAGTGTTCCTTTGCCTAACCAACACAGTCAAATCTTTAGCTCTGCCTCTGGGCAGACTGCTTTTCTCTGTTCCCTCCTCCCCTCTTCACTCTCCTCCTCCTTTCCCTTTCTTTCCTCCTTCTCCTCCTTCTTCTGTTCACTCTCTCTTCCCCACCCTCACTCCTTTTCTCCCCTTTCCTCTTCCGTCTCCTTGTCTCTGTCTTTTCTTCTCTCTCCCTGACCTCGCTCCTTTTTCCTCTCTCCCTCCTTCCTTTGCTCACTCTCTCTTTCTCTCTCTCTCCTTCTTCCTCTCTCTCTCCCTCCCCCTACTCTCCACTTTCTTCTTTCTCTCCCTCCTCACTCCTCCTTCCATCCACACCCCCTATCTTGCCCCCCACCCCCCGCAGACACCCAGGCTCTTCAACCTCTCAATTAGAGTAGAGCACCATGGGATACTTTGAATTCTTCATTTGCTTCATCTTTTCTACTCCACTGTGACTTTGCCCATTAAATTCCCCTTGAGCTCTTTCTAACTGTCCCACCGCCCCAGCCACTTACACACTGTAGCACACTCATGACCCAAGGCAATGCCCTTGGCCCTATTGCAGGAAGGAAGTCCCCCTGTCAGACATGTCCCGCTGGGGCTCTGGACAATGTTTAACCATGGGCCAGCTCTCCTCCACCACAAGTCATGCCTCCAACTGTCTAGATAACACAGGGGCAAAACTGCCCTCTATCCTTCAAATGGAGAGTGGACTGGGCGTGGGGTATGGATCTGTAATTTCAGCTGATCCCAGAGAGGTCAGGGCTCACTAACATCACCTGGGAAGTGGTAGTCTCTCCTGTTCTCCCACACTTCTTATCAGTCTTCCAGCTCCTCCCAATCCCATAGGACCTGTCTGTACTCTCTTTTAAGCCACATAGCACTTCCCACTGAGCCTAACTTTCAGCAGGTTCCTGTGCGCCTCAGCACTTTGCCTAAAAATCCCACCCCATCCCTTACCTGCTTAATGCCTATTTATCTTCCATGTCCAGTCCTAGCCATCGCCTCCACCGGGAAACCTGCCCTGACTCTCCAGCCATATGCTGGGGTTTGAGATCTCCCTTCTGTGCTCCCAGAGCTCCCTGACTTTTCCTCTCCACACCCTTATCATGCTGGACTATAATCTCCTGTTCACTGGTCAGTTTCCCCCACTGGATTGAGGGCTCCATGAAGAAGGACTATGACATCTTTTTCACGGTTGAATCACCAGACTCTGGGGACAATCACGACACATAGTAGTCATAAAGTAAATATTTATTGTGGTCACAGTATACTGGATTCCTTTTCTCTCTATTTTTCCACATAATTCTAAGCTCTCTGAGGACAAAGTCTAAGTACATTTCATCTTTGGATACCCAGGACCAAGAATAGAGTTTGATGCAGGATAACAAAAATTGAAGGCCCTAACATGTTTTAACCTGGAAAAGAAGTGACTGGGGAAAGTGGTGGAGGACGCATTCACTGTATTTAAATAGTTAAAAGGCTGTCAAATAGACTAACACAGAATTACTCAAAGCATGGTCCGCAGGCCAGCAGCATCGTATCATTGTGAACTTGTTAGACTTACTAATTTGTGTGTCCACCCTAGACCTATGAAATCAGAAACTCTAGAGTGGAACCCAGCACTCCGTTTTCAGAAGCTCTTCAGGCGATTGTAATGTTCACTAAAATTTGATAAGCATTGGGCTAATTGGTAAGCTTTTTCTCAGTTAAGAAGGAGACAATTTTCCATTTAATGTACAAAAAAATTCTGAATCAGTC
Source organism: Homo sapiens (assembly GCF_000001405.40). NCBI lineage: Eukaryota > Metazoa > Chordata > Mammalia > Primates > Hominidae > Homo > Homo sapiens. The sequence continues at coordinate 38,981,435 of NC_000023.11, read as the reverse complement.
TATTGCAATAATGGCAGAGTGTCTTAGTCCATTCAGGCTGCTGTAAGAAAATACCATAGGCTGGGTGGCTTACAGACAACAGAACTTTATTTTTTCACAGTTCTGGAGGCTGGGAAGTCCAAGATCAAGGTGCCAGCAGATTTGATGTCTGGTGAGGGCCAGCTTTCTGGATAATAGATAGTGTATTCTTGCTGTGTCCACACATGTCAGAAGGAGCAAGGGAACTCCCCAGGGTCTCTTTTATAAGGGCATTAATCCCATTCATTTGGGCTCTACCCTCAGAGCCTAATCTCCCAAAGGTATCACCTCAGGGGTTAGTATTACAAAATATAAATTTTGGGGAGACACAAACATTCAGACCATAGTAAAGAGGCTATCCACTAAATTTCCTGCAGCTCAACAGGTTCCAGAAGAGGCAGTGTAACCTATCATCAGGATTCTGTTCAGTTTTTATGCGTAGAGGCAGAGACTGGAGAAGCTAAAGCCCTTCAGGAATTCCCCACTGATTTCTGATATGTGGAATCGGGGACTAGAGGGTCCTTCTGAGGGCTGGGGGTTGGGGGAAGATGGTTAGGAGGCAGTGACACAGGCAGGAGGAGGGCACTGATATTTGTCATTTTATTGTGAGAAGGGCTTTGTAGCTGGAGAAGGCAGGGAACTTTGCAGTTGCAATAATACCACTACCAAAAGTTAGCAGTTATTAAACATTTACTATATATCAGGCATATAATAACAGTCAGGCATGTAGATAACATATGTTAATTTGCCTTGAGAGGATTTTCTGTTTTAATTCTTCTAATAACCCTATAAAATCATTAATACCATCTTTTATTTTGGATAAGGAAATAAAGTGAGAATGAGGCTGAGTGACTTTTGAAAACATCACACTGTTAATAAGTGGTATCGTTGGGATTTGAACCCAGGTAGTCTGACTTCAGAGTTTGATTCTAACTTCTACTCTGTGCTACAACCTCCCTAGTGCTAAAGACCTTAAGAAGTTAAATATCCAGGATCTAGAAGGTCTTTGGCTGGTGCCAATGAGACACCCAGGCAATGGAATTGAGGGAGGAGGGTGAGTTACAGGGAAATGTATTAGTCAGAATAGGCTAGGTTATGTTGCAGTAACAAGAAACCCCTGAAATCTCAGTGTCTTAGACCAATGAATGCTCATTGCTTCTTCACGCAAAGTTCATCACAGGTACTCCTAGGTGAGTTGCTCTTCTGGGGAGCACTCCTCCCACCTAGATCAAACCCAGGTACCTTCCACTGATGGCTCCACTCTCCACTGGCAGATTTTGAAACCATCTGCATTCCACCAGCTGATTGGAGAAGACTCAGACCAAGTGGAGGATCTCACAAGTTATTTGAGGGGGCCCAAGCCTGGGAGCTGAGTACAGCACTTCCCCCCATTTTCCATTGGCCAGAACTAATTACATGACCCCACATCAATGCAAAGGAGCTGGGAAAGAGCCTTTCCTTCTTGGGTTCCCAGGAAGAAAATGAAAGGGTGGTGGACACCAGAATTGTTTCTGCCACAGAGACATTTTATCTTCCCATCCATGAAGAGGTGAACATTATAGTTTCTAGACATGATCTCTAAATCATTTTAGATTGTTCACACCTAATGGCAAAACATTTTAGGCCCATTTCAATAGATATACATTTATATAGAAAGCATATGCATTCACTTAAGCCAATTTAGGTATCATATATTTGGTTGTGCTTGATTTCTTTATGTTTTAGGTAAAGAAGTAAATATAAAGATAAGTTTAATTCTTTCCTTCTTCTTCCCCAATAGATTATCTCATTACTCCCTGGACTTTTATTTACTTATTTATTTATTGAGATGGAGTCTCATTATGTTGCTCAGGCTGGTCTCAAATTCCTGGACTGAAGTGATCCTCCTGTCTCAGCCTCCCAAGTAACTGACATTACAGGCACACACAGCACCACGCCTGCCCCCCCTGGTATTTTATGCCCCATTCTGAAGACCCCTGTTCCATAACTTAGAGAGCTGACCAGAGAGGGGACAGTTTTCTGTGTGAGAAGGAAAATTTCCTGGGGCACAAGGGTTTTCCAGAGATGTCTCAGCACAGCAAACAGAAATGGGCAGAGAGCAGGTGGGCTTGCTTTGAATCATTCCAACTCTTACAGTGAGGGACTTTATCCTGTCCATCTCTCCCTGTGCCCAGGTCCTTGACTTAGGTGGCAAGTATGGCATGAGACCCTTCCTATTAAGTAGGACTAACTGACCACCTAAACCCACTCCAACTCTAAGGTTCTACAAACCCATGAATACATAGGGCAGAGCTACAGAGTAGTGGGAACAGCAGGAATTGTGGGCAGTGTGGCAAGGCCTGCTGCACATGTAAGGAGCATGTATGGAAGTCTGAGAGCTGCCTTGATTCACTGCTGCACAGATGTTCCAACAGCAGAGGGGAAGGGCCAGGATAATGCAGTTTGAAAGCTAAGCTACTGTTAATATACGGCCCGTGGGTGTAAGCTGGTATAGAATTCAAAAAGAAAAATGTGAGGGCATAAAAGAATAATAATAGTGATAGCTAGCATTTATGGAGCACTTACCATATGCCAACCTCTGTTTTAAGTACTTTACCTGTTTAAATACATTACAATCCTTTGAGGGTGATATTATTATTAACTCCACTTTACAGAGGAGGAAACTGAGGCATGGGTGAGATTAACTGAAGTGTGTGGAGGTTTATTAACACCTTGCTACCCAAAGTGTGGCCCAGTAACCAGAATCATCAGCATCAGTTGGAAGTGTGTTAGAAATGCAGAACTGTGGACCCTCCTTGGACCCATTGAATCAGGGTCTCTATTTTAACAAGATCTCCAGGGGATGTGTGTGCACATCAGAATCCCCTAATTCTGGGGGAAGAAGGGTACCACAATGTCTTATTCAGCCCAGATCATCAGTGGCCCTTTTGTCAAGAGATTATTGCCTGTTTGCACTGAGGTTAGGCATCTGCCAAGCTAAATTCCCCTCTATATGCACCAGAAGTGGTATTTGCCATTCCCAAAGATGAAATGTCAGGCTGGGGTGGCCAGCATTTGCTATCATGGAAAAGTTATGTTTCCAAAAGGGAAGACCTTTTGAATTTGGTATGTGGAAATATTTCCTTGGTTTCTACTTTCTCTTTTCCAAGGACCTACAGCAGCAGTGGTTGAGAATGGGACTCCAAAAGCAGTCCGACTTCTTCTACCCCATATCTCAGATTGCCCACTTAGTGAGACAGGTCATTAGCCCTCCAAGCCTCCATTTCTTCATGGATCAAATGGTGATGTGTGCAAAATGGGGCAGCCTATAGGGATGGCATGAGGACAAAATAAGGTAATTAATGTAAAATACTCAGTGCTATGCTGAATACATAGTTAGTACTCACCCCAGTAAATCTTAACTATTTTGGGGAGTGGTTATAGATAGTTTTAGTTTGGGCTTATAATTGTAACTCTGAAACTTTCCTAGCTCTCTTGGAATTTGTTGTGTTACTAAATCTCAAGACAGAATCGCCAATTAGTGTAATAGTTGTTAAAAAGCAATTGAAGTTAGAGACCCCATTTTCCCCCAGTTTGGAAAACTATGTTGCATAAATGAATAACCAAATACTGATAAACAAATATCTTCATGTTGGAAGAGGATTCTAGAAGCAGTTCTGTCTTCCAGATTATTCAGAATTTATTTGAATTGTGTTCCTCTGTATTGTTTCGTACTGTCTTTTCTCAAGTGGGTAACTCTTAAAGTTGGTACATTCAATTATTTTGCACAGAAAATTTTTTTAAATTTTATAAACTATCAGGTGTATTTGGTGTTTTTTCAGAATGCATATGTCAGTGATAAATTCAGATAAAAGAGGACACAGATCCAGCATGTGTAGCAAATAGAAACAAAAAGAGTTATCAGTGATGCTAAATACATTTTCTTTTCTGTTAATAATTATATATACTACTGTAACTAGAATTCTTTTCATTTATCTGGGTATGTGTTAACAGTAGGTCACATACACCCATTCCAGAATTATTTCACCTAAACAGTATGATTTTTAAGCAAATTTTTGTTCATTTGGGCTGAACACGGTAGCTCATGCCTGTAATCCCAGTACTGTGGGAGGCTGAGGCGATGGGTCGCCTGAGGTCGGGAGTTCAAGACCAGCCTGGCCAACATGGTGAAACCCCTTCTCTACTAAAAACACAAAAATTGGCCAGGTGTGGTGGTGCTCACCTGTAGCCCCAGCTACTAGGGAGCCTGAGGCGAGAGGATCGCTTGAACCCAGGAGGTGGAGGTTGTAGTGAGCAGACATTGCACCACTGCACTCCAGCCTGGGAGACAGAGTGAGACTCTGTCTCAAATAAATAAATAAATAAAGTGTTGCTCATTTGCCCCCAAGGAAAACCCATTCACAATAAACAGATTTGTGGTGGCCAGCTATCTTCCACTGGACCCATAATGTGGACCCATAATGTGGAAAGAACACAGTCCTGGGCCTGCTGCTACTACTGCTAATTCTGCAACCTCATGCAACTCACTCAACTTCTCTGGACCTTGGCTTCCACATCTCTAAAATAGGGATTTAAATATGTGGCCCAACTCCCTCACTGTCCTCCCTTGTGGTGAAAAATAAATGAAAGTAATCCATAAGTTCTAAGCTAAAGATATATATAAGTTTTGGTCAACTGATATTTCTTTGTTTGGTCAGATGTGGAGATATAACTGAAGAGTTTTTTTTTTTTTTTTTTTTTTTTTTTTTTTTTTTTTTTTTTTTTTTACTCACGTGGAAGATAAAGAGAACAGGCTCCATTTATTATTATTTCCATTAAAAGCCCAATTGTGTGTTTATGTTTGTGTTTGGATGGAGGGCACATGTATGTGTGTAATGATTTGGAACAAAATAGGCTGAAAGTGTAAGAGGGAGACACAGAAACAAACATAAAGCCACTGAGACCACTATCACTAGGAATCTTGTTATTGGCACCAACTAGTTGTGTGACCTTGTATAAGTCATATTCTCCCTTGAGGCCTAAGTTTTCTAACCTATAAAATGAACAAATTGGACTAGATAATCTCTGGCATCTCCTCAACTTTCAATGTCTATGGTGTTCTTCCCTGTCAGGCTTGACACAGTGGTTACCTCCCCTATACAATGATGATGGATGAATCAACTCACAAAAGCTGTGTGGGGCCAGTTCACACTCTGTCCACAACTCTGTAACAAAGGCCAACTGTCTGCTCAGGTAAGTAGGCCTTTATGGTTCCATAGTGTACCAGGATTGGTGGCAAAGTAAATGTTACAAAGGAAAAAAGGGGGAAAGGAAGATAACCCATCAGGATATGACACATATTACTAATAATCTGTACCACGATTTGTTGTTTTCAAAACACTTTCACAAATAATATCCATATTGGCATCTCCATAAGGATGAGATCAGAATATTCACTGCTATATCCCATGATTGACATAGCCTGAGCCTGGCACATAGGCTTAGCACATGCCTATTACAAAAAGAGATAAATGAAACATCCCATTTCATCCAGTGTGGTGGATGTGGTTTTCCCATGTCCAGATGAGAAAATTGAGATTCAGAAGAGGTAGGTGATTGTCTAAGGTCATTTTGCTATTAAGCAGATGAGCTGTAATTTTATTGTGCCTCCCATCTCTAAACCTGTGCTTATTCCCTATGACATCATCCACAGTGTGATAGATTATAAAGAAATGGCCAGAAATTCATTGCACCTCCCCCCACCAAGAGGTTGAGTCTTTTTCTTTACCCACTGAATCCCAAGCTTGGCCATGTGACTTCCTTTGGCAAGTATGATGTAAAAAGTATGATAAGTATGATAAGAAATATGATGATTGGCAAATATGATGCAAGAAGAGGCTTGAAAAATAGTTTGCACATTGGGGCTTGCTCTTTCTTGCTGCTGGAAACACTTCCACTACCATGTGAAGAAGCCCAGTATGGCCTACTGGAAAATGAGAGTCTGTGTGGGAAAAGGGGCTCCAACAATCCCAGCTGTCCCAAGCATCCCCACTGAGGCTCCAGACACTTGAGTGAGGCCATTCTAGACCATCCAGTCCCAGTCAAGCCAGCTTAAAGCAGAAGTCACAGAATCTTCAGCAAACAAATGATTGTTGCTTTAAGCCATTAAATTTGGGGTTGATTTGTTACACACAAAGAGCTAATTGATACAAGCAGCATTGCACCATCAGTGCTTAATGTTCCATGTTTATCATTATTTTATGCTAAACTACCCTTCTTTTTCACGCTTAACCTTAAAAAGTCATTCCTCATGCAAACACATATGCACACACTAGAATGCACACCAATGTACACAGATGCATATGCATCCTTTGACTTAAGCTCAGGGTAAACAAAGAATACCAGCTTTTATAAAATTCTGTTTAAGTACATGAAGCTGGCTTGAAGAGGATCTAGGTCCTAAAAGAAAGATTTCAAGTATTGCTCTGGTTTTAGGTTGCAGCCGGCTAATGGCTGTCCCTTGCATCACTGGTGACTGGTTCTGTGGGGAAATCTGGAGTGGGTAAGGAAAGAAAGGATGTGGCAAAACGACAAAGAGGAGTAAAGGTTTCTCACCTGGTGAGTCTGGCCATTCTCAGACCCCCAGGCTTGAACACAGGGCCAGTCTCATAGTCTCTGCCAACTGCTGTCAACAAGTCAACTTGAGACATTTCACTCAGGCTAGCAGGCATGAAGGACACCACCCACTACTTGAGTAAGCCAGCAATATGTGTGCATGGAGATGCCAACTGACTGGCCAACCGTAGGTAGTTATTCAAAATCCAAGGTTACAGCAAAGAAAGTTCATCTCTCCCCAGAGCCTACTGTCTCTTGGATTGGCACCACCATGCCCTGCCTGGCTTTTTAAGGGGGAGTTGGCTGCTGTCAGCTAGCAGGAGCCCAAGCTCACAGCTGCTGTGCCTTCCACCAACTCAGGGTCTGTCGGTCAGGCCATTTCTATGCTCAAGTCACAATCACACAATCACAGAACATCTACATTTAACCAACCATGAGGGGCCTGAAAACTCATCCAGTGAGACAACAGAGGTGAAAAAACTACTGGAGTGAATAAAACAAAGCCCAACAAAAAGTGCTAATGCCCGGTAGAAGAGCTGAACTACACAGAAATAACAGAGCCATATAAGGCACCACCACATAAGGGACCACATGCAAAGACCTGAGAGTCCAAGAATAATACTTGGCATATAGTAGATGCTCAATAAATATTTGTTGAATGGATGACTATAAAGCAGTCCAGCCACAGAAACGGAGTTTCATGTCTATTCTCAGATCTTAAACAATAGAAATGCATTTGGCCTTCCTTGATGAAACCTGGCTTTTCTTTGAAGACCAACTCTGACCCTCAGAAAGGGAGGCACTACAGGCTACATGTTAACTGTCAGCACAAATGCTTTCTAATTACCTTAGAAACAGAGATTTAGGCCATTACCTTTCTCTTCAAGTGGCTTTGGCCTAGATGAGATCAAATAAATTGGTGTCCTCCATCTCAACTAAATTGTTTGGTAGAAAAACTTTGTATGTTACAGCAAGAGTTAACTTACAATTCCCTGCCTCCAAATAAAGGGTTTACTTGTATGTTCATTTATTTATGCTTCAGCTCCCTGCACAGAAGCTTTAAGGCAGTGACAGAAAAATATCAAATGCAGTATTCTGTTTTCAAGCTAAACAGCATGGAGAAGAAGGGAGCTTTAAAAAAAAAAATTCCTGGCAGCCTCTTTTGACCTACACTTCGCATTCTGTGTAATGTACATGTGCAAGAGATTGCAATGGTGGGAAGGTCATGTGGTGTCAGCCCAGCCCACACAGGGGATGTGAGCCTCCAGGCAAATCGCAGCTGAGCCTCTGGCCAAATGAGGTCACGAGATGGGAATGTCAATTCCAGAGAATGTATGTTTTCTGATTTTACAATACAATTTGGGGAGGTGACAGATCCTATCATTACAAATTCAATAGAGTTCAGGGAGGGGACAGGGAAGGAGGGAAGTGGGAGTAGTGTGTGCCAATTTACCAGCTCTAAGTCCCTGCATTTCTCTCTTTGTGCAATCAAGAGTAGTCATAGGTAGTTTCCAAGGAAATTTTTTTTGTGTTAATTTGTTTGTTTTTAACTTTTAAGTTCAAGGGCACATAGGCAGGTTTGTTATATAGGTAAACTTGCATCATAGGGATTGGTTGTACAGATTATTTTGTCACCCAGGTATTAAGCCTAGTACTCATTAGTAATTTTTCCTGATCCTCTCCCTCCTCCCACCCTCCTCCCTCTGATAGGCCCCAGTGTGTGTTGTTCCCCTCTATGTGCCCATGTGTTCTCATCATTCAGCTCCCACTTATAAGTGAGAACACACTGTATTTGGTTTTCTGTTCCTCCATTAGTTTGCTAAGGATAATGGGCTCCAGCTCCATCCATGTTCCTGCAAAGGACATGTTCTCATTCTTTTTATAGCTGTGTAGTATTCCATAGTGTATATGTACCACATTTTCTTTATCCAGTCTATCATTGATGGGCATTTAAGTTGATTTCATGTCTTTGATACTGTGAATAGTGCTGCAGTGAACACATGCATGCATGTGTCTTTATAATAGAAAGATTTATATTCCTCTGGGTATATACCCAGTAATGCGATTGCTGGGTTGAACGGTATTTCTGTTTCTAGGTCTTTGAGGAATCACCACACTGTCTAGCCTGGGAAACAGGGCAAGACCCTGTCTCAAAAAAAAAAATAGTATTTTTTCCATTATATAAATTATCACAATTTGTTTATCCAGTCACCTGTTGATGGATATTTTGTTGTTTCCAGGGGGGTTTTGGCTACCAAGAATAATTTTGGATTGATGGAAATACATTATAGGTTCACAGGTATAAGTGGAATAGACCTATCAACTCATACATTCTACTTCCCACTATCACATGGTGAACCTTCTCAAGTGGCTGACATTTTTAAGTGATGAAATCCAAAACAATCTTCAACTTAATCTGATTCCCATTCATTGAGCATATATATATATATATATATATATATATATTAATTTTATTGCCTCATAAGGTAAGATACAAAAATAGAAGTAATTTATATAAATGAAAATTATTAGTCTTTAATGTCACCTGGGACCAGAGAGAGGGGAATACACATTTTCGTGGTCTCTGAGTTCTGTGCTCACCAGGACAAAGAGTTATCCACTGCTGTATTTCTCATTTTTTTCACTGGGTCTGGGTCAGGTTTTAGGGAAGGAAGCCACCCGACCTAAAGCCAAGCTAAACTCAAGACCCTAGTGTTCATGAGGTCCCAATTCTCCAACTGCTAGTAGAAGAAACCTCTTCTGTCGTCTCAAAAATACATAAAATACCTTTAACATCTCTATACCCTTATCACCCATTCTCTCCTCAATGCATCACAGTCCCACTGCCAATATTAAATAAGATGAGCACTGAGAAGTTTCCACTGGATTTAACATCCATTGGTGATATTAAAGAGGACAGTTTCATGAAGTGGTGGAGCTGGGGTAAAGTTTTAATATGGCCAGAAGGAAACAGAGGAAACTGAGCTAAGGATAGGAAGAGAGCACCCTAAGAGGCAGAAGGAGGTGCAGAAAAGGAAGTTTCTAGAAGCTATTTTCACCCTCTTTAAAAATTCACCTAGAGCCAACCCAGCCTGGTCACCAACTCAGGACTCAGGGCTGTTTTCGCTCCACTTCTCTCTCAGTGAGGGGCTTGGCACCCTCCTCAGATTTCTTTTAGTCTCAGAATAGCCCCACCCATGTCTTCTGCAGCAGCCTGGAACTGTAGTATTGTTCTCTGGTCCTTGCCCCAACTAAGAAAGTCACTGTCTTAACAGGATGCCAACGCCTTGGCAGGAATCATCTCTGCTCCCCAGAGGTCAATAATCCTCTGGCCTCTGGAATCTTCCTTTCCCCCTTGATCCCTTCTGTTTGTCTTGTTCCAGTCCCCTGAAGAAAGTTCACTTGCAAACTTCCAAGGAGGCTTCTGGCCTCAGGTGAAGTTGGGCTTCTTGCCTATTATTTTAAGCTACCAGCCCAGGCTTTCTGGCAGCGTGGGACATTAATGGCAGCTTTGCCATGTTTCCTAGAGTCCACGAGGCTACCCTCAGATCCTTTTAACAACACTACTCCTACCTACCTCCAATTCCACTCTTCCCATTTTAAAACCAGTGGCCCCATCGGACCTCCCACTCAATTCTAGTTTCCTGGTAATTGGAGCCATCTAATTCTCAGTTCATTTTTAGGACAGATATGACTGACATAACTCAATGTGATCATCAACAGATCATATCTCATCCATATTCTCCCTGGTGACTCGTTCAAACCACCACTGCCACACACAGTTTCCATTCCCATACCCCTAGTTGTGTGAGCTCTCACAGTCCTCAGGTGGCTGCCATAGAATATCAAAATGCTTTAAACACATGATGACAACAGCAGATACAGTTTCTATTACAGGAAGATTCCTCAACAGAGACATCATCGTGAATATCAGCTATTATATTATTGTGATGTAATAAGATGAAGTTATTATGTGATACAGTCATGTCAGTTGGTTTGTTCACATTATTTGCTGAAAGAAAATCATGGTTTTTTAGGGTTTTGTTTGCGTTTAGTAACTTTTTTTTCATCTCTTTGTTGTTATCAGTCGTGAGCTCTATTTGCTGGTGTCATTGTACCCATCTGCAGCATCACTGGCCATGCTACCTTTTAATTTGCTGTTTCTAAGAAAACATGTTAGAAAAATTGCAAAGGCTCCAAGTGATGACAATCTGAGTGGGAACAGTGCCTGAAATATTATAAGAACTCAAAATATATTTTAAAAATACTAAGAACTAAATAAAAAGAAACTGTCCTGCTACAACACATGGAAAGTCTAGATAAAATATAGCACTATTCCTCCCCAAATTTTAGGAAAAGCACAGAGCTTGGCTTGAAAGAAAGACAAACATCCAAGTATTAGATAAGAAGAGGAAAATGAAAACCAGAGCAGTAAATACATACTGGTACCATGGTGTCCCACAAGAACTTCAGCCCAGATATAGGCTCCAGGGACTAAGACAGGGGCTTTAATAACCTGACACATACAGAAACTGTGGCCTCAGGCTTATGCAAAGTGACCGCTCAAACTGAGCCACCTGCATAGAACTTGGAACCACAGAAATGCCCTGCCCATTAGAAGGGTACAGAATTACTCTGTCCACTGGCTCAGTGGGGGCAATAAGGATACTTGCTGTATGTCTGGGCCTTAAGTAGATAAATTTTTAAAAAAAGACATCTATGCAAAATAAACAACCCAGGCCTCTATTCCTTGAAGATATAAGTATTAGTTAATACTACCTATGGGTATAGAAAACTCAAGTTGAGAAATTAACATAAAAACCGGCCCAAGGCCTGGGAAACCCTAGGGTTTTGGTAAAATTAACATGAAATCTGAAGAACACAGGGACTTTCACATAGGTAAGCAAAAGCTACAGATAAGCTCAAAATTTAAAAAAAAATTACTAGCTACACAAGGAAAGTAAATACCATAAGGGATAGTTAGCAGATGCAACAAAGAGAAAAAGTACAGCCTGACCACTGGAAATAGTAGAAAAATCTGAAGGAGCTTATAAAATAAAGATCCTAAAAGTTATTAAAGAGATAAAGGAATAAATAGATATTATAATGTAATAGTAATGATAAACTTGTAAAAATAATAATAACTTGTAAGAACTGTAATTAAAATTTAGAGTGACTTTAATAATTTGACAACAAAACCTGAGTGAGGTAACTTCTGTAGAAAGGGGCAGCAGGAAGGGGCTAGGAGAGAAAAAGGGAAAGGAACAAAGAAACACCTGAAATGAGTATAGAAGCCTCACCACTGTGCTGTATGCTCCCAGAGAGTAGGTCCTGGGATTATTTTCTATTTGACCTTGCATATTCTTGTGTGTCCAGTCAATCCCTGTTATAGAAGAAGACTTCAAAAAATGCTTATTGAATGAATGCAGTAACAAAAGAACAAGCTATAGGTAAAAGGATTAATGAATAATGGAGGAAAGTCTTCCAGGCACCATTCTGGATTAAAGTTTTTCTTTTCTCTCTTAAAGACCAAGATATCCACCCCCAAAACTCATTCCACCTTAGCAATGACAGTCATTCATGAGTCAAGGCCATTTATAGACATCCAGAGGCAGCAGACTTTTTTTTAAAATAAAGTATTTTGCAGAAGGCCCCAGCTGAGTTCATTATCTTTGTACATTGTGGCTGCACTGAGAGCTACACTCCAGCCCTGTATGGATTTAAGCAAGAGCACATGGGAACAGAAAGAGCTAGGACAACAGAAACACAGTTAGAGAAGTCCATGTAGGACAAAGCAGAAGGTCTCTGCTTTGAATGTTTCACAGTTGCTAACAGAGGGCCAGAAAGCTGCCCGATATCAATGACTTGACTTGTCACGAGGGATGTGGCCAGTCCAGCTTCTATTTGGATGAGACTGGTGGCATATGAATGTTGAATCAAATCAAAGCCAAACACAGAAACAGATGACAAAAGATAAAGAGGAACTATTCCAGAATCAGCCCGATGATGATGCATCTGTAGCTTCTTCATCTCTCTAATGAAAGGGAAGTATCAATTAATCCAAAAAACCACCCTGTCATGATGGCTTGAAATCATGCTTCAAATTTAGGATCCAGTTGTTCTCAGTTTATCTTTTAGTTTGCTAGAAAATTCACTGGATTTTCTCCAACCCCCTCCACTCTAATGTTCCCACTGCTCTTAGATTACTCAAGATGTTAAGCCTGTGGAAGTAGTTCCTGCAAGTGGAAGCAGCAATAAACTTTGTTGCTATGGGCAACACAAAACACTCTTCATGAGAGGTTAACACTCCAGAATATGGGAATCAGATAAATGTTTCTGTGCCTGTTGTAACCACTCTGGGAAATGAAACATGCCAGATGGCTTTCTGACCTTTAATTTTTTTCATCTAGAAAATTAAGATGAATGGAAGAGGTTCAGGGCATAGGTTTGGTTACCAGGCTGTCTAGGAATTGAAGTTGGGTGTTTTATTGAATAGTTAAGTGACCTTGGTGAGTTACCTAGCTTCTCTGAACTCATCTGGAAAATAGGAATAAGAATATTATCAGTTGAATTTGCCTAGGTGGGTAGGATGCCATTCTACCATACTGTCCTCATGGAACAGCTGGGAAGACAAAATGAGATGATGTATGTGATTATAGCTCTCTGAGTTACTCAGAGCACCATGAAGACCACTGAGAACACTTGTCATGGATTTTTTAATGCTCTGCTGTGTATAAAACTCCTGAGGGAACCATAATCTTGAAACAGAATTTTAGGGTTGGTGAATAAAAAGCCCCCAGCAGAATCGGAGAATTTACAGCATATCCCCTTCATCACCCCTTACTACAACCCATCAAAACAGAAACAAAATCCAGCCCGTATCCCAGTGCATAGATTTCTACATGTAGACTCATGGTATCTACACTTTCAGAGAATGCACACATAAAAATGCACAGCAAAGTGTTAACAGAAGTCACCTCTTGAGTTTGTGACTAAGCATGAATATGATCTTGTAGATTAAAGATGGTGCAAAACTCTTTGCTACTCCTCCCATAAAGAGGTGGAGTCTAATGTCCAACTTGTATCCTGGCTCACCTTACTGACTTGCTTGATCAATAGCATGCAGTGAAATTTATGTTCTGGGACTTTCCAAGCTAAGTCATGAGAAGCCTTGCAGCTTCTGCAAAGCTCTCCTAGGATGCTTGCTGTGGAGGAAGCCAGTTGTCACATAAGGATTCTGACTACCCAGAGGCTACCATGCTGGAGAGGACACATAAAGTGAACATGTGGCACTGAGACATGTGCCTTAAGACTACCTGAAAAAGGAGAGAGAAGTGACGGGCCAGCCCCTATGACTTCCGATCATTCCCAGCTGGGGTCACAGACATCGCAAGGAGGAGAGTCGGGTTTTCCCTGCTGAGCACTGCCTAAATTGCAGATTCAAAAGCAAAATACATGTTGCTTCTTTATGCCACTAAGTTTTGGGGTGGTTTGTTACATAGCAATACATAACTGGTAGAAAATACATTTCTTTATTGTCTGAATTTTTTTGCAGCCAACCCATGTTTCTCTTTTAGCTTGAAAATAAAAGGAGAAAACTGAAAGGAAAATGTAAAAGAGAAGAAAGTCTTTTTAGAAAAGCAGAGGAGGTCTCTCCTGTACTCTAGCCATATCACTAGCCTCACCAACAACCTTCCCCTATTCTGGTTAACTTGGATTGTCATGGGCTATTCACCTTCCTCTTCTGAAGAAAACCACCAGTTGATGCCTCCTGTCATCTCATACAAAATAGATCCTGTTCCAAACAGCTACAAGCACAGGGCAAAGCCCTTCAGAGATTCTGAGACAAGAGCTCAATCTCGTTCCAGGTTGATAAATCATTCAAGGTGTCCCCACGCCCATTTTGCAACGCCATCGTTCATAAACTAATTTGACTTGAATCTAGCTAAAAACAAAGGGGAGCAATTGCTTTAGAATCTGGAACCTGGAATCATCATGGTGCAACTTTGGAGAGGGTCAGCCTTTCCAATTAGGGAATGTGGTCTTTAGGAGTTGGGATCAGACGAGATCTCAGGGAGTCTTCTGTTCTGCATCTGGGAGATTTTTCATGTCACTCCTTGGCTTCTGCCTTCATAAAACAAAGAAGTTTGTCTTGATGGCCTTGAAGACCTCTTGTAGTTGCAAAGTTTAATGCTTGCAGCTAAAGCAGAAGCCCAGGTCTTGCTTTGCAACATGTCAGACAAATCAACGGTGGGAAGAAGTTTCAATAATGTGATCACAGGCAGAATGAAAATGCTTCAGCACAACCTACAAGCACATTTTCTCCTTCCTCCATCCCCTTTAGTGAAGGCCCAAAATTCTGGTGTGTAAGAAGGTTTTAGAAGGAAAGGAATGTCAATTTGGCATAGGCTTTGTATTCTGAGGGAGATAAAGTGTACTCACCATTTTTCAAAAGGAATATGATGTATGTGTGACACCCTGACATAAGTAATTCTTGGAAATAATTTTCAATGTTTCCTGGTGGAGTTGTTTGGGGTTTCCTAGTGCTTCCTGTATAAGCCATTTTAGATTGTATACCAGGCATCCCCTCCTCCTAACAGCAAAGCAGGAAGAAAGCAGCTTTCTGAGAGAATGAACCTCTCCCCCACCCCTTTGATGCAAGAATTCCCTCATCAGTTAAATGGAGAATCAGCTCACCCAGTGAATTCTAATGAGGCAGCCGGCTTAGCTGTCAGCAGTCCTCCCTGCTTAAGACGACAGCAAGCGAGGGAAAGGATTGCACACTACGCGTACCAAGCAGTTTACCTTCCCATGCCGAGGGACAGGAACATCAGAACAGCTTCCAATGGGGCTGGGCTCACTGACAAACCCAGCAGCAAGGAACACTGGAGCAAGTTACCCTGGGTTTAAGGACTCCTGCAAAATATGGCTGGTATAGAATGGCAAATTTAAGAAATTGATTAAGATTCATCCTGATTAATCTGATGAAAATCTGGGTTTTGAAATATAGATATATCTAGGAACTAAATTGCCCTAAAATAAGATACAGGAAATATATAGATATACAAAAGCACCCTTTGGATGCTGGCTCTGAATTGAAATGGGAAACATTTCAATTTTAGTATTAAGGGCAACGAGTGAAGGTCCGTTTTGCTATTAGTTGAGAAAGCAGGGAAACCACTTACAATGACGACGCTGAGAAATCCATAAACAAGGCTGGAAGCAAAGTGGCAGGGGTCCTAGACTGACCTTGGCCACTGGTTCTGTTGCTTGAGAAAAAACAGATAAGCACCAGGCCTATGCTTCTGAAACAAGGGAAGACAGTGAAATGTCAGATGGACACGTACCCCAGGAATAAGCATGGCACATCTTGCAAAAGCATCAATCTTGATAACTTTAAATTATGCTTCTTTTTAATTTGAAAATCGACTTTGTGAGATAGAAAAAAAAATTTAAGTGTACATGAGTTTTAGCAAATGTAAATACCCATACAAACACCACCACAATCAAAACAAGGCAAATTTCCTCATCATCTTCCAAATTTTCCTTCTGCTTGTTCACAGTTAGTACCCCTTCAATGTGCTCCTTTGCATCTGGCTTCTTTTCTTCACCATAAGTTTTGAGATTCATCCATGTTGTTTTGTGCATCAGTTCTTTCTTTTTTATTGCTATGTAGTATTCCACTGTAAGAACATAGCAGAATTTTTTTAAACCATTTCTCATGTTGATAAAAATTCAGGTTGTTTCAAGTTTTGGCTGTTAGGAATAAGGCTCCTAGAATATTTGTGTACAAGTTTTTATGTGGACACGTTTCATTTCTCTTGGGTAAATATCAAGGAGCAAAATAACTGAGTCTTAAGATAAGTCTATGTTTAATTTTATTGAAAACTGATAAACTGTTTTCCAAAGTGGTTCTATCATTTTATACTCCCACTAGCCATGACTTATATTAAATGCAAATGGAGTTGAGCACCATCATATATGGGGATTCTACATCCAGTATGTAAGCACTATTCAATTTCCTATGAAAAAACTCTTAAGGAATTCACCAAAGTATCATATGCATGTTTAGGAGTTTGCAGCTCTGTGCTGTGGGTATGCATGCATATTGCACATTCAAAAATATGCAAGTGTACCTGTATATTATTTATAGTAATAGGTAACTGATGTGGTTTGGCTGTGTCCTCACCCAAAATCTCATCTTGAATTATAATCCCCATAATCCCCACGTGTCAACGGCAGGACCAGGTGGAGGTAATTGAATCATGGGGGCATTTTCCCCCATGCTATTCTCATGATGATGAGTGAGTCTCACAAGATCTGCTAAGCATCTGGCATTTCCCTGCTTGCACTCATTCTCTCTCTTGCCACCCTGTAAAGAGGTGCCTTCTGCCATGACTGTAACTTTCCTGAGGCCTCCCAAGCCATGCAGTATTCTAAGTTAATTAAACCTCTTTTCTTTATAAATTATCCAGACTATGGTTATTTCTTCATAGCAACATGAGAATGAACTAATACAGTAAATTGGTACCAAGGTAGTAGGGCACTGCTACAAAGATACATGAAAATATAGAAGCAACTTTGGAACTGGGTAACAGGCAGAAGTTGGAATAGTTTGGAGGGTTCAGAGGAAGACAGGAAAATGTGGGAAAGTTTGGCACTTCCTAGAGATTTGTTGAATGGCTTTGCCCAAAATGCTGATAGTGATATGGACAATGAAGTCCAGGCTGAGGTGGTCTCAGATGAAGATGAGAAACTTGTTAGGAACTGGAGTAAAGGTCACTCTTGCTATTCCTTAGGAAAAAGACTGGAGGCTTTTTGTCCTTGCCCTAGAGATCTGTGGAACTTTGAAGTTAAGAGAGATGATTTAGGGTATCTGGTGGAAGAAATTTCTAAGTGACAAAGTGTCCAAGAAGAGGCAGAGAATAAAAATTTGGAAAATTTGCAGCCTGGAGATGCAACAGAAAATAAAAGCCCATTTTCTGGGAAGAAATTCAAGCCCACTGCAGAAATTTGCATAAGTAACGAGGAGCCAAATGTCAATTACCAGGACAATGGGGAAAATATCTCCAGGGCATGTCAGAGACCTTCACAGCAGCCTCTCCCTTCACAAGCCCAGAGGTCTAGGAGGGAAAAATGGTTTCCTGGGCTGGGCCCAGGGTCCCCCTGCTCTGTGCAGCCTTGGGACATGGTGTCCTGAGTCCCAGCTGCTTGAGTCCCAGCTGTGGCTAAAAGGGGCCAAAGTACAGTTCAGGCTGTTGCTTCAGATGGTGCAAGCCCCAAGCCTTGGCGGCTTAAATGTGCTGTTGGGCTTGTAGGTGCACAGAAGTCAAGAACTGAAGTTTGGGAACCTCCACCTAGATTTCAGAGGATGTATGGAAACACCTGGATGTCCAGGCAGAAGTTTGCTGCAGGAGTGCAGCCCTGAGGAGAACATCTGCTAGGGCAGTGTGGAAGAGAAATGTGGGTTTGGACCTCCCACATAGAGTCCCCACTGGGGCACTGCCTAGTGCAGCTGCGAGGAGAGGACCACCATCCTCCAGACCCCAGAATGGTAGATCCACTGAGAGTTTGCACCGTATGCCTGGAAAAGCCACAGACACTCAACACCAGCCCATGAAAGCAGCTGGGAGAGGGGCTGTAGCCTGCAAAGCCACAATGGCAGAGCTGCCCAAGGCCATGGGGGCCCACCTCTTGCATCAGCATGATCTGGATGTGAGAAATGGAATCAAAGGAGATCATTTGGAACTTTAAGGTTTATTGACTGCCCTATTGGATTTCAGACTTGCATGGGGCCTGCAGTCCCTTTGTTTTGGCCAATTTCTCCCATTTGGAATGGGTGTATTTACCAAATGCCTGTACCCCCATCGTATCTAAAAAGTAACTAACTTGCTTTCGATTTTACAGGCTTATAGGTGGAAGAGACTTGCCTTGTCACAGATGAGACTTTGGACTTGGACTTTTGGGTTAATGCCAGAATGAATTAAGACCTTGGGGGATTGTTGGAAAGGCATGATTGTGTTTTGAAATGTGAGGACATGAGATTTGGGAGGTGCCGGGGTTGGAATTGTATGGTTTGGCTATGTCCCCACCCAAAATCTCATCTTGAATTGTAATCTCCATAGTCCCCAAGTATCATGAGATGGACTCAGAGAAAGGTAATTGAATCATGGGGGCATTTCCCCCTGCTGTTCTCATGATACTGAGTGAGTTCTTATGAGATCTGATGTTTTATAAGCATCTGGCATTTCCCCTGCTGTGAGTCAATTAAACTTCTTTTCTTTATAAATTACCCAGTCTCAGGTATTTCTTCATAGCAGCGTGAAAACAGACTAATACAGTAACTATATTATATACAATATAATTCTGTATAGTAAGAGATAGAAATATAATAATACAATAAAAATAAAAACTGAATGAATAATGTTTACAAATCTGTTCTCAATGTTTGCAAATTATGAATCTGACAAAGGATTAATATCCAGAATCTGTAAGGAACTCAAACAAATCAATAAGAAAAAACAATCCCATTAAAAAATGGTCAAAGGACATGAATAGACAGTTCTCAAAAGAAGACATACAAGCAGCCAACACCCATATGAAAAAATATTCAGCATCACTAACCAGAGAGACGCAAATCAAAACCACAATGAGACATCATCTCACACCAGTCAGAATGGCTATTACTATAAAGTCAAAAATAACAGGTGTTGGTGAGGTTGCAGAGAAAAAGGAATGCTTATACACTATTGGCGAGAATGCAAATGAGTTCAGCCACTATGGAAAGCAGTTTGGAGATTTATCAAAGAACCTATAAATAGAGCTACGATTCAACCCAGTAATTCTATTACTGAATAAATACGCAAAGGAAAATAAATCATTCTATCAAAAAGACACATACACTCGTATGTTTATCACAGCACTATTCACAACTGCAAAGACATTGAATCAACCTAGGTGCCCATCAGTTGTGGAATGGATAAAGAAAACGTGGAACATATACACCTTGAAATACTATGTAGCCATAAAAAGGAATGAAATCATGTCTTTGCAGGGATATGGATGGAGCTGGAGCTGGAGCCCATTATCCTAAGTGAATTAATGCAGAAATAGAAAACCAAATTCCAGAGATTCTCAATGAAAAGTGAGAGCTAAACACTGGGTACACATAGATGTAAAGATGGAAACAATAAACAACGAGGACACCAAAAGGTGGTGGGAATTTGAGGTAATGCACAGGAGGTGTTCTGAAATCATCCACATTTATTCAAAAGGTAGTCTCTCCTCACCTGCCTATGTATTTTTGTGTTTGTGTATCTCCTCCTTTTACAGGTGGAGGTGACTAATATATGTAGTTAAACTCAGGTAATTTAAATGAGTGTATGACGTGATTCCATTGTATGTTACAAAGTAGAACTTTGCAAAATGACTGTTGAGATAAAGCATAGGTCAACTTTGCATTCAAGCCATTTCCCAGACCTACCAAGATGATAGCAGGGGTGGGAGTGGTGAATATAGCTTCACTGTTATCTGCTGCTGGTGATGATTCAGAGAAAAATCTGAAGCTTTCATGTTTTCAAATTTGAGTAATGTACAGTCCTTTCTGAGGGAAATTTTTTTCTCTTGGATGTGCATTATTGAATAGTAGTATTTAGTTAAAACAGTGCTTATTATATGCAAACTTAAGACCACAGAATTCTTATATTACCAATCGTCTACATCCTTGAGGCCCTTAAATATTTACAAATTAATATAAATAGAACTGTAACACTAGTACAATTCCAATTAACAACATTGGTTTGAAATAATGGGTAATATTGTTTTGCTGAAACTAAACTAAACTGGCACTGAGAGTATGAGAGAGGACATTATGCCTACACAACCACAGGTCAAACAATGGCTTAATTTTCCTAGTACTTTGCAAATTATTTTCAAATTACTAGGAAACCTTGGCTCAAGCAATGTGCATTCAGTGCAAATGCTTCATTTACATATAAGGTCTGTCTTTTTGATTTTCTTATTAGGCCAAGACAAGTTAAATAGAACGACTTAGCATTAATTCAATGATGAACACACACACACACACACACACACACACACACACACACACACACACACACACGGAGAATGTAAATGTAAAATGGGGTGCAGGGACTGTGTTTGTTTGATCTCACCCTCATATTCCCAGGCAGGGAGGGATGGAGAGAGGGATGAAGGCCCCAAATAGAAATTACGAGGCTGAACACTTAGGTCAGTTTTTAAAAATGAGACTATTGTCATTTCAAAATAATTAAATATTTGGGGCTAATTAGACAAAATAACAACTTCAGAAAAGAAAACCGAAGCTCTTGAATTCCCATTTGGCCTTTGGCAAGTGTGGACACAATCAGACACAGTCTGCAGCCCTTCTGAGGGGAGAGCCTGGGAAAAAAACAGCAAAGCTGCAAGGACAAGGGGGAAATTAATCAAGAAATATTGAGAAAGCCTGGGAATATGACATTGCTAGTGATGTGTGGTTTGTTCAACAAACAAATAGGAAGGCTCAAGGGAAATGAAATTTCTCAAGACAGAAGACCAGATGGGCCTTGTCAGCGAATGTGGAGCAAAAACAAAGAAGCAAAACCATTTCTGATGGAAGGATGGTCAGCACAGAAGTTTAGGGGACACTTAAAGAGAATACAATAGAGATCCCTCAGAATTTGAGTAGGATGTTATATTTCTAAAGTATTTCCACATACAACTCCCTTGTATGGTAAATAAGGTAATGTAAAACAAAACTAACATTCTAAGCACCCCCAACTAACTGAATGGATCCCCTTTCTCAGCCAAAAGCATTCCAAAGTTTACCTGAAAAACTAGTTCAGGCCATGATGGGAAGCGGGGTGGTGGGGGAGGGTGTTCAGACATGCCTCATTATACCCTCCTCCCTTTGGAATTCAGGCACAACTGACCAGCACTAAAATTAAAACAGAGACCTTAACACTGACAAAGCAGATTCTTTGTAGCAGTAAAATACCAACATTACAGATAGCAGGCTCTGGAAGAAACTGAAGTATTTTACCTCAAAATATATTTTTGACATATTTTGAAATGGCCCTGCAATGCTGTATCTTGCGGGGAAAATCTACATTCTGTAGTGAATCCTCTTTCTTTCTCAGGTCTTTTTCCTGATCCAGGAGAGAATTAGCTAACAGTCTGGCACCTTCTGAAGTCTGATAAGAAACACTTATAAGCTATTCTCTCTGAAGCCTGCTACCTGGAGGTGGTGGCTCATGTCTGTAATCCCAGAACTTTGAGTTGCCAAGCCCAAGAGTTCAAGACCAGCCTGGGTAACATGGCAAAACCTCACCTCTACAAAAAAAAAAAAAAATTAGCAAGGCATGGTGGCACACACCTGTAGTACCATCTACTTGGGAGGCTGAGGTGGGAGGATCACCCAAGTCCGAGGAGTTCAAGGCTGCAGTGAGCTGTGATCATGCCACTGCACTCTTACCTGCGTGACAGATCGAGGCCTTGTCTCAAACAAAAACAAAAAAAGAACTTGGTCACCACAACCTCTTATTTTAACCCAGACATCCCCATCTATTGATTCCACGTCTTTAGATAATAACTTAACTCTTTCAACTAATTGCCAATCAGGAAATCTTTAAATCCCTCTATGACCTGGAAATCCCCACTTCGAGTTGCCCTACCTTTCCAGACCCAACCAATGTACACCTTACATATATTGACTGATGGCTTATCCCTCCCTAAAATATATAAAATCAAGCTGTACCTCGACCACCTTGGCCATATGTTTTCAGGATCTCCTGGGGCCGTGTCCTGGGCCATGGTCACTCATATGTAGCTGAGAATAAATCTCTTCAGATATTTTACAGAGTTTGGCTCTTTTTGTTGACAGTAAATGAGCTCCCATTTACAAAAGAAGAAACTTAGGCTCTCAAAGGTCAAATATTTTTCCTTTGGTCACAAAGGGAATCAGAAAAGAAGAACTTGAGCTGAGGTCTCCTGCATCATGGACCCTGCTCTTGCCAACACCCTGAAGATCAAAGAGCTAGAGGCAATATCAGGTAGTAGTTAAGCATATGGGCTTACAATCAGACAGCTAAGAGGCTGAAACCACTGCTCACTGGCTGGGGGAGGCACCTGGCATAATCCGTTATCAGCCTTTTCTTCACAAAATGAGATCATGCACATGACAGAGCTCAGTGCCTGGCACATAATCAGTTCTCTTTAAATATAGCCATTACAGTGTTAAGACTATATGGATTATGCAAACCAATATAGATGAGAGTGGACAATTCCTATGTAATCATTGTAGGTATTAGGTACCAAAGCATTCTGGGATAGATATAATAGTGCATGTTTTGAAAACAAATTTGACATAATAAAAGAACTATAAGAAAAAAAGGATAACTTGTTGAATTTTTAATATTAAGGAGTGAAAAATGATAGTTGTAACCAAAGGGGAATAAAATGAGAATTGGGGGCCAAATTGAACAATGAGATTAGACTGGGAAAGTCAACATTCACAATTACTCTTTTATATTGCCATTCAAATATCTCATGTTTAAAAGAAAGATTAGTTGATAGATGATTTAAAATTGCATCTTACTGTGAATGTAAGAAGATTCAAATGAGACATGTAGGTATTTCATGTATACTATATTAAGGAGGAAATGTCTAATGGGTAGATAAAAGACACATTTTGTAAAGCTTTCCTCAGGTTGTTTCAGTTCTATTCTATTCTATTCTCTTCTGAAGACCCCATTCATTGAGCATCCATGTGCTCACATTAAACTGCTTTGGTCCTATGTGCTAAGCACTTTGCTAAGTCCTGGAGATCAAAGATTTAAAAAGCCCAGCCCTGGCCTTTCAGTTTAGTAGTCGATTCAGAGATGTGGACACATAGTGCTAAGACACTGTGATGGTGCCATTAGATGACCTGTCTAAAGTGCTTAGATGCCCAGAAGATATTTGGTAGACTGAATTGTTGGCCCCAGTTATTCACTACTCTTATCAAACACCTACATATACAACCTTACCATGGCCTCTCTGTGAGTGGGGTACCTCCCTGCCCCTAGACTTTGGGCTTAGCCATATAACCGACTTGGGCCAATGATGAATAGATGTGGTGTTAGCAGAGGCTTGAAATGAGCTTACACTCTTGTGCTTCTCATTGCCATGCAAAGAACATACTGAGCATCTTCCACAGGTCCAAGCAGGATGAGAAATGAGAGGAGCAGATTCAGATCCAACCAACAGCTGGGAACCAAATCCAGCTGAACCCAGCCTGCATTAGCTAACCACTAGCCAACTCACATACACTTAAGCAAGAAATAGCTGATTGTTTTAAGCCACTGTGTTTTGGGGTGTTTTGTTATGCAGCATCATGGCAATAGCTGTCTGAGATAGGCCATGGTGGATATGACAGGGATGTACAGGGATAGTGCTTTACTGTGGCTCTTCTCTGCCAACATTTTCTTCCCACACACCCTCCACTAAACACATAAGCACATACCCCAAAGAAGAGTTGCAGGAATTCTTGCCATTGCCAATCCTATAAATAAGACTTTTGTTTGGATTACGTTGGGGTAATGCAGGGCCCATGTATTAACCTTTCATGGATATCTCCAGAGTAAAAAGAATGAGGAATAGAATCCCAAACCTCATCCAATCTACATATCCCTTTCTTATTGCTCTTTATTAAAATTGATGACCCCTTCAGAAAAAGGTACATGCATGGTGCTGACTCTAATACAGTCATAGCAGCCCCATCAACCATAAAAAGCTAGAAATGGATTTCCCAGGAGGAATAAGCTGGTTTCTGTGACTATGGCCAAATTTTGAAAAGTATCTTACAACCGTGAGTAATGTGGAACTTAAGTCATGGATGAAAAATGTTAACTTACATATCTCTCCTAACAAGTAGATAGCTGCTGAGGAGAGGCTGGGGAGAGCTCATAAAGGGCAGGCAGAGTGGTGAGAAAAGTGGTAAGAAAAATCTGTCTCATGCTATAAAGGAATATGGGACTATTCCTTCCAGAGCATAGAATAATATAAGATGGTATACATTTCAGAAGCAGAGGTTTTTGTTAGTTAATTTAAAAAAAAGAATTTAAGAAGAGGATTTCCAACTAAGGCAGATGAGTCCCACAGTATTAATACAGTTAAGCAAATATTGGAGGATCATAGGAAATGAGGTTGAATAAATTACATGTTTTATCAGACATCTTTGGGCTTTGAAATTGCTGACAGTCCACTGCGGAATATTAAATCTCACATTTCTCAATTTTCCTTTTTATTGATGTTGAGGAGGAGGTTGTATATGAAAATTTTTCTACTAACATTTATGTAATATTTATTTGTAAATGTGTCTTAAGCCAGCTTCCTCCAGAAGCCAACTCTGAGACAAGGATTTGGGTGCAGGTAGCTTATTTGGGATGTGATCCCAGGAAGTGCTGGTCCACTGGTTGGGAAGAGGGGAATTGACACAGGGAAGGGAAAGAAGCCAGTGCAGGGCTCATTCATTGCCACAGTTGCAAACCTGGGCTCAGTCCTGCTTAAGACCTCTGGGAGATGGTGTAGACAATTTCCCTGTCTGAGAGGAAGGAAGCTAGAGTATTTTCAACAAACTCTCATGCGTTGTTAGCTGAGGAATGTTTCCAGGGGTGTTAACTTCCTAGCACTTCCAATATGCCTCATGAGCAAGGCCTAAGACAAAACCTTTGGGTACAGGGCTTTTGTTTCCAACAGTAAGATGTCATTGGGTGTACAGGACAGTGAGTGCTCAGGGAACATAGGCCAGCCACCAACAGTGTGTGCTGTATAGTACATAATTAAATCCATGTGTCAATGAAAAAAGGGTTACATTTGGTTAGAAACTGATGATGAAAGCGTCCACTTGTCTAGCCCACCAATATGTTCTTTTGGATCACACTTAGAATCAGGTTTGAATTACAGAAACCTCTTAGTTACTGGACTAGGATCGGGTCCTGGGAGGAGCCAAGGTAGCCCAGGAGGATAAAAAAGCAGCACTGTACAATCAGATCCTAAGTACTTCAATATTTTATCAGTCAGGAAGACTGGACCCATGTTTATGTGCTGACTGTTGGCCCTGAGCTAAGCAACTTGTCCACAGACACAAAAGAAAGAGGTGCAATGGGGGATTGGAGTGTACATCTGCCTGACTTCAAACTCCCTTCACCAGACTGCCACAGGGAGGACCCTGAATGATGCAGACCCAGGTTTTCCTCCCTAGAGAGGAAGGAAGCCACACACTCTGTAAGAGGAAGGGCTCTGAAAGACAAGGGAGTATGGAAGGCTTCATGACACTAGCCAGGGATTTCTAGCCTTTCTTGGCTGAGGAAGCCTTTTAAGAGTCCCAAGAAAACCACGGATCCTCTCAGAAACAAACTCAAATGCACAAAACAGTGAATATCATTTCAAGAGCCTCACAAGTCATTGGAAGCCCCTCTGTGGGTCCCAGGTTAAGCTACCAGATGCCAGGAAGGACTCAAATTATGTGGGTTGTGATTTTGGGCACTTTCAGAAAGAATTTTCAAATTTTAGAAAATTCCCTAGGAAAGGGTCTCTTTTTATTATCTGTCTCCCACTAGCAGTTCTCTTGTGAGGCCTACAATTGCCACCAGCCCAACAGATTCAAGTGGCACAAAGGATTCCAGATGCTAATTCATGATTAGATCAGGTGGGCTTCTTCTGACTCCCATTTAAACTACAAACTCTGCCTGGCCAAACTAGGTCAATCAATGCCACAGAGAGGTTATCTCAAATTAAAAATTAGCTGGGACCAAGGAACATACCTAATCGATTAAGGATCTTATCAGAAGGACTAAAGCATTAGAAGCAATGTGAGTGGCAGAGATCCATACTCCAAAATAGAGGTCTTCTCCATCCTTGACCCCTTATTTAGAAAGTTGCTGTTCTGAGAAGCCAGAAATCCCAATTCAATAAAGCCAGACAGACCTGGTGCCATATCCCTGTGGCACCCACAGTTCACTGTGATTCTGGACAAGTTAGGTTATCTTCCAATCCTCACTTTTCATATCTGTGCAGTGGGTGAACACTCCTTTCCTTATAAGGTTGTTGTGAGAGTTAAATGGAAAATGAAAGTGCCTGCCATATACATCTGTTACCTTCATTTCAGTGTGTCTTGGTTTTAATTCCCTTATTATCGTCATGGTCTTGTTCCAAAATAGAGTATTGATACACAGATTGAACAAAAAAGTGTTCCTTCAATTATTCCTGTGTTCATATGCTGCGCTGCTGAAGAACTGTTTTTACTGATCAGAATCAATTACCACAAGTATCTCTGAAAGAAAATCTCTACATTGAAAAGAGCTATACATCTTAGCTGATAGTATCTTTATGTCAACCTATTGTTATCAAATTATGGAACGGTAGAGAGAGGAGGGAGGAAGCAAAGAAGTAATCTAATCCAAACCCTAATTTTATAATGCAGGAGTAAGGCCCTGAGTGGTTAAATGTTTTACATAAATCACAAAGCTAGTTAATTACAGAGTGGAAAGTGGAGTCTAGACCTCTAAACTACCAATCCTGTGTTTTCTCTACTATATCATGTGTTCTGTACTAATAAAACTAAAATGCAAAAAAAGGAAAATTTAAAAACTTCTTGGAATTCAATGTGATGAGATGTTATTGGTATCTGCAATATTCTTGGGAAGAGAATGAATAGAAAGCACCTAATATGAAATGACCCATTCAATATGTGGTTTTGGATCCTCATTAGTTACACTTGTTTTGGCATCCAAATCATTCCGGCCTGGTGGTGGGTATGTGGGCAGGTGAGGAAGGCAGGTAGTGTGGTAGAAATTGTACTGAACAGGTGAATAAAAGACCTGTATTCTAAATTCAGTTCTGACACCAACTCAATGTGCGAAAGGTTAAGACATTTCCTTGATCCTTCTGAGCCTCCATTTCTTTATGTTATTTTTTTTTAAGTGTTCCTCTGAAAAGATGTTGCCAGGGTCTCTTTGGGCTTTCATGTTCCAGATTCCCAAAGAAGTCCCCATTCCATTCACGGTCTCATACAAACCATCCTGAGGGGCTGTATACAAATAAGGAAAAGAAAATTAGGAGAAAAGAGGAGAAACTGGAAGAAAGCAAGGATTCAGGAGCGCAAACAGGGAAGCAAGTCCTCAAGAAGGGGGAAGCAGCAGCAGGAAGGCCAGGAGCTTGCTGAGCACGGGTCCCTACTCAAGGAAGCAGCAGCTTTTGATTTACCTCTTGGATGTGTTTACACTCAACACAAACTCAAAACAACTCTCACTCATTTGCTTATTTACTCAATCAATATATTTTTTCTTTAGAAACAGCTTTATTAAAATATAATTCACATACCATACAATTCACCCATTTAAATTATACAATTCAGTGATTTTTTTCATGATTCAGAGTTGTACAGTCATCACTACGATTTTGGAATATTTTCATTACCCCCCCAGAAAAACTTTATACTCTTTAGCTATCTCCCGTAAATCCCTCCATCCCCTCCCCCAGCTCTAAGCAACCACTAATCCATTTTCTGTCTCTCTAGATTTGCAGATTCTGGATATTTCATATAATATGTGGTCTTTTCTGACTGGCTTCTCTCAGCATAATGTCTTCAAGTCTCATCTATGTTCTAGTATGTATCAGTACTTCATTCTTGTCTGCAGGCAAGTAATATTCCATTGTATGGATGTACCACATTTTCTTTATTCGTTTATTGGTAGTTACTTGGGTTGTTTCCACTTTTTAGCTATTATGAGTAATGCTGCTATGAACATTTCTGTACACTTTTTGTGGGGATCAACCAATTTTTGAGGCCTGTTTCACACCAAAACTTTTGAGACCTAGAGATGCAAAAATGAAGGTGGTTATTGCTCTCAAGAAAGTCACAATACAGGGGAAGAAAGATGTGTTTTTGAAAAGCTGCAATAATGTGCTGTGATAAATGCCATATGATAAGATGTGCAAAGAGAGGCAGAGAAATTGATATTTGAAAGAGGTGTTGAAAATAAGTTGGCCTTTAGGCATAGAGGAGGGAGAGGGTGTTACAGGCTATGGTAACTACATGTTAAAGGCTCAGAGGTGTCAAAAAGAATGTCATATTCAGGTAATTGTAAATAATATTAATGCTATCTTATCTTTTATGATGCTTGCCATGTGTCAGGCACTATCATACTTTCCTAAACATTTAATTTGTATTAACTCATTTACTCGCCACAGTAGCCTTATGATAATATCATTTTCCCCATTCCATAGATGAAGAAACTGAAGCACAGAGAGGTAAATAACTTGTCTGAGGCTACACAACTAGTGAGATCCTGGATTGAAGCCAAGAGAGTCTGATTTCAAAAACCTACAATCTGAGATACCATAGGTACTCCCTCATTTAATTCCCAAGTGGTCCTGGCTGGTTGGATCATTGAGTGTATGAGGGGCACGGCAGGATGTGATGTTGGAAAGGTAGAATGTGTTACACAATATGAAGAAATGCCAATTCCAAAAGAAAAAGGGAGCCATCGAAGGTTTGTATGCAAGGAAATAACACAGATGAGATGTTCTTTTGGGAAGACAAGAGGCAACAGCAGGAGGATTGTTTGAAAGCAGAAAGAGACCATGGGTTTGTTTCACCATAGATAACACCCTTTCCTATACAAAATATCCAATACAGGTGTGAAATTGCAAAAGCAGCATTGGTTGTGCTCTCCTGGATATAATCTTTTCAGGAGGATGCCACGGTCAAGATTTTATAAAGATAATTCTTATTTTTCCCTCCCCACCTTCACTATCAGGTTTAAGTCTAATTCTGAATAAACCAGGGCTGGCAGCTGCCCTCGATCTAACCATGCAGAAGCAAAAATTTTGAGAACATAAGGCCTTCACGAACACTTTTTTTTTGCAAACACTTCAAGAGACAGGATGGTGATAAACAAAGAGTTCATGTGCCAGAGGAGTATATGATTGGTTTTCTTCCACACATACATTATTAAAGTGGCCTTCAACACATCAATAGTTTGCAGAATTCTCATTCCTGTTTTCATGTGCTCACCCTTGAGTTTTCACTGTAGCTTTCCAGTCCCCAGAAGAGTCCACCTCAACTACAGAAAAAGCAGGTGAGTTCCAAGGGCACTCCAGAACGAGTGCTAATAGAAAACAGGACATGACCGTAACACCTATGCAAGGCACATAGAAAATGTGCCCTCTGTAATTATCCCTCTACCTTAAAATCAAGGTTATTTTAGGGAATGTAGAGGATGATCCTTGAGCCAGCAAGAGTTCATATTTAACTCACAAATCCTCAGAATCCCTTTATGAAGCTTCTATGATGATTTCCATTGCACAGGTGGACAAGCAGAGAGAATAAAGGGCTAGCAAATTGACCTGCTGTATTCAAAATTGTGCTGGTAAAACATGTGGCTCTGGGCAAATCATCTCACTTCATCCTCTCCCCAGATCTTTCTTTGTGTTTCTGATAACATCGTGAAGTGTTTTCTAAGTTCTGAGATGGTGCTGACCTCAGCAACTGCAACACTTGGTATGCTCGTACTTACAGTCTTGCCATTTTACATAGGATCATGGTAGTTGTTCTACAGATAACTTGGATGAACGAATAAATAAATATTGGTACTATCTCTTGAGGGTAATTACTAAAATATCACACCTCTCCCTCTCTCTCTGTCTGTGTGTATATATATATATGTGCATATATGTGTATACATAGAGATGTGTATATGCCATATACGTATTATATATACTGTATATACATACACAAATATAGAGAGTATGTATACAGTATATATAGTATGTACACATATATGTACGTAAACATATATGGTGTGTACAGAGATGTGTATATACACCATATCCATGTATATATAGTGTGTGTATATAGCGACTTTCAATGCCTTTTGTATGCACTGAACTGAGTTATCTATTTTGGAAGATAGCTAAAAGTACTATGATAGCTAATTTTTATGGAGTTCTTACTATGTGCCAAGAAATGTTCGAAGCTCTTTACATATTTTAACTCATTTAATTCCCACAACAACCCTTTGTGAGATAAACTATTTTTAGATTTTCTGTATGAAGAAATTGAGGCTTGGAGAGTTTGAATACTTTGCTCAACCTTTCACAATCACTAAGTGGAAAATGAGGATTTGAACACAGGTAGTTTGGCTCTAATCCTGAATTTTTTTCTGAATTCTTAAATTAAAAGATAAAGACAACTGTCAAAATTGTTAAATGAGAAAATTACGTAAATTATATTCATTTCAGTCACAATTTGGCTCCCCGGGAGAGGAACTGGTCATTTACACTGTAGCCCGTGGTAACCTGATTGTTTTAAGTGTAACCCAAATAAAATTGGACTGCCTTGAGGCCTTTGTCTCAGCACTGTGATATATCCAAAAGAAACAAAAATGTAATTGCCAAAGCCTTTAAAAGCACTGGCGATCTCTTGAGATGGTGGTGATGGGGGAATTACATCAGGAAACATACAGAAAGACTAATTAATATCTAATTTACACACTGCTCTTCCAAAATCTGTCTTTTTCTCTTACCACCTCTCCCCATTCTATCCCTTATCCTTATGCTGTTTTGTCTTACTCTCTCCCTTCCCCTGCTCTCATCCTACCTCATCTGTACTCACAAATAGTGCTGTCATTCTTCTTTCCACCCCTCCTTACCTAAGTAGCTGGCAGAGGCCCCAGAACCAAGAAAGCAATGGAGTCTTCCCCCCAAGGAGGCTCAGAGGAGGCAATTGAAAGTACCTATAATTAAATATTATTTCTTCTACTTGTGACATGAGAAAATGGCAGTATTGGGGAGTAGAACTTGTGGAGAAATAGTAGAGGATTTGTGGTCCCTAGAAATTCTACTTAGTAAGTGGGATTTGTAGGCCTGTTTTTGGGAGGGTATTACCAAACTGTCCTGTGTAGATGCTGGTAGAACGTGGAGGACACCAGAATGTATTATCCATCACAGGATGCAAGATGGTCCCCGTGGATAGATGACAGAGTATAAGCAGAATATTAAGAAATTGTAAGAATGAAGAATTCCAGACTGTGGGCAACTTTTTCCTGCTCACCTTCTTCAAGAGAAGCAAAATTCCTGTCTCTATAACCATAGATGGGGTTGAGCAGAAGAGAGAAGGGGTTAGAAGAGGGAGAGCAAAGGGAAGTATTTGCAATGAGGAGAGAAAAGGAAGCACGCTCCTCTGACTTCTCACATTGAAAACCTCTAAATAATGCTAAAATTTTAAGAAATATTGCACTCTCTTCCTCTACTTTTCCCATGTCAGGGAGTGTGGTGCGTGGACAAAAGAAAATGAAAGGCAGAAACTATGATTGCTACTAAAAATCTCCCCATGCTTCTTATGGTGAGGAGAAAGGAAAGGGGGTTTGAGAACAGCATCTTATACTCATCTGAAAACCTTGTTTGAGATCCTACTCCTTACAGGCACTAAGGTAGCTATGTTGAACACTAAGACACAGTACCTATTATATATAACTTTCTTATATTGAAACTCCTTCCATTTCAAGTAACTGAATCTCGACTCAAACTATTTTAAGTAAAAATGGGAATCAATTGTCTTAGGTGGCCAAAAAGTCTGGGAGTAGAATACCTGTCACAGCTGCTCAGCTCAGCCCTGCCTTCCTCTCCCCTGGCTTCATTCTTACACAGCTGTATCAATGACTGCCTATCAAAGGTAGGCACTTTTACTGTCTACTTACATGGCTCTTACAGTTTACAATTCCAATGAAAGTGTTGAACAATAATTGGCCTGGTTTGGGTCATATGTTCATCCTTAAACCAATTACTATGGCCAGTGGGATAGAGAAGTCAAGTAGGCTAGGCAAGGTCTTGTGTCAACCCAGTGAAAGAAATGGGACATTATAATTGGCAGCCAGGCAGGCAGGAAAGGGACAGTTCTCAAAACAAAATATGTTAAGTGGACAAATTCCAGACATGTAGCACCTCTGCCCTTAGGGAGCTTAAAGTTTAATGAGGGCAATAGTCATGTAAGCCAAGTAATTACTGGATTAATGCTGTGAAAGGGTAAGTATCAAGATCCTTGGGGACACAGAATATGGAGTGACTATGTCTGGGTAAGTCTTCAAAAAGGAAGTGGTTTTTCAATTGGGTCTATTTGTTTGTTTTTAAAAATTAAGATAAAATTTACATTCCATAAATTCATCCCTTTAAAATACTACTCAATTCAGTGGTTTTTAGTATATTCACCAAATTGTACAACCATCACCTCTACATATTATAGATAATTCTGTAATAATTCCAGAACATTTCCAACATCCCCGAAACAAATCCTGTGCTCATTAGCAGTCATTTCCCATTTCTGTCTCACTGCAGACTCTGGTAACCACTAATCTACATTCTGTCTTTATGGATTTGCCTTTTCTGGACATTTCATATAAATTGAATCATTAAATATGTGGCCTTTGTGTCTGGGTCCTTTAACTTAGCTTAATGTTTTCAAGGTCATTCATGTTGTAGCATGTTTCAGTACTTCATTCCTTTTTAGGAGTGAGTAATATTCCATTGTATGGATATGCCATATTTTGTTTACTCTCAGGTTGTTTCCATATTTTGACTATTGTGATAAGTCTGCTCAATTGGATCATGAAGAATAAATAATTGCTCAGCAGTTAAAGATGATGAAAAGTAGTATAGTATTTCAGGTAATCACACTGGTTATTATTTATTTTGTTATTGTGATTTTCATGCATCAGGAATTGCCCTTATATGCATTTATTTCAATTTCATTTATTCCTCATGGCAATAAATAATGAATAAATTTCATGTATTCCCCACATAATAGGGACTATTATTATCCTCATTTACTGATATGTAAATTAAGGCTCAGAGAGGTTAAGTAACTTTCTTAAAGTCTCACAGGTAGTAAAGGCAGAGGCAGGACTTGAATCTTGACCTGTTTGAACCAATAGCTCACACTCTTAATCTTTTTGTGATATTACAGGTAGTTCATGGACAAATGCACAATGATCAAGCCACCTTTTGTGTTGGGAACTTTTTCTGGTTTCATGGGAAATGCTGGATAAGAAGGCTACAACTGGATTCTGAAGAGTTTTATATGCTTTTTTGAAGACTTTACACTGTTCTTTAGGCATTGAGAAGCCATTGAGGATTTTAATTTGGATATACTTTTAATCAGGGACATAAAAAAATATGGGCTGTTTTGATCTTTAAAACAATGACTCAACACTGTGGAAAGTGATGGAGTGTTCCCAAGCTTCCCTGATTGAGCATAGACCATGTTATTCCATTGTTCAGGCCTGCTTTCTTGGAGGACTGTAGAAGGGGTTGGGACTATTTGACCTAGGACACCTTTGAGGGATTGAAGTGCATCCTGGGAAACACCTACCCTTAAGGGGGAAAAAAAAAAGAATAGATGTGCCAAATTTATTCAATAGAAATAGGACAAAGTTGTAAGGGGAGGATAATGATTCTAAGGAAAGATCAATTTGTCACTTAATTGCTTTCTGTCTCAGACTGCATAGATTCATACCCAAGTCTGAAGGTAAGAGGGCTACATCAAGGAAAATGTAAACTCTTAAAAAAGATCTGGTTCACTAAAATACTCATGGGGCAGCAAGAACTTGGCCTTCAGCAGCATTAGTGTCCAGAATGTCCAAAAAAGATGGTGAGCAATGCCCTTGGTTCTGGCATCAGCAGCAATGGCCACACTTCAATAGGCTTAGTGGGCTACGACTTCAGCATTTGTGGATATCACCAGCAGTGAGGTATCTGCTGGGTTGGGTTGTTTTTTTTTTTTTAACAACAATGACAATGCATTATCACTAGAGCAAGCCAAAGCACAGAAATAGGAAAATGACAACTTTTGTATAGTGGCAAAGAAGACTACACAATTCTTGTGTAGAAACCAAGAAGAAGAAGCAAAGAAGGTCTTCAGTTGCATGTGAAATGCTCTCTGAAGACTGTCAACATCATATGAACCCATTGAGCTGACTTGGAATTCTAGCAGAAAGTTGGGGACAGACCAAGATAAAGGCAGCTTCGTGACAGATATTCTGGCCCTGATTTTTACCCTCATTCTGTAGTATGTGGCCTGGGACAATCTAAGAGTTCACTGAAATAATACAGGTCAAAAAACTCAAAAGCAAATGCAATAAAAACAACATAGGTGGGACTTAATTAAACTACAGAGTTTTTGCATGGCAAAACTCTACAGTCAGCAGAGTAAATAGACAACCCACAGAGTGGGAGAAAATCTTCACAATCTATACATCTGACAAAGGACTAACATCCAGAATCTACAACGAATGCAAACAAATTAGCAAGAAGAAAACAATCCCATCAAAAAGTGGGCTAAGGACATGAATACACAATTTTCAAAAGAAGATACCCAAATGGGCAACAAACATATGAAAAAATCCTCAACATAACTAATGATCAGAGAAATGCAAATGAAAACCACAATGCAATACCACCTTACTCCTGCAAGAATGGCCTTAATCAAAAAATCAAAAAATAATAGATGTTGGCATGGAT
Organism: Homo sapiens; assembly: GCF_000001405.40. Taxonomy (NCBI): domain Eukaryota; kingdom Metazoa; phylum Chordata; class Mammalia; order Primates; family Hominidae; genus Homo; species Homo sapiens. The sequence continues at coordinate 38,946,248 of NC_000023.11, read as the reverse complement.
GCAGTGAAAAAGGAATGCTTCTGCACTGCTGGTGGGAATGTAAACTAGTCCAACCACTATGGAAAAGCAGCGTGGCAATTTCTTAAAGAACTAAAAGTAATACTACCATTTGATCCAGCAGTCCCACTACTGGGTATCCACCCGGGGGAAAATAAGTCATTATATGAAAAAGATACTTGCACACACAAGTTTATAGCAGCACAATTCACAACTGCAAAAATGTGGAACCAACCCAAATTCCTATCAATCAATTAGCAGATAAAGAAAATGTGGTATATATATATATATATATATATATATATATATATATATATATATACACACACATATACACACACACACACACACACACACACACCACACACACACAATGGAATACTACTCAGTCATAAAAAGGATTGAATTAATGGCATTTGCAGCAACCTGGTTGGGATTGGAGACTATTATTCTAAGTGAAGTAACTCAAGAATGGAAAACCAAACATTGTATCTTCTCACTCATAAGTGGGAGCTAAGCTATGAGGATGCAAAGGCATAAGAATAAAGAATGAAGTCCTTGCCCATGCCTATGTCCTGAATGGTAATGCCTAGGTTTTCTTCTAGGGTTTTTATGGTTTTAGATCTAACGTTTAAGTTTTTAATCCATCTTGAATTGATTTTTGTATAACATGTAAGGAAGGGATCCAGTTTCAGCTTTCTATATATGGCTAGCCAGTTTTCCCAGCACCATTTATTAAATAGGGAATCCTTTCCCCATTGCTTGTTTTTCTCAAGTTTGTCAAAGATCAGATAGTTTTAGATATGCGGCGTTATTTCTGAGGGCTCTGTTCTGTTCCATTGATCTATATCTCTGTTTTGGTACCAGTACCATGCTGTTTTGGTTACTGTAGCCTTGTAGTATAGTTTGAAGTCAGGTAGTGTGATGCCTCCAGCTTTGTTCTTTTGGCTTAGGATTGACTTGACGAGTTAGTGGGTGCAGCACACCAGCTTGGCACATGTATACATATGTAACTAACCCGCATATTGTTCACATGTACCCTAAAACTTAAAGTATAATAATAATAAATTTTAAAAAATCTTTTAGCATAAAAAAAAAAGAATAAAGAATGACACAATGGACTTTGGGGACTCGGGAGAAAGGGTGGGAAAGGGGTGAGGGATGAAAGACTACAAATTGGGTTCAGTGTATACTGCTCTGGTGATGGGTGCACCAAAATCACACAAGTCACCACTAAAGAACTTACTCATGTGACCAAATACCCCCTGTTCCCTAAAAACCTATGGAAATAAAAAACTAAAAAAAAAAAAGAAAGAAATAATGCAGGTCAGAGGTGATAAGGGTTGGCACAAAGAAACAAGAGTGGAGGAGGTGACATAATCAGGAAATGGTTAAAAGAAAAACTGCCAGAGTGTGGGAAATGGGTGTAAAGAATAAGGGAAAAAGAAGAGTCTTGGATGACAACCTGGCCAAAGATGGTGCCATTAACCAAAATAGAGAAGTCAGGAAGGGGAGGCTGAATGGACAGATGATGAATTCTGCTTTGGGGCATATTAAGTTCAAGGGACCTGGAGGTGATTAAAGTGGAGGTACATTTTAACATATGTAACAGGAGAGATACATTTATGGTCATACCTCAGAGATATTGCAGGTTCCATTCCAGGCCACCACAATAAAGAAGGTTACATGAATTTTTTTGGCTTCTCAGTGCATATAAAAGTTATGTTTACATTACAAAGTAGTCTATTAAATGTGCAATAGCATTATGTCTAAAAAGTAATGTATATGCCTTAATTTAAAATACTTTATTGTTAAAAGAAATGCTAACAATCATCTCAGCCTTTGGGAAGTCCTAATCTTTTTGCTGGTGGAGAGTCTTGCCTCGATGTTGATGGCTGCTGACTGATCACGATGGTGGTTGCTGAAGATTGGGTGGCTTAAACAACACTGAAGTTTGCTGGATCAACTGACTTTTCATTTCACGAAATATTTCTCTGTAGCATGCAATGCTGTTTGATAGCATTTTACCAACGGTAGAAATTCTTTTAAAATTGGAGTCAATCCTCTAAAATCCTGCTGCTGCTTTGTTAACTAAGTTTAGAAAATATTCTAAATCCCTTGTTGTCATGTCAACAGTGTTCACAGCATCTCCACCAGGAGTAGATTTCATCCCAAGAAACCACTTTCTTTGCTCATTGATAAGAAACAACTCCTCATCTGTTAAAGTTTTATCATAAGATTGCAGCAACTCAGTCACATCTTCAGGCTCCACTTCTAATATTGGTTCTCTTGCTATTTCCACCACATCTACAGTTACTTCCTCCACTGGAGTTTTGAACCCCTCAAAGCCATCCATGAGGGTTGGAATAAACTTCTTTTAACCTCCTTTGACATTACGGTTATGATTTATCTCCTCCCATGAATCATAAGTTTTCTTACTAGCATCTAGAATGGTGGATCTTTTCCAGAAGGTTTTTAATTTACTTTGACCAGATTTGTCAGAGGAATCACTATGTATGGTAGCTATAACCTTACTATATGTATTTTTTAAATAATAAGACTTGGTAGTCAAAATTCCTCCTTGATCCATGGGCTGCAGAATGGAGGTTAAGTTAGCAGGCATGAAAACAACATTAATCGCCTTGTACATCTCCATCAGAGCCCTTGGATGAACAGGCGAATCGTCAAAAAGCAGTAATATTTTAAAAGAAATATTTTTTTCTGAGCAGTAGGTCTCAAAAATGGGCTAAAAGTATTCAGGCAGAGTAGATTTAGCCTAATCCTTAAGGCCTGGGGGCTTTCAGAATGGTAAATGAGCAATGACTTTAACTTTAAAGTCACCAGCTGCATTAGCCCCTAAGAAGAGAATTAGTTTGTCCTTTTAAGCTTTGAAGCCAGGAATTGACTTTTCCTTCCTAGCTATGAAAGTCCTTGATGACGTCATCTTAGGCTATTTTGTTTACATTGAAAACCTGTTGTTTAATGTAGCCACCCTCATCAATGATCTTAGCTAGATCTTCTGGATAACTTGCTGCAGCTTCTACATCAGCACTTGCTGCCTCACCTTGCACTTTTATATTATGGAGATGGCTCCTTTCCTTAAACCTCATGAACCAACATCTGCTAGCTTCAGACTTTTCTTCTGCAGCTTCCTCACCTCTCTCAGCCTTCATAGAACTGAAGAGAGAGTTAGGGCCTTGCTCTGGATTAGGCTTTGGCTTATGGGAATGTTGTGACTAGTTTGACCTTCTATCCAGACCATTAAAACTTTCTCCATATCAGCAATTTGGCTTTCTCATCATTCGTGTATTCACTGGAGTGGCAATTTTAATTTCCTTCAAGGACTTTTCCTTTGCATTCACAACTCTGCTAACTGTTTGGTACAAAAGATCTAGCTTTCAACCAATCTCAGCTTTTGACATGCCTTCCTCACTAAGCTTAATAATTTCTAGCTTTTGATTTAGTGAGAGATGTGTGACTTTTCTCTTCACTTGAACACTTAGAGGCCATTGCGGGGTTATTAATTGGCCTAATTTTAATATTAGTATGTCTCTGAGAATAGGGAGGCCTGAGGAAAAGGAGAGAGACCAGAGAATGATTGGTCAGTGGAGCAGTGAGAATACACATAACATCGATCAATTAAGTTCATTATCTTATATGGGCACGGTTCTTGGCATACCAAAACAATTATAATGTTAACATTAAGGATCACTGACCACAGATCATCTTAACAGATATAATAATGATAAAACAGTTTAAAATATTGTGAGAATTACCAAAATGTGACACAGAGACATGAAGTGAGCATATGATGTTGGCAAAATAGTGCCAATAGATTGTTTGAGGCAGAGCTGCCACAAACTTTAATTTGTAAAAAATGCAATATCTGTGAAGCACAATAAAGTAAAGCTCAATAAAACCAGGCATACCTGTAGAAGATATCTGCACATAGATTGTAAATGAAACCATGGGATAACATAAGTCATGGAATGTATACTGAATATAGAGAGAAGAGAAATAAGAATAGGTCTTTTGAGGAGCATCAATAGTTCAATACTTGTTGACCACCTAAATATAAACACTAAGAGACATTCATATGTCTAAATATCATGGGAAAATGGGATGTTTGGAGAAGTAGAAATCAAAACTGAGAGAAAAATACAACAGTATGACCGTGAATCTTTTTTTAAGGCACATGGGTAAAGTTGCAATATAAAGAGATCCATAACACACTTCAACAAAATCTTTTCGGAAATACAGCTCATGTTGGGATCTGCTCATAGATGAATGTCAAATTAAGAAAGGACTTAGCCTGGTGTACTGGATATTTTCAGCACCCTCAGTCTCTTCCAAGTGACTCAGCACTTGAGAAATGACAAGTCACTGGGGAAAAAGTTGATTCCAGTTGATCTTTTCTTAGAACTAGGTTCAGCTGTCAGAACTGTGAAAGTTCTGTTTTGCTTAGGCAAACAAGAATGATATCAGGGTTACATTAAGGGCACAGTTAAAGTGAATCTTCATCATCTAGCATATTTTTATCTTGCCCTACAGCAACATCATTCAAGTTAATTATAATTTTTTTCTCCAATAAGCCATCTCTCTTCTTTTAAGGAAATCTTCTAAATGGGTTTTTCTTCTGGCCTGAATGTCCACTGTCAGAATCACTGAGTCAAAACATTAGGGCAGCATAGACCTTAGGCTTCAACTATCTTAATTCTTTTACTGAGATGAAGATATTTAAATTATGCAGAGGTTAAATCAGGGTCCCAGTAAAATGCCTTCTGGGACCAGGTAGCTAACATCAATGAGTGCAGCAGGCCTTGAATTTTCTTTTTAAACACCCAGTTTTCCACTTCCACTATGAAATATGCCCCCACCTTGTGTTTCTTAAAATCATGTGGTCCTTGTGTTCTAGCTCCCTCCACATGCCCACCCCCACACAGGCAAGGCTTTCAATAGAGACATGGAAACAAAATAATATTTCTAATTACAGGGAAAGGAATCAGTAATTTTAAGCACTATGAGAGATGGTGACTGACATGGCTTCAGCATTGGAGGTCAGTAGGTAGTTAATTGAACAACTAATTGTTCAAGCTCTATCCCGAAGGTTCAGCTTCTCTTCAGCTTTCATCAATGGTTGGCTTGAAGGACTGTGAATCCATTGCTGCCAGACCTTCCAAATGTGTTTACTTCTCTTATCCTCTCTTTCATCAACAGGATACTTCATGTTCTTTATACTAACCCTAACTCATCTCCTGAAATTGGGCAACTGATTGTGATGAAGGCACAAATAACTTTTCTAGAGATTCTCTGTTACTCTTTGAGCATCTGTTGTTTTTTTCTGTTTTTCATGTGGATGGAGAAAGTTCCAGGTTTCTCCAGCCATGGTAATCTGGAACACAACACTCGTATTTTAGTTCTGTCTGCCTCTCCCTGTTTTTTTTTTCCTTTTTCAGAAGCAATTTCAAACATGAATAAGATTTTAAACAAACATGTAGTGGTTTCATCACACTGATTAGGTAACCAGAAGGGTAAGATAGGGCAGTTTTTCCAGAAGTTCATGGTTTAAAAATGCACATGGGTGCCAGAAACAGTTCAACATGCGTTTATCTCTAAGATTATCTACTTGAAACTAGAAGGTTGTCAGTGTCGATAGATTACAGGTAAACCCCAGATTAAAATCCAGGCTTGTGGGTGTATTAGTTGCCTATTGTTGCATTATAAATTGCCCCAAATTTTAGAAGCTTAAAACAACACGTTTATTATCTCACCATTTTCATGGATCAGAAATCTGGGCACAGCTTAGTTGGGTCCTCTATTTTAGAGTCAAGAGTCTATCATCAAGGTATTGGCCAAGGCTACAGTCTCATCTCAAGGTTCAACTGGAGAAGGATCCATTTCCAAACTCATATATATATATATATTTGCTGGCAGACTCCAATTCCTTAAGGGCTGTTGAACTGAGGGCCTCGGTTCCTCAATGGCTATTGCTCAGAGGCCATCCTCAATTTCTTGCCACACAGGCCTTTCCAACATGACAGCTTCATCAAGGCCAGCTAGAAAGAGAGTCTGCTAGCAAAAGGAAAGTCACAACCTTCTGTCATGACAGCTTCATCAAGGCCAGCTAGAAAGAGAGTCTGCTAGCAAAAGGAAAGTCACAACCTTCTGTAGCATAATCATGGAATTGACCTCTCATCATCTTTGCCATATTCTACTGGATAGAAAATAGTCATTGGATCCAGTTCACACTCAAGGTAAGAGGATTATACATGGATGTGAATTCCAAGGAGTGAGAATCAATAGGAGCCATTTAGAAGTCTGTCTACCACAGTGTGGTTCTAAGCATATGTTTCACTGTATCAACTAGAGTGATAAATGATAAGTTATTACTTGTCAACTATTGATAAGTGATAAGTTCTGTAGTTCTTATAAGAGAAACTTCTAAGTGGTATGGTCATGGATTCAGAATGCCAATAGTAAAAGTGAACAAGGATTGGTATGACATCTCATATTTGACAATATGGAAGGATAGATCCTATAACTGCTTATATCCTGTCTCTATTTTGCCTATTTCTCCTATAGTTGATCTGCATTTCTTGCACTATTTTGAAAAAAAGATAGCTATACAAGAAGAAGAATCAATTCCAAGAGAAAAATTGGGAATCAAACCTAGAGGTGTTACTACCTATACATATTACTACAATATCAATTCTAATAAATTTGAACTTTATTGTACTCCTTGAAACTGTAGGATGGTTGAGAAATAGAGATGTGTTGTTTTAGATAACACTGGCTGCTATAACAACAAAAAAAGCCCAGATTTCCCTGGCTGCACACAAACGAGGTTATTCACTGCTAATATAACCATGCAGTATGGGTTTTCCAATTCAGGTGGGACTCCTCCAAGTGGTGATTCAGGGATTTGGGCTCCTTCCATCTTGTTGCTCAACTATATTCAAAGTGGCTTCCAAGGTCACCCCAGAGGTTGTTTCTATTCCAGGAATCCATAAGGGGAAAAGAACATGAAGAAATGAAGAATAACATGTGATAGGTTTCTATGAGTCAGATGTGGACATAGTGCTTCCACTCAGTTCCATCAACTAGAAATTACAGGCCATTCATTACCACAAGGGAGGATGGGAAGGATAATCTGTCTATGTGCCCAGAAAAAATAAGAATCAGTTTAGTTAATAGACAGTTTCTGCCATAGTAGCTTTATCAAATTCATGCTTTTAACAATCATTAACTGAGTCTTCTATATGCCAGACACTATGCTAAATGTTGAGGATGCACACATGAATGAATGAATATTTGAAGAATATTCTTATTATATTCTTTGATATTCTTCAATGTCTGTGTTGTTTTTTAAAGTTTCTTTACCATTTCTTTACGTTTTTAATTTCTCATTGTTGGTAAATTGTCACTAAAGATGTCTGTCAATTATTTATTCTTCTGATTCTGAATGTACATGATCTTGCTTTCACTTAAGTGGAATCTATTTCTCCTACTGTTGAATCTATGATGGCCTTGTGACTTGTTGGGACCAATAACATGCTGTAAAATTGATGTGGTTTAATTCCACAGTATTTGACTTAGCCCTTAAGGAGTCTGGCACCTTCTATTTTCATGTTCTTAGAACCCTGAGACCACTATGCTATAAGGGAGTCCAAGCTAACAAAGCAAAGAGGTCATGTGGAAAAGAGCCAAAGCTTCCAAACTGACATCTCCAGCCCTATCATTACTTGACTACAGTTACATGAGTGACTTCAGCTAACACCACAAAGAGCAGAAGAGCTGCCCAGCTAAGTCCAACCAACCCACAGAATCATGAAATATAATAAATCATTGTTGTTTTGAGCGATTAAGTTTCACTGTGGTTTATTATATAGCAATAGACAATTGAAACATATTTTATTCATTTCCTTTTCCTTACTTCCATGTTCTTCACATTTCTGGCACGTCTTCCAGAACACATTCCCTCCTCCCAGAAGGAATTACTTACAAGGTATTAGAGGAAAATAGGTGAAATATGTCATAGAGTATAAATATACATGATTCAACAGGCACCCTGAGCAATCACAATGCTTCAAATCATTGATGCAGTGTTGGCAAAGTATTTATCTGCCCTCTAGAAAGTGTAACCAATGATAAAATGCCAAATGAACTTCGGATGTAAATTGCTCCTTTCCTAGGATATGACCTGTTACAGCCACATTTTGTAGGCGTGTAAATATTGATAAATGATAAGTCCTGCAGTTCAAATAAAAGAAAGTTCCAAGTAATACTGTCATGAATTCAAAATGCCAATAGTAAAAGTGAATAGAGATTGATATGGCATCTCACACTTGACAATATGGAAGGACAGATCCCATAATTGCTGATATCATGTCTCTATTTTGCCTATTTCTCCTCTAATTAATCTGCATTTCTTATATTGTTTTGAAAAAAAATAGTTATATGAAAGAAGGTTCAATTCCAAGAGAAAAATTGGGAGTCAAACCTAGAGATATTACCACCTCATGTCAAGGCCAACAAACAAAAGACCCACTCTTAGTTTGCAGAAAGGAGAAATGGCTCTTCTCCAAAGGATGAGTAGAAATGATTCTATTATTGGTCCCTGTCCAGCTTTGGCTAAGCCTTTCTTAGTCTGCTCTGTCCTTGAGTACTCTGAAAGTATTTGTCTGGCAGCCCATCAGCTATTTACCTTGGGAGGACAGAGGGGAAGTAGAAAGAACCAGAACAGAGACAGCAGGCACTCTTTATTTGCATTTCTCCCATAACATTACTCCTAAGCTCAGAAGAAGTTTCCATAATGGAGGCACAAATAACCTTTCTAGAGCTTCTCTGTTACTTTTTGAGCATCTGAGTCTTCACACAGAAGCCTGGCATCACTGAGCTTCATATCACAGTCTGTCATTTGGATTACTCGGGTCTGCTTCTGAGCAGATGATATCCTATATTCAATGTTCATGTTATGACTGAGGCATCTTTATTATGGTTAATCACCATCAGTCAACAAGACTTGCCTTTTTACTTCACAGAAGAAACATAAAATATTCTTCATGCCAAGGCTCTGCAGATCAAATAGAGTCAAGGCTTATTTCAGGAGAGAGAAAACATCTGGGGAAAAGAATAAAAGAGTTAGTGAGTAATTCCATGGTAGGTGGTTACATTGCCTGCACTTGAATGGGTTCTAGGAGTTGGGGACCAAAGCCACTTTCTCCTTAAAGATCTAAGGGTGACAAATTTCCCTTTATTTTTAAGTCAATTCTAAAATCATTTAAAATAAGTACATAAGTGTAAAATGCATTGCTTTGAAAATGCTAAGCTAATTTATCATCAGTGATAGTGGTATTCTTAATTTTTTAGAATTAAGAACATTTGTAAATTATTCAGATCATAGTTTATTCTACTCACACACATTGTGATTGGGTATGTGGGACAGAAGTCCAACAGAAAAAGATTAAACTATGCAAAAATAAATATTTTAATGCTTAAATCTTTCATGATTCTTTTTTATATACCTTTCTTTTGATTTGTACCTGCCAAAGGGAATTTTCTTCGTTGACCTTTCTGAATTGAAAACCAATAGAGTCAGTTAAAATAAAAGATCCAAGAGTGAGAATCTCAGCATTTGTAGTCAGATGGCAGCTGGGATAGGAGTCATCTGACAACTTCACAAGGCTGAACATTCAAGATTGGCTTCTTCACTCACATGTCTGGAGCCCAGTGTTCCTTTCATATGGCCCCTCTCTTCAGCAGGGTAGCCTTGACTTTCCGCATGAAGACTAAGGGTCAAGACTGGACCACAACTGGAAAGGCATCATACTGCAATATTCTATTGGTCAAAGTAGTCAGAGTCCAGCCCACATTCAATGGGATGTAAGAATGGTTACCATATCTTAATGGAACCATAGCATATGTTTACAGGAAGAGAAGGCATTCATGGGGGCCATTTTGAGGGGCAAGTACCTGCATGTCCCCTTTCACTCTCAGAATGTTCCTAGTTTTCAAAATAAATCTGTAGTCTTAAGAAGTTGGGATAGTGGTTCCACTTGAGAGAAGGGAAGTGACTGGCAGGACTACAAGGGGGCTTTTGGGGTGCTGAGAATGTTCTGCTTTTTTGATCTAAGTGTTGATTACACACACATGCTCACTTTGTGAGCCTTCATGAAGCTGTACACTTGTGATTTGTCCACTTTGCTATATGAATATCACACTTCATTAAAAAGTTTATGTAAGGTGAAAAAATAACTACAATCTTAAAAAGTGACTTTTTTGATGATAAATTATAAGGAAACTATGTCTTTTACCCAGCTCCCGGCTATATAAGAGGAGCCAGATATTCACTTGAAGTTAAAGGGAGAGAGAGAGGGATTACAGTGCTGGTGTTCACCACCGCTGTGACTGAGGAAAATAGGGTATTTCCTCTTCACCTAAATTGCGTGACAAGGGCTTTAAGAGAACACATGAGAACCTGGCCAATGCTCTCTGAAGCTTGAAGGACATAAAGGCAGCCATCGAACTGCCTCCTGGGGAAATATGAAGGTATGAGCCTGTGGCTGCCCAGCTGCCCCAGAAGCAGCATAAAGAGAGGTAATGTTCTGGGAACTACCAGCACTTCCAGTGCTGGAGGGTCAAGAATGCATGCACATTTCCCTTGAGTCAGATGTGGACCTTGGAAGGGATCTAGACCAAGCCATCCCAAGAGGGCTCTGCCAAAGTGGCCACTTGTAGGGCGATTGGCCCCATCAAGGGATGAGTTGTCCCATAGCCAGGACTCTGAGGGAGAAGCCAACCAGAGGATGCTCAACCTCATCAGAGGCCTACTAGTGAGAAAGTCCCAGGAATGCAAAGTCCCTGAGGGACCATAAGAGCTACCAAAACAAGAGTTAGCTTTGAACTGGCATGTTCCCTTGCGAGTAATAAATGCACCAATCTAGCAAGGGATTCCCTGCCCTGGCTACTCAGCTTTCCTATGCATCAACTATGGACGGGCTGAAAATGGTAGCTAGAAACTGAAACAGGCACTGAAAGGAGAAAAAGAGACAAAGGACATCAACTGTGGCCTCTCTCTCCTCTCCCCTGCATACATCCCAATCAGAGGTAGGCTGACATGGGGCATGGGGAAAGAAGGTGCCTGAAATTAAATAAAAGATTGAAGTTTTCAGGTTAGACTGGATGGGACATTTTATTTATTGAAATTAGATTGCACTGGAGACTGATGGGGATTGAAAACCTATGGGACCAGTCTGAGATTTCATCTAGGAGTGAGAAAGACCTATCTGAGAAATCGCGTTTGATAAGGCAATAGAAGGAATAATGAACTATTTTCTTCTCACAGCCCCACACAAGTGGAGATATAAGTAAAACACCAATTATAATGTATGCTTCTGTCCTTTGTTAGCTTGTGACTTCAAGTAAGATTGCTGCACTACCTTATACTCAATATTAGGGCACAAGCCTGCACCAATCCAATTGTTAGAGTCAGTACTCTTGAAAGTGTTCTCCCCTCAAGCTATTTTAGGGTGTTCTCCATGACACTGATTCACATGTGCTCCTGAAGAAGCTTCTCTGTTTCTTCCATCCACACTTCTTCATCTGCATCTTCATGCACTAATAGCAATTGAGCTTACTATGCTCTTAGCACTACCCTGGGGCAGGAGGAACAATCACCAAAACAATAGAGTGGCAGCCCTCTGGAAGTTTGCAGTCTATTAGGGGAGACAGAGTCACATAATCACACAAAGGAATGTAAAGGAGAGCTAAGAAGAATGGGTGAGGATGTGGCACTGGGAGAGCAGCAATAGGAAGGTTAGAGAGGTGCCATCTAGCAGAAGGGAGATCAAAGAGTTGTCCTCAGAGAAACTGATGATTAAGATGAGATCTAAAAAAGAGTCAGCGTTGACCAGGTGAAGGAGAAGAATATTTCCAGTAGAGGGAACTATGTGGGTTGAGCAAAAGAAAGAGGGGCTGGAATACAGAGCCCAAGAAGGAACACTGTGCTGGGTGGAGAGGTAGGAAGGCACTGGGACATGGGGGGCTCTAGGGCCCTGTAAGTCCTGTTAATGATTTTGGACTTTATTCCACGAGAAAGGGCACTAGAAAGCCATCACAAGGTGTTTTGGGTATGAAGAAGAAATTATCAAAATTGACCCTACCCTTAAAATACAACTTAATCCGACTACTTCCCCCATCCCCACTGCCACCAGCCTCACTCAACCCACCATCATTGATGTCCATGCCATCTGATCTCTGAAACCACCTCCCAAGTGACATTCCTACTGATTCTCTAGCCCCTACCTCCATAGTCTGTTTTCCATACAGCAGCCAGTCATTCTTCTAAAGTGTAAAATTGATCATGTCCTCTTTCTGCTCAAGACCCTTCAGTGTCTTCCCGTCATCCTCAGAAAATGACACAAAGTCTGTACTGTGGTCTACAAGGTCTTGTGGTAGATGGCCTCTGCCTGGCTCCCCAAGCCCCTCTCCTAACACTTCTCTCTCGCTCACTCCTCTCCAGCCCACTGGCCTCCCCTCCTTGCTGTCCCATGTCCAAGCTAAGCATGTTCTCACTGCAGGGTATTTGCAGTTAGTGTTCCCTCTGCATGCAATTATCCTTTCCCAGAATGATGTGTGGCCCTCAACCTCCATTTACCTAGGATTCAAATGTCACCTCATCAACAAGGTCTTCTCTAAAAGAGCACCTTGCCACTTCTATCTCTATTAACTCTCTTTCCCCTTTCCTTGCATTATTTTTTTTTTGGAGGACTCACTAGTCACTAGTACCTGACATATTTATTTTATTTATTTGTGTCCCAACCACCTCCACCAGAGTAAGCTCCATGTGGGCAGGAACTTTGTCAGTCTTGTATATTCCATTGCCAAAGATAGTGCCTGGCACACACTGGTCTCTTAGTGACTATTTGCATACGAATGCATGCCTGGATACAAGGAAGAAATTAGATGAGGATAAGAGCAAAAGCAAAAGGACAACTCAAAGTCTGTTGTAGATTTCTAGGCCAATAATCATCAGCAGGAGGGGCCAGCATGGGAGGCTCATATTCCAGGAAATGCATGAGATGGGCATCTGTGGCAGTATGAAGAAAAATATAAAAATATATTATTCTAAAGAAAAAGAAAAAAATCTTCAGAAAAACAATGGTGCAAACAGATGGTATTTCTAAACAAAGTATGTATATTTGGGGTCTGTGTTCAAAATGTGTTAATGATAGTGGTGCATGATCAAAATGCTTAGAAATCGCTGAGGGACTATGGGAGCTTCGACTAAGATGGTGGAGGTGGGAATGCATTGAAGTGGACAAATCAAAGGAACAAGCAAAGATCAGACTGTGAAGGCCTGAGGCGACCTTGGCCATAAAGAGATGAAGGATAAGGATGCATGAGAAGACTGGCCTCCATGATTAAACAGATGATAGTGTCATTACCAAAAAGAGAACCAGGATTGAGGATGCAGCAGAGACAGTCAGTGCTCACCAATGTTGGCATTCACCTCTTCCTCCTGGACTCCACTGGACTATACATTTTTTTGTCCCTTGCACTTAAATGTGGCCATGAGAATGGGTTCTGGCCAATGACATATGAGAGGAACTGATGTGCGTCCCTCCCCAGCTGGCAACTTATGACAGTAGGAGAGCCTCATCCATGCTTTCCTCTCCCTCGCCACCAGCTGGGACCTGGGGAAAGAGTGAGCCAAAACCAGCTGGACACCATTTAGACATGGGCACCAGAACTAGCTACATAATTTATTAAACCCAGTGCGAAATGAAAATGCAGGACTCCTCACACAAAAACAGAGAGAAAAAAAGAACATGCCACTAAAAATCCTAAGTACAAAGCTTCATGCTTTCTTCTGCAGTCTTTCTTTTGAACCATCCTGGTGTTTTTTATTTGTTATTTAATAGCACACTCTCTTGGGCATGGAGAAGCTGTGGGGGCCTCCACCTTGTGACTTAGTGCATGCATGCATACACTCACAGCCCACCGGCTGCCAAGTTCACCCTCCCACCAGATGCCGGACCAACGTACAATGCCCCAGCCAGAGACAGGGAAGTTGGGCCAGACAGCTCCTCTTTCCATAAACTTGTCATACCAACCCATAGCCAACCCCTGCCAAGTCTCCCACCAAATATGGCACGCACTGCAAGCCCAGGGCAGAGGTGGCTGCAGCTGTGCCCCACAGCGAGATGGGAAGGATGCATGCTCCCAGACCCAACCTTCCTGCACCTGTACTCAGGCCCCCTATGAGAACAGAGGACAGAAGTGGGGCCTCAGGATGGGGACAGGACAGCAATAGGCCAAGAATCCATTCTGGAGAAGAAGGGAGGCAGCAGAAGGCAGGACCACAAGTAAACTGATGCTCCAAACCCCAAGTGCTATTGTGTTCCACAGTACCATTGAACTCTATTTATCAAATACAAATTCAAAGATAAGATGATTAAGAATTTCAAGATGGCAAATGCAAGGCATTAAACCCCACACATGAGGCTTTTCTGAATATGGAGCCCTGAGCTACTATAGCACTGCTCGCAAGGTCATGAAGCCAGCCCAACTGGGCATCTTTATATTTGGTGAGAGATCTGTGACTTCTGAACCAGGGCAGGATGGTAGCCTTTGGCTTTACCACCCGAGGTTAGAGAATCCTGGTTGAGTCTGGGAACACAACCCTTAGCCCTTGCTCTCTTCACACTGAGGATGTTTTCCTGAATACAGCATGGGGTTAGAGTGCTAACACCTCAACCCTCTCCATCGGAGCTTGTCCATTCTTACTTTTCTACCACACTGTGAGACTAAACCAACAACCCCCTCCCTCTCCCACCCCACCCCCAACACAGACTTAAACTTTTTTCACTTCTCCAACTGCTTTGACTGGATGTTGGCTTGCACAACATTTTCTAGGATAAAGAGGAGGAGGGCTTGGTTTGAGTGACAGATCTGGTGAATGGGGCAGGGGAGGAAGGGGAGCACAGAGGTGGAGGACAAATAGCGCTGAGAATGCTGAAGAGGTTCTTTTCACCTCTGTGCAAGTCCCAGGAATTAATGTTCCTATGGTATACTCAACCAAAACTTTCTGAAGCTCTGGAGAAATTGTCTGGGGGCCAGGAACAGTTGTGGAGGCTGTGGGAGAGGAGAGTCACAAAACATCACTGAAGCAAGGAGAATTTCAGTACATTAAATAAAGGTTAAGAAGAATCCTGGTTATTGTTAATTGCTAATCACCTGCTACTTAAGGGCTTGGAAAACAGACACTCATCTGATCAAAGGAAAAATGTTAAGTTTAGATAAGCCCCTCCAAAACACTCACCCAGCTGCCCAGTGGAGTGTGTACGCATACACACACAGCGGAAAAAAAAAGGCAATTTCAAGCAGAATCCAATAATAATAATAATAATATAATACTTACAGGATTTATTACTGTGTACCTGGCACTCTTTAAAACACTTTATTTGTAGTAACCAATACAACCCTCACAACCAATAATATGAGATATTATTATTATTATTATTCCCACTTTACAGGTGAGAAAACTGAGGCATAGAGGGTGACATCACTTGACTAATGGGTTTATGTGCTGTAATTGTGTACACAGGACCAACTCAACCACGCACCCAATCAGAATTCCTGGCATTAGAACATTGTTTTCCAGAAGCGGTTCTGGAAAGAAAGTGTATTCAGCTGCACAGATAAAGTTTAAGAGGAAAGTAAACCCAAAGCATAAAACTACAAGCCTTAAAATATATCCCTAAGCACTTCTGTTCCCATTTCCCCTGTTGAAGTTCATGTAGAGGCACAGGCTCTGACTATGGGGAAGGGTGAAGAGGAGATGATGTGACCACATAAGGTGTCACAGCAAAGAGTAAGGCCTTCCCATAATTCCCATCTGTTCCTGTTCCTGAGAATAAACAGAAAGTTCCCACGTGGACTCATTTTTAAAACACTGGCAAGAAGCATGCCAAAGAGGTCCTGACTCATGGCTGACTGGTGGCCACTCCTGAGCCATGCTTCATCAGCATGGCCCTAAAAGTCCCTTCATACCAAAGCAGTGACCTGCCTAATATAGCAGGGACCCTATTTTTAAAAAGGTTCAAATGAGCTTGCGGAGAGCCAGCAAGTCATGCCATCAACACAATTTTATGAAAACCCAGGCCAGGCCATCTGTGTAGCCTTCAAATAATGCTGAGTCAACACAGCAGCAACAGCAGCAGCAGGAAGAGAAGCTGCTACTTAGTGAGGGCCTCCTCTGGGTAAAACCTACTGAGCATTCTTATAATACACTCTCTGGTTTCATCCTGGCAGCAGTCCTGCAGGAGATGGTTTGTTATCCCCATTTTACAGACAAAAAGCAGCCTCAGGAAGGTCAAGCTACTATCCTGCAGTCACACAGGCCGTGATCTCCACAGCTTCTGGGAGCTCTGTGTTAAATGTCACTCTGCAGTTCCAATTTCCGGGGATGTGACACTTGTGCTACAGGAGGTTGTGCACTGAGGACCTAAAAAGGAGACAAATCGTATTGGCCAGCTGTTGCCCCTGCACCCCTCAGTCTATGGAATCAGTCCCTCAGGCATCAGCACGGAAATCCTCTCTGAGTTTGTGGAGACTAAAGGGCTTCAAGAATGGAGCACAGACCCCAATATAAAAGCGAACTTTACAAAATTTCTAGAAAAAAAGTGAGAAAATATTTGTGACATTGGGGTTGGCAAAGATTCCTAAGTAATAATAACAAAAGGCATGGAGTATAAAAGAAAAAATAGACAAATTGGTCTATATCAAAATGTAAATATTAGGCTTTTCAAAAAATACCTTTAAGAAAATGAAAAAGGCAAGCCACAAATGGTGAGAAAATATTTACAATACCTATATTTGGCAAAGGACTTGTATCCAGAATATAGAACTCTTACAACTCAATAATAACACAAACAAATCAATTAAAAATGGGCAGATACTATATTTGATTTTAATTTTTTAAATAATTTTAACTTGTATTTTAGATTCAGGGAGTATATGTGCAAGTTTACTACATGGGTATATTGTATGATGCTGAGGTTTGGGATACGATTGATCCTGTCACCCTGGTACTGAGCATAGTACCCAATAGGTAGTTTTTCAATCCTTGTTCCCCTCCCTTTCTCCACGCCTCTAGTAGTCCCCACTGTCTATTGTTGCCACCTTTATGTCCATGAGTACTCAATGCTTAACTCCCACTTATAAGTGAGAACATGTGGTATTTGGTTTTCTGTCCCTGCATTAATTCACTTAGGATAATGGCCTCCAACTCCATCTATATCCCCTTTAAAGGACATGATCTTGTTCTTTTTTATGGCTGCATAGTATTCTATAGTGTATACATACCACAGTTTCTTTATCCAATCCACTGTTGATGGGCACCTGGTTGATTACATGTTTTTGCTATTGTGAATAGTGTTGCAATGAACATGCAAGCACATGCGTCTTTTTGGTGAAATGACACCAAAAAGTGGTATATATTCTTTTGGAACCAAAAGGTGGTATATATTCTTTTGGCTATATACCCAGTAGTGAGATTGCTGAGTTGAACAGTATTTCTGTTTTAAGTCCCTGGAGAAATCTCCAAACTGCTTTCCACAGTAGTTGAACTAATTTACATTCCCATAAACAGTGTAAAAGTGTTCCCTCTTCTCCACAGCCTCTCCAGCATCTGTCGTTTTTTTGGTTTTTTAATAATAGCCATTCTGACTGGCGTGAGATGGCATCTCATTGTGGTTTTGATTTGCATTTCTCTGATGATTAGTGATATTGAGCATTTTTTATATGTTTGTTGGTCACTTGTATGTCTTCTTTTGAGAGGTGTCTGTTTATGTCTTTTGTCCATAAAAAAAAATGGGCAAATATTTTAACAGACACTTCCTTAAAAGAAAAATACAAATGACCGACAAGCCAATGAAAATGTGGCTCGGCATCATTAGTTGCAATGCAAATCAAGATATTCCTACATATCCACTAGAGTGGCTATAATTGAAAAGTCTGACAATATCAAGAGCTGACAAGGATGTGGAACAAGTAGAACTTGCTTACATTGCTAGTGAGATTGTGAAATGGCACAGCTACTTTAGAAACCAGTTTGGTAGTTTCTTATAAAGTTAAACATACACCCACCAGATGACCCATTCATTCCACTTCTAGATATTTACCCACAAGAAACAAAAATATATGTCCATACAAAGACTTGTACAAGAACATCCGTAGCAGCTTTATTCATAATAGCAAAAAACTAGTAACAACCCAAACATCTATCAACAGGAGAACAAATGAACAGACATTTGTACATCCATACGATGAAACTCTATTCAGCAATAAAAAGGAACAAACTACTGAGGCAGGTAACACCATGGCACGAATGAATCTCAAAATATTTATGCTGAATGAAGGAAACCAGACAACATAAAAATGCACACATGGCAGGATTTCATTTATGTGACATTTGAGTACATACAAAACTAATCAACAGTGACAGAAAGCAGATCAGTGGTTGCCTAGGGCCAGGGATTGGAGTGGGGTTGGCTGCAAATGGAACAAGAAAAATTAGGAGGGTAATAGAAATGTTCTATATCTTGATTCTGGGGGTTACACATACTACGTATGGGTATATAAATTTGATGAAACTCTTAGAACTGGATGTTTAAAATTGACACATTTACTTTATGTCAACCATACCTCAGTAAAGCTGATTTTGGAAACTGTTTTGTGAAAGGGCAGGAATTCAAACAACAAGGTGGAAGGTTAGGTGAATGGGCTATAGTAAGTGATGAGATCAGAGTAGGGGAAGGGGAAAAGGATGAGAGCTTCCAGTTCTGGCTGATAATCTGGCTCTGCCATTTGTCACTCTGGGAGCTGCAGCAGGTCTATGTGGCTTTGGGCAAGGAAGTTAACTCCTTTCACACTCAGTGTGAAATGCAACAATGAGGGTGGTGGATTTATTTCCCACAGTCATTTCTAGGGCTAAGAGACCATGACTCCTGGCTGCCCTCAGACTTGAAGACATCCAGAGCTATCTATTGCTTTTTCATCGTGAGGCCTGACATTCCTGCTGCCTGCCGGCACCAGACCTCTCTAACTGGGAAAGTGAGACTTCTATGTGACACGTGCTCCGCATTAAGCATATAAATCTGACTCCTCACGGGTCCCTGCAAAAGAAAAGGATCCTCTTTTCCAAGTATGTATGCATGCTTCTCTCCCAAAAAGGACAAAGTATTTTCAAATGTAGGAAAATTGCACCTGTCTGCTTGTGTTCTCATTGTGGAAGATCCCTGTTTTGAAGGCTGCTGTTAGAAGGTGGATTTATTCAGCCACCCATTTGGTGATGCATCTGTTCATCTACTCGTTCATTCATCTGACAAACATATTTGAGCCCCTGCTCAGTGCTCAGCTTACCATGGTGAACACTCATGTTGCCAGCCAGGATCTCACTGCCTCATAGGACAAGGAGGGGCAGGGGGCCACAGGCAGCTGACAGGCCATTACAGCCAGGTGTGGCAAGAGCCCTGGAGCACACCTCCCTGGGACCTTGCCTGCCCTCAAAGTGCTTTCATCCCACAGAGATCACCCCAGTCTTTTTGTCAAAGGGTGGCCCTCATGCTGCTAGAGCCTGCTTTGCCTGCACCAAAGAAAACCAGAAGTATCTGGGAACTTTCCTTTCCCCTTCTCTTAACCAATGACTACTAATGCAGGTGTAAATAGTCTAGCTCCCTTGCCCCCTGTTAGGAACAGTACTGCGCTGTGGCCTTCACTGCCTCCAGAGCTCAGCTCTGGGAGTGAGACAAAGTTATAATACCTACCCTCTAGAGGAGCTGGCTTAATAATGCACCCTGGCTTGGCTTCCTCCCCTTCTGTCTCCTGCTTCCCTACTCCCCTATTGTTATTCCTGGAAACACTTCCTAGTAAATGACTTCCCCAGGAATCCTCACTTCAGGGTCTATTTCTGAGAAACCCAACCTAAACATGCTCCAACTGTGGAACACCAAAGTGGAGCTGTGGAGGCAACTGGGAGGGGCACTGGAGTCTGAGAAACCTAAAAAAGGAGCAACAGTGTGTGCAAATGTGTGTGTGTGTGTATACATGTGTGTATGTAGGTGTGTGTTTGTGTTGGGTGAATGTGGAAGAGCAAAACCATCAGCAGAGGGAGAAGCAGGCACCAAGGCCCCAGACTGTGGGAAATTTGAGACAGCACGTTGGCCAGTTTAGCTGGAGACCAGCACACACAGCAGGAAGTGGGGAGACATGAGACTGAAGGGGTCCATAGAGAATGGAGGTTATGAAGGTCTGAGTCATAATCAAGAACTTTATCTTGGACGGTCATACACAAGGTAGCAACCAGATTTACTCTTTTGAAAGATCACTCTGTTTGCAATGGGAAGAACATATTTGAGAGGAGCAAAACAGAAGTCTGGGAGCAGTTAGGAGGCTGTCACAGACATCCAGAAAATAACTGAAGAGATTATAAGAGTGGAGTAGGAGACTGTGGAAGGACTCAAGAGATCCTCCTAAATCATAGTCAACAAGACTCAAGTTTTGATTGATTGAGTGACTCATTATACAGGGGTGGTGGGTAAGAAAAGAGAGAAGGCAGAAATGATTCCTAGATGCTGTCACAGGTACAGTTCCCTGGGAAGCAGACTCCTATTTGGAGATTGGCATGCAGGAAGTTTATTGGGAAGTGCTCTCAGGATTGACCCTTATTGGGAGAAGGGGAAGGAAGCAAGATGGGACAGGGGGAGGAGGTAGCCTATGATACAAGTCACAAGAAGGCCTCAGCCAGACTCACAGGGAGCTCTGGAGCCAGGAGAGCCCTGAAGAGTTATCTTGAGTCAAGGCAAGGGAGCCAGGCCTCCACCCACTCACATCAACAAGCCATTGGATGCACCAACCTTGGGTGATATGGTTCCCTTCAGCTGATGGCCATTCGTGGAAAAGGCTAATAGCTGAGCCATAAGCTGACAACCTTCTCAGTAGCTGATGAAGGGGGGCCTTCCATCATAGCAGGGATTCTGGTTGGCACAGCACAGTAGCCACAACAGACTGGAATGTGAGATGCTTGTGAGACTTCCAGTGGGTAATCCATGCTCCTTGTGTCTGAATCTCAGGAGTGGATGAGAAAACCTGGGAAGAAGGAGTTAGGTACTGGATCTTGGCCCCTTTGGGGGTCACAGACCCTTTTGAAAAGCTGATGAAGGTTCTCCATATTCACAAGTTTAAACATAACTTTGCATGGCATTTCAGAGGCCTTAGTTTTGGTTCCTCCAAAAGCTGACTCTAGGACAAAGATTTGAATGTGAGAAATTTGTTTGGGACGTGATCTCAGAAAACATGGAGACGGGGTACAGAAATGAGCAAATGACAAAGAAAAGAGAAAAGCCAATAAAGATGCATCAATGAACAGGTGGGTAACTGGGGCTCAATTCTTCTGGGGCCCCTCTGAGAAACCTGTGGAACACGCCCTAGAAGAATCTCACCTAGGTACAAGAAAACTGAGGCATTTGTCTACAGTTTCCCATCCCTCATTGGTTGAAGGGCACCTCTGGGGGCATTAATTCTCTGGCCCTTTTGTTCACCTAGGACACAGTCCCTACCCAGCCCTTATCCCTGCAGGCCCAAGAACAACATGGCCCAGTAGCCAGAGAACACTCTCAGGCAGACAGGTACAGGTATTTGCAGTAAGAAGCCATCAGATTGTCCCTAAAGGTGAGAGCCCAGGAGACATGAATATGGCACCACCAACATCTGCCACAGAGCTCATAGATTCCTGGTTAAGAATTTCTGCCAGAGAACACTGAGGAACACCAAAATGGCAGAAGGCGTGGCCAGAGAAGTAAGAAAAAAACCAAAGCAATGGTAAGTAGTCAAGACACACAGACATCTAAGATACCCAGCTTCCTCCAACTGGGTTCCCATTGGAGCCACTGAGGAACTAACTGCTGTCACTGAGCCTAGTTTTCCTGTAGAAACTCTGAGCTCCCCAGTTCTGATACTGCCTGCTTTGACAACTCAAAGAACAAATAGGAAGCTGAGGTTGCCAATTGTTGGAGAGCAGTTTGAGGAATTAGGATGCAGCTCTCAGGGGGCCAAGATGGAAGGAAATATTTAATCCTTCATGGGTGCAGTGATGGGTCTGGAAAGTGTATAGAGGAGAACAGGCCACTTTCCTTTATGCCACAGGAACTCCTCGATTCAAATGCCATTCAGCTAGAAGAGGCAGAAAGCAAAACAAATCCTTTGGCTGTCATTTTGCATGGGGCTTTTTACATGTAAATCAAGGGGTACAAATGGCATTTTCCATCAGTCATAAGTGTCAAAAGCCCAGAGAGCTGCAGCTGTTATTCTGCAATATTTACCCATTGACCATTTAAACAGCCAATCAAGTTCCTTCCGGAAAACAAGGTTCTGAGTCCAAGTTCCAAGTTCAACCACTTGAAATGTTTGACCTGAGTGAAGTCATGAAATCTCAAAATGTCCTTACAAAGGGGGGTTTCCTCAAGTGGCTGTGTTGGTTTTTGTGGTTGTTATGTGGTCATCAGGTTTGAGTTTGCTTGCTCCTCAAAACACCTCCTGCTACAAACAAATTGCCCTTGGACAAGGAGTTGGCGACCTCAGGGGACAAAACACAATGCACACACATCTAAGGAAAGGTTAAGAGGAACTCAGTAACCTTGGGATGGTCTGGAAATGAGCAATGCTAACACAGTACCTTCCCACAGTGGCCGCTCAGTAAATAGTTGTGTAGTGGCAGCTGTTGCTGCTGATATTCTGTAGGCAAAACCCACTGTGACCGTTTCCTCACACTTGGGAGGGACGGATGGGCTGATATGGCTGATATGTTTATTTATATTTTCATAAGATTATAAAGCACTTGAGTGTGAAGATTATAAATCCCATGGTCCCCTACCTCACTCCCCTATGTAGACCCAATCACAAGCAAGTGTCCTCCAGATTATACCTTAGGTTGTTCTGCTAATCATTTTGTGAAGATTTGGGTAAAACAGGGAGAAGATCACAGGTTAAAACAAAAGGGCAGAGCTCCTGCATTGTTCTCTTACCTTTCTACTGTTGAGTGATCTCAAATGAATTACTAAATTCTTCTGAGTTACAGTTTTCCCAACCAGAAAATGGATAAATCACCCCGTTTACAAAGTGCTCCGATAAGACAACTGGAAATATAATCAAAAGTTTATCAAGTGAGATCTCTCAACTAGAATAAAAATTAAACCATGACATTTGGGATAAAACTCAATATTTTGTTAGTCAAATTCCATCGAAATTATACTTAGGTACATTAACTTAATTTAAGAACTAGTGGCAAATTATATTACTATTTGACACATAACTGCTCTGCATAATTATTCAATCAGAGCTCCCCTGAAACAAATTAATGCTGATGCAACCTAATTTTTTTTTAAATTTGAAATAGTTCAAGAATACAGAAAAGTTTCAGGAATAATATAATGAGCACTCATACACCTACCATCTAGCTTTGTTGAAGATTCACATTTTGCCATATTTTCTTCACACATGTTCTTAAGATATCAACACACTAGAAGCCCAGTGGAAGCTCCCTGTATATTCCTTCCTCATCCCATTCCTTTCCTCTTTTCCTAGGGATAAGAACTTGGAATAGATATGACTGGTGCTCTGTGTCACATGTCCTCAGCCCATCTCTGGGTTCAACCACATTGGCAGTATCCCGCTTCCAGGGCCCACCTGAAGTCTCCAATTCTTTATGAAAAGACTTTTCCTCAAAACCCTCAAGAACACACTTGATCCTCATAGGCACATCAAGGAAGTATGGAGGAATTAACAACCCAAGGAGAAACATCAACCAATTGGGACAGAGCCAGTGCATATATAAAAGCTCTTAGAACAGACAAATCTCAGAAGTCCCATTGGAGTCCAGCCCTTTTGCGCACAGCAGTAAAGTCAACAACACACTCTTTCTTGGCTTTTTCCCTTCTTTGTCGCCATCTCCCTGCTCCCTGGGATCACCCTCTGATAAACACTGAGCATTCAAGTCCTGTTCTCAGGATTGGCTATGGGGATACCCAACCTAAGACATGCTCTCCTAGAATTTTATACTGCTTATAGGCAGGCATGGTTTGATGCTTTTATCACTGATGTGCTTGCATACATCCAGAAACAATAATAGTATTCTTTTTTCACGTTTTAAAACCCTTTTAAAATGGTATCATACTGTACTTACTTTTTGCAGTTATGACTTTTTTTACTCATTTTGTAGTTTTCTAGCACATGGAAAAGTAACCAGGCACAAAATACATTTGGTTTCCAAATGTTGGACAACTGTATTATATCCAACACACTATATGTTAAATCTTTCTCAATTCATAACACATTAACATCTAAAGGGGCTTTTAAAATTGAAAATCTCAGTACAGAGTAAATTTTCCAACTAGATGCAAATTTTTATATACACAGAATACTGAGAATAATATTTTAGCAAAAGTATTAATTTTCTGGGGTAAAGAATTACCTTGTTGCACTAAATAAGGCATTGACTGTAATTGTCATGTCCTAATAACAAATTCTTGCAATACTGCAGCCTTTCCTGTTATGATGAGATTTTACATGTATTATCTCAGTCAAACCTCTCAACTCTGTAAAAAGCTGTTTGATTTATTTGTTTCCCACACACATCTAGCTCAATGCCTTGCACATAGCAGGCACTCAATAAATATTTGTTGATTGAATGAATGAAAGAATGAACAGCTTGCCATTTTATTCATGAGAAAATTGAAGCCCCCCCTAAAAAAAATGAAGTCATCAAGTATGCACAACTAATTAGTGGTAGAGCTGGAAGTAGAACCTAGGTCTGGGAGCCAAAATTTGATTCAGGACATTTTGAAATCTCTGTAATAATATGTTTTATTGAGTATCTTCTGTAATTAGTGGTTTTACTAGTCCCAGTCCAATAATTTCTTTTGTAGATGGACCAGTTTATCAAAGCAATACGATAGAATATTTTCCCTTAACATAGAATCCTGGCAGAATCTAGACTATAACCCAGTCTTTACGGGAAAGTAACTACTATTTCTTTTTAATTTTTTTAGCTTTTTAAAATCAAAATATAACTTACATATACTAAAATGAAAAAGAAATCACAGTTTCATAAATTTTTATATTTATTCACCATCAGATCAAGATATGGAACATTTCTAGTAATACCAAAATTATCTTCATGCCCCATCTCAGTCAATAGTCCCTCCTCAAAAGAAAACTACTGTTCACACTTCTCTCACCATAGAATATTTTGCCAATTTGGGGACTGCATATAAATGGAATCGTACAGTATATATTTTTTGACATCTAATTCTTTTACTCAATACTACGTCTATAAGACACATCAATTTTATTTTATTTATTAGTAGTCACTACTTTTCCATCACCACGTGGTATGACTACACGACAATTCAGTTAACATTCTACTGTTGATTGACATAATAGGTTGTTTCCAGTTTGGAGCTATTATAAATAAAACTACCATGAATATTCTTAAACATGCCTTTGGAGGATATAAAACTCCCATTTCTATTGGGTACACACCAAGAAGTGGATTGCTGGTCATAGGATTGGCATATGTTTCACTTTAATAGATGTGTTACTTGCATCTATTAGATGTTTCACTTTAATAGATGCATTACTTGGAAGAAAGTCCCTAACCTAAAAAAAGTGGCAGGGAACAGGTCTCCTGTTCCTAAATGGCTCCTCATTAAAAACCAGAGTCTTTGATTGTAAGGCATCTTAAAAAGAGGTAATGGCCTGACCTTCTGAATAACATCGGTGTCCTTTCATAGCTCCATCCATAGTTTACCTGAGCTGAGCCACTTTCTCAGGCACAAGTCACTACCTCCAGAGGACTCAGACAGTCCTGCCTCCTTGTGGCTTCCACCCGCTCTTCTCTTTAAATTGTCCGTGCCTCAAGTAGAACCATACATACTCATTTGCCTTTTGTCTCACCCCGCAAAATCTTTCTTTGGCATTGAGTAGTAGACCAGAATTGGCTCAGGTAAGAGCTAAATCTGTTTCCAGCTGAAGATGGATTCGGGCTCACTGCAGCTTCCATTAGTATTGATGGAAATGATGAGCAAACTAACCAGAGGGGTTGCACAATGACAGGTTAGAAAAGTCAAAGAGTCCAGTCAACTATTGATTGTCTTACTGTTGGTGCCACAAAATATGGACTCTCAGATGCTTTCAGACCCCTGGAGATCATCCAACCCAACATTTATTCAATGCCAACTAGCAAAGTAGTTCCAAATCTCTGTTTAAGCATGTCTGAGAAAAAGAACTTAGCTCATCCTGAAGCTACCACAGTCACCCAAATCCACTTGTTAGAAACTCCTTCTTTCCTTTTAGCTTAAAGCTGCCTTCTTTTAATTTCTAACTATTGGTCCTTGTTTTGCAGCCTGGGACTTCTGAATATAAGTTTGTTTTTTCATTCAATCATTCCACAAACATTATAGGAGCTCTTTCAATACTGGAAAAAGCTGTCCTCACCTGATAGGTGAGCTTAAAGTCCAAAGCAGCAGCTAAGGACTTAGGGAGAGGAAACACTGTTTCACGTCTTGGGTTTTATACATTGTGATTCTTTACTAGCAACTTTCCTAATTTTAATTTTGCTATGGCTTCACTGATTATCAAAGAATGAATGTGCAGGCTTCTATTATGTGTTAAGGCTGCGTTGATATCTCCCTTCTCTTAACTCAGTGCCCTTATATTCTAGCAGTTGACAAGAGTAAGATCTGAACTTACTGAGCCCTCTGGGCTAATCTGGTTGGCAGTCTGGTGTGTGTGTGGTAATGTAAATCAAGCATGGCTTTTGTAGTCAAATTAACATGCCTAAAATTGGTGTGCTAGTCTAGCCACTTCTTTCAACCTTGGTTTCCTTAACTGCTAAATCTAGCTTTTACTACCGACTTAAAAGGAGTATTTTTAGGAGTATTTTTAGAATGATACATGCTCATGTGTATGAAGTACCTAGCACATGTAAGGCACACAAAATACACTCAGTAATGTTCTCTTCCCTAATGTTCTTAACCGTCCATGCTTTTGAAATCATGGATGAAAAAGGAACTGCCATGAAAAGGAACTGCAAAATGGTACCATGGAAAGACTGATGAAATTGTCTTCCATTTTAAGCCCAGGTAGCTGATTTTAACATTGTGAGGCTTTAAACTGGTGATGAGCCATGAAGAGTCACTTAACTTCTCTGAACCTTATATACTGAATATATTAAATTAGATACCTTGTAATCTTTAGTGTACATGTTAAAGCCTATACCCGGCCGGGTGCAGTGGCTCATGCCTGTAATCCCAGCACTTTGGGAGGCCAAGGCGGGTAAATCACTTGAGGACAGGAGTTTGAGACCAGCCTGACCAACATAGCGAAACCCCATCTCTACTAAAAATACAAAACATTGGCTGAGTGTGTTGGTACACGCCTGTAATCCCAGCTACTCATGAGGCTGAGGCACAAGAATTGCTTGAACCCAGAAGGTGGAGGTTGCAGTGAGCTGAGATCACACCACTGCACCCCAGCCTGGGTGACAGAGTGAGACTCTGTCTCAACAAAAATAAATTAAAAATAAAACCTATACCCAAGATACTATGTTTCTGAATTCCCAACAACAAAGCTGTTCTAAAAACGCTAGAAATTCCTCCCAAGTCTTCTATCTCCAAAGTCAACTCAGTTGGAGTTATTTTTTTTGCCCAGGTTGTCTGTTTATCTAAGTACCTCCATATACCCTTAGGAGTTTTTGGTGCATCTTATATGATACAACATTTTACATCAAGACTATCCATGATATGGAGTGCCTGAAATCCTCAGAGAGTGCCATGGAAATTCAGCAACATATAATATTTATCAACCTAGTTTGTCTATAGGAGGAGGAATTTTCAACCATGCACAGGCCTGATCTTGCTCACGAGCTGAACAGGACAGGGTCGGACTGTGAGGGCAGCTTAAGGTCATGCTCAGGTATGTGACATTACTGACACAATGGTCCTGCCAACTGTCTCTTTGGATGGAGGTGGCCCTGACCCCTGGCACACAGTTGGTAACTTGACAGCTGGGAATGTGTAATCTGGGCACAGTTCAGGTGACAACCAGCCAGTCCTTGGAGAACCCTAAGACAGTTTGCTGTACTCCTCACTGAAAAATCCCCAGCCTTGAGGGTAAGTCCCCTCGTTTGGCGTGAATGCCAACCTAGTCCATCATCCATTTATTCATTTGACAAACATTTATTGAGGGTCTTCTCTGCTTCATCTGTTATAGGGGAACTGGAAAATAAATCAGATTGCCTCCAGAGCCTGCAGTCTACATTTGTACCTTGGGTTCCCTTGGGAATTGCCTTTTTGAGAACACGTGCCCCTGTTCTAAACCCTTCCCAACTGTGCCTACACTGATGAGTTGAATTGTTGAACCCCTTAGAGAGCAGAAATCCAGTTTCCTCCTCTGCATAAGCCTGATCCTTTTTCAGGTACCATTTTTCTTCCAGGCCTGGATAGAGATACAAGGTAAACCTTCTAGACTGCTAACATATCACAGCTTCCCTCATCCCAAGATCTTGCTAGTGCTGGGCCCAATCTATTTATATATGAGGCCCTTGATTGGGACCACTCATCCATATGGAAGACATTTGTTTATTTCACTAATCCAGGCATTTTCTAAGAAAGGCAGTAAGAATGAAACCAAACCAAACACCTGCCAGAGCTCAGAATGAATGAAAAGGCTGTAGGGGGAGGAGGAAGGGAGAGGGAGGAGGAGGCTGTACAAGAGATTTGGGGCAGCACTTCAGCATCCTAATAAAAAAAGGAGAAGAATCAGGGTCCTGTTGCAAACTACACAATCTCACTGATTTGAGACCAAGGTTAAGCAAGCCTGACAAAGTGGTTCATCAAATCAGAGAAGAACCCCACATCTATTGGATCTCATTAATTCCCAGGCCAGTTTATTGTCAATCCCAATCAATTCAGCCCACCACGTGGCAATTTCATCTCTCCACACTTGCCTCTACCATCTATCTATTGGTGGCTTGAGTCTGTTTCTCAAAATAATGTCACTGTTCCTGCCACGCCAGCTACTGGCTGTCTGCTAGGAATCCTAAAAGCCCCATAGGTGGTGACCAGAACAGCAACTGGTGACTCTCATTTACCAAAGGCCGTTCTATTTTTAATTTTTTGAAAATATTCCATGCTAAAGTTTCCTTTCTCTCCCTCCCACCCTTTGTGGTATTTTTAGGTCTCGCAGGCTCTTCAGAACGAGCGTCTAGCTTGCTGGGCTCTGCAAATAGATTTTCCCCTTACCTGCCAGTCACGGTGTACTACAGGCATGTGTCATGTGGAGAGCTGGTCCTTTTACTCCAGGTTTTTACATGGGCTTTGCTTCTGTGTGCTGCTAATCTGTCTAGAAATCAAAGACACACCACCTCAAAGGGGAGGCCCTGGCCCACAGCTGCCTGCCAGGGTTATTATGAAGGCCCATCCATCCGGTACCAAGAGCTTGCTGGGAGCAACTGGCAGCAGACGGGAAAGCCAGAGATCAGGGATCTGAGCAGGGAAAGGCGATTTGGGTGACAGGAGGGTGGTAAGGGGTACGAGAGATCAGGACTTGAAAGATGAAAGCACCCTGGGGCAGCTGCAGTCATGACTGCTTTCGGACAAGGACAGACACAAGAATTAGCAGAGATGCTCTGCAGGGGAAACCAAAGGTCCACCCAGCCCAGGGTCTCCTCTGTAAGGGGTAGCTAAGGAGCTTCTATGGGCAGGAGAGAGGGGTGGAGCAAGTTTGTGAGCCATTCTCCTCTATATCACCCTCCCCATCACTCCTGCGGGTCCAGAGAGAAGCCTTGCAGCTGCATGGCCCTTCCTCAAAAACTACTAGAAAAGAGGAAATTATAGAATGGATTAAGGCAGAGTTCTCAAAGTGTGGTCCCCAGACCAGCAGCATCAGCATCATCTGGGAACTTGGTGGAAATGCAATTTCTCAGGCTCCATCCCAGACCTACAGATTCAGACACTTTGGGAGTAGGGGCCTGGCTGGCACCCTGGGTTTTAACAATCCTCTAGGGGATTCTGATGCACTTTCAAGTTTGACAACCACTATATTCAGAAAAACAAGTCAAGGATATCCACTGAAGGGTCAATTGAAGGAGAATTTTTTAAATATGTAAGAGAATGGGACACAAATATTGGGATTCACAGTCACTTCTCATATTAGGATTTCTGAAATGAAATTGAAATGAATGAAATGCATGCCATAAATATCCAAAAAAGCAAAATGGTCATAGACCAGAGAACAAACAAGAATTTTTAAATTAATGTTACAATGTAAACAAGACCCTGTTTGATGTTTCCCTTGGGGGCGAGGGATAAATTTCAGTTTGAAAACTGTCTGTACTCAGTTGGGGCCCAGTGCATGGTGTTTTGATTATGAAAAGAACATCCCTAAAGTCCATGCATGCCTGAAATTGCTGAGTCCCTGTAAAAGTTGTGCTTGAAAAGTCATGTACATATGTTATACTGTTTACTGATGTTTCTAAAAGAAAAATCTGCAAGGACAACTTTTATTTTTGTTTCTTTTGTTGTTGTTTGTTTTTGTTTTTGTTTTTTGAAACATAATCTCACTCTGTCGCCCAGCTAGAGTGCAATAGCGTGATCTCAGCTCACTGCAACCTCTGCCTCCCTGATTTAAGCAATTCTCCTGCCTCAGCCTCACAAGTAGCTGGAATTACAGGTGCCCGCCACCACCCCCAGCTAATTTTTGTATTTTTAGTAGAGACAGTGTTTCACCATGTTGTCCAGGCTGGTCTGGAACTCCTGACCTCAAGTGATCTGCCTGCCTCGGCCTCCCAAAGTGCTGAGATTACAGGCATGAGTCACCATGCCCAGCCAAGGACAACTTTTAAATTAAAATTCTTGACTATTCAATAAAGTAGAATAAGGTAGAAAACTTCCCTCCTCACTCTCAGCTCACAGCCTTACTTCTCATTCACTAAGATGATTGAAGTCATCAGAAGTGAAACCACACATAAGCCTACCTCCAACTATCCTCACCTCTCTACATCTCTACCCTCCCTTGCACAGACCCTCCCACAGAAAGAATTGGCTCTCTAAGGCCAACTCTTTCTCTTGCACCCTGAAATCCCATCAGCTCTTACCTCCTCAAAGATACCCCTCCTACCATCACTAATTTTTCCCTTTCAACTGGGAAGTACCATCTGTATAGAAACATCCCAAACTGTCGCCCACCTTTAACAACCACTCTTGACCCCATCACTGCCTCCAGCTACCACTCCATTTCCCTACTCCATTCTATAATTAAGCTAAAATAAAATACAGTCATGTGCCGCATAACAATGTTTTGGTCAATGAGGGACCACATGTACAATGGTAGTCCCTTAAGCTTATAATGGAGCTAAAAAATTTCTATAGCCTAATGATATCACAGCTGTCATGACATAGTAGCCGTTGTAATGGCATAGTGCAACACATTACTTTTTCCATGTTTAGATATGTGTAGATACACAAATACTTACCGTTGTGTTACAGTTGCCTACAGTATTTAGTACACTCACATGTTGTACAGATTTGGAGCTTAGGAGCCATAGGCTATACCATATGGCCTAGGTGTGTAATAGGCTGTACCATTTAGGTTTGCATAATGACAAAATTGCCTAATGAAGCATCTCTCAGAACGAATCCATGTCATTAAAGGATGCATAACTATATGTCTAGGCTTGCTATCTCCACACTCTCTCTTCTCCTAGTCTTTCCAGATCTCTTTCCAATCAGGCTTCCAGTCTCATCCACTCCACTGAAATTATCCTCTTCTAGGTCACCAGCAGCTTCCATGTTGTCAAACACAATGACCCGTGCTCCATCTCATTGGGCTCAGCGTCTCAGCAGCATGTGACATACTTCCATACTTCCCACCTCATTGACCACTCTTTCTCTATCTCCTTTCTGAATCCTCCTCCTTTCTCCCTATCCTAAACTTTGGAATGCACTAGAACACACCTTGAGCCTCTTGTCTACTGTACACACACTTACCTAGGTGAGCTCATCCAGTCCCAAGACTTTTATACCCAGACCTACTTGTAAAGCCCTACATGAGCCTACACTGGCTTCCTCTGGAACCTGGTTTCCTACCACTTTCCTGGCCACTACTAGACTCCAGATGTTGTGGCCTTATTGATGGTCCTTAAATCTGCTAACCTGCTCCTACCTCAAGACCTTTGCATTTAAAGGAATCAGCCCCTTCTGAATTACATTCTAGTTGGGTATTATTGCCCAGATAACCAGTTCAAAGGCAGCAGATGAATTGGCTTCTCTGTCCAAAGCTGGCAACAGAAAGAGCCACATGATGTACCCAGGGCTGCTAGGGCCTAGGGAACATCATAGGGGTGCTAACCAGGCCCTGCTGTAATGAGGACACAGTAGGCAGCAGTAGCTCATCTTCCAAGACTCCAGGAGCCTTCCCAACGTGCTCCTTAATGTCAGAAATCTGCTTAGTAGGGGACACAAAACAATGCAAACACCTCCAGAAGAAGCACACATATTAATTGACGAAAATGTTTGATCAGAAGAGCTTAGCTTTTCCATAAAGGTTTTAATAGGAGAAGGGCACTACCATGCTCTAAGCTCCACCCCACAAAACCTGTTATAAGTGTTTAACATGCAAAGGCTCTACTGGTCTCCACCCCCAACGGAGATCATGTTGGCTGGGATAATTAATTCACTCGAAAAGTTGCAATATGAATGTTATCGTAATGGACTATATTTTTCTAAGTCACTTCTTTCTTGGGGTATGAGGTTTCATTCAGCCCAAGTAGAACTGGCAGTGCTGGCCTGGCCTTTTGTTCCACTTGAGAACCAAAGTAAGGTTTTATGTGCTAATGGCCAGTGTAAGGTGTGTGTCTAATTCATTGATTCAATCAACAATTATTTATTGAGCCTCTGCAATCAACCAGGATATAATAATGAAAACAGCTTGATGGAAGTTCAGGAACTGACCCCTTCCTGCATGTATCTCCTTGGAAAATATGCTCTCCCACTCCCCGCCCCCAACCTTATTCAAACTATTTTTCAAGCCCATCTTTTGAAAACTGCCTCCCAGACCCAGATTTAGGGCCATGTAGGAAAATCTGTTGTATTTTATCTGAAGCTGCTAAAATACTATCAATTCTCCCTGCCTCTGATACTCCTCCATCTGCTCATGCCTCCTCCCACATATCTCTCCCTTCCAGCTTCTTTTCTGAATCCCCGAAGTTCCTAGAGGGCCCTCCAGAGCCTGGCCTATCTCTGTAGGGCTGGAGCAGCTCCCTGCCCATTGGCCTGGCTGTCAGAATCTAGGTTCCTTCTTTACCTCTTTGTGGGTCTGCCTGTGCTCTCTGCCCTTGAAAACTCATGTGAGTAAATTGTAGCCACTATTTAGAAAGGGCCAGTCTAACGGGCTGAAGTTTGCAGCCCTAACTGTTTACTTTCTTTCTTAGGAGACAGTAACAGATTTTTCAAGAACTGTCCTTCTTTTGTAAGGCAGGTCCCACCACTATATCATACCCAGATAACTTTCCAGAGTCTGCCTTTGTAGTCATCCCTCCCCACTTTGCTCTGACTAGCTTTTCCTCAAGGCTGCAGAAGGGGGCTACAAGCCAAATCTCAGGTCACAGCTGATCGCTCGTGAGCAGCTCAAGTGTCCCGACATTATCTGGAACTTAGAGCAGCCATCGTGGGCCACCCTCCACAGAGTACTGCTTGTGTTGGTGACAACACATGTTTTGTATACTTACAACAGAAAATTAGAGAACCAGGTACTTTACGCACAAAGGCATTTATTGTCTTCTTTCTTGACAGGTGTATCAACAAAGCACTTTACATTCTTCAAAGCCCTTCCCCCTCAACTATCTCATTTGACCCATTTAATCCTCTCAGACTCCATACAAAATAGATACTGTCATCTTCATTTTATAGGTAAGAAATTGAGGCAATGGGAAGGGAGGAAACTTGTCCAAAATCTTACAATGAGCAAATGCTTTTGGCCATTATGTTATCCTGCATTTTGAGGGATGCTAAAAGGCCCATTCTTCAAAATGATGTTTGAATTGTCCCTCCTCCAATGTATGCACACAGGTGCACACACATGCAATACACACACGCACGTGCACGCACACACACACACACACACACACAGGACATTCCTATTTCACTACAGTCAATGAGCAGAACTGGTGACACATTTACCCAAATGATCCAGTAGACTCTATAATTTGGGTTCTATAACTTGGAAGATATAAACCCAAACAGACTTCCAATGGGATGGTAAGAACTTCTGAACCTATCCTCAGAGTTCTGGCATGGAAGAAATACAGAATCAGGAGTTCAAAGTCCTTGGGCTGAGGTTCTTGCTTGGCCCCTGGGACTTTGGGAATATACTCATATCTCTTCAAGCTTCAGTTTCTTTTTCTGTAAAATGGGAACTATGATGCCTGTGTTACCTGCCACATGAAAAGAATCAAATGAGATAGTTGAGGGGGAAGGGCTTTGAAGAATTTTTTTTATTATACTTTTAAGTTTTAGGGTACATGTGCACAACGTGCAGGTTTGTTACATATGTATACATGTGCCATGCTGGTGTGCTGCACCCATTACCTCGTCATTTAGCATTAGGTATCTCTCCTAATGCTATCCCTCCCCGCTCCCCCACCCCACAACAGTCCCTGGTGTGTGATGTTCCCCTTCCTGTGTCCATGTGTTCTCATTGTTCAATTCCCACCTACGAGTGAGAACATGCGGTGTTTGGTTTTTTGTCCTTGCGATAGTTTGCTGAGAATGATGGTTTCCAGCTTCATCCATGTCCCTGCAAAGGACATGAACTCATCATTTTTTATGGCTGCATAGTATTCCATGGTGTACATGTGCCACATTTTCTTAATCCAGTCTATCATTGTAGGACATTTGGGTTGGTTCCAAGTCTTTGCTACTGTGAATAGTGCCACAATAAACATACGTGTGCATGTGTCTTTATAGCAGCATGATTTATAATCCTTTGGGTATATATCCAGTAATGGGATGGCTGGGTCAAATGGAATTTCTACTTCTAGATCCCAGAGGAATCGCCACACTGACTTCCACAATGGTTGAACTAGTTTACAGTCCCACCAACAGTGTAAAAGTGTTCCTATTTCTCCACATCCTCTCCAGCACCTGTTGTTTCCTGACTTTTTAATGATTGCCATTCTAACTGGTGTGAGATGGTATCTCATTGTGGTTTTGACTTGCATTTCTCTGATGGCCAGTGATGATGAGCATTTTTTCATGTGTTTTTTGGCTGCATAAATGTCTTCTTTTGAGAAGTGTCTGTTCATATCCTTTGCCCACTTTTTGATGGGGTTGTTTTTTTTTTTTCTTGTAAATTTGTTTGAGTTCTTTGTAGATTCTGGATATTAGCCCTTTGTCAGATGAGTAGGTTGCAAAAATTTTCTCCCATTCTGTAGGTTGCCTGTTCGCTCTGATGGTAGTTTCTTTTGCTGTGCAGAAGCTCTCTAGTTTAATGAGATCCCATTTGTCAATTTTGGCTTTTGTTGCCATTGTTTTTGGTGTTTTAGACATAAAGTCCTTGCCCATGCCTATGTCCTGAATGGTACTGCCTAGGTTTTCTTCTAGGGTTTTTATGGTTTTAGGTCTAACATTTAAGTCTTTAATCCATCTTGAATTAATTTTTGTGTAAGGTGTAAGGAAGGGATCCAGTTTCAGCTTTCTACATATGGCTAGCCAGTTTTCCCAGCACCATTTATTAAATAGGGAATCCTTTCCCCATTGCTCGTTTTTCTCAGGTTTGTCAAAGATCAGACAGTTGTAGATCTGCGGCATTATTTCTGAGGGCTCTATTCTGTTCCATTGGTCTATATCTCTGTTTTGGTACCAGTACCATGCTGTTTTGGTTACTGTAGCCTTGTAGTATAGTTTGAAGTCAGGTAGCGTGATGCCTCCAGCTTTGTTCTTTTGGCTTAGGATTGACTTGGCAATGCGGGCTATTTTTTGGTTCCATATGAACTTGAAAGTAGTTTTTTCCAATTCTGTGAAGAAAGTCATTGGTAGCTTGATGGGGATGGCATTAAATCTATAAATTACCTTGGGTAGTATGGCCATTTTCACGATATTGATTCTTCCTACCCATGAGCATGGAATGTTCTTCCATTTGTTTGTATCCTCTTTTATTTCATTGAGCAGTGGTTTGTAGTTCTCCTTGAAGAGGTCCTTCACATCCCTTGTAAGCTGGATTCCTAGGCATTTCATTGTCTTTGAAGCAATTGTGAATGGGAGTTCACTCATGATTTGGCTCTCTGTTTGTCTGTTATTGGTGTATAAGAATGCTTGTGATTTTTGCACATTGATTTTGTATCCTGAGACTTTGCTGAAGTTGCTTATCAGCTTAAGGAGATTTTGGGCTGAGACGATGGGGTTTTCTAGATATACAACCATGTCATCTGCAAACAGGGACAATTTGACTTCCTCTTTTCCTAATTGAATGCCCTTTATTTCCTTCTCCTGCCTGATTGTCCTGGCCAGAACTTCCAACACTATGTGGAATAGGAGTGGTGAGAGAGGGCATCCCTGTCTTGTGCCAGTTTTCAAAGGGAATGCTTCCAGTTTTTGTCCATTCAGTATGATATTGGCTGTGGGTTTGTCATAGATAGCTCTTATTATTTTGAGATATGTCCCATCAATACCCAATTTATGATTTAAGTCCAGTTTAGAGGGAAATTTTTAAAAGTTACAATTTTGTATACTTGAATTTGTGACTATAATATTTATACTGCCCAAACCATAAGAATTTGAATGCACAAAGGCATTTATTGTCTTCTTTCTTGACAGGTGTATCAACAAAGCACATCAAGTGGGCTTTGAAGAATTTAAAGTGCTTTGTTCAAATTCTTATGGTTTGGGCAGTATAAATATTATGGTCACAAATTCAAGTATACAAAACTGTAACTTTTAAAAATTTCCCTCTAAACTGGACTTAAATTCTACCCGGAGCTCCCATCTGTCTAATGCAGAAAGCATAGTCTGATCACTAATAGGCTGTCAGACACTTCAGTGATTTTCTCTGTCATCCATATTGAAGCTCAAACAAACTCAGAATTCCCTGTGCTGCCCCTTCTCCCTCTCCTGGGCTGGAGCTCAGCTTGTGTCTTACCCAAATGCTGTCTCAGTATCAGTAGGAAGAGGTGCCTCCCTCTTGGTCTCCATCTGTCTAAGTCTTTTGAGATGTGCCTATGTCCTCATTCTTTGCCTGGCTGGGTTGTCCATTCTCTGCTGAGAGGTCCTCCTATGTGGCACTGTATCTTCTCTCTCTCTCTCTCTCTTTCTCTCTCTCTCCAGCCACTTTTAGCTCCTTTGTTTAGCTCACTTCTTTCCCTCACCCCTAAATGTGAGCTAATTTCACGATCTAGTACTTGGTCCTTTATTATTTTTCTCTACATTGTTTCTCTCAGGCCATTAATCCACCTTCCTGACACCTTCACTTTTACATCTAAGATGAAGATCCCCCAGTTGAAGCTCTAGCCCCAATTTTTATTCCCAGTCATCATAGAATCATGATGTTGGTGCTGGAAGAAATGGTTTTCCTTCAGGAATTTACACCTCCAACTGTGTTGTCAGCACCCTACTTCCCCAACTCCTGCCCCCGACTGCTGGCTGCTTCCTAATCACCCCAAATTCACTATGGCTAAAATCAAAGTTATCATCTGTTCTCCAGAGAACCAGCTCCCTTCTATACTACCTTAGGGTGTCATTACCTTGTCTGCTCAGGTTCAAAACTTGGAACCTTATCTGAATTGTTCTTTATTTCTCTCTATGAAAGACAGCATCAGCTTGGGCCTCACTATGTTCAGTTCTCAACATTTAGTCTCTGGAATCTACTTTTTTTGTCCAATCATACTGGCACCACTGGAGTATGAAGGACTCTTCATGCCTCAATTACTAAAATCGTATCCTGACTTGCTTCCAATTAAAATGCATCCTACCAGAAAAGTCTCTTAACAATTTCTCTGTGACCCCCCAATTAATACTTGTGGAGACATAAGAGGTTCTTAATGGGTAGGACAGGGTTCATAGATGGGCTTCAGAGGAAACTGTGAGCCCTCTGGAATTCTACAAAATATTACCTAAACCAGATTATTGGAAATTTGCCTTAAAAATGCAAATATTTTTCAGAGAGGGAGCATGTCAACTTACATGTTCACCTAAAGTTCAATGCCTCATGTTAAGACTTCTTCTGAGACCAGATTTGGAGGGAGACAATGAAGTCCTTGGGGCATGAAGGTTGAGTCTTGGTTCATTCTCCTTTTCCACCTGAATACCCACAGTAGTCTTTGATTGCTTCCTTGGACTCTAATTGATCACTCATTCTTTCTTCATTTCTTCATTCATTCATTCATTTTATATATATGGAACACATAGTATGCGTGAGAATTTTGCATATATCATGTCATTTAATCTTCATCACAAGCCCCAATTGAAGATCTTATTATATTCATTTTTCAAATGAGGACATTGAAGTTTAGAGAGGTTAAATTGCTGTCCCAAGGTCACACAGCTGACCAGAAGGGCTGGGATCCAAACCCAGTCTAATTTCAGTGCTCACATTCTTTCCAAAATACCTTCCTACTGAACCTTCTGCAGGCCAGACACTGGCCTGGCCCTAGGAATAGGAAAACTGATAGAATTAAATGAAGAATTAAATGAATTAAAGGCATGTGTAAGCACCTGCCATTGGACCTGACCCAAAGTAGGCATTCAAGATTGCTTTTTAAAAAAAATAGTCATTGAAAAAAAAATAGTACTGAGGGTTCAACTTAAGGAACTCACACTGTGACAAGAGAGGGTCATACAAGATGGCAAAGGGGCACTGAAGAGAACAGTCTAACTGCTGGGGGCAATTGAGTAACTCACCGTCCAAAGAGGGAGGACAGGCAAGTACCCATGTGACAAAACTGCTACGTTGAACAGCGAGCAATGTGAGGCCCAGGGCCTGGCCTCTGTCAGCTTCCCTCCTCTGTAGCCAATAGCTCTTAAATAAATATAGTCCATTCTATAATTTTACAGAGGAAATCGAAACCAAGGAAACAGAAGAAATAAAGAAGTTAAGGTGTTAACCATGGGCTGTTCTGGGTGGTAATATTATAGGTTACTTTTCCTGTCTCTCTTTATGTACTTAAGGTCCTACAGTGAAGGTGTAGAACTTTTTTTAAAAATAGAGACAGGGTCTTAGTATGTTGCCCAGGCTGCTCTCAAACTCCTGAGCTCAAGCCATCCTCTGGCCTCAGCCTCCCAAAGTGCTAGGATTACAGGCATGAGCCATCGCACCCTGCCTTAAGGATGTAGGACTTTTATCCACAGAAAAGGACATGATTTAAAGAAACATGAAACTAGCTTGATAGGGCCTTCATGCTGGTTCTAAGCATTTAGGAAAATTCTTTTTCTGCCAAGGATGCTGATGGATTTCATTATTACTCATTTGATCTTTTCAGGGCCAAGCTAGGTTTTTAATTAATCATTCTCTCATCCTTCTACCCTTTTCTAACCAGGGACCTCACACTGCTACTAGTTCTTGGTGCCTTAGAGGGGAAATCCTTTCCTCAGACAGATATGGCAGCTGTATAGCACACCATCCTTTGCCTCTTCTACCCGCAAACAGCCCTCTCTGCTCTCTCAGTGGACAATTTCAACTGTTAATGTGATATATCAAGGAGCCACCTCAGGGAGGCTGTGCTCAGGCATCTCGTTGGTGATTTTCAGCTTGCCTCAAAAGCCAGCACAAAACTACATCTATTCTTCGCTCCTTCCTTTGTTTCCATCTCCAAGCGACCTAGTTTTCTCCACACTTCACCCCCAAAAGAGGCATAGGGGAGTTTGTAAAGAGCCCAGCCAATGGATACAGAAGTAGCCAGAGTAGCAACAGTAATCCCAGAGTTCCAAGGTCAGTGTTGTTTCTTAATGATTTCTTCTGAACTGACACAAGAGGCCAGCTTCCAAGCAGAGAAAGTCACACATATCATTTATCTTTTTTAATTAGAAAAGTAAGAAGACATTTTACTTCAACTTTTTCAGCTTAATTTTTACCCACCTAAAAACTGGGCTTTTATTTTCTTCCTGGATTCTTCATTTCTCCACCTCATTTGTTTCTACAGCCTGAGCTCATTTCAGGGCTTCACAGCTTTCCTTTTCCCTAAACCTCCAGGGGAGGTTAGGAATGAAATGGTGCTTCCCTCTGCATTTCCATCTGCCTGTTCCACAGGGCCTGTGGTGAGCTCTTCTTTCCCAGCCTAATGCTCATGCTACCTGCTTCCCTCCCTTGGCCTACCCACAGGCTGAAACCCTCCTTCCCGGCTAGGAAG
Source organism: Homo sapiens (assembly GCF_000001405.40). Classification (NCBI taxonomy): domain Eukaryota; kingdom Metazoa; phylum Chordata; class Mammalia; order Primates; family Hominidae; genus Homo; species Homo sapiens. Next base: position 38,905,798 of record NC_000023.11, on the reverse strand, counting down.
ACCAGTGCTGGCGAAATTAACATGAAGAAACAGATGCCTTAACTGTGGGGGTGTTTATAAATAAAGTTCAGAGGACAAATAGCTTGCTGGAGGCAAGGGAAATCATTTTTTAACACAAGTGGCTATGGCTATATTAGTGTCTTCTCAGAAGCAAGCCCACCCAGCATGGCCAGTGATGAAAACTGGAAAGCCTAAAGGATGCTGGACACACACATATCCTCCATAGGCAAGCAGAGCAAACGTATTTGGGACATTGCAAGGATTTCTCCATGTCTAAGCACACACAGGCTCTTCTAGTTCATGCCCTGACACATCAAATATAAGATGGAGGGAGCCAGGTGTGGTGGCTCACGCCTGTAATCTCAGCACCGTGGGAGGCCGAGGTGGGCAGATTACTTGAGGTCAGGAGTTCAAGACTAGCCTGGCCAACATGGTGAAACCCTGTCTCTACTAAAATTCCCAAAATTAGCCGGGCATGATCGTGGGTGCCTGTAATCACAGCTACTCGGGAGGCTGAGGTGGTAGAATTGCTTAAACCCTAGGGGCGCAGGTTGCAGTGAGCCAAGATTGTACCACTGCACTCCAGCCTGGGCGACAGAGTGAGACTCTATCTCAAAAAAAAAAAAAAAAAAAAAAAAAAAGGACGGAGGGGAACGGGGAACACCCTAGGCACTGCTTCCAGAATCCCAGACTGAGGACAAGCTTGTAATGGCAGCTGGAGGGCAGAAAGTTCCACAGCTATCATCACAGACTCTATTTACTTACCTTTGGAGAAGGTGACAGGAGTAGAAAAATTTGTATAAGTCAATGTTATCTTAGAGTAGGGGTTTTAACCTAGGCTGCACTGAGGGATTTGAGACTAGAATTCAGAGGTCTGTGAACTCAGATGAGGAAAGATTGGTATTTTTATTCCAACTTCTAACTAACATTTAACATTTTCTTTGTTTATGAATAAAGCAAACAGACAACAGTTTTACTAGTAAGACTTGTGTCTTCGTCACCAATAAATGTCACAGATTCATTTGTATCACATTACAGTTGTTCAGAATACCTTGGTATTAACACATCATTTACGCTCATCTCTGCTTCAAAATTATGGCTGTTATTAGATCTGTCACCAGATCTTGTTGAATATATCAATAAAACACATAGATTACTGTATCACAAATGTGCTTACTAATATTTTGATAACTATATTTCAATACAATTGGCTCCCTTTTAGCTCTATTTATTTTTTATGTATTTGAAAAACACTCTTTCAAAAAGGAATTCACTGCCTTCACCAGACTTCCAAGGGGGTCCACAGCACAAAAAGTTTTTTGAAGCACTCCTGTCTTTGAGCATCTATGTCAAGATTTCATAATGAATAAATATGGACAGCTCATTTAATATAATTACCACAATTCCACAAGCAAATTTATTATCAAGCCCATTTTATGAATGAGGCAACCAAGGCTTGAAGCAGAATCTGCCTGATTTCAAAGGCTGTGGTTTTCTCTCTCTCCCTCTCTCTCTCCCCCTCTCTTACACACACATACATACACACATGCACACACACACACACACAAATACAAATATATTTTTATGACTCCCAAACATCCAGTCAAAAATTCAATTAGCACAGATACTACTGCCCATCAAATGAAATTAACTAGTGATCTGTCTCTACAATGCCACAAGAACTGGTTGAAACAATGAAAAAATCAATCTAACAGATGTTTTTTCTAATTGCATTTATAATCTGATGGCCCTCTCCCCCCTCTCCAAAGTGGCTGAGTACACCAAGAGTGTCTGCTATGGGACAGGAGTTAAATGAGCCCATCCCTTAGTTATATGAGGATGCAGATACACTGCTTACTCTGCTAGGGCTCTGACATCCAAGTCTAGGCCTCCACACCCCCTCCCCTTTCCACCACGGACACCTATCTTGTTCTGCCCCACCTAATGTCTTTAGGATTAAATTATTCATGAAGAAAAGGGAAAAGAAGGGAAAGGAAGAGCTTAATCGCATTTTGCCCTGGGTGCTGGGGAGAATGATAGAAAAAGATGTAATTCTTTACACTTATGGAATTAACATTAAATATTTGAGAACCAATAAGAAACAAATAATTCCTCAAATAATGGATTGATTCATGACAATGCCAGTGCATACCACAAAAAAAGGAATTCAGGGTATTATATAACAAAGGTCCCTCACCTAGTCTGGGGTATAAGAAACGATTTCTCTGAGGAAATAGTGTTTGCAAACTCATCTGTTATAATATTTATGGTTTTAATATCCTGCTGGAGTGTAAGCATCCTTTCATTATAATACGAAATACAAGTCAGTCCTCACCTCTGTAGTCTCCTCTCAAGTAGAAGAGCGATTTTCCCACTGTTTCTAGTTGAGATTCTACTGCTGGGAAGCAGGAGCAAAGGTGTCTGTCACACGTGGTTAGTGCAAGCCCCAAACAGCTTGAGATGCCCCTGGCCTGCGTCACCACAGCTGAACCGAGTAGGTTTGAAAAGTGTAGCCCGCCCAACGTGGCCCAGCCTATCCCCAACACTACAGCTCACTGTAGGGACTGGGGAACACCAGCCTCACGCCTCATGTGGTATTCAGACGGCCTCCTGCGAATCCGATCAATCAAACACTACAGGCCAGTGTCCCATTTGTGCATGCCGTACAGCATAAATCCAGTGTCTTTTCAACTAGAAGCATACCAGTCACAGTTATGATGAGGGATGGTCATGGTGGGAGGCAGATGGGAGCTCTGACCGATCCAGAAAGGGAAATATCCTTTTCCCAGGAGACAAAGATTCACTCCTTGAAGGTTTAAAATTCCTACTTGAGAGCAAAATTACAGTGCATTCAAGAAGTACTCTTTCTGGTAAATTATTTTGTGGTATTTTTTAATCCTTTTTTCTCTCCTGCCATCTTTTGACATCACTGATAATGGGTGCTAAGCAACATGGGAAAGAGAAAAAGAAACAGGAACCAAGACATTATTGTTAACCAAAATCAAAAATAATAATCTGAGTTTTAGATGGTATTTCTAATAAACAAGTACAAAAACTCTTTATGCTCAGAATGAAATCATTTACTCACCTTCAGATTTATCCCTAAGCCATCTATTCTGTGGACAGACATATATATCTCATGACTGGGGGAAAATAATATACCACCCACATAAGAAATATCCCTATTCTGAGAACGTCTGATGCTTACACCTTTATTTATTGTCTTGCTAAGTACATTCCAGGGATCATCTTTATTCTCTAGAGTAAGTCTTATATAATGGTGATTTTTAAGCAGATTTTCTTTGGCTATTTTACACCTAACTCATATTAATAATAACAACAACTTTACACCCACAATTCTCTTTGTGACACTTAGAAATTTATCTGCTGGTTTTTTCTTCACACAAAGAAAATAGGATTCCTTGTTTAGATTAATAGAGTTTGATTTAATAACTATTAAAGTAGAAAAATAAAATTGCTATCCACCATCTTCTATCTTTTCTATAGTCTTCTAAATCATACAACATGAAAATCTTCTAAGAGCAAATAAAATTGTACTCTTTTCAAGAAATAAAATTTATTTTACGTATCAATGGGTGTTGCACTTGCCACTTAGAAGAAATCATTTGATTGTACTTAATCAAACTTCATTATTCTGATTCTTAATGGCAAACTCTTTCATATACTTATTTGAATCTTATCAGGAAGGAAATTGATCAAAGTCTACATTTGCAGGATTTCTCTAGTTTATTCTTTCTTCTAAGCTTGTTTTGCTTGGGCTTTCAGCTGACATAGTGAAATAAACTCTTCTAATTGTAGATTGTATGTCTTAGTCCATTTGAGCTGCTGTAACAAAACACCTTACATACTGGGTAATTTATAAACAACAGAAATTTATTACTCACTGTTTTGGAGGCTAGAAAGTCCAAGATCAAGGCACCAGCATGGCACCTTCTATGTAACCTCATATGACTGAAGGGCAAAAAGGGCAATCTGGGGCCTCTTTTATAAGGTCACTAATCCCATTCACAAGGGTGGACCCCTCATAACCTAATCACCTCCCAAAGGCCCCACTTCCTAATGCCATCACCTTGGGAATTAGGTTTCAACATATGAATTTGGAAGTGGGAGACACAAATATTCAGATCATAGTATTCTACCCCTGCCCTCCACCCCAAATTCATGTCCTTCTTACATGCAAAATTCACTCATTCCATCACAATAGCCTCAACTCATACCAGCATTAACTTTAAAATCTAAGTCAAAGACTCATCTCAATATAATATCAACTTATTCCAGATATGTGTGAGACTCAAGGTATGATTAATCTTGAACCAAATTGCTCTCTAGCTTTAAGCCTGTGAAAAGAAAAAAAAAATTATGCACTTTCAAAATTCAACGCTGAGACAGTTACAAGATGGACGTTCCCATTTGAAAAGGGACAAACAGGAAGGAAGAACAGGGTAACTGGTCCCAAATAAATCCAAAATTCAACAAGGCAAACAATATTAAATCTAAAGGCTGGCCAGGCACCGTGGCTCACCCCTGTAATCCCAGTACTTTGGGAGGCCAAGGCAGGTGGATCACTTGAAGTCAGGAGGTTGAGACCAGCCTAGCCAACATGGTGAAACCCCGTCTCTACTACAAACACAAAAATTATCTGGGCGTGATGGCGGGCGCCTGTAGTTCCAGCTACTCAGGAAGCTGAGGCATGAGAATCGCTTGAACCTGGGAGGTAGAGGTTGCAGTGAGCTAACACTACTGGCAACAGTGCAAGACTCTTGTCTCAAGAAACAAACAAAAACTCAAGGCCGGAGAATAATCTTTGATTTCATGTTGTACCTTCTGCATACAGAAGGGGTGGGAGTTACGTCCCTAACGTTCCAGGCAGCCCCACCCCCATGGCTTTGCTGTGCACAGCCCATGCTCTTTGTTCTCGTGGGTTGGTGTCACATGCCTGTGGCTCTCCCAAGGCTGGTTTTGCACACTGGTACATTCTAGTGTCTTGGAGGCACACCCATTCTATGTCTCCACTAGGCATTTATCTAGTGGGGTTGCTCTGCGGTGGCCCTGACCTCACAGCTCCACTAGGCATTGCCCTAGTGGGGGTTCTCTGCGGTGGTCTCACCCCTGTGGCAGTTCCTATTTCATCACTAATAAGTTCTACCTTCCATAAAACACTAGGATATAAACACAATTCTGCCAAGTTCTTTGCCACTTTATAACAAAATGGCCTTTCCTCTAGTTTCCAATAACATGTTCTTCATCTTTGTTTGAGACTTCATCAGAATGGCTTTTGCCATCGATACTTCCACCAACATTCTGATTACAACCACTTGGGTAATCTCTAAGAAGAATGAGGCTTTCTCTACAGCTCTCTTCTTATTCTGAGCCCCCACCAAAATCACCATTAAAGCTACATTCACAGCAATGCACTTGAAAACTCTTCCAGCCTCTACCCATAACCCAGTTTGAAAGCTACTTCCACATTTTTAGGTATTAGTTATAGCAACACCCCACTTCTCGGTACCAATTTCTATTTTAGTCTTCTTGGGCTACTATAAAAAAAATGTTACACCAGGTAGTTTATAAACAACAGAAGTTTATTACTCACAAATGTGGAGGCTGGAAAGTCCAAGATCAAGGTGCTAGAAGATTCAATGACTGGGGAAGGCCTGTTCCTCCTAGATGGCACCTTCTATGTGTCCTTACATGGTGAACGGGCAAAAGGGGCTCTCTGGGACCTCTTTAATAAGGGCACCAATCCTATTCATGAGAGTGCAGCCCTCATGGCCTAATCACTTCCCAAAGACTCCATCTCTAATAACATCACTTTGGGGATTAGGTTTCAGCATATGAATTTTGAGGGGACACAAACATTCAGACCCTAGTACCATATTATTTCTTATAATAATTTTGTAGCTCACTGGTATTTCACGAATTGCTGACATGTCAATAAAAAGGTTTCCAATGTCAAATAAGATCAAACACTGCAAACTGTATGTCACAGGATGGTCACAAAGCCCCTCAGCATGATAAATGCCCTAAGGATCTCATTGTGAAGAGACCTTATATAACTATTTGATTCAGCATTTCCAAAGCTTATTTAACCACAGACCTCCTCTCTTCTCCACTGTACCAATACTTACAGATTAGAAAAACACTTCTACTCCTCAGAACAGGGTTTGGGAAATTCTTACAGCAAGTAACGGTCGAGTCTATATGCAAACAAACATCTGTTTTTACAGAATATAGCTTGATTCATTCAAACTAATATTTTCTCATGAGATGCTAACTTGTTATTTTCAAAGCAATTGCACATTTGACTTAGCTCAATAGTTCCTTTGTTGCTCCTCTAAAAAAAAGTCTGTTTCTGTAGATAGATACATTGACTATCCCTAAACAAAGTTAAAAATTTAATCAAAATAATTTATCTGGACTGTTCATTCTTTACCTCAAAAAGCTTGCTTTTTGTTTCAGTTCTGGTATCTCACAGTTAGCAATTTCAAGACAGAATCTCAGGACTGGGAAAATGAGAGCGCGGGAGTGTTTGAGCTTAAAAAAAACTTTAGAAAACTCTATTCCCGCCCCTTTAATTTACAGATAAGAGAACAGGAGCCTCAAAATTCCATAATCATTTAGTGGCTGGTCAGCCCAACAAATCAGACCCCCTCCTCTATGCCCCTTAGACCTAATATCATGTTTCTCCTTTTTGTTTAACAATAAGCCAGTTTTACTTGTGCTGATCTCAGTACTGTTGGAGCATTCATGCTTACAAAGAACACAGAGATGTTTAGGTACACATAGGTTACCAGAGGTACTTCTAATGGAGGAAGATCTTTCAGTTTAGAGGGTATGATAGAATAGGGACCAGCTCTCCTAGGGAAATTTAACATCACAGTGTGAGGACTTAGCATCTCACATATGGACTTATTTCTTCACTAGGGTCTTGTAATTAATTCTAATTAAGAAAAACATTAAGTAATGTTTTCCAATTAGCCCACAAACAGTTTTCGACCCATGGTAGAGTGGATGTTTGTTCTTTGCTGGGGACATTAATATTATTAAACACTGATAAAAGACAGCATTTGTTGCCTGCATCCTGTGGCAGCTGCAGAATTGCTTTCTACAGAAAGGACATAAATACACTATTTTTTCTCGGATTAAGCATTTGTTTGGAGTGGCTGTGGTGGTTGGAGGAGGGGCAGCTAACGCGAATTATGAGGAAGCTCTTAAACCTTAGGTGTCTGTCTCTCCCTTTCTCCTCTCTGCCTTCCTCTTTCTGCCTTTGACTTAACCACATTCCCTGGGAGGGTAATGCTCTCCAAAGTCAAATGCTACACCTGTGGCTAATTCTCAGGCAATACAAGGAAGACTCTGCCACATTAGAAGCAATTGGCTGTTTGCAGGAAGCACGATGATCTGTAGTCACATCTCATTAGGGGAGCCTGGGCCCCATGGTGTACGAGTAAAGCAAACGCTGCCAATGTAATTTGTTTTATATGCCTAATTCTCTTCCTTATAATTAACATCTGAAATTTGAAAAGAAAACGAGAGTGCTTTGTACACGTTTGGGATCTGTAGAGCACTTTCAGGGAGCCTGGGATTTTAGAGCAGCACTCACCCTTACCTTGTCCTTTCTTTTTTTTTTTTTTTTTTTTTTTTTGAGACGGAGTCTCGCTCTGTCGCCCAGGCTGGACTGCGGACTGCAGTGGCGCAATCTCGGCTCACTGCAAGCTCCGCTTCCCGGGTTCACGCCATTCTCCTGCCTCAGCCTCCCGAGTAGCTGGGACTACAGGCGCCCGCCACCGCGCCCGGCTAATTTTTTGTATTTTTAGTAGAGACGGGGTTTCACCTTGTTAGCCAGGATGGTCTCGATCTCCTGACCTCATGATCCACCCGCCTCGGCCTCCCAAAGTGCTGGGATTACAGGCGTGAGCCACCGCGCCCGGCCACCTTGTCCTTTCTCACAACAAACAACAGTATAAACTGGGGCCAGGACATTCATAGGTCACAGAGAGCCAGTGTAAACTCTAGAGGCCTGATCCCTGGAATACAATATGTGTGAGGAGGAAGGAGAAGGCAGTGTAGCCGAAAGTCAGCATTATCCTCCACCCTATGCATGGGTCTAGCTGCTCTCACCATCACTGAGATGAAGTGGCCCTGCAAACATGATTCTGCAGTGTGTCAGGGTTAGAGTCAGGACCTGGCTGTGTATTACCCCAGGCAACCTTCACAGTTGTTCCCCCACTGCACTTCTGGTCTGACAACTGGAAACAGTCAAACATGGAGTGACAGGGAGGAAATATGGAGTGATGAGTTTTCTGCCACCAACCACCCTGGAAGACAGACTATGGAACCAAGAGAGAATGTCATCCACAAAGTCTCTGCAATGTGAATAGGGCTATGCAGAAAGGGTCTGGTATTGGCCATCAGATCTGGAGCCTACATATCTAAGACAAGCCAGATGAGATTGGTGGACATTCTGGATGTGCTAGGTAGCTCTCTTGGTTGCAAACACCAGAAATTGTTCCTAGGTCATTCAAAAGTTGAAGATGAATTTGTTGGTAGGTTATTGGTTAGCTCACAGACTTGACAAAAAGCAAGAGAATGAGATGACCAAAAGAAGCTGAAGAACACGAGCACAGATAAGGTCATGATGCAAGACCAGCCTGGTTATGGTGCCAGGCACGGCAACCTCTGAACGCTACCACTGCCACTGGGATGGTCACTGCTAAACAAGAGACACCGCCCACCTCCTTGTCTCTCACTAAGCCCCACTCAGGAACACAAGAAGGGGCCTCAGATGTGGGACAGGCAAAATATAACAAGTGTCTTCTCACATTGGTTGTTCATTCAGCTAAGGGGTTTATGCAAAACCTCAGAAGAGCCAAAGATGTGGGACATGTGTAATGACAGATATGACTGTGTTTAATCTCCCTTAGTACCTCCAGCCCCTGTGATTTTCAGCTAGCTCATGCTAATGCTCTTTTGCAACCCTCCTCCTTTTTCCCCTATTTTTCCACAATGTTAATAATCAATCATTGAACAACCATGCAATTTGGTAGATGATTTACATTCATTGTTTTCTTTAATTGCCACATAAACTCATGAAGCAGGTATGACAATTTCCATTTTCAGGTAAAGAAATTAAGGCTTTAAAAATTAAGCAACTTGCCTAAAGTCACTCAGCTAATCTATGACAAAAGTGGGATTTGAACCCAAGTCTGGCTGACTCTAAAGCCTGAGGTTTGGATGGTGTAAAGAATCCCCTTTCAACATCAAAAAACTCATAGATACCAACAAGACAATAGCATTTATAGTATGTATTGATTTTTAAATACATAATGACAAAAGCAATGTTAATTCAGTATACATAAAGATCTATTGTATGAATCCTAGTAGTATCTACACACAATGTTTTATTAACTACAATAGGATCTACATGTATTTGAAAAACATATCTGAAGAATATTTTACAAATCTAGCCTTCCTCTCCCACATACTTCTTACAAGAATTATGTCCCCTCAGCCTACCAGCTAGGGAGCAGGCACATGACTTGAGTTTGGCCAGCTACTGCAGAACTTTGACACGAACTGTAAATTGCAAGTGACCATGCTAAACCCTAAAACTCTGTGGCTCCCATAGAATGCAAATCATAAATGTTGAAGGAAGGAAGGTAAGAAGGGAGGGAGAAAAAGTTAGAAGGGAGGGAGTGGAAGGGCCAGGGCAGGTGCAGTCAGGAGAAGCTAAGCCAACTTGAAGGTTTAGGCTAATAGGTTCCTCATGTTCAAAGGTCAAGTCTAGAAAAATTGGCTCCTGGTTGGCTTCACAGGTCATGGCAGGTGAACCAAAGAAAGAGTCTACAGCCCTTAGCAAAAAACTGAGGATCAAAAGGTCAGGGAACCAGGAAAAGTGTCTAAGTAATTGGGCAGGAATTTGGGCACTGACAGAAAAGAAGACACTAAACACCAAACCCTCCACCCACTACCCACTGCCCACCACCCGACACAGGGCTTTTGTTACCATCCAGCTAAGGAGCAGAGCAGGCCTCAGAATTCAGGACAGGCTGAGCCCTTATGTGCCTCCTGGAAGACAGCATTTCCCAGACTATTCCTGGGACTCTTGTTCTATGAACAAGAGCTTCATAGAGCTTTCTGTTAAGGGATGATTTGTGGCCAAATTCTGTTTACCTCTCGGAGTTTCATGGTGTACATTAGTATGTTAAAGACTCTTGCAAGTTCAGAGGTAAAGAAACCTATTGACCTTTGTTGAACTCCAGCATTTCTCAAACTTACTTGATCCTGGAAGCCTATTTTGTAGACTGCCTATTATTGTCTCAGGGAGCATTAAGGTTCCAAGACAACAGCTATGGAAATACTGCCCTACAGCACCAGTATTCTCAGGCAGTGTGGACCCTTTTTCCATATAGTCATGCCTTGGAAGTCCTAGAAGAATTCTCTCTCTCTCTCTCTCTCTCTCTCAAGTCCTGGAAGATTCTCTCTCTCTCTCTCTCTTTTTCTGTTTCTCTCCTCACTCTCAGCTTTCTAATCTGCACACTGGTTGGGTGATCATGCACATTCATCTTAACATAGCCAATGGAAGTATTTTTAAGGCTGTTGTCATCTCTTCTGGAGAGCTTTCCTTGAGATCTCCCACCCCAAGCCCACCTCAATCCCACCCAACCCAAGGGGGCTGCCACATCTCCAGTGTTGAGGTGAAGAACACCCACTTTGAACCAGATTGCCTACGTTTGAATTCTGACTCTGTCAATTACTAGCTGTGTGACCTTTGGCAAATAAGTTAACATTTCTGTGCCTGTACTCACCTACCTCACAGAGTTGTGGTGAGGATTAAATGATGTTATACCTGTAAGCATTTAGACAAGTGCCTGGAAGAAAGTAATCTCTGAGTGTTTGCTCTCATTACCCCCACACTGTCCAGTCATTATCATTTTATCCTACTCCTTTATTAGACTCTATGCAGTTTGACAGCAGAGGTTGTGTCTTTTAGCCCTGTGTTTCCTGTGCCTAGCACAGTGCCTGACACATGCTGGCTACACCATATAGGTTATTGAATAAAAAAATCTGGCCAGGTGCAGTGGCTCATGCCTGTAATCCTAGCACTTTAGGAGGCTGAGGTGGGCAGATCAGTTGAGCTCAGGAGTTGGAGACCAGCTTGGCCAACATGGCGAAACCCTGTCTCTACAAAAAATACAAAAACTAGCTGGGGGTGGTAGTACGTGCCTATAGCCCCAGCTACCTGGGAGTCTGAGGTGGGAGGACTGCTTGAGCCCAAGAGGCAGAGGTTGCAGTGAGCCAATGTAGTGCAACTGCACTCCAGCCTGGATGACAGAGTGAGACCCTGTCCCCCCCCCCGCAAAAAAAATCATTTGTGATTTTGAGAGAAACATCAAATGGAGACTAAAACTTCTTTTCTAGAAAATTCTAGCAAATTGAGAGAAACCAGCTGATGATATAAAAAACAAACAACCAAAAAAGAGCTCATATGTGAAGCTATAGCTGAGAGATACCTGGTTCTATAATCCATTGCCAGTTTCATCCTTCTAAGTCCATCACGATGAAATGAATCATGATGCTTTGCTTAATTTGCACATCTTTTTTTAATGGAGAATTGATCTTTCCTCCCTTAGCGAAACTTTGTGGTGGCATTACAAAGGGGAAAATAAATTTTTACATTCACATATCAAATGTTTTTATTTTCAATTATAAAATCTGTCTTTCTAAGACATTCTACAAGCGGAAGCACAGTGGAATCCTGCCTGTGAGATCTGTTTTAAGCGTTCTCAGCAGCTCAGCTTTCTAATGTTCCATTCTGGGGCAAGCATTTCTCAATTGGGTAGGAGTTCCAGAATGCCTAGACTTTTATCTGTCTTCTTGGTTTTGGGGAAAGAAAGCTGTTTTTATTTCTAAGCCTGGGTTTTCTTAACAAAATGATTGTCAGAAATGCTCTTGCTCTGTGCCCTTCCCCTCTTCTGCTCCAGCCATGAGGAGAGAGGTATCATTTAATGATCCTTACTTGTAAAGGGAATAAAAATAAAAAGCAGAGAAAGTAGTAGAAGTGGGAAGATCTCCAAAAGTCATAGCCCCCATTACTATGTGTTTCTAATTCTAGCCACAGATACCGCCGCAGACCTGGAGGAATTTGTTCTTAACAATTTAAGCAAGATTTTTTAAAGTTAATCATATACCACAAACCTTTAAAACAGACATTTCCAGTCTGCAAACCATTTTTACACTCTCCACTTGTCTTTTCTACCTTGCGGTGACAGACTTATCTCATTCTGTCCTTGTCCTAAACTCAGCTATGACAGCGGGAATGGACAAAGATGCAAAGAGAATTATCAAATATCAAAGGAGAAAATACCAAAGTCTGTGTTTTCCCCAGCTGAAGTCTTCAATTCACCTGGGATGTATTTTGTAGTTTTCAGTGTGTTTCAAATTTAAAATTATCACGGCAACAAAACTCTAAAATCTATCTCCTGTGTGTGTGTGCAAGCATGTGTGTGTGTGTTGTTTTGAGGGTTATATTTCTGGTGTTTTGTTTCTATTTAGTTGTTTTTGTGAAATGTAAGGGAGAATGTTTAATGGCCTAGTTCAGCACTTTCAGAATGGTTGGCTCTGTTCTCAGCCTTGAAATGGACTTGGCTGTTATCTTTAAGTAAGTCAACCTAGTAATCTACCCTCCTGTTTTCCCAACTCTAAAAACAGAACATACTTGCACTCAGTCCCACAGATAAGGCACAAGGGCTATTTAAAAAGGTAGCCAATCTGGCCGGGCGCGGTGGCTCACGCCTGTAATCCCAGCACTTTGGGAGGCTGAGGCAGGTGGATCACGAGGTCAGGAGATCGAGACCATCCTGGCTAACACGGTGAAACCCCGTCTCCGCTAAAAATACAAAAAATTAGCCGGGCGTGGTGGCAGGCAACTGTAGTCCCAGCTGCTTGGGAGGCTGAGGCAGGAGAATGGCGTGAACCCGGGAGGCGGAGCTTGCAGTGAGCCGAGATAGCGCCACTGCACTCCAGCCTGGGCGACAGAGTGAGACTCCGTCTCAAAAAAAAAAAAAAAATAGCCAATCTGTCGCCTTCCAGGGGCTTTACACAAGGTATACAACGTCAATATTCTAAACAGTTCTAGCCCTCTGTCCTGTATATGTTTCTAGCTGCTTCATCATTCATACAGAGCCTTTTCTTTCATCTTCCCCATGAGCTTGTGCACAGGTTCAAATGGTGATAATTACCATAAAACAATTGTGTTGTCCTTCTCCCAATAAAAATCGCTCTGTTAATCAGCCAACTTGCAGCCCCCTTGACTGAGGACTCTTATGCCAAACTGGCAGGGTAGAACGTGGCTGCAGATAAATTAGCCCATGTGTGATTGCATGCGAAAACACATTGATTTAGGATTTTTTTCCCTCTCCCCTTCAACCTGACAACTTGTCTAAATAGGCTTTTGCCTCGACCTGACAGCTCGTGGACAAGTTGTGTACAACAGGCCATTAAAACTCAATGCTCTGAATATTGAAAGTACAAAACACAGACAAAGGGATAAGATTGAAAGATAAAAGGATGAACAAAGGAAGTGGGGGAGGATAGGGGTAGGGTCTGAGGAGTTATCCTTTAGCTGTGCTTTCAGACTTTGTCACAGGCTAAATTCTTTGAAATTGACTCTGAAATGGAGTTGAGGTGAAGGCTGTTTATGAGGGATCAACACCTATGGCAGGGAGGAGGGGAAAGCAGAATTGGGTACAGGAAGAAGTTGAGCTAAGACACATGCTGGACAAACTCTAAGCTAGCTCTCCCTTCCCTGAGGGGCTTTGGAATGGTCCTGTGTTGGGCTAAAGTGGTTGGACCTTTATCCCCCACCCACACTTTCATTCATCATTGCAAGGGCAAGGGCATACTCTGAGACTGAGCTCACTTCCTGCAGCTGAGGCAAACCGTGACTGACAGAGCTGACAGCTGGGGTACATCTTTCCCTTGGAGGTGGATCTGAGCCATGCATCTCTGTGTCTACAGCAGAGATACTCACAATTGCCTACATGATCATAGCCCAACTCTTTGCATCTCTAGATCTCTAGTCATTTCCTAGCCCAGATCAAGTTATGTCTTTTTTGACCACAGCATAACAGCTCCTATAATTAAGCACTGGTTAGACCCCTGCTGTGAGCTGTACCTACTTTATCTCATTTAATTCTCATAACAACCTTGAGGTAGGTTTCTTTTATTTTTCTTCTTTCTTTCTTTCTTTTTTTTTTTTTTTTTTTGACAGTCTTTCTCTGTTCCCCAGGCTGGAGAGCAGTGGCGTGGTCTTGGCTCACTGCAAGGTCCACCTCCTGGGTTCAAGCAATTCTCCTGCCTCTGCCTCCCAAGTAGCTGGGATTACAGGCATGCACCACCACACGTGGCTAATGTTTGTGTTTTTTAGTAGAGACAGGGTTTTACCATGTTGGCTAGGCTGGTCTCGAACTCCTGACCGCAGATGATCCACCCGCCTCAGCCTCTCCAAATGCTGGGATTACAGGTGTGGGCCATCACACCCAACCTAGGTAGGTTTCCTATAATCCTCATTTTGTAGATGAGGAAACAGGCCACGAGAGATAACCTGTCAAAGGTCATATAACTGGTGAATGGCAGAGTTGGCATATGTACTCAGAGCTGTCTGATTCCAAAGTCCATTTGTTTAACTATGACACTGTATTGATTAGAACAGATATAGGTCTGTAGGCTCCGACTGCAACTCCTTCCCTGACCTTTATCCACAAAGATTTAACAGAAAACACTTCTATTAGGACCGTTAGAGCTCACAAAACAGTCATGTGTTCTTGTGGACTCTTGCCTCTCTTTGACTGCCAGACCCAATAAATGTTTTATTTAGAATATACTATGTTCTACTATCTCTATTTAGATTCTTTGGGAAGCTGACTCTGAGAGACAGATTAGTAGGTAGGAGAATTATTAGTGTTCTCTTGGTATCAACACCCGGGGAAGGGAGGAACAGAAAGCAGGAGTGGACAGATGGAAAAATTGGGCTGCAATGAACGCCTCAGTTGACCTTATAGAGAGCTCAAGAGATAAAAGTGGCTGATCAGAGTTGTCCTCAGTTGGGGCAAGGGAGGCTAAGCCTTTATATATTGTGCCAGATGGTCACTGGATGTGGGATGCCCTGGAAATGGAGCATGATTTGGGGCAAGGTAGCTCTCTGCAGCTGAAGCAAATTGCAAAGTTGGACTCAGCTGAGTGTTTTCAGCTGCCATCAGTCCCAACAGCTGGAGGAATGAGTGTGTCATTCTTTAAAGGGGATCAGGGTGGCCAGTCACAGCATCCACTACAGCTGTTTTCTTCTAAATACTCCAAGAGTTAAGTATTATTAGTCCCATTTTATAGGAAAGAAAATTGAAGGTTAGTCAATTTAACGACTTATGCAGAGACAAGTAGGTAGAATGTAATTATCCATCCATTTATCTAACAAATATTTATTAAGCACATTCTGTGTGCCAGGGTCCTAAGAATTTACTAGTGAAAAAAAAAAGAACACCTGACTTCATCCAAATAATATTTTAGTGTTGACAAGCAATACTTTATTGAAGATATAAAAACAATTTTATGAGCTTGTCCATTTCTTTAAAATAGCTTTTTTTAAATTTCTTCTAAAAAAATGGGATACATGTGCAGAATGTGCAGGTTTGTTACATAGGAATACGCACCCCATGGTGGTTTGCCACACCTATTGACCCATCCTCCAAGTTCCCTCCCCTCACCCCCCACCCCCCAACAGGCCCTGGTGTGTGTTGTTTCCCTCTCTGTGTCCATGTGTTCTCATTGTTCAACTCCCACTTATGAGTGAGAACATGCAGTATTTGGTTTTCTCTTCCTGTGTTAGTTTGCTGAGAATGATGGCTTCCAGCTTCATCCATGTCCCTGCAAAGTACATGATCTCATTCCTTTTTATGGCTGCATAGTATTCTGTGGTGCATGTGTACCATATTTTTTAAATCCAGTCTATCATTGATGGGCATTTGGGTTGGTTCCAAGTCTTTACTATTGTAAATAGTGCTGCAGTAAACATACGTGTGCGTGTGTCTTTATAGTAGAATGATTTATATTCCTTTGGGTATATACCCAGTAATGGGATTGCTCGGTCAAATGGTATTTCTGGTTCTAGATCCTTGAGGAATCGCCATGCTGTCTTCCACAGTGGTTGAACTAATTTACATTCCCACCAGCATTGTAAAAGCGTGCCTATTTCTCCACAGACTCACCAGCATCTATTGTTTCCTGAGTTTTTAATAATCGCCATTCTGACTGGTGTGAGATGGTATCTCATTGTGATTTTGATTTGCATTTCTCTGATGATCAGTGATGTTGAGCTTTTTTTCATGTTTTTTGGCCGCATAAATGTCTTCTTTTGAGAAGTGTCTGTTCATACCCTTTGCCCACTTTTTAATGGGTTTTTTTAATTGTAAATTTGGTTAAGTTACTTGTAAATTCTGGATATTAGACCTTTGCCAGATGGATAGATTGCAAAAACTTTCTTCCATTCTCTAGGTTGCCTATTCCCTCTGATGATAGTTTCTTTTGCTGTGCAGAAGCTCTTTAGCTTAATTAGACCCCATTTGTCAATGTTGGCTTTTGTTGCAATTGCTTTTGGTGTTTTTGTCATGAAGTATTTGCCCATGCCTACGTCCTGAAAGGTATTGCCTAGGTTTTCTTCTAGGGTTTTTATGGTTTTGGGTTTTACATTTAAGTAAAACATCCACCCATTTGCAGATAAGCCTCTGAGTGGCCAGAAGGGCTCTTCCTAAGAGTTATCACATAGGGATTTTCAAAATTCAAAGCATGCTCACCAATTTTGAAATAAACCAAATACTAATACAGCTCTCTAGTTGCTTCTGGCTAAGATCTTCAGACTAAACAAAACAGTGAATTTATTAGACTCCTCTTGAGACATGAGAGCTTACAAACTTTACTACAGAGGCTGGAAATATACCTGGGAAGGAAACATTTGACCTTTGAGTTATTGAGGTATCGAAAACATGCTAAACCAATAGCAGGGAGTGGGTGGAAAAACAGATGGGAAAACAATTCTGATAGTGACCTAGCATTCATCCATGCAGAACTTCTAACAGTCACAAGAAAAGGCCTACCTCTGCTTTTGTGAATATGAGAATTATAATTTTAGTGTGTGCTGCTTTTGTTATACAACCTACCATTTTTGTCATTTGACCACTTTTATAGAGCCCCTCTCATGTGCAGAGCATTAGCTACCATGAGCATGTGAGAGAAGGCAGCATGCACAGCTTTGTGCATTATGTAAGGTGACCCCTTTATTGTGCAGCCTGATGTTTCTTTTGTGTGTGTGTGTGTGTGTTGTTTCTTAATGGAGATGGGCTTGGGAGGGGTAACAGACCCCTTACGTGTTATGTTTTAATCTAGTTGTGAAATGTTAGAAAATACATCAAAAGGTTTATGTGGAAGCAAGAAAATGTTGAAATTTCTTGGTAAAACCCATTTCCATTCATTGCTATTAAGAAGGACTGAGTGGCCATCAACATCTAATCTGGGGTTCGTGGATATATTTTGGGAATGGACCACCTGAAACAACATCATCACCCCAAGTAAAACAAAGGTATTGTATTCTGTGTACCCAAGCTTGGCTTTCCATCTTCCTCAGAATCTTTTAGTAGAAAGAAATGAGAGCTGATGAAGAACCAATTCATATTAAAATAGTTATCAACTAGTGCTGAAAGTCTAATCCATTTGGGATTGTGTTTGCTCCATAAGGTGGTGAACTCAGTTATCTTGAATGATCAGGGAATGGGGTTCTCATTATTTTTATACCAAAATGTATGGCCAATTTACAAAGAATAATATGATTGCAACAAGGTACACTGTAGGAAATTCACTGTAGGAAATTCTGTTCAGAATCAGGCACATCAGAATTTTCTAAGCCATGAAGCTATCATTATGGACACGGATTCTGGCAAATTTGGAAATATCATAGATAGAGTTTCCTACTATTAGAATGTGAGATAAACCAGCTCTCACTATTAGGGAATAGAAATTCTCCTATTGGTCATATGTAAGATGGTATGGATAAAGCAATAGAAGTGATAATCTCTCCAAAAAATAAAATAAATAAATAAATAAAATAGCTGTCTAAAAATTTCCTTGGTCTGAGGAAGAGACATTTAAAGCCTATTAATACATATTACCAAACTTCTTTCCAAGAGAGTTAAAAAATTGTAAACATGCGTTCCTAAAATATTGAGAATGAAGAAAGGGCAAACCAACTTGGCCATGAGACGTCTGTTTAGCATAATGAGGAAGTGTTTAGTACAAATCAACCTTGAGTCAGCCAATTTTCATTTGGAATCTTGAAAGGCACTGAAGATGATAACATCTAATTCTTCATCATTTGAAGAATGCTGTTGATAGCATCAACAACAAAAACCAACTTGTCAAGCACTAAACTTTTACCAAACACCTATCTCATTAGCCCACTTCCTATTTAAGAAATTGCTGTTTAAGAGATTGAATCAATTACTTCCAGATGCAGAGTGAATAAATAGTATAGCTGCACTATGTCTCCTACACCCAGGAATTTTGCTGTCCAATAATTTTATTCTTGACTATCTATTGAGCCCTGGCACAGTCAAAATGGTGGCAAACCTACCACCCTTAGATGCCAGTGCTCTCTTGATGACCCTGGCACACAGGCACTTCAACCCCCTCTGTGCCTTGCTACCATGGCTTTTCTTTGGATAGGGAAAGGAGAAGAAAGGGGAAGGGTTGCCTCCACCCTGGGTTCTGATTTAGTAGGCCAAAGGTATAGTCTGGAATTTGCATTGTAGAAGTGTTTTCCCTACTGCCCATAACTCCCAAATGAAAACCATGGCTTTAGAGACTAGAACTTTCCCTCTCACTTCCCCCCATAGTGTCTGGTGTTCTGTTCCATCAGGGCAGGCAAGGAGCTTGTCAGCCAATTCAAAAGGCTAGTTGGAGCTCAGGTTTTAGTGGGTGATCCTGAATCACATTGATATCCCTCTGAGATAACATGTGTAAGTCAAGCCTGTCTGAGGCCTGATCAGTGGCTGCATTGTTCAGACTTTAATGGCAGATTTGAGTCAGAGTAGGTTTCCTATAGACAAAAAGACATCAGGATGCTGAGATTCCTTAAATAGTGGATATGATAATGGGTATAAAAAGGTGATATTTCAAATGCCAGGTGGAATGGACTAGAAGTAGGTCTTATCATCCACTACTCAGTAGAGAAGAGGTAAAGTGGTCTCTCAAAAAGATCACTCAAGTGATGGACAAATGCATCTTTCTGTTACAAGGATGGTGCTGATCTTGCACAGGGAGAAAAAGCCAGAGAGTTCTACAACTTGTGGGTAAATGTAGAACTGTCAGGACAGTGATAAAAAGAACTGAAGCTCAAGCAAATATTTACTCAAAAAAGACCAATAAGTTGTGCAACTGTCTTATATCACCTGAGCTGAGTAAGACTTGCTCAGGGGGAAAAGTCAGGGATAAACCCTAAGATTGTACCTAACAGGACAGAAATGATCTCAGAGTGAAGCACGTAAGCTGGTATTTTTCATTTCTTCAAATTATTTTAGAAGAATCCCCTGTTTGCCAGAAAGATGTGTATTTGAAAAAAGGGTAGTCCAATGGCTTGTTGATGGCCTTGGGTTTTCAAGGATGAGCCTTTGGGAAAGTGTTTGGAACAGTGTTCTGGGACTTCTTACCACCATGAGGAAGTAACTTGTTTCACTAAAGAGTGATAAATCCAACAATATTAACAATCAAAGTTCCCAGAAGAAGTAAACTTCCATTCACATCCCCAAGTAGACCTGGCCACATGAACCAACTGCCCTGTATAGACACCCACTACAGGTCTCCTTCAGGAACTTCAATCATGTAAAGATGTAATAGCGGCTTGTGTTTAAATATCTTTTAGGCTCACAAAATACATTTAACGTATATTTAAGCCTCGAAACAACCTCATGAGGTATGTCTCATGTGCCCCCATTTTATTAATGAGGAAACTGAGACTTAGGTTAAGTGACCATCCAAAATGTTCACCTAGGCATCCACTTAGGATAAGGTTACAGTAGCTTTTTTCCTCTGTCTCTCTTCCACAGAGAACAAGTAGAAGAGTAGGACATAAATACAAAGAATGTGGTTGAAGGCCTCAGAGATCTTCCAAAGCAGCAGGGACTTGAAAGACCAGCATCCTGTAGAGAAAGGAAATGCATTGAGAAGAATCTGGCATTTTGAACCCAATTTTCCCCTTGATGAATCTGCTGATTCATAAGAGGCTTGGAGTCACGAGTCTAAAAAACCAAGTAAAAGAGTGGCAACTGAGACACTAGGAAGCCAAATGGAGGTTTTGGAAGTCTCACAACCCAGGGAGGCAAAACTTGGAGTTCAGGAATACCCAGGAGGCCACAACTGGAGAAGTCAAGATCTCAGGGAGAAGGCAAACACATTGAAGTGAGCCCGACATTTTTTTTAGGCATTTGACACGATGCCCTGCCTTTTTGTATAAAGATACAGCAAATCTGAAAGTAAAAAGATGAAAAAAGTTATGCCATGCAAACATTAACCAAAAGAAAACTGGTGTAGATGTAACGATAGCAAACAAAGTAGACTTTAAAGGAAGAAGCATTACAAGACATAAAGATGGACATTTGTGCCAAGTGCAGTGGCTCACGCCTGTAATCCCAGCACTTTGGGAGGCCAAGGTGGGTGGATCTCTGGAGTCCAGGAGTTTGAGACCAGCCTGGGCAACATAGCAAAACCCCATCTCTACAAAAAAAATACAAAAATTAGCCAGTCATGGTGGCGTGCTCCTGTAGTTCTAGCTACTTAGGAGAATGAGGTGGGAGGATTGCTTGAGCCCAGGAGATGGAGGCTGCAGTGAGCCAAGATCATGCATTCCAGCTTGGGTGACAGAGTGAAACCCTATCTCAAGAAAAAAGATAGACATTTGATTAAATGGGTCACAGTCTACCAGGAAGATAAAACAATCTTATATGTATGTAATAATGTAGCCTTAAACTATAAAGCAAAAATTGACTGAAATAAAGAGGAAACAGACAAATTCACAATCATGGTGAGGAATTGTAAGGCAACTCCCTTACATTTGAAAATACAAGCCCAACAGAAAGCCTTTGGACCACCTTTCCCAAATTCACATCTTTCTGGTTAGCAGGAAGTTATGGAAAAAGAATTCCAAGGAATGCAAAATGTAGGTATATGTACTTCATTCTGAGACCTGGATTATTGTTACAATTTCTGCCTTGTTAGTTATTTCCCTCCACAACTGTTAGAGAAAGAAAAAAACAACAGGCACGAAATTGAAACAATAAGGAAGATTTGAAACATACAAATAACAAACTTGATTTAATTGATATATTTTGTGCATATGTTTAATATTGCATACTATATATTATATATATATATATATCAAGTGTACATGAAACATTTACCAAAATTATATATAGCTGGGCCATAAAGCACATCGAATAAATTTTGAACAATTGAGATCACTTAGAGTATGTTCCCTGACCACAGCTAGAATAAATTAAAAAGCAATTTAAGGATATATAACTGGAAAATCCTCAAATATTTGGAACTTAAGTATTATACTTCTAAATAACTCCCAGGTAAAAAAAAAAATCCCAATAAAGGTTAGAAAAAAACTTTGAACTGAGTGGTAATAAAAATATAGCATAGCAAAACTTGTGGGGTGCAGTTAAAGCTATGCTTACAGGGAAATTTATAGCTTTGAATTCATAAATTAGGAAATAAAGCTAAAAGTTAGTGATCTCATTATTCATTCCAAGAAGAAAAATACAACACATTACATTCAGAGAAAGCAAAAGGAAGGAAACAATAAAGATAAGCCAAAGAACATAAACGGACAATAGAGATACTCAAGAAGTGAAAAGTTGGTTCTAACAGACACTGGGGCCTATCAGAGGAAGGAGGGTGGGAGGAGGGGGAGGATCAGGAAATATAACTATTGGTACACTAGGCTTAATATCTGGGTGACAAAATAATCTGTACAACAAAACCCACAAGGTAAACACAAGTTTACCTATATAACAAACCTGCACACGTACCCCTGAACTTAAAAGTTAAAAAAAAAAAAAGTTGGTTCTTCAAAAAGACTTATGAGCAAGACTGCTGAGAGTTATCCCTCACTTGAGGCAAAACCACGACTTAAACCTAGGCCTTGACCAAGCACTCCTCAAGCATCCGCTGTCCCAGGAAGCCCTTAGCAGGTTTGTGGGAAGTATGACTGTACCCTGGTTTGGAAAGCTTGCAGGAACGCCAGTTGGGGAGTGCCATAGAGGGCCAGGGTGGGGTTGGGAGTGTGACTCAGTGCCCAATCATAGTACAGGAGATGAGGAGTCACTGGACTCATTCTCTGGAAGCTTCAACAATCAACCAGGGATGGAGTCTCAAACTGCCAGAATCTCTTTTACCAAAAATGAACAATTTCACTGGACTACAGCTTGAGTTTTTTTAGTTCTCTTCTCTCAAAGTAACTATAGTATCACACGGTTATGAACTAAATCTTTATATGGCAATACAGTGACTTATGTTTGCATATCAGCTACCCTGTGTAACAGAAGTAGTCCCCTGCCACCATTTCCCATCAGGGTTTACTCAGTAACAGGCCACCTGGCTGAGGGCTGTGATATTTCACTAGCCTCCTTCCTGAGTTGGAAAAACTCAGGCAGTATTAGTTTCAGATCTCTGAAAAGCTTCAACTTGAGCTAATGCTTCCTTGATTTCCATCCTGCAAAGGAATCCAAGTGGCTTTCTCAAAAAGGAAGGAAACTAACATTTATTGAGTGCCTACTATGTGCCAGAGATTTTAAATTAATTAATCCATTTAATTTTCACAACTCTTCTGAGCTATTTTCATTTTTCAGAGAAGAAAACCAAAGGACAAAATGTTTAAATATCCTCACCATGTTCATAGAGCTTTAACTGGCAGTTTTATTTTTCTTTTATCCCAAAGCTCACTTTCTTGAGAGATGATAAATTGAAATAAGAAAATAAATCTTGCGGTCAGAAAGATCTTGATTCCACTTCTGAGTCTGCCACTTAAACCATTGTAACCCTGGGCAAGTTAGCTGACCTCTATTGAACAATAATACTAACACAGTTGTCCCTTGGTATATGTGGAGGATTGGTTTCAGAACCTCCCATGGATACCAAAATCTATATACAATTGCTTAGTGTTTGCATATAACCTACGCATATCCTCCTGCATACTTTAAGTCATCTCTAGATTACTTATAATACCTAATACAGTGTAAATGTTATCTCAGTATGTTGACCAGGCTGGTCTCAAACTACTGGCCTCAAATAATCCTCCCACCTCAGTTTCCCAAAGCAATTGATACACTGTATTGGTTTTTAAAATTTGTATTATTTTTACATTTGTATTGTTATTTTAAAAAATATTTTCTATCCAAGTTTGGTTGAATCCGCAGATATGGAACTATGGATGTGGACGGTTGATTGTACATATATCCTGAGACCGTTGAGAGAATTAAATAAGATAATGAGGACAAGTGCTAAGTACAGTGCACAACACACACAATATGGTTACTACTCCTACTCCTGCTATCACTATCATTACTGTTGCTCTTGCTGCTGCTGTGCTACTGTATTACATTACCTATCTGGCCTATGCTGCCTCCATTTAGCTCAAATCCTGAACTGTTGACTGCGCTAGCTTCATGCAATGCTATTTAAAGGGCCAAATCCACCAGCCATAAAAAGAAATGAGGAAGTTATGGCTGATAGTGAAGCACAGGCCTCAGGAGTCAGGTCCCATGGGTTTTGTTTTGACCACTGAGTCACGTAGTGACCAACAAT
The DNA here is from genome assembly GCF_000001405.40 of Homo sapiens. Taxonomy (NCBI): domain Eukaryota; kingdom Metazoa; phylum Chordata; class Mammalia; order Primates; family Hominidae; genus Homo; species Homo sapiens. Next base: position 38,881,870 of record NC_000023.11, on the reverse strand, counting down.
CACACGAACATTGGCCAGCTCTCCTGTTGTTCATCAAGGTTAAAGACATAAACAAGCCCTCCTGCTTTGCACATGAAAATTCACCGCTTGCTTGAAAACCTCCTTGGGGAAAAGGTTTAGAAAACACAATTAACAATTTTTCTTGATGGAATCATTTTCTTCTTCCATCAGGGTTTTCTTTTAAATTCTAACCTACCCAGGTGATCTTCAGGTATATCTGAGCAGAGCAGCCCAGGGAGGATAGAAGAAAGGGATGATGCCCTTGATGCAGAATGCAAAAATGTTACTACAGATATTCATCGCTTAAGGGTGGGAATACACTCTAAGAAATGCACATTAGGCGATTTTGTCATTGTGTGAACATCATAGAGTTTACATACACAAACCTAGATGGTATAGCCTACTCCATCATATCACTCCATTATAATTTTATGGGACCACCATTGTATATGCAATCTGTCATCGACTGAAATGTCATGATGTGGCACATGGCTATACCTGAAGAATCAAAAATGAGTCTGTCCAGTTGGTATGTCCTGGAGGTGTTCAGATGTTTGTCAAACGAATGTGTGAATGAACTGGCAGGCATCTGTGCAGTCATTCATTGCATGCAAAGCACTGGAGTCCAAAAATTAATTTTTTAACCTTTTTGGTTTTGGCCTTCTGATGAACCCACAAAGTTTCATGTGTGTCAGAAGTAGCAGTCCCTATGCTAAAAATCTTCCCAACTTCTCTCCTGGTAGTAGTAAGCAATATGCTAGAGCTCCCAGTTCCTACTGGATTTGGCCCTTTATAATACTTATCACAATTACAATTATTTGTTTTGTGGCTAATTTCCTTGATAGGTCCAGCATGGAGCACAGAAACTGACACATAGAGGATAGTTACTGAATACCAGCTGAATGAATGAATGAGCAAACTACTTACTATCTAACAAACCAATGCTTGAAAATGGTACATGTTGCAGATTTCAGCTTAGTGCCACTGTACATTCTAGTTTCCTTTCCCAGATTTTACCTCCCAGGTAGGCTGATGTGCACCTCTCCCACTTTGTTGAATTGAAATTAAGAAATGTGTATGTTAGTGTGAGTCTGGCTTTTTCATGTAGTACTTTAAAACTCCCAGCCCCACTAGTGCTGGGGTGTTCACCGGCTCTCCCAGCATTCCCTAGGTGCAGAGACAGGGAAGTAAGTGGCTTCCTATTTGTCTACAGAGTGACTCAGCTTGCTTTAATGTTGCCTTGTTCAGTGCAAGTGGAGAGCTGGATACTGAGAGAGTCACGGCCAGCAGAAATACCTTCTAGAAATCAAACATGCATCTAGCAGAGCTCACTGGCTTCATCTCCCAAAGAGAGGGGCAGATTATATAAATGCTGATTAAGTCATGAGCTCTTGGTGTGGTGACATTTCACTGCCAAGCAAACAGACTAAGGAGCCAGTGAGCCTCCAATAAATGACGATGTATTTTGTACATTTCTTTTCACTTCCCTCATAGGAATAGAGATGGTCAGAAGGCAGAGAAAAACTTAGATTAAAAGTAGTGGTCTAGAAAGGTAAGTATCCCAAGAAGCAGGGCTAAGGGAGGGGCCGCTTGAGTGGAAGGAACATGATGACAAGGGGAGCCTTAATGCTTTAAGCTTATACGGAGGCAACTGCTGTTGGAGGAGCAGGTACATTCACGAGCTCATCACTCATCTGCAGGTACAGACTTCTCGGGCTCGTGAGCACATGTGGACATTCCTGCTCCTGAAAAAGAATGCCCAGGAAGCTATGTGCCTTACCTCTGAAAGACTTGCTTTATCATTGGCCTTACAGTTCTTCTGATGTCACTACAATAAAAACCTGGCTATGAAAAATAAACAGTGTTGTTGCCCCGCCCAGATCCCCTTTTTGGCAGGTGCACCCAGCTTCCAGCTGCTGTGAGCTGTTGACTGCTAAGAGCTTACAGCTGCAGCCTTCTCTGGAGGATTGTCCTCAACTAACAGGAACTGAGTCCCCAGTCCAAAGTGCCCCAGCCCCAGCATCTCATAGCCAATGACTGACTGACATAACAGTATAAAAAGTCAACCCCCTTGCTTCATGGTAAGATAACTCTGGTGTCATTTATGCCCCAAGAACCACCCTGGAATCAGGTTAAAGCTGGGCTCCAGCTCAACCACATCCTTAGCTCCTCCCTATGCCCTGTCCTGCTTCCTGCCTTCCCCCTCCTGAGAATACTCTTTCAACTGAACTTGAACAAAACAGTTTATTCTTCTGACTTTTGATGGGCATTTGGGTAGTTTCCAGTTTCTTTTACAGTTATAGCTAATGCTGCTTTAAACATTTCTTTCCGTGTGCCTATGTACCCATTTTTGTTGGGTATATTCCTAGGAATGAAATTGCTAGGTCATAGATTTGTATATATCCCACTTTAATGAATGCTGCCAAACAGTTCTTCAAAGTGGGTGCACCAATTCACACTTCTATTAGTTTCAGCGTAGGTATATGTACCCAATGTATGACTCTGTGGCATCACAGGAACTGCTTCTAGGGTTCAAGACTTAAGATAGGCATTACAGCTAACACTCACATAGTACTTACCACATGACAGGCATTCTTCCAAGAGCTACACATGTATTAATCCATTTAGTCCTCACAAATCTACCTCTATGACATAGATGTTACTATTCTCTCTGCTTGGCAGCTGAGGCAACTGAAGCAGAGATTTCAAGTAATTTGCCTAAAGTCACATGGTAAGTGATGGAGCCACGATTTGAATCCAGGCAGTCCCACCCTTAACTATAATTCTTACTGATTCTCATAACTCTCTTTTAATACCTGCTTATGTTCTTTTTCAGAAGGGAAGTTTAACTCTCACTTATTCCTTCCACAAGCATTAACATCCAGGGAATTAGAGACATTTTAAGACTATAATTCCAAAAAACAAAGCTCAATGACTAGAATGGTTTCTTCTACTTGCACTTCCCCCAATCCCAGCCAGCATTATGTAAAGATCAGTTTTGTACTTGAGCAGATGCTAAGCGGTCTGCACTTCTGTGGCTACAGAAAGTACTTAAGAGAAAGTAGGAAAGACAGTTCCAGAGAACAGCCTTTTTCAAGTGAAATCCTGCCAAGGCATACTCAGATATTCACAGTGGCGGTGGCTGAAAGTTACCCAAGATAGAGGCATAGGGGAGGACGATACAACAGCAAAATAATGAAGCCCAGAGCTCTTGTGCACTGCCAGTGGGAGTGTGAATTGGTGCCACCACTTTGGAGAACTGTTTGGCAGCATCTACTAAAGTGGGATATACACAAACCCATGACCCAGCAATTTCTCTCCTAGGAATATACCCAACAGAAATGGGTACATAGGCTCATGGAAAGAAATGTTTAAAGCAACATTAGCTATAACTGTAAAAGAAACTAGAAACTACCCAGATACCCATCAAAAGTAAGAAGGATAAACTGTGGTAAATGCATCCAATGTATGACTCTATGGCAATGAGAATAACTGAACTACAACGACACATAACAATATAGATGAATTTCACAAATGTGTTGAATGAAAGAAGCTGGACACAAAAAAAGTGTATGCTACATGATTCCACTCATATTAAGTTCAAAACTAGACAAAACTCATCTATTGTATTAGAAGACAAGATAGTGGCCACCCTTCGTGGGGGAGGTGACTGGAAAGGGGCACGAGGGGAAAGGACCAGAGTGCCGGTCACATTCACTCTCATGATCTAGGTGGTAGTTCCATGGCTGTGTTGGCTTTATGTGAATCTATCAAATTGTATGGTTATGATTTGTGCACTTCCAGTATGGTCATTATGCTTCAATTAAAAGCTGAAGAAATGACAGAGAACAATCTTGTTAAAAGGGAAAGAAAATCTTCCCACATAGATAGAATGTCTCTTTCTTTCCACAAGGAAAATTATATCAATGAAGATCAAAGCAGTTTTCTTACCCAGTGACCACACTTGTGAGTTCAAATTCCTTAGGGAGGTATTTGGTTGATCTCTCAGAGATCTCTCCTTATTCCACATATTTTGCCCTATATGGATTACTGAAATGGTTTTTGTATCTCAAAGCACCAGGCCTAGGCCATTTACTCAGAAGACAAAAAAAAAGTCAAGAGAGGCATTCATTAAGCACCAGAATAAAATGTGTCTGTCTTGCCCCATTCAAGTTTACCGAGGGCATGGGTTTATGATGAGGATGAGCATGCAGAGTAGGGGAAAGCTGTGTCACATGGAGCTAGTGCCAGAGCAGCAGGGAGACCCTGGCAGGCAAAGGCTTCCTTTGGAGGCTCCTCCAGCGCTGTCCTGTGATGGCATTCCCCACCCTCCCTTCTTCAAGGCAATAAGCAATCTCAAAGAAACCAACATCTAGCTTCCAATAACCCTGTTAATTTATTTCAGCACACAACAGGGTCCCTGATGTGGAAAAATCAGATTTCTAGGCCTCTTCAACATCTGTTCCTGGTAATCCCAATGTGTTATCTTTTTTCATTGCAAAAAGCAGCTGGTGAAGCGTCATGGCATTTCATTAAAGAAAAAAAAAAAGACCAAATAAATACATAGTGGCTTTTGAGAGATTATTTGTGACTTTACCAAAGAGGAGCTGAAAGAAATGCTCTCTTCTTCTTCATCACATGAAAGTCCTTTCTTCTCTGTTTGCATGAGAATAGACAGTCACATTTGAAAAACTTGAATGTGCAATAATGATTTGTCAGAAATTACCACTGTCCTTTGCCTTTAGGCCTGGGGGATGTCCATGTATTCATTTGTTTGCTTCACAGACATGTATTGAACACCTACTATGTGTCAAGCCTTGCCCTAGGTGTTGAGCACCAGGCAGTAAATTAGCAAAAACCTTATTGCAAGTCTCGGGTTACAAAGTCAATGCACACAAATCTGTAGCACTGCTACACAACAATAATTATCAAGCTGAGAATCAAATCAAGAACTCAATCCCATTTACAATAGCTGCAAAAAAATAAACTACCTAAGAACATAATTAACCAAGAAATTGTAAGATCTTTACGGGAAGAACTACAAAACACTAATGAAAATAATCATAGATGAAACAAACAAATGGAAATACATCCCATGCTCATGGGTTGGAAGAATCAATATTGTGAAAATAATTGTACTGCCCAAATCAATCTATAGTTCAATGTAATTTCTATCAAAATACAAACATCGTTTTTCACAGAATAGAAAAAAAATCCTAAAATTCATACGGAACCAAAAAGAGCCCAAATAGCCAAAGCAATCCTCAGCAAAAAGAACAAATCTGGAGGCATCACATTACCCAATTTCACATTATACTACAAGGCTATAGTAAGCAAAACATCACACTACTGATATAAAAGGAGACATATAGAGCAATGGAACAAAATAGAGAACCCAGAAATAAAGCCAAATACTTACAAAAAACTGATCTTCGACAAAGCCAACAAAAACATAAACTGGGAAAAGGACACCCTATTCAATAAATGGAGATGGGAAAATTGGATAACCAAATGTATACAAAAATTAACCCAAGATGGAATAAATACTTTAATCTTAAGTCCCAAAACCATACAAATTCTGTAAGATAACAAGGGAAAAGTCTTGGATATCGGCCTAGGTAACGAATTTACAACTAAGATCCCAAAAGCAAATGAAACAAAGCAAAAATAAATAAATAGTACTTAATTAAACTAAAAAGCTTCTGCACAGCAAAATAAATAATAAACAGAGTAAATACACAATCTACAGAATGGGAGAAAATACTTGCAAACTGTCTATCTGACAAAGGATTGATATCCAGAATCTGCAAAAAACTCAAACAAATCTGCAAGAAAAAAACAAATGATTCTATTAAAAAGTGGGCAAATGGCCGGGCGCGGTGGCTCAAGCCTGTAATCCCAGCACTTTGGGAGGCCAAGGCGGGCAGATCATGAGGTCACGAGATCGAGACCATCCTGGCTAACACAGTGAAACCCCATCTCTACTAAAAATACAAAAAATTAGCCAGGTGTGGTGGTGGGCGCCTGTAGTCCCAGCTACTCGGGAGGCTGAGGCAGGAGAATGGCGTGAACCCGGGAGGCAGAGCTTGCAGTGAGCCAAGATCGCACCACTGCACTCCAGCCTGGGCAACAGAGCAAGACTCTGTCTCTCAAAAAAAAAAAAAAAAAGGTAGGCAAATGACATGAACAGACATTTCTCAAAGAAGGTATACAAATGACCAACAGACATGTGAAAAAAATGCTCGATATCACTAGTCATCAGGGAAATGCAAATTAAAACCACAATGAGATACCACCTTACCCCAGTAAGAATGGCTATTGTTCAAAAGCAAAAAAAAAAAAACAGTAGATGTTGGTGTGGATGCAGTGAAAAGGGCACGCTTATACACTGACAGTGGGAATGTAAATTAGTACAACCTTTATGGAAAACAGCATGGAGATTTCTCAAAGAACTAAAAGTATATCTACCATTAGATCCAGTAATCTCACTATTGGACATCTACCCAAAGGAAAAGAAGTCAATTCTATGAAAAAGATGCCTGCACACATGTTTATCACAGCACAATTCACAATTTCAAAGATATGAAATCAACCTCAGTGCCCATCAAACAATGAGTGGATAAAGAACATGTGGTATATACATAGGGATCCAGTTTCATACATATATATATATATATATATACATTCGTATATATACATATATATTCATATATTCATATATATTCATATACATATACACACACATGGAATACTACTCAGCCTTAAAAAAGAACAAAATAATCTCTTTTGCAGCAAGAAGTAACTCAAGAATGGAAAACCAAATACTGCATGTTCTCACTTATAAGTGGGAGCTAATCAATGGGTATGCAAAGGCATACATAGTATAGTGGACATTGAAGACTCAGAATGGGGGAGGCTAGATGGGGCATAAGGGATGAAAGATTACCTATTGGGTACAATGTACACTATTTGGATGATGGGCACTCCTAAAGCCCAGACTTCACACTACACAATTCATCCATGTAACCAAAAGCCACTTGTACCCCTAAAGCTATTGAAAATACAAATTTTAAAAAATAATAGCTCAGAATTTAAAACAAAATACTCTATTGCTTAAATCCCCTATGAAGGACCTACTTGGAAAAGGACAAAGTGTTGTGCCAGGGCCATGCTCCTCCAACAAACCTTAGATCCTCTTTAGCACAGAGGCCTTCATTCAAAAAACTGGGCCAGCTCTCAGTCTCCCAGACATCCAACATTCCCCACCCACAGCTGCTGCTGTTCAGGACACTTCTTGAACTTTTTCCTCATTACCTAACTGCGGTTGTAAGCAAAGATGGAGTATGTTTGTGATAGAAAGTTCTGGATGATCTACCCTCTAACAACTTCTCCAGACTAATCTCTTATGGCCATTCCCCCTTCTTCACTGTTCTCAAGTCACACAGGCCATCCTTCTGATCCTCAAAAGTGCCAAGCTCTCAACGACCTTAGGACCTTTCTGCTAGCTGTTCTCCCAGCCCAGATTCTCTTACCCCGGATTTTCTCAAGAATTACTTCAACAATATCTTCTTGTTACTATAGTGTCAGCTTAAATGCCAGCCCTCAGAGAGCTGGCATTTAAGAGAGTCCTCAGAAAGCGGCCCTCAGAGAGCTCCCAACCATCACTTAAAGTAACCCCACTCCATCAATTCTTATCACAGTCTCCTGGGATTTCCTGGTCTCTAGATGTGCGTATTGTCTGTCTCCCTGTGCTCCATAGGATACAAGTGCATTAACTGTAGGGACCAAATATATCTAGTTCACCTCTGTGTCCTCAGCAACTAGAATAGTGCCTGGCATGTAGTAAACACTTAATACATATTGGTTTAACGATTTAATAAACAAAAGAATGAATGTCAAAATATTGGAAATAATAAGAAAGTCCAACAATTGGAGATTTGTTCAATAATTATGGCAAATCTCTACAATGGGCTATCATCTAACCAACAAAATAGATGTTGTGGGTTAATATTTTTCAAACTACAAAATATGATCTGTCTGTGGCTCATGTAATCAAGTAGTGAATCATGAAATAGTGTATTCTCTTATATACTAATTCATTATAAAATAGAATAGAAAATATCAGAATACACAATATATTATAAGGATAACTATTGGGCAAATGTGTGTTTATGTATGTGTGTCTACTGAGTAGCAATATAAATTTTTTTATTACAGATCCTGGTCAGAAAATTTGGAAATCACTGTTGCAAAAGATTAATGACAAGGAAATATATTCATAATGCATTAAATGGAAAAAAGTAGATAGCAAAAAATAAAGAGTGTATGTATGTAAGAAAAAATATTAGATTGAAACATTATTCGCTTTAAAAAAAGCATAGACAGGCATAGAAAATCAACTGAAAAAATAATGTTGAGTAGATTTTTCTGGGTGATTTCATTGTTTTCTCCTTTGTATTCATCTTTGTTTTTTAAATTATCTACATGGAACATATAATTTTAAAAAGGTAAGTTATTTCTAGAAGATGCTATATAATATCCTTTAGAAAAATAGGCTTTTTAGAAATAAAAGTACCTCAATGGCAATGTCATAAATTACTGCAAATAAGCTTTTAAGTGCCTATAGAAGGCATAATTATGAGTTCTCTATACAAAGTGTTTCATCTCACATTATCTTGTCTAATCTCCATAATGATAAAAGAAGGGAGGCAAGACAACAGTCATCCTTATTCACAGAAGGGAAAACTGAGGCACAGAGAGGTTAAGTGACCTGTCCACAGTTGCACTACGAGTTAGTGGTTGACCTGGCAAAGAACCCAGGGCTTCTGATTGCTAATCCACACCCTACATTTCACCTACTCTACTGTAGTCTGTAGACTTGATACTTTATTGTGCTGTGTGGGACATAATTATCCCCTTTTTACTTCTATAATGAAGAAGTGAACTTTCCTTCCCTTGTTCCTCATCCTCCTATGTCCTTGAGGCTGCCAGCTTTAGAGAATGACTCAAGCACTCTCTTAGCCATGTTTCTGTCCCTAGGGCCACCAGAGTATTGCCATTTCTGTGCATTCATTTCATACACTGGAGACACTATAATACGGGGAGTTAAGAGCCACCAAGATTTAAATCCCAGCACTGCCACTTATTGGTTCTGTGATCTTGGGCAAGTTGTTTAACCTCTCTGGTCCTTGATTTACTTATCTATAAAATGGGGATGATTACAATATTAATTGTTTTGACTTCACAGGGTTATTGTGAGAGTCAAATGCATTAATACGTGTAAAGTACCTAGGTAGTTTCTGAAGTCATAATACACATTATTGCAAAGGATTGCTATTCATATTATTATATAGTATTGGAGGATACTATGGCCAAACAACTTGAACTGTGTTCTCTGATTCTCCTCATTTTTCTCCTCCTCCCACCACCCAGAGTGGAATTTCCTCCATCACCCTCTTAGTATTGTCACTGATTTTGAAATTCCTCTTGGTGTTCCATTCCAAAAAAGCTCCTGATTTGTCCCTGTTTTATTTGAAGCTGTAGCTGCCAATACTGGCTGTTTCTTATGTATATTTACATATGCGTCCTACTGAGGGGGTGACAGCATCCAAGAAGAAAACTGATGGCTGTCTCTCTATGGACATTCTCTGTTTGTCTCTCAGTACCCGTTACCCTCTCTTCCAACAACAACCCAGATTTTTATCTGGACACAGATTCTTCCCTTGATCTTAAGTCCAAATGATCTAGGCAGGGCTTAACCTCTCATATCAAGGTGTGAAAAAAAGAAAGAGAAAGGGAGTTATTTTCTGGTAGCTCCTGTCTGGTAGCTTCCCTCTGATTGGACTAGCAGAATTTAAAATGAGAAAATAATGAGACGTTATTGCCAGTGCCCTGTTGCCTTGTGAAGTCTGAGAAGAAAGCCAATTGAAGGAGAAGAGTCAGGATGAATCTCCAGATGGACAGAAATGGGTCTTGGTGACAGCACGAGAGTCCCTGGATCAAGCCTTACCTAAAGCCAGCATCTACCCTGAACTTCTATGCAAACTATGCAACCATATGCAAACTATGCAAACTATGCAAACTATGCAAACCAGCACTCTTTCTCTAACTACCCCTTAAGACAGTTGGAGTTGGGTTTTTAAATACTTGCAAAGGGTCCTAGCTGATAAATTTTTGCAACAGAAATGTCCTCAGAACCATAGTAAAAAACAGCTGAATAGCCTCCAGGAGAGTGGAGCAAAACAAACACCAGAAGAAAATTAAACATAAAACAGCGAAAAGGTATTGCAGTCTCTAAGTATCTAAGGACAAATTCAAGTCCAATGTCCTTTGTATGATTCCAACTTCCATGTACCTTCATTTCATTTGAAAAATGCACTTCTTTATTCAGAGTTACTTAGAAACTTTTCACCTAGGCTAGTTTGACTCCCTACTCCCACTAAAAACAAAAACAAGAACACCACTTTCAGCAAATACAGGAAGCAAAGGTAGTTGTAACAGAATTTGAAACACAATGGTGTTGTTTACATTAAACATACAAAGACCCAGCATGAGGCTCCTTGAGAATTAACAGCTGTCCAAAGCCAGGGAGTGGTGGACCCGGAAGGCAACTGAGTTCATGATTTCATTTTAAAGGCCAAAACCATTTTGGTCTAAACCTGTGGTCCTCAGAGGGCCTGGTCTGGCTGAGTTCGCAACATTGAACCTGTAGCATACAAGTGGGTATCTGGGATATTTGTATAGTGGACTTTAAAGGGCAGCCTCAGAAGAGAGTGAGCCTCATCACTGGAAGTATTTAAGGCAGGTGTCCGGATAGCCATCAACAAGGGGCACTGTGGAGAGAATTCCTGCATTGTGTGTGTCTGTGTGTGTGTGTGTGTGTGTGCAGATAATACACAGCCTGGGAAAACAACAGAGTGTAAAGTTAAGGGAAGAAAAATAGGATTTTTGTTGACTTTAGATTGGGCCCTCTCCCACCCCTAACTCCCACTCTTCCCCCATCTACATGTCACATGATTCCCCTTACCTCTGACATGCAGAGAAGTTGCCTCTTCCCAGAGACAGGCACGTCTCTTCCTAAGAATGGCTGGGAGACTAGAATGGCAGCTGTCTCAGAGAAAATGCAAGTCACTGGGGGCAGGAAAAAGAGGAGACACAGGACAGCCGGCTCCCTCCGCTGCCTTTTCACCTTTTCTCTACTTCCTAAACCACCCCCTTGGCTGCCTTGTTGGCAGATGTGAACTGGAAAAGCCTGCTTGGGGTGCCATGTGAAGATCAGCCCCACTGCATCGGTGAGTCAGTCACAGGCTGTGCAGGGAACTCACTCACGGAGCTGGGTGGCCTGAGGATGGGCTGTCCTGGCTAGAGAGCCTTGGCACAACCATGCTCTCCAATGGAGGACAAAAGAGAGAAATACCAGGCTTGCGGCTGCTTTGAGTGGTCCCACAGTTGAAATGCCAGGGAATATGATTGGTGCAATGAACCATGTGGATCGCCTACAGAGTTCCTCTGCGTGGAGGTCCAGTGTGGCTTTATTTCACAATCCCAAAAGCATGATGATGTTCCTTTCTGAAATCTGCTTTGGGGGCTCAGAATTTTAACCTAAGACCACTTGGGTATCTTCTGCATATTGAATAAAGGTAAGAAAGGCAGTGGGAGGGAGTGAGCAGTGAGTGGAGAATCAAGCAGTTGGGTCATTCTCAGGCAAAGGCAGAGGATCTCCCACAGTTTAGGTGAGAAATGTATCCTCCCCACAAGCACCTAGTGAGCACAGACAGAATCCCTACTCCCCAGAAGCAGCCTGGGAGGGGTCTGTAATCATTAGCTCCGGCCTGATAATAAATCATAAACACAGCTTTGTTTTTTCTGAGATAGAAGTCAGGGACTGATGGGTGTGGTAGGCATGGAGGGTGTTAAAAAAATAGATATTCCATGAATTCCCCAAATATATCTTAAAAACAGTCTCAATAAACCTCATGACTAAAGGGCATTTAGTTAACAAACTCCCTCAGAGGCTCTTAACTTCCTCAGTGAACTGTGTGAGAGAAACCTTGACAACAGTGTCCAGGTGGGTTTCTGTGCTCTGTCCAGGGATGCCAGCCACTGTGCTAGGCTTCAGAGGCTATGCATGGAATTTAACAAAAACAATACTGCTTGTATCTCTAATTCCACACCCCAGCTATATCGAAGGCTGGGGCCAAGTGATTACCTTGAGTTTTGGATACAACACAGATAATCAAGTTCGGCAATTCCAGGCTAAAAAGAAACAAAAAAGGTTTCCTTCTTATTCAGATAAGAAATCTAAATAGATATTTCCCCATGTATCACATAACTGTGTGGCTGTACAGACTTAGTAATAGCTCCTTGAAAGTCTTTTTTAAAATTCTTTCACAAGAACTCAAAAGTTCCACTTTTGGTGGCCTGTTTTTTTGTCTTTGTTTTTTTTTTAATGGATGGTTTTTGATAAAGACAGACATATTATAATTGCCGTTGGGATTGTTAGAATGTTTTATTTTGTAACTATAGATACAGTCAGTACATCCTCTTTCACCATTAGATATTGCATCATTCCTCTGTATTGTCTTGTGTCTATTTCCTCTCCAACCTAGGACTACTCACAAAACAAAACAGATATTCCTAAATTACATTAATGACAGTCCTGACTTAGTGTAAATAGACAGAAAAGGAGTCCAAGCTCCTCATGACTGGAGCCATGTCTCATCCTTTAGTGGGTTCCCAGTGCCTACGACATTCCTCCATGTAGAGCTGATGCCTAATAAATATTAGTTCAATTCACTGCAGGGGATTTCACGAGCTCCTAGCCACTTGTGAGTCACCAGTGTCTGTACAGCTAATTGGCAGTCAGGACCTAGGATATAAATGGAACTAGGCAACACAGGGACTGTGAGGCCACCCTCCCTCCATACTAAGATTTCTCCAAGTGTGGCCTGCCAACCACCAGCATCAAAGTCACCAGGGTGTTTGCTCAAAATGCAGACCCCTGGGCCTTGCCTTTAGCAAATTGTAATTTTGGGGATCAGGCCCAAGATGCTGGGTGCTGAGTTAGAGGCCCTGGGTTCTATACCCTGCATTGGGCAGGTGCTTATGATAGAATGCTACTTCTATTACAAGCTTGAACCCAAAAAGAGCGATATGGAGCAATCGAAGGGAAGCCAGAGGAAGGTTTGTTAAAGGCTGGACAAATAGCTCCTATAAGGAAATCCTAAAGGCAATCTAAACAGAAGGCCATGAGGTTTAGGAAGAGTCTTCAAGCACACAAAGGAATGCAGCTTTAGGGAGGGAGCTAGGCAGGCAAGACGCGGCACAGCCACTCTAGCTTTGAATCTCCGGAAGGCAAAGAGGGGCATGCTGTCTTGGAAAACATGAAAGCCTCAGATGTCTTTGCATCTCACCAGGAACAGGCTCGCCCTTAACATCTGCAGGACTGAGCCAAGAGTACAAACAGAGGCCTACACACCATATGTGTGAATGTTTAAAAGTTATATATCAAGCTAACAAACGCTTAAATAAAAAAAAAGTTATTTCCTTCTATCTTGCCTAATAATCTGTCAGAACAATTTGGAAGGCCAGGTGTGCATTTAGAGTTTGGTGGCTCTTTGGAGTCTCACACTGGAATTTGGAGGAGCAAAGGGAGAGAGAGAAAGAGAGAGAGAGAGAGAGAGCTGACATTCAGCCATCCCCTTTCACCCTTCACCCCCTGCAGGTCCATCCCGCACTGAGTGAGCCTGGCGGCCCATGTATGTGGCTATCTCAGCTGCCTCACCAAGTTCCTTCCACAGACCTCCATGTTCTGCCCTCTAAACAGACACACCCACCCTGCAGACTGAGGGGAACTGGCTGTACAGTCAGTTCATTGTAGGCCCCACAAGCAGGCTCAGGGCTTGTAGGCAAGAAATTTAGGGGTCCAGGAATCCAGAGGGTATTATCAAAGGTGGGCACATCCCTTGACTTTTCAGAATCTTGCTTGGCAGAGAGTGGTGCAGTTGGAGAAAGGGCCTCTAATATAGTAGAGCAAGTCGTTAAATAATGTTGTTTTGTTGGGCTGGGCATGGTGGCTCATGCCTATAATGCCAGCACTTTGGGAGGCTGAGGCAGGAGGATGGCTTGAGCCCAGGAATTTGAGACCAGCCTGGCCAACATGGTGAAACCCCATCTCTACAAAAAAAAATATAGATATATATAATATATATATACACACACACACACACACACATATATGCACACACATGTATATACACACACACACATATATATATAATAATTTTCATATATATGAAAATTAGCCAGGCATGGTGCATGTGGCTGTAGTCCCAGGCTACTTGGGAGGCTGAGGGTGTAGTCCCAGCTACTCAGGAGGCTGAGGCAGGAGGATTGCTTGAGCAGGGACGGTCAAGGCTGTAGTGAGCTGTGATTGCGACACTGTGCTCCAGCCTGGGAGACAGAGTGAGACTCTGTTTCAAAAATAATAAATTTTTTAAAAGATTGTTTCATTCAATGTCCTTTTATTATAGTGTTAGTCAGAAGAAAAAAAAAATTCCTGGCTGGGGCCACTGTCCGTGTGGACATTATTCCCATGTCTGCTTGGGTCTTCCCTGGGCACTCTGATTTCCTCCCACATCCCTAAGTTGTGTACGTTGGGTGAACTGCTGTGTCTAAATGGTCCCAGTGAGTGAGTTGTGGATGTGTGAGTGCACCCTGCAATGGGATGGCGTCCTGTCAAGAGTGGGTTCCCACCTGGCACCCTCGGCTGCCAGCATAGGCACTAGCCACCCATGACCCTGAACTGGAATAAGTAGGTAAATAATTATCCTATGTGTTTTAATTAATTGCTCTTAAATGTATGTGTGGCTTACATTTATTTCAATGTTTTGGTCTTTATTTACAAATTTGGTGATGTTTTTGTGACATGCCACAGGAACTTAACTCTCATTTATATCATTAGCCTATGGGAAAATTGGTTTCAGTATACGTCATTTCACTTAAAGTCACGGTTTCCAAAAATCAATCCATTATGTCAAGGGAGGACTTACTGACTGCGCTTTTCAAACTTTAATGTGCACAAGAATCACCCGGGGATCTTGTTAAAATGAAGATTCTGATGCCTTAAATCTGGGGTGGTGCTCAAGGTCTGCATTTTATAAAGCTACCAGGTGATGCTGATGCTGCTGGTCCATGGACCACACTTTCAGTAGCAAGGGTCTGAAACCCCCAGGCCCCAGGCAGAGGTCCCTCTAGCTCTGGTCTAAGGATAGATGGCACTTCCCACACATCCGGGACCAAGAGAAGTTTAATGAATGCCTGCTCAGTTATATAGATTCATTGATAAAGGGATGGTGGGGGAAGAATAAAAAGAGAAAGGAGGGGGAGGGAAGGAAGTAAACAAGGAGGAGGGAAAGGACAGAGGAAGATCTTTTCCCTAGAACTGGACATTTTGCTGGTACAGGAGTTTGTATTCACTGTGACTTTCTTAAAACTACCAGCCTTTTACACATTTAATTTTTTCCTCCTTTTCCCTTCTCTCTGTCCTCTGGTTTTCTAAGTCCTTTAAGGACAGTGACCAAGTATTCTAGTTCTTTTCTTTGTACTAACTCACTTTCAGCAAAGCCTACTGAAATGCAGGTATTGTGGTTTACAGACCTGGATCCTCCCCCCATCATCACGCTGTCTGCTAAATAGAGGAAATGTTAATTTGGAGAAGCTGTGAATCTTCTGGAAATTTCCATATCACTGAAGATTCAGTAAGTCAGTTCACATTCCCTCTGTACCCTTTAGTTATTAAATAATAAACTTTAATTCAAGGTATTTTAAAGGGCCCATAGGAATTTTAATTTGATGTGAATGACTTACAAATCTGAATAAAAATCAGATCATATAAAACTGCAATCTCTATTACTTTTAAATAATAGAACAAGTTGAAAAATAATCAACAGCCAATGTAAGACTCCTGTGTAATTCAATCAAACCCCTATTTTCTGGACTAATGAAAGAGGCAGGGAGGGAAGTAATTCCAAATCATTTGTATGTGACTTTGCATAAGATGGACACTGCTACTTTGATGTTACTTAAGTGTCTGTTTAAATTAGTGACATTCTTTAATGCTATAGTGGGATAGCCCTGGCAATACCTGGGAGGTGTTAGCCTATAGCTTTTAGCATTGAAATCCAAACCAACAGGTGAATGTTAACGAAGCTCATCAGGAGGCAACCCTCCCTTGTCAGAACAAATGGTTTGCTGTATAGACACATCAGAGTGTGTTACCCTAGACCTGCTTTGAGAGTAAACGTGGGGTGACCACTCATAGAGGAGACTTTAGGATGTTGGAGTGAGAGGAAGAGCTATTGTTTATGCAACAGTCTTTGTCCAACTACCTATCAGAGTGGTGTCAGAAAAGATACAGACACCATTGCAGCCACGCAGCCTGGCACAGTAATCAGAGCAAGGGACCTCTTCCACATCCCAGATTACCATGCATAGGGAGCATTGTACATCCACAGAGTGAGTGAGATCAACCTACCTTGAGCTCAGTCGCATGGGAAGGGGACCCCCATTGCTCAGACTCACAAGTTGGAAGAACAGTGGTTCTCAAACTTGAGTGAGCATCATAATCACAGTTCATGAAGGCCAGGCATGGTACACCTGGTAGCATCTCTTTCTCTACCTTAATCTTGACTTATAAAATTTAACAGCTGCAGACCAGCCCTCTGCTGCTTAATAGTATCCTGACAGGCGCCCCAAGTTCCATTAGAGATTGGCTCTTTTTTTTTTTTTTTTTTTTTTTTTGAGACAGAGTCCTGTCTCCCAGGCTGGAGTGCAGCAGCATGATCTTGGCTCACTGCAACATCTGCCTCCCAGGTTCAAGTGATTCTTGTGCTTCAACCACCCGAGTAGCTGAGATGACAGGTGCACGCCACTAACACCCGGCTTATTTTTGTATTTTTAGTAGAGATGGGGTTTCACCATATTGGCCAGGCTGGTCTCAGACTCCTGGCCTCAAGTGATCTGTCTGCCTCGGCCTCCCAAAGTGCTGGGATTACAGGCATGAGCCATTGCACCCAGCCAAAATGGGCTCCTTTGGACTTGACAGTGTTGTCCCCTTAAAGAGGTCACTTTTAAAATATGAAAACACTTGGGAGAGGTCCAATCTTACCACTCACTATTTTAGTTCAGGGCTTCTCAAATGGCCCACTGAAATGCCTGACAAGCATTGAATATGCCGATTCCTGGGCCTTGTCCCAATGATGCTGGTTTAATTAGTCAGGGCGAAGACCAGGAATTAACAGGTCATTCTTGAAAAGCTCTGATTAGGGGAAATAAAGGAGTGGGGAACTGGGTGCTACAGTTTGCATACAGTGAGATTAAAAAGCATTTGAAACAACATTGACTGCTTCACAGCTTTACTAAGGCCTAACCTTTGGCCACAATTATGTAGATTTGAAGAAATTATTTCCTCAACTTCAAGACTTGGCACTGACCGTGCCCTAAAAATAACTGGTAATGTGGAGTTAACTTGGCTGTGCTATCTTTAGAAATGTAGTTGCTACAAGGGCAGTTGCTACAAGGGCTGAAATGCATCTGGACAGATGTCTGGTATTTTAGAAATTCTAGAAAAAGGACTGAGGAAAGAAGGTCCTGCTCCCTCTGCCAATCAAGTAACCAACACCTCTGGTCTAAGCACTAGCTTACCTGCCAAAAAAAGATAACAACATAGTCCCTTCCTTCTATGAGCTCACAGCATAATTAGTTGGGAAAAGGGTGGGAAGGGGTTGAACAAAAAATCCACAAACCAAAAGAATGAACATCACAGGTAGAGTACGCAAAATGCCTTGCTGCTGTCATACATCTTCCAGTCACCCCTTTCTCCTCGTTTCTTAAATATTTAAGCACCTGGTTCATGACTTCCTCCACCACTGGCGCTATCATAATTCTAGTGGTCAAATTCATGACCAAAACTCCAACAGAGTTGATCCTTTCAACTCTCCAGCTTCTCAGATCTTTGACCTTTTCTCCTCCAACAATTGTGTCTCTGCCCTACCTCAGCCACTCAGCAAGGTCACACTCTAGACCTGTCATTACCAGTGACTGCATTCCCAACATATCTCAGTTTCAAGTTTCCCACTTTCCAATTACCACTTTCTAGCTTTCCATATTACTCTGTCGTCTCTCAACTCCAACGATTCTTGAATCTCATTGGGAGTTCTTATCCACTGATCCTACCAGCTTTTCACTCCCCTTAACCCCTTTGGTAGCTTTGCTTCCCTTCTTACCTGGCTTTGATCCCATCATAACACCCACTCCCTTTCCTACCACTTCAACCACCTCAATTCCCTCACCTCTTTCTCCTACCTTCACATCCCTATGCTGTTTAAATCCACCTTTCCACTTCCTTGGCACCGGCAAGCAAGGAGTTGAGGCAGCTCCATGATGACTGGTCTCACTTTAAATTCATGACCACAAACTTGAAGTAGGTCTGTAATGCCGCCTAGAGTCCCACTACACTTCCCTAGTCAGTCTATCCTTTCAGTCTCTAAAACAACTCTATCACCCTTTTTCTTCTCTCCTCCAATCTTCGATACTCCCTTTCTCATTTTCACTTTTAGCTGATGATCTTGCCTATTTCACTAACAAAAGTATTCAGAAGAGAACTTCCATATCCTCCACCATATATCCCAGCCTCTCTGCCTCTGTGATCATATACTTCATCTTCTCTTCTGACATAGTAGATAAACTATCCATGCTCCTTTCTAAAGCCAAAGCAATCTGTATGTTAATCAGATCCTGTCCCCTCCCAGCCTACTGAGACTTCCCTCCTGCCTGCTGCTGCGCCATGAAGTTAGCCCATCCTGCTAAAACACGCCCACCAGCACACAAACTCACTCTTATATTATGAATCTAAAACACAACAAAAACAGAAATAAAAATATTCTTTGACCCCATATCTCCCTCCACTTACTGCCTTGTTCCTCTGCTCCCCTCTACAGCAAAACTCAGAAGTTATTTCTACTTGCTCTACTTCCTCCTTTTTTCTTTCTTGCATTCACTCTAACAAGGCTTTCATCCTCACTGTCCCACTGAAACTTCACTTTTAGTATCACCAATGGTCCCTACAATTAAGTCCAAGACTAATTTTCAGGCTTCTCCCTAACTTGACCCATCAGCATCATTTCTCCTCCTGGAAATGTTTTCTTCTCTTGGCCTTCCAGACACCATCCCTTCTTGGATCACCTCCTATTTTTGTTGATTTCCCTTCTTAGTCTCTGTATTAGTCCGTTCTCACACTGCTATAAAGATAACACCTGAGATTGGGTAATTTATAAACAAAGGAAGTTTAATTGACTCACAGCTCTACATGGCTAGGGAGGCCTCAGGAAACTTAACAATCATGGCAGAAAGGGACACAGGCACCTTCTTCACAAGGCAGCGGGAGAGAGTGTGAGTGTGTGAGAGTGCAGGGAAAACTACCATTTATACCATCAGATCTCATGAGAACTCACTCACTATCACAAGAACAGCATGGGGGAAGCCACCCCCATGATCCAATCACCTCCCACCAGGTTTCTCACTTAACATCTGGAGATTACAATTCGAGATGCAGTTTGGGTGGGGACACAGAGCCAAACCATATCTGTCTCCTTTGCTGGTTACTCCTCATCTTCCTGACCTCTAAAATAAATGACGGAGCATTCAGTCCTTGGACCTCTTCTCTTCTCTGTATACTCTTGCTGCCTAGGTGATCTCATCCTGAATCTCAGGGCCTTAAATATTAGCCATTTGCTGACAGTTCCCAAATTTATTTCTTTAGCCTTGGCAACTGTCCTGACCTGCTAGCTTGTATGTCCAATTGATTCCCCAACAATCTCTACTTAGATTACACTCCTCAAACTTAACATGGCTTGAACGAGGATCTTTATTCCCCTTACCCAAACCAGTGCAATAAATGATACCATTCTTTAGATAGCTCAAAACAAAAATCTTGGTATCGATCCTGAATCTTCTCCCTATTCTTATATTCTACATTCAATCTATCAGCAAATTCTATCAGTTATAATTGCAAAGTTATCCAGGATCACCACTTTTCAGCAGAAACTACCATGACCACCAAGGTTTCATCTACCATCATTTTTTATCAGCACTATTGCAACAGACTTCTGGCTGTTCTCCCTACTTCCACCAATAACTCCTACAATTTCATCATAACACAACGGTCAGAATTGTCTTTTTGAACACTTAGATCATTTTATTCCTCTGCTCAAAACCCTCCACTGGTTTCTAAATCATTCAGGATGAAGTCCAGAATCCCCTCTGTAGCCTATGAAATCCTACATGACCTTGCCCTACTACCTCTAGGCCCTAATCATTTGCTCATTGAGATCCAGCTACAGCGAACTCTTTGACATTTCTAGAATGTTCCATATTTAGGCTTACTGCTTCCTCAGCCCCAAATTTTCTTCCCCGAAAAAGCCACATTGCTCATTCCCTTGCTGAGTTCAGGTTTCTGCTCAGAAGTCCTCACTTCATAGTTATCTTTCCTCACCTTATCTGTTGTAGCATTATTATCTCTCTATCTCCTCTATTTGTTTTTTCTTTCTATCATCTGAGATTACAATATGTCTCAGTTTCGGTCCCTGAAATCACAAATAAATAAACAGAGCCTCAGAGAAGGACTCCAGTGCAGATAGTTTATTAGGGGAGGTTATCCCATGAAGCAGGAGTGAGGAAATGGGGAAAGTGAGGCAGGGAAGGAGAAAAAGCCAATGGCCAATGCAAGGGTACTTTCATAATGTTGCCACTTGGGCCATGAGGGCTCAGTTCCATTGAGACCTCCTGAAAAGTATACAGAATGCCTCCTAGAAATTTCAGCCTGAAGTGCTGAGCTTACCCCTGGTAATTAATGTACCCCACATCCAGGCTGCATTTGCCTGCAGGCCAAAAATTCCCAAGGTGTTGGAGAAGCCCCAGAGCTGAAAGTAACAATGCATAGAGTGCATGCTTGAGGAGAGATGCTGTGAATGTGAGACAAGCACAAGTTTGCAGGGGACTGTCCCCTGGAGCAGCAGGTGAAATAAGAGGTGGGCTGACAGGAAGTGTTGTGGGGCACAAGTGGGTCTGATGCATCTTATATATTGAGTCATTAGTGTCTGTTACCCTGCTAGAATACAGACTATCATGGTTTTTTTTAAGTTATGTTTATTAAGGTACGATTTACATACAGTAATACGCAGCCTTTTGAGCATTCAGTCCACACTGAAGAGTAAAGTTCAATGAGTTTGATAAGTGTATTCGGTCATAAAACTGCCACCACAATCAAGATATAAAACACTTCCAACATCCCAAAAGTTACTTTCTGCCCATTTGCAGTCAATCCTCTATTGCCACTGGCAACCACTGATCTACTTTCTGTTCCTATAATATTGCCTGTTTCAGAATGGGGTCATATCAATGAAATTGCAGTGTGTAGTCATTTGTGCCTGGCTTCTTTCTTAGCATACCTTTTAAGATTCATCCATGTGATTGCATTTACCGATAATTTGTTTCCTTTTATTGCTGAGTCATTCTGTCTTATGGATGTACCACAGCTAGTTGATCCATTCTCCAGTTGATGGGCTGTTTTAGTCTGTTATAAATAAAGCTGCTTTGATCATATGTCTATAGGTCTTTGTATGAATGTATGCTTTTATTTCTTTTGGATAAATATGTAATATAAGCTCTGTTTTGTTCACCAGTGCATCCTTAGTGCTTAACTAATTGCTTGGCACATAGTAGGGTCTCAATGAATATTTGTTGAATGAATGAACATAGAAATAGCATATTCAAAATGATGAAGAGCTGTCTTCATGCCCAGGAGGATTCAAGTAAAAGCTGAGAATTAAAGTAGCTGTACACTACATAGATGTTTATAAACATCTTATCTGAATAACTTCTGGGACAGCATCTATTTCCATTATGGAATTCATGGAACAGCACTCATCTATCTCATCAACTAATCCCCAGACCTCAGCAGGCTCATGCTTACTACACAGAGGTACAGGGCCTTTTAATGCTCTGCCCTGTACATGACTCATGCTTTGGTTTCCCTGTTTGATTTAAATTCTAATGCAACTTTCCACCACTTGATTTCTTTCAGGCCCTAGGCCTCTGGATTCATGCTGTCTTCCATGGCCACATTATCAACAGATGCAGGAACAACACTGTTAAACTCACAGCCTCCTCCCTCTTCCTAGCCAGTACAATTTTGTACTGGTTAATGGAATCTCATGGGTAGTTCCTATGCTAAGAGTTTCTGAACTTTTAAGCAATGTGCCCCATCCTTGAGTGCTATGTTCATGACACATTTTCTTACAGATATTGTTATTACTTGAGTTTTTCCTGGCTAAGCCAATGGTCCTGATGGACTTATATTACAAATAATAGCAGACATTTTAGTCACCGCTCCCCCTATCCATAGCAGTTCTAGGAGGTCCCAGGGTTGTTTCACACGTGCTCATGAACAAGTTTGCTCAGATATCTCTATGTCTATCCACCACCCCTTGCTGTTAGCCGTATTTGTTCTATTACTATCCACTGAGCACAGTCATTAAAGCCTGGAACCTTGAGGCACTGGCAGAGCCCAACTGTCTGGAACAATAGATAGTGAATGCCTCTTAGATTTTTGAGGTACCCTCTATTAAAGGGGTCCCATAGCAAGGTGGCTTGGATGCTGCTGGGTTCCCAAATTGAATGACACAACTCTGTGAGTTTTTATTTACAGACCTTTTGTGAATCAGCCACTCAGCAAGCACTTATTGAGTATCTATGGTGCACCAGGCACTATTTCAGGGTCTGGGGCAGAGAAATGAAAAGACAGGCAGTATCTCTGTATCAGGCACCTCATATCCATTCAGACTCATTTCTGATCCCAACATGGCTACAGTGAACAGTTCCAGACACACTTCAAGACATCTTGCCAATGAGAGGAACCTAAGTGAGATTGGAAAGGCAAAAGTTAGGAGAGGCCAAGAGGCTAATATTTTCAGAAAGTTATAGAAGACAGATGTGACATAATTTCCCAGAGAACTTTTGAGAGCCAACCATTTCAGTGCTTTGCTGCAGGCTGAGGTCATCGGGGGCCATTTCTCTGACCTTCCAGCTTCAGTCTCTTTGATCTTCACTCCCCTGCAACCTTCCATATTTGTGTAAGCTCTGATTCCTACACCAAACCCCTTTATTTCTGTAATATTATACTTAAAGGCTCTCTATCTTCTCAGATAGAGAACCTGCACCAAACCCTTGTCTCAGGCTCTGCTTCTGAGATGGAAGCTAACTAAGGCAGACCCCATACTCAAGAGGTAAGAGACAAACAATAAATTAATAAGCAAGCAATATCATGTTTGCCTGTGATAAGGACTAGGAGTAAAACAAAAGAGAATGATACGTGAGAGTTACTGGTGCATGAGAGGGCGTGAGACAGCAGCCACTTTAGACAGAGGGCTCAGAAAAATGACTCTTTGAGGAGGTAATATTTAAATTGAGATCTGGAGGATACAGAGAGATCCCCCAGGGCAGAGTAATCAGGACAGAAGAAATAGCAAATATGTAGGCAGTAGAGTGAGAACGGGCCTGGCTAAGGAAGACAAAGAAGACTCTGTGGTTGAAAACTCAGGGCAAAGGGGTGAAAATGAGGTGGGAGAAGCCAGCAGAATCTGCTTAGGTCGGTTTTCTGTAGGCTCTTAGAAGGGGAGTTTTATTTACTGCTAAGTGGAGTGGAAAGCCATAGAAGGTTTTTAAGCAGAGGAGTGATCTGATTTATGATTTGGAAGTAGTTATCTGGCTGCTTCCTGGCAAATGGAATATAGACAGTGGTGCAAGAATGACAGTTCATCTCTCACCAGGACCCAAACAGGGGTTCAGAGGCTGCACAGGGGTCAGTTTAGCATGCCAATGACCACAGGGCATGTACTCATAATCACACCTCCCTTCTAAAGTCCAAAGCTCTCTTACCAGGCCACGCTCCTTAGGCCTGGCTGCTTCATCCCTGGTTCATCCTTCTCTGAGGGGTTGTGCCCTCTTAGGATACTCCTTAGTTCCTCAAGCACAAAGACTTCCAATGGGCTTGTCCCTGCAGCTCTCCAGACACTCCAAGGCCATTGGAGTGCCAGCTAAGTTGCCACTGGCACCCTCCTCATATACCAGGAAAACTCAAGTCAGAGGTACCCATGTGAGTTATAATTAGCCTGGGCTAGTTAAAAGAAACAAATGAGCAAAGCAGAGACCCGCCTTCAACGGAGCTGTAGCTTCTCAGCTGCTCTAACCATTTTGGCATAAGTAGATGTGCAAAAATGGTCTTGAGATTGTTAATGGTACCGAATCACAGAAAATATGATGGAATGGAAAGATCTCCAATGATAGACTCAAAATGGAGTTTTCTATTCTCGGTTTGGGAAACAAAATGAGGAGGGGCTAGCTTTCAGGAGATGGCCCCTATTTCCATAATTATGGGCAATTGCACAAGTTACTTAGAAAACACGAGAGTCATAAGGCTAGACTGTTTTTAGACCAAGCCATAATTTAGATGTGGGAAGTGGTTTCACATCTTTGTATCACCACCACAACATACACTGTGTTTCAATCTATCAGGAGCTCAAATTTGATCAGCTTTTTTTTTTCTTTTTTTTAAGAAATGTGCAGCAAATTGCTTTTCCTAATTAAGGTAGATGAAGACAGAAGCACGCATACTACTTACCACTGCGGGATAAAATTGACTTTCAAATGATATTTAATGGACCAGCCTGATGGTAATGTTCTGCAGTTCCAGGCAGGAGGCCTGGATTTGATTCTCTTGCTGCAGGGAGAGAGGAATATGTGTGCGTGTGTGTGTGAGAGTGTGTGTATGCATGCATCTGTTTACAATAGCGAATAAGGAGGCAGAGGATGAGAATAGGTTATCAAAAAAACCTGTTTCTTTTGAAAAAAGTTAACATTTGTCATGTGAAGAAAGGCAAAGAGGAGAAAGGGGATGAGGAAGTGAAATGGTGGGGGTGTATATGGGTAGGAACTGGAGTAGAGAGAAGGTATTATTGTGAACATTTAAAATTTTTATGGAAAAATTGTCTGTGTTTTTTACTAACATTTGAAAAAATAGGGCTAACCTCTCTTATATAGTGAGGTGTGATATAATGATAATACTAATAGCAACAAACATAGCTACTTTTTTTTTTTTTTTTTGAGACGGAGTTTCACTTTTTTGCCCAGGCTGGAGTGAAGTGGCCCAATCTTGGCTAACTGCAACCTCCGCCCCTGGGTTCAAGTAATTCTCCTGCCTCAGCCTCCCAAGTAGCTGGGATTATAGGCACCCACCACCATACCTGGCTAATTTTTTTTGTATTTTTAGGAAAGATGGGGTTTTGCCATGTTGGCCAGGCTGGTCTTGAACTCCAGACGTCAGGTGATCCACCCGCCTCGGCCTCCCAAAGTGCTGGGATTACAGGTGTGAGCCACCGCGCCCAGCCATAGCTATATTATTAAACACCTACTATGCACTACAAACCACGCTAAAGGTGCTACACACATTATTGGGTTTAATACTCACAAAAGCCTTATGAATCAAGTGTAATTGTTTTCCTCAATTTACACAGGAGAGAATTGTTGCTTGCAAAAGTGAAGAAACTTGCCCAAGGCAAGTAGCAGAGCCAGGATTCAAACTCGGATCAGATCCAAAGTGCAAGGTGTAGACCACTACACCTCACCACCTTACTCAGCCCCTGGAATCCATGACAGAGCTCTGCTTGTGGTGTCACCATCTTTCACATCCGAGATAAGATGACTGGGAACAGTAAGCAAATGATAGTTGGAGCAATCCAAATGCAAAGGCAAGCAGCGACTTCTGTGTAAGGTCAGAGGAGGCAAAATGATGCTCTTCATTTAGCTAGAATCCTAGTTTACAGCCCTTGACTCTACTGGAAAATAGATACTCCAGACTGCAGAGATTAGCTGAAGAGGAAGGGAAGGCAGTTCGTCTCACTGGATCTGTCCCACACCTCCTGTAGTTCTATTAATACTTATTCCATATAAACCAAGTACAACTGGATATCATCTGGGCTCTCTGTTTTTTGGGGGTCTAGGTCAACCTAAGCCCCCAGCTCTGTATGCAACAGAAGTTCAAAGCCCTCCCCAGAACTTTGGTGATCCCTGAGAATTCCTGCGTCTGCCTGGGTGATCAGTGGCCTTTGCCTCTCAAGTGTGTAAATCAGACCCTTCCTCAAGGGCCATGGAAAGGCCACTCCCAAAATACATTCTGGAATATACCTGACTTTACTGAAGCGTTCAGAGGGAAACATAGAAATGACTGACACTACGTGATTAAAAAACAACTTTTTGAGTTAGAGTAGGCATCACTGACTTAAAAGTGCCCTGTGGTTACCTTGCCACTATGGTTGCACTGGCCTCACCTTGTCGATTCCTGGCTGAGTCCCTCTTGGCTCCAACTACTTCACCCTCCCTCTATTATTTGCTTCCAAACTTAACCAAAAACTGGGCGGAGGCAGGGGAGCTTGTATTTCATGCAGGGGTTCCTAATCTGGTGACAAGAGTTCAGGGGTTTCATAAACTTGGATAGAAAAATGTTACTTTATTTGCACTAACCTCTAACTAAAACTTAGTGTTTGCTTCTATTAATAATCTAATCAACAACCTACAGCAGTATTATCTGTACCTGAGACCCTTGCCACCAGGAGAAGACACAGATATTTTCACCCCATAATTGTTGCAGCTGAATCAAAATATTCTCTTTGTTCATCACCACTTTAAAATTATGCTAGTTATTAGTCTTGCCTGCTAGATCTTGCTATTAATAGATTAATTAAGAAGCACATATATCAGTTTCACATATTTGATTCTTAAAATTCTTTGATAACAAAGTTTCAAAGTAATTGGCTTCCTTTGAAATTCTATGTATTTTATTTTATGCATTTAAAAACATGATTCTGAGAAGGGGGTCCACAGATTTTACCAAATTGCCAATGGGGTCGACGGCATAAGAAAAGAGTAAGAAGCCCTGATTTAAAGTGGTAAAATTTTTATATGAATTCTATCACAATAAAAAATAGCCCTGATTTAATGAGACCTACTGTCCTGAGAAGGCCCTTGTGGCTACCAAGAATCATTTTTCCCCCTGTAACTCAAGTTTGAACGTCTCTGCATAACTCTCTCTCTCTTTTTTTTTTTTCCCCCAGTCTCACTCTGTCACCCAGGCTGGAGTACAGTGGCATGATCACAGCTCACTGCAGCCCTGAGCTCCTGGGCTCAAGTGATCCTCCCACCTCAACCTCTCAAGTAGCTGGTACTACAGGCACATGCCATCACAACCAGCTAATTTTTTGTATTTTTAGTAGAGATGGGGTTTCACGATGTTGGCAGGCTGGTGTCAAACTCCTGAGCTCAAGTGATGCATCTGCATTGGCCTCCAAAAGTGCTGGGATTACACGCAGGAGCCACTGTGCCTGGCCTCTGCATAATTCTTGTGGCCAAACTCTTCAAAAGGAATCTGAGCCAGATGCTGTGGCTCCTACCTGTAATCCCAGCACTCTGGGAGGCCATGGTGGGAGGATCACTTGAGGCCAGGAGTTCAAGACTAGCCTGAGCAACAATAGTGATACCCCGTCTCTACTTATTAAAAAATACAAAAGTTTTTTTTTTTAAGAATCTTTGCAGTCTCGGTTCACTTGCACAAGGTGGCTTTGTGTGTTTAAGGCTATTAACAATACCAGAAAGGTTAGCTGATGTGGGAAGTTCTGGCAAGATCCTTGCCTTCTTTGGGCCAGTGGACACTCAAAAATCTGTCTTTGGGAGTTACTTTCTTATAGACCATTTTCTGGATGCCTCGCTTACTGTAGACAAAATATGTTCATCACAACTAAACTCTGTGTTCACCTACATTTCATTGACAGCACATCCTCTGCCCTTTCACACCACCTTACTCATTTGAAAACTTCTTTTAATTTATCCTCTTTTTGGTAACCATTGTGTCCTTGTTCATAACCTATAAATCCTCCAGATCAAAGATCTAGGCTCAGTTGGAATAAAAAAAAAAGTTTAATAAATTAACATTTTAAATATAATGATTTCCGAACATGCCATTAGAAAGTGATTGCTTACCATCTGTCTTCTGTTGACCAGCATTAAAGGGTAAACAGCAATATCCTAGGCTGGAGAAGTGATGTTGTGATTAAGCATCACTGTGTGAGAGCCCACAGTACCCCTGAGCTCAGCTGATATTATGAAACCCATCCTCCAAGTACTGAAGGGAGTGAATGGGAAGGGGGAAAAGGTCATTTGGAATAACAGTGTGCTAAGGCTGGATGCTAATGTTGTTATGAAATCTCAAGATTCTGTTATAATTATACTCATTGAACTCACCCACATTTTCATGTTCAAATTATTTTTGTCAGTTAAATTACATACTACTTCAGTTTTCCTGTTTGTTATTTCATTTTTCAATTTTTGCTCATTTGTTTCAAGTAAAGCACCATATGAAATGTTGGAGACTATGAAGGTATTAAGGCAGAAGGTAGCAATCCTTGTCAAATACTGTCTTTGGGGGCCTGGGAGTGGAGAAAGCAGTGGTACCCCAGTAGGGAATAATATACATTTTCCATTGAGAAAAGGATACTTACGTGAACAGAAACAATCATTTCTAAAGGCCTTCTCCCAGAGGCAGCACCAGAAGAGACCTCAAGAGATTTCAATGCGTAACCATAGCAAGGAAACGTGATTTGTGGATACACACGTTATAAAAGCTACTTCTGTTGATTTTCTGTAAATGTCATGTAAAATAAATTGCTCTATAGCTTGAAGATTGTTTTGCAAGTAAAAAAATGTTTAGGATGGCATTTTCCTTTAGAGGAATGAATTTATACTGAACTAAAAGCCTTGAACAGTTTTTTTGCTTATTCTTTTCATGAAGCAAATACAATTGTGCAGGCCACTGTGTATGCATACTGGACATGTCTTGCTGTCCATGTTGGAACACAATAAAGATGATGAACTGTGAGCACAAGAGTTGCTGTAAATGTTACCACGTAGCCACTACTTCTTTCTACATTTTGGTAAACATGAGCTTTTTGAGGGAGGCTAATTCCAGCTATAGCTACTATTCCAAAAGCCTATTTTTTATTACTTGAATAATTTTTGGTCATTTTCTATAAATCCAAAAATCGGCATGCATCTATTTGTCTTCAAATGATAAATCATTGTGTAGCCATATTACATAATATTGTAATGAATTTTTCTGCCATGACCTTTTATGGCCCCCATACTTAGCAGCAGTTAATGCCAACAATACTTTTTCAGTTCTGATTACCAAAACAATAGACTGTGAAAAACAACTGAGGTTTGGGCATTTTATTTGAGGGGTGATCCCAGGAAGCATAATTGATAAAGTGAAATAAGAAATAGTGAAAAGACAAGGAAAGGGTGCTTTAATGAGCAGCCTTCTGCTGTGGGCAACTAGAGTTCAATCCTGAAGAGGATCCTCTTAGGAAGCTTATAGAACACTCCTCAGAATTTTCCCACCTAAGAACATGGAAGCTGGGGTACTTATTCATCAGGTCCCATTTCTCATGGGTTGACGGTTGCCCCAGCATTTCTAGCCTCTCCCGCAAAGAAATGTACAAGCTCCACTGGTAGCTAAGGAGGCCCTTGGGCAGAGAAACCAAGGAAGCCCAGCACTCAAAATGGGCACCTGTTGATGTGCACAGGAACTAGGAGGCACATGCAGGCAAACTCAGAGGAAGGCCAAGGAATATGTGGCAGGACATTAATATTGTCTGCTATAAAAGACATAAAATCAACCCAAATGCCCATCTATGATAGACTGGATAAAGAAAATATGGCGCATATACACCATGGAATACTATACAGCCATAAAAAAAGAATAAGATCCTGTCCTTTGCAGGGACATGGATGGAGCTGAAAGTCATTATCCTCAGCAAACTAACACAGGAGCAGAAAGCCAAACACTGCATGTTCTCGCTTATAAGTGGGAGCTGAACAATGAGAACACATGGACACAGGGAGGGGAACAACACACACTGGGGCCTGTCGGAAGGTGAGGTGGGGGGACAGAGAGCATTAGGAAAAATAGTTAATGCACTCTGCGATTAATACCTAGGTGGTGGGTTGATAGGTACAGCAAACCACCATGGTACACATTTACCTATGCAACAAACCTGCACATTCTGCACATGTACCCCAGAACTTAAAATTAAAAATTTAAAAATAGTGTCTGCTATAATAGCCACCATTTATTGAGCACTTACTATATTCCAGATACTGTTCTAAACTCTTTACATACATTAGTTAACTTAATAAAGAGCATGCTTTAGTAACACGTCTTAAAGTGCCTTTGGCTTTGTTATTTACATAATCCGTTAGCTATTCTAAAGACGATTTCGTATTGCTGACTGCATCAGGCAACAGGCAAAGCAAGTAATTAAGTCACCCATCAGATGGGTCAAAATAGCCCAAGCCATCTTTCCAAAGCCTGAATGATATCATCTCTTTCAAGCAGTGAGGAGGATAGAGTAGTCATAGGATTTCTCAAACACCATCTTGTAGTCTCTGATGGTGTTCTAAACTTTCTCTGATGCTTTTCAAATTCCATTCTCTCTCTGCTTTCATTTCCCTTGGAAGGAAAATACAAGAATCTTTTCTAAAAGCAGGTTCCCCAGGAGAATGTATTCCTGTTTTCCAGAGACAGTGAAATGTACCTTCGCACAGCATAGTCATTGTTATATAACATTGCATCAGGAACACTCAGTGCTTTCTATCAATAGTCTCACATCTCCCATTTCAGTCGTGTTGACAGGAAAACCAATCCAAGTTTTTCTGGAATTTGTGTTTGTCTTTTATCATCATTCATGTCACTCTCTAAAGTGACAGCCCCAATGGCACAGTGGTATTTATCATTCTCTCTGCTGGGTACACTGCAGAAGCTGAAATTGGGTAGAACTTTCCAGGCAGCAGTAAATCCCAATCTCAGATCAATAGGTACAGAGCCTGGCATCCTTTATTAACTCTTCTTCTCTGCTAACTTATGCATATATGAAAGCCCAGAACAAAGTCAGTTAGGAATGAAGTTTCATTGATGATATCTGCTTATCATGATGGACTAGACAAAAAGTCAGAGATAATTCCTTTTTTCCAAGGCCCGCTTTTTTCATTTCTGTTAGTAAGGGGACTCTCTGTTGGACAAGACAGGAAGTACCAATGTTCTTTGTTAATGCTTTGTGTTTACATCTTAATTTTTTTTTTTTTTTTGAGACGGAGTTTCGCTCTTGTTACCCACGCTGGAGTGCAGGTGCGCAATCTCAGCTCACCGCAACCTCCGACTCCTGGGTTCAAGAGATTCTCCTGCCTCAGCCTCCCCAGTGGCTGGGATTACAGGCATGTGCCACCACACCCAGCTAATTTTGTATATTTGGTAGAGACGGGGTTTCTTCATGTTGGTCAAGCTGGTCTCGAACTCCCGAACCTCAGGTGATCCACCCGCCTGGGCCTCCCAAAGTGCTGGGATAACAGGTGTGAGCCACTGCGCCTGGCCTACATCTTAATTACTGTAGTTTTATGCTAGTCTGATAGAGGGCCACCATGTAACATAAAAGCATTTTTTCCCAAAATTAATGTGGAAAAGGGATGGAACCTTTGGCCTACATTAATTGCCATCTAACACCTTGTCTTCTGGCCACGAAACAGCCCCCTAATTTTAAAATTCAAAGGGGAAATTAGAAGAATCAGGAAGTATATGCCACTCTCAAATGTATTGGTTAGTGGCCAAATATGGCCGGTACCATGGAACATAGACTATGCCTTGTGCTTAACATGACTTCTTTGAGGCATGCTGCCCAGGTTGAAGTTAATCAGTTTCTTTCCTGGGAATCATGGTTAGAGAAAAGGGTTCAGTCAGTCTTGACAAAAACACACCATTCATGAGCAGAGAAGTCTATGCTCCTGGCCACCTATGGAATTCAGACACAAACTATTGTTCATGATTTGCCCAGAAACAAAAGGCATAGCCACCATCTGCTTTTGTTTAGATATTCAAATTTTACAAATAGCAGCCTCAGCCTGGTGAGGGTCTGCAGAGCTGAGATGCCTTCCTCAGTTCTGTAGTTTGGGGACTTCCTCAGCTACAACTGCCAGATTATGTTGGATAGAATGGGGAGATTTCATTGAAACCCTCAAAGCAGAGCCTCTTGCCTCATCCATATTGGATCCCTGTGAAGCCCCAAGAAAATAGCCCAGAGAAGTGGGTAGCATTGTTGTTTCCTAAGAACAAGGACAGGCCCATACACACTGGTGGGCTGCTCTGCCTACTTGGTCAGCAGAGCTCGGTACAGGCAGGCACCCCCGTCTCTGACTCAGATAGCCTTGGTGGTCTGATGGGACTCCTAACCGTCTTGAGGCCACTGTGCAGGCTGTAATCAGAGCCCACTCTCTGCTGACAGATTTGAAGTGTGCATTGCAAATTCTCCAAGAGAGGACCATAGCAAGAGAGGGGAACTTTCAAAATGCCCCAGAAGGGTGCCTGGGACTCTTCTAGTAATTCACATCTGCAGATATTAGGTGGTGCAGATGCCCACATCTTAGTCACGCTTCCCTCTATGAGCCCAGGCCGGCTGACTGCCAGCAATCTCTATCTGTGGGCTTTGTTTTATTGAAAAGACTTTATTTTTTACAACTGTTTCAGATTTATTTTTTTTAAAAAAACTGTAGCTATTGAGTTACAGATAGTACAGAGAGTTCCCATGCATCCCACACTCAGTTTCCCCTATTGTTAGCGTCTTGCATTATTAGTGTGGTACATTTGTATAGTTACTATTAATGAACCAATGTTGATATACTATTATTAACTAGAGACCATACTTTATTCAGATTTATTTTTTCTGTTCCAGAATCCCATTAAGGACACCACATGACATTTAGTCATCATGACTCCTTAGGTTCCTCTTGGCTGTGACAGTTTCTCAAACTTCCCTTGTCTTTCACGACCTTGACAGTTTCAGAAGTATTTGTCATACGTATTTTAGAATGTCCCTCAATTGGAATTTCTCTGATGTTTTTCTCATAATGGGACTGCAATTGTGTGTTTTTAGAAGAAAGACCACCTAAGTGAAGTGCCATTTTCGTCACATCACTTCAAGGGTACACACCATCAACATGACTGACCACTGTTGATGCTGACCCTTGATCACCTGGCTGAGATAGCATTTATCAGGTTTCCCCACTGTAAAGTTACTCTTCCCCCAGCTCTTCTATATTGTATGCTTGAAAGAAAGTCCCTGTAGCCAACACATCAGGAGTGGGAAGTTATATCCCATCCCTTGAAGGCAGAGAACCTACATAAATTATTTGGAATTTATCTGCACAGGAGACTTGTGTCTTTCTCTCCCATTTATTTATGTATTCAAGTACTTATTTATATCAGTATGACTCGTGGATATTTATTTTATACTTTTGGTTTTATTTATTTATTTATTTTCTCTTTTTTCTCTTTTTTTTTTATATCATACTTTTGGTTTTAAATCGATATTACTTCATGTTGTTGCTCAAATTTTTCCAGCTTTAGCCACTGGGAGCTTTTTCAGTAAGCCCCTGTGTCCCTTTGACATATTCTCATCAATAGATTTTTTTTTTCTAGCATTTTCTTACTTTTGGCACTCCAGTCAGTTGAACATTGAGGACCACTGTGCTGGCCATTGCTAGATATATGTATTTATGAAAAGTCTGCCATCCTTTGTCTATTTGGTGGTTATGCAATGGAGGGTGCAGCCTTGTTATCAGTGAGGGTTGCATAAGGAATTGTAGATTTGGCCGACTGAAGTTTTTGGCCTTGATTGAGTCTTTAGGGTTCTTTAATGAAATCCATATTAATCCACTTATGGTGATACTAATCCAAACAGCTGAAATTAGTAAAATGTATCTGCTAGCTCCTGCCGCTGGCAAGTGACAAAATAAGAGTCAGGTACAGCTGCAGTCAGGCAAGAGAAAGAAGAAACATCAGGGTTATGTCAAGGAGATTTTCAAAGAAATGGTGCAGAGCAAAATCCACAGACACTTGAGCAAGAGAGAGCTCTTTCTGTGAGGCCTTGGCTCACTTAATGCCTGCAGCTTTGACAAAGAACAACCAAAGCACACTCCACCTCCACCCACCCAGCTGCTTTTATTTTATATTTTTCTAAGTGCTTTTCTTAAAGATGTTTAGAGTTAGGGTCAGACAAAAAGAGGGGATAGGAATAAGGGAGGAAAATGCTTAAAGATCAGGAAGTCCCTTTATACTGTAGGACTGCATGTGAGAATCATTTGAGCCCCTTCAGACTCTCTTCAAGACAACACATGAAAAAGAAAATCTTCTTTTCACCATACCAGCTACCGAATTTGGCTTTTGTGTATTTCTAGGTTAATGTGCAACCAGGACCTTTGGAAACCTGATAAAGCAGTATAATAAGCAGCGAATGCAATCCAGAGAGCTTGAACGTCTGTAGATGTTGCTTGATTGATATAAAACAATAGTTTTTCTCCCCCTACAATCTAGACTTCACTAGAAGCCCCATTTTTAATAGAGTCACTCTCTGGTTATTTTATCGCTGTGATTACTAATATCACATGCCCTGCCTGTGTTGCCTGTCTCTTTCCTATTCATCTTCAGATACAGTCCCTCATCGAATCATGTGTCCTTTGTTTCTAATGTAAGACTATGGTCATCATACCATTGTATCAGGTCCCAGATCAGCACTTTCCACCTCCCTTCACAATGGTGCATCCCTGCCCTTGAATAACCTGCACTCAAACCAGGCTCAATGATGCCCAAATGCTTCCATTGTCCTTAGGCCTATGCTGCACCTGATCCCTATGCTTGGGCCAAGAACATCTCCTTTCCCCCATTCATCCCTGTTAACCAGGGTTTTCTTCCTTACTTCAACCAAAAAGGGGGGAAATCTACTACCCTCATCCAATTAAGGAAACAACTCACATCCTACTCACCACAAAGTCCTCCTTTCTTGATCTAAAGGTGACACCATGTTTTGTCCGTGTCCGATATTCTCTAGTCATCTCTGCCTCCAACCATATCTTGCCTACCTTGTCCCCAAAACCCACCACAGATGAGCTATGCTAGACCTCAAAGGTCAGTCCAGTTTCCAAGATTAGATGGGGAGCCAGCAAACAAAAAGTACAATAGATGTCCTCAAGATCAAAGATACAAAAAAAGTGAATGAAGCTCCTTCATCTCACCTTCCTCTGCTCCATACAGATGCTCTCTAGAAGTTTGGTGATCATGTGGTTGTGTGTGCATGCACAACTGGCACAGTCCACAGATTACAATTACTATTTAGAGAGGTTCACAGCCCCAGCCTCCATCCTGTAACTCAGCACAATCTGCACCCTCTCACTTGTTACTGTATCATTGGACTTACTAAAGATTTCCGTGCAAAAGATCTGGCCAAAGCTTTCCACAATAGGTCATACAGGAAATTTTTAAAAATACATTTCCTATCCTTCATTAACATATTGTGGGCTTTGGCTGCAGTCTTTCATGTTTACGTACTGAATTGTCTTTCATCTGGTTCCTATTGCACTTTTAATTTCATTTTTTTTTTGCTGCAGCACTGCCACATCATTACATAGCATTTCTGCATGAGTTTCTTGAGGGACAAGCCTAGGCCTCACCTGTCTTAAATCCTCAGTATTTAGCACAGGTCTTCTACAGAGCATTTATGCAAATGCTTGCCAAATTGCTGCTAAATGTTTTCACCACAGCACAGTGGCTGGTAAATTGTAAGTCCTCATAAAGAGGAAATTGTACCTATTTTATTTTCTGCACAGAACCTAGCACATGCAATGAAGTATTTAACAAGTTCTTTTGAAAATTGATGCTGTAACTTGTCTCAACTTTCCCTACCTGTCTATATTTCCTATGTGTTTCTCTTTGTTAGTCATACACATTTGCAAAAAGGTAAGGAAACCAGAAAGGCAGGGATATTTTGCCTGCTATCTCTTAAAGCCAAATAGGAACAAATCAGTATCTGTGACATCACTGTTATCTCCTTTTGAGATGAACATCAAGGACTACGGTTTTAGATGATAAGTAAATGACACTAAGACCAGAAAAAACTTAATAGATGACTGAGCCCATTTCACCAGCTCCCTCAGGCCACCTGCCAGTGCGAGAAAAGAACATGCAGTAACCCTATCAGCCCGCTTTACAATTAGAATGAATTCATGAGAAACAAAAGATCTTGTTTTCATGGGAAAATATTCTTTGTGATATCCAACAAAGGGAGAATAATTTTGAAAGCATGTGACTTGGGGGCCCATCCTGCAGTTTTTGCACAGACAAAACTCTCATTGACTCTATCAATAGAATTGTTGCTACATAAAAAGTCTTCGGCAAAATTTCCATGATGCTTCAGAGCGCATTTTAAGTGCATCAGCCCCAGCATCCCACGCCCTCCCCATTTTAATAAAGCTGGAGAAGGTTTCCCTTCGATTGCCCTATTGTGCAGCAGGAGACAAGCACAGCACAGGATTAGAAGCCAGTGGACACCCCTCACCCCTACCCTTGCATATATCATCATACCAAAATCCATGGCAATATAGAGAAGTTCAAATTTCAACTGAATTTCTGAGCTTGAATTTTCCATTTCAAATTGCTCTTGCCAGGTAGACAGAAAGCAGATTTCTTGCAGGCTTCAATAAATACCATCTCCAAGTAAAATCCACATTTTTCAAATAGATAACAGTATAATGATTGGTATTGCTATTCCAGCTATGGCTGAATAGCAAGCAGTCCATTCCTTTTTATGTGGTATGCTCCTTAAGAGCCTCAAAAGATGAAATTGGACCTTCAGTGCTGCTGGAATGAAGGACAATGGGCCCAATCTCTACTTTTGAATTCTCTTAGCAAATGTACTGCATAAAATAGAATGCAATGCTAGGAAAGACTTTACTTCTAAAAAAAAATAGCAGGCAATATCTGTTCTAATAGGTGATTCATTCTCTCCCATACCAGTGATGTTGTTAATTCAATTGATACAATTTTAAGTTGGTGCTATATTCTTAAACTACAAAAAATTTTTTACTTTAATTCATGAGTTTTGCCCTAAAAAAGCTAATACTTACAGTATCACAAATAAACATAAGAGAAAAATTTGGGAGTCTGTGGCCTCTGCCTTGAAACTTTTAAGAAACTGAAAGACCCTTACCAGCCTGAGATGATATAGGCCAGTGGTTAGCCTCTCTGGGAAATGAAACCAAATTATGCGACCAGAAAAAATTAAGATATCATAAAACCTAAAGCCTTAGGTCTTCATAAATACTCCATGATATTTCTCTCTCTCTCTCTCTCTCTCTCTCTCACACACACACACACACACACACACACACACACACCCTTATAGGGACTTTTTTAGCCTTTAAATGTTTACAAAATATATACTTTGCTCCATAACATCTGGATTTTAATTGCACACTTATTCTGAAGTTACTTCACATCTATGTATCTTGTCTTCACCAGAAGAGAAGGAACCTAAGGCAGGAACTATGTTTTCAATCTCACTTTTATTCTTTCACAAATAGTAATATTAATCAGAGTAATGACTGACATGTATTGAGTGCTTAATATATATCAGATGCTCTTCCAAGCGTTCTACATTATTATCTCATTTAATGCTCACTAAAACCCCATTGGGAAGGTACAAATCCATTCTACAAAAGAAAAAAAATGATGCAAATAGCAGGTTTTTAGCAAATAATTGTTGACTGATCTAAATAAATGGAGCCCAATAGGAAGTTCCTAAAACTATTAGCAAAGAAGCTGTGGCCAGTGACATTTCCTTAATGATTCTGTATTATGCTTACCCTTAGTCAACAGGTGTAACAGAGACAGCTATTAGCTTCCCAATAACCATTCCCTTCTTCCTCATTGGAAACGAAGCCCTGATTTTCCCCGCAGAATTCCTTGCAGCTAGATATGACCTTATGGCCAAATTCTCACCAGTGAAATTTATAAAAAAGTGTTGTCTGGTATTTCTGGGAAGAACTTTAAAATGAAGGAGGCAGGTCCATCTTCTCCTTCCTCTTTCCTGCTGTTCAGAACACATATGTAATGCTAATATTCAGCGGCTGTTTTGGACCATGAGGTGACCTTAGGAATTGAAGTCACATACAGCTGAACAAGATAAAGGAGTGTTGGTGCCTGACATGGTGAAGTCACCATACCACTTCTGGCTACCTACATCCAAACTTCTTTTACTTAAAAACAGAGAACTAGGATTCTAGCTTGTTTAAGCTACTGTTATGTTTTCTTTTCTATTATATGGAGCCAAACCTACATCAAACTAACAGTTGGCATATACACAATAACAAAAATGTTTCTTTGATACATATAATGAAAGGTTATGCTCATATTCAAAGGGGAGATCAAAATGTTCTTTTAAAAAGCAAAGTCTTTGAGTTTACTCAAGATGAAAATTTTCTGATTATGAGAGTAATACACTTCTATTTGGAAAACTTAAAAATTTTGGAAAGAAATAAGAAAAAATTACACATCTCTAATTCTACCAGTCAGAACAGAATTGAATTAATTAATTTCAATTAATCCCTGAAAATTAATATATAAATCATCAAATCTTGTGATGGAAAGAGACCCTAAAAGTCATATTGTCTGACATTTTACTAAAGCCAGCATCCTTTTGACAGCACTTCTCCCTGATGTCTATCCAGTCTCTCCTTGAATAGTTCCAATGATAAAGAGCTCAAAGATTTATGAAATGGTTTAGTCCATAGTTGGAGTCAATCTGTCTTAAGTTCTATCCCACATTAATGAAAATTGGCCTCCTTGATATCTGAAGCAGCCAAAAAATAAATTTATTGCTTCTCAAACATCATGTTCCATTAAACATTTGAAGGCAGACATAAAAGCTATATTTTCCATAGTCAGTCACAAACTATGTGCTAAGCATTGTAGCAGGAATGGAAATATAGGCCATGACTGAAAATAATCCAAGTGATATATAGTGATGGCAAACTATGTGAAGACAGGAGTAGATATGTTCCAAAGACCTTTTTTTTAATTGATGACAGAATCGGTGTCAAACTAAATATGGAGGGTCAAAAGAGCCAAGAAACAAGGAATATGATGATGTCTTTAATGAACAGAGAATACTCAAACAGCAGCAGAAGCACATTTGTAAGTGAGTAGTAGGGGTGGAGAGTCAGGGGAAGAGGTTACAAAGAGGTTAAATTTTGAAAATAAACCTTTGAGGTGCATATGGGACCCCCAAATAGGGATGTACGATAGAGTCAAAAACATATGTCTGGAGTATAAAGGGATGTTAACTCTTATATTGTCCTCTTAATCCAGCTATTAGAAGTAGTAAAGGATAGGGTGCTGTGCTTCTGAATGGTAAAATGTCCCAAGAATACAGGAATATGTATCGCCCACTCTAGACACTGCCATCCTCCCTTGAGAGGGAGAGGTTCATGAAAGAGACACAAACACACACACAAAAATAATGAAACAGGAAAAATGAAACAAATCCTTATTGATTTCTGAATTTAGATCCCAAGCTTCCAAAAAGAGATATTGTAATATTTGGGCTGGGCCACGTGTAGCATAACCTTTTTCCTAGGCTACTTAGCGTAAATGCCTTCAGCCCAAAGCAGGCTGTGAGTGAGGCCTGTGAATGTTTTTACCTGCCCCCAAATTTTAGATCTAACCATACTCCAGTCCCACGTCAAGAAAAAAGAAAAGTTAGTTTGTTGGATATACTCCAGGAGAGTAAGCCCTGAATTGGCTTATCATTTCTGGCATATGGATGGCAGATAAAGAAGAGAGAGGAAGAGAGTCTCTAATAGAAAGTAGGCCCTGACCTTTTCCACTTCAGTAGTATTTCCAAGAACAGCAAAATAGTCACACCCAAGTGCTGACCTGTTAATACACAGTGACTGTGTCCACTGGCAAACATAGCATAATCATGTCCCAGATTTGAATCCAAAAAAATACTCCTCCTCGGATATAGATTGAAGGGAGAAGGAAAAACAGGCTCTTCTTCCTAGAGTAACTTATAGCCAAGGGAATCATAGCTTTTGGATAGCTTTGTAGACTTACTGGTTTGTATTAAAGTTGGAACCAATTAAATCCCCTAGGTCATTTTAATAAGAAGTCCTGAGATCTCCTTCCAACTTACACTCAGGTGATTAAATCATGAACCCTTAATGAGAAGTTCGCACTTATCTCTGTTAGGTTTAATTTTGCTGCTTTTGTTTCCTAACTCCAATTTATGACATTATCTTTGAATATTTATTTTGTTCTCTGACTTATTTTCCAACACTCCCAGTCTAACAATCTCTTTCAGCTTTAGTTCATTTCTAAATTTGATTCATGAGTCTTTGGGGTCTTCATTCAAAGAGTTGAAGAAAGTAAA
Source organism: Homo sapiens (assembly GCF_000001405.40). Lineage (NCBI taxonomy): Eukaryota > Metazoa > Chordata > Mammalia > Primates > Hominidae > Homo > Homo sapiens. Next base: position 38,841,398 of record NC_000023.11, on the reverse strand, counting down.
AAAAGAAAAGGCCAAAGTTAGAGGTCTGGAACCCACTACCAAAAACCTCATCCTAAGCTGACAAGAATCTAATTTTTTAAAAATGTTCAAGTAGCCATGAAACTTCACAATAGTAGAATTATTAGGATGTTACTTTTCTAAGTTGTCCACAAAGACATCATGACTAACAAATAGTGGTTTAAATCATGCTATTCCACTGGCCATTCCATTATCCTGTCAGTCTCAGGACTCTGTTTTTAAAAAGGAAATGAAAGTAGTTCACTTTTCAATTATACACAAATACAATACCACAGAGACAAGCTAATGAAAATACTCCTCACAGCCATTGTCTCCAAGAATCCACCTTTTCATGTGTATATGTGACAGATTATATCCCTAATCTGTTTGCATCAAGCTTGGAACAAAGAAATTTTATAACTAGTAGCAATATTTTGTTAGGTACATTTGCCACACAGAAGCTTTTTTTTAAAAGGCAGAGCAATTAGCAATTTTATCAGTTTGTTCATGTATTTGCATTTTGTATATATTTGCATTTCATATTTAATTTGGTGCCCCATAACTGTTATAAAATTAACTAGACTCAACAGACACTTTTACTTACTAACACTGAGTGATGTACCCTTAAATTAATAATTAGATCTGAGATCTAATTATTAAATAGATAAATAAATAGAAGTACAATCAACAGGAAAATTGCTCTTCCATGCAACTGATATTGAATGCAATTTCCTTTAGTACAGCATACATAGAGGTAAGCCTATTGAGACACATATATCAAAATATATAATATTCTATTGTCAAAATGTTAAAACATTTGTTAGATCACTTCAGAGGATAATAATTTTTAATAAAATCTATAACATTTCTGCAAGTATCTTTAGATTTTTTAAAACAAGAAACTTTGGTTGCGTTATGTTTACAAGTGAGTCTTAGTGCCTGAGTCTCTGCTATGAGATTTTAGTGACTAATTTTAACATATTTCTTGGAGAGCAACATTAGAGCAATTCATAGAAAAGCTTAGAACCACTTAACCTGCCAAAAATCTATTCAGTTTCCAATCAAACTAGTTCTGCTTCACGAATGTCACCCCACCTCTTTATGCTTGTCCATCCATCCAGCCTGTTATTTATTCCAGTGCTCATCCAGGCTTTCTCTTCTCCAAGCCTTTGTCTCCCTCACCCCATCTCCACCCAAACTTGGAGAAGGACTTGGCACTCTAAGCAGCAGTGGTAGGGCAGAGACACCACCAAGTCCTGTCAATATTTGCCTACTTGTCACCTGATTCACACACTGCTGACATTAGGATAAGCTCTGATCAGCATGTCTGGGACCAAAGTAATGAAAACAAAATGGCATCTTGAGTTGACCTCAAAAGCAAAATGGTAACTGGTGTCCACCTGTTTGTTCATTTGTTCTTTTAACAAATACTTTGGAGCATCTGCTATGTGCTCTTAGTAGTAGACTTATAAAAAGCATAATCTGTGTCCCACTTAACACACTAAGACTTGGGCTCACACTGGTAAACTTTTTCACAGTTCTTTGGCACCATATTTTTCTTTACAGCCATTTTGTTTGGGGTATATTTTACCTTCATGAATTATACCCACAGATGTAGCACATAAGACGTGGGAGTAAGGTGGAGTGGGAATTAGAAGGACAGAAGAGTCAGGGAGGTGAAAAAGAACTAAAGAAAATCCAAATGTACACAGCAGAAATGAGAGAGAGTGTGTAAGAGACAGAGAGAGACCTTTTCTCTCCATTTTTCCAGCTTTATCTCCCTTTCTCCCTGGCTCCTTCTTACTTCCACTTAAAAACTTCTTACTTCCGCTTAAAAACATCCCTATGAAAAAACTTAGAGAAAAAAACAGTAAAGGATTTCTGTCCCCTGCATACCATTGATATAGCAGCCAGTGCCATGTTAATGATTAATTTGTCACATCGAACCTCTAGTAAGGACATAATTCCCTTTTCCTCATCCACAGATTATCTTTGAAACATAGAGTGGAAAGCACTTAGACTCATTGGACAAACCCATTCTCAGTAAAGCATTTTATCATCTGTTCAAGTAAGACGGTGTGGCTTATATTTTAAAATCAATTTGAAGATACCTTTTGCTCTAGCAACTCATCAATGCCCAGAGAGATTTGAGACAAGGGCAAGAACAGTATAGGAGGGAAAGTTCTTAGTGAACAAAATGGGAAGGAGCTCAGTGCTAGTTCTCTCTCTAGGACTCATTAGATATTTGACCATGGCAAGCCATTTAATCTTCCTGAGCTTCATTTTCCTCATCTATAAAATGGATACATGATCATGTTTCTTCTGAGAACCAAAACCATCTTCCTGACAGTCAGCCGAAATCACACCTTATCAGCTACACTAACGTGACTTTGCTATTCCACTGGCTTTATTAGTATGACTACTTTTCCAGGACTGTCATGACTAGGTAAATGGTTTGATTTTTTATTATAGGACCTTGCTGGAGGACTCATCACCACTTCAATGGAAAGCATCAGGAGACCATTTTTGCCCTAAGATCTCTCATCTCAACATCTTTTTTTATCTTAACCAATCCTGGACTGTCATATAGAAGGTCTTAATCAAATCCTCCTGCATGGAAATACCCACCTTAAAACAAACTTCCAATTCTCAAGAAACTCTGACCTTACCTTCCCCTCTCTGAGGGTAGTGTCCCTCTCTGAGACACTACCAAAGGAAGAATCTCAGTTTTGTCTTACCAATAGGTTGTATTGGTGATATTTGGGAAATCAGCTTTTGACATCTCTTAGAATCATTGTAATAATATGCATGAAAAAATGTTGAATGTCATGAATTGCAATAAAAATATGAAATGGGGGCCAGGCACAGTGGCTCACACCTGTAATCCCAGTGTTTGGGAAGCTTAGATGGGAAGATGACTTGAGGACAGGAGTTTGAGACCAGCCTGGGCAAAACAGTGAGACCCCATCACTACCAAAAAAAAAAAAAAAAAAATCTGTCTTAAAATTAGCCGGCCATGGTGGCATGTGCTGCCTATAGTCTCAGCTACTCTGGAGGCTGAGGCAGGAGGATCAGTTGAGCCCAGGAGTTCTAGGCTGAGTGAGTCATGATTGCACCACTGCACTCCAGCTTGGGCAACACAGCAATACCCTGCCTCAGAATAACCAGGAGCTAGCCTCTCCTCCCTCCTGTGTGACATCTTTGCAGAGGATCATAAATAATATTCTGCTAAATCAGAGGGTGTCAATATGCCAGAAGGGGACATGAACGCTCCTGTGAATGGCAACTCCTTGAAACTATTGTTAAGATGTTGGGGAATCTTACACTTACTATTGGAAGCAAAGAGAAACTTTTCCACCTATACTTGTCTTTGGACTGTTCTATTTCACCTACACAGGTGACAAAGCTGGTACTCTCCAGTTACCAAACCAAAGTTGATCTTTTAATCTAAGACATAACTGGACAATGAGTGTATAGATGGGTGGGTAGCTACGACAAGATGCTTCCACTCGAGTTGCCAAATGTAGGACAGGCTTTTCAACCTAAGAATTCAAAGAATACAATCTTAATTTTGATCAAGTGCCCCAGCTTCACACATGCGAAAATTGTTTAGTTTGGTTTACATATTCTGCAGCTTATTCTGCCCTCCTCAATATTATTAATTAATCACTATCCTTCTCTTCTCTATACCTTTTGTAATGAGTCCATCCACCCATCTTGGCTTCATGTATGTATATGAAATTTAAATTCATACCATAACAGTTTACTCATCCAGAATGTATAAACAGCATCCTCAACTCTGAAGAATGTGGCCAAAAAAAAGGAAGTTCGCAAAACAGGATTCAGATTACCCAAAGGAGGCTAAGTATTAACCAGAAAACCCAAAATGTTTAACATTACCCTCAAGTTAAGCATTTGGCCCAGTGACTGACAGGAGAAGCACTCCCGATAAATGGTGTGTTACCAGATCTTGGGTCATGTCTGCCTAGATCCCAAAGCATTCCTGTCATATATCTAGTAGAGTGTCTGGCACAAAAGTGGCACCTGATGATTGATATATGTTGATTGATTGGCAGACTATTCACAAAAGAAGACAAATGCATGAAAAACTATTCAATGTCACTAGGTAACCAACAACATTTATATTTAAATGAGATAGTATTATTTGCCAATTATGTTAGCACAGTTACAAAAGATAATACATAGTGCTCTCAAGGGTGAAGCCAGATGACCATGCTTATGCAACATTACTGGGGGTGCAAATGGTTACAACCGGTCTAGAAAGGCACTGGAATCAAGCTTTATGCCCTTTATCCCACTGTTAGGAATTTATCCTAAGGAAATAATTTTAAATATAGCCAAATATAATAACATTAGAAACAGCAAAAATATTGGAAACAGGATCCATATCCAACAACTGAACGATTCAGTACTGGCTAACATATATTTCACATTTATTATCTATGGGAACTCTGTAAGATATTGTTTCATTTAACCCTTACAGAGACCATATGAAGTAATTCATATTATACTTATTTTGCAGATGCTAAAACTGAAGTCATTTGCCCATTCACAGAGCTGGAAACTAGAGGAATCATGACTGGAATTAGGATCTGTTTGACTCCATAGCACGTACTCACACAGTACCTCTATACTATAAAATATTATGCATTAAAACTTTCAATGATAAAAAAATTAATGTTGAAGGAAGACATGATAGAAAATTGTATGTATTTAATCTGAATATTGTAATATGCATGCACACATACTCAGAGGAAAAGTTTTCATGAAATGCATCAAATATTAACTGTGGTTATTGCTGAGGAGTTGTTCTATGGAGAACTGTTATTTTCTATTTTATAATTAAAGTACTTTTTCTAATTTTCTACTACGATCAATATATGGCCTTTATAAACAGGAAAACAAAGATGTTGTTGAGAAAAACTAAGGTTTTCAGATAACATGGCTGAAATGAAAAAGTGAATATGACCTTTGAGAGGCATCCAGGTCCCACAGAGGTAAACATAGACTTATACAACAGTAAAGACCCTTCACTTGCTATGGAGTCTGGCCCTGGGAGCACCACCATACTTGCTTTGCTAGGGATCTCAAAGTAATGTATATTTCTTGGTTTTCATTTCTATGTCTTCATCTATGAGCACAGCATCATGTGGATGGATCAAGGTGGATTTTTTAATATAACCCTGCTTTTTACTGCATGCATTGTGAGAGGAGACCAGATGCCTCCTCTCCATTCCTTCTAACTAGCAGGTGTCACACACCTTCTGGTGCTTGTGAAGCTGCTCAACCTTCTCCAATCATCACATGTCAGAGATCCATGTGGTGACCTTAACAACAGGGCCAAATTAAGCAGATCATAATTCTCAATTTGAATCACTGCAGACATGCCACATGGGAAACACCTGAAAATACAAGGCCTTTGGCACCTGCACCCTGACTACAGTCTGAGCTGAAGAAATGTGGACACATGGCAGAAGCCAAGTCCATACAAATGCATACAGATCACTTTTATGATTGTTTTCTTGCTTGCTTCAGAGACTTGACCTGAACATGCCAGCAAAGGATAATTGTTAGGTAGAGGTTTGTGGTCCTGTTGTTACCATGTTGTTGTGGAAGCTTCTCCACTTGAGTCATACAGATAAGGCATTCATTAAGACATGGCAGAGAAAACATTCTCAACTAGTTGGAGACTGAGCAACATAAACTCTGGGGATTAAACTGATTTTTTTTTTTTTTTTGCCATCTCTTTTCCTGTGACTTGGTTGCACAGACACACTGAGCTCTGTGCCCAAACCATTCATTCTTATTTTCACATGGTTTCTATACAGATGGTAGAGCCATCACAGTTAAAGATCTGTGACTCTGACCTTATCCATTCACTACCCTTCCAGCTGCCAGTTGGCTATAAATTATCTCGCTTCTCATCCCATTCCTAGTCCATGAATTGGAGTTACTCTTAACCTCTGTTGCTGCTCCTGCTCAGTCTTATTGAACTTCTTTTGATACAAACGTAGTTAACTGCTTTTTTCCATACATGTTCATGATATAGTCAAGTTGGGAATAAACCTGCTTTATGAAATTGTAGGAAGAGAAAGAAGATGTAGAAAAACAGAATCAACTTGCATTACTATAATAGCATCCACAAAAGACAACAAAAATAAAGATGGCAGTTATTAAAGTGCCTAGGTTCTCATAAAAATGGGAAAGCAGTATGTTATATGGAGAAGAGAATAAATATACTAGGTGGCCTCTTCATGGAATCTTAGGGTTGGATCAAGAATTTTTGAGGTCATATGATCCAGTGTCCTACTTATAGGACAAGATACGTAAGCCATTCCAGTGAGATCATTCTGATTCTCCTCTTAAAATTCTTCTGGAATGATAACACAGTCCTAGTTCAGAAATCCACCCTTGGGTTCTTTGACCCCAGCTGACAAGATGTCCTTATACTTGATGAAATCCCTGCCTTATCAAAGTCTACTCTTTCTTCTCTTTCCATAAGCATGGAGCAGAACTTTCTAGAACTCTTCTCTATCTTCTTCTGACTCCTTTATATATTATAAAGCAGTCCTCAACTTTTGAAAGCACAGCCAGATGGATAGATGGGGAGTGAGGAAGTCCATGTTAAAAGACTCCTCATTAACAGGTAGATAACTGCCCCTGCTCTGGATTAATTCTGAATACTTGGAAAATCACCCATCTAGAGAAGTAACTTCTCCTAAGCAAACCTTAGGCAAGAAGCTCCTGATGGCACTGCCAAAACTTTGTTTTGGAAGAAGGCAGGGAAATCAGGGTCCAAGTCACAATGTTAAGAGTTTCTGCTGCTAGTTACTAAGGATAGGAGTCTCTTAATTTTCTTACTGTCTTGACATTCCTCTCCTTTTAGGTCTGTGTATACACACCCTTGGAAGACTCATGTCCTGCAGTCATGGCCTAGTTGGGCCTCAGCATGGATTTCCATATACAGATTTTTTTAAAAAAATTATACTTGCATATGGCTGAAATAGAAATATTAGCAATGTTTCAGATAACATAGGTCCATTAGGCAACTTTGGGCTGGCTTATGAGTGTCACCACCTCAAAGAGTGTGCCTTTTATAAGGCGTGTGACAAGGCGGGGTCTACCTACCATCAAAGGAAGTACAGATGATCAGTAAAACAGAATCTAGTTTCCTGAGACACCATAGAGCTAGAAAACAATTTTGTTGTTAAAGTTCTGAGCTCCAAATATAAGCTACACTTGAGTGAACATAGCGACAAAATAGCAAAGAAACAAAAACAAATACCGTATGGATGCAGATAGTGGATATATTTGTTATGTATTGCTATGTAATATATTACCCTAAAACTCTGAATTAACATTTATTACCTTATACAGTTTCTGTGGATCAGGAATCTAGAAACAGCTTGGTTGGGCATTTCTGGGTCATGGTTTTTCATTGAGTTGCAGTCAGCATGTCAGCAGCCAGGGCTGCATTCATCTGAAGGCCTGATTGAGACTGGAGGATCCACTGCCAATATGGCTTCATCATACAATTGGCACATTAGTGCTTGTTGTTGTCAGGATACCTCAGTTCCTCACCACATGGATCTCCCCATAGAGCTGCTTGAGTGTCCTCATAACATGGCATCTCTGTTCCTTCAGAGCAAGTGATTCAAGAGAAGCGAGGTGAAAGCTGCAATATCTTTCATGACTTACACTCAGAAATCACACTCCTCAGAAAGCACTCTCTCCTACTGGAGAGCCAGGTCAGCCTTATTCCTATGTCCTATTTGGGAAAGTACTACACAAGGATGTGAATACCAGGAGGCAAGAACCAGTGGGGTGCCATGGTGGTTGGTTGCCCAGTGGCCATCAAAGGAATGATGGTAATTCATGGGCCCACTTGTTTTATAATATCACCCCAAAGAGGAATTTTTTGGATTCATTGATGGGGCCAGTTCCCACTTTCTCTCCTCTGCTCAAAGTGGGCAGGTCATCAATTTTATTTCTGGGAACAAAGTGAAGAGGGATGATGAAAATAAGTAACTGACCACTCTGAAACCAATTTCAGTTTCCACACAGTTTATAGTTTCTTTCTCTATAGCCAGTGTTTCAGTTGTCTATTCTCTTCACATAGCGCACCACTTTTCAAGGACTCTGCATGTTGCTTGAGTTTCTTACAGCAAGGGGGTCTCAGGGTAGTCATACTTCTTTAATAGTGGCTGGCATCCAAGAGACAGGAAATGGAGACTATCGTTCTGTTAATACCTGGGCCTGAAAACTGGCATGATTAAATTTTTATTATATTCTGTTAGTCAAAGCAGTCACAAAGCCTGTTATGTTTCAAGGGAGGGGGCATAGACACCCATGTCTCTAAGAAAAGAGAGTAAAAAAAAAGTGTGGGCATCTTTAGTCCACCAGAACTGGGGATCTTAAGTGGATTACCTGTCCACCTGAGGAAATGGAACTATTAAAATACCAGAAACTGGCACAGATATCCTTGAGCCTCTGAGTTTTCTGTCTCCACCAGAGTGTCTGTCTTCTGTGCTATGTGTGGCAGATAGAGCCTGGAGTGAAGCCCACATGTTCATTCAGTCATTTGACAAATATTTAATACGCACTCCCATATGCTATCCACTGTTTCAGGTACTTGAAATACATCTGAATGAAATTTTTAAAAATCCTGTCTTCTTGGAGCTTACAGTGTAGTGGAACATAAATGAAGAAATGGGATAAAAGAACAACTTTCATTATCAAGTGTTTGCTGCCCACCAGGCACTATGCTTGGCACTTAACTGTACATTATTTCATCTCATCCTCACAGGAACCTCCAAGGGAAGCACTGTTTCTTCCTACACAGCTGGAAAATAGTCAAGCTGAGATTTAAACCCAGGGTCTCTCTGATTTTAAAGTGTATGTTCTTAATCACCATGCCATACTAATTCCCTTATGGTAGGTAACTTTCTAAAACTGCAAAGAAGCACAGGATAAAAGGCTCCATGTAAATCTCAGGTCAAGAAAGAGGCCTGGATAGTAAAAATGACCAATGTCTGCCAAACACCTAAACATTTATAAGGAGTTTTTGTTTACCCCAACTATCTTATGAGGTTTTAGGTTTTCCTTTCTTTGTAGATGAGAAAATGGAGATACAGGGAGTTTCCGTGATTTGTCCATCTGGTTAAACCTTCCACAGCTCTGTCCAGATGTAAGCGTAAGTGTTGGCCACAGTAAGACTCAGAGGTCAATAGGGCAGGAAAGCCTACCTGGCAGAATACAATTGTTCTTTGGCTGTTAATACAGGAAGCAAGTGTTATGGTTCACAAAACTCCCTGAACTGCTCCCACAAGCCAACATGGAAAGAGCAATGAGACCAATGGGAGCAGGTTGAAGAAAGATTCCTCCTTCCCATTGACCTGTATTTCTCTCTTTTTCAGAATAGTCCTTGGCCCCCGTAATCCAAGCCTGCACTCTTTCAGAATCACTGCAATCTGTTTTGGGGGAGACAAAAAGTCTCTCTCATTACACAACAATATTTTTCACCTTGATATTCCTGTAATAAATAATTTACCATTACACTAGATAATGCCCTCCTTTAAGACTCTGAGTTCCCGGGAAGCAGGGGCCAGGGGACCAGATCTCACCCATCTTCACATTCCTAATAACTAGTTCGGTGCCTAGCATATAGTAAGTGCTCAATAAATTTTTATTGAATTGCTTTAAATCTTACTCGACCCTAACATATATAAACCAGGTTTTAAGGTCATTTATTAGATCAAAGGTGTAGCAGCAGATGACAATGGCTTAATAAAAACCTTTGTCAAGTTTGTGGTTAGCAGTATTAAAAACAAAGACAAAACCAAAAAAACAGCAAAAAAACTAGATTTTTCTTTTTGTTTTTTCTTTTTAGTTTTATTTTGTTTTTAATTGACACATAATAATTGTAATATTTATGAGGTAGAGTGTGATGTTTTGATACATATGTAATGATCAAATCAGGGTCATTAGCATATCCATCACCTCAAACATCTATCATTTCTTTGGGGTGAAAACATTCAAGATTCTTTCTTCTACAGTTGGGCAGGGTGGCTCATGCTTGCAATCCCAGCATTTTGGGAGGCCAAGGCGGGCAGATCACTTGAGGCAAGGAGTTCAAGACCAGCTTGGCCAACATGATGAAACCCCACCTCTACTTACAAAAAAAAATAATAATACAAAAAATTAGCTCGATGCAGTGGCACATGCCTGTAGTCCCAGTTACTCAGGAGGCTGAGGCACAAGAATTGCATTAGCCTGGGAGGCGAAGGTTGCAGTGAGCCCAGATCACACCACTGCACTCCAGCTTGTGTGACAGAGTAAGACTTTGTCTCAAAAATAATAATAATAAAATAAATGTACTTCTGAATGATTCTTCTAATTTGTCAATTAAAAAACAAACAAAATACCCCAAATCCTTTCTTCTGGCTTTTTGAAAATATACAATACTTTATAGTTAACTATGGTCACCCTACTGTGCAACAGAATACCAGAACTTATTCCTCCTATCTGACTGTAATTTTGTACCTGTTGAGCAGCCTTTCCCCTTCACAGCTTCCCCTTTATTCTCCCCAGCCTCTGGTAACCACTGTTCTACTCTACTTCTATGACTTCATCTTTTTTAGCTTCCACATATGAGTGCGATCATGCTATAGTTGTCCTGTGCTTGGCTTATTTCACTTAAAATAACGTCCTCTGGGTTTGCCCATGTTGTCACAAATGACAGGATCTTATTTTTCATGGCTGAATATTACTACATTGTGTATATGTACCATATATTTTTATCCATTCATCCATTGATATAAACTTAGGTTGGTGCCTTATTTTGGCTATTGTGAATAGTTCTGCAATAAACAAGGGAGCACAGATATATCTTCAACATACTGATTTTATATATTTTGGATATGTACCCAGTAGCGATATTTCTGGATCATATGGTAGTTATATTTCTATTTTTATCTTATTGTATTTATTTTTTTCTTTTTTGAGACAGAGTCTCACTCTGTCGCCCAGGCTGGAGTGCAGTAGTGCGATCTCAGCTCACTGCAACCTCCGCCTCCTGGGTTCAAGCTATTCTCCTGCCTCAGCCTCCCAAGTAGCTGGGATTACTGGTGCCCACCACCATGCCTGACTAATTATTGTAGTTTTAGTAGAGACAAGGTTTCACTATGTTGGCCAGGCTGGTCTTGAACTCCTGACCTCAGGTGATCCGCCTGCCTCAGCCTCCCAAAGTGCTGGGATTACAGGCATGAGCCACCATGCCCGGCGGTAGTTCTCTTTTTATTTTTTTTGAAACTCCACACTGTTTTCCATAATGTCGCTACTAATTTACATTCCCATCAACAGTGTGTAAGAGTTCCCCTTTCTACACGTCCTCGCCAGCATTTGTTATTATTTTGTCTGTTTGATAATATACATTCTAACTGGAGAGGTAATATCTCATGTGGTTTTGATGTGCATTTCCCTGTTGATTAGTGATATTGAGCATTTTTTCATACACCTGTTGGCCATTTGTGTCTTCTTTTGAGCAGGTCTTTTCCCCATTTTTAAACCAGATATTTGTTTTTTTGCTATTGAGTTATTTGAGTTCCTTATATATGTGGGTATTAACCCCTTGTCAAGATGCATAGTTTGCAAATATTTTCTCCTATTCTGCAGATTGTCTTCACTCATCAATTGTTTCCTTTCCAGTGTAGAAGCTTTTTGGTTTGATGTAAATTCATTTGTCTATTCTTGCTTTTTGTTGCCTGTGCATTTCAGGTTCTATCCAAAAAAAATCCCACCTAGATCAATGTCATGAATTGTTTCCCATGTGTTATCTATTTTTCTTTCTTTTTTTTTTTCTTTTTGACATAAAGTCTTGCTCTGTCACCCAGGCCGGAGTGCAGTGGCACAATCTAAGCTCACTGCAACCTCCAACTCCCGAGTTTAAGTGATTCTTATGCCTCACCCTCCCAAGTAGCTGGGATTGCAGGCACCCATCACCATGCCTGGCTAGTTTTTGTATTTTTAGTAGAGATGGGGTTTCTCCATGTTATCCAGGCTGATCTTGAACTCCTGGGCTCAAGCAATCCACTCGCCTCGACTTCCCAAAGTGCTGGGATTACAGGCATGAGTCACTGCACCCAGACTCCCATATGTTTTCTTCTAGTAGTTTCATAACTTTAGGTTTTACATTTAAGCCTTTATGCATTTTTAGTTGATTTTTTGTATATGGTAAGAGATAGGGGTCTAGTTTCATTCTTCAGCATGTTTTCCCAGAACCATTTATTGAAAAAGACTGTCATTTCCCCAATGTGTGTTTTTGGTGTTTTTGTCAAAATTCAGTTAGCTGTAGGTGCATGAATGTATTTCTCGGTTCTCTATTCTATTCCACTGGTCAGTGCCTGTTTTTATGCCAGGACCACAGTGTTTTGGTTATTATAGCTTTGTAGTATAATTTGAAGTTAAGTAATAAGATGCCTACAACTTTGTTCTTTTTGTTCACGATTGCTTTGGCTATTCAGGGTCTTATGTGGTTCCACACAAATTTTAGGATTTCTTTTATTGTCATAAAGAATGTCATTGGTATTTTGATAGGAATTTCACTGAATCTGTATATTGCTTTGGATTGTATGGACATTTTAATGATATTAATACTTGCAATCCATAAACATGCGATTTTTTTCATTTATTTGTGTTTTCTTGAATTTCTTTCATTAATGATTTATAGTTTTCATTGGAGAGAACTTTCACTTCCTTGGTTAAAATTATTCCTAAGGTTTTTTTTGTACATATTGCAAATAGGACTTTTTTAAAATTTCTTTTTCAGATAGTTCACTGTTGGCTTATAGAAACACTACTGGTTTTTATATGTTAATTTTCTATCCTGCAACTTTACTGAATTGAAATATTAGTCCTATTAGTGTTTTGGTGGAGCTTTTAGGATTTTCTCTATATAATATCATGTCATCTGCAAAGAAGGACAATTCAGTTTCTTCCTTTCCAATTTAGATGACTTTGATTTCTTTCTCTTGCCCAATTGCTCTAGCTAGAACTTCCAGCACAATGTTAAATAGAAATGGTGAGAGTGGGCATCCTTGTCTAGTTCCAGATCTTAGAGGAAAGGCTTTCAACTTTTCCACATTCAGTGTGACATTAGCTGTGGGTTTGTCATATATGGCCTTTATTTTGTTGAAGACTGTTCAAGTTTTCTATTTCTCTATGGTTCAATCTTGGAAGGTTGCATGTCTTAAGGAATTTAAAAATTTCTTCTAGATTTCCAATTTGTTGGCATGTAGTTGTTCATACAAGTCTGTAGATTTCTAAATGCTACATAAACTCAATGTCAATTCTAAAAGGGCTTTTTTTAAATTTTTTTTCTTTCTTCCCATCCAATGACCTATCAAGGGGCTTAATTTTTAACATGAAATTTTTTATATAAACAAACCCTTTTAGAGTTGACACTGAACTTATATAGCATTCTGAAATCTACAGATTGCGCTTTTTGGTAAGTTTGTTGGGTTTTTTTGTTCATAATACTGCAAACCACAAACATGAAAACAGCATTTTATTAAGTCATTGTCATCTACACCTAGTCCTTTGATCTCATGAATGATCTTAAAACCTGCTCTGGTCATGTTAGGGCTGAGTAGGATTTAATTTGATTCAATAAAAAGGAATAATTTTAGATTTACAGATAAATTGCATAGAAAGTTCAGTGTTCCCATATATTCCACACACAGTTTCTCCTATTAACATCTTACGTTAGTGTGGTACATTGGCTGGGATTTAAGGACCAATATTAATATATTATTCCTTTTTAATTTTTTGTAGAGATGGGGCTCTCACTATGTTGCCCAGGCTGGTCTCCAACACCTGGGCTCAAGTGATCCTCCCACTTCAGCTTTTCAGAGTGCTGTGATTCGAATTGGAAAAAGCTACTTTAAAGTTCATATGGAACCAAAAAGGAGCCCACATAGCCAAGACAATCCTAAGCAAAAAGAACAAAGCTGGAGGCATCATGCTACCTGACTTCAAACGATACTACAAGGCTACAGTAACCAAAACAGCATGGTACTGGTACCAAAACAGATATATAGACCAATGGAACAGAACGGAGGCCTCAGAAATAACACCACACATTTACAACCATCTGATCTTTGGCAAACCTGACAAAAACAAGAAATTGGGAAAGGATTCCCTATTTAATAAATGGTGCTGGGAAAACTGGCTAGCCATATGTAGAAAGCTGAAACTGGATCCCTTCCTTACACTGTATACAAAAATTAACTCAAGATGGATTAAAGACTTAAATGTAAGACCTAACACTATAAAAACCTTAGAAGAAAACCTAGGCAATACCATTCAGGACATAGGCATGGGCAAAGACTTCATGACTAAAACACCAAAAGCAATGGCAACAAAAGCCAAAATTGACAAATGGGATCTAACTAAACTAAAGAGCTTCTGCACAGCAAAAGAAACTATCATCAGAGTAAACAGGCAACCTACAGAATGGGATAAAATCTTTGCAATCTATCCATCTGACAAAGGGCTAATACCCAGAATCTACAAAGAACTCAAACAAATTTACAAGAAAAAAACAAACAACCCCATCAAAAAGTGGGCGAAGGACATGAACAGACACTTCTCAAAAGAAGACATTTATGCAGCCAAAAAACACATGAAAAAATACTCACCATCACTGGCCATCAGAGAAATGCAAATCAAAACCACAGTGAGATACCATCTGACACCAGTTAGAATGGCAATCATTAAAAAGTCAGGAAACAACAGGTGCTGGAGAGGATGTGGAGAAATAGGAACACTTTTACACTTTGAGTGGGAGTGTAAATTAGTTCAACTATTGTGGAAGACAGTATGGCCATTCCTCAAGGATCTAGAACTAGAAATACCATTTGACCCAGCCATCCCATTATTGAGTATGTACCCAAAGGATTATAAATCATGCTACTATACATACACATGCACACGTATGTTTATTGCAGCACTATCCACAATAGCAAAGACTTGGAACCAACCCAGATGTCCATCAATGATAGACTGGATTAAGAAAATGTGGCACATATACACCATGAAATACTATGCAGCCATAAAAAAGGATGAGTTCATGTCCTTTGCAGGGACATGGATGAAGCTGGAAATCATCATTCTAAGCAAACTATCACAAGGATAGAAAACCAAACACCACATGTTCTCACTCATAGGTAGGAGTTGAACAATGAGAACACATGGACATAGGGCGGAGAACATCACACACCAGGGCCTGTCGGGGGGTGGGGGGCTGGGGGAAGGATTGCATTAGGAGAAATACCTAATGTAAATGACAAGTTGATGGGTGCAGCAAACCAACATGCCACATGTATACCTATGTAACAAACCTGCACATTGTGCACATGTACCCTAGAACTTAAAGTATAATAATAATAATAATAATAAACAAAGTGCTGTGGTTCTAGAAGTGAGCCACCATGTCTGACCAATATATTATTTTTAACCTAAGTCCATACTTTCTTCAGGTTTCCTTAGTTTCCTTGCCTACTATCCTTTTCCTGTCCTAAGACCCCATCCAGAGTACCACATTACATTTAGTGATCATGTCTCTTTAGGCTTCTCTTGGTTGTGACAGTTTTACAGACTTCCCTTGTTTTTGATGGCCTTGACAGTTTTGAGGAGTATTAATCATGTATTTTGTAAAATGCCCCTCTATTGGGATTTGTCTGATGTTTTTCTCATGATTAGACTGCGGTTATGTATTTTTGTAAGGAAGACCACAGAGATAAAGTGTCATTCTCTTCTCATCATCACATCAAAGGTACACACTGTCAACATGACTGATCACTATTGATGTTGACCTTGTTCACCTGGCTGCGAAGGTGTTTGTTAGATTTCTCCACTATAAAGTTACTCTTGCCCAAATAAGCCCTTCCCCAAAAGGGCTTATTTTTATTTACTTTATTGAGGTATAATTTACATACAGTAAAATGAGCGCACCCATCCTAAGTGTACACTTTGATGGGGATTGAGGAACTACACCAGTAGTTCTCGACTGGAAGTAATTTTGCCACCCAGGGGACAATTTCTGAAGAAATTTTTGGTTGTCACAATAGAAAAGGGGTAGAGGCTGGAGACACTGCTTAACATCCAATAATACATAGGACAGCCCTCCTCAAGAAGAAATTATCCGGACCAAAATGTCAGTAGTGCTAAGATTGAGAAATTCCTGATATACACTCACATGACCACTACTCCAAATCAAGACACAGCAGTAACCCAAAAGTTTCTTGTGCTTCTTTTCAATCAATTTCCCCACTACCTGTCCTTGAAAACTACTATTTTTATGTGTTCTTCCAGAGAGTAGTTTCATCTGTTCTTGAACTTCATAGAAATAAAATCTTGCTTTATTTCCTCTTTTATCTCTGACTTCTTTTGCTCAGCATAATATTGGAGGTCATCCATATTGTGTTATGTATCAGTAGTTTGTTCCTTTTTTATTGAATAGTATTCCATCGTATGGCTATACTATACTAATGGGCATTTAGATTGGTTCCAGTTTAGGGATTTTAGGAATAAAATGAAAACTGTGTAGAAGTGTTTATGTGGATATATGTTTTTAGTTCTCTTGGATGAACACCTACAAATGGAATTGCTGGGTCATATGGCAAGTATACATTTAACTCAAAGGGGTTATATTTTTTTAAAAAAAGAAAGACAAAATAAATGGCATTTTATCTTATTTGAACTATATGGATTCTCTCACTACTTCTACTTTCTCATCTCAGCTAGGAAATAAGTTTTGAATTAAATAAGAAGGTGATGTCAGAGACATCCTCTTCCATTCTTTCCATCCCCAGGCAGAACTTCTTGGAATAGGTGATCAGACTTCATCAATTCCCTTCTCACTTGCACTGTGCCAAGCAAAAGTTGATGGCTCTTAAGATCAGAACCAGAAACAGCTGTGTCTCTGGTTCTTTGGGTAGTGTGTGTTTGATTTCTTTTTGAGAAGATGTTTATAGAAAATGGCCTGCGGTATTGGCAGTTGTGAGAACAGATCTAACTTCTGCTTGGAACTGCTATAAATTTTTAAAACAAACCAAACCCGAACATTACAATATGGCTATGTAAGGCACCTCCAAGCCAAATCCATTAAATTGGGAATGAAATATTTATTATGATCTGAATGAGACAACGACAAAGAAAGGACTTTAGATTTTCCTTAAAGTTGTAGTACCAAAACTTTGAATGTTTACGCTCTTACAATAGGTTTGAGAGTTTAATTTTTGATTTATATAGGGGCTCAAAATTACCATCAAGGAAGAAAAAGTTTACAAAACTCATAAAATAAAAATAAGATCTTTTCAATGTAAAAAGTAGAGATTTATCTTGCTAGTAAGCATTCCTAGCCCATGTGTGAAGTAAACAAACCTATTTCTTAGCCTGAAAAATTTTTTATTATACACATTATGAAATGATCCCTTCCCATAGAAACCAGTAACTAATATCCCCAAAATTTTAGAAATTCATCTCCAAGGATAAAATTGTAAAATAATATGGTAAAATTATTAATTTTCTGAGCAAATTAAATAATTTAAATAGGGACAACAAAGAATTCAATGTAATGAAAGAAAAAGATCTGTAAGTTGAGAGACCTAAATTCTAGTCTTGCCTTTGTCACAAATTAGTTGATGGAAAATATACTAGGTGATCCCTAAGGTTCATTTTAGCTCTAATCTTTTATGAATTTCATTGTCTGGCTTTCAATACACACATAAATAATATACTGCATACATTTATATAAACAACTTTTTCATCAGGGTTTTTAACTTACTTCCAAGTAATCCTGGGGAGGTGGAATATTAGATTAGAAGCACTTCTTAAATTATTTTCTTACATAGAATTACTACTTAACTTATAAGAACTATAATACCAATATGTCTTATTATTATGATTTTAGTTACAATCTGATGAATATTTAGCATTCCCTTTTACATCTTTATCTTCAGGTAGACTTATGTACCCCTGTTGTAAGGTTCAGCATCATTATGACACTTTAATGTTTACTAAGTTGTTAAGTATCATATGCAAGTTAATTCTCATAGGAGACTTTTAAAAGTGAGCCTGCATTTTTAATTGCTTTGGGAAGAAAGAAATATTTCCAGGAAATATATGCCACCTTAGTGTGAAACCATCATAAGAAGCTGAGAAGGGATACAACTATTGTTGGAGAAAGCTTCATTCTAGCAAAGCACATCGGTCCTCTTCCTAAGGGATAAATAGGTCATCTCTTAGGTCATTACTTTTCATATAGTCAAGATTAACATATTTACCTCTTCTCCATGTATCATATTACTCTTTTTATATCTGGTTTCTCAGTATTTGACACATTTCTTCCCACACAATATCCCTCTGTGAGATACATCCCTTATTCGGGTGATTGTTTTAAAGTCATAAACTCATCTGCTTTTCAACCGGGGGAAAACCTATGAGTGGTGACGTTTTTCATGTTACCTTAATAGTATGCACCTCAGTAACTCTCTTAGTTTGAAGATTTTGTAAAACCTCTAATCTATCCTATGAATAGATAGAAATAAACAGCAAGGTCATCTGCAATTTATATTTGCCACGAGAGAGCAACCTTGACTTTTTTGACTTAGGTGATTAAAATATCAGAGTCAAGTAACACAGTGGATTATTTTTGTAAATTTTAACTTTCATGATTTAAAAACAAAAGACACTGTTCTTTCAAGTTGAATAAAAATATAATACCTGCAAACATATCTGAATAAACCATATTTTAAAAACCATGATGCCCAGAATGAGTAAAGATAGTTATATTGTTAAAACAGCCTAAATAAATAAATTGTCCTACTATTAACATAGAGGTAACATTATTTATTTATTTATTTTAGTTTTATTTATTTTATTTATTTATTTTTTTAGATGGAGTCTCGCACTGTCGCCCAGGCTGGAGTGCAGTGGCATGATCTTTGCTCACTGCAAGCTCCGCCTCCTGGGTTCACGCCATTCTCCTGCCTCAGCCTCCCGAGTAGCTGGGACTACAGGCACCCGCCCCCACACCCGGCTAATTTTTTGTATTTTTAGTAAAGACAGGGTTTCACCATGTTAGCTGGGATGGTCTTGATCTCCTGACCTCATGATGCACCCGCCTCAGCCTCCCAAAGTGCTGGGATTACAGGTGTGAGCCACTGCACCCGGCCGAGGTAACATTATTACCTGAGTTAAGACATAATGTCCAATCAAAGGGCTTCTTTCTTATTTAACACGGATGCTCATGTTGTCATGACCTATCAAGACATGGTGCCCATGAATGCACAGAATCATAGTCTCATCTTGAAATGAAAATTTCTACCATATTAAATAATGATTTTTTAGATGAGACCATTTTCTCAATTGAGAGAAGAAATGGTTTCTTTTGGCAAAATGCTTAAATCAACAAATGTAGACAATTATTTTCTCTTGGAATAATCATCAGATCTCTGTTTCCATGAGAGAAGAACTGCTAGTGAGAAACTGACCTTTATAGAGAAAAGGCTAGAATTCCTACCAGGCATTATATCACAGAATTAGGCTATTTCCACAGAACTACAAACACATCTTTGGGAAAGGAATTAGCTTGCTGAGGTAGGAATGTGTTTGATCTTACAAAAATAAAAAAAAAACAAAAAACCAGACATCAAGACCTTTATTTCTACCTTTCTGAGAGGCATCTTCCAGACAAAAACATGTTGAGTTAGACTCTCTCCCTTCCTCTAGTCTCATAGACCATGGCTCTGACCATGTGCATAGACTCCCTCCCTTTCCTGAACAGCAGGCTCATCCTACTCAGCTATGCTGTGCTCCTCACAGTCTCATTGCCATCATGAGAGCTGCCTTCTACACCAATCGTGCTGTCTCATCTTCTCTGTCTCCATTTCTCCACAGTTCAGTATTTAATCCCCATCGTTTACCTTCCTATTTTGCTAAATACTTAACATACATTTAAATGTTTTGCCAGGTGTCCATATTACTGTTGCCTTAGAGGTTTAGAAGAATCTTCATTTCCAAGTGTTCGTCACCTTAAAGATCTCTATTCTTCCTCCAGTCTTTCTCAAAATAGGTAAGTCGGAAATGTTAGAACTAATTATTTGGGTTGGCAACAATCTGATTATTGTGCCCTGGGCTTTTTATTAGAAAAACACAGGGGCCTCTGCTTAGCCATTACCCCTACAATAGAATAGGAAACTATTTGACCATACCACACTTCCCCCAAAGTTGGTTTGTACCAAGTTAGAACAGAGTTTCTTGGTAACTCAAGAGTTGGGATAAGTACGGGCTCCCCTTACCTCCAACACATGTGCCACCACTGCAGTGCCACAGGCTGCATGGCTTGTGTCCCACAAAAGCATTCACGTGTTAGCTGCCTCCTCATTGAGTAATATTCATCATCCCTTAGCTATTTGTCCTGCCTTGGGTTTAAGGGTGGGGCTTTATGTACATTTAAAAATTATACAAATCAATAATTTTAAAATGAGACAACAAAAAATAAGAGTCCTCCTGTCACTCAGGCAGAGATGACCAGTGGTTGGAGAATGTTGGATATCCCTAAAGTCTTTTCTATGAGATATATTGTAATATGTATATTTTGCCTTCTTTTTAAAAGTTATTTATGGACATGCCAAATTCTAGGACATGATCGCTTGGGTTTTATTTGTTTTAATTCCTGCAATCCTTTAATTCTGCTAGTTTATTAAAATAAATAAATTTAGTACATATTTCTGTCCCACAAAAGTTTATGCCTCAGAAAATATATTATTGAAATATACTGTAATTGTAAGTCCTTTTTACCTCTTTGCAGCAAAACTTCACACATGGCTAGAAAGCATTATCAATGTCCTTCCCTGCAATGAAAATGAAAATAGAATGAAAAATATTAGAAACTCTGAACATGGACAGATTTCATACCCAGGCCCAGCAGAACAACTAGGTCTTGTCATGCTAAATCACCAAGAGACCACCCTGAGTGTTTATGGTTACAGAGGAAAAAGAAACAAGCATAAACATCAGGAGCAAGATTAAAACTTCAGTTTAGCTTTAATTAATCAAAGAGCAGAGCCCTCATTCCTGCATTTATTTCTCCTCCCATTTCCTACATGTCCAGGCTTCCCACATCCTCTACCCTAGCCTGTCTTTTCTTCCTACTACCTCACCAGTGTGGCTCAAAACCCAGGCTACCCACCACCCATTTCCCACAGTGAAGATGGGTCACATGGAACCAGACCCTGTGGTCATGCTGTCAGGGGATATGGGAATGGTGAGACCATCAAAATGAAAAACAAAAGATCTATGGCAAACACTACTAGCTACCTATGCCAATATCCAGTCTCCTCTTTCTCCTTAGTAACACAACTTTAATTTTTATCAGGGCTTGTTGCCACCTGTTTAAACAACTGCATGTCCCAGCCTTCATAGCAACTAAATACAGTTTCTCAATGTAAAAGCCAAATTCCTTCCAAAGGCCTTTAAATTATCAGTTGTGAGTAAGTTGCTGCTTATGATGAAACTGTCTCAATTGAAAGCAACTACTTAGTACTCCTCTGTTTCTTTCTACCTGTTCTGCTGGCAGCTTGAAACATAGACGTAATATCCTGAGCTCCAGCATCTATCTTGTGCCATGAAATATCCTTAAGGAGAGGTACTGAGGCTATGGAAGCATAAATTTCTGAGCCCAGGGCTGGATGGCACACCACAGGGCCACAATAGCACTCCCAGATAGCTTAACTTCACATTTTCTTTATCGAAGAGTGAGAAATAATTATATCTTGTTTAAGTATTTGTTATTTTGGGGTTTTCTGTTACTTTGATATCTGGGAAAAGAATGTTCCAGAAAAGAGAGCAGCAAGAGCAAGGGCTCAAGGGCTGGAGCATGGGGCATCAATGTGGCTGAAACAGAGGAAACAAGAGGAAGAGTGTGAGATAAGATCAGAGCAGTACTGAAGCCATTCTGCGAAGGGTCTGGAAGGCCTTTGGAAGGCATTTACACTGAAAGATATGAGGCATCAGTGCAGGGTTTGGATCAGAGGAGTGACATATCACTTCTAAAATAGTGACATCCATCTGGCCACTGTAGAGGAAAAGCATAGATGCAAAGAGATCAGGTGAAATATCATGGTGGTTTGAACTAGCATAGTATCAGTGGAGGTGGTGAGAAGTGTCAGATGTTTGATATTTTCTGCAGGCAGAGCCAACAAAATTTCCTGACAAATTGAACGTGGATTGTGAGAAAGAGAGGAATCAAGGGTGTCTCCAAAGTTTTAAGCCTGAGCAACTGGAAGGATGGAGTTGTCATCAACCTAGATAAGAAAGGCTGCAGCCAGAGCTAGTTTGGGGATAATGTCTAAAACTAAAACCATCCTTCCCTCTAAAATCTACTCTTTTGTTTAGTGCTATCTCACGCATTCGACATAGACCTACTCAGTCACCCAGGAAGAATCCCAAAGGCCACCCTTGACTCTTCTCTCTCTAAAATCTCCATAAAGTCCCCTCATGTGCTTTGATTTCTACTTCCTAACTATCTCATTTATCTATCCACTTCTTTGTCCACAGCCACCACTTTGTTTGAGGTCAGCATCATTTCTCACTTGCATTATTATAAGAGCCTTCAAATTGGTGATGAGTCTTCCCTGGATTGAACCTTGCAGCATGAGACATCTTTCTAAGCACAGCTCCCTCCAATGGCCTACCACTTCCTATTGTCCTTGAATAAAGTACTGAGCACAGTTTGTTAAAACTTTTTGTTTTGAAATAACTTCTGGCTTACAGAAAAGTTGCAGGAACTGTGCCAAAAACTGTCCATATACCCCTCACCCAAATATCTAATTTTACTTCTCTCCCTCTCATTGCTTTCTTTCTGAATCATTTGAGAATAAATTGCAAACACAATGCCCTGTACCCATAAATACTTCAGTGTATATCTTCCTCTAAATGAGAAAAATAACTGTCACAATTGCAGTACAATGATCAAAATCAGAAAATTAGCATTGCTACAATATCATTATTTAATACAGACTTTACTCATATTTTTCAATTAAGCAAATTATGTCTTTTATAGCAAAAGAGGTGTAAATATACATATAGATGTTGATGTTTCTGGTCCAAGATCTAATCCAGTGTTACATACTGCATTCCATTTTCCTATCTCTTTAAGTGTCTATTTCTCCTAGAACAGTTCCTCTGTCTTTACCTTTCATGATCTTGACATTCTGGAAGAGAATAGATCAGATATTTTGTAGAATTCCTCTCAATTTGGATCTGCCTGATGTTTCCTCGTGATTAAATTTAGGTTATGCATGTTTGGCAGAAGTGATGGGTCCTTCTCAGCACATACTATCAGGAAGCAGGTCTTTCACACATTTTTAAGCCTTCTTCATAATGTTGCTTCTGCTCATGTATTGCCTTCCTCTCTCACCCTCTGCCCATCGCTGCTCCCAGGCTCTTAGACACAGCCCCAGAGAATCCATTCCAACCTCATTGTCACCTAGTTAATCCACACTGTTCCCCCAGATCTCAGCACAGAGGTTACTTGCCAAGAGATGGTTCCTCAAACCCTAGTCCTCATTTGGGGCCCTTCCTGAGTATCCAGCACCCAGCCATCATAGCAGTTATTAGGCTGCATTGTAACTACCTCTTTGCTTGTTTGTAACCTCTTCTGGACAATAAGCATTTTAAGGTACAGACTGTGTAATGTTCACTATCATTGCCAGCACATAGCCCAGTGCCTGGCATATAGTAAGTAGGTGCTAAATAAATATTTGCTGAATGAAGTACCACTTCTGTGAAGACTCTTTGACCTTGCAAGCTTCCTCCTGCATGTTCCCAGAGCCCAGCATAACTCCATTATCTCTCTCATGGTATTGCTAAATTGTTTGTCTATACTCCGTCTTTGCAGTGAGCTTGAAAATTCCTGGAACCACATCTGAGTTCTTGCATTTGATTCCACTGCACCTTAACAGGCTGAGGAGGGAAGGAAGGAAAGAGAGAAGGGAGAGAGGGAGGGATTGGGCCTTTGTTTTAAAACTTTGTTCCTTCTGAGTTTGCCTTGAGCATGTGCAGACTGTTCTGGAGTGTCTCTCCCAGCTACTCCTCCCCCTCATACCCCACTTCCTGTTTACTCTGCCTCCCAGAATCGCAGTGGGGAGGGGAGGGGGATGGGAGCCAGTCCAGTTCCTTTAGCCTCCTTCCCAATTCCTGCAGGGCCTAGTTCAGGAATGATTGCTTTGAGTTTGAGTTTATGGTCTTTACAAGTCTTTATGAGTGTTATCAACAAGAATGTAAAGCTTTTAGTGTGAGTTTTCATCAGTGCATATACTAACAAGCAGTGAAGTAAATGAAGGTAGAAAAAAGAGGAGAAAGAAAGGCCTGGAAAATCTACAGATTAAATAACCAGTCAGAACAATCCAGAAATTAGTTGCAGTGTCTTATAAAGCCTTAAAGAACAAATCAGGTGAAAGAAAAGAAGCTCTTTCCTCAAGGATTTCTTTTTTCTGCCTTCCCTGGCCCTCATATTTAATTGACAACTAGCAAACACCACTTCTCTTATTATGATCCTTATGTTCACTGAGACAATATCTAATATGCTTCCCTCCTTTGAAAAGGTTTTATGCTGCATTCCAGACTAACTCATCACCATTCAATGAGAGCCAGGAGTACTAGGTCCCAATGGTAAGGAATCAATGGTGAGGAGCCACTAATCAACAAAGGGGCTGCACAACTGCGTCTTTCAAACATTGCTGGTGAGAGGGTAAATGTTATAACAGCTGTGGAAAACTCCTTGGCAGTGTTAAATTAAGTTTAGCCTAAAGCTGCTTCCTGACACATTTTAAGTTCAGGCTAAAGATTTTACATAGTGAACTGTAACCTAACTGGATGTGTAAACTGACTGCAACCTACTCTCCTGCCAATCACCGAGTTTTGGCCAATCAGAGGTGGCCAACTGTTCAAACTGTGCTCAAATAAGGCAAACACCAAGCTGTAACCAATCCAGCTGTTTCTGTACCTCACTTCCATTTTCTGAACATCACTTTCCTTTTTCTGTCCACAAATCTTCAACCACTCGGCAGCGCACCAGTCTCTCTGAATGAACCCTTTCTGGTTCAGGGGCTGCCTGATTCACAAATCATTCTCTGCTCAATTAAACTCTGCTAAATTTAATTTGTGTAAGGTTTTTCATTTAAAGAAGTTTCTTATAAAGTTAAATACATACCTATCTTTTGAACTAGCAATCTCACTTCTATGCATTTATCAAAAACAAAAAAGAAAGGCTTGCACTAGAATATTATTTACAGCTTTGTGCATGATAGCTAAAAAAAAAAATGAAAACAACTTTAATGTCCATCAACAAAAGAATGAATAAACAAGTCATGGACGTTTATAAAATGGAAAACTACTCAGCAATAAAAAGGAATGAACTACTGACTTATGCGAGAACATGGGTAAATCTCAAAAATATTATGTTAAGTGAAAGAAGCAAGACATCAAAGAGAACACACTGTACGACTCTCTTAATATGAAGTTCAAGAACCGCCAAAACTAATTATATGAAGATAAAAATCAGAACAGTGGTTGTGTGGGAGATGGGGTGAGGAGGATGATTGATCAGAAAGGAACATGAGGGGGTTGGGTGCAGTTGAAATCCTAGTGCTTTGGGAGGCCAAGGCAGGTGGATCACCCTGACTGAGGTCAGGAGTTCGAGACCAGCCTGGCCAACACGGTGAAACCCTGTCTCTACTAAAAATACAAAAAATTAGCAGGGTGTGGTGGCGGGCACCTGTAATCCCAGCCAGCTGGGGAGCTGAAGCAGGAGAATCACTTGAACCTGGGAGGCGGAGGTTGCAGTGAGCCGAGGTAACACCACTGCACTCTAGCCTGGGTGACAGAGCAAGACTCTGTCTCAAAAAAAAAAAAAAAAAAGGAAAAAAAAAAAAAAAGGCCAGGCGCGTGGCTCATGCCTGTAATCCCAGCACTTTGGGAGGCCGAGGCAGGCAGATCATGTGGTCAGGAGTTCAAGACCAGCCTGGCCAACATGGTGAAACCCCATCTCTACTAAAAATACAAAAATTAGCTGGGCGTGGTGGTGCATGCCTGCAATCCCAGCTACTCGGGAGGCTGAGGCAGGAGAATTGCTTGAACCCGGGAGGAGGAGGTTGCAGTGAGCCGAGATTGCACCACTGCACTCCAGCCTGGGCAACAGAATGAGACTCCATCTCGGGAAAAAAGAAAAAAAAAAGAAAAGAAGAAGGAAAAAGAGAGAGAGAGAGACAGAAAGAAAGAAAGAAAGAAAGAAAGAAAGATGCAGTAACTTTTTTAAAGTGAAGGTTATGTTCTGTACTTTGAGGTGTTAGTCATGGCTGTATGCATTTATCAAAACTTAAACTATATATGTAATATCTGTGCATTTATTATGTGCAATTATATGGCAATAAAAAACAAAAATAATAATGAAATGGAGGCTACAGAAATAAATGCTACACAAAAGAATCACAAAATGTTTTGAAAGGAAAGAAGTAAGAATGGTGCATGAAGAAAGAGAAGTTGGGTCTAAGATCTTAATCACAAATACATAATAAATAGTGCTGCTATATTTGAAGCAAGGTTTTTAGTAATACAATGACAGCACCATAAGTAGTATCTTTTTATGCAGAGCCACTGTCACCAAGATTAGAGCTTAAAAGAAAAATCAAGTTTCCTTCACAAAACAAGACAAAAAGGACCTTTTAGTACTGTTTCAATAGGTTGTTGTGCTAGAAATTCTATTTTAACCATCCAAAAGGCAACAAATGGATTAGGTGCCAAGAATATATAACCTTTTTGTTTCCTGGCCATATGCTAGATACCAATAGAAAACTAAAATAAGTTTCCTATTGCTTCTGCAGGAAATTCTCACTAACATGGTGGCTTAAAACAACACAAGATTATTATCTAACAGTTCTGGAAGTCAGAAGTCTAGAATGGGTCTCACTGGGCTAAAATCAAGGTGTTGGCAAGGCTGCACGCCTTCTCAAGGCTTTGAGGAGAATGTTTTCTTGCCTTTTCCAGCTTCTAGAGGCTGCCTACATTTCTTGGCTCATGGCCCCTTCTTCCATCTTCACAGCCAGAAATGGCAAATGGAGTCATTCTCATGCTACATCCTTCTGATTTTGACTCTTCTGCCTCCTACTTCCATCTTTTAAAGGACTTTGTGATTACATTGGGTCCATCAAGGACCCATACAAGGCCATAATCCAGGATGATCTCCCTATCAGAAGGTCAGGCGATTAACAACCTTAATCACATCTGCAACCTTAATTATCCCTTGCCACGCAAGGTAACATACTCACAGGTTCCAGTGAATGGAATATGGACATCTGTGGTGGGCCATTATTCTGCCTACCATGCTGAGTTTTCACAGCATTGTAAAATGTTACTTTGAGCACCTCTCTCATCATCCATCACTTCAAATCCTTCTGTTCTCAATGCCAGCCATTAGATAAATGTTTCCAAAGCTTCCAGGTTTATTATAAGTGGCTACTCAGGTAAATGAGATAGAACAGATCCTGCTCCATAGATTACATTCTACTTTCAATTGTTTCCATTTAGTTCTACACTCTCCTGAAATCTGGAAAAAAATGTCTCTGTTCCAGTTATCCATTGCTGTGTAACAAACCACTCAGTGGTTTAAAGAATAAAAATATTTTGCACATAAGTCTGAAATTTGGGCAGGGCTCAACGGGGACAGCTTGTCTCTGTTCTACTTGGCATCAACTGGGGTGGCTTGAAAGCTGGGGGCTAGAATCATTTGAAGGCATCCTCACATGTTTAGCAGTTGATGGTGCCTGTTGGCTAGGACCTCAGTGGTGCAGTCTGCTGGAATACCTACAGGTGGCCTCTCTATGTGGCCTGGGCTTCCTCCAGCATGGTAGCTGGGTTCCAAGAGCCAGCATCTCAATATTGAGTCACACATCTCATACAAGAGGATGATATACCACCTTTTATAGCCTGGCCTTGGAAGTGACAGCCACATTCATTTTGTCAAGACAGCCCACAAAGCCCCACCTAAATTTGATTGGTGGAGACAGAGATTCTACCTCTTGAAGGAAGGTGGCAAGGTTGTAGAAGTACATGTAGGGTTGGAAATAACTTTGCATCCAGTTTTAGAAAATACAATTTGCCACAGACTCTCTGCCACTTTTTCATTCCCTCGCTTTATCTGTATATCCTCCTCTTTCTTCCATTCTATTTGTCTCCTTTATATAATATCCTCCCTGCCCCACCCCCTATCTCCTTTTGTCCCCTACCCCTTCTACCTCAACATCAGGCCAACTCTGAGTTAGTGAAAAATAGTTTCATAAAATGATGGGAAAATACTATAGCACACCCACAAGAGGGGTATCTAACTGCTGAAATCAGGGAGCATTCAACCATTTTGGTTGACCAACAAAATGACCATGTTGGTTGATCAACAAAAATGGCAATTTCATATGCTTCTACTTAATATTTGTTGCCTTTCGAGTCAGAGAAAAAGGTATCACAGCTGGCTATCAGAAGAGAACAATTTCTCCCCACTCTTCAGGTTTCCAATGGCCAGGAATGTCCTGAAACATATTTTGCCTTTCTCCATCACTCCTGTTACTCACACTGACCCAGGATGGGGGAGTGAAGAACCACATCTGGAAAATTTGGAAAGACTATATTAGACAGGCTTGTCTTGGTGCCTCCTTTTTTCCACATGGAGCCAATATGGCTGCAGGGAGCAGGCATTTTCTTCTGCTCCCAAACCCACTAGAAGAAAAGGGCTGCTGGTTCTTGAGATTCCTCCCAGACCCCAACACAAGACTTAACCATCTAAATTGGCACTTCCCTAAAAACATTTAAGCTATGAAGAAATTATCAACAAGCACTTATCACAACAGAAACAAAATTATATCCTCAAAGCATCTGTGAGTTATAAGCTGCAATGTCAATTAGATGTTATAAAATACTACACCTTCTTTTGAATGACTAATCTACACTAACCACGCTCCTTGCATTCTACACATACTTTGGCTACTATAGAACATGTATGTATTCTTTCACAATGTCTACATTTCATTTTTTAAAGCAGGGTTAAAATTAATATTGCATTGTGAACAACTGGACAATTTTAAATACCTTGGTCAGAACCAGCAATGTGGTACTTTCGTTTTCATCTTTCCTTGACTACCAAACAGGAAATCTCCTCAATTAGGTATCTAAGAAGGGAGAAACAAGGCCCCAGCAAGTTCTGTCAGGTATTTCAAAATGGTGGAAGAGTAGCCAGGTTTTAATTGGCCCTACTGAGCTCGCCCACAAGCTATGACATTCTTTACCTCAGCAGTGTGGTATTCAAAAGGAGGAAAAAAAAAAACAACCCCACAAAGTTAGTTTCTATTTTTGACAACATCAAATGAATCATGTCCAGTTTCAACTGAATGCTCATTGATAAAAGTGCACATATCAACACCAGTAATATTGATATTGAAAAGTAAAATAGATTTTAGAAAATGCCCCACCTCCAACATTGTTTATTGTGCTAGGTAAAATAAAGAACTGGTTTCTATGTTTTGCTAGTGATTTCCTAGTCTTATTATCTACCGTGCATGTAACCATGGTGGAGAAAGTGTTCTCTAGACAGTCCAAGGTCAGAAAGTTCTCATGTGCAATCCTGTTCTTAACTAGGTGATTAGGATATTCTACAATCCAAATTCTTACCAGTTTGGGATTATTCAAATTGGGCACCTTGGCAGATATGTTTTGAAAACTGCTAGGCAAAGCATTCTGGAAGAATAGACAAAGAAGTAATAAAATATAACAAAAAGCAGTGGAAGTTACAAAAAAAAATGTTTCTCTTTAAAGTACAGAATGCCAAAACAGGAAGGATTGATAAGATAGTCGTGGTTTTAGGGGATTTCTTTAGACAGATGCACAACTCTCCGTTTTCTGCTTTAACTTGACCAAGACTTTTAACACAAAAAGAAAACAGCTAACTCAATCAAGAAAAAAAGAAAAAAGATGAAAGACTATTTGGGGAGGTGAAATCCTCGTGGTTGTAGGGAAGATGTATCTGAGTCCAGAATAACTACCTTTGCTGCAATCACCACTATTCAAGCACTGAATAGCAGCTGGAAGAGTTCTGTATACAGATGTGGGTTTTATTTTCCTCAATCAACATTTTATTAATTAAATATGATTCTTCAGTGGAGCAAGGTGACTCCTGAGGTATGTGGGCAATAGGGAGAAAAAGCATGGAATCCTCATTTGTTGAAACCAAAAAAGACCTTAAAGCTTGAGCTGCTCTTGTTTCCTTTCTGCAGTCTTCAACCCCTTTGTTTGTCCTGAAACTCAGGGAGATAGG
Organism: Homo sapiens; assembly: GCF_000001405.40. Taxonomy (NCBI): domain Eukaryota; kingdom Metazoa; phylum Chordata; class Mammalia; order Primates; family Hominidae; genus Homo; species Homo sapiens. Next base: position 38,810,959 of record NC_000023.11, on the reverse strand, counting down.
GCAAGAGAACAAAACAGGAATCTCCAGCCTCTGCTCCATCTCCTTATCTTCCTACCAAAAGATCCATTCTGCACCACAAAAGGCCTTGTATGCACAAATATGGACAGCCCAGTCTGCATGTCCAAGCTCCATCCACAGCTCCCCACCAAGCCCCAGGCCTAGGGGTGCACACGTCAGCAGCTCATCTACCACTGGAGAATACACCCAGGACAGATGCCTATGAAATCCCTGGAATGGGATCAGAGCCATTTGGACAGGGAACTCTGGGTATCCAAGTGCCCAGAGTGTGGTCTAGAAGTCGGGACACAGTTCTGGACATTCCTTTGGCTCTGAGGATTTTCTGCCCCATGGAGAGTGGCAAGGCCTTACGACAGTCAGAGTTGGGGTCTTGTATAGTGGAGAGTCCTGGGCATGAGATTTGCATGAGTCAAAAGATAATACTAGTTTTCAGAGACAAAAACAGTTGTTGGTAATACATTACCATCATGTCCACCACCTATCAGAAAGTACTACACAGCTCCAAGTAAACTAGCTAGAGGCCTAGTGAAAGTGTTTGAAGTGACTCAAGAACAATCTTTACATTTCCTTGAGTTATTAAAAAAAAAAAAAAAAGACTATGCCTGGCCTTAAAAGAAAAAATAAATAATTTTAAGTTTAAATTATTTTAGTAATTAAGCAATTTAGCCTTGATTAGAAGCTACATAAACTTATCAACTTTAAAAAGACTAGTAATTAATTTTAAGAAACAAATCCAATATGCTACATCTTTAGAGTTTTCAAAAACTTGCAATCAAGTTTTTTTATTAGTTGGGAGCAAAACATTATCTCCAAAACTTTAAAAGAAAACATTCCTTCTGTCATTATTGTATCCAAAACTCTTCAAAATAAATCAAAGAAAGATGCAATGATTGGTAAAAATGTACTAGATGTACCATCAAAAGATAAATAGCTTTGGGGAAAAAGGTACATTGTTTGAGATTTGAGCTCTGAATCCACCAGAACTGTGTCCAATTTGCAAACATCTGAGAACCATTGGCAATGCAGAACAGAGGGAGGAAGGGACCGGGGGAGGGAGAGAGACAAAGAGAGAGAAAGAGAGAGAAAGGGAGAGAGGAGAGGCACTATTTTTCAAATGATTTTTGCTCAGTAACTAAAAATAAGGGGAAATGATGAGGCATATGCAAATGCCAATAACCTTCATTTAAAAATTAAAAAAATTGTCAACAGCAGGCTAGTTTTCAAGTTGGTCAAAAGAGTAATTATGGCATGCTCTCTAACAAACTGTTTTCAGGTTCACAGAAAGAGTAAATTAGGCCAGACCACTAAGAAACATTGTATAAATGTAAAACATGAAATTCCCCATGTGAACAAAGCAGAAAGCTGTGTTTAGGGGCAAAACCAGGCCTTCTCAGAAGCTTTGGTACAAGATTTTGATGTAAAAAATTCTTACATTCTTATCAAATGTAAATATCTGGAGGGTAATCAATTGCAATCTAAGCTGTTCCTTTTTGCCCAGTTCATCTATCTGTGCCTTCCCTTTAGTCATAAACTGCCATGGAGATGGGCACTGTCAGAGAGCAACAGTATCTCTGAGAGCTCTCTGAGGGGTATGCCACACATTGTATTCGATTCTTAAAATTCAACTTTATTCAACTCGTAAAATCTATAAGTGACTTTGAGATTCCTCAGGAAAGACCTTCTGAAAATATGAAGTCACTTATTGTTTACCTCAGAGGTTAAGCAAAATTTTCAATAGCTTGCGAAGTTTTAACTGGTAAATCTTTTGGGAATTTGTCCTAATTTTGTTTCACAAACTGATCTGGAATAAAATAGTAGTTACCACTAGTGGAATAGTACTTACTGGGCCCGGAAACCTTATTGGTTCATAAATATCCCAATGCTCTTTTAACAGCGAGCATCATTACTCCTAGGTCAGAATCACTGTTTATATATAAAAAGTCTCTTACATGAAGAAATATTTTCAAAAATAAAGTTAATAATTGATAACTCTTTAGAGTTTAGTTTTTCTATCTACATGTACTTTTCTGTATTATATATACTGCAATAATATTCCAAAAACAACTTTCAGTGAATGTCCCCAAAGTTCTTGCTATCACTTGCCCAAACTGTGATTTTTTAATTTTTATTTATTTATTTATTTTTGGTTTTAAGTCAAGTTCTCCTTCATGGCTTTGAGAAAGGAAATAATTTACTTGTTGCTTCACGTATGTAATTAAAATTATGCTTTTCCTTAAAATGGACATATTGTCCTAAGCCTCATATATTCACGAAGAATGTAGGGTGGGGGCAGAAATGGAGACACGAAACAACATTTAGTTTAAGAGAGAAATGTGCAGGTCAGCAGGCCCAAACCCCCACAGGCAAGCAAACGGACAAAACCAAGAGTAACATGAAAGGTTTTTAAGCATGAATTGAGGAACAGAAGCAGCAGAGGAGATGATTGGAGCAGCATTTGTTTCCCCCCCCAATCTAGAAATTTTATTTCCTGTGTACACTAGCCAGTGGTTGTAAACAACCATTTAATTGGTGTAAAGAACTTAATTTCAATATAAAGTGACTCTGGGCAGCATTGGTGATGCCGTTTCCGAGTTGTAGCCACTGTAATTGTGAATATTAACTGAGATAGTGAAACATGGTGTCCGGTTTTCTATTGCATTTTTTCAAGTGGAAAAGTTAACTAAATGGTTGACTCACACAAAGTGGTGGAGAAATTGTGCATATGTCATTTTTTTGCTAAAACCTTTTGTTTCAAACTATACTGCTTTAAGATCTCATTTCAGAAGGGCATAGTCTTCAGCCACAGTTGTGATGGTTGTAAATGCTCATAATTGGGCATTCTTAGGGTTTTTTCCATCCCTGGGGTTTGCATGTTGTTCACTTAAAGCATTCCTAAAATGGTTGGCTTCTGGTTTGCAAGCCAGCTGATAATGGTAGCAACCAAAGACTCCAGGGTGTAAGCATATGAAAGACTCTGCTTGCTTGTGCTAGAAATAACAGCATCTAAAGTGAAGACTTAAGAAAAAACTTAGTGGCTACTAGACTATCCTTAGGACTCTGCATTAACTCTATAATGTTATTGCTTTTTTTAAGCATATTTGTCAGAGTAGTCAATATGTTAAAACTGAACATGTATGAAAGTTGCTTAGATAAATGTAATCACTGTAAACATCAAAAAAGAGAGAAACTTGTAAAGCATTTCAGCAGTGCCTAAAGAAAATTTTAAGCCTCAAACACTTTATATATAATCTCATTTAATTCTCACTGCAACTCCATGAAGCAGTGTAGTTATTTTTATGCCTGATTACTAATGTGGCAACAGGCATGAAGTTAAATGCACACAATTAGTAGCAAGAGGATTTGCACAGTTTCTGGCTCCAAAGTCTTTGAAAGTCTTTGTGTTTCTACCATGCAGCTTTTTTCTTTTTTTCAGTTTCCTTTATTTTTTGCTTGCACTTTGATATTTTAAAGGGGACACGAGACAAGAGGCTGTATGCCTTACTTTTGGTGCTGCCTAGCTTATCTTTATACAAATTAAAGATTAACTTTCTCTGGCAACTGGCAAGCACCCATCTTGACACTTCCACATTTTTTTTCACTGCTGCTAAAAGCTGATAGACTTGAACTGCCCCTGCCCGCCAGCACCACAAAACATTTTGCTTGTTTTTTAAGACCGCTAACTTATATGTATTTTAAATTCAAGCCCTACGAGCTTAGAGAATGCCTCATGACTTCAACAAGTTGATCTGACATTTATACCCCAAAACAAATAATGAAATAAAGAATATGCAGAGCACATTCTTTTACCTTTCCCACCATCCCAGCAGAGCATCATAATGGCACCTAAGCATTCCCAAGGGCTCCACAGCAGCCTTGATCAGAACTGCTGTCCACAATTGCAGACTGGCTCACTGAAAAACTGGAAGCATTACTGGACGCCGCTCAACAAAGCTTAGCCCTTTTTGGAACTAGTGAAAGAAGTCATCGATCATGTTGTAATGCATTTAAATGTCTACTCAGATAAACATAAAAACCTGTAAGGTGTGTGCACTAGGATTAGCTGGTCTTCCCTTCTAATTTTCACTTCTCAGTAACCAAGTGAAATTTCAGCCTTGTTTTTATGCCTCAAAACACTTTAGCTTGTGCTTGAGCTTCTTAAAAAATTCAAAATGTTAATTACGCACTCCAATAAGTTAGCCAAATTGGTTGAAAGATACAATATATGTACCTTCCCAAATATTTTAAATATTTCTGAACTTTTTGTTGAGATGTATGGTCTTATCTTGGTACTGAATTAGAAATAAAGTTTGGAAGTAAATTTTGTCAGTACCTAGTTCCCAAACAAAGCTAAATACTTGCACAGATGAATATCCACCACCATGAAATACCAGAGAGAACACAAAATTTACTTTTGCTAGTAAATCAATTAAATTGATTTTTATTTAATGACGAAACCATTCATTGGCAGATTAATGAGGACCAGACGCTTGTCCAATTTAGTTGACACATTTGCTTTTTTATTTTTTAGAATATAGTCTACATCTGGATTAAAAAAAGTTTTAAATAAATTTAAGACATACAACAACAGTGGAACCCTTCATCATTCTATGTACAACACGATAGAATGTCAGTTGGTTCCATTTCGGTTAAGTCCACTTTCTCATAATAATGTTATTATTTTCACTGAGTGGCAAGCTACGTACAAGCTGGCGAAATGCCAGCTTATACACACTGGGGTGGGGGTGGGGACGGGAGTGGCACGAAAGGGATGGGGTGGGGGTGCCATAGGACTACTATACAGTGTAACAGAAAATCATTAATAAAGTAGTACCGATTACCGACAGACAGTGCTGTTTGTGCGCTTATCACAATGGAATCGCTGAAGTTTCAGAGCAAGGAGGAGATTCGAAATACTTCACACAGGGCCAATGTTACAAAAAGAAATAGTGCAAACAGGAAAACTGATGCAATCCTAGCAACGCCTGGGCCTCCACCGGCCCAACCGCAGGGCGGCGGGAGGCTACGCGCCCCGCCTTCCCCAGCACCCAGCTCCGGGCTGCTTTCCCAAGTGTGGCAACCCAGCGCCGCGCCCTGGTATGGCCCCTTCTCGGGCCCTCTCCTCCGAAAAGAACAGAAAAGAAACCCCAGGAAAGGCACAGGCTGAATGCAGGGCGTCAGCCCAGTCCCATTCCCACCAACATAGAATGCAGGCCCCCTCCCAGGAGGTTCCTTGGGCCCTCCCATCTCCGGCCACCATTTTCTTCTCTCTCACACGTGGCCCCCTCCTCCACGCAGCCCCACCGCGCCTCCTGCACGTACGCAGCCCCCCAGTTTGCAGTCTGCCCTTCCCGCCCCCCAGCCAGGAAAAAAAAAAAAAGCTTTGAGGAATGAGAGAGGGTGAGATGGGTCGAAGAAGGTGCTGGGCAGCCACGGGCGCCACGCCTCAGTGGCCCCAATTGCCGAAGCCGATCTCCTGCTTGTATCTGTTAGTGAGGATGTTGGCTTTGCGCGTGAGTTTCGAGAGCACAGTGTGCAGCCCGCGCAGGTGGTAGTGGAACTGCTGTTCCAGGTCTTCTTCGCCGGCGTCCGCACCCTCCAAGTGGCCCAGGTCCACCAGGATGTCCTTGGACTTCCAGGCACTGCCCTCCTCGCTCCCAGCCGGTGGAGGCGGCTGGTGCAGGACCCCCCACTCGATGTCGTTGCGGATGGACTTGAGAAGCACGTAGTGGCTGTACATGTCCCGAGAGGGCGCGAAAAAGCTGCCATTGGCGCTTCCCGAGTCGGGGACTGGGGGCGTGCGCTCCTCCAGGCAGCCGCCACTGCCGCCTACCTCCACGCCAACATCGTTGTCTAACCCGGGGTCAGCCAGGGGCACGTCGCGCAGCAAGCTGGGCACCATCACCGTCTGGTCCATGTTGTTCACGGCGCCAATGAAGCGATTCATGGCGTTAAAGAGCGAGTGCTTCTGGTTGTAGGTGTCGCAGATTTGCATCATGGTGGCCGCGCGGACGTTGGAGCGCAGGGACGCAGGGGCACGGGGATGGTCGGCCGGGTCAAGGGGATGCCCGCCTTCACGCGCTCTCCAAGGCCCGCGCTGGGGGCCTGGCTATAGCCGGTGTGGCGGGATTCCCGGCACTCCTCCGCCCTCGCCAACTCTCGTCTCGCTGGCAGACCGGCCCTGCGGGATGGGCGGCTTCTCCTGGCTTTGGCGCCCGGAAACTCGCGATGGCTGAGGGTGCTCTGTGGGTCGAGCCCTGGCCTGTTTGATACACGGAGACGAAAGAACAGATTAGATTATTCACCCTGCTAGGGGGCCTGGCGCCCTTGCCCGCGCGCACCCCCTTCTCTGGCTACAGCTCGTCCGGGACGGCGCCTGGGTGGCTCCCCGCGGCTGGGCAGTCCCACCTCCTCGCCCACCTACGGCCGCGGGGAGAAGGGTGTCCCCCCACCACCACAACTTCTCCCTCCGAAAAGCCTGAGCTCAAGCAACCAAGCTGGCCGGGGCAGCGATGGGGCGTGGGCACCCACCTCCTCTTGCGCCTTGAGACTCTCCTGCTCGTTGGCAATTCAGTGTTCTCGCTGCAAGCGGCTGCTACGCAAGGGCGCTGCTGCGGTCAGTGGCTGGACTGTGACTGCGGACGGCGGTGACTGCGTTGGCCCCCTACCCATCCCAGGTGCTCAATTTATAGTCCAGGAAAGGTGTCGCCGGCGCTCAGGGCCACCCCTGGTGTCTCCTCCTCCCGCCTCCCCCGGCAGCACCGAGATAAAAGGCCCAGGCCGGGATGACCGCGAGTAACACTCGCCCGGCCCTTTCTACAGCGGGGGCGGGGCGCGCCGGGCCAGCTCCGCCTCTCGCCTGATACCCGGGCTGAGGGAGGGCGCCGGGGCAGGCCAGGGCAGGGCAGGGCAGAGCAGAGGAGGAGGGATTGGAGCAGCTGGACCCCGCCAGCACCAAGCCCTGGGCAGGCCAGATGAGGAGGGCCGGGCACAGCGAGGGTCAAAAAGGCGTCGGCGTCCGGACCGACTGGAGGGTGGGGCTGGCATGTGGGGGCTGGGCGGGCCTTGCGCGCGCTCCCCGCGTGGGATGACCAGAATGCACGTGCCTTGGTTGCAGAGTGAGCCCCTCAGCCCCGAATCTGGAGTGGCCGCGGCCGGGAAACAGGAACCCGGGTTTATTATTAGCCGTCGGGGAAGAGGGGCCGGCAGCAGGTACAACTCCATCCTGGGACTCTTACGTAATAAAGGGTGACCGGGCATGCTGGGTGCACGTGGACGCGCGGTGCTCCCGCAGTGGCCCTGGCCTTGGTCAGCTATGGGGGGAGGGGAGCGTCAGAGGCTTTTGCCTCCCTCCTGGCGGGGTGGGATCTTTCCCAATCTTTCCTTTAACAGTGGTTGCCGGGGATGAAGAGGGGCACACTATCAGATCTGCTGATTCTTTGAAGAGATCTGCAAGTGGCAATGGGGAGAAGTCCATTTTTGTCCAAGTCGGCTACACAGTGATGCTGGAGAGCCTGGGCCATGTGGCCTTTTGGCTGCCAAGAGGCCAGGAGAGGGTGACAGTAGTTAGGTCTAGTCTTGGGTGTCTTTCACCATTTAACAGAGAAATGGGGAGGTGTCTAATTATTTTTGAGGGTGCTTGTGTGAAGTGTTCCTTTCAAAAGATAGTTCTTAAAGCACTGGGTCATTTAATAGGGCCTAAGCTATGTACCGAATCGCTGGATTTAACTTTTAAGAGCCTTGCACCTTGAATTTCACTTTGAGACTTCCAAACCACAGCCTATTTAATTTTTCCCATCTCATGTCCCTTGCCATATTCCTCATCCACCAGTCCTCTCTGGCAGTCCTACAATTATGTTCAATAAGATTCAAGCTTCTCATTTTAAATCCCTTTTCTCGGCCTGAAACGGTGGCTCACGCCTGTAATCCCAGCACTTTGGGAGGCCGAGGCGGGCGGATCACAAAGTCAGGGGTTCCAGACTAGCCTGGCCAACATGGTGAAACCCGGTCTCTACTAAAAATACAAAAATTAGCCGGGCGTGGTGGCCAGCGCCTGTAATCCCAGCTACTCGGGAGGATGAAGCAGGAGAATTGCTTGAACCCAGGAGGCGGAGTTGCAGTGAGCCGAGATCGTGCCACTGCACTCCAGCCTGGGCGACAGAGCAAGACTCTGTCTCAAATAAAAAAAAAAAAGATCCCTTTTCTCTAAAACTTAACAGAGGTCTCTGTCCCTAGTACAGTTTTTTCCCACGGGACAAAAAATGCCTAAGGAAGGGAGAACATAATAAAGGGGTTTCTTTCTCTCCCTCTTTCTTTCACATTAAGACCTACACTTAAATATTTTCCATAGAAAACCATCTTCCTAATTGTCTTTTGAATGAAATTCTGACTTGGTGCCACAAGGACTAATCTGTTGACAAAAAACAAACAAAACAAAACAAAGTCAGTGACCCTTGGAGACAGACCTAAGTCTGAGGACCCACTACCCCAAAACGTATTAGCTCTACATCACAGCCCATGTTTTCTTACTTGCAAAACTGGGATAGACCTATCAGGGTTTTGAAGGAAGATCAATGGAAAGAAAAATACAGGGAGGCAGGAAGCATTATATAACTTTGAAGCATTAAAATAATTTCACCTTCCTTCTCTGCACACATAGAAACTTTTCTAGCCTCAGTTTCTTTATCAAAAAAATGGAGCTTGTTCCATGGGCCGTGCCAAGGACTTTGATTAAGTTTAAATATGATAATGTAAATAAAAATCACTATGTAAATTGTAAAGTACAAAGATTAATTGTACTTGATACAGGACCTCATCATAGTGAGAGGTGTTTATGTGAAGAGTCAGAAACCTTAAAAGTGTGGAAATTGCCTATGATGAGCCACAGATCCTTCCACCCAACCCCCAGTGCTTAAGCAGGAAAATAATATAAAATATGTCCAATGAGATTGAAAGAGCACTGCAAGAAGAAAACTCGAGAAAAACAGATATACAGTTTCTAGTAGCTGATCTTCTCATAAATTAAAGCGTACTTTGTCCCCCTTCCTGGACCCATTTGGTATTTTAAGTACGTATGCACCCGGATGAAAACTCGGTATTCAGACTTAACTTACTAAATGCCAAAATCTTGCCTCTTTTTCTCTTCTTCCCAGTTCCAACAGTGTGATAACACACGGAAAACGGAAATCCAAGGGATCTAGCAAAAGGATTCCACCCAGCAAAAACGCCAGCTTGGGAGAGGGCCCCTACCTAACTCCTTCCTTCTGGCCTCCACCCCTCCCCTGATACGTTTCCTTCCGTCTAGTCTCGAGATAACCCTTCATCCCCCAGTTTCTTGACTCTGGCCGCTGTTCTTGAACATTTCTTAAACACTTTCAGAGAAAGATGGCTCATGCACCTGCCTGCAAAACTTCCCAAACCGGGCCTCCCAGCTCCCCCAGACCCCGCAACAACTCACACCCGCCGGGGAAACTCCAGAAGGAAAAGGTCCGCCGGCCAGAGCTCTGGGCCCTTGGAATCACCCCACCACCGCCCCTCTGGCTTCAGCCAATCAGAAGCCGTCAGAAAATATTATGCAAATGAATCCTGATGCTCCAGCCAGTCAGAAGCCGCGGAGCCCTCCCCCACGCAGCGTCCTCTTTCACCCCAGCCCCGCCAAGCTGGCTGCCGCGTCCCTGGCAACCGGCGCGCAGCCAGTTCTCCACTACGCTTGGCTGTAAAAAAATTAAAATGGTTGCCTGGGGTCACATGGGAGGGGAGCGGGCTGGCCCAGGCCTAAGGAAGGTTGGAAACCTCACTGATTGCCCCAGGCACCTTCCCTGTCCCGATCTGGAACAGGCTGGAGGTGCTGAGCCACCTGCCCGGAATTCAGTTTGCCTCCAGAAAACAGAAGTCATCCGTTGAACAAATAACTTTCGAGTCCTTGTAGCACGCCAACAGCCTCAAAGCAAGAGGTCTTTGGTCTCTGCTTTCTATCCTATATGCTAAATTTCCGGTAAAAGCCTTGTCTGAGGTACCCATCCCCACTTCTTGGTTCACAGTTGCAATTCTGGAATTCTGGATCTCTTTTTTTTTGTTTTGTTTTTTTTTGAGACGGAGTCTCGCACTGTCGCCAGGCTGGAGTGCAGTGGAGCAATCTCGGCTCACTTCAACCTCTGCCTCCCGGGTTCAAGTGATTCTCCTGCCTCAGCCTCTCCAGTAGCTTGGACTACAGGCGCGCACCACCACGCCCAGCTAATTTTTATATTTTTAGTAGAGACGGGGTTTCACCATGTTGGCCAGGATGGTCTCGATCTCTTGACCTCTTGATCCGCCCGCCTCGGCCTCCCAAAGTGCTGGGATTACAGGCGTAAGCCACCAGCGCCCTGCCGGAACTCTTAAATTCTGGTTCTTAATTCCCACTCTTTTAATTAAGCAACCTGGAAAGCATGCTTTGCTGGCTCATCTCCCCAAAAATGTCCACAAATTATCCTTGTACTGTGTCCCTTGGATAGTTTTTTTTTGGGGGGGGGGAATGACATTTTAAAAGTGACCAGAAATTCCTGAACAAAGTAGTCAGCAAGAGTAAACTGGTGCAAGAAAGTCAGACTGGATAAAGAAGAGATCTGGCCTAGAACTGGAAGAAAGATGATATTTTAAGGCAAGAAGCCAGCCCAACCCAAGATAGCAGAGATCCTGGATTATTTTGAGACAGACTTAGAAGGATCCATTTCATGAAAAATGTCCTAGAAATATGACAGTCAGACTCTCGTGTTAAAGGCCATGTAGTCCAACCATCCACTTGTGCTGAAATCGCTCACAACATCCCCACCAAGTGGTCGCCCTTGCCTACATTCTTCTATTTTCCGTTCTCCAGTGTTCTTCTATCTTTTGGAGCTCTACAGAAGGCCATGAAGCACACCATCAGATGTTTGAAGGTAGATATGGTCTCCTTAAGTCTACTGTTCTTCAAGTCAGTTATCCCCAGTTCCTGTAGCCATTCTTCATGTTCTCTTTTGAGTCGCTCATCCATCCTAGTCACTAACTTTAGAAGTAGCTCTGGTTTGCTTTTGAGTGTGGCCCCTCTCATTCCAAGTACCATCTTTTCTAGGACAAAATGGAGTGGCACAGCCACTTATATTATTGTGAATGGTAATTTTTCTAGGTCATATTTATTGAGCACAAGTGCTTGGAAATTAGACTTGTTAACTCAAAAGACATGTTAACTCATTTTAACTTCACAACCACCCTGAGAAGAAAGCAAGGATCAAAGAGTTTAAGGGCCAAACTGTCAGAACTGGGATTTGACCCAGTTTTCTAATGCCAAATCCAATGTTCTTTCTACTACTCAATAGATAGCTACTGCTTATAATGCTGCCTAACATTTAATGGACTTATTTTAACAGCTACATCTATATGCTGCCATCTATATAACAAAATTTTGTGTACCCTATACTTGAGTAGTGGGGATTTTTTGGACCAAAGTACAGAACTTTATATTATCCTACTTAAACTTTATCTCATTGGATTTGGCCCATTAGTTCAGCCTGTTTTATTATTTTGGGTCCTGATTCTGTGCTGTAATGCACTTGGATCTTACCCATATATTTGATAACTATTCTATATATTTATCCAAGTTATTGATAATAGGTACCAGGCACCACTGGGCAAGAGGCAAATTGCTGTAGAACATCTGGAGAGCTCCTTCAGTTTGATATCCGTCCATTAATTGGCACTTTTTGGCATAAGTTGTTCCAGCCAGCTATGAATCATGTTAATTGTACAGTCATCCAGCCTATATTTTTCTTCTTGACCACAGGATATTATGAGAGACCTTGCTAAGTGCCTTGCTGAAGTCCCAAGCTAATAGCCAGTTTTCTTCCTGTGGAGTCAAGAAGAAGGGCATTTTTGTCATATACCACAAAGAAACCACCATCACATGATACAAAAATGCAGAAATAGCATCATAATAATCTGAGTTAAGATGGGGAAGGGAGTGTATCTTATTGTAATTGTCCTTACAGGAAAAACCGTCATGAAGGTTTAGTTGAGAGAAGGTAGACAGAAAAATGCCAAAACCTAAGAACAGTGAGTAGTGAATCTGCTGGCTTCAGATCCACTTTCAGGTTTTGGAATGTCTGAATATGTCGTAGTTAGCATTTTGTCACAATCTCATTTTTTAAAGCGTCTTTAGCCTTGCGTTTGGAAGAAGTAGAGCACAGGGAAAGTTGAGAATACTAAAGAATACCTTTTGTTATGTTCTCATCATTTCTACATCTTTAAGAACTCTGAACCGTATACAGAACTGTACATTCAATTTCAATATGGTAGATGAGAAAAGGGCAAGACACATCATAGCTTTTCTTACCACATAGAAACTTCTCAAGTTGATTTTTCCTAGATCCTTAGGATTCCAGGACTTTCTTGTACCATCAGCATAGAAGGAAGAATGAGAATGTTCTTTCTTCACTCTATCCTGTTAAAATGTGTCAGCTTGGTTAGTTTAAATTCTGAAATTAGATTCAAAGTTTACAAATTATAACACCAAATTAGGGAGAAAACACATAATTATCAATATTTCATATGTTCAAGTCCTAATTACAAATCCACATATATACATATACATATGGGTTGTAGCTTCATTTTGTTGAAGCTACAGTGTCATAAATACATTATCCAATGGACGGGTTCAACAGTTACACGCCCAAGTCTTCCATAATTTACTCTTCCAACCTTAATAATAAAAAAACTAGACCTAGACAAGGTACAATGAAGTCAAGGCGAATTCACCTACATCATATTAGACAGTCTGGACAGAGTTAGTACACAAAAGATGTAAATCTAGAAGCAAATACAACCTACAAGTCCTTCCAGCTATAGAAGACCTTGATAAGAATAGAAAAATAATAAACAATTAGGAAGATTTGAAAAAGGATATTGCAGAGCAAAAGAAACAAAATTTGAACCAAACACATCACTAGAGAGTCAATAAATGTAATTCCAAACAAGGAACAAAACAGGCATGCCAGAAAATTCAGTTACTGGCATAGGGCAAAAGGTTCAGGTAATCCCAATGAAAAGACACAAAAGAGTGAAAGAAAATGGAGAGGAAATGTTGGATAGAGAAGACAAAGACAACATAATATAGGCCAGGCGCAGTGGCTCACACCTGTAATCCCAGCACTTTGGGAGGCTGAGGTGGGTAGATCACTTGAGGTCAGGAGTTTGAGACCAGCCTGGCCAACATAGTGAAACCCCATCTCTACTAAAAATACAAAAAAATTTAGCTGGGCATGGTTGTGCATGCCTGTAATCCCAGCTACTTGGGAGGCTGAGGCAGGAGAATCACTTGAACCCAGGGGGCGGAAGTTGCAGTGAGCCGAGATCATGCCACTGCACTCCAGCCTGGGCAACAGAGTGAGACCCCGTCTCAAAACACACACACACATACACACACACACACACACACACACACACACACACACACACACAATATAAGCTTAACTGATGTTTCCAAAGAGACCTCAACATGTGAAATAGAAGAAATTCAGTTGTAACATAGAAAATTTTCCTTGACAAGATGCATTCATCTGCAGATTTAATAAGCATACTATATACCAGATAAAATTATGCAGAACAGTTGAAAAACAAGCTAGTTGTATTTTTCAACTTCAAAGAAGAAGAAAAAAAGCCTTCAAGTGTCCAAGCAGGAAAAGAAGTCACCAAAAAGATGGTGGTCTCAGGGGAGGAGAGAATCCAACCAGCTTTACAAAAACATTCCACTACAGGAGACAGTGGAGCTGGAAGAAAGAATGTATGATTCAAAAGTATTATATTACTCAAGCAAAAAACAATAAGCAGACATTCTCAAACATGAACTCAGGATTTTTCTTGAGAAACTTACTGGTAGAAGCCTGCCAACAACAAAAAAAATTAATTTAAATGAGTAATCCAGGAATGGAGAAACCCTGATGAAGAGATTCATAGTGAGTTTGAATCAATTTAAATGCAGAAGTAAGGTAAAACAGTGTGGATACTGGTTGCAGAATATAACGTAAATATTTTAAACCCTGAAGATGAAAAAATAATGCAAGCAACAAAACTGGAAGATGGGGGAATGAAAAATAGCAGAGCTAACCAACTTTCATTGCAGCAGGTCAATCAATGATGCCTAAAACCAAATTGTGCCATTTAAAAACTAAAGACACAAACATCTTAAAACTTTACAAAATATTTTTTCTCAATTTAAAGAGATCTTTTAGGAACTAATACATTCCATAGCAAAGAGTCTGTTTTCTAAAGTTCAGTATTTCTTTCAGTGTAATTTCAAGTAAAATTAATTTTAACATTTCATTTAAAGTAGTAGGTATGATAATGTTCTTTTTCTTCATCTGGGTGCAAGGCGCTAGTTACACAGGTGTGCTCATCTTGTGAAAAATTGTTGAGCTGACACTTATGTTTGAACTTTTTTGCATATATCTTATACTTAAATAAATTTTTTGAAATTCCATTCACATAAAATTCTAGGGGGTGTGAAGAGAGGGGGTGAGAGAGTCAACAGTCTGAGGCAGTGACCTGGTTTGGAATTAAATGCTCTCAGTAATTTTTGCATAAAAACGTTTGTGAACCCAACTTAAATGGGAATAGGAAAGTAGTAAGCTCTCCAAATTTTGGACCCTTGGGGCAGAAACCATTGTTTTTGCTCTCTGCTCCTGTCAACTGCAGTTTAAGAAATCCAGTGTTGGGAGCTTCCAAGCTTTAGTCTTGGAGAGGAAATTCTATTAAAACAATGTTTTTCTGTAACCCCCCTAAATATTGTTTCTAAAAGTATATTTGCATAGCACATATATAGATGGCTATTCACCTTTGTTATTATGATCTATAGCTGATGATTCAAAATATCTGGAAAACTTATATCTACTCTACTTTCTACGAAGTCTGTAGTAGCTCTTTACTAAAGGTAGAAAAAATCATGTTAGTGGAGTTGTAGGAGTCTCCCTGTGCCCTCATCTATACCCTAAGTCTGGTCAGAGGTATACTTGCTTATCTATAGTGTATATTCTTTTAACCACACTACTGTACAAAGATTAGCTTTAACAATTTGGCCTGCAAAGATTGGACTTTAGATCAGCATTAATCCTGGGCAGTCCAAAATTCAAATGGGGCACATGATTAATTTCCTTGTTTCCTAAATGGTTTCACAATTAATAGAAATTTGGAAATAAATTTATGGGTGTGCCATTAATAGACACCTTGAACTTTATTATAACTATCATTTTCTTTCTAGAAAATATATTAAACAAGGAAACATATATTTTCCATCTCTAAGGCACAGGGTGTCTTGTATAATTTTATTTTGCGCAAAGTGGGTGATTACCTTGGCCGGAAGTATAAGGTGCTTGTTTGTGGCATAGGGTTCAGTCAGTAATATTTGTCATAAATGTTTATTTGAGGCTACATGGTGTCTATCAAAATGACCTCATTAGTTTCTATAGAAGAGACTCAAATATCTTTCCAATCTTGATCTAAACTATTAGTAAATGTAAATACGAATGCTGAGGTGATTCACATAGTAATTAGATCTTGGGTTTTAGAAAGAACAACCATGATTTACTTAACAAAAAGTCTATTCCTGCAGATCATATGAAGCAGAAAAAGAAAGTCTGATAAGTAAAAGAGAAAAAGAGCAGCATAGCCAGGTATTAAAACACATCACTCTCATTTAGTCTCCCCAACTAGAAGGAGATTATCTAAATCATTGGAGGAAGAATCCAGAATATTCCAAATTGATGATTCTTGGGAGTTTATGAAATATTAAATTAAAAAATTAAATTAGTTTCAGACAGCACATTCAGCTTTGTTATATCCAGGTTGAAGCAAATTAGATGCCATTAAAAATGGTCAGTTCAGCTGCTTTTATAAATGTTGTTCTTGCCTGTTATATCCAGGTTGAAGCAAATTGGATGCCATTAAAAATGGTCAGTTCAGCTGCTTTTATAAATGTTGTTTTTTACCTACTGTAGGGACCATAATTTTAATGTGTTCAAACAATTGGTTCAAGTGCTTCACACTTCTGTGTACCATTTGTGTAATTTCTCCATGACAGAAAAACAGAAGGCTTGGGTTTTTAATATCTAATGTCACGTTCATTCAAAATTCTATTTTTTATTTATTCAAGCACGATGTATTTATTTGCCTTCCTTCTAGAATATGACCTTCAATCTACCTTCCTGAAACAGTTTTCCTTGCTTCTCCCCTCTCTTTCCCCATCAAAAAGGCCAAAAGTTGAAATGGGAGGAATGGGAAGATAATGCACTCCCAAGCCCCTAATTATTTTGGAATGCTCTGTAATCTACTCAAAAAAGCAAGATGTACAAGGAGGTCAAGTTCACCTACAAGATACTGTCTAAGGCAATATAATAAATTAACAAAAAAATTAATAAACGGACCCACCAAAGTAAGTGACTAATTCTAGAATTATGACTGCATTCATATAAAGGCCATAAAACATCTGAGTAGATTTGTGTTAAAATATCAAAATTAGGTAGAAGTAAATCATCTCTAACAGACATTCTACTTATTTGAGAGGATGGGGTGGCAGCCCACGTAGTGTAATTAAAAAAGCAAAATGTCTGGAGTCAGACCCATCCCCCATACCCTTCACCCCCATGTAAATTACCTCTCTTCCACTTCCTAACTTGTGAGCTCAGAGAAGACATGTACTCTGCAAGCCTCAGTGTCTTCACCTTGCAGAGTTTATGGAAAAATTGAAGATGAGGTGTGCTTCTTGTAGAATATCAGGTGCATGGTAAGCAGTAAATATTAATATGTTGCCTGGCTGGGATAAGTTTTTAATGTATATTGTATTAATATGCATCATGATGCTGTTTATGAGAACTGTGATTGAAAATAAATATCTATATATTTTTGCAGCTCATCTATCTTTTGTAGTGTGGAATCATGATTGGGACCTTGAATCTTTTCTACTTTCACTTTTCCACTTGGGGATACATGAGGTACAGCCTGCCTTCCTTCCTTTGTCTGTCTTTCCTTCCTTCCTCCCTCCCTCCCTCCCTTCCTTCCTTCTTTCCTTCCTTCCTTTCTTCTTTTCTTTCTTTCTTTCTTCCTCTCTCCCTCCCTTCCTTCCTGCCTGCCTGCCTTGCTTCCTTTGTCTTTCTTTCTTCCTTTCTTCCTTTCCCTTTCTTTATGAGGCCCTCACTGTAGCCTCTTGGAAACTTTATATGTCAGCACACATTCTTAAATAATCCACAAATTTCTAATTATACATAATCTGAACATTTGTAACACTTGTAGCCTAAATCTCTCAGACTATATAGGCTGATAAAAGTGGCATTTGAAGAACAAGTCATTTAGAAAGAATTTATAAATTGGAGGAGAGAACATGAGCCATGAAGATTATCTGGGGAAAGAGCAGGCCAGGCAGCGGGAATAGCCACTGCAAAGCTCCTGAGGCAGAGGCATGCTCTGGGGCCAGAACAGAGTGAGGGGGAGAGTGTTAGGTGATGAGGTCAGATCACATAGGAACTTGTAAGCTATTTTAAAGACTTGGGGTTTTACTGGGGGAGATGGCACCATTGAAATATTTCAAGCAAAAGCATGACATGATTTCCTTTACATTTTAAAAGGGGACCTGTGTTATTATCTGAGTTGAGAATGGACTTTAGAGGAGTAAGGATAGGAGATCGATGAGTAGTTTGGAGGCTACTGCAATAATCCAGGAGAGATTGAAGTGGCTTAGCCAAAGGTAGCATCAGTGAGAAGTGGTTGTGTTCTGTGCATATTTCGAAAGTTGAGCCAGTACACTTTGCTGGCATTTTATTTAGATGTGAAAAAAACGGATTCAATGAAGTAAGTTTTTTACCCAAGCAACCAAAAGATAGTTAACACTGAGCTGGGAAAGACAGATAGCATAGCATGTTTGTGTGAGAAGATCCAGAATTCACTTTTAAGCATGTTAATTTTGAGATATTTATTAGACATCAAGTACAGACACTGCCTAGGTGTTCAGATATAGCATCTGAATCATAGTATTTTAAAGGTGCTGCCCTAAATTCTAGTGCCCGTAGCATTCAAAGGACCAAAAAGGGTTTTTATTATAAAAAATCCACCACCAACAATAAATATCCCCGGTCTCCTCGCCAGCTTCATCATCTCTCTCTTCGCCTTCATAGCCTGCCTTCTCCCAGAGTTGTCTACAATCTCTGTCCACCTTCTGTGCATTCTTTAACCCACCCCATTCTGGCTTCCAGTGCCATTGCTCCATAGAAATTGCTCCTGCTGATGTTACTAGCCATTGTTCATGTTGCAAATCCACCTTTCGATTCTCATCATACTTGACATTGCCAGCATTTGACACTATTAACCTTATCTCCATTGAAATGTGCCATTTCCTTAGCGTCCATGTCCCTATGCTCTTCTAGTTTTCCTCCTTTTTCTCTTTCTCAGTCTCCATTGTGAATTTATCCTTCTGTACCCAATCTTTAAATGTTGGAGCTCCTAAGGATTCTAAAAACTCTTAGACCCTGTTCTCTTCTCAGTTTTTACTTTTGCTCTGGGCAATATCATCCATCCATGGTGTCAGGTACTATCCATATATGGTTGACTCAAAATATGTGTCTCTAGCCAAAATCCTTCTTCTTAGCCTCTGGTCTATCTATTCTATTTCTCCACCCACCAACCACCCCAACCCCCTCCCCCACCGCACATTCAGAGTCAACACATCCAAAACAATACTTTCACCCTGACAAACCTACTCTCCTTCACTACTGCCTTTCTCATGAAATAGGACCACTATCCAGCCAGTTCCTCATGCCAGAAACTTGGAAGCCATCCTTGACACTTCTCTCTCCATTTTTCATATCCAGTTAGTCATCAAGCCCAAAACCCATCTCAAAACTGTCACCTTCAACCCCCTTGCCTTTGTCTGGTATCCTCTTCTTGTTTTGTTTGTGGGCAGCTCATTCTTGTCCTTTAGGTCTCAATTCAGAAGGGTCTTCCCTAATCATACTATCTAAGACAAATCTCCATCGGCGTGACTCCATACTCCATTACCCTGTTGATAGCCTGCATAGAATTTACCATAGTCAGTGATTATTAATTTGCCTATTTGTTTATTGTCTTTCCCCAACTAGAATATACGAAGATAAGCACCTTGTCTGTTTTATTAATTGCTATATACCCAACATCTATTTATAGTATAAGGCCTGATACACTAGACACTTAGTAAATTTTGGTAGGAGGAATGAATGATGTGTTTCTGCATTAAGTGTAATTTGATGCTGATAAGCAGATATGTTCTATAATATAATAACAGGTTTGAAAATCAGGAATGATTTTAGTCAAATGACTTGATAGCCGCTATTGAGACGATTTTACAGTTTTTACCTTTTGACCAGTTTGTGTGGCCAATTTTATTAATAGACTAGCTAATATTAAACCATTCTTAAATTTCTAGATTAAACATTGTTTGGTTGTTGAATATTATTTTTTCCATGTATTGGTGGATTCTGTTTCTCAAACCAATATGACACTGATACATAAACCTCACAGAGATGCTTAAAACACCACTATAGCCCAGTTACAGTAATGAATATTGATGTAAAAATCCTAAATATATATACATTCACACACATACACGTAGATAATAGAATCTGCCAATACATTAAAACTTAAACTTCCCAAGAGTAAAAAAATGTTGGGGCTGGAATTTTGCAAACTGCATTTTCCAGACTCCTTTGCCAGCCAGCCCCTGGTTAAGTCCTGGTAACAGGAGGAACTAGAGAGAAATTGGAATGTGAGCAGAGAGAAGATGGACTTTCTTTACGTTTTCTGCTATTCCTGTTAGCACTAGCAGTTCACTCCAGCAGCAGCAGGTGGTTTCAACCTGCAGCTTCTTTGGTTCTCTAAGAAACAGCCTCATGGTATCCCCTAAGACCTAGCAGCAGTAACAGGGTAATGCCCTTCCTCAGAAGTCTGAGTCCCAGTTCTGAGCACAGAGACAATAGCAGCAGCTGGGCAGGGTCCTTCTTCACAAATCTGAGCGTCAACTTCCCAGGGCCTCTTCTCTGAGCTCTTAGATTTTGGTAATACCAGCCTCTTCCTTCTTGTTTCTCCAGCCCTGCGTAGGGGTGGTAGCTGCTTTTTACAACAAGTATCTCTGCATTACCTCAATTTCTCCTTTGTGTTCTTTCACCCCTCCAAAGCCTATATAATCAATTCCCCATGTTAAAACCTTCCTATTGAAATACTGAAGTCGTTTCTATTTACTTGAAAAAACACTTAATAACACAACTTTGGTTATTAGTCCGTTCAGTTTTTTAAAATCTCTTCTTAAGTCAAGATGGAGTTTTGCTCTTGTTACCCAGGCTGGAGTGCGATGGCGCGATCTCGACTCACCACAACCTTTGCCTCCCGGGTTCAAGCAATTCTCCTGCCTCAGTCTCCCGAGTAGCTGGGATTACAGGCAAGTGCCACCACGCCTGGCTAATTTTGAATTTTTAGTAGAGATGGGGTTTATCCATGTTGGTCAGGCTGGTCTCGAATTCCCGACCTCAGGTGATCCACCCACCTCTGCCTCCCAAAGTGCTGGGACTACAGGCGTGAGCCAGCGCGCCCGGACAATTTTAATACTTTTTATCTTCCTAGAAAATTAACCACTTCATCCACAGAGATGTGCCAAATATTTTCATCTAGCTCTTTCAAGTTTCTCTGTTTCTATGATGATAATCCTAATCTCATATGTAGATTTTTGTATTTGTTCTCATATTCTTTCTTTTTTCTTGTTTAGTCTATCTGATTTTTCGTTTTCCTTCTGAAAAAGCACAACTGTTCTTGAATTTGTTTATGAACTTGCCATTTTTTCTAATTTGTTTTTCATTTGTCTTATGATTTTTTTTCCTTCAGCTTTCCTTGCTGGTTTTCACTGCTCTATTTTTAGCTTCTTAGGTTGATTATTCAATTCATTTGTTTTCATCTTTCCTGTTTAAGTCATAAAAGTGTTTAAGGGTGTGACCTTTTCTTTGATTATTGCTTTAGTTGTTTTAATTATTTTTCTTTAGATAAACTCTATTTCTGACTTTAGTATCTTTGGCCCAAGAATTGTTTTAGAGATAGTTTTACAAGTTCTATATAGTTAAGTTATTTTAGTTTCTATGTTTGTTCTTAACTTAGATTTCATTATTTTGTGGTCAGCAAATATAATCTGCATGATTTTTACCTTTAGGAATTTATTAACATTATCTTTGTTTATGCCTTATGGTATCAATTCTAATACATACCTTATTTTACTGCCCATTTTATTGATTCTGGTAAGACACATGAATGTCTCTGAAATGTGGCACCTTATCTATAATTAATGACATTTTACAGTTGTAATTGGCAGCGTTTTTACTTTCTTAGTGCAACATAAGATAATGTTAGGCCTTGCAATCTGATGGCATCTTAAATTTAATGAATACGTTTTATTTAAATCATTCTAAAATGGTAACATATTTCACACCCTCTATTAAAAGAAAGTTGACTACTGTTAGGTTTTTTTTCCCCTGCATCTCCTGTTGGTTCATTAGTGTATCTTATTGTGGATGATATCTTGGAATTAAAGTTATTGTTTGTTTGTTTATTTGTTTTGCTTTATGGATACATAAAAAAGAAGACGTATTCTGTTTTCAGAGTATAGATGACTTAGTTAGTTGGGGCTGCTACAACAAATTATTATAAACTGAATTGCTTAAACAACAGAAATTTATGTCTCACTGTTATGGAGGCTGAGAAGTTCAAGATCAAGGTACCAGCAGGGTTGGGTTCTGGTGAGGATCCTCCTCCTGGTTTGCAGATGACCATCTTCTTGCTATATCCTCATCCTGTAGGGAACAGAGAAAAAAAAAAAGGAAGCTTTCTCTTTCTCTTCTTATACAGGCACTAATCCATCATGAGGGCTTCACCTTCATGATCTCATTAAATTCCAAAGGTCCCATCTCCAAATACTATCACTTTGGAGATTAAGATTTCAACATATGAATTTGGAGGAGACACAAACATTCAGTCCATAGCAACAGAGTTCAATATATATTTATCTATTCAATTGATTCTCCTAATTATGTGAGGTAAATCCTTTATTACATACTTACTTAGATTTCGATGATGGTAGTAGATGGGAAGTTGGTGGTATACTTGATGTGTCTTACTGCAGAGTAAGTCCAAATTTCCCACTTTTGAGCACATTATCAACTTCTCATGGTAGTTCCTTTTGGCTTTTAATGTATGTATTTTGATTATATGTTATTTGATGCATAAATGTGTTAAGTCTCTACTTGAATTGTATCTTTTATCATTGAAAATTGATTCTTTTTGCCATTTTAATGTATTTTTAAAAATTCAACCTTATCAGATATTAATTTTGGTGCCTTATTTTTCACTTTGCTTCCACTTGCCTGATATGTTTTTGATCACTGTTTTAATTTAAATCTCTGTATATCAAACTGTTTTTGTGGTAATTGGATTTTACCAGCTCCTACATTCTATTATTATTATTATTATTATTATTTTAGATGGAGTCTTGCTCTGTCACCCAGGCTGGAGTTCAGTGGCATGATCTCGGCTCATTGCAACCTCCACCTCCCGGGTTCAAGCGATTCTCCTGCCTCAGTCTCCCTAGTAAGCTGGGACTACAGGTGTGTTCCACCATGCCCAGCTAATTTTTCTAATTTTGGTAGAGACAGGGTTTCACCATGGTGGCCAGTTTGGTCTCGAACTCCTGACCTCAGGTGATCCACCCGCCCCGGCCTCCCAAAGCGCTGAGATTACAGGTGTGAGCCACTGAGCTTAGCCACCAGCTCTGACATTCTTTGGGTCTTTTACTTTGATTCATCTCTTGATTGGCTGGATTTTGTCATCAGGTGATTTCTTCTTTTCCCAAGAAGAGCTTGTGGATGCAGTAGTCTCCCAATTATTACACTTTAAAAATAGCTTTCTGATTTTTTTTAATATCTGGACAACAGCTAGATTGACTATAATATTACCAGCTCATTTTTTCACCACTGAAATCTGAACACATTGCTCTACTGTTTTCTAAGTGTGAATAATGCTGTGGAGAAGTGTGAAGTCCACCTGATTTATTCTGGTTTTGTTTTATGGATGCCCATAAGATTCAATGTATTCATTGAAGTTCAGCAACTTCTCCAGTATTTGTCTATTTACCAGGCTAAATCAACTTTTTCCTTGAATTTGGTGTACTCTTTCAATCCACAGATTCATGTCTACCTTCATTTCCAGAAAGTATTTTAAAATTTTGTCATTGAATATTTTTTTCTTAGTTAGGCTTCCTGTTTTTTTTTCTGGAGTTTATTTGCATTCTTTTGTCCCTCTTCCATAGCTGTCTCTTATTTTTCCTATTTACTTTCATTTATTTGTCCTTTTCCAATTCATATTGCATAATTTTAAACCTATTTCTGCATTATATGCTTTTGATCTTAGTAGTGTCTTTTCAACTTTTTGTCTTTCAAAGGCACTGTATTTTTTCAACAATCTGAAATACTTTATTTTTAAAAAGATTTTTTTAAAAATCATGACAAATATGCCAACATTTGATAAAACTGGGTTGTGGGTACATGGGTTGTTTGTTTTATTATTTTCCATGTTTTTCTGTTTACTTGATTTTAAGAAAACAATTTACTTTATTTTATTTTATTTAGTTTTTTGAGATGGCATCTTACTCTGTCACCTAGGCTGGAATGCAGTGGCATGATCACAGCTCACTGCAGCCTCAACTTCCCTGGGCTCAGGTGATCCTTCCACCTCAGCCTCCAGAGTAGCTGGGACTACAGACAGGTGCCACCACGCCTGGCTAATTTTTTTGTATTTTTTGTAGAGATGGGGTTTCATCATGCTGCCCAGGCTGGTTTCAAACTCCTGGACTCAAGCGATCCAACCATGTCAGCCTCCCAAGGTTCCAAAGATTACAGGTGTGAGTCACCACACTTGGCTAAAAAAATATATTTTAAAAAGCAGTTTTAAGTTCACAGCACAATGGAGTGAAATGTACAAAGATTTCCCATATACACCATAACCCCACACATGCATAGCCTACCGGACTATCAACATCCTGCACCAGAGTGGTGCATTTGTTACTATCAACATCCTGCACCAGAGTGGTGCATTTGTTACTATTGATGAACCTACACTGACACATCATTATCACCCAAAGTCCATAGTTTACATTACAAATACGGTTTTTATTTTTAATAATTGTTTTGTTTTTATCCATATTTCCTGAGTTCTGCCAGCACATCTTATAGCTCTTTCTCTGCATCTTATCATCACTTACTATCTCATCACTGAGGCATTTTCCTGTTCCTCCTTAAAAACAACCTTTCCGTGTAATTTGTTTGTAATTGTACATTTCCTCTCAATTGGGGAAAGCTACCTTTTTCCGCTTGCTCATTTTGGCTCCTTTATATCTCTTCTGATTCAATATCTAACCCATCATACTGAAATCACAGTGGCTCGATTTTCAAAATATCTCCTGAATATGATCATATTTTATGCCTGCCCCCTTGCAACTAGGAGAGGTCAGTTCTGGCCAATGACATGAAAGAAAAAATTTCTCTGTGGCCGTCTGGAAAAACTTTATATAAAAGGACAGTCAACACTGGTATGTGTCTTCTGCTTTCTTCTATAATATTTGTTCTTCTTTTTTTACTGTCAGAAAAGCAGCTAGATACCTCAGGTACAGCATCCATTTATCATATAAGAAAGATAGCAACACATATTAATAATAAAGCATGAATCTATAAGAAACCTGGGTGTAGATTATATGTACAAGCTGCTGTACCAGCCATGAACTGTCTATCTGCATACTTCTTGTTACATGAGAAAAATGAGTCTCTATTTATTTAAGCCAGTAGTCAGTTCTCTGATACAGCTGAACACCATCTTGACTGATGGACACTACGTACACAGTACATATTTGTTCCCTAGGGATGCCATAACAAAGTACCATAAACTTGGTGGTTTGAAACAAAAGAATTATATTATCTCATTGTTCTGGAGGCCAAAAATCCAAAATCAAGGTTTCAGTGTTGCTGTCTTCTGGAGGCTCTGAGGGAGATTCCGTTCTGTATTTCACTCCTGGCTTCTGGTGGCTGCCAGCAATCTTTAGCTTTCCTTGGCTCGTATACGCATCACTCTAATCATTGCTTCTGGCTTTACATGACCTTCCCCTTTGTTTCTCTCTGTTCCTTGTCCTTTTCTGTCACTTATAAGGATGCCAGTCATTGGATTTAAAGCCTTACTCTAATCCAGGATCATCTCATCTCAAGATTCTTACCTTAATTACATCTGCAAAGACCCTTATTCCAAATAAGTTCACATTCTGAGATTCTGGATATATTTTTTTCTGGGGGGAGAGCTGGGGTGCTGTTCAACAAACTGTACAGTATGAAATTTTAAACATACATAAAAGGGCTGGCATACATGCATTTTTATTTTAGAGTGCTTCTTTTATTTATGTGTTTATTTATGCTTAATTTTTTGCTTTATTCCTGTCTTCCCACTCCAACCTACATCATACCACCCCATAATCCAGACTAACCTACTGTGTATCTTTTCAATTTTGTGCACAAACATCTAATCCTATACAGACAGTATGTGCATAAGCAGATAAACACACACACATACACGGTATCAGTTAGTTATTCTGCATAATGAACTACCCCCAAACTCAGTGACTTAATATGGCTATTACTTATTATTATAGTTCATAAATCATGAGATTGGAATTTGGTCACTGTTGGCTGAGCTTCCTCACGCATTACAGGATCGACTGGGGCCTCTGCTCTAGGTAGGATCTGTCAGGGGTAACATAGTGTGGCTTCACTTCTCTCTCATCCTCCTCCTTGGATCAGTGGGCTAGACCAAGATTTTCCTACCTCATGGAGACAGAGGAAGTGCAAGCAGGCAAGTCCAATCACATAAGCACTTTTTAAAGTGTCTGTTTATGTGACAGCTAACATCCTATTGGCTAAAATCATAATCAATGGGTGGGGAACTGTATTTCATCTCTTGATGGAAGAAACTGTGACGTTACATTGCAAGGGCATGAATACAGGAAGTGGTACAAAATTAGGGCATTAATTCAATCTGTCTCATGGGCAGATATGATAAACAAACACATATGCTTTCATCTGATCAATGTTTGCTTTACAGAAATAAGATCCTATTATGTTATTTGTTTGCATCTTGCTTTTCTCAACAACACCTTATGGAAATACTTCTAAGTCATCTTATTTATCTCTAATTCAATTGTTAAATGGCTGCATGTTATTCCATCTTATGAATTTACTATAATTATTTAGCCATTTTTCTCTTGATGGGCATTCTTTTTTTTTTTTTTTTTTGCCACTTCAAACAGTACAGGAAAAAGATTCTTGAATATCCTTACATACAGGGACTTTTATCTCTTTAAGGTAATTTCCCAGGAATAGATTTCCTGGGCCAAAAAGTGTGTATATTGTTAATTTTAACAGAAAAGACCAGGATGCTTTTCAGATAAGGCTGCAATGCTTCACTTTTCCCAGCAATTTATGATACTCTTTCCTACATTGCTGCCCAGGAGAGATGGCATTTTTCTTATTAATCTTTTCTACTCTGTTGTATATAAAGTAATATTACATTGCTTTTTCACTTTTCATTTCTCTACTCACAGATTTGAGCATCTTTTCATGTAATTGGCCATTTGAATTTGCAAGTCTGTTACTAGTCTGTGTATATCCTTTTCTCAGTTTTTTACTGAGTTGTTTTTAATTTTCTTGTCAATTTGTAATAGCTCTTTATATTATTGGTATTAAACCTGTGGTTGCCTTCTGGGTGTATTTTTCCAGGTCTTTGTTTAATGAATTTGTTTATGGTGTCCTTTGTAATGTAAAAGTTTTGTCTGTGGCTGTTGTTACTGTTTAACTATTTACTGAATTAAATAGTTCTAAAAATACCTGTACTGCAGCTTAGCCAATGTAATCATTAGGAGGTTGAGTGGGAAAGGGAGGGTCATCTCTTGACACTGCCTGGAGCTTCCTCCAAATTCTCAGTGCATGCAAAAGAGAACTAAAATAGGATGTTTCAATTATACCTCAACAAAATGGAAAAAGGAAAGAAAGAACTGAGAAGTCACAGGTAAAGGTCATGTGAATGAGGCCCCAACAATTGTCATCTAACAGAAGAAATCCTACTTTTGGGTTAACTAGGACTAAAAGAGAAGCTGAACCATTGTAAGAAATTATTACAAACTTGGTGTTTTAAAACAACAGTAACTTACTGTCTCACAGTTCTAAAGGTCAGAGGTATGAAATCAAGGTGTCAGTAAGGTTCGCTTTTTTGGGAGGCTCTAATAGAGAATCTATCTTATGCCTCTTTGCTAGCTTCTGGTAGTTGCTGACAATGCATGGTTTCCTCAGTTTCTAGATACATCATTCCAGTCTCTGCCGCCATCGTCTCATGGCCTTCTCTGTGTGTCTTTGTTGTTGTTGTTGTTGCTTGAAACAGTCTCACTCTGATGCCCAGTCTGGAGTGCAGTGGCACGATCACAGCTCACTGCTGCCTCGGCCTCCTGGGCTCAAGTGATCCTCCTGTCTCAGGCTCCTTAATAGCTGGGACCATAGATGTGTGCCACCACACCTGGCTAATTTTTTTATGTTTTTGTAGAGATAGGGTCTCACTTTGTTGTCGAGGCTGGTCTGATTTCAAATGATCCGCCCGCCTCAGCCTCCCAAAGTGCTGGGATTAAGAGGCTTGAGCCACCGTGCCCAGCCCCTTCCCTGTATGTCTTCATATGGACTTCTTATAAGGACACCAGTTATTCCATTTAGGGCCCACCCTAATCCATTATGACATCATCTTAACTTAACAAATTACAACTGCAAAGGTGCTGTTTCCCAAATAAGGTAATAGTCTGCGGTTCTGGATAGACCAATTTTTCAGGAACACTATTCAAGCCACTACAGTCTGTCCTCTGTCCACCCCCTCAAAAAAAATCTGCATTCATTCTACATGCAGAATACCTCCCCTAAAGTCTTACCCCATTCCAGCCTTAACTCTAAATCCAAAATTTAATCAACTCAAAAGCTTCAAAATCTCAAAAAGTTCTAAATCTCATTATCTAAATCAGGTGTAAGAATTGGTATGGCCTATCCTGGGGCAAAATTCCTCTTTATCTACGGACCTGTGAAACTAGAAAACAAGTTACCTGCTTCTTAAATACAGTCATGTGCTGCATAACAATGTTTCAGTCAATAAATAGCCACATATACGATGATGGTCTCAAAATTATAATGAAGCTAAAAAATTCCTATTGCCTAGTGACTTCATAGCCATCATAACGTCATAGCACCACGTTTGTGGTGATGCTGGTATAAATAAACGTACTGCACTGCCAGTCATATAAAAGTCTAGCACATACAATTATGTACAGTACATAATACGTGATAAAGATAATTCACAACTATGTTACTGGTTAGTACAGTTTTTACTGTACTATACTTTTTATTGTTATTTTAAAGTGTATTCCTTTTACTGATTAAAAAAAAAAAAGTTAACCGTAAAACATCCTCAGGCAGGTCCTTCAGGAGGTATTCCAAAAGAAGGCATTGTTATCATAGGAGATAACAGCTCCATGCATGTTATTGCCCCTGAAGACCTTTCAGTGGGACAAGATGTAGAAGCGGAAGACAGTGATATTCATGGTCCTGACCCTGTGTAGGCCTAGGCTAATGTATGTGCGAGTGTCTTCATTTTTAATGAAAAAGCTTTAAAAGTAGAAAAAAAATAATTTTAAAATAGAAACACAGAATAAGGATATAAAGGGAGAAAGTATGTTTGTACAGCCATACAGTGTGTTTGTGTTTTAAGCTGGGTTATTATAAAATAGTCCAAAAGTTAAAAAATTAAAACGTTTATAAGGTAAAAAAGTTACAGTAAGCTAATGTTAACTTATTTTTATTTATTTATTTATTTATTTTTTGAGACAGAGTTTCACTCTTGTTGCCCAGGCTGGAGTCCAACGGTGTGATCTCGGCTCACCGCAACCTCTGGCTCCTGGGTTCAAGCGATTCTCCTGCCTCAATTTCCCGAGTAGCTGGGATTACAGGCATGCGCCACCACACCTGGCTAATTTTGTATTTTTAGTAGAGACAGGGTTTCTCCATGTTGGTTAGGCTGGTCTCAGACTCCCGACCTTAGGTGATCCGCCCACCTCAGCCTCCCGAAGTGCTGGAATTACAGGTGTGAGCTATCGTGCCCGGCCTAATGTTAACTTATTATTGAAGAAAGAAACATTTCAAAAATAAATTTAGTGTGGCCTAAGTGGACAGGATTTATAAACTCTACAGTAGTGTCCAGTAATGTCCTAGGCCTTCACATTGACTCACCACTCACACAGAGCAGCTTCCAGTCCTGCAAGCTCCATTCATGGTAAGCGCCCTATACAGGTGTACCATTTTTTAAATCTTTTATACCATATATTTACTATACCTTTTATATGTTTAGATACATAAATGCTTACCATTGGGTTACAACTGCCTACAGTATTCAGTACAGTAACATGCTGTAGAGATTTGTAGCTTAGGAGCAACAGGCTACAGCATATAGCCTAGGTGTGTAGTAGGCTATACCAACTAGGTTTGGTTAAGTACACTCCATGATATTTGCACAATGACGAAATTGCCTAAAACCGCATTTCTCCGAATGTATTCTCATTGTTAAGTGACGCATGACTGTACAATGGTGAGAATGGCATAGTATAGACCATTTCAAAAGGGAAAAAATGGTCATAGAATCTACTAGCCCCTCAGTGGAAAGCCTCATTCTAAAGGCCCCCACCACTGAGGTTCCTGTCCCAGACAGAATAGAGTAATCCACCTCCACCATCAACAAGTGTCCTTACAACCTATGTACATTTTTGCACATGTATAGCCAAATATGCCTATCTTTTCCTTTATAGCTTCTGTGTTTTTAACCTTGGTTAAGAGGGTTCCCCTGACCCTATATTGTACATAGTCTCCTAATTTTCTCTAAAGATTCTAGTTGTTTAATTTTACATTTGCCTTTTTATATCTTCTAAAATTAATATTTTATTTCATGGAAGATGGAGTCCATTTTTATGTTTTTCAAGATGGACATCCAATTGCAACATACCAGTTATTTTAACAAATTCTTACTTTTCCCCAAAATGGGTTTGAACTATGACATTTGTCACTTATTAATTTCTCATATATACTGGGATATAATTCTTGATTCTCTACTCTTTTCCACTGATTACTTTGTCTTTTCTTATGTCAATATCATATTGATTTGATAAAAGTGGCTTTTTGGTATGTTCTGATGCTCAGGAAAAATCAAGTCCCCTCTCTGACTTGATTTTCTGAATGTCTCCTTTTTGATCCCCCAAGGAGTCCATGTGACAGTATAAAATGAGAGTACAGAGCGGCACTATCCAGTTGGTAGCCACTAGCCCAAATTAAATTAATTAAAATTAAATATATTTAAATTAATTAAAATTAAATACAATTAAAATTTCAGTTCCTTAGTTGCACTGGTCACATCTCAAGTGCTCAGTAGCCATATGTGGCTGGTAGTTCCTAAGCTGAACAACTTAGAAGTTGAACACTTCCATCATTGCAGAAAGTTTGGTTGTGTAACAGTGCTGACCTATAGTTCCTGACATTTGCTTGTTTCCAAGGATGATTCTTCTGATGTACATTCTTCCTTTGACATGTTTATTTTCTTCTCTTTTTCTCTTTTTGCAGGTGGCACGTGGGGTGATGGTGCTAATATCGCTATACAAGCCATGCAGGGCCCTTTCTTCATTTTGCCCGTCTTTAAAGGGTGGAAGTTCTGGAGAGAGTCACTACATAGATAATGTGAGGAGGATCTCTGATTCCCGCCATGACAGAGTAACTGGAAATGAACTTTCCTTCTCACCATAAACAGCTATAAAACTGGGAGAAAATATCCACGACACATATGTCTCACAAGAGACTTGTATCCAGAATTCTTAAAGAATGCTTTCAATAATAAAATGACAAAAATTCCAATTTAAAAATGCATAAAATACTTGAAAAGAATCATGGTTACCAGGGGCTGGGGTGGTTGACAGGGGGTTGGGGAAATGTTGGTCAAAGGACATAAAATTTGGTTGAATAGGAGGGATAAGTTCAAGAGATCTATTTTACAATCTGGTGACTGTAGTTAGCAATATATTGTATTTTTGAAAAATGCTAGGAGAATGGATGTAAAGTGTTCTCACCATACAAATGAAAACGATGTGAGGTAATGCATGTGTTAATTTGCTATATTTAGTCATTCCACAATGCATATATACTTCAAAACAATATGTTGTACAAAGTAAAGGCATAAAATTTTATCTGTCAATTTAAAGTAAATAAATGAATGAACAAATGAATAAAAAGACACTTCATGAAAGAAAATATATGACCGACAAGCACATGAAAAGGGGTTCAACTTCATCAGTTATCAGAGAAATACAAATTAAAACCACAATATGATACCACGTCACACCCACTAAAATAGCCAAAATTTAAGTCTAATAACACTAAAGTTCGGTGAGGATGGGGAGTAACTGAAATTCAGCATTGATGTGGAAGTGTGAAATGGTACCACCACTTTGAAAAACTGTCAGTTTCTCAGAAAGTAAACTATAAACCTATACTATAACCATTAACTCCACTTCAGTTTACTCAAGAGAAATGGAAACCTATGTCCACAAAAGGAATTTTAAAAGAATGTTCACAGCACTTTTACCCATAATTACCAAAAACTGGAGACCAAACAAATGTCTATTAATAGAAGTCTGGATAAATAAACTGTGGTATATTCACATAATGAAATACCAGTCAGCAATAAAAAGCAATGAATTGCATATATATAGAATCTCAGAGACATTACGTTGAGCAAAAGAAGCCAAACAGGAAAGAGTATATACTCTATGATTATGTTGATAGGAAGTTCAAAAAAGACAAAACTATTTGGTGGGGATAGAAATCAGAACAGTGATTGCCTATAGCAGGAAAGCAGAAAAGGGAAGTTAGAGATTGACTGCAAGGGCACACAGAAAGGCTTTCTTGGGTGATAGAAATATTCTATTATGTTCTCGATTGGGATAGTGGTTACAGAGGTGTATACATTTGCTATGATTTATTGAACTGTACACAAGATTTGTACCTTTTATTACAGGTAAATTTTACTTAATACAAACAAACAAAAGTAACACCGAGGAAGAGAAAAGGGAGCATCCCATGGTAGCCTTTGGTTTTAAATCCGGTATGATGGCTTAGAAAATTCTATGCCAAAATCTAGGTCTCTTCCGTGGGAGTGATACACATCTTCATCAGCTCTTGGCACATCTCTTAAGGGGAGGGCATCATTCACCTGGAAGATCTATTGGCTCAACTTTTGAGCTTACTGAACTTTTTTCTTTCATGGACTTATGGGTTTTTGTCTTGTTTCATTTTGTTTTTCTTTGCTCTCTGACTCTGGTAAACAGCAGTTTTAATGGCAAGCTTTTGTCATCCCTGTCTCATCTAGAGGAAGTTTATCTGGGCTGGAGAAAACAAAAATGGCATATCCATGGTGTCTTTTCTTCAACATTGATTCCCCTGTACTTCTTCAGGGTGGAAAAGGTCTGCACAGTGATAATCCCTGTTTCACCATGGCCCACTCACTCCCATAGCCCACCTACAACATTATATCTAAAGGCATGCCTTTGCTTATGTGCATAGATATTTACAGTTTCCTTTAGATCTGGAAAGCTATTTGTTAGCCCCCAGCATTAACCCATCACTTTGTCCAAGTTTCACTATACTTAGCAAATATTCATCACTATTTGGGTAGTAGTATTCATTTCTTAGTTTCATTGTGGATGGAATTTTCCTTTGTTCAAGTCTGTGGTGTTGGAGCAAAAGAGTGTAACAAAAATTCCTTTACTTCACCATCTTTTGTGGAAACCCTGAATCTAGTGTGAGGTTTTAGAAATCCAGACTTGGCCCTGCTCCATCCACGGTCAAAGCCTTTGACTGGGCTTTCACGGCTATTCAAAGATCCAATCTCAAAGCCCTAAGGTAGCTTCCAATGCTCTACATGATCTGGCTTTATTTAGCTCTCCAGTCTCATCTTGCTTCTCACTTGCCAAATCTAGATGCTTCATTCTTTCTCACCTTCTTTTATTCTTTAAGATAACATTTAATGTTTCTTTTCAAATTACGAAAGTAACTATATACACTGGTGGAGACTTGGAAAATATATATCAGTATAAAAAGATAAATAAAAATCACCTATTTGTTTTTTTTACTATTGAGTTGCATGAGTTTCCCAAATATTTTGGATATTAGCACCTTATCATACATATGGTTTGCAAATATTTTCTCCCATTACATAGGTGGTCTCTTCACTCTGTTGATTGTTTTCTTTGCTGTGCAAAAGCTTTTTAATTTGTTGTAGTCCCACTGTTTATTTTTTGCTTTTGTTGCCAGCACTTTTGGTTTCATAGCCAAGAAATTCTTGCCAGTGCTTGCCAATCAATGTCAAGGAGCTTTTTTCCTGTCTTCTTCAAGGAGTTTTACAGTTTCAGATTTTACATTGACAACTTTAATCCGATTCAAGTTAATTTTTGTATATCATATCAGACAAGGGTCCAATTTTATTCTTTTGCATGTGAATATCCAGTTTCCCCAACACTGTTGAAGAAACTTTCCTTTCTCCAATGTCAATCCTTGCCACCCTTGTTAAAGCTTATTTTATATGTGGGTTTATTTCTGGTCTCTCTATTCTGCCCCATTGATCTATGTGTCTGTTCTTATATCAGAACCATACTCTTTTGATTACTAGAGTCTTGTAATATAGTTTGAAATTAGAGAATGTGATATCTCCAGTTTTGTTCTTCTTTCCAAACAGTGTTTTGGCTACTCTAGGTCTTTTGGGATTCCATACAAATATTAGAATTGTTTTTACTATTTCTATGAAAAATGCCATTTTAATTTTGATAGGGATTGCATTGACTCTGTATTTTCAAAGATCACTTTGGGTAGTGAGAAAATTTATCAATATTAGTTCTTTCAATTCATGAACATGAGATATGTTTCCATTTATTTGTGTCTTCTATAATTTCCTTCACATCAGTGCTGTATAGTTTTCAGCATACAGATCTTTTGCCTCCTTGATTAAATTTATTCCTAAGTATTTTATTCTTTTTGATATTATTATAAAGGGATCATTTTTCTTAATTTCTTTTTTGGATAGTTCATTGTTAGTATATAGAAACACAGCTGATTTCTGTATGTTGTATCCGGCAACTTTATTGAATTTATTAGTTCTAATAGTTTTTTAATTGAGTCTTTAGGGTTTTCTATATATAAGATCATGTCATCTGCAAACAGACAATTTTATTTCTTCCTTTCAAATTTGAATGCCATTTATTTATTTAGCCTAGCTTCTCTGGCTAGGACTTCCAGTACTATGTTGGATAGTAGTAGTGAAAGTGAGCACCCTTGTATTGTTTCTGATCTTAGAAGAAAAGCTTTCAGCTTTTCACCACTGAGTATGATGTTAGCTGTGGGTTTGCCATATATTGCCTTTATTATGTTGAGGCACATTCCTTCTATGCCTAATTTGTTGAGAGTTTTTATCATAAAAGGATAATTCAATAGCAAAAAGACAAAAAACCTTATTCACGAATGGGCTAAGAACCTGAATAGACATTTTTTCCAAAGAAAACACACAAATGACCTACACATATATATATGTAAAGGTGTGCAACATCACTAATGATTAGGGAAATGCAAATCAAAACCAAAGTGGTATATCAGCTTATGCTGTTAGGATACCAAAAAAGACAAGATATAACAAATGTTGGTGAGAATGTGGAGAAAAGGAAACCCTAGCATACTGTTGGTAGGAATGTAAATTAATACAGCCATTATGGAAAAAAGTATGCTGGTTCTTCAAAAAATTAAACATGGAACCACCATAAAATCTAGTAATCCCACTTCTGGGTATATATCCAAAGGAGATGAAATTGGTATCTCAAACAGGCATCTGCACCCCTGTGTTCATTGCAGCATTATTCATGATAGTCAATATATGGAAACAACCTAAGTGTCCATTGACAAATGAATAAAGAAAATGTGATTGATATATGTGTATGTGTATAGATATTCCATTGTGTATATAGCATATATTCATATTTATATATCATATTTATATTATTCAGCCATAAAAAAGAATGAAATCCTGCCATTTGCAACAACATGGATGAACCTGGAAGACATTATGATAAGTGAAATAATCAGACATAGAAAGACAAATACTGCATGGTCTCAACTTACATGTGGACTCTAAAGAAGTCAAACACATAGAGGCAAAGAGTAGAATGGTGGTTACCAGAGTACGAGGTTGGGGGAATGGGGACATGTTAGTCACAGGGTACAATCTATAAGATGACAAGTTCAGGGGATCTAATGTACAGCATGGGTGGTGATGGATGTGTTAATCTGACTGTGGTAATCATTACATAATGTATACATATGTCAAATCGTGAGTATTTTCCCATGCTATCATTTCCCATCATCATATTTTAAGTTATAGTGAACATTAATAAGCACTTACTCTGTACACAGTACTACTTGGATAAGCAGTTTACATGCATTTTCTCATTTAATCCTCACAACCATCCATGAGGTAAATGTTTTGACATTCCCATTTCACGGATAAGAAAATCAAGGCTTAGGGAGGTTAAGTAACTTGCCCAAAATCACACAGCTGCTAAGTGCTAGAGCTGAACCTGAACCCACATGAATAACACTTAAAAACTCTCCTGAAGTGTCAATTGAGTATTTTTAAAACATTGATTAAGTATTGAATAGATGGCAAAAAAATAATTATAACTTATATGTAAGTATAGAGAATCATGATACAAAGAACAAAAATAACCCAACACCCCGTTTAAGGCACACACACTTGCCTGTGACAGGTCCTCAAAATAGCCTTCATAGAAGTGATCACAACTGGAATTAAATAACATTGGCTCTAGGATTAAAACTCCTCAGTGTAAAGAAGACAAAATCTCCTCCACTTCTCAGGTTAGAGCAGGCCCTTTGCCTCTCCAGAAGGTCCAGATCAGTTGGGTGGTGTGAGTACAGTTCTGGTGGATGCTTCTCAGGTATGTCCTTCTCAGGAAACTTCCGCACCAAGAGAAGTTGGAGAAATCAGAGCAAGGTCACGCAGTGAGGCAGCTTTAGTGGCCTTAGGAGCAGTGGTATCAAAGTGGGCAGTGACTGGGGGATAAGTGGGCAAAAACAGCTCGTGATGAACACTCTAGGTGGACAAGGTAAGGATGACGGCATAGCCAGTGACAGCACCTGTAGTGGCAGCAGGAAAACTTAAGTAGCTAAGGAGAGGAGATAAGTTTGATTTGCTACCTAATTGAGTGGCTCTGAGTCATTCTGGGGGAAGTGAATGAACTTTGAGGTTTTAGCAACTCTGTGAGGTTTAGGGAGCTCAGTGCCAAAGCTCTTTCCATTATCCAGGCAATTTTTATCCACACCCCTGTCTGTCCACACTCCTGGTCGGTGTGCGCTGGGCAAGTAAGGATTAATCAATATTTAATAAAATGTGAGTTTAACTTCCCAGACTACTTACTTCATACAGCTGTAGGGGCTCATCCACTACTTTCTGCTGTCCTGTGGGTGAACTCTAAAATTGCATGAATTCTCCTTAATCAGGCAGTCAGTTCCAATAGACCTGGACAAGCAGCATTTAGAAGCGATACCTTTGCCACCACCAGTGTCTCCACCTCTCCTCCACCACCTTCCACCAGTAATGTAGTTCAGAAAACTTCTCGTTCCTTGACTGAACTTGTTTGCAATGGCCTTCTAAGCATCATCCTTGCTTCCAGTCTCCCTGCTATATTTGCCACCAAATTTTTCCTGTTTAAATTATTTTTAATTATAGAAAATGGATCTATATTTCCAGTCAAAGTAATATAACGAGTTATGTTTAGAAAAATTTCACTTCAATTTCTGTGCCCTCCACCCTGCTTTCCCCCTCTCCTCTATAGGTAAATATTTTCATTAGTTCTTCATTTGTCCTTAAGTGATTTTTTTCATTTTTGGCAAATACAAGCAAAATGTGTGCCTGTATGTATTTATTAGTATTTTCTCCCTTTCTTAAATATAAGATAGCATGCTAAATATGTTACGTTGTATCTTTTTTCTTAATGGCATATCCTGGAGATGCATTTATGTACAGAAATCACCTTTGTTCTTTTTTATGGTGGCATAATACTCCATTATGGGAATATACTATTCTATTTCCAACCAATCTTCTGTATTGAACATTTGGGTTATTTCAAATACTTTTATTGACACCTAATTTAATAAAAAATAAATTTGGTAGCAGTGTCACTCTCCTGCTCAAAAAACGCTGGCTTTCTATCACTTGCAAAATCCAAATGCCTTAGAAGGTCTTTTAAAGTCCATCCCAATCTGCCTTTTCACATTTTTTTTTCTCCCCCATCCACCTTGTATTTTGTGTGGCAGTCACAGTGGAACCTGCCTTCTCCATTCCTCAAATTTACCCTGTATATCGCTCATGCAGTTCCCTCAACCAGAATTATTCTTCCTTTCAGCCCCTCCCCTTCCATCTCTGCCCTCCATGTTGATTGAAATTATTCCTCAATGCCTAGAAGAAAAGTAATTTCCTTCAGGACTCCTTTTCTGAGTCCTGTCCCCATCCACACCTTCCCCTAAGTAAAATTAGTCTCTTCCACCTTGGTCTTCCTAAAGTATCATGCTTGTATTTTTATATTTCATTTTTGCAACTTACATCTTG
This sequence comes from Homo sapiens, assembly GCF_000001405.40. Classification (NCBI taxonomy): domain Eukaryota; kingdom Metazoa; phylum Chordata; class Mammalia; order Primates; family Hominidae; genus Homo; species Homo sapiens. The sequence goes on along the minus strand of NC_000023.11, from coordinate 38,773,060 downwards.
CAGTATTTTCTGGTTATTTAGGTATATTTCTCCCCCCTCCACCCCAGTAGATCACGGAAAAACAATTTCTGCACAGAGCTTTTACATGGTAAAGTGATCAATGTATATTCCTTGAATTGTTTGTTTTTATTAAATGTCTGTAAAAATAAAGCACACATAATAACCAGGGTCAACATTGCTTATGGCTTTGAGAAACAAATGAATGTTGGGCGGGCATGGTGGCTCACACCTGTAATCCCAGCACTTTGGGAGGTCGAGATGGGTGGATCGCTTGAGCTCAGGAATTTGAGAACAGCCTGGGCAACATGGTGAAACCCCCATCTCTATCAAAAATACAAAAACTTAGCCAGCCACGGTGGTGTGTACCTGTGGTTCCAGCTACTCAGGATGCTGAGGTGGGAGGATCGTTTGAGCCCAGGAGACAGAGGTTGCAGTGAGCTGAGATCACCCCACTACACTCCAGCCTGGGTGACAGAGTGAGACCCCATGTCAAAAAAAAATGAATGTCACTCATCCTTTTACTTGCTTTGTTTTACTCAACTAAGTGGTAGGTGAAGGCCTAAAGCAATTGCTGAAGAAATAAGAATTCTCTGAACAATGGAAGGTCGTTATTTTTGTTTGTGCAGCATATTTATGTAGTTTTAAACTTACCATGCTTTGACCCATCAACTTTACTCTTAATAGCTTTTTGTCAGCTACACTAAATTTCAAATTAAGCTAGTTAGATTCCATCCAGAATGACTGCAAAGCACTTGTAGAGTTTAAGTGTTTTATTGATAACTTAAAATCAGCATTTAAATTTAAGGACATAACCAAACTCAAGATGCATAGATGCATATATTACATGTATGTATTTTTGGTACAGCAATTATACCCCAATAAAGCCAAAAAAATAAATCTAAGGACATGAATTATCACTGCCCAGTGAAATTTACATGGCAGATTCAAACTATTTATGGGGTCTCTACCAGGTGTACAGATCTGATCTGTTAAAATACACTAGAAAATCTTTGGAAATATTTACTTCTTTCTGTTATAGGAAAAAAATCACAATTTTTATAAATCATCGTACGAAAAAGTTGTAATAAGCTATTTCAAGGGAAATTTAGACAATTCAATACGAAGTTTCTGATTCTCAGCCTGGCGCAGTGGCTCATGCCTGTGATACCAGCACTTTGGGAGGCTGAGGCAAGAGAATCGCTTGAGCTCAGGGGTTCGCGACCAGCCTGAGCAACATGGTGAAATTTTGTCTCCACAAAAAATACAAAAAACTAGCTGGGCATGGTGGCAGGTGCCTGTAGTCCCAGCTACTCGGGGGGCTAAGGTGGGAAGATCATTTGAGCCCAGGAATTTAAGGCTGCAGTGAGCTGAGATCCCACCACTGCACACCAACCCTGGGCAACAAAGTGAGACCCTGTCTCAATAAATAAATAAATAAATAAAGTTTCTGATTCTAGAGATAAAAGCCTTTTCAAACTTTTGGGAAGACTCCCAGGAATCACATCAACACTGACAGGATTCTGTCAAGTTCTAATTGACATGAATATTTTTGATGGGTTAACAAATGTTAGCTGTGCTGGGTCATATATTCAATTCATGTATAGATCATAGGGTCTATACCTTAAAAGGTTTATAATCTCATTAAATGTATAAAATTTCTCAATGAGAGAGCTGTCAAAATTTGAGGCCGTCTTTAGTCAACCAGGGACATGGTCCAAGGTGATGACCATGAAAATAAATAGAGCCCATGCGTAGCCCTAGCACAGAACTCCCATTTGTAGCATTGTTCCTAGTACTTCATAAATATTTATGAGATTAACAAATACATATTGGAGATATTGTGGAGAAAAAAAACTAAACAGCTTGGCTTTGTGGTAAATTGTATGTGGGAGGAAAAGGAGAGGAGAAAAACAAAGTGATGAGGTTAGGAACCTGGGCAGCTGATGGGGGCCCTTGGATGGTAATACTGATAGCAATTTCAAGAAAGGAATATTATCTCATGTTTTGGCAGATTAGTGTTCAAAAAGCACTGAACCTGGCCCCAGAAATTGAGAATTAAAATTGTTCGGTCACGTCTTAAAGGTAAGGAACACAGATGAAGATTTGGAAAGCACAGAATTCCAAGCAACGGTTAAAAATGAAGCAAATGATTTCATCTACGGGAGAGACTATAGCAGAAACGATTTTAAGCAGTCATCTAGCAGCGCTGTTAATGAACACTATTACAAGAACATTTTTGTTGACCTTATTAGGGTTGTTCTCCCATTAGTGTTAGTAGGTGCTCCATAGAGATAAATAGTAAAGATACCCCAATTCTGAGAAAGAACCATTTTAGTGCCAGAATTTCAGAGGCTTTCCAAGTTGTCTGGTAAATTTGTGATCAGATGAAATATGGTCAATTCATATTCCATTCCATGTTTAAAGCTTACATTTTTCTAAAAACATTGATCTGGCTATCTGTAAGCCAGCGGAAGCAGAAACTTACTGTGAGTCAGGGCTGCTCTGGCTGAGGTTTATGGAGGGTCTCTTCCAGTCTCTCATTTAAATCCCTCCCTGCCTTCCTGTAGCACAAGTTGTAAAGTGCTCTGTAACCCCGTGACCAGGAGAAATGAGAGGCTCTGCTGAGACTGTAATCTCACTCTAAACAGGTCTCCGGCAAGGGCTGGTGAGTGGTGATACATCACGCAGCTCTCTCCTCTAAGGCGCCCAGTGTCACCTCCACAGGGCTCCTCGCTCCTGCTGGAAGATAGGAGAGCTTCCGGCTAGCACCAGACCGAGGTCTCCTGTGCGGTAGCATGCGCAGTGCATTAGCTGCTGAGCAATAGGCCTGGCCCACAGCCTAATTATTAACATTTGAAAGTCGGATGCTGGGCAACTACAGCAATAGCTTCTATGACATTAGAAAATATAGATTTTTAGGCCAGGCGCGGTGGCTCAAGCCTGTAATCCCAGCACAATGGGAGGCCGAGGTAGGTGGATTGCTTGAGGTCGGGAGTTTGAGACCAGCCTAGTCAACATGGTGAAACCTCATCTCTACTAAAAATACAAAAATTGGCCGGGCGTGGTGGCGGGAGCCTGTAATCCCAGCTACTAGGGAGGCTGAGGCAGGAGAATTACTTGAACCCCGGAGGCAGAGGTTGAAGTGAGCTGAGATCGCACCATTGCACTCCAGCCTGGGTAACAGAGTAAGACTCCATCTCAAAATAAATAAATAATCAAAGTAAAAATATAGATAGACTTTTCCTCTCATACTTACTGGACAGACCTATTGCATACTAGTTTCTGCATATATTGTCAGTGTGATTGGAGAAGACATCTCCACCATGACTACTGTGACTATTGATCACAGCAAGGACGAGGCACATTTTTCTGGGGACAATAAATACTAAACATGTATTGGAAAATAAATAAAAGAAATATTCACTTGACTTATTTTTAAATACAAATAGTAATATTAATTATATTTATTTAACGATTTAGGTGCTAGGTCCTGTAAAAATCAAAACACCATTAAGACCCCCTCATTGTGGATAATATCCCTGTCCATAGAACTTTTTACGTAAAGCAGACAGACATTAGAACTACATCTCACACATTCAATCAATAGGCCATAATGATTCATAAATACAGAGAATTCACTTAAACATCTGACCTTTCAGCCTCTGAAAAAGCCTTTGGAGTTCCAAGGATTTGCTAATATGCACTTAAGAGAATATTTTAGGCTGGACATATCAGATGCTGGACAATAGAGGTTAACTTCCAGAAAAGGAATTTCTTCCACGCCCTGTCCGACACATGAACCTCAACCGTATGTGGCTCTGGGGAGAGAAAAAGGGTTACTTAACGTCAGATCCAACATTTTCCTGCAGTCACTGACAGATTCTGATAAGTCACATCCTGAGTGTGTTTAGTGCTGTCATGTTGCTCCTTTCTCCAAGGAAGCTAAGGACCAATGCATCCACCGAGTGCTCAGCAGATCATGGGAGGGAAGCATCTGTTATAGAGACACAACAGTGAGATGGTTTGGAATCGCTCCCATTGTTAATTTTCATTGTATCTAGGGTTAACCCCAGATAACCCTCTCATTAAGGACAGGTGCTTGCCTGATCTCTGGTTCATTGATTGAAAGTCATTTTGTACTGCTGCTGCAAGGGGAATATATACATGTTTGAAATTGTTCACTTCATTATCTTATGTCTCAGTTGTTTCACCTGAAAAGCTAAAAGAATAATAAGAAGAATATCCAGGACAAAGTGGCTGTAAAAAAGTAATGAATACAAATATTTAATAAGCACTTTAGGTAATAATAATAAAAATAATAATACTTCACATGTGTAGAATAATTTATACTAGGTAATGCTTTGTAAATCACTTTGCATACATTATATAGGACATTTAAATCTCAAAGCTAACCTACAAAGTGTACAAATACTGTATAAATGATAACTAATACCAAGAGCAAATTAGTTTAAAAATTAACTTTACAGATGACGTTATTTTAGATGAATGGAAAATCATTCTTTTAGTAATTTAACATTGGCACCAACACCCCAGAAAGATCAACGATTTGACCACGGCTTTAAAGTTGTCTTCATTGTTAATTTCCATAAAAACCTTAACATTGTCTAATTATAGGGTTCTGCATTCATTGATCTCACTAATTCAACTGTTTTATCTGAGTGCCTCTCCTGAATTGATAAATCTAAATTGCACATTTTCTAAACTGCTAAGCTCAGGAGAAATCTTGAAGGTGGCCCAGATGGCTGTTGGAGTCTTTTGCACCCATCTAGCACCATCTACTGTAATTTTGCAATATTGGATTTATTGTCCTTTTCTCAAACTCATGATGTTCCAGTTCCTTTACACTCTGTCCTGGCATTACTCAGTTCACCAAAGGATTAAATGCATGGTTAAATTGAAAACTAAGCGATTTTTGTAGCAAAACATACTGAAGAGGCATTTAAACTTTGTGTTACCATTCGATTTTATCATCAAGGAATAGGTTTCTCAGATAGCCTGGATCATCTTGAAGTCTGTTGTTGCATAAGCTATATTTTTGCTAGAAATCCTTCTAAAGGGAATGAGTAGTTACATATGAAAAAACTATAAAGACTCTGCAATTGCTTTGTCCCAGAAGAATGTATATTCACATGATTCACACAACTTATCGTTTTAACATTTGTCTGCCTCCCTGGAAGTAATAGGACATAAAGAGAATGAAATCAATATTCTTTTCTACTTGCCTAGCACAAATTCATACTTACTTGGGGTCGATAGTCCTTTTTGAGGGTTTTATGTAATGTTCAAAAATACCTCTGCACGAGGTAGGGAGAGGCCAGAAGATGGAACGATGAGGGAAACATACAGTTAGCTGTGGTCATTACCAAGGTCCTGTCTTTTGTTTGGGGCTGTGGATTTGCAGTTGCCTATTACAGTATTCAAACTAACCAAATAAATAGAACGAAAAATTAAAGTAGGTCATAAATAGACCAGTGATGGAGTTAATCATGGACCAACTCCTTACTCCTGCTAAATGCTAAAAGAAAAAAAAATCCAGAGAAACTACTCCTACTTTGATTTGAATATTGGAAACTGAAGACTTTCAGCCTAGTGAGTTTTGCCAACTGAGGCAACAATCCAAGTTGGATCCTCAAGGCTAGTTAGGGGATGCCTACCTAGTTTCCTGATCTCCAAAGGAGTTTCCTGGTCACAAGTCTCTCTGTAGGCTACTCTATCTTTACGTGTTACTGTGACGCTGATTGGCCTAAAGTGCAGCACTCCTCTCATCAGGAGACGATACATGCATCAAGAGACAGGTACAAGAAGGCAACACTATTCATGGTAGCCCCAAACTAGAAACAATCCCAATATCTGCCAACAGTAGAATGGATCAATGTGGTATATTCACAAAAAGGAATACTCTACAGCAGGGATGTCCAATCTTTTGGCTTCCCTTGGCCACATTGGAAGAAAAAGGATTGTCTTGGGCCACACATAAAATATACTAACAATAGCTGATGAGCTGAAAGAAAATCTCAAAAGAATCTCATGTTTTAAGAAAGTTTACGAATTTGTGTTGGGCCACATTAAAAGCCATCCTGGGCCATATGTGGCCCATGGGCTGCGGGTTGAACAAACTTGCCCTACAGCAAAAAAATAAAATAAAAAATAAAAAGAACTACAGCTCCCACAACATCACGGATGAAGCTCACAAATACAACACTGAATGTAAGAAACCAGATGCAAAATAATATATACTACATAATTGCACTTACACAAAGTTTGCAAAACCAGCAAAATTAAACTATGTTTGAGGAATGCATGCCTAGGTGGTAAAACTATAAAGAAAAGTGAAGATGTCATTATCGTAAAAATCAGATTAGTGGTTACCTTTGAGGGAGTGATGAAGTGATTAGAAGAACACCTGAAGAGGGTGCCCCTGAGGTGCTAGCAATGTTCTATTTCTTGACCTGTTTGTTTGTTTGATGCAATTTCTTTAGCTGAACACTTTTGATTTATATACTTCCCTGAATTTGTGGTATATTTCACAATAAAAAAACAGTTTAAAAACAAATAATGAAAACCTTCTTATGGATCTTTATTGCCCACCCAGTTCTTCACTGTATTAATTGGAGCTCCCTTTGTCTGCTCCCAGCTACTGGTCTTGTCTGGCTTCATCATCTCTCTATCATGACACCGTGCTCAGATCATATTGTACTCTTCAGTGACTTTTTTACTTTTTCCACTTCTATGCCCACTCCCTTCTCTAACCCCATTCCCACCCATTGAATTCACACCTATCTTTTAAGGAATAGCCAAACCAAGACTTCCTTCATGAAATCACCCTTGAACTCCTTGGTCAAAGGTAATATCTCCTGCCTCTGCATTCTCATTTCCATTTGGACCTTCCTGATAGCAGCTACTATATTCACCTTGGTCTTGTAGTGTGTGTGTGTGTGTGTGTGTGTGTGTGTGTGTGTCCTCTTTGTTCATAAGCAACACAGCTTTGAGCACAGTGAGTTCTCAATAAATGTAAAATAAATTCATTCTTCGGTAGAGAAATGAGAATTTTCTGTTTGACTTGTCCACAGGAAAAAAGCCACTGTTTGTTATGGGGATGCTGAGAAATAACTCAACCCATCCAGCAGAGTTTACTGGCTGTTATGTGGGTTAGGCTACGCAATTCTGGGAACTAGCTTGCAGCTCCCAACTAGATTATACAAGTTACTCTATACTGCTGGTTCCAAATCAGTTTTGTGAAATATATCTGGAAGCCTCTAGAACAAGATTTTTCTACCTGCGGCCCACAGGCCACATGCGGCCCAGGATGGCTTTGAATGTGGCCCAACATAAATTTGTAAATTATCTTACAACATTATGAGATGTTTTTGCGACTTTTTTTTTTCTCATCAGCTGTCATTAGTATTAGTGTATTTTATGTGTGGCCCAAGACAATTTTTCTTCTTCCAGTGTGACCCAGGGAAACCAAAAGATTGGACGCCCCTGCTCTAGAAGCTAGTAGGTAATTCATAATGCACATGGAGACATTCTGTCTGCATGTGAGTGTTTATAGAGATCACACATAGAGCCATGACTCTGTGAGCATGTATATGAGTGTATGTGTGCATAGGGGTGGGCATAATGTGTAATTGCTTTGCAGATTACTTTGTAAATCCACAATTTACAAATGTGTATGTTATTTGGTATAATTCAGAACACCTCACCTTCCCCTCCACAAAGTCTATGGATTGGTCAGAGGAGAGAATAAAACTGGGCATTAGAGAATCTCGCTCTTGTCACCCAGGCTGGAGTGCAGTGGCGCAATCTCGGCTGACTGCAACCTCCACCTCCCGGGTTCAAGCAATTCTCGTGCCTCAGCTACCCAAGTAGCTGGGACTACAGGTGTGGCCCACCAGGCCTGGCTAATTTTTTGTATTTTTAGTAGCGATGGAGTTTCCCTATGTTGCCCAGGCTGGTCTGGAACTCCTGGGCTCAAGCAATCCACCTGCCTTGGCCTCCCAAAGTCCTGGGATTACAGTCATGACCCACCATGCCCTGCCTAAAACACCACATGTTCTCACTCATAGATGGGAATTGAACAATGAGAACACATGGACACAGGAAGGGGAACATCACACTCTGGGGACTGTTGTGGGGTGGGGGGAGGGGGGAGGGATAGCATTAGGAGATATACCTAATGTTAAATGACGAGTTAGTGGGTGCAGCGCACCAGCATGGCACATGTATACATGTGTAACTAACCTGCACATTGTGCACATGTACCCTAAAACTTAAAGTATAATAATAATAATAAATAAATAAATAAATAAAAATAAATAAAAAAAAAGAAAAAGAAAAGACTCTTAAGGCAACCTACAAAGTTATTTGTAAGTTGGTTAGCTATTTGTATCCATAAGGACATTCATAAATTACCCGGGCTGCTGTTTGGTTTTACTTTGAATTTACTAGTTTAAAAATGTTGCAGCTACATTTTTCTTTGGGTGTCTCTGAAGAAATGTGGAGTTTTGCTTTTGAATTCTAAGACTTTTCTTTTTTATTTTTATTATTTTTTTTACCATTGTCATTGTGTCATTGGCAGTTTACAAGTATTTTTCAGTTTTGGATGCTGAAGAAAATGAAATAAACCATAATAAAAATAATTTTGTCCAGGTGGTACATAAATCAGTTGAGGAAACACAGTTCTTTGTGGCAAATAAAAAACATATGTATTACCCAGTGCACTGAAATGTTAGTATTCATCAAACGAGTGTTATAGATGTGTTAGGATTTAGATACACGAGGAAGAAGAATATTTGGGTAGAACATAGCAATATTGCATATTTTACCTAATGTAGAATAATTGGAAACACATATGTAAGGAATTTTATATGAATTAGACAGAGCCAAAGTTCATTTCAAGGATATATGGGGATTTCACCATTAGGAAGATTATTTGCTATTTTCTCTTAATTTACTATTTGTTTGGGTTTTTGTTTGTTTATTTGAGACAGGGTCTTGCTCTGTTGCCCAGATTGGAGTGCAGTGGCGTGATCATAGCTCACTGCAGCCTCAAACTTCTGGGCTCAAGTTATCCTCCCGCCTCAGCCTTCCAAGTAGCTAGGACTACAGGCAAAAGCTACCATGCCCAGTCACGATTTATGGATTACTACTCAATATTACTATCAAACTCGAACTAGAGAATTAAAAAAATAAAAGCTACAGTGGATACAATATAAACTAGAAAAATACCTGATTACCACTATAATCTGGAAGTAATAGAAATGTTTAATTATGTGTATGTGTCTATGTTTGCGTGTATTTAGAGTATATGGATATGTAATACATTTTTTCTTTGACTAGTTACTGTGGTACATAAATTATTTTTCTAAACTGAAACAGACACTTTTATCTATGTTCTTTCTGCATTTATGTATACAAATTTTGTTATATTATTTATTTTTTCCTTATTAATGTATTATTTTATAATTTTCTGATTGTTTTGTATGTTTTGCTTCCCAGTTTAATTACAACTTAAAAATACTTTGTAACTTCTTTCGTTACCTTCCTTCAACTACTCTCATAAACTACTTAATACATAAGATATTTAGGTACTTAAAATTGCTTTTAAGCAAATGAATGAATTTATTTATTTGCCATTATTTACTTTTGAGATATCTTAGTAAATTCAGCTAGAGTTTAAGAATCTGATGCAGGAATATAAAAACCTTTAGAAAGTTATACTTTACAGCCAATCATTTTTATATTTTCACATTTTTTTCATTTCTTTGCATATTTTTTATAATCTATGCCAATTTTGCATCAAAGGCAGGTGTTCCAGGTTTTACTGAAAGTAAGTGAAATATAATTTTGCTCCTTTGCTATGACATTTACAGAGCAGGAAGGAGCTATCTTAATTTTAATTTTTAAAACACTTTTCATATATTATTTTTGTCCTCAAAGTATTTCTTGATTTAACCAGGAGTTTTATAACGTATCCCAGATTCCAGCATCTGGTAGCAACTTTTTTAAGTGGAGAGTTTCTAATTATTTTTCTCCTAAACCAAAACCTATAATGTATTTGTAATGAATTTAATATGAATTAAATAAATGCTTTCATCATTAACTTCTTAAATGAGCTTGATATGTTTATCATTGAAAATGGAGTTTTGGCCTAAGACATTTGTTGATTTGTTATGCACAAGTCATTTAGTCTTTGATGATAAATTCAATCTTTCTATTTTTTGTTTATTTTATTTTATTTTATTTTATTTTATTTTATTTTATTTTATTTTATTTTTTTTGAGATGGAGTCTCCCTCTGTTGCCCAGGCTGGAGTGCAGTGGCACAATCTTGGCTCACTGCAACCTCCGCCTCCCGGGTTCAAACAATTCTCCTGCCTCAGCCTCCAGAGTAGCTGGGATTACAGGTGCCCGCCACCATGCCCGGCTAATTTTTGTATTTTAGTAGAGACGGGGTTTCACCATGTTGGCCAGGCTGGTCTGGAACTCCTGACCTCAGGTGATCCACCTGCCTCAGCCTCCCAATTCAATCTCTTCAAATTTCTTCTTACCCTCCCCTTCCTCCTCTTTCTCCTCCTCCTTCTTCTACTTCACCTGAAAGCCATAAGGGGGCACAAGTAATAGAAATAAATTCTCAGAGAGTTATGAACACCTTGAAAAATAACATAGGTTAGAAAGGATCTGTATGAATGATGACGCAAAACAAAACCAGAATGTTCTTTCTCGTGTAAGAGTATTTTACATTAATACATGTGTTTATTCATTTCAGCACACAGACTGGTTTAAAAAAATCCAAGACTTAATGGAATCAATTAATACAGGATAAAATTGTCACATGTGCAATATCATATTTTATAGCATCAGAACTCTTGATTAAACTTGTCATGATATGAAGATTCAGATTTAAGGAATATGTGTATCCCCTGTGGTTGTGCCTGAGTGTATGAGTGTGTTAGGTGGTCAAATATCAAATGGAGGAGACGGGACTTGACTGACATAGTGTTACTTGACTTGTCACTTAGTCACGCTGCACATAATGCTGGGTTTTAAAAGTGAAACAAACTGATGATTAGAATATGTTGGCAGGAGTTTTTTTTTTTTTTTTTGGAGACAGGGTCTCGCTCTGTTGCCCAGGCTGGAGTGCAGTGGCGCGATCTCGGCTCACTGCAAGCTCCACCTCCCGGGTTCACGCCGTTCTCCTGCCTCAGCCTCCCGAGTAGCTGGGACTACAGGCGCCCACCACCACGCCCCGCTAATTTTTTGTATTTTTAGTAGAGACGGGGTTTCACCGTGTTAGCCAGGATGGTCTCGATCTTCTGACCTCGTGATCTGCCCACCTTGGCCTCCCGAAGCGCTGGGATTACAGGCGTGAACCACCACGCCCGGTGGCAGGAGTTTTTATCTTGACTCTAGCTTAGTGCTTAGAACATGGTTGAATGTGCTGAATTAATGAATATTTGGATGAGGCATGAACCACTTTATTAAAGAGTTAAGATTGGCCTATTGCCTTATAATTCTGGATCCTTACTTACCAATAGAGGGTAATATTGATTTGGAAGGTGCTTTAGGAAGTCTTAGTCACAGTTGGTGTGTACTTTGTGGGATGTGTAGTGGAGGGTAATGGTGGCAGGGCACATTCTTCACCTCATTCAGCTTTGGGACCAGAAAAGCAGGGGCAAGTATTTCAAGGAAGTAGGGAAATCAAAGAACTGATGGCTTTTTGGTGGTTAAAGGCACTCAGGTTTTATGACATTTTCAACATCCTCTAGTGAATATAAATAATGTCACAATTTGTCAGCTGTGTGGTCCACCAACCTTGTGCTATCTCTGAAGGTGACACCAATGCTTTCTAAGAATGTGGCAATTTGTATCCACGACATCATCCTCAGAGGCTAGGGAAGTAACCTGAACCTGCCTAATTTCCCCTCAGTGAACAGTTATGATTCTGTTATCAATGAATTTATCTAAATTTGCCTTGACCACATTTACCTTCTCATCCTGCCCAGCTTAGTGAGTATAATGAGTTCCATGTGTTTAATAGTTACTGCATAGACAATTTCTTCATGTTTCTTCCAAAACCATACCCTGTAGTTTTAGGGTAGACTGTGCATTCTAGACTTTCATCAGTAAGTTCATGTTCACCCTGGTCATACCTTCTTGATGTCTTGGGTGTTGATCACATCCCATGCATTGTCATACAAAGGAATTAAGTTTTTTACATCTAAAATACACCTGTGTATTTAAAGTTCTGAAAAATTCTTTCATAAAGAAAAGAGTTTTTCAGTGTTAGATTTTGGAAACTCCCAACTACCTCACAATAGATTGGTTTTGTAACAAAGACAAAGATCTGGTATGCAAACACTCCTAGCCAGAGCACATACAGGCTTTCATAATTCACTCAGATATACCAGTCTAACCCTCAATATGTGATAAAAATTGATTATCCATTTAAAGTTGTTTCATGGTCCATGCATGTGTTTCCACTGGTGTTTTAAGTGGCTTTACACAGAGTGAAATAGCATTACTTAAACAGTAAAGTATAAACATAATATGCCTCGTTTATTAAGGTCCCAATGCTGCAGCTGGAGGGGATCTCAAGCAGTCTTGATGCATAGACAATATCAATGTTCTTCATTTCATAACTACTGAAACAATTTAAACACCTCACTGTGGACTATGATTCTTCTCTTCTTCCTCTCTTGCAAATGATAAGACCCTGTGCTTTTTTCTTTTTTTCTAATCCAAGCCATTTCAAGTCAGCTATGCATTGCTCACACAAGTTGTTTGGTAGTAAATGTTGCAGCTTAAATTTCAGAGTGAATTGAAATCCATTTCAATGTAAAAGGCAGGAGTTGTTATCTTTGTTGATGGTTGTTGAGAAGAGGGAGTTTGATCAGCAAGATCATGAAAAAAAAAGCAAATAAAACTATTGGGTTTTTGCATAAAATCCTAGTGAGATTACTCAAATCTGGTCTACTTTGAGCCTTGGTTATATCCAAAACATCAGGGATGCTTGTTGTAGCAGACACTGTTAGTGCCCCAACTGGACATTCACGATCTCTGTGCAAGCCAACCAGATGGCCCTCAACTGAACACAGCTGCAACTCTTTGTCTTTGGACTTTCTTTGGTTGCCAGAGACCCCTTAGTTCACCTGTTTGTCAACCTGGAAATGCCGGAGAGTCAACAATGGAAGTTGACAAATATCCCATCTTACCTGTATCCTGAGGTGAAAATCTTGAGTGAATGCTTTATTGGCTTTCTCCCCTTCCTCACTCCCCTATCAGTGCTTCCCAGCATTACCTCCCAAATAAACTGCATGCTCTCACATTCTTGCCTCAGGGTCTGCTTCTGAGAGAGTCCAATCTTAGTCTTATATCTACACACACACACACACACATATATATACACACACACATATATAAATATCATGGTGATATATGATATATTGTATATATGATACATATATTTCATAGTGTATGTGTGTGTGTGTGTGTGTCTGTGTGTTAGGTGGTCAAATATCAAATGGAGGAGAGGGGACTTGATTGACATAGTGTTACTTGACTTGTAACTTAGTCACACATATATATACATATTTTATATATATATACATATTTTTATGTATATATACACACACATATTTTTTATGTATATATATATATACACACACACACACCATGAAATATATATTTCATATATATATGGAAAAACTTTAAATGGATAATCAATGTATATATTCTCTGGTCCAACCTCAGGTCAACTGAATCAGTATCTGAGGGGAGTGAGGTCCAGGAAATCCATACTTTTAATACATACAGTTATTCTCATGTGTAGCTCAGTTTAGGAAACACTGCACCCTTTCACCACAATTTCTATTTCCCAGCAGATCTCAACAGTGAGAAGGAGAGCTAGAAATGGCTTTCAGAACATGGCCGCTGTATTAGTCTGTTCTCATGCTGCTAATAAAGACACACCCGAGACTGGGTAATTTATAAAGGAAAGAGGTTTAATTGACTCATAGTTCAATATGGCTGTGGAGGCCTCAGGAAACTTACAATCATGGCGGAAGGGAAAGCAAACACATCCTTCTTCACATGACTGCAGGAAGGAGAAGTGCTGAGCAAAGGGGGAAAAACCCCTTATAAAACCATCAAATCTCGTGAGAACTCACTCACTATCACAAGAACGGCATGGAGGTAACCACCCTCATTACTCAATTACCTCCCACTGGGTTCCTCCCACGACATGTAGGGATTATGGGAACTACAATTCAAGATGAGATTTGGCTGGGGACAGAGCCAAACCATATCAGCAGCCATAGTGAAGTGGTATTCACGGTGCTAAAACATGGTTTCTACCACATTCTTCTTGCTGGGAGTCCCACAAATTGAAGGAAACTGTAGGTGAAGTTTGGATTGGGGCAACCTGGCCACATATTTCTAGACTTGAGGAGGTCATTCTGTTTGTTTTCTTTCCCATGTGGATGCTGTGGGTTAAACAGAGGATTCTGAGTTGGCTACACATCAAAAACACTGGCATGTACTTAAAACTAAACTGCTTATTTATAATTTACTCTGGCTGATCCTAAGAAAAAAGGTGGTCTTCTACTATGCCATTCAAGACAGAAGCCCTCACTATTTAACAGTGAAGAATAATGCTAACTGAATTTAGGGGCAAGAACTTTGTTGTAACTATTAATATATTTTACTAAACAGAAATAAAATCAATCCAAAACCCACCCCAAACCTGTGCCAAACCAAGAATAATTGGTTCACAATCATTCACCAGGAAGTATTGATGTACCTAGAAGTATTGATAGTTCAGAATTCACCAGGGCCATTTCTGAATCCCTAGCTTTAAAGATACATGAATAATTTTGAGAAGTCCGAACAAAGTCACTTTGAATCCTAAAGAACGAAAAGATTTTTCTGGGTTGACTGTAGAAGGAACTATGTTTATTTAATCTGGAGAAGATACTACTAGTGGGGGATAAGAACAAATTGTCATCGAACTGGGTCTTGAAGACTGCGGCTTCTTGTAAGCATATATTTTAAATAAAGATTCATTCGTTTAATTCAATTTATGCCTTTACGTTTCTAATATGGACTCAGTGCTGTACTAGAGATATGGGATATGAAGGTGGGTTGGATGTGACTCTGGTTTTTAATAAATTCACTGTCTGGTAGACGAAATGAAGATCTAGGGTTTTTTTTTCTTACAATATAAATCAATAAAGCATTGCATTCCTGTAATGAACAGAATGCCAAAGAACTGCAGAGGAGAGGGGGGCTAATTAACATAATGTATATAAAAAAAGAGTTGTGCAATTGCTTTTAAACTGTAAAGCACTACATAAATGTTCTTATTTTGGGAAACAGTTGTGCTTAGGGAAGGGTGAAGGTGGTGGTCAAGGAAGATTTCAGAGAGAAAGTGACTTTTAACCTGGGGCTTGAATATGGGAAGGCTTTCAACAGGCAGGGGAAGGAGCAAAGGTCAGACAGGCAGTGGGACCAGTGTGGGCAAAGCTTGAAAACTGCTAGGGTACACTAAGAAGTGTCATTCCAGGCCTCTCCAGATGCTTCTGCTCCATTGTTTCTTCCAGTTTTCCAAAGGAAAATCCCAGATCCCATGGAAACTTTTCAATACCACTTACAAAGTCAAGCCAGGAAGTGCAATGACTGTGTAGCACATGCCACTGGTGCTTGGCCCATAACCTATCTGATCCATAAAACATTTCCATGCACCTCAGCCTCATTTCCAATGATCAGTACCTACATCTTTATGAGGGGATTGTCATCAGGCTGTTGGAATCCCCTGTGCTTGGCCCATGAGAGAGGGTTGATCCCTGGGGACAGAGGAAATAATCAATGACTGCCGGGTGTGGGGTATGGGTAGCCCAGCCTCCCCATCTCTCAGCTGGAATATCTTGGAGGTAGGCAAAAAAAAAAAAAAAAAATCAAAAGGCTTGCAAGCTTGTGTTTGGGGCCTGTTGCTCATTGTCTATCAAATTCTAGATGTTTGTTCTAAACATTTTCCACTCTCCCCAAGGCCACCAACTTCTTCCTGCCTTCATTTGTCTGTCTTCACCAACACAGGCATCCACGTGAACTTGCTGACTTTTCATCCTCACAGCCTCAATATCTCTGGATCTTTATCCACCTTCTCCTCACTGATATCAGAGAAGACATGCTCACAAACTGCAAATGCAGCACACCTACTAATGTCTGTTAGCCAAATCTCCTACTCCTAGGCCAGCCCTTCTTCTGTGTCCATGATCTCATCTACTTCTTCCTCTTTGTGATGCTTGAGCTCTCCCTGGACACTTCCCTGTCATCCTAAGTCATTCTCACTCTGCTGATTTTTTTCTTTTTCTTGAATTGCATATTCACATTTCCTCTATCTTTAAGAACAAATAATACTCCCAAAATATCACCCCCCAAAATTTCCTTTACTTTCCCTCTATGAAATACTAGTCCATCTCCCTTCCTATCTTCCCCAGGCTTCTAGAAAGCTTAATATACACCTGTTCTCTCTGCCTTAATACCTATTATCTCTGATAATTCCTTGTAACCTAATTCTATTTCTTCATAACCAATCTCCACCTGGCCTTAAGGGTTTGCCAGGGACCATCTATGGCATCGATGGGGTTTGCAACCCCTGTGTCCATTGGCATTGCAGGCATCTCTCTACTCTTCTCCGATGTGTTTTTCTCCCTCAGCTTTAAGGGGAAGAATTTACTCCTTTAAACATCCATTGTCTACCCTATCTCTGATGGATGCCAATGTGATGCAAATATAAATGAAGCTCATTTTCTCCCTTAAGATGTTTACCCTCAAACACTGACAACATGTTAATATGTTGGGATAAAAGAATGTGCCTAGGACTCCTGGGATGGTGAATAGGAAGTGGTTAATTGAGCCTGGTGCTTGAAGAAGCTTTGGGGGTGATCCCACAGGCAGTTATAGCCTAAATGGCAATGTAGACAGTCAAGGCATTAACAGAAGTCAAGAAACCAGGAGGAGAAACTCTAGTTAGTGGATGATGAGTTAATACTTGGCTGTGTTTTGGGTAAAATGACAGCTGGACATCCAGGAAGTTGAGCCAGTCAGTCCACTTGGCGAAAGAAAGATTATAGAGGTAGAAGAGATTTGGAAATCAACTGCGGAGGCGGGTGGCTGACACCAGAAGAGTAGGTGAGGTCACCAGAAGATAAGGCTATAGAAAGAGAAGAGAAGAGATCCAAGGGCTGAGCTTTGAGGTGAAGAGAGAAGAGAAGCTAGAATTGCCCAGAAGGAGGATATCTTCCCTCCTTCCACATCCTCCTCGATGCCATCACCAGAACAACTGTTTTGAAGTGAAGACCTGTTCTGGTCACCTTCCTGCTTAGAGACTCTCAATGGCTTCCATATTGCCTACAAGATAAAACAAACAGAAAAAAAAAAATCTCCTTAGCACAAGACCCTTCAAGGTCTAACACCTGTGTACTTCACCTTGTTTATCAACCCTCCCTGGCAGGGCCTATACCCTAACCCAGTGGTTCTGACCTTGGGCTTGTATCAGAATCACATAGAGGGCTTGTTAACACAGAGATGGCCAGGTCCCCTCCCCCAGTACTTTTTCATTTCCTAGGTCTGAGGCAAAGCCTAAAATTTGCATTTCTAACAAGTTTCTGGAGATGCTGATACTGCTGGGGAGAGCAACACTCTCACCCTTTAAGGATCACTGCTCTAACCATGGCAGGCTTCCCCAGCCAGAACAGAGTTCTCTGCCTCTGTGCCTTTGCTGTTGATACTCTATGCCAGTAATATCCACCCTCTCTTCATTGCCAGTGGCAAAGTTCGAGAAAACATCCTAGACAAATTATCTTCTTTGGTGGCTACGCACACTGATTCCTGTCTCTTGCTAACAGTTATTCGGCACCTCTGATAATGCAGGCAATATGCTAGATTTGAGTTGCCAAGACAATTCAGAAAGCAATAGAAACCCAGCCCTGAGCTCTTGCTGCGTGGAGCCCAGTCTTAATATGTTGATATACTGTCTGCCCTGGTCAGGATCTTGGGTGGTCCCAAGGCTTGCGAGGAAGAAAGGAGGGGGAAATCAGCAGCTCTCACCACGAGGCTCTGGAGAAAGAATGATTCAGGCGCTGAATGTTAACAGTATTGCTGCATTTGTCTTTTGTCCCCATCTAGAACACAGATTTCTTAAATGTCAGAGTAGAACTCTTTGTGTTATGTGCTGCTTACGATTGCCTTGTACATAAAAGCCGCTTATTTTTGAATGAATGAAATGAACAGCGGTGTGTCCAATTTGTTATTTGCTTCTAAGTTTATTTAAACAGAAGAGGCCATGCCAGATGACATCTGCACCATATACATTTGTCACATTTATGTTAACATGCAGCTTTTGAAAGTACATTTCATACTATCTCTATTATCTTCTGTTATCCTCCCTTTTTTATCTGATCAATTAGATAGTAGCTTTTGACCAGATGGTCATTAGGCAAGAAGACATATATTTACCTACTTGAGAGAGCCTGAAAGACTTGGACAATTCAAAATAGGGCATTTCTAAACAATGATTTTTTTAAAGTAAGTTGTTAACTTCACATAGAACTTTGTTTTCCTAAAATAAATTTAGAAATGAAAAAGAAAAAAAAAGCCCAGTAGATTTGGATTTTTTTGGAAGACTTACACCAGGCTTTTTCAGATCACGACACAGTAACGTAGCACCACTTTGCCATCTAGTGTTGTGGGTCAGTATTACCTGTGGTGGCACCAATAAGCAGTTTTCTTCAGACTTTATTAAAGCGCACAAAGATGCCTACAGGAGTTAAATATATCTTAGAATGCCATGGATCCTATTTCGAAAAAGTCAGTCTTCTTTTCCATTCTTCCCTTCTCAAAGTCTTTGGAAAACAACCAAGCTGAACTGAATTCAGAGCATATTGCAATTTTTGCTCTTAGAAATCCCCCACATGCATCTGCTGGGTGATATCCTTAAACATGGGAGAGGATGGTGGAAGAGGACAGAGCAGCTGCAAGTAGGTCTAAGTTGCTCAGCTGCAGCTGACAGGAGAGCTGAGCACGGCCTTCAAAGTGGACCCTGGTTGATGAGGAAGCCCAGTGTGAAGATTACACAGGTAGTATCCGGAGCATTCTACCAGTGTTCAAATCCTCGTTCTGCCATAGTACTAGCTGTGGGAACTTGGGCAAGTTCATTTAGCCTCTCTGTACTTTAATTCCCTCACTTGCAAAATGGGGATGTTCTCCATTCGTATGGCTGTTAGTATTAAATGAGTTCCTATGTATTAAGCCTACGTGCTGTATATTGACTGTACAATCTTTGTTAGAATGGCTGGTCTATAACTTACTACTTGTGTAATTTTAAGCAATTTTCTTAACATCTTTGAGCCTCAGTTTCCTTATTTGTGGAGACAGATTTATTTTTATTATAAGCAGTAGCATACCTAGCATATTTGACATCCAGAGTAGATTATTTTTACACTCCCTTCCTCATATAACAAAATCATTTTCAGTAACATTCACGAAATGAAAGTAATAATTGTAACAGTCCCAGAGAAACACAGATAGTGAAAATATTTTTTATTAAATTTTCACACCAGGAAAAAAGCAAAACAAAAATAAATATTACAGTACCAAAAAGGAAAAATAAACTGAATTAATATTTTTATTTATAGTAATGTATTTAAAGGAGGGGGAACCCACATGAAGAAACATGTCCAATTCATTGAACACCACAAGATTCCGCGAGTGATGTGCACACCGAATGACAGATTGAAGCATCTCAAGTTCTTTTTTTTTTTCAGCCACGGTCCTCTCATTGTGATTTCAAAGCTACCGTTTAAATGTAGGAATATGTAAGTACCACAGCAAATGGAGAGGCAAATTGCATCTGAAGTGAGTTCAAGTGATTCTGAACCAACATGAACTTACTCTAGAATCAAATGGATTGTAGCTGAGTCCACGTAGGTCAGCAGCCTGCTGTGTGAGTGGGGGTTCTCGCATTATTGTCCATGCAGAAAACACTTTATTAAAAGGGTAAGTCATGAAAATATGCCAATTTGAAACTTACATATGTTCTTTAAAACTCAGCGCTAACCTCTGCAATTGTAGAACTTGATCCAAAAAGATATTTTGGAGGTGAAGGAGGAGTATTTTATCATTGACGTTGTTTAGAATTGCTTAGACATGCTAACAAGAAAATAGAGACCAATTTGTGGTTGGTTTTAGTGTTGTTTGTAGTTTCTTCACAGAAAAATGTGTCCTCCTCTTGCCTGTACCCTGAGCCAGCTGTGCCCATTGCCTTGCCTTTAGTACCCATTGTTTCTAAGAGATAAGTGAGAAAAGCAGCCAAGACAATACATTCAATATTGAATATTTAACATCTTCAATATATTCTTCTTTCATGAGTTATTTCATCATCCCTCACCTCTTACCCACTCAAAGCCTGCTCTCCATCCCTTCATTCATACATACGTATGACTAAATGATTTTGAGCCTTCAGGTGACCAATGAGTGACAAGCTAACTGACAAATCCAGCATCCTATAATGTTTGATAACAAACAATCAACAGATTAGGTCTTCATTCAACACAGGCCTCATCTGGAGTTCTTCTCAAGACATCTCTCACACCAAAAGGTAGAGTCATTCCAAGCTGTCTTAGCATGTGGGTGTGGAGCTATCACTGCAGAGTTTGGTCCATGAGCCTGTCATTCACCTCTACTCTCAGACCTATACCCACCCTTTTGTATCCTCCACTCTGTATCACAAGGCACTCCATTTCCCTGGCTTCCGGGAAGGTTGAGCCAGTAGAAAACACAGGCAGAAGACTGGAGGGAGAAAAGAGGGAAGAAGCCAGGTGATCTCCCCACCCTCTCACTGCCTCAGGCAGCATCTCTGCAATAGCTGTGTCTCCTCCACAGAGACAAATTTCCTGAAAAGTTAATGAAGCTGAAGCTCCAGGGCCCCTCACTTGCGCAGACCTCTTCCAATGCCCTGTGTGTATCATTTTTTAACAGCTTTATTGAAATATAATTTACATACCATAAAATTCACCCATTGTAAGTGGATGTGGTTCAATGGTTTTTAGTAAATTTATCGAGTTGCATCACCATCACCACAATCCCGTTTTAGAACATTTCCATCACCCCCAGAAGTTCTCTCGTGTCTGTTTTCAGTCAATTCTGGCTCCCAACCCCAGGCCCCGGGAACCACTAATCTACTTTCTGTCTCTGTGGATTTGCCTATTCTCGACACTTCATGTAAGTGAACGTGGTCTTTTGTGACTGGTTTTCTTCACTGAGCCGGATGTATTTGAGGTTCATCCACATTGTAGCATATACTGATGCTTCATTCCTTTATATTGACGAATAATATTTTATTGTCTGGATAGTCCTCATTTTGTTTAAACATTCACCGATCGATAGACCTGTGTATAATTTTGTATCTGTAATTTTCATTATTTTTCTTAAAAAGCGTTCCCCAGATGGTGTTTCAGGCCCCCAAAACCTGAAGCTGCTTCCACTTCTATGTATCCAGCCCCCTGTGATCCTGGCCTCCTAGTATCCATGCCTTTTGTTCGGGCTGGACCTAATAGCTTTCTTCTAACAATATAGCTGAAGTACTGGGATATCACTTCCAAGATTAGATTACAAAACAACTGTTACTTCCATCTTGCTCTTCCTTTCTCACATGCTCTCTCTCTCTTGCTCTCTCTCTCTCTCTCGATTTCACGCTGTAGAGGAAGAAAGCTGTCATACTGTTCTAGTTTAGCCCTGTGGAAAGGGCCACACAACAAGGAACTTATGTCTTCAACCAATAGCCAACAAAGGCTTGAGGCAGGCCAGCATCCATGTGAGTGAGCCTGAAAGCAGACCCTCCCTTAGTTGAACCTTAAGATAACTGCAGCCCCACTGACACCTTGATTACAGCTTCATGAGAGGCCCTGAGCTAGAACCATCAGCTAAGCTCCCAGATTCCTTACCCATAGAAACTGTAAGGTAGTAAGTTTGTTGTTTACAGTGGTTAAGTTTGGGGATCATTTGTTTTGCAGCAATAGACAAGTACAATCCCCATCTGGTAGCTCTACTTCCCACAGTCCCAGCACCCACCTGGCAGCCTTCACTACATCTCTGGCTTCTGCCCTATGGCCCTAACTTCTGATCTCTGGTAACACCACTGCCTCCCACGTTGCCCCAGTCCTAAGGGTGGTAGCAACTTACTGCTGTGGCAAATCTTTGTGTTGCCTTATGGGTCCCTGTTTCACTTCTCACTCTTCTAGGACCTATGCAACAAGCTTCTGGTAGTATCCCCAGTCTGTATGAAATACCTAGAGTGGTTTCTGTATCTAACATAGCAAGGCAAAACATTTCATCTTTGATGACATGTAGCCTCACTTGAGCCTTCACAAGTCTGTTTAGAGAAAGAAAAAAATTAGTGTGGGACTGAGAGTTCTGTAGATCCTTGAATCAGTCTTTGCAAATAAAATAGACTAAGACAGGAAAGCACCCGCTGAGCTACCAGATAGCAAAGCAACAGCTCTGAAAGGTGATGACAGAGTGACTGAGCAGCTCTTCTCACCATCCCACTCTGAGGTGAGCATTCTGGAGCAGGGAGAGAAGGTGTGTGAGCAGCCATCCTTGGGATTCCCCTATGCAGAGTCTCACTGAGGCTACAGCAGGCTGAGGAGAGGTCAGAGGGATGTGCAAGGGGAGGACGTGATCATCATGATAGAAGGCAAAGCCCAATCCTCTGGCACTTGGGTAGCTTGACTGGGGGGCTTCATGCTGCTTATGCCGATGGCCTGGCTGCTCTGGGAATGGACTTAAGCCCCCAACGTGAGGAACCAGTTCCCACAGGCTGCTGTTCTCTGCAGACTGGTGCTCCAGGAAAGTCGATGCATCCTTCTCCGCCAGTTGGACAAATAAGCTGCTCTTTTCTAGACCAACTGGGAAAACAGAAAAGAAGCCTTTGGGCTTGATTTCGCATCTTTCAATTCCTACCTTGGTTGGGAGGAAGGGCTGTTTGCTGGGGAAGATGTTTTCCTAGAAAGCTCTTTTTTTTCTTTTTCTTCTTTTGCTCCCAGCCCTCAACACTGTTATTGCCTCTTCTGGGTGGGGGACCAAGAGTAGGCCGAGCAATAAAGACAGGCCCCTGGCATCTTTTGGCCCCTTAAAGGCTGAGTGTCCTGAACAGTCAGCCATCATTCTTCACTGACACCCTGTAGCCCTCGATTCTCTCTCCACTACTTCTGGCGGCTTCTCCCTTTCTCCTGTGTTATTTCATGGACCAGCACCTTCAGATGCGCCCCCAAGCTCTGACTGAGGAATTGGCAGCTTCTTCTGACACAAGTGAGCTCAGCGGCTCTCCCCACATCGCAGAGGTGATGAATTGCCTTGGAGTCATCATGCCTCTCTCGTCAGTGCAGACACCCAGCTGACAGAGGGACAGACAGAATGTTGGCAATAGGCAAGTCTGATGTCAGAAACCCTATGTGGAGTTTGTGTCTGAGTGCAGTCTGAAATAGAAAAAGGGCATACAAAGAGGGAAATTAGGAATAAAATGGCTAGGAGGATTATAAGATTGATTTCACTCTTGCTGCAATTGTCAGCTGTTTGGGGAATCTGAGCCCAGGCCTCAGCTAGAGCTGGGGAGAAGTTAAAGAACAATGGCTAATAAGAAAGACAGTTCCCACTCCTTCTACAGACCACTGCTGCTTTCTCTTGCTGTAATAGATTTCACCAACAATTCAGTATTGACTCTCATCATTTACATCTTCATTAAATATTAATCAGATATCCTGTAATTGTTCATTGCTTTTAAATCTGGGCTGGATTCTTTGAGGCACTGTGCTGGTTTGTTCTGCTCTTGTTTGGGCCTCTGATTTCTTTGGGATGTCATCCTCAAAGATTATTGGGCACCAGGGTACAATGCAGGGTACAAGCTCAGAAGCAAGGGAGTCACTCATTGCTCACCAGTGTGTTTGATGGTTATTACTTATGTAATGATGGGGAGTAATGTACATTATGCAGGCTCTCAGAACTCTGCTGGTGATACGTATCACTTTGTCCTTTAGTCTGTTAGCACATTCATAAATTACAGCAAAGCCTGGGCAGAGCTTACATGGAAAACCACCATTTAAAAAAATCTTTTCTAGTGTCTTTAATTTGGGGACCACAAATCAATTAGGTCACCAGTTATCATAAACTCTAAATGAGTTGAAAAACAAAAACCATCTTCATTTTGTGGATGTGGAATATTTGAGGACAAGCAGTGGTGAATATGGAAATGGACTCAGCGTTTGGTGAGGACCCACTTCTCCAGTGGCGGCTTATTGTTCAACATTTTGTGGGGTACATTAAGGGCAAACTGATTTTGAGTTTTATTGAGATATTTGAAAATGAGAGCACTCCTTTAGTGTATTGGTTTTAATGCTTTTGGCTGCATGTATCTAAATACCCAGCTAAAATAGTTTCATCATTAAGGATACTTCTCATTTTTAATATACCAAGATATCTGGAGGTGGGTGGTGTCAGAGTTGGTTTGGTGGTTCCACACTGGCACCAAGTACCCAGGCTTCTTCCATCTTTCTGCCCTGACCTCCTCAGGGTATTTATGGCTACCTAGGCTTGTCCCTTCATGGTTGCAAAATGGCTGCCATGGGTTTAGGCATTGAATGGAAACACAACAATGCCCAACTGAAGAAAAGAGATGTCTGCACTCGTGAGGGATTTCTTATTGGGGAAGAAGTCTTCCCAGGAGCTCCCCTCCTCAGTTCTCATTGGCCAGAATTGGGTCACATGTCCATGCCTTAGCTGCAAGAGAGCCTGTTAAGTGAGAAGTTAGTATTTTCAATCTCTGGGAAGAGAGGTTCTCTGCCTTCAAGAAAGGAGGAGGAAATAGCCTTTGTGCGTATAACCAGTAGTGTCTGCCACACTTAGATTCAATTTTTATTGTATTCTTAGCACATGTCTAGCACTTTGTTAGGCACTCACAGACATTACACTTTTTACCTAATTAAGCTGTAATAAAGTTAGAATGGTCAATGAATTATCTTCTATGGTCTTAGAAGCTAGTTGTTCACCTATTGATCTCTGCAGCCCTAAAGTTGTTCCTTGGCAAATAACAGCTACCCAACTAACTATCCGACTAACTCTAACAACCAAGGGAACTGAAACTCTGTATTGAAAAGAAGGACTGAAAAATGCTATTAATATGGGTTCAAACAGTCTGGATTATTGAGACTTCAATTTTCTTTGTTTCTAGCAGAGAATTAACCTAAGAATGAGAGTGAATGGGCCACATCTGATACTTAGTGTAAAAGCCACAGGGAAAAGGTCTTAATTCTTCTTTTAAGTTAGGTAGTACCCAAAATGGCTGCAGATACAGACTCACCACAAGGAATGTCTCAGAATAAAAGGGTTCAAATACTGTGGTGCTCCAGAATATTAGTTTAGGTTGACCCCATCGGCTGGGCTTATTCATTTGAACCCAGTGGGAATACATTATCATTCACCTATGTATTGCATTGAAGTTTCTGTCGACAAGTAATCAAGTCTCTCCAGATGTTTCACTTGCTGTAACAAAGCCACTGTCACAAACAATAATGCACAGATGTTCCCTTTGAAAACCAGATTAAAAATGTTTTTGTTAATGTTTTCAAATTATCAAATGAATTGAGAAGGATATGGATGCAAAATTGGTTTCAGGAATATCTATTCGAAACTGGATATTTTAAAAATTAATTAACTATAACCTCTTTGAGTAAGATTAATCAAACTTCAACAAATAACTTAGAAAAATAAACATTGTAGGTTTTGTCGTCAAGCAAGATTCAAGAGGATGGAGATGAGGAAATTTGCTTTTTCACAGAGGAATTTTATTTCTGTTTGTTTCATTTTTTCCTATCTTCTCTTTCCCTTACTGTACTTTACATGGTTTATATTCATTCTTGTGTTACTCTGAATCTTTGTTTCTGAAATGATTTTTTCTTTGTTTGCTGACTGTGTTACTCCAGTCCATTTATCAAGTGAGCTGAAAGGCTACCAGTTTTGAGTGGGGTCCAGAACAGGAGAAGGCTCTGCAACAGGTCCAGGCTGCTGTGCAAGCTGCTCTGCCACTTGGGCCATATGACCCAGTAGATCCAATGGTGCTTGAGGTGTCAGTGGCAGATAGGGTTGCTGTTTGGAGCCTTTGGCAGGCTCCCATAGGTGAATCACAGCGGAGGTCTCTAGGATTTTGGAGCAAGGCCCTGCCATCTTCTGCAAATAACTACTCTCCTTTTGAGAGACAGTTCTTGGCCTGTTACTGGGATTTGGTGGAAACTGAACGTTTGACTATGGGTCATCAAGTCACCATGAGACCTGAACTGCCTATCATGAACTGGGTGCTTTCTGACCCATCTAGCCACAAAGTGGGTCATGCACAGCAGCATTCCATCATCAAATGGAAGTGGTATATAAGTGATCGGGCTCAAGCAGGTCCTGAAAGCACAAGTAAGTTACATGACGAAGTGGCTCAAATGCCCATGGTCTCCACTCCTGCCGCCCTGCCTTCTGTCCCCCAGCCTGCACCAGTGGCTTCATGTGGAGTTCCCTATGATCAGTTGATAGAGGAAGAGAAGACTAGGGCCTGGTTCACAGATGGTTCTGCATGATATGCAGGCACCACCCAAAAGTGGACAGCAATAGCACTACAGCCCTTTCTAGGACATCCCTTTAAAAGGAAATCTTCCCAGTGGGCAGAAATTTGAGAAGTGCACATGGTTGTGGACTTTGCATGGAAGGAGAAATGGCCAGATGTGCGATTATATACTGATTAATGGGCTGTAGCCACTGGTTTGGCTGGTTGTCAGGGACTTGAAAGAAGCATAATAGGAAAATTGGTGACGAAGAAATTTGGGGAAGAGGTATGTGGATGGACCTCTCTGAGTGGTCAAAAACTGTGAAGATATTTGTATCCCACGTGAGTGCTCACCAGTGGGTGACCTCAGCAGAGGAGGAGTTTAATAATCAAGGTGATAAGATGACTCGTTCTGTGGACACCACTCAGCCTCTTTCCCCAGCCACCCCTGTCATAGCCTCCTAGCTTACATCTTTCTCCCATGCTGGATGCTTCCTCCCCTCAAACATCAGACTCCAAGTTCTTCAGTTTTGAGACTAGGACTGGCTTTCCTTGCTCCTCAAGCTTGCAGACAGCCTATTGTGGGACCTTGTGATTGTGTAAGTTAAAATAAACTCCCGGCCGGGCGCGGTGGCTCATGCCTGTAATCCCAGCACTTTGGGAGGCCGAGGTGGGCGGATCACGAGGTCAGGAGATCGAGACCATCCTGGCTAACACGATGAAACCCCATCTCTACTAAAAATACAAAAATTAACCAGGCGTGGTGGCAGGCGCCTGTAGTCCCAGCTACTCCGGAGGCTGAGGCAGGAGAATGGCGCTAACCTGGGAGGCGGAGCTTGCTGTGAGCACAGATCGCACCACTGCACTCCAGCCTGGGTGACAGAGCAAGACTCCATCTCAAAATAATAATGATAATAATAAACTCCCCTTGATACATATGTATTATATATATCACTTTCAGCTCACTCTAATTTATATATATCCTATTAGTTCTGTCCTTCTAGGGAACCCTGACTAATACACTGACTCTGTTTTAAGACATAAAATTTCTTTTTTTGTGTGATACAAGGACTTACTCTGTTCCTCCGGCTAGAGTGCAGTAGTGTGATCATGGCTCAAAGCAGCCTCAAAATCCTGGGCTCAAACAATCCTCCTGCCTCAGCCTTCCAAGTAGCTGGGACTACGGGTGCACACCACCAGCCCTGCCTAATTGTTTTTTATTTTTTGGAAGATGGGGTTTCACTATGTTACCCTGGCTGGTCTCAAACTCCTGGGCTCAGGTGATCCTCCCTCCTTGGCCTCCCAAAGTGCTGGGATTACAGGTGTGAGCTGCCACACCCAATCCTGAAAGCTCTTTTCACACACTCTTGTTGGTTAGTTATAGCATTTCAGAACTTTTTCATTTCTGGTCTATGCTGCTGTTTCTTTTCACTGTTTTAAATTTCAACTTTTATTTTAGATACAGGGAGTACATGTACGTACAGATTTGTTACATGGGAATATTGCATGATGCTAAGGTTTGGAGTAAGGATTCCATCACCCTGGTAGTAAGCATAGTACCTGATAGGTAGTTTTTTTAACTGCCTCCCTCCCTAGTAGTCCATGGTGTCTATTGTTCCTGTATTTATGTCCATGTGGACTCAATGCTTAGCTCTCACTTATAAGTGAGAACATGCAGTATTTGGTTTTCTGTCCCTGCATTAGTTTGCTTAAGATAATGGCCTCTGGCTGCATCCATGTTGCTGCAAAGGACATGATTTAATTCTTTTTTATGGCTGAATAGTATTCCTTGGTGTATATGTACCACATTTTCCTTATCCAATCCACAGCTGATGGGCATCTGGGTTAATTTCATGTCTTTGCTATTGTGAATAGTGCAGCAATGAACATATGAATGCGTATATCTTTTTGATAGAATAATTTATTTTTGTGGGGGTACATACCTAGTAATGGGATTGCTGGGTCAAATGGTAGGTCTGTTCTAAGTTCTTTGAGAAATCTCCAAATATACGCTGCTTTTTTGTAGCTTTATAGTTTTCTTATTTTCTTTGAACTTCATTTTGTAATATTACATAATAGGTTTCATTTGTCTTTTGGTTGTATTTTTGTCTCCAGTGTCTTCATTATCTGCTGATATGTCATTTGCTTCAATCCCTCTTTTTACTTGTTATATTTTTGTAAGGGGTTTGATCACAATCTTTTTCTGTGGTTCATGTTTAAATGAGGTGGGTTTTAAGGACAGGGACCTTGAGTAGGAAGTAAGCAAACGAGAGCTACTGTTACGGACAGAATGTTTGTGTCTCCCCCAAATTCATATGCTGAAATCCTAACCCCCAGTGTGATAGTATTAGGTGGTGGGGCCTATGGGAGGTAATGAGGTCATGAAGGTGGAGCCTTTGGACAGAGACTATGGCGTTTTCTAGATATAGAATCATATCATCTCTGAAGAGAGATTGTTTGACATCCCCTCTTTCTACTTGGATGCCCTTTACTTCTTTCTTTTGCCTGATTGCTCTGGTAAGGACTTCTACTACTATGTTGAATAGGAGTGGTGAAAGTGGGCATCCTTGTCTTGTTCCAGTTCTCAAGGAGAATGCTTCCATCTTTTGCCCATTCAGTATGATGTTGGCTATGGGTTTTTCACAGATGGCTCTTATTATTTTGAGGTATGTTCCTTCAGTGCTTAGTTTGTTGAGGGTTTTTAAAGTGAAGTGATAAATTTTATTGAAAGCATTTTCTGCATCTATTGAGATAATCATGTGGTTTCTGTCTTTAGTTCTGTTTATGTGATTAACCACATTTATTGATTTGCATATGTTGAGCCAACCTTGCATCCCAGGGATAAAGCCTACTTAACTGTGGTAGGTTGGCCTTTTGATGTGCTACAGGATTAGGCTTTTGTTGAAGACTTTTGCATCTATGTTCATCAGGGATATTGGCATGAAGTTTTCTTTTTTTGTCATGTCTCTACCAGGTTTTGGTATCGGAAAAATGCCGGCCACATAAGATGAGTTAGGGAGGAGCCTCTACTCAATTTTTGGAATAGTTTCAGTAGGACTGGTACCAGCTCTTCTTTATACATCTGATAGAAGTTAGCTGTGAATCCATATGTTCTATGGCACTTTCTGGATGGTAGGTTTTTTATTCCATGCTCATGTCTAGGAAGAATCAATATAGTTAAAATGGCCATACTGCTCAAAGCAATTTCCGGACTCAATGTATTCCTATCAAACTACCAATGACATCTTTCACAGAATTAGAAAAAATTCTAAAATTCATATGAAACCAAAAAAGAGTCTGAGTAGCCAAAGCAATCTGAAGCAAAAGGAACAAAGCCAGAGGCATCACATTACCTGACTTCAAACTATACTACAAAGCTACAGTAACAAAAAAGCATGGTACTGATACAAAGAGAGACATATAAAGCAATAGAACAGGCTAGAGAACCCAGAAATAAAGTTGCAGACCTACAAACAGCTGATCTTTGACAAAGTTCACAATTATAAGCAATGGGGAAAGAACTTCCTATTCAATAAATGGTGCTGGGATAACTGGCTAGCCATATGCAGAAGGTTGAAACTCGACTCCTTTCTTTCACCTTATACAAAAATAAACTGAAGATGCATTAAAGTCTTAAATATAAGACATGAAGCTATAAAAACCCTAGAAGAAAACCTAGGAAATGCCATTCTCGACACAGGCCCTGGCAAAGATTTCATGACCAAAATGCCAAAATTTTGCAATAAAAACAAAAACAAAATTGACAAGTGGGACCTAATTAAACTAAAGAGCTTCTACACAGCAAAAGAAAATATCAACAGGGTAAACAGACAACCTACAGAACGGGAGAAAATATTTGCAAACTACGCATTTGACAAAAGTCAAATATCCAGAATCTATAAGGAACTTAAACAAATTGGCAAGCAAAAAAACAAACAACCCCGTTTAAAAATGGGCAAAGGACATGATCAGACATTTCTTGAAAGAAGACATGCACATGGCCAATAGACATATGAAAAAATGCTCAACATCACTAGTCATTAGAGAAATGCAAATAAAAACCACAATGAGAGACCATCTCACACCAGTCAGAATGGCTATTATTAAAAAGTGAAAAAATAACAGATGCTAGCAAGGTTGTGCAGAAAAGGGAATGCTTATACACTGCTGGTGGGAATGTAAATTGGTCCAGCCACTGTGGAAAGCAGTTTGGAGATTTCTCAAAGAACTTAAAATGGAACTGCCATTCAACCTAGCAATCCCATTACTGGGTATATACCCAAAGGAATAGAAATTGTTTTACCATAAAAACACATGCATATGTATGTTATTTGCAGCGCTATTCACAATAGCAAAGACATAACATCAACCTAAATGCCCATCAATGGCAGATTGGATAAAGAAAATGTGGTAAATATACACCATGGGATACTATGCAACCATAAAAAAGAATAAAATTATATCCTTTGCAGCAACATGGATGGAGCTGGAGGCTATTATCCTAAGCAAATTAACACAGGAACAGAAAACCAAGTAGTGTATGTTCTGTCTTATAAGTGGGAGCAAAACATTGAATACACGCAGACACAAAGAAGAGAACAATAGACACCAAGGTCTACTCAAGAGTGGAGAGTGGCAGGAGGGTCAGGATCAAAAAACTACCTACTGGAGGCCAGGCACGGTGCCTCACACCCGTAATCATGCACTATGGGAGACAGAGGGGGGTGGATCACTTGACCTCAAGAGTTTGAGACCAGCCTGAGCAACATGGTGAAACTCTGTCTCTACCAAAAACACAAAAAATTAGCCAGGTATGGTAGTGTGCATCTGTGGTCCCAGCTACTTGGCAGGCTGAGGTAGGAGGATCACTTGAGCCTAGGAGGCAGAGGTTGTAGTGAGCCGAAACTGCACTTCAGCCTGGGTGACAAAGTGGGACTCCCTCTAAGAAAAAGAAAGAAAAGAAAAGAAGAAAGAGAGAGAGGGAGGGAGGGAGGGAAGGAAGGAAGGAGGGAAGGGAGGGAGGGAGGGAAAGAAAAAGAAAGAAAGAAAAAGAAAGAAAGAAAGAAAAAGAAAGAGGAGAAGAGAGGAGAGGAGAGGAGAGGAGAGGAGAAAAGAAAAGACTACCTATTGGGTACTATGCTCATTACCTGGGTGATAAAATAATCTGCACATCAATCCCCTGCAACATGCAATTTATAAATACCCATGTAACAAACCTGCACATGGACCCTGGAACCTAAAATAAAAGTTGGAAAAAAAATAATACATGATGTGGAAAAAATAATTTTTGGTTTTGATGCCCTTACTACAGAATCATTAATCATTAACTAGTTACTGCATCATATTTTCTTTTTTAAAAAAACTAATATTATTTTTAATTGACAAATCGTAAATGTATACATTTATGTAGTACAATGTGATGTTTTGATATATGTAAACAAGGTGGAATGATTCACCAGATTTTCAAAGACTGCTTTCTGTAACAGTCTTACCCAGGCACATATCATCCAAGAGACTGAAATATAAAATAGGAAGAGACGTGATATAATTCTAATTGGCAGGGCACATGTGATCTCATTTAAGCATGAAATGGTAAAATAATGTTTTAATTTGGAACAACTAAAGCAGACAAGATTTGCCCAATCAACACCTAGCAAAAGACACACCATTGTTATTTAAATAATTCATTTATATTGTAAATAAAATGAGCCAGTCATACATAATTTTTACTCAATATATGCAGCACTATTTATTTAAGCTGAATAGAGCTGGGGAAGTCTATGATTCTAATCATGGACCACCCACCAAAGTCCTTTCTCAACCAAAGGTCACCTGTCATTTATTCATTCATTCATTCACCACCTATATGTGAAACTCCCATGTGCCAGAGATGTTTAAATGAAAGGACAGAGCCCTTGCTTACAGGAACTAGGCAGGTAGCTTCATAAATTCTCAGAAAAATGTGACGAGTGCTCAAAGAGGGAGCAGAAGAGGAAAGCCTAAGTCAGATTAGGAGATCAGAGAGGACTCAGTCCCATACTCTGTTTTGTTTCTGCTATTTTCTAAAGCCAAGTATCCCTCCTAGCTGAACCAAATCACACTCTTTTTTAAGTCTTTACAATTCTATTCATCAGCTAAGCCTTGCCTCATTAATGATACTTTATAGTGACATTTACCTTTCTTTGAATTCTGAAGCTCGAAACATATTGTCTTATATTTGTCTACATTTTATTTTAGAATCATTCTACAGTTGTTTTGCTTTTAATTGTATATTTGTACATTGCTTTTCTCCAGCCGGATTATGAGGTTTTCTATGGTATTCTATTGCTTTTTATCTTCTCTGATATCTAATGTGATACTGGGCACATAATAAACATTTAATAAATGCTTGTTAAAGAAGAGAACAAACAAATGAATAAATGAAGTTGTAGAACTCAATTTTGCAAATTAAACATAATATTTGTTTTTCTTGTGATGGTTTGCTACACGAAATTGATACAACTGGTTATGCATCCTTCAAAATACAGGAAAACAGAGCTGCTTCAGAGACTTAAATGATGCAACCATATTGGCTTTCTTTTGCAAAGTGGATACATATCTGGTTCAAAAATGTATCTTCTTGTGAATTAAACAGTTCAAAATATACGGCTTGTAGAGCATATAGTGGCAACACGTGGTGGGAAGAACATAAACTTTGGAATAAGAAACACCTAGAGTCTGATGCTGAGATGTCATCCACCAGCTAGGTAACCCTGGAAATGAGAAAGCATCACTCAGTCTGTCTCATGTCTGCTTAACAGGGACAATTACACCCTACTGCACTAGACTATCTTGAGGATTTGATGAGATAACTCCTGCAAAGGCATTAGTCCAGTGCCAGCACATAGTAGGCAGTTAAGAAACAATGTCATTTTTATTCTGCTCTTTTCATCCCATGCAAGGATCGATAATTTTTCCAAGATTGATGATACAACAAAATATAATCAACATTGAAGGGCATTGAACACATCCTTTTTGATGATTCAGAAATGATGTTAAGATCTTGCAATTCACAGTCATTATTTTAACCCAAATATTTCACCCATTATATCCTATAATCATTATTTTAACTGATTATGATTAAATTTCTCTATCTACCTCGATGGTTTAATAGGTATTTATGAAATAAAAATATCAGATCAGCCAATTTTTCTATACATGAATTTTATGTGCATTTATGGTTTTGCATTCTTCTTGATATACTCTGAACTCAGCCCAATATAATAAGTTTGGAAGTCCCAACAGATGCTATAAGATTCACATTGACATACTGAAGTTGGGTGAGTGTCCGCAAAGTTTCTGCAGTTATGGGATGGACTTGGAAACTAAGTCTTTAGCTTTCTATCACATAGACAAGATCTTTCATCCCATGCCTCAGTGATCTATGATTAGAATACTGTTTGGAAAATCTGACAACTGAAACTTTGTCAAAAAGACAAGCCTAATTCTTAATCTCGTCATATATGCAAGGCAGTAATTATAGGCTTGAGAGCCATAGAATTTTGTACTGTGCTTGATGTAAAAAGTAACAAAAACAAAAACATAAGTGGGGCACCTCAGCCTGTAATAAAGAGGTCAGATTCAATTCATTATTTGTTTGCCACCATTCGGCGATACAGGTTCTCTTATGCTGTGAAGTTCGCAGGAATAAGATCACAGGAATGTTTAATAAAGCAATGAGTTTCTCCATATTTCAGCTATTTTCTTGTAGGACTACAAAGCTAATAAGAATGTTTAAATAGGTTGACAAGAAAGAAACCAAGATATTTTAAAGATCTTTTCTTTCATCTATTACCCTACATTTCGTTCTTGCCACCAAAACCTCATATAGAGGTCAAACTGAAATGCTTCATTCATAGATGTTTAGAACAAATGTTGTTGTCAATTAAACACCACTCTTATGATTTACAGCTCTATAATGCAATGAAAATAGCAACACGTAGATGATGAAATCATACGTTACAATAATTCAAGAAACTGAGAAACAAGTCGGCATGATGGCTCACACCTGTAGTTCCAACTTCTCTGGAGGCTGAGGTGGGAGGATTGCCTGAGCCCAGGAGTTCAAGGCTGCAGTGAGCTATGATAATGCCACTGCATTCCAGCCTGGATGACAGAATGAGACCCTGTTTCTAAAAAGAAAGAAAGATATTGGAGAAATAATCTTTCCAAATAATTTACATCAAATCTATTTTCTTTTTAGAAAACCCCTACTCTCCCTCCATCCCTCCAGATACGTGCCTGTGGTGTGGGCACACACACACATAAACATATTTAAATAAGTCAAATGACACATGATGTAGAGTAGTACAATTATTCCTATGCAGTAATTTTGCTTAGTAGTGAGATATTTGACATTGTTGAGACATATTTATGATCACGTATATAGTCAATTTTTGTATGTATTCTTAGGTATTCTTGAGAAAAATACCTATTTGCAAATTGTTGGACTCAGACATATGCATGACCATTAAGTAAAACTTATTAATTGTATTGTATGAATCCTCTATATCCTTATTAGGATTTTACCCTCTTAATCTATATATTTCTGAAAGAGATGTGTTAAAACTCCCCACTAATTGTACAGTTTTTAATTTTTCTATGCAATATTATTGATTTTTGCTTTATATATATTGAAAATCTATTGTTAAATGCAAGCTAATTCATGACTGTTATATTTTTCTTTTTATAACTGTGTAGTGAACAACTTAATATCACATAATGCTTTTTATTTTGAAGTATATTTTGTTTAACATAAATATTGCCATATCTGACTATTTTGTTATTCTTTGGTTTGTATATCTTCTTCATCCCTTTACTTTCAATATTTTTGTGTCATTATGTTTAAGGAGTTTTTCTGGATTAAAAAAATCTAAAGTTAGAAACTATTTTATAACTTTTGAGTTTAATTCACATGTATTATTGTGGTTCCTAATATATTTTTATTTATTTCTAACATTTTATTTTGCATTTCCTTTGTATCATACCTTTTCTTGTTTTCTTGAATTGCTCCTATTTTTTTTTTTTTACTGCTTTCTCTTTCTTTCTTTTCTGGTTTAGAAGTTATGATTCCATTACTTTAGCGCTGAATCTTTTTTCTTTTCTTTTCATTTCTTTTTTTTTTTTTCTTTTTTTTTTTTTTTGAGACGGAGTCTCTCTCTGTCACCCAGGCTGGAGTGCCGTGGTGCGATCTCGGCTCACTGAAAACTCCGCCTCCCGGGTTCACGCCATTCTCCTGCCTCAGCCTCCCGAGTAGCTGGGACTACAGGGGCCCACCATCACGCCCGGCTAATTTTTTTGTATTTTTAGTAGAGACGGGGTTTCATCGTGTTAACCAGGTTGGTCTCGATCTCCTGACCTCGTGATCCGCCCGCCTCGGCCTCCCAAAGTGCTGGGATTACAGGCGTGAGCCACCGCGCCCGGCTAGTGCTGATTCTTAAATGCTGAACATGCATGCTTGACATGAAAAGTTAGTATCTCCACCTTACTCTTGAACAAGATAAGACCTTGGAGCACAAACTCCAAGCACGATCCTCCCACCTTCCACGTTTTTGTTGCCCAGTATTTAGTTGTCCCCTGTTTTTAACATCCTATTACTCGTCATCGTTGCTATTGTTTTTATAGTTAATGTGTATTTAGATTTTAACTCCATGTTGAGCAATGACCTAGCTCACATTGTCTCTTGTATTCCACTTCTTCCTTCTGGGTTCAGTACCCTTGTTATTGAAGTGTATCCTTTAAAGTTGTTTTTTTTTTTTCCAGCAAAGGTCTATGAGTGGTCAGTGCTGTCATTCTTTGTCTAAGAATGTCTGTTTTGTCTCAATATTGAATGCAAATCTGGCTGAGAATAGAATTGAGGTTAACAAAGATAATATTCAATTGTATTCTGGCACTATTGCTGCTGCAGCCACTAAGTCTGTTTTGAGTCTAATTTTTGTTCCTTGGTCTTTTTTCTCTGATTACGATTTTCTATATGTTTTCAGTATTTTTCAATTTCATTGTGATGTTTCTGTATTAGGATTTTTTTAAATTTCCTATTTTTGAAAGAGATGATTAACATCTTTC
This sequence comes from Homo sapiens, assembly GCF_000001405.40. NCBI lineage: Eukaryota > Metazoa > Chordata > Mammalia > Primates > Hominidae > Homo > Homo sapiens. The sequence continues at coordinate 38,736,298 of NC_000023.11, read as the reverse complement.
GTCAGTTACGGAAATTTCCCATTCATTATTTCTTCAAATATTGTCTCTACCTCATTTTCTCTAATTTCACCTTTTGGAACTCTTATTAGATGTATGTTGGACCTTTCAGTTCTCACCTTCATGTTTCCTAATCTCTTTGACGTATTTTCTATCTATTCATTTCTCTTTGCTGAATTATAAGTAATTTTCTTAGGTTGGTTCTCAGCTGTGTCTAATCTACTAATTCAATTTTTCATTCTAATGACTCTATTTTTCATATTCCCTTTTCAAATATTTCTCTTTTTTCAGTCTTTTCCTTTTATTGTAGTTTTGACTCCTTCTTTTATCATGTTTAAAATGTCTCATTTTATTCATGTAGCTTAAAAATCAAAATGACGTATTCCTCCCTGCAGTAACTTCCTTTATTAGTTTCCTGTGTACCCTCCCAGTGTTTCTTTGTGCAAATATAAGGATTTTTGAATTTATATTCTGATTTTTCCCTTTTTTTTTTGTTTTTTTTTTGAGATGGAGTCTCACTCTCTCACCCAGCCTGGAGTGCAGTGGCATGATCTCAGCTCACTGCAGCCTCTGCCTCCCGGGCTCAAGCAATTCTCATGCCTCAGCCTCCCGACCAGCTGGGATTACAGGCCTTCACCATCATGCCTGGCTAATTTTTTATTTTCGGTAGAGACGGGGTTTCACCGTGTTGACCCAGTTGGTCTCCAACTCCTGGCCTCAAGCGATCTGCCCACCTCAGCCTCCCAAAATGCTGGGATTACAGGCATGAGCCACCATGCCCAGCCTGATTTTTCTCTTTCTTACCTTAAAGTAGTATTATATATTATATAGATGGTATTGTATCTTACTTTTTGCACATAAAGTCATGACCTCATTCATTTTTTGCAATGACATAGTATTCCATTGTGTGGCCATACCATAGTTTAACCAGTATCCTATTGCTAGATACATGGGTTGTTTCCAGCCATTTGCTCTTACAGATAATACTGCAGTAAATAACTTGTGCGTGTGTTTGTTATTATTTTATGTGTGCTCAGGTGTATCTGTGGAATAGAGTCACAGAGGGTGATTACTGGGCAAAGGGTACCTGCATTTATAATTTTGATAGATATAACCCAATTGTTCTCCAAAGGTAACATTTTGTTAGGAGTTAGAAACTTGTGTTCCCACTAACAATGCATGAAAGTGCCCGATTCACCACACTCTCATTAGCAGAGTGTGTTGGCAAACTTCTTTAATCATTTTTAACATACCTGATGTATAGTATCCTTCAGATGGTTACATTGTTGCCAGTTCTCAATATCTTTCTATTTCTGTGGACTTCTCCTTCATTGTGGGCCATTTCTTTTCATGTTTATAATTTGTGTTAATGAGCATCTCTTCAGCAGATACTTTTTCTTCCCCTTTGTTCTGTTTGTCTGTTTCTACAAATTCTCCCAAAACATAGAGGCTTAAAATAACTATTTTATGTTGCTCACATTTGTGGGTCAGAAATTCAGGGAAGGCTTGACTAGGCAGTTCTTGCTTGGATTCTTTCATGCTGTTGTAGTCAGATGCCAGCTGGGCCTATAGTCAACTGAAGGATTGACTGGGTTACACGTCCAAGATGGTTTACTCACAGGGCTGGAAACTGATTCTAGCTGTGAGCCAAGTGCTCATCTGACACTGTAGGTGGGAACACCTACATGTGGACTCTCCAGCATGGCAGTCTTCTGATGGTGAATTTTTTTTTTTTTCAGCAAACAAGATGGTAGGTTCAAGACTTCTTAAAGCTTAGCCTCAGAAATTAGGTAGCATCACTTCTGCTGTGTTCCGTTTGTCAAAGCGGTCACAAGCTTGCTTGGATTTATTTATCTTTATTTTCGTTTTTTATTTTTTCTTGCTTCTTTCAGGGTCCTAGTAGGAGCCTGCCTGGTTTTAAGTAGAAGGAACATAGACCCCAACTCTCAGTGGAATATAAAAAATATTTTGGCCAATGTTTTTAAAACATCTCTGACATCCCCTATACCCTGTATTGTAGGATTCCTCCAAAATTGTTTTTCTATTTCTCTCGGCCAGATGGCTCAGAGATTTTGTTGGTCTAACACCAGTTTTTATTTTAATTTTTTTAGACTTTCATACTGTATGGGTAGTAAAAATTTATATTCCATACCCACTTGTGGCACATACCTCGGGGTTCATTTTCTTCCAGGAAACTTTTTTTAAAAAATCCGTTTAGAGTTTTGGGCAATGACAACCTCCCTTGTTAAATTCTTGGGCCAATCAGTAGAGTTTTTCTAGTCCACCTTCATTGAGGAGACAACTTTACTGGAGTCCTTGCTTTGTAAAATGAAATAAGTTCCAACTCATTATTTATGGATCCAAGGCCATGTCTTCTGCTCCTATATGGACCTTTAATCCTAACGCCTGGCCATGAAGACCTCCATCTGGGCCTGACACTGCACCCTGCCCCCATCCCAAACCCATGGGGCTTTGCTTTTGATTTCCTCTTATTTTTGTACTTGCAGGGATTCCCCTTCCTTTATTTGATCTAAACTATATATTTAAAAGTTATTGGTGATGTATTTCATCCAGCACCTCTGTGTGTTTGCAGTAGGAGGATTATTTATAGTAACTCAGTCCACCACAGTCCCAGAAGTCCTCAGTTCTCAGTTTTGTAGGTTAGAAAAGGGAGAATTAGTGAATTCCTAATTAAATAGAAGGTAAGTTTAAGAGGTCACCGTTAGTGGGCAAGAATGAGTGTTTCCCCCCACTGGCATGCTTTTTTGTAAGGGCAACTCCTTCATATTTTCTGGTCTAGATCAATGGGCAGATGCCATTTCAGCCAACCCTAAATGACAACTGAAATATGTGTAGTCACTGCCTTTTTGCCATCCAGCATAGCTATTCTTCTTGTCTTAGATTTGGCAGGATAATCAATAGGACCCAAATGGCAATCAATTTCATGTGATTGCACTTGGTTTCCCATCAATTTCAATGCTGACTCTATGGCAGAATAATGAGGAAAATCTGATGCCAATCATTGACTGTGAATGCCACTGCACATCTTTCTAGGTGACTGAACAGCATCAAAAAGAAGGGGAAGAGAAAGCTGTGCTGGCAGAAAGGTAGAGAGAGGACAGAGGAAGCCCCAATGCTGGAGATGAAGAAAAACATGTTGATGGAGTTGTGAAAAGGAAAGCTTGAATCATGACATTCCTCTGATCCAGCACCATGGTAAAACCTTCTGGGGTTGGTACAGTGGAGATAAAATCAGCCTCCAGGCCACATAGGCTGAACAAGATTCCAAGGTATGTTTCTCTAACAATCATGATGTTTAATGACTTAATCTTAGTGAGGAAACCTGCTGTAAGTTCCCACTAGGAGCTGATGTGTCAAATCTCTTTTTGACGATCAAATATCATTTTCCTGAAGCCAAGGATCACATTTTTGAATACCCACAAAATACCCAAACATCCTCCATCATATGAATTCTCAATGAATAACTGATGGAAATATATGTTGTAACTGTTATCTATGTATATCTTTCTTCTAATCTATGGACCTAATAGGTGTAATTAGCATTCTCTGGACTTCTCCTTTTAACAATTACAATTTAATATGACATATGACAGGATCATCACAACAAGCAAAGGATCACAATAGATCCTAATAAGGAGGCAAAGTTTGTTAACAGGCTTGTCTTGTTAATACAATGAAATACATTCAACTTAGATTTCTGTAATATATATTTAAAATTTTTATTTAAATTTTTTGAAAAGGAAATGCATTCACAATAGTAGAACGTTAAAGTGATACAGAAAGACATATATTAAGGCATAATTCCCTCTACCACCCTCCCCATCCACCCCTTTCTCTACTGCTCCCTTTAGGTAACCAATCATACTAGTTTCTGTGTTCCAGTGTTTTTCCATAACAGTGCATAGAGTAGAGTGTCTGTTCTATTTCAGTAGCCACATGGTATTCCATTGTGTGGATGTGGCAAAGTTTATTTAACCAGTTCGCTATTGTGAGAGTTGGATTGTGCCCAGTCTTTTGCTATTACAAACAGTACTTCAGTGAATAATTATAAACATGTATCACTTCTTATATGTGCAGGTGCATCTGTAGAATGAGTTCAAAACGTAAACACATTTGTAATTCTGATAGTGTCAATTTGCATTTCCACCTGTAATATCTGATACTTGTTGCTCATAACCTCATCAATAGAATGTATTGTTACACGTTTAGATTTTTGTCAGTCTTAGAGGTGAGAAATAATACCTCAATGTGATTTAATTTTCATTTGTATTTCTATAATAATAACTGAGATTAGGCATATTTTTACAGGTTTTAGAAGCCATTTATATTAGTTCTTTTGTTATTCATCTATATTCTTGGTCTATTCACTCATATTTCTTGAAATGCTTTTATGGTTTCTTTTTTTTTTCTACTTGTTATTTTTACATTTAAATCTATGAATCACTTAAAGCTTGTTCTAGCATACAGTCATATGAGATATATTGAGGTATGGATCCAACTTTTGTTTTTAGATCACAACCCAGTAATCCAAAGTCCTTATGAGCCTACTGATTAGAGATGCTATTTTTTTCATCACTTAACTTTTTATTTTATATACACTGACAGAGTTCTTTTAGGCCTATTTAGGTATAGAAGTGACAAATAATTGTGAGATTGTGAGGTACCATTGAGTTCCGAGATATTAAATCCCAAATTCACAGACGTCAATGTGTGAATAAATGTGCATCTTAGAACTGACGAAATATAGTATACCTCGTCACTGAGTGTGTTTGTTTGCTTATTATTAGCTTCTACCACATTACTACAAGCTCTTCATTCTAATTCCTATTTTAGACTAAACTTAGAGATGCTATTTTTGTCATGTAGTAACATCATGTACCTGGTTCAATTTTTGGACTTTCTATTCTCTCTCATTGGCCTCATTCTTTATTCACCCACTTTTCCAATTGCTGAGACATACATCACTGCAGATTTGAATTTTTGGTAGGGTTAGTGTCCTCACATTGTTTTTCTTTTTCGGAACTTCACTAACTTCTCTAGCTTATCTTTCTAGTGAATGTCTTGTAGTTCTCTTTGTGATCATTTAATCTTGGGTGTAAGGACACAAAGAACAAAACAGACTTCTACATATGTTATAGGAACTTCATTCTAGATAATTTTTCTTCTCTTATTAAAAAAAATTGAAACCGACTCTGAATGAACTTTCTAATGTTGCAGGACTTTTCCTCAGTTCAGCTAAAGATGGAGTCCTTGTCTGTCCCATGGCCATGAAAATTTAGGCTTGCAGATGGTTTAGAGGGTGAGTAAAGCAGGGTTTTATCGGGTGAAAAGGGGGAAAAAGTGGGAAACAGGGACTCTTGCAAGGCCAGAGTCCCTATGCTAGAGCGCTTCCCACCAGGCCCTGCGGATCCTGGGTTCCACAAAGTCCCTGTGAACTTCCCGAGTCTCCATGTCAGTGGGCAGGCTGGTTGGAGTTTCTCTAGGGACCCCCTCCCACCTGGCTGTCTCATCCCCCACTCTAAAGAAGTACATCTAACTGCCATTAGATTAAGGAGAAGGATGAAGACCAATCTTAACTGCTTCCGGTTGACAGGGGCGCTGTTTTGGGGAAGCGGCAGTCAGATCTCCCTCAGAGGCCTAAGGGTTCCCAGCAGAAGGGGCCATTGTCAGAGGCTTTGGTTGCATGACTGTTTGGAGTCTGATGGCCTGAAGGCAAGAACAGACAAACTGGGTTATTAGAAAACATGTATCAAAATGAAACAAGGGGAGGGGTAAAGACAGCTCAAAAATCCCGAGGGCTTTTACCAGTTTACACAGAGAGAGGCAGGTAATAAACTTTACCCTTTTGCTGGCATGTTGGGCTTCTGGGTTCCCTTCCCCCGAGTCCAATCCTAAGCCAACCAGTTTAAAGTTTGGAAAATTAACTCTTTTCAGGTTGGAGGATGCATCTGAGGGGAGTGTCCCATAGTACAGAGACACAATTACCTATCAGTGAAGAGAGGCCCAAGGAGAAGAAAGGAAAAAGAGAGGGCAACTTTTAAAGGAGTCCCAGGGGTTCAGGATGCATTTGAAAGGGGTACAGACTGGAGATGAGTGACTACCCATCTACAAAAAGGAGAGCAGGCATCCCTGTTTCCCTTCTCTTGCTAGCAGATACTCATGGTACATGAGGAAGAAAGGGAAGAGCGTCCTCTTTCCATCTTTCATCCTTGCATCCCCGAGTCCCGGCTTCCTTGGCAGGTCCTGCCATGAGTGCCAAAGTGGCTTGTACCAATGAAGCGGGGCGGCGGGGGGGCTAAAGAATAGGAATTATCTGCTCTCAATTATGTCTCTTTCCCACCTGCTGTCAGTAGCCTTGGAGTTCCCTAGAACTCATTTATGCCATGGATATTAACGTGGCCTTTATCCATGAAACAGAAAGCTTGGGCTTGGCTTAATAAGCAGGAATCAGCCATGCTCACCTGCGCTGTGCCTTTTAACCTCTGTTGTCATTTGCCTCTGGATCCCTCAGATCCAGTTTTCCTTCCTAGGGCTTTGACATGAAACTTGGGATTCAGTTTTGGACAAAAATATGTCTCGGGGGGTTGCATAGACACCTTATCATAAGCTGAATGCTAAGTTAAAACTGTGGAACTGAGTCCTCCTCCAAAGATGGAGGGGAAAGGATGTTTTGTGACAAACCCAGATAACTGGTGGCTGTAGTTATGCTTGCTAGGATTTGGGCACATGGCGTTTGTCTTTGGTTAGCTCTTTTTTGGTCCTACTTTCCCTAAAGGAAACTTCCGGGTGATGGGCATCCTACTTATTCCCATCACCTGGCAGGATTGGCAGGATAATTGCTCAGAACTAGAATATTGATCCAGATTTCTACATTACCCATCCTTTTTGTTCTTTCTGAACTGCAGCCAGAAATTACTGGTTGGTTCACAGGAACAAGCAGGGTTAGTCTAAAATGTAAGCAAAAACTTAAAAACAACTAGTGAGTTTAGAATTTAATGACAAACATAAGTTTTGAAACATGATTTCTCTCTCTCCAGTCCTCATGTTTGTTAAAAAACAAATCATCATAGGACTGAGTGGTTTGCAAAATAGAGTTTAGTTTTATATTTGGCCTGATTATTTGCATAAAGTACAGCAAGAATAATTATTTCTACATATGCCTTTTGGATTGGCTTTGATGGAATTCTGTTCCACAAGGAATCTCAGATAGGACCTTTTAAAGCCAAGCCCAACCATGGGTTTGTATCCTCAAATACCTGTGAGTTGGGTGATCCTCTCCTCTTAAGGTCCCAAGATAAACTTGGAGCTCCTAGACCTGTTAGAAGGTGACATTCTTTACTGACCATGGGTCAGGAACCCTGTCCAGGAACTGTGTAGGCAGGGGTATGAGGCCAGTTTCCCCACGGGGCTTTTAATGGCTCTCCAAGTCGAGCTTGACTCCTTAAAGGGAAGCATATCCTTCTAGTCAAAGCCTTGGCAAAATAACCATTTTCTCCAATTGTGTCCTGTTGCAAAAGAAAAATGAATTTTTCTTAGTGCACTGATGCAAATAACTATATTGCCATAAGTTAAGAATACTCACAGAGAGTTTCCAAACTCTAGAGGAACCAAGCAGAGAGAAACAAACATGCTCCAAATTTTGTTCATAGGAGTATACCTTACTCAATTATTAAAGGCTGTAAATAGTTTTAAATAAGTTTCTTTGACTATGAAAAACCAAACAAGGATCAGCAATATTACAACCAAAAGTCAAAAAGTTTGCTTCAGCTTTCTGAGTTCAGTCCATTTAGTTAACTTTTGTTTTGCTTGATATTCGTGAACATTTCAGCTCTTCATGAGTCCTGTGCGTTTTCCTTTATTCCAATGTTACAATTTCCAAAGTTATCAGAAGCCTGTATTTGAGAGCACCTGTTACAGTTTTATAGCTTATTATAAACCATCTTTTGAAAAGAAAGAAAACAGGACAATTGTCTGTGAACAGCAAAATATCCAGGGTGGTTACAGTTAGAAACACAATTGACAAAGAAGTTTGGTTATCTCCGTGGTTTACAATAACTTAACATAGCAACCTTAATTATGATTCATAGCATATATTCAGACATTAGAATTTTAGAAATCCCATACAGTTTTGGAACATATGTTAGTATTATTCACAAAAGTATAATCTGAAGAAGACTGAAGATCATTTTGGCAATCCCATGTACCTACACATATCACATAATCTTGTTTACTTCTTTTTTCTGGATGTTTCAGGGGCCCTCTGAAATATTTGAAAAGCCAGGTGTCAGGAAAGACAGTTCTAAAAACGTAAGTTTGATTTTGGGAAGCCTTTTAAATACATTTAAAGCACTTCATATTATGAAATAGAGTCCCAGGTTACCATAAACTATTTATTTTCCCAAAATGATGACTCAGACATTTTAAAGAAGCAAAAACCTTTCATAACCCTTTTGAACTTAGTTAATATGTTCACACAGAGAATCTCTTCTGCAAGATTGATTTCCACTTTTCCACCACTTGTTTGAACCTTCAGCTTTCCCTATCTAACTCAAAAGAATCGTTTAACCTTAGGCAAAAGTTTACATTTCCGGGCTGGGTGCAGTGGCTCACACCTGTAATCCCAGCACTTTGGGAGGCCGAGGCAGGCGGATCACGAGGTCAGGAGTTCAAGACCAGCCTGGCCAACCTGGTGAAACCCCGTCTCTGCTAAAAATACAAAAATTAGCTGGGCATGGTGGCACGTGCCTGTAATCCCAGCTACTTGGGAGGCTGAGACAGGAGAATTGCTTGAACCTGGGAGGTGGAGGTTGCCGTGAGCCGAGATTGTGCCACTGCACTCCAGCCTGGGCGACAGAGTGAGACTCGGTCTCCAAAAAAAAAAAAAAAAAGTTGACATTTCCATGCCTTCTTATAACCTTTTACATAAAAACACATTTTACTATTCTTATACCCCTTGCATGTAAATTTATTTTCAGTAGTTTCAATTACATGTTATAATCGTAACTCCTGGCAATTTTTAACTTTAAGGTAAAACTTGGTAAGTTGCTTTAATTGTGTGCTAACTGCAGCCAAGGTTTGCCGTCTTAGGTAAGAGCCCGGTTAGTTCCACATGTTCCCAGGCCTTACCAATTGTGAAGCCAGCAAGTCAAATAGTTCTCAAAACCCCACAAGCAGTTTGTAACCTTAAAACATTTAGCAAACCTTGCATCTGACCTGCATTTTACCAATAAGCTTGAAGTCTGTTTTCATTTCTTAAAGATTAAAGTCATGTGAACTGAAAGGTATCACAGATTTTACATTCCCATTAAAAATATTTGATTCAAGCACTTGTCTTTCTTTGGGCCAAATTAATTAGAGCTTTTTTGGACAGACATTGCACACAGTACACACACAGACATGCAGAAGAAAACCCAGTCATTGGGTGGGGCCCTTTAAAAGACAGGGCTAGGAAAACATGCAGACATCAATTCGGAAAGAAACGTATTCCCTAAGGCAGGATTGCTAAACAAAGCCTTGCCAAACAGTTACAGGCCATGCCCCCAGGATGTGAAACAAGATGGAGGCTTGCAGCACAAACCATGCACACATGCAAAGCACATCAGATTGGCCACAACCCAAGACTAGCCCCACAAATCCTTTTCCACAATTAAACTTTTACAGGAAGTATAAACAGTGATAGTTGGGGGGTCTGGCCTAGTCAAGGGGAAAAAAATAAACTTTAAACGTTAACTGCTGACAGGGTGGAGAAGAGGAAAGAAAAAATTTTTAAATGCCTGGGGAAGAACCTCTTATTCTTATGCAACTGGTTCCTTCATCAGAGAGAAAAGATTAAGCTTAATTACTGTCCAGTGGAGTACAACCCTTTGGCTGGGGAAGAGGAAAGCTACCACCATGGCTTGTGGCTGGGAAACAGCCAGCGGCTGTACTGGATCCTTGGGCCATGCATCCCAGCCCTGGCAGGGAGTGGGGAGCGGCGGGGAGCTGCTGCTCACCGATGGGTCCTGAAAAAGGAAGGAAAAGGTCTTGAAAAGACCCGGGAGGAATGGGGGGTGGGGGGGTGTTTTCCCCACCCTCAGAAGTCTCAGGATGAAAAGGCTTAGAAACTACAGTGAGAGGTTTTGAATCCCTATTTCATTCACCGCTTCTTGAGCCCCACATTGCCAAAAATGTTGCAGGACTTTTCCTTAGTTCAGCTAAAGATGGGGTGCTTGTCCATCCCACGGCCACAGAAATTTAGGCTCCAGGCTCCTCCCTGCTGCAAACATCGTGAACTTCCCAAGGCTGCACCTCATTGGGCAGGCCGGTTGGAGTTTCTCCAGGGACCCCCTTCCACCTGGCTGTCTCACTAAGTTTAAATGAAGACTTTTCTTGTGACTCTAAGGCCAACTCTGCATTGGCCAACATAACCCAGAAGAAGCATGCTCTGAAGAATTAACTTATCTCATTCAGTAAAATCAAGTAGGTAAGCCCAAGTAGTCGGAGACAGATCTTCCCAAATCCTAGCATGGACTAAGCCAATAAGAGCTAAGGCTTTGGCTTCTGGTCCAACAGCCTTAAGGGAAGAGGTACAGAAAGCAGCTGTTTGGCTCTGATAGATGAAAGTGGGGAGAGATGCCATGATATTTGTGAGTAAACCCTGCACCCAGACTGGGGCAGGTATTGCATGCTCTCCTACCCTACCTTCAGCTACCCCTTTCTCAGGCTGGAAAATGGTAGCCCAAGCAGCTAGGCATGGCCCAAGAGGAGTCATTCACAGCACATAAGCTGAGCCGCAAGTATCCATCCCAGAAAAAGCCCATTTGCCTGGGGAGGGACTAGGGTTTGCAAAAGTCAGGAAGGACATCCGATAGGAAGGTCCACTTGAACTAGATCTTAAAGGATGAGAAGTTTCCTGATAGATGAGTTTAGAGAGGGCATTCCAGAGAAAGGAAACAGCACAAAGGCACAGAGGTTCAGGGTTGCATAGTGCATTTTGGGAATAGCAAGTAGTTTGGTGGGGCTGTAATGAGGCACTCCGGGCTGTGGGTAGTGCCTATGTGGACAGACAGATCCTGCGGTGTTCTCCATGTTAACACCTGAACACTAACTCTAACCCTTTTCTCTAGTCTACAAAATCACTGATCCCCAAAGTATTCTTCATTCAGCCTGTTTTGTATTATAAAAATCTTACTTTCACATAGTAAAAATTTAAACAGCACACATGTCTTTCTTGCCCCCCACCCCCCCCAAAAAAAAACACTGTTACTATTTCTTAGATGTCTTTTCAGGATTTTCTTTCCAGAAACACATATTATGGGTATATGTCATTTTTTTTAAGATGCTTTACTTTATTTTTTATTATTATTATACTTGAAGTTTTAGGGTACATGTGCACAATGTGCAGGTTTGTTACATATGTATACATGTGCCATGTTGGTATGCTGCACTCATTAACTTGTCATTTAGCATTAGGTATATCTCCTAATGCTATCCCTCCCCCCTCCCCCCACCCCACAACAGTCCCCGGTGTGTGATGTTCCCCTTCCTGTGTCCATGTGTTCTCATTGTTCAATTCCCACCTATGAGTGAGAACATGCGGTGTTTGGTTTTTTTCCTTGCGATAGTTTGCTGAGAATGATGGTTTCTAGCTTCATCCATGTCCCTACAAAGGACATGAACTCATCCTTTTTTATGGCTGCATAGTATTCCATGGTGTATATGTGCCATTTTAAAAAGGAGATTGCGCTATGTTGTTCTGCAACTTGCCTCTTTTTTTCACTTAATTACTAATCTTTCCTTTGCTATAACTGCTTTTGAAAAGTTGCACCATTTGGGGGATAATTTTTTTTTTTTTTTGAGATGGAGTTTCACTCTTGTTGCCCAGGCTGAAGTGCAATGGCGCAATCTTGGCTCACCACAACCTCCACCTCCCGGGTTCAAGTGATTTTCCTGCCTCAGCCTCCCGAGTAGCTGGGATTACAGGCATGTGCCACACGCCTGGATAATTTGGTATTTTTAGTAGTGACAGGGTTTCTCCATGTTGGTCAGGCTGGTCTCAAAGTCCCGACCTCAGGTGATCCGCCCGCCTCGGCATCCCAAAGTGCTGGGATTACAGGCATGAGCCATTGCGCCTGGCATGGGGGATAACTTTTTTTAAAAAATTGGCATACTGTTTCTTCCACAAAACATACTAAATAAATGCATTATAATAAGTGGAATTTTTATATTATGGTTTCAGGCAAAGATGCATTCACCAGTTTACCTGAATAATGGTTTCTAGTCAGAGATTCTTATAAGGAACTAATTGGAACTGTGCACAATGCATGGGTTAAGCCAAAATGTTTTGCTTTGCATACACAGACCAAGTGAGAGGGGTGAAGTGGTGCATCTCCCACATATTTTCAGTCTGTTGTTCATATGTGTTATTTCAACATGATCAAAACACTCCATGTTTAGCCTTTACTCTGCCCCAAAAATGTTTTTCTATGTTATAACTTTATTATTATTATTATATTAGAGACAGGGGTCTCACTATGTTGCCCAGGCCAGTCTCAAATTCCTGGGCTCAAGTGATCCTCCCACCTTAGCCTCCCAAGTAGCTGGGATTACAGGCATGGGCCACCACATAGCTAACTTTATTTTTATTTATTTGTGTATTTATTTATTTATTTATTTATTTATTGAGACGGAGTCTCACTCTGTCGCCCAGGCTGGAGTGCAGTGGCGTGATCTTGGCTCACTACAACCTCCACCTCCCAAGTTCAAGCAATTCTCCTGCCTCAGCCTCCTGAGTACCTGAGATTACAGACACGTGCCACCACACCAGGCTAATTTTTGTATTTTTAGTAGAGACAGGGTTTCACCATGGTGGCCAGGCTAGTATCGAACTCCTGACCTCAAGTGATCTGCCCACCTCAGCCTCCCAAAGCCCTGGGATTACAGGCATGAGCCACCGCGCCTGGCCAGCTAACTTTCTTTTTAAGAAGAGTTTCAGCACAGGATAATCATGAGCCCATATCATGATGAAGAAAACACACAGAAGCCAAATTCCCCTTCCAAGGAACGACTTCCTTGCATGCCACTTCACCGCCACCATCCACTGTCAAGTCTTTTTTGGGCAAGAACAGTGGACCTTCATTTTGTACATGCTTGCAAATTGGTGTTTATTACTTACACAAATTTGTTTTCATAGTTCAAATTGATTTTTTTTTCTGTCTGCGAAACATTTTGGGGTATTTGGGTTGGGTTAGAGCACAGTACAATTTTTTCCAGTAAGACTAATGTAGGCAATTTTTCAGGAAACAGCTCTTCGCATAGTGGCAAGGTTTTCGGGAACAAATAAGAGTCTTTAAAAGAGGATGTAGAGGTTCTCTAGGGATGTAGATCATGGACAAGGCCACACCAGCACACCTCAATCTACAAGATTTTGTTTGCGATTTCCCATTGACCAGCGTATGTAGCCACCACAGTGACTCTACTCAGCCCCCTCTTACTGGATGAGCTAGATTTTGTTTTTAAAAAAGGAAAAAGAAAAATCTACAATAAAAAATATGGCAGTGGATATCCTTTTACACACATCTTGAAGCACTTGAGCAAGAATATTTGTAGGAGAAATTTCTAGGAGTAAAATTGCTGGGTCAAGGAGTGTATGCATTTACAATATGAAAGTGAGTACTGAATTTCCCTCCTGGAAGACACACCAATTTACACTCCCATTAACATTGGATAAGAGTCCCTACACCCTTACCAACAATGGATGATAGCAAACATTTTCAGATGTGAAAGCAGCAACCTGGCTTTTTTATATGCACTTCTTTAAATGTTAGTGAAGTATAAGAGTGAAAGGAAACGTTTTTCATGTGCTTATTGCCATACGCAATTCTTTTTCTTTGAAATGCCTCTTTATGGCCTTTGCCCATTTTTCCACTAACTTGTTAGCCTTTCTTTTATTGAATTGTAAGTCTTCGGGATTTTAAATAGGAGTGGGATACAATCGCATTTTAGAAAGTTCTTTTGCTTTAAAGTACCAAATTGATATTACAGTTTATCATCCACTTGCCTAATGTGCTCATATTTTAGTGATTTCTGAAGAATCTAGGCATAGGTTTCTCTGAGGCACTGTGAAGTAGAAAAGCTACTATTAAAGCATGAAGTTTATAAACTCTAATGGGCTAAGTCTCACTGAGATAGTGTCTTATTATATTTTGTTGTTGTTGAAGTTTGAGGGTTAAGCAGAAAATAACAGTAACCAGGAAATTTGGCAACAAAGAGAGCAGATAAATTATATCGTCTGAAAATGAAACAAAAACTGAATTTGTCAGACTATTTCAAAAATACATAATAAAAGATACACCACTGTTGTATTAATTTCTCTGAAATGCTCCTTTGATTTGTCTCTGAAGGGCAGGAACATTTCTTCTTACTCCTCTTTGGAGGATACACACGTGGTCACGGTTTGCTGATAAAGATAGTCCTTTTCCTGAACTTTCCATTTCCACTTATGCAGCATCTGAATTCCCCAAGGCAGGCACACATGCCTTTAAACACCTGGGTTTGAGCTACCTCTCCAGTAGGATCCGTCTCGATTCTCCAATGTGAAGTGGCTGTCCCATCCACAGTAAATACTACATTGTCCTCCTCTTGGCCTTTGTATCATGTTCTCCTGTGTTGGTGCATCCTCCACCTATGGCCCATTTGGCCCTCAAGGTCAGCCAACTTCTGCTTCTCTTTAAAATCTTCTTGGCTCCCTTACTCCCACAGAGTCCTCCAGATCTCACTCTCCCCAGCTGTTTGGCTCTTCTCTGGGCTTTCATTTGACCTCTTTTATGAGTGTGGTTTGTTTCTCCCACTAGATTAGAGGGCTCTTGAGATCAAGGGTCCTGTGGTAGATTTCTTAGGATCCCCTCTCCTCCTATAATGACTTTCATAGTACTAAATACTCAAATATTTACTAAATGATAATGACATGAGTAGGATGTTTGGATACTTTTAGCCTATCATCTGAGGTTCTTCTTGGCACTTTCTGCCACAAGATGTCCGCTTCTGACTGTTCCTTCTCTGCTCCAGCCTGGTGACCCACATCTTCCACCTATCCCTTCAATGCTGGGGTTCTCTGAGGGTTTCTTCTTGTCCTTTTGCTCTACTCATTCTCTGGAAAAATTTCATCCACTCCATCTTTTCTGCTTCTGGTGACTTAAGATTGCAGCCTAGGCCAACTTCGTGAAACCCCATCTCTACTGAAAATACAAAAATTAGCCGGGTGTGGTGGCGGGTGTCTATAATCCCAGCTATTCAGGAGGCTGAGGCAGGAGAATCACTTGAACCCGGGAAGCAGAGGTTGCTATGAGCCGAGATCATGCCATTGCACTCCAGCCTGGGTGACAGAGCGAGACTCCGTCTCAAAAAAAAAAAATTTTGCAGCCTAAACGATCTCTGGAGCCATACTTTTAGGTCCACCTGGCTGATATTTACATGCCTGCCAGATATCGGCACCTAGATATCTCTGAAATACCTCAAACTCTCAAATTACCTAAAATCCAACTCATTGTTGTCCCCTAATTCTGCTCCTGTTCCTGAGTTCACCATCTCCAATGGTGGCCCCACCACCCTTCCAGCCATCCAAACTAGAAATCTGAGTCATTCCTCATTACTCTTTCACCTTCACCCCATCCACATATCCAACAAATGACCAAGCCCTGCCAATCTGAATCCCAAGATGTCACCCCTTTTGACCCCAAGTATCAGTGCCTTAGCTCAGGCTTGCCTCATTTCTGGATAATTGTACCACTTCCTAACTAGTCTCTCTGATCTTAATCTCATGCCCCTCAAATCCTTCCAGAGCAATCAATTTCCTCTACTCAAAACAGCTCCCAGCTCTTTGTTGACTAAACGTTGCAGTCCCTGACCCTCCACCTGGTGTATAAGGCCCATAGAGCTCTGTCCTTGTCTACTCCTGCTTTGTCTCTCACAACTCCCAGTGAACACAGCAGCAACATAGAACTTATGTGGTATCTACCCACCCCACCACCACCATCACACCCATCTTATTCTTGCCTTGCCTCTTACTACAAATGTCTGCCTTGGCTCTAATGCTCTTCCACCTTCTCTTTACCTGGCCATCTCTTTTTTTTTTTTTTTTTTTTCCGAGATGGAGTTTTGCTCTTGTTGCCCAGGCTGGAGTGCAGTGGTGCAATCTCAG
The DNA here is from genome assembly GCF_000001405.40 of Homo sapiens. NCBI lineage: Eukaryota > Metazoa > Chordata > Mammalia > Primates > Hominidae > Homo > Homo sapiens. The sequence continues at coordinate 38,720,103 of NC_000023.11, read as the reverse complement.
CTCCCTGCAACCTCTGCCTTCTGGTTTCAAGCGATTCTTCTGCCTCAGCCTCCCAAGTAGTGCCTGCCACAACGCCCGGCTAATTTTTTTTTTTTTTTTTTTTTTTTAGTAGAGACGGGGTTTCACCATGTTGGCCAGGCTGGTCTCGAACTCATGACCTCGTGATCCCCCCGCCTCGGCCTCCCAATGAGAGACAGGACTAGCTGGATTTCCTAGGCCAACTAAGAATTCCTAAGCCTAGCTGGGGAAGGTGACCGCACCCACCTTTAAACACGGGGCTTGTAACTCAGCTCACACCTGACCAATCAGGTAGTAAAGAGGGCTCACTAAAATACCAATTAGGCCAAAAGCAGGAGGTAAAGAAATAGTCAAATCATCTATCATCCGAGAGCACAGGGGGAGGGATAATGATTGGGATATATAAACCCCAAGCATTTGAGCTGGAAGTGGGCAACCCTCTTTGGGTCCCCTCCCATTGTATGGGAGCTCTGTTTTCACTCTATTAAATCTTGCAACTGCACACTCTTCTGGCCCATGTTTCTTCGCGCTCGAGCTGAGCTTTCGCTCACCGTCCACCACTGCTGTTCGCCGCCATTGCAGACCCACCATTGACTTCCAACCCTCCAGATCCAGCAGGGTATATGCTGCACTTCTGATCCAGTGACGCGCTCAGTGCCGCTCCCAATCAGGCTAAAGGCTTGCCATTGTTCCTGCATGGCTAAGTGCCTGGGTTCGTCCTAATCGAGCTGAACAGTAGTCACTGGGTTCCACAGTTCTCTTCCATGACCCACAGCTTCGAATAGGGCTATAACACTCACCGCATGGCCCAAGGTTCCATTCCCTGGAATCTGTGAGGCCAAGAACCCCAGGTCAGAGAACAAAAGGCTTGCTGCCACCTTGGGAGCGGCCACCACCATCCTGGGAGTGGCCCACCACCATCTGGAGAGCTCTAAGAACATAAGACCCACCCGTGACACCAAACTGCTGGGATTCCAGGCGTAAGCCACCACACCCAGCCTTACCTGGCCATCTCAATTCACCCTTTAACACTGAACTCAGGGTCCCCTTCCTCAGGAAGCAAAGCATTATCTGATATCTGATCCCTCTCATCTCCCTCCCCTACTCCCAGCTAAGCAACACCCTGTCCAAATCACTGATTTTACATAAAACGTAATATCCTATTTATTTATAATATTCCTTCTTTTCTATATCTGGCTTTCTACTTGACTGCAAGCTCCATGAGGACAGGGCTCGTATTTTTTACATCTTTAGTCTGGCACATATTAAGTGTCCAGTTTGCTGAATGAAAAACCATCCATTTTTATTCCTCAGCATATAGACAACAATTGCAGTGATATATGGATGAGATTGGGAGTACTTCACAATCCAGCTTTGACCACCTTATGGAAAGTTATTTCTTCATGGGCTTATGTAGGATGAAGGTTTCAGAAATTGGCAGGAATTACACGATTTACTGCATAGGTCTGACACTTAGTTTTTCTATCTTTTGTAACTTTTCCTGGCTAAGCTTCAGCACAGCATTATGTAGTGGGAGGAGTGAACTCTTGCCTATTATGAAATGACTGTGGTGTAGGTTAAATGTGTGTGGCAATGGGCTGCCTTATAAAGTCAGATTTGTTTGGGGATATTGCTTCTGGAATCAGACCACAAGTCATCCAGTGATGAGGGGAACCACAAGGGTAAGCCAGAATGCACCCAGTGCCTGTCAAGATGTAAAGGACTGTAAAACTGGAGTTGGAGAGGAATAGAAATAAAACTGTATTGCCCTTGCATTCACGTAGCTGCTATCACGGCCCCTGGGTCAGTATTCCTTACAAATGGTTACTTAAGCATCATAATAAAGACAAAAGAAAAAAATGGGCAGCTTTATTTTGGTTTCTGGTTCTTAGTAAGGAAATAAGATAAATGTAAGTTCAACTTGACATATAGGAAGCAATTATCAGCAGTCTATCTCAAGTCGCTGAGTGTGAATGGGTTCTCTGGTAACCTGTTGGTCAGTTTCTGTCTGCATCTGCCCCCTAGTGGTTCATCTGGAGTAGCTGACACTCAATCTGTGATGTTTTGAGCCATTTTTGGCCTTTTTGTTCAGGAAAGGGAAGAGGATTTTCCCTAGAAATGTAGAAAAGAGAGTGTCTTTTTGTATAGACCCTAGCATCTTAAAATTGAAATTTATGGAGTATATTTAATTTCTTTTGTAACTACCCAGTAACTACCCACTCCTGAAAGCCTAGTTTAACCTATACAGAACTACATCAACTCTTATTTTACACAAGCCTGGCCATGCCTTCAAAAAATATTGTGTCTTCTTGATTCTGGTAGAATGATTGACACATTGATTTTATTACCTTCATCCCGTCTAGAATTATTACTAGTTCGTTGTTCTGCTTAATCTTCCTTCTCGGCTAATCTTTGTGAGATTTGTGGTTTGTAATCGTTATGTAGCCAGCATTCTCAAATAACATAGTCTTCATTTTATATTAATCTGAAATGGAATGTTATTGGGTAAAATACCCCTTAGGCGTATAATGAAAAGGACCCATTAATTTTCAGGGCAAGAGGGCTAATTACTCCCCTCCCCCCTTAAGTCTGTACTAATTTATAGAATTAAGTACTGAAGCTAATTTTGATTTCTTCATTCCAATGTACAGCTCTTCTGAAATGCTTGGCCAGAACAGGAAAAGGAACTTTAGAAGATCGGGTGCTTAATAAATATGATTTATGATGCTGCAGTTTGTAAATGAGTCAAAATTGAAAGAAATGTGGGGCTCCATGAGGGAATGCTCATGTTTTTAATTAACAGAACTGTAATTGGGTGACCTGAACATTTTATGAGTGCACACATGGGCAATGCTTCATAGGAGACACTTTGTAGCATCGTTATAGAAAATAAAGAAGGGGCAGTATAGCATGGTGGTTAACAGCATAGCCCTGTTGCCAGTCTACTGATTCATTGAGAATTCCAACTTCACTGGTGTGACCTTCTGGAAAGTTGCTTAACCTCCTTGTTTTTCAGCTTAGTAATCTGTAAAACGGAGATGACAAGAGCACTCCCCAATTCATATCATTGTGAAAATTAAATGAGATAATAGTGCATACAAAATCTTTAGAACAGTTCCAAACATTAATGCCAACAGTGTTAGCTATTCTTAGTATTAAAAGACATTCTCAGATTTGCACACTCATATTCATAACAACATTATTCACAATAGCCAAGAGGTAGAAGCAACCCAAATGTCCATGGAGAAACAAAATGTCGTATATACATATAATGGAATATTATTCAGCCTTGAAAAAGAAGGAAATTCTGCAATTTGTGATGGCATGGGTGAACCTGGGGGACATTAAGCCAAGTGAAATAAGCCAGCCATAGAAGACAATTACTGTATAACTATACTTGTATGAGATATCTAAAGTAGTCAACATCATAAAAACAGAAAGTAGGATGCTGGTTACCAGGGGATTGGGGTGAAAGAAGAATGGAGAGTTGTTTAATGGGTATAGAGTTTCAGGTTTGCAGAATGAAAAAGTTCTCAAGCTCTTTTTCACAACTATGTGAATATACTTAACACTACTGAACAGTATACTTAACAATGGTTAAGGTGGTAAAATTATGCTATGTGGTTTTTACTACAATATTTTTTAAAAGACATATTTTACTAAAGGTGAGGGAGTTTCTGGGATGCTGGGAATGGTCTGTATCTTGATGTGGGTGCTAGTGATATTAATGCACTTATTTTGTGAAAATCCATCCAAAAAGAGCGTGTTATATAAGTACTTTCTGTATGTGTTTTGCCTCGATGAAAAGTTTTAAAACAAAGATACTTCCTTCCTTTGCTGATTTGCACTTGCTATCACATAGCCAGAAAAAGCACACAACTGCTTATAGAAACAATTTTTAAAAATATTTACATATATGGAAATGACTATTCAGAGGCAAGCAGGTGTGCTAAGAATTAAAGGAATTCAAACATCCTTCATATATTGTTACAACCTGAATAAACTTAAGAAAATATGACACAGTGCAATGGAGATAGAATACTTACTAACCTGTACAAGAATTTTATTCACTTTTTTAAAAACAACCACCCTTAGGGTAAGACTCAGAAGAATTCGGTAACACAAAGTATACCTTTTAAAAGTAATTAACAATTCATAATCGACATACATATTTTTATAACAGCTTTACTGAGATGTACTCCGCTTACCATAGAATTCAACCATTTAAAGTGTACACTTATATTCACAGAATTGTGCAACTATTACCACAATCAATTGTAGACCATTTTCATCACCCTAAAAAGAAACCCTGTACCCTTTAGCAATCATTCTCCATTTCTCCACAACATCTATCCACCCCCAGCCCTAGGTAACCACTAATCTACTTTCTTTCTCTATAAATATTATTTATAGCTTATATAAATGGAATTGTATAATCTTTGTCCTTTTGTGACTGGTTTCTTTTATTTAGCTTAATGTTTTTGAAGTTCATCCATGTTGTAGCATACACCTGTACTACATTCTTCTTTACAGCCCAATAATACAGACATGCCTCGACTTATGATGGGATTATGTGCTGACGAACTCATTGTACATTGAAAATATCATAAGTTAAAACTGCATTTAGCTGGGTGCTGTGGCTCACGCCTGTAATCCCAGCACTTTGGGAGGCCAAGGTGGGTGGATCATTTGAGGTCAGGAGTTCGAGGTGAGCCTGGACATGGTGAAACCCATCTCTACTAAAAATAGGAAAATTAGCCAGACATGGTGGTATGCGCCTGTTATCCCAGCTACTCAGGAGGCTGAGGCAAAAGAGTTGCTTGAATCCAGGAGGCGAAGGTTGCAGTACCACTGCACTCCAGCCTGGGTGATGGAGTGAGACTCCATCTCAACAAACAAAACAAAACAAAACAAACAAATTTACAAGAAAAAAACAAACAACCCCATCAAAAAGTGGGTGAAGGATATGAACAGACACTTCTCAAAAGAAGACATCTATGCAGCCAACAGACACGTGAAAAAATGTTCATCATCACTGGCCATCAGAGAAATGCAAATCAAAACCACAATGAGATACCATCTCACACCAGTTAGAATGGCGATCATTAAAAAGTCAGGAAACAACAGGTGCTGGAGAGGATGTGGAGAAATAGGAACACTTTTACACTGTTGGTGGGACTGTTAACTAGTTCAACCATTGTGGAAGACAGTGTGGCCATTCCTCAAGGATCTAGAACTAGAAATACCATTTGACCCCGCCATCCCATTACTGGGTATATACCCAAAGGATTATAAATCATGCTGCTATAAAGACACATGCACACATGTGTTCATTGAGGCACTATTAACAATAGCAAAGACTTGGAACCAACCCAAATGTCCATCAATGATAGACTGGATTAAGAAAAGGTGGCACATATACACCATGGAATACTATGCAGCCACACAAAAGGATAAGTTCATGTCCTTTGTATGGACATGGATGAAGCTGGAAACCATCATTCTCAGCAAACTATCGCAAGGACAAAAAACCAAACACCACATGTTCTCACTCATAGGTGGGAATTGAACAATGAGAACACTTGGACACAGGAAGGGGAACATCACACATGGGGCCTGTCGTGGGGTGGGGGGAGGGGGGAGGGATAGCATTAGGAGAGATACCTAATGTAAATGACAAGTTAATGGGTGCAGCACACCAACATGGCACATGTATACATGTGTAACAAACCTGCACGTTGTGCACATGTACCCTAGAACTTCAAGTATTAAAAAAAATAACTGCATTTAATGGACCTAACCTACCAAATATAGCTCAGCCTAGCTGTTCTTAAGCATGCTCAGAACACTTACATTAGCCTACAATTGAGCAAAATCATCTAACACGAAGCCTATTTTATAATAAAATGTTGAATGTCTCGTAATTTTTTGAATACCGTACTGAAAGTGAAAAACAGAATGCTTGTATGGGCACTTGAAGTACGCTTTGTACTGAATGTGTATGGCTTTCACACCATCATAAATTCAAAAAAATTTATGTCAAAACATCATAAGTCAGGATCATCTGTATTTCGTTGTATGGACATACCACCTTTTATTTATCAGTTCATCAGTAAATAGACATTTGGGTTGTTTCTGCTTTTGGGCTATTATGAGCGATGCTGCTGTAAACCTCTGAGTACAAGCTTTTCCATGAACAGATGGTTTCATTTCTCTTGACTGTATATATACCTGAGTGAAATTGCTGGGTCTTGACACACATATTTGACATAAATTAAAGTGCACCATTTAAAGTGTATAATTTGATAAGTTTTGACGTGTGTACACACATGAAATCATCACCACAATCGTGATCATAAACATATCTATCAGCCCCACTCCAAAAATTTCTCATGCCTTTTTGCCCCTCGCTATCCTAGACCTGCCCCCAGGCAACCACTGATACGATTTCTGTCACTATGGAGGAGTTTGTACTTTCCATAATTTTATTTAGATGGAATCACACAGTACATACTCTTTTGTCTGGTTTCTTTCAGCCAGCATTTTGGGATTTATCCATGTTCTTATGCATATCATTAGTTCATTTCTTATTATCCATTCTATAAATATACTAGCATTTGTTTATCTATTCACCTGTTAACAGACATTTGTGTTGTTTACAATTTTTGGCTATTTCAAATAAAGCTGCCATGAACAGCTGTGTACAAATTTTTGTATGGACCATGTTTTTATTTCGCTTAGCTACCTAGGAGTGGAATGGCTAGATCATATGTAGGTTTTTCTTTAACATTTTAAGAAATTGCCAAAATGTTTTCCAAAGTAGTTGGATCATTTCACATTCCAGCCTGCAGTGTAGGAGCTTTCCAGTTGTTGTGGTAAATCAACACCTGGTATGGTAAAATCACTTCAATTTTAGGCATTCTAATAGGTGAGTAGTGATATGTTATTGTGGTTTTAATGTTCATTTCCCTAGTGACTAATGATATTAAGTGTGTTTTTATTTAATTACTTCCCATCTGTGTATCTTCTTTGGTGAAATGTCTGTTCAACTATTTTTTCCATTTTTACTGCATTGTTTTCTTATTGAGTTTTGAGATTTTTTAATATATTAGAGAGACAAATTATTTATCAGATTCATGCTTTGTAAACATTTTCTTCCAGTCGGTAGCTTGTCTTTTTATTCTTAGTGTCTTATCTAAAAAATCTTTGTGAAACCAAAGGTGAATATTTTCTCCTTTTTTTTCCTAGAAGTTTTATAGTTTTAGGTTTGACATTAGTTCTGTGATTCATATTCATTTTTCTATGCAAGGTGTGGCTATAAATTCATTTTTTTTTTGCATGTGAATATCCAAATGTTCCAGCACCATTTGAGGAAAAGGCTATTTTTATCCACTCTGTTGCTTTTGAAACTTTGTGAAAAATCAGTTGTCCATATGTGTGTGAATCTATTTCTGGACTTCTATTCTCCATTGATCTCTTTGCTGATCTGACTCCAATACCACACTCTTTTGACTACTGATGTTTTATTTAATTCTTGAAATCCAGTAGTGTTAGCCTTTCCATTTTGTTACTCTTTTTTTAAATTTTATTTTACTTTAAGTTCTGGGATACATGTGCTGCATGTGCAGGTTTGTTACATAAGTATACATGTGCCATGGTGGTTTGCTGCACCTATCAACCCATCATCTATATTTTAATCCCCACATGCATTAGGTGTTTGCCCTAATGCTCTCCCTCACCTTGGCCCCCACCCCACAACAGGCTCTGGTGTGTGATGTTCCCCTCCCTTGTCCATGTGTTCTCATTGTTCATCTCCCACTTATGAGTGAGAACATGCAGTGTTTGGTTTTCTGTTCCTGTGTTAGTTTGCTGAGGATGATGGTTTCTTTTTCAGAGTTATTTTGACTATTCTAAGTCCTTTTGCATTTCCATGTGAATTTTGGAGTGAGCATGTCCGTTTCTTAAAAAAAAAAAAAAAAGGCTGCCAGGATTTTGATTGGCATTGTATTGAATTTATCAATTCAGAGGAAGTGACATCTGTTCAATTTTGAGTCTTGTGAACAATTAACAAGATATATCTCTTCATTTATTTGGGTCTTCTCTAATTTCTGTTAGCAATATTTTTTAGTTTTCAATATATAGCTCTCGTATACCTTTTGTCAAATGTGTCACCAAGTATTTAATATTTTCAATGCGCTGTGAATGGTATTTTAAGAATTTCAACTTCTGAATATTCATTGCTAATTCACTTGTTTTTAAGTTTTTGAGATTGCATTATATTTCTTACATAGAAAATTATATTTTCTTTCAATAAAGACTTTTATTACTTTCTTTCCAATCTAGTTGCCTTCTATTTCTTTTTCTTATCTGATTGTCCTGCCTAGAACTTCCAGTAAAAGGTAGAAGAGAAGTGCTGATTTCTGGGATAAATAAATGCTGACTCTTTGTCATAGTGTATTATTGTTTTTATATATTGTTGGATTCAATTTGCTAAAATTTTGTTTACAATTTTTCAACTCATGTTTATGAGGGATATTGTTCTGTAGTTTTCTTTAATGTCTTTTTCAGGTTTTGGTGTTGGAGTAATGCTTTCCTCACAAAGAATTAGAATTATCCCCTCTTTAAGAAAGAATTATCCTCATAAAGAGAGAATTATCCCCTCTTTCTCAGTTTTCTGGAATAATTTGTGTGGAATTGGTATTATTTCATTCTTAACTGTTTGGTAAAATTTACCAGTGAAGTCATCTGGACCTGGATTTTCTTTGTGGGATGATTTTAAACTACACTTTTGATTTCTATAAAAGGGCTGTGTACATTAAATTTATCTTCTTGAGTGAACTTTACTACTTTCTGTTCTTCAAGAAATTTTCAGCCATCTAAGTTGTCAGATCTATTGACCTAAAGTAGGTCAAAATTAGTCTGGCCAATATGGTGAAACCCTGTCTCTACTAAAAATACAAAAATTAGCCAGGCGTAGTGGTGCACGCCTGTAATCCCAGCTACCTGGGAGGCTGAGGCAGAAGAATCACTTGAACCTGGGAGGCAGAGGTTGCAGTGAGCCAAGATCATGCCACTGCACTCCAGCCTGAGTGACAGAGCGAGGTTTTGTCTCAAAATACTAATACTAATAATAATGTAGTTCTAAAGATTTCATTGTTAACCTTTCAATATCTGCAGAATTTGTACTGATGTCATTTTACTCATTTCTGATATATTAGTAAGTTGTGTCTCATTTTTCTTCTGATCATTCTGACTATAGATTTATCAATTTCATTCTTCAAGAATGAACTATTGATTAAACTGATCTGTTTACTGTTTCCTATTTTTCTGCTTCATTGATTGTCTATCTGATCTTTATTATTTCCTTTCTTCTGCTTATTTTGAGTGTAATTTCCTCTTTCTAGTTCCTTCAGGTAGAAATTGCTATCACTGGCTAGGGAATAAGATTTGATTATTTTCTAATATAGGCATTCAGTGCTATAGATTTCCTCCTAAGTGTTGCTTTTGTGGTATCTCATAAATTTTAATATGTCATCTTTTAATTTTATTAAATTCAAAATGCTTTCTAATTGCCTTTGGATTTCTTCTTTCAATCACGAGCTTTTAATAAGTATGTTTAGTTTTGAAATATTTGGGGAATTTCCAGAGATCTTTTTGTTATCAATTCCTACTTTAATTCCATTGAGATCAGAGAATATACTGTGTATGAGTTCGAATCATTTTAACTTTATTGAGACTTTTTCTGTGACCCATAATATGGTCTATCTTGGTAAATGTTCTATGTGCACTTGAAAAAAAAAAATGTGGCCAGGCCCGGTGGCTAACGCCTGTAATCCCAACACTTTGGGAGTCCGAGGCAGTCAGATCACTTGAGCCCAGGAATTCGAGACCGCCAGAGCAACATGGAAAAACCCCATCTCTACCAAAAAAAAAACAAAAAACCCACAAAAATTAGCTAGGCATGGTGTTGCATGCCTGTCGTCCCAGCTACTTGGGAGGCTGAAGTGGGAGGACCACCTGAGCCTGGGAAGGTTGAGGCTGCAGTGAGCCATGATCACACCACTGCACTCCAGCCTGGGGAACAAAGTGACACCCTATCTCAAAAAAATAAAAAATATATATTTTGCGGTCGCTGGGTGGAATGTGCCAAAAATGTCACTTGGGTCAAGTTGGTTGATTTTGTTGTTTAAGTCTATTATATTCTTGCTGATTTTTAAAAATTTATTTATATATTGTTGAGAGAGGGACATTGAAGTCTCTATAATTGTAGATGTGTTGATCTCTCCTTGTACCTCTATCATTTTTTACTTAATTTATTTATTAGTTGTATAAACTTTCAAGATAGTTATTTCTTCCTGGTAAACTGATCCCTTTATCATTATGAAATGATCTTATCGAACCCTGGTAATATTCTTTGCTCTGTAATCTAATTTGTCTAATAGTGATATAGTCACTCCAGCTTTCTATTAGTGTTAGTATGGAATAACTTTTCCATTTATTTTACTTTTAACTTACTTGTGTCTTAATAGTTAAAGTGTGTTTTTATAGACAACATATTAGTTGACTCTTGCTTTTTATCCAATATGACAATCTCTACTTACTAATTGGGGTATTTAGATCATTTATATTTAATGTGATTATTGACATGGTTTGGTTCATATTTGTTTTTATTGGAAATGAGGTCTCACTATGTTGCCCAAGTTGGAGTACAGTGGCTATTCACAGGTGTGATTGTAGCATACTATAGCCCTGAACTCATGGGCTCAAGAAATCTGCCTGCCTCAGCCTCCTGAGTAGCTGGTACCATGCATGTATGCCACTATGCCCAGCTTAGGTTTAAGTTTATCATCTTGCTACATGTGTTCTTTTTGTGCTTTATTCTCTTTTTTCCTTTTTTCTATCTTCTTTTAGATTGAATATTTAAAAAATTCTATTTATCTCATCTATTGCCTTGTTAATCATAACTTTTTTATTTGTTGGTTTAGAATTTTTAGTATACATCCTAACTAATCACAGTCTATCTTCAGGTGATATTATACCACTTCACATATAGTAAAAGAACCTTATAAAAGTATACTTCCATTTCTCCCCTCCCAGTCTGTGTGCTATTGCTGTTACACATTTTATTCTTACATATATTATAAAACTTACACTACATTGCTATTATTTTTGTTTAAATAATTATCTTTTAAAGATATTTAAATAATAGAAAAGATTTTATTTACCCAAGTAGTTATCATTTTTGGCACTCTTCATTCCTTTGTGTAGACATATATTTTCATTTAGTGTCATTTTTCTGTCTGCTTAAAGGACCTCTCAATATATTTTATAGTGTGAATTTGCTGGTGATTAATTCTTTCAACTTTATGTCTGAAAAAGTCTTTATTTCACTTTTGCCTTAAAAGATATTTTTGCTGAGTATAGAATTCTAGGATGAGGGTTTTTTTCCTTTCAATACTTTAAAAAATATTGTTCCACTCTCTTCTCACACTTTTTTCTCAAAGAAAAGTCAATTGTCATCCTTTTCTTTGTTTTTCTGTACATAACCTATTTGTCCTCTGGTGGCTTTAAAGATTTCCTCTTTATCACTGGTTTTGGGCAATTTGTTTATGATGTGCCTTAATGTAATTTTCTTCATTTTTCTTGTACTTGGGGTTTGTTGAGCTTCTTGGATCTGTAGGTTCATAGTTTTTATCAAATTTGGGCAACTCTGGCCAGGCTCAGTGGTATGCACCTGTAGTTCCAGCTACTCTGGAGGCTGAGGCAGGAGGATCACTCGAACCTAGCAATTTGGGGCTGCAGTGTGCCATGATGGCATCTGTGAATAGCCACTGCACTCCAGCCTGGGAAGCATAGTGAGACCCCTGCTTCTAAAAATAAAAAGAGGGCAATTCTAGCCATATTTCTTCAAATACAGTTATAGTAATTATTTTAATGTCATTATCTGCTAAGTCTAACTAGTATTTTCGTTCTGAGTTATTTTTCATTGATTGCTTTTTTCCTCATTATGGGTTTATTTTCACACTTCTTTGCATATTGGTAAATTTTTATTGAGTGCCAGGCATTTTGAATTTTACCTTGTTGAGTCCTAGATATTTGTGTATTCCTGTAAATATTCTTAAGCTTTGTTCTGAGACACAGCTCAGCTACTTCAAAACGATCTCATCTTTTCAAGTCTTTCTTTCTTCTTTCTTTCTTTTTCTTTCCTTTTTTTTTTTTTGAGTTAGAATCTTGCTCTATTGCCCAAGCTGGAGTACAGTGGCACATTCATGGCTCACTGCAGTCTCAAACTCCCGGACTTAAGTGATCCTCCCACCTCAGCCTCCTGAGTAGCTGGAAGTACAGGCCTAGCTAATTGTTTTTAATTTTTTTAAAGATGGGGTCTCACTATCTTGCACAGGCTGGTCTCAAACTCCTGGCCTCAGGTGATCCTCCCACCTCAGCCTCCCAGGTTGCTGGGATTACATTTGTAAGCCACCACACCTGGCCCATGTCTTTCAAGATTTGTTAAGGGGAACAGAGCCATGTTTATTCTACAGCTAATTATTCCCCACAACTGAGCCAAAAGCCTTTGAGTACTCTCTACTCAATGCTTTGTGAATTATGAGTTTTTCTAGTCTGGCTGGTGGGAAGGGGCACTATTCCTGGACCTGTTTGAGCCCCAAGTACTGTTCCCTCTAATCCTCTGGGTAATAATTTCCCCAGCCCTTGGTAGTTTTTCCACATATATGCACTGATCTCTACTTTACTGAATATTCAATTGGGTCCCTCTGTAGATTTCTAGAGTTCTCTCTTTGCCCAGCTATCTCCTCTCCAGTATTCTGTCCTGCAAACTCTAGCTCAAGCTTTACCAACCTGCAGCTCACAGGCTGCATGTGGTCCAGGATGGCTTTGAATGTGGACCAATACAAATTCGTAAACTTTCTTAAAACATTTTGAGAATTTTTTTGCGATATATTTTTTAGCTCATCAGCTATTATTAGTGTTAGTGTATTTTAAGTGCGGCCCAAGACAATTATTCTTCTTCCAATGTTGCCCAGGGAAGCCAAAAGATTGGACACCCCTGCTCTAGCTGCTTGAGTCTGCTGGGATTCTCAGCTCTGTCTATTCTTAGAGATTCTGGCTCAGGGAGTTTCTTCTTCCTACATCATAACTTTGAAACTCTCTCAAGGCAGTTAACTGGGGCACACACAGTGCTCTTCTCCTTTGTTCTCTCTCTCTCAGGGATCACTGTTCCTCTTTGACTGGTTCTAGTGTCTTGAAAACTGTTGTTTCATATATTTTTCCTGGTATTTGGTTGTTTCAGGCAGGAGGGTAAATCTGGCCTCTTGTACTCTAAATTAGCTGGAATTGATAGTCCCTTATATATACCTCTTTTAAAACTGAAATAATTTCTTTCCAGTTAATCCTTCACTGGTAGAAGACTTTTTTCAATATGAAGTTGTTCTATTTTATTTTTGCTGCTGTTATTCTTAATTCTGTGAATTTATAAGTAATATAGTCTGCATTTTAATTAATGCTTTCAAAATTTCACGAGTCACCCATCACAGTGAATCATGGAAAAAGGCAAAAATTCAAATCTAGAAGATAACTTTTGCTGTAGAAAGGTGATCTTCCACAAATTCTGCCCACAATGGCGTGTGTGTGTGTGTGTGTGTGTGTGTGTGTGTGATCCCAGAGACACTGTGTAGATATTGGTAGGGAAGGGGCTGGAGACTGGGTCTTCACCAGTGGGATTGTCCCTAACTGGGGAGGCCTGGCTTGGTTCTCAACTGTCTTAACTCTGAAGAATCCTCAAAGGATTTGGGTGGCCATTGACTGACCAATTATTCAGCTATGTCAAAGTGGTTTTGTGGGTATTTAGAAACATCTCATCCCACCCTCACCATTTTGTAAATGAGGAAATAGAAGTGTACAGCTTTTAAGAGACTCACACAAGTTTCCCAGGAAGTTCTGAGATCTAAGCTGAGACTTTTAGGTTTCTGGACTCACATCTTGAGAGTGTTTCCACTATATGGCACCACAGCCCCTGCTCACAGATATGACCATATTAATGCAGTGGTAACATTAGCACCCATGGGGCATTTCTGAAACACCATTTTTGCTAATTGATGTTCAATTCATCCTCCTTCTTAATGTCACCCTACTTCTTGCTTGTGAGCAATTTAAACATTGGGGACTGGGATCGGTATTCCTAATCCAAGGATGGAAGAATGAGGCACTTCTTGATACCAAAGCAGTCTAGAAAATTAGTCATTGATGAAAAATGAGTTTGTAATATCCCACAGACATTTACTTTGGAAACTAGAAGTTCTCAAGATGCTTTCTTTTCACTCTTCCTTTTATCACCCTAGATTAATGAGGTATACTTGACAAATAAAAGTTGTATATATTTAAGGTATAGAACATGATCTTTTGATATACACATACACTGTGAAATGATTACCACAATTAATGTACTGAAGATATCTATCACTTCACATAGTTACCATTTTGTGTGTGTGTACTCAGAACACTAAGATCTACTGTCTTAGCAAATTTCAAGTACACAATACATTATTATTATTTTGTAGAGACAGGGTCTCCTTATGTTGCCCAGGCTGGTCTCAAACTCTTGGGGCTCAAATGATCCTCCTGCCTTGGCCTCCCAAAGTGCTGGGATTACAGGCATGGGTCACAGCCCTGCCTCAATACATTCTTATTAACTATATTCACCATGCTGTACATTAGGTCTCCAGGACTTACTCATAAAGTGAAAGTTTGTACCCTTTTACCCAGATCGCCTCGTTTTCCCAACCTGCCAACTACTGGCATTCCATGCTTTTTTTTTTTTTTTGAGATGGGGTCTCACTAAGTTGCCCAGGCTGGAGTGCAGTGGCACAATCTTGGCTCACTGCAACCTACACCCCCTGAGTTCAAGTGATCCTCCCTCCTCAGCCTCCCAAGTAGCTGGGACCACTGTGCACCGGCTAAGTTTTCTATTTTTGGTGGAGACGAGGTTTCACCGTGTTGCCCAGGCTGGTTCCAAACTCCTGAGCTCAAGCGATCCACCCGCTTCAGCTTCCCAAAGAGCTGGGATTACAGGCGTGAGCCACTGTGCCCAGCCCCATGCTTTATTTCTATGAGTTTGCCTTCTTCAGATTCCACAGAAAGTAAGATCATGCAATCAGTAGTTGTCTTTTGGTGTATGGCTTACTGCACTTAGTCCATTCATATTGTCACAAATATTAAGATTCTTTTTTAAGGCTTAAAAGTCCATTGTGTGTATATACATATATACACACATACACACTACATTTTCTTTATCCATTCATCTGTTGAGGGACAATCAGGTTGTTTCCATATCTTGGCTATTGTGAATCATGCTGCAATGAGCATGAGAGTATAGAGATCTCTTTAAGATACTTATTTCATTTCCTTTGAGTATATACCCAGAAGTGAAACTTCTGAATCATGTGGTAGTTCTACTTATAGTTTTTCGAGGAAACTCCATGCTGTTTTTCATAATGGCTGTACTACTTTACATTCCCACCAACGGGGTACAAGGGTTTCCTTTTCTCCACATCCTTGACAACAATTGTTATTAAATTATTGATAATATCACCTCACACCCTTCAAGTTTTATTGAGATTTAAAATACACAAAGTGTACAAATGTTAGTTCAGTTTGATGAATTTTTACTATTTACACATCTGTGTAACCATCACCCAGATTAAGACAAAGGGGATTCCAGGAAGCCTTCCAGAAAGCTTACTCATGCCCCTTCCAAGTCAATACCTGCCCCTTGTAATTACTACTGTAACTTCTATGACTATTGATTAGTTTTATCTGTCCTTGAATTTCATATTAATGGAATAATATAATAATGTCTACTCTTTTTCATACTCTTTCACTCAACATTTTAAGAGATTCATCCACATTATTGTGTGAAACACATTTGTTTTCTTTGATTGCTAAGTAGTATTTTTATTCTGTGAATATACCATAGTTTATCCATTGTCCTGTTGACAGACACTTGAGTTGATTCTGGTTTTGGACTATTGTGAATAAAGCTGCTGTCGATATTTTTGTAGGAGTCTTTTGGTGAAGATATGCACTCAGTGTTCTGAACTATATGCCTAGGAATACCATATTATGAACTATATCTGAAGGCTCTTAATACCTATATTGTAACACTGTTGATGATTAATTTTACATATCCAATTGCCCTTCTAATTCCCAAGGTGTTACTCTAGCTACCACCAAACAGAGGATACTATTCCTGACCTTCTTTTCTTCTTCCCCAAAGAGAGTCACTTCTCCTGCAAAGCCATCAAGAATTAGGATAGCTGGCAGCAGAGGAACCCTTGCACATGCCCCATAGCTCCCTTGGATGATTTTGAATGGAGCCCTGGTTGTCTTTCCCCTTAGTGGGGTTGATGATAGCAGGGAATCCTGAGAGCATGCCAGGGGAAAAAGCAGACTTGCCCTCAGGGAAAAAAATGAAAAATGGAATATTTGATTTCCTTCAGCAGAAGTAATTATTAAACACCAAATTGGGCAAAAAGGAAGAAACCATCAAAGTAATTCCTTTCTCTCTAAAGAGACAGCACCTTGTCAAGGTAGGTAGTGGGACTTAAGGAACTTTGGCCACATCGTTACGATTGTTTTTCTAGTTGAAGATATGAAACACCCAGGGGCTGGCTCTATAGTTGCTGGGTCCATTTCACTTTGCGTGATGCCTTTATTCATCAGGCACTAGGCAGAAGATAGTACTGAATTAGGATAATTATCCCTGTTATAGCCAGTAACTTTCACAATAACTTTACTGTCATATGAAAAAGCGGCAAGTTGTTTGCCTGAAGGACAACAGCTGTAACTGAGTCTCACCTTCTTGCCTATCTAGATGAATCTTAATATGTAGTTTTTTGAACTTTAAATAATAGCTTCCCCAAATCTCATAGAACTCTCTGGGAAAGAGGACATATATCCTCATTGTCCAATCCCTGCCTGGGAAGTTATTAATGACCCTTTGTCTTTTCTCATAAAACTGTTTTGGGGTTAGTCTCTGCTAGGCTGCTGGTTTGAAGTTAGGAGGTGGGCCATGAATAAGTTTGGAATAAATGTGGTGTGTCACCCTTGGGCTTTCTTTGTTGAACTATAGTTTTCTTTAGAACCTCATTTTTAGGAGTCTACATAGATAACTACAATAAGATAGTGTTGATGTTGAAGTAGAAATAAATCACTACTACTAGCCTTTGGGCTAACAGCTCAGACTTCATCATCATGTTTCAGTTGTGACCTAGAAACTAGGCACAACTGATTGTCAGTTCAGAGAAATGCCCTGGCCCCTGGAATATTGTCTCTCATATGTCCTAATGGCACAAACACATCTTTAAGGCTGCTAGCAGGACCTTTACTTATCTAAGGCTCACTAGGAAAAGCTATCGGTGGCCTGGAACATGTGCTCCTAGAAGGTACTATGTAAAGGCAACTTAAAAAAAATCATATTCTCTCATTGACTTATGATTTCAGAGCCATGTGACTTCAGTTTTGGTAGATTTTCCATTGGCACTGCTACCTACTCCTTTGGCTTTATATTTCCTCTACATTTATTCAACATAATCCATCCCAGGAAAATGGTTACATTAAGCCATCTTTGTTTTAAAGGTTTCAAAAATTGCTTACAATTTATGTTTAAAGTTAAAATTTGAACGAAGCTAGAGATGGCCTAGCCTTAAACCTACCTTTGTGGTCAGTTCCTCCACCTCCAAAGCATTTCCCCTGCCCTCACAAAAAAAATCTTCTCAATTCTTGCATTCAGAATTAAGAAGTGAATACTTGGAAGATTAATAATGATTACTTCCAAAGATCTATGTCATTAACATAAAATTATTTGGGGGGTATTGTAACAAACTCTATTGATATCTGAATCTTTTAGTTGATACAAAAGCAATGGTGTTATTCTCTCCCCTCCTTCTACCCCATTTCGTTCCTATGAGAGCACATTTTCCTTATAACAGTGAAAGTATGAACACACTAGAATCAGGAAGATTTTTAAAAATTGGAAAATCTTCAAACCAGTTCACCATTTCTTGAATAACAAGAATATTACGGTGTACAGATTAGTTTAGAAGGAGTTAAATAAGAATAAAGGTTGCTGGGAAGATTAAAATTCTTAATTCAAAACAATTTGATTAAGGGTTATTTTGTGACAAACAGCCAGGTTTTAAATTTCCTGTGTCTTGCTTATAAGACCAGCACATACCTCCACAGAGAAAGGCAGGTCTCTCTTTCTTTTAAACATAACCATAGCCAACCAGTAGAGTCTCTTTTGAAATGAAATGCTATTATTTCAAAGGAACTGGGTGGATATAGAATCACTTGTGTCAACTGAGGAATGATGAGGTTCATAAATTTGTAAAGGAGAGCTTTATTTTTCATAAAAGGTTGCAGCCTGCAGGGTGGCCGTTTTGACAGGCTCAGAAGCACAGCCTCCAACCAGAAGCCAGAAACAGATACTTTGAGGGAGGGGAGAATAAGATGGGAATTCCGGCTGAGCGAGGTGGTCAAATGTACATATTCAATAAGCTATAGGAGGAGTCATGAATACTTATGAAAGGGGAAACATGAGCATGTACAATTGAGCTTCATGCCCTTCTATGGGACCCATGTTCAAAAATGGCAGTGTTAGCATGATCCAGTGGTGCAGTTTTCAGCCCTCTGATGTTAAAAAGTGAAGCAGAGGACATGAAAACCCTCACTGCTGCATTCTCTGTAGACTGGCCAGAGCCGTGGTTGGTGGTCTCTTATCAGGAAGGAATGCTGGTCAGTTGTTATGCCAAAAGGGAGGGGCAGTGGGAGGTGGTTGGTCCATACCAGTGGTGGAGTCTTTCAAAAAGGCTGGTTTCTGTTTAGCCTTGAGGAAAGAAAGGCTAATGGTGGTTAGCAAGGGAAGAGGTATTACAAGGTGTGTCTGACCTCCCATCCTGTCAGGACCAAGAGCTCAGTTTTCAAGGTTACTCTGAGGTCCCCTTGGCCAAGAGGGAGTCCATTCAATCAGTTGGGGGGCTTAGGATTTTATTTATATTTCTCTGTTGTCATAACTTATTTACAAGTGGATTGACCACTCTACATTTGCCCATTGATCACATACGCAGTGGTCGACAAGCAATGGTATTTTCATAGTTAATTCGTGTGAAATAGAATTTACTGCAGCTCTGCAATTTAAGCATATTTTGGCATTTTCAGCTGTCACAGACACTGAATTTTAAAGATCACAACTCCAGGAAGTTTTAGTCCCTTCATCTAAGGAATAAAAAGAATACCTACCCTCTCAGGGTACCAGCTTTGATTTCTTGTTATTATTATAGCCATGCATGCATGAATCATACCAAAATCTCACTGCAGCCAGCTTTTTGAGCAAGAAGATAGAACTTCACACATACTTTCTCCTAGCTCAATTCTCTTTGAGTCTCAGTTAAAGTGACTTTGGGACCATGGAGAACTTAACATTGCAATTTTTTATTTATTTGATACAGGATCTCACTCTGTCAGCCAAGCTGGAGTGCAGTGGCACCATCACAGCTCACTGCAGCTTCGACCTCCCCTGGTTAAGTGATCCTCCCACCTCCCGAGTTGTTGTGGTTACAGGTGTGCACCAGCATGCGCAGCCCTTTTTTTTTTGTATTTTTTGTAGAGACGGGATCTTGCCATGTTGCCCAGGCTGGTCTCGAACTCCTGGGCTCAAGCGATCCGCCTGCCTGGGCCTCCCAAAGTGCTGGGACTGCAGGTATGAGCCACCATGCCTGGCCAACACTGCAATTTTAAAAGTGAAGTCTATACTTGCCTATTTCCATAATTTAGTTTTCATTAAAAAAAAATTGAACTGTGCAGATTGGGTTTTCTGAACCACATTTCTGGGAGACAGAGGAGTGGAAGAAGATGGTGGGGGGTTCCCCCAAAGGTGTCCTCTTTTGAGTATTCAGTCACCTCTTCTTTTCCCCCACAATCCCCTGCTGTTTGCTTTATAACTTAATGAATGCATGAGGCCATTCTATTTACTGCCTTCAGCAGTTTGAGCTATCCACGTGGCTTCCTCCCCTAGAGGAATTTCACAGATAAATTATTGCATACAATTACATAAAATAAATTTAAATTGAACAGGGTGAGTAGCAGGCAGGCTAGTCTGAGTGTTTCTATGGAGTTAATCCCTGGTGAAGAGGAAAATTGCTGCATATAAATGAGATCTCATTGCTGTCCTAAACCAGTTGATAAGTGATACCATCTGCTGGAAAGGAATTCTCAATGCCCTTGACACTTGCCCCACCCACTTCCCAGAATAACCATTCTCCATTCACTATGTACTAGCTTTCATATGCTAGGAGGATGTTGGGTGGGCTGCTGTCACCTTTCCTTAGTGGTATAGGGTCCTAGCTGATTGACTTATACTATAAACCTGGTTCTCTAATGGCAAAACAGCCCATATTTTTAGGACAACAATCATATTAGGGCTCAGGCTGTGGCCTAAATCAGTGTTTTCAACCTTGGCTGCACATCAGAATCCTCTGGGGAGCCTTTAAAAATCCCAATGCCCAGCCTATTCCCCAACTCCCAGGTGATTCCAAAGTACAGCTAAGTTTGGAAACCAGTGGCCTAAATCCTAAACCAGTACTTCTCAAATTTTTGTGACTACGAATCCCCAGGAGGGCTTGTTAAAATGCAGATTCAGATTCTGGGTGGGACAGAATCTCTGGGTTGAGATTCTGCAGTTATAACAAGCTCCCGGGTGGTGCCCACACTGCTGATTCAGACTACATTTTGTGCAGCTCTGATTCCTCTCATTAGTGTCATAATCTAACTCAGTGATTTTCCAACTTTTTTCTTAAAGCTTTTGAAAAAAGAAAAATAGCTCAAGCAGTCTGAGTATGTGCAAAGTTTAGCAGGCTCACAGAGACGTTAGTATGGGACATCAGTCATCCCACACCCCACAACCATGCTGGGGGACACTGGTTTAAAGTCATTTGTACCTGTCTACCTACCTCCTTCATTATGCTTATGCTCCTCGAATTTGTGATACAAAGAACAATGTATAGTCAACCTATAATTTATGTTATTTTAATGTAAATTCTTGGTAAGCAATTTAGGAACCTGCCTCTTTTTTTCCTTAAAAATCCACTTGTAGGCCGAGCATGGTGGCTCTTGCCTGTAATCCCAGCACTTTGGGAGGCCGAGGTGGGAGGATCCCTTGAGCCTAGAAGTTCGAGACCAGCCTGGACAATATAGTGAGACCTTGTCTGTACTAAAATTCAAGAAAATTAGCCGGGCGTGGTGGCACATGCCTGTAGTCCCAGCTACTGGGGGAGGAGGCATGAGCTGAGGTGGGAGGATCACTTGAGCCCGGGAGGTCGAGGCTACAGTGACCCCTGATTGTGCCACTGCACTCCAGCCTGGGTGACATAGGGATATCTTGTGTCAAACAAACAAAAACACTTGTAACTGCTGCTAATTAGAGTATACATTCACAGCAATTTAAAGCTGTGGTCTAGGGTGGCTATCCTCTAACTCTGAGCTCGAATAAACTCTATACTTAATTATATCTTCTGAATTCATTATTTAAGATTGACACTATGAAATCATTTCTTCAAATCCAACCTGACAACAAAGCCTCATATATACAACAGGTAGAACTGGGGTGCTTCCAATAGTGAAGTGCCAGAGCTGGTCCACAAAGCTAAATCAACCATGATTACAGCATGTATGTTCCTTGTTAATGTACATACCATGGACACTGTTATGCCCTTCTGCCTGATGTTAACTCTCCCTTGGAAGGGAATATCTATAATTAGTGATTAATTGAATTTCTGAAAAGTTTCGTTAGGGTCCTAATTTGCAAAAGGTTTTTAGCCTTGTTTGCATAACCATAAATGGCTGGTATCCACGCAGTCACCTGTGGCAACAGTGCCCCACCCAAAGCCTCAGGTATATATAAATCTGACTTCAGCCCATCTTTAAATTAACTCAAATGAGATGTCAGAGCCTGACTGCTCAGGTTTATGAACTCATTCAAACACATAGTTCAAAGTTAAGCTGTTAAAGTAACATCACCAGTGTCACTCATTTTCATTCTAAGGCCCATCACTAACTTTATTCATTCACACATTATCTGCCTGTTTCTATGAAAATGTAAGTTCCATGATGTTGCCATCATGGCAACCTTCTCTGGTACCTTCTCTGTCTTGTCACCACTGTAGCCCCACAATCAGAATAGTGCCTAATATATAGTAGGTGTTTGATAAATATCTATGGAACAATTGCTCAAAGAAACATCACCAAAAATTCCCAAGGCAGGATAGGTGACCATGTTCTCTTGACTGAGCAACTGCAGCAACCATCGTGACCAGTCAACACAATAAGCTGCAACATTTGCATTGTAATTGAGTTCATTCAAGCAAAGCTATCTTCAGTAGGGACTTTCCCTTCTAGACAGCATGCACATTTTGATTTTATCTGTCCTCAAACTGACCCTTTGCTCATCATAATAGTAAAAAAATACACCCTTGGGGTGGAGATTTAAGATGCTAATGAGACATGCAATATATGAACAAGTGTGTACAGGTACTGCTCACGTGCACCCGGAAGACCACCCAGAACATACTAACTAGTAACACCTCTTTCCAACTCCTTATGAATAATTATGGAAGACTCCATAAAGGGAGTCTCCCTAGTGCCAGTCTTTGCTGTCTCATCCTAATGAACAGCCTGCCCTGAATTCCCTCTCTCAGGGTGTACTGTTTATTCTGCACCTAACTTTCACAATATTCTTTTTCTTTAGCAATAAATTACTGTATGCCATACCTCCTTTGCTGTGTGTCTCTTGTTTAAATTCTTTTAAGCCAAGAAGAACTGAAGTATCACATCAGCCATCAACATTCCCACTTCTTTTAATCCAAACCAGACTGATTTGGACCTTCCCGCCATTTGAGTCCAAGTTGGTCTCACCATTACCACCATTCTGGGTTTCCATCCTACTTTCAGCCCTATGGTTATTGATAGTGGAACTGTACACATTTGTAGCTCCAAAGAAGAGTGTGAGCTAGATATTTGAAGACAGAAGTCACTACCATCAACATGGTAATTGAAGCAACACAGATGGATGAAATTGTCCAGGAGGAGAGCACAGAGAAGACAGACTGGGTTTGAGACTCAGGTACTCAATCTTTAAAGAAAATGGTTTCCTACGCTTTGCTGTACCTCCCTAATACGCCCCACCACCATATATACAAACCTGTACAACCAGATTATCACAAATTTCTTCAACTGTATCCTAATTTCTAGACCCTTACTATTCTGGAGGGTATGTTGGACACAGTCATTTATCAGTTTATCAGTGTCTGCTTAAAAATGTAATATTTTGGCTACCAAAGCAATTACAAATAAAACAACGCTACCACTCCATTTCCTTAACAGTATCAACCATAACTTAAAAGAATCCTCATGAAGTAAATAAAGGTAATGGAAGAATGGGTAAAATCAAATACCAAGTTATTTTTAATGATTTTTAAGAGCGATTTTACCAAGAGATGTGTGGTAATACAGAATTGAGATAATTACTATTTTTTTTACAAGAAGTTGATATCCAGAAATTAGAAAATCTCCCAAGATAATGGAAAAATAGCTTTGACATTTTGAAAAATTTCAGTTTGATTTTGTTGACTATCAGAACTTCCACCTTCATAAAAAAGAAAACAAACAAACAAAAACAAATACAAGTAATAAAAAAAAGAACTACCCCCTAAAGAGAAATATTTGAGGAGGTGATGCCAAAAAAGTCTTGGCTGGTCATGAAAGAAATGAAAAACATTGGCCAGGCGTGGTGGCTCACGCCTGTAATCCCGGCACTTTGGGAGGCTGAGGTGGGTGGATTACGAGGTCAGGAGTTCGAGACCAGCTTGGCCAAGATGGTGAAACCCTGCCTCTACTGAAAATACAAAAATTAGCTGGGCGTGGTGGCGAGCACCTGTAATCCCAGCTATTCGGGAGGCTGAGGCAGGAGAATTGCTTGAACCCGGGAGGTGGAGATTGCAGTGAGCCAAGATCACACCTCTACACTCTAGCCTGGGTGACAAAGCAAGACTCCATCTCAAAAAACAAACAAACAAACAAAAAATGAAAAACATCAAGATCAATGAGAGTAGAGTATTAACTTGTAAAATGGTTCTCTTCCTTAGTTTAGTTGCTATTCTTTGTTAACTGTGAGAGTCACTCAATAAATCCCAAAGGGAAGTGAATAAAGTATAGTTGTGGCAGGTTGCCTGCAAGACAGCCACCAGTGGTCCCAGTTTCTTAATATTCACACCCTTGTGTCATCCTCCTGTGTCCTAGATTAACTCATTGACTTCTAACAAATAGACTATTACAGAAGTGGTAGCGTGTTAGGTTATAAAATAGTGACTTCTGTCCTGAACACTCTCTCTTTGATTGCTCATCTTGGGACAAGCCAACTACCAGGTGCTGAGACAGTCTTGTGGAGAGGCTCATGTGGAAAGGGACCCAAGGCCTGGCAACAGTCAACTGAATGAGTTCAGAAGCTGATTCCTTTCCCCCAAGTTGAGCCTTCACGGGAGACTACAGCCCCGACCAATAGCTTGACCATAACCTCATGAGAGAACGTGAAAGCCAGGGGCATCGAGCTAAGCCACACTTGGATTCCTGATGCACAAAAACCTGTGATAATAAATGTTTGTTATTCTAAACTGCTAAGTGATGGGGTTATGTGTTATAAAGCAATAGATAAGACAGTTATAGTCATAGATATCACATTGGCCTTTCACAATCAACTGTACAAACCTGAATTATTATAGTAGACTACTAGATTACAAGATCTGCTATATATATGGAAATTAATCAACACTGCTTGAAAGCATTTTCTTATTCTTCTGCTATATATATGGAAATTAATCAACACTGCTTGAAAGCATTTTCTTATTCTTCTTCACGTCTCATGGTCTAAATCCAGTAGGTCTTCAAATAATCATTTTTTAAATTAAATTATATCACTCCCTGGAAATGCCACACACTAGGTCAAAAGTTCTGTGCATATATATCATCCAGTACTGTTTGTTGCAGAGAGCTAACAGGGCCAGGAGGAGTTCATTTATCTGTTCCTGGACCCTTTTAGTGTTTATTAACATATTTTTACATGCTTTAGGTTCTATTAGGAAACAAAGACAACCATTTTTCCTCCTCCAAGGAACATAATTCTGGGGATTCTGGCTATAAGTCTACGTGAGAATCAAGGTTGGATCATACCAGTTCTACTCAAGACACATAGTTATTTTGAGGGCATTGGGAAAAATTATGACATAACTATGAGACAAAAATAGTGATGCATTAACTGGTAGAAAAGAAGACATGAGGCAAAAAAGGAATGCCACAGAATTCTAGAGATAAAACCGCAAATAGGACGTAAGGAACAACTGAAATAACCTAAAAAAATATATTCGTGTAAGACCGGATAAGCTCTGGCACACAGTTTAAGGACTTGGAGTTCATTCATTCGTTACTCATAAAGTAATTTGAGAACCTGGAAAGTGCTTACTTCTGTGCCAGTCACTGGGGGGGATACAAAGACAGTACTGACATCATCCTTGCCCTCAAGAACACTATTAAAAGATCCTAATCAACTGTGAATAAAATTACTTACATGTAAAATAATTAGAGAACTAGAAGGCAGCATATAATACACTGCAAATAATATAATATACATCCTGGCAACATGGCAAACTGGAAATAAATGGACCTAGATACATTAGGCAAAACGTCTAATAGTGGATTAAAAATATGTTTAGGAAATAAATATACACTGCTAAATGAAATTTACAGGAGGCCATTGTTTTGGACCAAGCTTCTGTTCTAGGCCCCAACAGACCAGACTAAAAATCCAAATGAAGTCACCTATCCTAAAGTCACTACTAAACCTGAACTAAGTTGTTTTCTGACATTGCAAGGAGAAACAGCTAATTTCCCTAGCAGGCCAGTTTATAATCTTCAATAGGCTTGATAATGAAGTTCCCTCTGCTTTAATTCTTACACAAAAAAGTGTCCCCAAGTAACCTGATGTTAACTATTATTTTTCTGTTGCCCTGTTTCCTTGTCCTGCTTTACAAGAAAAGTAGATTTGAAAGGACTACTATGCTCTTTGTTCTTTGCTTCTGCTTTCTTCAGACTTTCTCTGTCGATAAAGCCAATTCCTTCTGCTCATCTCATTAAAACACTGATTCTGTTTCACGGAATGAAGTGTTGCCCAATTCTGGAATCACAAATAAAGCCAATGAAGATCTTTAAACTTAACTTGTTATAATTTTGTCTTTTGATGATACTTTACTGTTGCAAATTGAGTTTACCACATATAGATCTCTGAACCCAGAAGGATTAAGAGGCAAGAAGCAATGGGGCAAAAACAAAATTTAGGTACACATTTAGGTAAGTCTAAATAAACTGTAAAGCCACTAATAGTTAATATTCATTTGGGGAGATGGTAGAAATAAAATGTCAGGCAACAAAAATATAGAAGTTAAGTGAGTGGTGACTAGAATTAAAACAATCCAAGGTCTTTTTGTTATTTTGGAGAAAGAGCCCTATCTTTCTCAAGAATCCTTGTTCTGATTAATTTTACATGCAAATATTCATGTTAAGAGATTAATGTTAACCTCTAAAACAATAAAAATATAATCTATAATTTCCAAAGAAGAAATATATATATATCTGATTCAAGAGAAGACAGAAAAGAAGCAAAATAGGAAAGAAATGAATAGTAGACAGAAAAAATAATATGGTAGAAATAAAACCAAAACATCAGTAATAACACTTAATTGTTAAAGCTTTCTCAGACTGGACTGAATAAGAAAACATAATGCAGTTATGTGTTGTGAAACACACATGTCTAGACATGTCTAACTCAAAAATATTACAGACTGAAACCAGAGAGATATAGAATAATACTCTTGGCAAATACTCATCAAAAGAAAAAATAATTGTAACTATAATATCAGACAAAATGAATGTTAAAGAAAAAAATCATAATTGAGGGAAAAGAAAGTCCATAATGACAAAGGAAATGATTCATCTGTGAGACATAATCTTAAACTTGCATGTCCCTAACAATAAAGCTTAAAAATATATAAAGCAAAAACTGAAAGAATCTACAGTCATAGTGGGGGATTTTAATGCATCATTCTTAAAAACTGAAAAACAGATAAAATATTCATAAGAACAGATGATTTTACTAATATTCATAAAATTTACCATTTGAATATATTCAAAGGCTTGTCCTAATCCTGCACCCAACAATTAGAGAAGATACATACTTTCAAGTACACACAGAACAAACACTGCCCACATACCCAAGCACAAAGCAAGTCTCAACAAATGAAGAATCTTTATTATACAAACCAAGTTTTTTGAACAAAAAAGCCCTAAAATCCATGTTTGGAAACTTTAAAAAAAAATTCTCATTGTATAGTTCAATGCATAAATTCTAATGGAAACTGCAAGATGTCTAGAACTGAAAGACAACAAAAATTTCAAATTAAAACTGAAATGCAGTTAAAGTAGTACTTACATGAGAATTTACAGCCTTTCATGAAATTATTAGAAAAGATGGTTAAAAATATTAATGAGCTAAGAATTGACAAAAGAGAAAATCCAGGGAAACCCAAAGAAAACAGAAGGAAGAATAGATATTAATGAAATAAAAACCAAACAATAGAAAGGATGAAACCGAAAGGCTGGTTTTTTGAAAATACATAAAATAGACAAATTTTCAGCATGAATGGAAAAAAGGAAAGAAAGAAATAATGCTAGGAATGAAAAAGGGAACAAAAGTAGGTGTCATTAAAATTTCAAAAATAAGACATTACTATAACAACTTTATAAACTTGAAAGCAGGAAAAATGGACAACATTCTGAAAAATATTAATACTTGATTTAAAATGTGGGGCATAGAAGACAGTTGCCACAGTAGGCTAGGACTGCAGTTACCAAAAGAACATCACAGATAAGATGGTGTTTGAAGATGGGAAGCTTCGGGAGAAGGCATGCCAAACAGGGAGAATGAAAGCATGGGATAAAAGAATCTCAAGTAAATGGGACAGACACGGAGCACAAGGTGAAAAACGTAAGCTGAAGCCGTATTCTAGTACAGCGTTTCCCACTCTGCCTGAACATTCTAATCAACTGGGGAGTTTTAACAAAGAAAAAGCTCAGGCCAAACCTCAACAATCTCTGCGCTGGGCTATGATTTATAATCTCAAAAATCTATTACCTAAGTTTTGTTCAAAGGCTTTTAACATTGACAATTAAATGTGTGCAAACAAGAAAACCTTTGTTTTGTGTATTTTGTTACTTTAAACCTAAATTCCTTAGCCTGTCCCCCAATATTTTTTTCTGAGTCTGATTGCTAGGGGATGCCCCAATATTTTATTTCATTTTATTTATTTTATTTTTAGAGACAGGATCTTGCTCTGCTGCCCAGGCTGGAGTACAGTGGCACGATCATTGCTCACTGCAGCCTCAAACTCCTGGGCCAAAGTGTTCCTCCTGCCTTAGCCTTCTGAGTAGCTCGGATTACAGGCATGAGACACTGGGCCTGGCTCCTGACATTTTCAAATGACACGTTTTAATTATTTCCTCCTCCCAACTGCAAATCTTTTTATTTGTAGAAAATGTAAACTAATTACATTAGCATAAGCACAACACAAATAAAAGGCAAAGCTCTTTCTAAAGTCAACCAACAAATAGTGGAGGCATTGTGGAATCAAACATTGCTCTTGCTAGGAAGAAAGGACTTTTAATATTTTGAATTATTTGTGTCATTGCTTCTACATCTAACCAGATGTATTGTTAATCCAGAACTCACTTTTCTTGAAAAGGCAAGTCCCAGGCTGGGAGAAAAGATTTGCAATACATACATCCAAGAAAGGACCTGTGTCCAGAATATAGAAAGAATTCCTACAAATCAATAAAGACAACTGATTTTAAAATACACAAAATACTTGAACATCTTACAAAAGAAGAAATCAAATCTCCATGTGTGCTCCCACCCCACCAAAATAACATCAGGCAGCAGGGAAGCCAAAGGGTTAGATGTTTAAAATTATTGTTATGGACACTTCAGAAACTTTAACTATTTATCATGAACAGAATACAATGAAATAGTCAATGTCAATGAAAAAGTGAAAGTGTGAGGCAAATTAAATCTAGATAACACTATATATCTATAGAATGGCTAAAATAAAACAGACTGAGAATAGCAAGTGTTGGTGAGGATGTGGAACAACTAGACCTTTTTTACATTGCTGATGGAAGTATAAATTAGTATAACCACTTTAGGAAAATGTTAGGTAGTACTTTCTAAAGCTAAACATACCTTATTTTCAAGCAATCTTACACGTTTATTTATGTCCACCAAAAAGCATATACCATAATGCTCATTGCAGCTCTATCATAGTAGCCCAAACCTAAAAAACAACCCAAATGTCCAGAAGAATGGGTAAACTGTGCTATATTTGTATAATGTAATCCTATACCACAATGAAGACAAGACTATGTTTACATGCACCATGTAACTAACTCTTGCAGACACAATGTTGAGTGAAAGAAGGTACACGAAACAGTCCACACTGTGTGATTCTATTTATATGAAGTTGAAGAAGAGACAAAACTAATCTATGGGAATATAATTCAGATTAGTGGTACTCCTGGGCAGGGTCGAGGGGATGTGAGAGGGCTGCGGTTACTGACTGAAAAGGGACACCAGGGAACCTTCGAGGGTGCTGAAATACTCTGTATATAATCTGGGCAGTTGTTTACACTGGTTTGTACACATGTGCAAGTTCAAGTTGCACACTTCACATTTTGTGTTTTTTACCATAAGTAAATGTTATATTTCAAAAAAAGGGCAGGGGAAGATAATAAAAGAAAACAAGAAAGTATTTCAATTTGTGTCTTTTAAGTTTCCTTTGAAAGAAGAAAGGACATTACACACAAGTCACTCAGAGTTGAAACATGAACACTTGATAGTTTTAAAGTAAAATCAACCTTGGTCCAAATGTTTCACATTAAAAGTATGTTATTCTGAGATCTGAATTTAATTTAGAAAGTATATAGATTTCTTACTTACCAAAGTATACCAATAAGCACATAGTTTGCAAAAAGATAAACCATGGGTTGGGCTCTATTTAGGATTTTACAGAAAAGCCTCATTTCGATATATAATGAAATAGAAATTACAAACAGAAATGTGAAAAAATTTTGAGCTACATATATTTCCATAGAAGAGCTCTCCTTAATTCACTAAAAATGCTGACCTTTTGAAGAGGGTATACTAAAGGTTTAAGCAGTGTCCTTTGTCAATGTTGTAGTAGGGTTTACTCTATGCAGAGATCAGGCTAATAAATGCATACAGTTAGAAAGTCATCTCTATTCTAATTACAGTCTGTGCTATAGAGAAGAGGGAGCCTTTTAGATCCACTCATTTTGGTAACAGATCAATTTATGCTTTTACTAGGTTTTTGTTTTTTGGATGACTCATCAAGAAGAAATGGATTGCAAATAATACACTGCACCTATTGGTAAAATGCTCTTTAAATCAAGTGTAAGCATTCCATACTTCAGTACAAACTGGGACATTGGGATGGCTGAATCGTAGGATGTAATCTCTTCTCTAGATCGTGTTTTTTCAATCCAACACAGAAAAGAAAGAGGAAAGAGGAGAATTCATGCTCATTAGAAGCGATGAAGGAAAGAATAGAGGCTCATTTCCTTTTTAACAAAATGAAATCCAGACTTTAAAAACTCAGCTGAAATCTTTGTATTTATTTCACGGATTTCAGGCCCAAGGATTTCAGAGGCCTGAAATGATATGAAGGCTCTATTTCCACAGACAACAATGTATTCTGTTCATGATAAATGGTTAAAGTTTCTGAAGTGTCCATAACAATAATTAAAAAAACCTAACCCTTTAGCTTCTCTGCTGCTGATGCTATTTTAGTGGGGTGGGAGCACACATGGAGAGGTGTGTCAGTGTGTGAGATGGTCCACCTGCCTGCGATGTCCTGAAGAGCAAGATGGAAAAGAAATGTGTTTTAAAACTTTCATAAGAACCAAAGAACAGAACCAGAACACAGCTGCTTGTAATTGCTCTATTTATTAATACATATATCACAAATGTTCACAATATCAATGCATTCTTGTTGGCATGCTAGACAGAGGCATTACTTTTGAAGATCTTTTAAAAATATTTTGACTTGTTCCCCCTTCACACTCATTTTTAAATTGTTTGGATGAGGTCCTCAATGTCTATAATGTCAATGCAAGAAAAAATACAGAGAGAAGTAGTAAAATAACACAATAGCAATTAATTGGGGAAAAACAAAATATCATGGCCTTCACAAGAAGCAACAACACAGCTTTGTAACAGGGTTATACAGGTTTCAACCGAGAGGCAAAGATGCACTAAACTGCCTACACATACCCAGGTATGTAACAAGCAAGGAGGCCACCTCAAGTTCAGTTTCCTTCATGCATGACACATGCTTTTTTTCTCCTCATGGACAATTATTGAAGTGTTTCGTTACATGTCTTAGGCAGCCTGAAGAAGGTAGGAAAGCCTTAGTAGAGGGAAAATCAAACCAAATGAGATTAAGTCAAAAGAACAGATAACTATCGTCTGCTTATCTACTTAAAGGTGTGTGGCATTTACCACAGTGAGGAGCTAACAGGAGCCTCCCACACTACATGCAGGGCCCAAAGGGGCCAGCGATGGTGTGATAACCAGTCACCGATGATGAGTTGCAGTTGGACCAAGTACAGATGGAGGGGCTGGCCCATGCAGGGCCTCGGGGTGAGGTTCACTAGGACTAGCTGCAGGGGGACCTGGCTACACTCTGTGGCACAACAGGGCTTCACAAAATGGACACTACACGTGACGTGGGCTGAAAGGTGGAGCAGAGACTGGGTGGGAGTGTCAGTTGCACGTTGTGGGGTAAGGGGGAGAGGGAGCAGGGCAAGTGTATTATGTACTGTGCTCTAACATTCTTTGGAAGTCTTTCAAAGATTGCTGCAGTTCCTTTTTAAAACAGGTCTCTTATTCCGTCATTCTTGAAAGACTAAGAGAGAAATGAGAACATGTGAGTGATTCACCAGTAATAAGGACTTGAAAGATAACAAGCTGAAAAAAGCATTTCCACATTTTCCACAAAAGAACCAATTATACTTCCTTCCCAGAACCACAGAAATGAGATTTCTGAACATGGACAAGTGCCACCAAGATCAGGTAGCTCAATGGCCAGGGAGTACTCCTGCACATTTGAAGGGTAGTAAGTGTCCCAAAGGGGACCCCTCAAAATTAAACACTCCCCACTGTCACCTACCTTCTCCTTACACCATCTCATACTGATTGGCCGTGATGAACCGGGACAGACAGCAGGCCAGCAGCATGCCAATTAACTGTTGCCAGGGAGAAAAACGAAAATGAGAATCTCAAGTCACCGAACCACACCCTTTTAATATTTAATTAATAATTTTATATATTTATGGGGTATGTGATTTTTGACATATGCGTATCACTAGACATAATTTTTTAACAACCAAGTGTTTCTGTATGTAAATGGGGAAAGGGCACTAGAGCAAAAGATAAAACCAGATTTCAACCATGGGATCTCAGCTGTTGGGAGTCTAACTGCAGAGCCAACTGGAAGTTCTCAAACTGGCCATCATGTTGCAGCTGTAGCTCACTCTGGCCATTTAAGAACAACTTTTGACACTTAAGGAGTATTAAAATTTGTTCATGTTATGAGAGTAATAAAAAAATTAAGGAACACAGAATTTAGTGATATATTAACTAGAAGGCTAAAATTTAATTCACATCTATAGCACATGCATTTGGAAGATTTCTCAGCATACTATGATGTCTCAGCCATACCCAGCTGACAAAATAATAGTTCTTTCCTTGAGGCAAGAATAGAGACACTATTCTTGATCAGGCACATTCACCAGTGAGGTAAGAAAGCCAAGGCTTATGAAAAGGTAGGAGGGGCTAGGGGAAAGTGGGGCTTTATATTCTGTCTCTCGGCCATGTAGATATCTTAGGCCTAAGTGGGCTCATCTACACCCAGGGCCCACCTCCCAGTTTTTTTAGGGGCCTCAGGACCACCAGTGATGTAGTACCTCCACCTCCTCAGAAGATTCTAGTCCTCCACTTGTCTTTGTGCCTTGATCTAAACTGTGGCACAAGTGAATCTAATAAAGATGACTGTGATACTCTCAAGACACCCTTAAGCACATCTTGTTCTGTTCATTAGAAAAGAAAATTTCCATTCATGAATCTGGAGGATCAGCATTCTTTAGAGAGGAGCCCAATTGTGCACTTGAGTCTACAGGCTGCTTTCTCTTGGCCAATGTAGTCCCTCCTCCTTAGATAACTGGGCATGTTTTACTGGATCAGAGGTGGGAATAAACTGTTTCACTAGAAGTGTGACCCCAGGACCAAGAGCATCACGATCGCCTGGGATCTTTTTAGAAATGCACATTCTCAGATCTCGCCCCAGACCTGCTGAATCAGATATGCTGGGGGGTGGGGCCCAGTAACTGGTGTTTTAACAAGTCTTCCAGGGCAGGGAACTGCTCATCCAGTCCACCTAGTCACCCTTATCTTATAGGTGAAACACCTGCTGCCACTTCAGGTCCCACTGTTGGTCAGGGCAACACCTGAACTCCATTCTCCTGGCTCTTAACCTATCCATGCAGGTTCCAGTTCTCATCTCTTATCTTCCTTTTTCAAATTAAAATTGTGCTGTGAAATATGCAAACTATAACCGCTTTCAGGTAAGGAGGCATCATCATCTTATTGGACTCGTTCTATCTCCTACCAAGGCTCTGGCCAACATCATTTGGTGCCATAAAATACATAGTCGCATGCACTTACTGCCAAGTGGCTGAAGATACCATGGCTGTAACCTTTAGAATATTCTGCCAAATGAGAAACTAAAATATGAGTGTAACGACCTTGAACCTTATAGCTTGTCTTTTTTATTAGAACTTCCATTTTCCAGAACCAACAAACACCAGAACACACTTGATAATGTCAAAAATCAAATAAGTGTCAGAGGTATATAACACATTCAGGTAGAACAGATTACAGTCATCCCTTAGTATCTGTTGGAGATTGGTTCCAGGACTTCCCAAGGATAGCAAAATCCTAGGATGCTCAAGTCCTTGATACAAAATGGTGTAATATTTGCATATAACCCATGCACATCCTCCTTTATATTTTAAGTCATCTCAAGATTACTCATAATACCTAATACAATGTAAATGCTGTGTAAATAGTTGCTATACTATATTGCTTTTATTTGCATTATTTTTTGTTGTACTGTTATTTTCAATCCATAGTTGGTTGAATCCATGGATACAGAACCTGCAGATACGGAGTGATGACTATATTGAATATCCAGGCTGGAGTGCAGTGGTGCAATCTCGGCTCACTACAACCTCCACCTTCCAGGTTGAAGTGATTCTCCTGCCTCAGCCTCCTGAGTAGCTGGGATTACATTTGTGCGCCACCACATTCAGCTAATTTTTGTATTTTTAGTAGAGATGGGGTTTTGCCATGTTGACCGGGCTGGTCTTGAACTCCTGGGCTCAAGTGATGTGCCTGCCTCAGCCTCCCAAAGTGCTGGGATTACAGGCATGAGCCACTGTACCTAGCCTGTACTGAATATTTACCACAACCTGTACAATATTACAATCTCAGTTTTCCAGATAAGAAAACTGAGGGTTATGAGAGGTTAAAGAATACACCCCAAGCTACACAGGTAATTCTCAGAGCTTAAGGTTGTACCCTCTTGTCCTATCTAAGAATAGCCCCAGCTCTGTCCTGCCCTCTACATAGAAAAGGTAAACAGGTCTTCTCAAGGGCCCCCCAAAAGAAAAGAATGACCAGCACATAATGAATCACCTTAGCAGCATTTAGACCCTGGAGGAGGCCAGACAGGAGGGTGAGGGTTAGAAAATGGATGGGTAGTAATAGGGTCTGTGTTTTCTTATGAGTACCTTTTCCTTTTGAATTTCACAGACTGAAGTCTTTTTGTTATAAAAGCACAAAATGAATTCCCTTCAGGTGCTATCAGTGGCAGGAACAAGGGTGATCTCTGGCCTTAAAAGTTAATACAGCAAGCCAGGTGAAGAGGTCAGAATTATAATCCTGGATCTATAGTAGCTGCCCAACTTCAAGCGAGTCACTCAACCCTCCCCTTCTGGAAAACAGCTCTACTGTCTTTACTCAGGACTATAATATTACGTGATATGGGGAATTAATCCAGCCTAACAGGTTCCAAGTCTAGCAAAGCCCTGGGTCTATTTAGACACAGAAGTACTAAATACAGAAGCCCAGAGGACACCCCACCACCCCACCACAGACACACATGCATATGTACATATACACAATGTCACAAATTGAACAATAAACATGTCCATGCCCAGACATCCCATGGCTCTTGTCTTCCAGGCCATTTTGGGGGTGGGGATAGGACAGGGGTGATGTGCGTGCATGCTCCATCTCTCACTCTCCCCACAAGCCCTCGAGTGAAAGAGCAGTTGCCAAAGATGCAGCGAAGAGGTACCCTACTAAACACACTCAACCTTCTGCTATAAATTTATAGGGCAGCAGACCCTGCCCATCAAGTCCAGACAAATGAGGTTTACCTTGAGAGGGCAAAGGTAATGGACGTTTGTAGAGAGAAGTGTTTAATGCTTGACACAACCCTGCTGCTGTTCAAAAACAGCACTCAGGAGCTTTCAATTAGCTAAGTTAGCTAACAGGGGACAAAGTTCTTGCCCAGTCTATTAAAAGGCTAGACCCAGCTTAGTTTTCCTAATACTTTATACCACCTTTAATCTTTGAGACAATAGATGTGCATGGCCAGTTTCTTCCAAAAGATGATAGCACGGAGGTCACAAGAGCAAGCAAAGCAAAGGGCAAGAAAAAGGTCGAGGGCAGGAGAGCAAAAGTGGGAGGGAGGAAGAGAGAGAGCGAGCTCTGTTCTTTCCTACCTACTTTGTCCTCTCTGTGGCCTCTAACTTAGTAGAGCCTTCTTTATTATAGGAAGGCTAAGGCATAGGCCAACACAACTGGTTCATCAATATCAGCCAACATTTGCTAAATTTTACTATGACATTGGCTCTAAAATTTCTGAACACATGTAGCCAAAGGTCTGGTTCCAGGTCACTGACCAGAATCAGTAGGGCTGGTTCTTTGTGAACAGGCATCTGGTAAGTGGCCACCATTGTCCCAGGGATGCCCTGGATCTATGGACGTCTGGAAGCCAACTTCAGCTTTCAGGACCCCTGAGGCTGACAGCACCATAAATAGCTGCAGTTCCTGGTGCATCTGGCTGGCAGAAGCCAGCCATAGCCATTTCTCTTCCTGCCTGAACCTGGGAGCAGGTCTCAAGTCTCTGCCCTGCTGGACCTGCCTGGCCACATGGGTGAGCAGTATGGGCACCATGGTATGATGCCACTGGGCTTTGTGTTTTATCACCCCAACAACTATGTGGCACCTTGATGAGACTTAAACTCACTGCAGAGAGTTTCAGAGTTGGGGTTCCTTAAGGCCAAAGCCGCTCTCTTACTGGCCTAGAGGGTCACAGTGCATATTCAACAATTCACAAATCACAGATTTCTTTAAGGTAGCACAGAGAGATT
Organism: Homo sapiens; assembly: GCF_000001405.40. NCBI lineage: Eukaryota > Metazoa > Chordata > Mammalia > Primates > Hominidae > Homo > Homo sapiens. Next base: position 38,683,344 of record NC_000023.11, on the reverse strand, counting down.
AATCAGGCCAGATAATTATTTGTCTAATCATACATTTCTTCATTGGGATGTGTGAGAGAAGAGTGGAAGAGAGGTATTAATCAGGTTCATTACTTGGAGAAGGATCCATTTGATTTGATTCATCTCATTAATGAAAATAGGATCCTCTTAATACCACACACACACTCATGCTCATGGCCACATGGGAATATTCTTGGATGATAAGGTGTTTCATTCATGAGATTCCAGGTTCTTTGAGGCTCTCTTCTCCTAATGTACAGTATCAGCATAATCTCCCTTTATGGTTCTAGGATAGCTATTAGGGGAGACTTCAGCAATATTTTTTTTTCCTCCAATGGGACAGGTCTCCTCAAATGCCAAACACAAGACGCCCTTTTGATGTTAACAATATGATGCTACACATACATATGTTAAGTAAACAGGATGTTCAAGGCTGTCAAGTGCATCTTGCACATTTGCATCAGTCACCAGGGTTTGGGGATCCTCTAAAATGTCCCTCAGTCATTAGAGTGATGTTGCTGAGTATTATTATTGAAATATTATAGCAACTAGAAGAAATTTCAGAGTAGCAATGACTTTTCAAATGTCTCTGGAGACTGAGTTAATTTGCATTGTTTGTGACCCCACTCTGGTTTGTCTATGTGTTGGAGGGTTGAGGGTTTAATTCACTTCATGAGCTGCAAAACAAAAACAAAAAATAACAAAGCATGGTAAAAGATAGTTTTGAAATTGCAACAAGAAACATATTTGTGTTGGCTGAGCCCACGTTCTCTTGTGAGATAAAATGTCTCACAGGTTTTGTAACTGCTTAAGAAGAAAAGCTCTTCTACTTCTCTAAGGCTGTCTAGTAAAAAACAAACCATCAGGCTAAAGTTCTATTCCTTAATCTTAGCGAGGGTTACACAGCTATGTTCATTTTGTGGTAACTTATTAAGCTGTAAACATAATTTATGCACCTTTCTGTATATTCCACATTTCAATTAGAAAGTTTTAGGAACAAACTGGAATAAAATTAAAGTGCATCTGCATTGCTAAGCAGGAGGGCCAGAGATACAGATGGCTAGGGAAAAAGTAATTAGAGTCTGAGATAGCCTATGTAGAAATTAGAGTTGTGGTTTGTTGTAGACACCAGGTCCTAAATAAAAAGAAATAAAAAAATAATAAAAAATGAGAGCTGTGGAGACATTACTCAGACAACATTAATCGAGCTTTGTTTGAAACATGATCTGTTGGTCTGAACAAAGTCTGAGTTAAACATAAACAAAGTTTGCTCTTGCTTGTTAACTATACATGTTGATTCTTCTACCCAAAGCAACATTATAGCAAGGATGTATCATTTGTCTGAGAGATCAGAAGCCTGTGGAACCATGCCCTGCCTGGTGGACGTGGGCTACATTTTAGATTTAGCTTAATCTTATTCTATCCTCCAGTGTGTGTGGTTTACTTAATTGGCATAGTACTTCTCCCATTGTTTTTTTTGAGGGTAGGTACAGATAAAGGGATATAAAATTTAATACACAAAATTTGATTTCCTCTTAAGAAACCACATAAGAATAGTCAAACCTGTTACGAATAGCCAAACTTAGAAATTAAAATAATGATCACAAGTTGAAGTTTGCTAAATTTAGGCTTTCTTTAAAGGGAGAGATCTCATCTGTAATACATAGGAACTAAGAGAGAGCAAAAAAGGGTTAGGTCAATCAGGAAAAAAGCTTCCCCCAAATCCAGATCAGCCATTTGATGTTTTGAGTTGTTTATGATCCAATTATGCCAGCACGTTCTTCAGTTAACCTCCATTTGACCTACAGAAGTAGCCAGTTGTTTTTCTGGAGCTAGTCATTAGTTTAACTGTAACTGATATTCCCTTGATGACAAAACTTCATTTGAGTTGAAAAAGAAAAATCAATAAACAGATCACCTGAGGACTAATGAGCAAGGAGCTTTGACCCCATCTATCAGCTTTTCCCAAAGCACAGGAAGGCAGGCAGAGAATCTGGAGGCCAGGGAGGGAGGCAGAGGAAAGGTTAGACCAGGTTCTGCACAATTATGTAGGCTACCTGGGAGAATGCGATTCCAAACGCCACTCCAGCGATGATTCCCATGTTAGTCTCCATGAAACTAGTTACCAGATCATAACAACCCTGGAAAGAGAAAGACACTGTCTTGGAGACATGTTTTCACTCAGGCCAAGCTGGGCTATGTGTACTCGAAACACTCCCAACATACACTTCAACCTTAATTCAGCAAATACAATTGCAACTCACTCTAGGGATTTATTAGCATTCTTTTCAAACTTAAAACAATAAGAAAAGGTTTCAAACATACACAAAAATACAGAGACACATGACCCTTCCCCTAACATCACAAATTAACATTTGGTCAATCTTGCTTCATTGGAACCTCCCCAAATCCCATCCTATTTAAAGCCAATCCCAGACACAATTTCATTGACAAATGTTTCTGTAGTAGGATTAAGTTTAGCAAGAAATCTGTAAGATCTATGAAGCAAACACTATAGAGACAAAGAAGTAGACTTGAAAAGACATTCCGCATCCTTGAACAGGAAATCTCAGGATCATAAACATAGTTACTAGCATTTTGACAATGAATGATGAAATCTTGAATAAACAAACCGAAATCATCTGGCTAGAGGGAAGTGTTTGAATATCTGCCAACTTTATGGAGTTTTAGGGTTCTTCCTAATGAGACCATTAGGATTTTTTAAATAGGGAAAACCTATGTTCTAGGGTCATCTTTTCCAGAGAGAGAGAGAGAGAGAGAGAGAGAGAGAGAGAGAGAGAGAGAATTTGTAAGTATATTTATTTGAAACTGGCCAAATCAACCTAGAGTCCTGAACTGACTTATTCAGCTAGGAAGACATGGTCTTTTTCCAGTTTTCTGGAAAAGGGCTTCAACTAAAATGTATAAAGTCTGCGAAAAATAAAGACATTAATTTAATAAACAGATTAAAGCTGGTTCTTGTTTACCAAGAATGGCACACTAAGTTTTAATAACATTTGAAGAAAAAAAAAAACCAGCCATGTTTTCCCTTTTTAAGTTCAAATTTAACAATTTAACATTTCTTATAGCTTGTAAAATATTCTGGCAATGCTGTGTCTTCTATTAAGTGGTATCTATATACATTTGTAGTCTGTGTGCAGGAAAAAAAAATGGTGCATTAACTTACCAGTAGTGCTTTGAGACATGTTTTCTTTCGTTTTTTAAGTTCAGGGGTACATGTGCAAGTTTGTTATATAGGTAAACTTGTGTCGTCGGGGTTTGTTGTACAGATAACTTTGTCACCCAAGTATTAAGGCTAGTACCCATAGTTGTTTTTCCTGATCTTCTTCCTCCTCCCACCCTCTACCCTCCTATAGGCCCCAGTGTGTGTTGGTCCCTTTGTGTGACACATGTTTTCAATGCAATTGACAAACTATACTCCTTAGTTATCTGATGCAAATTTGAAGGCCAGGGTAGGAGTGGGAAAGGAAATACATTATCACTCATGGGGAGTTTTGAAATTTGATTCCCCATAGTAGAAGCTTACTGATTTCACTTTTACTAGTGAGACTATATATCACACATTTTTTTTTCATTTTTTCTTTTCTTTTCTCTTTTTTTTTTGAGACAGAGTCTTACTCTGTCACTCAGGCTGTAGCTGGGATTACAGGTGTGTGCCACCATGCCTGGCTAATTTTTGTATTTTTAGTACAGATGGGGTTTCACCATGTTGGCCAGGTTAGTCTCAAACTCCTGACCTCAGGTGATCCACCCACTTCGGCTTCCCAAAGTGCTGGGATTACAGGCATGAGCCACCGTGCCCAGCCTCACACTATTTTTCAAAAGGTAGTAGAAGAGAGAAGAATTTGTGTTAGAAAGAAGACAAAATGAGAAGAGATGTGGATATTCTAACACTTTCCCAAAAGGTAGCAGCTAAGACAGCAGTTTACCAGGCTGGCCATCATTACTATATCTTCTCCCTGCAGTGATGATGGGGCTAAAGAATGAGGTCCAGATCAGCACCAGTGTTATGTAAGCTCAAAATTTGGAAACACAAGCCTGATAATACAACTGAGAGAGAAGCAGAATGAGCTATTTTCTTATTCTGCAAAACAGTTTGGCATAGATTTTTTTCTGGGCACTTCAATTCTACACTTAAGCTGAATATATTTTCTAAAGTATGATTTCTACTTCATTCTAGAAGATTTTAGACTTGGTCACATTATTTTTGGTAAGGCCACTCCAACCAGTAGGAGAAACCAGAAAAAGGAAATAGCTGCCTGGCATTAGTACAACTGAGCCGAAATAGTTCTCTCTAAACCTTGTTCCTCAATGTATGGATCTTGAATGAGCAGTATTTCTTCACCTAGGAGCTTGTTAGAAATGCAGAATTGGAGGCTCCACCCCAGACCTACTGAATCAGAATCTGCCAAATCCATGGGTTATTGCTTTTGACATATTTTTAATGAATTTTAACCAGATCTCCCGACACTTCATATGCCCATTAAAAGGTGAGAAGCACTCTTCTATAAGAAATGTTTTCTCATTATTTTTTACTCCAAATAAGAAAGCAAGTTAATGAATCATATCAGTAATAGGATTAATTAAAATGAGAAGATATAAGTGACTTAGTTTTTTTGTTTTTAAACAATAAGAGACCAATGTCAAAATAAATGTTTTCCATCTCTGGATTTTTCCGTTATTTACTGCATGAACCCCGAAGTTCATTTTCCATGTCTCAGCACAGATCCACATACTGCAAGAGCTGATTTAATACTGCAACCACAGGCCATGTTTACATTCAACCTTAAATTTTCCCCTAAACTATGATCTTATCTACTCACAACAATCTCTCTCAATTTCCTAATATGAAAGTCGGTTGTCAGGTGTGAGATAAATCTACACAGACCTGCTAAGTATCCTAGGAAACACTCAGAACAGTTCATTTGCTCACTCTCTCAGCACGTCTAAATCAATAGTCACCAATGGAAAACATCTGCAAGTGACCGACTTTAACTACTAGAAGTAGAAAGCTAGTTCCAGACAGGTTATGGGAAGAGGTATCTCTGTAACTGCCAAGCAAAGTAACTATGTTCCTCTTGCCCTTACGAACTGTCAAAGAATCCCTATGAAGTAGGATTTCAGCCAATGCTATTAGCCAACTGAACGTGCAGACATTTCATCATCCTGCTAGTAAAATCAAAATAAAACCTGTCCCCAAATCCAAACAATAAATATCCTATTTAACTGTTCATATTTTCCTCCTGTTCTCTCCCAGTTATCTGTACAAGACAGGTTTCTCAAGCTTCCTGGTAAGAGCCAAGAATCATCTTTCTGTGCTATCAGAGTAAGTACAGGGTCCAAGACACCACAGGATCTACAGGGATGATCCACTTGTTCTAAATCATAGGATTCCATATAACTAGAATGTGGCAGTAGTTAAGCTTCCTAGGGGAAGGAGTCACTGGGAGGAAGGGTAACATTTATGAGCATCTACTATTACCCCATTCCAATCTTCCACCTTGTATAGATTAGGTGTCTGACATTGAGTCAGGAAAAGTAATTTGTCTCATAAGTTCAGGTGGGCATTAAATAAGAATGTCTAAGGAAACTTGCTAGACAAATTTTAGTTTTCATTCACTTTTTCTCCTCTGAGGGAGCCAGGTTGGAGGCTATAAGGTAAGTAAGAGAGAAGTTAAGCAGATCTTCTAAGTATTTGAGGTGGCCAGGAAAATATAAAGTTGGATTATAGTGGGAAGGTGGAAAGTGAGGTCAATGTGTAGGTTTATCAATGAAATGAAAAAATGTGACCCCATCTCTCTTTCTGGAAATAATTGTAAGGATTATAGATGCACTATAAGATACGTCTCCAAACTTGTTTTTACATACTAACAAAAGATCCTCCCTATAAGAAACTGCTGCATCATTTTTAATAAAAGACTCCATGTGATACAGAAGACAAATTTCACCATCATCATTTGTATTACAGTTAACATGTATCACATCTGTGTCATAATCTGTGCCAGGCACTGTGCTTTTGACACTTTATCTCATTAAATCTTCAAATCAAGCACAAGGAACATGTACTATTATTATCCGCATTTTACAGACAAGAAAAGCAAGACTGACAAAGTTAAGTAACTTGACCGAGATCACATAACCAACAAGTGGCTCAGTCAGAATTTCTACTGGAGCCTGACACTAGACCCTGTGCTCCTGACTTCTGGATCCTCAATTTTCACAAAAGAAGAGGAAGCTTGAGTGGGGGGAAAAAAAAGACTTGGGTACTGCTTTCATGAACAACCTTCTGAAGCTCTGTTATATCAAATATCTCACTGCCATAGAGTACTTCTTGCCTTCCATAAATTGGAGTATCTACCACATGCCAGGTATGCTTAGCACTTCATAAAATGGAAGCATAATGACACGTATGGGTACTCAGTGGGGATGTCCATGAGGAAGCCAGAAGTTACCTTATTAACTAATAAGAGATGAAGGAAGCCTCAATGTTTGGGTTCATAAGAAAATTCAAATAGAAACAGATGTCCTTTTAACTTAGACAAGAAGCAGTCAGTACTGAATCTTACTGAACTATCTTTTTTTCTCTGAATTATTCAGTAGCTGGTCCAGATCACATAGAATTTTGAAGGCATCATATGAACAGAATTTTACCTTAGCAAGAAAAGATTTACCCCTTGACTGAATAACAGGAAGTAAACACAATAGTAGGTTTTTTCCTCCCTTTTGTTTACCAAAATATATGTTATATATGGTATTTCTCTAAACATTTAAGATGTAGATAATCTTCACATGCAGTTATATCATGTCTTCATCGTATTCTCTGTAAAATGGAATGCAGAATTGATTTTCCTCTTCTCTGACTACTAAAACTTCATTTCCCTCATTTTCACTATGTACTAACTTTTAAATTTCGTTTAGTCCTCTTTTTTCCCCTCTCTAATTTCTTTGGGAGTCGGGAGGTTGACAGTGAGTTGAATCAGAGTTGCTGATTTCTTTTCCTATGGCAGTAAACTCCCTAAAATAAAGGCCACCCTCCTAGCAGAAGCAGATGCTGTCTGTCAACTCTACTCCCCTCTTGCTGTCAAAAACTGACACCCAGCTGCAAACAATTTCATGTTTAGATGGTATATTAAGCAGAAGACGGACACCCCAAAAGAAGAAAGCCAACACTCGCTGTCTGACATAAGCATCAGGGTTAACAGGAACTGCTTGCTAAACCTTCCTAACTATGCCTGGTAGATCCTTGCTGTGGGAGAGAAAGACAAGGCTGATCTGAGTCACAGCTTTCTCTTTTAGAAGTGAGCAGCCTCAAGTGCCTCTCCCAGGCAATCAAGGAACCACAAAGTAAGATTCTCTTTCCCTTGACTACTATTTCAAATCTATTTGTCATAATTTCATGGAAATAAAAAAGCCCCCCCAAACATTCACCACTGGTCCCATCTGGGCCAGGAGAAAGCGGGTACCTTCTGGTTAACTTTGGTGGCGGCCACAGTCAGATTGTGTAGATCCTGGGGATTACAATCAGTTTCGTTCATGCAGCAGCTGGGGGGGATGCCATGCTCCAGGAAGTAGGGGCTGGTGCTCCAGTTGGTGTAGTTCTGCACACCACAGCAGCTCAGCTATTAACAGGGAAAGGAAAAGAATAAAAAAATGGCAGATCAAATGTGGTCTCCTCAATCACTGCCTTGTGACTTTTATAAGAGAAACACAGGCAAAAGCCCTAAGACAACATGTGCAGCTTTGGTGAGTCAAGATGAATGGAAGCTCCAATAACAATTATACCCATATTGATGCTTGTTTGATCTCCAAGAAGGAAGTTCTAAATTATATATCACATTGGCTTTCTTATTACCTCCACAAAGCAAAGCAGTGCGTCTGTGTCCAACTCACAATCACCTATTGATATAGATGTACTCATCCACTAAATCAGGACTATTGATTGGTGAGTTGAGGCAAATATGGTTTCAAAAAACTCTCCCCTGGGATATCTACTAATAAGTAAATAAATAGTTCTTAAGAAAAAAAGATGCACATACAGAAAGGGAGAGCCAAAGCTGGTAATCTATAGCCCAGGAGCTACCTGTTTTTGTAAATAAAGTTTTACTGGGACACAGCCACAACTATGTGTTCACATACTGTCTGTGGCTGCTTTTGTGCTACAGTGGCAGAGATGAGTAGTTGTGACAGAGTTTATGGCCCTCAAAGCCTAAAATATTTACTATTTGATCCTTTACAGAAGAAGTTTGCCAACCCCAATGTAGAGAATATTAAAGCAAACGGGGCAAAAATATAATTAATTGGTAAATCTGAGTATACAGTTCCTTGTAGTATTCCTGAGACTTTTCTGTATATGTTGGAACTTTTATCAAAATAAATTAGAAAAAAGACTTCTTCTGAAGTAAACAAAACCAAGAAAAACCAAAGCAAAATCCCCCTTAGTGATTCCTGATGGGCAGTTATGCTTGAGTGCCAGCACTTGCCACCCAGACAGGAAATCTCTCTTCTATTTCCCCCATATCCTCCGCAAAGCATCAGGCAGCTCACCACCTTCACATACCTAACAGAGCCTCAGTTTCTTCTAGGTCCACTCTATGCCCACTCCACTGCCCCAGCCAGTGAATGCAGCTCGCCTGAGCTCTCCACCCAGCCTGAAGACATCGATTCCAGAAAGCCAGCCTCCGGGAGCCAACTCTAAGCAAGGTTGTCACACACTCACTGCCTAACTCCTTCACAAGGGTTCAGATCTGAAGAGCAAATGAGCTGTCCTTGCCATACTTGCAACCCTTACTGATACAAGGCACACTCAAGGGAGTGGTCCTCCTTGACATTAATTACCTGAATAACTGGAGCCTGGACAAGGACTGGGTGTCAACTCTTGGCAATGGAACTGGACTAAGAGTTGAAGAACGGGAACAAATAGCAACTACTGGGCCAACCTACAGGCAGTCCATAAGTCTAAGCCTAGACTTCATAGTTAGTTCACACCCTCATCTCCTCTGGAACTTACGCTGCGCTGCACATGGTCCACTGCCCGGCTCCTCTCATCATTGCCATTGTAAGTCTGCATAGCGTCCGTGTAAGTCCTCAGGAAGGTGTCCTTGATCTATGGAAGACAAGGAGGGATGTGATTGCAGTCCACCACAGCCCAAACTGACTCCAATTCTTACCAAATTCTACCCTAACATAGCCTCTTCTGAAAGTCTCTGTATAAATGTAGGCCAGGGAGGCAATGCCCCATTTTCTGAGATGGAAAAGCTCAGAAAATTCACCAGGGGGTTTTTAAGCTCCGGAATTTAAAAAATTGTTCCCCTCAGCCTCAATCCAGAGAAAGCCTGACCTGCTGAATGACCTACTGGAGGGGCCTGTCCATTTCTGAAAGGCCTGTGATGGTGAGCTGCCAAACCTCAGGCATGAGCTTTCTACTTATTTTCTTTGAATTGATTAATACCCATCTTTCTATAACTTTCTCTGCCCTTACACAGGAGGCTCATAAAAGACAAACCACTTGGGTGGACAGGATGACTGATGTTTTGGTCAAAAACTGATCCCTGTTTTACCATAGGAGTGAGGCAAAACCAACTTTCACTTACCTGTCTTTATTGAGGCAAATTAAAAAAAAAAGATAATAAAGGACAAGAACTTAAAAAGGTTGGCTAGGTGCAGTGGCTCATGCCTGTAATCCCAGTGCTTTGGGAGGCCGACATGGGCAGATAACTTGAGGTCAGGAGTTCAAGACCAGCCTGGCCAAGATGGCAAAACCCAGTCTCTACTAAAAATACAAAAAAAAAATTAGTCAGGCATGGTGGCAGGCGCCAGTAATCCCAGCTACTTGGGTGGCTGAGTCAAGAGAATCGCTTGAACCCAGGAGGCAGAGGTTGCAGTAAGCAGAGATTGTGCCACAGCACTCCAGCCTTGGCAACAGAGCAAGGCTCTGTCTCAAAAAAAAAAAAAAAAAAAAAGTTAACAAAACCTTTTCTGTTACCACATTTGACTTTGGGGTAACTTTCAAGCTCTGTTTCCCTGGAAACCTGATGAAGGTGGAATGTCGAATGTGTTACCAGGCCACTGAGTTTATTGATAAAACTGACCCCCAATTGGTAAAATGCCTCCAGATTGGGAGGACAGCAAATGACAATAACTACTTGGTGGGAAGCTTAGGGCTAAGTATGGTGACTCTCCTAACTAGGCATATTCTTTGCTAAAATGCTGTAAACTATGTCCATGGGACAGTTACAAGAGATAGAGATACCAGTTACATGCAGCTTCTAAGCTAAGGTGGCTACCACACCCAGCTGTGTCATCTCATTTCGCTACACTTAAGCTGTCTCTTAGGATGGGGGACTGTACACAGAATAGGCACTAGACTATTTTGAGGACTCATGGTGGAGAAACAAGCCCACTACTGCCTAGCAGGCAAACTGTGCTTCCTTTGTTATATCTTTCTGCTTTTGTTAAATGGCACTAAATGAGACCTATTGTCATCATGTGAGTTTGACTAGCCAAACTCAAGACCAGCGCTGGTGGTCAGAGTGGCATTGTACCTTCCTCCCACAACAGCCCTCAGGGTTTCAGCCAAAAGAGATTAGGTACATGAGGATTTCCAGGCCCTAGGCAGCAAGCACCATTAAGAGAAAAACCTCTCCACAGAGCGCACTCCCAGCAACAAACAAGAGGCTCAGGTAGGAACAAGCCAGGCTGCTCCTGGTGTTCATACATGCACGAGGGGCACTTATTAGGGCTGTTGAGGCTGAAACTTCATCAGGTCTCACTTCACTAGAGACTATGAATGGGGTTCTAATTCCAAATGCAGCACCCATACAAACTGGGTTCTGGGAATCAGCTTTGGCATCTGGGATACTGTCTTTGGTAAAGGGGAAAAACAAGGCAGTAGGGGAGCAGAGAGCATACAGTCAAGCTCAGGGGGAACTGAACTTGGCCAAGCACAATAGTGGGATCTTTAAGTGTGCAGCAAGATGGGTTAATGAAAAATTTTTTAAAAAAATTAAAAAAAAAAACAGGGCCTGGGAACAGATGATGCCAGCCTTTCGAGACCCACAGTAACACTCTCTGTTTTCCACCTGTATATATTTTTTTTCTTTTTCTTTTTAACACATGTGTATCTACTTCTGGCTTTACTATTATTTATGGAGAGTCAATGATAAAATTTTGAGGCAGCAAGACAATTAGTTTGGCTTGCCTTTATAGTCTTAGAAATCTTGTTATACAGATATACACTTGTGCCTTACTGAAGCAGCTATTTTTAAAAACAAAAAATAGAGACAGGATCTCACTCTCTTGCCCAGGCTGGAGTACAGCAGTGTGATATTAGCTCACTGCAGCCTCGACCTCCCAAGCTCAAGTGATCCTCCCTCCTCAGCCTCCTAAGTAGCTGGGACTATAGAAGCAAGCCACCACACCCAGCTAATTTATTTTTTTTATTTTTTAGAGATGGGGTTCTCACTATGTTGCCCAGGCTGCTCTTGAACTTCTGGCCTCAAGAGATCCTCCTGCCCCAGGCCTTGCAAAGCTCTGGTATTGCAGATATGAGCCACCATGCCCAGCCTGAAGCAGCTATTTTTAAGGAGTATGAAATCCATATTGAAGGTCACTGCTTTATAACGGGAGAGAATCATTTTATGCAATGGCTACACAGAGAAACAGTGAAGATCAACAATGAAGGTTTCAAGCTTGGTGGAATTCCCACATTTAGAATTTCATGAAAATTTCAGGTCATATGACATGATCTTTGGAAAACAACAACACCACTGAGGAAAACAGCTAGCCTATATGCACCCTTTACACATTTCAAGAGGTTTCAAGAATCCTCCTCCCAAACACCCCTTAACTGAGTTCTGCATTTTGTGTATACTCACCTCATGACGAAACACAAACCCTGAAATGCCAGCTACGAGCTCAGCCAGGAACACCAGGGACAGAAACATGGCATACTGAAAATTAAGCACACAAAGACAAAGTCAGATACATCAGGATTAAGAAGAGGGCTTCTTCAGGGTAGGTTACTTTCAATCAGCGGGAATTAGACAAGTCCTCACACTCCCTAGACAAAGTTTAGAAAAAAATATAAAACATTCGTCTCTAAATTTACCCACATAAGCCTCAATCTAGGAATGTGTGTTTAATATGCATATGCATTTTGGAGTACACAGGCTGGGGAGAATTCACTGAGAGACTGGCATTGTGCCTATCAGCTTGGCTCACCTGGAGAAATCTGGAAGGAACTTTCACAACTAAGGTATCCACTATTTGTTACACTAGAATCTTTGAGCTAGAAAAAAACCAAACTGCTCTGAAGGTCACAGGACACATTCTGCCCTGTCTGGGGGTCCTTTTTTACCAACTTCCTCACGACGGTCTGCAAGCCAATTCCCTGCGGCCCATTCCATTTTGAAACTGTTCCAATTGTTGGAAAGACTTCCTTTCCCTTTGGCCACAAGTCTGCCTACTTCTAACTTCCACTCACTGGCATTGGTGCTGCTTTCAGAAGAAATAAGAACCAGCCCAATGTCTTTTCTCTAACGCTAGCCCATCATGTTTGTGAACACGGCCAGGATGAGAACCTGCTGCCTAGGCAAACGCCTCCAGTAGTCTCAACCACATCTCAGATGAAACAGTTACAAAACTGCTTCATTTGGAATTGTATCCCTCCCATCTGGGCCCAAGAAGCCAAACGTGTGCAAGATGATGTTCCTCTTCAGATTGGTGGTCATCACTGGACACAGTAGCCACTGCAGCTTTCCTGTGGAGTTGCCTGCCTTTCTTGTTCGGGATGCTGCGTGGAGTTTAAAGCCTTTCAAAAAGTAAATGCACTATACTACTAATGACATTTGCAAGCATCTAACGCCTTTAGTGCTTTTCATCTCATGCTGCTGATACTTCTCAAGTTTTTTGCATGTGCATGCACATGCAAGCACGCCTAAATTCAAGGGTAGTACATGGTATTTACGAAACATTAAGGATAACTTTGAAAGGCAGATAAAAACAAGAATTGATTCCTTACCTACAAGGCACATGTCTTACAATCTGCTTCTTATTTCAAAATGAAATATAATGGTTTTGAACATTTGCAATGGCCCTAAACAATGCTGTGGAATTTGGATAGATTGCATGTGGCCACATTACTTACCTGTAAAGTATACACATGTCTCATAAAGTATACATATGTATGCTGAGTCATAATTTTTTTTTCTCATCTAGTGGCACATATATCGAAAAAGGAAATGTTGGCTTAAAATATTAATTTCTTTCTAAATATTAACAAAATTCTCTAGAAAGCACAGCCACTCAAATACTAAACATGTAGTTATGAGAATGCCCCATGTACATGACTTCTTTCCCAACTTCATACAAAATGCAATTCAAAGCAGAGTTTGATGTGAGACTCTCCCATTTTGCTGATGGGATAAGCCTAGACTCTTCCAGAAAGTTGGGTGGGAAAATAACTGTTAGCAGGCAGGTGGAAGAAAGGGCATTTATCTCTGTAGTCAGAAGTCCTCCTAGGTTTGAATCCTATCTTGTTATGAACTACCTCTTAGAAAGGAGGCAGCCTCTCTGGGCTTCCATAAAGTAGACATAGTTATTTTCAGTTGTTTTGCAATTAATGAGGTTATATAAGGACTGCAAAATTCTAGACTGACAGTTAATCAAGTGACTTCCGCTCTCATCAGCCGAATCAGCAGTTTTCTGTGTCTGGCAAGTTTCCTGCCTCTAGGAGCTTTCAGAGAGTGGCCGTTTTACCTACAGAAAGCATTTGCCAAAAGCCTATTGGGACGAGCTTGTACTAAATACAGGTCAGTAGGGGTTAGAGCTTTTTTCCCAAATGTAAACATTGGAGTTGAAATAGTCCTAGCTTTGGAAGGAAACATACAAGGGTTCAAATCCCAGCCTTCCATACATTAGCTGTGTGAATTTGGGTGGGTTATCTAAACCCCCAAGTTCCTATCACATTATATGAAAATATAACCTACACTGCATGGTGGTAGTGAGGAGAAAAATAAAATATCATACGCACCCAGTATAGCCTCTATCACATAAAAGGACCAAATCATATTTTAAAAATTTTATTGTTTTTAACTAACATATAATAATTGTACATATTTATGGGGTACAGTATGATGTTTTGATACATGCATACTCTGTGTAATGATCAAATCAGAGTAGTTAGCATATCCATTACCTAAAATATTTCTTTGTGGTGGGAACATTCTAAATCCTCTCTTCTAGCTATTGCTAAATATGTAATACATTAACTATAGTTACCCTACTATGCAATAAAACACCAGATAATTCCTCCTATCTAGCTGTGACTTTGTACCCATTGGCCAACCTCTGCTTCTCCCTCCTCCCCTGTCTCTAGACAAAAAAAAAAATAAATGCTGATGAGGATGTGGAAAAGGGAGAACTCTTATACACTGCTGATTGGAATGTAAATTAGTACAACCACTATGGATAACAGAGTAGAGGTTCCTCAAAAAATTAAAAGTAGAACTACCATATGATCCAGCAATCCTACTGCGGGGTATATACCCAAAGAAAATGAAATCAATATGTTGAGGAGATAGCCACGCCCCCATGTATATTGCAGCACTATTGACAATAGCCAACCTAAGTGTCCATACACACTGGACACAATGTGTCTATACACAATGGAATACTATTTGGCCATAAACAAGAATGAAATCCTGTCACTTGCGACAACATGAATGAATCTAGAGGATTAAGTGAAATAAGTCAGGGAAAGAAAAGACTAATAACTGCCTGATCTTACACATATGTAGAATCTAAAATTTGATCTAAAAGACATTTTTAAAGACCCAAATTAAGCCCCAAACCAAAAAACTTCTCTACTTCCCAAAATGCTCACCTGCCAGTGAACTTGTGTTAGGAGAAGAAAATGGTAGTGTGGTGTGAAGCCACCTCCAGAAGAGGCCAGAACTAACTATTCCATTGTTTATACACATATCCTATTTTATGACATTATACTCAGCTATGGGATACTTCTGCCCCACAAGCAAATTGAGAATTAGAACATAAAAATATCACCTCTCCCACCCCTCTCCAGTCATAGTATTTGGGCCGGGAGAAACTTTGGTGATTTAGTCCAATTCTATTTTGTTACAATTGGAGACAAAGGTCCAAGGAGGTTACATCCTTGCCGCTAAAGACTTTAAACAGTTAGTTGGAATCAGTCAGGTCTCAACACCACATCACTTCCCTTCTTGTTTGAATGGATGGTTTTTTAGAATTTTTTCTTTTCTCTGCTTTTGAAGTTAATTCTCCCCTTGCTACTCATTGTGCTAAACAAAAGGTTCTCAATACTGGCTACAAGATTGAATCCTCTGGAGAGCTTTTTAGAAAATAAGATGCCAGGGCCTCACCACCACTGAGGAGTCTACTTCAACCAGCTAGTGGTGGGATGCTGGCAAAGGTTTTTGCAAATGGCTTCCCAGGTGATTTAATCATGTATCTGGAGTTGAGGACTATGGCACTAGACCAAAAGAAACCCTAGTGTTTATGAGAAGTACTAGAAGGTAGACTCAGGGTGTTAGAATAGAGTGCCAGGTGACAGCAGCAGAAGCCTGGCCCATAATCAGGATGGGCCTCATTATGGCTTGCCCATCAACCTGAAGAATCAGTGGCGGCTGAGGCATCAGCCTCCTGTATGGTCTGCAGGATAGAAAATGGCAAAGTCAAGCACCACTTCTATGAGGTTGACAACAGAGACTGACTGCCCAGTGCCAGTTGGGAAGATGGTTCCTTTGGAATGAACCACTCTCACACCCACATATATCACTAGATGGTATTAAATGTTACTACAACCTAGGGCTACACAGGGACAGGCAACATGGCCCTGATGGAATCTTTGCTTCTCCCTTCACGGAGTAAGATGCCTGAAATAAATATTTTTAAACAAAATTTTATTTTGAGGACAGGTCCTTGCTAATTTTTATCTATAAAATCCTTTACCATTAATCCCCATCAGTGAAGAACATGAACAGTGAATAGAGAATTAGTTAACTGCTGTACCTAAAAGTTAAAAATCACAGTAATAGCCTTTCAATAGTCTGCCCTTATCATCTGGGAAGCATCACTGCTTTATCTGTCCCATGAGAGTATGCACCCTGCACTGGTCCTGGTAGCCAACACTTGACACTGCATAAGTCCTCTGGGTGGCAGGCTCTGGCTTAGCTCAACTCTCATAGCACTGAGACAGGGAGTACAGGTTCAGAGAAGACCACACACATGCATCCATGCATGGCCAGGCTCAAGGAGGTGGAAAGTATTTCTCCAATAGGAACTTGGAGGTGAAAGTCTGCTTATGTTCAGGATGCTGCCTTGCCACCAAAGCTGCATATCACATGCTTAAGGAGACTTCTAAGATATAGTTCAAAATTGAAACAGGGCGAGGCCGGGCACGATGGCTCAAGCCTGTAATCCCAGCACTTTGGGAGGCCGAGGCAGGTGGATCACGAGGTCAGGAGATCAAGACCATCCTGGCCAACATGGTGAAACCCCGTCTCTACTAAAAATACAAAAAAAATTAGCTGGGCGTGGTGGCGGGCGCCTGTAGTCCCAGCTACTTGGGAGGCTGAGGCAGGAGAATGGCATGAACCCAGGGGGTGGAGCTTGCAGTGAGCAGAGATTGCGCCATTGAACTCCAGCCTGGGCAACAGAGCGAGACTCCATCTCAAAAGAAAAAAAAAAAAAAGAAAAGAAACAGGGCATCTTGTCATGAGGATACAAATGGACTACTGCAATCACTGGCCACTGCTTTGTCATCATCTACCCAGAGGGACTGGGACTAGATTTAGTGTGCCAGGCTGTGTTTGGGGTTGTTTTTACCTCTAGGGGATTAAAGGATGGATTAGGAAAGAGTCTGGACTGAAATTGTTAAGGTCTTGTCTGTGACCTCAAGACGAACCACTTCACCTCCATGTAATTTATATTTTTACAAAAATATAGTTGAGAAAGCAGTATTATGTTGTGACATACTCACCAGTTTCAGCATCCATGGGCTACCACGACATGTAGCAAAGCATCCAAACAGGCCAAAGACAACAATAGTGGTGCCAGTTCCGATGAGCACATAGGGAGCATTTGTGGAGTTCTCGGCAATAAGGGAGATATAGGTGCCCAGAGTAAGTTTGCCCCAGACTCCAACAGCCAGCAGGATCACCCCAGTGATCTGAAAGAGGGAGAGGAGAGTGTGAAGCTATTGCCAAGAGAGGTGAGAATCAGCACAGAGCAATGTGGCCAAATTTGAAGACTCAAGTTTCCGTGAATAAGACGGTACTTGCTGTAGGATTCCCTGAGCAACGAGAAATGTCAGAGAGTGTTAACTAAAATCATCATAAAGACACTTCATTTATTTTCCCCAATAAACGTGCCCCTTACACAATCCCATATGCAATTATTGTGTTAATTAGAAGTCAAGCCAACAATAAAGAACTTCTTTTTTAAAAAGCAGTTTACAAAGCACATCATACGACAGGTCTGAGAGCCTTCCCCCAGCTGCTGCCTGACACCAAGCTGGGTATAACCCCATGAAGAATGACAGCTGCCCTCTTTGATGGCATGTGTGTACACAGTATATTTTATGGACATCCTGCACAATGTTTTCAGGAACACAGTGATTCCCTTTGACTATTATTGCAGAAATTTCCACAAAAACAAAATATTCCAAATATTTTTGAATCCCTATTGATGTGTTGTCTTAATATTTTATTCAATATAAAACAACAGAAGAATCTGCATAGTTCCTGGAATTAGCTGTAATGCGATTTGCCAAATCCCACTGATCAGTCCAAAGGAAATCCCTATAGCATGTCTAAACTAGAACCCTGCATCAATCAGGCCTTTACTTTATGGGATAGATTCCAGGGTGCATACTATGCCTAACACCCCACCCCCTGCAGGCCACACGCCCTGGCAGCTTTAGCTGCTAAAGCCACTGGGGTTGCTTTATGTCTCTAACCATCTCCCAAGCTGGTCTTTCAGGTCACCAATAGCTTAGCAACTCAAACTGACAGCCTTGTAACTGCTACCACTTCTGATACCGCATGAAGCTTGAAAGAAACCTGGGTGTCCAAGAAAGACCATCTCCAGTTTGGCCCCACCCTAGAGCCTAATGTCTCATACCAAATGCCTTGGATCCCTGTCTAGTTTGCTCACTCAAGTGAGGAGTCAAGGTGAGAAAACTGGAGAGAATTGGCATGATACAAATCCATACCCACCTTGCCAAGGTTTCCCTTGTCAATCAATACACAGTTCCTAATATCTGTGACCACCACCAAATATATGCTATACCATGAACCAAATGGCTGGGCCAGTGAAGATGCTTAGACCTCTCTCCTTTATACTCTGAAAATACTTTCTGTAATTTGGAACCATCAAGCTCCATTATCAGATTTTTGTGTGTGTGTGCAGGACGAAGAATGGTCCCTGTACTTTTCACTGCATAAGGTAAGTGTGAGCTTTACCTGTATGGGGGGAGAGGTCAGTAAAAACAACTAGAGTTTGGTGACACTTCCCCACCCTGGCAGCCTGTCTACTTTGTAGAACCTTCACCATGAAAGACAGAATTAAAGGTTTTAAATCAGAAAAAGATTGAGGAACTAGTGCTAGTTTTATTAGGCAAAGATAAACAATCGTGATGCAGTGTTGCGGTGAAAGTGTTTGACACTAATATTTGGGAGAAAGTGGCCCCGTGGAGGTTGACTGCCTTTCAAAAATTCCAATGGAGATGGCCTAGCAAATTAAATCCAAGAAAACCAAGAACACAGATGTTGCCAAGAGTTCTAAGTCCTCTGCTGACACCCGGTGGTTGTTTAAAAAAGTACTTTCCTTGAGCAGCCTCTTCTGCCATACTCCCCAACACGGAAACATAAAATGCCTTTTACCTGCTAAAATCAAATTTTAAGAATCAACTGTCAAGTCATTAGGGGTAAAAATGCAATGGACACTATGTAGAAAAGGACAGTGCCTGTGCCATCTTTTACTAATGCCTAGCACAGTGCCAGGCACAGAGTAAATGCTTACTATTCCATTGAGAAAAAAAATATATTTTTTTCATTTCTCTGGGTCTTAGAACCTGTATTTTATAAAACAGAGCTTATCAGATACCACATACGTACACAACTTCTACATCTGGTAAATACTGCGAGGTGATTTAAAATGGGACCAAAGAGAAATTTCCCCCATACTTTCCACTGTAGCATTATCAGCCTAAGCTGTAAACATCACAATGTAAATGTATTGAACAAAAGCAAAAATTCAGTTAAGCTAGTCGGTGTTTAGGCTGAATATATGCCTCATTCGGAAACTTGTGACTTCATGGTATTGCTCCCAAAGATACACGAACACTTCAAATACAAACTGAGCAGCTGCATTCCGTGAACTGCTATTGCTGGTCCTTATTGGAATGTGATTGCTTTAATGAAAATGTATACTGCTAATCAAGTATGAGAGTCTGATAACTTACATTTCTGTGACCAGTGATTTCATGAAGTTCAGTTACTACCAGAACAAATCTTACATGCAGTATGTCAAAGTTAACACAAATCCTGATTTTAAGGCAAACAGTACCAAGATCATTTTAATGCCTTTTCTTTCATAACATAATTTATCCTAATGCAATCATTGCTTTGTATATGAACCCTCTCCTCATGTAAGTGCAAAACCTATACCAGTTTGTTAAAATGGTCATAAAATGTAAATTACACAAATACTCCATTTTCAGAAAAAGACTTTTTAATTTCAATAGGTTTTTGGGGAACAAGTGGTGTTTGGTTAGATGAATAAATTCTTTAGCGGTGATTTCTGAGATTTTGGTGCACTCATCACCTGAGCAGTGTACACTGTACCCAATGTGTAGTCTTTTATCACTCATCCTGCTCCCATCCTTTCTCCCCAGTCCCCAAAGTGCATTGTATCATTCCTATGCTTTTTGCATTCTCACAGATTAGCTCCCACTTATGAGTGAGAACATACGATGTTTGGTTTTCCATTTCTGAGTTACTTCACTTAGAATAATGGTCTCCAATTCCATCCAGGTTGCTGCAAATGCCATTACTTCATTCCTTTTTATGGCTTAGTAGCATTCCATGGTGTGTGTGTGTGTGTGTCTGTGTGTGTGTGTGTGTGTGTGTGTGTGTATACACCACATTTTCTTTATCCACTCATTGATTGATGGGCATTTGGACTGGTTCTATATTTTTGCAATTGCGAATCGTGCTGCTATAAACGTGTTTCTTTTTTGTATAATGACTTCTCAGAGAAAGACTCCTTATAAAGACCTTGGTGGTCTTTATAAGTTTGCCAGTGGGTGCAAACAAACACAATACTATGAACACCATATTGCATGGGAGAGAAAACATCCAACATTCTAACCTTGACCAAGTCAAGGTTAAGCCTTAGAGGGACTCATGTTCCTCTCAATAACGTGGAAACTGGGTTAGACACGCCCCTTCCAGCACTCATGTGCTAGGAATCTAAGAATAACCAGAAGAGGAAGGCCTTCTCCAATATTGCTATTGTCATACTCAAACACTCCTGATGAACCAGCTCTGTTCAGAAGCTTGAACTCCACTCTATATGGTTCCAGGAAAACAGCTATTCTCTGGGCAGTTCCCAACCTTTGTTCATGATGATCCTCTTACCTAGAATTCTATCCATCCTATCTTCTTACCTATCCATCCTATCACTCTATATCCTAAATTCTTATGGTACACACTGTACTCACTCCTCTCAGCCTCCTCAAAGTCACTCTGCAGTATACCATGGTCCTTCTGTACCCTACCCATCCTCCTGTGCATATCCAGGAGCACAACCTCTTGAGGGTGGGAGCTGTGTACCTTGCACACAGTCAATGTTCTGTACCTGTCCATTTAACAAATGAATAAGCAACCAATTGTAGAGTTAAGAAAGGAGAAGAAGTTTCATGTTAGCCATCTATTTGCTATACCCTCTGAACCTCTGTGAAGAACTATCAGAAATGATAAGAATGCCACTCTGGACCAGAAAGGGCCAGTAATCTGGGGAAATAACAAGGCTAAAGACAAAGAAGAAAAGATTAAACAGACAAGGGAGAAAATGGTTAGGCTGCGGCATACCCTTAGGTGACTAAGACCATATGTGGTGGTAGTAGTGGTTGGTGGTGGACGTGCGGCGGGTGTTCAAAGAAATTGCCAGGTAGTTGAAGGAAAAAACTCACCTACAAGCAAAGGGCTAAAGATCCATAAAACACTCTAACTGGCATTTTATCACATTCTTCTTGCTATAAAAATGTTTCTCACTAAGGATAAAAACCATACAAAGATAAGCCCAAGACAAAAGCCACTATCATATGTATAAATTTTTTCTTGGCTCTCATCAACACACATTCACTCCACACATGTACTTTTGCAAGCACCCACAGGAAAGTCATGTCTCAAACATGACTTTCGAACTGAAAAGCAAGGGACTTTTTTTTTTAAAACATCTCTCTCCTGCTGTGAGGTGCAATGAGTAAGTTCGGAGTTCACCAAAGCAATTGTGTGTCTGAGCTCCTCAGAGACCTCAAATCCCTAAATCAATCATCAGCATATGTTACCTTTCTCATGGAGGTTTTGCTTCTTTCTCAGAAGAATTGACCAGCAAGCAGCCAACGCTGTGGTTCGGGGAGGAGAGAGATAGGAGACCGTGGATAAACTACATGACTGGCCTGGTGAAGGACCAGCACCACCTTATATGCTCCCAAATCAACCACAAGCCAGGATGGCAGGCCCAGCCTTCCATCAGAAGTAACCAGGCTGAGGCTCTCCCTTTCTTGCTTATTCCTGGCATCTCATTTTCTGTGTGCTTACAACACAGCTCAAATTTTATGGGTAGCAAAGTACCACTAGCTACTATTAATTTAGGCTTGGTGATGAGACAGAGTAAAGCTATAATCATGGCATCAGAAAAGTTAGATCAGAACTGAAAAGGCTTCTGTGTGATGATACATATTACTTTAAAATTATACTCAAAGAAAACTTACAGATAGGTTTGGCAATATGCCAAGGGGTATCCAAAATGCTCTGAAACAGACTTACTAAGGTTTATTTTCATCCTAAAATGGCCATTAGGGGAACGAGTAGCCAACATAAACAATTCCCCTTGCTCTTGCCAGGTCAACCTGGCTAATACTGATAAGTCTCTCTGTGGATCTTGTAGCATCCTGATCTTCAGAGAGGTGCCAGAAATAGAGGCTTCCATCCTTCTCACCTGTCCAGAGGCATTTTACTTGAGCCCACGCTGTTTTGTGCGTGCAGACCACAGACCTTATGATGAAACTGCTGCAGCTGCTGTGCCAGGTCTGAGAGGGCAAAGTCCTTATTTCCTCTCACTAAATCCTTAATACAAGGTTCATAAGCCCCACCTTCTATGTGAATATATGCACATTATTCTAATGATGGCACAAGTTCATATTTACTATATCATTCAATTAAAGAAAAAAAAGACAACAGAAATTGAATCACAGAGGTACAAGCTATCAAAAAGAGACTGCTTACTAAATAGCCATATGGAATAGAAAGCACTGTATCTAAAAACCAACAAAAAGAAACACACAGGCGAGATCGTAGGCAGAAGTCTTAGCTAGATTGCATTTTAGTTGACCCACAATTCAATCATCCCAGAGGTTTACAGGTTAATTCCTTCATAGCAACTACACACAAAGGTATTGTGAAATATCCCCCAGAGGATTCTGTAACTCAGAAGAAAATGCGTGACACTGAAACTCCACACACATCATCAATAATTAAAATCCACGTTCCTCAGATGTTAGGTTTTAAGAGGAAAAGTACCTGACAAACTATTCTCTTAGCTGATTCTTATGTGAGTGTGTGTGCCAAGGGGACAAAGAGGAGGAGAAGTCTTTGCACAATGTTGGGACCTGATTAGGTAGAGGTGGAGAAAGTGACCAGAAAAGCAAAGAAACCAGCAGCTTGTATAATGTTATGGTCTTATTTTAAGAAGTAACAGTGTGCATCCATTATATTTATAACTTAAAATTTTATTACAAATTGTATGTATACTTAGTGTTTTTAAAATAGACTAAGAACCAGAATTTATTGGGATTCCTCACTGGGCTTGAGAACCCATTCCAGATGAGTGGCAGAAAGGGACTCAATATATTTAAAAGAACATTAGCTGGGGCCAGACGTGGTGACTCATGCCTGTAATCCTAGCACTTTGGAAGGCAGAGGCAGAGGTGGGCGGATCACTTGAGGCCAGGAGTTCGAGACCAGCCTGGCCAACATGGTGAAACCCCATCTCTACTAAAAATACAAAAATTAGCCGGCTGTGGTGGTGCGTGCCTGTAATCCCAGCTACTTGGGAGGCTGAGGCGGGAGAATCACTTGAACCCACAGGGCAGAGGTTGCAGTGAGCCAAGATCATGCCACTGTACTCCAGCCTGGGTGACAGAGCTTTACTCTGTCTCAAAAAAAAAAAAAAAAAAAAAGAAAAAGAAAAAGAAAAAAAGAATGTTAGCTGAATGTGGTGGCTCACGCCTGTAATCCCAGCTGCTCAGGAGACTGAGACAGGAGGATCACTTGAGCCCAGGAGTTCGAGGCCAGACTTGGCAGCATAGCAAGACCTCCATCTCAAAAAAAAAAAAAAATTAGAATTAAAAATGTTAGAGCTCTTGGCTGGGGTTTAGAAGACCAGGGCTTCAGTTGTAGTTTTGTCATTAATGAGCTGTGTGACTTTGGGCAGATCACCTGATATTTCTGGGCCTCAGCTCACTCTTCAATAAAATCAGGAAGTAGAGAAACCTGATTGCCAGTGCTTCCCTCCCAGCTCTAACATTCTGATACAACAAATCAGAATCTCAAACTTGACACACTCAGTCACGCTGAAATATATTTATAGCTGTGCCTTTAAGCAAACAAAAGAGAGTTTCTAAGATTCTCCCTGTATCTGATAAACCACCAGCAGCAGGGGTAGGAAAGTTGGCTCATTTCTGGACCTGAAGCCCACTGTTCTGTCAGCTTTCCCAGGTGGCGAGAGGCTCCTGGGTAAGAAAGGGTAGGAAGAATGCCCAGCAGGACATGCGTTTGTAGTTTTACACAGACACGCAAAAATTTATAAGCTCACTAGCATAACAAAAGCTTTACTTTTTATAAGAAGATCCCACTGTTATCAAGACATGTGCTTTGAACTCTCTCTAGGCAAGTATTTTGACCAATTCAACCTTTTTACTCCATTTTTGTCTCGTGTACATGTATACATGTGTACGTCTGTGGGTGTGTGTGTGTGTGTGTGTGTGTGTGTGTGTGTGTGTATGGAAGATAATACATGTTATATGGCTGACAGGTTGGTGGTATCATTAAAAGGAGACAGGGAAGTTAAGAAGCGGGAGAGGAGTGAGATAATCTTAAGTGCTGACTTGTTAAAATTGAATCTGAGAACCAATAAGAAATCCAGAGACCGTCTGGTCCAGGCTCTGTTTTCTATTGGGTTTGGGGTGACCAAAGGTCACAGAGGCAACATGTTCAGAAGGCAGTTGTGAATGTGGGGCTTGAATTTAGGAGTAAGTCAGAGCTGCAGGTGAGGGCTGAGGCCAGAAGTGACAGCTAAGCGGGAACAACGAATCTTGGGAAACAGAAGCAGAAGATGGTGGGAAGTTCAAGGACTAAGGCTTGAGGAAGACTGTCACTAGAACATGAGAGGACAATGCTGGAAGACAGGGGACAGCAAAGAGACGCAAAACAGAGTGGACAAGTCTATAAAGGTGGCTGCCAATATGAGAAGTAGGACATGGAAGAAAGAGACATTTTCTCCTTTAAAGATTTATTGGAAACAAGGCCAAGCACAGTGGCTTGTGCCTATAATCCCAGCACTTTGGGAGGCCAAGGCGGGAGGATCACTTGAGGCCAGGAGTTCAAGACCAGCCTGGGCAACATAGTGAGACCCCATCTCTAAAAAAAAAAAAAAATTAGCCAGGTGTGTCAGCACATGCCTGTAGTCCCAGCTACTTGGGAGGCTGAGGTGGGAGGATCACCTGAGCCCAGGAGGTCGAGGCTGCAGTGAGCTAAGATTGTACCACCACACTCCAGCCTGGGTGACAGAGCAAGATCTTATTTTTTTAAAAAAAGACTTATGGGAAACAAAACACCAGCACAATTCATTGATCCTGCATACACTAATGACCAGACAGGGTACTCTTTATTTTTGTACCCAGTACAGCCCACTGAGATTACATTTTGTATTTTAATATTATTACATCCTAGATCCAATTCATAGACTTCAAGTTTCAGGAGCTAGGTCATGAAGCTAGAGTGATTTGTCACAAACTCTAGCTTCTATTTGGATTTTATCAGGGATCAGATAGCCAGAGTCTAAAATGCAGATTGTCTAACAAGGTATAACAAATCACAGATGCTTTTGAAAATATGAAAATGGCTTTGAATAGCACTATGAAAAGTCAGAAATTCTAGCTTTGACTGTGGGTCTATTACAGTCTCTTCATATGTGTAGTGAAACAACTAATCATTTCATAGGAAATGGCTCCAGGCATGCTGTAAGTCCAGCAAACAATACTTCCTTCTCTAAGTTGCAACCACTAGCTTACACCAGTCATGTTGCATATCTGTGTCTTAGTTCATCATCTACAAAGTGGCAGGACTAGCCCCAGGGCCCTTCCAGTGCTAGAGTTACTTGTTTCTTTGAATTGCCCAGTGGTCCTCAGAGGGGCAAATATCAAATTCAACTGTTAGCTCAGATGCCAAAGACTGGTCAACAGCATTCACCAAGGGGCTGCACCTGCTGGGCTCTGTACTCATCCTGGGGAGTTTAGCTGGAGGGTGGCTCAAGGAGGTGGCTGGCTAGAGACTGAATACTCTCTAATGTCCTGTGGGCCCATGAAGTGGTAAAAATGGACCCATATGGTGACAGTATTTTCAGAATTAAAAACAGAATCTGAACACGGTAAAGATCTTTGAAATTGGCCTGTCACAGAAAATCAGGGCTATACAGCTGCTAAAATAATAATAAATGCCACCTTGTTAAGAGAGCCTTTTACTACTTGAATAACTAAACTCCTTCAAATGAGGCCCACACAGCTCTACCTTATACTTAATTCCATTATTCAACAAATAGAGTCACAGAAAATTCCTGAACATGTTATTAGGTACTCTGTATATCACACTGGGAAAAGAGAAAAAAATGGTCAGCCCTATTGAATTGGTTTCTCATTTCTTTTATATTACCCTAAAAGCTTACAGACTTAGGTTTCTTCTCCCTTAAAAACTAAATTCCCCAAAAAGGCCCAGAAGCAAAAAGAAAAGAAAGAATTTAACTGCACACATATCCGTACATTGAGAAATGTTCTATTACATCAGAGAAGAATGTTAAGGGTAGCTTATTCTGAGCCTCTTGGCATTATTTTTTCTTTATAAGCATTGTTGAGTTCTCCTAGCAAATGTTTAAAACAGGACTTAGGTTTTTGATCTATACTAATAGTGAAGGTCTTATTTCAACTTTGAGAGTCCAAGAGCATGTGAAAGGAAGAAGCAAGCAAACCAGAGGTTAAGACTATATGAATATAGCTCATACCTCTGGTTTCATGATGACCCAGATATATAAATAGACATCATATAGGTAAATGCCTATTAGGAATTGGGGCCAGCAAAGCCACTTACCAGGAGATTTATGTACTTAGAAATCTGCACCAGCTGTAGTGGCTAAAGTGACAGAAGCTTAATGTTTGGGGGATTCCCTGTATGCCCCACCTCCTTTATCTTTTGGCACAGTTGAATACACACTAAGGCCGTGTGAGTGCCAGGAGCACTAACAGTCTTAGCGCCATTAGCAGATAGCCAACCACCAGTGAAAGAAGAGTTACGGCAAGAAACCCCTTCCCTTGCTTCCATTCCTCAGGTAACCAGCACTGTGAAAAGACGGATCAAATTCTACACTAATAAGATACTTTTTAAAAAGATCATGTCAGAATAAGCTTATAAACAAGAGCCACATATTAATGTGTGTTGACAGAATGTTTGTACTGACTACACATTTGTTCTGCCCTGTATTAATTGTATTAATACATCAAGATTTTAAGAGTCATGTGGGGAAGGAATAAATCCTTTCCTCCTTTATATCCACCAAAGCCTCAGCCATACCTCGTACCTGATTTTCCAAGACAACATGCTGTTCAAATATTCTGTCCTAATATCCATCAAACAGAATCAGCTCAATAAATACAGAATGAATCTTAGTGACGAGCTCTTCTTCAAATTCAGCTCCCTTTTATTGGCTGTGTCCTCGTGAATTTTGGATGGGAATGAATCTGGAAAAACGAATCGTAACAATTTTTCCATAAATGCCAATCTGACAGTGGCACACTTCTTTCTCATAATTATGTTGAACCTATTTGGCTTTCCTGGAGTTCCATTATTTTCAAAAGGGAGAATCTTCTTTGCATAATTTATATATAGGATTATCATCTTCAAAATACTGAAACCAAAACCATAGTCCTAATAAATACTTTATACACAGGAAGAAGCTAGAACTCAGATGGCAAAAAAGTCACTGAATTCCCACGCTTTATGTGGCTATGCATTGATGGGGTGTGATGAGGTGGGTTGGTCTGAAGAACTCATGCCTCCTTTCAGGTGAAACTGGAGCCAATAAGACATAATGTTAGAAGAGGACCTACTATTAAATGTGGAAAAACCTGGAAAAGAAAGCATGTATGCAGTGTTCAAGAGCAAGATTCTCATATAAATAGTAAGGTAGGATTCTCCTTTCAATGATCCTAACTTTCTCCTGAGGTGATTTAAGGAAAAAAAAAACTTAAAAACTGGTATTAGTGACTTAATTAGCTTTCCTTTCAACACTCATATGTCCACACTGCATATATATATATGGTACTGCTACTAAATGCAATGTACAGGGAAAATTCAGATGTCTAATATTGACAGAGTACTATGAAAAAAATAACTTTAAGGTAATAGTAATATGTTTTTGGCCCCCCTAAAAATCAGACATTTTGGAAAAGCACAAAGAGGACACTTCACCACTTCTACCACTACCACCCTAGGCCAAGCCTCCATCTCCCCTTGCATCCACCCTTGCCCCCATTCTCTATTCAACACAGCAGTTGAGATGATCCTGCTGAAACCTAAGTCCAATAATACGTGACTTTGCTCAAAATCCTCCCACAACATTTCATCTCTCAGAGAGAAAGTCAATGTTCTTATCCTGGCCTGCAAGGTCCTACTTGACCTGCAGCCCCCACTGGTTCACTCTGCTGCAGCCTCACAGGCCTCTGTGTTCACCCTCAAAACTCTTGGCATGCTCTTGCCTCAGAGATTTCACACTTGCTCTTCCTTCTGCCTGGAATTCCAAGATCTCTCATTTCAGGTCTCTGCTCCTCCATGAGCCCTTCCCTGATGACCGTATTTGAAACCAGAATTCCACTCCCCCACGGGGCTCCTGCTTTATCTTTCGCCACTGCACCTATCACCTTTGTATACTATTTACCTTACTCACTTTGTCTGTCTACCAAAATGAATGTTAAGTTCTGTGAGGGCAGGATTTTTGTCCTATTCATCCTATTCATGGGTGTATCCCCAGGGCCAATACAAATGCCGGCTCACAGGAGGGGCTTAGTTAAATATTTGCTAACTGACCAAATACAAGACAGCAGGCAGGTAAGTAAGTATGAGCTTTGGAGGCATAAAGTCTATTCTCACTAGCACTGCATCAAGGAGGCTAAATGGTGGGCCTGACTACTGTAAGGCCCTGGCAGTTGCACTCAGATAAAAACCTGTGCTTTAGCCAATTGCTTCTAATCCAGCACATTGCTTCATAAATGTCTGCTTTTGGCCACAAGGGGGACTAAATGAGAAAGCATGGGAATAGTTCCTTCTAATCCATCACCACTAATAGAAAAGTAATTTGAAGCTCTAATATCCTATAACTCTATGAGGTCTGTAGCTGATGGTTAGGAGCCAAGATAATGAACAGCATTTAAGTAAGATTTCCCTGTCTCTTAAAAAATGTACAACTGAGGTGCTTACTATCTGTGTGCCCTGTACTATGCTAAGTGCTTTAATGCTTTATCTGGCTCAATCTTCTTAATAACCCTATGAAACGTGCCCAAGGTCATCGCCACTAAATGGCAGAACAGTTACTCAAAGCCCTGACCCTCCACTACTGCTTTCCTTTAATGTCCTCTTTAGCCTGTCTGTAGAAGGTTCTTTCTCCTCAACCCTTTACTCCTAACTCTTCCATAAGAGGAGTTCATAAGCCAGCATCGTCCATCCTGGCACTGATTTTTCCTTGAATCAACCCTGAGAATTTGGCTGCCATAATTAAAAATAAATAAGATCTATAGGCATGGCCAATAATTCATTTATTTTAAAAGGCTATCCATTAGCATTAGGAGATATACCTAATGTAAATGACGAGTTAATGGGTGCAGCACACCAACATGGCACATGTATACATATGTAACAAACCTGCACGTTGTGCACATGTACCCTAGAACTTAAAGTATAATAAAAAAAATAATAAAAGGCTATGCATTATTCCCCTCCTTCAAGCAGGTAAATCTATAGAAATGAAAGCATGTTCCACTCCAAGCTATAGTTTGATACTTTAAAAGCCAGTATGGGAAATAAATATCTTCATGTGTATGTCGACGTGAACCAGAAATGTTCAATATCATTAGCACCAGGAACAAACCTATGGGAGGACTGATCTGAAGAATCAATAAAGCTTGACAAACACATGGAAAACTGTAGTGTCTTGAGTATTGGTTTTCCACCAAGCACATTCTAGAACGAAAGCTTAAGAAACTTAAGTACTCTGGTTTTGGCCCTGAGAAGAGAAACAAGAGGCCACAGGTGCAACATATATGAGAAGAACCCACTCTGAAACTGTGGAATTGCCTTTCAAAGTAGCTCTAACCAAAAGTGATGGGCTGAGTCACGAGATAAGGCAACCGCATCGTATCTGCTCACCCCACAGCCTGGGAGGGGGATTTGATTGGCTGTTCATGAACGAAGGGCACAGTCTGGAAACAGAGTTAACCATGTATGTGTGTGATAAACGACATTTATTGAGCAGTACCGTGCTCCTTATACGCTTCATCACATTTATTCTTAATCTCTGTTTTGCAGATGAAAACCTGAGGCTTTCGGTTGTTGACTTTCAGCAACGTGCTCAAAGTCACAAAGCAAATAAGTGGTATAGCCCGGAGTCCAATCAATTTCTGTCCAACTCGAAGGCAGTTTTCTTGGCCATTATTATATTCTGCCTCTTGCGGCAGTGTAAGTAACAGCAGTCAAGGCCAAGGGCTGAGTTCCTCTGTCCAATATTACCCAGTCACTGACCCTCTCGTCTAGGTAGGTGAACGCTAAAGAGAAGCCTGGTTTTCTTTATACTGCCTAAGGGCTTCCTACGAGTGAGCTGTGAGGAAACCAGTACCCTGAACCAATTTCCACAGCGAGGTTTCTTGGGCAGTTTCTAATTGTCAATAGCCAGGAAACATGGGTAAACGCAGAGTGGGAAGAAACGGACTCTACAGACTGACCCTGGGGGCACTGGCCTTTTCCCTTCTCCTTTCCTGGGACGGGCCTCCCGTGCCCCTTATTGGGCATACTCCATTTTATGAACTGGGCTGTGTTCTGGATTATTTATACATTACTTGTTTGAAACTCAAAATGTATTTTCTTTGAGAAACCATGTTATACCTGGTGGCTTGTTTCTAGGCCAGTCCTCAAAAATCTATATTTAAGCCAGTATTAGGGAAAGTTATAGGGAAACAGATTTTTGGCTCATTACAAGGAAGAACTTTCTAATAATAGGCACTGCCCAAAATGGAGTGGGTTGCCTTGGGAGGTGTTACAACAGAAGGTAAACAGCTTTCTGGGCAGCCCCATAGAGACTCTGGATGCAACCATGGGACAGAAGTCCTATGACTGGGAACCCAGCAGGAAGGCCTAAGTTACACTGTTTCTCAAAACCTGTTCTCATTCTGACTATTGTCCCAGAAGACTTGTGCTAGCTAATTGGCTAGCCTTTGCTAGCCAATTATCTCCCTGGATTTTCATACATGGATGAATAGGAGCATTAACAGCACAGGAATTGGGGAAACCATTTTCCCAGATCTGGAGTTTCATTTCCTTTGATCTTCAAAGGAAGCGATAGGTCATACAATTTTGACACATTAAGAGCAAGAGAAAAGCCTGTTCAGTGTAATGGGGCTGCAATGAAAATGAGCTGTGTTCTTTAAAAGAGGATATGGCACTGGAAGGAGTATTTGCCTTATTATTTTAATTCTTCTATTTTCCATAAGCAAATACACTCTACATCACTTAGAGTCAGAAATCCTGGATGACTTTAAGAATCAGTGAAGCTGGTTAAAGATAAATTTACAAAAACTATAGTTGCAACCTTCATACTTTTCACATATAGACAAGGATTCTGTCAAAAACCTGACATATATTGGAACTAAAAAGAGGAAGTATCTAATAAGGTGCTATTAGTAATGGTATATTGCACCAGAGATCTATTCCTATAGAAAATTACATAGCTCGTTACATGGCTATGGGGGCAAATACAACTACACTTTGGACCCTGAGGCAACACAACCATCAAGCTTGCTCCTGCAGGATACATGCAGGGCTCTACCTGCTCAGCCCTCCTGCCCCATCGCTGCTCAGCCAGGTCCTACCTGCCTTTCAAAGCACAACGAAGATGTCCTTTCACCAAGAGGCCTTTCCTGACACTCAAAGACAATAATCATTTCATCCTCTTCTAAATGTGCTTAAGATTTTCCACATACCTCTTATGACTGACTTCTTTTTGGGGGGATGGAGTCTCGCTCTGTCGCCCAGGCTGGAGTGCAGTGGTGTGATCTCAGCTCACTGCAAGCTTCGGCTCCCGGGTTCATGCCATTCTCCTGCCTCAGCCTCCCGAGTAGCTGGGATTATAGGCGCCCGCCACCACGCCCGGCTAATTTTTTGTATTTTTAGTAGAGACGGAGTTTCACCATGTTGGCCAGGCCGGTCTCGATCTCCTGACCTCATGATCCACCCGCCTCGGCCTCCCAAAGTGCTGGGATTACAGGCGTGAGCCACCGCATCCGGCCATTACTGACATTTTTACCTTGTATTCTAAGACTTTGGGTACACCTTATCTGCATCCCCAGTCATCTGCTCCCTGAAAAAGAGATGAGTCCCTCATGGGATTGTTATTAACTATATATATATATATATATATATGTAATCACATTTCTGATAATGAAATATGACTAGAAAGAGTGCTTTGTTTGCAAATAGCTCTCATCAAGGACACATTAACAGGGCATTTTTCTTTGGTTTCTGAGGTTGCTAAGAGGGCATGAGATGGGAGAGGTTGGGCAGGGATCCTTACATGTAAAAACGGCTAGAGAGATGCAATAGTCAAGTCTGGAAACAGCATCAGAAGCTGTTGCATTCCTTCCATGTTGTGCTTAGAAATAAATATGACTGTTGTGGTCTTAGACAAATGAGAAGTCCAGAAAAGTATAACCTGGTAATCAGGTCCCTCAACTCAAAGACCAGTGATATAAGCCTCTTCCTTCCCCAAGAGTCACCAAAACAACTTATTTTAGAAAGCTAAGGCTTCTCAGCAAGAAGCAGAAATCCTTCCCCTTTGACAGTGTCAGCTGAAAGTGACTGGCCCAGTGACCACTCTTTAAAGCTGCATTGAAGGGCCAGAATGGTTGAGT
Organism: Homo sapiens; assembly: GCF_000001405.40. NCBI lineage: Eukaryota > Metazoa > Chordata > Mammalia > Primates > Hominidae > Homo > Homo sapiens. Next base: position 38,650,562 of record NC_000023.11, on the reverse strand, counting down.
CCTACCTGTGCTCCACACAAGTTATGGCCAAGGACATGCTTTCCTGGGCACAGGAAAGCCCCTGGCTCTTACCACATGTCTTCACTCACAGCCAAGGGCTGTCTGAAGCCCTGGCACACACTGTGAGTGACTGTGACCAAGGACTGCACTGGCTTGCTGGCAGGATGGACCAGCAGGCACCATGGCTATATTCTGACCTCTTACATCAATTGATATTATTTTTAGTAAACCATTCTCTCAACTCATTTTGCCTCGCATTATTCAAACGTAAAGTATCTTAACCACAAATCATGTGGCTACTAGCAAGAGATGATACAAGCCACCTTGAGCAAGGGGCTTCCTGAGGGCCATGGGCATCCTGTAGGGAAGCACAAGCCGCTGGCACTTCCTGGGACAGGAAGCCAAAGGAGCTACCCTTCCCTATAGTCAGGGCTCTGGGATGTACTTCTCTTGCACATCAGCTGCATTCTTCTCTATCTATGCACACTGGCTCTCTCTGTCCAAAAGCCTCCCATTAGAGCATTCCCAATTCAAACATCCAACAGAGACTGATGAGCAGCCTTGAACACAAATTTCAAATTCATGGAAGAGAGAATCTGAGGGGCCTGTCTCAGGTCAGGTGACCTCCCGGAAGCCATCAGCTGTGATGAGGGCAAGGCCATGTCCCAATGCCCCATCTTATCAGCAAGTGCTAGGAGAACAGATGGTCAGAAAAGGCTGTGAGCCGGGCAACCCACAGATTAACATGCCTGTCACTGCGAGACTTGGCTATCCCTTTCCTCCTGAAATAAAGGATAGGGACTGTGAAGCAGCCTATGTGTTCAGCCTGACTTTAAACACTGCATCCTGTACAGCATCAGAAAACTGTGGTGATAGACCTATTAACAGCACAACCCTTTGCCCTGAACGGACCCTGGGGAAACCCAACTCGGGTAGCCACAAGCAGCCTGTACCAGCGAGAGAACAGAATCCCTGGTTGGCTAACCAGGGGGCCTACAAGGAGGGTGCAATACTGGCAATTCTCAGGAGGCCAGGCCCTTCCCTCAGCTCCTCCCAAAAGTGTGGCTTAGGTCCTTGACCACATAAGGCTACATGCCAAGTGACTTCAAATAAATGAAGACACTATCTTGAAGGAATTGGCTTGTTGCCAAACTCACCATACTCTATGGACCATTCAAAGTAGGTCTCTCTTAAATGATCCAATGGCATTGGCAGGATCCTTTGGATATCCTTTCACCATCACTGAGCCTCTCACCACACCTCTTGAACCACCACCCCCCTTCTGACTTGTGAGCTCAGCAAGTGGCTAACATTACTGCAGCAGGGACTCTTCCCATGCAAGAATGAGGGCTTGGCGGTCATCAGAAATGTGTCAGTGTGGACAATACAGCATACGAAGAGGTGTCACACTGTGTCACAATCTGTTAACATACTCATTTGGGGTGAAGAAAGGGCCTAAGGACCAAGCATATATAAAATAAGTGCCTTCCAAAATGCTAGAGGGTATAATAAAAATAAATGTTTAAAAAGTAAATAATATAGTAAATAAAAAAGCAAGCACATTTGGGATTACACCAGGGACCCTCCTTACCTAACAGGAATAACATAATATTGGCATCTGTTACTTCTTTTTTTTTTTTTTTTTGAGACAGAGTTTTGCTCTTGCCCAGGCTGGAGTACAATGGTGTGATCTCAGCTTACTGCAACCTCCACCTCCCGGGCTCAAGTGAGTCTCCTGCCTCATCCTCCAGAGTAGCTGGGATTACAGGCTTATGCCACCATGCCTGGCTAAAGTTAAAATGCAGATGCCTGGCTGGGTGTGGTGACTCCCGCCTGTAATCCCAGCACTTTGGGAGGTTGAGGTGGGAGGACTGTTTAAGGCCAGGAGTTTGAGACCAGCCTGGACAACACAGCGAGACCCTGTCACGATGACAAAAATTTAAAAAATTAGCCAGGCATGGTGGCCCACACCTGTAGTCCTAGCTACTCCAAGGGTGAGGCAGGAGAATCACTTGAGCCCAGGAGTTTGAGGCTACAGTGAGCCATAATTGTGCCATGGCACTCCAGCCTGGGCAACAGAGCAAGATCCCAACTATAAGTAATAAATAAAATGTAAATGGCTCAACTAAGCTACAGCAATAGAAATCCTAAAAGTGACTGTCCATGAAGGGGTCAGGAATAATAGGAGGGGACACATGTAGTGATGCAAATAATCTTTATTTTGATTGGAGTGTATTGTGAGGGAGAACCTCAAAACACAAGCAGAAAAAGAATAAGTGAAAAAATGTTATTATATAATCATTAGAGACAGTAGGAGGAAGAAAAATGGCTCTTGGATTTTATGCAACAAGTGAAATTAAAATATCCTCTAACATTTGTAAGCTGCTTTACAGTTTATAAAGTATATTCATTCATAAAATTCCATTTAGTATTCATAATAATCCCATGAGGCTCACATAATCAGCATACCCATTTCAAGATAAGAATGCAGGCTCAGAGAAAGCTAAGTAGTGCCCCATGTCCCACAGTCTGTTAGGGACCAAGACAAAGCAAAAACCCAATGTCCTTAATCATAGGCCAAGTCATTTTGACTACACCATGCCAGGAACTTTTATAAGTTAGTTTTCTTGGTTACTTGGTATAGTTAATTGTATTTTGTGTATCTGACTTGTGCTCAACCTGGTTCTCTACACTGTAAGCTCCCCTGAACAATGAATTTATTAACATTATCCAAACGTATAGCAACCAGAGTTGACAAGCTGCCGGAACCACAGGACTCAATCTGTGACTAACATTCAGCATCTTGGACTCTTCCATAATCAAACCATGAGAATAAGGACTAAACATCAAAGGGCTAAAAGAAAGCCTGTTCAGTCAATGCTGCCACAATTATGTTGCTTTGCAGATTACAGTTTCAATTTGTCTTGAAACTTCACAAATGTCCATCTTGTCCTCTTAATAGCATGCAAACAATTGAGGTTAGGGACCAAATCATTGTGTTTTACATTTCCAGGAGCACCCAATATGGTGTCCTAAATTTAGTACACACTCAATAAATGCTTATTTTATAGTATGTTTGGTACCTTCTAGAAAGTAATAGTGTTAAAAATAGAATTCTGTGACACAAAATTTTGTATCACAGACAAGGCTGGGCACGGTGGCTTATGCCTGTAATCCCAGGACTTTGGGAGGCCGAGGCAGGCGGATGACCTGAGGTCAGGAGTTCGAGACCAGCCTGGCCAACATGGTAAAGCCCCATCTCTACCAAAAATATTTCAGTAAAACTCAGGACAAATGTACCATGAGGGTTTATGTATTAACTGCATGTGTTCTATCCCTTTAATCCAAGTGGGGGAATAATTTTACAGAGCTTAACTGAAGGATTTTAACTAGCAAAACCAACCAGTAGAAGCTTCTGTGTTAAAAGAGTAGTAAGCATAATTTTTTTAAAGTATGCATTTCTGGGTGAATGTAATTAGAAGAAAATCTATAGGCAGCACAGCCCTCTCCAAACTTTGATGCCTATTTTCTCCCCTAGTGTACCCCTCATTCTCACTGAAAGTCAGATGGCTTTCAGGCTGAGTTATCTTAAAAGATACACATTAGCACTGTTCTTCCTAAGTGGAACACTGGGAAATTTAAGCTCTGACCTCAGTGAGGGACCGTGAACTGAGACAATCTGTTTTCCCGTGGCCACTGGTCTCTGGCAATATGAAGACACAAATGTCCCAGAAGTACAGATAAAAGCAATGAAGTACATAATTGCACCTGTGCTTGCACATTCTCGTTCTTAAAGGCAGAATTTTAAAATAAATATTATCCCCAAATTCTATCACCTTAATGCAATTTTTGAAATTTGGGGACATTCCACTCCACATGAATGCATATAATTACAGCATGTAAATTACACATCATCATTCACTTGAACAAGGAAGTAATTAGAGCTTCTCAACTTTTGGTAAGCATAAAATACCTGATGCCCTCCTTTAAGATTATCTGGCATTTCACAAGTTCTTCCAAGCAATGGTAATTGCGAACGCACTTTCTCCAACTACATACACCTCCCTCCTTTGGTTTCTGACATGCCCCTGCTAAGAACCCCTGTTTTACGTGCATTCACTGCTCCTAATATTTCTACTCTATTCCACTGCCACTTCAGGGAGAGTAAAAACAAACACTACCTTCACAAAATCCCACAGCTACACACATTAATATTTGTAGGAGCCAACCCTGCAACAAAATTTACTTACCAAAGCCATAGCCACATCCTGTCTGCCACAAAATCCTGCAGCCTTTTCTTTCTTTTATGAACATGTAATACAAAAGATATTATAGAAAAGCTCTATGGTATTGGATCTATACTTTTTGCCAGATTACTTTTTCCAGAGTTTTAATGTATTTACAGGTTTTTTTTTTATAGAAAGTACACCAACTATTACTAGTTTAAAAACCAGAGTTTTAAGTCTGTTTGACCAATAAGTCTGGAATTTATCAGGTCAGTAATTCACTGCCAGGTAATTGACAAGAAGTACCTTAACTTAAACATAAATTGTGCAGGCACCCAAAAAACAACCCTATACTTTCAGGTTCTTCATATGTAAACTGTTGTGCTGATGAAAGGTTTAAACAGATAATTTCTCTAATATACTAACCAGGCATTCAGGTCTGGTAAACAGGAAATGTCAAACAAAAGCAGTAATTTTCCCATTGCTATTTTTATTATTATTTATGTTATTATTGAGTGCTTCCAAGTATTTCCACAGCCATGCACGCTACCAAGAATCTGTACCGTCCAGAATCCTTTTATGTTCTGAATTGCCTCCTGAGAGAATCTTTCATTCTGTTAAGCTTCTAGACAGTTATAAATCCAGAGGTTTGCTCTGGCTTTTGGGAAAAATAAGCGTTGTTTTGCAGCTAGAAAATAGTCATCTCCTTACTTTCTGCACAGCCCCTCCTATGCTCACTGTTCAAGAGAAAGTTTGCTGTCATTCATTTTCTTTTTTTTTTTTCCTTCAAATCATCCCTTGAATACAAGTTTAATTAATTTGGAGACGGGAGTCTTGCTATTTTGCCCAGGCTGGGCTTGAGCTCGCCATCTTCCCATCTCAGCCTTCCAAGTAGCTGGGACTACAGGTGCACAGCTTTGTCATTCATTTGCAAATCAGCAATAGCAGCTGTTTTAAATTGAGCTCTTGGAAGAGGCATAAAATTTGTCAACTCCTTTGTTTGCAGGTCTACCATAGGATTACTGTGGGGACCCTGTCAAGGTGGACAGACCCATCCAGGAAGCAATGGGCTCACAGAGCAGCAGAATTAGAAGCTCCTGGGAATTAGCAAGGGCTCCAAGGCTGCCCCTGTCCCTACTCCAGCCAACTGAAGTGATGCCAAACATCACAGTAGCAATGAGCAGCCTGAGTAGGATCAAACTGGTGTTGGTGTATGAGTGCAGATGGGTGGGGTGACTTCACTGCAAATACGGATGTCATGACATTTTCTAAACCCTCACTGGATACCACATTAGACATCACTGTCAGCAGCAAGACAGTGAGGGGCAGGAGGCCACAGTGGCCATGAGAGCAGGCTTAGGGGTTGTCTTCCTGGGTTAGAATAATCCTGTTCCACACCACTTACCGGCCGGGAGACCTTTGGCAAGTGACCTGTGTGTGTGCATTCCCTCATCTGTAAGAGGGAGTCAATGATGATCGAGTACCTGCCTGACAAGGCTGATGGGAGGATTAAACAAATTGATATTTATAAAGTGCTTGGAATAACACCTTGTACATCAGAAGCATTCAATCAATGTTAGCTACTATCTTCATCAATATCATCTCTAGTCCAACCCTCACAATTTTACAAATGAGAAGATTGAGGCTTGGAGAGGCAAAATATTTGCCTAAGATCACACAGTGAGTTGGAGGCAGAGCCAGGACTAGAATCCACGTCATTTATTCATCCCTACAGATTGCTTCAAAATGTCACCTTTAAAGGCCTCTAAACAACTTCTATTACAGACGGGGGTTGAGGGCAGTGTAAAAGAGTCTCTGGGGAACAAGGTCAGCCTTATCAGGACTGTATATAGTGACAATACTTAATTTATTCTGAAAATCAAAATTCATTAAGGAAATGCAAAAGATATAAATCGAAAGGGACACTCATTATCTGAAAAAACAAGCTATGATAGACTATATGAAGATTTATTTTGATACTAGTGTGCTTTCTCCTCATTCCCAGTAAACTGTCTGGTCACACAAGGTTGAAATAAAGATTTAACATCATAGAATGTCACCAGAACAACAGTGCAGCTATTCCTTAAGCTCAAGGTCAGAAGCATCAGCACTTCTCAGCAAAATGTTCCCCCAAACAGGTGACTCAGAATAATTTTAGCCTATACATCACCCTACTGAAACAAAACCTCTCTCCTGTGCATAGTTTACTGAGGTCAGCACAGTTTGAGAAGAAGAGGGAGTTTGGGCCCCGTTAATTTTATTATACCCACTGGAGCCATCTATCCTGCACTGAAAGCAACATTCATAGTGTCAGAGTGAGAGAAGCACAGGGCATTGTCAGGATTCCACAAACCCCAGAGATTTACCTTGTTGGTCTTTTACAGGCAAGATACCACCCTTTCTGCCCCTCCTTCCCATTATCTCTCATTCATTACCACCAAAGCAAAAACTGGTTTATTTTTATTTTGTTTTATTATTTTATTTTATTTTTTGAGACGGAGTCTCGCTCTGTCGCCCAGGCTGGAGTGCAGTGGCGCGATCTCGGCTCACTGCAAGTTCCGCCTCCTGGGTTCACGCCATTCTCCTGCCTCAGCCTCCTGAGTAGCTGGGACTACAGGCACCCGCCACCACATCTGGCTAATTTTTTTTTTTTTTTTTTTTTTTGGTAGAGACGGGGTTTCATTGTGTTAGCCAGGATGGTCTTGATCTCCTGACCTCATGATCCACCTGCCTTAGCCTCCCAAAGTGCTGGGATTACAGGCATGAGCCACCGTGCCCGGCCCTGGTTTAAATTTTTTAAAATTTCACTCCTTAACCTATACTTTGTCCCTTTGGAACTGATCTTTTTCCTGTCACACCCAGCTTCCATTCTAACAATTTTGCTTTTCTTAGTAAAATTGGGGAGATTTTAGTTTAATATAGGCTAAATCTCAATGTGATGTTTCAGTATTAAGTACTTTCTGCTGAGTCTTAGCTACCAACCACATTGCAGACACATTCCCCCCCTTGTGGCTTTTTTTGCTTTATTTACACATCCTTTTTTATATTTATTTGAACAAACAGCCCAACTGTATACCTTTGTTCATACTGAAAAGCCCTCCTCCTCCACTACTAATGTTCTACCCATCCTTTATAGCCCAATGTGGGTTATATCTTCTCCCAGGATTTGAATCCCTTATACTCAAACCTGACGCTGCAACAATACCCAACAAGCTGCAGCCCCCTTACCAACCTATCATGTAATTTTGTGTCTTTCCTCATCATCTGCCTGGACATTTAAGAAACTTTGCTAAGGACCCATTGTGCAAGTTTCCCCACTCTCCATCCCATTCTTCCCCAGCAGAGGTTCTCTCCCCTTTCTGGGCTGCTGGTCACTGACATCATCATCATCACTATCACCACAGCATACAAAGCACTGCCATGGGCTAGGAACTCTCAGAAGCATGTATCAACTTATTCAACCCTTATAATAATCCTACCTCATGGGAGGTAGGATTATTACTCCCCATTTTACAGATGAGGAAATGGAGGTAAGGAGTGGTTAAATAAACTGCCCAAGATTACATGATCAGGAAATGCCAGGGACAGGATTTGAACCCAAGCAGCATCACTGCAGTCTATGCTTTTAACCACTGCCCTCCAGCTGCTTACTCTTGTAGTTGTTTGTATTATGTGATTACACTCTATCTTAATCATTTACATGTGCACCTTCTCAGTAGCAGGAGCCTTGGTTTGGTCAGAGGTTGTTTCTTATTGAATCTTTCATCCTCTGGATTTTGCGGCATTTAAGTCTATTTCTCTGAGCACCATAGATTACAAAGGCCACTGTTTATAGCCATTTATTCCTTCCTTATTTGTTTCGTGTGTTTAGGTCTTTGCTCTCCAACTAGATTTTAAACTCTTGGAGAGTAGAGACAACCTCTCAGCTTTTTCTGAGTCAACCTCAGTACTCAGCACAATAATGAGCAAAGCATAATTGTCCTATAAATACCCACTGGGAGATTGGGTGGCTTTTTTCCTCTCATGATGGTATTGTCCACTTGTCCTTATTCAACATCATTTTGTTGAGTTTTTCAATTAGTCACAGTCACCCTGAATCCCCAGTCCAATCTTGAAATGTCCTAGCCACAGCTGCTCAATTTAATCATACAAATAACCTCAAGGTGTGCTCCCTTTAATCTCTGGGAACCACTGCAGACAGGGTTGAAGAGAAGCTGCACATTCACTCTGGCAACACAAACGCACACCCCAGAGCATGCCGGAAACAGAAAAACAGAAATTGTTAATGGCTTTCAGGAGAAACATGACAAGTATCTACTGTAAAAGGAGGAGAGCTCTTTGTACCTAAGTGAAATAATGATTTTATACTTTGTAATGAAAATGAAGAGGCAGTAGCAGCATGAGGCATCAGCTAGTGGAGAAAGGCTTCATAAGGCCTGAGAAAAAATGGTAAGAGGACTTTCCAAAAGACTAGAAGGAGGAAATTCCAGGAGAAAAGCATTTCTTCTTTCCTTTTCCGGTACCTATTTACTCTCTCTTTCATCCTACCTTTGCTGTGATCTTGGCTAAGACCTCCGAGCCTCAACCTCCAATCTGCAAAATGAAGATAATGTCTGCATCATGGGGACAAAATGGGAAAGCACCGTGAAAATTACATACCATCAGACAAAATTCAGACCTTATTGTTGGTGAGAGTTTGAAGGAGTACATGAACAAAATTTAAAGAAAGGATCAGAAGGTGAATTAAGAGGGGAGAGTGAAAGGAAGGAGGAGGAAAGAGGCACATAGTTCTTTTCTAAGATTTCAGTTTTAGGGTATACCAGAGAAGGGCATCACAGAGAGAACTCCGCTATCGGGTAGAGATGGTCAGAGGACAGCTACTTCCTTCAGAGAGGGGTTTGGACTCCTTTCGTCATAGTTAACTCTGTCAACGCCACCCTGAAGGTAAAGATAAGCAATAATAGGTTCAGCAGTTAAGAACAACATACATGCCTTCCCAAGGGAACTTGCATTACTAGTATCGCACAGTTTTCTTTGTTCTTCAACTACAAACACACACCTGGAAGAGAAAACCTTCACTTGTGAAAGTTCAAAGCCTCTCTTCAGAACTGCAGACAGTAGAAATTCTTGGAGAGGGGGCTGCACTCTGGGCATTAATCATGCTGCAAACATACTTGAGATCTCCCACTGGGAGGTTGTGTACCAAGTATCCAAGGCCAAGATTCTACACACAAATCCTCTAGCAGAAAGACTGAGCACACGCTTTGGCTTTTAATCTGACCAGGCACAAAACCCAGCTCCCATGAATACCTAACAGATGACCTTGGGCAAAGCCTCCCTTACCTCATGTAAATGAGGATAACCAATCTCACAGAGGTATAGTGGGTATTAAATGAAATATAGCTAAAGTGCTTAGTATTGTGCCTGAAACATACAAGTGCTTAAGAAATGTACTTCTAACCACTGTTATTCAACCTCCAAAGCAGAATCAGCCTCAGCTCTTAGGAAGATGTCTCCTACTTAATGTGATTTGAGAAGTGTGAGATAGATCTTTCTCCAATCTTTCCTTCCTACACAGTAAATGCCAGACTTCTTATAATTTAATTTTAAATGCATATTCTGTAGTTAAATGTTAGCATTTTAAGAGAGAAAATACCTTTAAAAGGCAATAAAATAGTGACTCTTCTTAAAGAATATGTGATTTAATCAAGTCAGCTTTGGCAAGGGAAGGAAGGGCTTGCTTGTTGAGGAGATGTCCACTGAAAGTCTCTCTCTCATCACAAACAGAAAATTTCCAGGCTTCTCCTTGAACAGTAAATGCTGTGGACAAAGAGCTTTGGGGTAAAGTTGGCCTGGGTTCCATTTCAGGCTTTATCAGATAGGTAATAAGTACCTAGCTGATTTGAGTACAATCTCACTGAGCCTCAGTTTCCATATCTGTAAACACAATAAGATGCAATCTTGGGAGTTGCCCTTTTGTTCTCATATTTCGCTATTATGCTATTTATGAGTTTTGAAAGCGGGTGAGGAAGAAGCCAGGAGAAGCAGAAACATGTTAAATGTGGAGTCCAGCACAGAGAAGGGGCTAAAGAAATGGTAGTTTCCCTTCCCCTAAAAGAAAGGCACCCTAAACATTCAATCCTGAAAAACTAAATTTCAATTACCTTCAGGCTTCTAAAATGCAATGAAAATTCAGTTTTCACACCATCATGTTTTAAACCTACTTCTCCTTCTCCTGGCATCCTCCTTGCTCCATTTCAAAACCCATGAAGGCACATGACAGTAAAATATGGGACAGATCCATTGTAGTACAAAACTGTCCATTTTTACTTGGGTATATATTTTTTAAAATCCTATCTCATTCATGGCTGAGTTTTCTAGAAGAATCCAGAAAGAAGAATCTAGAAAAATCTAGAAGAATTCTGGTAAATAGAATCACAATTAGAAAATAAGTGGTCCTCATATGAAATGTGGCAATTACAATGAAAGTGAGAAAAAAAATACTCTCATCCCTTTAGGACATGAATCATTGCTCAGAGATGAGGGAAAGACTAAGCCTGAACTTGAAGTTGCCAAAGCAGACCCCACTGATGAAGACAGTGCATACATTCTCACCCAAACCAAAGAAGAAGCAATAGAACCATCCCATAAGAACCGCAACCCAAGAACGGGTCATATTTACATCTAACAGTAACCCAGTATGTGGCAGAATGTGATGTGCCAAGAGAGAGACAACCATGTGCCACAAGAGTACAGAGAGCAGGAAATCACTTCTCACCAGGAAAAGCAAAAAAAGATTTCACAAAAGGTGGGATTCAAACTAGGGCCTACGAGATAGAATGGATTCTGATGGCTGGGGATGAACAAGAGAGAATATTCCAGGCAGAAGGGAAAATATAAGAACCAAATCAGACGATGTAAAGTGGCCATCTCACATGGCATATGAATGCTGGACTTGTGTGCTACGCTCAGTGGAATCCCCTCTCCACCACTCACAGGTATGTGACCTTGGACAAGTTACATAACTTCCTTAGTACCCAGTTTATTTTTTTTCTCTGTAAAAGGGGGATGACAACAGACACCTCAGGGGGGCTGTTACAAGGATCAGATGAAATAATGTAAAGTAAATCACTTAGGTCTGTGACTAACACTAAATGCCCAATAACCCAGAGTTGCTGCTATTCTTATCTCATTATCACACGAGAAGTCCCTTCTAAAGACTAAATAAACATGCCTTTGAGGAGACTTTCTAGATGTGGCTGGGGAGAGCTTGCTAAAACAATTCCTTATCCATATAATCAGTCAGAGGCAAAGGGTGTCGTAAAGATAGCTAAATATATTTCTCCATGTACACTAGGAGGCTTCTTTCTACCTATTAAAGCATGAAAAGAAAAGACACTTCGTCTTTCCCCAGCAAAGTCCCTGCTTGCTGTATGTCTTAAACCCCTGCATTCCAGAGAAAAGCCTTGAATATCCAAAATGCTTACAGAGCATCATACTGGGCTAAATTGAATTTTCTTATTAACCAAGAATTAATAGAAGACCAATTTGTCTTAATTCAAAAAAATCTGAAGCCCATGAGTACACCCCTTGCCTTAGAACATGCAGTGTGGCCATAATTTAATCTGTCTTTAATGATTTAAGACCTGGAGTGCCCAAGGCCCATATAATTAAGGAAGGTTCCACACAATTGAGGCTTTGCAGAGCAGGAGCTGGCCCAACTTTAAAGGCAAGCTGATGGGAATGGTAGGTACTTTGAGACTAAGGTAGAAGATAGGGCTCTACAATCAGGGGCTTCCAGACTTGACCACGATCTACATAAAAAATCAGATTTATGCTGAATATCCATATACGTACACATATACAGCTTAAACATGGCTTTCTCAAAACAATACTTACCCTCACTATGAGCATGTATTCTATTTTCTACTCCATTGTATTCAATATTTTAAAATGTTGATCATGACTCACTAAGATGATCTTTGTAACCCACAGTGTGAAAAACCTTTTTATAGGTAGCACTCAGATTGTACCATAGGGGGCCTGCCCTGTGATTTTGGAGAGAGAAAGTCACATAGGGTGAAGGAGGTAAGTCAATACAATTTCAATTTTTTAAAAATGGGCAGAAGATTAAAGACTGTAGCATTTTACCAGAAGTGGGAAGTTAGCGGGGAGAGAGGTATAGCTCCCTAACGTGCAGTTGTAGGAAGGTGCTCATTCTCCCTGCTTTGCAGAGTTAGCCAGGGACCCATGCCATGCCCTACAAAGTAGGGGTACATAGTGTGGAATCCTTAACACTTTCATTAATAGGCCAATCATGGGTGGCTGCCTATAGGGTGCTCTCTGGTGGCTCCAGGTCTGATGTAACAGTCAGTGAAGTCCCCCGGGGCTGGAGCAATCTGTTACCTCTTGAGGGGCCTATAGCGTACACTAATATTGACACATCCTTCTGCTGCAAAATAAGCTAAAAATCACTAAAATATGAAAATATTTTTTCACTTATTCAACTGTCACATATGTCTGTGGGAACCCCAAGTACACCAGAGGCACTTCTCCACAAAGAAGCTTCTATCAATGGGAAGCCTAGTGTGTCACGGACCACCCGTGTGGCACAGCACTGCCATCCAGGGAAAATAAACTTGCAACTAGGAGAAAACCATTGGCAGCCATCCACGTTGGCAAACTGCTGTGTGCATGTGGCACATGGGAAGATTCCTATCAGCAGGGGCTTACTCTCCTGTGGGGAAAGATGGCTGGGTTTCAAGAGGCACTGGGAAGGAAAAAGTGAGTTCAGCAGCCTCAACAATAACTAAGCAGCACATGAAGGAAAACAAGCTCTGCTGAGCTGGGCCACCCAAGGGATCTGGGGTTGAACTGAAGCAATGATAGCCATGACATTTCTAAGTCTAGGAGCAAGGACACAAGATTATATATCTCTTTTAGAATAGACTGGCCTTGAGCGTGTAAAACGGAAGCAAACTGGGGAGGGAGTTTTAGAGGAAGCAAATATTTGCCATGGTGCACAAGGTTAAAGCAACATCAGAATAACTGTATTCATGGGAACATACAGGTCATATGAATTAAAAACAGTATTTTTGGAATTTTACAGGAAGGAAATCTGCCCACTAGAATACCCAAAGGCCAATTTGCAAGACACCAACAGCAGCAGTAAGCTGAAATCCTAACCAGGACACAGGAACTTCCAGGGTTGCTAGCTAAGGAAACACCTCCCAGAAAGTCAGGATGTAACAATGAGCCTCAATTATGAAGGGGTTATTTCTTACATAGTCGTGTGCTTTGTAACATCTTGGCTATTTGTCCCGTGATGTTTCTTCAACAGGACTGTAGTTTTATTAGAGAAATTATGGACAAAAAGAAATCCGGCCAGGCGTGGTGGCTCACGCCTATAATCCCAGCACTTTGGGAGCCCACGGCTGGCGGATCACCTGAGGTCAGGAGTTCGAGACCTCCTTTTTGTACTAAAAATACAAAAATCAGCTGGGAGTGGTGGCAGATGCCTGTAATCCCAGCTACTCCGGAGGCTGAGGCAGGAGAATTGCTTGAACCCGGGAGGCGGAGGTTGCAGTGAGCCAAGATCGCGCGATTGCACTCCAGCCTGGGTGACAGAGTGAGACTCTGTCTGACTAAAAAAAAAAGAAAAAAGAAAGAAAGAAATCCCTGCCCTACCCCTCATGCTGATTCTGTCACAGGGTATACAGTCTTGGCCTCTGTGGGCCTGCCTCCCACCAGGTGACTCAGCACTGTCCTCTACTGCTGGTGTTGTCTTTCACTTCTGCTCAATATGATAGCCTTGGGGCTGGAGTTCCACCATTTTCCATGATGCTCTGATCTTTGAGTTCATTCTCATCCAAAACTTATCTTGGGGATTTGCTTAGCAGTCTCACTGATCCTAAGTGCAAGAAATTTGATTTTGAACAGGGACAACTGTTTGAACAGAAAGTAACTTGCAATTTTAAATGTTTCTCTACGAGAAGAGAATGAGTAACGGTTATTCACTCAAAGTCAGGGTGATAGTTATGAAAGAATTTTGTATGAGCAAGGGAAAAGAAAACAATAAAAGAAAATGGCTTCTGTCCTGCTGTTAAGTAGGTTGACTTATTAAACAGTGGACAGGGCAGGTATACTTAGCTGTTCTGATCAACAGTGAGAGGTTTATTGCACTCAAATGTGGCCTGATTCTGGGGTATAGCCCCCTTATGTTTTGCAAAATAAATAAATAAATAAATAAATAAATAAATAACAAAATGAAAAAAAACCCTAATTAGCAAATGCATAAAATTAATGGGGCTACAAAGAAGGACTTTTAAAAGTTTCACCTGAAAATGAATAATAGAATCCTTTGCCAGAAATGGGAAGTTTGTGATGAACTTCATGGGGTACTACTCATAAAGGCCTGCACAGCACAGGGCCACTCAGAACCATGGCCTACCTCAACTGGAAGGGCCCACATAGCTAGTGGTAACAGTGTTTTAGAAAATGGGCTTTGGGGTGAGACAGAGTTGCGTTTGAGTCCTACTCTGCAATTTATTGCTGTAGAACTTGGGACAAGTTATTTCTGCTTCAATTTCCTCATCTACAAATGAAGATAATATTCATACTTTTTTCACAAGGTTATACTAAGGACTGAATGAGGTTAACACATAGCATGGGGCATATAGTAAGTGTTCAATAGACATTAAGTATCATCATCATCATTTTAGATTATTCCAGAATTTACTTTTCCTCTCTTTCCGGCAAGGATGTTTCTAAGAACAAAAGAGCATTAATTTTCATCAACTGAGATGGGAAATGGTGTGAATTTCTTAAGAAATGTAACCAGAGACCTACATCATCTTCCTCAGGAAATGGAAATAGTATAGAAGATCCCTTTATGACACCACCTCTGCCCCCAAAAGTCTTGCCAAAGCCTAACAGAAGAGGTATTTCATAGTATTTTTCTACCTTTGAGGGCATCTTGGCCTCAACTAGAAAATCCTTGCACCCAAGGTAAAAAATTCAAACTAGATCTAGGGGTGTGTTTCATTTAAAATTAACTTAAAATTGACTTAATTGACTGGACTAATTAGCTCCTTTCTCTTCCAAACTTCAGGGTTCCAAGTAAAGGTATAATTTATTTTCATGGAAGGAAGTTATGTCATAGAAGTATTCCCAAGTACACATCTATATAAGGCAGATTAAAGAGAGAGAGAGAGAGGAAGGATAATCTGAAGAGACAGCAAGAGTCCAGGCAGCAGGTATTCAAGTTCACTGCCTGGAAGATCACCATGGAGTCAGAACCAGGGCTATGCTTGTTCTCCCACCCCGACCCAGGGGCCACATCCTTCTCCCCTTGTGGCCTTTGCCCTAGATAAATGTCTTCATGCTTGTGCTTGGGGGAGGGGCTCACTTCCTGGATCCCTCCTGACCATGGCTTCTTATCAGGTTATGCACATGAGCGGCAGTAGTTCAGAAATACCATCTGGCTGAGGTTCAAGTGCTCATCCTTGCACCTCTTGAGTCTCAATTTTCTCATACCCCTGAGAGGCTGGAAAGAAGTTTTATGAGGACCCCTGGAGGCTGCAGAGAGTTGTATCAATAAATGTGAGGTCCCTCATGAAGGAAAAGGAGCAAGAAGGAAAAGAAAATCTGGATGCTGGGAATAAAGTCCCTAAGTAGATGGAGAAATTGGTCTGCTGCTACCATGGTGGTTTTCTCCAGCCCACTTATAAAACTCAGCCCATCTCAGAGACAGATGAGGTAGAATCAGGGGCCTAGCCAAAACAACTGGATGTAGATCTGTGGGGTGAAACACAGACCAGCAAGGTCACAGTCCTAACAGGAGAATGAGTCAAGTGCCAAGTCCCAGAAACGAGGAACATGGTTCAGTTTTAAATTAGCTGCAGGACAGATCTCTAACAGGATATGGACAAACGTTTTACAAAATTCTGCAATTCTTCACATATATGCATGAGTTGTGGAATGATACAGGAATAAGTACTTGATGGTGTTTACCTTTTAAAGCCTTATGCAGGTCTACTGGAGATTTTAGATTCTTAAGGATGTGTTCCAATTTGACTTTTCCTCTCCCCCAAATCTTCGAATACCTCAGTAGTCTCTCCTATCAGGCACCCAACTTCAAGGACTTTCTTGTCAGTTATTTCTTTGCACTAAGACCATCTGTATACATATTTAAATTAATTCCAATTTAATTATTCCGATTCGAATTAAAAGTGACAATGACTGGTCCTAAAAATTTTTATTTACATCCTTTCAAGCACCAGCCACCATGAACTAGAATAACAGTGCTATCTTACATCAATCTTTTACTAATATGAATGAAATAGTTCTGACAGGCATCTAGCAATCATCTCATGTATAAATTTGAAGGCTGTACTTAACAAAATCTTAAAGAAAATTTTAGCAAGAATAAACAAGTTAGTGAATATCATCTAAGAACACAGTATAAGAGGTCGCTTAAGCATTTTCTTAGACAAGCAGCAATATAATCTATAGGTATTAAAATATTATTCCTTTTATGGTCTACTTTATTCAAATTGACAAAGGACTTGCAAATGTAAACAGAAAAAAATTTAAGAAACCAAATGACACTAATCTATAAATAAGAAATGCTCAGTTAGCTGTGAAACCCGATAAGAAGTCCATGTTGACATGAATAAAGTATCAAAATTTCAAATTCTACAAAAAAAGATGGAAGGTCAAAATAAGTGCTTGCTTTGTCATGTGTATGTTGAAGAAAATGCTCATAGTTAAGTTAACTAGTTAGATTTACTTGGAGAAGTAGCTATATTACTATCACACTCAGTGTTATAAATACACTAAATAGTTAACATAAAATTTTTAAACCTAACATTTATTTTGCTAAAATAATCAATTAAGGATGTCTTTATATCATCATGTATATAAGAGTATTGGCCCAGTTTGTAACCTTCATTTGTGTATATAGCTTCTATTATTGGACAAGCTCCCTTAAGGCCAAATTTAGGCATTACTTAACTTTGTAAGGCCTTAATCAAAGTATGTGCTCAACAACTACTTGACGGCTAAATCAATTAGGAGAATCAGCTCCTTAATAGAAAAACTAAAATAAATCTTCTCTCTGAGAAATAGTTTAAATTGAGTTGGCTTCAGCATCACAAAAGTATTATGGATATCTTTAAATATCCTAAAAATCTATCACATGCAAGTACAAATAGATTTATTCTGCTTTGTTACCTAAAACAAAACCAAGACCAAAAAGAAGTTTCAACAAGACATACTTAAGAAAAATTCCCAGTAAGTAAACCTATGGCACACACTGCCTCAGACTACTGGGTGAGGTCGTATGCTCCCCATCTCTGGAGCTTGGATGCTCCTTGATCCAGGAAATGGCAGAAGAGACTTCTGTAGTTCATGAACTGGACCAGATAACCTCTGGTCTTCTATCATTGTATGGTTAAATATCCTCCTCCAATTTATCCTCCTACAGATTATCTTTCTTCCTCTCTATCAGTTAATGATCTGGTTTGTATTCTTGAGTACTGAAGCAAAAAAATCTCACTAATAGTGATGACAACAAGTAATACTGAAGCCTTATAGTGTTCCCTCCTGGTAACAGCCATTTTGTAGATATACACATGTGTAACACTTGGTAGAGACATCTTCCTGACAGTATAATGGTGGCAAATGAAAGTCAATGAATGTTAAAACATTAAATTATGAAATTGAACCAGATTTCAACTTTTTCCAAGATTAATTCGATGTCATAAGGACAACCATTTCAAATCTTCCTTTCTGGCTGCCGGCAGGCAAACAGAAGTGAACTTGTAAAGTGAAAGTAGCTCAACAGAATTAGTAGCTGAAATTAACTCTGGTGGTTCTTGTTAACACGATTCTCTATGCCCCCAGCTCAAACTTAGCATTTTAGTGATTCAATTTTTTAGAATATCTTATAACAGTGTTGCTTAGAAATAAAATTTTGTATAAAGGGTAAAAAGCCACTGATTTTGGAGCATTTGAGTGTAGAAGGAGAGTTTTATGCAAACTAAATGAATAATATACTAGTTCAGAATCCTATAATATTGTCCAGGAGAATTTTACCAATTAGCGTCATCATTGCTACTGGTAGAAAACACAGATCAATTGTCTGCAGCAACTTCAGGATGCTGTGCTGTTGAAATCTTAATGGCATTAGCATAATTAGAAGGTGAGAGTTTACGCCAATTAAGACAAGTCTAATTTTAGAATCAATCCACTAGAGAATGTTCTCTAAATGATGTGTCTTCTCCATAGTTTAACACAGTCATCAGACCTAAAAAAAAAATTGCAAAAGATATATCAAAGATGTGCCAGAGCTGAAAAAGCCTTTGGAAGTTTTACACCTATTGAAAGCATTGTCCTAGTGGGGTATGGTCACAATATGAAAGCCAAGAGTTTAGGTATGTTTAACTTTGCATAAGGTACAATGGATCATATAGCAAGAAGCAACTGCTGTTTCTTTAATCCACATCCCTCACATTAGGAAAGCAACAGACAGATGTCTTGAAAGTGTAGCAATTACTCCATTTAAACCTGGGATTCTGGAAAAACATCAAAACAAGGAATGAAATGTGAATCCTGAAAGAGCCAATCCTTCAAGATGGATCCTGAGTGGCTAACGACCTAAATCCAAAATAGAGGCACATCATACATGTGCATTCCCAGAAAACCCCTAAATTCACTTAATTCTGGGACTTCCATAGCTGTCTGTTTCTGTTTACATTGTTTGAATTAACCAATAGTCTGTGGCCTGCATCAACCAATCAGAAGTAAGCAAGTTTGCATTCCTAATTTGCATAAGAGGATCAGAGTGGGAACTTTCTATATAAAAGACAACTCCTCTTTTTGTTCTATCTGAGCACACCTTTGTTTTATACCGAAGGCTGCATTTCTCAAGTTTGCAAACTGTTCACTGGAATTTTCTCTTTCCTTTTTTTAAAAAAGAAAATTATTTTCAGTGTATTTGTTGGCAGAGGCCATGTTTATTCAAATGGTGTCTATGCAAATTGATGGGGCACTGAAATTCTCAAAAGAACTGTGGCAATTCAAAAACACATCCACCCCAATCCTCACCAGTTCTTTACATTTTTCTCAAACTTCCTGCCATAAAATGCACCGAGACCACCACTATAAAAATGCCAGAATTAAAACATTTATAAACAATGTTTAAAGACTCAGATGGTAAATATTTACTTTCATGTTTGGAGTTTTCAAAAATTAAGAAAATAAGCCACTTGTATTTTTTAAATTATTACATCTATGAATAATGAAGAATTCTAGCCCACTGATCATTTGCTATCCAATTTAAAGGGGAAAAATATATCCATCCCTCTTTGACTCAAAGAAATGTATAAATGGACAGCACAGATGAAAAGGTTAGTATTCAAGATTTATCTAGTTCTTGGTGCTGTATTTCTGTTCTCACATAGCGCAGAGGTAGAAATGAGCACTGTTCACTTGTCATCACAGATGGGGTATTTCTGACCAATTGTGGTGCTGATCACTGGGATCTTCTCAAGGCAACTTGGGAGTACAAAGAGATCATCTGGATCTATCCCAGATCACATTAAAAAGAGAGTTCTAAAGGTTAAAAGAAAAAATGAGAGGGATTTAAAAAGACATGCTGGCTCCCCAAATGGCCTAAAGGTATACCGTGAACATGACATAATCATTACATCAGAATAGTAGAGATGTATACATAACTACCATATTACACGTATTTGGTCCCCATTTGTATGTGTGGATTTAAAATTACATTATACTGAGGATACTGCTATACTCATAAACAGTCTTTACCTGGACTTACCAATGTGACATAGTCCCCACCATCAGGCCTAACTTTGAGGTTAGATGGAGGTAAATTCAGTCCTACTATAAGAGGTAGAAACAAACTAAAAAAAACCTTTTAGATTAATATTTGTTAGGAAATATCTGTGTATTTACCACCCTTTAAGCATGTGGGTTGTTGATTTCTAAAAATCATGAATATAAAGATGGCTACAGAACAGAGCAATATATCCATTATATATTTTCTTCTAGAAACAATTACACATTTGGCAATAAATCAAAATCATAAACTTAACAGGGCATGGTAACACTTTTTAGACTACATGAAGGACACAATCATTTTCTAAACTGATCTGGACATTTTGGATTGAAACTTGGCATAAAATAGCTAAATTAAAATGGGGAAATTTAAGTTATCCCCTTTTGTTCATTTCTCCTTAACAACATTCTAAATTTTGAAAACATCTCATTCTTCTCAAGCATAACCATAAGAATCCTAAACCTTCCATAGTACAAGATTGTAAACTGGAAGCCAAACTCATTCTGGCTGCAACTATACAATTAGGCCAATTTTAGAGCCCAAAGGAAAAAAATAAAAGTCAATACCTTTTAAATGAGAATGGACTGGTTTCCAGAGTCTATAGACAAGATTCTAAAGGCACTCTATCATTGTAGAACAGGAAATACTAAATTGAGCAGAGACTTAAATTGATACAAGTCTGAGTTTCCCCAGACTTTTTTTCTAAAAAGCCCAGGAGAAGGCCAAATGCCTGTAAGTCCTACATATACATGCAATGTTAGCCATACTTAAGGAGCACTGGAGGCCCTCAGGTCAGTGGAACATTAAGGTGGAACAAGCTGTAGTGCTCTTAGATATTTGGTCCTAAGCATCACACCTCCCGTCCCTTTTTCCTAAGAGGAGTGCTCTAAAGTGGTGAGTCTTTTATCGTGTGTATGCATCCACATAAATACTGTCTCTCAGAGCAGCTAGGCTCAATATTTCTGCTTAGCTTTGCTATTCTAAAGCTTTTTCGGAAACAGTATAGTGGTTCTCAACACGTTTTCTTCCAGTGCTACTCAAAAAGCAACAAGGTGCTAAAGGGTAATCAAGTGAACCGTGTGATAATTAGGGATGCAATTTAAGTAATTCAAGTGTATTGTCCCAAATTTAATCAAGATGCTGCTGCTTACAACAACAACAAAGTACACAAACCGTGGTGGAAGATTCTCCACATTGTATCACATCACCGTCTTAATGCTACAGGTCTGTGTGATTCATTGCACTAGCCAGTGGCTACTGAGCACTCGAAACGTGGCTAGTGCAAACTGAGATGTGCTCTAAGTGTGAAATCCACACCAGATTGCAAAGAATATGAAAAACAAAGAATACAGAACATTTCATGCATATTACTTATTTCTTTTTACTTTTTAATGTGGGTACTAGATAATTTAAAATCACTCACAAGGCTCACATATTGTTTCTATTGAACAAAACTGCCATAGATTTTCTTTAAAAAGAAAACAAAAATATCAAGGGAGAAAAACATTTGAAATACACAACATGGTTCTTGATTATATCTGTGTTACTTAGGACAGGCCCAAAGACCATCCAAGGCCTAAAACTTACTGGCCATTAAAAATAGCTATAAAAATGCAAAGCCACCTGCATTGCACAAACCTTAATATACTCCAGTGAATGGCATTCCTTTTAATGATGATGTCATCAAATCCCCCAAAAACAAATACCTGGTAAATGTGAAATGAGAATCAAGTAAATAAATTGATAAATAACTCAGTTTTCCAAATCCACCAAGGAATGGTCAAGAGGTCAGAGGTGTTAAAAACCATCAGAATACCTAGTTGACAGCTGAATATAACATAAGGAGCTTTGACATTCAACTCCAATATTGACCTGAGATGAAACAGAAGAATAAGGCAGATAGTACAATCTTGCATGCAGAGATATTTATTGTGCTACTTAAGTCAAAATGCACGACATTCATTTGAAAGCCTCCACAGAGGGGTACTATACTCTGCCCACTATGCACCGGTAAGGACTCTTTCCCTGCTCAGTAAAAGAGGACTGGAGTTGTTTTTTTCTCTTTTTATTTTTAACAGAATTGCCACCGTAAGTGTTCCTAAGACAAAAAACAAAACAAAAACAAAAACAAAAAAAAACATATTTGCCAAAGTCTTTCCAAAGCCACATCCATAAATAGGTCCTCATTCATAGATGTGACCAGGATCACTCCCGGAGTCATTTGCATACCTTGCTTGGGACTTACAGGATGCTCCTGGGAGTCCACTTACCAACACAGCTCCCATGCCCCACAGCGGGCATTGTGGAGGGGGGTATAAAAAGAGTACTTGGCATTAATGCCAATGGACCCCTATTTCTGGACATTGCTCAGGAGAAAACAATAGGATCTAGAACTCTGCATCTGAAAAGCCTGTTCTAGACAGTAGGGAAGTTCACCTTCATCCAAGGGAGTTCAGAGAGACAGCCCAGTGCAAGCCACTTGAAGTTAGGCAGACTTGCTTCCCATATTCAAGTCCAGAGGGCTCTCAGCAGGTGATCTGAAAGAAAGAGCTATAGAGTCCTACTGTGGCCACCAGAGGACTTAGCAAGGGCTGGGTGGAGGGCACTGCCCTCTAGAGGAAGCATGCATTATTACCAGTTTAGTGTCTGTACTCTGTGCCATCATATGCCAGATACATATGTATATCTGTGCCATCCCCCCACAAGGGGCAAAAACCACTCAGTTTGAAAGTATACTAGAGATAAAATAATTTTTAAGAGACTTTTTTTTAAACCATAGGGTTTGAGTCACTTTAGCTTTGGCAGGGGTTTGAGACAACTACACAGACTTTACATGGTAATCTGGCCCCAACATTCCTCACTGTGGCTCTCATGATCTTGACTGGGCTTACTCACATGCCTGGGGACTAGCTACCTGGCAGTTTATCTATGCTGGAAAAGGGTATTGGACTAGTACACACATTCACACCTACCCCCATATTTTAAGTTGTTTACAAAATGCTTTAGAAAGTATTACCTCACTGACGTAACAATCTGAAAAGTGTTAGCATCTCCATTTACATATGCAGAAACTAAGGCCAAGAGGGTAAGTGGATCAGTTTCCTCTGAGGAGGCTCGGAGTGCCCACTGCCAATCCATCAGATGCCTACTGGAACCTAATGCTTCTGCCAGCCAACCATCACACTGGCTTAACTTACAAGTCATCCTTGCTCATCCCTCAGTGCAAATTCTTCCAGCCATAGTCTCTTCAATTTCTCTCTTTACCCACTTTCCCAATGTGTGATAAATTGCAAAAAATGCCCCAATTCTGCACCTCTTCTTACATCCCTACCCTTTGCTACATA
The DNA here is from genome assembly GCF_000001405.40 of Homo sapiens. Classification (NCBI taxonomy): domain Eukaryota; kingdom Metazoa; phylum Chordata; class Mammalia; order Primates; family Hominidae; genus Homo; species Homo sapiens. Next base: position 38,627,130 of record NC_000023.11, on the reverse strand, counting down.
ATTTTGTGACTTTGAAACTTAGCTATGTGACTTTCTTGGACTAATTAGATGTTAGCAAAGGCGACTCAAGCAGAAGCTTGAAGAGCACTTAAGCAATTCTGCTTGCTTTCATTCTTGTCTCTGTCTTTACTATGATAAGGCCATACCCAGGCTAGTCCATTGATCCCAGAAGAAAGATGAGATACACACGAAGCAGAGCCAAATTACCCCAGCCAAAGCCAGTATAGATTAGCTGACAGCTAGGTAACTCCCAGACATGTAAGTTCAACCAAGACCATTAGAGCCACCTAGGCACCCCCCCACCAAATCTGACTCCAGAAACATGCAAAATAAAGTAATTATTGAATGCTCTCTAGGATTTATGGTTGCTATGCAGCATTAATGTGGCAAGGGATAACTGGTACTCACTGCAGCACCCCTACACACCTACCCAAAGTCTTCCCATTGTTACTCAGTTATTTTGTTGAGAAATAAACTCCTCTCTTCTGAATGTGCCTTTCACTTCCCAGCCCTCTCTGGAACCTAGATCTCCTCTGAGCGTACTGCATCTTTTGTGGCCCTTTCTCCTACACCCAACACACTCATTGCCAGGAGGCACGGTTAACATCTTTCTCATGCCCCAGTGCAACTTCCGGATCACTGCACTTTCACTCCCGAATAGTCATCCTGCTCTCCTGATGCTCAGACCATCTGGCTATACCATATACCACACTCTATCACTTCCTATTAATGTCAAGTACCAATCTTTTTATATTTTTAAAGATTAACAGCTGGTTGATGGTTATACTTTATTCCATGCCCTATCATCCAGGGTGACTTCTTGCCTTTAGCATCTCAGTCCTGAAGTATTCCCAATGGCAATGATCTTCACCTTCATTCCATGTCTGCCACCTACTCCCATAGCCAGAAACATAAAATTTGTCAGAACCTGAAAGTACCTCCAGAATAGTACATTTAAAATCCCACTCTCTGACCACAGCCCTCTCATTTTTCCAGCTCTCACTTCTTTAGTACCACTATATTTATTTTTCAATCATTTATTCAAAGCTTGCCCTGTCCCAGGCACAATGCCAAGCACTGAAGAAATAGCAGTGAACAAGAAACAGTCTTTACGGTGACAAATTCACGTGATTCCCATCCTCAACAGATTCCTGACACTGTCTGCAATTTTCTCCTTTGGATCTCTTTTCCACTCTCCATAAGATAATGTTTTCCAAAACACTATCTCCTCAGACTACCTACTTGGTCCCACGAAGTTCCCACAGATGACTTATATCTTATACATCACAAAGAAAATTGAAGCTATCAGAAAGAAAATTGCCTCATACGTCTAAAATTTTCATGTATCCACACTTGCTTCATCCTCCTTCCCAATTCTCAAAATCAAAGATGTGTCCTGTTCAAAACTAATGCTTTCACCTGTGCTCTGGATCTCATCTCCTGGGATCTCTACTCTATTATTTTCCCCTCTCCATTGGGTCATTACTACACAGTAGTTATCTTCAGGTAGGACTAGCTGCTCAAACAGATAAACCCTCAAGTCTCTCCCTTAACATATTTTTCTTGTTCACATAGAATTGCACTGTGAGTATTTGGAAGGGAGCCATCCAAAGATGGTCCTCAGTTGTAGCCGACAGATGAGGAAAGAATGGAAGATCACCTGGGGAGGCAAGGCTTGGAGGTGGCATACGTTACTTCTGCTTTCATTATCAACTAGAACCCAGCCACCTGACCACACCTAACTCTGAGGGAGGCTGAGAAAGGTAGTCTAGCTGTGTGCCTAGGAAGAAGATGGAATGGGATTTGGTGAATCCTACTAGACTTTGCCTCAGTAGTTAAGAAAAGGGGTTTTAAATTCAGAAAGACCAGGGTTCAAATCTCAGGCCTGCAATTACTCGGTGGGTGGTGGTGAGCTGATCTTAGGATTTAGACAGATTAAGGGAGACAATAATAAGAATCTCCTAAGCTCAACAGGGTGGGAAATGTATCTGCTCCATGCCTTGGTAACTGGCTAGATACATGTTGCTAGTTCTCAGGGGTCTGGAAAAGTATACTGTTTACAGGCAAGGGGGAACTATTTTTCATCTTTATATCTTCCATAAATGAGTAAAAGATATGGAAAATTCCAAGGGTGTCTGGTCTCTTCCAGAAAACAAAAAATTAGGACAGACCTCTGCAAACTGCTTTCAAGACTTCATTGTAGAAACTCTCAAACCTTAGTTGTATATTAAAAATCATCTGGGGAGCTTTAAAAAATCCTGATTCCTGGGACACACCCCAAACCAACTAAATTAGATTATCTGGGGGTGAAACCCAGGCATGAATATTCCTTAAAACCCAGGTGATACCAACGTACAGCCAAGTTTGAGAACTACCACTTTAGAGGAAGGAATATTCAATATTGTCTTTTTGCTTTCTAATTCAAGGGAGCAAGATACAGAAAGATTAAAAACACTACTTATAATTGGGCGAGACAATTCTGCCTTGATTATTTGTTTCTTCTTGACTTAAATCTTTAGGCTCTAGTTACTATTTCTAGGCAATGTTTCTTAGCTTAGAGAACATTAATAACTGAAACCTATTTCTTCAGTGACCTGTAAGGTTACTGAGCACTACTAACCTTACTTAGAGAAGTCAACATTCATTAGTTAAAAAACAGAGAAGTCTCTCGACTGTTAACATAAATAATTTAACAACCTAAAAATAAATACAATAATTGTCCTTGCATAGTACCTTTCATCATGAACCTGGTTTTCAGGGTCTCAAGAGATGTGTGTGGTCAGAACCAATCTGGCAGCAATATTTCCTCCAGCTGGTAGGCATAATACAGCTTTACAATGTGAAGCTTTAAATAACAACATTTTGATGGCTGGTGGGGGGGCCATAGCTTACTAGGTATATAACAGCAATGCTGAAAGGCAAATTATGTCTCATACATTATTTGGTTGTGCCTCTTGCCTGGAGCCAGCCTAGGCTATCCATCTTTATAAATGACTACACTGTATGGATCTGAAACAAATGAAAACAAAACAAAAAAACACTCAAAAGCTCTCAGAGTTGTCTGCCAAGAGAATAAGAATCCATGCATCCCAAGTGTGACCTTGGGTCTGTTTCCTCATCCTTAAAATAAGCACAGTGGATGACAATGTGGGTTGTGTTTCAGTTCTAACACTGAGATACACTTATTTCTCCTCCTTGTGACTCTACCAAAGGCACTGAGGGGTGGGGGGTGGGGTCCATGGAGAAGTATCTAGAGCATAATTTAGGAAATAAAGAAGTGGGGGTTTAAGGAAGGGTACAGCTGTGGGCAGAACTGGTTTTCGTTTTGTTTTGAGGGAAGAAAAATCTGTTCAGTTTGGGGACACATTGAGTTTGGGATATCAATATAGAGATGCTATGGAATATGAGTCCAGATTTCAGGAGAAAGTCTACGAGTTTTCAGGATTGAGCTATTAGGTTGGTGCAAAAGTGAGTGAAGTTCTTGCCATTACTTTAATGGCAAAAAAAACCCTCACTCACTTTTGCACCAACCTAATAATGTATAAAGTCATGAGATGGCATGAGGTCACCAAATGAGTATAGAGGAAAGAGCCACAGACTGAGACCTGGAACCCACCCTGCATTAAGGGAATGGGGAGAGAACAAGAACTTGTAAAGGACGCTGAGAAAGAGCAACCAGTGAGATAGAAGGATAGCCAAGAGAAGGTGGTGCTTTGGAAGCCAGGTGAAGAGAAACTCCCAGAACACAGTGAGCTTTCAACTTCTCAGTGATTGAAGTTGAATCCTCTTCATGATTATTGGGAGGAATGGAAGCTGAGTTCCAGGAAGGTCTTTGATCTTACCACATGGCATTAACTTCAGTGCTTGCCTCATCATTCAAAAAGAAAGCCAAATTTCTCAGAAACCGAAGGGTCTGCTAGTAATGCTTACAAATAGGAGTAAATAAATCTGACAATGATCACACTTCAGGGTTTACAAAGTGCTGCCTCACATGGGCTCTCTTGGATCTCCACAACTTCCCTGTGAGGTGAGAAGGGTTAGCTTCAACTGTACAGATAAAACAACAAACTACAAATCAACCAAGATTTAAGACCTACCATCTAGGTTGTAGAAAAGCCATAGAACTTAGGTCTTCTGACCTCAAATCTTCGGTTCCATCTTCCATACCATATTACTTGTTATGTAAATGAGGAGAAACCCAGCTTCTTATTCTCTTCAGTAGGCAAGGCTATCCCAAACAAACAGAAATATACACACAACTAATATTTGCATATCATTTTGCAGATCACACTAGTGCGTGATCAACATCAGAAAAAGAGGGGAAAGAACCAAGTCTGGACTAAACAAGTCATAGAAACCAAGATTAAAGACAGGCATGAGAACTAGGACTGCTTTTCTTTGCCTCACCATGGGCTTACTTTACATTCTACTGAAGGTAAACTGCCAACATGGCACTCAATCTCTCCACCTTCCCAAGTAGGACCCAATTCTGATCTAATGCAAGACATCACATACCAGTCAGAATCCTAACTAAAGTTACAGCTTCTTTTCTTTTCTTTTTTCTTTTCTTTAAATACAGGGTCTCACCCTGTGGCCCAGCCTTGAGTGCAATCACAGCTCAGTAGTGCAACCACAGCTCACTGCAGCTCAGAACTCCTGGGCTCAAGCGACGCTCCCAACTCACCCATCCAAGTAGCTGAGATTGCAGGCACATGCCACCATGCCCTGCTACTTTTAAAAAGCATTTATAGAGATGGGGGTCTCACTATGTTGCCCAGACTGTCTTAAATTCCTGACTTCAAGCTACCTTCCTGCCTTGGCCTCCCAAAGGCATGAGGCACTGCACCTGGCCCAAAGTTACAGCTTCTTATTTAGAGCCAAGGATATTCAGTTATTCTGAGCCTTTCAGTCCCAGTCAAATCAAAGAAAGTATAGATCCTAGAACTAAGCATGAAACATTTCAAGTTATTTTAAAGAACTAACTTCAGGACCAATAACCAATATACTGTGGGGTCTGGCCAAGGCGTGGCAACTTGAAATTTTTCTGACTCACCTCGGGGATACAGAAGCAGAGTACTACATTAAATCAGTAGTTTTTGCCTTTATAAATTAGTTTAGATATTTGTGGATTATTAGCCATAAAACGCCAAATGGTAGATTGTAAATGCAAAAGTTACTTATATACAGCATACCCTGGATTAAAATTCTGCATCTGCAACTGTTTCTGAAGTCAGCCTCACTGGAGAAAGTAATTATAGTACATCAGCAAAACTAAGTGGGACAGGTCACCATAATCACATCAGTTTGGATGCTATGTTTCTGAAACGCAAGTGACAGCAATTATTCCCTCTTTCTGATCAGGAAGCTACTGCATTTTTATTTATTTATTTCTGAAAGATCACGAATGTAATACAAAATTTAAAAGATACAAAGGAATATATGGTAAAAAAAAGAATCTGCCTTTCACCCAGTATCCCTAATCTCCGAATTTCCTTCCCTTAAGCAAACCACCGTTACCAGTTTGTGTTCAGGGGATAATTTGCAATATTTTGATGAGAATTCCTCTGATCTTCTACCCCTTTCCTTACAGCCTTACATTTTACTAGTTTACTCTTTGTCCTTTTCCCAGATGAGCTTTTGCTGTATTGTTGGTTTTAGTTATTTTATTCAAAAATCCCCGTCAAAAGCTGTGGTCTGCCACTCTTCTCATATAGCTACAAAGGCAGACAACATCTTATTCAGAGGCTCAGGTTTAGTTTACTAGGATTATTTTCTAAAAGTTAAAAAGACTACCAATGACAAAATAACCAGGTATACCTGCCCAGGACTTCTCAAACTCCTGTGTCAAGTGAAGGTAAATGAAACAGGATTGTCTTTAAAAGAAAAAATAAAGTGCTATATGATGGGCTGATCATCCTTAAAAATCAGTAAAGTTGTGTATTCTAAGGGTAAATTAAAATGTCTTTCCAAACCTATGGTATCCTTGCTGATATCTAGTCCTCATATCCTAAGCCTTCTCACTCAAGACATGGCTGCTTCTTAGAGTACAAGACTATAATTTTGTTTGGTAATTAATAGCTACAGAGTCTAACACCCTTGGTTGCTTATGCCTTTCAAGATCCATAGGCTGTCCCAATCTATTCAGAACGGAAAGCACCACTAATTCTAACGGGCTTTAAGTACATATTTACTGGGCTTCTGCTATGTGCCAGGCATTGTGCTAAACGTTGGGAACAGAGTGAGGAAAAACACATGTCCTGCCCTTCATGAGTCAGGAATTTCAGCGTGCCAAGGGGCAGAGACCAATCAGAAGTCTCCCCACATTCTATATTCCTCACCCAATGTAGTGCCAAGATATTCTTAGATTCCACCTGCCCTATGTCTAGTCCTTTTGCCTGATGGTGGGTTCTTCTCTGCTCTGACAGGTTGTGGGTTTCAGAACTGGGTTTGATCCCTTGAAGGTGGACAGTAGACAACAGAGGAACTGTCCACACCTTGTAGTCAGGTCTCTAGGGGCCAGATCAGGCCACTGCTGGAGTTGAGGAGGGGAGATTCTGATCCCTTTCATACCTTTTCTCCAGACAAAAATTGTAGGTCTGCAGTAACAAGTCCTCTGTCTCATTTGTGACACAGAATGAATTAAGATAAACCTGGCTCCCAATCTCAAACAGAAAAGGCAAGCAATTTCTAAACCAAGGGCCCTAAGAAAGGGATTTTCAAAAGCCACATGTTCAGAGCCTATCTCACAGGAAATGATTTAAAGACCAAGATGGGGCTTTGCTTAACAATAAGAGACAAGTGTTAGGTATGGCCATCCCATCTGCTCCCATGAGGAGGCGAATTCTTTACAGGGTGGTATTTAGGGTTTATAACATCCACAAAGAGGATTTTCCTGACGGCCTATCATCACTGATGAGTTAGAGTTGCAACTGAAAGGCAAGGAGAACGTCAGAACTGTGTACTTGTAGAAGTCACCCTACCCCATTCACAACTCTCTTACCTGCTTTCTCTCCATGTCCCACCACTTCTTTCCTAAAACATGGCTTCCACACTGCTACACAGGCAGACAAGTCCATCCACCCTCGCCATGTCCCTCAGGAACTTCCAAGTGGGTCTAAATAACAATAACCACATCACACTACTTTCTCTAGCACAGGGGATAGATACCATTGTCTTAGGGAAAAGAATGGGAAAATACATTATGTTTAAATTAGGAAAATCTGAGTAGCTTCATTTTTGGTTTGAAGCATATACTTCCTTAGTGATTTTTCTTTATTTAATTTCCAAATGTAAGTTTATAAAACTTCTGTATTTATTACTATCTGCAACCCCAAAATAAGATGACTTGTACAATACAGGAGAGCCTCCAATCATAAAAATTCATTCTTAAGTTATATACAATTTTACAGTTTTGTCGGAGTATGCTCTGTGTTGGCAACCCATGAACACAAAACCGAGAATGTCAATACTGTAGATGTCACAGAGCTGCTCAGATTTTCAATCTAATTTAGGAATGAAGGGTTATGAATCTAAAATGACAATATGTCCTGCCTGCTAAACAAGCTCCTACCCTTCATACAACTATCAGTCCCCTTAAGGCTTCTGTGATTAAAATAAGCAGCAAAGGATCATTTAGAGACAATGCAAAGGCCTTTCCTGTAGCTCTTGAGAGGGACTCAAGGCTGAGCCATGCCTTAGCTAATAAACACTGATAACCTATGCCATTTCAGGTACCATTTAGAGTCTAAACAAGGTGAGGGCATGAACAATATCACCTGCAAAGAACACTTGCTGTGCTCTTTTAGGAAGCACCAAGTACTCAAAGCAGAGCGAATGCAACAAGGGCAGCATCCCAAATTCCACAGTAGGGCAGACTCCAATGCAATGGGGGCCCTGGTGTGAGTGGGGCCCAAACAGCTGGCGTGGCTGCTGCCTCCCAGTCAAGCAGGAGGCCTGAGATATCCCAGGGGCAGCAGTGGCCACCACCTGGACACTCTTATCACTTAGGCTCTTGATGCTAGCAAAAATAGTACATTTCTTGGCTGTCTGAGATTTTTCAGTGCATGGTAACTTGACATTTCTGGCAAAATTGGCAGGTCCTGAGATATAATCTCAGGACAAAGACAAGATAGGGATGAAATCCTTAGCAAGGCACAGGTGCCAAAGTGCAATGTCTTCAAAGACACAGTTTCACCGCCAAGAAGAAAAGCCACCCAGCTTCCACTATAACACAACTACTTTGTTCCACAGTCTGTGCCACCCAGATGCCTCCCCACCTACCACCTACCACCACCCGCAGAGAGACCACCAACTCCCAACCCCATACAGCCAGGATTTGTGCCCATTGTCCAATGAAGCCCCTAGACCTAACACAGCATCTCACAGAGAATCAAATGAAGGAAAATGTCTGCCCTGTAAACTGCTGAACTCACTGAGCAAAGGAATTAACATGAAGACTCTCCTAGCTAGTATGAAATGGTACCACTCTCAAGGTAGCTCAGCGACTAGAGGTATAGTCTGAGAAGCCAGACAGTTTGAGTAAAAGATTTGTGGGGAAATGAACCCTCCTTACTCTCCCACTCTCTCTCAGACACAAAAGTTCCCACTGGAAAGCAAATCAGAGGGGGAATTATGCCTCATGCACCCTGACTTGACAGTAACTTCCAAATACACGCTATCAAGAACACCCACCCAACCATCTGTCCGTGTGTGATTCCTTTGCTTATTCGCACAGAGAAAAAGCCCAGTAAAAAGGAAGTCAGCTGGCTGACAGTCTGGGGGCTTTCTGAACTTCCCCATTCTCCGGAAATGCACAAGCCAGGTCTGCTGTTCTATCCAGAGAGGAACAGCATTTGATGGAGATGAACAGTGGCTGACAGTTAAAGATCAGTAAGAAAGTAAATGTACAATGGATTGTGAACTTAACGAGTTCTGACTTCCCTAACATGCTTATTGAAGTCTCTGTACTCCTGATTATTTAGAATTCATGCTTCCTGTTCTCCTAGTCTGTACCACCCTATGGTCCTTCCCAGTGATGGCCTGATTCTCTCCATCTTCCTTCCTCCACCTTCCTGATGTTCACTGCACCAACGACTTCCAAGGTTCATTCTTCCTCCATTACAAACACCTTCCTTAATCCACCCAAAATATTTTTAAATCATCGTATCGCTTAAGTCTCCATCATTTTGTCCTTCTCTCCGATGTGAACAAACAAATAGTAAAAATGTAAGATGAGGCTGTTTTTCCCAGTAGTCAATCTTTCCCTGTCCCTTCCAATCCCCACAACAAAGAAAACTATCACCCATCTGATCAAATGGATGGGTAAGCCTCACAAGATGAGGGCTGATTTCCCTAAATCAGAAGAGAGGCTCACAGAGCAGAAGGAGTATTCTAAATAAAGAGAATAGCATACAAATAATGAACCAGTGTTGCTCAAAGTGTGGCATGAAGTCTTCCTGCCTGACCAATGCTTTGGGAGTCTGTTCAAAATGCAGATTTCTAAGTACAACATGAGACCTACCGAACCAGTCTCTCCAGGGTGCATAAAATGCAAAACTCTGTATTGTCTATAGAGCACATCCCTCTAGGTTATCAGGTTCTAAGCTCTCACTGAGTTTGAGCTATTTTGCAACTTCATAAGTTGCAGGCAACTGGAAAATATTAAAAACTCTGTCGTTGTCTGGTTTTGCCTGACTTCCCTCCCCCTTTAGGGGAAAAAATCAGTTTTGCTTCCATTTGCAATTCTATTCCTTTACTCAATATAAATTTGTGCTTTTTGACTTTTTCCCTTTGAACTGCTTATAACTTCTGCCAGGCTCCCTCATGTGGGTAAAATGAAATCTTTAAAACATGTTCATCCTTATCTGTATGAAAGTAATGATTTTGCCTTTTCTGAATATTATCTTTTAACAGAGGTAGGCCCAGGAATCTCTACTTGAAAAAGATGATTCTTCAGCACGAGAAAGTGGGAAAACCAGCACTCTCGGGCCGAATGCAACCAGCCAGGCTCTTTGTAGATAAAGTTTTCTTGGAACACAGCCACGGACACTGTGGCTGCTTTTGAGCCGCAGTGGAGTAGTTGTGACAGAGACCCTGTGCCCTGCAAAACCTAAAATACTATCTGGTCCTTTAAAGAAAAATTCTGCCAACCCCTGCTTTAGTGGAATAGCTTTCAAAGTCGATATTTATCAAGGAAATCTTTTAGAGTCACTGGAAGGTGATTGTGGACAGGCTGGCCATGCCATGGAAAGCTCAGTGAAAATACTGACACTGAGTATGGTACCAGCACTCAAAGGTGAGAGGAGGTTCATAGGGGCTCAAGGAAATTGCATAGAGTGGCTCTGAGGAAAAATACACTTTGTGTAGCAAGAGTAGCCCACCTCAGTAAGCTATGGAAAGTGCTTCATACATCCATTCAGCAAGCACTTATGGAGAATCTACCACCACCTATAGCAGGCAACGGGTACTCCATAGATCAAGCTTGTCCAACCCACCTTATTTTGTTGTTGTTCTGTTTTGTTTTTAGGCTTTTAGCAGCCTGAAGCCATGGTTTTTAAGTTTCTGTCTTTAGTAATAAGCGGAAAAGAGGGATGAGGAAGGGGCTTTGCTGGCCAACCAAAACAGAAACTAAGAATCCATGACTGTATTCTTGCCCTTGGACACCCCTGCCATAGATGAATGAGGCAGGAACTCTGCCCTGCAGATGACCACGATTCAGAACATCATTATCAGCCATCCCTGTATAGTGGTTAAGGTATAGCCGTTGAGAGAGAGGCTCTGGAGCCAGTCTTTGTGGGTTTAAAGCCCAGCTCCACCACTTACTAGCTGTATAACCCTGGGAAGACTCTCTGTGCCTCAGTTTTCTCATCTGTAAAGTGGAGATATTAATATAGTACCTACCTTACAGAGTTGTTGTGAGGCTTTGGTGAGTTAATACACATAAAACTCTTAGAACAGAAGCTAACAAGTACTAAACGCTGTCAATTAGGGCTATGACTATGATCAGAACCCACAATTACACACCAGTTGCCACAGTAGGCCTCTGATGTACATTCTCTCTAAACCTTACAATAGCTACTCAAGCTGCAAATTATCCCCATTTAATGATGCAGAAACAGGCCCAGAGAGGTCAAATGACTTTTCCAAGAATGCAAGGTAGAGACAGGATTGAAACCTAGATCTGACTCTGAAGTCCAGTTTTCTTTCCAGTCATTCTCCCTTGTGCGAGGTTGTCTAGAGTGATGGTGACCCCAAAATCACAAGTCTGCCTTCACAAGGTCTTCTACATTTCTCACGGGATTTGAAATCTGGCTTTGGAATAGCAGATTTTTCTACAATGAGACACCTAAATATTTCTCTTTAGGCAAGAATGGAAGAGATGATATCCCCATGATGAAAAAGTGTTAAAAATAAAATATTTTAATACTTTAAGCATTTTATTCCTCTCAAATAAAATACTCATGGGATATGTTACCCATCATTTTCTTCTCTAGGTAAAAGGTCTAGTTAAATTTGAAAACCAATACAGTAATGCAGTTTATAGAGTGTCCTTGTAATGTTCTTTTAAAAACAAAAAACAAAAAACTGGAGAGGACATTAAAAGACCCCGAATGCACATTTTAAAGCAGCTGAAATTGGTCCAGTGCTCTTTCAATCCCTTTAAATGAAAAGGGTTCTCTCTAAATAAACTAAAAATAATTTGGCTTGACACACTGTATGAAAATGGAACCCCAGCTCATTTCAAGGTTTCATAGGCAGAGGCAGGTTGATATTACTTTGCATTGGGGGAAAAAAAAGCTTATTTTCAGCTATGTGTCAGTATTTTATATTACATTCTTATAGGAAAAGGGCTAGCTATAGTTATGAAAAAGAATATAAACAGAATCTTGTACTTAACTAAGCAGCCATGCTTAGAAAGCTCACTGAAGCTGAAACCTGTTACAAGAATGATAACACCCCTCAACACTCGAGGGGAAAAAAGATTTCATTGTTTAGCAATATTTCTAATACTCTAATATTCAAATCCACCCAGTCCATACTTAAGGCTATAGGCAGCTCTTTAGTGCTGAAAACAAACAGTTTTTGATACATAATTTGGTCTGAACAATTTGGTTTGACAAAGGTTTACAAAAAAAAAAAGAATAAATCTGTAAAGACTCTACAGCTCCCATTTATGGCTGTATTCATTTTGCAAATCAGTGACTCCATACAGTTGCAAAAAAAGCAAAACTCTCAATAGGGAAATGTGATGCTGGTGCTCATGACACTGAATGGGTAATGAGTTACCTAGCCTTGTGGCCATATAGAAAATAAGTCCTTCATTACTGCACAATATCACCCATAAGACACACATTCTACTGGGTGGGCCAGAAAACCATGCATGCTTTGTTCTCCAGATAGACGGCACAACAGTGCCCATGAATGACCTTCAGCCACACATCAAGCTAGCAGGGAGGCAAGAGTCCCTGCAGCTGGGGAAAGCAGGTGCTTCTCACACTTTGTGGGTGCCCCATTCACTTTGTAAATCAAGGTTACACAACTCAAAACATGTCAGAATAGTTTTCTCCTTCAAAGTCCAGTTAACTCATAGAGATCTTAATAGGATTCACAAGCATTATTTCAACTCGGCCCCTGGTGTATGGGAAGAACTGGACTTGGTAAAAACCTTCACAGGGTTTCAAAACACAAATCTTGGACTGCATTCAGATCCCAGTACTGCCACTTTTTAGCAGTGACCTTGGATGCACTGCTTAATCTGAGTTTCAATTTGTCTTTTGTAAACTAAGGATAATATCCATTCTTACTTGCATCTCTACACATGAAAAGAACTCAACAACAGTACCTGGCACAAAGGTGTTCCATAAATGGTCAGAAGCCTTGGGCTTTGGATAGTCAAAAATGTACTGGATTCAATAATGTAAAAAAGAAACAACAGTTCTACCCTTCAGGTTAAGTCGGTGGAAATACATGCATCTAATTTCACTCTCTTGAAACCCCATAAAAAACACGTAAAGGAATTGTTTTTTAAAAGACAAACTCAGGAGAACAGGAGATGGGACAATAGGAACAACATTTTGGAAGCTCCAAAGCAGACAGATGAGTGGTAACCAACTCAGCAGGCAAGGGAAAAAGATGAAAAAAAAAAAGAAAAAAAAAAAACCTCAAACCAGCAGTGACCAAAGCTGAAAATGGGCACAGGGCTCCTCTGAAACTGGGGGATAAGGGGGTCTCAAACGTGCAGAGGCTGGAAAGGAAGGCATCTGAGAAGCTGTTATGTCTAGCTCCCCTTTCCATTCCACAGAGGGACTGCACTTTCCCCAGCCAGGAAAATATCCAAAGGATTATTTCCTAAAGAGGGTAAAACATAGGGTACCTATCCTGGGAGGCATAGTCAGGTCATGAGTATTCTAATGAAAATAGGGTCATTAAGTGACCAAATACACACTGAAGCCTGAATGCAGAGAGACTGCCCTCAAGTCCTCTTTCCCCAAGAAGCTCCCAGACTAAGCACTAGACCTACCCTTCCTGCAGGAGACTTGAAGGCTTCTCTAGGGCATCTAATAACCCAAGGTGAAAGATCTAAAGATATATTGTCATAGGTATTTCCCAACAAATGCCCAACCCAGATCACTCTATAGTGAAAAAAAATTCAACAAGCTCCACCAACCTGCTTAGCTTCAGAGCAGCTTTCTAGTTCCCAAGAAACCAAGGATTACCAGACATCTGAGAAAAGCCTCTACCAAGGAAGACAGATCAAAATAAGCAAACAAAAGAGCACTGGGAACAGAAACTATACACCTAGGAGAAAAATTAAGCAAATATATACCAATGATATCCTTGGAGACATAAGATACTACATCCATAAAATAAGAAAATGATTTTTTTAACCCAGGAAACTAAAGAACCGAAACAAACACTTTTGGAATTGAAAATTATTATGAGAAATCAAAAATAAGAGAAGTGTTAGAAGATATTACTCCAAAATTAGAGCAAATACGAAGAGACGAAAAATAGGAGAAAACAGAAAATCAGATAACTGTTATGGAGATTCCAGCTCCTGAGTGTTAGTTGCAGAATGAAAAGAAAAATGGAGAATAAATGTTTCAAAAATAATTTCCCAAAACTGAAGAATTGAGGTGTCAGAATGAAATGGCACATAGTATGTCATAGAATGCCCAGCATAGTGGATGAAAACAAACCCATGTCATGGCCCATTAGTGTGACATTTCAGATCCTTGGGGACAAAAAGACTTTATAAACTTGCAGAGAGAAAAAGAAATCAGGTCCTAAGTATCCTGTCAGGAATCAGAATGGCTTCATACTTCTCTACAGCAATAGTAGAAACAGAAGACAACAGATCAACGTATTAATTTTCCTTTAGAGCTTTGAATTCTACTCCCAAACTCCCACCACGTATGATAGTAGAATAGACATTTTCAGGTATGCAAGGCCTCGAAAAACTTACCTCCCTTGTACCCTTTCTCACAAAGTTACTGGAAGTGCTCCACTAAAACCAGCAAGCAAAACAGAAGATATAAAAAGAAAAGAAGCTCTGACTCAGGAGAGAGGCCAAGGGAAGCTCCGGATGACAGCTGTGTACTAAAAGAAGACAACCAGTCCAGATTGGTGCAATGTGACTCAAGAGAGGGGCACACTGAGAACTTTCATCACAAGATGCCTGCTGCCGTTAAACCTGAAAACAATGATGGGGTGAGCTGGATGAGGCTTCTTCTGTTTTGCTTTTCCTGGCGTGGGCTGAGGAGATTCCTGTTCTTCTCCACTGCCTGAACCAGCAAAGGACTCTCATTTCACTCCAAGGCAGGCTTCTGAGAACTGGAGGCAGGCATCAAAGAGCTGAAGAGTAGGAAACGCAGAGCAGCCTGTGCCCCCACCACATTCCTGCTGGGCGCTCAGTACCAGTTCCACACTAAGTGTTGTCAAATGTCCTGCCTATCAGGAGACCCATTTTTCCTCAGATTCACTCAAGGCTTTACCCACCAACTTCCCCACAATAAGCTCTGAAAGCAGAAGCCAGATTTCTCCCAGAGACTTGGTGGGCTTTCATCAAACAAAACCAATGTCTCTCTTTCCTTGCACAGCTAGGTTTGTGCTTGCTGCTTGGTTTTCAAAACCATACAATATATTGTTTAGGGATACATACATAACTCTGGATGCTAAAAAGATAAGGAAGAAAATGAGTGACAAGTCAGGGTAGTGGTTATCTCTGGAGGTTATGCAACTGGGAAAGGGAACAGAGGAAAGGTCTTTAAGGAGCTGCTATTTTCCCATTTCTTAAACTGGGGGTGTGGGCCCGTTAGAATTTTAAAATTATTCTTTATATTGTACCTATATCTACTAAACATTCTTTTGTATTTACAATACATTTTGCAATTTATAAGATGATTTGGGTCACAGATTATGTTACAAAGAGTACAAGAATCTATACCATTTGTCTCTGTTGTTCCCCATAACAGCAGTGGACAGTCTGTTCCCACCATCACGATCCTTTAATATGGCCCAAGACAGCAGTCACAGAACAGCAATTCTAGAAGACACTTTATGGCAGGAACAAACAGAAACAAGACCCTCTGTAATTAGCTTTCATATACAGCCATGAGAAATGCCCTAATGCACCTCAACTAGTGGGGATTCCTGCAAGCTGACAGGCTTCTGAAACCGAAGTGTCTAGCCAAAAGAGATTGTTCTCACCATTTCCCCAACGTGACTTAGTCTTGTTTGAACAAACTGGCAATTCCAAAATAAATACCCCAGACAACAGGTTCACTTTCCCAGCATGATTCAGATGAAGCAGCAGAAATGTTTATTGTTAACTACTGACCCATGTTTGGTCAATTTCCTTAAACACTATGTATGCTATGCGCATACCACCATGACTAAAAGTCACTTTTCTTGAAAGGCATCTTGCTATTCGATTTCACTAAGCTGCTCCAACAGAAAAACTCTTTCCAAATTCTCATGTGCTGAATATTTTCCTTACGTGTGTAGTCAAAGAAAGAAAGAAGTCATTCTACAGCATTCACAGAGGACTGAAGATGCAGCCCAAGTCTCATGCTGTTTAGCCATCTGGCTGAGATGCGGCCTGCCTTCCCTACCCACCGATTTTCTCTTACCTCTTTTGGAATTCAACTCAAAATTCAGAGGCAGACAATCGAAAGCAACTGGGCACTGATTTGAGTAAGAGCATTATATTCCACTCACCTGACTAATAAAGTGAAACAGCTGGCTACGTTACATTAACACCAATGGATTTATACCTTGACTTTTCTAAAATATCACTGGAAACAGCATCTTCAGAAAGAATAATTTTTCTCAGACTTAAACTGCCTCCACTTGAAGAAGATTGCTCCATTGTGAATAGGCTCACCTCTGAGAAAACTCAGTGAAGTGTATCAAGACATGGCCACAGTACTCTTTTTCATCAGATGTTTCTGATAAAATATTGGCCATCAATAATGACTCTTCTCCCAGATTAGAGCTTCTCAACCATGGCTGCACACTGGAATCACCTGGGGAGCTTTAAAAACTACTGGTGCTTGGGTCTCACCTTCCAAGAATGAGCTACTAGGTCAGGGATGTGGTCTGGGTTGAGTTTGGAAAGCTCCCCAGGTGATTCTAATGCGCAGTCAAAGGTAAGAAATATGGTCTATTAGAGAATAATAGTGACCAGTTTCCTCCTGTCGAAAATATAAGCTAACATTTCCTAAAAACCATCACTGCTTTAACAGTGTGTATGTTTACATATGCCATGCAGCATAGCTAAGTAATTAAGAGCACAGAATCTTGAGTTAGGCTACCTGGGTTTGACTGCTGGCTTTGCCACTCACTGGCTGAGTGATCTTGGACAACTTATATAACTGCTCTGTGCCTCAGTTTCCTTATCTGTGAAATGGGTTAATATGAATACCCATAGATCACAAAATGGTATTTAATTAGTTGATATTTATAGAATGCTTAAAACAATGGATATGACACAGAACATGTCTTAGTAATGTTTGCTGGATAAACTGTCAAGCCAGTTTCTGTCAAGAACCCCAAATAATACAGAATCAGATACGACTTTCTTTGGAATGCCAATCGTACATTTTTAGTACAAAAATCTCTCAGATTTTTTGTACTACCTCTTATTTTTATAATGGAACTTTATCCAGCTCTGGCCAAAGGGGCATTTTTTGAGGTCCAAGAGGAAAATTTAACATAACCTAGCGACATTTCTTTATTGCTGGGTCCAACCCTCTCTCCAGCATTTCAGACATCCATGTCATTGTTAATAACCTGGTGTGAAATCTGAGCACTATATTTGCAGGAATTGGCAAGAACGGCTTTAGAATTCCAAGTTTTTTATTTTCAAATGAGTATGTAACTGTCTCACCTAGAAGATAAAGGAGTATTTTTTCAAAGAGTTCTCTGTAGCCTTGTAGGAGATAGAGGTCCTTGGATTTTTCTTACTTTAATTATATACATATATATATGTATATATATACACACACACATGTATATACACATATACATATGTATATGTATATATGCTGCATGCCAAGCACCATGCACAGAAATTTATTGATTCAAAAAATATTTAAAACAGGAGATCAAAACTGAATGCAGTCCTAAAATGTGAGAACAGACACTTGGCTGCACAAGCTTTTCAACTACACAGATAAATATAAAATAGTATTTGAGGAAAAATAGTTTCATACACGTAGCTCCTAAACACAGAGGAAGGCTGATGGTAAACATTTCAGAGTCTCTCTGTCTTCCACTAATAATAGAACTGATTTATTATCAAGGCAGTGCAAAAATGCTGCAGAAAGGTTGTGTGAAGAGAGACAGCTCCAAATAATATTGCCCAACACCACTTCAAATTCATTCAGCTTGCCAATGCTTTCATTCAAAAACCAACACTTAAATTCTCTAATGCCACAAAATCGCTTCTTAAAAATAATGAAAGCTCATTTTGAAACATGCAGATTACTCATCAGACACTGCTGAGAGAGTGTGTAAACAGGCTCATTTCTACAGGGCAATTTGGTACTGCATATTAAAAGCATTTACAGTGTTTATCCTCTAACACGGATTTATCCTTAGGAAGTAATGGACACTCATGTGAAAAATGCACGTGCAAGAAAGGTCATCATAACATTGCTTAATAGCAAAAAAGAGCACTGATTACCTAGAGGGTGGTATATTCATACAATGGGGTCCTGTAGCATAGCAAAATATTGAGTGAAATGGGAAAATATCTGCGATAATGTTATCAGGAAAAGGTGGTTAAGTTATTTGGATAGCAGGACTCCATTTTTGTGGGAAATAAGGATATTAATCACTGAAAAAATGTATGGAATGATGCACAGCAAAATGTTAAAGGAAGTTATCTTTGATTAATGGGATTGTGGGACATTTTCTTTCAGGCAGTAATTTTTAATTATTCAATTATGTATGGCTGGCACAATAAAATGAATAAAATAGCTACAATTTTAAAAATAAAATGTAATAAAGATATATTAAATAATACTATGTATATAAAATAAAGAAGGGGAACAGACCACTTTTCAACTTTCCCATATTTCTCAAGAGTTGTCTAAAATAAGTTCAGTAATGGCACCAAGTTACCACATAGTTCTTATCCACTAAGAAATGGCCAGAAAACAAAGGCAGTGGAACTGAACATTTTAAAACCAAATACTGTCTTCTGAAGTGAGGGCTACCCATATTGGATTGGAGTCAGCAGTCAAGTGTTTTAAAACTTTAGGTTCTCAAGACCCTAACTTTGGCACATGCTAACAGTTCAGTTACCTCACCATTTTTCTTTAAAAATATATATATATATTTTTTGGTGGGGGGGCTTTCTGGTAAAAACCGGAAAGCCTGCTAGACAAATTCTAAAAGAGCTGTAACATTACTTTTTTTTATCTTTAAACGGCATCTCAAGAACTCTTCTGGAAGTGTGAATTGCCCAAAGGAAACAGATGTTTAAAGGAACTGAAAGCTTAAGTGTCCCCAATTTACTTCGACTTATTTCTTACCACACTGCCACCGCCCTCCCCTTTGCTTTATTTCTCCAGTTCTCCCATATTTCCTAAAGGCTGGGGTCCTTCCCTACCAGGGACCAGGCTGAATCAGGAAAGATTCAAGGGAATCTAGGGTTTGGGGGTGCCCGGGAAACAGCTTTGAAGCCATTCAATACTCATTTGGTAATCTTAATTCTAACTCAGAATTGTTTCTTCTCTTTCCCACCTTTTTTTTTTTTTTTTCCTCAAGGCTAAAACTAGACCCGAGACCAGTCTTTCTGCAGACACTAAACATAGCCATGTTTTGGTTTCTGCAGAATCAGGAAGAAGGTGAGTCCTAAAAATGGTTGGGCAAGTTCAATCGTCAGTGCTCACCTTTGGTCTCACACAGATGCCTCAGATGTCAGAATATGAAATCACAGAATTATAGAAAATTAGAGTTGAAAGTGGCTTTCTAAATATTATAGATGAATGCTACGAAAAGTGTGCTCACTGGTCTACCAGCAGCAGTACTGCTTGGGTGCTTGTTAGAATTGCAGATTCTCCAGTCCCACCACAAGTCCACTCAATCAGCAGCTCTGCGTGTGGGGTCCGGGTACCTGCATGTTTACTAGCTCTCCAGGTGCTTGAGGCTCACCTAAGTGAAAACTACTATTATAGAGTAAGAAGCTGAAGCACAGTGAGAGTATCATTTATCTTCACAAAACGAGAGAGAGGAAAAAAAAGCAGTGAGACATCTAAATAAAGCTACACTATTTTTCTGTTTCAAGATCTGCAATGCTGTACCTGCAGGTCTCTGGATTATCTTTCATTTCTAGTTGTCTTTTCGTTTTTACATCACTACCCTTGGAGAAACTGTGGCAACCATTACAGAGCAGCCCAGTGCAGTCTCTGGAGCATGAAGGAGCATTTAATTCAAACTCTTTTTACAAATCACTAGATTAATGAAATTCATCATACATGCGAGTTCTGGGGTGTCGACTGCATGCAAATCATATCTAACAAGCTAAGCGCAGACTTCTAAAGTAGTTCCCAGAAAATCAGAGCAGCAAATGCCAGAATAGGAACTTGACTATATATTAATGTAAAAGAAGAACTAGAGTCCCTTATCTTATTTTCTCAGGCTGTCCTTCTCCACATCCACACCAAGACTCAGAGAGGAGCTCTGAAATGTAGGGAGTTCTAGCTCACAAAATAATTTACATTTCCAAAAGATCATTTCTAAATCCTTTGTTTGAAAGCTGGACACATTTCCTCATTAAACAATGTTATAAGTGGTCTTAAATGTCCAATCAAAATAGATTTACAATGAAATTGGCATTATAAAAAATCTAATCATTTAAAAATACTTCCTCTGGAAAAAAGTTCAAGCTCCAATTTAGGTGTAACTTCACAAAGGGGGCCCCATTAGGCATGGGGATCACAGCAGTAGCTTCTGGTGATGCAGAAATGTTGGGGGTGGGTGTCTGGTGTTGCATTCATCACTTCCAGGTTGTAAATCACCAATATTATGGACTTAAGATTCAGGATCCCAAGACAAAAAGATCACACTTACTACATCAGCTACTATCCTAGAAAACTCTGACCTAATACCTTAAAGAAGGCTGTAGCTCTGGCTCGTCTGGGCACCAAGACCAAAGTCAACTGATGTCTTGTTTTTATTATCTTTTACATTTTCCAACTCTTTCACCCCCCAAGTTGGGCTAGGTCCTGCCTCTTTGTAACTCTAGTCTCCACTTAATGTTACATAAAATATATTAATGTCTTAAGAATTTAATATTTTTCAAAGGAATTAGTCTAATTTCTACTCCCTTTTAAAATATTAAATTCATTTAAGAAGTGTCTGTTCATGTCCTTTGCCCACTTTTTGATGGGGTTGTTTGTTTTTTTCTTGTAAATTTGTTGGAGTTCATTGTAGATTCTGGATATTAGCCCTTTGTCAGATGAGTAGGTTGTGAAAATTTTCTCCCATTTTGTAGGTTGCCTGTTCACTCTGATGGTAGTTTCTTTTGCTGTGCAGAAGCTCTTTAGTTTAATTAGATCCCTTTTGTCAATTTTGGCTTTTGTTGCCATTGCTTTTGGTGTTTTAGACATGAAGTCCTTGCCCATGCCTATGTCCTGAATGGTAATGCCTAGGTTTTCTTCTAGGGTTTTTATGGTTTTAGGTCTAACGTTTAAGTCTTTAATCCATCTTGAATTAATTTTTGTATAAGGTGTAAGGAAGGGATCCAGTTTCAGCTTTCTACATATGGCTAGCCAGTTTTCCCAGCACCATTTATTAAATAGGGAATCCTTTCCACATTGCTTGTTTTTGTCAGGTTTGTCAAAGATCAGATAGTTGTAGATATGCGGCGTTATTTCTGAGGGCTCTGTTCTGTTCCATTGATCTATATCTCTGTTTTGGTACTAGTACCATGCTGTTTTGGTTACTGTAGCCTTGTAGTATAGTTTGAAGTCAGGTAGTGTGATGCCTCCAGCTTTGTTCTTTTGGCTTAGGATTGACTTGGCGATGCGGGCTCTTTTTTGGTTCCATATGAACTTTAAAGTAGTTTTTTCCAATTCTGTGAAGAAAGTCATTGGTAGCTTGATGGGGATGGCATTGAATCTATAAATTACCTTGGGCAGTATGGCCATTTTCACGATATTGATTCTTCCTACACATGAGCATATAATGTTCTTCCATTTGTTTGTATCCTCTTTTACTTCCTTGAGCAGTGGTTTGTAGTTCTCCTTGAAGAGGTCCTTCACATCCCTTGTAAGTTGGATTCCTAGGTATTTTATTCTCTTTGAAGCAATTGTGAATGGGAGTTCACTCATGATTTGGCTCTCTGTTTGTCTGTTATCGGTGTATAAGAATGCTTGTGATTTTTGCACATTGATTTTGTATCCTGAGACTTTGCTGAAGTTGCTTATCAGCTTAAGGAGATTTTGGGCTGAGACAATGGGGTTTTCTAGATATACAATCATGTCGTCTGCAAACAGGGACAATTTGACTTCCTCTTTTCCTAATTGAATACCCTTTATTTCCTTCTCCTGCCTAATTGCCCCGGCCAGAACTTCCAACACTATGTTGAATAGGAGTGGTGAGAGAGGGCATCCTTGTCTTGTGCCAGTTTTCAAAGGGAATGCATCCAGTTTTTGCCCATTCAGTATGATATTGGCTGCGGGTTTGTCATAGATAGCTCTTATTATTTTGAGATACGTCCCATCAATACCTAATTTATTGAGAATTTTTAGCATGAAGGGTTGTTGAATTTTGTCAAAGGCCTTTTCTGCATCTATTGAGATAATCATGTGGTTTTTGTCTTTGGTTCTGTTTATATGCTGGATTACATTTATTGATTTGTGTATATTGAACCAGCCTTGCATCCCAGGGATGAAGCCCACTTGATCATGGTGGATAAGCTTTTTGATGTGCTGCTGGATTCGGTTTGCCAGTATCCATTTACGCAGCCAAAAAACACATGAAAAAATGCTCACCATCACTGGCCATCAGAGAAATGCAAATCAAAACCACAATGAGATACCATCTCACACCAGTTAGAATGGCAATCATTAAAAAGTCAGGAAACAGGTGCTAGAGAGGATGTGGAGAAATAGGAACACTTTTACACTGTTGGTGGGACTGTAAACTAGTTCAACCCTTGTGGAAGTCAGTGTGGCGATTCCTCAGGGATCTAGAACTAGAAATACCATTTGACCCAGCCATCCCATTACTGGGTATATACCCAAAGGACTATATATCATGCTGCTATAAAGACACATGCACACGTATGTTTATTGCAGCACTATTCACAATAGCAAAGACTTGGAACCAACCCAAATGTCCAACAATGATAGACTGGATTAAGAAAATGTGGCACATATACACCATGGAATACTATGCAGCCATAAAAAATGATGAGTTCATGTCCTTTGTAGGGACATGGATGAAATTGGAAATCATCATTCTTAGTAAACTATCGCAAGAACAAAAAACCAAACACCGCATATTCTCACTCATAGGTGGGAATTGAACAATGAGAACACATGGACACAGGAAGGGGAACATCACACTCTGGGGACTGTTGTGGGGTGGGGGGAGGGGGGAGGGATAGCATTAGGAGATATACCTAATGCTAAATGACGAGTTAATGGGTGCAGCACACCAGCATGGCACAGGTATACATATGTAACTAACCCGCAAATTGTGCACATGTACCCTAAAACTTAAAGTATAATAATAATAAAATAAAAAATAAATAAATAAATAAATAAAAATACAAAAGAAAAACAACAAAAAAATAAATAAAATATTAAATTCATAAGACACTATTTTTATGTAACATTAAAGAAACCCTACATACCTTAACTGTTGCTCCCAAATCACTCCATATCCTCCAGTCCTAGGCAAATACTAATTTACTTTCTGGCTCTACAGATTTGCTTATTCTGGATCATTTTATACAAATGGAATCATATAATATGTGATCTTTTGTGACTGGCTCATCCATGATATAGCATGAATCAGTACTTCATCCCTTTTAATTTCCAAATAATATTCCATTGTATGGATATATCACATTTTATTTATCCATTTATCAGTTGATGGACATTTGGGTTGTTTCCACTTCTGAGCTATTATGAATAATGTGCCTAAATGCCCATTTATACACAAGTGTTTGTAAGGAAATATGTTTTCAACTCTATTGGGTATATACTTAGGAGTGAAATTACTGGATCACATGGTAACTCTATGTTTAACCACTTAAGGAAATGTCAGACTGTTTCCCAAAGTGTCTGCAGCATTTTACATTCCCACCAGCGATGTATTAGGGTTCCAACTTTTCTACATCCTTGCCAACACTTCTTTTTTATTATAGACATTCTAGTGAGCATTAAGTGGTATTTCATTGTAGTTTTGATTTGCATTTTCCTAATGGTTAATATCATGCGTTTTTCATGTGTTTATTGACCTTTTGTATACTTGCTTTAGAGAAATGTCTATTTAGATTCTTTGCCCATTTTTTAATTATTTGCCTTTTAAATATTGACTTGTAAGAATTCTTCATATATTGTTGATACAAGCCCCTTTTCAGATATATGATTTGCAAAAGTTTTTCCCATTTTGTGGGTTGTAACATCCACTTTTTTGCTTATCACACAGAATGTGTCTGTCTGAATAGTTCGGTAGTACAGAATATCCACTTATTCCCGAATACTCAGCTCAAGGGGTTGCAGTCACACACTAGCTGGCTTTCTCACTGCTTAGTCCCACCTAAGGACCTTGTCATTACTCTTCCCTCAGCCTGGAACACTTCTGGAGCACATGGCCTGTGCTCTCACTGCATTGAAGCCTTGCTTCAATGTTACCACCTTTGAGAGACCTTCCCTGCCCGTTTTCTCTAAAATTGCAACTCCTCCCGCCCACCTCTCCATTCTCTTACCCTGCTTTTATATTATGTAAGTGCAAAGAAAATATATCAAGAATTGAGATTTGTCAGAAACTTTTGTTTGCCTTTCTTTGACTACTGGTTAAATTGAATGTTTTCTTGGATGTTTATTGGCAGCCATGTGCATATTTATATTTCTTCTTTGTAAATATCCCATTCATGACCTTTGTTGATTTTTCTATTGGCATATTTGTCTTTCTTGTTAATTGTTAGGAATACTATGCCTTTGTCTATTATCAATAATTTTCCCAGCTTGTGTTTTCCTTGTTTATTCATGCTGTTTGCCATATGAGAGTTCATTTTTATGGAGACTAGTCTATTTATATTTATTCATTGCCTTTGATGCATTCTTTTTCCAGGAATAAAAAAAGTGATTAGGTATTATACTTAAAACACTTATCATAACAATCCCTTTGTCATACTGCCCTATGATTTCTCATTCAGAAAGCACATACATCATACTACTGCAGAAACTTGGTTTTCCTTCATGCTCAGCTCTCATACCTCATCACAGCAACTAGTAGAGTTGCTTTCATTATATTAAAAGCATTTAGCAACTAAAAGGTCCACTGTGGGAGATGACTACATTAACAACCCCAGTAAGTCACACTTCCCCATATCTAAGCCCTTGTGTAGTCTTCCCTCCCACAATGACACTGGGCTTGGTGATGTGACTTGCTTTGGTCAGTGAGACATGGGCCAATGTTATGTAGACAGAAGCATCAAGACTGCTTGTTCATTATTCCTGAGAACTCATCTGCTATGATGTGAAAAGCTTAGGCTGGCCTCCTGGAAGATGGGAGAGAATGTAGTGTGCCACCCCAGCTAAGGTCCAAATGCATGAGGAGGGCTAGATGACACCATGTGGAACAGAGATGGGCCATCCCAGCTGAGTCAAGCCCATACTACCAACTTGCCTAATTGTGAACAAATAAATTATTGTCTTCAGCTGCGAAGTTTGGGGATGGATTTTTATACAACAATAGCTAATCATTCCCTTACCAGTAGATGTATCTTATAATTCAGTTCAATGAAGTGCTATGTGGCCAGTATATCTTTCAAAACACACACAAAAACATAAAACATTTTTATGCTGGGTTAGAGGAAAAACATGGAGGATAAATATTTGTGTCAATGGGGATAAATTAAATGGTAGATGGTTTATGCCAATTTCCATAATTACTGATTGCATTTATATTTATTTCATGTAAATTTTACAAGGTTTTAAATGGAAATTCTTTTAGTAAAACAGCCTTTAAGATCCATCTGTAGAGTATCTATTCTGGGTCTTCTCCCACAACTATACTTACCCCATGGCAGGGACCACAGTCTCTACCATTGTGTTCTTAGAAATTACTCCCTTGACTCTTGTTTGAGCAGTTTTATGTGATTATCTAAGTCTCAAAATAATATCATCCTATCTGTATGATATACCCTACATGATATGTACTTCCAGAAAGCGAAGTATCCCTGCTTACTAATTAACAACTGCATATTTTCACATCCAGTTTCCACGCCTGTTTCAGAATATCATGGTCTTCTATACTCTACCTTGTAGTATTGATCCCTGTGCTGAGGTATTCATGAAGGGATACCTTCTGCAAAAGAGACTTGGGAAGGGCAGACCAACGTCTACTCAAGGGACTTCCCTATATGAAGGGAAATTTATAGAATTCAATCTAATGTGTACATAATGCTGGCTGATTCCTTGGATGATGGTGTTCATGAGGTCACAGTTTGGCTTAAACAGACAAATTAGCCTATTTCATGAAAACACCACTCCCACCTTCTCAAAAAATCTTGTTCTAAAGCCACAGTTCATTCAAAGCCCTGGGTATGTGATTTTGAAAGAGAGGTGCTAATGTAATGCCCATTGCTATTAGAAAGAATATAAAGCAGCCTTCCTGCTTATTGGAAGAAAAGAACATCACTTTTTGTTAGAAACTGCCCAAATTCAATCAAGCAATAAGTCTATGACACTTGCTAGCTATGTAGGCAAGAGAAATGAGGCTTGGAAAACAAAAAACATTGCTAAATTATACCCTCTCATCCCTCCTATTTATAGGTTGTCAAATTGTAAGATTCCACTCTTAGCTGGGCTGGACAGATGAGACAGAAACAGCATATCTCTGGAAGTGACAAACAGCTGGCAGAGCTTACGTGCTTCCCTTGCTGATAGAAGAAACAGAACAAAGGGCCAAAGAAGTGAATGGCAGTCAGTAAGCCCGAAGTGAGATGCTTTTCACAAGTGGGCCTTCCATTTCTGTGCTTTACAAAAAAAGAATGTAGGGGGTTGGGGAGAAAAACAAGATCAAGGGAAACTTAAGACCCTTTGTATGTTTAGGCTTTCCAGCTGGGTACACAGCTCACCCAAATATCTATCCTCTCCTGCTGTTACTAAAAATATATGGAACAGCTCTTCCAGGAGGAAAACGGTCACATATCACCAAGGAGACAGGAAGATACTCATGATATGGTTTTTAAAATGACTTGAGAATCCAAGCAACCCTTGATTCCTCTCTCTGGACTCTGCCAAGAGGGTAACTAAAGTTTCTGCCTAAAAAGAGATTTTCTTCTCAGATAGAATTTTGTCTGTTCACATCTGATACTGGGAATCAGCTGAAATCTAAAGTGCCTTAAAACTAGTTCATTGTGAAGGCAGACATTCTGGCAGGAAAACTAGAAAATGCTGCCACCAAAATAAATGCACATTGTCTTGCACCAACTGCTACTAGAAAGAGATTTCAAGGATTCTAGCAGAAAAGAGAGGATTGACAAGAAATTGAGCATGGGAGTGCTATTGGGAGAAATGTAAAACAAAATCATTTTCAAATGAAGGGTATTTCTCACAAAATTGGAAGGCAAAGCTTTCTTTCTATGATATGCAACATGGAAGAAACAGGATGCATATTTTTCTCACAAGTCTCGCACAGTTGCTTTTCTTTGAATAATGCCCTTTGCTTGCTTCCTGCTGCCAAGAAAATGTAGGGCAAGCTAATACAAGCACTGCAAAATGGGGGACTCCATTAAACCTGATTGCAATTCATCTCCACATCCCCAGTACTTGATTGACTCAAAAAAGGCTGGCTATTTGTGTGATTTTCCCATTATTTTCTCATTTTCATAATGCCTATTGTCTTTGAATTCACCATTAATATTACATTTTATATTTGGTCATTTTGTTCCCCTTCTTTCCCATACAAAATATGTACAATTCTTACATATGTGCTTAATTCACATTCAAGAGAGGATAAAGGGGTGGAGGCTCCCCTAAAATTTCCAAATAAGATTTTTTTTTAAATAAGTGTGGAACTTGGGTGAAGAGAATTAGATAAATCCTATTAATCAAAATCCTTGATTCATGAGGACTCATCATGGCATTCTTGTGTTTATTATATTAATATGCACATACACACATGAACCCACTACCCAAAAGAGACTAGAACATGGATAATAACTTACATCTCCCTATGTAGTGATCTCCATTTCCTTCCCCTGCCTCCCTCATCCCAGGATAGCCACTATTAAGAACCATGTGTTGTGTTGATCTTTGATATATTCCTGTCATGCAATCCTGGGTGACTTACTTTAACTTAATAAGATTCATCCGCAGTGTTGTGTATTGCAATAATTCATTCATTTCTACTGCTGTATACTACTCATTGTATGAATCAGGGAAAGCAGAAAGTAAAATTTAGAGTATGAATACTTCATTGCATTAATTTATTTTACCTTTGTTACTTCTTAAGCAGACAAATGTTATATGAAGCATCACTTGTTTTAAAACAATTGACCATATATAACAAGTTGCTACTGTGTTTATTGTACTTTATAACTAATTTCTTCACTTTCCTTTTTTCATATTTTCCAAAATTGAATGCTCATTATGGGTTCTATACTGGGTTTTCTTAAAGATTAGTGATATTAGAACTGGTGCAGATTAGGGCTGCCAATCCAAAGTCAGTTTGTTATAACAGTAGTCAAATTAGACTCACCCCCAAATTCTAATTTATTCAACATTTCCAGTGATCTCATGGCCAGAAACTCCTATAAAAGATATAAGGCATTAGTGACACCAAGCTGAACAAAACCATTCCTTTTCCTCAAAGTTCTCACTGCCTAATGGAGGGGGGAAATAATAATTTTAAAAATCTACAATAATACAAGAGGTAATTGCAGAGTCTTAGCCCAGGAATCAACTTCCTGGTAGAAGAAGAAGAAAAAAAGGGTATACTAAACAGAGGGACATTATGCAAAGGCACAGAGGTGGGAGAGTTATCAAGTGATCAGAGGTCTCCAAGCACGGTGGTAAGAAAATCAAGAGTTAAAACTTAGAGCATCTTGAACTTTGTCCCAAAGCAACTTTATCCCAGGGAGCCACATAGAGATTTCACAGAGAGGAGGGATAGGATCAGATTTACTATACTACAAAATGGGTGGCACTAGAGAGTGGGCTATGGGTAAGAACAGTTAGAATACTAGTCTATGATCCAAGCAATACGTGATGTGGACCTGGACTGAAGCAGCTGCATGGATCATGGATACAGGAGAGGAGGACACAGATTTCTGTGATATTTATGCAGCAAAGTTGACCAAAAAGAAGACACAGACTCAACAAAAAATGAGCTTAACATACACATTGGTGGTCTAAAAGTAACTGCAGTACAATTGTTTCAAGTGCCATGCCTAAAAGAATAAAAAGTTGCCCATAGGAAGAGAAAAGCCTCTCTGGAATATCGCTTCCATCCCAAGAAACCTTCCAAATACTGAAGTATGTTTTCATAAATTACCAGTTATTATTATTTGAAATTATACTCACAGAATACAACCCCAAAATTTCTTATAACAAGCTAATCTTGTTATCACCCACAGAAGAGAAAATGTGACACCCAGTTGAAATCTTAGTCTAATTGTGTTTTAAACATATAGTTCATTCTCAATATTCACAGCACTTATGTTTTATGAAGTCACCACAAAGACTGAATTAACAAATACTGAACCATTGCTCCTAGGGGAAATACAGGAGTAAGTTCCTACAAGCCTCTGGTCACAACATTTTTGTTACCTAATCAATACATAACCTTGTTTTATATGTGTTTGTTTAAAGACACTGTACTTAACATATATTTTTGGTTCATTATCATTAACTCGCAGCCAACACTGCTCTAACTCATACCCAAAGGAAGCTCATCTAATACACAAATTTTCTCTGTAAGGCACATCGCAGGCTTCTTGTGCTTAGGAACACTGAACAGCCCTTCAGCACTATAGTTAAAGACCACCTTAAACACCAAAATCAACAACATAAAGCACAAAAATCAGGAAAAACACAGCACTAAATAGATTACAAAAAAAAATACTTGTTTATAGTATGAGAGCTGAAATAAGAAAGTAGAGCATTGCCTTGTTTGACTTTAACAGGGAATGTGCATGTCAGGTGACTCAAATTTTTTCACTTCTCTGTGCATGTCTGTGAGTGACAGCAAAAGCACCAGAAGTACCGATTTGGGGGTTACAAATAGTAATAGATTCTAGCAAGTCAGCAAATTTGCAAATATAGAATCCACAAATTATGAGAATTGACTATATTTCCAAGAGATCATGTCCTACCTTGAGGCCTCAAAAAGCACTTTCGTAGGTGGACAGAGAAAGTCAGTAACAATGCCAAACTTTTAGTTATGTTCTTTTCCAGAATGAGTTCAAAAGTGTCTCTCAGACTTCATATCAAGATGACCCCTTTGCTCATCTTCCATGAGCCTGGAAAAAGCTCAGTTTTAAATCAGGTTTTAAATATAAGAAGACCAAAGCTTTGAAAAATTGAGCAGCAAGTTCTTATTTCAGAAAAAAAGAATGAAAAGGACCAGGAATGAATTCTAGATGGCCTGATTCCTAAACACCTAAACAAATGTCCCATCTTCTGTGGTAGTGCTTCTCAAACTTTAGTGTGCCCGTGAATCCCCTGGGAACTTGTGAATAATGTAACTTCTGGTTCAGAAGGTCTGAGGTGAGACCTGAGGATTCTGCATTTCTAACTAGCACCCAGATGATGCTGATGTTGCACAGACTTCGGGTAGCAAGGGTGTAGATCACAAGCTCCCCCAAGAAATTTATCAGCCTCAATATAGACCTACGTCCAATAGATGATAATTACTTAGATTTTAAAAAGCACTTCAGTTTAAGGTTATATATTAGATACTAAAAAGTAAGTAAACTTTCAGAATATCAACAGTTCCACATATAAAGCAGTCTAGAAGTGACAATGCCATTGATTTTACTGCCTAAGTCTATTAGTGTTGTATGGAAAATAAAACAAAGTAATTAGGATCTCAATACTGCTTTCCAAATAGAATCTCAGGTTTGGGAGTATTTTTCTCTTCTCTCAACTGACCATTAGCAGCATTAAGGAAGTAAAGAAACAGTCATCTGAAAGATACAGAATGCTTCACTTGCAGGCAACTGACACACAAGTGGGCAAAGTACCACTTGTCCATTTTAACATGCAGATAAGGGAAGCTGTTATCTGCAGATAAAGGCATTTGCTTCTCATTGCCTCTATGCTCTTACCCCCAGATACACAGAATACATCAAAGACTACTTTGTGAAATAAAGGGCAGTAGAAGCACAGATCACACAACCTGTCATTTTGGAAGGAAATCTGGCACTAAAGAGCCAGCAAGAAGAGCAGTTTGATGCAAATGCCCCAGTGGAAATTTGATTTTTAAGATATAATTCAGAGGAACGTTAGTCTCCCACAAAGATTTGTAGAGCTACAAAAATAACCACAAACCAGATAAAAAGAAGACTGTGTTCACTACTACTGCAGAGGGGCAGACAATTGTAGAAGGCAGAAAGTAAGAAAGGCCTCTGGGACACTCAAGACTGATTCTTTCAGGCCACTGATTCCAACTTGATAGTTTGTGTTTAATAATTTAAATTTAACAATTCAAAGTTCCATTTGAAACCAAACATAGGGTTCTTCACCACTTGAGCAAGTCTGATTTTCCATGCTACTTGAGGACTGTTCATAGCTGTTTTATTTTCCTTATACCAATTTTATTTCAGTACACATGGTACCAGTTGCAATTAAGGAGAAAAAATAACTGTCTTCATTTGACTTCTTCTCACTAATGTAACCTTGTTTTTGTTGTATTTTTAAATCTGACAACAAAAAGGCAAAATGCAGATAATTATACTTCAAATGAGGACATCACATCTTAGCTCAAGCTATGAATTGAGAACATTTCAGAACATATGTAATGAGTTATATGAAAAGAAATGATTAAAGAAAGAGCAGAGATGATAGTAAAAATGTAATGCTCAAGGGATAAAAGTTAGATATTAGGAGGAGTGTACTTGAAACAATAGACACATTGGAAAATGTCCTCATCTATATTCCTGTACAAATTTGTTTTTGCTTTGCTCAAAACCATAGGAGAAAAGAAATGCAAAGAAAAGTTGTTATTTTCTGATACACATCAGAAATTCTTCAAGCAAATGGAGGGACAAAAAGAACTATTTGTCCCAGGAATCCCACTTTTAGGAATCTGCACTAAGAAAGCACCCCCAATAAAAAAATACATATGTACAAGATTATTCGTTAAAAATAGTTTGCAATTACAAAATATTGGAAGCAACCTAAATGTCCATAAATAGGAGAATGGTTAACTATGATACAGTTACATGATGGAGTACCAAGCTGCTATAAAAAAAAGGAAGAGGAAGATCTCTATAAACTGATATGAAATGATTTGTAGGATAAACTGTTAGAAGTAAAAAAGGCAAAATACAGACTTTAAGTGTCCTCACCGCCACCCACTCCATGCATGCACAAAATGGTAACTCTGAGCGATAATGGATATGTTAATTAATTTGACCATGGCAATCATTATACAATGACACAGATATGAAATCATCACATTGTTTGCTTCGAATATAGACAATTTTTACTTGCATAAAAACAAATTTTATTGTATTTCTATAAATGTGTAAACATTTTTAAAAAGCAAAGTGCAAAAAAGTATCTGTAGTATGCTACCCTTCATTTAAGAATGAAAACATTCATGTATCTTCTCATTTGTGCAAAATAAATACATTAAGAATAAACCAGAAACTAAAGATATTGGTATCTAAGGCAATAGAGAAAGGGATGAAAAAGCAAGGGGATGGGAAGGGGTGCTAAGAACAAAAAGGAAATGTCACTTCTGTGTATACTGTTTTGTATAGCCCTGACTCTGAGAAGCATTGTCATGTTTAATGTACTGAAAATATAAGTCAGTAATAAAATCACCCAGTGTGTTTGGGGGAAGGGGACAAAATGGAATATAAACACTAACAAAGAACCTAATTATATCACAAGTGAATAATGTAACCATAATGAAGAGAGTGGGGAAGAAAAGAACTAACCTTATTAACTGTATAAAACAGCATCATGACTGGCTACTGGCTACTGCATTTTAAGACAAAAACAAAAACAAAAAAACAAAAAACAAACAAACAAAAAAACAGTACCCAGAACTACTCTAGTTAGTAAATGTGTTTCTTACAAGGGTACAGGTTAGCAGTTCTGAAAATACTCCATGTCTACAAGGATTAAAGAAATACAGACACATGTTTACATATATTGTAGATAATGAAAACCAGGTTTCTCACTATCAGAGAAAGAAGGCTATAATGAACCATGTGGTATTAGATTAGAATCAGAGGTTTCAGTATGAACTCATAGTTTTTATAGATGAATGAATAGATGGACAGATAAATAGATGGATAGAAAAAGAGAAACTCAGAAAATGTTTTAGTTCATTTTGTGCTGCTATAGCAGAAAACCTGAGACTGTATAATTTATAAAAAACATAAACTTATTTTCTCACATTTCTGGAGGCTGGGAAATCCAAGATTAAGGTGCTGGAATCTGGCAAGGGCCTTCTTGCTGTGTCATCCCATGGCAAAGGGCAAAGAGAAGGCAAGAGAGAGCCAAAAGGAAGCAACACCCATCCTCTTGTAAGAAACCCACTTTTGAAATAACAAACCCATTCTTGCAATAACAGCATTAATCCATTTATGGGGGCAGAGCTCTCATAGCCTAATCACCTCTTAAGGGTCCCACTTCTTAATACTGAATGACAATTAAATTTCAACATGAGTTTCGGAGGGGACAAACTTTTAAAACATAGCAGATAAATATAGACGTGTGTTTGCACAGTTATTACACTCAAGTATATTTCCTAGCTGTTGCTAGGGCCAAGAAGCAATGACACTCCAGTGGCAACAAACATACCTAGCACCCAGCCCCTAGTTTCTAAATACCATCCTTCCATAAAAGGAACCACAAAAGGGTGGGATAGAAAAAATATTTATAGAATTAATGGTCAGAATTTTCTAAATTTTATGCAAACAATAAGCCCACATATTCAAGAAGCTCAACAAACCCCAAGCAAAACATGAACTATACCAAGATATATTATTAAAAAATTGCTAAAAATCATTAAGAAAAAAAATTAAAAACCACCAGAGGGGAAAAAAAGTTACATATGGAAGAACAAAGATAAGGATGACATACTTCTCATTAGAAACAATATAAGCAAAAAAATCTAGGAGAAACATCTTTAAAATACAAAAATAAAAACAACTATCAACCTAGAATCTATACTAGCAAAAATATCTTTCAAAAACAAAGGTAAAGATTTTTTCAGATATATAAAAGCTGAAAAAATTATCAGTGAATCATAAAATATGTTAAAATAAGTTGTTCAAGAAGAAAGAAAATGATATTAGATATAAATATGGGTCTATGTAAAGGAATGAAGGGCACTGAAATAACTGCTTGGGAAAATATAAAATTATTTTTTCTTATTTAAATATCTAAAATATAACTGACTACACAAAAATAACAATGGAGTGTGGTGGTACCCCATAAGTACATACACCTACAATGTACCCACAAAAATTAAAAAGAAATAAAAATAAAATGTATTAAACAATAGAAAAAAAGGCTAGGAATGGAGAAATGGCTGTATTTTATACTATCACAGGGTTCATAGACTATAAGCAAGGTGGTATACTATCACTTGAAGGTAGACTTTGATAAGTTAAATATGTATACTATGAACCATAAAGCAACAAATAAAAGCACAAAATAAAGAATTATAGCTAATAAGCTAACAGGTAAGATAAAATAGAATCATAAAAATAAAAAATAAAGGAGATAAAGGAAATAAAGAAGTGATGGGACAAATAGAAAACATGGCAAGATAATAGATCTGAACCTAAAAATATAAACAATTATATTAAGTGTAAGTAGACTAAACATCCCAATTAAAAGGCAGAGATTGTCAGATTAAATTAAAAAGCAAGGGTCAACTACATGCTGGCTACAAGAAAGACACTTTACATATAAAGGTACAAATAGGTTTAAATTTGGAGTGGGAAGAGATATGGTTTGGCTCTGTGTCCCCACCCAAATCTCATGTTGAATTGTAATCTCCAGTGTTGTGGGAGGGGCCTGACAGGGGGTGACTGGATCATAAGGCGGATTTCCCCCTTGCTGTTCTCATGATAGCGAGTGAGTTCTCATGAGATCTGGTTGTTTAAAAGTGTGTAGCACTTCCCCCTTCACTCTCTTCCTCCTGCTCCAGCCATGTAGAACATGCTGGCTTCCCCTTTGCCTTCCACCATGCTTGTAAGTTTCCTGAGGCCTCCGCCAGCCATGCTTCCTATGCAGCCTGTGGAAACATGAGCTAATTAAACCTCTTTTCTTTATCAATTACTCAGTCTCAGGTAGTTCTTTATAGCAGTGCGATAACAGATTAATACACATACTAACACTATTCAAAAAAGAACTGGAGTGGTTATGTTGTTATGTTAATATCAGACAAAATACATTTCAGAGGAAAGAATATTAACATGGATAAAGAAGCTTATTTCATAATGATAAAGGGCTCCATTTATCACAAGGACATAACAATCCTAAACATTTAAACATTATGCTTCAGAACAGCTTCAAAACACATAAAGCAAAACTTACAGAACTGTCAGGAGAAACAGACATATCCGCAATTATAACTGGAGATTTCAAAAAGACTCTCTTTATTGATAGAACAAGTATTGAGAAAATTAGTTAAGGATATGAAAGGTTTAAACATTATCAATGTTGACATGACATTCCACCCAACAACAGTAGAATACACAATCTTTTCTAGCACAAATGGAATATCTGCCAAGATAGGCTACATTCTTGGCTATTAAACAAAACCCAATAAATCTGTAAAGGATTCAAGTCATACAAAGTATGTTCTTCCCACAAATAAATTAATTTAGAAATTAATAAAAGAAAGATCTCTGGAAAAATCTCCATTTGAAAATGAAATAATACACTTCCAAGTCATCCACGGATTAAAGAAAAAAATCAAAAGAGAAATTAAAAATAATTTTGAACTGAAGGAAAATGAAAAGACAACATATCAAAAATTTTGGGATGCAGCTAAAACAGTACTTAGGGAAAAATTTATAGCATTGAATGGCTATATGGGAAAAGAAGAAAGGTCTCCAATCAATGACTTCAGCTTCTACCTTCAGAAATCAGAAAAAAAAGAGAAAACTGATTCCAAAGCAAGTAGAAGGAACAAAATGAGATCAGAGCTAAAATCAATACAATAAGACAATGAAAGAACAAGAAAGAAAAATTAATGAAATAAAAAACTTGCTTATTGAGAAAATCAAACTTGATAAATCTCTAGTTGGACTGATTTGAAAAAGCAGAGGGAAGACATGAATTACCAATGTAAGTACTGAGAAAGGTAACAACACTACAGCTTCTACAGATACTGTAAGCATAATCAAAGAATATTATTAAAAATGTTATGCCAATACATTTAATACAAAATACAAAAATGAAAACAACTATCAACCTAGAATCTATACTAGCAAAAGATAGCTTTCAAAAACAAAGGTAAAAATTTTTTCAGATATACAAAAGCTGAAAAAATTTAATAACCTAGATGAAATGGACTGATTCCTTGAAAGACACAAACTACCACAGCTCCCTCAAAAAACCCCAGACAACCTGAATTGATCTATATCTACTAAAGAAGTTGAAATCATAGATAAAAACTTTCCCACAAAGAAAACTCCAGGCCCAGATGGCTTCACTGGTGAAATCTCTGAAACATTTAAGGAAGACCAGTACCAATTCTATGTAATCACTTCCAGAAAACAGAATAAAAAGGAACACTTACCAATTCAGTTTATGAGGCCAGCATTCTGTTATTACAAAAAGCAACAACATTATAAGAAAACTATGCACCAACAACCCCCATGAAAATTGATGCATAAATTCTAATTAAAATTTTAGCAAAATTACCAGTTTGGGCAACACAATGAGACTCCATCTCTACAAAAAATAAAAAATTAGCCAGGCATAGTAGTGCACACCTGTACTCCCAGCTAGTCAGGAGGCTGAGGTGGAAGGACTGCCTGAGCCTAGGAGGTCAGGGCTGCAGTAAGCCATGATCATGCCACTGTACTCCAGCCTGGGCAACAGAATGTCACAAAAAAAAGTCACAAAAAAAATTTTTAGCAAATCGAATCCAACAACATAAAAAGGATAATACATTATGACCAAATATTATTTTGCAGAAATGCAAGGGGTTATGTCATAAGAATGTTGGAGAAAAGTAGAATCCAGATCAGACCAGAAATTTGTAGTCACAATACCTTAGAATTATCACCAGTTAGGTCTTTATAGAGAAGTAAATGGAAATTAACGTCAACCTACTCTATAGCATCATAGCTATATATGAATTTATGTTTTATCAAACGCATAATGTATTTAGCGTCTACCTCATAAATTAAGGGGGGAATGATAAATCTGGTTTTCTGCAACAAAAACAATGGATTGGTAGCTTTAATGTATAAACATTCTAATGAAACAATCAAATACCACTAACAGAAGGTAGAAAAAGAGCAAAAGAACAGAAAATTCATAAAATACAAATATTTAAGTTTCACCTTATAATATAAAAGGTATATATCATTTACCATCTTTAAATCTATACATTCCAAATTTTTAAAAATCTTTGTCAATGGCAAGAGTGTGTTGTGATTCACATTTTCTTATACAATTAATGGGCATATTGGTAAGCATCCTTTGAGAAAGCTCTTCTAGCAAAAATTTTCAATATTTAAAAATATTCATGCTTAATTCTACCACAAGGAAATTAGTTTAAACACATAATGAAATGCGAAGACAAAGATTTAAGTGCTACTAATCATAATCTTATATTAGTAAAAAAGTGGAAACACCTACATATGCAACAGTAGGGAAATTGCTAAATAAATGAACCTCAGGATGAAAAAATACATGGCCATTTAATGGTATTGTTAAAGGATTTTTAAAGACACGAGAAAATTCTGATCGAATAAATATCAGGACACAAATCTGGTACAGCAAGATTCCAAATCTGTCTCACACCCCAGGTTTTGAAAGTTTTGCACTGCTCTTTAAGCTCTTTCACCAAATTGTGGCCTGAAGTGGCTAAGCAACTAAAGGCTTGAGCAATACCAAATAGAAATTCTGAACTCAGAAAATCCAATCCATCCTTCTAATGCTAACCTGGCTGCGACCTGGGGTGAAATAGCCACAGATCCATTAGCAAAATGGCTTCCATGTCAAGAAGCATGCTGAAAGTAAACAGTAGAAGAGTACGCAGTGAAGAAGAGTAGAGACAAATGGGAATTTAAATGCCTGAGGTTTTTGTTCATATTCTAGTCCATTACAATGATAAACTGGGATCATTTTATTAGTCATTTCTTTCAAAAAATAGAATAAGGCCATTTCAAAATAGCACTTCAGGATAAGACACTCACTTCTGGAACTCGACTGCCAGTACATAAAAATAGCACCTTGGGCTAAGAGGCTAAGGAAGAAGGGACAGAGGATGAACATCCAAACAAAAAATAGTCTTTTATTGGAATTTGAAATATTGTTCCAAAAGAGTCCTGATTTTTCTCAAGTTGAAAAACCATTTTCATCCTCAGTTATGAAATACTGAGGTTACCATGCAGAGCGACACAATTCATCCCAAGATTACATAGTGGAACTGGCAGAATTATTCAACGTGACTTTTCTCCAACAATTCTTGATTGATGGATAAGGCTAAGAGAAGAAAACCAGCAAGCACAGCATTTTAAATTTGTGGGTACATTC
Source organism: Homo sapiens (assembly GCF_000001405.40). NCBI lineage: Eukaryota > Metazoa > Chordata > Mammalia > Primates > Hominidae > Homo > Homo sapiens. Next base: position 38,588,473 of record NC_000023.11, on the reverse strand, counting down.
TTTCTTCCTTTTCACAGAGTATCATTTCAGCACTGTTGATAGTTTGCCTAAAATAAACCCACAAATAAAAACAGCAAGATTCCTATGGTTATTCTGAGCCATAGCCTATAGTATTAAGATGTAGTTAAATACCTCTAAATGTTTCAGTGCTCCAGTGCTTACCTCATTTTTTGCCATCATGCAAAAATTGGTATATTCTCATTACACCACAATGATGAGGACACAAATCAAGTTAGACCACCCTTCTATCTAGCTTTTCTATGTTTCTCCTAGAGACGCATTAGCAAACTCCCTATGAAACCTTGACTACAAATACCACCTTGATTTGGAAAGGGAATTAAAAGGAAAGAGAAAACACCTGCCAAGCAGATAGACACACTTATCATTTCAAGACTCATCTCAAACCATCTCTCAAGCTCCAATTATAGCAATTAGTGGTCAAGACAAACCTCTCACTCTAAGAAGGTGGTTCAGCAATGGAATCAAGGGTTTCCATCCACTTTACTGCAGACAACTGCTACTACTTACCAAGGTTAAATTCAACTACCAAAGCAACCAACATTCTGGAAATTATCCTTTAGGAAAGAAGTATATATTCTGTTTTTCCCTTCAAACACTCAGTCTTGTTTTATACCTGCAGGAATAAAAAAGACCTAGAAGATGCAAAGAGAATCTAGGAATTTGTGGACATAAAACTCAGTATTTTATGAGAGATGTTAATATAGATTTCCTGTTTCACAATATAGAAACTCCTCTCAGCCAATCATCCAGGGGTCAAATCATGTCCAAGTAAAATTAAGAATCTTTAGATTAATATTAAAATATGGTAAAATTCAGAAGTCAGTTCAAGGGTGTTATCCTTCATTAATTACCATGTATATTCTACCTATCAGTCACAAGCTACCTGTCAGTACCTGAATTACTTCAGGTTTCCTTCTGTCCTAGAATATAATATTATTTAATGAATGCATATTGGAAACTACATGAAATTTAAACATATCAAACACTGTTATGATGGTGGTCACACAACTGTATGCATTTGTCAACACTCATCAAATTATACACTTAAAATTGGCAAATTTTATTGTGTATATGTGTACATATATAGACTCTCCACAACAAAGCAGATTAAACAATCATATTAGAGCTCCACAGATCATAAATGTGAACTGATAATTCACTGACAAAACATGAAAATAACAGTGAATGGGGAGAAAATGTAAGGAAAGATAAAAACTTATTTCCACTAAAACAGGGTTTCTCAGTCTCAGCCCTACTGACATTTTGGGCCACATAATTCTTTGTCGTGCAGGGCCATCCTGAGCATTGTAGGATACTTAACCAACATCCCTGGCTTTTACCCACTAGATGCCAGTTGCACCTTTCCTCTTCAGTTGTGACATCCAAAGATCTTTCCAGACATTGTCAAATATCCCCTGTGGGGAAGGGAAAACCACCCCCAGTTGAAAACTTTTGCATTAGACACTTATTACAAAACCTATTATGTAAAGTCAGCTAAGGCTGGTGGTGAAAGGTAACAAACTGGCAGAGAGGGAAAAAATGAAGAATATTCATGGCTGAGGGGTTATTTAGGACACTTTCAAATATAGGTAATCAATATGATCAATGCCTTCCTCCATAGCTAAAGAGCACATGCTAATCTGGAAACATCTCAAGTACATTTTTCCAGGAGTCATCATTATACTCATGTCTCAAGTTTTGTAGCCATAAATCATTGCCATTGACCAAGTCTCTCAACAACTTCATAAATTGGTCATTTGTTCCAGTAGAACACAGAAGAATTAAAGAATTGATCATATACTCTGAGGACATAATGAAAATATGCATTAGACTTTCAATAAATGATTTTTCAAGAAATCGGCTTTTTAAAAATTCAAGTCCCTGAGTTCAACATTTAGTCAAATTAAAAGAAAAATCTATACTACTCATTAAACTAACAAAATGCAGTTTAAATAAGCCCCTGTGTGGGACAGACTCTGGGCAAATAGGTCATTTAATCTTTTCATCTCCTAACATATGACATACCAGGTTAAAAGAAATACATTGTTTTATAATTCCACATTTGGGAATATATTCCAAGGAAATAACCCCCAAAAGAAATTAGATGAAAAATATTCAAAGCCTTCCTGATATCAAATATTGAAAAACTCCCAATTCTGCAAACTGAGGTGAAGCAAAAGACACAATACTTTATCAGACACATAAATGATGGTTGAAAGAAATCTGAGTAATCCATCTAGTCCAATGCCAGGTCTCTGAGCCACTGAGGGGACTTGAAGGTAGTAAAGAAGGCTCACTGGGCATTTTTAGGACTTAAAAGAAAATGCCTAGGCCAAGATTCCAGTTGGTGGTGATAAGCTGCAAGATTCAGAGAAGCAAAGAAACAAGATCAGTCAGAACACTATGAGTGATCCTGTATTCATTCATTTGCATTGCATTGCTATAAAGGAATACCTAAGACTCTGTGATTTATAAAGAGGTTTATTTGGCTCACGGTTCTGCAGGCTGTACATGGTACCACATGGTACCAGCATCTGCTTCTGGTGAGGGACTCAGGCTACTTCCACACATGGTGGAAGGCAGTGGGGAGCCCCCATGTCACATAGCAAGAAGAGGGAGCAACAGAGAGGGGAGAAAGGTTCCACGCTTTTTTCACCAGTTCTTGCAGGAACTCTCAGGAACCTAACAGAGCAAGAACTTACTCATTACCAGGATGGCACCAAGCCATTAATGAGGGATCTGCCTCCGTGATCGAAACACCTCCCACTACATCCCACCTCCAACATGAGGAATCATATTCAACATGAAGCTTGGAGGGGAAAAATCTCCAAACTATATCACATCCATTGAATAATTACATATTTTGTATTGTATTAAAATTATTATCTGTATACAAATATTTTATACATATTATATAAAAATTCCAAGAATTATAGAAATAAAAAATTTTCTTAAAAATGTAATTTATTAATCAAAAATCTTTCAACTTATAGAAGTTAGGGGAAAAATAAGATGCCTCTTATGGGAAAATGAAATATGGCCCAGAAACTGATATAAGAATGGGCAACAAACAAAAATATGTACTTCCTCATTATTACCCAGAGAATGCAAATTGAAAGCACATCTACCAGATTGGAAAAATATTGAGAAGTTTAATAAGAGGAAGTGCTGAAGAAGATGCAGACAACTAGAATTATCACCAATATACAACCATTTAAAAAACCAGTTTAACAGTTACATATTAAGTTAAAGATGCATCTATATCTTCACACACGTTCAACAGGAAAGAAAAGAGTGCTCGTAGCAGCATTATTCATAAAAGCAAATTGAGGACCACCCAAATGTCCGATAATGGAACAGATAATTTATGGTATAGTCATATAACTAAATACTCTACAGCAATGAAAAAGAATAAATATACCTCCAAGCAGCAACATGGATGGATCTCAAACAACGTTAAGTGAAAGAAGTTACAAAATACAAAGAGTATTATTCAATTTATATAATGTTCAAAAATACACCAAAAAAGAGAAAAGAATTTGGCCACTTAAGAGTTCATTCATAGGTGGTACAACTATAAAGAAAATCAAGGAGATGGTAAATAAGTTTGTATGGAGTTTCTCAGGAAAGGGAAGAGGGGAATGAGGAGAACATGATAGAGAGGGAGAGGGGAACTGAAGTGGCTTCTGGGAGTACTGACAATGTTCTCTTTCTTAACCTGGGAGATTAACTGTGTGAGTATGTGATTTTTAATTAAATTATTCTCTAAACTGTACATAAATATTTTTGCAGCCTTTTACACATCTCTCACAACATAAAGAGTCTTTCAAACACAAAAAAGACACACAACCATTTATACATATGCAAGTCCACACCTGAATAACATTAACTAGGAAAAGCAGAACTCCACACGTTTGAGATGATTTGAGAGATCAATTTGGATAAGAGAAATGAGTGGAGAAATTTTCAAGTTTAGATATAAGGAAAAAGAAGAGAGAAATAAAGGATCATGTGAGTTTCAGGAAATGGCAGAATGGCCCACCCTAATTTCATTAGTTCATCCCAATCACAATTGCATCAACAATGAAGTGCTTTAAATCATGGCCATCTTTTAATAATGCCCATGTGGACGTTATCTAAAACAGTCCTTTTCCATTTCTACTACATTATTTATATATCTCCCTTAAAAAAAATCAGGTTTGCCAGGCGCTGTGGCTCATGCCCATAATCCTAGCACTTTGGGAGGCCGAGGCGAGTGGATCATGAGGTCAGGAAATCGAGACCATCCTGGCTAACACGGTGAAACCCCGTCTCTACTAAAAATACAAAAAATTAGCTGGGCATGGGGGTGGGCGCCTGTAGTCCCAGCTACTCAGAAGGCTGAGGCAGGAGAATGGCATGAATCCGGGAGGTGGAGCTTGCAGTGAGATGAGATTGTGCCACTGCACTCCAGCCTGGGCGACAGAGCAAGACTCTATCTCAAAAAAAAAAAAAAAAAAAAAAGAAAAGAAAAAAAAGAAAAAAAAATCAGGTTTATGTTTCTTCATGCTAAAATAATTGATTAGAAAGGTAAATCTGGCGATGCTGTCAACGCAGGGAGAGTGACAGCAAACCAAAACCATAAACTGACTTCTAAGTTACGTGCTTCAGCAGATATCAATAACTAGAACGATCAGGTTAACAATGGTCAGCAAATAGCAAAAAACACTGAATTCTGCATCATCTGAATTGTAGATTATGGACCTTCTTATCCTTCAGTACTCAGCTCAAATGTCAACTCCTCAGAGAGGCCTTCTGTGATGACTCTATCAAGTAGGCTCCCACACCAGCACCTCGTGAACTCTTTCCTTTGGAACACTTATCAATGCTTGAAGTTAACATATTTATTTTCTTGTTTATTGTCTATTTTCCTCCCTTCCTGACAGATCATCTTGTTCATTTTATTCACAATTAAATCTCAGCATCTGGATTTGAACAGGCACTCAATATTTCTAGCATATTTCTTGAATAAATGCGATGAGTAATTGAGGAAGGCTGACAGGTAAGCAAATGATTACGATACAACATGAGTACTATGATGGATGGGCAAAGTTCAAAGAAGGTATAAAGGAAAGAAAATGACTCTAGAGTGGCAGGGAGAGCGTGTCAAAAAAGGCAAGGCTTCCCACAAAATGTGACATTTGAATGAAATCTTGAAGACAAGCGAGATTCGCTAAGCAGAGGAACTAGAGCTGGTGACCAGAATGAAAGCTAAAAAATGGGGAGGAAGTACAGTGAGGACCATAATGGGTCTTTTATCAGCACATGCATGGAATTTTGAACTTAGTCTTGTAGATAACATGAAACTACCAATTTTATCACACTGGCTTTATGAGATTGTTTTAAAATAACTATTTCAACAGAATGGATGGGATAAAATGAGGCTAGAGGTAGGAAAACCAGGAAACTGCTGTAAAGGTCCAAGTGAATGAAAAAACAGTGGTGAGATGAAAAGAAGGAAAGGGATGCAAGAGCTACTAATTTAATCTAAGAATGAAATTCACCACGGCTTGGTGATTCATGGGATGTCAATGAGGCTGAAAGAAAAAACCTAGGATTTATAGTTGAGGCAACTGGATACAATAGACACAAGAAAAGATTTGTGAGAGGCAGGAGTGAGAGAAGAAAGACAAACTCCATTCTTTAATTGCTGGAGCAGGTGTAGGGGGTTACTTTTCACACAAAAGGTAACACAACTTTACACATTCTGCTAAATTTAGACTTAATCTGAATGCAGCTTTCTCAGTCTATCTGATCAATGCCCCATCTTACAAATAGATTGTTTTTAAAATACAAATCCTCCAAAATCCTTATTAGTCAAACCTTTACAATCATAGAGACCTCGTGCAAAGGGAGGTCAGAGGCCCCAAAGCAGGGTTGGAAAAATATTGACATGGTTACAAATGAACACTCGATTTAAGCCAGGTCTGTTAAAGTTAGACCCCAGGGTCTATAACACTTCCTTCTGCCACTTGATAGATCTGGGACAGGAGAATGGTATCTCAGTTTGGTGTGATGGTAGTAATAGAAGTAGAATACATGTGCATTAACTAATATAACTTAAGAAACATTTTGTGTTGAGCTTTGTATTTGTAACATATGATAAATTATTGTCATTGATGTTGGCGTGTAGCTGGTCTTACAAGCAGAAAAAGAGGTCCATCTATAGGATGTAATTTTAACAGCCTGGGAGGAATTTCTTTTTTAAAACGAGACTTTCTCCAATGCTAATACCTTAAATTCTCACCAGAGGTAATATAGCTAATTATCCTGATACAGGCAGGAATTCCTGTTACCATTCATAGGCAGTATACGTGACTGGTCAAATTATTTTCTGAAAGCAGGTTCAGGTAGAGGAGGCAAGATCATCCCAGCTGACAAACTTTTACTTGGCCATGTGCCAATGAGCCTTACCTGTGTGTCCGTGTGCAGATTACTGTGTCTAGCTAGTGTCAGCTCATGGGAAAATGCCTGAAGATTCCCATTGCTTTCAGCTTTGTTTCTTTAAAGCAAAGCAAAAGTAAACCCTGCATCTCCAGCAGCTTTTAATGCCTTGGCTTCTGTCTTGTTCAAAGTGGTTGGGGGCTTATAGCCATAGGAGGCAAGTTCACATTCTTACTATATTTCACAGCAGCAGGAGAAATAATACCCAGGTGTCTGAGCCAGCAATTTGGAGAGTTTTAGGCACAAGGTAATTTTGTTTTAAATGACAGAGTGAAAAGACTATCTATCCCCATGAAAGTCTTCAAGATTTCTTATGTCTTACCCACAGCAGCCATAAACTAAAGGGGAGAAGAAATATTTATAGATTTGATATGGTTTGGCCATGTCCCCACCCAAATCTTGAATTGTAGCTCCTATAATTCCCACTTGTCGTGGGAGGGACCCAGTGGGAGGTAATTGAATCATGAGGGGGGGGTCTTTCCCGTGCTGTTCTTGTGATAGTGAATAAGTCTCACAAGATCTGATGGTTTTATAAAGGGAGTTCTCCTACACATGCTCTCTCTCTTGCCTGCCGCATGTAAGATGTGTCTTTCTCCTCTTTTGCCTTCCGCCATGATTGTGAGGCTTCCCCAGCCATGTGGAACCGTGAGTCCATTAAACATCTTTTTCTTCATAAATTACCCAGTCTCGGGTATGTCTTTATTAGCAGTGTGAGAACCGACTAACACAAGAGTCAAACCTTTGAAAGTGAATGAGCAGTTGCTAAGTTGCTCGCAAGAGCACTGGGCCTGACATTAAGGTCCCTTGGACCATCTCCAGCATCCACTATATGTAAACCTTGAGAAACTAAAGTTTTGAGCTGGGACGATAGCAAAAAATGTGACAAGATGGACCTGGCCTAAGTTTTCTACAAAGGAGCCATGTGGAATAACTATCCCCACTACAGTTGTAAACTTTGACCTTTGCGGAAAACAGAGGCTTCTCCCTTGTGCATCAAGCCTTGGCCAGATTTTAGAAGCCAAGGCTGGAGTCAGTGAGAATTTATCCCTTGGGGCAGCAGGGATTCTCAGAGTACCCTCTAACCCATCTCTTCAAAGGTTTACCCCAGAGAACTGTACTCCTGGAATCGTGCACTGGGCTCAGTGGGGCTGGAGAGGTCCAAGTTGAAACCTCACTTTAAACACGACCTTGGGGCACACTCTGGACCTCAGCTGCCTCCTCTCAAAATGAGGAGTAATTACTTCCTCAATAGACTGTTACAAGGAATAAACAAGATAATGCATGTGGAGTGCTTAGTACTATCCTTGACCTTTACTAAATGCTCAGTGATCATAGTAGTAGCTATTAATTGTAGTAACAACATCACAATAACCTAAGACAGTTAACTGCATGCAGTGGTTACTCCTTTGTTGCTGACAGAAAAATTCATAACTCTCATTTTGCTCCACATGGACCACACAGCCCTTTTCTCTCTTCAAGCAATAATAATCCACTTTGAGAAAAACTAAATCAAGAATAAAAGTATCTTCTCTCTCCAAAACCACTAAATAAAACATCTAGGAACAGAGCCCATAGCTGCCTTAAGTTTATTTATTTTTTTGCTAAGTATGGAAAACGGGGACAAAATATATAAAAGCCAAATTGTTTAATGTTCAATAGGCTACACTGGAGACCCTCTCACAAAGAATGAACTAGACTAGGGGTTGGCAAACTTCTTCTGCAAAGGGCCAGATAGTAAATATTTTAGGCTTTCTGGGTCATACAGTCTCTGTTGTAGCTATTCAACTCTGCTGTTTTGGTGTGAAAGCAGCCATAGACAATACATAAAGTTTATTTACAAAAAGAGGTGGCTGGCTAGATTTAGCTCACAGGCCAAAGTTTGCCAGCCTCTAAACTAAAGCCAGGTCTGTCGACATGGAAACATATTAAACAATGTTGAGCAAAAATGTAAGTTTCAAAACAATATGCATGGCATGATTCATTTATAGTTTTAAAATATGAAAATACTGTATAATCATTATAGATATGTAAATGTTAATATGTGTATAAAAATAAGCCCAACTGATAAACTCTGAATTTATGACAGAGAGGAGGAGATGTAGGGGCATCAACTGTAAATTTTTCATATTTCTTTAAAAACTGAATACCTGAGGCAAATAAGGCATAATGCCAAAATCTACTATCTAGTAGGTGTAGTAGTAGATACACAATTTAGTTAGTAGATACACAGAAAATTATCATATCGTTCTCTGTTTTAGGATTACATTTGAAATACATCACCAAAAAATTTAAATGCCTAATAGGAACAAAATAAAATTCTTTATTTTGAAGAGACAAGGCTTAAAAATCAAGTTAATGCATTTTTGCTTTGCATTATTATTATTATTATTTTTTGAGACACAGTCTCGCTCTGTCACCCAGGCTGGCACAATCTTGGCTCACTGCAACCTCTGCCTCCAAGGTTCAAGTGATTCTCCTGCCTCAGCCTCCTGAGTAGCTGGGATTATAGGCGCATGCTACCACACCTGGCTAATATTTGTATTTTTTTTTTTAGTAGAGACGGGGTTTTACCATGTTGGCCAGGCTGGTCTCAAACTCCTGACCTCATGTGATCTGCCCGCCTCAGCCTCCCAAAGTGCTGGGATTACAGGTGTGAGCCACCATGCCCGGCCTTGCATTAATTTAATCAAATCCATAAAATGCACTGGGTTAATGAACTACATTACAAATGAGATGATGTGGTAAAAAATAAAGGCACTCTACCTTTGAGACATAAAATTATATACTAGAAAATGTCCAGAGTAATTCTGATTTTTTAAAAAAGAATTAACGGTTCTCTTCATTATGAAAGTAGTTCATGTTATATATAAAAGAAGGAAAACACCTTGGAAAAGAAAAGCACACAGAAAGAAGTAGTATATTAATTGTCTTATCACCCAACCACAGCTGTTAACATTTGATGTGGATCCCCCTCAGGATTTGTTACATGCATTGTTTTCTTTACAAAAATGGCTTGCCATATATTTATGTATATGTGTGTACATATACACCCACATATGTATACATATATGTACATAATACATATACACATATGTACACCCATACATATGTGTATATGTATACATGTACACATATGCTTATATATGTAATTTGTAGATAGCTCATTTGAACAGCGTTTTTAGTACAATATTCACTTATGTACCTTTCTTTTCCTGTATTTTTTTCTCTCAAAATTATTAGCATGCTATATCTCAGAGTTCACTTCTAACATCTTAGTTTAAAAGACTGAATTTCCAGTGATGTGGAGAAGTGTACCTTTCCTCCATTTGTCATCTAGATGAGAAAAAAGCCCCCCAAAGTGCTCATTGAGGCACCACTCAAAGAGCGGCCTGTTCTAAGTCATTTACATAACCCTCAGGCTAGCTACCACCTCTGTATACCAGGGCTATCTTTTGAAAAACACAACATACCAAGCAGTTACTTGTTTGTCCTCAAAACATCTCTGAAGGATATAAACTAAAACAACCTGCAGCCTCCCTTCCCAAATACAGCAGCAGCTGTTAAGGAGATTAATAAGTAACTTGCTCTTACCCTGTAGGAGAACCTTTATCCCTTAGACAAGTCTCTACTGGAATCGTAGGCATCCATTAATGCTGCCGGCCAAATGCTTTGCTGTACCTATTACACCTATTATCAGCAAGCAACTCAGCATTAACTGCATTTAGAACTCTGGGCTTACTGTGCAGTTGAAAAGAATACCATTTACTATCTTATGCCTCTTAAATGAACATATGGCCTTTCACAACTTTGTATCTCCACCCCAACCCCCTCCTTTAATTCCAATCCTGCCTTTCTAGCCACTTCAAACATCTACCTGATCACCCATTTTGGTTAGCCAAGGGGGTTTAAGAGAGGAGGAAATGAGGTGGCTAGGAATCATACCCACTCAGCCAGGCCTCATCCCAACTATGAAAAGCCACTCTTCAGGCCAGAAGGGAAAAGCATGGGCTACAGTAGAGCTGTCCAGGGGCCTACACAGTCTAGTGACCAGGAGTTCACTGGTCCAACTCCAGCTGTTCACCGCTCACATGTCTCTGCTACTTCTCTGGGTCACTTTCTCCTTCTGCCCCTACACCAACCACGTCTCTTTTTTTTTTTTATACTTTAAGTTTTAGGGTACATGTGCACAACGTGCAGGTTTGTTACATATGTATACATGTGCCATGTTAGTGTGCTGCACCCATTAACTCATCATTTAGCATTAGGTATATCTCCTAATGCTATCCCTCCCCCCTCCCCCCACCCCACAACAGGCCCCGGTGTGTGATGTTCCCCTTCCTATGTCCATTGTTCTCATTGTTCAATTCCCACCTATGAGTGAGAGCATGCGGTGTTTGGTTTTTTGTCCTTGCGATAGTTTGCTGAGAATGATGGTTTCCAGCTTCATCCATGTCCCTACAAAGGACATGAATATCTTGAGTTTGAATGCCTAAAAAAGAACTTCTCCATTCACATCTTACAAGGCTGATTATCTCAAGTTCCACTGAACACCCAACAAACAAATATTTAAAGGTCAGATCTGCTCTCCAGGTCAATCAACTGTGACCATGGCAGATGGTGGGGAGGGTGAGGAAGTATAGAGATGGTCAAAAATAAATAATTTCCTAGGGCCACCTCTATCAATGAAAAATATAGGCAAACAAGCTTCTGAGAACCAGCCTATCTTTTAAATCTACCTTTGTCTCAAACTAAACACATGCAAAATGGAACACATCATATTAGTCTCAAACCCGCTTTTTCTAAGGTCTGCATTTTCATGAGAGTATCACCATCATCCATGCTCTTTAAGCACAGAATACTGGGGTTCTCTCTCACAAATATTCTTGCCACATCATGAAGTAGCTGTCCCCTGTCCTCCATTCTTCATTCCCATTGTCACCCTATATTAGACCTTCATTCTTACCTAGTTAACCTGGTTTCACCACTTCTTGCTTTTCCTATTTCAACCCAACCAACTTACTACTTCCAGATAAGGCCTGCAAAGTGTAGCTCCCAAAGTTACTGCTCCCTGCTCAAAAGTATGGACTAGTCTTCACCTACTGGCCAAAGCAGGCCCAAAACCCTAACTCATGCAATCAACCCACAATAAGGCTTATGTCTACTTACCTAGACTTGCTGCATGCCTCACTTTTTATTACAGCTAAACTTATTCCTGTCCTAAACACAGAAACCATTCTGCTGATAGCCTTCATTATCCTCTCCAAGAACCACTTGTCAAAATCCTGTCATTCTCCAAGTGAACTCTGTCCACGTGACCTTTCCAAATTCCCCAGCCCCACAAGCTCTCTCTCTTACAGTTCATTGCTGTCCAAGAGGCACATATCTAACTTTAAATTAGCATATTACAAAGCTTCAATCAAAAATCACATTCAAAGTAAAAAGAAACTGGTGAAATTAATCTTACTAGTATATTTAAACCACTATATCCAAAATATTACCATTTCAACATGCAATTAATGTAAAAAATGAGATATTTTACAGTGTTCATACTAACTCTTTAAAGTCTGGTATTTACACATAGAGACATCCCAAGTTTGGACTATCCACATTTGAAGTGCTCAGGCGGTTAATTTATTAGACAGTGCGTTACCAGCTCTTTCAAGATAAAAATCATGAGCCTTTCTTCATTCCCACTCCAATAGGCCCATATTAAACTTTAGATTTTAATTCTTGAGGGTAAGGATCGGACTTTCCTTCTAGTTGTATCCCCTAGAACAGGAATCAGCAAATTGTAGCCCATGGGTCAAATCTGGCTGCAAATAAAGTTTTATTGGACTATAGCCTTACTCATTCATTTACATATTGTCTATGCTGCTTTCACACTACAATGGCAAAGGTGACTAGTTGCAACAGAGACTATATGGCCCACAATATAAATAAAATAAAATATTTGCTATCTGGCCCTTTACAGAAAACGTTTGCCTACCACTTCTCTAGAGCAATAATTCCCAAAGTGTGGTTAGTGGACAAACCAGTGTCTGGTCAGCAAACTGTTGTCAGTCCACATTGAGAAGAAGTTTGTACCAGAAAGTAAACAGACTTTTTTTTAAACAAAGCTTTCTGAATGAAGGAAGCAGTATATTAATTAATAGTCTGACAAGCTTTTTATCCCACTACAACTGTTTGACTTTATTGTACCTTTTGTCACATAATTTTTAAAAATTTTATAACCACATTTATTTTTTATTTAATTGCTTCCAAATTTCCAGCTTACATAAGGCAGTCTCTCTCCTAATTTGTACATATGGTATGTACATTTTCTCATAGGATTTTATTTTTATATTTGAGCATTTAAACTAATTGGAAGTTTTCATATCATCTAAGTGAGGGCTCCAATTTTATTTTCTCACATATAGATATCCCGTAGTATCAGGATCGTTTAAATCTAGTTTCTCTCACTGAAATGAATGCTCCTTTTCATTTATTAAATCATATTCACTAGAATTTATTTCTGGATTCTTTATTGTTCCACCGACCTATGTATTTCTAAGCAAACATCATATTGAATTGATTTTAGAGTTGTATTAATTTTGTATTGCTCCATAACAATATTACCACAAATGTAGAAGCTCAAAACAAAACACATTTATTATCTCATAGTTTCTGTGGGTCAAAAATCTGGGCACAGCTTAGCTGAGTCTTCTGTTTCAGGGCCTTGCAAAGCTTCGATCAAAGCATCAGACAGGGCTGTAGTCTCATCTGAGGTACAAATGGGGAAGAATCTGCCTCCCAGATCATTTGACTATTGGCAGCATTCAGTTGCTTGCTGGTTACTGAGGGCCTTAGTTTCTTGGTAGCTGTCAGCCAGAGATTGCCCTGAGTTCCTTGTCATGTGGCCCTCTCTACAGGGCAGTTCATAACATAAAAGTTTGATTCTTCAAAGCCAGAAAGGAACAGAGTCTTTCAGCAAGATAGACTTTACAATCTTATGTAATAAAATCATGCACACATAGTCATATGCATGTGATCACTTCATTATATTCTATTAATTAGACGACAGTCTCAGGTCTCACCCACACCCAAGCAGAGGGGATTAAACAAGGGCATGAATATCAGGAGGTGAGATTATGGGGGACATCTTATAGTCTACCTGCCACAATAGTATATTCTGATAATAAGGCATATACTTCCTTTCCCTCCCGAAAATATCTCTTGATTTCTCAGGTATTTTTTCTTCTACGTAAACAATACAGTTTTATCAAGTACCATCTCCTCCCCCTCCCCCAAATCCTGTCAGTATTCTATTGGGAAATACATTAAAAACATTTTTAGAAAACTGATATTTTTATGATACTAAATCTCCCCACCCAAGAACATCTGGTATCATTTAATCTGTTCAGATCTCATTTTATGACCCAAGATAGGATTTTATTGTTCTTCATATAAGAGCCTTGCCTTTCTTATTAACTTTATTCTGAAGTAATTATGATTTCTGTTGCTGCTGTGAATGAAATGCCTTCCTCTCTTTCCTAAGGCTTATGCTAAAATAATAAAAAGAAATTAATTATTGTATATTTCTCTTACATCCATCCATCTTATCAAATTCTCTTAGTAGTTTTTTCCTAACATCTCTTGGGTTATTTAGTTTACAACAACTACATCTGTAAAAAGATAATTTTATCTCTTTCTCCAATGTTAATTTTTTCTTACTGCATTTGCTAGATAAACCAAGTCATAAATAATAATGGTAAACAAGAATCTCTGTCCAGTTTCTGATCGGCTCAAATAATTTTAGTATTTTACTACTTGTTTAAACAAATACTTACTGTTGGTTTTAACATTTGTTGAATGAAAATCATCTTTGTTAATAAAGATAACGGTAGATACTCCACCCTTAAGGAGGTAGAACATAACTCTTCACATAAGTGTGAACTGTGCATTGTGATTTTCTTTGAAAGAGTACCGTATGAGAAGCGAGGAAAGAGCAACTTTACGGTGGAGAAACCTGACAAATTATCTCACCCCGGTGATCAAAGTCAATATCAACAGTGATAAATAATGTTGGTGGTATGTATCCTTAATATGATATGATTGAAATAGCACTTTACCTCTGTGGTCTTCTTCCCCAGAGCACATAACTACATTGTAATCATGAAAAAAACATCAGGCAAATCCAAATTGAGGGACATTCTACAAAATGCATCAGCAGTAGTCCTCAAAACTATTAACAGTCAAAAACAAGAAAAGTCTGAGAAATTGTCACAGCCAAGGGGAGCCTAAGGAGACATGACTACTAAATGTAATATGGGGTAGCCTGTAATAGAAAAAGGATATTAGGTAAAAACTAATGAAATAGGAATGAAGTATGGACTTCTGATAATAAAAATTTATCAATACTGATTAACTATAACAAATGTATCATATTAATGTAAGCTGTTAGTAATAGGGAAAAATGGTGGTATGATATATGGGAACTCTATGCACTATCTCTATAATTTTTCTGTAAACTTAAAGCTGTTCCAAAAAGAAAAGCTTATTTTAAAAAGAATAATGGAAGTCACCAATTCCTCATTTGACTGTAAGTGTCAGACTTATATTTATTCATCCTAAATAGGAATACCTTTATCCCAATGACAGGACCAAACTCAGTGAGTCCTATTTTTGGTTCCTGTTCAAACCACTCTGTTAACTCAGCTCTCTTTGGTAGCAAACTATAAAACCCTGAAAGTGAATCATTCTTAATTTCCAGGATAGGGCATATTCTGACCAATTTATTCATTTAACAAGTATTGATACAGTACCTCCCATGTACAAGAAACTAGGAAAGAAACACTTTACACCCTAAGGAATAATGTTTCCAAAATATATATGTATCACACTTTAGTTTATAATGCACTTGAATGTTATTTGACCCTCAACACTTGACTGAGGTGGGTAATCATAGATATCCTCAATTCTAAAGAGGAAACTGGGGCTCAGAGAGAATAAGTGATTTGCCTAAGGTCACACAGCAAAGGTACTAGCCGAGACTTCACATTAAGTCTAATTTTAAATCCTCTGCAATAGAATGCAATGGTTAAAAGAATATCAAGTGAGTGATACAGTTCAAAATATGAAACAGAAATCTGGAGGAGCTAGAAGTCCGCAAAAGCTTCACCAGAAACAGAACTTTAACTCAAATAGAGATGGGGATGTAGAAGGGATGTTTAGCAACATTTTCCACAGTCTTATCAAGCTTTGGGTTCCTTTTCAACCCCAAAGGGGTCTACCTTTGGGAAGTCCTAGTCTAATCCCTGGAAATCATAAACAATCAAGTATTTATGGAGTGATTAGAACAATGAACTGATCCAGGAGTTCTACACATCATCATGATGATGTTTGAAGAATGAATGGGAATTGAGGTGCAGAAGCAACTTCATTTCACTAAGAAGAATAGCAGTCTGAGGTAAGAATAAAAGTCTCTGTATTACTGGTGAGAAAAAGATTGATTATTCAATAGCCATGGTAACTAGTAACCACCAGCACCAACTTTTAAACCTGTTTGATTGAGGGCAATTCACCTCAGACTAATCATCAATGACAACTCAACTTGCTTCAGGAACACACTTCTGGAAGCCAATTACAATGAGCTTCACACGATTCAAGGTCAGCAAATCAGCAGCAGACACACTGCAGTGAACATGCTTCTCAATCAACAACAGTCTCACTCAAATAGCCATGCTTCTAAGGTCAAGTTCAACCACTCATGCCTCTGTAACCAAAACACCACTATGTTTCCCAAAAAGATCAGTAATCTGCTTCACTCACAGACTATGCTTAACACAGCTGTCTCTTACTTTGGTAAGTAATGAATTCTGGGTTTTGTTTTACATGTTGGATTATGGTCTCTCTTTGACAGAGGTTTGTCTTTGACAAACCAAGACTTTTCCCTAACTTCTCAGAATAACTGTGAAAAAAAATAGATTCCCCCTAAGGAATGGAAACTACTCCAAACTCCAAGAGTTCACTTGAAGACCCTTGCCAAAGACCAATTAAGTGGGTAAGAAAAATGCTACATTGACTACATCTTGTTTTCTGGAATACTCTCCTCAATTCAGCTTTATGGTACCACAGATCATATCATAGGAAAGCATTCATGAGGTAAGAACTCATTTATATCAAATGGCATCACAGCCCCATAGAGCTACATCCCAGGAATCAGAATCACCTTGGGATTTTTTTTTTTTAACTCACACACCCAGGTTTCTCTTCATATCAATTAAAACTTAAACTCTATGAGATAGGGCTGAGAATCTGTGTTTTTAAATGTCCTTGGTGATTCTGATACACATTGCTTTAGTCAGGAATGATTAGCATGGTCTCCTAAGAGTGCAAGGCCATTTTGGTTTACTGAAAGACACTGCAGGCCTGGTTCCAGACTCTCAGGCAACGAAGACCAAATTAATATTGCCAGTACTAGGTTAGATACTCCGTAGCTACCTGCAGATCCAGGAGGCTCAAGTGAACCAAGCCTACTATTATCTACTGAGTTCTCCCTGGATCAATGTTTCTCAATCCTAATTGCACAGCTGAATCACCTGGGAGCATATTTTAGCATATCAATTCTGGCACTCTGTCCAGACCAGTTGAATCAGAATCTCTTAGGATGGGGTCTAAGTATCTTCTTTAGGGCCCCTTAGGCAATTCTATGGGCAAACAGGGTGAGAATCACTGATCTAGTACCTATGTCTGTTCACCAGTACCTGTGTCTGACTCATCTCATCATCCTCTAGTATAAGGCACCTGGAATTTCTCCTAGAAACAGATGATGATGGGAAAATCCCACTATATCTTGCAGAAAGCACCAAAGAAAATCTTCCAGAGTCAAAATGTGATGTTTAAACTATTTTAAATGCTTTACACTAAAAGCCCAGACTTCACCACTATGCAATATATATATGTAACAAAACTGCACTTGTATTCCCTAAATCTATAAAATAATAAATGTTTCAAAAGGCAATAAACAAATAAATAAAATGCTTACCTGTTTAACTGATCAAATAACCAAAAGGAAAAACAAAACAAAGAAAACCCTCTCCTTTTTCCTCTACATCCTTTTCTTGATGAATAGTGGGGTTCTGCAGTAAGATGAAAAAAATGTTCAGCCAAGAATGAAAATCATTCTGTCATGGCAAGGGGAATAACAGCCAAAATAAGAAATTTAAGAGCAGCATTCCAAAAATCTGCTTGCAATGAGGAGGTAACTCAGATTGGAAGCTGCTGTAATGGAACTAAAGGAGAAAAATACATAAGAATATATTTTTAAAGTGTGTTTCAAATGGGTTTAGCAGTGCATTAGTCATCTATGTCAAGAGTTTAACATGTTTAAACAAAGAAACACAGTCACAATGACTTTCAATTTTCAGCACCTTCTGAGGTACTTACTTAAAGCAGTATATAAAGAACAATCACTGAATAAGTAATGCAACTCACAATAAGGTCAAATCAAGAACTCTAGTTGTGATTAGAATGGAGAAGAGTATTTCATTCTATTTAGACCAAAATTCAGCTAATTTCTAAGCAACGACTAAGTGAAAAAGACTTAATGTTCCCCAAATGTTATAAAAGGTAGTTCACACATCCTAACTGTATATTGCGTATAGTAAATTAAGTTGATAAAATAAGAAAAAACTCCAGATTATAATGTACAAGTCCCATAATAACCATGAAGGGTTATCACTGTAGTAAAAGAAAAACAGCCAAGCAATAATCAGTTTAACATCAAGGTCCTCTCCCCAACACACACACCACACTATAAACACTAAATTAATCCAGCAAGGTCCGAATTAGGTCAGAAGACACATGGGACTTCATCTGGTGGGAAGAAATAAGAGGGGCAGAAAAAGCAGCAGCAACCTTCAGAGCTTCATTTCCATTTGTCCAGTCGCTGATGACCAGACGACCTTACAGAGGATGTGTCTTAGTAAGTCTGTTCCAACTTAGAACACTTCCCTTGAAATCCAAAAGCTTTTTAAAAATTGAAAACTGGGTACCAATATTTATTAGAATAGCCCGACTATTGCTGTTTTAGATGCTCTATTCAATCACTCACAATCAACTGGGTATTTAATTAGTACCATCTGATGTAGAGAT
Source organism: Homo sapiens (assembly GCF_000001405.40). Taxonomy (NCBI): domain Eukaryota; kingdom Metazoa; phylum Chordata; class Mammalia; order Primates; family Hominidae; genus Homo; species Homo sapiens. Next base: position 38,569,837 of record NC_000023.11, on the reverse strand, counting down.
AAAGATATAAAGGACTTCCAGTTAAAGATGACGGATTGAACACATCCATTTACCCTGGCTATCTCCCAAAACTCCACTGAAATGACACTAAAAGAATGTTTTTAACCTACAATAACAAAGAGAGGAGACAACCACAATGATCTCTTCAAAGCTGAGAAAAAGCAAAATCTTATGGCAGCTGTGAGAGAAGCACAAAATAAAATATTTGCACCCAAACATCCCCAAAAGACTCAGGGGTTAGCAGCTCCATGCACACCTGGAAGTAGGGAGGAAAGGGGAGCTAAAATAAGTAGGTTCCAGTAAGAGTTTTTCGAAAAACAATTAGATTCCCCACCCCCACCCCCGCCACCAACTTCCTGTCTCTGGCCTCTACTCATTCTACTATAGGTTCAGATATTTATTCTTTGGAGGGTGAAAGAGATGGTCCCTGAACTGGGGAATATAAGCACAGTGGACATGGATTCTACACTGGAAACAGGAGCTTAAGCAAAGGTTTATATACTGTATATAGAGACTTCTATATTCTCACCTTCTTTACTCAGAGAGCAATTAGAAGATTCTTCTGTAGGATATCTGATGAGACCAAAAGAAGAGACCTAAAGATATTGACCTTGGTCCTAAAACTCAACTGCCCAGCCAAATCACCCAAATTACAATTGATAAACACGTACTTCAGGCTAAGAGCTTCCAATCAGCTTCGTAGTGCCCCCTCTTAAACACGTACAGAAAAAAGAGCAAAACATGACCAGAAATTTGAGGTAAGCCTGTAATATGCCAGAAAACAGAACAGTCTGAAGGAAACTATGCAGGAAGAAGCAAACTCAAAAAAATTACTAATATTTTCAGAGAGATATTAAAACTATATTACACTCATGAAACAAAAACAGGATGCTAGAAAAAAAGAACATTCAGACCTCAAAAAGAAGCTTCTAGAAATTAACATATGAAACAAATGAAAAATGCAATAGCAGCAAGATAAAGTGGAAGTGATCTCCCAGAAATAGAACAAGAAGAAAAAGAGGTAGAAAATAGAAGGGGAGAAAATTAGAGGATTAGTCTAGGAGGTCCAACATCCAAATAGGACAGAAAAAAATGAAGGTAAAGAAAACAAAAAACAAAAGAAAATTTCCCCAAACTCAAGGACCAGATTGAAAGGTATACAGAAAATTTCCAGATTGAAAGGGTACCCAGGAAATAGTTTAAAATAGACATATACCAGAGCATATTGTTGTGAAATTTCAGAGCAAGCAAGAGATCATAAGAACTTTCAGAGAAGAAAAGCAGGATTCAAGAAGAATCAGAATAACATCTGATTTCTCAACACCAACAACAAGAACAAGACTTGGAATAGGGAGAAACAGAAAAATTCTGAGGATAAATGATTTCCAAACTACAATTCTACACTAAGCCAAATGATCAAATTAAGTGCAAGAGAAAAATAAGATTTTCATACCTGTAAGAGCTCAAAAAATTAACCCCCAATACATCATTTTTTCCAGAAAATTATTAAACTTGCTCTACCAAAATGAAAAAAAAAAAAACACCAAGGAAGAGAAAGACATGACATCTCAAAAACCGAGGATCCAACGTAAAAGGAGACAGGATTCACCAGGATGATGGTGAAGGGAGACTATATTGATGTCCACTGTTTCAAAGGCCCAGAAAATACTAGTCCAGATTGAAGATCAGAAAGCTTTGGGAGAAATGCCTCTGAGAACAAGAATCTGATATGACACATGAAGTGTTTGAACAGACTGAGTGAAGAAACAGATCTTGGGGAAAGTACAGGGATAAATTAGGAGTGAGCACGCAACTAAAAAGCAAAGGACCAAACAAGGCAATTCTTAACTGTAGAGAAAACAAAAAGCTATGCAAGTAATCATAATATACACACTACATGGCTCAGCTGTGACTAGGTTTACCTAGTCATTAACATAATGAAATCACTGACGACCACTCTAACCAAAATATGACAATGATAAAATGATATATTAGGGTCTACTACAATATAGGGAAGATACAAGTATGGGAGAAAAGGGCAAGAGAGCTAAATCTTCATCTTCCATAGTGGGAAGACAGTACATAACATCTAAAACTGAAAAGTTGAGAAATAGAATACATGTGTTATTTTAAAATGCAGGTAAAATGCCAAAAGCAGCAGCTAGTAAACGTTGGTACACATTCTATTGACTACTCAATACCTGACATGTAATAGACATTCAGTGAATGACTGAATTGTATTGATGTGCAAAAGAATAACTATAAACTAAAGTATGTGCCTGATATGGTTTGGCTGTGTCCCCACTCAAATCTCATTTTGAATTGTAGCTCCCATAATTCCCACTTGTTGTGGGAGGGACCCAGTGGGAGATAATTGAATCATGAAGGTAGGTTTTTCCCATGCTGTTCTCCTGATAGTGAATAAGTCTCACAAGATCTGATGGTTTTATAAATGGGAGTTCCTCTGCACAAGCTTTCCTGCCTACCACCATGTAAGATGTAACTTTGCTGCTCATTCGCCTTCAGCCATGATTTTGGGGCCTCCCCAGCCATGTGGAACTGTGAGTCAATTAAACCCCTTTCCTTTATAAATTACAGTCTCATGTATGTCTTTATTAGCAGCTTAAGAACAGACTAATACAGTGCCCAAATTCAAACACTCTTTAAAATGTTAGGAGTTGCTCTTTAAGACTTTTCCCTCTATTTATATCCCAAGTACCTAAACTTTCTGGACAAAAAAAAAAATTGTTTTAAATTATTTTTCCAGAAAAGATTAGTGATGTTTCTCAAATGAAAAACAAATCGCTGATATTTTATCATAGAAGAATTTGATAGCACTATTGATAAGCTAATTACCTCCTTAGATAATCAAGAAATCAGGCCCAATATACACTTGAATTAAGCAAGGGGAACTTCTCTTCACACATGGTGGATTTAAATCTTAGCTTAGAACTCAGATGAGTATTTAAAATACATTAAAAATGTATAAATAAAACAAAAATTCACCTGGTAAGCAAAATATTTATTACATTTCTTTGCTTGATCTTGAAACAGTTACATTGGTTGTGAAGAAAGGATATTTTGTTATATATATATAGGGCAAGATCTTTTTTATTCATGCTTAAAAAATTCTAATTAAAAATTTAAATAACCAAAATGTCTGACAAACTAACTGATCACAAAAATATAATGATTGAACTATCATTAGGATAAGCAAGTCCTTGTGAAATCTGCTATTCCATCTTTTCACATATTTATTGGAGGAGCACATTTAAATCACTACAGGTAGACTAGAAATAACATTGTTTTAAAAAAACTTTCCCATTGAGGTGAGTTGAAATAAATAACTGAGCCCAAGAGTAGTCAATAAAATTTCATTTATTCATTAATTCATTCATTCATTAAGGAAATAAGTATTTAGTGAGTAAACCTACTATAAGCCTGACATTGTTTGCTAGTCTTTAAAGCACAGGATAACTTACTCCTAGGTGTGTTTTTCCCTCCTCTTCTATAGACCTGAAAATAAAACATACAAATCAGGAGAAATGAAGGATCAGTTTACACAGCATTCAGGTGATATTATTTAACCAAAAGACAAATCATCCCATCCATTCAAACACAATTATATAAAGAGGTACCTACCTTTTGTCTTCAAATAATTATATAGTACACAATAGAGAATGTTTTTCTTCTCACGTGATTGTGTTGCGCATGCTCTGCTACGGTGGTTCCAAACACCAATAAATATACAGTTTTGCATAACGCTCCATTTTTTCTTCACAGGACTTACTGCTATGTAAGTCCAGTAGTGCAGAGGTTGGTTACACTGTTGACATTTTGAGCAAGGCAATTCTTTGTTGTGAGGGGTTGTCTCATGTACTGTAGGATGTTTAGCAGCATCTGTGGCCTCTACCCACGAAAGGCCAGTATCATCCTCCCCTCCAGCTATGGCCAAAAATGTCTCCAGACATTGCCAAATATGGGAGGGGGGCAAAACTGCCCCCTTTTGAGAACCACCACTTTAGAGAAACACCTCAGAGAGAGAGTGTGATTATAGACAGGAGAGAAAGCCAGATAAAACAATAATCTCTCTTTCAAAAGTGTAGACTTCTGGTTTAACATATGCTCAAGTATGTCAACCTTTATGATGCTACTGCTCTACCACCATTTTAAGTTCAAATGCCTTCTAGTTCTAAATCTAAATTAAGGTAATGAAAGGGAAAAATTCCTATTAAAACAACTCACGAACACAAAGGAAATAATTCTGTCTAATCTTTCCTCCACCTTCCACTTTAAAGAACACCAAGGTCGGCTGGGTGTGGTGGCTCACGCCTGTAATCCCAGCACTTTGGGAGGCTGAGGCGGGCAGATCACGAGGTCAAGGGATCGAGACCATCCTGGCCCACATGGTGAAACCCCGTCTCTACTAAAAATACAAAAATTAGCCGGGCGTGGTGGCACACACCTGTAGTCCCAGCTACTCGGCAGGCTGAGGCAGGAGAATCACTTGAATCCAGGAGGCGGAGGTTGCAGTGAGCTGAGGTCACACCACTGCACTCCAGCCTGGGCAACACAGCGAGACTCTGCCTCGAACAAACAAACAAACAAACAAACAAGACCAGTAAGGTCATCTTTTTGTAAACTACCTAGCATAATCCCAGAAGTTTTGACAAATATTTGAGTACCTACTATGTGCCAGACATAGTTCTAAGTGCTGAAGAAAGATTTACCAACTGCATTTACTGAACTGAGAGATAATTCTTATAAACATTTAACAGGTAAATATTTGTGACCTTGGTTTTGGCAAAGGATTCTCAAATATGACACCAAAAGCATAAACAAAAAAAAAGAAAAAATAGGTAAGCTGGACTTCATAAAAATAAACTTTTGTACTTCAAAGGACACCATCTAAAGATAACCCACAAAATAGGAGAAAACACTTGTAAATCATGTATCTGATGAGGGACTTGTACTCAGAATATATAAAGGGCTCTTACTACTTAATATAAAAAAACCCCACATCTTAAGATGGTCAAAAGATATGAATAAATATTTCTTCAAGAAAGATACACAAATGACCAACAAGCACATAAAAAAGACACTCAGCATCATTACACATCAGGGAAATTCATACCAGAACCACAGTGAGATACCACCTTCACACCTACTAAGGCTATAATAAAAAAGTCAGGCAATAACAAATGTTGGCAAGGATGTGGAGAAATTGGAATCCTCATGGTCAAAGGGAAGGAGTGCTTTGCTTTGTGAAACAGGCTGGCAGTTCTTCAAACAATTAAACTTAGAATTACCATGTGACCTAGCAATTCAACTCCCAGGTACATACCCAATAGAAATGAAGACATGTTCACACAAAAATCTGTACATGAATGTTTATAGCACCATTATCCATGATAGCTAAATGACCCAATCAACTCAAATGTCCCCCAACAGACAAATGGATAAACAAAATGTGCTATAATCATTCAATGGAATATTATTCAACCATAAAAAGGAATGAAGTACTGATATACACTACAACATGGATGAACCTTGAAGTAATTATGCTGAGTGAAAAAAACAGTCACAAAAGGGCAACTATTGTATGATTACATTTATATGAAATGCCTGCAATATGGAAATCTCTAGAGACAGAAAGTAGTGGTTGCTTAGGGCTGGCAGGGGGTGGGCATGAGGGTGGGAAGTTGAAATTGGGGGGTAAACGGGATAACAGCTAAAGAAACAGGTTTCTTGTGAAATGATGCAATGTTCTAAAATTGACTGGGGTGATGGTTGCACATATCTATGAATATACTAAATATACAGAAATATATACCACTTATATACTAAAATATGTGCTACTTATACTAAAACTCACTGAATCGTATACTTTAAATAGGTGGCTTTTATGGCATATGAATCATGCCTCAATAAGGCTACTTAAAAATAACGTCTTGTTTAAAATATCCTCACACATCCGAAGAGATCTTATTCTTTTGGTTGTAAGTATGAAATGATTACAACAACCAAAGCCAGAACTGGCTTTGGTATTTAAACTATTGAAAATGTTCCAGGTTAACATTTAAGACTATGAAAATCTTGAAAGTAGAAAAAATTAAAATGAAGGCATCAAGGAACTTCCGGAGGACATAAAATGCAGTGATTGTTTAAGATGTATTGGGGGCATTAAGTAATTAGATTCATAGGGGTGGAATGTAAGCAAGGAGAGTTAAAGTGCTCATATGAAAAGCCTCAGCCTGGAAGACCCCCTTCTTTACCAGCTTGCAGTGATTCTGAAAGAACAATATTTCTTCATGTGCACTGTTAACCTTATTTTTAAGGAAGATAAAAATACCTCCCCCCTCCCAATATGATTCACTCCAGTAACAAATAGGAAGTCAAGTAAATGATAAAGGGCCAAACAAAAAGAGATTTAAGGAAACACATAAAAAGCTAAACCAGTTCCCAGGAATGGCTACTGGGAAGTTTCAGCAATCAGCATGTGTTACTGCTTTTTACAGGCAGAGCATAAGATGATATGATCTGTGCATAGCTCACAATTCCACTACTGAGACATTTCAACCTGTGTCGTTGTCAGTCCAAATAAAGTCCGTTTCTGTGTTTGCCTTGTGCAATATGCCAGTTAATCTATCCTAGCTCATTGCAGAGCTCCTGGTATGTGTGGTCTGGGGAGTCCATACCTTCCCTGACTTGAAGAACCACCAACGCCAGCGATAAGGAAATGTCCGGGTGCATTAGGAATATTTTTGATCCTCAATAAATCTCTGCTTCTTCCTTGACCATTGCAAACAGTCCGGTTTGCCATCTAGCTGATTCTCGGTACCTCATACAGCACTGTGCTCCAGTTTCAAAGCAAAAATAGGGCTAATATATGGTGGTGGGTGAGGGGCGGGGGTGAGGGGTGCAAGAAGAAAACAAGCAAAGGTTGAACTGGCTTTTCCTACAGAGCCTCAGATTTCAAAATGACTGCCGTAGAAGCTAAAATGACCCAGATTTGGGGGACAAGGGGGGAAGAGGGTCGATATTCATTCCCCTGCGGGGTAGCTGTAGCTTGATTATGGGCGTAAGGAACTAGGGAAGACGGGGTCACCGACATGAAAAGAGAAATAACAGGGAATGGTCTTTAAGTACCACGCACCTCTCTCAGTGAATCACTGCAGTGTCAGCCCTGCACTGATTCCATGATTTGCCAAACAGGATGAGGTAAGGCACAAGCCTGGAGCCCCCTCCTCCTCCTCCTCCTCCCCCTCCTCCTCCTCCCCCCTCCCCCGCGCAGAAAGGCGCATCCCTCCGCGAGGTGCACCACGCAGCCCCCCGCGGCCCTGGCTGAGGGGTGACGTCACCCTTCTGCATTGAGCTTCAAGGACCGGCGGCAGCACTGGATAGATGGGGAGTAGAGTTGGGGCGCTATCTCTATCACCAAGTGGAGGGGACCCTCTGCCAGGGCGCTGCGGATTGTGCTCATGCAGTGACAGAACCACCAGATAGGGAGTGTAAGGATGCAGGGAGGTGGGAAAGGAATCCAAAGACTCATCTCTTGGGTCACCAAGAAACCTCAAAGATGCCCCCGGCTTATGTAAGACCCTCTCCCTTTCGTGCGCCTCCACGCGGTGACAACGCCTGCTCCCCATCGTGCGCTTGGGAGACTTCGGTCGCCCTTGCCCAGCCAGGCAGGCACGGTGCTTCTGGTGCCTCCCTCCCGCAGCCCCGTGGGGTCAGGAATAACTGGGAATCTGAGATTAAACCCCACGCTCCCGTGTCCTCTCCTAGCCCGCCACAGGTTAGCTCCAAGAGGCGCCGCGAACCGGCTGGTAGGGGAAGGGAGAGAAAGGTGTACAGCGAGGAAAACAGACGAATAAACCCGCAACTTTCCCCAGGAGCTGACCCTATCCCGGGAGATTATAAAAGAAACTAATGCATTAACATTTTTTTTTTGGAAGGTCGACAACCTGCAGTCACCGACACTCCGCAGCCCCTTGCAGCCTGCGCGGAGCGAGGTCTAGGGTTCCAGCAGCCCCGACCCGCACCCTGCCATCCTGCAGCCCCGACCCAGCACCCCGCGCCTGTCTCCTTAAAGAGGGGTCCCAGATTTGATTTTTGGTTTGGGTTTTCCTCCCCACTTCTTTTCTCAGAGCATCATCATACGGACCGATGGACAGCGACTCGGCCACCGGCCCGGCGTGGGCACTTACCCAGAAGACGAAGGAGTAGATGATGAGGAGGGTTTTGAGACAGGTTATCACAGGTTTGGTCTCCATTCTCCTCGATGCCATACTACAGAGCTCCGGCGGCGGCGGCGGCGGCGGCAGGCGGCGGGCGGGCGCGCGGGAGGGGGAAGAGGCGGGGCGGGGCGGGGCGGCGCGGGGCGGGGGCGCGTGCCGCGAGAGGCCTCGTGAGCGCGCAGGCGAGGCCGTGCGCGTGCGTGAGCGCGCACCGCGCGGGGCTCCTACTGAAAAAGCCGGGCCGGGCAGTGACTGCGCATGCGGGAAACGCCGCCCGCGTTCGCAATACTGCGCAGGCTTAGACCCCCAGCGGAGGAGGGAGGCGAGGCCAGGCGAGGCCAGGCGAGGCGACACGGGGCGCGGCAGGACAGTGGGGAGGGAATGGGAGAATTTAGAGGCCGGGTCAGAGGTCACGGGAACCTCTCCCAGTCCGCCCTGGCATTTAGATTTCTGCTTTGTACACAGTTGGGCGTTACATTTGCAGGTATGCCTGCACCTGGCTATGGGAAGTTTATGGGTGCCCCGCTGCCCATCAGTCACGTTTCTGCATTTTGACACCCCCCAGGGCCTTCTCACATGGAAATGGCCCCGTAGTCATGTCCTTGGCAACCAGCAGGCCTTGTTTGTGCCAGGAACAGACAGGTGGCCAGAGATACAGCTGGAGGGATGGGCAGGAACGCCGGAGCTCAGACAGACCCCAAATCCTCGCCACCACAGGTATCTGCAGGCTCCTCCATTTTTCAGATTTGTCTTACATTTTGAAATAATAAAACGAAATGACAAGAAAGGTCTGTATGAGGCGTCATTCTTGCTGCGCATACAATGTTTAACAGAATACAGAAAAATGTTTAATATGCCTGAGAATCATTTGCAGCGCGCTAACAAGTACAGTCCACCTCCCTCCTGTAAAGGAAAGCTGCATTGAGGTCAAAAAATAATGTTCACAACCAATTTGGAGTTCCTCAAAAAGTTGAACAGAGTTTGCATATGATCTAGCAACTCCATTCCTGGGTATTTACCCAAGAGAAATGAAAATATATGCCCACACAAAACCATATACATGAATGTTTATAGCGGCATTATTCACAATAGCCAAAAATTGGAAACAACTCAAATATCCGTCAGCTGATGAGTGGATGACCAAAATTCGGTGCCTCCATACAACGGAAAATTATTCGGCCACAAAAAAGAATGAAGTACTACTGGTAAATGCTGCAACGTGGATGAACCTTGAAAATATGCTAAGCGAAAGACGCCAGACACAAAAGACCACATATTGAATGATTCATGTATAGGAAATATCCAAAATAGACAAATCCATAGAGACAAAAGAGATTAGTGGTTGCAGCGAGTGGGAGGCAGGAATGAGGTGACTTTTAATGGGTAAGCGGCTTCTTTTTAGAGTAATGAGAATGTTCTAGAATTACATAGTGATGATGGTTGCACAATACTGTGAATTACTAAAAACCACTGAGTTGTATACTTTAAGAGGATGACTTTTATGATATATTAATTATATCACAATAAAAACGTACATTCCACCCAGATATGGTTTGTAGAGGAACACACAGATTCAGTGGGAGATTTAGCTTGATTGCTAAGAGACTAGTCAAAAACAGCAACACTATCACAGGTTAACTCAATCGTGGATGATGATGTTAAGGATACATATTTGTGAAAGAGTGAAAAACAGAGTCAATAAGGCTTGGGAAAAGCCTGCTAAGGTCAGTTGTTACAGGAGTAATTATTACCTCTATCCAGTTATATGTGGTCTCAGGTCAATAAGGTAACTGTATGAACAGGACAAAAATATGAGGAAGAGGAGAACCTGTTTAAGGAAATTGTCAACTATAACAAAAAGGTATGTGGGCATACAAGGGTGGAATATAGGTGCAGGTGAAAGAAGGGACAGGTTGAGCAAGGTGTCTGTTATAAAGGGGTCTTGGCACACTGATTCTCGATGCTGGGTGCTCATTTGCATCACCTGGTGTTTTAAAACAATTATGAATGCCTGTGCCCAATCCCAGCTATTTGGAGTCATTTGGTGTGGGGTGAAAGCTCCGCGTTTTAGAAGCTCTTCAGGTGGTCTGAATATTAAGCAAGAGTTGAGGGGCATTGCCCCATACTGCAATGAACTTAAACCCAACTTCAGAGAGGAGCTTTCTCTTTCATTCTTACAGACTCCAGGCTGATTCCAACTGCTGCAGCAGCAGGGAAAGGATACTGAAGACTTCAAGCCCAGTGGGTATCCTTAGCATCAAAAGATCTTGGCCATGTATAATTATTTTGTAAAGAGGTCAGAAATCTCAATGTTCAGCCCAACAGTGACACTGCTAAGCATCATAGATAATTTGGTGAGTTAATATATGACATTCACAGAAGACACCCATCAGTTTAAGCTAACTCACCGTCTCACAGTTTGGAGCATTTTTGGAATATCTCTTAGGTCCAGATTCTTGAAAACTTGGACTGTTCTAGCAAAAATAAACCATTTAAATATAAAGATAAATATGAATATTCAGTAATGTAATTAGTAGATAAATTAACATAGCTTGTAGCTAGATCCTTGCTCTCCAATTGTGGCCCATGACATATATATAGGGTGACAAGCCATCCCAGTTTGCCCAGGACTGAGGGGTTTCCCTGCATTCAGGATTTTCATTGCTAAAACCAGGAAGGCCTTGCGCAAACCAGAACATATTAGTCACACTAACCCTGAGCTGGCAGCATTGACATCCACTGGAAGAGCTGTTTGAACATGCAGAACCTCAAGCCCCACTCCAAGCCCATGTTAACAAGATCTCCAGGGGAGTCAGATGCACAGTAATGTCTGTCATGTATTATGGATTGAATTGTGTCCTCCCAAAAGATATATTGAAGTCCAGGCTAGGTGCGGCTGAAGTCCTAACCCCAGTACCTCAGAATGTGATCTTATTTGGAAATAGGGTTGTTGCAAATATAATTAAGACAAGGTCATACTGGAGTAGTGGGGGCCCATAATCCAAGCACTTTTAAGGGCTCATATCCTTAAAAGAAGAGACACAGGGAGAGGGCCATAGGAAAACACAAAGACACACAGGGAGAAGGCCATTGTGACAACAGAAGTAGAGATCAGAGTGATGCAGCTACAAGCCAAAGACTGCCAAGGATTGATGGTCACCTCCAGAAGCTAGGAGGAGGCAAGGAAGGATTCTACCCAGAGTCTCAGAGAGAGGATGGCCCTGCTGACACTTTGATGTCAGACTCCTAGCCTCTAGAACTGTGAGATAATACATTTCTGTTTTTTTTAAAGCCACCCAGCTTGTGGTACTTTGTTACAGCAGCTGTAGGAAACTATCACGTGTCTAAGATTCACTGATCTATAATGCATCAATATATAATCACAGCTGCCATATCACCAAGCAACTCACAGTAGCACCATTTACAATAGCCAAAATATGAAAACAACCTAAATAAATGTCCAGTGACAAGTAGATTAATGAAATCTATTTTGTGGCATATCTACACTAGGGAATATTATTCAGCCATAAAAAGAGATGAAGTACTGATGCATGATACAACTTGGATGAACCTTGAAAACATTATGCTGAGCGAAAGCCAGATGCAGAAGGATGCATATGTATAATTCTATTTATATGAACTGTCCGTAATAGTCAAATCCATAGGCAGATTAGTGGTTGCCAAGGGCTAACCCTAATGGAGAGTCACCGTTTAATGGATATGGGGTTTATTCTTGTGGTGACGAATAAGTCCTGGAGCTAGATAGTGGTGATGGTTGTGCAACAGTGGGAATGTACTTAATGTTGAATTGTACACCTTAAAATAGGTAAAGTGGTAAATTGCATGTTATGTGTATTTTATAACACACAGAAATAATATGTAACCACAGCAAGTCCAAGTGTCCTGTGGCCTGAAGGAATGATGTAGGTTGCGGAGCTGAAGGAAGGTCAGCAAGGCTCAATAGCAGGAGGCAATGAAGGTATAGAGAAGGCTGGAGAGAGGCCAGCCCATCCAGGTCTTTTTAGGTGACATTAAGAATTTTAATCTTTTGCCTAAGAGTAAGAGAAGTGTTTGCTTTTTATTTGCTTCAAATTCAGCAAGTAGTTCAAGGAAAACTGGACTGCTACCAAAGCATCTACCTGGTCCCTCCTCCTACTGTTACCCCCTCTATCTCTTGTTCACACAACAACCAGAGTGATCTTGTTCAAACACAAACCATTTCATATCACTCTATGGCTTAAAATTATCTAGTGGCTTCTCATCGTTGCACTTGGAATCAAATTTTAACTCTTTGCCCTGACTTAGAAAGCATATATGAGGCCAGGCGTGGTGGCTCACGCCTGTAATCCCAGCATTTTGGGAGGCTGAGGCGGGTGGATTTCTTGAGCTCAGGAGTTCGAGATGAGCCTGGCCGACATGGCAAAACCCTGTCTCTACTAAAAATACAAAAATTAGCTGGGTGTGGGGGCATGTGCCTATAATCCTAGCTACTCAGGAGGCTGAGGCAGGAGAATTGCTTGAACCCAGGAGGCAGAGGTTGCAGTGAGCCAAGATCACACCATTGCACTCCAGCTTGGGCGACAGAGTGAGACTCTGTCTCAAAACAAACAAAACAACAACAACCACAAAAGCGTATATAAGCTGGCTCTGACTCTCTCTGCCACTACTCCCCCTTTGGATCTGTGCTTCAGCTGCTCTGGCCTTCTTTCTGTTCTTCAAACAAGTAGGCTTCATTCCACCTCAGAGCCTTCACATTGGCTGATCCTCTCTTTGGAATGCTTTGCCCCCTAAACTTTGAATGATTGGTCCCTTCCTTCCTGTCATTCAGATCTCGGTATAAATGTCACCTCCTCAGAGAGGCTATTTCAAACCAAAATAGCCACCCAGTCACTATACGTTCTAATTCTCTGCATAGCACTTATCTAACATTTTCTTATTTATGAAAATGTGCTTAGGTGTTTTTTTCTTTCCTGTGTCTCCTACTAAAATGTAAGTTCTACGGGGAAAGGTATTTCTGTCTGTTTTGTTCACTCTTATCTCCTTAGCACCTAGATACAGTAGAACTCAAAAACTTGTTGAACTAATGAATGGTGCACAGTAGTCCCTCAATAGATGATTGTTGACTAGTTGAATAGGGATATGATATTAGAAATGGGCCTTGAAGTATGAATACTATGATGGTGTTCTTTGAGGATTGGAGAAGGAGATCATTACAGGTTAGGAACAGTGTGAAAAAAGGCAGTTTGAACAAAAGCAGAAAGCTCGCTAAGAAAAGTGGCAAGGCACACTAGAACACTGCTATGGTTTCAATGCCCCCATCAAAATCATGCTGAAACGTATTCCCCAATGTAGCAGTATTGAGAAATGTGGCCTCTAAGAAGTGATTGGGTCATGAGGGCTCTGCAGTCATGAAGGGATTAATCCATTTATAGATTAATGAATTAATGGGTTAATGGATTAATGAGTTATAATGAGAGGGGAGCTGGTGGCTTTATAAGAAGAGGAAGAGAGACCTAAGCTAGCACATTAGCATGCTCAGCCCCCTCCCCATGTGATGTCCTGCACTGCCTCAGGACTCTGCAGAGTCCCCATCAGCAAGAAGGCCCTTATTAGATACAGCTCTGCAACCTTGGACTTCTCGGCCTCCATAACTGTAAGAAATAAATTCCTTTTCTTTATAAATTACTCAGTGTCAGGTATTCTATTATCAGCAAAATAAAACAAACTAATACAAGGACCTAGAGGAGGAAAAAATATGGAAATATAGGTTGGGCTGTGGTGGTAGAAGGCCTTGCTCAGGCCAAATTAGACTCACCAGTGTAGGCAGTAGGGAGCAGTGGAAGGTCTCTCAATAGGGGAGCTATGTGATCTGACCTGTGTTTTAGGAAAGTAACTTGGGAAGGAGTATGAAGGATGAGACGTTGCCAGAGAAAGAGACGAGAAACAGGAAAAGAGTTAGGAGGTAATTGCACTTGCCTAATTGGGAGTTGAGGGAGGGCTCCACCTAGGGATGTGGCAGTGGGGCTGGAGAGAAGGGGCTGGCCTGACCACTTCATCTCAACTCTGGCTATATGAAAATCCACTGGGGAGATTTTAGGTATGTGAATACCTGAGGTCTATCCCTCAGGGATTCTGACTGAATCAGTCTGTGGCAGGACCCCAACAATCAGTATTTTTTAAAAGCTTCCCAGATGTTCCAGCTTGGATTAAAACCTCTGGGACAGATAAACTGTTTGGAAATAGAATAGACAGCACTCAGGACTGAGTGGATCTGGGTGAGGAAAGAAAATATGACTGACTTTTTATTCTGAGTAAACTTGCAAGACAGCTTTTAAAACACACAACCCTGATAATATGTGGTATATCCAAACAGTGGACTAATATACAATTATTAGAAAGTATGTATATGAAGAGCATTTGTAGTCAAAAAGGAAAAGTTTTGTTATGAAGAAAAGGGCAAACAACAACAAAAAAGTATATGCAATATGACTTTAACTATGTAAAAACATATAGAAAAGAGTTTGGATGAAAATGTGTATAAAATTTTCACAGTGGTGCCTCTGGGAAGGAGGTTATAGGTGATTTTATTTTCTCTATTTTATATTTCCTCTATTTCTGAACATTTCTAAATGATCATATATTACATTTGTAATCAGAAAAGAATATTCTATAAAGGAAGCCTTCTACCCCAAAGATTAAAATATTAAAGTTTTAGGATTTAAGGGGGGGAACCCTGAACTATCTTGAAAACTTGCTGATATGAAATTTGAACATACCCCTGTTCATCTGTTTCTATATTTATGAATATATCTGAGTATTTCTAGGATCCCTACCTGAGCAGCCCAAATGACATTTTACCCTGGGATTCAGAAACATCTACAGGACTGAGACTAGACCTGTCAAGGGTATGTTTGCAAGTCACTCGACTGAAGATGGGAAAGAACTGAGCTTTGAAAACTTGGTTCAAGGAGCCTTGGTTAGCGTCAGAGGATTAGAACTGTTCTGAGGATAGCCCAATATTGGCATAAAATGAATGATGTGAGCCCTTACCTTTCCTCCATAGGGATTTACCCTGAGCCTTGGGGGTTAATGGGATGATTTTAACAAAGCCAGATTAGAAAAAAAGTTCATAAAGATATTGGGAGCACAAAGTTTTGTAGCCAATATAGCTTGCTTAACAAAAAATAGCAGGGACAAAAGGTACTGTTCTCATTTCAACAGAATGACAGTTGAATGGATCAGAACATGAGGTAGAAACATAAGAGACTCAGACAACTTCCCCAAAACAGAACAAATTAAAAAGCCAATGCCACTTAGTAACAGGACTACATTCGTGAGATTTTCAGTGGTAGCACTCAAGTGATAGCTAGGGAGACTGGGTTTGTAAATATAAGTGCCACCTCCCTTCACATTGGGTACTTCCTGAACATGGGACGAATTTGAGAGGGGTTAGAGTTCTTTAATTTGGTTTTGTTCCTTGACCCAGTAATTCCTTCTCTATGAATTGCCCTAGAAAGATAAATACATGTATAAAATATATCTGCAAGAATACTAATTGCAAAATTCATTATTGGAATAGTGAAAATGGAAAATATCTAAATATTCATCAATAATGTTTTGCCATATATTCGTTCATTCTACAAATTTTTTAAGTACCTACTATTTGCCAGACACTTTTCTTAGCACTGGGGATATAGCTGTGAGCCAAAAAAACAAGGCCCTTGTCCTAAGGGAGTTTGTACTCTACATGGGAAGACAAACGATAAAATAAATTTCAGTATATCCATGCTATAGAATTCAATGACGCAATTTTAAAATAGTAGATACATTTAACTGTATTAAAACTCAAGATCTACAAGGCAAAACACATTATACATAATTTTTAACTTCTAAGTTAGAGAAGAGAATTATAATATCCTACTTCAGTGATTATAATCACAAAATACATTAGAGTGTTTATGGGAAAAAATCAGGATAAACATACATGACCATCTCTGTATGGTATTAAGAAGAAATTCTACCTCTGCAGGCGCTCACTTGATTTTATACAAGAATTATTTTTATAATAAAAATTAAAACATTTCTAAAATGTTGTGTATAGAGGCTACACCCTAAAAACACATTTTGAAAAAGTATTTTCAGGACCTTATAGTTATTCTGTGACTACTGTTATATAGAGCAATGCAAGTAAAATTTTTGTGTATTTCAAGGTACAAAAATTATAACTTAAGAATAATCTGCAGATCTCAACCAAATGGGAATATAATGTGAAGAAAACAATTTTTGAGGTCAACTATATAATTGTTGCTCCTCATGCACAGAACTCCAGTGTTCTTCCCTTTATAATGAACACAAATCTGCTCTTGGATGTCTAGAACAAAGTTACTTAGAGGTGCTCTGTTTTATGTATTACCTTTTTCTCACTGAGCTGAAGGAGAACATATCCCTTCTTAAATACCTCTCCTAGAAATTAAATATCATTGTCCACTGGATTCAGAAACTGTCCCACTGATGGCTTTGCTTTCCACGCTTATGTTGTGTCTCCACACAGGAGATCAGTTTAAAACATTATATTGTTGTGCAGCAATTTTTCACTTGGCTCCCAGTTATACTTTCAATGTTCTCTCTGTATCACAGGGAGCTAGAAACCCACAAACTACATTTTTCAGATTCCTTTCCTAATTAGCCTCCTGTTAGGTTTGCTATTGGGAAGCACTGGTGGAGAGACTATGAGGTGAGGAGAAAAATAAGCTTCTTTTTTCTGTCTCTGGAAATCCCTCCAGCAGTAATAGCAGCAGCAACAGTGACTATAGCAGCCATTTCTTTCCAAAACATCTGTGGCAGTTTTAACAGCATTAGTAAAGCTATGGCATCCTGTATTCCTACTCAGTGGGAGCAGCACCCCCAAAAGCAGCAGTGTTAGCATCACTCACAGATCAGCATTAAGTGATGGGTTGTGGGTCCCAGCTCAGGAGTAGTAGAGCTTTCTGGTCTCTAGGTAAAACATACTGTAATGAATTGTAAAACTAGCCAAAATTCTTTCTCTCCCTTTCCATGACCTTTTTCAATGTGACTTTGCAGCTCTTCCCATAAAAAGTAAAATTTATTTCTTCTCTCTCCGAATCTAGGCTGGCTTTATTCCTTACTTTGAACAATAGAAAACAGTGAAAATGACGTTGTGATAGTGCTAAGCTTAGGCCTCAAGGGGACTCACCATCTTCTCCTCACTCTTTTGGAACCCTATGATTGCCATGGGAATAATCCCAGATTAACCTGCTAGAGAATGAGAAACCATGTGCATCAGAGTCTAGCCAGCCCTCTTGTCTCCACTGATAACTCAAATATGTAAGGGAGCCCAGCCACAATCTGCAAAGTCAACCCAAAACCAGCAGGAAGGAGTTCAGCTGAGACCAGAGAACTACCCAGATGAGCCCAGCCTAAATTGCTGACCACAGAATTGTTTTTAAAATAAAACCAGTAAGTTTAAGGTGGTTTGTCACACAGCAATAGCTAACTGATACACACCTTTGTCCTTTGTGTTTTTTCAGTACTTTTTGTACCTTATAGCAAATTACTTTTTTTTTTTTGTGAGCAACAAGGCTGTTTATTTCACCTGGGTGCAGGTGGGCTGAGTCCGAAAAGAGTCAGCAAAAGGAGATAGGGGTGGGGCCATTTTATAGGATTTGGGTGGGTAGTGGAAAATTACAGTCAAAGGGGGTTTTTCTCTTGCAGGCAGGGGCAGGGGTCACAAGGTGCTCAGTGGGGGAGCTTCTGAGCCAGGAGAAGGAATTTCACAAGGTAATGTCATCAGTTAAGGCAGGAGCAGGCCATTTTCACTTCTTTTGTGATTCTTCAGTTACTTCAGGCCATCTGGATGTATACGTGCAGGCCACAGGGGATATGATCGCTTACCTTGGGCTCAGATGCCTGACATTCCTGTCTTCTTACATTAATAAGAAAACATAAAATAGTGTTGAAGTGTTCGGGCAGTGAAAATTTTGGTGGGGTGGTATGGAGAGATAATGGGCAATGTTTCTCAGGGCTGCTTCAAGCGGGATTAGGGGTGGTGTGGGAACCTAGAGTGGGAAAGGTTAAGCTGAAGGAAGATTTTGTGGTAAGGGGCGATATTGTGGGGTTGTTAAAAAGAGCATTTGTCATATAGAATGATTGGTGATGGCCTGGATGTGGTTTTGTATGAATTGAGAAACTAAACGGAAGACATTGAGTCCTTTTCTGCATTAGATATACAGAGTAGTTTCTGCTTGCCTGACTAGATAACTGAATTACAAGTACTATGTTCATAGAATGGAATTCTATACAGCTATGAAATTAATATTGAAGCAGAATAATTTGACACAAGGAAATTCCCACAATATTTTTAAAGTAAAAAAAAAATAAAATTACAATGAAAGCACCAATGACATTCTTCACAGAGATAGAAAAACAATCCTAAAATTTATATGGAATCACAAAAGACTTAGAATAGCCAAAGCTATCTTGAGCAAAAAGAATAAAACTGGAGGAATCACATTACCTGACTTCAAATCATTCTATAGAACTATAGTAAACAAAACAGCATGGTACTGGCATAAAAACAGACACATAGACCAATGCAACCAAATAGAGAACCCAGAGGCAAATCCATACATCTACAGTGAACTAATTTTCAACAAAGTTCCCAAGAACATACACTGGGGAAAGGACAGTCTCTTCAATAATTGGTGCTGGGAAAACTGGATATCCCTATGCAGAAGAATGAAACTAGACCCCTCTCTCATACCATATAAAAAAATCAAATCAAAATGGATTAAAGAGTCACATCTAAGACCTCGAACTGTGAAACTACTAAAAGAAGACATTGGGGAAACTCTCTAAGACACTGGATTGGGCAAAGATTTCTTGAATAATACCTCACAAGCACAGGCCACCAAAGCAAAAATGGACAAATGGGATCACATCGAGTTTAAAAGTTTCTGCACAACAAAGGATACAATCAACAAAGTGAAGAGACATCGCACAGAATGAGAGAAAATATTTCTAAACTACTCATCTGCCAAGGAATTAATAGCCAGAATATATAAGGAGCTCTAACAACTATAGGAAAAAAATATAATGATCTGATCAAAAATGGGTGAAAGACCTGAATAGATATTTCTCAAAAGAAGATACCCAAATGGCAAACAGGTATATGAAAAAGTAGTCAACATCATTGATCATCAGAGAAATGCAAATCAAAACTACAATGAGGTATCATTTCACCCAAGTTTAAATGGCTTTTATCCAAAAGAAGGCAATAACAAATGCTGGCAAGAATATGGAGGAAAGGGAACCCTTGTACACTACTGGTGGGAATGTAAATTAATACAGCCACTGTGGAGAACAGTTTGGAGGTTCCTTAAGAAACTAAAAATAGAGCTACTATATGATCCAGCAATTGCACTGCTGGGTATATACCCAAAAGAAAGGAAATCAGTATACTAAGGAGATATCTGCACTCCCATGTTTGTTGCAGCACTATTCACAATAGCCAAGATTTGGAAACAACCTAAGTGTCCATCAACAGACGAATGAATGAAGAAAATGTGGCACATATACACAATGGAGTACTATTCAGCCATAAAAAAGAATGAGATACTGTCATTTGCCACAACATGGATGGAACTGGAGGTCATTATGTTAAGTGAAATAAGCCAGACACAAAAAGAAAAACTTTGCGTTTATTTGTGGGAGCTAAAAGTTAAAACAATTGAACTCACAGAGATAGAGAGTAGAATGATGGTTACCAGAAGCTGGGAAAGGTAGTTGGGAGGAGGGAGTGGGGATGGTCAATAAAAATTTAAAAAGTAAAAAGTAAAATTGCAAAATGAACTTACAGTGTGATGCCAAGTTGGAGATACACACACACACACACACACACACACACACACACACACAATTTGGAGATGTGTATCTATACATACATATAAATAATTATTACTTCGTGAGCCAATATCTCATCACTTTGTGTTTTTTCTTTACATTTTCTACATTTATTAAATGTTCTGTAAAAGCGTGACTTCTTTTATAATTAGAAAAAGTTTTATTTTGAATTGTTAATTTTTAGGTCATCGAGATTGATATTTGGTTTGAGAAATATGACATCCTCTGTAAATCCCTTTTTAGCAACATATTAGAAATGATTTTTTTTTCCAAAAAATAGGTAACGTGAGAAAACTGTCTTACCCCTGCTAGCGGTATTCTAAGCAAGGTTGCAACCAGTCTTGTTCCTTATAATCCATAATCATCCAATAGCATCTAAAGTAGGACTTAAACCTTTTTTTCTTTCTGCCCTCTTTCTAAAGCTTCCATGTCACCTTACAACACAGCAGCTGCTGAAATATCCTCCTGACACATTTCCCCTATATGTGTCCAGCTCTAAATAATTCATTCTGGAGGTATATGAATTTTTGATTACTGAGAATGTTTTATTAAAAGGATGTTGTGCTTTTACACTGACTCTAATACCTGTGATAAATACTTTATTCCTGTGAAAGGAAAGATATAATTGATAGAGACTTGGCTCAGAGGAATTTAACCAAAAAGATGATAGTTCCAGGTGTCCAGGTTCTGCAAATAATTTTTACCCCTTTTAGTCAATTGTACCGTGTTTATTGATCCCATTTTTGAAATCCAAAGGTTAATTAATGTTCACTGAATTTAGTAGGAATACTTTCTACATGATGGTGACTAGTGTATTTTTAGTTAGGTTTGTTTGTTAGAGAATTATCTTTGAGTGCACTTTAATGAACCCAATACATAAAAATGAATATGTTGAAATTCCTTCTATCCTATTTGGTTACAGTGAAGTGTACTTTAGCTGTTAAAGCATGCAGACGTTATGTAACCTAGGCCAGGGCCCCTTCTTATTGAAATGCATGAGTGGCTGCATTTAAAGTGAAGACTGGGTCAGTGTGGCTGAAGCGGAGCAGAACATTGAACTTATTATCAATGCGTTGAACTGCTGAATTCAGTCAATGTTGATGTACATAACCCTGGCCCTAAACTTCCTTTTGTGAGAATTATCCCCATTAGTGAATTTCTAATCACTGAGTATGTCATCGTCATAACTGAAAAGACATTGATCAACCATTGGCATCAGGATTTAGACCCAAACGGTCTGATACAGGAACCTGCACTCTTGACAATAGGGAGAATTATCCACATCAGTGAATTTCTAATAATTGGGTACATCATCATCATAACTGAAAACATTTATTGATCAACCATTGGAATCAGAATTTGAACCCAAACAGTCTAATATAGAAGCCTACACTCTTGACAATAGGTTTTGGAGTCAGAATGCCTGGATTCCCTCCTGGCCTCTGACATTTACAAGTTTCCACATCTGTAAAATGAGGATAGTAATAGTACCTACCTTATTGTCTTCACGTAAGACAGTCTATGTGAAGTGTTTAGAACAATTCTGGAATAGTGAATGCTTATTAAATGTTAGTTATCATTATAACAACTGTGCCACCTCCTAATTACAGCAGTTTAGATCTATAAGGGGCCTTAAAGATGATTATGTTCACTGTTTTCAACTGGACGTCACATCTGTTAGTGTATTATGAAATCAATTTGAGGGCTCTCTTTTATCATTTAATAAAAAGAATAAAAAATATCAGAGTATATCACATATAATAAGTGTCGTTTCATGAAATGTTTGCTTTTGGGGGAATAGCAGATATGATGGATGCTCTGCTTATGTCACTCAGGTCTCTTCTACTGGTTCTGCCTATTCCCCAGCGTCTTTGTGCTACTCTCCTACACGATATCCCCTCAAGCTCTTCAGAGAACTACCCTTCAGCTATTGGAGCCACATCAACCCAGTGTATGATATTGTTTATCTATTGCTGCACAACAATTTTTTCAAAAACCTAGTGACTTAAAACACCAAACATTTATTATCTCACATGGTTTCTGAGGGTCAGAAAACTGAGAGCAACATAACTGGGTGGTTCTGGCTCAGGGTCTCTCAAAAGATTTCACTCAAGCTGTCAGCTGGAGCTACAATCATCTCAAGGCTTGATTTAGGTTGGAAAATCTGCCTTCAAACTCAAGTCATTGTTGCAGGCCTTGGTTCCTTGCTGGCTGTTGGCTAGAAGCCTCAGTTCCTTGTCATGAGAGTCCGTGTCATGGGCCTCTTCATTGGACTACTCAGAAAATGAGACCTTGCTTCCCCCAGAGCCAGTGACCCAAGAAAAAGAGAATCCAAGATGGATCCCACAGCTTTTTACATTTTAATCTCAGAAGTGGCATACCATCATTTCTTTTTATTTATTTATTTATTTTTCTTTTTTCCCCCTCCTTCTCATCCCAACATACCACCATTTCTGCTGTATTTTATTGGTCACACAGACCAACAATGGTGTAGTGTAGGAGGGAACTATATGAAGGTGTGAATACCATGAGCTAGTGATCACTGGGGGCCACCTTTGGGGGACTGGCTACCACAAGTACCATGAGCTGCAATGCCTGGGATGTTACATGGTATTGGGGTAGCCTGTAACCAGTGATTGACTGGTGATGAAGTATGAAAGCCTCACTCTCTTGCCTCAAGGCTGATCAAATTATATGAAGTATTTTATGCTCTACGGCTCCCTGTGGAATAAGGCTGAGGCCAGGACTTCACCTGAAATCTCACACTTGGTTGATTTCTACCCTTTTCCTCCTCTTTCCTCTATTTCTTCTATTCCAGTACCAGTTTCTCCTGGGAGCATATCCTTAATAAATTGTACTCAAATCCCTATTTCAAGATCTACATCTGGGAAACCCAACCTAGGACAAGGTATGCTGGCAGTGGTGGTGGTGGTGGTGGTGGTGGTGTGTGTGTCTGTGTACTGGTCAATATAAAACATTTCTTACTTTTAGTCATGGTCAA
Source organism: Homo sapiens (assembly GCF_000001405.40). NCBI lineage: Eukaryota > Metazoa > Chordata > Mammalia > Primates > Hominidae > Homo > Homo sapiens. The sequence goes on along the minus strand of NC_000023.11, from coordinate 38,546,677 downwards.
AAACATTGACTTTAAAAAAACCTCCGATTTATATCAGTCCCTTTATTTTACAACTGAGTAAACTGAGGCCCAAACAGATGAAGTGATTAACCCAGGATTACCCAGTCCTTAGTGGTTAATTGATCCCTTGGTTTTATTTTTACTTCCTATGCTAAGCCTCTGCATGTAAAATCACTTACATTATATTAAACTCCAACTCTGCCACTTGATAGTTACATGACGTAAGTCAGTTCAGTCCCTCTAGGCCTTAGTCCCTTCATCTGTAACACCGGGATAATAACTGCTTTGAGTAGAAAGAAAAGGTTGGACAGATATCAAACACAAGCTCATCATTCACTAGCTTTTTTTTTTCTTGTGGTGAAATACACGTAACATAAAACTATCCTAACCATTTTAACTGTACAGTTCAGTGGTGTTAAGTACATTTATATTGTTGTGCAACTATCACCAACATCCATCTCCAGAACTCTTATCTTGTAAAACAAACTCTGGCCAAGTGTGGTGGCTCACGCCTGTAATCCCAGCACTTTGGGAGGCCGAGGGGGGCAGATCATGAGGTCAGGAGTTCAAGACCAACCTGACCAACATGATGAAACCCCTTCTCTACTAAAAATACAAAAAAAAAAAAAAGTAGTCTGGCATGGTGGCGCATGCCTGTAATCCCAGCTACTCAGGAGGCTGAGGCAGCAGAATCACTTGAACCTGGGAGGCAAAGGTTGCAGTGAGCTGAGATCGTGCCACTGCGCTCCCGTCTAGGGACAGAGTGAGATTCCATCTCAAAAACAAAACAAAACAAAACAAAAACTGAACCTCTGTACCCATGAAACAATAACTCCCCATTCCCCTCTCCCCACGTCCACTGACAACCACCATTCTGTCTCTATGATTTACCACTTACTGGCTTTTCGACTTTAAGTAAATAATGCATTTTTATTTCTCTCATTTTTGGTGAAAAGAGATTAATATCTTCTAGTGTGTATCATATACAACTAATGACAGCTGAAATTATTATCAGGTACATGGAAGTACTTTGTAAACCATAAGTACCACAAAAATGTGAGTTATTGTAGTTATTGTTATGACACTACACCTAAGGAAGACCCCAAATTCTGGTGGTCATATGGGGTTATATATTAAAACATTATAAATTTTTGACCAACATCATGTCGTTATTTAAAAGCAAAATATGTTAATGGTATCACCAATCTTGTTTTCCTCTTTTTCTTTGAAAAACCAAATGAATTTTCTTTATGGATGAATTATCTAAAAACTTGTTCCTAAATGAGTTATTTTATATTTTCAGTAGTTTTTAGTTATGTAATAAAACAAAATGATAAATTATAAATGTATAAGGGTAATTTGTTCTTTGTATCTCACAAACTGGTAATATTTCTGACAGTGAGGTCAACTGTGATAATCCTTAGCCCTCAAGGGACCCTTATTTTTTGAGTAAAGAAGTGGAAAAATTTTATGGTATGTATAAACATAAGCCTATCTTTCCATGTGAAGCTACCACCACTCTGTCCTGATGGTTCAAATATATCAAATTTTTAAGAAGTACTAGTTAAAATAAAATGTATCATGTAAATAGAAATTTAGCAGAAATCAAAAAAAATGTTTCAAAATGTAATAACTTAAGACCTATGTTTAGAAAAAAACCTATTTGCCCATGAGTTACCCTGTCTGTGAATTGAAATAATGAACTTGGCTCCACACAGAGAAAGTAAAGCCTGATTCTGGCTAAGGGACTCTAAAATGGGAGTTTTTTTGTTTGTTTTTTTTGTTTTGGTTTTGTTTTTAGTTAAAAAAAAAAACTGAGTTCATTAAAAACTACGGCCCTCTCTGTAAAGAAACAAGCACCCATATATATTTCCAGTGGAAAATAGTACATCTCCTGTTAAAGGCAATTTGGCAATATTCATCAAAATTACTCATGCAGTTTGGACTCAGGAATTCTACCTCTGGATAGGTATATGTGCATACATGTATGCACACACATATATAAGAAAACGTATAGGCAAGGTTGTTTGTTGTAGCTAGGTTTTCTTGGTAATAGTGAAAGTTTGGAAGCTACCCAGTGTCCAACAATTGGGGATTTGTCTAAGAAATTACCATACATGGCCAGGCGCGGTGGCTCATGCCTATAACCCCAGCACTTTGGGAGGCTGAGGCAGGTGGATCACGAGGTCAGGAGTTCGAGACCAGCCTGGCCAATATGGCGAAACCTCGTCTCTACTAAAAAAAAAAAAAAAAAATACAAAAATTAGCCAGACTTGGTGGCACATACCTGTAGTCCCAGCTACTTGGGAGGCTGAGGCAGGAGAATCACTTGAACCCAGGAGGCGGACGTTGCAGTGAGCCGAGATTGCGCCACTGCACTCCAGCCTGGGCGACAGGCTTTTGAGACTTTGTCTCAAAAAAAAAGAAAAAAAGAAAGAAAGAAATTATGATACATCCACACAGTAAAATGCTATGCAACTATAAAAAGATTGATGATGCTTTTTATGTCCTGATATACTACAAACTCTAAAATATATCATTAACTAAAAATGCCAAGTTACAATATAGTGCCTATGTAACTTTTGTGTAAAAAAGGAGGAATTATGAATATTTATTTTCAAACACTGGCAGTATAAACATAAAACAAGCAAAAAATGTACACCATCTCAAAACTGAGCTAAAATAATAAATGTATATGTTCAATCCTTCCCTCAGTATAACGAAATGTACTATTAATTGAAAAAATGTTTCCCAAAGTCTGCTGTTGTGTTCCTTCATCTGTCAAGATTTAAGCTAGATATCATGAAAGTCAATATGTAAATGTAAGTAAATCACACAGATATCTTCTATGTGTAGCAATGCCAAATTTGAATAATCATGTAATCCCTTCTTCAGGATATAAATTGACTTGGTCATGGTACCTTAAAAAAAATTAAGCTCTTGAACCAAGCTATGTCAGAGATAAAAGGTGAAAGGCTCTGAATAGGAATGGCCAAGTGGAGAAATAATAATGGCGGGGGGGCAGGGGTGGAAAGCCCCAGTATAAACCATACAAACAGATAAAGATTCAATAGTTGTGAATGCTGATGAATAGAAAAATATTCATTTTGATGACCGTAAAAGGTTTCCAAGTCTCCTCAAGTACTTACAGACACTGCATTATCTATATAATTTATTTAGTTATGAGAGAAATACTTGACATAATAAGCCATCCGCTATCCTTTATGACTATCTAGAGGTGGGTGATGCCAAGAGAAATAAAAGGCATGTCCATCAGATTGAGTAAACCTTGCTCTGGCATCAAGGATGATCTAGGTAAAAAATGAGAATGATGAACATGATTGCCAGGTGTTTGGGCCGCATTCTGCTCTAAGTATGAATCTCCTAGGATTATTTTTCCTGCAAGCCCTGAAAATGGTAAAAGGGGCTAACACAGTCATGAATCATTAGGCCCATGAGCACTGGAGAAATAAAGCATCCATCCATTGTCTACATGGAGGGAAAAACTTGAAACAATGCAGGCGCTTTGCTCAGCCTGTGGGAGTAAGTGTGGAAAGGCTCTGGAATAGAAAAGCAGAATAGGATTGAATCCTCGTGGGCAGAATTCCAATTCCACCCTTCCATTGGCCCATGGGAAAATTCAAGCACCCTTGCCCCACTGTTGCTTGAAAGCGAAAGTGCATCTCACTTCTAATGCAGTACTCTCTCAATGTGTTATCAGGCAGGGTCAGCATCAGCCATATTCACTTTCTTTTGGATTTATCTCTGAGAGTGTTAGACATCAGTCTCCCAAGCTTCAGAGGCATATGTGAAGCTGAGTGGCCATCTTGAAGCCAATGATGTAACTTCAAGATAGATGATATCTTAAGGATTGAAAACTATTGCTTTTGCTCCATCCTCTTTGCAAGTCCGATGCCTCACTCTGGCATGTGAATGTATTTGGAATTTACTGGTTTTCCTCCACCTTTGGGAACTCAGCCAAAACCGAGTTTTATTATTTTATCCTCTTATGCAATTTCTCTCTTCCCTAGCAGAAAGTGGAATTGAGCTTATCAGTAGCAACTCTTATAAAATTTTCCCGGACATCTCACCACTGAAGTTATTGGTTCTCTTGTTTAGTAAACCACAAATGAGCATTTATTCTTGTCTCTATATTCTTTGCCACACCTAGCACAAGGCCTCATTCAACAGATGCTCAGTACATGTTTGCCTGAATTGGGCCACCTGCTTTATTTTACATTGATGAAATCAGTCAGATGCAGATAAAATGTTAAAATGAATTACATTTGAGGTGTAGAATTAAAATTTAGAACTACTACCTTCCTTTTGAAATAAGAAATGCTTATGTTAAAAAACCTCATGGCCGGGCATGGTGGCTCCTGCCTGTAATACCAGCAATTTGGGAGGCCGAGGCGGGTGGATCACCTGAGGATGGGAGTTCGACACCAGCCTGGTCAACATAGAGAAACCCTGTCTCTACTAAAATTACAAAATTAGCCGGGCATAGTGGCACATGCCTGTAATCCCAGCTACTTGGAAGGCTGAGGCAGGAGAATCGCTTGAACCCGGGAGGCGGAGGTTGCGGTGAGCCGAGATCGTGCCATTGCACTCCAGCCTGGGCAACAAAAGTGAAACTCCATCTCAAAAAAAAAAAAAAAAAAGAAAAAAAGAAAACAACTCAGTTTATCAGTTTCAAAAATATGCTCTTATGTTTTGATTACCAATTCCTAGATAATCAAGGCAAAATAATTTTCAACAAGTAATTAAATTATCTTTAGTTATTGGACAACTGCAATTGCCCTTTTAACTTTAAACCTTAGAAACAAAGCTTCTCATTGATTTCATTTTTCTTCAAATTTGGTATGGTTCTACGAACAAAATCAAATAATTGGTGATAATTATACTTTTTTTATACTTTAAGTTCTAGGGTACATGTGCACAACGTGCAGGTTTGTTACATGTGTATACATGTGCTGTGTTGGTTTGCTGTACCCATTAACTCGTCATTTACATTAGGTATTTCTCCTAATGCTATCCCTCCCCATCCCCCCACCCCACGACAATATATTTAATATTAGATGTGTTTTGGTTTTTATTTAGAAGTTTGGTGATGTTTTTGTGACCAGAAGTATGCCATAGGAACTCTTGTTTATATCACTCGTGTTTATATCAATCTCATCACTCTTGTTTATATCAATTAGCCTATGGAAAAGTTGGCTTCCTTAGGCATTGTACCTAAAATTGCAGTTTCCAAGAACCTGTAGACAATGTTAATTGAGTTTAGGGGATGTGATGGTTTAGAGATCTGTCTGAAAATTCTTGATTCCTCCCATCAAATGGTGTTGTCTAATCCCCTTTTCCTTGAACCTGGGTGAACATTTGTGGTTACCTCCATGGCTGGAATGTAGTGGAAATGATGCTGTGTGATTTCTGATCTTATCTTTAAAAAGACTATATCACTTCTACATAGCTTTCTTTTGGAATACTCACTCTTGAAACTTAGCCACCATGTTGTAAAGAAGCCCAGGCCACATGGTGTCAAATGCTGGCTTCCCAAATATCACCAGAACAACACATTGAAAAGACTAAGTTGAATATATTGCTTAAAGTGATACTTCATGGAATCTGAGAGAGTCTCAGAACAGGAGAACAAAGTCTGATGCTATATTGAGAGCTGGGAGTTTGGTTTATGAGAGTCTTTCAACACAGGAGCTTGATTAGAATAGGATAAGGATCTTAGGATTGGTGGATACTACAAGGTAAGCGTTTTGAGGCTAGAGGCTCAAATAATCTTACGATGTAAACTCTTCTACTGAAGAATGATACAACTTTCAGAAACTCCTGTAAAGAACAATAATTTTACTTGCAACTTTTGTCTTTCTGGGCAATAGTCTACTGGAATACCAAAGTTATACTAACAAAGACAATGGAATAGTAAAGTCAGGTTAATGTAGACAGTAAGCTGTGTGGGGGTAGACAGTTTGGTTCTTCGTGGACAGGCCACATGTAGGTGTCTGGCCAATGGCCTCAGTTAAAGTCTCAACCTGAAAGCCATCATCAGTCGCTAGACATGTGAGTGACTGAGATTTCATGTGATTCTATCCCCAAGCTTACACTGAATGAAACAGATTGTTTCTTGCCCAAATTTCACATTTGTGAACAAAATAAATGTTGCTTTAAAACATTAAATTTTGGGATGGTGTGTGTGTTATGGTTAATTTTAGGTGTCAACTTGATGAGATTAAAGAATACTTAGAAACCTGGTAAAGCATTATTTTGGAGTGTGTCCGTGAGGGTGTTTTCAGAAGAGTTTAGCTGTGAGTCAAAATAGACTTGGTGGAGAAGATCTACCCTCTATGTGGGCAGGTACCATCCAATCTATTGGGGGTCCAGAAAGAACAAAGCAGAGAAAAGATGAATGTGTGGATCTGCTAAAGCTGGGACACACTATTCCTCTCCTGTCCTTGGAAAACAACTCCAGGCTCCCTGGCCTTTGGACTCCAACATAAGAGTATAAACTCAAATTCACAGCCCCACTTGCAACTACTGTACATAGATGTGACCTAGACCCAGCAATCAAATGCATCCATGTGAGATTGTGGTTTATAAGGCAACAATCTTTGGTGCTTCCATTTCTCCTGGAGATGTGCCTAGCATCTACTGGTACAATGACAGCAGCTTTCTGGTGATTGCAAAGTTGAGTTCCTGCCATAGATGTGGCGTAAGGATAGTGGCAATGCAGGCTTCCTCTAGCAATCAGTGGCAGTAGTTTATCAAGTCTGTTTTGAGGCATGGTTTCAGATCTATTCCTGGAAGTTTGGCTTCAAGCTCAATTTACCAGGGCTCTGAGCAATTGTGAGAACTATTAATGAATGACTTTTCTACTTAATAACCAACCTGATTGAGAAATTGGTACCAAAAGAGGTGGCAAGCAACAGATCCTCAGGAAAATAAGGGGAAATCTCAGATTTATTACCTCTTCTAATTGTTGTTGATATCTCTAAAGACTCAACCAGTAGTCCAAGACATGCTCAAATCAAAGAAATAGCTAATTATTATCTATGCTCATTAGTAATAATGTGCTCATTTTGGGCAAGACTCTGAAGGATCTAGTGGTAGTTGGAATAGAATAATATGAAAGGCATAGTATAGCGCTGCTTCTAGCTGAACTTGGCAGCTTAAAGAAAAGAAAAGCAACCTCAAAGCCTTAATGTCTTATATCAAGACAAATCCAAAAAATTGTGGAACTTCTATGATTTTTCTCAAAGAATCTCTTATCACTTGCAGCCACTGGAGCGAGATAGTTGAAAACAAAACTCAAATTTTGATTCTTGGGCTGCTGCATAAAAACTTTGATTTACCAGATATTTTACATAAAAGTTATATTTGGATTAGGAGAGAGTGAGATCCCAAGAACTGAAATGGGGACATATGGCAAGACTCATATAACTCAGTACCCCAAACCATAGAATCTTCCTTTCTCTCCTGGTTTATGAGGCTGTTCCGCCATTCTTTGAAGACCCTGTAACAACCTTGCTGAGAGTGTTACCTTGAAAAGGGGAGAAAATTCTATTTAGCCCACTACCTCTAATTATTGCAACACCTAAACTAAAATCAGGTCATGGCAGTCTCCAGTTGCCAAATTGCAAATTTACTAATGTATATTGGCAAGAATCATAATAGGTTCAGTGGGTGCTATACCAATGAAGGAAGGACAAAATACTAGATAAGGCTGAGTTCATTGTTTAAGAAGCACTTACCAGGAGATTCTGATTCCATTGTGTTAGGTTAAGATGCTGGGAGTAGTTCCAGTTGTTTGTTTAGTTGAACTCAATAAGGGGGCCAGAGTAAAGGAAGTTGAGATGTTAAAAGTTTCTCAGTATGATATAGGTGAAGGAATCCAAAGACTTAGAAATTTTGTAGTGGATTTATTATGCATTACTTATTTACTCATTCAGCTCACATTGTTTGATAGATTTAGTAGACCTCCACTTTATACTTGAAGATTCTGTCATAATCTTTTGTAGCAGTGTGTAATATACATAGGTAGTGAACCAAGTTCTCGCCCTAACACATAGTTAAATCTAAAAAATGATTAACAATAACCCGTTACTCATTTCCTGACCTTTTTCAAACACAAAGAAACTCATACATTCTTTCTAAAGACAGAATGCAGGGCACTCGATTTGTGACTAGAGATAGCTAATGTTTCATGGCCTTGGAAGGTAGTGGGAAAAGTATTCCACATTGCTTTGCTTCCACTGGCCACTTGAAGTAGCAGCCAGTTGTGCTATGTATTAAGTTACAGCCTCAAGTTGCATGACACTGCCATGTCCCAATTTGTGAGATCAGTACAAAATTACAAGTTAGGTCAGTGATTTTCAACTGTGAGTAATTTTGCCCACTAGAGGATATTTGGCAATGTCTACAGACATTTCTGACTGTCAAAAGTGGGAGGGTGCTAACTGACACCTAGTGACTGGAGATCACAAATGCTGTTAAACATCCCATGATGCACAGGACAGTACCCCCCACAACGAAGAATTATGCAACCCAAAACATCAATAGTGCCAAGGTTGGGAAACCCTGGATTAGGTGTATGTAAAATATGTATTGGAAATAGAGGCTGACCATCCCTGCCATGTTACATATAGAGTAGGGGTCAGCATACATTTTTTTAAAGTGCCAGATGGTAAATATTTTAGGCATTGTGAGTCATAAGATCTCTGTTGCAACCATAGACAATACTCATAAATGAGAGCACCTGTGTTCCAATAAAACTTTATTTACAGAAACAGGTTATAGGTTAGATCTGGCCTGACCCTTGATATAGAGATTAGCCTGAATGCTCTTACTACAGTATTTTTTTCTTTATTGTATGATGCTAATCTACAATAATTTTATTGTTTGATGATGCATTTATTTTTTAAAAATTATTATTATACTTTAAGTTTTAGGGTACATGTGCACAATGTGCAGGTTAGTTACATATGTATACATGTGACATGCTTGTGTGCTGCACCCATTAACTCGTCATTTAGCATTAGGTATATCGCCTAATGCTATCCCTCCCCCCTCTCCCCACCCCACAACAGTCCCCAGAGTGTGATGTTCCCCTTCCTGTGTCCATGTGTTCTCATTGTTCAATTCCCACCTATGAGTGAGAACATGCAGTGTTTGGTTTTTTGTCCTTGCGACAGTTTACTGAGAATGATGATTTCCAATTTCATCCATGTCCCTACAAATGACATGAACTCATCATTTTTTATGGCTGCATAGTATTCCATGGTGTATATGTGCCACATTTTCTTAATCCAGTCTATCATTGTTGGACATTTGGGTTGGTTCCAAGTCTTTGCTATTGTGAATAGTGCCACAGTAAACATAAGTGTGCATGTGCCTTTATAGCAGCATGATTTATAGTCCTTTGGGTATATACCCAGTAATGGGATGGCTGGGTCAAATGGTATTTCTAGTTCTAGATCCCTGAGGAATCGCCACACTGACTTCCACAATGGTTGAACTAGTTTCCAGTCCCACCAACAGTGTAAAAGTGTTCCTATTTCTCCACATCCTCTCCGGCACCTGTTGTTTCCTGACTTTTTAATGATTGCCATTCTAACTGGTGTGAGATGGTATCTCATTGTGGTTTTGATTTGCATTTCTCTGATGGCCAGTGATGATGAGCATTTTTTCATGTGTCTTTTGGCTGCATAAATGTCTTCTTTTGAGAAGTGTCTGTTCATATCCTTTGCCCACTTTTTGATGGGGTTGTTTGTTTTTTTCTTGTAAATTTGTTGGAGTTCATTGTAGATTCTGGATATTAGCCCTTTGTCAGATGAGTAGGTTGTGAAAATTTTCTCCCATTTTGTAGGTTGCCTGTTCACTCTGATGGTAGTTTCTTTTGCTGTGCAGAAGCTCTTGAGTTTAATTAGATCCCATTTGTCAGTTTTGGCTTTTGTTGCCATTGCTTTTGGTGTTTTAGACATGAAGTCTTTGTCCATTCCTATGTCCTGAATGGTAATGCCTAGGTTTTCTTCTAGAGTTTTTATGGTTTTAGGTCTAACGTTTAAGTCTTTAATCCATCTTGAATTAATTTTTGTATAAGGTGTAAGGAAGGGATCCAGTTTCAGCTTTCTACATATGGCTAGCCAGTTTTCCCAGCACCATTTATTAAATAGGGAATCCTTTCCCCATTGCTTGTTTTTCTCAGGTTTGTCAAAGATCAGATAGTTGTAGATATGCGGCGTTATTTCTGAGGGCTCTGTTCTGTTCCATTGATCTATATCTCTGTTTTGGTACTAGTACCATGCTGTTTTGGTTACTGTAGCCTTGTAGTATAGTTTGAAGTCAGGTAGCGTGATGCCTCCAGCTTTGTTCTTTTGGCTTAGGATTGACTTGGCGATGCGGGCTCTTTTTTGGTTCCATATGAACTTTAAAGTAGTTTTTTTCCAATTCTGTGAAGAAAGTCATTGGTAGCTTGATGGGGATGGCATTGCATCTATAAATTACCTTGAGCAGTATGGCCATTTTCACGATATTGATTCTTCCTACCCATGAGCATGGAATGTTCTTCCATTTGTTTGTATCCTCTTTTATTTCATTGAGCAGTGGTTTGTAGTTCTCCTTGAAGACGTCCTTCACGTCCTAGAAAAGCAAGAGCAAACACATTCAGCAGCTAGCAGAAGGCAAGAAATAACTAAAATCAGAGCAGAACTGAAGGAAATAGAGACAAAAAAAACCCTTCAGAAAATTAATGAATCCAGGAGCTGGTTTTTTGAAAGGATCAACAAAATTGACAGACCACTAGCAAGACTAATAAAGAAAAAAAGAGAGAAGAATCAAATAGATGCAATAAAAAATGATAAAGGGCATATCACCACCAATCCCACAGAAATACAAACTACCATCAGAGAATACTACAAACACCTCTACGCAAATAAACTAGAAAATCTAGAAGAAATGGATAAATTCCTCAACACATACACTCTCCCAAGACTAAACCAGGAAGAAGTTGAATCTCTGAATAGACCAATAACAGGATCTGAAATTGTGGCAATAATCAATAGCTTAACAACCAAAAAGAGTCCAGGACCAGATGGATTCACAGCCGAATTCTACCAGAGGTACAAGGAGGAACTGGTACCATTCCTTCTGAAACTATTCCAATCAATAGAAAAAGAGGGAATCCTCCCTAACTCATTTTATGAGGCCAGCATCATCCTGATACCAAAGCCAGGCAGAGACACAACCAAAAAAGAGAATTTTAGACCAATATCCTTGATGAACATTGATGCAAAAATCCTCAATAAAATACTGGCAAACCGAATCCAGCAGCACATCAAAAAGCTTATCCACCATGATCAAGTGGGCTTCATCCCTAGGATGCAAGGCTGGTTCAATGTACACAAATCAATAAATGTAATCCAGCATATAAACAGAACCAAAGACAAAAACCACATGATTATCTCAATAGATGCAGAAAAGGCCTTTGACAAAATTCCACAACACTTCGTGCTAAAAACTCTCAATAAATTAGGTATTGATGGGATGTATCTCAAAATAATAAGAGCTATCTATGACAAACCCACAGCCAATATCATACTGAATGGGCAAAAACTGGAAGCATTCCCTTTGAAAACTGGCACAGGACAGGGATGCCCTCTCTCACCACTCCTATTCAACGTAGTGTTGGAAGTTCTGGCCAGGGCAATTAGGCAGGAGAAGGAAATAAAGGGTATTCAATTAGGAAAAAAGGAAATCAAATTGTCCCTGTTTGCAGACGACATGATTGTATATCTAGAAAACCCCATTGTCTCAGCCCAAAATCTCCTTAAGCTGATAAGCAACTTCAGCAAAGTCTCAGGATACAAAATCAATGTGCAAAAATCTCAAGCATTCTTATATACCGATAACAGACAAACAGAGAGCCAAATCATGAGTGAACTTCCATTCACAATTGCTTCAAAGAGAATAAAATACTTAGGAATCCAACTTACAAGGGGCATTTACTTTTCAACAAACCCTTTTAGTTACAATGAGTTTTTAAAAGTGAAGTGCAGGCCCTGTAGCCTGGAGCCTCCCTTCGGTGGGTGCTCCAAGGAGGAGGAGGTTTTTGTTGGCCAGGGTTGGGGAAGGAAGGTAGAGGGTGGGTGCTCACTGCACATGGAAGCAGAAAGCAGTTTCCAGTGGGCAGGGGAGTGTGCACACCACGGAGCCAGGCTGCAGGGGATAGGGGAGAGGTTAGGAAGAAGGGGAGGAGCATGCTCCCACATCTACCAACCCATTAAGTCTATTAGGGTCTTGGCTGGTTATCTCTGAGAGTGTGGGACCTGTGCCCACCTCCTCTTTGAGAGGGGAGAGGGATAGAAAGTCCCTCACCTCTCAGCCTGCCTGAGTGGGAATTGGTATGTCTTCTAAAGGGTGAGGTGGCTTTGATCCTGGGTTGCCAGCCAGCACCATGGAAGAGGTAGCTGGACACCTGGAGGATAAAGAGAAAAACTGACTGCCCCACAGACCTGAAAATGGCCATCCCCAAAGGCCAAGACTGCTGGTACCAGGAAGACATGATGACTTTGCCACAATGCTTGAAAAATTACTTTACAGTCAATGACAGCTCCAAGTTCAAAACTACCAAGTCACATACGGAGTGGGAAAATGTAGCATTTAAGGACTTTTCTGTAGACATGTGTAAGCTTGAATGGGTAGAGATTTCTAACAAGGCCAGGAAGTTCCATACATTGACAGAATTGATCCTCAATGCTCAGAAACATGTTACAAATCCTTACAAAGGCAAACAAACAAACAAACAAACAAACAAACAAACAAACAAAAAAACCCTGCAGATTTCCCAAGGAATTCCCTGCTTCCTTATTTCCCTTCTTCATGGAGAAGCACAACAAGTATGTGAAACTCCCCTTGAGATGAGCAATCTGGACCTGACCAAGATTATATCCAAGAAATCCAAGCAGCTTCCGGAGAAGAAGATAAAATATATGCAGGGCTTCCATAAGGAGAAACAAAAGTCTGTAGAAACCTGACCCAATTCAAAGAGGATCACTCTGACCCAATCCAGAATGACAAGAAGTCAGATATCCCCAAGAAGCCCCAAATTCCCCAGCAACTGTGGTACACTCATGAGAAGAAGGTGTATTTCAAAGTGAGCCCAGATGCCACTACGAAGCAGGTAAGAAGGTGAAGGACTTCCTAAGAAGCAGTGGTCTCAGCTCTGGGACAACAAGAGGCTGAAATGGATTAGTAAGGCCCTGGATCAGCAGAAGAAATATGAGGAGACCATGTGGGACTATATCCAGAAGCACCTTGAGCCGAATATCAGTGGGGTCGGCATCACCAAGTTCACCTTCACCAAGGCTGAGAATGGCAGCTCAAGGACAAGTTTGATGGATGACCCACCAAGCCACTTCCCAACAGCTACTTGCCGTACTGAGAAGAGCTCATGGCTGACATGAAGGACACACCCAGCAGAGAGTACATGGTGCTGTGCAACCAACAGTGGAAGCTCCTCTCCCACAAGGAGAAGGATGCCTATCACATGAAGTGCATTCAGAAAAAGAAACATTATGAGGTGGAGCTCCTCCATTTACTTGAGAGACTTCCCCAGGGAGGAGCAGTAGTGGGTCCTGGGGAAGGAGAAGATGTTGAATAGCAACAAGAAGCAAGCCACCAGCCTGGCCTCCAAGAAGCCACCCCAAGATGGGGGTGAGGACAGCTCAGAGAAGCCTAAGTGGCCCATATTGGATGTGTTCATTTCTTTTTTTTCTTTTTTTTTTTTTTTTTTTGAGGAGAAGTGGTAGCAGCTGTGGGAGGAGCAGCCTGAGCTCCCTGGGAGTGAGTGGACCTACCTGCTGGCCCAAATGTGGAATGATCTGGGAAGAAGAAGGCCAAGAACAAGGCCCAGGGGGGAGCACCAGGCACAGGGCAAGCTGCCAGAGTCACCCAAGACAGCAGAGAAGATCTGGTAACAGAGCATCATTAGTGACTACATGGCCCAATTGAAGAACAACTGGGTGAAGGCCTCAAAAGCCATGGAGATGACCTGGAATAACATAAAGAAGAAGGAGAAACTGCTATGGATTAAGAAGGCAGCTAAACACCAAAAGTGATACAAGAGAGAGCCGAGTGAGATGCAGGCACCTCTGGTTGCTAGAAACTCTTCCAGGAAGATAAAATTCCTGGGAGAAACCAAGAAGCCTCCCATGAACAGTTCCCAGGAGCTGCTGTCCAATGGGGAGCTGAACCACCTGCCACTGAAGGAGCGCATGGTGGAGAATGGCAGCCGCTGGCAGCACATCTCCCAGAGCCAGAAGGAGCACTACAAAAAGCTGGCCAAGAAGCAGCAGAAGTGTGCAAGGTACACCTGGGCCTCTGCATCAAGAGTCTGTCTCCCCAGGACCATGTAATTTACAAAGAGTACATCTCCAATGAACATAAGAGCATGACTAAGCTTTGAGACCTGAACTCCAAGTCCAGCTGGACTACCCTGAAGTCCAATTAGAAGTCTGAGGAGAAGGACAGCAAGGATGAAGAGGAAGAAGAGGAAGATGATGAGACTAGTGACTCCTCTGATGGTGGGGACTCCTCCAAGTCCAGCATTGAGGATGAGATCAAAGATAGGGACAAGAATAAGGAGGATGACAAGGATAAAGATGATGAGGAGGATGGCAGTGAGGATGAAGATAATGAATCCACCAGCTCTTCCTCTTCAAGGGACTCCTCAGATTCTGACTCCAACTGAGATCAGCCCCACCCTCAGGCAGCCAGTGAGAGCCCAGGAGCTCACCTCACAAAATATGGTGGGAATATGGGGCTGGAGGAGTCCAAATCAGGATTCTACAGCCTCAGAGACATCAGCCCTGGGGAGTCCTCCAGGGAGAGCAACCACCTGACTGAGCCAACACCAGACCAGTTCCCCCCACCCCACCTACCTGTGACTTGTGCTTCTGGCTTGGATGATGTAACAGGGAGCAGAAATGAGGGGTGCCAAAGAGTTCAGCAAGGTCCTCCACAACTGCAGCTCAAACCAAGGTGGGGTGGGAGTTTTGGGGGGGCCCTTTCTTTTTCAGAGGGGCTTCCTGCCTGGCCCCCGGTATTGGAACTGGAGGCATGGAGCATTTCGGGAGGGGAGGGTAAGTGCCTTTGAGAAAATAGGCACTGCCCTGATGGCCCTCTTCCCTACCCTCTGTAGGAAGGAGCTGCCTGGACCCGCTTATGGGGGAGTGGACAGAAGTGTGTTTTATATGCATATATATTAAGCCGTAAACAAGATGCTTCATTCTGAAAAAAAAATGAAGCACATGATTATTAATAACAACCGAACTACTGACTTTCCGTTTCTCAAGAAAGTTGATCATGGACATGTAATTTGCATAAAAGTTTAGGAGCCATTTACCAGCCACCCTGGGAGCCAAAATAATATTGACTGGCTATATAAAATCTGAGGAGGTAGATCTGTGAAAGATACATAAACATTTATTTCAAAATTTCGTAGTTTCCTTTTTTAATTTATTTTACTTTAAGTTCCGGGATACATGTGCAGAAGGTGCAGGTTTGTTACATAGGTATACATGTGCCATGGTGGTTTGCTGCACTTAGAAAACTTCGTAGTTTCAAAACTTCATAGTTAATTTAAGAAGCCTGGGCCCGAAGATGGCCATTTAACACGTATTAATACGACTTCAGAAGGTGTATTTACATATCACTCAGTAAAGCATGACTTTTAATTTGGATCAAATCATCATTTTCCTAAATTAATGCCATTCATTTCTATTCCAAGTGTTCATGTGCATATATTAAAAATGAACTGATAGATGTTATTGTGTTCACTTCATTAGCAGAGTTTTGCAAAGAATTAAGTGAGGTCAGTTTTATATCAGTGATATTGAATGCTTCAAATAAAACAATCCGTTAATTCCAATGATGGCTAAATTTTTATCACCCAATTCGTTGTATCAAAGTAAAAGTTTTAGAAGTTCATTCTGTCAAAGGGAAAATATGATATTGTTTTGAATTCTATTGAAAATTCATTTTAAAAGTTCAACATTGAGGATTCAGTTATTTGTTTTGTGATATAATATGAAAGTTATTATCATTTTTTGTGAAGCACAGTGTTATGGTAAAAACAAGGTTTTTTTTTAAACTAAATGAAGTTGCCTATAGAGCAGAAGTGTACTTGAATTGGTTGACATGTACACGTAATTCAAAATGATTGCAAAAGAGCTATGATATTATACCACTCAGAAAAGGCAGTTGTCAAAATTTACCAAGGCTTTATAAGCGCGTGCATGTGCACACACACACACACACACACACACTGACACACACAGAAAGATTAACTGAAGTAAAAATATTTTCTAATAAAGTTCATATTGAATTAAAAAATGTAGTATGGCAGCACATGATTTCTCTCAAGCTGAGGAAAAATGTATATAAGAAAGTCTGAGGGAAATTTAAAAATTAAAATAAATTTTAAGTACAATTTTCAAATTTATATTTTGGCCTCCTTCTTCCCAAAAAGGTTGTAGTAGGCAACACCAAAGTAACATTTCTATGAAAATAAAATATTTTTTCTGGAAATATTTAAATGAGCTAAAATTTACATTTCCCTATATTTCAACATTTTAATGACTACTGCATATAACTTACTAGCTAGTACAGTTGTTTTACTAAGATTTGTGCAAGAAGTCACCCTAATCTTTTAACTTTTATATGTGTAAAAATATAGTATATATAATATATAATATATGTAACATATAACAAATGATGCTCTTAAATATTTGCTCTGGGCTTCCTGCTAACCTCCACAGAAAGCAATTGAACTGTTAAGAAATAAATACAATGAGACAGAACAGGTCACTAATAAGGAAATAAATTGATAGTCCCTCTCTACTGCTCAGAGCTGTTGTTGAGATTAATTTAATAATAGGATCACCAAAAAGCTGTTGAGCTCCAAATACAAGGTCTCTTAAGAACCCACTAAGAAGGGGGAAATGGTATTTTCTGGCCCTCCACTACTGTGCCCTGTGTTCCTGTAGATATTTGTTACTTTCCAGCTGCCCAGTATCCACTGCCACTTCCCAGGGCACCCCAATTTTCTTTTGGCGAATATCTCTCCCTGATTAGGGTAGTCTTGGTGTAAGGTAATTCCAGGTTCCTGCCCCACCCTTTGGAAGCCGAAGACATCCAGTCTTTCCTAGCCTTGCCTAGTTTGAGAGCCAGGAAAGAGAAGTTGGTCTGAGCTCCACAAATCTGATACTCTTTTTTTTTTTAAATGAAGAATAGCTATAGTTTCTGCCCTGTGAGAGCATACAATTTTAATAATAAAAACTCTTTTTTTTTATTATTGTACTTTAAGTTCTAGGGTACATGTGCACAATGTGCAGGTTTGTTACATATGTATACCTGTGCCATGTTGGTGTGCTGCACCCATTAACTCATCATTTACATTAGGTATATCTCCTAATGCTATCCCTCCCCCCTCCCCCCACCCCACAACAGGCCCTGGTGTGTGACGTTCCCCATCCTGTGTCCAGGTGTTCTCATTCTTCAATTCCCACCTATGAGTGAGAACATGTAGTGTTTGGTTTTCTGTCCTAGCGATAGTTTGCTCAGAATGATAGTTTCCAGCTTCATCCATGTCCCTACAAAGGACATGAACTCATCCTTTTTTATGGCTGCATAGTATTCCATGGTGTATATGTGCCACATTTCTTAATCCAGTCTATCATTGATGGACATTTGGGTTGGTTCCAAGTGTTTGCTATTGTGAATAGTGCCACAATAAACATACGTGTGCATGTGTCTTTATAGCAGCATGATTTATAATCCTTTGGGTAAATACCCAGTAATGGGATGGCTGGGTCAAATGGTATTTCTAGTTCTAGATCCTTGAGGAATCGCCACACTGTCTTTCACAATGGTTGAACTAGTTTACAGCAAGGACTTCATGACTAAAACACAAAAAGCAACGGCAACAAAAGCCAAAATAGACAAATGGGATCTAATTAAACTGAAGAGCTTCTGCACGGCAAAAGAAACTACCATCAGAGTGAACAGGCAACCTACAGAATGGGAGAAAATTTTTGCAATCTACCCGTCTCACAAAGGGCTAATATCCTGAATCTACAAAGAACTTAAACAAATTTACAAGAAAAAATCAAACAACCCCATCAAAAAGTGGGCGAAGGATAAGAACAGGCACTTCTCAAAAGAATACATTTATGCAGCCAACAGACACATGAAAAAATGCTCATCATCACTGGCCATCAGAGAAATGCAAATCAAAACCACAATGAGATATCATCTCACACCAGTTAGAATGGCGATCATTAAAAAGTCAGGAAACAACAGGTGCTGGAGAGGATGTGGAGAAATAGGAACACTTTCACACTGTTGGGGCTGCAAAGTAGACAACTCTGATACTCTTTCCCCAAACTTTGGATCTTGAGGAATTGATGCAATGAAACAAATGTAGGTCATGCGTTTATTGGTTACTTCCTACTTTAAGTTAGTTGGTATGAATTGTGTGGCCTAGGCCTACAGAGTGACCTTGGTTTCTGTAAGCCTAGGCCTGATTTTCCAGCCTCTGCCTTCTGTTAAGCCAAAGATCATTTCAATTACTTGCAAACAGGAATCCTAAATGACACCTCTTCCTTTAGCAGTGCTTTCCCTTACATCTATGTCAAGTAAATTACCCTATGACCTACCCACCTTGCTTCTCTCTGAGGGAAGTCATATTTTTCTAAAAGTAATGTGCACTAAGGCCTTAAGAACTCAGTATGTTACTCTTCCTAGGAGTCTTAGAATAGTGGAAAGTTCTTTAAGGAGAAGATGTTAGATAAGCTTTGAAAGGTAGATGTTCAGACATTTGGTCCCTATATGAATATAGAATGAAATGCTACAATTTATTGAATACCATATGGGTGTTACTGTGCTAAGTGAGCACTTTGCAGACAATCTCCATGATGATACTTTGAAGAAGGTATTATCATACTCATTTTATAGATGAGCAATGAGAGGCTTGGAACAGTAACAATTTCCTCAAAGTCATCAAGCTAATATTTGGGAAAGACAAAATTTGAATCTATGTTATTTGACTCCAAAGTCATTTTCTTAGCCATTAGCATGTACTGCCTCTCTGTATGGTAGGAAACTTCTGGGGAAAGAAGGATTTTCTCTCTCGGGCACTCTATAAGCATGTTTTGCCATTTCTGTGTGGGAACTAGCCCAACACATGCACTCAAGTACAACATGCCAACATGGAGGCTGACATTTCTTCCCTGTGTGAAGCTGGATAGTTTGGTTGGGCCAGGCTAGCAGTGTCCTTGTCCAGTTGCTTTTTTTTTTCCAGGACCCAACTATTATTTTAGTAGATTAATGAGGTATAATTTACATATAGTAAAATGTGCAAATTTTATGAGTACAGTTTGGAAAATTTTAGCAAAAATATACAACATGTAACCACCCAACTCAAGATATAGAACATTCCCATCTCTCAGAATTAAAGTCAGTTCCCCCACCCACAGAGGCAACCAGTTTTAAAATTACAACAAGTTGTGCTTGTTTTTGAACTTTAAATCCTTTTTTTGTAAGACAGGTTCCCATTCTGTCACCCAGGTAGGAGTGCAGTGGCACAAACATGACTCACTGCAGCCTGGACCTCCTGGGCTCAAGTGATCCTCCTGCCTCAGCTTCCCTAGTAGCTAGGACTACAGGTGCAAGCCACCATGACTGGCTAATTTTATTTATTTATTTATTTATTTATTTATTTATTTATTTTGTAGAGACAGGGTCTCACCATGTTACCCATGCTGGTCTTGAACTCCTTTGCTCAAATGATCCTCCAGCCTTGGCCTCCCAAAGTTCTGGAATTATAGTTACAAGCCACCATGCCCAGCCTGTTTTTGAACCTTATATAAACGGAATCATACAGTGTATACTCTTTTGTGTAGGGCTTCTTTCACCCAACCTAATGTTTTTGAGATTAATCCATGCTGTTGGATGCATCCCAATTAGTTCTTTCTATTGCTCATTCACTGTATGAATATACCCCAAAGTTTTTTGTTTACTCATTTTCTTGTTGATGGACATTTGGGATGTTTTCAGTTAACGGCTAGTCTGAATAAAACTGCTCTGAACATTCTTGTCCAAGTCTTTCTATGGATATATACATGCATTTCTTTTGGTTAGTATATACTTAGAAGTTTTGGGATTGTTTTTTGCTTGCTGATTTATTTGAGTTCTTTGTAGATTTTGGATATTAGTCCTTTGTCAGATGTATAGACTGTGAAGATTTTCTCTATACAAATGGCCAACAAGCATATGAAAGAAATGCTCAACATCACTAATTATCAGGGAAATGTAAATCAAAATCACAATGCGATGCCACCTCACTCCTGCAAGAATGGCCATAATCAAAAAATAAAAAAAAATAGATGTTGGCATGGATGTGGTGAAAAGGGAACACTTTTACACTGTTGGTGGGAATGTAAACTAGTATAACCTACATGGAAAGCAGCGTGGAGATTCCTTAAGAAACTACAAGTAGATCTACTGTTTGATCAAGCAACCCCACTACTAGGTATCTACCCAGAGGAAAAGAAGTCATTATACGAAAAAGATACTTGCACATGCATGTTTATAGCAGCACAATTTGTAATTGCAAAAATATGGAACCAGCCCAAATGCCCATCAATCAATGAGTGGATAAAGAAAATGTGGTGTATATACCATGGAATACTACTCAGCCATAAAAAGGAATGAAATAATGGCATTCACAGCAACCTGGATGGAATTAGACACTATTATTCTAAGTGAAGTAACTCAAGAATGGAAAACCAAGCATTGTATGTTCTCACTCATATGTGGGAGCTAAGCTATGAGGGCACAAAGGCATAAGAATGATACATTGGACTTTGAGGACTTGGGAGGAAAGGGTGGGGGTGGCGAGGGATAAAATACTACACATTGGGCACAGTGTACACTGATCAGGTGATGGGTGTACCAAAATCTCAGAAATCACCATTAAAGAACTTATTCATGTAACCAAACACCACCTGTTCCCCCAAAAGCCTATTGAAATAAAAAAACTAAAAATTAAAAAAAAAAAACCTAATGCAGGAACAGAAAACCAAGTACCACATGTTCTCACTTACAAGCGGGAGCTAAATGATAGGAACACATGGACACATAGAGGAGAATAACAGACACTGGGGCCTACCCAAGGGTGGCGGATGGGAGGAGGGAGAGGAGAAAAACAAACAAAAAAACAAAAAACCTAACTGTTGGATACTAGGCTTAGTACCTGGGTGACAAAATCTGTACAACAACCTCCCATGACATGAGTTTACCTATATAACAAACCTGCACATGTACCCCTAAACCTAAAATAAAAGTTTAAAAAAACAAACAAAAACAAAGTCATAAGAGGAAAATATGGAATATTTCATGATTGTAGTTAACCCAATTAGATTAATTAGAATATAAGTTGAATCCTAAGCATTAATTATTATCACCATCAAACTCATTGAGTCTCATGTTTTACATTTGTTTCCTATAGAAATATCCTGTATCCACAGATCAATTTTCCAATGCTTTACTTTCGTTTCTGTAAGTTCAACTTAATGTGTTATGGAGGTTATGAGTTAAATAAACATTTGGATATGACCTGAAAAAAAGAAATTGCTAGGCGATGAGGAAGGAATGTCTTAAATTTCATTAGAAATGACAAGGATGTACAAGTTTACATTCCTATCAGCAATGTACGAGCATTCCAATTACTCCACATCTTCACCCACACTTGAGTGGGTGTTTTTTATATTTATCATTTTAGTGAGTATGTAGTTTTATCTCACTGTGGTTTTAATTTGTATTTTCCTCATGACTAATAACATTGAGCGCTTTTAATATATTTATTGGCAATTTGGATATCTTCTTTCGTGAAGCACCTGTTCAAGTCTTTTGTTCATATTTTTACTATTGTTGGCTGACTATGAAAGTGTATGACACCATACCTGACCATCCATACAATCTTCATTCTAAGTGCATGTCAGAAAGCTTAATCACCGACTCAGTGACATTCAATAGTTACCCAAAGCTAGGCTGAAAGAGGTCATATTTATAAGGATTGTCTTGCATTAGATGTTTCTGCCTACTCTTCAAGGCCAGAGGTTTTAAACTGGCAGCGATTGACCAGCTCTGGACTACAGAAGCATTTTGTTCAGTTATTATTTTCACTGATATAGTTGCTAATATATTAAAAGTCAAAATAAATCTGGCAACACAGGGCTTATGCTTCCCTCTGGAATATTGGCTGAGGCTGAGTAGTAGTAGCTGCCCTTAGACTGTGCATGTGCTTTCCAGTTTGACTCAGCCCCAGCCCCTACTCCCTATTGTCTTATTCCCAATCTGTTTCACTGACTTACATTACCTACGTGGCCTCCGTAGACATGGGGGAATTTCCACTCTGGTCACAGAACCAGGCTGGGTTTCTGTGAGAAACTGGTTTATTATTTCCCTATGAGTGTTGTGAAATAGATAATTCACCACATTTCTCTCTTAACTCTACGAATGTACAGGAAAATTTGTGACTCAATTGCAAGAGACCTCATGCATTTTATATATTAAACCTTATATTTACTCTTGTCCCTAACCTTATCATTCTTTATCTTGAATTTTTTTTACTTAAAATATCTTGCAGAAAATGTATTTAAATTTTTTTTGGAACAAAGCCTCTGCATATCTATTAGGAGTAGTTTCTTTAAAAAAGGAAAGCCAGCCATTAGCTATGGAGCCCACATAACTCATTTTCTTCTCCATCTCATGAAGGATGGTCAAGGGGAACGAGGTGGTGTTAAGAAAACAAAAGATCCCCTCACCATTTGACATAGGTGTGAAATTTCTCAGCAGGCCCTAGGCCTAGAAGCTCTGAAGAAAATAAGATCCCTGGTGAAAACAAGAAGGAACAGAGTTTACACATATCTAGTCAGATCATATTACAAAAAAAAGTTGCTATATCACTACACACGTATTGAAATGATAATGTAGAGACACTGGACCACTCATACATTGCTAAAGGGAATGGAAAATGGTATGGCTACTCTGAAAAAGAACATGACAGTTTCTTACAAACTAAACACATGTTTATCATACAACACAGCAATTTCACTCTTGAGCATTTATCGCAGAGAAATGAAAATGTATGTTCACACACAAAAAAAGTACGTGGATGTTATAATATTCAAAAACTGGAAATGACCCAAATGCTCTTTAAGGAGTGAACACTTAACTGTGGTATATCCATACCATGAAATACTACTCAGCTGTAAAAAGGAACATGCTATCAATATGCATAACAACCTAGACGGATCTCCAGGGAATTATGCTGAGTAAAAAAAGGTAATCTCAAAAGTTTACATACCACATGATTTTATTCAGTCCATAATGAATGAATTTTATATAACATTCTTGAAATGACAAAATCATAGTTGTGGAAACCAGATTAATGGTTGCTAGGGATTGGCGGGTGGTGGTGGCAGAAGGGAGGTGGCTGTGGCTATAAAGGGTGCATAAGGAGTTCCTTGTAATGGGACTGTTCTGTATTTTTTAAATTTCATTATTATTAATATTATTGTAGAGACAGGATCGCACTATGTTGCCCAGGCTGGACTCAAACTTTTGGGCTCAAGCAATCCTCCTGCCTCAGCCTCCTATGTGGGACTATAGGCATGGGCCACCACACCCAGCTATTCTCTATCTTGACTATAGTGGTGATCACATAACGCTACAAATGTGATAAAACTGCATAGAACTAAATACACACACATGACTGCATGTATAACTGGTGAGATCTGAATAAGTTTGGTAGACTGTATCAACATCAATTTCCTGGCTGTGATATTGTACTATAGTTAGGAAAGATGTTACTATTAAGGGAAACTAGGTAAACAGTAAACGGGATCTTCCTCTCTGTATTACTTCTTAAACCTGCATGCAAATCTACATTTATCTCAAGATAAAAAGTTAAAAAAATTGTTTGAGTTCATTGTAGATTCTGGATATTAGCCCTTTGTCAGATGAGTAGGTTGCGAAAATTTTCTCTTATTTTGTGGGTTGCCTGTTCACTCTGATGGTAGTTTCTTTTGCTGTGCAGAAGCTCTTTAGTTTAATTAGATCCCATTCATCAATTTTGGCTTTTGTTGCCATTGCTTTTGGTGTTTCAGACATGAAGTCCTTGCCCGTGCCTGTCCCCTGAATGGTAATGCCTAGGTTTTCTTCTAGAGTTTTTATGGTTTTAGGTCTAACGTTTAAGTCTTTAATCCATCTTGAATTGATTTTTGTATAAGGTGTAAGGAAGGGATCCAGTTTCAGCTTTCTCCATATGGCTATCCAGTTTTCCCAGCACCGTTTATTAAATAGGGAATCCTTTCCCCATTGCTTGTTTTTCTCAGGTTTGTCAAAGATCAGATAGTTGTAGATATGCGGTGTTATTTCTGAGGGCTCTGTTCTGTTCCATTTAACCCCATCAAAAAGTGGGCGAAGGAGATGTGCAGACACTTCTCAAAAGAAGACATTTATGCAGCCAAAAAACACATGAAAAAATGCTCACCATCACTGGCCATCAGAGAAATGCAAATCAAAATCACAATGAGGTATCATCTCACACCAGTTAGAATGGCAATCATTTAAAAGTCAGGAAACAACAGGTGCCGGAGAGGATGTAGAGAAATAGGAACACTTTTACACTGTTGGTGGGACTGTAAACTAGTTCAACCATTGTGGAAGTCAGTGTGGCGATTCCTAAGGGATCTAGAACTAGAAATACCATTTGACCCAGCCATCCCATTACTGGGTATATACCCAAAGGATTGTAAATCATGCTGCTATAAAGACACATGCACACGTATGTTTATTGCGGCACTATTCACAATAGCAAAGACTTGGAACCAACCCAAATGTCCAACAATGATAGACTGGATTAAGAAAATGTGGCACATATACACCATGGAATACTATGCAGCCATAAAAAATGATGAGTTCATGTCCTTTGTAGGGACATGGATGAAATTGGAAATCATCATTCTCAGTAAACTATCGCAAGAACAAAAAACCAAACACCGCATATTCTCACTCATAGGTGGGAATTGAACAATGAGAACACATGGGCACAGGAAGGGGAACATCACACTCTGGGGACTGTTGTGGGATGGGGGGAGGGGGGAGGGATAGCACTGGGAGATATACCTAATGCTAGATGATGAGTTAGTGGGTGCAGCACACCACCATGTCACATGTATACATATGTAACTAATCTGCATATTGTGCACATGTACCCTAAAACTTAAAGTATAATAATAAAAAAAAGTTAAAAAAACCCACTACACAAAAGTATTGATTAAAATCTTAACTTCAAGCCAATTTAACCAATATTAAAGCAAAAGGATTTAGGTAATTATGTACAATTTAATAACATAATATATATTGTCCATTATATACTTTATTGGTCTGGCAAAGAGCCTGTTTCAGTTACTATGGCTGTGTAACAAATTACCCCAAAACTTGGTAGCTTGAAATAATGACAACATTAATTTTGCTCAGAAATTCGTAATTTGAGCAAGACTCAGTGGAATGGCTCATCTCTCTGCTCCATATGGCATTGTTTGTTTTCTTTATTTTGGAGGGGAAGGGATGCCTAAAGACTGGGGGCAGAAATCATCTGAAAACTCACTCACTTACATGTTTAGTGATCGATGCTGGCTGATTTATGCTGAGATCATGGTTGGAAATGTCAACTGGGACATCTCCATGTGACCTCTCCATATAGGTTAGGCTTCCTCGTAACATGGGGTAAATGATGAGAGTCTCCAGAAAGATAGAGAGCCCAGTGGAAATTAATCATATTTATGAGCTAGCCTCGGAAGTCATGCAGTGTCACTTCTGCCATAGTCTCAGTCCTGTCCACATTTAAGGGGAGTAAACGTAGACCACATCTCTTGATACAGGAGTGTTAACATCACAATGTAAGGTGATTGTGCTGGAAGGAATATATTGTGGCCATTTTTGGCAAATACAATTTAGTACAGGACCGACACAGAATAAATAATACACAATTTTAATAAATGAAAGGAGAGAGAGAGTGACTAAATAAGTATATGCTTTGTTACCTCTTTTTGCACCACCCTTGCCCTCTTCTTTACCCTGCTGAGTAAATACCTTCAGTTCCACATTTTGAAAACCTGGTTCTCAGAAATATGTTAACACTTCTCTCCCTACAATATATTGACTATTATGACGGCTTTGGAATGTGTCAACTTGGCAAGGCTCAACTACATTTTTAAGATATCCCCTTCCTATATGTTTCTGGTTAAAGTGGGCCAGAAGATAAATTCTTATGTAAGATTTGGATAGCAGAAGAGAACAACAGCCATTTTGTAACTCACACATTGTCACTGATCTGCTAACTGTCCTCGTTGGAGAGAGTCAGCAGCTGGGCTTTAACTGCTCCACTCTCCCCTGACTCCTCTTTCCAATGCTTCTACTCCTGTGTAAGGTATGTGGGTTTAGCTCTGTGATGAAGGCTCCCCAGCTTCCACAGAACAATCATACTATTAGGTCCGTGCAAAGGTAATTGCAGTTTTTTGCCATTTCTTTCAATGCTAAGGTCAGAATCAACAAGAACTGTCACAGGTTTCAGCCCATCCTTGTCTTCAGCTTGTGCTTGTGGGTTCCAGCTTATTGTTGCTTTCCCTCATTTCATAGCCATCTTCCCTTCCCTAACTGCCTGCCCTGTGGACTTTAAGCTCCAGCGTCACAGGCGGCAAAGACAACCTTACCGAGACTACTTAACCAACTTCCACAATTGTGTAAGGTTAAATCTGTTTGTGCGTGTGTACGTGTGTATGTAGTGGTTTTCTTTCTCTGATTGAACTCTATATGATACAGATGGCATCAGAAGTCCCCAGGTCAAGTATTAAACTTCCTGTGAATTAATTTTAAGCAGGTTTACTGAGGTCTAATTGGTATACATACATATTGATTAATTTTTTCATTCATCCCACATTCAATATATATTTAAGCCTCTTCTATATCTCTATTATATAGTCTTTATTTTCAATAAGGCAATTTCTTTAAAAGTGGGACAAAGTGTGATTTAACTTTTGATATTTTTGAAAGATCTGTTAAATAAATAGATGAGAAAATATTTTTTTGTGGGAAACTAAACCCCATTTTTCTGTGGTGGAAAAGAGATTCAAGTATTCAAGACTTTTCAGGAATAATTTTGTTTTATTTGGGGACTTTTAAAGGCCAGATGAAATGCTGGGATTTCAAGCTGTGAGATAGATGTTTTGGTTTTAGGCAGGGGAGGAGGAGGAATATTTATGTACATGCTGTTGTTTAGCTTTCACGTATGCTGTGTCTTTGTAGCACCTCCTGAGGGGCTGGAGAGAGGAAAACAACAAGAGAACAAAGAACCTCTTCACACACACCCACACACACACACCCACCCACACACACACACACACACACACACACACACACACAGCCATTCCTGGGTATTCTTTACTCTTTGGCTCTGAGGAAGGGGAATTGAGTTGATTTGGTAATTTATCCAAAATAGTCTCCATCAAACCATCTCATGATAGTCTTACTGACACAGGCTACTTAGCTGCTTTTAAACTGCATAAATCACAATTTAAAATCTGTTTCACAGAGGGAAACATTACTGTGACTCATTTTTCCTTGAAGATGGATAAGCAGCAGCTCATGCATTTTTAGAGAGTTCATATTTCTGTGTAGCTACATCTATTTTGCAATTTAAAGATTTCATTTTCGGCTGGGCACAGTGGCTCACGCCTGTAATCCCAGCACTTTGGGAGGCCAAGGCGGGGGGATTACTTGAGGTCAGGAGTTCGAGACCAGCCTGGCTAACATGGTGAAACCCCATCTCTACTAAAAATACAAAAATTAGCTGGGCATGGTGGTGCACGCCTGTAGTCCCATCTACTTGGGAGGCCCCAGCTACTTGGGAGGCTGAGACAGGAGAATTGCTTGAACCGGGGAGGTGGAAATTATGGTAAGCCGATATCATGCCACTGCACTCCAGCCCAGGTAACAGAGCGAGACTCCATCTCAAAAAAAAAAAAAAAAGAGTTCATTTTCATGACTGATATTAAAAGCCTGTAAGACCCCTAGGACTTTGTTTAATTATGTGTAATGTCCAGAGCACTTAGCATTTTTATGATGTCTAAATATTGAAAGATTTAAAGCACATCACTTGGCCAGAGCTTCTGAGTCTTCACACATCAAAGTATACAAATGAAGAAAAAATGTACACCTAAGTTTTATCTAAATTAGACCAATGCAACTGCTGCACACCTGGGACACACTAGGACGACTGTCCCAGTTGTTAATATATTTAAATACTTCCATACTTGTTGGTCAAGAGACGTTGCACCGAGCTCCACAACACTCTCCCTCCACCTGGCACTGAAACCACCTCTGCTCCTCCCCCAGGACCCCACAGAACACTCTTTGACCCAGAAAATAAAGAGCTATTGCCCACCACATTGGGCTGCCTTCAGGACCCTGCCCCGATACTCAGGTGGGTCTTCAGTCCAGTGCCTGTGCCATATACAGGTATTAAATATTTTGGCTATCTCTTGTACACAAATGTGGTGGAGAAGGGGCTGGCATGGAAGTTGGGAGATTTAAGTTAGAGTCCTTGATTAACCTCTGATATGGTTTGACTCTGTCTCCATTCAAATTTCAACTTGAATTGTATCTCCCAGAATTCCCACATGTTGTGGGCAGGACCCAGAGTGAGGTAATTGAATCATGGGTGCTGGTCTTTCTTGTGCTAATCTCGTGATAGTGAATAAGTCTCACGAGATCTGATGGGCTTATCAGGGGTTTCTGTTTTTGCCTCCTCCTCAGTTTCTCTTGCTGCCACCATGTAAGAAGTACCTTTTGCCTCCCTCCATGATTCTCAGGCCTCCCCAGCCATGTGGAAGTGTAAGCCCAATTAAACCTCTTTTTCTTCCCAGTCTCAGGTATGTCTTTATCAGCAGCGGGAAAATGGACTAATATGACCTCTCTGAACCTCAGTTTCTCCCATTTACTTATTTATTTAAAAAATTATTTGGCTGGGTGTGGTGGCTCACACCTGTAATCCCAGCACTTTGGGAGACTGAGGCAGGCAGATCACTTGAGGCCAGGAATTCGAGACCATCCCGGACAACATGGTGAAACCCTGTCTCTACTAAAAATACAAAAATAAGCTGGGCGTGGTGGCCCATGCCTGTAATCCCAGCTACTTGGGAGGCTGAGGTTTGAGAATTGCTTGAACCCAGGAGGTGGAGGGGCAATGAGCCAAGATTGTGCCACTGCACTCTAGCCCAGGCGACAGAGCAAGACTCTGCCAACAAAAAAAAAGAAAAAAAGAAAAGAAAAAGAAAAAAGAAAAGAAAAAGAAAAAGAATATATATTTTTTAGAGACAGGGTCTTGCTGTGTCACCCAGGCTGATGGCAATGATCATAGCTCACTGCAGCTTCAATCTCCTGGGCTCAAGCAATCCTCCCACCTCATCCTCCTGAGTAGCTGGGACTACAGGGGACACAACACCATGCCCAGCTAATTAAAAAATTTTTTTTAGTAAAGACAGAGTTTTGCTATGTTGCCCAGGCCAGTCTTGAGCTCTTGGCCTCAAGTGACCCTCCCACCTTGGCTGGCATGAGCACCCAGCCAGTTTCTCCCATTTATAAAATAGGAGGTTTGGACTAGATTATATCTAATGACCCTTTGAGTTCTATTCTGGGATTCAATGATTTAGACACATCTGAACATTTTTCATTTTTATCTGGAGGTTTTGGTGTCTTGCAGAGGGAAAAGAATGGCTAAAAGGAGTTGGATAACTTGTTCCAAAAAGCTGGCCAAGCAGTTGGACTTGTCAAGAAAAAAGGCAGTGGAAACAAAACAGCGAACATTGTATAAAATCCCTGCCCAACTATGCTGGGAAAAACATTTGCAATTCTGATTCTAAAATCTCTAAAAAAATTCATATTGGAGGTGGAAAGTTCCCAGAGAAGGGCAGCTAATAGATTGGACAAACTGGTGATCTCTCTCTTTGAAGGCAGATGGAAGATTTGTGATACTTCTGCTTGGAAAAGCAAAGCTGAGTAACAGAGTCAAAGACTACACATTTCTGAAAGACATAGAGGGATGATCACTGACTTACTCATCAAGCCTTTATAATCCTGCACCTGGAAAACAGCTCTTAAAGATTGAAGGGACTAAGTTTAGAGTCATAGTCTTCTCTGCACACTGATAGCTGTGAAGTCAGGGTGATAAACTTATGAAATTTGTTACCCCAAGAGGTACTATGAGCTGTTTACATTGATCCAAATAAGATAGATATTAGTTTATGGTGACGAATATATAAAACATGCAGGGACAGTGATGTTCAGGGCACATCAGGGAAGACAGTGCTGATCTCTTCTAACCCAGTATTGCCACTCTCCAAGAGAGAATGTAGGCCAAAATGACACCTAGATATGCTTCCAGAAGGGCAATTTGCTTTTCTCCTTTTCCCATTTTTTGTTTTTCTTTATTTTCTTATTATTATCTCATATAAGTAATGAATGATCACTTGCAACAAGAAAATTTAAAGGTTCAGAAGACCGTGAAATTAAAAGTAAGTTTTTTCCCCTGCCAACATCCCTCTTCTTACAGGTAATCACAGGAAAATGTGCATGCCCATTTTTACTTGTAAAAAAATTATGTATGACCATACACATACAGTTAATAAAATATCTTAGGTATTTTATCCACTTATTTAAATATTTTAGTGGCTTTAGATTCCATCATGTAAATAAATCATAATTTATTTAACCTACTAATGAGCACTTAGGATGTTTCCAGCATTTGCCACATTTGCAATGTTACAATGAATATTTTTGTATCTTGTATATATCTTGTACCTCAGTCCACTTGTTTGTTAAGGTGCTTTTATACAATGAAGTTTCTGGGAAAAGTACTACTACATTAAATTATATCACATAATACATTTTGATAAAATGGCCACATTTTTCCACCAACTTTTGCTCTGTTTATGAGTGTTCCTCTTTCCCTATGCTATCATGATATCGCAATTTCTGTATTTCCACATCTTTATGCATCTCCTCCTGGCTAAGCAGAAATGTATTCAGTTAAGTATATTACTACACTCCTAAAAGCACAGATGTTATGAGGATAGGAAAGTGATATAAATAAGAGTGGGAACTTGGAGAAATGCCATATAACAATATCTCTGTTGGCCAAACAGATACAATCACATAGAGTTTTCTGATGAATTTTATTTCCAGGTCCCCAAACAGGGTATTTGATCTGAATTTCATTTTAAAATTTTATTCTATTATACATATCATTCATAGAAAAGAGTAAGGCTTGGAAAGTATAAAGAATGAACACCTGTGTAGAATCTTGTTTATGGCAATTAGAGGTTGAGTTGGCTAAAATAATGGTAGTTTTTATTTCTGTCAACCTGATCATTAGGTAGATCACACAGCCTCCTCTTCCTGCATCATTCTTTGCCTCACCCTCCCTCGACATGTATACAGTAAAGTAGATGTGATTAATAGAGCTTATCCCTTTAATTTTGTGAGCATTTTGAATGAGTTATTTACAGCAAACATTGTCGGTTTGTTTGAATTAAAAAGTGAAGGGATTCAGATGTCATATATCCCAGGATTATATGCACATTACTAAAAACCAGAGGCTTACATCCAAGGAATGAAACACTAGCTGTGAATTTTCCAGCATTAATAAGCAGATGGGAACATAGTTGATGGGGTGGACCTGGAGAGAGATCTAGGTGAGGGGTGTATGTGTGTGTGTGTGTGTGTGTGTGTTGGGGAGGTGGGGTGATGGTCCATGTGCTTCTGAAACACACCTGCTGTCTCTAGTTATGTAATTTGGTGAAAGCATGCCAGGACTTGGCAGCTAAATGATGGTAAGAAATAGCTCTTCTCTCTCCTCTGCCTCAGCTTGCAGCATATGGTCCCAGAGACTATTACAGGCAGGAAGATAACCTGGATGTCCCATGCCTGAGCCAGTTCTCACCCTACTCTATCCCAGCTGCATGCTATAACACCACAGAAACACAGACCTTTGTGTGTCTGATCAAGAGGAAGGTATTTTTCAAGAAGGAATGTGGAACCTAGACTAGAAATTTCAGCAGGCTTATAGCTCTGGGCATTGGTTTGCCACTTCCTGGCACTTTGGTTTTTATTACTATGGCTTCACTTCCCACCCTGTGACCATGGCCATTCACTGGCTTCATGTTGCTTTTTCACTTGAACACCATACAGCATTTTTTAAGCCTCAGTAGTCAAAGGGATTTGTTTGCAGAACCTAATTCCCATACAAAATAAATAAATAAATAACAATCACTTCCTCTTTTGCAAGGCTGCCAACTTGTTTACTTCAAGGGGCAATTATGTCACTGCCAGAACCACACTGATAAATAATCTCCTTGTATTTGAATTTTAAAATGAAGCTCTCTAGAGGGTTAGGCTCAAAAACAACCAGTGATAGCTTACTTTGCTGGACTCAAATTCAAGTTAAAATTTGATCTTAAGAAGGATTTATTTCTTTCTATTTTGGACTGAAAGAGAGAATAATGATGAAAGGGAGTTAAGACTTACCTTAGTAATTAGGGAGTCCCAGTGGATTAGACTTGCTAATAGAAGCCCAATTAAAACACATTTTGGAGGGATTTTGTTAGAACTTGTAAATACCCCAGAGCTGGTTCTGGGTTGTCAGCTTTTTTTACTTTTAAGTTTACAATTATGTTTTTGTTGTATGTTGAATAATAAGTAGGACTAGAGGAAATCGGTTTTTATTAAACCATGCACAAGTCTCTAGTACTTTAGAGCCTGAAATAGCTTCATAATTTCTTGTAGTCCACATGTCATGGCCTATCCTTTCCTCAGAGAAGCCTGACATTAGTAGAGAATCAACATCACTTCATTTGTGTCTGGAGATTGGAAAATGCTGCACTTAGTAAGTTCACAGCCTCACTGCCAACAGGCAGGCAGGCACCTGCCAGGTTGAGAGGGTACAGCCATCTGGAACAGCAGAGAACGGGGCGAGGAAAGCTTTTTCAATTTGCAGAGAAAGCAATTACTACATAAAATGAGTGAGATGGAACCAAAAAATGAATGTCCTGTCTAACCACCTGCTGTTCTTGATCTAGAGATAATTCAATGCTTTGGTTATTTGCAGGGAGCTTTGGGAAGAAAACACATTTCATAAATCCCTGTGGCTACAGAGATTGCTGCAATAGTTATCATCATGCCTAATGCCCCTGGATTCCTGCAGACTGTTACACGACTCTGTTGACTCTGAGTCACCGGCACCTGCTGCTGTGAGGAACCTTTAGGTCCTCACTGCTGATAAACCCAGCATGAGAGTCGGGAGTGATGGATCCAAGAAGATGAAATGGCTGCCTTGGGCTCATTGCAGGTATTAACACTCCCAGTTTTACCTCAGGTGCAAGTCAGAAGATTGCAATGATAAAGGTTATTCCTTTAACCCACTACACAACGAGTCTGAGAATATAAGTCATGGACCACATAACTTCAATGGGCAATTATGTCACTGACTCTTGAAATTATCTTTCAGTCAACCATGGACCACATATATGACAGTGGTCCCATAAGATTATAAAGGAGCTGAAAAATTCCTATGATGTGTGCCTAGTGACATTGTAGCCATCATAATGTCATAGTACAATGCATTACATCATTGTGGTGATGCTGGTTTAGACAACCTACTGTACTGCCAGTCATATAAAAGTATAGCACATACAATTATGTAGGGTACATAATACTTAAATATGATAATAAATCACTGTAACTGGTTTATATATTTACTGTACTGTACTTTTATCTTTATTTTAGAATGTACTCCTACTACTGATAAAAAAAAAAGTTAACTGTAAGACAGCCTCAGGCAGGTCCTTCAGGAGGTATTCCAGAAGGCATTGTTATCATAGGAGATGACAGCTCTGTGCATGTTTTTGCCCCTGAAGACCTTCCAGTGGGACAAGATGTGGAGGTGGAAGATGGGAACATTGATGATCCTGACCCTATGT
Source organism: Homo sapiens (assembly GCF_000001405.40). NCBI lineage: Eukaryota > Metazoa > Chordata > Mammalia > Primates > Hominidae > Homo > Homo sapiens. The sequence goes on along the minus strand of NC_000023.11, from coordinate 38,512,511 downwards.
AAGCCTTGGCTAATGTGTGTGATTGTATTTTTGTTTTTAACAAAAAGTTTAAAAAGTAAAAAAAGAAATAATTTTAGAAATAGAAAAAAGCTTATAGAATAAGGATATAAAGAAAGTTATCTTTGTACAGCTATATAAAGTGTATCTTACACTGTTATTACAAAACAGTAAAAAAATTAAAAATTTTTTAAGTTTATAAAGTAAAAAGGTTACGGTAAGCTAAGGTTAATTTATTATTGAAGAAAGAAAAATATTTTTATAAATTTGTTGCAGTCTAAGTGTACAGTGTTTATAATATCTACAGTAATGCACAGTAATGTCCTAGGCCTTCACATTCACTCACTACTCACTCACTGACTCACCCAGAGCAATGTCCAGTCCTGTAAGCTCCGTTTATGGTTAAGTATCCTATACAGGTGTACCATTTTTATACCATATTTTTGTTGTACCTTTCCTATGTGTAGATACATAAATACTTACCTTTGTGTTATAGTTGCCTACAGTATTCAGTACAGTCACATGCTGTACAGGTTTGTAGCCTAGAAGCCATAGGCCATATCACATGGCCTCGTGTGTAGTAGGCTATGTCATCTAGGTTTGTGTAAGAACACTCTATGATGTTCACACAAGGACAAAATCTACTGACACTGCATTTCTCAGAACGTATCCCCATCATTAAGCCACTCATGACTGTACTGGAAAGAGCCTTTAATTGCATCTGTTCTTAGAATTCTAGGACTCTTTCCTGTGGTCTTCATGATGCCGAGCAACAAATATTCAATTCAGTGATTAATCAGCCCAGTTCTTAGTTTTGTTTCCCCAAGAAGGAAACCGCAAGACAAGTATTCAAATGCATGTAGCTTGTTTGGGAGGTGATTCCAGGGAACACTGTTAGGTGAATGGGGAAGTGAGACAGGTAAGAAGAGGAAAATGGGCTGGGTTTGGTGGTTCATGCCTGTAATCTCAGTACTTAGGGAGACCAAGGCAGGTGGATCACTTGAGCCCAGGAGTTATAGACCAGCCTGGGCGACATGGCAAAACCCTGTCTCTACAAAAAATACAAAAATTAGCCAGGTGTGCTGGCACGTGCCTATAATCCCAGCTACTCGGGAGGCTGGGGTGGGAGAATCACCTGAGCCTGGGAAGTCAAGGCTATAGTGAGCCATGATCATGCCACTGCAGTCCAGCCTGGGTGGCAGAGCAAGACCTTGTCTCAAAAAAAAAAAAAAAAAAAAAAAGGAAAACAATACCAAGTTCTCCAGCAAGATACCACTGAAGATACCACTGTATAATCTCCAGAGAAACTTCAAGAGATAATATAGAACACGGGTTGGCAAACTACAATCCATGGGCCAAATCTAGCCTCGTTTTGTATAGCTTGTAAGCTAAGAATGATTTTTATGGTTTTAATGGTTAAAGAATATCAAAAGAAGAAATTTGTGATATGTAAATTACCTCCAAAAAATCAAATTTTAGTATTCATAAATAAAGTTTTGTTGAAATGCAGCCATGCTCATTTATTTACAAATCATTTATGGCTAGTTTTGTTGTACAAAATTACAACTCTGTACATTGCTGTAATCTCTGTACAGCAGAGTTGAGTAATTGTAATAGAGATGATGTCACTAGCAAGGCCTAAAATATTTAGTATCTGTCCCCTAACAGAAATAGTTTGCTGTCCTGTAATGTAGAACATGCACCTTAGAGTTATCCCATCTGAGGAGCTTGAGAGCTGGGGTACTTATCCAATCAATTTTCATCCCTCATTGGAGGAGGGCTGCTCTTGGACAGCTTTAATTTCCCAGCACTTAATAGTCTGCCTTGCCATAAATGGAGAATACCCAGGAATTATGAGTTCTATGAAAATTCATTCTCAGCTCAAAAAGACATAATTACATATTTCCCCTAATTAAACATGAAAACATGCATTTTACAAATTCCTAGTTTTTCTAATTCCCGAGAAAACTCAGTTGTATTCTGGGCCCAAGACCACAGAGTGAATTAAATATTTCTGCCTATTTCTCAATTATGGATTGAATTAAGCAGTATAACAAGTTATATAGAGCCTCTGTGAAGGATGGCTGGTAGTATAAAGTACCTTTTCTTAATCAACAACAATCCATGATAATGAGTAAGTTGGAGCTGAGAATGTCTTTATCTTCTGCATAACTTCACCAAGTGGATAGTGAGCTATTTCAATTAGAATGATATCAAAACCCAAATGGAGATTATTGTTATAGATTTAATTTCATAATATTATGCTTGTGAATAACTGAAAACGATAAAACATAAAAGGCAGAAGCATTGTCTAAATAAATGCAAAGCAAAATCAGTATTCACCGAGGCAAAACTTATTCTGGTAGCAGATTCTAGACACCAGTCATTCCCAAGACTGTATATCCTCTGTGCAGCCACTTTCTTTTACTAATTCATTTATTTTTTTTAACTTTTAGGTTCAGGGGTGCATATGCAGGTTTGTTATATAGGTATATTGCTTATTGCTGGGGTTTAGGGTACAGATTATTTCATCACCCAGGTAATAAGCATAGTACCCAATAGGTAGTTTTTTTATTCTTATCCTCCTCCTACCCTCCACCCTCAAGTAGGCTCTGGTGTCTAATGTTCCCTTCTTTGTGACCATATGTGCTCATTGTTTAGATCCCATTTATAAATGAGAACATGTGGTATTTGGTTTTCTGTTCCTGTATTAGTTCGCTTAGGATAATGGCCTTCAGCTCCATCCATGTTGCTACAAAGGACATGACCTGATTCTTTTTTATGGCTGCATAGTATTCCATGGTGTATATGTACATTTTCTTTATCCAGTGTACCATTGATGAGCATTTAGGTTGATTCCCTGTATTTGCTATTGTAGATAGTGCTGCAATGAATATATGTGTGCATGTGACTTTATGGTAGAACAATTTATATTCCTCTGGGTATATACCCAATAATGGGATTGCTGGGTGAAATGGTAGTTCTACATCCTTTGAGAAATTGCCAAACTGCTTTCCACAACAATTGAACTAACTTACATTCCGACTAGCAGTGTATAAGCATTCTCTTTCCTCCACAACCTCAGCAGTCTGTTCTTTTTTGACTTTTTAATAATAGCCATTCTGACTGGTGTGAGATGGTATCCCATTGTGGTTTTGATTTGCATTTCTCTAATGATTAGTGACATTAAGCATTTTTAAAATATGTTTGTTGGCCACGTGTATGTCTTCTTTTCAGAAGGGCCTGTTTATGTCCTTTGCCCACTTTTGAATGGGGTTGTTTTTTGCTTTTAAATTTAAGTTCCTTATAGGTTGAGGATATTAGACCTTTGTTAGATGCATAGTTTGCAAATATTTTCTCTTATTCTGTATGTTGTCTGTTTGCTCTGTTCATAGTTTCTTTTGCTGTGCAGAAGCTGTTTAGTTTAATTAAGTCCCATTTGTCAATTTTTGTTTTTGCACAGCCACTTTTAAAATGAAGCTTAAACATACCCAAATTCATACAGCCTTATACCCTAATTTACTTAGATGTTCAAACACCATCAAGCACTTTCTTTCTTTAAAAGAACAGCAGCACAGCTTAAAATCCAAAATGAGAAATTCAGAAAATAGCCAATTAAAAACAAAATCAATTTCTTATTCCAAAATGATTTCAAGTTTTTCTTTGATCACTAAAACTAACCACAATTGTTTCCTCCAATAAAATTGTTAAAGGTTCATAAGTTTTAGATGTTGTTTATCTCCAAACATACCAGTGTATTATTAAAAAGAAGAAAGTCTATTTGTCCAAGCCCAGATTCACAGTTAGAACAAACTGTACACTTAAATGGTCTTCTATATGACCCTCTTATTCCATGCTGTACATGCTAGAGAATGCCGAAATTAAGTGCTGCCAAATGTCATCATGCCCACATAAACTGCCCTCTACTAATTTGAAGGGTTAGCCTTTCTGTCTTGGCATTATCCCACAGACATACATGCCTCCTAAGCAAAACTGTCCCAGTTTTCTGGTCTTAGGAGGATGGTTGCTGATAGTAAAGTAGGAAAGTACTAATCTTATCTACACTAGCCTGCTTCTGTTTTTCTGGCTTGTCATGTCTATTGTTCTACGGCCAGCAGGCACGTTTCTTTCCACTATTTAAGGTGGTCTCAATACTTCCACTCATTCATTCAACTATTTATTCTTTTGATAAATTTTTGAGTTCCAACAACATGTCAGGCAACATCCCCTCAACTCTCCTCACTTCATCCCCAACTGCCACACACACTTGACTTGTCTCAGATAAAGCAGATAGGAGGCTGGAGGAGTGTGCTCTACTAGGGTCTTCCACATTACCACAACCACCAGAACCACAAAATAGATCTTCACAACTTTAAATGGAAGAGCGAAGATATCGTTGCTGACTCCAGGCTTGAGACATTCTGGGTTGAATCCCCTGAAAAACTTTTTCAGGAAACCAATGTGATTTTATCAGCAAGATTTACCTTGTGAACCTTGAAGGCCTTTAGATATCTGTGTAGACCAGGCTATCAAAAGAAATAAAAGTTATTAAGCATTGAGAGGTCAGAGTCCCAGCTAAGGTTTAGGCAGTATAGCTTTGTGGTTAATGGCATGGCTTTTCAAATGGATGATGATTCAAGTTCAGCTCTATCTATGCCTTTAAAATCAGTTTTGTAATCAATATTAGAAGAATACCATGTGTCCTCCATTAGGCCGTGCAGTGTAGTATATGGCAATAGCAATATGAGTTCTGTTTCCTTTCTCCTTTAAATTATACCTAAACGTTTTCCTTAGGGTTCCAACCTTAGAATAGTAGACTTGCAAAAAAGGTTTATCTATTCCTAGTGTACCAGTGTTACATCTTTTCCTCTTCTATTGAATCTCTTTGTTTTAAACAATGACTAGCCTCTTATTTCCATATTCTCAGAAGGAGTCCATTATACCATGCATCAAATCTCATTGATGCCCATGAGATCATATATGCCTCAGAATATTAAAATATTAGATTGACTGTTTATTGCTTTTAATTATCAATACTCCTTGGGTTGTTTGTTATATAGGCAGAGTAACAAACACCTGGTAAGCATGCTCTAATCCCCCTTCCTGCACAGGGCAGGCATTGCTAATAAGCCATAGCTCTCTAAATGCAGCTTCAGAATATTTCCCAATACAAAGTTCAGGAATCCTTTATCAAGATGTAGCCTATTGGACATTCTTGGTATATTATGATATGAATCCTATTGTTAGGGGTTAATATCAAGAAAATTACTTTTGAGATAGGTTTGAGCCAGTTTTTAATTTGGAAGGGATGAAAAGAGAGAAAGAGAAGAGCAAACAGACCATTGCTCATACAAAGCAATGTTTTTCTAAGGAAAATGCTTATCGGATTTAATTTCCATTCTAGCAGATGGGTTTTAACGTTTAAACAGAATTGCTTGGATTTGAAGGGACCTCTCGTGGGTTATTTAGCTCATATCTCAGGACTACCACAAGATAGATCTCATTATTTTTCTTAAATCCTGTCTTAAAAATGAGTGTCTAATGAGTCTTTAAATAGTGATTTTACTACCTCCTGTGGTAGCATGTGTCATAACTTCTGTATTCTACTAGCTTCATAACTTCAGTGTTCTAATAGCTACCAATTCTGCTCTAATATTTATTTAAACTTTCCCTATAGCATCAGAAGTCTATTGCTGCATTTGCTACACTTGCTCTTTTTTTAACCTTTGAAGCTAGTTACAACTGGCAGTCACTGAGGAAACATAAGCTGCAGATGTCATGGATGGACTGGTCACCATAACCACCTTGGACTTAACAGTTGCTCCTAACAATTTCTTAGTTTGAACTTCATCTTCTCCTAAGTTCAAACATGAAGGATGGTTGGCAATCATGCCTCTGGCCCTTTGAATTTAATACGGTACTGTTATCTTGGGTGTTGACTTTCCTCATTTGCCTACTTCTCCATTTCTTTGTATCAGCCAGGAATCCCTGAAGTGCTTCTCCCTATTGCTCAGCAGTAACACCTGTATAGGAGGAATTGAGGCAAAGTCTTCCAAAGCCTCATTTAAAATGTTGACACTAAAGCATGATTATATCTGGACTGTGCATGTCTAGATCTATAAATTTGGGTTCTTCCCACCCATAAATGAAGTGGGTAGTTTTCTTTTTGTTATGATTTGAGTTGATAGCCTTTCTGATAAAAAAAAAATCTTCCTTACTTAGAAGTGCTGGAAATTGAATCACTGAAGAGTCTTTTCTCTTGATTAATCACAAGGCAAACCAAGGTTCTCTTTTAAACTGATGATGATTTAGAAGGGTTAATCCATTAGGTCAAAAACTCCTTAGTATAAATTAGATATTTTTCATCCCACTTTCCTCCCAAATAAGTGAGCATAAGTAGTACACTAGAGTCCTTGAAAGAGATGCTGAAAGGATAGAAATGACAGCAAAAATAAGTAATGGAAAAGCACCAAAGAAAAATATTGCGTATTTCTCCATGTGGCCATGGGCTAGCCTGAAGTCAACTCAAATCCACAAATGTAAGACTTTTTTCATTGTGTTTCCTTAAGGCTACATTCCAAATCAATATCCCTACTACTTGTCAAGTGTTCTTTACTCATTAATCCTACCTTTGGCTGCCTGGGACTTCAAAGATTACCTTCATGCTATCTTATTACTAGGGCCTGCCTGGGAGGTCTTTCTTCTTTTTTACTTTCCATCCAATCCTTGGCTTCTCCTCGAGGCCAAGATCATTACATACCCATTATAAAACCTTATCTGAGACTTCAGACCTTACTCTCAATTTACTTAGCAAACATAACTCTAAGGCATGCAAATGAAGAGGAATGAAACTATGTTCATTGTGTACCCACTATGTGGCAAGCACTGTGCTAAACATGTATCATAAGGTATCTCATTTTAGTATGTACAGCCATATCAGGTAGGTGTAATTATCATTGTAAAATGAAAATGAGAAAATAACATTTTTTTTTATAGGAAACAGAAATCTACCTGGAAAACTGTCGCTCACCTAACAGAGTTGAGAAGGATGTTATGTCTTATGTTCTTAAGGTAAGCCATTAGATAGAATAGTCTGGAAGATTCTAATTCAAAACCTGTGAACATTTCACAAAAAATTGTCTAGCTAGTGCTAGGAAGCTTTTTAGTATCTGGATGTCTGGAAGGTCTATAAGTGAGATGAGGTAAAACTTTTCTGGGAAAGAATGTAAATAAAAGAGTTATTAAGTAATTATTGGTGACATGTAGCTTAGATTCAGCAGCATGCCACTTTGCCAGTATCTGTTCTTTAAATATAGTCACTCCAGCTTTGTTTTTATTAGTATTGGCATGGTATTAATATATCTTTTTTCATCCCTTTAACATACCTATATCATTATATTTGAAGTCAGTCTCTTATAGACAGTGTATAATTGGGTCTTTTTCAAAAAAATCCATTCTGACAATTTTTGACTTTTACGTTTCCATTTAATGTGATTATTGATATGTTTAGATTTATACTTACTATTTTATTATTTATTTTGTGATTGTTCTATTTTTCATTTCTTTGTTTTTCTTTTTCTTCCCTTTTTGGATTATTTGGACATATTTTAATATTCCATTTTAATTTGTCTATTGTATTTTTACTGCCTTTTTATTTATTTATTTTTACTTTTATTGTGTTTGTTTTTTACTGATCAGAGAAAAGGAAAACACTACAAACACTATTTTTTTGTGTTTTTTCTAGGGATTATAATATATGCACTGAACTTTTCTGAGTCTACTCTAAATCGATATTTTACTATTTCAAGTGAAAAAAATTACCACCATATAGGTCCCTTTCCCCTACCCCCTTTATACTGTAAATGCCTTTTATGTAGTACCTCTACATATATTGAAAACCCTATCACAAAATGTTATGTTTGGCTTTCAATCATCAGGCATATTTTAAAGAACTCAAGAGGAAATAATATTCCATTTACCCAGATGTCTACCATTTCTATTGCTTTTCTTTCATTCCTGATGTTGCAACTTTCTCTCTGGTGACATTTCCCATCTGTCTGAAGAATTTTCTTTAACAATTCTTTCAGAAAACATCTCCTGGCAATAAATTTTCTTGGTTTTAGTTAATCTGATAATGTCTTTATTTTACCCTCATTACTGAAGGACTGGATTGACAATTCTTTTCTTTCAGCACTTCAAAAAAAAGGCATTTCACTTCCTTCTGGTTTCCATGGTTTCTGATGAGAAATTTGCTGATATTCAAATTGTTATTATCATGTAAGTCATGTGTCATTTTCTCTGGTGGCTCTCAAGATTTTTTCTTTGTCTTTAGTTTTCAGATGTTTGATTATGGTGTTTCTAGGCACAGATTTTTTTCAGGGTTATCCTATTTGAAATTTGCTGAGCTTCTGAAGTCTGTAGGTTTATGTCTTTTGCCAAATTTGGGAGGTTTTCAGCCATTACTTTCTTACGTATTTTTTCTGCAGCATATTCTTTCTCATTTTCTTTTGAGGCTCCAATGACACAAATGTTAGCTCTTTTAGTATTGTCCTACAGGACCCTGAGGCTCTGTTTGTTATTTATAAAAATATTTTTTCGTCTCTATTATTTGGATAGGATCATTTCTATTGATCTCCCAACAAGTTCACTATTTCCTCTGTTATCTCTGTTTTTGTATTGAGCCCATCTTGTGAGTTTTTATTTTGATCATTGTATTTTTCATTTCTAAATTTTTCATTTTATTCCTCTTTATATCCTTTATTTCTTTGCTGAGACTTTCTGTCTTCTCATTTATTTTGAGAGTATTTTCTCTTCTTTTTAAATTTTTAAAAAATGTTTGTGGGTACACAGTAGGTATATATATTTATAGGGTACATGAGATATTTTGATACAGGCATACAATGTGTAACAATTCTATCTGGGTAAATGGGGTATCCATCACCTCAAGCATTTATCCTTTCTTTTTGTTACAAACAAACCAATTATACTCTTTAATTATTAGTGCTTTAAAGTCTCTGATAATTCCAGTGTCTGTGTCATCTTGGCGTTTGTTTCTGTTGGTTGTTTTTCCCATGAGAGTTGAGCTTTTTTTGTGGTTCTCTCTATGCTGAGTAATTTTGGATTTTATCCTGGACATTTTGGAAGACTCTAGGTTATGAGACTCTGTGTCTTTCATCCTGTAGGGAATGTAGTTCATTTTGCTGTGATAGGCAATCAACTTGATTGGGTTCAGGCTGTACATTCCAACCAGCCTTCTTTGAATTGTGGTTCCAATGTCAGTTCAGTTTCCAAAGCTTTTGCAGTGCTATTCAGGTCTGTCTCATATGCGTGAAACCCACAGCCAATTTAGAACCTAAGCAGTGTCCTGTCCCATAATTTCATTCTCAAAATCTTTGGTATATTGTTTTGTGTGAGATCCATACATGCATAACTAGGGAGGGAGCCTAGGACTTCACAATTTTATGGGGTTGTTTTCCTCATACTTTCCAAAATGTCCCCATTACTTTTTCTTCCCTGGGGCTCAACTTACAGGCTGTGACCCTCTTACAGTCTAAGAAAGATGGGGCTTTATATAACTATGCTGTGCTGTGCACTTCCAACAACTGAACCTATGTCAGTCCTGAACTGAAACAGCAGGAGGGCAGATAGAAAGAAAAAAGGCAATGGGGATTCACCCCACCCTTTTGGAACATAACTATCCTGATCAGAAACAGTGGTTCTCCTCCCTCAGAATTTTAGGCATCCGTAGGCCCCCAGTGCTGCTGCTGTCTCTACTGCTACTGTAGTTACTGCAGGATGTCCTGGAGTGCAGAAGCACAGAGAAAAGGGAAACATCTCAGAGAACTTCCCCCAACCACCCTCTCTCTGAGCATCAGGAGATCTCTTTCTTGCTCTTCAAGACAGAATTAGAGAGCTTTTCTGTCGGTGCCTGAGTACCCATTTCTATGTTTCAGGATGCCTTGATTCTAGGTCGGGGACAACAGAAGAAAAATAAGTGATAAACTCAGTGTCAATTTGGTAGTACTTCAGATTCTGGCCTGTCTTCTCTCCTAGTCTGCCCACTACTGTTTAATTTTTGGAGTCCTCAAATAGCTGCCCCGTGCATTCTGTCCAGGTTTTGTAGCTGCATTGAGTGGGAGAAACAGGGTGGAGTTACCCCCATTTTACATGGAACCAGAACCTCCTATTTCTTTTATATCCTGCTACAAATATATCTCTGTATTTATCACAGTTACTTTTGTTATTTTTATAACACATTCCCCCTAGAAAAAGCCTCTAAAACACGATGTTTTGCTATAAATACACATAATGAAATGGTTAATATATCTATCAAGTCAACATATCCATTATCTCACAGTTACCATTTTTTTAATGGTAAGAGCACCTAAAATCTACTTTCTTAACAAATTTCCATTATACAATATTAAGTATAGTCTTCATGCTGTACATTAGATCTCGAGACTTATTAATCCTACAAAACTACATCTTTGTATCCTTGACCGACATCTCCCTATTTCCCACCCTCCTATGCCCTGGTAACCACTGTTCTACTCTTTGTTTCTATGAACAGGATTTGACTTTTTTAAGATTCCATATGCAAGTGAGATCACACAGTATTTTTCTTTCTATGCCTGGCTTATTTCACTTAGCATGATGTTCTCCATATTCATCCATGTCCACGTTGTCACAAAAGGCAAGATCTTCTTTTTCAAGTCTGAATAGTATTCCATTGTGTGTGTTTGTGTGTGTGTGTGTGTGTGTGTGTGTGTGTGTGTGTATTTATCTATTCATCCACTGATGGACACTTAGGTTGGTTCCATACCTTGGATATTGTGAATAATGCTGCAATGAACATGTGCATGCAGGATCTCTTTAATGTGCTGATTTCATTTCCTTTGGATGTCTACCCAGAAGTGGGATTGCTGGATCATATGGTAGTTCTATATTTGTAGTTTTCAGAGAAACCTCCATACTGTTTTCCATAATAGCTATACCAATTTATTTTTCCACCAACAGTGTGTAAGTGAACGTCTTTCTCCACATCCTCTCCAACACTTATTTTTTGAAATGTTCTCAGGAGAAACCTGTAAGGAAGGAAGTGAGGGAAGCAGGAAAGGCAGGGGAAGAGGCTAAGCAAAGATATGGTTTCAGCAGAGGTCTAGCATCAGCCTGATCCCACAGGAAGTTCTAGAGCAAAGACGGCACCACACAGTTGTCTCCTTGGAGGCAAAGGGACTGGATTTTTGCTCCTACATACCAGTTTGTCATTGACTGTGCTGGTGGGTACATAACCTCTTAGGCATCTCTGGGTGAAGTTCCCATCAGCTGAGAGTAATTCTCAAGAGAACAGTGCAGCTGTGAGCTGTTAGCAGCCAACACTCATAGCTACTAAATATAAAATAAATAGAGCTAGTCACAGTGCTGGGTAAGATGGTGTAAGCAGCTGGGGATGGATGCTCTGGGTGAGGCATCAACACCATCATTATAATGACTAATCACACATTTCAGTGGTGATCGTCACTGAATGCTGCTATTTCCTTCCAAAACACAGAGAGAATCACTAACTAGTTGTGGCATTGCAGGAACCATGCCTGCGCTGAAATAATCAGCCTCTAGGGTAATGATTTTGAACATTAAGTGTGCATGAGAATTACTTAGGGAGCTTGTTAAAGATGCAGATTCCATCACCAATCCAGAGATTCTTATTCAGTAGATGGGCTATGAGAGCTGCATTTTAACAAGGACCCCTGTGATTCACTTTGAGATTATGGAGGTGGTCATACAACCTATTTCAATGATGGCAAACGTTATTCTGCTTTAATTGTGTTTCCTCAACTAAGTCTGAAGCTCCTATGGGCAGATGTTAAACTGCGGTAATTTCCCCTATTGTGATGTTCACAACCATAAAATGTTTTATACAGAATATTTTAATGAAGCCCTTATCGATTCATTGTTCCTGTGATCCAAGTAACATAGGGGGCCTGAAATGAGGTGACTGTAGGTATCTGAAGCACAGATGAAAACTCTCAAACAGGTGCCATAGGAGTTGTAGAATCCTAGGAGGCAGCTAGCCCTATCAGCAGTGAATCATAACTTTTTAAAAATAATCTTCAGACAGCCCAGGGGTATCAGAGGCTTACTGACACAAAATGCCCATCTCTGCCAAGTGCCCTGCACCATGAATAGAAATGTATGGCTGGGATGGGCCTGGGAGTCTAGCATCTGTTTTCACAGCTGTGATTGTCCATTCAGATTGGGATCCGCATCAATTATATCATCTTTCACTATAAAGAATGGAATATTGATCAGGACTCAGGCCTGCCTAACAATACCAGCTCCAATTTGGGTAGCCAGACAATCTAAGATCAGAAATGAAACAGTATTTCTAAAAGTACATTAAAAAAACTAAAACGAATATGAGAAACCAATAGACTATCAAGTGTTCCTTTCATTCCTTTATAAGAACTAGGCTACATGCTGTGACAGCAAAGGATTTGCTTAAGAAGATCTACTTAATTAGATAAAGTATCTTTCCTTAGTAAATCTGAAAAATAAGCAGTTATGCTCTGCTGCATTTTTATCTTCTAAGATTTTATTAGTTTATCCAGCACACAGTACTGCACACTTAAATAAGGCAATTATTTATTTATTTATTTATTTATTTATTTATTTATTTATTTTGAGATGGAGTCCCACTCTGTTGCCCAGGCTGGAGGGCAGTGGCACCATGTTTGCTCACTGCAAACTCCGCCTCCCGGGTTCAAACAATTCTCTTGCCTCAGCTTCCCTAGTAGCTGGGATTACAGGTGCCCACCACCACGCCCAGCTAATTTTTTTTTTTTTGTATTTTTAGTAGAGATGGGGTTTCACCATGTTGGCCAGGCTGGTCTCAAACTCCTGACCTCAGGTGATCCGCCCACCTCGGCCTCCCAAAGTGTTGGGATTACAGGTGTGAGCTGCTGCGCCCAGCCATTTTATCTATTCTTGATGACCAAGTGGAAGTTATGAGGTTGATCCAGCTGTAGTTTAGGAAATCTGACATGCAAGGGAGTATGTTAAGATTTTATGGGCCATTAAAAGGACAGAATTTTAAATGATTACTGAGATCAAAATGTCATTTATTTTCATAACAAATAAGTGGTTTGGGATTTGTTATTCCCAAAGTGAGTATCACTGAGGCTTTGGGCATATAAATATGCCCAAAGGCATATTTATAAATATATGGGCCTTTACCAAACGTGTGAAGCACCTAGTTGTTTATAGTCACTTAATGAGTGACTCTTCGTCTGCTTCTGACGTGTAGTTAAATGAGCTTGTTGTTGGCTGATAAATCCTCCCAGGACTGAGGAGGTCAAAGTAAAGAACCAGCATTTTGTGGCAACCCATGATCATCTGTCTTACTTCCTTGAGGAAAGAGAAGCCCTGAGCTGAGGTGATCAGCAGGAGGCAAGAACTGATTAATAGGCATCATTTTTTTCTGGCTGCTTTGTGTAAGCAGCTAGGCTAGACTAGTCATGCCTCTGAGAAGGGGTAAAAAATGACAGGATGAATTGGGGAAGCAACCAGGGAGTCATAATCCTGGGAAGCCATTTTGTCACCTGGGCTTAGTAGTTTCTAGAGGAATCCTGCGACCTTGCAACAAGTGTCAGTGAATTGGGCTGGACCACGTGTTATAGGCTAGGCTTTTATTCTGGGAAGTCCACTCTGAGATGGAGCATAGGAGACAGGATGTTCATTAGGGTGCACCCTTGGGACCAATATCTGGGGAAAGGAGGGGAAAAAAGCAGAAGCAGGTAGAGGGAGAAGATAAACTGTGATGCAGGCCCAACAACAGCCTAGGCAGACCCCCAAGGTAGCTCTGAAGTTAAAATGGCCTTTCAGAATTGCCCTCAGTTGGGCCAAGGTGGCTGGGAATTTTTTTTTTAATTTTTTATTTCTATAGGTTTTTGGGGAACAGGTGGTATTTGGTTACATGAGTAAGTCCTTTAGTGGTGATCTCTGAGATTTTGGTGCACCCATCACCTGAGCAGTATACACTGAACCCACTTTGTAGTCTTTTTTTTTTTTTTTTTTTGAGACTGAGTCTTGCTCTGTCACCCAGGCTGGAGTGCAGTGGCATGATCTCAGCTCACTGCAACCTCCGCCTCCTGGGTTCAAGCAATTCTCCTGCCTCAGCCTCCCAGGTAGCTTGCCACCAGCCACACCTGGCTAATTTTTGTATTTTTAGTAGAGATTGGGTTTCACCGTGTTGGCCAGGGTGGTCTCGAACTCCTGACCTTAAGTGATCTGCCCACCTCGGTCTCCCAAAGTGTTGGGATTACAGGCGTGAGCCCCTGCGCCCAGCCCTCCAATTTCTGGCCTTTTATTCCTCACTCCCTTCCCACTCTTTCCCCCTAAGTCCCCAAAGTCCATTGTGTCATTCTTTTGCCTTTGTATCCTCGCAGCTTAGCTCCCACTTATGAGTGAGAACATGCAATGTTTGGTTTTCCATTCCTCAGTTACTTCACTTAGAATAATAGTCTCCAATCCCATCCAGGTTGCTGAAAATGCCATTAATTCATTCCATTTCATGGCTGAGTAGTATTCCATCATATATATATATATATATATATATATATATATATATATATATATAATTTTCTTTATCCACTCGTTGATTGATGGGCATTTGGGCTGGTTCCACATTTTTGCAATTGCAAATTGTGCTGCTGTAAACATGCGTGTGCAAGTGTCTTTTTCCGAAAATGACTAATTTTCCCCTGGGTAGATACCCAATAGTGGGATCACTGGATCGAATGGTAGTTCTATTTTTAGTTAAGGAATCTCCACACTGTTTTCCATAGTGATTGTACTAGTTTACATTCCCACCAGCAGTGTAGAAGTCTTCCCTTTTCACCACATCCACATCAACATCTAATATTTTTTGATTTTTTGATTATGGCCATTCTTGCAGGAGTAAGGTGGTATTGCATGGTGATTTTGATTTGCATTTCCCTGATTATTAGTGATGTTGAGCATTTTTTCATGTTTGTTGACCATGTGTATATCTTCTGTGGAGAACTCTCTATTCATGTCCTTAGCCCACTTTTTGATGGGATTTTTTGTTTTATTCTTGCTAATTTGTTTGAGTTCATTGTAGATTCTAGATATTAGTCCTTTGTCAGATGTATAGATGGTGAAGATTTTCTACCGCTCTGTGCATTCTCTGTTTACTTTGCTGACTTTTTCTTTTGCCATGAAAAAGCTCTTTAGTTTAATTAAGTCCCAGCTATTTATCTTTGTTTTTATTGCATTTGCTTTTGGGTTCTTGGTCATGAAATACTTGCCTAAACCAATGTCTAGAAGGGTTTTTATAATGTTATCTTCCAGAATTTTTATAGTTTCAGGTCTCAGATCTAAGTCCTTGATCTATCTTGAGTTGATTTTTGTATAAGGTGAGAGACGAGGATCCAGTTTCATTCTCCTACATGTGGCTTGCCAATTATCCCAGCAGCAAGGTGGCTGGGAATTTCTATTCCTGCATTGGTAGGTCATTGGATATGGACAACCCCAGAAGGTTATCAAGGAAACTACCTCTTGGTCACAGTGGTTCACTTCAGCTGAGGCAATCCCTGAAGAAGCTTAGAGCTAAGGGCTGTCTGCCATCAGTGCTCCTAGCACCGGAGACAACAAGAACCTCATTGAAGAGGGATCTGGACAGTGCACCAGAGTGGCCAGAACACCTGGTAAAATTTGGGCTGTGGCTTATCTGAGTGATTATGCTGGGTAATGGGAACTAGGAACTGCAGCGCTAGTTATCAAAGGCAAGTCATGTCACTTGAATTTTGTTGCTTATGCCTCTAAGATACATTTTATTTCAAGACCTGACAGGGAACGGCAGACTTGAAGAGTTCTTGACCTGGCCCCAGCTCTGTCTACAGCGGTAGGGCAAAGCTAGATTGGAGTCAAGAGTGGAGGTGACACAAGGCTGGGTTGTGCATGGAACATCAGAATGGTGGGTGGGTTTGCCATTCAAGGCCTTCAGAAAGTGTCAAGCAGTCAAGACAGGGCATCTAATATGAAACATGGGGTAATAGTTGGAAGTCCATGCAGTCTATTGGGATGTAGGGGAAGGCAAAGCACTGGGATACAAATGATAGCAACTGCCCCTTGTTAAGTGCTTGTGTAGATAAGGATCCCTGCTAAGTATTTTACACATACCATCTCATTTAAAACTGCTTACAATTTTGTGTAGTATGTATTATTATTTTCATGTGTATGGGCAAATAAACCAGTTCAGAGAGGAGATTACTCAAAATTATACAGCTGGTAAGTGGCAGAGATTCTGGAGGCAGACTGCCTGCATTTGAATTCTGTCGCTTACTAGATGTATGACATGGAGCAAATTACTTAACGCCTCTGTTCCTCAGTTTCTTCACCTTTAAAATGGGAATAACACCTACCTCTTACGGCTGTTATGCACATTAAATGTATTAATAGCATAAGAGCCAAGAGCAATGCCTAGCACAACTTAAGAACTATATAATTGTTTATGAACTAAGTGAATAGGCCAGTCGAACTCCATAGCCTATGTTCTTGACTATTATGCTACCTTGGCAGGACTCTGATTCCCAGGATGTGCAGTGAGAGAGCTAGGCAGCCTAAGCAGTAGGAAGTACCTAAGATAGTAGGCAACTAATCACTCATTCATGTACTCATTCACAAATATTTATCGAGAATCTCTACATATGTGCTAAGCATTTTTCTGGGTAGTAGAGATAAAGCAATGAACAAAACAGCCAAATTCTCAACCATCATATAGCTTATATGCTAGTGGGGAGACAGGCACTAAACAAAATAATTGATAAATGTGTAAATAATGGCAGGTAGTGGTAAGAGAAATGAAGGCAGGGTAAGAGCACAGGGAGCCCTGGAGCTGGGGCTATGGGAAAGGGCTGAGTGTGTGTTATTTTAAAAAAAGAGATGAGGAAAAAGCCTTTCTGATGAGGCAACATTTGAGCAGAGACCTGAATGAAGTTGGGAGGAATTCAGGCAGTAATCTGGGAGACAAGCCCGGGTAGAGAAAATAACCAGAAAGGCAGGGATGGCCCTTCAGAGTTGCCCCAAGTTGAGTGATGTGGGCTGCCTTTAGAAGGAGAAGAAATCTTGGGTAGGGCAGTTTTCTTCAGTGGAGGCAATCTCCAAAGGGAGCTGACAGTGGATGGCCATACCCCTGCAGCTCTCCTAGCAGCTGGGGAAAGAAGTGTTTCATTCCTGAAGGGCAATCTGGGTGGTACAACTTCCAGCACCCTGTGCCTGTCTTCAGTAGCTTGTTCTACTATTTGGCTTGCTCCTGAAGAATCCAATCTTTCCCACCAAAGAAGTTATGCTGGACATTTTGAAAATTTCATCAAAGTTCTTGTGTAAAAGGGCAAAAGTTGAAACGTTATTTGGGGTTTAAGTACTAAAAAGTAAATATTGGACACTGATTCCTGAACAACACAGGGGAAAGGAGCAAAAATCTAAATCTGAAAAGTTTTTAGGAAGGGAGTACTTGGCAGATGGATGATTTTAAAATGTGATGCCATGAATTCTTTTGCAACTTGATAACACATCAGCACTGCCCACACATTCTAGAAACCATGTGAATGAAGAAGGCTGTCATTAGAGCTGAAAATTGCATTGTGATTTTGGCAATGTTTCACTCTTAGGCCAGGTTCAGATTTCCCAGTTTCTGAACTCTAACCAGTAATTGCTATTACTGTGTTTGGGAGATGATTGCTGGAGATTGTGGCAAAAAGATAGAATTCTCTGCCTTTTAAGGCATCTTAATCACAATTTTGGCAGCATGGAAGCCTTCAACTTAGTAAACTGAGCAGCCATTTCCACAGCAGAGAAATAAGCTACTGTTTGACTCAGAGATGGCGCTTTCAGCTGTTGTTTGTTGACCTGAGCCGAGGGAAACAAGATGACAGATTGGACAAGCAGCACACTATGCAATTTATGCCCTTCATGGACTGTCAAACATTAATTTAAATTAATTTTAATCATTACCATCTGGTACTTATATAGAAAGTCAGGCCCAGATAGATATTTCCTTATCTTGAATTGGTGAACAGAGCTGTGTTTTGGCCGGCAGCCATGTCCATACACCCCAAGGAAGGGGCAAGAACACTGTGGGAGGGCAGATTTGTATGAATGCCAGGCATGCAGCTATCATCAGCCCTGAATGCTGTAAAACAGACCTGTTGGTGCTAGTCCCACCATGGGTCATGGCCCCTTCTCCTGTCCCACTCATAGAGGCATAAATGCTCAGTCATGTCTTTGTATTCCTTGACACTGAGAATGGGAACTGGCTGGGGATGGTCTCTGGATGAATTGAGGCACCTGACTCTGTGGCTTAAACCTCTTAAGCAGGTAAAGTGACCAGTAGCCACATTTAATCTGTTCATTAGGAAATTATTAAGCACTGATGACCTTTGAGGTTCCATTACTCTGAGCATCAGTTATTTTTTCTGTCAATCATGGTGCCAGACCCAGCAGGGAATATGGAAGAAGTATAAAGCAACATTCCTGTCCTAGAGGCCAACTCAGTCCCAGGAGGGATTCTCTTTTCTTCTCAGTCCTCAGACTGAACCTCAAGTTGTTGGTGGCTGGTAGGGAGTAGAAGGGTTGCCAGTGAAGTCCCAGAGGAGTAAGGGAGGAAGAATGGATGAGAAAGCCCTCTATGTTCCTGAATTTTAATTTTTTCATGCAAAATAGCTTGGTGCCCATGAGGCTAAAGGATGCCTTTCAGCAAGCTAGCTCTGGCTTCAGGAGACAAACACTGAGCCCTGTTCATTGCTTTGTGGGCAAAAATCATATGACCTACTTGAGAAAGGACAGCAAGTTTCCCCCTTTTCTTTGAAAATAGAAACAGGTCTTTTTCCCCCTGATTTCCTGCAGCAATGTTAAATACATGCTTATTGCCCCCAAAATCAGATAATACAGAAAAGTAGAAAGTAAACACTTGGTCACACACAGATAGAGACGACTGTTAATATTTTAGTATACACATCTTTATACACACACACAGACACACACACACATCATATATATATATACACACACAGATATATATACATATATATACACATATATACATATATATATATATATATATATATATACACTTATACACACACACATACATTTTTAAAAATTGGATCATGCTATAGTAAGGAAAAGCAAAATCTCCTGTCAGGTGATTTCCTTTTCCAACCAGATTTCAGTATGACCAGAAAGTACAATCGGGGGCTTCAAGCAGGGAAAGAGAGAGTGGCATTGCAAATTTGCCACTTCAAATTTCAAGGCTGGATGTTGTTTCCAGCTCAAGCTGTATCTGTCCAACCCACCTCTTGGCAACTGCCAAGGACAGACTTGCCAGCTCTTCTGAGATATGAGGCCACCTCTATTCAGGATATGAATCTTGTTTCTTTCTATGAAACATTACATTTTTCCTTTGAAAAAAGTAACAGAAAGCACTGTTCATCATGGAGGGAGAGAGGCAAATACAGCATGGAAGAAACATTTTCAAGAGTTAAAATAGAGCATGGTAAAGAAAGAGAGAATCACTTCCTGCCCTCTTTTCTGACTATAAGAAGTTTAAACCATATTTTAGATTTTTCTTTATGTTAAAAGAGAAGACTATTCATACAAAACTCATTTTGATCTATGTGCATCAAAATTAAATGGACGTGATCTACAAGTGTATTTTGCCTCAGGTCAGGATGAGATTGCAGCTGTCTCCTTGAGGGGATTCTAAAACCTTCTGGGGAGAGACCAGAGAATAGAGGCCCACAGAGCCAGGCCATGTAAGGAATGGTGGAGTAAGCCAGGTATGCTTCCGTGGAGAAGGGGGAAGTCTTAGTTTAGTGGAAAGATGGGCTGGACTTATTTTTTATTCTTCTGGAAGCTAGAACCGAAATGAAAAGATCAAAAGTATTATGAGGTACAGAGCTGACACATGAGATTTGGGAAGGTGGAGAAGAAAAAGGGGTGAAGACAGCTAATATTTATTGAGCACCTACTATGTGTCAGAAGTTGAGCTAAATTCCTTGTATTATCTTATTTAATCTTCATAGTAATCTTAAGAGGTAGATAATATTGCTGGTATTTTATAGCTAAGGAGAGTAAGATTCAAAAAAGTTCAGTAACTTGCACAAGGTTGCATAGCCGTTAAGTGGCAGAACCAAGTTTAAATTCACATTTGTTTGGCTCCCCTACATCACACCCTCTAAAAATGGTATGGGTGAGCTTCCTGAGTTAACGTGTTCCTGGGTACCTCAGTGCATTCAAGAAAAGACTAGATGGTTATTTGTTGGGGATGTTCTTCAAGGGATTTGTGCATTGGTATAGAGCTGGAACACATGGTTTCTAAGGGCCTTTCTAACTGCATGTTCTAACAAGGTCCCTCTAAAACATGCCACTCTTGCTTGTCTTCAAGACACCTACTGGGGGCATGATTAGAATTTTATTTTTGGCTAAGGCATCATCCTCAGAAAAAGAAACTGAAGATAAATCCCCATACATGTTCTCTTGGAGGACCAACTCCAGCAGACATTGTTGGTATGGCATTCATAACCCCTCAGCACTCACCATGCCCATATATGCCCATGAAGGTTCTTCTGCAAACACCTACAACTCTCTATCTCAGGGCTTGCTTTTGGTTCTTCAAGGGCAGGCCGGAAGTGCCAGAAAGTTAACATCTTTGGAAGTAGTCCTCAGCTAATGACAGAGGGGAATTAGAAGATAACTATTCCAGCTTCCATGGCCTTGTTTGGGATAACTCTAAGGCATGTTCCACACAATCTCCCAGAGTTCCTCAGCAGGAATGAGTCCTAGGTCCCCATAGGGGTAACTTGCTGTTACCCCCTCACTCTCTCATTTTATTATTATTTTGTTTATCCCTTCACTCTCTCATTTACCCTCTTCCCTACTAGTGCTTCCAGGGATCACCTTCTAAATAAACTAGTTGCACTCAAATCCTTGTCTCAGGGTCTGTTTTTGACGAAACCTACACTAAGACACCAACATATACAGGGTTTCTCAACCTCAGCACTATTGACATTCATTTGGGGCTGGAGATGTACAAAATGACAAATACACATAAACCATTTTACTGTTTGTGTAACATCAGTTTGGGTTGCGAGGGATATTTTGACTTCTAAGTACTTGTGTGAAGCTATTTACATTTGTACATATACAGATGTATTTGTTTGTCTGATGCGGGGGAGAGACAGTGCACAGAACAGTGTCTCCCCTTAAATACTGATTTTTAAAAAACTGATGTAGAGGCCAAAAATGCTTCTCTACACAGTAGATACCAGTTGTGCCCTCTCCCCAGCTGTGACAACCAAAAATATCTTCAGATATTGCCAAATGTCTTCCAGGGGACAAAATCAGCCCCAGTTGAGAAGTGCTGCTTGCTTGAGGTACCTGTGGGAAGCACAGGGAAGGTAGGATTTGGGGAAGCAAACCTGTTAGGGTGGGCCATGGGCAAGCTTCTCAGTGATTTTAGTGGAGGGCACAGGTGGGGTGAGGAGGAGACTGAGTGTGTGTGTTTTGGGAGAAGAAAATGAAACAACTCTTATTTCATAACTGCCTGGTGCAAGGTGGTCCCTTGTCTAAAGCAGAACAGCTCAGAACTAAACTCAGTACCCCTTACAGTCTCTTTTAGAAAAATGACAAATACACAGAAACCATTTTACTGTTTGTGTAAAATCAGTTTTCAGTTTTCAGGTGAGTTCAGTTTGGATGACAGGTCCTTAAGCAGCTATTTCACGGCCTGTCAGTTTTTCGGTTGCCAGGGATATTTTGACTTTTAAGTAGTTGTGTGAAGCTATTTAAAAAAATCAATATGTGGTTCCAATATGGGGAATGCTGTCAAACGGAGTAGAGGGTCAGAAAAAAGATGCAATGCTTTCTTAGCTAGAGCTTTGGACCTGATTTGGCTGGTATGTTTACAAATGAGGACCCCTGATGAGAGTGACGGAGTTTCAGGGATGGTAAAGGAGACTACAGATGTAGGTTCCAAAACCGCTGTATTCCCTGTAAATGGAAGTAGCAAGGAAGAATAAATATAGGTTAATACCTATAAGACAGTCTTCATCTTATCTATTAGATTCCTGGTTAAAAAAAAAAAGGTTCTGATTGGGGTTCCTCATTACCACTGAATTCTGATACCTTCCAAGGTCAAGCAGGGTAGCAAGCTGGTGCTGGATACTGTACACGCCCTACCCAAATTCCCTTCTCCCTGTTTGATATGCTCAGCACCCAATTTCAGGGTGCTTTTCTGCTAGTTACTAGCACCTGTGACCTTCTTTGGCGGCTTTCTCTTGGACTAATGGAGTTGCTTCACTTGTACATACCTCCCATGTACCCTGGGAGTTTTTTATTACCCTGGGGAGGCCCACGACCATTGGGCAAGAATATAAAAGCCCAGTTCCCTTGTCTCATGTTGAAATAAACTCTAGGTGTGATTTGCACCCCAGAGCTCCACCTTGAGATCATGACTAAGCTGTGATATTTCCTGACATTGAAGCTTTGTTTATTGGCTTCTTTCTCTGTCCTGCTTTCCCCACTTTGTTTTGGTCTCCCTGTGGGAGCACCTTCCCCATAAATCACTTGCACAGGAATCCTCATATCAGGGACTACTTCTGGGGAATCTGATCAAAGATTCTCAAGGCATCCCAAGGTTTATATTTGAGTGAAAGGGAAGGTGAATTTTACCACTCACGTGTAATGTTTCAGAATCTTACCCTATCCTACAAAATAGGCACTCATTCTTTTTTTTTTTTTTTTTTCTGTAATGGATAATTATCTTGGTCTGGAGAACTGAGAAAACATACTTCTGCCACCTTTGCACTGCTCCTCCTGCTTCCACAACGATCAATGCCTCGGGAGGCATTGTTGATGCTTGCTCAGCCAAGGGAAGTAAGAGGAGCTGCCTTTGCTTGTGTTCTAAATGCCTTGATCTTGAACACTCAAAGCTGTACCTATGTGCTTTCGTGCTTGAAAGGGTGTAGCCACCCACAGAGGGTGATTCAGCAAAAGAGGTCTAGCAGTGAGAAAACTTGGATCAAAAACATATTGGGATCTGCTTCTGATACTTACTGGGGTTTGAGAGGATCTCTGAAATTTTATTCCAAAACTGATCGATCATATAGCACCATTTTTTGAGTTCTTTCTACTTGTTTGGCAGCATTTTCTTGTGCATTTTATCACTTAACCTTTGTAGCATACTTGTGAGATATTAACATCTCCATTTTATAAGCAAGAAAGCTGAGGCTAATAGAAGTTATATTACCTGCCTAAGTTCACACTCACAGTGACGAAGCTGGGTTTTGAGCCTACCTTGGTCTGATTCTAACGGCTGTGTGCTTAACTACCTCCAGAGTATGGCTCTGATATTGGCTCTTTTTTTTTTCTAAAGTAATGACGGAAAGATTTGTCAACATTTGCACAAGGCAGAAAACTATCTCATCTGGAAAGGTTTATATAGACATTATTCTCTTCCAAGAGGAATAAGTAAATGTATAGGAAATTGAAATATATTAAATGACCCTGACATGCTGCAATGCAGGTAATATTTTATATGGTGAAGTTTTCTCTAAGCTTAGCATTTCCTTATTATAAGGTCAATATGATGATTAATTGTTTATGTACAAGGTAGAAAACAATCATTTTCTTTGCAGTCATTTGGAGAGCATTGCATCTGGTTTAATTTATCTCTTATTTAGTTACCTGCTAGGGTTGTTCTTGGGTTTGAATTTTTGTTTTTCCTCCTCCTCTACACTGCCAGCCTCTTTTCTGCCCTAGAACCAAGGCCAGGAAGACTGCAGAACTATGCACTCATGTTTTATCCAGTTAATTCCCCCCAAGATTGAAAAATGTGACTATTTCTGAATATTAACAGTTTTTGCAAATTTCAAATGCAATATGAGAATACTTTTGGACTACAACCATCCATGAAATTAAAAATGACAATATATCCTGTATTTAGATAAAGGATATGTGTTCATATTTTACCTTAAGCAGTAAAGGAAGACTCCAGGCTTCTTTTTGAAATTTTAAGATGTCAGTTTTCAGCAACAGAGAAAATACAAATTGAAAGCTGCTGAAAAAAATGAATTTTTATTTTTATTTAGTCCGAAGTCCAAAGTTCAAAGCAAAACTCTCTTCTCTGGGGTTCAAATCTTGTTTACCCTGAATAGAATATGCCTTCTTGTTTGTTAGAAAACATACAAAAGTGTTCTAATTGTGAAACAGCACCAGGAAAGTGGTATTTAGGAAAATAAAATACTAAGCATGGACTCACAAAGCCGGAGGATACCCTGTGAGAACATCTTCCAACAGGAAATGGCCAACTCATTCAACTTATATGGATTATTTTCTATTTTGGTAGGATTTATAAATCTGTATTTTTTGTCTTTTGCACTCATTCACATGATGTTTCAGTTAATGGAGCAAGGTCCTGAACCCTAAGAAGCCACCAGTACCTAACAAAACACCTGGTACATATGCCATTCAATAGAACTTTCTAGAAGAAATAATTAGGTCAATGAATAAAAAATATAAAGTGATGAATAGAAAATTTATGATAGGGTTCTTACTGGTATGATTAAGTAATAAAATGGAAACAAATCATGGTCAAGTTCAATGTTTTACAAACTCTATTCATAGTATAGGTTTTCTTTTCCTTCTCAATGGGTAAGGTGACCATGTAATATATATTCCAAACAAGGACCCTTTTGAGAGGGAAAGGGGTGCTATTAATCATTATACCAAGACAACAGGACCACTTTGGACAAACTGTAACTAATGGTCACTCCCAATGAGGGATTAGGAGCAGGAAAAAAATATGTACATAAGCCTCTAAATTTAAAAACAAGGGAGTTTTAACTCACAAATGAAGATTTAGAGGGATTTCACTATGAGTACTTTTGATGTTCTTACCTCATCTTAGAATTATGGTAAAAAATGAGCCAAATGACAAATAAAGACTCCTTTCTAACAATTAGGAAAGAAAGAGGAATTAAATTGTTATCAAAAGCTACAAGGAGAACTATAAAACACCGGTAAAAGAAATCATAGAAGTCAAACACAAAAAATAGAAAAACACGTGCTCATGGAATGGAAAAATCCATACTGTTAAAATGACCATACTACTCAAAGCAATATACAGATTTAATGTATCCCCTATCAAATTATCAGTGTCATTTTTCAAAGAATTAGAAAAAAGCAATCCTAAAATTTACATGGAACCAAAAAAAAAAAAGAGCCCAAACAGCCAAAGCAGTCAAGCAAAAAGAACAAAGCTATAGGTATCATATTACCTGACTTCTAATTATACTACAAGACTATAGTAACCAAAACAGCATGATACTGGTACAAAAATAGACACACAGATCAATGAAACAGAATTGAGAACCCAGAAATAAAGCCACATACCTACAATCAACTGATCTTTGCCAGGTCGACAAAAATATACACTAGGGAAAGGACACTATATTCAATACATGGTGCTGGAAAAATTGGATAGCCATATGTAGAAGAATGAAACTGGACCCATATCTCTCACCATATACAAAAATTAACTCAAGATGGATTAAACACTTAGATGTAAGACCTGAAACTATAAAAATCCTGCAAGAAAATCTAGGAAAAACTCTTCTGGATATTGCCCAAGTCGAAGAATTTATGACTAAGACCTCAAAAGCAAATGCAGCAAAAACAAAAATAGAAAAATGGAATTTAATTAAACTAAAATGCTTCTGCACAGCAAAAAATAATCAATGGAGTAAACAGGCAACCTGCAGAATGAGAGAAATATATTTGTGAACTATGCTTCCAACAAAGGACTAATACCCAGAATGTACATGGAACTCCAAAAATTCAAAAAGAAAAGAACCAAATAACCCCATTAAAAGTGGGCAAATAATATGAACAGATATTTCTCAATAAAAAACATACAAGCAGCCAACAAATATATGAAAATGCTCAACATCACTTATCATCAGAGCAATGCAAATTTAAACCACGTTGAGATGCCCTCGCACACCAGTCAGAATGGCTATTACTAAAAAGTCAGAAAAACGAGAGATGTTAGAGAGGATGCAGAGAAAAGGGAACTCTCATACACTGTTTGTGGACATGTAAATTAGTACAACATCTATGGAAAACAGATTGGAGATTTCTGAAAAGCTAAAAATAGAACTACTAAGATCCAGCAATTCCATTACTAGGTGTCTACCCAAAGAAAAATAAATTGTGATATCAAAAAAACACCTGCACTCCTATGTTTATCACAGCATTATTCACAATAGCAAAGTCATGGAATCAACCTAAGTGTCCATCAATGGATGGTTAGAAAAAGAAAATGTGATATATCTACACCATGGAATACCACATAGACATAAAAAGAAATCATGTCTTTCCCAGCAACATGGATGGCCCTAGAGACAATTATCCTGAGTAACTCAGAGATAGAAAATCAAATACCACATGTTCTCACTTATAAGTGGAAGCTAAACAATGGATACACATGGACATATAGAGCGAAACAATAGACACTTGGAACTCCCAAGTGGGAAAGGAGGGTGGTGAGGGTTGAAAAATTACCTATTGGGAACAAAGTTCACTATCCAGGTGATGGGTATCCTAAAATCCCAGACTTAACCACTATGCAATATACCCATGTAACAAAAGCACATTTGTAGCCCCTTAATCTATTTAAAAAATTAAATTTCTTTAAGAAATTTGAATATGTACAATGTTACTAATAAACCAGGGTCCTGGCTGAATGATATCATCAAAATAAATCTTACATGCAAGAAAAAAAAAAAAAAAGAAAAGCTAGGCTGAGAGATTCTGTGCCCTGTGATCCCGCCCAACCCCACCAAGCCCCACCGTCCCCACCCCCCTCTCCCCACCCTCCGCACTCTGCCTCTTCCCACCCTCCCCACCCGGCTTTTCCCCACCCTCCCCACCCCACCTCTCCCCACCCTCCCCACCCCGCCTCTCCCCACCCTCCCCACCCCGCCTCTCCCCACCTTCCCCACCCCGCCTCTCCCCACCTTCCCCAATCTGCCTCTCCCCATGCTGCCTCTCCCCACCCTCTAACCCTGCCTCTCCACTCACAACTTCCGTGACTATCTGCTCAATTATCTCTCGCTTCTGGGACCAGCTAACAAGCTTTTGTGGTTAGCTCCTGGTTGCCCGCCAACCAACCATGAGCACCCGGAGCCGCCAAAAGTATACCTCTGGCGTGGAGGCCGCTATTGACCGCCTGATCAACATGCATCTGCAGGCCTCCTACACCAACCTCTCTCTGAGCTATTTCGAAGGCGACGAAGTGGCTCTCAAGGGCGTGGGCCACTTCTTTCGCAAGCTGGCTGAAGAGAAATGCGAGGGTGCCAAGCATCTTTTGATGCAGAACCAGCCCAGCAGCTGCGGCCTCTTCCAAGATGAGCAGAAGCTGCTCTGAGATGAGTGGAGTGGCAGCCTGGCCGCCATGGAAGCCGCCCTGGCCCTGGAGAAGAGCCTGAACCAGGCCTTTTTGGATCTGCATGCCCTAGGTTCTGCCAACACAGATCCCAATTTCTGTGATTTTCTGGAAAAGCACTTCCTAGACCGAGAGGTGAAACTCATCAAGAAGATGGGCAACTACTTGACCAACCTCTGCAGGCTGGCCAGCCGCCAGGCCGGGCTGGTGGAGTATCTCTTCAGAAGGCTCAAGGACGACTGGGAGCTTCCAGAGCCCAGCAACCTTTGAGGTGCCCCTCTGCATTCTTCTGGCTTCGGGATTTCGGCCTGAGCTTCTCAACATCCAGAAGTACTCACCAAGCCGTGGACCAAATGGAAACAATAAAAGGTTCTTTTTGCAAATTTTTTTTTAAAAAATGCTAGGCTGAGAGGGAAAAAAATGTTTGCAGAGTAGCACGCAGGATCTGCAGTCGGTTTAAAACTCTAGAGTTTTTAAGAAATTGTTCTTTTGTGAGTCACGTGTGTATTTTAAGGATCTGATAAAACTGCATTTTGTCTGTCAGGAAAAATACAGTTTCCTATTCACAAAATGTTGCATACAGTTTTAGTGGTTTAATAATTTCCCTGAGGCCATTCTGGGTACTGGATTGTTCTGTTATCCTTGGTTTTGCCCAGCAGAGCAGAGAGGTGAGTATCTAGAATATATCATATTGTATCCCTCCCCCTCAAACCCCTAAACTCATGATAAAATTGCTTTTCCTGATTTTTCAAGTTAATGCGATGCCATCTACCTTTTCAGAGAAATGCAGTACGAACCCTGTGAAATTCATCATTGCATCTCCCATTTGGTTGCTACAGAGAACGCTGGCAGTTACATCACATGCTGACCTTTTTATGAAGCCTCTCAAGAGAAATTTTGTTCTGGTCTTAGTATTAGGAATACTAGCACTTCACTTGGATAATTGGTTTGTTTTTGTTTTACAGACACTGTAAGTGATGTAACTAATTAAGTTTCCTTTTCTAGACTGCCTGCTAGAAAGCTTAGAAACAAATTTGTAGTCTACCCAGAGTAAATGAGTAGAATTGTATAAGCATTTTAGTATAAGCTTCATTCTTGTCCCATTTGTTATTCATTTCTTGGTGTATGTTATGGATCCTTTGAAGCCACCTTAAACCCCCCCTGGAACAAGGCTGTGTTTTAAGTAGATAAATAAAGTAAATTTTTAAAATGCAGATTAAAAAAATGGCTCTGCAGTTCATTTTAGAGAAAAGGGAAGATAATTTTAAGGAACACTAAGAGAGCCAAAGCAATTACAATGGAGGTGGGTCAGATGGAGGCTAAATTATAGAAGCCAAGAGAGGAGAAGCAGCAAGTGTAGCATTTTGTTTAAAATGCGTTTCATTTTTCTGGCCAGCTATTTCCTCCTAAATCCATACATTTGTGTCCCACAGATAGTAATAAGTGTGAATTGTTTTCTTTGCACTTTGAAAAGCTGGAGTTACAACTTTGTCTCAAACCTCAAAAGTGAGAAGAAAAATTAATTCTTTTCCTACAGTTCCTTTGCTTCCTGAAGCAGGAAGACCAAAGGCATGCTATCATTTCTTTTATCATGGAAGGATCAGAGTCATAGGAAGAATATTTTGCAGAGATTGGGACAACTATTTTGCTTAGTTAAGGAGAAAACTGTATCTTCCTGTTTTTGTGCAAAGTATTTTGATAATAAAAAAGAATATACTGGGAACTGTTTCCCTAGAGAAAGTTTTTCCCATTTGCTGGTTGTTGGCAGTAAGAGATGTTCAGAAGCAGTTAACAATTGTCTTCAGATTTGGATTGAAAACTCGTATCTCTGTACTTAAAATATGTACTTAATTTTCAAATTAGCACACAAATATAGACACATAAATCTGAATGAGAAAAAAAATCACCTAATCCTATGAGACCAATTGAAAGGCTGTAATTTGAGGTAAAATGTTTGTGAAGAAGGATGAGAAAATGTATTTCCAAATAATACATAATATTTGTCAAACCATTACTTATTATGTTTTTTAATGTCAAGAATGGGGCTGTAGAAGAAAGCTTTATTAAAGTCTCCCAAGTAGGTTAAACTGTTCTTTGGTCATCAAATAATTCTTGGAAAACACTTACTTGCTAATGACTTAAAGTTCTCAGCAAATTTATTTGTGGAAGATGGGAATTTGATGACATTAAATTTCAAGAGATTAATTTGTAAACAAGTCCCACAGTGATTTCCTCTATGGATAAACATTGTGTGTGTGTGTGTGTGTGTGTGTGTGTGTACTTGCACAGAGAATTATAATAATTCTTGTATGACCAAGTTCCTTATACCAGCCTTCAAGACTCTTCTTAGTCTACCCTGTATAATTTATTAATACCTTTTAAACTGAATTTTCTATTACTTTCCCATTGTTGAAGTTTTGGGGGTGCCAATTGCTCATCTTTCCTTGCATCCAAGAAGCCAGATTGGAATCAAAATAGCTTTGCTGATGGTAAAGCCAAATTGGAGAATGTGTGAGGGCTTCCTACTGCCACCCCCTGAATTAAACAAACCTCATGGAGACTCAGAGGAATGCTGGCAGCCCAAAGGAAGTGGGGAGGGCTTGGCAGGCCCATCGCCTTGTCATTGCAGTGCCGCTGTGCCCTGGCTAATATGCACCAATAGTCACTGGGCTCTGAGAGTTCTTCACATTCACCCTGCTACTTCTCATGGATTAGAAGTGTGATAAAGGTCTCCTGCAAATGACTGCAAGAGCTCTCTGCCATAGCCAAACTGCTCAGTTTGCTGGTCCCAGGACGTGTAAAGCTCCTTTGGTTCCCCTCACCTGGAATGCTCTTCATAGCCCACTTCATTAAATCAAACCCAGCCTGCTTTTCAGCCTAGTTCCAATCTGCCTTCTGTGAAATTTTCCCTGACCAACTCAACCCAGTCATCTGGCATGGGTTCACCTTGTTTGTTTGTTTGTTTTGTTCTCCAAATATTTATTGAGGTCCTACTATATACAAGACAATGTACTTGAAATAATGCTGTTAACAAGACAAAGAAGCTCCTTAACCTAAGGAACATGCAGTCTAGTGTTAAAGGCAAATACTAACCAGATAATTCCACCAATAAGCTATCATGGACTATGGTGAATGCTGTGAAAGAAAAGTTATGGGTAGCCATGAGAGGATCACATCTGGGGGCCTGATATGGTCTCAAGAGAGTAGGTGAGGTCTCCATGGAAGAGACTTTGGGTTACATTCTGAAGGATGAATAAGAGTTATGTACACAAGGGATGGGGGTGGAGGAAGGATGGTGAGGAGCTGTCCAAGCAGAAGTAGCAGCATGTGCAAAGACCCCCAGGTAAGAGAGGGCACAGTGCATCTGAGGACCTGAAAGAAGACCAGAGTGGCTGACAGCAGAGAGCAAACAGGAGAGGGGCTCGAGATGAGATGGGAGAAGGTGTAGGTAAGGACTTTGGCTTTTATCCTAAGAGAAGTAGTGAGCTATTGGAGGTTTCTGAGCAGGGGACTGATATGATAAGATTTGTATTTTATAATCACTCAGAGTGCTCTGGGGAGAATGAACTAGAGAGGGCCAGAGAGAAAGTGGAAAGACTAACATGGAAGACAAAAGTATAGGGAGAGGATATAGAGAATGGGAGCATGTAACCCTATGTTGGTCGAGAGGTAGTACGGTAGAGCGTAAAAACAGTGGCTCTGAAACCAAACTGCCCAGCTTTGTGCCCTGGTTTTGCCATGTACTGTCTGACCTTCAGCAGATTACCTAAGTGTTCTCAGTTTCCTGATCTCCAAAACGGGGCTAATACCTGTCTACTTCTTAGGTTATGTGAGGATTAAATGGTGAATACATATTTAAAAACTTAGAACAATGTCCAAGACACAGTAACTTCTTATTAAACGTTGTGGCTACTCTGTTAAACATAAATTATGCCTAGAACCACAGAATGGTTTTTCTCACTAACCAAAACAAAAAGAAAACATTCTTCTGCTTGATGATGGGCATTCAAACTGTTTTATTTATTTATTCGTTAACTTTTTAATTTTTTAGAGATGGCGTCTCACCATGTTGCCCAGGCTACATGCAAACTCCTGGGCTCAAGCGATCCTCCTGCCTCAGCCTCCAAAAGCAGCTGGGACTACAGGAATGTGCCACCATACCTGTGCTCAAACTTTTTCAATAACAGTGATTCTGCAAGAGAATCCACAAAATGGACAAGAATGGCCTTGAAGGAAATACAGATCTCAGAAGGGTATTTTTAACAGAAATGCCCTTGAAGGAAGCACATGTCATTCCTGGGAAATTTATGGTTGGCTTCACCACCAGCCTGCTTTATTCATTGTGGCTCCCCCTCTTTGCCCCGCCTAAGCCATTGCTATGCCTGGTTTCAAGCACGGACTCAGTCAACACTGGGTTCTGAAGATTTTACTGGGGACGAGGAAGTCCATGCATCAACCATACGCTTCATTCCAGGAATGGCCCCCTGATATTTCATGTCTTGAGGCTAGTCAGGTCACTAAAAGGTAAGAACAATGCCTATAAACCAATAACCCAGCCTGATGTTCTGGAATTAAGTCACAATGAGGGACACTTGGACTACTATGTGCCGAACACCTGTTCTAAGCCATTCTCAACATTCCTGATTATAAATGCAACCTCCTAGTGATTCTGGTTTTACATCTATGGGACTGTGTGATCACAAGAGCAAAAAAGCTCTCATGTATCTGAAGACCAGGGTGGCCTATAAACCTAGAACTAGCTCAGGACAAAGGAGAGATCTCACCAGCCCAAAGAAAGCACCAGAAGGTCAAATAGCTGGGAAAACCTGGGCAGGGGAGGCCCTCTCCAGAAAAAGTAGGCTGCTGGACCACACAGCCACAGAGACACAATGAGAAAACAGACAAGCGCCCTACTCAAGATCACAAGGACAACAGTTTTTCACTGAGAACTGGGCTAGGAATAGGAAAATTGGCAATAGGCCAGTTGTCCCTAGAATAAATCAGGTAAATTCTGCTCCAGAGAGGGCAGAGCTGGTGGTGCTGTTCTTCAGGGCAGCACAGCCTCTTTCTGCCACACCTTACTCAGCCAGGGCCAAGTTTGTAGACTGCAGCTGCTGGGTCTCCCGGCAGATGTTCTGCTCCACTGTGCCACACTCAGCTACGAACGTCTGACTTTTTTTTTTTTTTTTTTTACCAAACCTTTCTTTTTTGATCTATTGTCTTTGAAATTTTCTGGCAGGATCAGTGTGTCGATCTCTTCCAAGATCTTCATAAACTGTTTGGTTGTGGCTTTTCCTCTCCTACCAAGTTTGCAGAGAGCTTCAGCTGGCAAATCCTTGGCCAGAAAACCTTGCTGGAGTCCAGTAAGCTGTTTATTCAACTCTTAAAGTTCGTCAGCTTTCTTCTCCACAGGCTTCACCAACTCTTTCAATTTCTCCAGTTCAACCTCTTCCTCTGGACTGTTCTTTTTCCCAATTAACATGACTTGGCAACCATTTTGTATTCCACATGCTGACAAAGGTATCTCCATTTCCTTCAGAGATGTTCCCTTAAATATGAGTTTCTGAAAAGACAGTGGAACCCCTGTGGCCTCTCCAACAACCTGGGTCAGGTCTTGGGCAATTGGTTCACCGCTGGACCTGCTGCAGGGTAACGTGAAGGTCATGCTTCTCATTGCTGTGAGTGACGGTCATGCTGAGCTTGGCTGCCACCATTTCCTCCTTGGTCACCTTCTCGCTCCAGGCTGAGCAGGGGTGGATTTTTTTCTTCACCCGCGGTGAGCTTGGCCAGGGGGTCCAGGGTCTCTGACTGGTGAGGCTCCTGGCCTAGCCAGGAGCCCATCCACTTCCAGTCTGGATTCATCTTCTTCTCTTAGTTCTTTTATGACTCCCACTAGACTATAGGCAAATGGAAGCTGGAAGGCAGGTAGCACAGTGGTTGAGCAATGGGCTCTGGGCCAGACTACTGTGGTTAAATCCTGCCTCCATTCTAACTCACCTTGGCCCAGTCCCTTCACCTTTCTCAGCCCCAGCTTATTCATCTGAAAAACTGGACATATATGCTCATAATCATAACACTACCCAACTCATAGATCGTAGTGATGATTAAATGAGATAAACCATGAAAAGCCCTTAAGCGATGGCCCAGCATATGCTAAATGCACAATAGATGTTAGCTACTTTTATCAACTGTGTCCTAGCTGTGCTAGTAACATCTCCAGTTTGCTTCCCAGTTTCAGTAAAACAGGCAACTTTAGATTCTAGAATCTCCTTTAATGAGCATTCCTCCCTCTAAATAGCTCCTATAGGAATAGGAAGTAAAGTGTAGGAATTTGCTCATTTTTTGATGTGATGTTCAGTGAGTAGGAGGGGAGAAAAAGAAAATGAAGGAGGACCACTCTCTCCTCAACCAAACAAGTAGAGTCATCTTATTTAGGCCCTGGGATTGTTTTAATCACTATACTGCTAAAAAGCAGCCATGGCAGCATTTTAACCTCTTTCTCAGGAAGGACAAGCTGCACAAAGGGGTCGTTTCAGAAGTAAAACTAATTAACTACCGGCTGCTAGTCTGCATAGTTTCCAATTCTTGGAAGTCTTCTCCACCCACTCTTCGCCCACACATCCTCCTCCTTCCACTTTGTGGTAGCCTTGGATATACCAGAGTGAGGGAGCAGGGACTGAATTGGCACAATCAGAATTCTAGGCATCACTGAGGCCTTGAACTCTTTTGCACTAGGGCCTGTTTAAAGCTCTTGCTCTTCAGGTACCATTTAGAGGACTCTTCCTCTCTGGAAAGAAGCACAGTCTTACAGGTTGAGTTACAAGTGCTACTTATTTAGAAAAGGGAAATATCTTTATTACACTCATGTAGTGTTATTTATCTCTGTAAGCCGTTTAGCCACCCTGATGAATAATTTATTCATTGCAATAATAATAAAGCAGGTACTAATCCCTGGGGGATTGGGGTGGGGACACACATTAGGAATGAGTTTTGAATTAATGTAAGCTTTCTGCTTAGTGTAAACTCCCCAAGAAGCAAATATTCTCCTCAGGATTTTAGCAATTCTGATGGCTAAATTAGAGATCATAGGAGAAAGCAGAGAAAAGTCTGGATTTCACCAGAAAACCTCAAAAGCTTCCCAATTGCGCACAATGTCAGGTCAAAGTGAGGGAGATGTGGGTAGAAGCAGCTATTCTGAGATTTTAAATCAACCACTTATTCCTGCTAAAAATTTGTACCCTGAATATCCTAATGAGAAATATCACATACATCCAAATTGAGGGGCATTCTACAAAATAACTGGCCTGGAATTCTCAGTGTTAGGGTCAAGAAAGACTGTGGAATTACCCTAGGTTAACAAAGACTTAAAAAAAAAAAGAATGACAAAAAAAAATGGACCATGGAGTGGATAATGGTCTTGTATCAGTGATAAACTTCCTGACTTGAATAATTGCATGGTGGTTAGATAGGGAAATTTTCTTGCTTTTTGAAAACACACATTACGAAAAAGATACTTGCACACGCATGTTTATAGCAGCACAATTTGCAATTGCAAAAATATGGAACCAGCCCAAATGCCCATCAATAAATGAATGGATAAAGAAATTGTATATATATATATATACTACTCAGCCCTAGAAAGGAGCAAATTAATGGCATTTGCAGCAACGTGGATGGAACTGGAGACTATTATTCTAAGTGAAGTAACTCAGGAATGGAAAACCAAGCATTGTCTGTTCTCACTCATAAATGGGAGCTAAGCTATGAGGATGCAAAGGCATAAGAATGATAGAATGGACTTTGGGGACACAGGGGAAAGGGTGGGAGGGGGCGAGGGATAAAAGACTGCAAATTGGGTTCAGTGTATACTACTCTGGTGATGGGTGCACCAAAATCTCACAAATTACTACTAAAGAACTTCCTTGTGTAACCAAATACCACCTGTTCCCTAAAAACCTATGGAATTAAAAAAAAATTTAAAGAAAGAAAACATGCACTCAAGTATTTAGTATTGCTGGGCGCAATATCTCTAACTTGCTTGCAAATGGTTAGGAAAGCAATTGGTAAATCTGGATGAAAGGTAAACCAGAGTTCTTGTACTATTATTGCAACTTTTCTGTAAGTTTGAAATTATATTTAAATAAAAAGTTGTCCCTGAAAAATCAATCTCAGATAATTTAAATCAGACTGACTATTTATTGGGACCCAGTTGCTCAAGGCTATACTTTCTCTATGTCTGGCAACTGTTCTGTCACTTCCTTTGCCAGGGGTGGAAACTCTGACAGGGAGTTAGTAGGTTTGTTTTATGTCAGTGATTGTTTGTCTCCTCTGATGGACTGTAAGCTCTTCTAGTACAAGAATTTGTTTTATTCATCTTCATAACTCCTGCATCTACCGTGGTACCTAACTTATACTAAGTGTTCTAAAACAATTTGTTGAATAAACAGTGTAATGGCTTTTAAGTGACCATTTGGAATTAGATTTCCAGTCGCAGGGCTTCATAAACAATTTAACCAACAGAAAATTCTATATTCCTTTTTTATTCCAAAATACAAACTACATACTTTCAGATTTGTTATCTAACTCTTATCACCCAAAAGTATGTCAACAATTTTTTAGAAGAGAGAATAACCAAAACAAGGAGGCAAAGGAAATCCTATTATTTTATTGCTACACAAGTGATATTGCTGCTGGATTAAGTATTTTAATTTTTCAGGGCTTATGGTTTATATCTTCAAAGGAGGATCTGTGCTTCTTGCTTTTCTGTTGAAAAAATCTATTTATTTTAGCCATTATATACATTTAGGACTAAGCAGAGCTTCAGGATTTAATATTCTTCTCAACCTGAAAGGTCACAGAGCATGATGGAAGATCGAGTTTGCTTTTCGGTTTTAGTCTCTTCTATTCAGCTCTCATTTCACCCTTGCGACTGCTATCAGTACCTGTACATATAATCTTATTCTTTTGGGCCTTTCTCTCGTCACCTCAAAAAAAGCATCTCCTGATGTTCAGAACTTCTCCGATGTTCACAGTTACACCTCAGTATTATTACAGGCTGACCAAATGCTCACAGCCAGGCCATTTTTTTTTCCTGTGGGACATAAACAACCTCACAGAATACCAAACACAGATAAAGATAACCTGAGACCATTAGAAAATGAAACAAAACAAGGTCACTTCATAATTTTGTCTAAGCACAGACAAAATCCGAGCCACTGTGCCTTTCACAACAGGCCCAATCATAGGATTGACCCCACTTCTGACAGCATCTGATCGAGAGCAAATCCCTGCTTCTTTGTTCCCCTCCCCAACATTCATCCAAAGCCCCAATTTTATAATAGTTTCTTTCTAACACACTCTTACTGAGACACTGTAAGGTCCCCCATGATGTGTGTTTCCTCACTGCAATGAGTAAAAACCCATGTTGTTGAATTATAGCCATGTTCCTGGTCATCCTTGGCTGAAGAGCATTGGCACACTATTCTGGGGAATATTCTTCCTGACCACACATTCAATCAAATATTTGAGGGGAATTTTAGGGTATCCAAAGAGGGTATGTCCAACTCCTTGTTTTATTTAATCAGAAAGTATCTATTGGTAACGTTCATTAATTCATTCCAAAAGTATTTATTGAGCATTGAGTCCATAGCAGGCACTGAACTGGGTGCTTTGGATAAAGACACATTACTTTCTTAATGAGCTCATGTTCTGATAGGCAGGACTTCAGTACAGTATGATAAATTGTACAGTAGAAGTAAGAACCAGGTAGTGGTTTGCAAAAGAGGGCATGATTACTTGGGGAAAACTTGGAATACTTTAAGAAAGAAGAGCTACTTAGCTGATCCTGACAGATTATCAGTGTTGACCCATTGGACACGGGAGGAAGGGGTATTCTATGCAGAGAGAAGGCACTTGAGGAATGGCTGGGATGCCTGGGATGAGAAAGTGGATGGTAAAGAAAAGTCTGGAGAGGAAGGCAGGGCCCCCCAATCATGAAGGGCTTAATGGATTTAATCTTGCAGTTGTAAGGAGCTCACCAGAATTTATGGGAGGAATCAACACAAATATAAGCTGTAGCCCCTACACTCAAAGAGTTTTCATTGTTGTTGGTGAGATAAAACTCACACATAAAAAACAACCAGAGAGCAACATAAGCAATATAAAATTGTAGTTCTCTTATCCTCTTGCTCTACCCTAGAAATTTCCTGTAAATAAGTCCCATACCCATACGGTTATTTGCCAGAGGGCGCTCTCTGGCCATGGGAGCATGCTTGGTTTGCCAGTAGGGTAGGACAGAAGTGTCAAGTGTTAACTTCCACCCCGTCCCTAATAGTGACCCTAAACTGATTAGGGATGGAAATGAGTGGATACATATCTGAGCATCCTCAGCAATCAGCAGGATATTTCTGAGGCATATTTTACCCAATATCTCAGAAGGTGGCCAGTGACATTGAGCCCCAGTTGTCCACAGTAGTAACCCTTTCATTTACACCCAGTATATTGATTTTCCTTCTTTTCTTTTGCCATGCTTCCTAAGATTATACCCCCTCTTCCAATAAACGAATTGCAGTCAAATCCTTGCTCAAGGCCCACTTTTTCCAAACCTCATACAAAGACAAGAGTCAAGTATTAAATTATGTTTTACAGTCTCTATCGGCTCTAAGAACTTCTGGAATAACCCATTTTTTTTCTTCCAACCAGCATGCCTCACCCTTTTGCCCCCACCACCTTTGCTCTATATATTGCTCATTATCTTGCCCCTAGGTAGGTACCAGACTATCCTCAGGGTGTTGATGACCCCAGAGGATACTCAGCCTGGAAAGCCTCTACTCCCATGAAAAGCTACTGCTTTTCTTCAGTCTCATCTAGGTGAGTGAGTTGGCTGCCTTGCAACTTTCAAAAAACTCGTCACATTTTAGGGGCACTGAGACCAATGCCAGTCATTTCAGCTTCCTAAACATTCATAAATACAACAGCTGGGGCTTGGTAAACACATTTTTCCAGCTAGGGGTCACATGGAGTTCTGTGAGTAATGATAGCCTTAGTGCTGGGCTTGGACATAAATTTATTCCTCTAAGCATCCAGGGAATGTACCTACTCAGACTCGAGAAGAACATTTGAGCCTATTTCTATGAAGCAAATATTAATGAGCCGGATATCCATTCTTGAGTCAGCTTACATTCTAATTATTATTAGCTGCTTACATCACTAAACTTGTATTTAGCATGACACCTGTTGCAAAGAGGATCATGTTTCTTTATGTCTGTAATAGCAATTTAAATCTCTAGGATCAGTCACAATTTGACATTTAATTTATTTCTATTACAACATGGACTGGAAAAAATCTTTTTGGCATGGTGGGATCGAGTAAGAAGCAAAACCAAAAACAGAAATTGGAATGTGATACCTTTTAATAATTGGCCAAAGCTAGTAAGAACTTTGAGAGTATATATTAAAACGTGAAATTGAGTAAGTTAGCAGGTTATGAAATCAACATTTAAAAATCAGTGAGGATGGTGATTAAATGGGTATATATTTTTACTAAAACTCATTGAACTGTGAGGATAGTGATTAAATGGGTATATATTTTTACTAAAACTCATTGAACTGTGTACTTAAAATCTGTGCATGTTGTTGCGTGTAGATTAGACCTTAATAAAGCTGATTAAAATTCACATATACAAACAATGAAGTTAGAAAACACAATGGAAGAGAAGACGTCATTTAAATGGCAAAGGATAAACCAAAATAAGTAAAATACAATAACTAGGTGAAAACTTACTTTAAAAAGTTTCAAAACCTACATGAGAAAAACTAATGTATTCACATTTCTGAAATACATGAAAATGCCCATGAACAAATCAAAAGACATACCATGTTCTAGGTTAGGAAGATTCATTATCATGAAGGTGTCAATTCTTATAAATTTGCATACTGACTGAATATTTAACAGTATTAAAGAATTATTAATTTTTATGTGATATAGTACAATTATATTTTAAAGTGTTTAATCTTTTACAGATAGATCTTCAAGTATTTATGAATAAAATAATATAGTTATCTGGGGTTTGCTTCAAAAGAATTCAGTGGTGGGGAAAGGGGGGATGTAGGTGAGAATATAGGTGAATCAAGATGGTCATGCATTTATAACTGTTGAAACTAAGTGATAGTACAAAAGAGTTTATTATTCTACTCTCCTTAGTTCTCCATATGATTTAAATTTTTTTATATTAAAAATTTAAATAAAGCATAATCTGTTTTTAAATAAAGTATATTTAGAGACATAATTAATAATTTTCTATTTCTCTTCTTGTTGACCAAACAAACAAAACCTCAAATATAAACCAGTATCTTCCAAAGCCAAAACA
This sequence comes from Homo sapiens, assembly GCF_000001405.40. Lineage (NCBI taxonomy): Eukaryota > Metazoa > Chordata > Mammalia > Primates > Hominidae > Homo > Homo sapiens. The sequence continues at coordinate 38,472,623 of NC_000023.11, read as the reverse complement.
AAAAGAAAGAAAGGGGGTGGAAGAAAGAGAAGAAGGAAGGAAGGAAGAAACAAAGGAAGGAAGAAAAATATGTATTGTCAAATAAGGTTAGAAAATATTGCAGACTGTTTTTTTTTACTCTCATAGATTCACAGTACATATTAGCCAGTAGTTCTTTGTAAAATTGATTAATTTTAATTTTTTTGTGTGTGACAGTCTCGCTCTATTACCCAAGCTGGAGTGCAGTGGCACAAGGTCGGCTCACTGCAATGTCTGCCTCCCAGGCTCAAGCCATCCTTCCACCTCAGCCTCCCAAGTAGCTGGGACTACAGGCACGTGCCACCACACTCAGCTAATTTTTGTATTTTTTGTAGAGACAAAGTTTCGCCATGTTGCCCAGGCTGATCTTGAACTCCTGGGCTCAAGCCATCCACCCACCTTGGCCTCCCAAAGTGCTAGGATTATAGACATGAGCCACCATGCCTGGCCAATTTTATTTTTTAATTGACAAAAATCGTATATATTTTTTCATGTACAAATGTTGTTTCGAAATATGGATGCAAATGTAGAATAGTTAAATTGAGCTGATTAACATATTCATTACCTCACATAGCTTTTTTGTGGTGAGAACATAAAATCTACCCTCAGCAATTTTCAAGAATACAATACATTAATAACTATAGTCACCATGTTTTACAATAAATGTCATGAACGTATGCCTCCTGTCTAACTGAAATGCTGTCTCCTTTGACCAACTTCTCCCCAGTCTTTCCCCTACCCTCACCCCACCCCCTTGGTAATCACTGTTCTATTCTCTACTTCTATGAGTTCACTTTTTTAGCTTTCAAATATGAATGAGAACATGTGATATTTGCCTTTCTGTGCCTGGGTTATTTCACTTAACATAATGTCCTCCAGGTTCATCCATGTTGTTGCAAATGACAAGATTTAATTCTTTTCCATTCCAATATATACCACATTGTCTTTATTCATCCATCTGTTGACACTTAGGTTGATTCCATACCTTGGCTATTGTGAATAATGTTGCAATGAACATGGGAGTGCAGCCATCTTCTTGACATACTGATTTCACATCCTTGGGATATATATCAAGTAGTGGGATTTCTGGATCATATGGTAGTTCTATTTTTGTTTTTTTTTGGTTTTTGTTGTTGTTGTTTTTGAGACAGAGTCTTGCTCTGTCAGCAGGCTGGAGTGCAGTGGTGCGATCTCGGCTTTCTGCAACCTCCGCCTCCTGGGTTCAAGCAGTTCTCCTGCTTCAGCCTCCCGAGTAGCTGGGCCTACAGGCGCACGCCACCATGCCCAGCTAATTTTTGTATTTTTTTAGTAGAGATGTGGTTTCACCATGTTGGCCAGCATGATCTCGATCTCTTGACCTCGTGATCCACCTGCCTCGGCCTCCCAAAGTGCTGGGATTACAGACGTGAGCCACCGTGCTTGGCCTTATTTTTGTTTTTTGGGGAACCTCCATACTGTTTTCCACAATGGCTGTACTAATTTATATTCCCACCTACACTGTGTAAGTGTACCCTTTATCCCACATCTTCTCCAACACTTATATTTAATGTTTTTGATAATAGTCATTCTAACAGGTGTGAGGTGATAGTTCATTGTGGTTTTAATTTGCATTTCCCTAATGATTAGTGATGTTAAGCATCTTTTTCATATACCTGTTGGCCATTTATATGTCTTTTTTGGGGGGAAATGTCTATTCAAGCCCTTTGTTTATTTTTTTAAATCAGTTTGTTTTCTTGCTATTGAGTTGTTTGAGTGTGTTATAGATTTTTGATATTAACTTCTTATTAGATGTATGGTTTGCAAATATATTCTCCCATTCTGTAGATTGTTTCTTCACTCAGTTGATTGTTTCCTTTGCTGTGTAGTTTTTTGTGTGATATAATTTCATTTGTCTATTTTTGCTTTTGGAGTGATATAAAAAAATCATTGCCTAGACCAATGTTATGGAGGTTTTCCTCTGTTTTTCTTTTAGTAGTTTACAATTTTAGGTATGTTTAAGTCTTTAATCCATTTTAAGTTTATTTTTGTGTATGGTGTGAGATAAGGGTCTGATTTCATTCTTCTGCAAGTGGAGATCCGGTGGTTCCAACATCGTTTATTGAAGAGACTGTTCTTTTCCCATTGTGTGTCTTGGCACCTTTGTCTAAAATCAGCTTAACCAAGAAAGTGGCATGCGTGTGCACTGAAAACTATAAAACATTGCTGAATGAAATTGAAGAAGACACAAATAAATTGAAAGATATCCTGTGTTCATGGATTGGAAGAACTAGTATTGTTAAAATGTCCATACTATCCAAAGCAATCTACAGATTGAATGCAATCTCCACCAAAATTTCAATGATTTTTTTTTCACAGAAATAGAAAAAAACAACCCCTAATTCATACTGAACCACAAGGACCCCAAATATTCAAAGAAATTCTAAGCAAAAAGAACAAACTGGATTATCACATTACCTAACTTCAAAATACGTTATAAAGCTGTAGTAACTAAACAGTGTGGTATTGCCATAAAAAACAGATACATACACCAACGGAACAGAATAGAGAGCTCAGGAATATAGCTGGTGATTCTTAATCAGGGTGAACATCGGCAATATCCAGAGAGGGATTATTTTCTGTTTCCTAGATCTTGGTGGGGCCTAGTCAATTATAGCTTTTAAAAGTTCCCCCAGGTGATTCTAATGTACATTGAATGAGAGTCACTGATTGCAAGCATATAAAATGCCTAGAAAATTTCTGCAGTCAAGAAACTTGTTTAACATTGCTTACCTTGATATTTCCTAAACTTATGTGACCAAGGAAACTTTTTTATCATGTAACAACTATTAAGAGCTCCCCAAAGCTGTGTTCTGTAACAGACAGCAAAATGAAAGTTTGAGCTTCTTTGAATGCTGTCTAAAAAGCAGGAGTTTGGGTTAGATTACCTCCAAGGTGTCTTCTAGCTGTAAAATTTGCAGATTGTAGGGTCCAGATCTTTAGAGTTTAAAGAGTGACTACTGACATATTTAACTTGTGCCTTTGAATTCAGACAAATGATTTCTTCAATTAATAATGTACCAGCAAATTTAAATATGCCCTTAGTCCATATTTTTGACAGCTTTCTGTCCTCCAAACTCACTCTCCTGTCTCCTTCCCCCACCTTTCAGCTCAAATATAACATCTGAATAAAATTAGTAAAACCTTCTAATGTATTTTTTTCACTTTTTAGTGGGAGGAATAGAATTTATGGCACTACCTTAAAAAATAAATTCTGCCAATAGGATAATTACAGCTTTCAAAGAGAAAAGTTTAAGAAGATATCTTTTTATTGACTCTTCCAATTAAAAAGCAAATATCAATGGGAGCTGAGCCCTTTGGGAGTTAGTGATTGTTGCTAGGGTGACCAACCATTCTGGTTTATCTGGGATTGAGCTATTTCCAGGAACACAGGACTTTCAGTGCTAAAATGAGGACAGTTTCCAACAAATCAGGACAGTTGGTTGCCCAAGTTGTTGCCAACCACTGTTTGAAAAAGATGCGGAAGGTGGGCAGGTTTCTCTGTGGGTCAAGGGACATTATACATTTGCCTTTATCTTCTAGCTTTCTTCTACTCCTACCATCATAGTGACAGACTGTCGCTCAATGTCATCCATCTCATTATTACCTTTTCTTGCCTACTCAAAGGATGCTTTCAGGCAGCTGGGGTAGTTGGAGGGCTGCATCTTTTTCTATTTTACATCTGTCTTCTCTGACTTCTGATCTGTAATCCCATGGCAACCAGAGGAATAAAGAATTGGAAAAACATCTTTGGTTGATTTCCATTTACATGACAATGTGCTGTATGTGGGTGAGTATGCAGGGGCAGAGAGAGGCACACGTTGGGAAACATGCAGTTGACTGGGAGGTACTGAACACAGCTTTGCTTATGGTTGAGCAACAAGCCAGCTGGTGCCCAATTTGTACTGTCCCTTATCGATTGATTAATTAATTGAAACAAGCACAAAACCAAAGGCTTATTTTGGATGCGTTAAAATAATATCTTTACCCAATCCTCGCTGGTAATTTATTTGTTGTTTACTTGGTTCCAAGGTTATCAAGTACCTATCACATTGGAAAGTTAATGCTTTTCAAGCAGTTTATCACCACCATCCTAGCTAAGTTTATTGGACCATAAAACCACCAGAGGTGATAGATTATTAGTTAGCATCTATTGGTAAGTCACTGAGCTGGAGGTTTCAAGTGTTACACTGAATAACAAGGTTGACTCTCTGTTTTCCAAGCAGCAGGCTTTTAAAAAATACCACACTCTGTTTGGGCGTGGTGGCTCATGCCTGTAATCCCAGCACTTTGGGAGGCAGAGACGGGTGGATAGCTTGAGGCCAGGAGTTCGAGACCAGCCTGGGCAACATGGTGAAATCCCATCTCTACTAAAAATACAAAAATTAGCCGGTATGGCATGCCTGTAGTCCCAGCTACACGGGAGGCTGAGGCATGAAAATAGCTTGAACCCCAGAGGGGGTGGTTGCAACCTAGGTGACAGAGTGAGACCCTGTCTCAAATATATATATGTGTGTGTGTGTGTGATATTTTATATATATGAAATATATATATAATTTATTATCTCTTATTTTTTCTGGGTCAGAAATCCAGGCACAGCTTATCTGAGCCCCCTGGCACAGAGTCTCTCATGTGCTACAATCAGGATGTTGACTATGGCTGCAGCCTCATCTCAAGGCTCCAGCAGGGAAGGACTCACTTCCAAGCTCACTTATGTGGTTGCTGGCAGGTTTCAGGGCCTCAGTTCCTCATTAGCTCTTGAGTGGAAGCCACTCTCAATTCCCTGTCACATGGGCCTCTCCAACAGAGCAACTTGATGAATCAAAGGCAGCAAAATGTTCTGCTAGCAAGATAGAAGCCAGTCTTGTATAACTAATCATGGAAGTGAAATCACTTTAGCCACATTCTATTTGTTAGGGGCAAATTACTAGGTCCAGCTCACACCCAAGGGGAGAGAATTGTACATGGATGTGAATACCAGGAGACAGGGCTCATGCGGGGCCATATTAGAAGTCTCCTTTCCATGAAGTAGTTTCAGAAGGAGTATAGCAAACTGGTTGACTGAGCTGCCTCTGAAGCCTTGTTTGGACTCTTGGCATTGCCACTTATTAGCTATATAGCCTTGAAAAAAGTTACTTAATCTCTTCAAAGTCCAGTTCACTCATCTATTAATCAGAGTAATAATTAGCTCTCCAGGCGGTTAAGAGGATTAAATTAAGGGAAATTACATATGTGGACATTTAGCATGGTGCCTGACACATGGCAAGTACTCAAAAACATGACTTGTCCTAGTCACGTTTCCCAAGCAGCAGACCCTGAGAGACAGAAAGATGGATTCCTATCTCATCTTCCTATGAAGATGAGATGAACAGAGGAGAGGAAGAAAGGGCAAAATTTCGGCAGCCATTCTGCAAGAGGTAACTTCAGCCTGATCCTGCCAGGAAATTCTGCAGTGTGAGGCCTCCAAGTTGTATCATCCTGAAGTCAAACAGTTGTGCTTTCAAAGTCCCACATTCTATAGCCATTGGTTAACAGTCACCACCAGGTAGAGGTGAGGGATGAAAACTCTCAGAACTAATCCTCTGACCTGTGGGCAAAATAGCTCCAATAGCCTGAGGGCAGCTTTCAAAGAAGAGCCCACTGAAAGGTGGCAATTCAAAGAACATTGAAATCAGTGGAGGAAGGACACATATAGTAAAATGGCAAAGAAATCTGAAGGAACCTATCTGGAGCACTGACACTGTTCAGTGTATTACTCAATAAAACATAAAGGTTCCAGTCTGAGTAGTGACATAAAACAAGTTCACAGAAAACTATAATCAAATACACAATATAATACTTTCTGTGATGGGAGTTTCAGCTGGGCTCTTGGCAGAAGTTTCAACCGGGTCTTTACAAGAGAAGACAGAAGAGAAGATGTCCAAATTATACTGAATATTGGTCAGGGTTTTAACAAGCGGAGATGAAGGTAGTGGCATGAAAAAAAAGGCATGGAAGTAGACAATCTGGGGACAGGTCTAAGGAACAATAAATAATTCCGTTTTCTTGTAGGGTATGGTAGAAGCCAAGCATAGATGGACTGGGATAGATTACAGAGGAACTTAAACAGAGGGATGGTAAATTTTCACTTAACTAAAAAGAAGTAGGAGCTACTAAGGTTTTTGAGCAGGTGAGTAATCATTGCACTCCTTCAGGAAATTAATTTGACTTTGTTGGGTATGATGGGTTGGAGTAGGAAAGGAATGAGGGAAAGGGAAAGATAAATTGCAAGGTTATTAGAAAAGACAATATGAATGATTGTGAGGATTGGGAGTAGGGTAGTGGTAGTGAGAATGGAATAAGGGGGCAGATGAAAATGTTGCAAAGGCAGAGAGCTTACAAATTTGGCAATTGATTAGATACTGGGAAGAGCAAAGATAGGCTTTGAGCTTTTGGGAAAAGGAGATAATTTGTGAGAGGACATAATGAATTTACCTTTGGACCTGTTGAGTTTGATATGCTGTTGGATTATTCAGGGAGTAATGTCCATCAGGAAGTTGTAAACATATGAATAGAGCTTGAAGAAATAACTAAATTAAGAGAAATAGGTTTCGTAGGTAAAACAATGGACTTTGATTAATTCATCAAAGTTCAAGAGAGAGAAAAAATAAGAACCAAGGACAGAGTCTTGGAGAGCCTTTAGAAGCAAGAGGAGGAAGAAAATCAGTGCAAGAGTCAGAGAAGGAGTATCCAGAATTAGGAGAACAAAGAGGCTTCAGTGTCATAAAAGTCAGGAGAAGAGAGGCTTAAGAACATCAAAAGAGGGAGAGAGGTGGAGAGGAATAGAAAGAAGGATATAGCAATTGGATTTAGAATTAGTAGGTTATCTGTGACACTGGTGAGTGGTTTCAGAAAGGTGGCAGAAATGAAATCCACATTTCAAGGGGATAAATGGTGAGAAGATTATGAGAATTCTTTCAAGAAGTTTGAGTGCAGTGAGTTTGGCAGCTCGTGGGAGGCAGGATATAATTATTTTTAATATAGGATAGACGTAAAAATATAAGTGAGGGGAAGGACCAGTAAAGCAGGTGTAATTGAAAATATAAATTGATGGAGCCAGCTCTAAAGTGTCACCAGAAGACAGTGAGGTCAAGAGAATATTCATATTCTTCCTTTCATTTTGGGCTCCAGTTGAGTTAGTAAACCCATTCATGACAGCTTCCTGTAGCTGATGTTATTATCAGCTCCCCCCCCCCGCGATTCCCTTTAAGCTTAGAATCTGTCAGATTGTGAGTCAAATAGTGTCTCTAGTAAAAAGTGCTTAATTTCTGATGAAGCTTGCCATTTGAAAAGTAAAATGCAAAAGATGACTATATCAGGATGATGAATAGCAGATGCTTAACTAGCAGTGAGAGCTCACAAATCCACCCACAACACTCATCAGTATGGAGGGAAGCAAAAACCCTAAAACAAAATGCAATTTACAGACCAAAAGGTTTCTGTGAACTAAAGTTTGCATCAGCATACAGACAAAACAACCTTCAATTGGACTTCATGTGCCCAGTCACTCTTGATATCTGTAAAGGTAAAGATCAGGGGACAAGTTTGTTAGTCAAGGGCTCTAAATAGAACCAGAAATAGAAGGATCTTAAAACTAGTCACTGTATTGTTTTTCATCTTCAATATGTTTTGTTTTTATTTGGATTTCTTTTCTCAGACACTAGGAGAAGGGATTTGGGATTCTAAATTAGGCCTGGAATGAGGAAAATACAGCTATCTTTACGACATTATTAGTATTTTCCCAGAGTATTACCCTGGATTACAAACATGAAATTGAGCTTCTTAGATCCACCAGGACCCCAACTTGTACAGAAAGGGGCAATGGCAGCCCCTGTTAAGAGTTTAGTGGTGGGAGTTAGGACCTCTGAAACCAATTCAGAGCCAAGCTATACTGTGTAGCCACCTTCCTACTGTTAGGTTTATATATGCCATGTTAAACAAACTGGAAGTTAATTTCGCCATATGGTGTGTACATGGAGTGGTTTCTTTTCACCAATCTATAGCCCACATGAAAAAAAAACAACTAAGGGCCAAACAATGGAATTAAAAAAAATTCATAGATGTAAATCAAGAAAACACTGCTGAAATCAAAGGAGCCTTGAATATACAGATTAAAATGGTGTACTCAGGAAAAACTGGTACTGAATGCACATTCCAGTTATTAATAGCTCAGCTCCAAACCTACCCTTCTATATTCCACTTGGTGATGCTGGGGCTGGGACCTGCAAATTACATTTTTCATCAGCCAACTGGCTCCTTGTTAGGACCTGCCAAAGAGGGGATGTGATGATTAACATTGTGTCAATTTGACTCCATTGAGGGATGCCTTGATGGCTGGTAAAGCATTGTTCCTGAGCATGTCTGTAAGGCTGTTTCCAGAGGAGACTGACATGTGAGTCAGTGGACTGAGAGAGGAAGACTGCCCACTCAGTGTGAGTAGGCACCATCCAATGGGCTGCCAGTGTTGATAGAACAAAGCAGGAAGAAGAAGGGGGTATTCAGCTTGCTTGCTCTTCTTTCTTTTGCTCGCTCTCTGTCTCTCAGAGCAGTATACCCTTTCCTCCCCATGCCCTTGGACATCAGACTCCAGGTTCTTCAGCCTTGGACTCTGGAACTTGAACCAGCAGCCACCCCAGGGCTCTGAGGCCTTTGGCCTTAGAATTGGGATGCACTATCAGGTTTCCAGGTTTGGGGCCTTACAGACTTGGACTGAGCCATGCTACCAGCTTCCCTAGGGGCCATGCTACCAGCTTCTATCTTTCTCCCCCTGGCAGAGAGCCTGTTATGGGACACCACCTTGTAATTGTGTGAGCTAATTCTCCCTAATAAATTCCCTTTCATGTATGTATGTATGTGTGTATATATACATATATGGTATACATTTTAATGTTTTATATATGTCCTATTAGTTCTGGTCCTCTTGGAGGACCCTGACTAATACAGAAAATTGGTACCAAGTAGCAGGGTGTTGCTATAAAGATACCTGAATATGTAGAAGCAGCTTTGAAACTGTGTAACGGGCAGAGGTTGAAGAGTTTGGAGGGCTCAGAAGAAGACAGAAAGACAAGGGGAAATTTGGAACTTCTTAAATATTGGTTAAATGGATGTGATCAAAATGCTGGCAGAAATATAGATAGTAAAGGCCAGGCTGACAAAGTCTCAGATGGAAATGAGGAGCTGATTGGGAACTGGAGCAAAAGCAGCCCTTGTTACCCTGTAGCAAAGAACTTGGCTGAATTGTGCCCATGTCCCAGGGCTTTGTGGAAAGCCATACTTAAGAGTGATGACTTAGGGTATCTGGCAGAAGAAATTTCTTTTTTGTTGTTGTTGTTGTAAATAAAATTTTATTGGAATACAGTGGGTCTCATTCACTTACAGCCCTTACATTCACTTATATATTATCTATACTTACATATTGTCTAGTGCTGTTTTCACCTGCAAGGGAGGAGTGGATTTATTGCAACAGAGATCTTATGGCCCTCAAAGCCTACAGTTTTGAATATAGGGCCCTTTACAGAAATGTCTGCTAGTCCTTTCAAAGAGTCACAGAAAAATATAAAAGGGATGAAGACTACATAACTGACCCCTTTTTCTTTTTTTTTTAATTTTATTATTATTGTACTTTAAGTTTTAGGGTAGATGTGCACAACGTGCAGGTTTGTTGCATATGTATACATGTGCCATGTTGGTGTGCTGCACCCATTAACTCGTCATTTAGCATTAAGTATATCTCCAACAATAAAGCATTCAAGAAGTGGCATGACTACTCTTAGCAGCTTACAAACAGATATGGCAGCAAAGAAGTAATCTAAAGTTGAAATTTATAATTGAAATGGAAGCAGAACATATAAATTTGGAAAATTAGCAGCCTGGCCATGTGGTAGAGAAGGGAAGAGCATTTTCAGGAGAGGAATTTAAGGGTGCTATGGTGCATCAACTTGCTAAAGAGGTCAGCATGACTAAAAGGGAGCCAAGTGATAATAGTCAGAACAATGGGAAAAAGGTCCCAAAGGCATGTCAGAATTCTTTGACTCAGCCCCTCCCATCACAGGCCCAGAGACCTAGGAGGACAGAATGGTTTTAGGGGACAAGCCTGGGGCACTGCTACCTTGTACCACCTTGAGATACTGCTCCTCACATCCCAGCTGCTTTGGCTCCACCCACAGCTTAAAGGGCCCCAGATACTGCTCAGGCCACTTGGCCTTCTGGAGGGTACAATCCATAAGCCTTGGCAGCTTTCACCTAGTGCTAAACCTGAAGGCTCCCAGAATGCAAGAGTAAAGGAGGCTTGGTGCCTTCCACTTAGATTTCAGAGAATGTATTGGAAAGCTTGGGCTCCCAGGAAGAAGCCTGCCACAGCTGTGAAGCCCCCACAGAGAGACTCTACTAAGGTGATACCAAGGGGAAATGTGGGCTTGGAGCTCCCACAGAGAGTCCCCACTAGAGCATTGCCTAGTAGAACCACAGGAGCAGGACCCTACCCTCCAGAACCCAGATTAATAGAGCCACCATCAGCATGCAACCTCAGACTAGAAAAGCCACAAACATTCAACTCCAACCAGTGAGAGCAGCTATATGGGCTGAGCCTGGCAAAGTCATGGAGTCAGGCTGCCTGAGACCTTGGGAGCTCACCTCTCACACCAGTGTGCCCTAGATGTAGGACATGGAGTCAAAAATTACTTTAGAGCTTTAAGATGTAATGTCTGCACTGTTGGGTTTCAGATTGTATGGGGTCTGTTACCTTTTCCTTTTGGCTGATTTGTTCATTTTGGAATGGGAATGTTTACCCAATGCCTGTATTACCATTGTATCTTGGAAGCAAATAACTTGTTTTTGACTTTACAGACTCATAGGTGCAAGGAACTTGCCTTGAGTCTCAGACGAGATTTTGGACTTTTGAGTTGATGCTGGAATGGGATTTGGGGGGACTATTGGGAAAGGATGATTATATTTTGCAATTTGAGAAGGACATGAATATGTGGGAATGGGGTTGAATGATATGGTTTGGATGTGTGTCCCCTCCAAATTTCATGTTGAAAGACAATCCCCAGTGTTGGAGGTAGGGCCTAGTAGGAGGTGTTTGGGTCATGGGAGTAGATCTCTCATGAATGTCTTGGTGCCATCCTCATGGCAATGAGTGAGTTCTCCTTATACTAGTTCCCATGAGAGCTGGTTGTTAAATAGAGCCTGGCACCTCCCTCCCCTCTCTCTTGCTTCCTCTCTTGCCATGTGATCTCTGCACATCATGGCTCCTCTTTCCCTTCTGCCATGAATGGAAGCAGCCTGAAGTTCTCATCAGAAGCAGATGCTGGCACCATGCTCCTTTTACATCCTACTTAACTGTGAGGCAAAAACACCTCTTTTCTTTATAAATTACTCCCCTTCAGGCATTCCTTCATAGCAACACTACACAGACTAAGTCAGGGGCCCTATAGGGATATTGTAAGGCAGGAGAAGAGACCATTCTTTCTCATTTTTGCATAATGCTCCTGGCAACATTGCCCCAGCAACATCAATTTGTTGGTTCCTATCTCCAGTTTCTTTGGCATTCTCACAACTGACTGTTCTTGCCCCTTGAGAGACAACAGCAGCAGCCAAGAGTACACATTCTTCAGAGGTCTGAGGATCAGCTCTGCAGGGCCTCTTCAAGCTCCTGAAATGCTAGCACCAGCCAGGCAGCACCCCTTCCTAGAAGGCTGGGGTTCCTGCCTCCAAGCTTCTAGGTCCTGATAATTACTTCCATTTGTTCCCACCCCTCCCACCCCGTCTTTGGAATGGTAGCTGTTTCCTGCAGGTATTATCTCTGATGATCATCCTGTGTACTTACATAGTTGTCCCGTATTTTAATTGTATCTTATTTTTAAGTTTAAAGATTAGATGTTATTATCTTTATATTCACTTTTTTTATATTCTCAATTTGGATTTTATCCATTATTATTCCTTTTTGCATTTCAGACCTTATGTCTGCCATTATTTTCTCCTGCTTGAATGACAATCCTTTAGAATTTAATGATGATCTACTGATAAAAGCCTTTTATTTTTCTTTGTCTAAAAAAAGTTTTTTTCATTTTTGTTCTTGAAATATAGTTTCCGTGGGTATGAAATTCCAATTTGACAGTTACTTAATCTCAGAATATTAAAGATATTCCACTGCCTTCTGGCTTCAATGGTGGCTATTGGTCTGACATTCATACTTTTATAAGTGTTTGTTAGTCTTTTCCTCTCTGGTTGCTTTGGATATTTTCTGTCTTTGTTAATTCACAGTTTCACCAAGATATATGAAGATGTGGATTTTTCTTATTTTTCCTGTTTGGGATTTATAAGAATTTTATAATGAGGTTTGGGCCTGTCAACAATTCGGGAAAATTCTTATCCATTATCTCTTTGAATAGTTGTGTTCCACCATGTCTTTTAACCTTTTCTTTAATAGATTTTATCTCCCATCTCTGGGCTACATTCTAGATTATCTCTTTAGATCTCCCAGCTCGTGCTATCACAACACATTCCTCTGTGACTCAGCCTCTTGCTTCCCATACTGCAGCGGTGCTGCAGGACCGAGGCTCCCAGTTGCACTTTCTTTTTGTTAATGTGGGCCCTGTCTTATGGCCCTCTCAGGAAACATGAATTTAAGTGGAGTTTGTTCCTGGCACCCTCTCTGTTTCGTAGTCATCTACCTTGCCACGTCCTCCCAATTCTCATTTCCCTCCTCCAGGGACAGTCCAGCAAGTAGTCTGGCCTAAGGAGACATCCAATGAGAGAGTGAAATTCCAGTCTCCTTTTCTAACAGGCTATAACTTCATGAGTGATTCTCTTGAAACTCCCATCTTGGTTTTGACAAAGGGAAGTACCCTCACCCCGAGGGCAATCAGAGAAAGGTTGATGGTAATGGTGAAGGGTCACAACGGCTTACTTTACAGATATAGAGTCACGGACTCTCCCTGAGTTCTCCCATAGTATATACTAAGAGAAGGGAAGGGTAGGGTCTGTTTTTTTTTTTTAATTTCCAGTTCATATTCTTTGCAGTGGAGCAGCTGGCCTCAACTCTAGATGGCTATCTAAACTTAGATTTAGGGTACTATTTAGTCTTTTATTATCAGCTTTAGGCCTTAACTTTAATTCCAGGGAAACAGAAAAATCTCACTCAATATCTAATCACACATTATTTTTGAGAGAAGTTGCTCAACCATTGGGATACTCAACTGTTACTGTCAGTTGTATTCCTAACTTCACTCCTTAATATACTGTGCTTAACTCAAATAATTTAATGAACATGTGTTTAGAAGAATTATTAAATCTTTCTGAGCTCTTAGTTCTGATATAGCAATTTCTTTTATAATTTCTAAAATTCTATCTAAGGGATAGTTTGTTAAACACTTTAAAATGTATGAAATCTATGCAACTCAACAGACCCTATCTTCATCTTGGGTATTCCCTAAAACAGCAGCAAATAAACAAAAACATCTACTTCTGGTGAGCTTTTCAAATTAGAGCAAGTATAAGCACAATCTATTGATTGTCTGGGATGCACACACACTAGCGTCATCCATTAACAATGTTAATTAGAGGAATCATCAATTAAAGTATAGCAAGCCTTGGGCTGAGAATAGACATCACAGAAAACAGTCATGATCTGCTAATTATCTAATCACTAATGGACTTCAGTGAGTTAAACAGCATTTTGACACTCATAAAAACAGTAAAATTTTTAAATAAGATGGCATACGCTTTTTGTAAAACAAGTTAAATAAAACAGAAAAGTATTAGAAAGAACATAAAAATCCCCACAAATCATCTGACCTGGAGGTGAACACTGTGAATATTTTGGTAAACATCTTTATAGACAAATTTTAAAAGAATCACAGTTTGTCATGGTTTTGTGTATCACAAGCATTACCATTTCAGATGCTTCTCAATATTCTCCATAACTTCCTCATATTCTTTCATTTTATAGAAGATTAAAGATTCACCAGTGTCTATTTGCAGACATTTGCATAAGGGAGTAGGGTTAACTTCCGGTAAACTAGAATGTAAAGAGGTCATGGAGCCTATTTAGAAGCATCAGACTTTAAGAGTTGCCTATAATTTTAAGGAAATTCCTGAGCTTTAATGAGGAAGACTGTATCTAAAGGCACAACACAGCAAGTTAGTTTTGCCCTGTTGATCCTATGTTGGTGTTAAATCAGTGGCAAGTCATTTTTGGTTTTCTTCTGTGTGAATCTTTATAGTTCTCTTTATGGTGTCTCCTTTAATTGCTAAGCAGGACTGCCACCTAGCTTCAATTGCCTAAGCTTTCAGAATGTCAGAGCTTCCATTAGATAATGAGTGGCCAACTTGAAGGTCCCTTCAAATGCCTCTATCACTGTCACTTAAAGTGCCTTTATCCCAGGCCAAAGGAGGTCTTCATTTGGCTTTGCTGTATTATCGTTGCAGACAATGAAGATTTTGGAAGAAAAAATAGAATTATTACTCTTTGTGTGATCCGAAGATAACAGGAATGAGCAGCCCCTTTGGCTACCCAGAGGATGGAGCCAAAGGTATGCCATGGTCAAGTATGGTGGGCAGGGACATTCTTTTTCCCCAAGGAGATCTTAAACTTCATACATCACTCACAATACCAGGTATTTTGTAATAGAAATAATTATTTAGTGACTGTCAGAATCAATGATTCTCAACCCTGGCTGCATATTAGAATTATCTGGGAATCTTTTAATCAGTAGCAATGATTACGTCCCACCTCCAGAGACGCTGACTTAACTGTTCCAAGATTCTTCTCAGACATTGGTATTTTTAAGCTTCTCAGTGATTCTGATTAATGCCCACGTTTTCAAACCACTGATTGAAATTAGTAGAAAGGAGAGGAAACCTCATTATATCTATAGTTTAGATAATGAAAGAAGCCAGTCTGGGGCCGGGTGCAGTGGCTCACGCCTGTAATCCCAGCACATTGGGAGGCCGAGGCAGGCAGATCATCTGAGGTCAGGAGTTCGAGACCAGCCTGGCCAACATGGTGAAACCCTGTCTCTCCTAAAATAAAAAATAAAAAAATTAGCTGGGCATGGTGATGTGCGCCTGTGATCCCAGCTACTTAGTAGGCTGAGGCAGGAGAATCGCTTGAACCCGGGAGGCGGAGTTTGCAGTGAGCCAAGATTGCGCCACTGCACTCCAGCCTGGGCAACAAGAATGAAACTCTGTCTCAAAAAACAAAAACAAAAAAAGCCAGTTTGAGCAGATGCTCAAATTTTGAGGAAGGAAAAATGGGAAAAAGTAATATTTTTTTCATCTTAGTCATGGTTCAGTGCTGTTTCCTTATAGCCAGGATGACCATATAATTTATCATCCAAATCAGGACACTTCTGAGAGTTAAAGAAGGAGCTATTAACAATTATGCCAGAACAAAAATTAACTATAACTGTCCAGGCAACTTGGGACCAGTTGTTGCCATGCTTAGGTACATGGCTTGCCTGTCTTCTTGATCTCAATAGTTGCCCAAAGGTAAGCTATACTGTTGTTGATGTTTTAGTATTTGCCCATTGGAAGACTTTTAAGTCACTTTTAAAACTATGTGTCACCATCATATCAAATTCTAGCAGTCATTTTTTGGAAAGTTATTTTTTGTGTGTTTAAAAGATGCATGTTCTCAATATTCTTATTTTACTTCACCACCTTTCTCTTGTAGAAGAGATAGGAAATGCAACCTATATACATTGCCTTAAAAAATTTTTTAACCACTATGGGTACTTTTTAGTACCTCCAGCCAAAGTTAAATGAGACAGAAGTTAGAAACCACTTGCTGTAATTAAGTTTTTAGCTTGTGTGTGGATCTTGCACACACAAACTCAGTCCATTTCCCATTAACAAGGATAATTAAATGTTAATTGGACTTAAGACATTTGTGAATGTATAGTCTTAATTAATTACATTTATTGATTAGCTTTATTCTTCTGGCTAAATGAAATGTCTGTGAGAGCTCTTTAAAGAAGTAGAAAGTGCCATGTAAGTGAAAGACATTATTATATCACTGAAGTTTGTGTTTTAAAACAAATAATCCTAATTTTCCTATGAGATTTGGTTCAATGGGTTTTCAATAGTTTTCTTAACCTGAGAAATATTTCAGCAAATGAAATTTTACTTAGAAGCTCAATATATAAAATAGGTTAAAGACCTGCTGCTTGGGTTGAAGTGGGAAGAGGAAATTGGGGTGGGGACGAGGGGAAGGAGGCAGTACTTTGGCTATTCTGTTCACTCCCCCTCTTTCAGAATAAAGGTATAGGAAGAGAGTGGGAGAGAAACTTTGGGCTTTGAAAATGTATGTTGTGTTCCTAGTTTCAGTCCCAGCTTTCTGCTAAAGCCCAAAATATTAACTTACTTCCAGGGGTTTCCTTTTCAACTGATAGAGGATAACACAGTCTGCCATCTGCCTGCCACTCAGGGATGATATTTGAGCCAAAGATGATAAATATGGCATGCTTTGATTTGCCAATGAGAATTTAACTAAATCTAAAGTACTTTAAGTTTATATAATAAAATTATTACTAATTAACAAAAGAAGCAACAGGCCCAGAGACAGAAAAGAAGACAGAGATTTAGTTGCTGAGTTAAAGAATATTTTAGCAAGAATCTCACTCTCTTCACATCTTCTGTTATTCATAAAGCCAAGCTAATAGATTTACATGATCTTTTACCCAAATTTCCTTCTCTTACAACCACTTTCCCATCAATTGGTGAATGAACAAATTGTGGTATATCCACACAATGGAATATTACTCACTAGTAAAAAACTAAATGAACTTTTGATACACATAACATATCTGAATCTCAAAACCATTATGCTGAAGGAAAGAATCCGGGCAAGAAAAAAACCATACACCCTGTGATTCCATTTATATGACATTTGAGAAAAGATAAATCGAATCCATGGTATCAGAAGGAAGATTAGTGGTTTCCTGGGGCTAGAGGTGGGGAGTATTGACTAGAATGGGGGTGTACTTAGGGGTTTGGGAAATGTTTTGCATCTTAACTGTTAACGCTTACACAAGTTTATACATTTGTCAAAACTAATCAAAATATACACTTAAAATAGGTGCATTTTAGTGTATATAAACTACATGTCAATTTCATTGATTAAAAAGTTTCATTTTCTTTCCAAAGAAAGAAAGGTATGGGAAGAGAGTGGGAGAGAAACTTTGGGCTTTGAAAAGTTTTCTTTCAGTTCTTTCCAAACTGGACAAATACTAGTTTGTTCTTGGCACTGATGCCAGTGGAACAAGATGAAATATTACATTGAAATACTCCTATTCAATATATTGATCAGTTGGTCTGCTGTTATCTCCTAGACACTATCATATCTACTTCTAAAGCTTACACTCTAGATGCGAATGTTATTATTGTTTCTACTTCTATGTTTACTCTTAGCTTCACATTATCCTCTGATTTATTTAATTTTCTTTCATCTAATGCTTTCTATTTTTTAGGATGACATGCAGCCATACAAGCTATATGTACTAGAAGTACAAGGTAGAGTATAAATTTTTTAAATAAAATAAAATAAACTTATTTGGGTTTTTAAAAATTATAGCCAAGAGCAATGTGTATTTTTAACTAACTGTATGTATATGTATGCATGTATATATATCTATATTTGTATATATAATACAGCATGCATCTCACATACACAAACACAATTACTAACCATTAATAGATTTAGAAATCCAATGAAGTTGGTGGATTTGGGAAGATAGTTCATAACTGTGAGAGGTTCAATAAATGAAATATTTGCTGTGTTCTATGAGTCTTCTCCTAAAATAGAAACTGATCAAATAGGATTAACAGTGGACACCCTGTAGTTGAGAAACTTGGCAAAAAATAACTCTAAAAAAACTCATTAGAAAAACATAGTATGGATTTAGATGTCGCTTTTCATGTTACTAGTAGCAATGGAAGTGAGTAACAATAAGCCCTGCTCTTTCCTGGAATCAAAGCTATCTCATGACACCAATGAAATGTGTTGTTTAAAGGAGATTTGCTGCTGGGAAGAATGCCCAAAGAAAAGTAAATAAATAAAGTTTCAGATATGGAATTGAGGGAACAAATTTAGGAAGAACCCTTATTAAGTACTTTCATATCTTATATATGAAATATATAGAAATATGTCCTTGTAATAAGGATAAAAAACATACAATTCTATTTGAAGGTACAGATGGTGCCTGTGTGTGACTGAGCTAGCAATTGGCAGTGCAGACATGTTAATAAAATTAAAATTATCTAAGAAAATATCAAGTTCAAAATTTGTTCAAAATCCAAAAAAGGAAACTAAACAAATGATACAATATAAAACATATAGCAACAACTGCAATCTACAATTTTTGCATCAATTAAAATGCTAATTTTTTGTATGTTGAATACCTTTCCTTTAACTTTTTCATAAACATAAATGCTCTATTGGCAAGTACATTAATTTCTCTTTCCTTCACCATGAATAGTCATAAAGAAATATGATTATCACATAAACACTTTTCTTTCCTTACGTTCAAAGTTCAATAAACTAGGGCCAGGCATGGTGGCTCACGCCTGTAATCCCAGCACTTTGGGAGGCCAAGGCTTTTCTTTCCTTAAGTTCAAAGTTCAATAAACTAGGGTCGGGCTAATTTTAGCTGGGTTAATTTTAGCTGGGCTCACGCCTGTAATCCCAGCACTTTGGGAGGCTGAGGCGGATGGATCACATGAGCTCAAGAGTTCGAGGCCAGCCTGGTCAACATGGCAAAACCCTGTCTCTACTAAAAATGCAAAAATTAGCCGGGAGTCATGGCATACCCCTGTAATCCCAGCTACTCGGGAGGCTGAGGCAGGAGAATCACTTGAACCTGAGAGGTGGAGGTTGCAGTGAGCCGAGATCATGCCACTGCACCCCAGCCTGGGCGACAGAGTGAGACTCCGTCTCAAAAAAAAAAAAAAAAAAACAAAAAGGTAGTTATAAACTAAAATTAAATTTCAAATGTTGAAATGTGCAACAAAACTTAGGATCAATATTATCCCTACCGTTGACCCTTGCTACTTCAAGTGTGGTCCACAGATGGACCAGAAGCATCAATATCACCTGAAAACTAGAAATGTAGACTCTCAGGCCCCACCCCAGCCCTGTTGAATCAGAATCTGCATGTTAACAGGAAATTCGTGGAATTTGAATGCAGTTTACCATGAGAAGCCCCGTCCTAAACCAGTAATATAACCAGAATTATTCACAAAATGGCTAAACAACCATTCCAGTGTGCCCTATGTCTGAAACTTTCAGTGCTAAAATTGGGAAAATCCCAGGCAAATCCAGATAAGACGGTCACCCCAGAATTGATCAAAATTCAAGTTTAGAATTGAGGAGGAAAAAAATACGGATGTGGAGAAATTACATCCTGGTCAATTTCCATTCATGTTAGCTCTTCTCCTGTAGCCTGTTTCCACTCACTAATTTTAAGTAATAATAAAATAAATGAAATGAGGAACAGCTTTCTGCTCTCTGTGATGTTGAAATCTGAGAGCTCTTTAGGTCCTCCTATAAATCAAAACATGAAAACCAGGGTCAAAGGCCTAAGAGATAAAACCTGCTTTGTCAGTAAACTTCTTGCCACTGGCTAAAATATTTGATAGTTTCAAGCAAGGTATTCTGTTCTATTCCTTTCCTGGTTTCTCATTCAGGATTGTTGAGCTGTACCTCTGGCCTGTGTGTGATTATCTTATAGTTGAAAAACCTCCAAGGAAGGCCACCTGGGATAGAACTGTTTGCTCTCATTAGCTGAGAAAACAAAGCTCTGTTTATTCCTCTTGCTAGTGTCAGGGGAACTCTGGTTTAATTCCAACATAGGTCTGGGTGTTGATTTCACACAAAGGGATTACCCTATGCATCAGTGAAAATTCTAAGGTACCCTCAAAGGAGACATTTGACTCAACACTGTGTGACTAGGGAAAACTGGGTGTACATAATACATCATAATTTTCTTTTAACACATGTGATTAGCAAATCGTTATAAAGTCAGATCAAGTACATAAGATGCCAATAATATTGTCTCATCTATCATGGACATGGATATTTATATTGAAATCATCCCTGATACATGTCTCTTTTGTACGGTGCTGACCTCCTGTGAGTGTGGAATGGGTAGTCACTCATTAAAGTAGTTGCCGCCAGTGCTCTACCCATAACCTCTTCAATCTCTTCGCCATGTTCATGCTTTCTAGCTCCCTGAAGGCTTTCATTTCCAATATCTACATTTCTTAGTTGGATGACTGCTCTCAGGCAGTTGAAGCCTGATTTGCCCAGCGATATAAAGAGCTGGAAATGCCTGGGGGCCTGTGTCCCCTGAGAGCAGCCCTTAACCAATCAGTGACAGACAGTGAAAAGAAAAAAATATTCTACCCCCCTTGCCACCTGTAGGGGACAATTCTGAGATGTGTTTCACATGGTCTCCATAACTCCCCTATGAGATTGACCCAGAGCAATATTCTCTGGAACCTTGTTTGCTGTCACACCCTGGCTTAGCCTCCTTCTTTTTCTTGTCCCATTTTTCATTTAGTATACTGCCTTTTCGTGGAAATACCTGCTAATAATTCATGATCACATGAATCCTTGTCTTACGGTCAGCCTCTGGGGCACTGAAACTAAGACATTCATGTTACATAATTTGAAGAGCATTTAAATCTCTTCTGTCTTAAAGAGACAGACTGTCTATAAAAATAGATATACAAATGAACCTCAAGCACATGCAAGGATGCTCTACTTAATCATGGTAAGATAAACACATCCAAATTTAAACTACACAGAGATACTATTTCTCACCCATTCAGGGGCAAAACGAATCTCAAGGTTTGACAACATACTCCATTGGTGATGTTGTGAGGAAACAGGCATTCTCATTGGAAGTGCAATGTTTCTGGAGAAGAATTTGTAACATTAAAAAAATTACATATGTATTTATCCTTTGACCAGCAATTTCATTTCTAGAAGTCTAGGAAAAATTCAAGATGACATATACCAAAAACTTCACTTCACCACTATTTGTAGTAGCACAAGCTTGGAAATAACCCAAACGACCCTCAAGGAGACTGGTTGAATAAACTATGCTACATCTAATCAATGAAGGACTAGTTTATGTTGAAAAGAATGAGGACGATCTCTTTATACCATTGTAGGTAATCTCCAAGATATACTGTTAAAACCAAAAAAAGCAAGGTGAAGTAAAATACGTATAGCTTGCCACCTTTGGCACAAAAAAGGTCTTGGGACACACACACACACACACACACACACACACACACTTGCTTCAATAAGAAACAATGGAAGGAAAAAATTAATAAAGAAATATTACTTAGAGGAGGGGGAAGGAAATATGTGGGGATATGTGAACAAGAACAATGAAGGAAGTTAGGACTCTCTGAATGTACCTTATTCTATAATTTTGACTTCAGAATCATAGAATAATTTTTACACAAAACCAAAATTAAATTAGATTGTAGTGATGAAATCTAATTATAGTTCAGTTTGGTGGCACAACCACAGAAGTACTATTTCAAGTGATTTTTAAATGAAACCCTTTTAACCCCCTTAAATTCTTTGAGGAATATATCCTAAAGACCAAATAACCTCAAAGAAATCTTACACTACACTCAATAGTCTTGTTTTTAATAATAATATTGTTATTTTTGAGACTATGACATATAAAGCAGGAAAATCAAATGATCAGTTATTAATATGTTAATATTATTAGGATATTTTCCATTTAAGAGAAAAGGGATACACATCTAAAATAAGTTAAAAACCCAGTAATCTTAAATTTTTCCTTGGAACTAACAGTATAAACTCATGATTTGCTTTTCACTTTCTAAAAATGTACACATTTTGTAATTCTCTTCACTGAAAAAATGTAGAAGCAATGAAAATCCTGTAGAAACTAGAATCCCTAATGTCCCAATTATGGTCTCTAAATAGCATTTGCCACAAAAAGGAATCAGGGCTCCTTAGAGTAATGTTTGGTTCCACGTCTGGAGCAGAAATATATAAAAAGAATCTGAGACATCACATTGTTCCACAGAGCAAGGAAGCTATTGAAGCCTATTGAGGTCATGACAAAAAGGCAACAGCATGAGGGGGCTACTGCTGGTGAAAGATGGGACAATTTGAGCATCAAAAGAAATAACGAAGCACACCAGATATGTACATATTTATGAATTCACAATATTATTTGAAAAAAGGGAGGCTTCTTTGGAGGTTACTAGAACATCAACTCTTCTGAAAAATCAATAAAGAGACATAATCAAACATTTATTCTATTTCTTGTACAAGCTATACTTTAGGTAATGACATAATTGGTGCTTGGCATTTCTAGCAGCAATCATCAAAACCTATTAACATCATTAGGTGGATGTCAATGGGGACCTTTATAATGGAAGAAACAGACTTACAACACCTGAACCCAATGTCATCAGTCAGGTCACAGAAGGAAACAATATGGCACAGCCAAATAAGACAGTTGAGGACAGTTTAATAAAAAGACTGCTTATCATGGTATGGAAGTGTTTAAGGAAAACCAACAAGGAATAATGAGGTACCCTAGGAGTCCCACAAGGATGCCATTATTGCTTCTCGACCTTTTGGCTAAGACAAAGTGTAGTGGAGAAGGATGCCACTAACCCAGAGCTTGAAGAGGTAAAGGGAGCAATTACTGGAACATAGAGAGACAACTGTAGCTATAAGAGAAGGCCAAGCAATGGGAGTTGTGGCCTTTGGTGGAGAAATACAACCACTGCCAACCTGTGGCAACTCAGAAGAGAAGAAACCAAGGGAATAAATACTCTGACTTCACTCCATTCCCATGCAATGATCTACATGTGTCTACCGTTAGACAGCCAGGAATCAGAAGACAAAGTATTCTGTTGATGCAATCTATAAAAGTCAGCTCCTGGGGCAAAGAGCATGGTAGAGAGGAGTGAAGAGTATAAATAGGAAAAACATATCTGACATGCAAGCGATAAATCCTTTCAGTACCAGTCTGAATCTTCAATAGACCCAACCAAAAGACCAGACTTCATAAGGATGCTCCCAGCATTTAGGATTTTTGAATTCTTCCCTCACTTTGAAAACCAATAAGAAGCAGGCTGATGTTGCCATCAATTCCAACAGAGTCCTCAGGATAGAGGCCATAGGGACCCTATTTGTTCATCCCATTTTCCAGCTGGCACACTAAAACACCCACAGTGAGATGCAAGATTTGGTTAGAATTCTGAGCTTCAGGAACTCCAGAAAAGGATAAAACTTGTAACAAATTCAATCTGTCTGGCCCCTTGCAGCTCCTTTAAGTTGATTTTAAACATAAAATTATCTTCAACAAAATCTTGGCAAAATTTTAAATCTTTCTTCCTCTCTAACTAATTATTTCAGAGTTCCTATCCTTTCTACCCATGAAAAAAACCTAATGACTTTTGTCACTTGATAACTAGGGTGAACTCTCAACAAACTAGGTATAGAAGGAATATACCTAAAATCACTAAAGGCCATATATGACAAATCCACAGTCAACATCATATTGAATGAGGAAAAATTGAAGGTCTTTCCTCTAAGATCTGAAACAAAACAAGGGTGGTGCTTTTACCACTGTTACTTAACATGGAACTGGAAGTCCTAGCCAGAGCAATTAGGCAAGAGAAAGAAATAAAGGGCATCCAAATTGGAAAGGAAAAAGTAAAATTAGCCTTGTTCACAGATGACATAATCCTATATTAGGAAAACTAAATACTCTACCAAAAAAAAAAAAAACCCTGTTAAAACTGATAATTGAATTCAATGACATAGCAGGATACAGAATCGCCATACAAATATCAGTAGCATTTCTACATACCAACAGCAAAAAAATCTGAAAAAGAAATCAAGAAAGCATTCCCATTTATAATAGCTACAAAAAAATACCTAGAAATAAAGTTAACCAAAGAAGTGAAATATATCTATAATGAAAACTACAAAACACTGATGAAAGAGGTCAAAGAGGAAACAAAGAAAAAAAAGATATCCCATTCTCATGGATTGGTAGAATTAATATTATTAAAATGTCCATACTATCCAAAGTGATCTGTAGATCCAATGCAATTCCTATCAAAATACCAATGACATTCTTAATATAAATGGAAAAAACATCCTGAAATCTGTATGAAACCACAAGAGACTGTGAATAGCTGAAGCAATTCTTAGCAGAAAGAACAAAGCTGGGGCATAACACCATTTGACTTAAAAATGTACTACAAAGCAATGGTAATCAAAACAGCATTGTACTGACATAAAAACAGATACATAGACCAATAGAACAGAGTAGAGAACCCGGAAATAAATCCATGTATTTACAGCTAACTCATTTCCTGCAAAGGCACCAAAAACTTATATTTGGGAAAAAAAAAACAGTCCCTTCAAAAAATGATGCAGGGAAAACTGGATATCCATATGCAAAAGAATGAAACTAGACCTCTGTTTCTCATCATATACAAAAATCAACTTAAGTCAGGTGCGGTGGCTCATGCCTATAATGACAGCACTTTAGGAGGCCTAGGTGGAAGCATTACTTGAGTCCAGGAGATTGAGACCACCCTGAGTAATATAGGGAGATCCTGTCTCTACATACAAACACACACAAAATTAAAGTGTTATCCAGGCATGGTGGCATGTGCTTGTAGTCCCAGCTACTTGGGAGGCTGAGGTAGGATGCAGTGAGCCATGATCATGCCACTGCACTCCAGCCTGGGTGACAGAGCAAGACGCTGTCTCAAAAAAAAAAAAAATCAACTTAAAATAGATTGACTTAAATGTAAGACCTGAAACTATGAAACTACTAGAAGAAAACATTAGAGAAACACTTCTGGAAATTGATCTGAGTAAAGATTTTGGGGCAAGACCATAAAAGCACAGATAACAAAAGCAAAAATAGACTAATGGAATTACATCAAACTAAAAAGCTTCTGCACAGCATGGAAAACGATCAACAGACTGAAGAGAAAACTTACAGAATGGAAGAAAATATTTTCAAGCTATCCATTTCGCAAGGGGTTAATAACCAGAATTTGTAAGAAACTCAAACAACTCAATAGCAAAAACAGAAAACAAAAATAATCCAATTAAAAATGGGCAAATGATCTGAATAGACATTTCTCAAAAGAAGACATACAAATGGCCAAGAAGCATATGAAAAATTGTTTGATATCACTCATTATCAGAAAAATGCAAATCAAAACCACCATGAGATCTTATCTTACTTCAGTTAAATGGCTATTACCAAAAAGACAAACAATAACAGATGCTGATGAGGATGTGGAGAAAAGGTAATGCTTTTACACTGTTGGTGGGAATGTTAATTAGTACAGTCACTATGGAAAACAGTATGGAGTTTCCTCAAAAAACTTAGAACTACCATATGATTCACATATCTGACTCCTGGGTATATATCCAAAAGAAAGGAAGTCAATTTAGCAAAGAGATATCTGCACTCCCATGTTTGTTGCAGCACTGTTCATAATAGCCAAGACATGGAATCAACTTAAGTGTCCATCAAAGGGTGAATAAATAAAGTATGGTATTCAATAAGATTCAAGCTGAGAGCCAAATCGGTAAAGAAATCCTAGATAACACAAACAAACGCAAAAACATTCCATGATCATGAATTGCAAGGATCAATGTAGTTAAAATGGCCATATTGCTTAAAGCAGTCCACGGATTCAATGATATTCCTTTCAAGCTACCCATGTCATTTCTCACAGAAATTAAAAAAAAAAAACTATCCTAAAATTCATATGGAACCAAAAAGGAGCTCTAATAGCCAAAGCAGTACTAAGGAAAAGAAGAAAACTGAAGTTGTCTCATTACTCAACTTCAAACTATACTACAAGTCTTCAGTAACCAAAACAGCATGGTACTGGTACAAAAACAGACACATAGACCAATAGAATGTCATAGAGGACCCAGAAATAAAGCCATACAACTGTAGCCAACTGATCTTTGACAAAGTCAACAACAATAAGCAATGGGGAAAGGATTCCATATTCAACAAATGGTGCTGGGATAGCTGGCTAGTCATATGCAGAAGAATGAAACTGGCCCCCTACCTTTTACCATATACAAAAATTAACTCAAGAAGAATTAAAGATTTAAGTGTAAGGCTTCAAACTTTAATAATCCTAGAACAAAACCTAGCAAATACCTTTCTGGATATCAGCCTTGGGAAAGAATTTATGACCACATCCTTAAAAACCATTGCAGGCTGGGTGCGGTGGCCTGTAATCCCAGCATTTTGGGAGGCCGAGGTGGGTGGATCACTTGAGGTCAGGTGTTCAAGACCAGCCTGACCAACATGGTGAAAGCCTGTCTCTACTAAAGAAAAAATACAAAATTAGCCGGGTGTGGTAGCGCATTCCTGTAATCCCAGCTACTTGGGAGGCTGAGGCAGGAGAATCGCTTGAACCCGGGAGGTGGAGGCTGCAGTGAGCCAAGATCGTGCCATTGTACTCCGGCCTGGGCAGCAAGAATGAAACTGTCTCAAAAAAAGAAAAAAAAAAAGCAATTGCGACAAAAACAAAAATTGAAAAGTGGGACCTAATTAAACTAAAGAGCTTGTGCACAGCAAAAGAAACTATCAACAGAGTAAACAACCTACAGAGTGGGAGAAAATATTTGCAAACTGTGCATCTGCATCTGACAAAGGTCTAATATCCAGAATCTATAAGGAAATTATACAATTGAACAAGCAAAAAACAACCCCACTGAAAAATGGACAAAAGACATGACCAGACACTTCTCAAAAGAAGACATACAAATGGCCAGCAAACATATGAAAAAATTATCAGCATCACTAATCATCAGAGAAATGCAAATCAAAACCACAGTGGGATACCATCTCATACCAATCAGAGCCGCTATTATTAAAAAGTCAAAAAATAGCAGATGCTGGCGAGGTTGCAGAGAAAAGGGAATGCTTATATGCTGTTCAAGGAAATGTTAGTTCAGCCACTGTGGAAAGCAGTTTGGAGATGTTTCAAAGAACTTAAAAATAAAAGAGAATTGCCATTTGACCCAGCAATCACATTGGCTGGATATATACGCAAAAGAAATACATCGTTTTACCAAAAGACTAATGCACTCATATGCTCATCACACCACTATCCACAATAGCAAAGACATGGAATCAACCCATCAGCGTGGATTGGATAAAGAAAATGTGGTTCATATACACCATGAAATACAATGAAGCTATCAGATACAACGGAGTCATTTCCTTTGCAGCAACATGGATGCAGCCGGAGGCCATTACTCTAAGTGAGCTAACACAGGAACAGAACACCAAATACCACATGTTCTTGCTTATAAGTGGGAGATGAACAATGGGTATTTGTGGACAATAGACACTGAAGACTACTGGGGAGGAGGTAGGAGGGGAGCAGGGGTTGAAAAACTACCTATTGGGTACTATGCTCAGTACCCGGGTGATGGGATCAATTGTATCCCAAACCTCAGCATCATGCAATATATTCAGTTCACAAACCTGCACATGTACCTCCTGAATCCAATATAAGAGTTGAACTTATTTTTAAAATGTGGTATATATACACAATGGAATATTATTTGGTCAAAAAAGAATGAAATTCTGTCATTTTCAGCAACATGAATGGAACTGGAATACATTATATTAAGTGGAATAAGCCAGGCACAGAAAGATGAATATTGTGTGTTCTCACCCATGTGCGAGCTAAAAAAGTTGATCTCATAGAAGTAGAAAGTAGAATGATGGTTGCCAGAAGCTGAGAAGGGTAATGGGGAAGGGAGGATGAAGAGTGGTTGACTACTGGATATAAAAATACAGTTAGATAAGAAGGAATAAGTTCTAGTGTTCAATAGCACAGTGGGGTGACTATAGTTAACAGTAATTTACTATATATTTCAAAATAGTTGGAGATTCGAAATGTTCCAACACAAAGAAATGATAAATGTTTGAAGTGATGGATATCTTAATTACCCTGATTTGATCACTACGCATTGTATGCATGTATCAAAATATCACATGTACCCCATAAATATGTACAGTTATTATGTATCAATAAAAATCTTTAAAAAATAACTAGGGTAATCATAATATACAGTCAATTTTCATTATTCATGGATACTGTATTTACAGATTTGCTTGCTTGCTAAAATGTATTCATAACACCAAAATCTATACTTGTGGTGCTTTTGCCATTGTTCATAGACATGCTCAGAGTGACAAAAAATTTTACCCACTCAACATGCATTCTCCTTGCTTAGGTTGAACAAGGTGACACCCTGCCTATTTGTTTCAGCTCTTACACTGTAAACAAGTGTTCTTTTCATGGTCTGTTTAGTGCCACATTTTCCTCATTTTTGTGCTTTTACTTAATGATTTTGCTGTTTAAAGTGGCCCCTATATATAGTGCTGAAGTGCTGCCTATTGCTCATAAACACAAGAAGGCTATAATATTTCTTTTTTTTTTCTTTTTTTCTTCTTTTTTTTTTTTTTTTGAGATGGAGTCTTGCTCTGCCGCCCAGGCTGGAGTGCAGTGGCGCCGATCTCTGCTCACTTCAAGCTCCGCCTCCCGGGTTCACACCATTCTTCTGCCTCAGCCTCCTGAGTAGCTAGGACTACAGGCGCCCACCACCACACCCGGCTATTTTTTTGTATTTTTACTAGAGACGGGGTTTCAACATGTTAGCCAGGATGGTCTCGATATCCTGACCTAGTGATCCACCCGCCTTGGCCTCCCAAAGTGCTGGGATTACAGGTGTGAGCCACCGAACCCGGCCTATAATATTTCTTAAAAAGAAAATGTATATGTCAGATAAGTCTCCTTCAGGCGTGAGATAGTGCTGTTGGCCGTGAGCTCAGTGTATAATCTATAACTATATGTTAATGTATAATGAACCAACAATATACATTAAATAAGGTGTCTTTAAACAAGAACACACAGAAAACAAGGTAATGTATTGATTGGTTGATAAAAATGTTACCAGAGCCTTGCAGGAACCTGACCTTATGTTTTCCCTAGGAGTGATAGTTCAGTATTCACCAATTTGGTGTTTGCAGTGAATTTATAGAACATAACTACTGTGCATAAAAAGAATAGACTCTATTAAATAAAATACTCTGGGAAGTGAAAGATGGCTGGTATGGACAACAGATACAAGCTGCGGCTGCCCTGGACACCCCACTAGTAAGATTATATCTAATGTGTTGTAGCCAGCTCCCACTAACCTGCAGAACTGATTGTGGGCACCCCTTTCCAACTTCACATTCATTGATTCCACATTGCTAGCTTGATATTGGCCATTGTGGGATTATTTACACCATGGAAATAGTCAAACCCTGTAAATCATGGATTTTTTCCCCCTGGGAGAGCCAGTTGCTAAACATTTACCAGCACACTACTGACTATAACTCTTCCTTTCTGTAATTCTCCCCTCAAATTTTTCACCAGTTGGAGGGGTCTTTCCTCAAGTCATTGATTATCCCATATACTGCCTAGAAAATGGAATTAATTTCTTTCTCTAGTTAATTCCTTTTTTGAACACTTCTTCTCAAGTGGAATTGACTAGGAAGCCCCAAATATCCCAAACATAACCATGACAAAATGTGATGAATGATCTAGATCTCACCAAATATGTTGAATTACAGGGAAGCTACCACCAATGATATCAGCTGCCTGCAGCACTGAAGAGAGGAATGCTAAGGCAGATGCCTGGAAGTGTGTGGCAAAACCCCATGCTTTTTGTCTTTGTCTGCTGATGCCCATTGCCTTCCATTGTGGAATAATAGCTCCTCCTTCATTCCACTTTCAATGTCTCTCATATCAAACTCTAACTGGAACTATGATGGCAAAAGAATCTGGGAAATATAATTTCCAGGCTTTCAGTCCTTGTGGTACAAGAGAGAACTTAGAAGGTGTGGATAATAATGAATATCAGTAAACCCTATGTGACATAGAAGGTAAATAACTCTGATATTAATATATATTAATAAATTATTCAATAAATGTTTCCTATGTGCAAAGCAATGTGCTAGAGCAATAATTTTCAAATTATGGGTAAAAATCTAATTGGTTGTAATATAAATTTACTATGTTGTGTTCAATATTATTTCTTAATACAATTAAAGCAGAATAGAAGAGAAATATCAAAGTGCATCACACGTAGTATGAGTAAATTTTTTTTGTAAAACTTTTAGATAGATATATGTATGTATCTACTTGTTTGCTAAGTAAAATGCATTTCTTACTGTCAATTACAGACAAATAAAGTTTTTTTAAAAAAACTCTGCTGGCCGGGCGCCGTGGCTCATGCCTGTAATCCCAGCACTTTGGGAGGCCGAGGCGGGCGGATCACGAGTTCAGGAGATCGAGACCATCCTGGCTAACACGGTGAAACCCCGTCTCTACTAAAAATACAAAAAATTAGCCGGGCGTGGTGCCGGGCGCCTATAGTCCCAGCTACTCGGGAGGCTGAGGCAGGAGAATGGCGTGAACCCGGGAGGCGGAGCTTGCAGTGAGCCAAGATTGCGCCACTGCACTCCAGCCTGGGTGACGAGCGAGACTCCGTCTCAAAACAAACAAAAACAAACAAACAAGCAAAAAAACAAAAAAAGTTGCTTTAGAACAGGGATCAAAAAGCCTTTTCTGTAAAGGGCCAGATAGTAAATATTTGAGGCTTTGAGAACCATACAGTCTCTGTTGGAGCTACTCAACTCTGCCTCTGTAGTGTGAAAACAGCATATATAATAAATGAATGGGCATGACTGTGTTCCCGTAAAACTTTATATACAACAACAGGTAGGTGACCAGTAAGATGTGACTAACAAGCCATAGTTTGCCAACTCCTGATTTACAGCGGTGCTTCTCAAACTATCTGCATTAAAGCACCAGTTTTGTTGTTCTTTTTATTCCTAATTAATTGCAAGCCAGACCAATACATGGTTCTGCTGCCCAGGGCAAGTATACAGTTCACACCACATGCAAGTCATTCTAGCCAGTTCAACAACACTCAATCTGGCCTATGCCTTGTTCTACTAGACGAGCATACTCATCATGCACTTAGACAGTATGGTAATAGTACATTTCTATAAAAGATCTTAAATATTTACTGTTAATGTGTGTTCTTATCTTGTTGCAAACTGGCAACCAACTGTTCCCAGACCAGCTCCTCCCCATGAACCACATTTCACTGCTTTAGAAAATACAAAGAAATAAAAGATACTGCCATTGTATTCAAAAGGTTTGTAAGCTAATGGAGATGAACTTGTTAACAAAGAGCAATAATACAAGGTAGAATACAATGGGTGCTCTAATACAAAAGCTAGCTCATAGCACTCAAAGTACATGAACATATTTTTCCCAAACCTAATTTACCTGTCTGGAATGGCATATGCCATTTACAAAATTTCAAATAAATTATTTAATGCGTATCAGCCATTATTAAAACTTTGTATTTGATAATAAGATGTATGTGTGTGTATCAGAATTATACATATATATAAAATAATTTTTTACCATCATTTTTGTTTTGAAAGGTGCTCTGTGAAATTTAAGAGGAAAAAGTACTCTCATAGACATCATTATGAACACCTCTTTGTGAATGAAGACTTGGAAAACATCCAACTCAATTACTGCTGGAGCTGCGGTTGACCAACTAGAGACAGAAGCTATTGTTATTTCCATGTCAAATGGCTTGCTTCTGTCTCCAGTGAGAACCATTACTCTCCATATGCTAGTAGCAAAACAATTTAGGAAATATTTTTAGATTTATTAATATATAATATGGTAGATGAGAGCCAGATTATAGTGCGATGGAGTCAAACTTCTTGACATGAAAGTTTCTGGCAATTCCCCCTCCCCATTCCCTCGAAAATGGACTGTTTTCTTGCTATTTCTTTTTCTGCCCAGCAAGGAGGGACTTCTGATGACAGACTTGTTTGAGAGCTTCTATGCTGGAGAATCAGAAGAAAATGGTGAAGCAGGGTGTGTGATCAAGAGTTGCATGGAATCCTGATTTGCCTAGATCCATGCAAGCATGGGTTGCTGATGTCAACTTCAATTTTAGTTATGTGAAATGTACTCCTTTGAAAGATAACACTATGTGAGGGATGGTTTTATAACAGTAATATTGTTGCCTTTAAACTAGTAACATTAACTAGCAACGTTTTACCTTGTCGTTTTCCTCCCTCAAAGTACTCAATGTTTGAAGCTAGATCTTCAAAATCTGTCAGAGCTACTTTTTTTTTGATGAATGCAAAACCAACATGGATAATGCTGAAAGAATCCCATGAGTCATAGATTTTAACACTATTTTTGGCTCTTATAATATTGACTCAATTAAAATTTGGGCATTTTCCCCTTTATAAGAACCTATGAAATGAGGAAGAGATAATCAATATAATCTCAGTTTTACAAACAGATAAATTTAGATGCAAGAGATTAGATACTTGATCTAGAGTCACTTGGTGAATTGGGTCTCCTGATAAATTAAATTACAAAACTGGCATGGACTCACAGAACTTTTTGTCCCAAAGAGAATGTCTAGATGATTTTGACAATTGGAACAGCTACAGACAAGAATGAAGAGAAGCTTCA
Source organism: Homo sapiens (assembly GCF_000001405.40). Lineage (NCBI taxonomy): Eukaryota > Metazoa > Chordata > Mammalia > Primates > Hominidae > Homo > Homo sapiens. Next base: position 38,439,884 of record NC_000023.11, on the reverse strand, counting down.
ATCAGCTACTGATGTTCCAGCAGGCTCCTCATCCTAATATCCTGCCATGAACACCAGCATGCTCCACAGAGACATTACTCTTGAAGAAGGATCATTTGGGACTTTTTGCGCTTTGAACAAGGCTTCACTCCACCTATATCCCAGACCCCCACCTCCAGCTTCTCCTCTGCTCACATATTACCCAAGAAATGTCATACTCTTCACTACTTTAAGTTGGACTCACAACTGGGGGGATTTGGGACAATGCATTTTTATAAATAAAATTTTTATTCTATACAGTATGTTTTGAGGGGAAAAGACCCAGGAAATATTACCAGGACAAAAATGGGACAGAAAGAGGACAGAGTATGAATTTTGCTTGAGTTTATTTTTTATTATGCCATGAAATAGAAAGCTTGGAACTATTCTTGATGGCATACCCATGAATAAATGGGTCAAGGAGGAGCACTCTGAATCAGTCCTGTCACTAATCAGAGAAGGGGAAGTTGCCAGGCTCTGAAATACTTCCCCATGGGCAACAGATCTATTAGGTAGATATCGTCCCTCTCCCTGCTGGCAGAACACGATTAATATCATGGGAAAAGCTCAAGGATGATTAGGAAGCACACATTTTATTTTTAAAAAGCCTAACTGTCTAAAACCTGAAATGTATGTATTTAATTTTCTCCAGAAATGGTTTGCAATCATCTTCCCTTGTCACTGCATTTTTCAGGATAGAGAAAGCTCATGCCTTTGTGTTTGTGGTACACTTCAAGTTCTTGGAGTGACTAATAGCACTGCATTCTTGGATGATTCAGGTAGGACATTTAGTATTGTTAATGTATTATTTTAATAAGTAAATTTAAGGCAGACTATTTCTCCAACTTAATTGCCTTTGTGAAATTCCACTGAGTCTTCCTAGTTTATATAATAAGGCTGACTCTGTTGGAAGGGTGACCTGCCTGCCTGGCCAGAGGGAAGATAAATCGCTTTTTGGCCTAAACTTACTGCCATCATTGATTTATTTTCTCAGATGCTTCAGCACAATCTTACTTACCTAGATCAAGGATACTGCAAGAAAGAAAGCATTGATCTGGGTCAAGAATGGCTCCATATCGTGTTTCTGGTTTTTCTAAGGCAGGAATGCAAACTCAGCATCTGGCAAATGGGTTGTATACAACCTTTTTTAGGTCATAAACCTTTTGAATATCTGATGAAAGCTGTGTTGATCCAGGTCCTCTGAGATGGGATTAACTGTGCAAGAGAGTCATTGAGGGAAAGACCTGTGACGGAAAATGGTGAGAGAGAGGTGGTTAGGAGTGCCATCCGATTCTTAGGGTAGGCTAGGAGTGCCATCAGACTGAGAAGGAGATTCTGACCCCCGGTGGAGGAGAGATGAAATGAAGGTAGGCTAGGTGGAAGTGCCTTAGACTTTAATGCATGTCTAAGAAACTTTTGGCAAAGCTGATAAGGAGTCCTCAGGCCACAGGGGCAGGTCAGAGGAGTCCTGCATCTCCCATTGAGGCACCTGCCCTAGTGTCCCTGCCGCACTTACTCACGGCTGAGAGCAGCTGGTGGGGGGCATGGCTTCAATGAGCTGACGGATTTCAGAGCAGCAGTAGGTCAATTATAATCCTGATAGTCGGGTCTGAGAGGGACATTCTCATGGCTGGCACAGTCTCCTTGCACTGCACAGATCTACTTTGCCACACAAGGTCAGGGAGCAGATCCTTCATGGTTTCCATGAACCTCTTTTTCTGAGGAAAAAACTTAGTAAACGAAGGTTAATAAGACGAATTACAACCCCTGTTCTGCAGCAGGTCTTGGGGCTGCCTCTTCCTCAACTGTCACCTGTGCAGGTTTTACTGGCTTTCCCTGATGGTTTAATCCAAATCTTCTTTCCTGAGATGTCTGAGCCCTTGGGAATCATACGCTTCTGAAGTTGCAGTCACCACACTTGCCCATTCAAAGTCATAAATGGGCAAGAGAGTACCTGGAGGCACAAAAGTGTATTATCTGGGCAACACACACACATTCCTCCATGCTCCCATTGTATAAAAACAGCCCTACTTCCTCCTGATGATTGGCATCAATTATTGCCATAATTGTGACCCCTCTTCTTGCCTTCTGGCCCCTGGACACAAGTAGTTCTAAGTGTCCTGGTGGCAGCCATAGCTTAGAGTTCCATGGGACCCTTCCTACATCCCTTGGCAAGAATGTGCCCTCTTTGAGGAACATAACCACCAACTCTGCAGAACCCAGAGTTGATGGGACAGGAAGCACAAAGTCCTCCAATGGTAAGTGAGGCCACTCATGCTTCCACCCTTTGTCCTCTGGATCTATGTATTTTTTCCTACTGCGAACACAGCACCAGATAAAAGTCTCATATTTAATACATACACTGTGTCCTGAAGGATGATGCCTCCTTCTTTCAGAGTGTTGCTTTCAAAGCAACAATTTAGTTACCCCTTTCAAAGACCATTCCAGCATTGGTTGAGGCCAGCTGCCTCTGGACACTGTGGTACCTGATATGACCAGTGAATCTCATTATCATGGGGTCATTCTCACCCCTCCTTTGCAGTAACATGAGTCTTCTGGTCAGATGTTATGTGGCATGGGATTCCATGCTTATGAATCAGGACTTTCATAATCCCTCGATAGTGATGCTGGCTGAGATTCTGCAGGAAGGAACAGCAAACCTATGCCTAGAATGGTTATCTATCCCTGTGAGGACAAACTGCTGGCCCTTGCAGAATGGAAGGCGCCCAGTGTTTTTGACTTGACAACTGACCAAGGGATAGTGTCATATCTGGGAGCTCAGTATGGGTCTCTTGTTGACAGGTTGGATGTTCAGAGGCAGCATTAACTAGATCAATCTTGGTAAATGGGATTCCGTGTTGTTGGCCTACATCTCTGCCAAAATGACCCCTCCATGTAGATGCCATGGTGCCAATTCTGGGCTGGATGATGAGAAAGGCTGGCTAATATCAACTGGCTGAGTCATTTTGTCTGCTTGTGTGGCAGATATATTCTGGTGGATATTTATGTGTGATACAAAGATCTTCATACTTTGTACCCACTCCCATATGTCCATCTACATACCCCTACCCAAGCATCCCTGGTCTCTGATCTAGTCTTCATTTCTAGGCTTCTGACTAGGTGGACAGACCATTGGCCACTGCCTGTGAATCCGTATATATTATTATTTCAGGCTACTTCTCCTTCCACAGAAAGTAGATGACCAGATGTACCACTTCAGCTTCCCATTAGTAGATTTTCCCTCTCACTGTCTTTCAGGGCCACTCCTGAATGTGGTTGCAATGAAGCCATCGTTCATGTTTAGCTTTCAGTCACATAAAAAGCAGACTCATCTGTAAACCAAGAAAGAGGTTTATTCTCCTTCAGCTATTTATATATGAACTCTCCTTCATATGGCTACAGGTGCAAACCAGGGAAGGAGAACTGGTGCATCATTTATGGATGACATGGGGGTCTGAGCTACCTGCTCATGCAATTTACTTGTGTTCTTGAGTCTTGCTTGGACTCCTTCCTAGATGTACCATTTCCATAGTATGATGGATTGATGGTAGGTCTATCCGACTTTATGACTTGGGTGGGTCAGAAAGAACCCAACTCATAATGAGTAGTTCTGGCTGCATGGCCACTTGACACCCATGGTCAAGTGTTTTGTCTTTATTGGGGCCCAGTAACATGCCGGGACCTGTTTTTCAAAAGGCATAATGTTTTTTGCTGTGGATGGCAGGTCCTTGCTCCAGACTCCTAGGACCTACATTGTTTTGCTCCCACTGGAGCTTGCCATAAACTCCACATGGTATCTTTTTCCACCACTAACACCTGTAATATCATATGGTTTGCTGGATTGTATGGCCCAAGTGGCAAGATTGCCTGTACCATAACCTGGATCTGCTGCAGATTATATTCCTGCTCAGGATCCTACTCAAAGCCAGCAGCCTTGCATGCCACCTTGTATACAGGCTAGAGGAATATTCATAGGGGTGGAATGTGCTGCTTCTAGAACCCAAAGAGACCTACCAGGTGCTGGACTTCGTTCTCTACAGTAGCGCATGTAAGATACAGCACTGTGGTTTACTTTAAAAGTTGTATCCAAGCATGATTCTGACCACTGAACTCCTCTATTGGGACATTTTCCCAGGTCACTACCAGCGAAATCTTTAGCAATAGAGCTACCACTTTGTGCTAGGGACTAACTAAACCCCACCTGTTAACCAGGACAACTCCTGGTACCACTTGTATAGTCCAGCTCCACCAAGAAGTAGATACCACATGGGATTAGTCATGGAAGAGATGTATTAAGGACAGTGCCTGTGAGGGAAAATTGGGAGGGAACCAGGGAAGGCTCAAAGCAGATCTGACCCTGGGTGAAGGACAGAGAGAAGGGAGGAAGGAAGGATGAGAGGAAGGTTGAGTGGATGCATCTTAGACTGAAGTACAGTTCTGAGGGAGTTCAGCAAGGCTATCAGGGAGCCCTTGAGCCAGAGTTGCCATCAGAGGAGTCCTGCGTCATTGTCTTGGAGCAAGCTGTGGGAAGTGTGGCCTTGGCATCAACTCAGTAATGGATTTCACAGTGCTGGAGCCATCAGTCAATATGCTCTTGGCAGTAGATCTGAGAGGTGCATATTCATGGCTTCCCAAAAAGCTCTGATTCCCATCACAGAAAAAAATACTAATATACACATAAAATGCTGTGTATAATTTTATGCAGTTAATTGATCCACTCAGGTATATTCATTGCCTCTCATGGGTGGTTAAGAAAACCTGTTTTCAGAGTTCATTGTTGATCTCACTTAGCAAGAATAGATTTCTGTGAGCTTTTATCTGAAGGATATGCAACACATCAAAAATCACTATAAATTGCTGCTATGATTTGAATGTGTGTGTCCCTCCAAAATTCATGTGTTGGAACTTAAACCCCAAAGTGATGGTTTTAGAAGGTGGGGACTTTAGGCAGTCATTAGGTCATGAGGGCTTCTTCATTGTGAATGGGATTAATGCCTTTTTAAAGAGGCTTTACACAGCGTTCATCCCCTTTTGCCCTTCTGCCTTCTGCCAAGTGAGTACATAGCAACAAAGCACCATCTTGAAAGCAGAGACAAAGCCTTCACCAGACACTGAATCTGCTGGCACTTTGTTACTGGACTTCCTGCTTCCAGAACTGTGAGAAATAAATTTCTGTTATTTACAAATTACCCAGTCTCTGATATTTTGTTACAGCAGCAAGAATAAACAAAGACAACTTCTTGAGGAGATATATAGCCTCTTCATTTATAAAAAGGGACCATATACTCTTAATATAATGTAAAGTACTGTATGAATTGTAGATAATCTGAATTTGTCAAATGGGTATCAAATAAAGATACTAGCCAAAATTATCCCATGTTAGAGATAGCTTTAGCAGTAGGAGTGAGAAGTAGCAATGTCTTTTCAATCTCTTGTTTTCCTCCTTTCCCCATCTTTCCCCTGGTCTTTCAATCTTGAACCCCTCTCTTTTCTCGTAGTTTGGCAGAGCAGAAATTTGGTGAATCTACCAATTGCAGAAGGTTCAGACCCTCATTCTAATAAAGAAGGTGCCCAATTTCTTTAATCAAATACGATGATTTAAAAATGTAATTCCTCTTTGATAGGCAGTTCAGTTGAAGCGATGCAGTAGAATACATTTCCAAATCCAGACTAAAGATGATCTTGGGCAACTCATTTATTTCCTTTGCTTTGGATTTCCTTACCTTTCTTAATGTTTACAAATATACAGTTATTTATTTACTTATAATTTTAATTGAGATAAAATTTAAATACTCCCCACTGCACAAATACTAAGGCAACAGCTCAATACATCCTTACAAACAGTTATGTAACCACCAACCAGATCAAGTTAAATTACTGGGTCATAGGACATATGGATGTTAGCTTTGCTAGATACTGCTAAATAGTTCTACAATGTGGTTGTACCAGTTTATAGTCCCACCAGCAAGGTATAAGAATTTTAGGGCCAGGCACGGGGCTCAAGCCTGTAATCCCAGCATTTTGGGAGGCTGAGGCGGGCGGATCATGAGGTCAGGAGATCGAGACCATCCTAGCTAACATGGTGAAACCCCATCTCTACTAAAAATACAAAAAAAAATTAGCCGGGTGTGGTGGCAGGCGATTGTGGTCCCAGCTACTTGGGAGGCTGAGGTGGGAGAATGGCGTGAACCTGGGAGGCGGAGCTTGCAGTGAGCAGAGATCAGCGCCACTGCACTCCAGCCTGGGTAACAGAGCGAGACTCTGTTTCAAAAAAAAAAAAAAAAAAAAAGAATTTTAGCTGTTCCATATCTTATCCTTACATACACTAGGAACTGCAATGCCTTTACATTTTAGCAATTCTGGTGGGGATTTCCCACTTTTAAGTGAGACTAACTGAGCTACTATCACTCTATATCACTCTGAGAGCCTCTTAGAAAGCTTGGGATTGTTTTATCCTGCTAGATACACAGAGTTGTGATGTGGATTCATTTTATTGACTACATGTTAAAGTATTCTCAGTTCTTTGGAAGAGAGCTTATAGAAATAACCAAAAAAAGGAGGGGGTATGGCTTTAACACTACAAAGGCCCTCAGAAAAAAAACACTGGAAGTGATTCCTGGAAACTGGAAGTTGTATCTATGGCCAAAATTGAAGTGGTATGAGGAGGGACATGGCCTCTTCAGAGACCAGAGAAGGGGTCAGGTCCAGAGAAAAGAATGGGCTGTGTATTTTATTATTGTAAATAACTGTCTGCTCTTACTTAAACATGTATAACTTCTTCCCAAGGCATTTAAATAATTTAATTATCAAAGAACTTGGGTTGTGTTGGGTCAGCAAAACAGATGTTTATAGCCGTAAGTTTCAGCTGAGATTTTCCTAATAAAAGGGGAAGGAGAGGGAAGCCATAAATAATCGTAACTAAGTAGTTACTCTTCTTCATTCTACTCTCAGACTCATGAGCAGCAAATAGGTTTGTTTGATGTCTTAGAATGTAAATCAAATTTGAAGACAAGAAGTATAGATTCAGTATCTTCTTTAATCCTTTCTTTCCCTTAGCTACTCTCCCCCTATCAAACTGCCTTGATTTGTCTATGAGCGTTCTATTTCCAAAAGTACAAAAATAAAATGAACAAACATTTATTAATTGCTTTCCTTATGCTAGGCAAGGGGCTAGGAACTCTTGCATCTATTATCATATTGATACTTCACAGTAAGTATCTTGCTTAAGTTCTTCTCATCTCTGTGAAGCTAAGATGTTATATTTTATTAACTCTGCTTTAAAGATAGAACTATTAAGGGAAAGAGGCCAAGTGGCCTGCTTTTATACATCTCATGATAATTTTTTTTCAGACCTGGGGCCTCACTCTGTCACATAGGCTGGAGTGCAGTGGCACAACCATGGCTCACTGCAGCTCCAACTTCCTGGGCTCAAGCCATCCTTCCACCTTAGTCTCCTGAGTAGCTAGGACTACAGGCACATGCCACAACTACTGGCTTTTTGTTGTTGTTGTTGTTGCTATGTTGCTCAGGCTGGTCTTGAACTCCTGCTCTCAAGCAATCCTCCCGCCTAGGCCTCCCAAAATGCTGGGATTACAGGATGAGCCACTGCAGCCTACCACGATAATTTCAAGTTCAAATTGATTATTCTTTTCTTTGACTTTTAGATTCAACTGCCAAGTCCTGACAGTTTTCTCTTGGCTCAAATCTTCCGTTTTCATGACTACTGCCCTTGTTCAGGGAACAAACTAGCCAGGAGACTAGTTTCCTAAGTAAATCTACACAACACCACCAGATTAATCTTGAGGAAGCACTGCTTTCATTATATCCCTCTTTAATGTCAAAATGTTCAATGTTCCCCAGTGCCTGCAGGAAAAATTCCAAACTTAGTACCTTATTAATGAAGGTGCTCCTCACTTTCGTGCTAACATACTAAAGACTTCCACAAACAAATCCTCCACTTCAAATCATGTGGACTACTCACTGACCATCAACATCCTCATCTCACACATTTACTAACAGTCATGCCAACTGGAATGCCCTTCTTTTTCTTTGCCCATCCAAATGTTGCCAGTCCTTCAATGATCAAGTTACATCCATCCACTGACCTGAAGGGGTTCCTTATCAGTCTTGCAGGTGGCATTTTCTCACTCCTCTTAGGTCTTTTGGCATTTCATAATTGTATAAAACAGAACAAATATTTACAGAGTGGCAACAGAATGCAAGGTGATATGGTAAATTTGAAAATAAATGATATACTCCTTGAACAGAAAGTGCCCAAAATGTGAGATAACAGTAAAAATGGAAAGTTTGAATAGGAAATACGAGATATGTCACTAACATTTTTGAGCACGTGCTATGTAGCAGGCCATACTCTAAATATTTCCCTGGACTTGCACATACATTTCTATAAGTAGTCATTATTACTATCCTCTGTTTACAGATGAGAAGTCTGAGGCTATAGGACTCAGCCAAGGTCATCCAGCTAAGAGGACCAGTAGGATTGGAATAGCTGATATTCTCATCCTTCAGGCTAATCAAACTAAAAAAAGAAAAGGAGACAAAATTAACATAGAGAGTTTATTTGGGCAAAGATTGAGGATTGCAGCCCAGGACACACTTCCAAGTTGCCTTGGGGAATGCTCCATTTGGGCCTTTTTGTTACAAGATTTTTAAAGGCAAAAGGGGACAAAGAGTTTTCTGATACAAAGTTGTTTGACAGGAATTCTCACTGGTTTACCGGAACAAGATTGGTTAGAGGTTGGTTATGCATTGCTAAACTATGGCTATGAATTATGGTGTCTAGCATATGGCATTTCATAGCTACTTGGCTTCAGTTAGTCTAGAGCCCATATAGCAAGTGCCCTCAAGATGTAATTATTTAGCTCAAGTGGGAGTGAGATTTCACTGCTGTTGCATTTTAACACCTCTCTGGGCCTGATAATTGAAGAGGGCTTGCATTCGTCAGACAAAAAGTTTCTTTTCCTTCTCAAGGTCATCCTGCACTTAAGATGGGATCCCAAGTTCCAATTCTTCCAGGAGAAAAAAAGACTAGGAGGATGGAATGCATTGAAAGACTAATAGGGAGGTGAATACAGAGAAGCAGAGGAAGGCAACAATTAACAATGGAGAAATGAAGAGATAGAGTGAAGCATGAACCGGTAAAATGGAGCTCAGAATCCTGGAGCTAGTTCTGCCAATATTGATTGTCCTCCCAGGTACCTATTTTATAAACAGATGTGTTGTACAAACTCAAGGTTGTCTTCACAGAACACTTTTGATGGATACGTTGTGTCAGTGGCTTCCCATTGAACATAAAATAAAAACCAAACTTCTTATCTTAGCCTCAAAGGCCAATATGGACTGATCCCTGCTGAACTTTTCAGATGTGTCTTGTGCTCCTCTCTCTCTTGCTCACCATACTGTAGCTATACTCTCTTCTTCCAGTCCCATGAAGAAGACAAGCCCTCTTTCATCTCAGGGCCAACCTATGTACTATTCCCTCTAGCTGAAATATTCTTCCCCTCCATTATTCACTTAATTATGTGGAAATCAGAAATTAAATACCTTGATTTCTTTTACTGGCCTTAAAGAAATGTAATTTTTACAATTATATTTAATGAAAAGCCTTGAGGGGAGACAATCTTATTAGCATAAGCACTTTGAGAATTAATTCAAAGTGTCATGCTGGTTGTTAACTTCTCAGCAAGACAACGAAGAGAGTTTCAGAGAACTCAGAATTTATCGTTCAGTGACTATGTAAAACGACATTGTCAGAAAAAGAGCCAATTGCAGTGAAAGGTTTTAAAGGTAAGGATATGTGATCTGTCCCTTGTTAATGGGATAAGTCTTTCAGAGAGATGTTCCATGACATGGTTAGTAAATACAAAATATCTAGTGTAACCACTCTTGCTCATAAAACACGTTTGTTATAGGAATCCCTCTAGTCATTCACTTAAGTGATCAAATGTATTTGTAATAAGAAATAGAAAGGGGTTAATTAAGATATAAATAAACTTCTCAGCCCTACAGCTGAAGCACTGGCATCACCTCAGACAAATCTGATCCAAATCCAATGAAAAGCCTGTTTTTCCCAATTATTCTCATCAGTCAGGACTCAGTTTAAGGTCACCTTCTTTGAGAGGCTTGCTCTGGGAACTATATTTAAAGCAGTACTACTTGAAATTTGGAAAATCATTTGGTAAAAATACAGAGGCCCAGGCTTTCCTTACTTTGATTAAGCCAGGACAATTGTATTCTTTATTAGCTCTCCAGTTAATTCTGACACCCATAAAAGTTTGAGAACTACCAATCCAAATGTTTATCCTTCCTTTCATCCCTTTATTTTCTATTATAGCATCCAATTTGTTTCCCACACAGCTCTTATCACAATATCTATTTACATGTGGTTGTCAGTCTCCCCTACTAAACTATAAGCACCATGAGGGCAGTGATCATGTCTTTCTTGTCAATTACTGTATCCCCAGAACTTAACACAATGCTTGGCACACACTTGGGGCTCTAAAAATAGACAGCTTTGTATGCATAGAATTTTTTTTAAAAACTTCAATGTAAATTGTATTCATAGTACAGTCAAGACTTGTTTTATAATAGTAAATCATAAACTTTTTATTTTCTACCAGAATCTTTTTGAGGGAATGCTAATAAATATTACAGATAAAACCAGAATGAGAGCTGGGCCTGGTGGCTCACGCTTGTAATCCCAGCACTTTGGGAGACTGAAGCAGGTGGATTACTTGAGGTCAGGAGTTCGAGACCAGTCTGGCCAACATGGCAAAACCCTGTCTCTACTAAAAATGCAAAAATTAGCCAGGCGTGGCGGCAGGCACCTGTAATCCCAGCTACTCAGGAGGCTGAGGCAGGAGAATCACTTGAACCAGGGAGGCAGACATTGTAGTGAGCCAAAATCACACCACTGCACTCCTGTCTGGGAGACGGAGCAAGACTCCGTCTCAAAAAAAAAAAAAAAATCAGAATGGGGTCAGTTGTTCTTGTTTAATCAAAAACGTTTGTTCTTGTTTAATCAAAAATGGTTGTTCCAAAAATGGAAGCCAGAGTTCTGCCTTCTTGGCCTCTCTTAGATCTCTGAAGGCAGTATAGGGCCATGCTTTACAAAGGGTGTTCCCTGGAACAGCAGCATCAGCAGATGATGCAAAAGAAATGGTGAGAAAAATTGCTGACACCTTAGCACAAATCAAAGCAGTAGAACCAAAAATCATTGTGTTCTTCACTATCGCACAGAGGCACTTAACAAAAAAGCCAAGTTCACTTAAGAATGTCTTCAATGGCCAGGGGCAGTGGCTCACGCCTGTAATCCCAGCACTTTGGGAGGCCAAATCAGTCCAGTCACTTGAGGCCAGGAGTTCGGGACCAGTCTGGCCAACATGGTGAAACCTCGTCTCTACTAAAAATACAAAAATTAGCTGGGCATGGTGGCGGGTGCCTGTAATCCCAGCTACTCGGGAGGCTGTGGCATGAGAATCACTTGAACCTGGGAGGCAGAGGCTGCAGTGAGCTGAGATCACACCACTGCACTCCAGCCTGGGTGACAGAGCGAGACTCTGTCTCAAAAAAAAAAAAAAGTATTTGATGAAACAGTAAAAATTGTTAATATTGAATTTCATGAGGACACATCTTTTTAATATTCTGTGTGATGAAATGGGAGGTGAGCATTAAGTCCTTCTGTGGCATAATGAAGTATGATGGTTGTCTTGAAGAAAAGCACTTTTGCAATTCTTTGAATTGTGCTTTAACTAGCCACCTTTTACATGGGACACCAGTTTTACTTGGGAAAAAAGCAACTGACAAAATGGTCATTGAAACTTGGATATTTGGCAGACATCTTGAAAATGAACAAAGTGTAGCTGTCACTTTAAGGAAAGCAGTTGGCATTATTTCTTGTCAAAGACAAAATTTGAGCATTCAAGAGAAAACTAGAATTGTGTAAAATGTGTATCTACTTCTCAATGCTTAAAGATTTTTCTAATGAGATCAGCAGTGCTATTAACAAATATGATTTTCTGATTTTATATAATGAAATGTGCCAATATTTGGAAGATCTGTATAACTCAGTGAACTAATATTTTCCAAATGATCAATGTGGAATCATGTGTGAGTAAAAGGTCCATTCAAAGGGCAAGATAGACATGAAATTGAATGTAACGGTGTAGAAAAGTTAATTTATATGGTTTCAGATTCCACATTGCAACTAATCTTTAAGGAGTTATAATCAGTTGTGGAGTTTTAGTGTAACAACAAAAGATATCCACAATTAGCTGCAAAGACTATTAAAATAGTCATTTTTTCCAAAAACATATAATGTAAGGTGAGATATAAAACAAGGTTGGCCACTCCATTGATTAACTTAATTTTGTTGTGGAAAATGTAGTTATTTCTCATAAAATATGTTCCTTATGTTAACCTGTAATATGTTTATTATTGTTATAATAAATGAATCAATAAATAAATATTTCTAAAATTTCTGTTTTACTTTCTAGTGTGGCTTATACCGATATATCCCACATAAATAAAAGCTTTTTAAGATCTTCATAATTTATAAGAGCATAAAGAGTTTCTGAGTCCAAAACTTTTGAGAACTGCTGCCTTAAGAACAGTGTGAAAACTTCCTCTTTTGAGCAGTGCTATTCTCAGACAAAGATGGATAATAAACCTTGATGAGTCCTTCCTAATCTTTTTCCTCTTTTGCCAGCTAGACCTCAAGTCCAGCAATTACTAAATGCCCCTGATTTATTTCACATAAATATATATTCCTGTGATGCCTTTCTAAGCAGAATTTAGTCACCTTGATTGGATTTTCAGACTTGTTGGCCTCCATGATTCCATTTGGCAATGAGCCAAGTCACTCCCCTGAGTTGCATATTTACAAACCAGCTCCTAGACAGAAATGACTAAATAAAGTGTCAGCTGCTGGGCTCTGCCAATTTCAGAAGACAAGCTCATTCCTTGTACTTTTTTTATACCAAATATTCCACTCAATATCTTTCTGATGATGGGATATAAATTTTTACAAAGGGCTAAAGAAAAAATAGTGTTAAAAACAATTGAAAAAATAAAAGGGGGCTAATATTTGTTGAGCATTTGCTCTAAGCCAAATACTATTATATATGTCACTGCATTTAATTCTCCCAACAACTCCATGAGATGAGCATTACTCTCATTTTACAGATCAGAAGAGCAGGGTTGGATAACTGTTACACAGTAGAGGAAGGATGAAACTCAGGCCTCAGTGACTCCAAAGAAAGAGCAATAGTCAGACAATCTGGGTTGTGTCACATACTTTATAGTGGTATTTTACAGATATGGGGGTGAAAACCCTTCATATAAGCCTTCAGAATTGTCTCAGACCAGTGATCTCAGTGTGGTCCCTGGACCAGCAGCATCAGCATCCCCAAGAACTTGTTAAAGTACAGATTCTTAGGCCTCACTTCAAATCTGCTAAATCAGATACTTTGCAGGTGGGGCCCAGTAATCTGTGTATTATCAAGCCCTCCAGGGGATTCTGATGCACACTTAAGTTGGAGAACCACGAAAACAAGCTTGTGCTTGTCCAACCCGTGGCCCATGGGCTGCATGCGGCCCAGGACAGCTTTGAATGCAGCCCAACACAAATTCGTAAACTTTCTTAAAACATTATGAGATTTTTTTGCAATTTTTTATTGTTAGCTCCTCAGTTACCATTAGTATTAGTGTATTTTATGTGTGGCCCAAGATAATTCTTCCAATGTGGCCCAGAGAAGCCAAAAGATTGGACACTCTTGCACTAAAGTATGCCAACACAGCCTCAGGAAGCTAGGGCAAGGAGCAGACCAACTGAACAGCTACTGGGGTTGCCAATCTATAAGGGTACTAAAATGCCACAGAAATTAATCAGAAATATTGTGGCAGTTAACTTAAATCTCCTCTTCTCTGGGGAAAGTAAATTGGTCTCATTCCTATTCCATGCAGGTAATAAATTTCCTGTTTTGAATTTGAGTATGTGACAGAAAAATAGTATTTGTTATTTTTAATATTCTGCTGTCTTCTACAAAAGGTTGATCCTGGTAACTGGAAAAGTTTTTGCTTGCTGAACATGAGCTCTTCCACATTTGTCTAATAGCCTCTTAGCTCTCTACTCCTCCTTGACGCCTGAAGGATGAGCAGTACAGACCCACAAAAAATCTTATTCATGGATCATCTTAGATTTTATTCCCTAAAACGTAGCCTGAGATGGGGATTCTTGTGCCAGTGATTTATTGAGGACACACTCTCAGCAGAAGGGAATCAGGTTGAGGTGTCAGAGAGGGGTGGGGCGGGTGTGTGGAGGGAAGCTAAGCAAGGACGTGGTCTCAAATGGTTACTAGTTTCAGCCTGATCCCACCCACGTGGAGTTCTGGGGCTGAAATTTCACCCACACACCTGGTCCTGCCTGGAGGGAAGGGAGCCAAGTTTTTATATCCCTATATCAGTCACTCATTGACTGTAGGCTACTAGTGGCCAGGTTAGGGTGAGAGTCTGACATCCTGGGCTAACAGTAGTTCCTGGTGGCTGAGAGCAGCACTTCAAAGAAAGAGGCAGCTGTGAGACATCAGCACGCAACCCTGTCAGCAGCTGGGGGATGGACGAACCCAGGTGAAAGGCATCTGGATGGGGCATCACCAGCATCTACTACATGGATGTAATTTTAGGTTTCTGTTTGTATCTCTGGATATCAGTGTCCACCTCTGCCTAAGGTGTGAATTTTCCTCTCTATCCCTCGGCCTTATAGAGCCATATCCCTGGACCAGCCAGCTTCCCGTTCCCCATTCAGCCTATGGGTAAATCAAATCAAGCAGCTATATGTGTAGGATCCCAGATCATTTGCAGAGGGGCATTTAACACATGAATTATCCCTCTCTATTGAATATATTTCTATACTAGGAACACTGTTGTTATTTCCTAGTTTTTTTTCTCTTGTGAAATGAAGGGATAGACTGGATTTTTTAAAACTCTGTTCCAGTTTGAAAATTCATTTGCCTAATGATTTTGCTCCAGAAGGCAGTCGTGCTTGCATTTTCTCTGGGGATGAGTTTCACAAAAGTGTGTATTAGAGACTAAGTCTACTGTCATGGACATAAGTGAGGCATTAATAAGACTGTGAAATGTTTTAGCACATGTCAGGGAATTCAATTCCATTTTATCTGACCATGATTCTTTTATCAATGAATGATTTTAATTTTTCTGAATAATTATTAGGGAAGAATTTCTTTAAAATATTAAATAACTACAGGGTTGATTCTCAAATACTTGTTTCAATGATTCGTGTCACGTGTTTGCCACACAAAATGGACAGACACTATCATTTTCACTATGGCATCTTAAGGAACCTAGCAGAAACTGAGGCAAGACACCAAAACTATCAGTGCATTGCATGTGTCTCATTGCCCTCAAGTACAAGGTGATACTGAAATGTAAGTTGTTGATGGCAGGGTCTCCCCTACTAGACACTGATCCTTTGTATGGTTTAAAGCAAAGCACCTATTCGGGTATATGAAATACTAAAAAGTGCCCCCTCTCCATGGACAACATACAAAAAAGGTTTTCCTTCCTCCTGGCTACACAAGACTTGGTAACTGAAGTGCAGACTGGGTCTCAACCTTTATTCATTTCTTTCACCTGAGACCTTTACACAAACCACAACCTGCAAGGCAGTATGTGGCATTCTTGGTTATAGGAGTCTGATCATTGTGACTTGAGTGGTTTTCTGTTATTTAATATGTCCTTTATATTTGTCAAAGGATATCAACCCTACAAAATTGCCGAGCGGTACCATGTCTCAGATATGCCTCAATCATCTCCATGTAAGACATCGATGAGAGCTTCCAAGACAAAAAGGCTCAAAAGGAATGTGTTCTGAATACTTTTTTCATATGCAGTCCTCACTCATCTTTATCACATGAGAAGACTTGCTATGGAACTTTGGCACTGGACCAAGGGGCCTCTGACATTTTAACTGAGGTTCTAGGGTCACTTGTATAGGAGATCTACAATGGCATTGCCATGCTGATTCTCTGTGGAGATCTTTCTACCCAGGGACATTACCAAAGTCAAGTAATTAGCACAATATCCAGATAGAAATATCTGATATTGAGGCCAGTTATGGTGGCCCACGCCTGTAATCCCAAGCACTTTGGGAGGTCGAGGTGAGTGGATCACTTGAGCTCAGGAGTTTGAGACCAGCTTGGCTAACATGGTGAAACCCTGTCTCTACTAAAAATACAAAAATTAGCTGGGCATGGTGGTGCGGGCCTGTAGTCCCAGCTACTCGGGAGGCTGAGGCAGGAGAATTCTTTGAACTCGGGAGGCAGAGGCTGCAGTGAGCTGAGAACATACCACTGCACTCCAGCCTGGGTGACAAAGTGAGACCCTGTTTCAAAAAAAAAAAAAAGAAAGAAAAGAAAAAATGAGAAATATCTGACATTAATTTTTTTTTTCTTTTGACGGAGTCTCGCTCTGTCACCTAGGCTGGAGGGCAGTGGTGTGATCTCAGCTCACTGCAGCTTTCGCCTCTGGGGTTCAAGCAATTCTCCCACCTCAGCCTCCCGAGTAGCTGGGATTACAGGTGCCCACCACCACACCCAGCTAATTTTGGTACTTTTTTAGTAGAGACGGGGAGTTTCACCATGTTGGCCAGGGTGGTCTTGAACTCCTGACCTCGGGTGATCTGCCCACCTCGGGCTCCCAAAGTGCCAGAATTACAGGCATGAGCCACCATGCCCAGCCCAGACACTGAATTACTTTTCTAAAGTACCTGGAAACTTATCACTGAAAACAAAAACAAAAACTGATGACATTGAAATCATTGCAGTGTAATCACTTGTGGTGTCTACTCCCAATGTTATTGTGGAGAAATCCTGGAAGAAAAGAGCTCTTTGGCTAGTTATATTAGGTGACAGGATTTATTATGTACACCAAAGATGCAAGCGTCATTTCTAGAATTTTCGTTAAACTTCGGAGTTGTAATAGCTATATAGGAAAAGGGGTAAGAAGAAAGAGGAGATGAAAACAGCTTTGCAAAAGTTAAGGGTGAATTTTCCTCCCCTATTTTCTTTTTTCCTGACAATATAAATAATGTCTGATTAAGATGAAAAGTTAAGAAAGCAAATACATTCCTACAGAATTGGGCTGAGAATGAGGTTAAATTGTATGTACACAATAAAGAAAGCTATAGAGCTTTTTGAGGAAAAAATGACTATATTTTGGCAAGAAAATTATTACAAGTTCTTTCCAAGTGAGGGAAGAAGACTATACCATCCATTTAGTTCAAAGAATAACCAGGAATGAGATGGGAGCTCGTTACTATGGCAGACCATTTGGCAAGTGGAAGAACACTTCTTTCTATGTAGGCAATTTGAGGGTGAGCCTTCCACAATCCATATGACACCTTGTTCTACTCTCTGCTGAAAGATATTCCACTAAACTCCACTCTCTTTCTAAGTGCTTCCAATAAATTACTATGGACACAAAAGTCACCTTTGACATTTACTGGAAAATTTGATGTTTTTTTCTGTAACATTATGAGCCTCTTTCCCCCACAAAAAATGTTTTATTGCACCTTCATTGCAAATCTAATTTGTAATTCATCCCTTGCTTACTCATTTAAGTCAGAGCTGTGTGCTGAAGAATATCAGTCAACCAGCCTGGAAACATTTTTCTAATAGTAAATGTAGAATGTAAAGGAAATTACATTATTTTGTCTTCTGTAAAATGTATAATTTTTTAAAAAAACTTCACTTATGTTATTTAACATTTTAACTAAAAAATTCAAATTATATCATAATAATTCAACAATACAAATGTTAGTCACCCGCAAGAGAAATCTAGTTGTAATTACATTATAATAATTCAATAATGTAAATTTTTATTACCCCAAAGAAAAATTAGAGGAAAAAGATTGGCTAAAATGTTGCAAGTAGTAGATTTATGGAAATATTCAGCATATGGTGTGAGTAGATGCATGATAAGCACAGATGTGAAAAAAATTAAATTATTCTTGTTGGAGAATTTGAACCTAAGAAAATGCTACTCTAGGTATCCATGCTTTTACCACTTGCTAACAAAAGCTTCTTATGGCTTGTAACAGTAAGTACTCATTACAGAGAAGAGATACATGCTCTTGGAGGATTCCCCACTACCACATTCTCACAAGTTATTGGAAAAAACTTTGGAGTTTGGGCACAGTAATAGCTATATTTTAAGAATTTCGTTATTTGCCTCCATAAATGAATGCCTGTCTACCTCATTGGCCTGAAAATTGTACCACATCTGCAAGATGAATCATTTGGCTTTCTAGTTGGTCCTGGGGGACAGGAACACAGCCCACAGATTTACCAGTAGCTGACTGCCTGGTAAATGTTTACTTATAAATTAGCATGGGTGATAATTTATTTAGGTAATAAGCATAGATTACACTTAATGGCTTAGACATTATACATTATGAACACAGTATTTTATGTTGAAGTAAATGTATATGATAATTAATATGATATCTAAATGTAACTCAGAAATTGGGAATTAGAGAGTTTAAGCAAAGTTAAGCACGTATTACAGTGCATCAGCACTTAAATTAAAGGCTTAAGGAAAGTTTCACAATGGCAAAGCATATCATACGGTTCACCCATACCACGTGTTAGGGATTTGTTTATTTTTTAGATTCTCTTCTCTTTTCCCCATAAACCAACTCATTCTGTTACTGAAGAACATTGCTTCTTTCTTGACAAGTAACACAACATCAAAATTTAGGCTTCTGGAGCTGAGGTGAGTAATCTGTCAGCAGGGACACCATGACAGCCTGATGACACAACAAAGAAAGAAAGAAATGGATAAACATTAGCGACAGTCTGCTTAGGGACCTAGAGAAGGTGAATTAGGTTTCAGCTTTGCAGGGTTACAGTTAAAATGTGTTTTCTCAAGAAAATGGTAAGAGAACAGTTCTGAACTAATATTTATTTATTTATTGGAGGAGGGTATAAATGAAAGTCAACAGAGATCAGACTGATCTAGACACACAAACACTGCATAATTAGGCCTCATTCCAGGACTAGTGGGTCACAGAGTTGAAATGAGATGCTACAGTGGTAGCCACGACTGAATTTTCCAGTCATAAGTATAGTATTGGCTAGTTTTAGAGAAATATCATCTCTCCTATTCCAGATCCTTGTGTTTATACCGTGGTTTGATCTCTCGCAGCCTAGAGAAGTTTAGGATGAATCAGATGTAGAGTAATCTGAGCAATGTCTGCTCTCTGAAGCTGGGTATTCCTGAAAGAGTATTATCTCTATAGCCAAGAGTATACCGCTTCCCCTTGATCTGTCAATCACAAATGGTAATTTTCACTTTTACTTTTCTCAATCTCCACAAGAATGACAATAATAATATCAGAAACTATGGTGAATGTTAACTGAGTGCTTACTAGGTATTAGATAGAATACTAAGTACCATATCATGTATTGGTCAAGAAATATTTTTCAAGCACTGTGCCAGGAGCTTTGGTGAGCTAGAGGAAAATGTTCATGCATTATCTCATTTAATACAACAAAATTCTAAGGTAGCTTTTATTATTATCATTTATAGTTGAGGAAATCAATCCTTGAGATGACAGATAGTGCAGAACTGGGTTGGAACCCTGGTTTTCTCTGACTCTACTCTTTTTAAAAATTATTATTTTTGATTGATAAATTATAATTGTATACATTTATGGAGTACAGCATGATGTTTTGATATATGTATACAATGTGCAATGATTAAATCAAGCTAATGAACATATCCATCACCTTACTTACCTATCTTTTTTATGGAGAGACATTTGACATTTCTTCTCTAAGTTATTTTGAGATATATATTATTATTGACTATAATCATTCTGCTGTATAATAGATCTCAAAACCTATTCTCCCTGTCTACCTGAAACTTTGTACCCTTTGATCAACAACTCCCCATTGCCTTCCTTCCCATCCCCCATCCTCTGGTAATCATCATTCTACTCTCTACTTCTATGAGTTCAACTTTTTTAGAGTCCACATATAAGTGAGATCATGTAGTATTTGTCTTTCTGTGCCTGGGTTATTTTACTTAGCATAATGTCCACCAAAAAACTGTTAGAACTGGTAAGGGAATTCAGTAAAATTGCAGAAAATGAAATCGACATACATAAATCAGTAACATTTCTAATATACTAATAATGAACTATCTGAAAAGAAAATTAAGAAAATAATCACATTTGCAACAGCAACAAAAAATTACTTAGGTATAAATTGTATCAAGAAGGTAAAAGACCTGTTTACTGAAAACTATAAAACACTGATGAAAGAAAATAAAGAAGACACAAATAAATGGAATGATATCCCATGTTCATGGATTGAAAGAATTAATGTAAAAATGTCCACACCACCCAAAGTGATCTACAGATTCAATGCAACCCCTATCAAAATTCCAATGTCATTTTTCACATAAATCAAAAATACAATCCTTAAGTTTGTAGGGAACCACAAAGAACCCACATAGATAAAGCAATCTTGAACAAAAGGAAGAAAGCTGGCAGCATCACACTCCTTGATTTTAAAACATATTATAAAGACATTTTAATAAAAACCACACGGTACTGTCATAAAAACAGACACATTAACCAACAAAACAGTAAGGAAAGCCCAGAAATGAACCCATGCATTTATGGTCAATTGCTTTTTGACAGAGGTGCCAAGAACACATAATGGGGAAAGGACAGTCTCTTCAGCAAATGGTGTTGAGAAAACTGGATATCCACATGCAGAAAAATAAAATTGGACCCTTGTCTCACACCATATAAAAATCAACTCAAAATGGATTAAAGACTTAAATATAAGCTCTGAAGCTGTAACACTACTAAAAGAAAACATAGGGAAAAAGCTCTGTCTTAGTCCTTTTTCACGCTGCTGATAAAGACATACCCGAGACTGGGAAATTTATAAAGAAAAAGAGGTTTAATGGACTCACAGTTCCAATGGCTAGGGAGGCCTCACAATCATTGCACAAGGCAAAAGGCATGCCTCACATGGTGGCAGGCAAGAGAGAGAATGAGAACCAAGCAACAGGGCTTTTCCCTTATAAAACCATCAGATCTCGTGAGACTTATTCAGTACCATAAGAACAGTATGGGGGAAACTGCCCCTGTGATTCAATTATCTCCCACCAGTCCCTCCCACAACATGTGGGAATTATGGGAGCTACAATCCAATATGAGATTTGGGTGGGGACACAGCCAAACCATATCAAGCTCTATGACATGAGTCTTGTAATTGTTCACATATGACCCTGAAAACACAAGTGATAGAAACAAACATAGACAAATCAAATTGCATCAAAGCTTCTGCACAGCAAAAGAAACAATTAATAAAGTGAAGAGACAATCCACAGAATGGGACAAAATATTTGTAAACCATACATCTGTTAAGGGATTAATATCCAAAATATATAAGGAACTCAAACAACTAAAGAGAAAGAAAACAACCTGATTAAAAAATGGGCAAAGGACCTGAACAGGCATTTTTCCAAAGAAGACATACAAATCATCAAGTTCATGAAAAAATGCTGAGTATCATTAATCATTAGGGCAATGCAAATTAAACCACAATGAGATATCACCACACACCTATTAGAGTGGCTTTTATTTTTAAAAAAATGAAAGATAAGTGTTGACAGGAATGCAGAGAGGGGGGGATCTCCTGTGCATTGTTGGTGGGAATCTAAATTAGTACAGCCTTTATAAAAAATGATATAGAGATTCCTCAAAAAACTAAAACTAGAACTCCCATATGATCCAGCAGTCCCATTTCCTAGTATGTATCCAAAGGAACTGAAACCAATCTGGTGCAGGGATATCTGCACTTCCATGTTCACTGCAGCATTATTTACAATAGCTAAGATATGGAATCAACCTAAGTGTCCATCAATGGATGAATGGATAGAGAAAATGTGGTGTATATATCCAATGGAATAGTATTCAGCCTTAAAAAAGGAAATCCTGTCATTTGTGACAACATGGGTGAATCTGGATGACTCTACTCTTAAAAGGTAGTTTTGTGGTCTCTCAGGTCCTTGTTCTTACACTTCAACCACACTGTACATGTGTTCCTAGCCTATATCAAAAGTGCAGGTCTTATATTTCAAAAGTGTTAACTGAATATACTTATCAAAGTTATCACATGCCAGGCCCGGTGCTGAGTGCTGTATGTACATCATACCATTTAATATCCTTTCCTACTGTATGAGATGGTAAGAGATGTAAAATACAGATCGAGAAACTGAGATGTAGGAAGTTTCCTGAGTGGTGATGGTGAGAGGTGGATCTGCACCTACCTGTCCCTGGGTCCTGACTACAATGCTCACATGACTCTGATCTCATTGAATCCTCATAACCTTAAGAGGTTGGTTCTATTTTTTATCCTCATTTTTCATATGAATAAACTGGTCTTAGTGAAGTTAAGGTACTTGCCTAAGTTGATTAGGAGCCCAAGATCACAGAGAGAGCCAGAATTTTAACCTGATTTCCAAAACTTATGTTCTAAAACCAATTCCCTATATTGCCTTTAGGCTGCAAAAATGTATTGAGTCCATATTTAAAGTATGTGTCAGGCAAACTTCTAGGTATAATAAAGAACGTTACAGACAGGTTTACTGCCTTCATAAAGAAGTTTTCATTATAGTAGGGGGACAGGCAACAAACAGACAAAAAAATATAAAAATATCAAGTAGTGCCATTAGAAAATAAAATGTAAAAAGGAGATAAAGGAGCCTTGGGAACCACTTAAGAGTGGGTGGTGTGGGAAGATCTTGCTCAACAGTAACATTTAAGGTGATGTCTGAATGACAAGAAGGAACTAGTTTAGCCAGGGCAAACTTTGGCATAAGAATGTCTACCAGGTAAAAGACACTGTAAACTTCTTAATGGGTTCCTGGGAGCCCCTCTCATTTTTGCTTTGTTTTTAATTGTCTATGGATTGTGTCAACCTTATTTCCAAATAAAAACTTACAAATTCAACTTGGATTAGGATTGTCAGATTCAGTTAAATAAACACGGACAAACAGTTAAATAAGAATTTCAGATAACAACAAATATATATTTTACTGTATGTTCTAAATAGTACATGAGACATACTTAGACTAAAAATTATTCATTGTTTATCCAAAATTCAAATTTAACTGGGTGTCCTCTATTTTATCTGGCAACTCTAACTTGGGGAGAAGTAAATGACTATAAAATATTGTGAATTACATTTGCAATGGTGTTTTGGACTTAAGAGTCATATGTGGATAACAGTGCTTTGAAGTGTCAGCATTTTTTCTTTTTTTCAGGGTCCCTTTAGGTTATTTTAGCTCCAGTGTAAAATTTATAGGCAGAGGGAAAACATCTATCTACTTTTTGTGAGTCCTACTGCCTTATTAATCACTGAAAAATACAAAAGCAAGCTTCATGGGGAGGAAAAGTGTGATTTTTGTTTCTAAACAAAGGGGTCCAAAGACCTGTGCACTATGAAGAGAATGATGCGATTAGTGAAGCGTTCTGAACAGCACTACTGGAAATCTCTTAGCATGGAGGCCTTAAAAAGCTACTCTGAGTGCTGAAAGAGGACACTTCTGCTTTAAAAAATGCTACACCATTAAAGAAAAAGCCCTTCATCCTATTTTAGTGTATACCTTACATCAGTCATTACAGGCATCTCAGAACTGGAGGGCGACATTGTGGCTTTCCTTTCTTATTTCATCCTCATTTTAAATCAAGTTGCATGCGTGGAAATTATTCCCTAGAGTAGTGCTGTCCAATAGAGCTCTCGGCAGTGATGGAAGTGTTCGATGTCTGTGCTGTCCAATACCAATAGTGTAGCCACCAGCCACATGTGGCTATTGAGCATTCAACAACTTGGTTAGTATAACTGAGGAACTGAATCTTCTCTTTTTTTGTTTGTTTGCTTGTTTGTTTGTTTTGAGACGGAGTCTTGCTCTGTCGCCCAGGCTGGAGTGCAGTGGCACGATCTTGGCTCACTGCAACCTCTGCCTCCCAGGTTCAAGCAATTCTCCTGCCTCAGCCTCCTGAGTAGCTGGGATTACAGATGTGCGCCACCATGCCAGGCTAATATTTTTGTATTTTTAGTAGAGACAGAGTTTTACCATGTTGGCCAGGCTGGTCTCAAACTCCTGACCTCAAGTAATCCCCCTGTCTCAGCCTCCCAAAGTGCTGGGATTATAGGCATGAGCCAGTGCGCCTGGCCTGAATCTTCAATTTTGTAAAATTTTAATTAGCTTAGATTTAAATTTAAAAAGCCATATGTGCCTACTGGCTACTGTATTGGATAGGGTAGTCTGGAGGAAGACAAGTATTAGAACATCTTAGAAAAATGTATCACGGCAGTGCTGAACCTAAAGGCCATTCTAAATAAGCTGTATAAGAATAATTTATTTGCGGCCGGCTGTGGTGGCTCACACCTATAATCCCAGCACTTTGGGAGGCCGAGGCAGGTGGATCTCCTGAGGTCAGGAGTTCGAGACCAGCCTGGCCAATATGGTGAAGCCCTGCCTCTACTAAAAATACAAAAATTAGCCGGGCACAGTGGCGGGCACCTGTAATCCCAGCTACTTGGGAGGCTGAGGCAGGAGAATCACTTGAACCCAGGAGGCGGAGGTTGCAGTGAGCCGAGATCGTGCCATTGTACTCCAACCTGGGTGACAGAGCGAGACTCTGTCTCAAAAAATAAAAATAATAATAAAATAATAATAATAATTTATTTGCCTATAGAATAGGAATTTAGCGTGGATAGTCTCTAAGGTCTCATCCCACTTGAAAATGTTATGCTTCTATGAACTGTACAGGCTGTGTGGTGGCTGCATACTATTCTCTTTTTTTCAATCTCCAATGCCTGGCAGAGGACCTGGCATAGAGTAGATGCTCACTATATGGCTGCTGAAATGAACTGAACTCAAAGGGACCTCCAAATCATCTAGCTCAGAGACATAAAGAGCGCAACACATGTATCACCACCTCCTTTCTAGCGTCCGTGTAAGGCACGCTAATCAGTTATGCCACTCTTTCTGTCTCACACCATAGGCAGGCTCAAAATCCTTCTCAACAGAATTCCTGTAGCCTGTTGATGAGATTAGGGATCTAAGAATTAAAACTCATTTGCCATCTCTATGGCTCAATCTGCTTATTTCATGGGAGAGGACACTGGGACCTAGAGAGTTAATACTTAGACGCTAAGATGGCACAGCTGACTAGTATTAAGGCCAGTTACAGAAGTCAAGTCTCATCACTCCCAGGTGAGCATTCTTTCTACTTTAGACTCTCTACTTTCATTTTAACACGATTCTGTCTCTTGGTTTCTTTAAAATATTTTCCTCTAATAATAGTGGGTAACTCAGGGGTATGGGGAATGGGGAGATGGCGGTAAGATCTAGATGGATGGAAAAATGGGTGGATGTAAGATTTCACCATAAATATTTCAACCATGTGAATACATTACGTATTTAATTTTTCAAGTAAATTGGTTTTAAAGACGTTGTTTAATAAGCTCTTTAAAAGATAAGAAGTTCAGAGCATCTCCATAATTGATGTTTTGGAAAGTTTCCTTTTAGTTTTCCCTACTGAATTTCTACAAAGGATCTACTTTGATGGATTTACTTGATATATCTTTGTAACTTCAATTGTCTTCTGATGAAAAACAGAGCTCAAGGAAAATGTTTTGCTGTGTCTCTTCCTGAGGTATGTGGTTGGAGAGCTCACATTTTCTTTGTCATCTAGATCTTTGCTACTCAAAATGTGGTCTGCAGGATGGTGGCACCTGCAATAACTGGGTCCTTATTAGAAGTGCCGGCCTGGCACGGTGGCTCACGCCTGTAATCCCAGTGCTTTTCGAGGCTGAGGTGGGTGGATCATTTGAGGTCAGGAGTTCGAGACCAGCCTGGGCAACATGATGAAACCCCCCTACCCGCCACTAAAAATACAAAAATTAGCTATGCATGGTGTCACCTGCCTGTAATCCCAGCTACTTGTGAGGCTGAGGTAGCAAAATTGCTTGAACCCGGGAGGCAGAGGTTGCAGTGAGCCGAGATCACACCACTGCACTCCAGCCTGGGCAACAGAGCGAGACTCTATCTCAAAAAAAAACAAAAAAAAAAAATAGATGTGCCAAATCTCAAGCTCCATCTTAGACCTACAGAATTCAAATCTGCACCTTAACAAGACCCCCTAGGTAATTTAAATGCACATTAAGGCTTCAGAAGTACTGGCCTAGATAACAAGGCAATTGACATTTTGGCCAAAGTTAGTGTCCTGAGGTGGCAAGCTGGAAAGATGCAGTGAAAAAAAATCATCCCTGTTATTAGATATGACAAATTTAGGCCTAATATACAAACTTCTATTGAAAAGGGAGTCACGGTTGGCTGCCAAGCAGCCATAGTTGAGCTTGAACCCCTGCTTATTTTATAGGGTCTGTATCAGATCAATAGTGAAGATGATGATAATGAGGGTAATAATTATGATAACAATATTTACCATGTGTTATGTGTTATGTACTATACTAAAAGCTTTACACATATTACTTTAATGTTCACAATAAACCTATTCCAATTTATAGATTAGATAAATAATTAGAAGCTAGTCCTTTCCAGCTTGCTTTTCTCTACTCCAGAGGCTGAAAGCTAAAAACTGCCTTTCCCAAACTCCCTTGCAGCTAGGGTACAGGCATCCCACTCAGCTGCATCTACTCCAGACTTGGGTGCAGAAGCAAACAACATGCAGTGGAAGCCGTCTTCGGAGAGATTGGATCTTCTGCTACATATGCAGGTAGAGAAATCTATTTCAGCTGTGGTGGCTATAATGGAGTATCTGACATCTGGTTTCAAGAGCCTCAGGTACCAGGCTGTGTCAGTGGTGTTCTGGCTACAAAAGAACCACAGTGTCATTGGGCAATTTTTCTGCCTGTGTTGTCCCTGGCTATATGGTGTCCAAGAATTATTCACTGCACTTCCTTTCCCAAAAGATTCTGGGAGCCGCTTAATGTCTCTTAATACATTACTTTCCATTTATCTACCTAGAGTGGACTCCCGTTTGCAAGTAAGATCCTGGCTGATACAGTAATTGAGACCAGTTAAGTCACTAAAAGCTAAAAAAATGGTGGAGCTAAGTTAGACATGTCAGTACTATTTTCCAGAGCAGGTGACATTTGGGATATTGTAAAGTAGACATATGGTTAATATTTCCTAGAATGACAGTGATGAAGATGAAACTAGTGGCTTTATCTGAAAGGAACCATTAATTTTTAAGATAAGTTTTGCCATGAAATTTGGAAATGTTCTATACCTAAAAACACATATATCCCTATGGCCAAACTCAAAGAACGAAAACAAGTATCTAGTCCAGTCATAAAGTAAGGCATGGAATGAGGAAAAAGAGAAGGGAAAAAGTAAGATGTTTTGAATGCCCATTTTATACAGGAACTGAATTAGGGGCTTCTCTAAACATGAACAAAGAGATTCTAAAATAAGAATTATATGACTTATAATGGTTGGCAAACTGGTGGCTGGTGCTCAGGCGGATCAAGGGTGGTAAGAATTTTGGTTAAAATGGATTTATTTGAAAGGAGATTAATCTCACTCCATGCAAATACACTATAAATGCTAATAAGCACTAATGATGTATTATAAAGTTTCTGGAAAAAAATAGATGTTACATGAGCAAGTAATGTAGTTGGATAATCTCACTTGCTTATTATTTCCCCAAAGGCATGAATGACCAAGTTGGAACCACACAAAGAACTTATCCTCCATTCCTTGTTTCTTGCTTACCATGATTGTCCACTTTCTGTTTTCTGCCTCTGGGAACACTAGTGATCGAGGAGAATAAAAGACTTCATCATCCACTTCTTCTGGCTTTCTGGGCAAGCAGTGTAAAAATGTCCAGTCAGAGGCAGCAACTTTAGCAGTCTAAAGAGATGGGGATAAGACCACTTTTTGACTATTATATGTGGCAGTCATATTTGTTTTCTTCAGTATCTAAAAACACACATGGCCAGTAGTCAGACATCAATGCAAAGGGAGAGACAAAGGAGCAGAGTGATGGTTTTATCTCAAGACACCTAGGAGAAATGTACATGGTACTTTCAAATTTTTTTTTTTTTTTGAGACAGAGTCTCGCTCTGTCACCCAGGCTGGAGTGCAGTGGCAAAATCTCGGCTGACTGCAACCTCCGCCTCCAGAGCTCAAGCAATTCTCCTGCCTCAGCTTCCTGAGTAGCTGGGACTACAGGCATGTGCCACCATGCCCAGTGAATTTTTGTATTTTTAGTAGAGACGGGATTTCACCATATTGGCCAGGCTGGTTTTAAACTCCTGACCTCAAATGATCCGCCCGCCTCGCCTCTCAAAGTGCTGGGATTACAGGCATGAGCCACCGTGTCTGGCAAGTCTTTTTTTTTTTTTTTTCTTTTTAAATTTAAGAGAGTACCACTTCAAGTTACACCAGTAACTCAGTTTTCTGTTATTCTATTTAGTGGAACAGTAGACCTTTCAGTAAAGAACTCTACTAATGTAATATGTGGCTGATAGCAAAAGTCACCAATTATAGTCCACTATATTTAAAAAGTTGCTTTGGTGTGATAATATTATATTTGGAGCTGATCTCCAAATTATTATTTTTAGCACTTGAAGCATACTCCATCACTAGTTAAAACAATTTAGATAAAGGTAATGAGGTAGGGGTGAATTAAACAGGATTATAAGCACTATGCATTAGATTTTTCATTCTTAATGCAAATGTACTAGCAGTTTTAATTTTCTCCAACAGTTAATTGCTGAAAGTTACATTTCCCTATATATTTCTATTGTTCACATACAGATTCAAAACTACATTCCTTCATACTTTCTTACCTCAAAATTACTGCCTTTGTACTACAATTTTGTTTTACCTCCCACCCAAGCTCTAGGTTCAGGACATTTTGAGTTTCTAAAATACCAGCAAAATTACATGGAAAAAAGTAACATTTATAAATGCCATACATCAACAAAATGACTGTTCTTCAATCCTACAGTTC
Organism: Homo sapiens; assembly: GCF_000001405.40. Classification (NCBI taxonomy): domain Eukaryota; kingdom Metazoa; phylum Chordata; class Mammalia; order Primates; family Hominidae; genus Homo; species Homo sapiens. The sequence continues at coordinate 38,410,756 of NC_000023.11, read as the reverse complement.
CAGCACCAGCAACACATATAAGATTGGCCAAGCAAGTGTAAGTATGAAGCAATTTATATAATTTAAAATATCTCCATGAAAATATATTCCACATGATAAGGGATTAGCCATAATATATAAAGAGCTCCTATAACCAATAATAGAAAAGGCAAAAAAATAGAAAATGGGCAAAAAATGTAATAGCAATTTATAGAAAAAAGGGCAATGCCCAATAAACATAAAAAGATGCTTAACTTCATTAGTAATCAAGGAATTGCAAATTTTAACAAAGATGAGGTGCCATTTTTCCTCCAGATTTAGAAAAATTAAAAATGTAAATAAAAGCTAAACATGGAGAGGATATGGAAAAATAACTATAATATACAGCTGCAGCAGTATACATTTTTAATCTTCTTTGGGTAAGCAATTTAGCAGCACTCTCATATTTTAAAAAATTTATACCACTTCACCCCAAAATTCCTCTCCTCAGGATCTTATTCTCCAGTAATATTTGCACAAAGAAATATGGATAAGCAAGTTCATTGCAGCATTTTTGTAATCGGCATTCTCAGAAATAGCCTAATTTATCAATAGGAAACATTTTAAGTAAATTATGGTTCCACTTATCCTTTGGAATTCTATGCAGCAACTAAAAAGAATAAAAAATATCTAAATGAGTGAGCAAGAAAATCTAAGATTTGTTAAGTGGAAAAAGTAAGAATAATAATAAATAAATAAGTAATGTCTAAAATATCATTTACAAAAAAATCAATAGTTATGTGTGTATTGAGGCATACATATGTAAATGCACAGAAAAGGTCTGCAAAGAGACACATCAAATTATTAAACAGAGGCTACCTCTAGGAATAGTCTCTGTTAAAGAGATGGGAGAAAGACATTTTTACTTTTTATTTTTCAAACTTCTGTTCTATTTTATATATAACAATAAAGAACTTGTATTTATGTATTACTTTATCAATATAATATTAATTGTACTTGCTTAATCCCTTTCTCCACCAAAGTAGATTTGTTGCTTTGCTGACAAAACCCCTGTGCATTTGGCTTTCAGGGTATTCCTCCAGAACATTGCTTCTCAAAGTGTGGCCCTGGAGGCAGCAGCACTGCATCACCTGGGAACTTGGTAGAAATGCAGATTCTCAGGTTTCACCCTGACCTACTGAATCAGAAACCCTGGGGGTGGGACCCAGCCAGCTGTGTATTAACAACTCCTCTGGTGATGCTAATACCTGCTCAAGACTGAGAAGCATTGTTCCAGATCTTACTGGAAGACAGCCAAACAGATGAGTCCCCTGGGAATGCCCTGGAGGGCATTAGCAAAACTAAACTGGATTTAGAGGTCCTTGGAAAATAGAGGCAAGGACTAGCCTGAGGAGCATAGTTAAGGGGCTTTTCTTAGGGGAGAAATCATAAGAAACTGCATGCATCAGAAGTAACCTAATTTCTCTAAACACACAAAGAGTAAAACACTGCAATGCCTCGATTCTTGTGAGAGGGAAAAGCCTGCTCCTCTCTTCTCAGTGGGTTTCAAATTCCTTCATCCAGCACAAAAATGCCTTTCCAAAGGACACAGCTAATCTTTGGAAGGAGAGAAGTCCCTAGGGGATACAGTCAGTGAGTCCTTTTATAGGGAATGAAAGGACAGTCTGCTCCCCCTAAAGTGAATAAGTGATTAGATGGTTCTGGCCTTCATGAATGGAATTAATGAACCTTCAGAGAGGCATCAATTTGTACCTTCATTGTAACCTGGTAACCTTGGAAAGCCTGGAGCCGCTTTTTCTTCTCCTCTTCTTGTCCCATGCTTATCCAAGTGTCTGTAATTAATACATTGCCTCCATGCGCTGCTTCCAATGGATCATTTGTCAGCAACAGCTTGGTACCATTCTAGCATACATAAACACGCTGGTTAAATAACTTCATGGGACAGTAAAAGGCAATAATAGCTTTACATGTAAAGAGCATACCTCTTTGGCATACTGCTCTGCCAACTTGGTTACACTAGCATCCGGCTCATAACCCTAAAGGAGGAAGAATTTAAATCTTATTTAGGTAATTTTATTATACATGTTTTCTTAAATATATATTATTTTCTTTTCAATATCGCGTCTCCTTCCCTTTTTCAAGATGTGGTCCCACCATGTTCAGTAGAATATGATTTTTACATCTAGAATTCCAAAACTCAATAGTGCCTTTTGGAATTTAAAGAGACAACCAATTGCCCCAGCTTTCACTATCTCCGACTTCTTTAATCATAAAGGCAAACATAAGGCATGGTGCTTTCTAACTCTTGGAAGCACCTCTTCCGGTTTCCATAATGGCTTAAGAGGATTATATTCAGAAGTGTGCAAATGAATGCATGTTTGTCTATCTTTGCACATGCTATCCTTTCTTGTCTGAAATTCTTTCTTCCACCCATTCCATGTGGATAACTTTTTCAGGTCTCAGTTGAAATGTCCCCTCCTCAGAAAAACCTTCCCTGACCATCCCAGCTAAATACTAACAGCTCCCCCTCCCCCATTACACACCTCTCATTCTTTTGCATTCCCCAGCAAGCCTTTTGAGGGCAGGGTGCTTGTTTTGAAAGGCATTGACAGAACAAATACATTGTTTTTGCTAAGATTATATATTTGTCCGGGATGGTTTGGTGAGGGCAGAGTCAGACTCTGGAGAGGCAAGCGAGGTGCCTAGGGCAAAACATTTAAGGAGGCGCTAGAAAAAATGTAAAGAAACACACATTCTCAGGGTCATGCATGCACAAATTCTGCACCCTAGGTGCCTCGCTTGCTCAGCCTAGTTCCTACTCTGGGTGAGGAGACATCATGGGAACAGCTAAAGCTCCCCAAGGTATCCCAGATTCCCACAGGCAGCCTCCCTGCCTCTACCCTCACTCTCCAACCTATTCTGTACACAGCAGCAAGAACTGTTTTCTCTGAAGCCTCTGATGTTTACTACTTGTTTCTTAAGTCAAAGCTGATTAAGAGCATCAAGGCTCCCCACCTCCATCCTCTGCTTCTGTCTCTTTTAATTCTTCTCAACATCTTGCTGCAGGAAAGCCAATCTTATTGTCATCCCTGTACACATCTTGCCCTTTTCTGCCATCACAGCCTTTCACCCTTGAACACCTCCTCTCTTGTCCCCTCCTGGGCTTCTTCATCACAATGTGTCAGCTCCTCAAAACTCTAGCCCAGCCTCACCTCCAAGACCCTCCATATGGAAGTCTTGTCAGTTCAAACACTGTAATTATCCTCACCTTCCTCTATCCTTCTCATTTTCCCAAGTTCTTAGCATTGATTATGAGTTGATTTTTATCACTTTTCACTGAAGCATTGTGGTGAACGCTGTGGTATGCTCCCGAGATCCCCCTCCAGGAATAATCATGAATAAAGGACTTATTCCCCCAGCTGCTGGGAGTGCTGCCAGAAGACGGCTTTCAGCTGTCAGCCCCCTTTGGGCACTGCCTCTGCTGCAGAGAGCAGCCGCACCCAAGGTCACACACCCTTTTGGGGCAACCCACATTCAATGGCTGATTGACAGGAGGGTATGAAAACCTGACCCTCCTCTGCCCAACTCCAGACAGATGAATGGACATCTCAGATCCAGAACTTTCCATAAGATCAGCCAAGGCTGTTGTTGGGTCTGCATCGCAACTCAGCTTCTCCCTCTTACTCCTGCTTCCTTCCCTTCCTTTCCACAGTTGTTGATTTCAAGGGCACATGCTAATAAGCATCCTGCCTGTCCTGCACACTAAACTCTGAGTCTGCTTCCCAAGAAACCCAACCTGTGACAGGCATGTCTAGGTTTATTTGTGAAATTGTGTTTATTTGCACATGATTGTCTACCATAGTTTCTTCTTCTATTAAAGCATTCTTGAAAGAAGAAACTACTCAGATGTTGATGAAGATGCCTGCAGACATTTTAGCAGCTTTACCACCCTCATATAGCCATGAATTCTGGAGCCTTGTTTATAGAGATTTGGGGAAAGTAATTAATAAAGGCTAGCTAATTTAGCAACTAATGTTGTGAACAGCCATACTGGTAAACATAAATGAAGAGACTTGGATATTCCCCCAGGTGCCTCCTACCCTGAAAATTTAGCCTTCCCTTTGGAGAGTAGGTTTTATACTCCCTAAGTACAATAATTCTTAGAAAAGGAATCAATAAGTACTTAGAGAACCAACAGAGAGGTCTGGAAATTAGAAAATCACCCAACCTTGCATGCACTGAGGCATGACTTAGAATACAGAGAGGAATTCTTTACTCACATCTCAGCTTTCAATACTAAATCACTCACTAGCCTTTACATAAATTTTAAAACCAGACAAAGAAGGTGATTAACACACCCAGTTCACTCTAAGTATTCACTTAGAACAATGTTAAAATCATTACTATTGATAGTTTATGGAGCAATTTTACAATCATGGACAAAATTATTTTTTCTTGAACATGTAAGTTATTCTTGGTTAAAGAATGGGGAAATAGATTAATCATGGCCTTGGAAACGTTTCAGTGTTTCTAAAATTTACAATAAATCTCCTAGCTTTATCTTTAAAGGAAACAGGTCTACTAACAACTGAAGACTTACAAATTGATGGAATGACTTTTGCACTATCAGACTTTCCAGAAGACTTTGCAAAACTCTTACTCCCACCAAGGTTTAACCAGGTTTTAGTACTCTTTATCATTTAAATGAGTTTCTCCTTAAGAACAATACTGCAATTACTCTGTAATATTAGAATTTTTTCCTTTGATGTTAATAAAACATCTTTGGCATGCAATAAAATGTTTAAACCATATATTTCTTCAACAGAATAAAGCCTTCCAAAAGATCTTCATAGCAGGGAGCAATTATTGTTAATGTATGTTTCATCTGTGGGAACCAAATGCAATAAGAGTTTGCATTAATACAGAGCCTTTCTTCAAACTAGCTTTGTATAGAGAGTGTACTCACCCTTCCCATAAAGTGAATAAAAGCCGCTTTAAGCACATATCGGATCTGACCCTTATTTCAGTTCACGCTGAATAAAAGAGGAGAATTATCTGTTGTAAGGGTCATCTCTCTGAGTCCCTCAAATTTACTATAATAGGATGACTTCCACTGCATGCAGTACATTTTTTCTATGGCAGGTGTACTTGGTTGAATAGTGTTCTTCAAAATTCACTCCCACCCAGAAACTCAGAATGTGACCTTATGTGGAAATAGAGTCTTTCCAGATGTAATTAGTTAAGATGAGTTCATACTGGATTAGAGTGGGCCTAAATTTAATATGTCTGGTGTCCCTATAAGAAGAGGGGGATTTGTACAGAGAGACACAGACACAGAGGGAAAATGGGAATGCCTGGGGCTACCAGAAGCAGGAAGAGGCAAAAAAGGATCCTCCCTGAGAGGCTTCCGAGGGAGTGTGGCCTGTCAACACCTTGATTTCAAACTTCTAGTCTCCAAAACTGTGAAAGAGTAAATTTGTATTGTTTTAAGCTGTGTAGTTTGTAGTAATTTGTTATGGCAGCCCTAAGAATCCAAGACAGCAAGATAAAAACACCTGGTGAAGCATTTGGTGGTGGTTAGTTTTGTTTTGGCTGGATGCAGCAGATGATGTTGGTGATCTACTCAGAGGCCCCCGGGGGATCCCTTTTCATGGCTTCTGCTCCCTTCCCCAGTTTCAGTGTTTTTAACACCTAGTGCGTGCAGTTTGTCTTCAGGGGACAGCTCTCTGGCTACCAGGCTGCTTTTCCCATCAAAAGTGCCAGGGGATTTACCACTCCACCTCTTCTGCTGCCCTTGACCAATGCTGGGATAACTTTAGGGCATAACTTACACTCCAGAGCTCACCTGTGAGATCAGGCTGAAGCTACTTTCTGTGGGACTGTGCACGACATGGGACTAGGGTGACCAAATCACCTTGGTTTGCCCGGACTCTCAATTTTAGCACCCCAAACCCCATGTCCCCAGAAATCTCTTGATCTTGAGCAAATCAGGATGGTTGGTCACTGTAAATGGCATCCTTGCTTAGATTCTTCCCTTTCCCTGTCCTGCTCCCCCTAATCCCTTAGGGATCTCCCTTGGCAGTACTTCCTTAATAAATCACCTGTACACAAATCCCCACGGTGGTGTGCCTGTGGTGGTGTGCCTGGCCTAAGGTTGATATTTAGTAATGGTGCTGGAACATTTATTTTTCCATGTGAAAGAATATATATAAATAAAAATATATACCATCTACGTTTGTGTAAGTACACGGTATGATGTTCCCACAACAACAAAGTCATCGAAGGACCCATTTCTCAGAACATATCCCTGTTATGAAGCCACACATGACTGTATGGTCAAAATAAAGTGTCCCTCCTACCTCTATCCTCAAACCTCCCAGTTCCTCTCCTCAGAGGCAACAATTATTACCAGTTTCTTGTGTATCAAAAGGTTTACATTGGGCCTATGAAAGAAGTCATGTATTCCATACATGCTGTGAGAGAGCAGCAAGGTAGGAAGTATGCAGGGGTCATTTTCATAGCCATGTGGGGCTCAAATTTTCTAAGCCAAAAGGTCCCCAGAGTTGAGTTTTGAAATACTAAGCTGGTGTAGATGCCATCACTGTGATCCTCACATTGGATTCACATTTTTCTACCAAATTGCAGTGTTAGAAAAATGACAGTATCATTCCCATGGGTTGAGAATTCTATGCTGCCTGGATTTTATTGCTTTCTTCAGCCTTTGTGGTGGTAATGCACAATGCCAGTCATCATAATGGCCTACAGCAGGGTATTCAAAGGAATAATTCAGACATGCTTTTAACACTAACTCATAGAATAAAAGGCATCAGCCAAGACTATCTCTTATTGTAGAGATGGGAAATTGGACTCTCAAGAGGCCAGATAGCTATTTAATAGTAGGGCTGGTAACGTAACCTAAATTCTGTGGCCTCACCTGTGCTATACTTAAATGGAAGAGAGCTTTTTTTGTCACTGGGTAATTGCATCTGAGGATGATTTAAGAGAGGGGTTAGTTTCAAGGCAAAAAGTTTCCCTACCTTTGGAGTAGCTGCCTGAAGGTGCATTCCGAATTTCGCTGCGCTCATCATGATGGAGTGCAGGATATTGTTCCCATCCCCGATCCAGCTGAGGGTAAGACCTTTCAGAGAGCTATAGTGTTCCTAAAAGGCACGGGATGAAGGAGATGAAATCCAGGCGTAAATTCGCTTATGTGTAGCAATTACTAAGGTTAAAATAAATAGTCTTAATCTCAGTATTAGTGCCTTGTTAGAAGGAATGAATTCCCAATTTTTTTGCATTACACAGAGCAACTCAATAATATGAATGTACAATCCCAAAAACGTGGTAAAATGTCTTAATATCTTAAACCAAGACACCATATGAACTTGAACAGAGACTAAGAGTTTCATACATTTCAAATCTGAGTCTTAGTTGTATTCACTCATTGGATACAAATGAGCACCATTAACATCCAGACACTGAGACACTGTCCTTGGCCCTGGAGATACAATAAACAAAGGAGACAAAAATCACTGCTTTTATGGAGCTGAAATTCTTTGGTATGAGAAAGGGGAAATACAGAATACCTGGAACAGTGTAGCATAGTGGCTCAGAGCATGTTCCCATTATACGAAGTTGACAAAGATGCTCAATAATACTGTTAGTTGGCCAGGTGCAGTGGCTCATTCCTGTAATCCCAGCACTTTGGGAGACCAAGGTGGGCGGATCACCTGAGGTCAGAAGTTCGAGACCAGCCTGGTCAACATGATGAAACCCCATGTCTACTAAAAACACAAAAATTAGCCAGGCGTGGCACACACTTGTAATCCCAGCTACTCCGGAGGCTGAGGCACAAGAATCGCTTGAACCCGGGAGGCGGAGGTTGCAGTGAGTTGAGATCATGCCACTGCACTCCAGTCTGGGTGACAGAGTGAGACTCTGTCTCAAATAATAATAATAACAAAAATAATAATAATAATACTGTTGGTTGTTTATGGCTATAGATATGTGTAAAGATACTAACATCAGGATAATAACATATTTGTGGAAAGGAAGAAAATAAGATTAGGCAGAGTTACATGGTGGGCTTCAACTCTATCTTTAATGTTTTATTGAAAAACAGCAAAGAATTATAAAGTATCAACATCATGTTAAGAATTGACAAAACTGTGTGAACACATGAATGTTTGTTTTATTTTCTTGAAGTGTCTGTAGGTTTCATATATTTTATATATTTAAAAAGATTAAAAAAGAGAAAGGCTAAGCAATTTGGAGATCACAGAACTACTAGTTGGCTAAGCTAGAATTTAATTCCAGATCCATCTGATTTAGATTCCATGCTCTTAACAAGCTGCTATTTATTCATTCAGCTCCTACTTTAAGTGTCTCCTATATGAAGGCATTGCACAAGGTCCTGCAGGGGACATTATGATGAATAGGACAGCTCATTTTCCCTCAATGAATTTATAATCTAGTAATGATAAAGCCCCAGGGGGAAGCATTAAATTATCTGGTGTATATGTAAAGCCACACCCACAGACAGCCACTTTGGTATCTGACATAATTATATCATCTTCTCTGCATGGATCTCATCCTCATGTCCAAAGTGTTTTATTTTGAGCTTAACCTCACATTTAAATGTGTGTAGTTTATTCAAATGTGGAAGAAGATGGGCCTATCCAGTTTATCTTGTCTCCTCAGAGTTATCCATAGACATAGAAACCATGGCTGTTAGGATTTCCAGGGGCAATATAATGTAGATTGGCTGTGGCAAACCAAACAAGAGGAATCTTTCAAAGTTATTCAAGTTCCTAATTTGGGAGGACTAGAATGGCTAAATTTGAGCCCCAATTCTATAAATTCTGCATATTCTTAACCCTACTTTAAATAACCAGTTTATTAAAATGATAGAAAGTGTCCCCCTCTTCCAGAGTGACTTAGTAACTAACCTTTTTGAATATTCAAAGCACACTCCACCAGTCTTCACTCCCAAGCCACAGACCTGATGTCTATAGAATCACATATGGCTTGTCCATTTTGTATGCTCCAGTGTTCTCTATTCATTCATTGTGTTAAATATGGCACCGAAAAATCAAAGGGATTGACAGAACATAAGATGAGATATGGGCTAAAAGGGTTTGGGAATAGGGTTGAGTGCAGAGCGATCTTAGAGTCTGTTTTTAACAATGTCCTGTTTTCCCCAGAAAATGCACACACAAGCTGTAATTCTTTGTCAAGCTGGTATTTGAAAATAAAACACCAATACCATGATTTAAGTAAACTGTTTCACTTAAAGCAAGTCAGGAATTATTTGATTTTGCTCTTTTGTAAGACAAATAAATAAACCAACCTGGAGCGTGAGGTAATCAGCCAGGATCTGGATAGGATGGTACAAATCTGACAGCCCATTGATAATTGGGATGGATGCTTCTTTAGCCAGGGTGTCCAAATCTGATTGTTTATACACTCGAGCCAATACTGCATCTGCCATGCTAGACAATACACTGTGGCAAACCAAGAAAAAGATAATCTAAGATAATTATGCTTAATAATGCCTTATTTAATATAAGATCAGAAATAATAACAAGAAATACTAATAAATAGAATTTTTACTACATGAAAACCTACCAACATTACAGGTTTAAAAGGTAATATTAAACATGTATTCATTACATAAGCCAGATGTTCTACCTCCCACGACTTATCCAGTGACCAGCGATTTTACATTTTTTATGGAGATAATTGTGGGCCCAGCAGACATAATGATGAGTTATAATTAATAAATGGCCATTGGTTAAAAGGGACAAGACCAAAAGCAAGATATACGGAGAAACATTAATGACCTGCCATATGGCTAATTTTCTTTCACATCATCCAACAGAAAAAAGATACATTTTCACTGTGGAATTGCAAGTCCCAGTGTGGCAGCCATGGAAGTGCACACACAGATCGCCCTACAGAAGAGAACTTGCTGTGAGGAGAGCCATTGGCTGACACTCTAGCTGCTACACCTTCGGATGCCCTGCAGCATTCCTGCCAAGGCCACCCTCCCCAGGCTGTTCCAACCTGATGACAGAACACAGTGGGGAGAATAGCGCTGGGCCATTCCTGCGTGACAGGGACCTCTCTGATAGACAGTCTGTGCTCTGGGGCTCCCCACCAGCCTGGCTGAGACTTTCTCAGAGCTGCGCTACTGGCTGAGGCTCTCTCCCTACCCACGCATCCTTCTTTCCCACAGGGGTCAGACCTGCCTCCCTGTCTGAAGGCCCTCTTGCCCACTCCTGCTGCCTCTCTCTTTATGTTTCTTGGTGGTTCCCTCAATAAATCTCTTGCAAGTCTAATTCCTTCTTGAAATCTGCTTAGTGGACCTGAACTGACACAGAAAGCAATAAACTCTGGTGCTTACAAAATTCAAGGACTGCTTGGCCCCAGGGATTAGAGAATCAAAGATTAAAAACTATATTCCTATAACAATATTTTTCTAGACTTAAAGATCAGATTTTTTCTAATTTTTAATGGATTTATCATGCCCATGGCTCCCAGATTTTCAAATTTCATGAACCAGCAAGATTTCCAAAAATATGTGGAGATCAACATAAGATTTGCAACTCTTTATTTACCAAATTAAGAGCATGAGAAAAGCAAATAAACAGGTATAATGTTACTACCTTAATTTAATTTAAAAAGGATATTTTAACATCAAAAAGGTGTGAAAGACAATTTCAAAGAAGAATCCTTGAAATGAATTATTTGAGCTTTATGAAATTTACTATATAATTCTTATCCTTATTTTTCTTATTCTACCACTTCTGATGGAAGCTTCTCCACACCAGGGTCAGTGGGGATAGAGATTTGTAAACCACTGCTTTGAACTATCTAAGCGCGCTATATTTTATAGCATGAGAAGTGAATAAAAGAGCCATTTTTAAAAAAATGTGATATTGGTTAACTTTTGATGGTGGACTAAGACAAGGGGTTTTCAAATTTTGCTGCACATGAAAGTCACTTGGAGAATGTTTGTTTGTTTTTTTTGAGTTGGAGTCTTGCTCTGTCTCCCTGGCTGGAGGGCAGTGGCGTGATCTCAACTCACTGCAACCCCCTCCTCCCAGGTACAATCGATTCTCTCACCTTAGCCTCCCAAGTAGCTAGGATTACAGGCTCGCCACCACACCCAGCTAATTTTTGTATTTTTAGTAGAGACAGGGTTTTGTCATGTTGGCCAGGCTGGTCTCAAACTCCTGACCTCAGGTGATCCGCCCACCTCGGCCCCCCAAAGTGCTGGGATTACAGGCGTGAGCCACCGCACCTGGCAACTTGGAGAGTTTTTTAAACTCTTGATGCCCAGGCCATATTCTCTATCAATTAAATCAGAAAAATCAAAATCTCTAGGAGTGGGACCTAGGGATCATTATTTTTAAAAATATTCTTACTATATTGTAACGTGCTGCCAAAGTTGAGAACCAAAGCTAGCACCTTGCCCCTCAGAGTAGCAACATCAGCATCATCTGAGAGCATATTAGATCTTCAGAATTTCAGGCCCCACCCAGATTTACTGAAGCAGAATCTGCATTTTAACAAGGTTTCCAGGTGATTCATTTGCATATTAAAGTTTGAGACTCCTAAGAAAGAGGGAATTGAGACTGCCATATTTTTGAAAGCATCATCTATTATTTTCTTAAAATCCTAACCAGGCAATATATCAAGACTAGACAAAGCTTCTGAGATGGCAGCCCACAAAAACAGAAGACTCTGTCTATAATATCCTTGGCAGGGAGGGAATTGAGGGAAAAAGGCAGCTAAACTCCTCTGAGCAAAGAATAGTTCACCACCTTCTGTTAAGGCCCTTCTCGTTAGAGAAGCAACTACCCTTACTTATTTGATGCCCTAAGACAATGGTTCCCAGACTTGGGTGTGTATCGGAACTAAGTGAAGAACTAATACTAATAGATTACACAGAAATAGAGTAGGTCCTAGGCCTTTGTCCTCTTACTAAAACAGACATTCTGTTTTTCATACTATAAGAATGCAAGCTTCTGTCATGGAAAAGTAACTTAAGTGGAGGTAGATATGTCAATAAGGTATATAATTATAATCAACTATCAATTCCCTATATCAGATGAATTGGTTAATTTTATGATGTCTAAAACCCCAAGAAAGAGAGAGAGAGAAGGAGAGGGTGGGGGCAGAGGGGTGTTTAATCCTAGAGGTCATACTTCAGACTTCTTTAAACATGTAGCACTCCCTAAAGTGTGTACAGACAAATAAAAAAAGTCTGGATTAACACTGCAGTTGACCTTCTGGAATCTCATAGCCAGAAAAGCAGATTTGACTTCTATTATAGCCTCTCAAATCATTTTAGGCAGCTAGGACCTTAGGCTGCCAACCTGTTATGGTTTTCTCGAACTTTACAGTATGTTGTTGAATTTTGCTAGATTTAGTGTGTGTCACATGCAGACATTATCTTAACCTCAAAGATGAAGAAATCAAGGCCTTTTAAAACCTTGAAGTAATTAGAGCAAGGTTAGGAAGGAGTGAGGAAGATGAGACTGAAAGACAGAAATGCTAGCAGAACAATTGGAGAAGTCAACGACCTGTACACATGAGTCTTTCAAGAAGACTGAAAAAAAGGCAGGTGTGTTTTTCTCTCTTTAGCAAGTCCCCATCCCCAAAACTCCTGAAGCAAAGCAGTCAAAAGATAAGCATGCATTTAATTTTTCTGTTTATAATGTCAAGCTGGTATCCCTGGAACCTCTGTGGTGTAATTTCATGGGAGTATGCCTGGTTGGCTTTATTCAGGTTGCAACACTTTTCTAGAACAGAGGTTCTTTACTTTGGCTGCACATTAGTATCACCTATGGAGCTTTTACAAAATCCTGATGCCATATTCTGCTTTTTGGAAGGTTAAATCAGAAGCTATGATAGTGAGACCCATATCAACATTTTTAAAGCTCCCCAAGCTAATCCAGTATGAAGACTAGGCTGAGAACCATTGTCCTAGAAAACGGAGTGAGAGAGGAGGTGGGAGGAAAGTGGGCTACTGTGCCACTGGGTGACACAGTGGATCAATGTAGAGGAAGAAACTCTTAGTAATTGCTGAAATCTCATACAATAAGAAAAGTAAGGGATAACGATATGATAAGCTATACTGGAAAGAACAAGATTTTACACACTTATAAAAGACGTATTTTCTTTAAGCTCAGTCGCTAGCAAGAGAAGTCCCAAGGCAGCAGCAGTAGCTGTAGTCTTTCCCCACTTGACACTTGTAAACATCCCTAGTGACCAGATTTTTGTCTCTAATATTGTTCTATTTTTAAAAAAAGAACCAGAAACCATTAGAGGATAGTCAGTTTCACGTTATTGGGCAGAATAAAATCAGAATAGGTCTGTAACATTTTGTTCTTGCCAGGAAACAAGAGTGATTTGTTTTTTAAATGGCAGAGGCACTGCTGAAAGAAAAACAGTCAGCTTAAAGGAGCTCCCATTTTTCAAGTTGTGATCATTTGTAGTAATAAAGATCATGAAATGAAATAAATTATGCTTCTAAAGGGACATGATGTACATAAGAAAAAAGTTAATGTAAATAAAATGTACAAAATTATAATAGTAATATCAAAGAAGAGTGAATATTATGTACATGTAAATTTATTTACTTACATAAGTAGGAAAGTGTTTATATATAACTATAGATAGATATTTGTGGGTTTTTGTTAAGTATATTTCTGTTCATATAGTATAGATATGTATTGTTTTTATCTGCATAAGCCACAAATTACTAACATAATTTGTAAGCCAAACAGTCCTAGAAATAGTAGAAACTGTACCATGAATAAACAGGCCTCAGCAGCATTTGTGGTCTCATATATAAGTGAACTAGAAAAGGAGTCCAGCGGTTGGCTAGCACCAGTCGCATATGCAATTTCCAATGAGGAAAACGATAATAACCATTTACTCCAAAATACTAACTTAGTTAAATGTCCATAAAAAGTAGTCTAAATTTTTTTTTTTTCAGACGGAGTCTCGCTCTGTCGCCCAGGCTGGAGTGCAGTGGCATGATCTCGGCTCACTGCAACCTCTCCCTCCCAGGTTCAAGCAATTATCCGGCCTCAGTCTACCAAGTAGCTTGGATTAGAGGCATGCGCCACTACGCCCGGCTAATTTTTGTGTTATTAGTAAAGACGAGGTTTCACCATGTTGGCCTGGCTGGTTTCAAACTCCTGACCTCAGGTGATCACCCGTCTCAGACTCTCAAAGTGCTGGGATTACAGGCGTGAGCCACCGCACTTGGCTAAGAAGTCTAAATTTTAAGATTCACTTTTCTGTTTCTCTGGAAATGAAAACTTTTGATGATTTAACTAATTAATTACAACACAATGCCAATAAGAAAGATGAATGTTTTTAAATATTGAAACCAGGCCAGGTTAATATATTATTAAATATTGCAATGAGTCATGTGCTGCCAGAGATTAAAAACAAACAAAACTTAAATCTTCTAAATTTCTTTAAAAATCAGAATCCATGGCAGGGTGCAGTGGCTCATGCCTGTAATCCCAGCACTTTGGGAAGCTGAGGCAGGCGGATCACCTGAGGTCAGGAGTTCGAGACCAGCTTGGCTAACATGGTGAAACCCCATTTCTACTAAAAATACAAAAAAAAAAAAAATTAGCCGGGCGTGGTGGCATGTGCCTATAATCCCAGCTACTCAGGAGGCTGAGGCAGGAGAATCACTTGAATCCGGGAGGCAGAGGCTGCATTGCACTCCAGCTTGGGCAACAAGAGCAAAACTCCATCTCAAAAAAAAAAAAACAGAATCAATTTAAAAGATAAAAATACGGCTGCTCTCTCTCATCCTCTGGCCTGCCTAAACGTTCAGGGGACAATGACGGAGTGTAATTTTGATCATGGCCATTTCAAAAGCATTTGAACTAGAATTAGTTGGCCAGGTTGGGTTGGGCCACCATAACTTGCATGTCTATCTCAGGAAGACTTGGCTTTCAGAGGGGACAGCACTCAGCCCCAGGAGGAGCCTGCAATTCATCCTTATTTCAGAGTTTGTGCCATCCATGGGGACACAGGACAGTAAGGAACAAAACAGAACCTGCTGTCCAAATGGGGGAACCTGCACGCTGGGGTGCTTTTGTGTCTTCCCTTCCTCCTATGGATGGAACTGTGAGCATGTTGTGTGCAGAGAGAACTGTGGGTCTGTGCACCATGTCATCTGGCTGCCCAAGAAGCGTTTTATGTGTAAATGCTGGCATGGCCAACCCCTCTGCTTTCCTGAGGCATTTCTACCTGGTTGTGATGGCCTTGTGATGTTTGAGCACCTCATGGCTCCCAGGACTCTGGAAAACTACCATCTGCATGTACCACTTTTATGCTAGCTGGCACATGCCTTTCCATACAAAGTTACTATGAACTGACATTTACCTATTTCCAGAAATAACAACTTTAGATATCATGCAAATTTCATGACCAGTAAAGTCTGCTGCTCCAATGTCCTAACTGAAAGAAGATCATTTGTTAGTTGCCTTAAAATAATGAATACAGTTTTGGGAGTCTGAGGCAGGCAGATCACAAGGTCAGGAGTTCGAGACCAGCCTGGCCAACATAGTGAAACCCCGTCTCTACTAAAAATACAAAAATTAGCCGGTTGTGGTGGCATGCGACTGTAGTCTCAGCTACTCAGGAGGCCGAGGCAGGAGAATCACTTGAACCAGGGAGGTGGAGATTGCAGTGAGCCAAGACCATGCCACTACACTCTAGCCTGGGTGACAGAGTGAGATTTCGTCTCAAAAAACAAAAAAAGAATACATTTCCATAATGGTCCCTAACACTTCCTCACTTCCTTCACGTACCAATTACTTCTTACCTCTGCCCTGCCCCCCCCCAGAAACTACTTTCCTTTTTCAAAAGAAAGTCAGCCGTATGTACATTGTGCCCAAGTCCTATGTTTCTTGATACATGTAACTCTACCAAGGTCTTATTAACACGGTCTTTTAAACAATTGAATTATATCTTCAGATTATTAAAGGCTAATCCTAATGCGAAACTGAGGATAAAGTTTTGAGTAGAGTTGATCAAAATCAATTAAAATGGTCTCTTTAAAATGAAAGAAAGCCTCATTAAAGGGAGGCCATGGAGGGAAGGATCAGAAAGCGCTGGGGTAGTAATAGAAATCTGTCTGCATGTGTGCCAGGGAGATGGGGTAAAAAAGAGGAAGCAAATGGGAGAGATGGACACGAAAAAAGAAAATGAATTACTTGACTGATGATTAGGTGGATGTAGAGAAGCAAGTTAAAAGGCTAAATTGAAGGGCAAGTTTCCATCATCTATAGAAAGTTATATAAGACAGACTCTCCTTTTTTCTAACAGCATTGTAAAAGAATGAAATCTCCTTGGAAAAAAATTATACCTAAATTTCCCCAACAAGATTGCTTAGTAAATTATGTTTTCTCCAAACTATGCAATTATTTTAACTGTTATAAAAGAAAAGAAAATGTTCACAATATATTTAGTTGTAAACCGGGCAATAAAATTATATATTGTAAAGCCTAATTAAAAAATACATTGTGTATATGTGTATGCACAGTAAAAATGTGAAATACATTGACAAAAAGTGTCATGTGGTAGACAAAATAATGGTCCCCAAAGATGTCCATGTCCTAACCCACAGAACCAATGAATGTATTGCTTTACTTGACAAAAGGAATTTTGAAGATTCATATTCATAAGTTAGTGATCTTGAGATGGGGAGATTACCCTGGGTGGGCCCAATATAACACTAGAGAATAAGAGAGAGGCAGGAGGTTAGAAATGAGAGGAGAAGCTATGAAGACACTAGGTTTGAAGATGGAAAAAGGGGGCCTCAAGCCCAAGGATACAGGCAGCCCTTGAAAGCTGGAATGGACAAGGAATTGGATTCTCCTCTGGAGCCTCCAGAAGGAACACAGCCCTGTACACTCATGTTAGACTTCTGCCCTCCAGAACTGTAAGATAATATATTTGTATTGTTTTAAGCCACTAAGTATGTGGTAATTTGTTAAAGCAGCAATGAGAAAACAATATAGATTCCATGACAAAAAACAAAAACTATGTGATAAAAAATTATTGTCTAGTGGCCAGCAACTTGAGTTTAAGTCACCTTGAATTTAGCAACCCGTTCCCACTAACCAACCAAAATTAAGTGGCCAGTAATCCACTTAACCTGTATCCCTGACTTCCCGAGGTGATATGTTTGTTCTTTCCAGTCTGGAAAAATTACATAAACCCTGAGAAAGTATAAAGAGTCTCTTGTAGAATTCCCAACAATCCAGCAATGTACAGAAGTTTAAATTCCAGGACCATACAAAAGTAAAAATAAAAGGAGATTTAAGAATAAAAAAACAAAATTAAATCTATGATATTAATAGCTTTGTGCCCAGTTTTGTTGTCAAAATAATAATCGGCTATGTAAACAACGTGGTATTTTACGTGTATTTTTTCCTTTGTAAGATGTTTAATGCAGGGAAATCTGAAATGTTAGGCTTGTGATTAAGTTAAATGTTTAAAAGCATTTCATTAAGTTTGCAATCAATGTGTAAATGGTTGAGTAGATTCGTTTTGTTCACTTAATATACATTTGATTTATTGGTTGTATAAGTAGTGTGTGAATATTTAAAGCAATGAAAATTTGAATATGCATCAGAATTACCAGGAGGACTTGGTAAAATACAGCCAGCTGCTTCTGATTCAGGAGGTCTGGGTTGAGGCCTGAGAATTTGCATTTCTGAAAAGCTCCCAAGGGCTATTTACGCCGTTGACTTGGTAGCTGTGCTTTGAGGAACGTTTATTATTTTAGGTTTAAAAAATGCTAAATGTTTGACAAATTCATAAGGTTATGAAATTGGACTGTAAACAAAGGACAAAGAGTGCGGAATATCCCTGTAGGCACAAAAAGCCCCTTGGAGGTTAAAGCACCTGTGGGCAAAAGGGAGCGTGACAAAGCCTGGCAGAAAATGCCACTTTAGTCCTCTTTCAGCCACAGGAGCTTCGAGTAAGGTGGAATCCAATGATATGGGGGTGGAGAGGGAGCAGCTCCTAGGTTGCTTTCATGTTGGACTCACTTAGGGGAACAAAGATATTAAAGACACTTAACTAGACAATTAGTTCATATTATTTTGTGAATGACATTGGTATCTACTTCATGCTTAAAATTGCTAGAAATCACCATTTTAATTCTTCCAGGCTACTAAAGATCTTTAAAAAATAAAAACAAACCTTTTCACTGGAAACAATGACAACCCTGTAACTAGAGCTGGACTACAAGCACATTAATAGTAATCTGGGATTTATAGAGCTCTCCATCAATCTAAAACCCCAGCTTTAAACATTGTAAGAGCTTTATTATACATGCTACACATGAAAAGTTGATAAGTTAAAAAAATACTCTCTGGTTCTATAATGACTTTTCATTTTACCCTCTTTTCATTTCTATTAATATATACAGTACTGTTTGCCTTCCAGTGCATTCTTACAGCTCTGCAGACAATCTTTGGCATTAGCCAACAATGGTAGCAAAAAGACTTTTGCAAAATCCAAATTACTCAAATTTAAAGTTTCCCACATATACCAGCTTGCCCTGGAAGTTTAATGGCCAATATTAGGATTTTTCAAAAATGATTAACAAGTTAAAACATGTGTTCAACCTATTTTGTCTAAATATTTAAAATGTCTAGTTTCATTCATCATCTCTTTTCCTACTGTTTAGAAAAAGGAAAGGCACGGCATGAAACTTTAAGTGGAAAGATGGTTCCAGAGATAAAATGTTAACATCCATTATTTCTGGATGATGGTGGTATCAGTGGCTCTATTTTTTTAATCTTCTTTAGTATATTCTATCAAAAGGAATATTATTTTAATAATCAGACAAAATATCATTCAAGAAAGGAAATTTCTCCCAAGTGTGACTTTGAAAGTAATTGAAAATGCCCCAAGTCTTCTTAGAGCAATGGCTAATTCTTGGTCTTAATAAAGAAATGTACAAGATGAGCCTGGAACATCTTGTCACACCACAAAGCAAGAGAGTTATCGAAGACTGATGGAGTTAGGTCAAAATGACCCAACTTGAACAAAGATGACATTGACCAAATATGGGACAATTTGATAATTAATAAGAATAATAATTATAATAAATTGAAACCTTCAAATGTATTAGCATCCAATGAGTTTATAAAGATACTAATAAAATGGGAGAACAATGAGAAGAATCATAGCAAGACCAATTCTAACTCAATTTCAAAGATAATTCTCAGTCAGATTGTATAAACTTTTGATGAGAACAGTCAGACTACATAGATATCAGACAAAATAGCTGAGTATATAAAGAGTGCCTTAGTACTGGGTACTTTTTTTATAGTTTAAGTTTTAGGGTACATGTGCACAACATGCAGGTTAGTTACATATGTATACATGTGCCATGTTGGTGTGCTGCACCCATCAACTCGTCATTTAACATTAGGTATATCTCCTAATACTATCCCTCCCCCCTTCCCCCACCCCACAACAGGCTCTGGTGTGTGATGTTCCCCTTCCTGTGTCCATGTGTTCTCATTGTTCAATTCCCACCTATGAATGAGAACATGCGGTGTTTGGTTTTTTGTCCTTGCAATAGTTTGCTGAGAATGATGGGATGATTTATGCAGGGCTCAATGACCATTTTGAGAGAGTGATGGTCACTCTCTCCATGAAAAGGATGGTTGCTATAAATAAATCCTTTCCAACCCTTAGTTTCTGTTGTTGCTTGGTGTTTTTTCTTTTGGTATAAGTTTGAAACTTATTTAGGAATTAATGAAAACACCCTGAAGGCTGAAACAAAACAAAGCAAAATGAAACAAAAAAAGACAATAAACAAAGCCTCTCATGACCCCAGGAAAACCTGGTGCAGAGTTAGTGTGGTTGGGTGAACAAACACTAAAAAATAAAAAACAAGTAGTGTGCTGGGCCAGATCAAACATGGATGTTGATGAGCAAACATGGATGTTGATGAGATGGACAATCATACAGCAATCCTGGTGCTCTTAAAAGGAGTTCAGTTGTTCCTAAAGTATTGGAACATGGTGCAAGTGTCTCAAAAGCCAAAGGCAAACAGAGGTTGTATTCTCATAGGGTCCTGTTATCCATTTTCTCTTTTGTCTCCATCCTGCCTTGTTTGAATCAGACTGCATGCCCTCTAAACTCCAGTTTCTTTCACTGACAACTCTTACCAGTTGAACAGCTGACTGGGAGATAGAGGAAGGATGTTTTGGTTGTGCATATTACATCCTTGAGAACCCTGTAATCACTTAAAAATGGATGTTTCTGATTTTATTTTTTGTCAAATTCAGCCAAGTCCCAAAAGGAGACTTAAGCAGACTTAATCTCTATCCCCAATGTAAATTGATTATGAGATAAACTCTCTGAATCTCCCTCTGGGAAACAGAATATTCTAGCCCTCTGGCATCTCTACCCAGATGATTTTAGTTATATCAACATAAGAATGATGAGGAAATAAGATAGATAATACTCTCAGCAAACCTAGATGGGTTCTTGTCAAATGGGCTGGTGTTGGAAGAAGCCAGAGATGTTGAATAAAATTGCCATATTCAATTTATTAATGAAGGATCTATAATGGCCAGGTTGTTTTGATTTAAATGTTAGATCCCAAGTTTGAAGACCTTAGAGAAAAATGAATGGGGTATAATGGCATTTAGAATAACTTCTTCAAAATATGCTAATGGAAGTTCAGTGGGTCAGTGTAACCTGTTTAGGAAAACCACAGAGATAGCCAAAATTGAGTCAGTGCTTGTCTTGAGATTGGGTTAGATCATAACTTGATTCAACCAACATTACTTGAATTTCTTCTGTGCGTGTGTCCTTTACAAGCACGATCTCATTTACCCTCATATAATGCATTAAGATAAGTATAAGTATCTCCATTTTGCAACTGAGGAAACTGAGACTCAGAAGCATCTGGCCCAAACCATGAGGGCTAGCATGTGGTAGAGCTCTGAATTGAACCAAACTGTGACTCTGCTTTGAAGCCCCTGTCCTTGACGCTCTGGTACACTGCCTCTAAGAGAATATATCATTGTTCATGGTGTGAGAGACTGTCTTTTGTAATCATTTTTCCCAAAAATATAGAATTTTCATACCTGCTGGGTTCTTGGTGTTCTCTGTAAAGATTCATGGAAGTATCATATTTCCCATTAGGTACCAATTTATTACTACCTCATGAGATATATATTTCCCATTAGGTACCAATATTTTAAAACATTTTACCAAAAATCGTAAAACCTTTAACATTTTTAGTCTGGACATAATTGGTATAAATACCTGAATAACAGTATTCCAGCTTTTTTTTTTATAAATATTCCTTTTAATATGACAATGGTTCACTCCTCTTGAGGATTGGGCCTCATCCACAAATCCCTCTATAACTTTCATTATTTGAGAATAGCAATGATTGGAAACCCCTTTTATGGTGTCATAGGGACATGTGGATATGTGGTTATAGTGGGTTGAATGGCATTTCCCCAAAATTCATGTCTACCTAGAAACTCAAAGTGTGAGCTTTTTCAGAAGTAGGATATTTGCAGATGTAATTAGTTAAGATGAAGTCATATGGAGTAGGGTAGGTCCTAAATTCAATGACAGATATTCTTATAAGAAGAGGAGAAGATACACAGAGAAGCCCAGGCAAAGATGGAGGCAGAGTTTGGGGTGATGCCAAGGAATGCCAAGGATGACTGAAAGCCACTGGAAAGGGAATTGTGGTCCTGTTGACACACTGATTTTGGACTTCTAGCCTCCAGAACTGTGGGAAAATAAATTTCTGTTGTTCTAAGCCACCATGTTTGTGGTAATTTGTTGTGGTGGCCATAGGAAACTAATATAGTGGTCTACATTCATTTTCTTTTCTACTGGTTTTACAAATTAGCTGAACACATTTTAGCAATCACTACCATAAGTAAATTACATCTATAGGGAAAGAAATTAGAGTAGAACAGTGTTACATTATTTGGTTTTATATGGAGCCTTTCATACACGTGGTTCCTGAAGCTGCATTACTAAGTACTATATTAGAAGACAAATGACTGGGAAGCTATTATGCACTTTTCAGTAGTACGCTGAGCATTAGGCATGAAAAGCTGTCATTACAGAAGAAACAGAAAGCCTTGAAACTGGAGTGATAATGCCCCACTTGCTGTTGCTAAATTCCATATGATTTAAATCTTCTAAAAAATCAGTGATCTGAGTCACGCGAAGGTGGTCACTTCTGGTGTCACATCTAAAAGGACAAGCCCAGAACAAGGAAAAAAAAAAAAAGAATATCCAGTTCATAACCCCAGTAGAGCACCTGGTAAATGACAAAATCTGAAAATACCCTCACATCTGAAGTAAACTTAACTGAATATCTATGTGTATGTTTTGTGTTTTCTGATATGTTAGGGGGTGAGAAGGAGCTCCTAAGAGAGACTCTTCAATAAAGGGAAGTGAGCAATAGGACTGATTCTATCCAGGGGAACCTAGGCCTCCAGGGATCCATGCTGAAGCAAGAAAACAACTCAAATCTTAAGGCTGTCTTCCCATGGATATAACATACACTCCCTTACCAGTTACAGTACATCTAGGTAAAAGAAATTGAGCAAAATTCAGAAGAGAGATGAGAGCCTGATTATGCAGAAAAAAGCTAACATAGCGCCTTGAGGTGGCTGTCCTTCAAAGGGCTGCTTACAAGGCTGACCCTTGGCTAGCATCTAGGAACTTGGACTTTAGGAGGGTTCCCACCATTCCCAGAAATGAGAAGGGTGGTCCACTGTGCCCAAACTGTTTGGATATGCACTATGTTTTATGCTGAACACCTGCTTTCCTTCTGGGTGTCTGGAATTTGGGATCACACTAGGCAGAGGGCACTTTTGTACCAGTCCCCAGTAAAAGCCTTGGGAACTGGTTTGCTGGGGAAATTAAGCACATCCTGTGTGACACCACTGGGAGGGGACTTGTGGAAGCTTGTGCCTAGTCTCCCCTAGACTTTACCTCATGCACCTTTTTTCTTGGCTGATGTTGCTTTGTTTCTTTTGTTGTGATAAATCTTAGCCATGAGTATCACTGTATGCTGATCCCTGTGAGTCCTTCCAATAAATGATCAAACCTGAGTGTGGTGTTAGAGACTCCAACATATCAGCTCCTCCAAAATATCAGTGGACAGCTCCACCTCAGTGCTCCCCTTCAGTCACCTCTAGATTATACAAAATGCAACTCAGACCAAGCTAACGAGATTTCAGCCACAATATTCTGTATAGTGAATAGGTTTTATTATTGTAACAAGGAAGAAAAGAACAATACAGTTTTTTCTCTCCTTAATTGTCAGATCTTCTTTGGGATACTTGTTTATTATGATCTAATTTTTAAAATCTTACTAACTCTAAATGTAAGACTTTTTTATTGTAATAATACTTCAAATGAGATCTAAAAAGCTTCTGCATAGCAAAAGAAACAATCAACAGAGTGAAAAGGCAACCTATGGAATGGGAGAAAATATTTGCACACCTGTGTCTCACAAGGGGTTAATGTCCAAAATATAAGGAATGCCTACAATTTAACAGCAAAAAAATAAAAGTCAAAATTAAAAAAATAGGCAAAAGATTTGAATAGATATTTCTGCACAAAAGGCATACGAGTGGCTAAAAGGTATATGAAAATGTGCTCAATATTACTAATAATTAGGGAAATGCAAATTAAAACCACAGTGCAATATCACTTCACACCTGTTAGGATGACTATTATCAAAATGACAAAAGATAACAAGTGTTGACAAGGATGTGGAAAATTGGAATTCTTCCACACCATTGGTGGTGATGTAAAATGGTGCCACCACTATGAAAAACAGTGTGGAAGTTCCTTGAAAAATTGAACATAGAATTATCATATGATTTAGCCCACTTCTGGGTATTTAGCCAAAGTAATTGAAATCAGAAACTCAAAGAGATATTTGTATTATTGTGTTCCTTGCAGCACTATTCACAATAGCCAATAAGTGGAAACAACCTAAGTATTCATCAACAGATGAATGGATAAAGAAAATGTGGTACATATTCACAATGAAATATCATTCAGCCTTACAAAGAAGGAAATCCCGGCATATGCAATATCACGAACGAACGCGGAGAACATTATGCTAAGTGAGATAAGTCAGTCACAGAAGGACAAATATTGCATGAGTCCACCTATGTGAAGTATTAAAATAGTCAAATACATAAAAGGAGAAAGTAGAATGGTGGTTGCCAGGGGTTGGAGGTGGGGGGCAATGAGCATTGCTGTTCAACAATTATTTCAGTTATAGAAGATGAATGAATAAGTTACATATATATATATATATTTTTTTTTTTTTTTGAGATGGAGTCTCACTCTGTCACCCAGGCTGGGGTGCAGTGCTGTGACCTCAGCTCACTACAACCTCCACCTCCTGGGTTCAAGCGATTCTCCTGCCTCTGCCTCCTGAGTAGCTGGGATTACAGGCACACGCCACCACGCCTGGCTAATTTTTGTATTTTTAGTAGAGACGGGATTTCACCATGTTGGTCAGGCTGGTCTCAAACTCCTGACCTCGCGATCTGCCCACCTTGGCCTCCCAAGGTGCTGGGATTACAGGCATGAGCCACTGCATCGGCCTTTTTTTTTAACAGAGCCTTGCTCTGTTGCCCAGGCTGGAGTGCAGTGGCAGGATCTGGGCTCACTGCAACCTCTGCCTCCTGGGCTCAAGCAATTCTCCTGCCTCAGCCTCCCTAGTAGCTGGGACTACAGGTGTGCGGAATTTTTTTTATTTTATTTTTAGTAGAGATGGGGTTTCACCATGTTGGCCAGGCTGGTCTCAAACTCCTGACCTCAGGTGATCTGTCTGCCTCGGCCTCTCAAAGTGCTGGGATTACAGGCGTGAGCCAACACACCCGGCCATAAATAAGTTCTAAAGATCTGCTGTACAATACATTGGATTTTGAATGTGTATTTAGGATTTTTATTCCTTGTTCTGATTTTATCTTTCCTTTCTTTGGTGGGTGAGACTGAGGACCAATCTGTAAGGTGCTTTTTTAAAAAAAAATCAGGTTCAAAATGTATTTGTTTGAAGATTTTAGAACATTAATGGCTTCCCTTCTGTTCCTGAACACATCCAGCTTGTTGCTGCCTTAGGCTTATGCATCAGCAGTTCTTTCTGTGACACTCTTCCTACAGCATTGCGTACCTGGCTCTGTCATTTTATTGAGCTCTTAACTTTCACCTCCTCAGAGAGGCCTTCCCTGACCACCCAATCTAAGGCAGCCGCCACCCCACCAACAAATAACCCGGCTTTAGCTTCATCATAGCACTTATTTCAACCTGCTCTTCTATTCATGCTTTGTTCATTTGTTTAGCAAAAGCCTCCTCGCTCCAGAATGCAATTTCCACTCTAACAAGAAACTTGTTTGACTTGATCAGCATTTTATTTTATTTATTTATTTGAGACAGAGTCCCGCTCTGTCGCCCAGGCTGGAGTGCAGTGGCACAATCTCAGCTCACTGCCACCTCCACCTCCCGGGTTCAAGTGATTCTCCTGCCTCAACCTCCTGAGTAGCTGGGATTACAGGTGCCCGCCACCACACCCAGCTAATTTTTGTATTTTTAGTAGAGATGGGGTTTCGCCATGTTGGCCAGGCTGGTCCTGACCTCAGGTGACCCACCCCCATTCCCCCAGCCCCTCGGCTTCCCAAAGTGCTAGGATTACAGACGTGAGCCACCGCACCCAGCCTTGATCAGCATTTTATTCTCAGTGCTAAAACAATGTCTGGAAGAAAAATGAGGCATTCAATAACTATTTCTGAATAAATGAACAATTAAATCATTTGAACAAATAAGTGGCACTATGGAAATTGCATTTAACAGCTTTCAAGAGACTGGCCCGGTTTTCTTTCTTTCTTTTTTTTTCTTTTGGTTGCTACACTCACTATATTCTCCCTCAGGCTCTTCTTTCAACAATGTGCAGGCACTTTTTATTCGACCAGGCCCCCAAAGCAGCTGGACCAGCAATGAAGAAGCAACACCGTCAATCAGTGTCAGGCATGCATGATTCTTTTGATTTGAAAGGGCCAGCAATGTCATTTAATCATCCTCCAATCCCTTTGCACCTTAAAATGTTAAACTTCTACAAAAAGCAAAGGAAGCGATTGCTGAGGGTTACAAGGTGCATATCAGCAAGGTAGATGTCATTAAGATTTGCTTCCTTACATCTCCTATTCAATTGCATCTGTGGAAGGTGGTAGATTTATCTTGTCTTCTTCAATTTAGCTTTATTGAATTTCTGAGTCCCAGCATATCTTGTTTGTCAGATATTTTGGCAGATTAAGCAGTAATGACGTACACAAAAGAAAGTCAGATTTCTACAATAGCTACTCTACTCCTTTTTCTGACATCCCCCATCTCCCATGCCAGCCTCTTCTGATATTGTACTATGCTTGTTCTCTTTGTGCCCTGAGGATTTCCTCCTCCCCCTCCTTAATTGCACCTGTTCTCATGGCACAGCCTTCTGCAATTCTCCCACATTGAGACCATGGAGGTAATTTTTACCACCGAGCTTATATTTATATTTCTTCAGCTCTCAACTTCACTCAAGGTCTTTATCTCCAATGACTTGTGAACATTTGCACTCAGAGGTTCAAACTTTAATGCAATATGTTCAGTGCCTAATCTGTCATTTTCTCCACAAAGCAGAAACTCCTTTCATTTTCCTGCTTCTGCCTTTTCCCTTCATTGATTGTGCTTGGTATACTTTCATTGTAATAAATCATAACTATGAGTATGACTATATGCTCAGTCCTGTGAGCCCTCCTAGTGAATCATCAAACCTCTGGGTTGTCCTGGGGACCTCTTGACGTGCAAGTCAATGTTGTCAATGTTTTCTTTTCTTTTTTTTTTTTTTGTCTTTTCTTTTCTTTTGAGATGGAGTTTTGCTCTTCTTGCCCAGGCTGGAGTGCAATGGCGCTATCTCGGCTCACTGCAACCTCCGCCTCCCGAGTTTAAGCAACTCTCCTGCCTCAGCCTCCTGAGTAGCTGGGATTACAGGCATGCGCCACCACGCCCGGCTAATTTTTGTATTTTTAGTAGAGACGGGGTTTCTCCATGTTGGTCAGGCTGGTCTCAAACTCCCAAACTCAGGTGATCCACCCGCCTCGGCCTCCCAAAGTGCTGGGATTATAGGCATGAGCCACCACGCCCAGCCCAATATTTTCTATAACTTGTTTCGCTGCCCCTCTCGTGGGCTGAATAGAAGCAGCATTATGGGGTAATCAAAACAACACGGCCTTAGAAAATAAAGACAGCTTGATTTAAACCCTGACTTAGTCAGCTTCTAAGCTCCATTAACTTCTCTGAGCCATGCTTTCCTCATCTATAAAACCAGGCCAATAATACTTACTTTGCAAGATTTTAAAAAAGATTTAGAGATAATAGCACAAGAGGTCCACGGCAGACAATCTTTAAGGAGTAGCTATTATTTTCAGTGTTTTGGATAAGACAAAATGGTCAAAATGAATTATATGGACTCCATTTCATGGACCCATGTATTCATGTAGCAATGGAACTATAATAATTATATGGACTCAAAATGTCCCAATCATTTTGGAACTTGTAACAAAAAAAAAAAACTGTAAGCAGACTGTTTTGCTCAGCATCTATGTAGAGCTCCTCTAACTAAGGACTTGCAGTGAGAATTGTGTGGAGAGCAAGCCCAGAAAAGAGCACGTTTATACCCATCCTCAATTTTCAGCCCATGCTTGGCTGTTTGTCTCTTGATCTTGGGATCCTGCCCACTGCACTGATTTCTGGATCCTGACCTCTTTCTGACTGCCAACCTGCACTGCTCAACTCCTTTTTTGGATGCTCAGCTGTTCCTCCCACTGAACCCTCTTCCAACCAGTGCTTTACATATGACTCATTCACCATCTTTCACCTGGTCCTATATAGAGGATCCTCACTGAAACTTTGCTTGGGTATGTCTCTGGCTTCATCCCTTGATCAGCTTGTAATATTTGCTTTTGAATAAAGTATATTTTCACTTTTGTGGAAGCAGAATTATCAGACAAATATAATCCAAGTCAGAGGCAGATTATTTGGAAGAAAAAATTTATGTTCCTTGATTCCTTTTGTCCCTAGAATCCAGAAGCTAATCACACTTCTTAATACTTTCATTGTCCCATCTGAAATAACATAACTAAAAGGTTTAAAGAAGAGTTATTTGAAATCTCTTCAGCAAGTCAAATGAGGTGAATTCTTTATACTAGGGTGGTTGCCATAAAAAGCAGACGTTATCTGCAAGAAATAACTTCATGGCGTATCATTTTCAGGAAAAGAATCATTAGTCTTCTCTTTTGAGGGCAAAACTTTTAACAAAGACATTTGCTCTGGATTTTTTAGCCAGACATGATGTAGTGGTATGAGCATTGCATGAGGAGTCAGGAGGCCTATGCTTCAGTTTCATTATAATATAGTGGGGAAGAGCCTTTCCCCGTCTCTCCCTTCATCTAGATGGGAGTGAGCTACTAGTACTTCCTAATGAAATATAAGTGGAATTGTTTGTACTGCTTCCCTGCTAAGGTGGCTTTGAAACAAGTATGCCTTCTCCATGCTCTATTCTCCTTGGTCCTGGCTGGATGTTAACACCCAAACTGACCTTGGAGGTCACATGTTGAAGATGGTAGAATCACTCTCAGCCAGTGTCCCTGAATAACCCACATAAATTAATAACCTGTTCTTCCCTTTTACCAATCAGGAACATCTGCACTATGTTAGCATATTGACATTTGAGATTTTGTGTTATAGCAGCTAGTCTGTGCCTAATTAAGTTGTTTCACTTCTTTATGACAATCTGGGTTGTTATAAGGATTAAACAAGTCAGAAAAATACCTAGCACACAATAAATGCTCAATAAGTGTTATTAGTAGTTATTAATATTATTACCTAGTCTGATAGTAACTAGTTATGAGCCACTGAATGTCAGTTTCCCTGGACCTTCATTTCCTCCTCAACTGTTAAATCTAAGAGTCATACTTGATGAACTCAAAATTTCCATAAGTTTGAAATTTTATGATCAGAAGCTTCTTCAAAAAATTGCCAAGAAAAATTATTTCAACCGATGGAAAGTGGCCACAGGATGAGGGAGAGGTATTCAGAATATCAGGGAAAGAGGGAAAATGGAGAACAGAACAATTAGAGGGAAAACCATTATTTAAAGAGAATTATGTTTTATTTTTGAAATTTATCCATCAGATTCTGAAATCAGCTTTGGAGAGAAGAAAATATTTACAAACCGGGCCGTGTCCGTGAGACTTTCATTCACACCCAAATGAATATCTTGTGTGGTAAGAAAACAAGGATGTCCTCCCAGAAGTGCAAAGCCTACAATAAAAAAAAAAGAAAAAAATCATTTTGAAAAAACAACTAAAGTGGAAAACAAAATTACAAAGAATTGGCATCATCTCAACTGAAAAGTCAAAATCTTTAAAGCTCTCCAACTTCTCTGATACAGAATTCCCATGCAAAGCAAAATGAGGAATTGAGGGAAGTAGATAAAATTTTGTGCTCAAGTAATTAACTCTCCTTCACATGTGTGCCCATTTCTCCACCCTCTTATTCAAGACCTGGCAATAACGAGGCATCATTCCCTCTTTGGGGCTATGCCTGGTTTTGGTTCTCTAAAATATATAAAGCTGGCTGTGTGCAGTGGCTCATACCTATAATCCCAGCACTTTGGGAGGCTGAGGCAGGTGGATCTCCTGAGGTCAGAAGTTCAAGACCAGCCTGGCCAACATGGCAAAACCCTGTCTCTACTAAAAATACAAAAATTAGCCGGACGTGGTGGCAGGCGCCTGTAATCCCAGCTAGTCGGGAGGCTGAGGCAGGAGAATCGCTTGAATCTGGGAGGCAGGGGTTGTAGTGAGCCGAGATCATGCCACTGCACTCCAGCCTGAGCAACAGAGCAAGACTCTGTCTGAAAAAAATAAAAAATAAAATAAAATATATGACGCTGTCTTGATTGGAAGATAAGGAAAACAGTAAAGTGGCCCTTTTACTTTTTTTACTCTTAGTGACTTGAAACCACTATCTCAATGCTTACTTTCTTTTATTTTCAAGCCTTTCATTTTTATTTATTTATTTTTTGACACAGTCTTCCCTGTCACCCAGGCTGGAGCCCTTTCATCACACATTCTGGGGAAAATTATGGGAGATGGTGACATCCAATCAGAACTTTACTGTCTCATTTGAGACTGGTTTAATGCTCAGAATTTCTCCAATACATAAAGGCAAATACACATAATTGCAAGATAGAGATTTGTCCAAGGAATTTTACAAACATTACTTTTCCCCTCCTTATTATGATGTGCCTGATTTATCTTTTGGGAAATAAGCAACAGTCACAATTTGCTAATCCCATCTGTTTCCCATAAACAGGGAAGAAATCATTAATTGCACGGTGAATTGGGGAATGAGGAGTTTCAGATCCACAAAGGAGAATTTGACTCAAAATCTCATGAAACATCCTACTGAAGCCTTAACACAGTTTGAATATGGACTGATATTAAATGATATTAAGGAATCATTATTTTTGTTCAGTGTGATCATGACATCATAGCCATATAGGACAATATCCTTATTTTTTGGGGATACAAACTGATGTATTTTGGGGTAAAATATCATTGTAACTTTAATTTACTTTAGTTCAACAACCAAAACAAGTAGACGAAGAAGGCAACATATTAACAATTGTTAGACTGATGTAAAGGGTATTGGTATGCTCATTATGCTAATCTTTTTACTTTTCTGTTTATTTGAAAGTTTCACTATAAAAAGTAAAAATCAGAGGCAGGTGGATCACGAGGTCAGGAAATCGAGACCATCCTGGCTAACATGGTGAAATCCCATCTCTACTAAAAATACAAAAAATTAGCCAGGCGTGGTGGTGGGCGCCTGTAGTCCCAGCTACTCGGGAGGCTGAGGCAGGAGGATGGCATGAACCTGGGAGGCAGAGCTTGCAGTGAGATCGCGCCACTGCACTCCACCCTGGGTGACAGAGCAAGACTCCATCTCCAAAAAGAAAAAAAAATATTAAAAATCAAACCCACACAAAGCAATGGTCCTCATTTCTGTTACTGTATATAAAATTAAATAATTATAGTCTACCTATTTTATACTCAAAAGTGTTCTCTTAAATATGCCTAGACCAAATGGTCTTTAACTAGAGACCACCATGTTCTGACCCTAGCAATGACTCTTCACAGAGCATAATCATATGATGGCACATTATTAACATTCTTTCATTGAATCCCTTAGTCTGACAAAGTGTACAGTAGATATTACAAGAATTTTATAGAAAAGGGTTCTGAGAGTCAGAGTCTAAAAAATTGCGCAAGATTGTTTTTAAGTCTCCACAGCCCTAGGCCTTGCCATAGGGAAGCCAGCTATTGAGTCAGCTCAAAGTGTGATCTACAGAGACAGAATGACATAGTGGGACTGGACTCAGTCTTCTTCATCTGAAAAAGAAGACAGTTTGCCTAGAGTTGTAAGATCCCTTGCAAATCTTATGTGCTAGGTGCCAGGTAGGATCAAAGAATATGAAATGCCCAAACAGTCCTACTTGCTATGGGACCTGTAATGAACATTCTGACCCCATTTCTGATGTTTGACTGTCCACCTCTCCCTGCCTGACCCTTCAGCCCTACATCTGGGAAAGCTGATAAGAAAGTTCAGGTGCTCACTCCTTTGGCACTAGCAGGAGGTTCAAACTGCACAAGCCCTACCTTGCGCATGGGAATCCTCATCCCAGCCCCATCGCCAAATCACACTAGAACTCCATATCGTTTCTCTGCTCTCTGGGGCTACTTTCAGACCTGCTTGGAAACCAGACCTACTATCCCCAGAAAGCCACATGATGTGAGTAATAAACTTTTTCATATCTTCCTGGTGCATGTGAGATATTCTCACTGTCAGCAACCAAACCAAATTTTAGGTGGATGGCACATCTCATGTCTGTGGAGTAACTACACAACACAACAAGTCCTGGCCTCACTGTATGATTCTGAAATTCATTCATTCTGAAAATATGTGCCTGGTGCTGTTCTAGGCACTGAAGAAAGCATTGTAAACAAGATACAAGTCTTTGACTACTTATTAGCTCTAATAATACTTGCTTTATATATCTGGTTGCTCTAGCATTGGGTTCATATATATTTATTGTTGTTATATTCTCTTGCTGAATTGGCCCCTTTATCATTACATAATGGCCTTGTCTTTTTTTTCCAGTTTTTGTCTTTCAAATGGGGAGAGACAGAGTACAAACTGAATGAGTAAATTAAATATATTGTATGTTAGATACTGATAAGTGCTATAAGAAATACAGAGCAGGGAAGGAGAATAGGAAATTTACAGGACCCAAGTTGCAATTTTAAGTAGTATGGTCAAGGAAGCCACAATGATTGTGGGACTTTTGAGTAAAGACCTGAGGAAGATGGATAGGTGAACCATAGAAAACATACGAGATAGTGGGAAGAGCATGTGCAAAGTTCCTGTGTGAAGGTCATGATTGGTGGGTTCAAGAGACAACAAGAGGCCGGGTGCGGTGGCTCACGCCTGTAATCCTAGCACTTTGGGAGGCCAAGGTGGGCGGATCACCTGAGGTCAGGAGTTTGTGACCAGTCTGGCCAACATGGGGAAACCCATCTCTACTAAAAATACAAAAATTAGCCTGGCATGGTGGCGGGCGCCTGTAATCCCAGCTACTCGGGAGGCTGAGGCAGGAGGATCACTTGAACTCGGGAGGTGAAGGTTGCAGTGAGCCAAGCTGCACCACTGCACTGCAGCCAGGGCGAGAGAGTGAGACTTCGTCTAAAAAAAAGAAAGAGAGAGAGAGAGACAACAAGAAGGTAGTGTGGACGGTGCAGAGGTGAGGCTGCAGAAGGAAGCTGGGGAGAAGGCAACAACTTTGACTTTTGTCTGGATAAAATGGGAAGCCTTTTAAGGCTTGGAGCAGAGGAGGGACATGATTTGACTTACATTTTAATTGGACATCTGTAGCAGGGCAAAAGCAGGGAGACAAGTCAGGAGACTGTTGCGAAAATCTGGGTGAGAGTTGATAGGCTGGAACAAGGTGGTAGCAGCTAACGTGTTGAGAAAATGGTTGGCTTCTTCCTATGTTTTGAAAGTGTATCTTTTCAAAAAACCAACTTTTTATTTCATTGATCTTTTATTTTTTTTAGTCTCTGTTTTGTATATTTCTGTTTTGATCTGTATTATTTCTTTTCTTCTACAAATTTTGGGTTTGGTTTGCTCTTGCTTTTCCAGTTCTTTAAGATGCATCATTAGGTTATTTGAAGTTTTTCTATTTTTTTGATGTAGGCATTTATTGATGTACATGTCCCTCTTAGTACTGCTTTTGCTGTATCCCACAAGTTTTAATATGCTGTGCTTCCATTTTCATTTGTTTCAAGAACTATTTAAATTTTCTTCTTAATTTTGTCAGTGACTTAATGGTCATTCAGGAGCACATTTTTAAATTTCCACGCGTTTATATTTTTTCCAAAATTCTTCTTGTTATTGATTTCTAGTTTTATTCCATTGTGGTCAGAAAATATATTTAATATAAGTATTTTTAAATTTGGGGTACTTGTTTTGTATCCTTGATAATGTTCCATGTGCTAAGGAAAAGAATGTGTACTCTGCACCTGTTGGGTGAAATGTTCTGTAAATATCTATTATGTCCACTTGGTCTACAGTGCAGATTAAGTCTAATGTTTCTTTGTTGATTTTCAGTCTGGATTATTTGTCCAATGCTGAAGGTGGAGCGTTGAAGTCCTCAGCTATTATTGCATTAGGTTCTATTTAACTTTTTAGCTCTAGTAATACTTGCTTTATATATCTGGGTGCTCTAGCATTGGGTTCATATATATTTATTGTTGTTATATTCTCTTGCTGAATTGGCCCCTTTATCATTACATAATGGCCTTGTCTTTTTATCCAGTTTTTGTCTTGAAATCTATTTTACCTGATATAAGTATAGCTACTCCTGCTCTTTTGTAGTTTCCATTTGCATGGAATATCTTTTGCCATCCCTTCATTATCAGTGGATGCATGTCTTTAGAGGTGAAGTGAGCTTCTCAACTGTTCACCTTGCTTTCTACCTCACTGAAAAAATTACAGGAATAAGAGGAGAACTTCCAGACTCTACTCCATTTCCCGACTAGTCAGCATCTGTACTCATATACTCTGCTTTCCTTTCTATTAAGCATAGATGAATTTTCCATGCCCCATGTAATGCCTTCACTCGTGCACTAGAAGCCACTCCCCTTGCCTACTCAAAGACATTGCTCTAGCAATTCCTCCCTTTCTCCCTTATGTCACCAACATCTTGAATGGGTTGTTCTCATTTTTCACACATTATTTAAAAACAGATACAGATTTCTCTTTGTCCTAATTTCCCTGACAAGTATTCCTTTAATTGTTTGCTCCCCTTTGCAGCAAAGCTCTTTGTTCTTCTTTCTTTTTCTAGTTCCTCTCTTCTCATTTCCATCAAACCTATAAGGCTTTGTCCCCTACCACTGCTGCACCAAAACTCCTCTCACCAAAGTTATCAGTGACCTTCACGTTACTCCATCTAGTGGCCATTTCTGAGCCCTCTTCCTTCACTTAGCAGTATTCAACAAAGTTGATCTTCATTTTCTACTTGATAAGCTTTCTTCACACAGTGTCTAGGACATCACACCTGTTTGCCTTTGCATCTACCTTGGTAGTTGCTCCTTCTCAGTCACCATTGTTGGTTCCTTCTATTTTTCTTGACTTCTGAATGTTGGTGTGCCCCAGGACTAGCCCTTGGTTCTCCTCTCATCCTTCAATCTACACTTACTCTCTTTATAATTGTATCCAGTCCCATGGCCTTAAATATCATCTATATGCTGGTGACACTCAAATATCTCTAGGCCAGATTTCACTCCCAAATTCCAGACTCATGTGCAACTGCTTTTTTTTAACATCTTTGCTTATATGTCTAATAGACACTTCAAACTCAATATATCTAAGACCGAATTCCCAACCTTCCCCTTTCCATTTGTTCCATCACCAGCCTTCACATTTGCTCAGGCAGAAATCTTAAAGTCATCCTTGACATCTCTCTCTTACCCAATACATCAGTAATCTTGTTGTCTCTCTCTTCAAAACATACCTAGGATCTGTTACTCTTACCCTCTCCACTGCTGCCACCACAACCCCAGCTTCTATAATTGATAGCTATCTATTGACAGGCTTCACTACTTCTACCTTGCTTTCACCCTGGGCTCCCCACAGTCTATTCCACAGTTTATTCTCAGTCAGAGGGATCCTTTTAAAATGCAAGTAGATCATGTCCCTCCTTTGTTCAAGATCATCCAACGATTCCCCAAAAAGCCAAAGTCCCAATATTGGTGCACTTGTTTTTCCCTCAGTTCCAGACACATTCTTCTCCTTGCTGAGAGTACTTATCATCTTCCAACATACTGTATCATCCACTTATTTATTATGTCTGTTGTTTATTGTCTGTGTACCCACTAGAATGTAAGCCCCATGAAGGCATGGATTTTCATCTGTTTTGTCTACTGAGGTATCACTCCCGAGCACCTAGAATAAAACCTGGCAAATAGTAAGTGCTTAATGAATTCTCATTGAATGAATAAAGGAGGAATTTGACTCTGAAGAAAGGACCCATTCTTCTCATTTGTGAACAGCCTCTCATTTTGCTAACAGAAAGAAGAGAAATTTCTATTATCTATGAAGCAACGTAATGAAGTTTAGTGGTGATTATAATCACTAATCACTCTTGAGTACTTAATTTCTTTATAAACATGCAACGTCACCTAAATACACATAAATACCGCACATTCGTCAAAAAATTATTTATTGTGCACCTACTAAGTGCCTAGTACAAGTATGAGTACCATTGAGGGTTGAGGACTATGGATGAAGACTTCAAACAAAGTTTCGGACCTCCTGGTAGGTCTATTCCAAGTCACACTCTTTCTTTGATGATAAGTCATTTTGCTATAGCAACTCAGGATTAATCTGCTGTCCTTCTACTTCCCTGTTTGTGCTATACAGAAGATCGATACGGTGCTTGGACTTATGAAATAGGGGTAGGAAGAAGAGTAACAGAAAGTGTGTACAGGCAGGAGCCAAAGACTTCAGCAGTTCATGAAAAAGATTAAATGGGGAGGAAATACTACCTCTGAGAAGAAATTGCCTTTGCAATTTTTGTCACAGATCAAAAAGAAGCCTCAGATCCCAGCCCAAAAGCACAAGTCAAGAATTTGCCGGTTTACCAGGTCTGGATGGTAATACGTGCTTATGAGGGGCATCAGAGGTTTTGAGCAGCCACTAGAAGCTGCCATTGCCAAGGAGAAGAGGACAGAGAGATGGGCTTCCACTCTTTCTCCACCCTTTATCCAGAGAAGCCTGCTTTTACCTGTTTCATTTGTTTATGCTTTCACATCAGCTATTTTTGAACATAGCGTTTCTTCTGTTAATTTCTTCTTCTTTTTATCTTTTTTTCTTTTTTTTGAGATGGAGTCTTGCTCTGTAGCCCAGGCTGGAAGCAGTGGCGCGTTCTCGGCTCACTGCAAGCTCCGCCTCCCGGGTTCACGCCATTCTCCTGCCTCAGCCTCCCGATTGGCTGGGACTACAGGCGCCCGCCACCACGTCTGGCTAATTTTTTGTATTTTTAGTAGAGATGGGGTTTCACTGTGTTAGCCAGGATGGTCTCGACATCCTGACCTCGTGATCCACCTGCCTCGGACTCCCAAAGTGCTGGGATTACAGGCATGAGCCACCGTGCCCGGCCTCTTCTGCTAATTTCTTAATT
The DNA here is from genome assembly GCF_000001405.40 of Homo sapiens. Lineage (NCBI taxonomy): Eukaryota > Metazoa > Chordata > Mammalia > Primates > Hominidae > Homo > Homo sapiens. Next base: position 38,373,861 of record NC_000023.11, on the reverse strand, counting down.
TCTGTTTGGGAAAATAAAAGTAAATCTTATTTTGCTCTTTTACTTCCCCATAGATCCCTGCCTGCTTTGGTAAAAAGAGTATAAATAGAATTCATTCCTTGGAAATATAAGGGATCCGAGTACCTTTGCTGGTAGAACTAAGGCAGTTATTAACCTCTCTGTGCTTGGCTTTTATAATTGCACAATAGTATCACAATTTTTACATTGGCATCTTTGTACAGACGATGATTTTGAAACAGCCGTTAAAACACCAGTTTCTATTTCACCTTGAAAGTGAAATACCAATGTTAAATAATGAAAAGAACCATCTCTTAGAATGCCTTTTGCATCTTTTATCAGCTACTGCATTTACTGAGATTAATAAATGTATCTGTCTATCAGCTCAATTCATTTGCTATAAAAGAATATTATCATTGGTAGACTCATAGGAGAATTGTCTGGTTTGCCAGGCAGGCACACACAAAGAGTGGATGAGGCATGAATGATCTACAACTACACACAGCTACATCGATACATCTCATAATGTTAAGCGAACGAAGTCAGACACAAAAGAGCGCATGCTGAATGATCCCATTAATATAAAGTTCAAAAATAGGCAAAATGAATCTGTGATGTTAGAAGCCAGGATAATAGTTACCCTTGGGTGAATGAGGAGTAGTGACTGGAAGGAAATGAAGGGTAGTGGGAAGCTTCTGGGTGCTACTACCATTCTGTTTCTCTATCTGGGTGTTAGTTACAATGGTTTGCTCACTGTAAGAATTCATCGATCTATACGCTTAATGATTTGTGCACTTTTCTGTTTGTGTGTTACACTTTAATAAACATGTTACATAAACAATTACTATGGTCAGAGTTGGGTGGAGAATTTGATTCTGTCTCCTGAGATAAGTAGGAATGTGAACGTAGCTCTGAAACTCAGGCTTGGAACAGAATTGCCAAGGACTGTCCTGTGAGGATCATGTCAGGGGCTGGCACAGATTTGGGGCAGTAACAGTTATAATTACACCTATTTTAATTCTAAGCACCAAAGTAACAGGTGGTACTTGTTGAAAAATTGTACCAAAGGACAACTGTTAAGATGCACATACTCACAATAGGAATGTTCTGTCATGATTTTGATTGGGGTTTACTGTTTCTGTAAACAATTAAGACAGCTACTCGCTTTCAGTGATTCTACTGTTGAGTTTGGCAGGATGCCATATGCAATTATTGAGGATAATGACAAATGCTCCATGAACTATAAGTTTTAACAGTCATACTCTCCTTGCTTCATTTATTTGTTGTTATTATTTACGATTTGGGGCAGGTTTCTAAGGATTTCTTTATAGAAAACCATCATTTAACAAAATGCTTAATGCCACCAGTAGAAACAATTTTACTAGAAGAAAACATGACTATTACATGCCATATAATTAAATTAAATCAATAGATTTAGTTTATTAAATTAGGTATTTAAAAATATATATAGTAATAGCTTCCAATCCTGGGTCTGCCATTTATTAGGTACGTGCCTTTGAGCCATTTGCTGGCCCCATTTCAGCCTGTTTTCCTGAATGGTCTTGCTCTCACAGAGTTGCCATGAGGATTGAGTGAGATAACACACATAATTAATGTAGAACACCTGGCACAGGGTCTGCCTCCAAAAACTTATTAAATTGTCACTCTCATTTTTATTAATAGATTAACTACCACATTATTATAAATGGTGAAACCAATCATTTATTCAGAAATATTCTGGTTTCAAACATAACATTTGAACAGGGAAAAGTCATAGAAATGCCATGAACTCAGCAAAATCCCTTTTAAAAAAACTTAAATTTGAGAAATTTCTATGTATTAAACAATTATTTTGGTGACTTCAAAAAAGAACAATTCTCTTAAGTACTAACGGTAAAAACAAAAATATATACACACAAGATAAAATGAAATAAAATAAAATTCTACCCAACTCATGGAATACTAGTGTTGAAAGGGAGCAGAATTTGAGAATTGCTGACTGGTTTATTCATTTTTTCCCTACCATCTGTCAGATATCAACATGATCTCTTACAGCAGCCAGCTTTAAAGAGCAAAATGTTCTTATCTGTTTTCTTCCTAGGGCTTTAAAGATTAGCACCTTATATATTTCCCTCGTCCTCCTTCCTTCTCTTTAGGGGGAAGGAGTGTGCATTAGTAAGAATAGTGGGCTTCAGATCTGAATCTTGGTGCTATCTGTATTAATTGAGTGAATTTGGCAAGTCGCTTAATCCCCCTGAACTTTCTTTTTGATATCTATTTGGTAAGCTTCATTATTAATCATTGCAAGGTAAAAATCACATGTAATAGTTGTTTGCTTCTAAGCCCTAGAAAGCTCTGACACTCGTAAGGTAGAATAATCTATTTGAAATATCAACCAATATGTTTTTGTTTGCGGTACTTCCTCCTTGACCCTGTCTGATTGCTCATTTGGGCAGTCATATTATTGATTCAAGTGAGGTCTGGTAGAGCAGAAATGCAGAGAGAAAGAAAAGAGGCAATTTGTGGCTTACGAGTTTCAAAGTGTCCATTTTGAAACTGCAGAGATAATAGCTTGAGGAAAAAAAATATCCTTAACAGCCTAGAATTCCAGGCACAATTTGGAAGAGTCCATGGATAGTCAGAGCCAGTTTTTCCTCCTGCTTTATTTCCTGGCCTCCAATACTGGGAACTGAAAGGGGAAGAAGAGAAGCAAGAGAGGAGAAGCAACAGAAATAAAAACTGATGGACCTTTGATACTGTACTCTGCTATGTGTTCCCCAAGTCAACTTCTGAAGGATGGGGGGGCATGCTGGAAAGCTCCATGAGTTTGGAGAATCCCAGAACTGAGGACAACCTGTCTTGCTTTTAAGACAGACCTCTAGAAGGCAGTAAATGTTATAGAGCTCCATGGCACCCAGCATGAGGAAGGAACAATAGAGTAGAGGCAGCCTTGTAGTACCTCTGTGCCTAATGTGTCTTGGAGAGCTGCTAAGAGGTTGAGAGAATGAAACCAAGAGATATATTGTTGTAATGGGGTCCTTGTCACAAAACCGTGAAATATTAGGCTCACAGACACTTTGAAGGGTGAGAAGAGCAGGGTTTATCGGGTGAAAAGAAAAAAAAGGAAAACAGGGACTCTCAGCAGAGCAAGAGTCCTGCTAGTTGTCTTCCCGCCTCTCAGATTGAATCCCAGTTTCCACCTCGGAACAGGAGAGGCCAGCTCTTCCCCGCGCAAATGGTGTGAACTTCCTGAGGCTTCAGCCCCGTGTGCATTCCTCCCAATGTTCAGGCCGGTTGGAGGTTCTCCAGTGACCCCTTTATACTTGGTTGTCTCAATATGAGTTCTTTCAATGAGAGTGAAGCAAACCTTGCAGTAAGTGGGAGACAGCCAAGATCCAATGGGAATATAGAAGTCCCAACAGAACCTAGCATGGATATTTGATGATGATGTTCTAATGACCAAGGACCAGATCCCCATACCCCTACATGTCTTGACATTCAGATACTCTCCATGATTTAACCTGACTGTGGGGAAATGGAGAGGAGACCCAAAATGGACAAAATAAACCATAAAACAACTGAGGATTGCCTAACATCGCAAAGATTAAATTTCCACCATCTAGCAGAATTGAGACACACAAGGAAATGTTCTTTGCATGCTAGAAAAATAGACATATTTCTTACCCACGTGAGTTCAAGGCCTGAAAATGTGTGCCCACCTATATTTCTTTTCTGAACATGAAGAGTTATATGGAACTTCTACTCAGTTCCTTATGGAATTCTTATAGATGAAGCTAATTTTTCTGCTTGCAGCTTTTATGAGAACTGGAAATCTCATTCACAGGCTTGCATTGCTGCTCCCAGTAAAAATGATTTTTTCTTTGTGGTTGCTAGAGGCAGACAAATCCCCGCACTGGGTTACCCCTCCAAAGTCTTCACCTTCAATCCCTCTCTTCAACACAAGTGTGAATTTGGCAGTGGACTTACCTGTTTCTGTAGACAATCTTGTTCGAGTACTTCTTTTCTCAAAAATCATGCCTAAGGACTTCCCTTGCAATAAAGGCAAATACTATAAATCAAGGACAAGAATAGAATTAAAATATATCTTATATATAAATTATGTTTTAAAACATATTCTTTATTAGAAAATAAGTAATAACTACCCCCAAATAAGTGTTTAAAATATTGTTTAAAAAGTGAATTTAGGCCAGGTGTGGTGGTTCATGCCTTAATCCCAGCACTTTGGGAGGCCAAGGCAGGTGGATCACCTGAGGTCAGGAGTTCGAGACCAGCCTGGCCAACATGGCAAAACCCCATCTCTACTCAAAATACCAAAAAAAAAAAAAAAAATTAGCCTGGAGTGGTGGTGGGTGCCTATAATCCCAGCTACTAGAGAGGCTGAGGCAGGAGAATTGCTTGAACCTGGGAGATGGAGGTTGCAGTGAGCCAAGATCTTGCCACTGCACTCCAGCCTGGGCAACAGAGCAATATTCCATCTCAAAAAAAAAAAAGTGAATTTAAAATGTTTTTTTATGTACTATACAAATGGGGGAAGAGAACAGTAACTCCCACAGCTTATTGACATGTAATTAGAAAGCAGTATTAATTGTTCTGGGTTCAACATGTGAATTTTTTCCAAAATATATTAGTATTTCATACTGGAACCACCTTCTTACTTAACTCTATTGAAATCCCCATTCAGTTTTCAATGACCTCGAAGGTGTTTGGTTTGGAGGTGTTTTCTCAGCTGGGAAAATGCTACTCTGTTACAACATGGGGCACTACAACTTTCACTTAGATCAATGATGAAGCCCTAGTGTTTTAGCTACACATTCATCATGCATCCTCATGGGAATACAAAGACTTTGCTTCTGGAAGTCATTTGAAAACAATCTGGAGAGTCTGAATGTGGGGTGGGGCGCTTCCTCCTTCCTCTTCTGTAGATGGGCTTCCTGATAGAAGGAATTCTGGAACAAATAGATTCCTGCCAGCTAACCTCCCTCATCCACAAAGTGTCAAGAACATAGGCCTGGGCCTGGGGAGACCTTTTCTCTTATTTCAGGTGTTTTATAGGAACATCAACCCATAGCAGTTGCGGTCACTCCTGTCCTCAGTTTTTCTTAGGAGCTTGGAGAGCCAGCCTACTAGATAAAATCAAAACCGTGTCAAACTTTCTCAACCTGAAACCAACTCTTTAAAAAGGCTGAACAAGCTTGGAATACAAAAATGCTTTCACAATTAAGCAGTCCAAATGAAGCTACTGTATTAATTGTCTTTCGAAGATAAATTGCTCAAAATGCAGAATTATGCTTATAGCTAAGAACCATATCCCATCTCTTCTCCTACCTGGATACCATTAATTGTTTCTTTGCTAATCTAAATGCTTTTTAAAACGCTGTCACATCATTGTGAATTTTTTGACATTATCCTAATGATTCTATATCTGATATGCATCCAAAATTAAAATTTGTCACTTGGAAAAAAAGGATCATCTTCTTTTTTTGCAGATGGAGTTTCACTCTTATTGCCCAGGCTGGACAGCAATGGCACGATCTTGGCTCACTGCAACCTCCGCCTCCTGGGTTCAAGCAATTCTCCTGCCTCAGCCTCCCTAGTAGCTGGAATTGCAGGCATGTGCCACCATGCCCGGCTAATTTTTTATTTTTAGTAGAGACGGGGTTTCTTCATGTTGGTCGGGCTGGTCTCGAACTCCCGACCTCAGGTGATTTGCCTGCCTGGCCTCCCTAAGTGCTGGGATTACAGGCATGAGCCACTGCGCCTGGCCTTCATTTTTGACTTGATAGAAAATACACAGAGAAAAGAAAAGGGGTATAAAAATAAAATCTTGGCCGGGCACGGTGGCTCACTCCTGTGATCCCAGCACTTTGGGATGCCAAGGTGGGCGGATCACTTGAGGTCAAGAGTTTGAGACCAGCCTGGCCAATATGGTAAAACTCCATCTCTACTAAAAATACAAAAATTAGCCAGGTGTGGTGGTATGCACCTGTAATCCCAGCTACTTGGGAGGCTGAGGCGGGAGAATTCCTTGAACCTGGGAGGCAGAAGTTGCAGTGAGCCAAGATCACGCCAATGCACTCCAGCCTGGGCAACAGAGCAAGACTCCATCTCAATAAATAAATAAATAAATAAATAAATGCTTTTCAGACAAATGATTTCTTAGGTTCGATCCAGTTAATAATGAATTTCAGCATTCCACGTGAAAAAAGTGCAATGACTTGTCATTCAATAACTGATTTTTATGCTTTTTTGTATGCCTGTATGCTCCATGATAATCAATTACCTTGACTGTGAGGTTTCATTACTTAGCTACTGTTTAAGAATTTTAATGTATTTTTTTCCCTCTTTCTTTGGGAAGGCTGCCTTTAAAAAAAGGGGACTGGTAGTAATGGAACGTAAAAAGAAAATGTTACATACCTCTCCTTTCTGTTTTATCCTAAATTTCAGATCTGCTGATAGCCATAGCATATATTTAATTTCTTCTCCGGTAAAGTTTTTTAGAGTGAGAAGGTCACGGCCCTTCAGCTGCACTTTATTTTGTAGTGGTTGTCCACACCTGTAAAAAGAGATTTAAAAGGGAGAAATATGTATTTCAGAAAAGACCCATGTACTATGGTGATTCATTGTTTTACTGTTGATAAGGCATTCTTTTCTTTTCTTTTTTTTTTTTTTGAGACAGGTTCTCACTCTGTGGCCCAGGCTGGAGTGTGGCACAATCTCAGTTCACTGCAGCCTCTGCCTCCCAGGTTCAAGCGATTCTCCTGCTTCAGCCACCCAAGTAGCTGAAACTACAAGCACATGCCACCAAGCCTGGCTAATTTTTGTATTTTTACTAGAGACGGGGTTTCTCCATGGTGACCAGGCTGGTCTCGAACTCCTGAGCTCAAGTGATCCGCCTGCCTCGGCCTCTTGATAAAGCACAGCAAATGCTTTATCTTCTTATTCTTGATAAAGCACAGCAAATCACATATAACCTCATGTGTCTCTGCAAAGTGTTAATGCGTTGAAATTTGATATGGCCTTGGTTTATATTTTGTATGTCCAGTATTTTGGATGTTTGACAGAAAAAAAAAGAATTTGTGAAAAGAGATTGAATTTTTATTTGCTTGAAATAGCCACATGAGTGGCTTTGTCACTTACTAGTCACACAACCTAGGGCAGTTTATTTACCCACTCTCTGCTTCTAAATTTCACACCTAGAAAATTACTATAATAATCTTATAGAGTTGTTGTGAGCATAAAATTATTTAATACATGTAAAGCAGACATTGTCTGGAATATAATAAGTATTTGATAACTTTTAGCTATTATTATTAAAATCATTGGGCTGTACAAGCAGCATTTGTAATGCACAATAGAAAATAATTTCGTATTTTCCCCCTACTGCCCTTCAAATCTGTTCTTGGAGCTTGTTCTTTTTATCCCTGGATGAAAATACAATGGACGCTGTAACTTTTCTACTAACTCAGAAAAATACAAAAAGCCCTCTGCTTATTTTACTACCTCAAAGAGTCTCAGTAAAATAACATGTAACAAAAATATAATAATAATAATAGTGATTTTAAAAAAACCTTAAGAAATTTGCTGCAGGTTAACACCTTTTCCCTTCCAGCTTATGCCTGATTAAAGCTGGCCTCCTCTATGGGGAAAGAGGGGCCAATGTGCTATTTCCTCGTTTCCTTACTTTCAGTTCCTCTAAGTGAAGCCAAGGGAAGGTGAGGAGTTAAGAGCCAGCAAAAGCCTGGTTCTGCTCTAGCAATCTAGCATTGGTGCACGTGTCTCCAACACCTGACTCTCTTGTGATGTGTTTTTGGAGGTCCTTTGGAGAACCCCCGCTTATCATTAGGAATTTCTCATAGCAGTCTTTGATACAGACAATTACATTTCCTCTGGCATCCAAGGGAACACATCCAGCCTCTATTTTGCTGAGATTTCCCCCACCCCTCCAGGAGGTCTCTTGGTCATGATCTGAAACAATACCATGCTAGGTCTTTTTTATCTCATTCCCTATTGCTTCATGGGAAGTTCTCCATGTTCTTTGCTCTAACAAGTGTCAGGTCCATCCTGGTATAGACTCCATCTTGTTCTGCTATCAGAACAGCTAACTAGCCTGTCTTTCCTACTTTAAATTTCTCAGGTATCATCCTGACATCAGTTTACTGTGGGCCCTAGTGGAGCCATTTTGTTGGGCTTGAAGTGAAGGAAGAGTATCCCCTTCATGGGGGAGGAGGCACATGATACACAATAGAAACACTCTCTATAAATTATCTTCTAATTTCCAACCCCTCTCTTGGTTTCTGCAACACATTTTATAAGCTGAAGGTGGTAACTAAGGGATTCCAAACTGAATTTTGTCTATTTCCTTTGCAATTCCATTTTTAGTGGTCTAGCATCTCTTTAGAATGAGGGAAGAATCAGTACCTACTGGGCCTGGACAGAAACCAAAACCGAAAAAGATCAATTTTAACATTTTGTTATATTGTGATGACAATAATTGTTATTTGCGGTAATCATTCTATAAAATGGACATCATCTTTCTCTCATCATTCCTAGTGTTATCTGTGTTTAACAATAATTGGTATTTTCTACCATTCGAAATTATAAACAGCCAAAGGCAAATTGTGGTTCACCACGTGTACTAAACATTAATTTTACTAGAAGTAAAATAACTGTCACAAAATGATCATGCTTTAATTCTAACCTAACAAGAGAGCCTGTGCTACTTGGGATGAAGAGTTAATCATCTGTTGGGATTTATGGAGGTCTTTTTGCAATGGTGATAAGCTTATAGGTGGGAAAAGCACAAATTCACTCAATTTGTTGTTTCCACTGCATGATGTCAGTAACTTAGACAAGTGAATATTGCACTACATATGTTTCTTGCAGAGTTGATTGGTTCATTTAATGTTCAGTGGGTGAATAGATATTTTTTGGTAGACATTTTGTGAGACTGAGCCCTTCAGAGGTCTAGTTAGTAGGGAAGAGAATTTCCATAAGGATTAAGAGTTTGTCAGTTGGTTGGCTAATTGGTTGATTGACTGATTTTTTTTTTTTTGAGATGGAGTCTTGCTCTGTTGCCCAGGCTGGAGTACAGTGACGTGATCTCGGCTCATTGCAGCCTCCACCTCCTGGGTTGAAGCAATTCTTGTGCCTCAGCCTCCTGAGTAGCTGGGATTACAGGCACCTGCCACCACACCTGGCTAATTTTTGTATTTTTAGTAGAGACGGGGTTTCATCATGTTGGCCATGCTGATCTCGAACTCCTGAGCACAAGTGATCTGCCCACCTCAACCTCCCAAAGTGCTGGGATTACAGGTGTGAGCCACTGCACCCAGCCAATTGACTGATTTAATCTAAGACATTGATGACATATTCAACTACAAATAGAAATTACTGTTTTCAGCTTATATGTAGAAACAAAATTTTAGTTAACATTGCTATTTCAAAGATGTATTATTGTCTTTGACTTTTAAAAATATGTGAGTCATGGGCTCTCCAAATGGAAATTTCTTTAAAGCAGTGGTCCTCAACTTTTTATTACGTACCTCTAACAGTAAAAACTTTTAAACATGGATTCATAATGTATGTTTTATTTGTTTATATGTGCTGCTATACTAATAGATTATGTACATAACAAAACATACACGAAAATAAAAATTTAAAAGGTTTAGACTAAGAAGAACCAAATATTTTATTATATTTATTTATTTATTTATTTTTTCAGATGGAGTTTCACTCTGTCACCCAGGCTGGAGTGCAGTGGTGTGATCTCGGCTCACTGCAACCTCTGCCTCCCAGTTTCAGGACATTTTCCTGCCTCAGCCTCCCGAGTAGCTGGGACTACAGGCATGTGCCACCACGCCCAGCTAATTTTTGTATTTTTGGTAGAGACAGGGTTTCACCATGTTGGCCAGGCTGGTCTTGAACTCCTGACCTGAGGTGATCCAACCACCTCAGCCTCCCAACCTGCTGGAATTACAGCACGTGAGCCACCACGCCCGGCAAAGAACCAAATATTTTAAAAATAAGTTTGTAGATATACAAAGACATTTTGCTGGCTAAAGCAGTTTCTAGACAGCCCTTCATTTTCTTCCTTCTACTGAAATCCTAGTAAAATGCTTACACAACTGTGCCCAATATCTCCATCATAGTCAGCAATTTGATAACTTTGGAAGCAAGGCATTTAGACAGAAAATTTGTATTTACGTACAAATTTTGGTTATGTGTTTTCTTCTGATAATATTAATTAGTGATAATATTAAGCAACACTTGGAATACTAAGTACTGATAATGTTAAGGAGTAAGCACTGACTAACAGTCATGCATTTTTCAGGGTCAACTGAAATCTTCTTCTGGGGATTATAAAACAGATTTGCATATGTGGCCTGAAATGAAGGCACGGCAGCTTAATCTTTCTCAATTCACAGTTGGGGCAGATTTGAAAATATTTTTCTTCTGGAATAAGATCCAAGCAACATAAAATTACAGAAGATAAACCTTCTTGACTACATGTCTTACAATAACACATTGATATTCCTTGGCTTAAGACTTCCTCTAATATTATTTTAAAAGGGGAAGAATACTTTGCTGGAAAACCCCACTCCCTCTGTTTCAAGGAATTTGAGAAACATCACTATAGCTGTTGAACTCACATCCATCAACCACAGGAAAAACCACTCATGAACTAATTTTGAGGCCCTCAATTTTTTGTCTTGAGTTCAAGCTCAGACTCCTGGTTATTTTGGAGCCCACAAAAGCTGAGTCTCCAAACTGCTATACTTAAAGGATTCAATATCATCCCCTATTCTCAGCCTCTGCGGGATTTTGTTGTATCCTCTTACTTCTGAATGCTCACAAGGCTACAGGCTTTATTTAAGAGAATGTCATAGATCTTAGAATTGTGTTGTTCTTGTTGAATCTCAGAGAAATAGAAGTGGAAATGAAAATTTTGCAAAGGACTAAATTTTTTCTCCCCAATTTCCATAAAAGGAAACAGGAAAGAGGAGGACCAACAATACCTTACCTTTTACTACTCCAAAAGCTCCAGCTTCCAGTTCTTATTATCCCCAATAGAAGACAGACTGGAGAAAGTAACAAGTTTCTGGGGCTTCCTCAGCTTTTGTCCTACATACTTAGAAGTTTCTAAGTTGGAAGTGAAATTAAGCTTGTAGTTAGGGTTAGGGTTAATGTTCTGCTGTGGGTTTGCATTGTGAGATGCTGCTGTTTCTATTTCTCCACTGACAGAAGATTTGAATATAAAGGTAGAAAGAACACACAAACATCCTGCTTGAAGCTTTCCTTTTTGTCAAGGCCTTTGATTTTCAAATGTATATAGAACAGAAACTTTATTTCAATATTTTTCCCTTGGACTACAAGTGATTGGAAAAATCTCCCTTTCTGACTCTAGACTTTCCATGGCAGCAGCTGATAATGCTGCCCTCACTCTTGCTGCCCTTGAATCACATCTCCAATAAATGTTAGCAGATAACCTTCCCCCACCCCAGAGTTTCCTTGTGCCCCTTTGTGTTTTTGTTTGCTGTTTGGTTTTGCAGTAAGATCACTTAACATGAGATCTAGTCTCCTAACAAATTTTGAACTGCACGACACCATATTGTTAACTATAGGCACTATGTTGCACAGCAGATCTCTAGAATTTATTCATCTAGAATAATCGAAAGTTTAGATCCATAGAAAAACTCCCCTTTTCCCCCACTCCCAACTTCTGACAACCAGTATTGTCTGATGTTTTAAATTAGAATCTATGAGTTTGGCTATTTTTGATTCTTATATAAGTGAAATCATATAGTATTTGTCCTTCATGGCTTATGTCACTTAGCATAATGTCCTCCAAAACTGTTTTTTTTTTAAACACAGGCAGTTTTTAATTTGCATGGTAGTGTGTGGGACTGTGAATAGCCATTAAATCTGAAGCCATGTAAAGTAACCTTAATATTTAGTGGGAAAATTGTAATCGTTCTGTGACTTTTAAAAAATTGTCAGAACATTAAAAACTTTTATTGTCAGTTGTAAATGTGTAGGGAAGTGAAAAATAGTAAAACTGATGTATTTTTTAGTACAATGTAATTTAAAACATTAGAAGCATTGAGAATTATAGTGCTTTATTTCCTTGTAAAAACTCTATCAAGAGTAATTTGAACAGTGCTTGCTTTCTCATCTTAGAACCTATGATATAGAGCAAGCATCTTTTCTATGTTTTGGTAAACTGTCATAATTCTTTCTAAGTTTGGATAAACTTTCAACATTTTCCTTTGCACTTTGAACGCTGTGTAATATCTGTGAGAGTTCCTTTAATGTGAAGTGTTTTGCTGGTGTTACTTCCCCTGGGACATCTTCATCCTTTTTGTCACAACCACTTTCTGCAGTTATGTCAATAACTTTGTCTTCACTAAGTTCCTCTGGCTGTATATCTACAGCCTCTCAAACAGCAGCAGGGTAACAATCACATAGTCAGCTGTTTCTTCCATAACTCGATTTACATTCAATCCAAATTTAACTTCCACTGCTATCAGTATTTTTTTTTTTTAACGGAGTCTCGCTCTGTCGCCCAGGCTGGAGCGCAGCGGCGCAATCTCAGCTCACTGCAACATCTGTCTCCCAGGTTCAAGCGATTCTCCTGCCTAAGCCTCCTGAGTAGCTGGGATTACAAGCGTCTGCCACCACGCCTGGCTAATTTTTGTGTTTTTTAGTAGAAATGGAGTTTCACCATGTTGACCAGGCTGGTCTTGAACTCCTGACCTCAGGTGATCCACCCGCCTCAGCCTCCCAAAGGCACTTTTTATTTCTCTGCTGCACTTTCATGTACTGCACTGTCATTATCCATTTTTGTAAAATGCCCATGGGTTTATCACTGGGAGAAAAGGAGGCAGCACAGCTATATACTCTTTGCTGTCTGTATGCAAACTGAATGACAGATGCACAGTGACCAATCACCAACAGACTTTGAAAGAAGTGATGTAATTGGTCACTGACCATGAGGTACTGTGTATGTGTTATTTACATGGTGATTTGTAGACTGAAGAGTTAGCAATGAAGTTTTGCTTTATGAATTACTCATAATTAATATGCCATGTTGACTGAAATTTGAACTGTGTTCGTAGTGGCCTAGTGTTATTAACTAAACTGTGGTAATTGAAATTTGTGCACATTGGGATATCGCAAAGGAGGGGCTGCCTGTACTCCAAAAGCTTTCCCATCACAGGACTCGGATATACCATTCCCTTTGTCCAGAACACTCTCCCCTCAACTCTCAAAGCTGGCTCCTTCTCATTCTCAGGCTGTAAGCTTAAATATCACTTCCTAAGAGATTCCTTTCCTGACTCTACTGTCTAAGTAGTCTTCACTTTACCTTCATTTTGTTTGTAATAATTATCACAATTTTAATATATATTTATGTGTTTATTTATTGCTACTTTTACTCTTCTCACTGGATTACATATGATCCACAAATAGCAGGGACCTTTCCTATTTTATTCACTAATATATACCCGGTGCTTAGTACAGTGCTTGGAATGTAGTAGTCATTCAATAAATATTTCTTAAGTAAATGAATAAATGATAGTAGGTCATTAGGGCAAAAGTAAATCAATTTGTATAAGAAAGAATTCAGGCACGGCATAGTGGCTCACACCTGTAATCCCAGCACTTTGGGAGGACGAGGCGGGCGGATCACTTGAGGTCAGGAGTTCTAGACCAGCCTGGCCAACATGGTGAAACCCCGTCTCTACTAAAAATATAAAAATTAGCCGGGCGTGGTGGCAGGCACCTGTAATCCCAGCTACTCCTTGGGAGGCTGGGGCAGGAGAATCGCTGAAACCCGGGAGGCAGAGGTTGCAGTAAGCTGAGATCGCACCATTGCACTCTAGCCTGGGTGACAAGAGCGAAACTCTGCCTCAAAAACAAAAAAAAAAAAAAGAAAGAAAGAATTAATTCCCAGCAGATTTCTGGGATGAATATTGAAAGATTTGTCATGATGGATTTTCAACATCCTGACCAAGTTCTGATGATAAGAAAAGACATAGGCCAGGCACGGAGGAGAGAAAACAGTGCACTTTGATTATTCACAATGTCAAAACTTAAAATGAATGCCTTTTAAAAAACATCACTTCAGCCGGGTGCGGTGGCTCATGCCTGTAATCCCAGCACTTTGGGAGGCTGAGGCGGGCAGATCACCTGACGTCAGGAGTTCGAGACCAGCCTGACCAATATGATGAAACCCCGTCTCTACTAAAAATACAAAAAATTAGCTGGGCATGGTGGTGAGGGCCTGTAATCCCAGCTATTCGGGAGGCTGAGGCAGGAGAATCACTTGAACCTGGGAGGCAGAGGTTGCAGTGAGCCAAGATGGTGCCATTGCACTCCAGCCTGGGCAACAAGAGGGAAACTCCATCTCAGAAAAAAAAAAAAAAGACAAAATTTATGTTGAGGGAAGAGCAAATATAGGGTATGGCCCAGGCTGAACACAAGGCCTGAAAATCATGGAGGATAATTGACTGTGGCCTAGTGTGTTGCTAAAGCTGAAATCCCCTAGAACCCCACCACTCTGGTATAGTATTTGCACTACTGGGAACAATGACTGGACATATGTATGTGAAACAAGAGTGGACTAATCTTGGATCCTAAGCACAGCACTATGAGTCAAGGGCCAAAACCTGGAAAACTGGCAAGTATACCTTATAGGGCCAATGTTTGCTCATACCACCATGAAGGCTGAAATGGAAGTACAGTAATAGTGGACTACACTGATACTTTGGTTCTTTCTTGCCACAAACTCCTTTTGGACAGAATAAGTTGTCAGGGTTCTTGGGGACAAAAGCGGTAGAGAGGTAGATGCTATATATCTGGTCATACCAGCATCTGAGGGCTTGAGTGATTAACTAGAATTTCTTTTAAAATTGCACCACAGCTGGCCGGGTGCGGTGGCTCATGCTTGTAATCCCAGCATTTTGGGAGGCTGAGGCAGCTGGATCACCTGAGGTCAGGAGTTTGAGACCAGCCTGACCAACATGGTGAAACCTCATCTCTACTAAAAATGCAAAAATTAGCTGGGCATGGTGGCAGACGTCTGTAATCCCAGCTACTCGGGAGGCTGAGGCAGGAGAATCACTTGAACTCTGGAAGCAGAGGTTGTGGTGAGCTGAGATCGCGCCGTTGCACTCCAGCCTGGGTGACAGAGCAAGACTTCATCTCAAAAAAAAAAAAAAAAAAATTCCACCACAGCTAGTGAGGGGGGGTTATGCTGTTTATACCACTGAAAAATCATTAGAGTAGTCACCACCTTTCTCAATTCCATCCAGGAGGTGGGGCAGGAAATGTTAGCTTGGGAAAAAGAGCTGTTTTTCATAGATATCGAGAACTAACCAGGGAAATTTATCACTGGAAGGAAAGCAAATACAATGGTCCCAGTTTAAATTCCTATCCTGTTTACTGTCTCCTCACAGACCTCCCCTTGGCTCCAAAATGGAGTTGCCACACCTCTTTCCTAAGCTACATAAAAATTAGAAGAGTTCCACAATTGTACCACATTAAAACAGTTCTGACACAGGCCTCCTTTTTTTTTTTCTGGTCTGTAGCAAGCATTTTCTTGCTTTTGGGTGATAAAGCCACGCTTGAATTAGCCAGGTAAGACTGCTGGCATCAATGGCTATTAAGTTCCCCCTAGAGACCTCATTCTTCAATAGGAGGCAGCCTGCTCTGGTTCACAAGCACCAGAACCAGGGCCAAATGCATTATTCGAGTCTCCTGTAAAATGCTTGCTTTTCTTGTACCAAAGTGTACAAGAAGTAAATCAGAGTAAACAAGAAATCTCCTTGGTACACCAGACACAAACCACATTATTATTATTCAGGCTGCACATAAGAGGGAGGATACAATGTTGTGGGAAACAATGAGAAGCACGTACAAATACTCCATCAAAACTGTCACTGCAGTCTGGTCAGAGCCAGAGCCCTTGAAAAAGGCAAGTCTAGTTCCTTATATTCATTTTATTCCTTGAAAAAATAATTACAGAGATTTCTTAACCCCAAATCACTGAATGCTAAGAAGCTAAGCCAAGGTAATAAGAGATCCTTGTATTAACTTTACCCAAATATCTTCCTAGCTACAAAATGGAAGAGTATTTGCTACTTGCAGAATGAAGCCTTTCATTGCTAGTGTCTGCATTTTCCAACTCTGGTAAACTGGGGGGTGGGAGAGACTTGGATGTATTCCTGGTATAATTGTATTTTATTGGAAGAGAAAGTGCTTGATTTGAGTAAAATGTGGTCAGTCAGAAACTGATTTTGCCAGAGTAGGAAAAAATTCAGTGTTAAATGATACTCTGATCCCCATGGACAATTTGAGATAAAGACTTTAACTTCTGGAGACATAAGAGGGGGCCAATGGGCCTTATGGCTGAGATTTTTATGTTTCTTTAACCTTGCATTAATGCAAGAGCTAAGGCATATTTTCTTGTGTATGTTTTTTTTCTTTACTGAGATATTCTGGCTGTACCTAAAAAAGGATATTAGGCAAAGGTAGATTGGCCAGCTTGATCAATTGGAAGGGATCAAAGTAATACAAGCAATGAAATGAGAAGAGCAGTGCCTTTAAATATTTGAATTGTAGTCCTAGTTCAGCCCAGATTTAAGAATAAACAATGGCCTTGGGAAGGTTATTTGCCATCTCGAGCCTCAATTCTTCACCTGAAAATTTAATAAAGTGAACGAAATTAGCGATTCTCTTTGTCTATGTCTTCCCCCACACTCATGAAGTTTGTAAACTGGAGCCACATGAATTTTCAGTGGCCTAACTTTAATTCTATCCCTTTCTTTCCTTCTCAAAAAGGCATATTAGAATGCATGCAAAAGAAAGGAGCTGTATTTTCACAAAAAAAAACTTTGCAGTGATCCCACTGATGTGAAAAAAACTCACAAATGTTTTCCAAATTTATGCTTATTAACAATAACAATAATAATGTATTAATAAAAGTTTACTTGAAACCCTCCTCACTGTTGCCACATACCCATATGTGATATAAATTATTGATAGAGACAAGGGGCAGCCAAGGGCCCCCAAACCCGCGACCCCCAGCGAAACCCCACGTTCAAGCCTAAAACAGCCTGTAGGCTGATGAACAGGACTGCCTGTCCCGGATGAGGCCCGCCCTTTCCCCACACTCCCCTGACTGATTCTTTCTGAATAATGCCCACCTGCACACTGGGAGGACAGGGTGGGGCCTTGGGGAAGTTCGCACTGCACCTTTTGGAGTGGGGAGGAGCTAGGCCTCTCCTGTTCCTGTGTGGTAACCTGGCATTCAGTCTGTGAGATGGGGGCCTGTTAACAGGAACCCCTCTGGCTTTGCTGAGTTTTTTTCCTTTTCACTCAATAAATTCCGCTCCCCCTCACCCTTCAAAGTGTCTGTGAGCCTAAACTTTCCTGGTCATGTGAAAAGAACTCAGTTTTTTCTACAACATTATTATTGAGCACTGAGTGACTAGTAGTTTCTAAGATACCTTAGATCATTAATATTCTAAAATTGTGAAACTTCTCATCTGAAAATTGAAGAATTCAGATGAAGGCTAGCTTTCTGCAGACCTACTATTAAAGATCTGGAAACCTGAAACTCAAAAATCAGTGGCTTATTTTATCTAAGTTACGTTACTCAATTACTAAAAATAAACTAGGAAACAAATTCCACTGTTGGCCAAGGAAAACATCATGACCCCATTCAACTTTTGGTCCCATCTCTTGTATGGTTTTCTGAAGTGAAGTGATTTTTTTTTTTTTTTTTTTTTTTTTGAGACAGAGTCTCGCTCTGTCACCCAGGTGGCTGGAGTGCATTGGCGCGATCTCGGCTCACTGCAACCTCCGCCTCCCAGGTTCAAGCAATTCTTCTGCCTCAGCCTCCTGAGTAGCTGGGACTACAGGTGCATGCCACCAGGCCCAGCTAATTCTTTTTCTTTTTTTGTATTTTTAACAGGGACAGGGTTTTGCCATGCTGGCCAAACTGGTCTGGAACTCCTGACCTCAGGTGATCCACCCACCTCGGCCTCCCAAAGTGCAGGGATTACAAGCATGAGCCACTGCACCCAGCTGAAGTGATGTTTTTAAAAGGCATTCATTTTAAGTTTCGACATTGTGAATAATCAAAGTGCACTGGTTTCTCTCCTCTATGCAAGAACATGAACGTCTTATAATCACGTTGTCTGGATGTCCACGTGTGTATGGATGGGCATGTGTGAGAGACGAAGGGAGCATAATGAGTTATGTGAGCCCTTACAGAGGTCTGGAATGAAACACCTGAAAACTAGTCACCTCTGGCTCCAATCCATAACCTCCACAGAATTGAGTAGCTTAGCTCAATATTCTCTGAAGAAATTTCTATTTGTGAGATGAAATTGAACTGCACTTACAAATTGGTCTTTTCTGATAAAGAAAGAGATTTTTTTTTTAGTGGTTTCTTAAAAAGCTTTAAGTGGTTTCCCTAATAGGCAACAAATCATAGGATATTCTCTATTATCCAAACACAGCAAGGCTTTAGAGCCTTGTTTATGACATGGAAAGCCTGTGAATTGGGTGTTTTCAGCAGTCTTGGTTTCTGATCCTATCGATCTTGTTAAAAAAAAATTTAACTGACTAAAAGTGATTGATCCAGGGGCTGTGTGGATGGCTTCAGCCTCACTTAAGCTATTATTTTATCATGTCCATGGCGATATGACCGCTCACTTCAAAACTGCGATTCCTATTTTGTGGCACCATCAAATTCTAACCACATATTTCCTATTATTCTGGAGTAGTAAACTCACGTGGTATGTTACATAACAAGGGCCCTCCACCTTTCCCAAGAGATGTGGGAGAAAAAAATAACTCGAATCCCTGTGAAAGGCTGAAAATCAAAGCAAAAATATAGAACAGGCAGAGTTGACAGGGAGTTTTTCTCTGTTGTTGAGGGCTTTGTCAAAGGTTGTAAGTCTTATTGGAGACCAGAAATTCTGAATTTATCTAGCTGACAGGTAGTGCAACTAACCAATACAGTAGGAAAGAAAAATACCTATGCCACGTGAGAATGCATGTCGAAACCATTTCAACATTATCTCATTTTTCAATAGAGATTCACACTATTGAGTTTCTAACAACATGGGTGACTCGAGGCTTTCACACTTTCAAATAGAAAGTTTGGATTTGGGCCGATTTAGCCATACTTTTGTGCCAGCCCCCATTCACTGTGAGAAATAGCTCACCAGGATTTTCAGAAATGTAGTCTGGCTACTGGATATAGACAGTAGTGTATTAGTAAATACAAAAAAAAAAAGTTCAACTGTTTGGAGGAGGTTTTACTTGCAAAATTTAATCCGTAATAATTATTTTAAAAATCAATTATCATTGTAGTTTTCAAAGAACAGTATAAGTTTAAGTTCCAGGCTTTGATTATTCATTCAGTTGGGTGTTTTCAACTCAGTGATGATTCCTTGTTAAAAGCTATAGAATAAAATTTCATCACATTTTTATCTGATGTAACTCAGTGTAATGGAATACTAAAATAAATAATGAACATTGGTCTGTCACTTTTTAGGTTTCATATACATTATCTCACTGATTATCACTAGACTATGAATTCATGTAGCTGGAGTGAAGTATATTTTTACGTTATTTACCACCGTATCTCCAACTCCTTGATAGGGCATGGCACAAAGTAGATGTTCAATTAATATTTGTTGAAGGAATGATTGAACCACCCTGTAATGTAGGCAGAACAGGTATTATCCTTTTTTCCATTTTATAGGTGAAACAACATTGCAGAAAAGTTTAGTGACTTGTTCAAGGTCATATAGCCAGCAAGGGTGGTGCTAGGCCTTGAACCTAGTTCTTTAAACTTTTCTCCAGGTTGTTATCTGATCTAACTCTGGCACTAATTGGTAAACCCCACAGTCATTCTGGGCTTTTTTTACCTTATACTTGAAATAAGAGAAGTGAAACAATTTCAATTGAATATTTGAGCTGTTTAAGAAATAAAAATCACATTTCCTCCCAAAATAAAATAAGAGAAGGCATTATTTCATGGCTCTGAGGTCTCAACTAGGTCTAATATTATGGGCTTAATTTACAATATTATTTACGGTATCATTCTGACTTCTGAGAGCCTTATATTCACTAAAGAAGTAGTGCTAATGGTGGAGTCCAGAGAACCTAGAACTGTCAGCTGCTCCAGAGAAGGGATGCCCAGGGCCACTATCACAGGTCCACTTACTAATAATAAAAGAAAACTTCAGACCAAAAGCTTCTTCCTTAAGGAAGTCGGGAAGGTTGCTTTAGGTTATAAAGAGGCTCTGAAGAAATTCTGTCTCATTATTAACATGAAACTGTTCTAGAAGCTTTCTGGTAGTGATGTCTCCACCTGATGGCCTTGTTTACCCAGCTAACTCATCTCCCCTGTTCCCTTCCCCTTCCCCTTTCCCTTCCCCACAGACACACTCCATGCCATCTTCAACCACATGCACAATGGTTGTAAGCAGGATGTAAACTTTTATAATGAATTCATTGGAGACAGCCTGCTTTGCACATGCCAGCAAGAATTTCAGGGATGGTTTTCAAACTTGTATTTTATTTAAAAATGTCGTTATCCCCATCACATATAAGGCGTCTTTGCAGCAGCTTTGTCAGTATTTATTAGTTGCTACTTGGAGTCTGTTTTTTCAAAAGAACTGATTAGTCTCAACATCTTAGAGTGATATATTGTTTTATAGCAAGCCCAAATATAAGCTGAAGGCCCTGTGTAAATTACTTCCCCTAATTTCCTTCAGCCACTTGCTCGTTTAGAATGTACACAAACGAAAGATGTCAAGAACGTTTAGTCTGTTATACCTGCCATGGGTGGCTTCCCCTACAGCACACGGTGAAATCTGATTACAGAAGGACTGAGAAATGAAAGCTTTGCTGGAATTAGAGGCAGCTGTCTCAAATAAGAGTAAAGCAGAGCGTGGCACTACATTCTGCAGAAAGAGGCCTTACTGCAGAATATAGTTTTATGCATCACCATGATTCCTAAATCAAACCCAAGTCTCTGACCATCACTTACCGAAAATTTCGAACCATGAAGTTGTGACCATTTCTAAAAGCTGCATTGTTTAACAGGATCCTCAGATTAAACAGCATCTTCTTTTAATTGTGTAAAGGACGATTCTATGCCCTTGAAAACTCCACAGCAAGTTAGCCAGCGGGGGCCACCTAAAAACTAAGAAATGTGTTCAGTTGCAGTGAGGGAGCAAAGGTAATATCACCCTTCAGCTTCCTTATCAAAGTCCCCTGGTTAGAGATACTGCAGGGCAGGGTGTAGGAGCATTTGAACTTTATGCCAAGCTCCACCGCTGTGTATTTTTTTTGGAAGAAATCCTGACTCTTTTATTGCCTGGCCTCCTCATTTTTCATAATATATTTATACTGTCACACGCATGTACAAAATCAATTGACAAGTACTCATTGAGGATATAATATATGCAAGGCACTGCGGTACCGGCTGCTGTGAAGGTGAGTAGAAGTAACTCACTCAGAAAATGCAAATTGGCACTGCAAAAACACAGATGTAGATGTGACAGTCCTGAGTAGTACTATTTCCATTTATTTCACTTTTCTACCTCTAATTGCCAGTCTTTCCACAAAAACAAATAGAAAGAAGTGCCCTGGAAGCTATTTTGGGGGTGCAAGATGATAGAGAAGGTATAGTAAAAATATCTCAGTCCTGGAGCTCCCTTTGTGCCTTGCACATAAGTCTTCAATAAAGAAATAATTGCTGGCCGGGCACGGTGGCTCACGCCTGTAATCCCAGCACTTTGGGAGGCTGAGGCGGGCGGATCACTTGAGCCCAGGAGTTCGAGACCAGCCTGGCCAACATGGTGAATCCCCGTCTCCACTAAAAATACAAAAATTAGCTAGACGTGGTGGTGCACACCTGTAATCCCAGCTATTTGGGAGGCTGAGGCATGAGAGTCGCTTGAACCCGGGAGACAGAGGTTGCAGTGAGCCCAGATTGCACCACTGTACTCCAGCCTGGGTGACAGAGAGAGACACTGTCTCAAAAAAAAGAAAGAAAGAAAGAAAAAGAAAAGAAATAGTTGCCTATTGATTCTAACAGCACCTGACAGTCAGTACAAGTGGGAAGTGGGGATACCATATGCTCTTCCCCTAGCAGCCTATTCAGATCACTAAGGGGCCATCTGCAACTTCACATTTATTCATTTATCCTCAGTTAGAAATCAGGTGATTCAAAGTCAATTCTGTATCAGATACCGAGCTGCACTGAAGTTTCAGAGAGGGAAGATGACATCATCTTTGCAGAGTTCACAGTTCAGTAAAGGTGGTATGATTTATAAACAAATATCCATAATACAAGCCCATAGGAGAGGTCCAGACAAAGTTGTCTGGCTTCGAAGAAGCGGGAGCCCTCTAAGGTAGGAAGGGTAGGAGGAAGGAGAGGAGGGGCAGGGGTAGGGCTGCCTCTTCTGGTCAATTTATATGACTTTAGCAAACCCAAGTAAATATTTTCCAGAAGTTTGTGGAATACCAAAAAGTGTTATTTAAAGACCAACTATGGCCACCTCAGGAGCCGAGATGTTTGTGATGTCATAATTAATACTAGTAGAGAAATAAATATTGTCACCATTTCCTTCTACTTACAGAGAATGATGTGAGATAAAGTGAGGGGAAAGACTGACA
The DNA here is from genome assembly GCF_000001405.40 of Homo sapiens. Lineage (NCBI taxonomy): Eukaryota > Metazoa > Chordata > Mammalia > Primates > Hominidae > Homo > Homo sapiens. The sequence continues at coordinate 38,351,139 of NC_000023.11, read as the reverse complement.
TTTCCCAACCTCTACCAAATCTTCCATTCTGGAAAGGATATTCCAGGCAGAAGCAACTGCTTGCAAAGGTACAGAGGTGAGAAGGGAGAGAGTGAATTTAAAAAACATAATAAAGCATCTTTGAAGAGGCAAACAAGGCCAGTTATTGAATAGGTTTCAGAGAGCAAAAGCGCTCCACATAATACAGGAGTGAAATTGAACGTTTGCATGGAGCCTGAGGGAGATGAGGCCAAACCACAGGCTAATATAAAGCCCATAGCTTGACCCCATATCTTCACTGAACTGTGCTAGCCATACACACAACTCATATTGGTAATGCTTGGGGAGAAATCAAGAAGTGTCTGCAGTTCCATGCTAGAGAGTACAGGCAGCATTTCTGAGATGCCAAAGCAACTCACAAACCCTCCTAATGCTACAGATGCAGGAGCTCAAAGCCAGAGGGAACTAAAAAAAAGTTAAGATACCAATAACTCCCAGAGGGATTGGAAAAGGGGAGCTGCATCACAAGTGGGATGAAGTTAAAAGCAATTTCACTGAATCTCAAAAGGCAGGGCATCTCAATGAACTTGTTGAGGGGTAGATTTCAACTACCCAGCTTCTGCTGATTATGTCACATGTGGAGTCTGTTTTACTTTACAGGCTTTGATGTTCATCCTCAGAATTCATCCAGGGGCTCTTGTTGACCCCATGATTCCTCTAATTCAATTTTAACTTTCTTGTTTCACTACCTATCTAGTTCTCTTTGTTCACCTAGCCTTTCATTCATCCATTTTTCTCTGCCACCATCAACAATTGTGCAGCCATCATAAGCCAATCCTCTGTGCTGTGTGGGTTCTGAGAGACAGAGTGATAAAACAGGAATGATGAGTTCCTTCCAATATTCACCATTTGGAATGACTCCAGAATACAATTTCTGTCTCTGCTCTCTGACCCCAAACATCTTAACCAGGTGGAGGGGCTTGTTACCTGCTCCCTTGCTTCAAGCCACAGGAGACCTCCAGCTTGACGTGACCCTCTCCTAACTTCTATCATCAGGGGGTGGGGATTAGATGGGGTTCCTGAAAAAGGTGGCACTGATTTTTGATGAATTGCAAGAATCAGAAAATAGTCAAAACTGGAGGGAGCTACAAAGGATATTGTAGCAAAAAAAGGAACCTGTGAGTAGACCTAAAGGAAGGAACAAATAGAGTGTGTAGGGTAAAAACAAATGATATATAACTGGAAAAATACATTCCATCATTGGCCATTGAAATGAAGCCCCACCACCACCAAGCACGCTATGAAAACAAAAAACTACGAGTATCTGTGTCTTGTTTATATCCCCTTGGCATTCGGTCTTCCCCTACATACCTGCCACTTCTTAATGCAAATACCCACTGCTGTCTTCTTGAGGATAAACTTCTCATATTCCTCACTCTTTGTGTGGGTGGCTTTGTCCATTTTGTGTTGCTGTAACAGAATACCACAGACTGGGTAATTTATAAAGAAAAGTTGATTTGGCTTACAGTTCTGGAGCTGGGAAGTCCAACAGAATGGTTCCGGCATCTGCAGAGGACCTTTGTGCATTGCCATTCCATGGCAGAAGGTAAAGGGCAAGAGAGGGTGAGAGTGAGAGACAGAGAGGATTGAACTTGCTTTTATAACAACCTATTCTCTTGATAACAAACCCACTCCTGTGATAACCACATTAATCTATTCATGAGGACAGAGCCTTCATGTTCTAAACATCTCTTAACAGTCCCACCTCTTACTACCATCACAATGCCACTTAAATTTCAACATAAGCTTTTCAGTTGACATTCAAACCATAGCAGTGGCAACTATGAAGCACATTCTACATGCTCCCCAAAAGGTCCCCAGTGGAATTGAACCTCAATTGCCCACAGTAATAACCTGCTCATCAATCTACCCTGTATTAGCCACCTTCCCTTCCCTGTCTCATTTCCCTCACTACCCTGCCAGTGCTTCCTGGGACTACCTCCCAAATCAACTACTTGAACCCAAACCCCTTTCTCGATGTCTGCTTCTATGGAAACTCAACTTTTGCCCAGATCTACCTTCTCAACAGTTTTGCAACACAGCTTCTTCTTCTTTTCCCCCTGGCCCTCCTATCTTTGAGTTGGTACCTGAGCTTTCTGTGTCAACAACTTGGTCCCCAATACCATATTGCACCCTCACTCTCAAGTTTAGTCCCAGTTATTCTGTAAATAGTGGTATGCTGGTAAATGTTTAATAACTAGCTCTTCAAAACAAAAGCTCTGAATTGTAGCAGTCTGACTTGTAAGGTGTAAATATTCCCATCACAGCCAATTTCAAGCTACTAATGTGACATCACTGAACACAGAGATGAAGAGAGGTATAAAAATAGTTCTTAGGAGATCGAGACCATCCTGGCTAACATGGTGAAACCCCATCTCTACTAAAAATACAAAAAAATTAGCTGGGTGTGGTGGCGGGTGCCTGTAGTCCCAGCTACTTGGGAGGCTGAGGCAGGAGAATGGCGTGAACCCAGGAGGCGGAGCTTGCAGTGAGCCGAGATTGCGCCACTGCACTCCATCCTGAGCGACTGAGCAAGACTCCATCTCAAAAAAAAAAAAAGAAAAAAAAAGTTCCTGCAAGCTACTGTGAGCTGGCTCCAGTATACCACTGTCTACTACTCCCACCCAGAAAGGAGGATTTTCTCAAGGTTTGGAAAGAAATATTGAAGCCAGATTGCTGAGGGCCTTGAAAGCCAGATTATAGAGTTGAGAATTTAATCGGTAGTCAAAGGAAGATTATTAAAGTTTTGGAGCTGGGGCAGACAAGAAGACATATGTCATTATTTGCATTGGGTTTTGAAACCATTAACCTGGGGCCATTGTGTGAGAAGTACAATGTGAAGAAAATAGAGGCAAAGAGACAAAGAGGTTATTGTGTGACAAATATGAGGCCTGAATACATATTAGGGCTGTGGAAATAGAAAACAGGAGATGGATGCAAGAGCGATTTAGAAATTAGAATTCGCCTATCATGAAAATTGATTGGATGTTGAAAGAAGGGAGACGAAGAAGTTAATGAGATGCTAGGATTTCACATTTATCCTATTACTGAGAATAAAATTCCAAATAGCCAAATGTTGCTATTGGGGATATAAAGAATGTTAGTTCTCTGACATTTTGAGCTTTTAAGTATCTGTATAAACTTGAAATATTTCTTTGAAATTGCCAGTGTGCTTCCCTAGTGAAATCCAAGCATTGAAGAGGGAATCAATGTGATATAAAGGAAAGAATGATGAGAATGATGTTTGAAGATCAAATGTGACCTCTGGCTCAGTCACTCACTCCTGGTGAATTTGGCTAAGTCATTCGGTACCCTCAGAGTCCTCACCTGTCCAACTAAATAAAATGAGTTATTATGGTGCTGTGGAAATTTTAACATGCTAATCAAACATGAGGTATAGTGTCTAAGAGCCCGGGCATAGATAGCTATTATCAAAAAAATACTGCAAATTTGAGATCCATACAAACAAGACAGATGGCGATTACTGCAGTGCGAAGCTCTGATTTGTTTCAGAGTGTTACTAGTTACATAAATAATTTTTATAGCTGGTTGCCTAGAATCTTTAAGATCCTAAGAAGCCGCAGCATTTGCATGCAGTACACACTAGTTAAGTCTTCCGAGTTCTGTGGGACTGTTGCTGGTGAGCTATTTTCCACTGGATATGGACAAAGAAGCTTGTATCTTTGTCTGAGACCAGTAGCCACCCTGTGACAATGAGAGGAAGTAGCCTTATAAGGAAGCTGTGGTTGGCTGAGTGGAAGAAGGAAGGAATCTTAGTCATTTAGGACATCACTGAGTTGCAAAATCAACCAGCCTCATGAGTCTCCCTACCACTTGCCACTTCATTATGTGAAATAGCAAATGTCCTCATAGAAGAACAATCCCTCTGGATTGGGGTTTTCATTACTTGCAATCAAATGCATGCTAACTAATACACAATTTGGCTTAGGTGTTTGAAGGTTTGTTTCTTATATAACAACAGGAAAAAAATAATATTCTAGAAGTGGATTCTAGTTCAGAACCTATTTATTGGTTGAATAACCTTGGGGAAGTCAGTTTCCTTATCTGCAAATGGAAATCAATACTCTCTTACAATTTTTCTTTTGTTAAATGAATGTACTTGATATGTTTTATTATTTAAAAAATGCTTACATCAGTATGTAATAAACTTAACATTTTTTAGCCTACAGTGCTATGAGTTGTAACACATGTGTAGATTTGTATAACCACCACCACAATCAGAATACGCAATGGTTGTATCACTCCAGAAAACTCCCTTTTAAATTCCTTTGTAATCACATCCTCTTCTTTTCTAATCCCTGGTATATTGATCTTCTCCTCTCTCCCTTATAGTTTTGCCTCTTCCAGAATGTGACATAATTGGAACCATACACTGTGTAGTATTTTTGGACTTGCTCCTTAGCATAATGTCTTTGAGATTTACCCATGTTGTGTGTATCACTAATATGTTCCATTTTATTGTTGAGTAGTATTCCATTGTATCGTTATATCACAGTTTATTTATCCATTCCCCCATTAAAGGACAATTGAGTTGTTTCCCGCTTGAGGAGTTTGTAAATAGAGCTACTACAAACATTTGCATATAGGTTTTTGTGTCAACATAAGTTTTATTTATCTAGGGTAACTATCTAGGAGTAGAATAGCTGTATATCTGGTAGTTATATGTTATGTTTAACTGTTGAAGAAACTGTCACGCGGTTTTGCAGAGTTAATATACCATTTTGCAATCTCAGCAGTAATGCATGAGAGGTCCGTTTGTTCCACAACCTTTCCAGCATTTGGTATTGCAAATATTTTTCATTGTCACCCCAACAGTTATGTAGTACAAATTGTGGTTTTAATTTGCATTTCCCTAAAGGCTAATGATGCTGAGCATCTTTTTGTGTCCTTATTTGCCGTCCATTTATCTTTCTTGGTAAAATATCTGTTAAATATTTTACCTACCTTTTTTTTCTTTTGAAGATAGAGTCTTACTATGTCACCCATGCTAGAATGCAATTGAAACCACCTTTGCAAAATTATGACTGAGACAGTGAAAGAGATCTAACTTAACCGAGTCCATCTTGCTTCTAACCTCCAAGCTGTCTTTGTTCATTCCTGGGCAGAGGCTGAACTAACTTTGGGAGAAACTTAGTTCACAGTTTATGGTTTAAACAAAGACGATAATGGCCCTTTCCCAAAGCAGACCTCCTTCCTGCTTGGGGACTAGATTGCCTTTGTAGTAGAAATTACGGTTTAGGGTCGGGCACGGTGGCTCATGCCTGTAATCCCAGCACTTTGGGAGGCCAAGGTGGGAAGATCACTTAAGGTCAGGAGTTCGAGACCAGCCTGGCCAACATGGTGAAACTCTGTCTCTACTAAGGATACAAAAATTAGCCAGGTGTTGTGGCACATACCTGTAATCCCAGCTACTCGGGAGGCTGAGGCAGGAGAATCACTGGAACCCAGGAGGCGGAGGTTGCAGTGAGCTGAGTTCTCACCACTGCACTCCAGCCTGAGTGACAGAAAAAGACTTCGCCTCAAAAAAAAAAAAAATATGGTTTAGGAGTTATGCAGCTGGAGGCTACAAAATTCTGACCCTCCCTAAACTGCTCCTAAAATCAGTGCTTGGGGTATCAGTACTGCACTTGATGGATCAGCTGGCACCACCAGATCAATAAACTGGCTCATCTGATCTTGTGGCTAATGTTAGTCCTACAAAGGAAGTCTAGTCCCCAGGCAGGAAGGAGGTCACTTTGGGAAAGGGGTGTTACCGTCTTTGTTTAAACCATAAACTATAAACTAAGTTTCTCCCAAAATTAGTTCAGCCTATGCCCAGCAATGAACAAGGACAGCTTGAAGGTTAGAAGCAAGATGGATTCGGTTAAGTTAGATTTCTTTCACTGTCTGTCATAATTTTGCAAAGGCGGTTTCACAATAGTGTGATCATAGATCACTGTAACCTTGACCTCCTGGGCTCAAGCGATCCTCCAACCTCAGCCTCCCAAATAGCTAGGAGTATAGGTGTGTGCCACCACACCAAACTAAATTTTTTGGTAGGTATAGAGTCTCACTATGTTGCCCAGGCTTGTCTCACATTCCTGGTCTTGAACAGTCCTCCAGCCTTAGACTCCCAAAGCACTGGGATTACAAGCGTGAGCCACTGAGCTTGCCTGACCCCTATTCTTCTTCTTTTTTTTTTTTTACTTGAATTGTTTATTTTCTTAATGTTTAGTTTTGAATGTTCTACATATATATTCTGGATACAACACTTTTATTGGATATGTAACTTGCAAATGTGTTTTCCCAGTCTGTTGCTTGTCTTTTCAGTCTCCTGACTATGTTTTTCACAAAGCAAAATTTTTAAATTTTGATCAAGTTCAATTTACCATTTGTTTCCTTTCTCTGGATCATGCTGTTGAACTCTTTGCATAACCCAGGGTAACAAAGATTCTCTCCCTATGTCTTCTGAAAGTGTTGTAGCCTTACATTTTCCATTCAGATCTGTGATCCACTGTGAGTTTTGTCTAAGGCTTGAGGTTGAGATTGAGTTTTTTTTTCCACATGTGGATGCCCAATTTCTCTTTTCTTAAGAGTCCTCTATGTCCCAGGTCATATCTAACGTGCTGAAGGACCCAAAAATCTTCATGTGTTAATATTCTAATATTCCCAGAATGTTTTATAAGCTGTAAAGCTCTGCTCTGTTGTGAGACGGTATTGTTTTGCGGCTTGGACCTGTGTGGAAACTGGCAATAAGAAATAAATTAGAATTATTATAGTAAAGGAAATCACCCATTAGCTGGCTCCTTTTTTTCTCTCCACGTGTGTGTGTGTGTGTGTGTGTGTGTGTGTGTGTGTGTATATATATATATCACCAAAAGAGCTCCTGATTTACAGAGAATCTGAGAATTACTTTATTTTTTATTTTTTATGTTTTTTGTTTGTTTGTTTGTTTGAGACAGAGTCTCGCTCTGTCACCCAGGCTGGAATGCAGTGGCACAACCTCGGCTCATGGCAACCTCTGCCTCCTGGGTTCAAGCGATCTGAGAGTTACTTTCTAATTAACAGATGGTAATGGTAATGGTAGTTTGTCTAAAAATATTGATTCAGGGGTGTTTTCTTGCTACATCACCACTAGGTATTTATTCAAACAGGTGGGCCCTAGGGGAAATTGTGAAATCAGTGAGGATTATCTCTGACCCCCTCTCCATCCCTTTTCCTGCCATACCCTTTCAATTGAGGCATTTGAAGAAGGTAGACAGGGTCCTTCATAAAGGCTAAAATTCTGAACAGAGTGTGAAATGCCAATCATCAAATTCAAGTATAATCTCGCTTCTCTCTTGTCATATAGACCACATTTCCATTGAAATCATTATTCTGTTAATCATTTGCCCTGGAAGTTATTGATTTTAAGCAGAATCCAGAATTTTTTGAGCTTAGATATGGACAAAAGTCTCAAGTTTCCATACCTGGTTCTTTTTATTTTGTGATCTGGTAAATTTCTGCACAGAAGACAAGATTAGGAAATGCACAACACAATTTATGAAGTAAGAAAGGGGTAAATAAATATGGTTAATGACCCAACCTTGTGTCAGAGGCAGTTGAGATGCAAAGCACGAGGTTCTCTTTCAAGGATGCCCTTTTATCTCTTCAAGTTCCCACACAGAATCCTAGAGCTATCTCTTCTCCCATAGGCTGATTCCAATTCCTCCCCATTGGAAGTACAGAGGTTAAACTGCATAAAGGAGATTTGTTAGCAGACTGAAAGCTATCAGGCACAGAGCAAACAGGGAAATCACAGAGGTTCAAAGTTCACCAGTGTCTCAACAATCAGCCCTAATGCTCCCTGTGACTACCAGACACTCCCAGGACCTGAGTGATGGGGATCCCATGAGATCATTTTCATTGCTTTCTACTGACCAGGGTTTGGTCTAGGAGCACTGTCCCAGTAATAATTTTCATGGCAATATTCTCCCCTTGAGCCCAGGAAACATGTCTTGGATGGCTTCAAAAGTCACTGCTTGGTGAATGCCTTCTCTGCCCATTTCTACTTTTTGGTGAAACTTGAAACCATCTTTGTAGTTGGTGCCTCTCTTCAGACCCTACTTGGGAGGTGCTCTTGACCTGCTATTGATTGCTTTATTGGGCTATATCTACTAAGCAGGGGCTCTGCCCTCACCTTAAGCTAATGATTAAACACAGCCTTCTTCTCTCAAGGCTGCTCCACTGGTAACAACTCTGTGGCCTGTAAAGATGGGACCTATTTAGGGTCTGGAAGATAGACCATGGGAATCCTGTCTTCAAGATTCAAGAGAAACAAGCCCTTTTCATGGGGCTTTGTTGAGTGTTTGGAGCCTAGGTCATAGGTGCTACATATTCACCATTATTGATTTATTCCTCCAGAATTTTTCAACTGGAGTTCACCATTTCTTCCAGGGAACCAAGGAGTTCATGGATTTCCAGGTCACCTTCATTGTTATGCAATGTATTACCATTAAGAAGTAAGCGAATCATCTGGCAAGCAGTACTAGCAGCTCCTACTCATAGCTTTGTTGTGAGTATGAAATGTAATAATGAATAGAGAGTACTGTAGCACAGTACCTAGCTCAGTGTTCAATAAATGTTAGCTTTTGTTAACTACTACCATTGGCACATGTGGTGAGAGGCCCCATCCCTGGCTCAGTTCTTGGCTTATTCTAATCACTTTCCTACAAATAAAAGTGTTGAGGTGTCCGTCTTTCTTTCATACCCCCACCCCACTCCAGAGCTGTATTAAAAGTGAAATTCAGGCTGGGCATGGTGGCTCACGCCTGTAATCCCAGCACTTTGAGGCGGGCGGATCACGAGGTCAGGAGTTCGAGACTAGCCTGACCAACGTGGTGAAACCCCGGCTCTACTAAAAATACAAAAATTAGCCAGGCATGGTGGCGGACACCTGTAATCCCAGCTATGCATCGAGAGGCTGAGGCAGGAGAATTGCTTGAACCCGGGAGGCGGAGGTTGCAGTGAGCCGAGATAGTGCCACTGCTCTCTAGCCTGGGCGACAGAGCGAGACACCATCTCCATTAAAAAAAAAAAAAAAAAAAAAAGTGAAATTTAAGAAAATAATAAATTTAAATAAAATAAAATAAAGAATAAAAAAAGACAAAAAACAACAAACAAAGAAATCACACTCTTGTCGTCTAAACTAGTGGAAAATAAAAAGGAAACAGTGCTTCTTACTGAAGACCTATGATGTGTTTTCTTCTTTCTTCTTTTCTCTTTTTGCCTAAATAATGTGAAAGCCAGGAACTTTGTTCTCCCTCAGTACAACTGTCTAACGTTACAAGTTTCTAATCTTTTATTGTCCTTCTGTGACCCTGTTATGCTAACCAACCTATCCCATTTAAGATGAAAATAAGATAAAACAATAAATGACTGTTAAGTACTTCAAAAATACAAAAGACTCTAAATGCCAAGAGTGATTATTGCCTTCCGGTGTAATGAAGATGCATAATAAAAATGGATCATAAAATCCCTTCGCTACCATGGCCACTACTCTTTTTGCCAGTTAAAATTTACAATTACAGTCTGTTTATTCAAAGCAACAGGGGACATGGAAACAACTCAGTCATTTTCTAAAGTAGGTTCCCCCAATCACTTGAACACAGAATGACTCTAGAGACATCAGTGATACATTTTTCAAAATCCATATGAAAATAACACATCATCTTCAGTGTCTAATAATGTCACTGAAACCTCCCCACCCCCATATTCTTTTTATCCAATGTATATGTTGTTCACATATCATCTTCTGTATGTATTGGTTAGTTTATATTACTACGAGGTATTTTTTCTTATGTGCATCATGGCAATAGGAAACTAGACAGAGAGAATAAATAATCCAGATAATTTTGGGTTAGGAAGGGAGCAAAACAATATGAACAATTTCACAGACATAACATTGAGTGAAAAAACTGGATATAAAAAAGTGTGTTTTTCATTTACAGAAAATTCAGAAACTGGCTGGGCGCAGTGGTTCACACCTGTAGTTCTAGCACTTTGGGAGGCCGAGGCAGGCGGATCACTTGAGGTCAGGAGTTCAAAACCTGCCTGGCCAACATGGTAAAACCCTGTCTCTACTAAAAATACAAAAAATTAGTGGGGCATGGTAGCAGGCGCCTGTAATCCCAGCTACTCAGAAGGCTGAGGCAGGAAAATTGCTTGAACCCGGGAGGCAGAGGATGCAGTGAGTCGAGATCGTGCCACTGTACTCTAGCTTGGGTGACAGAGCAAGACACTGTCTCAAAAAAGAAAAAAAAAATCAGAAACTGACAAAACCAATCTATGGTGATAAGAGGATACAAGAGTGGTTAGATTTATAATGGAACGTTCATTAAGAGGGCACAAAGGAGGCCTTACTTTTACTTTAAAGAACCATATTATCTGCATATTATAACTTTGATTCTTCTTATTTGTTTCATAATGTTTTACATATGTTATTATTCTACCAAAAAATTAAATACTATGGGGGGTAGGAAATAAGCATTTTTGCCTTCTACCTAATTTTAAAAAGAATATCCTGGTTTATAATTTCTCTTGTTTAAAAAGAAACATGCTTGATCTTGTTTGCAAAAAAAAAAAAAAACAAAAAAAAAAAAACAAAAAAACAATGAAGGGAGCAAACTGTGACTGTATTCTTTAGTTTAGAAGAAACTATTTGATCAACTTAAAGTTAAAGCTATTTGCTAATATTCCCATTATAATTTCAAGTGGAAAAGCATTTTAAACCTGCCAGATGTAACTGCCATTCCTGGAAACCCACTTATTTCTCTGGGTCTGGGGAAGCTTGGGGACTTTAGTAGAATTCTACAAGTAATAAGATGTGTGGAGGGATGCAAAAAGTGGGGTTTTCATTGGAGGGTCTGAACATATTCTCGACCTAGGATTCAGGGTTATTTTCAACCAAATTCATACAATAGTGTTTCACAATTTTGAAATTTACCACAATTTTCAACACATTCTGTACTATTTTCTTCTTTTTCATCCCAACACTGCCCTTTGATTTGACAAAGTGATGTTGGCACCTGACACTATTCCTTAACTTTATTAAGTGAGTATAATTAAAAGTTATTTGCGTTCAATTATTTGCTTATCTGCTTTTTTGATTGTGCTTTCTCTTTTCATCAATACCAATTTTAGCTTCATTTAATCAAACTGGTGAAATAATTAGATAGATAAGAAATGTAAAGTAAAACTGATGCATCAACCTTGATAAGACCCTAAGGTCTCCTAGAATATCAACTTCCTTTATCACCATTCTCCCTAAGGTTCACCTTGATTTTTATATGCATTTTAACTTTTGTGGACTGGGGTGGAGTGGTTACTGAGGGGTCCATTAAAATAAACATAAAACGTTAAAGGGTAAGTAAGGTAAAAATGCTTTAATATCAACTATTATAGGGGAATTCCATAAATATGTAGAATCTAACATATGTAAAAGTTTCATATTCAATAAGAAACTGGGTCAAAATGATCATTTAAAACTACCCATTAGTAGGAGGAGGGAGAGGAGCAAAAAAAAAAAAAAAAACTATTGGGTACTAGGCTTAGTACCTAGGTGGTGAAATAATTTGTACAACGAACCCCTGTGACAGGAGTTTACCCATATAACAAACCTGAACATGTACCTCTGAACCTAAAATAAGCATTTAAAAAAAGCTACCACTTAGATAAAGGGAACGATCTTGGACTATGTATGCATTTATTAAACTCCTCATGTAAGCATAGTACCTTCCTTACTAGATTTGTGAGAGGTCTAAGATGACAGAGCATTAGACATAGATGGATTAGATACAGATGGGCCCTGAATATCTTAGTTTAACTCTCTCCTCCAGAGGACCAGAAAGGTACAGTGATTTCCTTAAGATTAGGTAAAGGTGGGAGAAACAGAAAGAAAGCAAGTGTTGAAGTGAGAAATAGAAAACAACTTCTGGACTCCTAATGAAAGCACTTTCTACTACTGATTCAGACAAAATAAGTTTTCATTGCCTGGCATCCGAACCCACCCCCCAACTAGTTCCCCTTGTGTGAGTCTTAGTGTAAAGTATTACTCCCTTTCTCCACCCGCTGCTAAGCCAGGTCATGGGCACATGATCCAGTCTGGAATGCTCCCCACCTGGGGCTTTGGATCTTGAAGGACTAAAGTAAAAGAGGCAGTGAGATGAGATTTACCAACCAATAATGCTGACTGTGTCCCGTGGCTAGCAAGGCCTTGCCATGGTGTTTAGGTCCAGCAGTGGTTGTGGACTTCAGCAAAGTCAGCAGCAACATCCTAACCCAATTTCCTGCTGCCTCTCTTCCCTAGTTTCTCACCTTTGCCCAAGTATTTCTCTCTAGACTTTCCGTAAATTCTATGCATTCCCTGATGGTTTTTTGCCTTCTACCTAATTTTTCAAAGAATATCCTGGTTTATAATTTCTCTTGTTTAAAAATAAACATGGTTGATCTTGTTTGCAAAAAACAAACAAAAAAAGGAAGGGGGCAAAGTGTGGATGTATTATTTATTTAGAAGAAACAATTTGGTCAACTTAAAGTGATCCCACTAAATCCTTTTTATTTCTCAAGAACTCTGACGGATTCAGAAACCGGTGTCACAAAACAAGCCACAGGCAACTGACTCTCAGGGAAAATTAAAAATCAGGACTGGTTGACTGACAGTAAACTGAACTTTAGAAACACAGCTGCAAAACAACTTAAACAGTTGCCTATGGTCACCTGGAATGCCCATTGAGAGTATGATTCAAGAATAGTATAAAGGGCATGAGGAGTTCAATGACAGCTGATGAGGTGGCTATTTCTTATAACAAATAGCTTAATGGTGAAAAAAGTCATTTGCCTCAGCAGATCTGAGATGGTCAAAGATAAATTCAGACTTTGGTTTGATCCTGCATGCTGATCAATTACAATGTCAGTAGTACTCACAGCCCTGACAGGTTTCTTAGGTGGATATTGTGGCATTATCTGAGTTAGATTGAAAGCTGGAAAATTGACATGGAAATACATGAGAGGATTTAGAAGACCCCATGAATGCCAAACCCTTAATTCTCATTAAATCTCTTTTGCCAGCTTCAGAAATCTCTCTTGCTTTGTCTGATGAAACTGTTCTTCCCTTGATTGAAGATGCTTTTTTTTTTAACCTGAGGGAGTTACTTGCAAGAGAAAGCCAGTTCTCATCATCCTCCTGTCTTCTCTATCATTTCCCAAGATTGTCAGATTTCAGCATGGCCCTTGGAGGACGGTAGCAATAACAAAGTCAAAAGCCAGACAAGGCCAAAGAGCTTCCAGATTTCTAGTTTATAATGGAAAAAATTCAGGGAATTGTGTATGGGAATAGAGTGTAAGGATGATTGATGAAGGTTGAGAAATGTAATTATAGATTGGTCTGGATCCAACAATTCAAGATTCACTGTAGGTCGAGCATCTATACCGAATCCAAGCGGTGAATACGGCAAACGCTCCCAGTGAGCAAACCTTCAAGCAGTGCCTCTCACTGCATTTTACGTGGAGGGAGAGAAGACCAGAGGCATAGACCTATACCAAATCATGATCAGGGGTTAATGGTTTGGCCAGATATTTAGGGACATGGAAGGAACAAGATTAGAGACTGGAGGCAAGGAAATTTGGAGAAAAATGTAGATGGACTTTTCAGAGAGTGAGAATATTTGTTGTCCCTTGTGAATGCATATCAGAAGGCACACAGTGCAGAGGAGTCTCTTATGTGTGTCTCATCTTTTACTCTGTTAAAAAATGTTACATTGCATTTTAAGGATATAAATACAATATAAATGTTTCCTACATAAAGAGCAGCCAAGGAAAACACAACATTGTATTGAGAGACATGCATCTTCAATGAAGGTTAGGTATCAACAAACCAAGAGGTTTCTACCAGGAAAATGTTGACTAAGGCATGCTATTTGGTGGGCCTGTATGTGTTTTTTTGACGGCCCAGCATTTGAACTTACAACTAGATTTGGTGATCTTAATGCTGCTCTCTCATACAAAGATCTGGAGAGATAAAGGGGCTTTCCAACGATCAGGAAATGGAGGAAGGAAGGAAATGAGGGAGAAAAGATAGAGAACTGGAAATAAAAACACAGATCTCTGTACTCTTGTCTGCTAGTTTCCTGTTGCAGATTAATAAAGATTTAGGAGGTCACTGTTAGTGGAGACTGATCTTTTTTTAGAGGAGAGAGAACTACCTTGTTTCTGAGCTGTTTCTTAATATCTACAAATCTCTAATTGTGTGAGTCTTGAAAAAAAGCAGAAGTGCAATTCCTACCAGGGAGGGCAAAGGCAAGCAATATTCTTTCTTCCCACCCCTTGGCAAACAGGGTGCGGGCAGGTGAACTAGCCTCGGCCAATTGAATACTCCCACCTAGGACTTTGCTCTGGAGACTATGACTGAAAAATAAAGGGACAATAAAATTAAAAGTATGGTGAAAGCGGTACCTGCATCCAGCAGTGGTGTCCTAGCCAGATTGCTCCTGCTGGGTAGCTTTTCTTGATCTCTCTCTTTTTTTTATTTTTATTTTTTTTATTTTTGAGCTTCATTTCCCACTGATTGTGTGCACCAGCTGACAGCCTCAAATACTAGATACCTATGTATGAAAGCTGATTTGAAAGCTCATTTGCATGGCTACATCAATGAGCTCTCATATCTTCTAGCTTCTGGTTGGGTTTGGCCAATGAAATCACAGCAGGAGAATGGAGGGAGGGAGTAGAGTAAAGTCAGAATTTTTATTCTCCCCTTTCTGTAAGGACATCTTGGGTTGGCTTGCTCCTTAATAGAAATTCACTGTTTCTCTCAAGATATACTGCTCTACACAACTCTCTTTCCTTCCAAGTTCTAATAAACTCTCCATTCCTTTCTCTCTTTGGGCCAAAGAATAGTAACAGGTCTAATGCTGTTATCCCTGGATCTTCTGCACAATGCCTCATGGTTGCCCCAATCTCCTTCCAACCCCTCAAAATTAGTTCTTTTATAAATAAATCCTTCTCAAATTATCCTAACAAGAGGGTGTAATCTGTTAGTTGGAAACCTGGTTGATATGCCTTCAAGGACATTTCTTTTCTGGTTAACTTTGTGCCAAAGAAACCCAACAGACTTAACACTCTAAAAGGGGGTTAAAGAAGGAAAAAAAAAACTCAGAGTTGGGATCAAAGGTGAAATTTTTAGTGAATGGTAGTAAATGAGACTGAATTTTTTCAAGGGACCCTGTTAGGAAAAAGTCGCCCACAGAAAGGCATAGATAAAAATGGCTCAAAATACACTCAGAATTTTCAAGCCTGATTCCCAATCACAAAGGGCAGTGACTAACAGCTGATGTAAAAGGGAGCTTCTGTTCACAGATATACAATTGCTGAACAGTTGGGCCATTCATTTTTAAGTGTCTGACAGTCAGTTAGTCCTCCCTTTCTTCCTCCCTCCCAATTCCTATAGTGCTTTGCACAAAGTAAAATGCACATAGGTTTTTCCAGATGTCTCCTCCTCAATTTTTTCTGTCAGAGACACAGCTGTGCCATATTTGCAATAATGCAGCATGAAAAAGCTATTAATCTGGCTCCATCTAGATGCACCATGTCTAACTGCAGGGCTGCCTGCAGCTTAATTACAGGAGTGGGTAGGAAGCAATGAAATTTTAAAAACACAGCCCATGAAACACAAATAATAGGAATTAAAACTCTGGGAGAAAATAAGTAATAAGTAAAGAGCTTGCTGAAAACCAGACACTGCAGGTTTTGTACACATCATATCATTTAAACCACACAACAATCCTGCAAATTAGGAGGTGTTATCCTGATTTACCAGAAGAAGAATCAGAGACAGAGAGTAAGCAGCTTGCCCAGATTACTAAAGTAGTAAGTGATAAAGCCTGTAGTCAAAACTGTGCTATCCCAAGCCTATTCTCTAAACTGGGGTGCATGTCCCCTAGGGCAGTGGCCCCCAGCCTTTTTGGCACCAGGGATCAGTTTCCTGGAATACAATTTTTCCATGGACCAGAGGGTGGGGAATGTTGGGAGGATGGGGCTGGTTTTGGGATGAAGCTGTTCCACCTCAGATCATCAAGCATTAGTTAGAGTCTCATAACGAACGGGCAACCCAGATCCCTCACATGCACAGTTCACTATGGGGTTTGTGCTCCTATGAGAGTCTAATGCCTTCATTCATCTGACAGGAGGTGAAGCTCAGGCGGTAATGCTCTACCGCTGCTCACCTCCTGCCGTGTGGCCCGGTTTCTAAGAGACCATGGACCAGACCGGTAGAGGTCTGCAGCCCCAGGGGTTGGGGACCCCTGCCCTAGGGAATGCTCAAGACAATCCATCTTGGTGGAACAAAACAAATAATATAACTTTTAATTATGTTTATCTCACCCTTTAAAATCTTTTGTTTTTTGTGTATGCTTTACAATATACACAATATAGTAGTACAGTAGCACATGCATACAAATATATAAATACACATGTATTGCTTCTGCTGAGTAATCTTCCTTGATCTCTGGCTTTTTTTCTCAGCCTCATTCCTCAATCTTCTGACTTGAGTCTGTGCACCAGCTGATCGCCTCTAGTGCTAGATATCTACCCAGGAAAGCTGACTTGCATGGGCTACATTAATGAGCTCTCATGTCTTCTGGCTTTTGGTTGATTATAAATGAAGATGTGTAAGCTAAAAAGTCTGAAGACTGCTGTTCTGTGCTCTTTCAAGAAGCAGTAGAGTGTAGTTACTAGGAACATAGATTCTGGAACCAGGCTTCCTGTGTTCAAATCCCAGCCCCCACCATGTTTTCGCTGAGAGACCATGGGCAACTTAACTTTTTCTCTTCTGTAATACGGGAATTTAAAGAGTTAATACATAGAGTGCTTAGAACAATATCTAGCAGTAATAAGAGATATTAACCTAAGCCATTATCATCATAGTACATGATCCTTCAAAGTAGTCATTCAGGACATTACCTATTCATACAACTGCTGTCACAGACACCTCAAAATTCTTCTTTTGAAACTCTACCCTGAGGAAGGAAAGTGCAAAATTTCTTCTCTGGCGTAATAAAATGTGCAGTAGACTGTACCTGCCTTCTGTTTCTTGTTCATGAATAAAACTCCCTGGCTTTGGACCTATGAGTCCTCAAATCATATATCCTAGAACTGCACTAAAAAAGTTTAGAAATCAAAGAAGTAATTAGAATCTGTTTTGTAAATGTATATGCTTATGGGATTTCCCAGCGGAGTTTGTAGAGACACACCTGTTTATCTGATTCCATATAGAGAAACAAACAGCGATGGCAGCTGCATTGTAATGCTACTTAAAATTGCAAGCCTTGGACGTTTTGTTGAATGCTGTCGAGAAAGAAACAAATACAGCTAGGAAGCATAATCCATCAAACGTCTTCCTTGTTCATACATGCCTCTATTTCTAGTTGACATACAATGCTCCAGAAATGAATAACAACTTGAATTAATAGAGGCAACTGCTAAGACTTGTGCACGTTGTCAGACGTGTCATGGCTTCTGTGTATCAACATGATTTCCTAAGGAGCAGAGGAATATTTGGCTGTGTATGAAGGCGACACCGAAAGCATGCGTGACTGTTGAGAGATATAAAATTATACCTGCCTTCTCCAACATGAGGGAGGTGGCTCCACAGGCTTAAACCATCTGACTGCAGGGATTGTGGCAGAGCTGTTTACTACTCACTGAATGTCCACTGGCTCTCCCACATTTCCCAGCCTCTCTGCAGTGCACAGAGGCACATGACACTAAATCCAGCCAATGGGTTGTGAGAAGGAAAAACATGTTACTTGTGGCCTGAAACATTTCCGTTTATATCTTTTTTTTTTTTTTTTTTTGAGACAGAGTTTTCTCCTTGTTGCCCAGGCTGGAGTGCAGTGGTGCGATCTCGGCTCACTCCAACCTCCGCCTCCCGAGTTCAAGTGATTCTCCTGCCTCAGCCTCCCAAGCAGCTGGGATTACAGGCACCCACCACCACGCCTGGCTAATTTTTTGTATTTTTAGTAGAGACAGGGTTTCACCATGTTGCCCAGGCTGGTCTTGAACTCCTGACCTCTATCCACCCGCCTCAGCCTCCCAAAGTTCTGGGATTACGGCATAAGCCACTGCGCCCAGCCTGAAACATTTCATTTCTAACTTCCTCTCTCTCTTGCCCTGCTACAGCAACCAAAGAGGTCATGTGTTGTATATGATGTTGCTACAAGGTAGTTGAACTTCCATATGTAGCCTAAGCCCCTGCTTGAGCAGGTAGAGCAGATCCTCCAACTGACTGACCCACACTGGAAATGTAGCATTAGTGAGAAAGAAACTTCTTTGTGTTAAGCCACTGAGATTTGGGTGTTGTTTGAGCTGCAGCATAGCATGGGTTATGCTGACTAATACAGTGAGCTGCCTTTGCCTTATTAATAGCTAACACTGTTGAGTGCTCCACTATTCCAGGCACCAAGCTATAAGTTTTGCATGCATTACCTAATATTTCACAACCACCTTCTGGAATAGACTATAGTATTATGTTATATGATATATATATATATATATATATATATATAAAATCTAGGGCTACAGCATAGCTATATATACACATCATATATATCAGTGGTCCACAACCTTTTTGACACCAGAGACCAGTTTTGTGGAAGACAAGTTTTCCACTGACAGGGGATGGGGGGTGAGGGGAAGGGTGGGGATGTTTTTGGGATGATTCAAGCACATTACATTCATTGTGCACTTTATTTCTATTATTATTACATTGTAATATATAACTAAATATACAAATTTATGTTGGTATACATTATGTTATATACAAATATACAACATAGTGTAGAATCAGTGGGAGCCCTGAGCTTGTTTTCCTGCAACTAGAGGGTTCCCATCTGGGGGTGATGGGAAACAATGACAGATCATCAGGCATTAGATTATCACAAAGAGCACACAATCTAGATCCCTCCCATGTGCAGTTCACAACAGGGTTCACACTCCTACAAGAATCTAATGCTGCCACTGATCTGACAGGGGGTGGAGCTTGGGTGGTGGGGAGTGACTGTATATACAGATGAAGTTTCACTTGCTCTGCAGCCCTGTTCCTAACAGGCCATGAACCAGTACAAATTCGTGGCCTGGGGTTGCGATATATATTATATAGCTCTGGATCATATATATCAATAGTATAGATGGCCAGGCACAGTGGTTCATACCTGTAATCCCAGCAGTTTAGGAGGCTGAGGTAGGCGGATTGCTTGAGCTCAGAAGTTCAAGACCAGCCTGGGCAATGTGGCCAAACCCCATCTCTACAAAAATACAAAAATTATCTGGGTGTGGTGGTGTGTACCTGTGGTTCCAGCTATTCGGGAGGCTGAGATGGGAGGACTGGTTGAGCCCGGGAGGCAGAGGTTGCAGTGAGCTGAGATTGCGCCACTGCACTTCAGCCTGGGTGACAGAGTGAGACCCTGTCTCAAAAAAAATAGTATATAGGACAGGCGTGGTGGCTCACGCCTATAATCCCAGCACTTTGGGAGGCCGACGTGGGCGGATCACCTGAGGTCGGGAGTTCTAGACCAGCCTGACCAATATCATGAAACTCCATCTCTAAAAAAACAAACAAAAAAAAAAAACAAAAAAAAAACAAAAAAAAAATTAGCTGGGTGTAGTGGCGGGTGCCTGTAATCCCAGCTACTCAGGAGGCTGAGGCAGGAGAATTGCTTGAACCCGGGAGGCAGAGGTTGCAGTGAGCCGAGATCATGCCCCTGCACTCCAGCCTGGGCAACAGAGGGAAACTCTGTCTCAAAAAAAAAATACTATATAGATAACATTTATATCCTGTTATGCTAGAAATGTATCTCCTCCTAGCTAAGGCCAGCCCCTCTACATGGGGTCAGGATGACACCTCCTCCTGGCTTAAATTATTATTTTTATAGGTTTATTGACCCTCAGCCTCTGCGTATTTGAGAACTTGCTATTCATTAATTCTGCCATTCAACAGATATTTATTGTGTAGCTATTATGGGCCAGGTAATAGTCTGGCACTGGAGTACAACAATGGACAAACCTCCCTGCCCTCATAGAACTTGCATTTTAGTAAGCTATGTACCAGACATAGTGCTATGTTCTGGCCAAAGAGAGGTAGTGCTTGCAATGCAGGAAATGAAAGAACTCAGTCTAGTGGAAAGACAGCCACAAAATCACATCACACTGTATAATAAGTGCTGTGATGAGGCATGTGAACGTCCTTGATGCATGAAGGGGTCATGTGGCCTCATTGCAAATTTGGAGAGGGCTCCCAAAAAAACACAACACAGCCTCAGAATTGAATGATGATGAAGCAGAGATTGCTAGGGGGCTCTTTGGAGGAGGCAAGAGCATCCTTGAAGATGTGTGTGCATTGCTGCATGGACTTGTAGGGGACCCTCAAGGGTCCACACACTTTCATACTGTAGAGCTCATGTGAATTTGCAGTACAAATGTGGCTCTGGAACTGACGGTTCAATCCTGCATCTACCACTTGATAAATATGGGACCTTGCAAAATTATGTGATCTCAACCTCAGATTCTTCTTCCCAAAAATGAGACTGAAGTTAGTACTTCATTTAGGGTTCCTGTGAAGATTTGATGAGATCAACTATGGTGTGCTAGTTTTCTCTTGCTGTTGTCACAAATTACCATCAACTTGGTGGTGGCTTAAACAATACCCATTTATTATCGTACACTATTGTAGTTCTGAAGTGTGAAACGGGTCTCACTGGACTAAAATCAAGGTGTCAGTAGAGTTGCATTCCCTTCTGGAGACTCTTGGGGAGCATCCACTTCCTTGCCTTTCCCGGCTTTCAGAGGCTGCTTGCATTCCTCCGCTCATGGCCCTTACCTTCATCTTCACAGCCAGCGCTGTTGTATCTCTCTGACCACTCCTGCATCTTCACATCTTTTTGTGACCACAGCCTGGAAAGGCTCTTCACTTTTAAGATTTCATAGGATTTAATTGGGCTTACCTGGTTAATCTAGAATAATTTCTCCATCTCAAGGTCCTGAATCCAGCATCTCACAACTGCAAAGTCCCTTTTGCCATGTAAAGCAATAGACTCACAGATGCCGGAGATGATGGCATTATTGAAAACTAAAGTACAGGGTGGGAGCAGGCCCTAGCACAGGGGCTCAAGAGCCCCTTTACAGAATTTTCTGGGATTTTATTACCCTCTAGAGGTTTCCCACTGGTTACTTGGTGCCATTCCCAAGTAACCATTGGTATATTTCCCATTGGTTACTATGTAAATGAACTAGTGGCCTTGCAACCAATCAGAGGCTGAAGTGTACTTACAAAGGTTACACCCTATTCAAACATCTGATTGGTTGTGGAAAGCAACCAATCAGAGGCTAAAGTGAAGTTACAAAGTTACACTCCCATGCAAATGTCTGATTGGTTGCAAAAAGCAACTAATCAGAGATACTTTCAATTTTCCGTCTGCCACGCAGAAAAAGGGGGTGGGGGTTGCAAAGGGAGTAGCCTCTGGTTCTTTTGTTACTTAGGTATGGAAAGTTGGGGTTTCCTTTTGATTTAGTTCTAGGAAGTCAGCATGAATTGGCCTTAGCTTTCCTGCCTCCCGACCCTATTCTACTGCCTCAATTCTACAGTCACTTTCCAGTGTTGCAAGTATCTCAAGCCTGCTTTCACTATATAGACCCAGTCATTCCTCAAATACGTGCCTCCTTCTGGGGCTTCTGCTCACCAATTACCTGCTCAGCACCTCCAATTTGATGTCTTAGTGTGCTCAAGGATGAACTCATTATGCTCTTCTTGCCCCATTTACCTAACTCCAATGTCGCCAGCTCTTTCCTCAGTGTTCCCCATCTCAGTAAATGGTGCCCCCCTCCTGCTATTTGCTTATGTTGGAAACCTTGGAGTAGGGCTGCATCAATATCTTCTGGGATGCTTAGCACCAAAATGTGCCTTACTGTATTTTGAAATAAAAACAAATGACTGCATATTAAAAAGTAAATCTTTAAAAATTCTCATTTGCCCGTAGTAACAATTATGATACTCTAAAAATGAATATCAAATCCTTTTCAAAATAATTTAGGGCCCTATCTTTGCTGTTGCTCTAAGAACTATTTGGTAGTCCAGCACTGTCTAGGAGTCAATAGTCAGAAACCATTTCCTGTTGATTCTAAGACCTAAAATATTTTCAAATCTGCCTGCTCCTCTCTGGCACCAATGAACTGTACTCCAAGCCATCCTGACCACATGTCTGAAATTCTGCAATAGCCTCTGAACCCTTCTCACTGCTCCAGTTTATTCTCTACAAAGCATCTAGACCAGGCAGAATGATTTCAGGGACACACATAACTGATCCTGTCCTGTTGTTCTACTGCCTAAAACTTCTCAGTGGTTTCACATTGTCTTTAGGATAAAATCTCAGATCCTTAATAGGCCCAAGACCTTGCCACCTCGCTAGGAACCAGCCTCGCCTCTTGGTGTTCCTGGAAAGAGTCAAGCTCCTTACAAACCTTTATACACAATTTACTCTCTGCCAAGAGCTCTCTCCCCCTCCTGGCTTATCTTTCTCCAGTTCTTAGATTTAATGTTCTTTCTTCAGATAAGCCTTTCTTAACCTCCTACACCAGGTCAACGCTTCTTGTTAACCACTTCCTTAGTAACCTCCACTTTGCTTTGTAAGTAAATGATTATTTGTGTAACTAATAGTTTAATGTCCCCTCTTCATGTTAATGCAAACTTCCTGAGAAAGTGTTGGTAACACACAAGAGTAATTCAGGGATCCCTGAATCCAATTGTGTCTGATTCTAGGGCCCATGTCCACAACTACCAAACGTACGTAAATCTGCTCATTCTGGAAGATGGCTTTTTGCTTCTTTATTTCATGATAGCCAAATGTTGATGCATGGGAAACCCTGCATCATATAACATCGCTGAGCAAATTCTAGAGCAATGATGTTGGGCTACCCCTTTGTGTATGTTCTGTGAGTAGTGGACCATATACACCTCAGCTTTTACTTTTGTTGACTACAGGCTGGACTAGCTGGACTAGCTGCCCACATGCTTAAACAGAGGTAACATTAACCACTTTACAGGGTTGTAATAGTACTCATTTGTCCAATAAATACGTAATGAGCATTCAGTATAGGCCAGATGTTGGTTTAGATGCTGGGGATATCTTTAGCAGAGTGCTTACCTCCTTTAATGTTCCAGCTGGTCACTATTACTAGTAGTGTCATAATTGTGTGTCGATGCTTGCTTATGTCACGGAGTATGGGATTTGTGACGTTTGCCACTCATGGGCAGGGTCCCTGCGGCGCCTGGACCTCCAACGGCACAAGGGCGCGGACTCCACAGCATCACTGCGCGGCGTGGCCGCCTCTCTGCTCCAGGCCGCCAGAGGGCGCGTGGTCTCTACTGCCCCTCCGCTGTGCCTGAGCCTGCCCCTTACCAGCCACCCGGCCTCCGTTCCCCTCCCCAACGGCGCCTGTCCCGCCTTGCATTCCCAAGCTCCGCCCCCGTTGCCCGTAGCGGCTGTTTGTTGACTTCCGGGAGCGCGGTTGTAGTTGATCTCCGGAGTTTCGCCATGCGGAACTTGGGGGCTTTCGCGGCCCGCGTCGGTGCGGAGTAGCTGCTTTAGCCCCGACCAAACCGTCCTCTACAGCCTCCTGGCCCCGGCGCAGGCTGCCCGTACTGCCCGTGGCATGAGGGAGCCGGAAGAGCTGATGCCCGGTGAGTTGCGCCCGCGCCGGTGGCGGAAGGCCGGGAGGGAGGGTCCGCGGGCGGCCGGGCCCCGCCTCCGGATCGGCCCTGTAGGGGGACAGGCCCCAGGCTTGGCAGCCGGACTGGGGCGGGATCGCTGGTTGCGCTCCCGCGAATGACTGAGGGCAGAGGACCGGACGGGAAGAACAGGATGGGGGAGAACGGGAAAGAGGGTGCCTGTCTTTCGTATGCTTTTTAAATAAGCTCTTGATGAGCTTCTTGAAGGCAGGGACACTTTTTTTTTTTTTTTATGAGACGGAGTTTCACTCTTGTTGCCCAGGCTGGAGTGCAATGGCGCAATCTCGGCTCACCGCAACCTCCGCATCCCGGGTTCAGGCGATTCTCCTGCCTTAGCCTCCGAGTAGCTGCGATTACAGGCATGCGCCACCACGCCCGGCTAATTTTATATTTTTAGTAGAGACGGGGTTCCTCCATGTTGGTCAGGCTGATCTCGAACTCCCGACCTCAGGTGATCAGCCCACCTCGGCCTCCCAAATTGCTGGGATTACAGTCGTGAGCCACCGCGCCCGGCCAGGGAGGGACACTTTCTGTAAACTCCCCAAAGTGCGGACTCCAGACTTGTGCACTTTGGAGGTCCTGAGCTCCCGGTTATGTATTGAATGCAGTAAAGAGTGAGTGATCAGGGCTGTGGGGTAAAAGGGGATACAGGAAATAAATTGGACAAAGAGGGAGAAGAGGGACCCTTTAGCGAGTGTTTTTTAGCCTTTTTTTTCCTGAGCTCCATAGTTAGAAATACTTTTGACATTGTGACCCGATACTCCATATATACCGTGTAACAGAAATAGATGTCTGGTGAAGCAGTCCTTGTTCTATCCACTTAGATTCCACACACACCTTTTTGATAATGCATTCTTTTAAAATGCTGATCGTGATCCACTGAATTGATTTTCTGGCCCACTAATAGGTCACGACCATTTTGAAAAAACACTGGGTTTGAGCAGAATCATACCTTCACTGAAATATGTATGTTTTCTTCCATGCTCCTGGCCGGAACTGACATTCCTGGCCTGCAGTTCACAATTTAGTGAGACATACAGGAAAGTAAACAAAATGACCATATAAATTGACAGTAGATATTACAGGGCCAGAGCAGAGCCACCAAACCTTGGCTTGGGATGAGGGTATCAGGGAAGCCAGGGGAGCCAAGACAAAACAGTTAAAATGTTAAAGTAATTCATTCTGGGGAAACTCAGAGTCTGTTCTAGATCCTAGTCTCCCAACTCAATTATTAGTTGGAACTGAGATGCCTCACAGTGGTTCTCAAAAAGTTGTCCACAGTGGCTAGTCTCTTGCGTATTAATATTTATTATTAATACTTATATTCGCTATGTTTTCCTTTCTGGTACGAATTAGTTTATGTGTGATCACCCACCTTGGGATTTCCCCAAAAGCTGGACCTGGCCTACTATTTGGTGTATGTGTGTGTTTAAATGGTTATTGGGAAATGGTAGGGGTTTTTAGTCTTTCTTCAAAATGACGCTGTGCCACAACAGTTTGTGAATACTACTCAGATCAGGTAATGACTTGATGTAAGAATGTTAAAATCTCAACATCCCCATGTACTCCTCTCCCAATCTCCTAGGACCGTGGCATTTTGTGATGATGTTTTGGGGGGAAAGATAAACCGTCCTTTCCCATGTACTGTTTCTGGAAAGAGAAAAAGACATCTCTATAACTAACTATAGTGCATGAGTAAGATGAGAATTAGAAACTTCCTGAGTAGCTGTGTTGAGAGGATCTTTTCATTTTATAACTGGATCCCTAAACATTCTGAATTCTCAGAAATCAGGAAAAGCTAAAGTGCTCCTTTGTTGACGACTTGGTAACCTGTCTTTTATATTAACAATGTTGAAAGTTATATTTGACTACAAACTCTCCATTATGATGAATTGGTAAACAAAACATTCAACAGTTACGAATATACATGTGTGTAAGGGGGACCTTTTCTGTGTGAAAAGTAGAACACACAAGGGCTACTTTGTGCTAGGCAATATGGGTAGTGCATACCCTCTGTAACCTTAGAAAATAGTTGGAAAAAAACAACATTTGGGGTAACAAATGGTGAACTCTGTGTTTCAACACAGAAAAGCAGTGACTTTTTTTTTTTTTTTTTTTGAGACGGAGTCACAGTCACACTGTCGCCCAGGCTTGAGTGCAATGATGCTATCTTGGCTCACTGCAACCTCCGCCTCTGGGGTTCATGCAATTGTCCTGCCTCAGCCCCCCGAGTAGCTGGGATTACAGGCGCCCACCACCACGCCCGGCTAATTTTTGCATTTTTAGTCGACACGGGGTTTCACCACGTTGGCCAGGCTGGTCTCGAACTCCTGACCTCAAATGATCCACCTGCCTCGGCCTCCCAAAGTGCTGTGATTACAGGCGTGAGCCACCACTCCCGGCCGACATTTTTAAAGTATAGCTTTTTATTGCTTTGTGATGACCTCATCTTACATATTGTGCTACCTACCAATCTCTCTAATCAAACTGTTACACAAATCTTGCTGATTTGTGTAACAGTTTGATTAGAGAGATTGCTAGGTAGCACAATTATTTGCCATATAAATTCTACAGATCACGTAGTTCAGAGAAGCCAGTGATCATTTCCAACTCTTATGGTAGAGGAAGAGTTTACAGAGGTAGCTATTGAGCTAACACTTTGAGGATGCTAGGCTCTGGGCTAAGTTCTTTATACATGTCATCTCATTTAATCCTTACAACAACCTTTGAATACCTAATTGCCTTTAAAGCCTATGGTTTTTTTTCTAGCTGCTTTCCCTTAGTTCGAATGAAAGAGATAGTGGTGGAGTAATTTGTTTCTCTCTGTGCTGTCTCCGGTTTTATGGGTATTCATTGGGATTACCAACAGAGAAATTAAGAGTTCACCATTTTGGCCGGGTGTCATGGTTCACGCCTGCAATCCCAGCACTTAGGGAGGCCGAGGCAGGAGCCCAGGAGTTTGAGACCTGAGCCTGAGACCAGGAGTTTGAGACCAGCCTGAACAACATGCTAAAACCCAGTCTGTGCAAAAATTACAAAATTTAGCTGGACATGGTGGCACACGCCTATAGTCCTAGCTACTCCAGAGGCTGAGGCGGGAGGATTGCTTGGGCCCAGGAGGTCGAGGCAGCAGTTAGCCGTGATTGTGCCACTGCGCTTCAAGCTGGGTGACAGAGTGAGACCCTGTCTCAACAAAAATAAAAAGAGTTCACCATTTGGGCTAACATTGTTTCCCTTACATGAGAACACTGGAGGTTCCTTGGAAAAACTGGACCAAAGAAAATCCAAATTGACTGATAGAGACTCTCCCCATGGATAGCCTGATGATGTTAATGAGGAAACGAAATACTGTCCTGTTTCTGTGTGTGGAGAAAAGCTCTCAGTCAGAGGCCAGACCATGAGGTGTTAACTAGAACAAGAATAGCACAGATTGTGCCATTTCATTCCAGGGAATAGACATCTACTTGGTGACAGCAGAACTATTAGTAATAGATGACTGCCTTCCTTGTGATAGTATATTTCTTACTTTATACCAGTATATGAGTAATACATGTTCAATTTAGTAGATTTCATAGATAAAACTAGAATGGAGTCTGAGGAATAAGAAAGACTGAATTAAGGTGGAAGAAGGAAGGCTTAAACATTGCCAGAGTGGGGGCAAAGCTGTCATGAGACAAGGGGTTTGTATGGATAAATTACTCAAAAGTTATTTTAATAACAGGCAACATAGTAAAAGTTATAAAATAAAGACCGTCTTATATTTGCAGATTCGGGTGCTGTGTTTACATTTGGGAAAAGTAAATTTGCTGAAAATAATCCCGGTAAATTCTGGTTTAAAAATGATGTCCCTGTACATCTTTCATGTGGAGATGAACATTCTGCTGTTGTTACCGGTTAGTATTACAATCCTGAATAAGGACAGTAATACTTAGAAAATTCTAAATATTTTGTTATAGATATGCTGCTGTGTTTTAAACATGTTGAAAATATTATCAAAAGTGTTGTTTTTTACTTTGCTGGAGAATTCTTCACAAAATAAGTCATCAAGAGCATCTTTTAAATTTTAAGTTTCCTTAGTATATTTAAGTATGATTTTCTATACACACAACTTTCTTGGAATGAATCTATTTCAATATAATTTTTTAAAAAAACCTGTTACCGTATAATTTTAGAAACTCTTTTCCACCTAATAGAAACTGGTTATACATAGATGAACAAGGTAACTTATTTCAACACAGAAAAGCAGTGACATTTTAAAAGTATAGCTTTTTATTGCTTTGTGGTGACCTCATCTTACATTATGTGAAAAATGCTTCAATTGATTATTTCTTTTTCCCTCCTACCAGGAAATAATAAACTTTACATGTTTGGCAGTAACAACTGGGGTCAGTTAGGATTAGGATCAAAGTCAGCCATCAGCAAGCCAACATGTGTCAAAGGTTTGGGATCTTTTTATCTTTTCACAAACTGTATAAAGTATTTTTATGTTGACTGTGTAGTTCTTTAATGTCATAAATAATAAAGCTTTTAGTTCTTTATTTTCTGACATTTGCTTGAATATTATTAGCATTTAACTTATCTTTTATATGATATTCAGAACTGCTTTTATATGTTAGGGTCTAAAAATCAGATTGATTTTAAATCCAGGGACCACAAAGGAAGTAATGATTTTACAGTATTGCATTTGAATATCCCCCATCTTTTTTTGTTTGTTTGTTAGTTTGTAAAACTACTTACATATTACTGTTATTGTATATACAGAGAACAAACATATGTTAGAATTTTGAGCTTTTCTCATTTAATACAGTTGTGGACATTATGCTTCTATTTGGTTGCTGGTTTTATAAAACATACTTATCCTGCTTTATATAGTGACTAGGTGAAGTAAACGAAACATCGAGACTAGGGATTGATTAGTACTAGTGTAAAAGAACAACAGGACAAAATATTTGAAATCAGGAGTGTTCCAGAAAATATTAGATATATAATACCCTTACAAAGCTTTCTGGATGTTATATGCAAAACCTCTGTTTGGGTATAACCTGTGAACATCAGCTAAACTTGAAAGGATGATGGAGATTCCTTGAGAAGCAATAAGAGCAGTATTTTTTATCTTCCTGGCTAAATTTTAATTTCAGCTCAAAATTTCAGTGTAGCTTATCATATTCATGCTGTTTATGGGAATTGTTATGGAACTTTTAAAGTATTCCATGTGTTCAAAAAGTATTTATTGAGCATAGTCTAAACACCTGAGGATAGTCACAGTGACCATGACCCTTACTCTCAAATATCTTATCTAATAGACAAGCTAACAGGATTGTTTAGACTATGGGATCCTTGAGACCAGGGATTCTATCTTAGTCATCTTTTTGCAGCCCCTATGCCAAGCACGTAGGAGATGTTCTTTAAATGTTTTTTGAATATGTAGATGAATGAATGAACAACTTTGACTGATAGGTGTATGCCTATCAATATTGGTCTTCGGTTTTTCATTGAATGTGGTAGAAGGTGAGCTTGATAATGGTGATGGCAGGTTAGGTAATGGATCAGATTGGTGAGGAGGCAGCATAATAGAATACAGTGGGTCTCAGCACATATTAATTACCTGTGAAGTTGTTGTTTTTTTTTTTTTGAGACAGGGTCTTGCTCTGTCACCCAAGCTGGAGTGCAGTGGTGTGATCTCTGCTTACTGCAGCCTCGACCTCCTGGGCTCCAGCCATTCTCCCACCTCAGCACCCCCTCCCCGAATAGCTGCAACTACAGGCATGCATCACCACACCCAGCTAATTTTTGTATTTTTTTGTAGAGAAGGGGTTTCACCATGTTGCCCAGGTTGGTCTGGAACTCCTGAGCTCAAGCCATCTGCCTGTCCTGGCCTCCCAAAGTGCTGGGGAGCCACCACACCCGGCCTACCTGTGGAGTTTATAATTATATATATAAATGCCTAGCCGCTGCTTCAGACCCACTGACTCAGATTCCATAGGGGTGGGGCTAAGATATCTATATTGTATTCAAAGCTCCACTTGTTATGATGGTACACAACCAGTTCTGAAAACCTCTGG
The DNA here is from genome assembly GCF_000001405.40 of Homo sapiens. Lineage (NCBI taxonomy): Eukaryota > Metazoa > Chordata > Mammalia > Primates > Hominidae > Homo > Homo sapiens. The sequence continues at coordinate 38,321,229 of NC_000023.11, read as the reverse complement.
TTTGCTCGTTAAGAACATTGACTTTGGAATCAGACAAGCCCGCTATTAAATCTCGGTTCTATCACTTAGTTACCATTTGTCCTGGACTACTGTTCATTTTCATTGCTATAAAATAATTGTCCCATTTTAAATATTTTTAGCTCTAAAACCTGAAAAAGTGAAATTAGCTGCCTGTGGAAGGAACCACACCCTGGTGTCAACAGGTATAGTGCTCAACCTGTATGATTTCCTGCCTGACTTTGAGAACTGAGGTCTCATTCCAGTAACGTGGCTTTGTAAAATTAATAGAGATTATACTTTGGCAACAGTAAAATTAGGGTTTTTTAAAATGTCAATGGCTAGTACACGTTTGCCTTTGCAAATATACACGTAAATGTCAAATGGCTGAAGAAAAAGCTTCTTTTCTTGGATTCTATCATGGGACAGCATCTCCTAACCTGTGTGTCCACCTTAAGGGCTGGTTATTCCTGTTCTTGCTCTTCTCTCTTCCTTACTAAGGGTGAGTGGAAGGCACCCAGAAGGCTGTTGATGTGAGTGAGCATAATTCCCATCAAAATCCATATGAGCTTTTGTGTGTGTGTGTGTGTGTTTGTAGAAATTAACAAAGTGCTTCTGAAATTTATATGGAAAAGCAAATGACGTAGAAGAGCCAAAACAATTTTGAAAAATAACAGAGGACTGGCACTACCTGGTTTCAAGACTCGCTGTAAAGCTACTGTAATCAAGACTGAGGTATTGGCAAAAAGATAGACAAAGATTAATGAAACAGAATAGAGTCTACAATTAGACCCATATGTATATGCCCACTTGATTTTTGGCAAAGATGCCAAGGAAATTCAATAGAGAAAGGATAGTATCTTCAGCAAATGCTGCTGTAACATTTAGACCTCCAGGACCTGACCACTGAGCAGTACTTCCTACCACCTTCCCCCTGCCCCTGCCCCTTGCCCCGCCCCTCCCCCACCACCACTTATTCTGTCTTCAGGATGTTTTCACTGCCTCAGCTCCTCTCCACCTCTCCATACCTTTCCCTTTCTGAAGTGTCTTTTCTCTTTCTCTTAGCCTTTTAAGATTATTTCTTGAGATCCCATTAAGTGTTAACTTCTTTCATGGAACATTTTGTGACTGTGTGTTCATTTATTTGTTTGAATTATTTCAGCATCTCACCAACTCTGGTTTGCTCCATGTGTGTGAAATTGTGCACTCCAATTGCATGTGACCTTGTATTTTCCATTTGAAAGCTAGTCTTGTTTCCCCAATTAGGTTTCGTCTTTTCCTAAAAACAAAAAATAAAAATAACAATAACTTTAAAATTTTTACTAACTCAGGCTGATTTTGCCCTCATTTCACCTTATAATTTAGCAAGGCTTTAACTTCATTTATATATTTATGACATAACTAATTTATGTGTTACAAATCTTCATTAATTTACAACTTACTGGAAATGTTTATAATCTAGGCATGATGTACTTTTTATTTAATTAACAGAGTAATTAACAAACATTTTTACATACTTTAAATGAGCCAAATGCTGTTCTAAGAATTTTACAAATCTCAACTAATTCAATCTTCATAACAACTCTATGAAGTAGGTACTATTATTATCCTCATTTTATAGATGAGGAAAATGAGGCACACAGAGGTTATGGCTTGCCCAAGGTCCCACAGCTTTGGTAAGTGGTAAGCCAGAATTTGCACCCAAGCAGTCTGGCTCTGGAGTCTTTCCTGCTAAACAGAGTGCTATAGTGCCTTCCTATTTAGCTAGGAAGTTAAAATAAATACAAAGAATTATCATGTTTCTAATTAGATTCTTCTTGGATTTGCCTTGTTTTACTTATTTGTACTATTATATCTTAGCTTTAATGGTTACAGAAGTTAAAATTAATGGACACATCTCTTTTAAAATAGATTTGCATTTTAAACTAGTTTGGAAGTTACTTTCCTTGTTTTTACTCTGAATTAATAAAGTGCTATATTAGCAAGAAATAAATACGTTCCATGCATTCTGTTCATTTCAGTTGCTAGTTACATTCTAGATTGATTTCTAAAATCTCACAAAAATATGTGGCCTTGCTTGTTTTGCTTTATTTTGACGATGAAATGAAGTTGTCTCCCAAATAATAGGATAGTGATAGCTTTCAACTTTCTTCACTGTTAATAGAGGAAATCGCTGCTATACACTGACCTGTCTCATAAAAAGGGGGACTCTATAGTCTATTGACGTTTTCTTTTCCATGTGCAGAAGGAGGCAATGTATATGCAACTGGTGGAAATAATGAAGGACAGTTGGGGCTTGGTGACACCGAAGAAAGAAACACTTTTCATGTAATTAGCTTTTTTACATCCGAGCATAAGATTAAGCAGCTGTCTGCTGGATCTAATACTTCAGCTGCCCTAACTGGTGAGACTTGTTTCTTTTTCAGTCTGGGACACATTCCTTTCCTGTAGATCAATATATGCCAACTCAGTAAACCGAAGGGAGCATTGCTGTTTAGTTTTCTTTCATCGACTATCTATGTGCTTTCAGAAAACATTTAAAATATAACTTTAAATCTTGACATACTGCAATTTTATGCTTATTTATGCTTATTTTATGCTTATTTGTGCTTATTTAAATATACATTTAAAAAGTAATTGGCAAATAAGCTCTAAGCTATGCCGTCTGTCTACTCCTTTAGATATTCTTAAATATTATTTTTGTTGTGTGCTCTTAAAGTTATACTTGCAGTTTTAACTGAAGTTGCTGTCAGAAACATCCACAGAAATCTGTTGCAGCATATGTTGTTAAAATGTGGTTTGCAACGGTCATTGTACCTCTCTGCCCTCCCTACCAAAAGCCCATATGAGACATTTCTTTAAAATTTGGAGCCAAGATCAGCTTGATCTTACTGAAGCTGCTGGTTAGCTGCTTTGTTTCAAGCAGGAGACTGTGTAACATCCGGTGTTACTCTATCAGGAAAGTCAGAGTTGTCTCTGAGGCTCAGTCCTTTAGATTTTGTCAGCCCTTAAGTTAGCATTTTGACATCCTTCTTTCAGTTCTTATTTTCATTTATTTGTTTTGCATTATTAAAATACTTCAAAAATGTAAATTATTTAAAATATATAAATAAATAAGTCTTAATAATTCCTTTCTAAAATATTTTTCCTAGATTAACTTTTTCTGACATCAAAACCCTTATCAGAAATTATATGTTACCTATTTTTGAGATGCTGTACATGCTATTGTATCTTCATTCTCTGAGGCTAGATTCTGTGTTTTCAGGTTTAAATTATAAGGAAAAAAAATGTAGTGAAATACGTTTCTTCTGTTCTTTTTTCAAAACATCATTTCCACAGTGCTCCCAAGAGCAAGGTCTTCCAGGCTTTTTTGACCTGCAGGTGTCTAATGTGACCTGTGCTGTCTTTCAGTTCAGTTGCAGGTAGGCTGCTTGGAAGGAGGAGAACATTTCTGTTTAGAAACATCAGAATGGGAAAGGGTGATTGTAGGAAAGGGCATTCTGTCTTTGCTATCGAGATAAAAATATGGTCAGGACTTAAGTGATTTACAATCAGGCTGTTCTGTGTTCTTTATCATTATAGAAGCATTTCACAATATAAATTGAACTCTTAAGTAGCTAGCTGGTGTAAATGTCTTAGTAGTACTTTATTGTTAAGATACATAATTTTTATGAACTAATAAAATAAATGGTCTTTTGGAAGTATAATAGCTTCAGAGCCTGGCTACCTTTTAAAACCTTTTCTCCCCCTTTTATTTTTCTTTATAGAGGATGGAAGACTTTTTATGTGGGGTGACAATTCCGAAGGGCAAATTGGTTTAAAAAATGTAAGTAATGTCTGTGTCCCTCAGCAAGTGACCATTGGGAAACCTGTCTCCTGGATCTCTTGTGGATATTACCATTCAGCTTTTGTAACAAGTAAGACACATTTTGAAGTCATCATGTTATCTCCCACTTCTATGTTGTTATTAAATTAATAATGAAATGATATAGTCTCTGGTTCTATAGAAATAATGCCATGGTTGTCCATGTAATGAAATTATTTTGGTCTGTTTTAGGTCACAGTATTTCCCCATTTATATAATAAGAGTTCATAATTTCAAACTCTGTCTGACATGATCACTTTTTAGGTGAATATAGAGAGCTCAGCATGGGATATAGTTTCCTTTGGTGGGACTTTCTCAGCATTCCCAACTTCTCCCTTTCCTGGACCCACTGGCAACCTTTTCTGTCTTAGTTAAAATATTGGAAATGTTGGGCTCTAGCTGTTATAGTCTATATCTATCTACACTAGTAATAATAGAGGAAGTGTGATTATGACTTTCCATCTAATTGATGGGATTTTTCAACAGTAAAAACACCTAGAGGAAATAGTTTATGGACCCTCTTAGACAAATCTTTAAATATTTATTTTATACATTTACTCTTTATTCCATATACCACAGGCTCAGGGTTAGAAAGTGGTAATTCACCCATTTCACTGCCCCCTAAAGTTACCAATGAATTGGTAGCAGCATGATACCAAGAGAGAGTAAACCTGACTTTGTCAGTATTTTTCACCACTGCATCCCTGGTGTCTTGAACAAACTGATAATCAATAAATATTATTGAATGAGGGAGAAAGTGAATAAATGATGAATTGATTGCATTCCTTGAGGCAACACTACCTACCAACTTATTGGCAACTTTTGGCTCCTGGGGTTGGTATAGTCTGTACTCGCTTTGTTCATGAAACAAAAACACAAATGGGAAAATAAGCCAACCAAACAACAAAAATACCAAGTAAAAGCATTGTATCATATTTGGGCTTTAAGAAAACTGCCTGAATGAATTGTGTGAATGAACTCTGCATTAGCCGTTAGGTGAACAAGTGGAATAGTTCATCTTAACCAACAGGCATTACATTGAGCTTTTTTTTGGTTTGTTTTTATGCCTTTTTTTAATTAAAAAAAGCTCAGCTTTATTGAGATATAATTCACATACCCTACAATTCACCCATTTAAGGTGTACAATGGAATGTCTTTTAGCATATTCACAGGTTTGTACATAAAATGAACTTTTATACTAAGCATTTTGCTGAGATTCATTTACATCAGCTGATATGAACTGTCAGTAATTTTCACACTAGCCATTATTTTATGACTTTAATCACTTAAAGCAACTTTTTATAAATTTTGGAAATAACTCAAGTATAAGGGGTTTTACTTAATATGTATTTCATGATAGAGGAAAATGTTGTATAGAAAAGCATTATTTTTTTCTCTTTGTATGTTGAATTTGTAGATCAGAAAAAATGGATTATTTTTAATTTTTAATATTTGTGGGTACATAATATATATATAGTGGGTACTACAGATATATGTTTAGTGGGTACTCTCTCTCTCTCTCTCTCTCTATATATATATATATATATGTATATATATGGAATACCTGAGATGTTTTTATGCAGGCATGTGATGGGCAATAATCACATCATGGAGAATGGGGTATCCATCCCCTCAAGCATTTATCCTTTGTGTTATAAACAATCCAATGATACTGTCTTAGTTATTTTAAAATGTACAATTATTTTGATTGTAATCATCCTGTTGTGCTATCAAATACTAGAAATTATTATTTCTAATTTTTGGACCCATTAACCTCCCTCCTACACACACCCCACTACCCTTTCTAGCCTTTGGTAACAATCCTTCTACTCTTTATTTCCATGAGTTTCTTTTGATTTTTACATCCCACAAATAAGTGAGAACACGCAGTGTATGTCTTTCTGTGCCTGTTTTATTTCATTTAACGTAATGACTTCCAGTTCCATCCACGTTATTGCAAATGACCGGATCTCATTCTTTTTCATGGCTGAATAGTACTCTATTGTGCATAAGTACCACATTTTTTCTTGTTTTTTGAGACAGAGTCTTGCTCTGTTGCCCAGGCTGGAGTACAGTAGTATAGTCCCGGCTCACTGCAACCTCTGCCTCCCAGGTTCAAGCGATTCTCTTGCCTCAGCCTCCTGAGTAGCTGGAATTACAGGCGCCCACCATCATGCCCAGCTATTTTTTTTGTATTTTTAATAGCGACAGGGTTTCACCATGTTGGTCAGGCTGGTCTTGAACTTCTGACCTCAGGTAATCTACCCTCCTTGGCCTCCCAAAGTGCTGGGATTACAGGTGTGAGCCACCGCGTCTGGCCCCACATTTTCTTTATTCAGTCATCTATTGATGAACACTTAGGTTGCTTCCAAATCTTGGCTATTGTGAACAGTGCTGCAACAAACATGGGAGTGCAGATATCTCTTTGATATACTGGTTTCTCTTCTTTTGGGTATATACCCAGCAGTGGGATTGCTGGATCATATGGTAACTCTGTTTTTAGTTTTTTGAGGAACCTCCAAACAGAATAGTTTATTTCCTAATAAAAATACAGAACATATTACTAAGATAGTTATGTTTAAGACTTCCTACAGATTTTTCACCTACTAATATGTTTAAATGCTCATGTTCGTGTTTTAAATTCATGTTCTCAATTCAAGTTCATATTATAAATTATATAAAATATTCAATTTTTAGATCTTATAGATAAATAAAATCTATGGAGTTTTCAGGTATTATCCCTGATTGCTGTGTCTTTTCATCTGATATGTTAATGGTTGGGTCTGAGCATTTTAACCAGTGATTCACTGAATTAGGTGTAGTACAATAGGGGATATAAGTAAATGAGTTGGGGTTATGGGAACTGGGGGCAGGAATTTGTGGAGCAATCTTCAGATACTGGAGAATAGAGACTTGGCAGTGTGCTTAAGATCAGAATCCTGGGGAAGGTAGCTGTCAGAGCCAGGTAGAGAGTTTGAGGAATCCAGATTTTATAAAAATTAATAGGCCTAAGTGAAGTAGATATAATTGATATGAAATGACCTATTTATTCTTTGTGATAAATGTTATTTTATTTTTTATATATAAATAAGAAAAATACCTTGGAATTAAATAAAACATTTTATATGGATTAAAAGCACTCACCTTCCCCTTTAAGGAAGGTCCTACTGATAGCTACAGGAAATATCTTTTCTAACCCTTTACAGCAAGCTCGTCCAACCCGCAGCCTAGGATGGCTTAGAATGCCGCCCATCACAAATTGTAAACCTTCTTAAAACATGAGATTTATGCACAGACCTTTTCTTTTTTTAGCTCATCAGCTATCGTTAGTATTAGTGTATTTTATGTGTGACCAAAGACAATTCTTCCAGTGTGGCCCAGGGAAGCCAAAAGATTGGACACCCCTGCTTTATAGGTAAAACATTTTACTTTAAAAAGTCGACACTGTGAGAAACTTCATCAACTTACTATGTAAAAGTCATTTTAAATGATATTTCTTACAATACCAAGTTGATTAAAATGTAGTACCTACCCTTCTGAAGTTTACAGTCAAACTATAGGATGTATAGTTTTTCCATGTACAAAGCATTTTCAAGTACGAATATATTTCATTTAATCTCCCAACCACTCTGGGAGAGAGGTGGTGGTATCTGAGATTCCATATATGCAGGCAGGTTTAGAACACAGTTTTATTCAAGGTGATGCTGCGATTGAGTTGCAGAATCAGAATTCGAACTCCAGTCTTCCAGTTCTAAAAGCCTGAACAATTTCTACTGACATGCAGTTTCTCTCCATATACAAGAGGAAGAGGAGGATGTGGTAGCAACTAATAATGACCAGGCACTGATTATGTGTTCTATGTGCCTTTGAATGCATTAATTCGGTTATTCCTATGAAACAACCCTATCACATAGGCACTTTTATCCCCATGTTACAGGCCCAGTGATTGAACAACTTGCTCAGTATGACTCAGTAAGTGGCAGAATCCACATGCAAACAAGGCAGTCTGACTCTGTAGCACATACTTTTTGCTACTGTGCTAGACCAATAACTGCAATATACAGCAGACCATGATTGGTAACGTAAGACATTTGATAGCAGAGTCTTACGTGAGAACAAGAAAGAAAAAATATTATTTCTTGTTAGGGGCGTCAGGACATATTTCAGAGAAAGGGTGGTATTTGAGATTAACCATGAAAGATGGAAACAACTCTGAGAGAGACAGAGATGAGGGAAGAACAATCCAGGCAGAGACAAAAACATGTGCAGAGATATAGAGACAGAAAAGTAAATCATGTATTTGGAGATTATTGCATAGTTGAGTTTGTTTAGAGGTTGTTTGTTTAGAGGTTAGGGATCATGGATCCTAAAGGAATGTAAACCCCTGAAATGATATGCTAAATTTGGTAGGTGCATTTTTTTTTTTGAGCTAGGTCTCACTCTGTTGCCCAGGCTGGAGTGCAGTGGCATAATCACGGCTCACTGTAGCCTAGACCTTCTGGGCTCAAGTGATCCTCCCACCTCATTCCTCCGAGTAGCTAGGACAAAGATGCGTGCCACCACACTCGGCTAATTTTTGTATTCTTTGTAGAGACTGGGTTTCACCATGTTGCCCAGACTGGTTTCAAACTCCTAGACTCAAGCCATCCACCAGCCTCGGCCTCCCAAACTGCTGGGATTACAGGCATGAGCCATCACACCCTGCTGGGATGTGTACTTTTTTTATAGAGCTGTCATCAAATTCCCAAGGGAGGATGTGACTCAAAAGAGAGTCACCAGGTTGGGGAGTAGATAGAAATATGACTGGTTAGTAGTCCGGGAACCTAATATGGAAGGTCTCTTGTAACAGTCTGCAGTTTGTACTTGATACATGTATTTTTTTTTTATTTGGAAGTGTCATAATTAGAGCCTTGTTTTTGGAAGATGCATCTGATATTGTGTGGGTATGTTAGACTAGAGGTAGGAAAGACATTTGGAAAACTTGATCCAGGTGAAAATTCATGTTAAGGTGTAAAGGGAATCAGGAATCTATAGACAGAAATGGAGAGAGACTCATCAGGACTTAGGAACCAGTTTCCTATGGGAGGCAACAAGCATGGGAAAATGGAAGGGTGCTAACTTACTGGGCACCACTTTTGTGCCAGTGTTTGCTAAATACTTCATAGAAAACTGTGGTCCATAAAACTTCATTTTCTGTGCAGATCAATTCAGAAAATCAATATAGCTGTGTTTACAGTATTTGAGCAAGTTCTAAGTGGTGCATATCTTGTGCATTGGCTGTCCCACACCTTCCTGAAGTTCTGTGATTTTCTAGAAGGACTCACAGTCTTCAATAGCGATTATACTTACGAATAAGATTTATTACAGCAAAGGATACAAAGCAAAAAGAAAAAGTGGGAAAAAGATAAGCATCTGCAGTGGAGTCCAGAGAAGTCAAGCTTGGGCTTCCTAGTACTTTCTCTTAGGAAACCACACAGGGCATGTTTTCTTAGCAGTGAACTACAGGGACATGTGTGGAATGTCTCTGCCCAGGGAAGCCCATTCTGTTGCTTCTAGGGGATTTAGGGGGCTGGTCATGTAGGCACCTCCTGCTAGCAACTGGCCACAGCAGCTGAAACTCAGGACCCTCAATAATGAAGCCAGGTGCACATCATCAATGTTGATGTTTGTGCAAGCAGCCCTGACAAACCTAATCTGGCATAGTTCATTGCTCTGGTATATATAACAAAATCATTAATCATTCACATAAAGAACACTCCAGGGGCCACCTTCTCAGGGGTTGGGCAAGGATCAATCATGGTTCTCTCAGAGACTTGCAAAGAATAAGCAAGCAGATCTGCTCTGTTGTCTCTTTGCTTATACCAATGGTGATATGTTCCATGTCATTCTTCAGATTGGATCATATACTTACACAAGGTTTTTAAATTCTACTTTATAGAACTCAGTTAATTGCATAGAAATGAATAAGAAAGTTCTTGCTTTCAAGAAGTTCACAGTCATAATACAGTGTGATAAATGTAATAAAGAAGCAAATTAATAGCGTTAGTATGGACAGGGCAGTGATTAAGTGTCAGGAACTCCTTGGTAAGAGTCTTTGGAGGAAGTGCCATCTAAATGGGTAAAATCTGCTATCTTAAGATTTACTTAACATATTTACTGCACACATAAGTGAGTTTTCTAAAACCAGTTTCATATAAAGCAATTATTCATTCATTTATTCCACAAATATTAAGTGCTTGTTCTAGACACTGCTAGGTTTTGGGGATACCATAGGGAGCAAGACAAAATTCATGTTTTTATGGGAGCTTTAAGTAAGTAAAAGACACAAGATATTCTTCACTTTTGTGAAAGCACTAAAGTAATTTTCTAGTTGTTTATTAGTAGTGGTAGTCATGAATTTTTCATGAAAATGATTGGATTAAAATAATCAAGGGGAAAAGAAAATCTAGCTTTATTTCTTTATCATACAGTAAAAATATCTCAAGAAAGGTCAAATGTATTAAGTGATCCTTGTCAAAACTTTTTTTTGACGGTAAGACCAGCTTTTTGTTCATATGTATGTCATCACTAATCACTATACTTTTCCTTCAATAGCAGATGGTGAGCTATATGTGTTTGGAGAACCTGAGAATGGGAAGTTAGGTCTTCCCAATCAGCTCCTGGGCAATCACAGAACACCCCAGCTGGTGTCTGAAATTCCGGAGAAGGTGATCCAAGTAGCCTGTGGTGGAGAGCATACTGTGGTTCTCACGGGTATGTGTGGAGTCCACTGTTCTGTTCCCTGCGTTCTGTGGTGGCTAATGAAATTTTTTTAATGTTCATTTTTTTTATGTTCATTTTTTTATTGTGGTAAGAATACTATGAGAACTACCTTCTTAATAGATTTTTAAGAGTATAATAAAGTATTTTTATGTATAGGCACGACCATTGTACAGCAGATCTCTGAAACTTATCTTGAGTAACTGAAACTTCACGCCCACTGTACGGCAACTCGTCTTTCCGGCCTCCCCTCAATTCCTGGCGACCACCATTTTATTATTAGCCTCTATGAGTTTGACTCTTAGATACCTCGTGTCAGGTGGCCTTTGCATCTCTTTCCATTAAGATTCTCACTTTTTGGACCTGGTGCAATGGCTGACACCTGTAATCCTAGCATTTTGGGAGGCCAGGAGATCTCTTGAGCCCAGGAGTTCGAGACCAGCCTGAGCAACATGACGAAACCCCATCTTTACTAATATTAGCCAGGTGTGGTCTCAGGTATTCAGGAGGCTGAGGTGGGAGGATCACCTGAGCCAGGGGAGGTTGAGCTTGAGGTGAGCTGTGATTGTCCCACTGCACTCAAGCCTGGGCAACAGAGCAAGACCTCGTCTCAAAACAAAAAGAAAAACAAACAAAAAAAAGATTCTCACCCTTTATTCCTGTACTTAATATACATTTCTGGTCTATGGAATATTTTTTTTAAGTAGAAAAAAAATGAATCTTGTTGAATTGTTTCTGCTAACATAATTTACATTTTCATGACCTTAACTGTTTTTTTTTGAGACGGAGTTTCGCTCTTGTCATGTAGGCTGCAGTGCAATGGCCTGATCTTGGCTCACTGCAGCCTCTGCCTCCTGAGTTCAAGCGATTCTCCTGCCTCAGCCTCCTGAGTAGCTGGGATTACAGGTGCCCACTACCATGCCCAGCTAATTTTTGTATTTTTAGTAGTGATGGGGTTTCGCCATGTTGGCAAGGCTGGTCTCAAACTCCTGACCTCAGGTGATTCACCAGCCTCGGCCTCCCAAAGTGCTGGGATTACAGGCGTGAGCCACCACACCTGGCCTGACCTTAACATTTTTAATGGCAACATATTACATTATTTTTAGCTCATTTTCAGGGACAAACAATTTTTCTCATGTATATGTTTTCTATATTTATCTAAAATTGACATTTTTCCTGAAATGCCTTCTTTTGGAGAAGCTTTTTGTTCAAGCTATTTTCTATATGTCATTGATAATTCTTTTCTTTGTGACATTTACAATGTGTAGCTTGGGGATTTCTTTGTAGTTGTATGTTCTGTTATAGTAATTCATTAAAAAGTGGTATGGTTTTAAATTACAGATAATAAAAGAAAGTTAGGACCTTAATGTTACTTTTGGGATCTGAATTTCATATTTGTTATGACATGTCATTTCTCAGGATTCTAATCACTGTATTGAAATATACTCACTACTTGCTAATATGTTTACTAAATTGATGCTTCCAAATTTTTTCAACATTAGATTTATTTTAGATGAGTAATGTACATAATACAATTAGGTAGTGAATTATTATTATATTTTTTGCACAAAAAAATTAACAGTTTGTGAAGTCACCACTTAATCTTTAGTAGCCCAAAGTTAGAAATGTTGTAGACAAATTTTGAATAATATCCAATTCTAAGATGATATGCCTAATGTTGCCAGGTAAGTGAATAATATTTTATCTTTATGTTTTTTTCTCTGATGTTACTTTTCCTCAGCTTCCTGTTCTAGCCCCAGTCGTGGTTATTAAGCTTTAGTTTCTAGATGGAATCTTTTCTAAGTTAGAAATAATTTTTTTTCAAAACTTATACTCTAAATTTGGAAATAATTCTGAGGTTTAAGATGTTTTTGAATTCCTGCTGAAAAAGTGAATTTTATATAATTTCGAAAATATTCTAAAAATTAAACTTTGAAATTAATTTTTACACATTATCTGAAAATTCATTCTATAGGCAGAAATGCAACTTTATGTGTTATATATTTTCTCTAGTTTATACAAAGACTATAGAAAGAATTAATTTAATAGGTCATTCAGGGTTATTTTAACAGATACAAATGTTGATTGTATAATAGTGTCTTTAACCATTCATTATAAAACATTTTTCTATAAAGAGCAACAAGATAATCTATGATACTTTTAATGAAAGCTCAATTCTTAATTTTAAATTCTTAATTTAAAATAAATGCACTTAAGGATGATATTTTCGTGTGGTTTTAAAGACATTTAACTTTCTGTGGACTTTGTTCTGAGCTTAAGTATAATGTTTCCAGAAATTGATTGCTCTCTCCAGATTTTTGCAAGCTTACGGATCTCACACACCAGTAAAGTTTTTTAAATTATGAGATGCATCTATTTGACAGACCTGGAACAGTTATTTTTTGCCACTAAGATTTCTACTACAGATGCAAGAAAGAAGTGTCCTTGCATTTCCTTTCTGATTGTGGCAGCCAACATTGAATGGGGGAATACAGGAGAAAAACTTGGTAATACAGGGAAAAAAACATGGAGAGATAATTTTTACAGTTCATAAATAACTTTGTAAACAGTGAAGAGCTTGTGTTACAATCCAGAGAATAATCTAAAATTTGAGTTTAAAAAATTATGAGAACCAATAGATGGTTGTCAGCTTCTGATTCACGTTTGCTTAAATATGGGCATTGAAAAACATGACTGCACTATCATATCATAAAATAAGGAACATTTTCAAAATAAAAAACTCTTAATTGTATATAATAAAGGGCACCTCCTTAAACTGTATAAATGTATATGTATGAAAATTTCACTACTTTGCCTGTTTTTCACATTTCTCCATGGACCTGTGAGAGCTTTATTATGAGCCAGCCCTGGTGAGGAACCTGGTTCTGGAGCACAGTATAGGCAGAATTTTAAAAATATTTAGTCCTAGCTGATGAAGAAATGGACCTGAAGAGTATATTGATCATCAGTGTGACTAAATACTAAACTGGATTGCTAAGAGAGTTATGGAATATTTTGTAAGACCTTAAGGAAAGAATAGCTAATCACCTGTTCCAATTTCTTTCACTAAAGAAAAGCACTTGGATTAGGTGTTTCTGTGAAGGACCTTCCCAGCCTTGTTTTTCAAAAGTCTATAACTCTTATCTTAAAAATCTATTAGAGGATCATTCATTAAACTATTTTAAAAACAATTTAGTTCATTTCTGATGAATTTATTTAAAACATAATATTTGCACATGACCGTGATAGATTAGAAAATAAAACTGGTTGTAGTGATAGGGTGATTATAGTTTCTCCTTGGGATCAGGGAAACCATGGACCACTGTGGAAAAAGTCTGAGGCTGGAACTTGGGACACACTAAGTGAGGCAGAGTGATATTTGTAGTTTTGTAAATCGTCCACAGCAGTTACCAACACACAAGAAAGGCCAGTTGTGAGATGGGGTTCACAATGAAGTCTGGGTCCTGAGGCAAATGAGAATTTATCTTAACTTCTCAGATTATGTTTGGATAAACCTAAGTTTTCTACAGGTTAACAAATTATTAGTTCTGAAATCAAATATATTCTGTGAAATTACAGTAATATTAATCTGAAGCTAACTGATCAAATCTATTTTCCTAATGTAATATTATTTATTAACATTAAATTATGTTGTTAAATGTCACAAAGGTGATATGGCCAAAAATTCTATTGGTTGTTAAATATAATGTCCTTAAATAAGAGCGCCTTCAATCATTTTTATAAAATAGAAACTGCTGTCATCACTAATATCCAAGCACCTGAATGGGAACCTACCAGGATACTGAACAAAACTTCTGTAACATGATTCAGACTGCCTAAACAGCCTCATTTCACAGGCTAATTAAAATCAGACAGCCTAAGAAATGTAGAGTAATTGTTGGTCAGCTAGAGATAGATAATTGCTTTAATTTACCCAATATTCTACTGTTAAGCTGAACATTTAGAACTGGAAATATGCCATGTGATTATTATTTAAACTAAGATGGTTTTTTAATATTAAAATAAAGATCTGTTTTGCCATTGCCTCAATATGGCTTCATATCTTTGATACAGCATATTTTCTTAAAGGAGTAGTATCTATATGTCTTATTTATGAAGCAAACATTTTTATTAGAAAAAATTGTAAAACCACATGACAATAGACAGTTATGTTTTCATTTGTAACCCCCATTGATAGAATGAGTTGATTAGATACTTTTTAGAAAAATGTTCTTTACAACAGTATGTCATATTATGTTTTCAAATCTGCCTGAATGTTTTCTCTTTTAATCCTGTCAGCACCTCTGTTAGATAGGGATTATAACATCAGAGAATCTAAGTAACTCACCTGCTTGCCACAGCTAGTAATAATGAATGTTTGGGTTCTGGCCTGAATAACAAGCTCTTGCCCTTCCTGCTGTAATAGGAGAAACTCAATGTACTAAACTCAAAGTACAAAACTCAGTGTACTAAGGAGAAGTGACTAATATAATCGACACTGCG
Source organism: Homo sapiens (assembly GCF_000001405.40). Lineage (NCBI taxonomy): Eukaryota > Metazoa > Chordata > Mammalia > Primates > Hominidae > Homo > Homo sapiens. The sequence goes on along the minus strand of NC_000023.11, from coordinate 38,306,105 downwards.
CTTCCTAATGCAGCAGCCAGGAGCATGATGTCTCTAAAAGGACCCTTTCATCACCACTCATGTATCCTGTTTTTGTACTTTTTCATTTCTAGAAAACATATGACGTAGTATTTACTGAGTTACTGGAAGTCCTTTGGAATCACTTCAAAATATCAATATAAAGAAAAGCTTTTCCCCTCCTATTATAGTTGCATTTCCTAGTGAAGAAGCTTTACTTGTGAATAAATCTAGCATATGCCCTATCAGTTTTAATTCTCAAGACAATTCTCTGAAATTGGGTTTTATAAGATAGATTATTAAACTACTTTTATTTTATTTTATTTTATTTTATTTTATTTTATTTTATTTTATTTTATTTTTGAGATGGAGTCTTGCTCTGTTGCCCAGGCTGGAGTGCAGTGGCGTGATCTTGGCTCACTGCAACCTCCACCTCCTGGGTTCAAGCGATTCTCCTGCCTCAGCCTCCCTAGTAGCTGGGATTACAGGTGTACGCCACCATGCCTGGCTAATTTTTGTATTTTTAGTAGAGACAGGGTTTCACCACGTTGGCCAGACTCTTCTCCAACTCCTGACCTTAGGTGATGCATAAACTGCTTTTAAAAGGAAGAAGTTTTTCTGTAGGAGACACTATTCACTTTTTTATTTGACGTAGTGAGTTAGCTTAATGACAGTTGGTTCTTTTTTATTTTTTGAGATGGAGTGTCGCTCTGTCACCCAGGCTGGAGTGCAGTGGTGCAATCTTGGCCCACTGCAACCTCTGCCACCTGGGTTCAAGCGATTCTTGTGCCTCAGCCTCCCTATGTAGCTGGAATTACAGATGCATGCCATCATGCTCAACTAATTTTTGTAATTTTAGTAGAGATGGGGTTTCACCATGTTGGCCAGGCCAGTCTCAAACCTGGCCTCAAGCAGTCCACCCGCCTCGTCCTCCCAAAGTGCTGGGATTACAGGTGTGAGCCGTTGCGACCGGCCAACAGTTGGTACTTTTTGAGCCGACGTAATTATGGGGACATTTCAGGTAGTTCCCTGACTTATGTGCCTTGTATCATACCTGTTACTTACCTAACTATGGTTATGTATAAAAGATAAAATCATACCCATGTCATAATTTTTATAATGATGTACCTTTTCATTTTTCTCTTCCTTCATCATTGAAAGATTTATACTTCAATATTAAGTATTCTTAAATGTTTTTTTTTCCCCAGAGGCACTTAACCTTCACTATAAAAGGTTGAACGTGACAGTTTTTCCAGATATGATGGTAACAGTGTCTGCTTCCATAATCCTTGTCTTGTATTTGCCCCTTTCCTTTCAGAGAATGCTGTGTATACCTTTGGGCTGGGACAATTTGGTCAGCTGGGTCTTGGCACTTTTCTTTTTGAAACTTCAGAACCCAAAGTCATTGAGAATATTAGGGATCAAACAATAAGTTATATTTCTTGTGGAGAAAATCACACAGCTTTGATAACAGGTATGGATTAGAATTTCTGTTATATATTTATAGAACTGGGTATATTTTATTACAAAATAAATTATATGTGAAATGAATGTATCTAACTTAAGTAAAGGAATTAATGGCTGAGAAAAATGGAATTCCATGTTTACTATTCCAAAGTATAAAGTTGTGAACTTTTTATTATTTTAATTCAATTTAGAATAAATGTAAATGATCCAAAGATTTAGAACCTCACAATAGGCCGATGATGTCAGAAGTTAGACCATAGTATTATTCTTTGTCAGAAAACAGGAATCTTTTTGAAATTATATCATTTTGAAGGCTCTTAATTCTACTCAGGCCAAAAGGAAAAATCCCACAAGCAAAAACTTATTTTAAAACATTCTTCCTATTCAGTCTGACAGAGCTGCATTCAGGCCGAGTCAGTTGTTATGTTTTTGCCACCTGGAGGCGTTTTCAGGAATGACTCCTTTCCTTCTCTTTCTACGTGTTAGAGAGAAGGGACCCTCAGAGACCACTAAGTGGATACCTTCTTCCACTCTGTGGTATCTCCTTCATGCAGGGAAATGTTCCTTTGAGCCCACTTCTCAGCCTCAAAACTATGTGCTGCTAATAATATAGGACTCAGTAAAGATTCTCCCCTAAATGATTCAGTCACATATATGTAGGTAATTGATATAGTCCACAGTTTTCAATGCTTTGTGACAAACGGGTATATAATTTCACTATTTCTGTCTAAATATGAAGTGAAGCATTGGAAAGTCAGAAATCATCTAGTGTATTGACGTAATCCATGTACTAGTATTTCTACTTTTTTTCCTTCTTTTTGAAAAAGCTACTGCTATGAAAAAGCTCCTGAAAAAACTACTGCTCATCTAATGGTATCTGGCTAGGGAAACTAGGAATCAGCAAATGCAAGATATACTGTTTCTTCTTCCCCAAAGAAGCTTTCAGAGAAGATGACCTGCCCATGATCAAGTATCAGTGTTCTTGAGAATGTATCATGAAATAGCATTATATAGAATATGAAAAGTATTATTCATTCATCATCCACTAAGAGTTGTTGTGTATCCCTTAACTATAGGGTCCTAATGTCACTTTATCTGTCCTTACTGTCATTTTTCATCAACTCTAATCTTCCACTAATAGTAGATACATACTATTTTTAATCTGTCATCTAACATACAATTCGAATATTTAGTTAAATTTTCATAGTACCTTTACTCCTGATAAAAAGAGTTATAGCACAAATAATTGAACATTAACTTTGTTTGCCTTTTTGTTCATCAATCGTCCCTGGAGGGCAAGTGGTGTGGAATTTTTTTTTTTTTTCCTCCAGGACTAATGAGAAGTATGTAGTGGGTTATCTGCAAGCTCTTGCCAGTTCCCCATTATAGCCAGTGGCTCATATTTTTAAAAGCTCTCTGAGGTTGAAAGTGCCATCAGGCAGCTTGGATCAGGGTTTATATTTTCAGGCAAAAGACAATCAAATTTAAAAGGCAAACCTTAAAAAACATTTGGGTAAAGAAATCAGGTTGAAAAGAAGGAGGAAGAAGGGATAAAGGTGATAAGGAGCAGATATAAAAGAAGGACATAAATACTTAATAGTAAGAATTGTAAGAGTCTACAGCTTGGTCAACATGGTGAAACCCCATCTCTACTATATTCAAAAATTAGCCAGCATGGCAGCGCGTGCCTGTAATATCAGCTATTGAGGAGGCTGAGGCAGGAGAATCACTTGAACCCGGGAGGCAGAGGTTGCAGTGAGCTGAGATCGCACCACTGCACTCCAGCCTGGGTGACAGAGCGAGACCCCATCTCAAAAAAAAAAAGAAAAAAAAAAAAAGGTAGTCTAAAGAGTCCAAACACTGAATAGCACTTACTTACATATTTACAGGGAATCTACTTATTTTTGTAAATCGATTTTTATACTTGCCACCTTACTGAATTATATTATTCTTTCTGATGATTTTTCAGTTCTCTTGGATTTGCTTAGTATGCAGTCACTTTGCCGTCTTAAACCAGAAGTCCCCAAAGGTGACCCAGTTGTTTCCCAGCTTAAAACCATTCATTTTCCTTCTAAATGTCCTTAAGATAAAACTTCAAAAATCCTTCATCTGAACTAATAGGACACTCTGTGTAGTCCCTTTTCACCTCTTCAGACTCATCTCCTACCACTCTCCCCTTAGTGCTTCAGGGGTATTAGTTGCCTTTCAGCTTCTTGCCCGAGCCACGTTTGCTCTTGATTCAGAGGCTTTCTATGTACTGCTGACTCTGCCTGGAAGATTCTTTGCTCCCTTCTTCATGCAGCTAAGCCCTACTCATCCTTTAGGTTTCCCTTTGAAAGCCTTCCCTAATCCCCAGACTAGAGGAAAATTCCCCTCCTTTGAACCATATTAACACCCCTTACTTCTGCTTCCCTGGCACTTACCCCAGTTGAGATGGAGCGGCTTGAAGAAAGGAGTGTGAAGGTTCGTAATAGCTGCTATGGCAGTAAGCAAAAGGACTAACTGGCGAGAAGTGACAAGATTACTCATCATCATTGTGGGCCCAGTTTCAGAGGGGACCCAGGTTTTGGTATAGGAATTAGTTAGCATTTTTGGCTTATGGCATTTACTTCAACAGTATTCCACAGCCCAGGAGCCAGATTAGTTAAGCTAAGCCAGTAGTAGAGATTTTGTGCATCCCCCACTCCCCAAGTCACATGACAACGTTTGGAGACATTTTTTAATGGTCATGACTGCAGAATGGAGTTGTCCTACTGGCATTTAGTGGGTGGAGGCCAAGGATGCTGCTGAACATCCTACAGTGCACAGGACAGACCCACACGACCATGAATTATCTGGCCCCAAATGTCAATAATGCCAAGGTTGAGAAACTCTGATCTATCAGTGACCTCAGGGAAAAGGAAAATAGACTGTGTTGGGATGTAGGGGTCAGAATACAAGCATCTCCTTCTCCTTCCCTTGGAATATATGATGTGTATCTCAAATTCTCATTCTGTATTGCTGCTGCTCCACACACTGCCTTGCGTGACAGGTCATCAACTTCACAAACCACCAAGGTTAATTGATTTATTCTCAGAATATTTATTGCCTGATGTTACATGCAGGACCACAGAGACCATAGAGAGTGTGGAAAGATCAATAGAGTAAATTCAAGGCAGAATTTGAGGGGGATAATTATAATTGCAGTATGAGTTAACATGTTTATCTGTTTACAAATAGATCCATACAAGTAACACTTTTATAATTCTCTTCATTATTTTTGCATTTTAGATATCGGCCTTATGTATACTTTTGGAGATGGTCGCCACGGAAAATTAGGACTTGGACTGGAGAATTTTACCAATCACTTCATTCCTACTTTGTGCTCTAATTTTTTGAGGTTTATAGTTAAATTGGTAAGGGCATCACATTTCCCTGTTTATATTTTCATATTACTGTATTTGAGTCTTTCAGTATTTCATAGAAAATAAGTAATTTTATGTTTGTATGGAAGAGTATCATATATATATCTAATAAATATACTTGTTTCCTAAAAGCCAAATGTCAGACATTATGCCATTCAGAAAATGTGTTGCTCCTAATTTTCCTCCTTTAGCCTCTTCCTTTTTGCTGAAATCTTGTCTCTTCTGCTTCATTCTCATATATCTGTTGAAAGCTGGGACTGTGCCATGCCCGCAGGCTTTGTATCTTGTGTAGCACCCAGCAGAGTACCTTGCTCACAATAGTCTTTAATAAATATTTGCTGAATTAAATGTTAGACTCTCAAATCCTGCACAACAGAAAGTCTGATAATAAACAAAGCGTTTTGGCAGGGCACGGTGGCTCACTCCTGTAATCCCAGCACTTTGGGAGGCCAAGGCGGGCGGATCACCTGAGATCGGGAGTTTAAGAACAGCCTGGCCAACATGGTGAAACCCTGTCACTAATGAAAATACAAAAATTAGCCAGGTATGATGGCACACGCCTGTAATCCCAACTACTTGGGAGGCTGAGGCACGAGAATTGCTTGAACCCAGAAGGTGGAGGTTGCAGTGAGCTGAGGTCGTGTCACTGCACTCCAGCCCAGGTGACAGTGAGACTCTGTCTCAAAAAAAATAAAAAATAAAGAGTTTTGAAGATACGGTTTTTTGGCTAAATTTTCTTAGGTTAAGGATGTATTATTTCAGTGTCACGTCACCATCACGCATCATACCTGTATTGTTTCTTAATATTTTTGCCAGTTAAGTTTAGACTTTTGAAAATTCTATTTACTTGATGATAATACTGAAATTTGTCCTCCAGAGACTCAGTGTCTCATAATATGGAACACTTTGATTTATTGATTTGACAGTCATTTAATGAAAGCCTACTATGGGTAAGATAGTGTGCTAAGTATAAGAAATACAAAGTACTGGTCGGGCGCGGTGGCTCACGCCTGTAATCCTAGCACTTTGGGAGGCCGAGGCGTGCAGATCAACTGAGGTCAGGAGTTCAAGACCAGCCTGGCTAACATGGTGAAACCCCATCTCTACTAAAAATACAAAAATTAGCTGGGCGTGGTGGCAGGTGCCTGTAATCCCAGCTTCTTGGGATCCTGAGGCAAAATAATTGCTTGAATCCGGGAGGCAGAGGTTGCAGTGAGCCGAGATTGTGCCATTGCACTCCAGCCTGGGCGAGAAGAGTAAAACTCCATCTCAAAAAAAAAGAAAAAAAAGAAATACAAAGTATTGTATACAGTGATGAACGAAATAACCAGGACCTCATTCATTGAGGACTTATTCATTACAGTCTTATAATTTTTAAAAGGGATATACAAAAATATATATAAATTTAAAATTTTAAAGTATTATGAAGGAAAAATAGAACATTATAAAGTATCTAGAACCTATGTACGGAAAATACTGCACTATGGGTTTTTTTTTTAGCATTTTCTTGAAAATGATTTATTTCTCAAAATTCTTTGAATGCTGATTTCATTTTTTATTGTTCTGTCATCACCCAAGTAATCACGCATACTTGCATTTATTTTCCTCTAAGGACTTTTAAGCATTAAACTTAGAAAATGTTCATATAAAGAAGGCTTAGAGACATAATTAGCTCAAGAGACTGATTTATACTTTAAAAAAAATCTTCTAGTAGAACTTCTCTGAGTAATTTTTCACATTTTTAATGTTCTTCCCAGATTAAAATACAACATTTTCTAACTGTAAGGAGAAATGTAATTTGCCAAGTATTTTTTTCTCTATATTATTTTAAATTGAAAGTAAAATGGTGGATTAAACTTGTTCTAATTTTCAATCACAATGTTTAAAGAATATGTATGGTAATTGTGTACCTATTGTATACATATTGTGTACACATTCTCATTGTGCACACACATACGTATAGACAGAGAGATTCACCAAGCCAGTCTGTCTAGGAAGCCTACCACTAAATAAATGTCTTACAGCTGATAACTGTTAAAAACTCATTTGTGTTTGAAGCCAATGTTGATGAGTTTTTCTGTGGATTTATGCTGCAGGTTGCTTGTGGTGGATGTCACATGGTAGTTTTTGCTGCTCCTCATCGTGGTGTGGCAAAAGAAATTGAATTCGATGAAATAAATGATACTTGCTTATCTGTGGCGACTTTTCTGCCGTATAGCAGTTTAACCTCAGGAAATGTACTGCAGAGGACTCTATCAGCACGTATGCGGCGAAGAGAGAGGGTACAATTGTGGCCTATTCTGTATAATAGTATTATCTAGCACTGCAAAGAAAACTAGAAGAAAAAAATCTGTTTTCTTTTTAAATCAAAGGGTCTTCTCAGATAAATTTGCTACATAAAATTATTAGAGTTGAGTGCTAACAAACTTTTAGAGTTAATTCAGAAAAATTCAGAAAAGCTTAATGCTTTTTTTAAAGACACAAATTAGAAAATTTAAATTATAGAAAACTTTTGCATATAGACAATGGTGCTATAAAAGCATCCTTTTATAGTCCTATTTTATCACCTCACATTGAATGCTGAATTGTTTTTTCAACTGCATGTGGACTGACTTTCACTTTGTTATATGCTTTTTTTTATTATGGTAGTAAAAATACAACAAATATACCCCCTTAACAGATTTTTAAGTGTGCAATACGGTATTGTTGACTATAGGCACAATGTTATGTTGTTCAGAAATCTGTAGAACTTAATTATCTTATATAATGCTACATTCTTTTGTCTTTCAGTTAAGCCTCATGAGCAGTGGGAGCTTATATACTATAAACAATGAAATGGGAAAACAAAGGAATAAGGACTTCAATTAGAGAGAGGAAATATTCTCTCAATTAAATTTAGAGATTTTCCTTCTGTGTTTTAAAATTATTGTTCCAATGACATATATATATATGTGTTTTTTTTTTTTTTGAGACAGAGTCTCACTCTGTTGCCCAGGCTGGGGTGCAGTGGCGCAATCTTGGCTCACTGCAACCTCCACCTCCTGGGTTCAAGCCATTCTCCTGCCTCAGCCTCCCAAGTAGCTGGGACTACAGGCGTGCACCACCATGCCCGGCTAATTTTTTTGTATTTTTAGGAGAGACGGGGTTTCACCATGCTGGCCAGGCTGGTCTCGAACTCCTGACCTCAAGTGATCCACCAGCCTCGGCCTCCCAACCTGCTGGGATTACAGGCATGAGCCACCAAGCCCGGCCCCAATGACATACCTGTTTTTTAAAGTAAATGGCAAATAATTTTTGAAGGTAACATTCCTTTTTTGAAAATTACTATAAGTTTCAAAACATGTTTTTTTGAAGGTTCATAGCAGTTTTATTTGTAATAGCCAGCATATTTCTTTTGAAGTAAAAAGGTTAAATCTGGTGTTTTATTATGAAAAAGCATATATGGAAAAGTTGAGAAATACCCCATCAGTGTTTTGTAGTTGTTGTTAATTTACATCTCCTAAGTAATTTTTTGTTTCTTAGGGAGTGTAGAGAAAATGCACACACACTTTTCCCTGGTCATGTGAAAAATAAAGCTTCCAAATTGAAATTTAGAGCAACTAAGATACAGAGACAACAGAGCAAAATGTTTTTGAGCCTTTGGGGATTATTAAGAAGTAAATGTTGTGGAGTGTTGGCATACTTTGAACTTTCTCTTAAATATTTTAGCAACTTTTAGGAAAGTTTATATCAATATTAAATATATAACATCATGAAATAGTTTGTTTAACCTGCTTATTTTAAAGGAGAGGTCTCCAGATTCTTTTTCAATGAGGAGAACACTACCTCCAATAGAAGGGACTCTTGGCCTTTCTGCTTGTTTTCTCCCCAATTCAGTCTTTCCACGATGTTCTGAGAGAAACCTCCAAGAGAGTGTCTTATCTGAACAGGACCTCATGCAGCCAGAGGAACCAGGTAACATTTGCTACTCTGTCTGCTCTCAGGATAAATGTGCCTTTTATTCCTGTAGTTTTTATGTTTATCTTAAGATGTTTTCTCCAGTTATTTAAATTGTTCTCTCCCTGGTTAGAGCCTAACATCACTCATTTGAACTCAAATCCGGGAATATCCTTACAAGTAGAAAGCACCATCAGTGCTCCTAAGACTGCCATGTAACCACAGCAGCATATCTTTATAGAGCAGTGGATAACAGTTATAGTACATTCCTTAACTTTATCCCCTTTAAACCCTGAAACCACTTGATGAACTTAGGAGGGAGTTATAGTCTTCATTTTAGAGATGAGAAAAGCAAGGCTTGAAGAGATCAAGTGACTTGCCCAAGGTCACTCAGCTTATAAACGAAGTGGTCAGAATTTGAATACAGGTCTTCTGGATCTATGTGAAATTCTGTATTTAGGCAGTATAACATAGCGGTTAAGAGCATGGACTATGGAGTTAAACTGGGGTCAAAAGCCAGTTTTGACATTTACTAGCTGTGTGGCTGACTTTGGGAAAGTTACTTAACCTCTCTAAGCCTCAGTTTCCTTGTCTTTGAAATTTATTTAATAATACTGACTTCAGAAAGTGATTGTGAGGATTCAGTGAGATCAGGCATATAAAATAATTAGCATTGAGCCCAGCACCTCTAGAAACACCTCAGTAAATGTTGTTATGATTAATATTAATACCTTTGCGTCACTACCTATTAGATACAGATTTCATGTTTTAATTTGTAATCCCAGCTCTTTCACTATTCTATACCTATTCTAAGTAATTTTCTTTAGAGATATTTGTGTATCTTAGGAGTGTCTGTATGTTACTGCAGGACATCTAGAGAGGGAATATTCTCTCTTAATTAAATTTAGGGATTCTCCTGTGTTTTAAAATTATTGTTCCAATGACACATATATTTTTTAAAGTAAATGGCAAATAATTTTTTTTTTTGAGACGGATTCTCGCTTTGTCGCCCAAGCTGGAGTGCAGTGGCGCAATCTGGGCTCACTGCAAGCTCTGCCTCCTGGGTTCAAGCCATTCTCCTGCCTCAGTCTCCTGAGTAGCTGGGACTACAGGTGCCCGCCACCATGCCCGGCTAATTTTTTGTATTTTTTTTGTAGACATGCGGTTTCACCGTGTTAGCCAGGATGGTCTCGATCTCCTGACCTTGTGATCTGCCCACCTCGGCCTCCCAAAGTGCTGGGATTACAGGCATGAGCCACCACGCCCGGCCAATGGCAAATAATTTTTGAAGGAGACATTTCTTTTCTGAAAATTACTGTAAGTTTCAAAACATATTTCTTTTTTTGAAGGTTCATAGCAGTTTTATTTGTAATAGCCAACATATTTCTCTATTTGATAGGGGTAGGACAAGAAACCAGGACCAGGAGATCAGAAAGTAAGCAGTAAATTTGAAATTAAGAAGATAAACCTGTCATCAGGGACTAAGAATCAGGGACTAGGAACAGATAATTTGTGTATCTTTGAGATCAGGAAGCTAGGCAAAGGGTTGAGGTAATAAAGGATTGGGAACTCAGGTAAGAATTGTGGGCCATGGGAATGGGATATTATATATAACTAGGACCTTGATAATGAGCTGATTTCTTGCACCTGACCCACAACTTTTGTATGTTTTCTTTTGAAATAAGATCAATGTCTAATGGTACTCTTCAGCCCTGGACATGGAAAAAGTAGTAGATTCTGGCAAGCAGTATGTAGTGTGTACAAGGAAAAAATACATTTATGGTTTAGGGAAAATTGTTTCTCAGTCCCAGAGATTTGAATGTGAAAATATGCATGATTTTGTAGCTAGATCAAAAGGAAATGCCATCTCTTGTCTTTTTGTGACTGCTAACACTCTCTTAAGAAAACATTTTGGAAGTTGTATCTAACATATACTTTAACTTTTTCTAAATCATTCACAGACTTCAATCTTTATAATGGAGGAAAGTGGATCAGGATATATCTTACTAAGGAGTTGTCATTTAAGCTAAAGGATAAGAAAGAGATGGCTACACAGGGAGACTAGATGTATTTCAGGCAAAGAAAATAATATAGACAAAGGTTTGGAGGCAGTTAAGAAGAAAAGGACAACCAGTGGGGCTAGAAAGTGAGGGAAAGGGTAAGATAAAGCAGTATTGGAGAAAGAGATGGTGAAAAATTATTTACGGTTTTATAGGCCGTGAGAGACCTACGTGATATGAATGTTTTTCTTAAGTGAGATAGAAAGTCATTAAAAGATTTTAAGCAGTAGACTGATGTGTTCCAATCCTATTTCTACTTTGAGATGATTATGATCACTTCTACCTCCATATAGATTATACAGAGGCCAGACTAGAAATAGGAAGAATACTTGTGAGCCCTTTGCAGGAGATGATAGTGTATGGACCAAGGTGTTTGCAGTGGAGATGGAGAAAAGAAAAAGAAAAGAGGGAAGATGTGAAATACATTATAGACATAAAAACCAACCGGACTTGCTAAACTTATTAATGCACCACACATACGTGTGAATTAAAGTGAGGAATCAAGGATGATTCCTAAGCAAGAGGAAGCTTGACACATTTGAGGAAGAAATTTAAGAACTAAGCCTCAAACTAAGAACACGTTTGAGGAAGAAATTTGAGATCTGTGAGGCATCCAAGTAGAAATATCAAGCTGATTGTTGAAACACAAGCCTAAAGTTTAGAAGAGAGCCCTGGACTAGAAATATAAATTTGGAAGCCATCAACATAGAGATGGTATTTAAAAGAGATGGGCATGGTAACTTATGCCTATAATCCCAGTATTTTGAGAGGCTGAGGTAGGAGGATTGCTTGAAGCTAGGAGTTTGAGACCAGCCTGGGCAACACAGCAAGACCCCCTCTCTCTATTTAAAATAATAATAAAATCCATGGATGTTGGTGAAATCACCTGCTAGAGGGTAGAGTCAGAAGAGAAGAGGGCCCAGAATGTATCCCTAAGAACATCTAACATTTGAGGGGTAGAGAAGGAAGAGCCAGCAAAGAAGCCTTCCTCAGCTTTTTCAGCCAGTAAGGCAGGAGGTGGGAAATTAGGGCAGCGTAGTGTCGTGAATGCAAAGTACCGCTCAAAGATCAAGGGAAAATAGCTCAAAGAAGTATCCAATGGATTTGGTATAATGGAGTTTACTGGTGACCTCGACAAGAGCAGTTCTAGGGGAAGATCAGGGAAGAAGCCAGAGTGTTAAGAGTTGAGTTATGAATGGGGAATGAGGGATTGAAGAGGAGATAAGATGAGCAGATAATTCCTTTGTCTATTTGCTGATAAAGTGGAGCAGAGAAATGGTCTGGCAGCTAGAGGGGGATGTGGGCTCAATAGAAAATATTGGAGCACATTTATATGGTAATGAATGAGCCAGTAGTCCTGGAGAGAGAGCACAGAAGAGAGAAAGTATAAGGAAAGTTGCAAAGCTCTTGCAAAACAGGAGGGGCCGGCATAGAGAGTGGTCTTTGGTAACAGGAAAAACACATCCTACATTTTAACAGGCAAATGAGAACTTGGGTACAAATATAGGTAGTTGTGTATGTTTGTTGGTGAGAAGATCAAGTGGATCGGATATGATCACTTCTGTTTTCTCAGTCAAATCTGAGGCAAGGCCATCAGCTTAAATAATCTGCTATGTATTTTCCAAACCTATATTCTCTGCCTTCTCCAGTCTATCCTGCATAACACTTTCCACATTGATCTTCCTCAGGTGCAATTCAGTTTCCATGTGCTCCAGTGTCTTCAGTGAATTCCTAATATTTATGAAAATAATTGTTAATTTTCCCATATAATTCCAAATTCTAGCTTTATCTCTCAGTAGTCTTTTCCTTACAATCTTCATTTGGTAATAGGTAGTATTATGGTAGTAATGTATTATGGTAGTCTACAAATAATGGCTCGTGGGCCAAATCTAGCTGGCCACCTGTTTTTATAAATAAAGTTTTATTGGAACCCAGCCATACCCATTCCTTTATGTATTGTCTGTGGCTGCTTTCTGCTACAATGTCATAGGTTAGTTAGGACAGAGACCATATGGCCCAGGAAGCCTAAGATGTTTACTATATGGCCGTTTAGAGAAAAAGTTTGCTGACTCTTAATTTTGATCAGACTGATCTCTTCAGTCTAACTTAGTGGAAAGAACAAGAGCTGTGGAGTCAGACAGACCTAAGATTGACACTGGATACCAACGGTCACTGAAACTTAATTTCTATATTTACAAAATGAGGATATAATACTTAACCTTCCTTGTTGTCGTAGGGTCAATATAACATATATAAAAGCATATGTTTCTGGGATTTGGTAAGCCTTCAAGACAAGCTTCTTTCCTCTACTCATTTGCTGAGACTACTGTTCTGCTGCTTTATTAGGAATGGGCTTCATTGTCTTCCCCTTACACCTCCATCTCTGCCCCTCAGAATTCTAATTCTACTCATCTTTCTATGTACCTCTGTAGTGAAACTTTTCCTGATTGCCAACATACGGATGTAATTTCTCATAGACTATAACTTCATTAAGAAATAGCAATTACAATTTTTTAACAGCAAACAACAAAATTGCAATTGCTAATACTTAATGAACTTATTAGTATATGTATACCCAAACATGTTTTATACCTTAAATATAGACGATAAAAAATAAAAAAGAATTAGCAATTACTTATGTTGCTATTCTGCAGATTACCACACATGGAATAAATACCAAATAGTTATTTGCTCATTCAATTCAGTGGATTTAAAGGGGAGGGATCAGTGTGGACTGTCATTTTTTAGTGAAGACTTCATTAAGGAGCTACGTCCAAATGTATTGGTGATCAATGAGGGCATAGTGAGAAACTGAGAAAAATGTAAAGTCAAGTAGAGCCTATGACTTTTAATTATCTACTTTATGATGTAATAACCTTGCAGTTTTCTGTGAAAGGTTCTAGGTGCTTATACTAGTTATCTGTTGCTACATTTAAAAAATGACCCTAAAACTTAGTAGGTTAAAACAAAAAGCATTTATTATTTCACACAGTTTCTGAGAGTCAGGAGTCCAGCAGCAGCTTAGCTGGGTGGTTCTGGCCCAGGTTCTTTCATAGGGTTGCAGTCACACTGTCAGATGGGGCTGCAGTTATCTGAAGGCTTGACTGAGGCTGGAAGATCCACTTCCAAGCTCATTCACATGGCCATTGGCAGGAGGCCTCACTTCCTTGAGATGCTCACAACATGGACTCCTACAGAGCAAGTGATTAGAGAGAAAGAGAGGGAGTGCACGAGTGTAGCTGGGGGTGGAGGGGGAGAGAGAGAGAGCAAGAGAGCCAGAGCGAGCACAAGTGCGCATACGTGTATAACCAAAACAGAAGCCATAATGCTATCACAATTACATCTGCTTTATTTTACTGGCTGTGCACATACGGACCAACCTGGTATAATGGGCAAGGGAACTACACAAGAGTATGAACACCAGGACGTTGTAGGTCATTGGGGCCCTTCTTAGGACTAGCTATTACAGTGCTTGATACCTGGGTAGTTATTTATCCCAAGGGAATAGTGTTTGCCTGTTCATATGAATGAAACAATTGTAATCTAATTGGTGTCAATGTTTTTAAACTTTCACAAAGATTTTAAAACCTATGTCATTGTGAATGAATTCTTTTCAATTTCCCTGACATGAGGTTAAAGGACTTTTAGTAAAATTATACCTACACTTTATATTATAGAATAATTTCTGTTTTCTGTCCAGTTGCCTTTCACTTTTCTGTTGAAATCTGGATTTCCTTTTTCCCATTTAATCATTCAGATTATTTGCTAGATGAAATGACCAAAGAAGCAGAGATAGATAATTCTTCAACTGTAGAAAGCCTTGGAGAAACTACTGATATCTTAAACATGGTAATGATTTCCTATCTATTTATCTAAATATGAGTTTGAATTTTAGTTCATTGTGTATGTGAATGTGTGTATACTTCCTATACTCTTATATGCATGAAAGCGTCTTTCTCGTTTCTTACTTTATTTTTTAACCAACTATATTGAGGTATAATTCACATACAATAAAATTTGTTTTGATCCTCACATTATTAGTATGGCAATTGAGAGCGGATTCTATTACTATCTGAACTGTTTTCCCTTCATTTTATATATATATATATATAAAAAAATATATATAATTGAAAATATACTATATATTTGTACTATATACAAATATATAGTATATATACTGTATTCTTTTTATAATATATATTTTTTATTTATTTCAGACACACATCATGAGCCTGAATTCCAATGAAAAGTCATTAAAATTATCACCAGTTCAGAAACAAAAGGTATAATATGAAGATTTATTTTCGTTATTGTTGGTGAGAGCAGTTTAAGTTAATTTTTTGGATGGTTTTTGGAAAGAACACAAGAAACGTAAGCATTTACTTACTTTAGAATTTAAAAGACAGAGGGATACAATGTAGATAACCTCCATTTTGCCTTGTTCTGATGGTATGTATTTTCTGTAAAGAAACAAGAGTGGAAGCATTTTATTGCTGAAATTTGCTCTTTGGGATCATTAACTTAAGTTATAATAGCCATACTTTTCCTTCTGTCAAGCCATAGGTTATGATTGCAGTTCTTATGTATAGGAAAAGACTACCATTTATTGATAGAGTGGCCCTCTGACTTTGGTTGAGTATGACTTTGAATTAATTACTATGCTGACTTTACTGAATGATATTAATATCTTTTTTAGTTTTAAAATTTTGTGATTTTAGTGAAAATCTTTGATAACCTTTTCCAATATTTGGTTGGGCTTTAATTTATCAAGAAATTGATAGCATAAAAATAAAATTAAACATTTGGAAATTAGAGACTGTTCATGGGTAGGAAAGAGAGACTTTTAATGAATAACAAATTGCAAAAGAAGGGAATAGGCTGTGGTTTTCACAACCATAGAGAGATAAAGGCCTGCCCTGAAATCCTTTGCTTTTCCTGGCTTTAAGGACTAGTGCAATGAATGAATGAGGGATTAGAGGATTAGGAAAGTAAATTGGAGAAATGTAAGTTGAGGGAAGAAGTCTATAAAAAATATTTAGTTTCTATTTATAGTGTCTTTGACATGTTTTCAAGTTTAAAACTCTTAAAATTGAAGTCACTGAAGTGCAAGAGAATCATACTAAATTGTTAAAATTTAGAGCTAGTCCTCATTCGTTCTATCTATAATACTGAAAGGCATGGTGAATAACAGCATTCCTTTGAATATGGGAGAGCTGTTCGAACACAGTTGTAGAAGCTCAATGAATATTGACTGATTTTTGACTGACCATACTTCCAAGCAGACACCTTTCTTGTGTCTTTCCTTCCTCTTCCCTTAGACTCCAGGCTCTCCCTCTTCTGGGCTGCTTTATTGTGCTAGGGAAAGAAAGGCATGTGCCTTTAGAAATCAGTTCTGGCAACTGGGCCTTCCTCTCTTAGGGCTCTTAAAAGAATCATGACTTTTTAAAGAGCAATAGCAAGAACAGCCAGAAACGGAAAGCAATTCCTTTTAAGCTGACATATATTTTATACTTTCTATAGTCTTTTTAAGTTTAGGCCCTACCAGGCCTACTTTAGTAAATGAGAAAAGATTTATTATACTATTTCTGTGTATTAACTTGTTAATTTTTAACTTGTCATGTTTTAATAATTTCTTTGGCACAATAGGAACCTCTTCCTAGGCCTAACTCATCACAATTTATAAAATTTGAATTAGTGAGGTTTTACTATCCAGAGACCCAAATTCATTAGATATTTGCATCCATTAGCTTGTTTGTAGAATTTAGATCAACAATTT
This sequence comes from Homo sapiens, assembly GCF_000001405.40. Taxonomy (NCBI): domain Eukaryota; kingdom Metazoa; phylum Chordata; class Mammalia; order Primates; family Hominidae; genus Homo; species Homo sapiens. The sequence continues at coordinate 38,289,465 of NC_000023.11, read as the reverse complement.
GGTTTTGCCTTATTTTGTCCAGCAGGAAATTAATTTTGTATTGTTAATGTATTATTCAAATGTCAGTGTTTGATTTCATAGTTTTTGTACAAATCTTACATTTTACACTTAATATTCTTTCCTTAGTGTTCTTTCATTTATAGAAATTATTGTAATTAAATAATATAATCAATGCAAGGAAGAAGGTCAAAAATTTGAAAACTCATGAAGATTTTGTTTAGAAAAGAAAAATATATTCATTATTATTTAGTTTATAGATAAAAAACATCTCATGTGCAGTTTCTTCAGTTCTAGGAGTGGACTATTCATTTTTTTCAAATTTTACATTTTTATTTATTTTGTGAATTTTGTGGACTCAAAAGACAAATGAAAATTTGAAAATTAGGCCAGGCATGGTGGCTCATGCCTGTAATCCCAGCACTTTGGGCGGCCAAGATGGGCAGATCACTTGAGGTCAGAAGTTCGAGACTAGCCTGGCCATCATGGTGAAACCTCATCTCTACTAAAAATAAAAAAGTTAGCTGGATGTGGTGGCATGCACCCATAGTCCCAGCTACTCAGGAAGCTGAGGTGGGAGAATCGCTGGAACCCAGGAGGCAGAGGCTGCAGTGAGCTGAGATCATGCCACTGAGCTCCAGCCTAGGTGACAGAATGAAACTCCGTCTCAAGAAAAAAAAATTGAAAATTAAAGATGATCGGGAAAGTGGGAAAAATATACTAAGCTGTACTATGTATAAGAAAAGTGTACATTTTTTTCTTTGAAATGGAATTTCGCTCTTGTTGCCCAGGCTGGAGTGCAGTGGCACAATCTTGGCTCACTGCAACCTCTGCCTCCCGGGTTCAAGCAATTCTCCTGCCTCAGCCTCCCGAGTAGCTGGGATTACAGGCATGTGCCACCACTCCTGGCTAATTTTTGTACTTTTAGTAGAGACGGGTTTTCACCAGGTTGGCCAGGCTAGTCTTGAACTCCTGACCTTAGGTAATCCACCCGCCTCGGCCTCTTAAAGTACTGGGATTACAGGTGTGAGCCACTGTGCCAGGCCAAGAAGTGTACATTTTTAAATAGCATCTTGCAAAATTAATCTCGAAGTTTTATGTAAGGATTGATTCGGATTGAGAAAAGAGGCAGAGAGTAAATATTGATGGTATTGTGATTAATGGCAAAATTATGGCAGGTAGTAAGAATCGAAAATTAAACACAGATACATGTTACTAAATCAAAATTAGATGTATCACAGACTAGAGAGTGGCACAAATGATCCTTAAAGAAAACAAAACTTTAGCAAAATATCTGGTAAAACTTGCTATTTTGATTCTCCTAAACTTATAAAAATGTAAAATCTTGGCAGTATTTAAAGTAGATAAGTTGTCCTTGTCAACTAATAGTAGTATGACATATGATAATTACTTCAAAAAATTTACAGAAACAACAAACAATTGGGGAACTGACGCAGGATACAGCTCTTACTGAAAACGATGATAGTGATGAATATGAAGAAATGTCAGAAATGAAAGAAGGGAAAGCATGTAAACAACATGTGTCACAAGGGATTTTCATGACGCAGCCAGCTACGACTATCGAAGCATTTTCAGATGAGGAAGTAGGTAATGACACAGGCCAGGTGGGACCTCAGGCTGACACTGATGGAGAGGGTTTACAAAAAGAGGTATATAGACATGAAAATAATAATGGTGTTGATCAACTTGATGCTAAGGAAATAGAAAAGGAAAGTGATGGAGGACACAGTCAGAAGGAATCAGAAGCAGAAGAAATAGACAGTGAGAAGGAAACTAAACTGGCAGAAATAGCAGGTATGAAGGATTTAAGAGAAAGGGAAAAGAGTACAAAAAAGATGAGTCCTTTCTTTGGCAACTTACCAGATAGAGGTATGAATACTGAGAGTGAAGAAAATAAAGATTTTGTTAAGAAAAGGGAAAGTTGCAAGCAAGATGTGATCTTTGACAGTGAAAGAGAATCAGTAGAAAAGCCAGACAGTTACATGGAAGGTGCAAGTGAGAGTCAACAGGGTATAGCTGATGGATTCCAGCAGCCTGAGGCAATAGAATTTAGTAGTGGAGAGAAAGAGGATGATGAAGTGGAAACTGACCAAAACATACGGTATGGCAGGAAATTGATTGAACAAGGAAATGAAAAAGAGACTAAACCCATAATATCCAAATCCATGGCAAAGTATGATTTTAAATGTGATCGCTTGTCAGAGATCCCAGAGGAGAAGGAAGGAGCAGAGGATTCAAAAGGAAATGGAATAGAGGAGCAAGAGGTAGAAGCAAATGAGGAAAATGTGAAGGTGCATGGAGGAAGAAAGGAGAAAACAGAGATCCTATCAGATGACCTTACAGACAAAGCAGAGGTGAGTGAAGGCAAGGCAAAATCAGTGGGAGAAGCAGAGGATGGGCCTGAAGGTAGAGGGGATGGAACCTGTGAGGAAGGTAGTTCAGGAGCAGAACACTGGCAAGATGAGGAGAGGGAGAAGGGGGAGAAAGACAAGGGTAGAGGAGAAATGGAGAGGCCAGGAGAGGGAGAGAAGGAACTAGCAGAGAAGGAAGAATGGAAGAAGAGGGATGGGGAAGAGCAGGAGCAAAAGGAGAGGGAGCAGGGCCATCAGAAGGAAAGAAACCAAGAGATGGAGGAGGGAGGGGAGGAGGAGCATGGAGAAGGAGAAGAAGAGGAGGGAGACAGAGAAGAGGAAGAAGAGAAGGAGGGAGAAGGGAAAGAGGAAGGAGAAGGGGAAGAAGTGGAGGGAGAACGTGAAAAGGAGGAAGGAGAGAGGAAAAAGGAGGAAAGAGCGGGGAAGGAGGAGAAAGGAGAGGAAGAAGGAGACCAAGGAGAGGGGGAAGAGGAGGAAACAGAGGGGAGAGGGGAGGAAAAAGAGGAGGGAGGGGAAGTAGAGGGAGGGGAAGTAGAGGAGGGGAAAGGAGAGAGGGAAGAGGAAGAGGAGGAGGGTGAGGGGGAAGAGGAGGAAGGGGAGGGGGAAGAGGAGGAAGGGGAGGGGGAAGAGGAGGAAGGAGAAGGGAAAGGGGAGGAAGAAGGGGAAGAAGGAGAAGGGGAGGAAGAAGGGGAGGAAGGAGAAGGGGAGGGGGAAGAGGAGGAAGGAGAAGGGGAGGGAGAAGAGGAAGGAGAAGGGGAGGGAGAAGAGGAGGAAGGAGAAGGGGAGGGAGAAGAGGAAGGAGAAGGGGAGGGAGAAGAGGAGGAAGGAGAAGGGAAAGGGGAGGAGGAAGGAGAGGAAGGAGAAGGGGAGGGGGAAGAGGAGGAAGGAGAAGGGGAAGGGGAGGATGGAGAAGGGGAGGGGGAAGAGGAGGAAGGAGAATGGGAGGGGGAAGAGGAGGAAGGAGAAGGGGAGGGGGAAGAGGAAGGAGAAGGGGAAGGGGAGGAAGGAGAAGGGGAGGGGGAAGAGGAGGAAGGAGAAGGGGAGGGGGAAGAGGAGGAAGGGGAAGAAGAAGGGGAGGAAGAAGGAGAGGGAGAGGAAGAAGGGGAGGGAGAAGGGGAGGAAGAAGAGGAAGGGGAAGTGGAAGGGGAGGTGGAAGGGGAGGAAGGAGAGGGGGAAGGAGAGGAAGAGGAAGGAGAGGAGGAAGGAGAAGAAAGGGAAAAGGAGGGGGAAGGAGAAGAAAACAGGAGGAACAGAGAAGAGGAGGAGGAAGAAGAGGGGAAGTATCAGGAGACAGGCGAAGAAGAGAATGAAAGGCAGGATGGAGAGGAGTACAAAAAAGTGAGCAAAATAAAAGGATCTGTGAAATATGGCAAACATAAAACATATCAAAAAAAGTCAGTTACTAACACACAGGGAAATGGGAAAGAGCAGAGGTCCAAAATGCCAGTCCAGTCAAAACGACTTTTAAAAAACGGGCCATCAGGTTCCAAAAAGTTCTGGAATAATGTATTACCACATTACTTGGAATTGAAGTAACAAACCTTAAATGTGACCCGATTATGGCCAGTCAGACAATTTAAATGCCTTGCATATAACGGGCACTCATTACGTGTTATTAAATTGATTTTATGTCAATTATTTTATGTGTAGTAAAAAAAAAAGCAACTGATGCAGCTGTGTTAAGGAGCCAAAGACAATAGGAGGCACTGGTAAATTTTGGCCTCTCTCAAACTAAAATTTTCGTGTATTTCCCCCCCAAATTATAAAAACATAACTAGAAAATATTAAAAGGTCATATCAGATTATTAACATTATATATTCATTAAAGGCAGCTTTAGGAAACAGGAATATACTACAAGAGTGTTTTGTTTGTGTATACAAATCATTCCATTTTTAAATGGCACAGATGCTTAAGGGCTATAAAAACTTCTAATTTCTTATAAATATGTTAGCACTTTTTTTAAGTTAGTGATTACAGTTTACCTACTGTATAGAATAATTTTCTAATAATGGATGGTATTCTAAAACTCAATTGAGGCATTCACATTTTAAAGAAAGTATTGTCTTTCACCTTTTATGTGTTCTTTTTGCAAAAATCTACAAAGTGACAGCTGTGTTCAGAGCTTAGATCCCAAAAACGTGATCTCTTTTAGTTACTATCTGGGCAGATGGTAGTATATCTAATGAAATGGTGATTAATTTAAATGTATAATCTGGAAATATGTAAAACTTGAAGTATTTTTTGTCCAGGCAAAGGTACTCATTGGGCCTCAGTTTCTTCATCTCTAAAATGGAGTGGATGAGATGATGTGATAACTGCAGTCCCTTCTAACTCTTAAATTCTTTTCATTCTCACAGATTCACTCTATCATTATTGTTATTCATGTAAGAAACGTTTTAGGGAGAAAAATTACACTTTAAAATTAATTTAGTTTTCTATACAGTTGTTTTCTTTACTCTTGAAAAGTTATGACAGCTTTAACGTCTCTTGTCTTCTGTAATTTTTTATTTCTAAACTCCTATCATTTCCAAGCTTTAACTGTACTTTATCAGAGCCTTCATTTCTGGTATGTGTTATATGCCCTCAATGTATTCACTGACTGTTCTGTAATTTCAGTTTGTCTGTTCCTTGTCAGAATGTTTCAAGTAAAATAAAAAATTAAATGTATATAGTCAGAAATTCTTTATGAAAAGATAAACTGTCTAGTATTAGATACTGAATTTTAGAGAGGCTAGATTTCCACTAGAGTAATTTCAATTGTCCCTTAAAATTTTCCGTGTACATAATGCAGCTAATTTATCTGATAGTTTATTTGTGGCTCCTTTTTCAACTAATTTCCTTTCATAGTCCCTTTTATATCCTGGGCATGAGAGATTTCTTATACTTAGTTTTATTAAGGAGGATTTTGATGAGAAACTTCCTGTGAGTTTTGTGTAGTTGAGTTCTTTTGCACAGTTGATTCTCTGAGTGAGAAAGAATATGAGGAAAAAGTCTAGAATCGTATGAAGTAAAGGATTTCCTAGGAGCAATTGTAAGTTTTGCCTTAGCTGCAAGGATCTCTGGCAGCTTCCCCTAACTAACCAAATGTACTGATTTGGCATTGCATTGCTTTACCGAATTCGACCACATTCATTAAGGGATAGTAGAAAAGAATTAATACTATGATAAAAATATATGTGCCGAACATGATTATTTAAAAAGTAGATTTAAAATAATTAAGATGGATGACACAGAATTCATAAAGAAAAAAACCTCCAGGGAAATGAGAAACTCTTAAACTCAAGTTATTAATGTAATAGCTATGAGCATTCATCTTCTACTGAAGAGATAATCAGCCAGTAATACAGAAACAACGTTCTAAAATACACCCATCTCAGTATTAAACCTGGTCTATATGTCCACGTTTAAATAGCATTTCTTCACATTTCCCTGGCCAAAAACATTTTGTGCTCTTTAGAAGTGGTAGTTCATGCAAGCATTGTTTTCTAGTGGAGAACACTGGCCTCCCTAGTCACTTTGAGACCAAAGCCCTTCTTCTGGTTTTGTACTTTTGAGCTGTCTGAACTTGGGCTAGTCTCTTAGCTTTGCAGTCCTCAATTTCTTCATCTGGAAAATTATAGAATGAGAATGAGTGACCTAAGGGATTCTATAGGAACAGCAGTTGTTCATTACCAGCTAGAGCTCTGTCACACCCAGATTTTCTGCAATTCCTTTTTCCTCAATAAAAAATCTTAAGTCTCGTCACCAAAGCGACCCCACATTCAAACTAACTAGTAGTTATACTAAAGTAAACAGTTATCCTAAACTACTAAGCACACACTAACTTTCTGTGCCCACTGTTGGGCGAACATTTATTTAATCACATGTGGCAGGTCTAGTACCCTCAAAAAGTTTATGGAGAGGAGTGTATTGTGGGTTAGGGGTGGGTTGGGGTACAAAAGACCCAGGTCTATCCAGGCTTTCATCGACAGAAGTGATTTACATGTTTGTAAATTTTATATATCTTAGGAGAAAAAAAAGGAAGCTTAAGAATGAGACCACTTTGTCCCTCATGAATTAACACTTGGTTATATAGATTAAAATAACTGGTTCCTTCTTTATTGTTCCCATCTGCTGGTTGTTCAGGCTTTTATAGTAGTTTATTACTGATCATTATTGAGGGAAGTGTGAGTAGTATATATAGAATCCATTGAGTTACATTTCCTAATGAGGACTCTGGCTGAAAAAGACTTTAAGGTAAGCTGCAAAGGATTACCTACCACAGAAACTGCTGCTGCTGCTGCTGCTGCTGCTGCTGAACAGCAGCAGTCAAGGTGAGTGCAACTGAAATGTCTTCTATTATTTCACTATAGAGAAACTTGCTATACACTTACATAGCAAAAATAAAATGTGACCATGGAAGAAGGAAAGGCCAAGCTTTTCTTGTTTCTGACCTGGAGAACTGAGTAGAAAGAGTACTATTCAGCAAGATCGAGAATAAGGGAGCAGAAGCATGTTTGGGAGACAGTTTTTTACTGTTGATTTTAGATTGTAGGAGATGTTCAGGAGGCAGATACCTGTATGGATCTGGAGCTCACGGAGACTGCTGAGTATCGCCAGCTCATAGATGTAGTTAAAACTGGATTTGACTGAAAGGAAGTGTTCCTAATGTGAATGGAGGAGAGTTGAAGACAGAATTCAGAGAAATGTCAGTAGGTAAGGGAGAGGTTGAGAAAGTGAAGTCTGAGAAGGAGGTGTGGGAGCATACTTACTAGGAAAGAGAGATACCACCCAAGCCAAAGAAGGGGTTTCAGAGAGGAAGGAGTGGTAGTAGCTGCAGAGAGAGCCTCTAGGAGGCAGCCTAGTAGAGGGCCAGGGGCAGAACCCACATTGCCAGGAAAGAATGAGCTCCGGGAAATCTGCTCTGCAGAGGAATAGAATCAGAACTGTGAAAATTAAATATCAGATATAGATATTTAATTTTTAAAATATTTAATTTTTTAAGCATATTTCTCAATTTAGGAAGGGAGATGTGTACTCCAGAGACTTTGGTTTTCTGGGGAAAAGATGATAAATTTTGTTCATAATTAATATATACATAAGAATAGAGTGTTATTGATGTGAGCTTATGAACCAAAAGAAAAATCTGCAATGCTTTAAACATTAGTGAGGCGGAGAAAAAAAACATCTGTGAGAACAGCCATTATTATCCTCAAATTAAATGAGCAGGTTTGGAAACAAACATGGGCTCCAAAGTCCAGTAGAACTGAGTTAAAATCCCAGCCCTCCACTGATGAGCTGTGTGGACACCTAGAAAAGTTGTGGTGGTGGTGGTGGTGGTGGTTGTTATTTGACCTTTCTGAGTCTTATTTCCCTCATTTGATAAAGGAAGGGACTTTTGACGATTAAATTACCTAACACATGAAACATGTTATAGGCACTCAGCAAATGGTAACCTGTATCACTCTAATTATACTCTGTGATCACACCAAGGTAGGTGCAAAGCTACACTCATGAATCTCCAGGTCACTGACTGATGTGCGTGAGTTTAGTCATGTGAACCTGACTTTTGTTTAAATGTAACATAATAGCAAAATATAAATTGGCTTATAGAAATAGATCTGTGGGAATAAAGTAGATTGCAATAATGATCATGCTTAAGTATAAGGTGGAGTGAAACTATTACACACCATACATTAGTCAATAAATGCCCCTAAATATTTAAAGTGTGTTGAAACGCTGATCACACTCATGTGGTTAGCCGAAAATTTAGGTGTGTTTTCTGTCACTGAACATTTCCCTCTGTGTCCTAACCTTGTTATCAAAATAAATAAAAATAATTAGCACATAAGGTATAGTCGTGGATCATGCATTTGTTTATGGACAACAAGAAAATCTTCTAAGGAAAAAGAGTAGAGATAGTAAAGAATAAATCTGAAAATGAGAATAAAAATGCTCGCCAGCAAGATATTCTATACTCTGAACATTTATTTCTGTAGGCCTGCCTATCAAACTGGAATGTATTCAGTGGTGAGAATACAGGATTAGGAATGACATAAGGGAGTGGTGCCTAGAAAGAAGGAAGAGTTTAAGAGATTATAAAGTAGTATGATCAGCCAAGAATTTGGAGATCACAACTGGCAGCCCATGGGTGCAGTCTGGCCTGCAGACTTATTTTGTTTGGTGCAGTTTTTTTTTATTTAAATCATATTGGTTGCCAACATTGAAATGTCAGGAGATTTTACATTTAAAAAGTTTCTCAGCCAGGCATGGTGACTCACACCTGTAATCGCAGAACTTTGGGAGGCTGAGGCTGGAGGATTGCTTGAGGCCAGGAGTTCAAGACCAGCCTGGGCAAGATGATAAAAACCTGTCTCTACAAAAAAATTAAAAGATTAGTTAGGCATGGTGGTGTGCGCCCTGTAGTCCCAGCTACTCAGGAGGCTGAAGTGGGAAGATCGCTTGAGCCCTGAAGGTCAAGGCTGTAGTAAGCTGTGATTGTGCCACTGCACTCCAGCTTGAGTGACAGAGTGAGGCCCTGTCTCAAATAATAATAATGTTTCTTGGACTTTTGGAAAGCCTGGGTCTGGGAGCATCACACTGTGGCAACACTGACCTGAAGCTGAGCTGAGGCTGGCACCCCTCTCCCCAGTTCCCATGGCTCCTTCCCTCACTGGCCTTGATGCTAGGCTCCTGGCTCACAATAAAAGGATGTATAGAGGACACAAAAATAAGTGGACGTTTTAAATGAACTATTTTCCAGTGATAAGATCTGGGACATTATGGGAAAAAAAAGTCCAAACTTACTGTTTTTCGACAGTCCTCAATGCACACTAAGAATTCTATCTTACTTTTTATGGAGGGGCCTCTACAAAATTATTTATACTTATATACAAATATATAGTATATGCTCATGTTATTTTTCTCTGTAAATAATCTTTTTAATCTTTACACAAACCCTCTGAGGTAGGTATTGCTAATGTTATTTTTCCATTTTACAGGTAGACTATAAAATACATTCACTGGGTGCCATGCTCAGGCCATGAGTGATTAGATTAAGGCTTGGAAAGCAGTGCTTAGGGCTTTGTATTTAATGCCCTTCCCACCCCATACTGCTGTTTCCATGATTTTCAGTGTAGTTAAAACATGAACTTACAGGTTAACTTTTCCTGTCCAAAAAAAAAATATATACTTGAAATTTTGATTTTTCTACCTGATATAACTTAAATACAAAGTTTTATGCTATATTAACCTATCTGGGAAACATTTTCTACCCTACATGACATTGAAGCATGTCAGAAATTCTGAATTATAGCACAAAATTTTATACTTTATAGCTCTGGTTTGTTTTATTACTTTTAAAAAACTATAATACCCACGGACAAAAGTGCCTATCTCATACATGTGTCCCTCAATATATTTTTCACAAAGTGAATACACCCATCACAAACTGATCAGCATCCAAATCAAGGAAAAACACAGTACCAGCTCCCTCAGAAGCTTCACTTTAACCCCTTTCAGTCATTTCCCACTCTCAGCCCCACCCCCCAGCCCCCATCCCAGCATTCTCCTTAAAGCATGCGATGTAATTGTGTTCTTAAGTAAACAGAAACCTCAGTAGGAACCTTTGCTCTCTTGTTCTGTTCCTTAAGAAATATGAAAAGTGTTGCCTTGGGCCAGACCAGAGTCTGCACCTGACTGTGCCATGCCTGACCAATGAAACAAAGGGTCCTTTTGTGAGAGGTCAGGCCCATTCACTTCTTTACTGTGATCCTAACGCAAGACACAGACATATACTGACCATTTCAGACTACCTGTTTACATCTTCTTAGATGGTTCTAGTGCCAAGAATGTACTTAAACTTTACTCTTTCTTTTTATAAAATGACAGTATTCTGCCAGTCACTCCCAAATTGTTTCAGTTTAAAAGGTAAGTGCTTTCTGTGACTTCAAGTAGTCGTCCAGATGTGTTTAGAATAATTTTAAATGTGCTTAGTCTGTGAGTGCTATGATGTGATTTCTAGTGAAAATGTCATTTTCTAATAGCTTTCTCAAATTTAGAAAATGATATAGTTCCAAAAGTTCTTCATTGTTATAGATTGTTTAAAGTTAATGAGTAAAATTGTAGTTTGTTATGAGTGTTTTACTTATTTCTAAAATAAGGTAAAACTCCCACGTGTCTTTTTATAATAGCATGACATTATCCTGTGGTTACATGAATACCTCAGTTAACAAGCCCAGTTGGAGTTGACCCAGGTGCTAGGTTAGCCAAGCTTCCCAAGTAATTGAGGATTATGCTGGGAACACAGCTCACTGATCCCTCCCTCTGTGAAAAGAGGGGCATAGTCTGAAATTCCTTGTCTCAGGAGCACTGTTCTTTTTAGTTAACCTTTCATTTATGTATATTTATGCAGACAACTATCAGTCATAAGTCTTAAATCTAGTAATCTTCCCATTCCCTTTCAAAGTGAAGTTGTTTCTGATAATTTTAGCTACCCATAATGTATACCTGGCTAGGCATGATACACAATATAAGTCACTCAAAAGGGGAAATCAGGCTGGGCGTGGTGGCTCACGCTTGTAATCCTAGCACTTTGGGAGGCCAAGGCGGGAGGATCACCTGAAGTCAGGAGTTTGAGGCCAGCCTGGCCAACATGGCGAAACCCCGTCTTTACTAAAAGTACAAAAATCAGCTGGGTGTGGTGGTGGGTGCCTGTAATCCCAGCTACTCGGGAGGCTGAGGCAGGAGAATCGCTTCAACCCGGGAGGTGGAGGTTGCAGTGAGCCAAGATTGTGCCACTGCACTCCAGCCTGGGTGACAGAGTGAGACCCTGTCTCAAACAAAAGCAAAAAACAGGCGGTTGGAATCATGCAGACAAAAACAAAGCTTAAAAGTAAATGATAACTACCTCATGTTAACCCTACCCAGTCTAATCAATCATCATTTGAAATAGCTGTCTGCCCTGGTACCATGTTCCTTTCTCCCACATTCCTCTCTTGCATACATTGCCTCATGACCTTGGATTAACCTAAATCTAATTCTTCCTGAGTAGCTTCTGAAACTCTTTTTAAAATCTCAAAGCTTTATTTACTTAGGGCTTCCTGTCCTCAGTGGGAATGCTATTAGGCCACGCCTTTGCAATTGGCCTGAGGATGACACTAATGTTTACTATTAAGGTGTACTGTATAAACATCCTCTTCCTAGCCTGGACTCTCGCATTTTATATTTTTACCAGAAGAAAGGTGAGTTAAATTTTAGAGGCATTATTTTCCAACCACCTACTAAAGATTCTGTTGAGTATCAGTCAGGCTTTATCCTTAGCCAGACAGCTACTAGAAAGCTGACCATCAAAAGCTAATTACAGTGTTGAAGGGGATATGGTCTGAAGCAAATATTGCCAAGGTGAACTTTGTACAAATGTTATTTGAAGGAGTAAATGGCACTGATAACTGCTTCACATATTTTAGAAGCAGTTATAATAAACTTAATTATAATAAACTATAAAGTTATAACTTTAGTGAAGTGTGTAAATGAAAAGTATGGGGGGGAATCTAATGAGAAACCTAATATCTTAATGACAATCAGAGTATTTCACCCAAAATTAGAAAGTTAAAAAAAAAAAAGAAATCTCAGTGTAGAATAAAGGCTGAAACTAATATTTTCTGCCTATACTTAATAAGCATTCCATGATTTACTATCAGTCTATCAAATCCATAGACAGCCTCTTTTATCGTTTGGATTAGCTGGCCAGTAGCCAGACAGAACAAGTTCTGCCTCTGTTTGGTTTTCCTTCTGCTTTTAATAACCATGAGCAAACCATTTAAACTGTCTATGTTCCTTTATCTTTTTTCCTGGAATGTAAATAATTATACTTATCTTCCTCATGACTGTCAGTGAATCGTACTTCTGAAGTGATTCTAAATCCCTATATTTTGGAAAATGAATATAATATATAGATATGATTATGTTATAATGCTACAGTAGACAGAACGCTTTTTAAACTTTTCTCAAGGTTGAAAGCATTGTGAGACAACCAAGAAAGAGTATTTATTTTTTTTTTCCATTGTAACCTTGCCATGGGTGCTAGTAAGAATTTTGGAAATCCTAGTCATTGAAATAGAGTGGCATGCGTAAAATCCTTGTTAATACAGTAACTTGATATTCAGCATGGACTGTACAGTATTTTTTTCTTCGGCTTCAATATTTGAATTAATATTTTCCTGGTTTTTTTAGATGACACAAATTATTTATGACAGCAATATCAAATCCCTCGTTTTTTAACAAGAAAATCTTACTCTTCTCTGATGGTCAATTTTGTCACAGGATCATGAATTTTCTAAAACTGAGGAACTAAAACTAGAAGATGTGGATGAGGAAATTAATGCTGAAAATGTGGAAAGCAAGAAGAAAACTGTGGGAGATGATGAAAGTGTTCCTACAGGTTATCACAGTAAAACAGAAGGAGCAGAAAGAACCAATGATGATAGCTCAGCTGAAACTATTGAAAAGGTATGATGATAGATGCTTAAATCCTGAGATCCTGGGAGAAAACATATGGGTTCTCTAGTTTCTGCAGAGGACAGATTCCAGTTGCCTTTGGGATCAGAAATACTCCCATGAATACATGAATACATGAATTCATGTGCCATAAGAGAAAGGCTTTGGCTTATTTGTGAACTAAGCAAACTTTGTCTCTAGCACACTTTCTAGAATGCTGCTTGGTAGCATTCTGCCTCCCGCATGAGTGGAAGTAGAATGGTATGGGCCAGGATAGTACACCGTTGGGAAATTAACCAAGAAGTTCAGCACTCAGTCCTTGAAATGCTGAAAGTGCAAAGTTAGGAGCCCTGGCACTGGTGGCAGAAATGGGGTGTGTATGTGTACACACACCTGTGTATGTTTACATGTGTGAATGATTGAAAGTTGGTCACAGCAGTATTTGAAGTTGTGATCAGTTCTTCAAAGGTGCAGTCTAGACAAAATTATGTATAGAAGGAATAGGAGAAGATATCACTAAGGAAGCAAAAATCACCCTGAAAGTGGAGCTAGAGAAGCCCAAAACATAATCTCTTCCATTGGCAGTTTTGACTGAGAGTGACCTTGCTAGGAGATAGTTTGTAGGTTTGAAATCATTTGTTTGCTAACACTACTCTGGATTAACTTCAGAAGTATGGAATTCCGCAACCCAAAGTGAATGACGTTGTACTGATTCATCTTTATTTTCATTTTTTGAACCTCTCATGCAGAACACTGAGTCATACCTTCTAGTATGAAACACTCTCATCATTGGTCTGTTGCAAGGCTCTTCTCATGTAAATGTATTCTCTTTTAGCTCCATTCCCCTTCCCCTTTTTCCCTAACATAGACAACCACTGAAACATATTTGTCATTTTATTTGAATGTGTACTTGTGAAACATGTTTTGTGTGCATACATTTTTAATTTACAAATTGGTATTGTGGTAAAGGTCATTCTTTTGCTTGGTTCCTTCTTTATCCAAGACTCCTTTCTCTCACTAAGAAAAAAAATATTCTAGCAGTTACTGTTTTATTTCAGAAGGAGAAAATGATTCTGTTTATAGGGAACATTTATGAATTCAGGTTAGGGTGGTCCTTAAGATTATTTAACATAGAAATCATTAAATACCAATTTGACATTGTAAAATGTTGAGACAAGTTGTATGCCAATTAGCGTTCATGAATCTTCTTTGAGGAGAATTCTTGAGTCATACAGTTTTTTTAATCACACAATTTTAAGCTAGGAGGACATTTGCAATCAGTCAGCATCTAAGGCCCCTCACTTTACAAGAGCTCAGCAAAGTGAAGTAATTGTCACATGTTTATGTCATTAGCTAGAGGCAGACTCTAGAACCTGCTTAAAGATTCAGACTTAAGTTTTCTAGAACAGCACAAAAATATTTTTTGTTATATTGCTTTGTTATTGTTTATAGAAAGAAAAAGCCAACCTAGAGGAACGGGCCATTTGTGAGTACAATGAAAACCCAAAAGGTATGAGCACATTTGATAACATACATATATACATACATACATACACACATATATATGTGTATGTATGCCATAATTGGGTAATTATAAGCTTACATATAAGTTTACATATATGCTATAATTTTTACTGTCACATGATCCTCATAACAAGCTATGAAATATGTGATACAGACTTATCTGTTCTTATATATAACCACCACAGCTTCTTCACATACAAATATTGCATTATTCATGGCTACTTATGTGTCAATGTTAAGGAATTTTTTATTTTTTTTTGAGACAGAGTTTCGCTCTTGTTGCCCAGGATGGAGTGCAATGGCACGATCTCAGCTCATTGCAATCTCCACCTCCCAGGTTCAAGTGATTCTCCTGCCTCAGCCTCCCGAGTAGCTGGGATTACAGGCGTGTGCCACTACACCTGGCTAATTTTTATATTTTTAGTAGAGATGTGGTTTTGCCATATTGTCCAGGCGAGTCTCAAACTCCTGACCTCAGGTGATCCTCCCGCCTCGGCCTCCCAAAGTGCTGGGATTACAGGCATGAGCCACCACACCCGGCTGGTGTTAAGGAATTTAAGTAGCCTTTTTACTACCTTTTTTCTCTCTATTAAATCAGTATTATTAAATCAAGCTTTTGCCCCAAATTCCAATTTATATCTCTAGTGCACACTGCTAGACTCCATTGCCCAACCAAGTTGGGACTACTGGGCTGGCCTAAAGCCACAATGGCCACCCAGTTATTTACCCCCGAGGGCTCAGACCTGAGTGTCTTACCGTAGATACTGAAGAGAAGTCCTTTCCCAAGCCTACCTATCAGTGTCAGAGAGCAGGTGCTGTGGAATAGAGGAGACTGTGATTGCCCTTGAGATCTACATAATCTAGACACAAATCATCTGTGTTTCTGTAGTATGACTCCCACATTGTTTCCACACCATCACACGGCAGTATGATTGTGTTCTCATAAAAAAATAACTATCTGTAATACTGGATATCTGATCTAAACTTAAGCTGAAGAATGAATAGTTTCCTTAATCCTGTTCCTTTTAACTTCTGCCATAAGAGTAGTAAGTTTTAGAATATTTTAGGCAAGTGTTAAAAAATGTATCACCTATAAGTATTCTTAACATATAGCCTAAAGCACTACAAAGAAATTAAATATAAGCTTAAAAGTAGTTGATAATATAAAATTAAAACAATGCATATGCTTCACAAGTATACTTTGAAGATAATTATTCAGATATAGAACATGTGGATTAATTTGAAACACCAAAAAATAGCATGTCCATTTGAGTACAAAGAATGTAATTATAACTAGGTTAATTTTTAAAGTAATTTGTATTTTACAGAAGTCTTCTCTAACATTGACTATTACCTTTGTAGCTATATTTGGATACTGGTCATCTAAACATTTACAACTTTGGTGAGGTCATTCTGGGCTTTTCACTTTAACTCAACTTTTCAGGAAATATGCAGTGTAGATGTTGTCCACTACTCCAGGGGTGAGCTCTTTTCGTATTACCCCACAACTCAGGGTTCATAGAGTTTCACTGAGAGCATCAGGTCTTGTCTTTTTCCTATTAGTTAAAACTAGTATTTCTGAATGATCCAATTGTAGGATACATGCTTGATGATGCAGATAGCAGTTCATTAGAAATCCTAGAAAACAGTGAAACAACACCAAGCAAAGACATGAAAAAAACAAAGAAGGTAAGTGAAATGAATTGTCTTTTTTGATCCTTTTGAATTCAATTGTTTGTTTTACTTTTCATATGGCAATCCACATAATTTAACTCTCTTAATATGAGTTTTCATGGCCCCAAAACCTGAAGAATTTCAGGTGATGTCGCATATTTTTAATATACTACCTTTCCTTTGGTTAGCATTTGAATGATGATCTTCTTTTCATCCTTTTACTTTAGCTTATGTTTTAGATGTGTCTCTTGTAAATGGCCTATACAGCTGGATTTTGTCTTTGACATTTTTAACATGCATACCTAAAATCTAAAGCTCATCAATGTTCCTATCTTTTTCCCAAATAATGCCAGGACCTTAGAAGAATTTTCTTGCCTATCACCTCTTCTTTCTTATTTTAGAAGTTATGGTACCCAGTATTTAAAATTTTTTAACATCACAAATCGTATGTTTTTAGTATTTTTTATACTACTTTTTTACTCAGATGTCCCCTCTGGAATTCTTATTCTTCCTGAAGAAATATTTTGGAAGTTCCTATCACAGATGTCTGTTGACAGTTAAAACTTTTAGTTTCTGTTCACTTGAAAATGTCTTTATTTTACCATAGTTCTTGAATGATAGTGTGGCTCGTTGACAGTTATTTTCTCTTAGTATCTGCTCCCATTATTGCTGTCTATAATTTTGCTTTAGTATAATTGCTGATAACTTTGTATATAACCTGCCATTTCTCTATGGCTGCTTTTTAGATTGTCTTTGGTGTGTTTCAGTTCACTATGAGATGCTTAAGTATGGATTTTTTTTTTTTTTTGAGATGGAGTTTCGCTCTTGTTGCCCAGGCTGGAGTGCAATGGCGCGATCTTGGCTCACCACAATCCTGCCTCCCAGGTTCAAGCGATTCTCCTGCCTCAGCCTCCCAAGTAGCTGAGATTACAGGCATGTGCCACCATGCCTGGCTGATTTTGTACTTTTAGTAGAGACGGGGTTTCTCCATGTTGGTCAGGCTGGTCTCAAACTCCTGACCTCAGGTGATCCGCCTGTCTTGGCCTCCCAAAGTGCTGGGATTACAGGCGTGAGCCACCATGCCCAGCAGGTATGGAATTTTTAATTTTAACTTACTTGGAATTTATTATGACTCTTGAATCTGAGAATTCATGTCATTTGTCAATTTTTTTAAAATTCTCATCCATTATATATTTGAATATTTTCTCTCCCCTCTTTCAAATTCTGATATAAAACTTTTTATTTTATGGGTACATGTCTTTTAATATCACCTTCTTGTTTTCTATGTGTAAGTGATATTCTGGGTAATTTCAGGGCCTTCATCAATTTCATAGTTTCTCTTCAGCTGAGACTACTTGGCTATTTAACCTACCTATTTAAAGTTTTAATTTCAGTGATAACATCTTTCACATTTTAAGTGAAGTTGTATTTTTGTTCTTTTTCAAATCAATCTGGTCTTTTAAAATCAGTATCTTGTTTTATGCTTACTTTTTTTATTCTAGTCTTTTAATTTAAGCACACTTAGTTTACATTCTGTATTTAGTAATTCCAGTGTCATCCTTAGCAGTCTAAATGTGTGTTGCTTTGGCTGACTTGCTAATGGTGATTAGTTTCCATATGTGTTTTGAAATTTGTATTGTGAGTTCATGTTTCACTGGTACTTTTTTTGTGGAAATCCTTTAAGGCCTCTGTTAGAGTAAGTCTATCTATAGAGAGTTTGCATTAGCCTTTATTAGCTCTGGAGTGACTGAAGGACCACTTTAAGTTCATTTCTCATTTAAGGGTAGACCACAATGTTTGTAGGTAGACTTATATTAAGGGCATAGTACTTAGAAGGTCCTCACATTATGTAGGGGTCTCAGTTCCAGTTCCCCTCATTTTGTGAGATCAAATTGTTTCAAAGTTAAAAGTCTAAGTTATGAGTCAGCAGATGCTATTTCAGTTCTTAATGACCTCTGAGGCTTCCTGTTCCTTCTTTCTTTTTTGGTCTACAAGGATTTCCCTTAGTTTTTGGGGAGATTACCTGCACATTATAAAATTATATTTTTTATACTTAATCAGCATTTCTTGGTATTTTATAGTGGCAGTCTTTTTGAAGTTGTGTATTTCTTCACCATAGCAGGAACAGGAGTTCTTCCATTTTAATCCATAGATCCTTTTTCTAGATTCTTACTTTTTGGATTATCACTTTTTACCCTAGTTTCTCCACTCTTTAAAGCTAGAAGTAAGCTATTATTATTAGCACCATTTTTATTTCTGGAAGAGCCAAATTTTCACCTGGTTTTTGTTTCCTGCTTTTTGTTTTGGCATCTTGTCAAAACCATTATTTGTGTTACCACTCTTCAATAATCCTATTTTCTTCCTGGCTACATTCTCAAAGGGCCTAAATCAAATGAAACTTTTATCACCTTCATCTCTTCTGCATACATGCCCTGTTGGCCACTCCCTTCTTGATGTATTTTTCTCTCCTGACTTCTGAGCTGCCTAGTTTTCCCAATTTTGCACCTACAAACCTTGGTCCTCAGTTCTAGCTCCTCTTCTGCCTGCCTCTCACTCTGCTCTTTTTGCCTCTTTTCTTATATTCTGTTTTCTACCTGCCTGGAATCTCTGGGTTATCGGGGCTACTTTCATCTCTCAGCTATTATCTATATTCTACATATCTGCAGCCCCAGCCTCCCCTGAGCAGCAGCTCTGTATATTTGACTGCCTACTCAGACCCACACACAGGGCTCACACAGCCATCATTTGGCAGCACTGACTTTTTTTTTTTTTTTTTTGGGGACAGAGTCTCGCTCTGTCGCCCAAGCTGGAGTGCAGTGGCGCGATCTTGGCTCACTGCAAGCTCCGCCTCCCGGGTTCACGCCATTCTCCTGCCTCAGCCTCCCAAGTAGCTGGGACTACAGGTGCCTGCCACCACGCCCGGCTAATTTTTTTTTTTTTTTGTATTTGTAGTAGAGACAGGGTTTCACTGTGTTAGCCAGAACAGTCTCGATCTCCTGACCTTGTGATCTGCCCGCCTCGGCCTCCCAAAGTGCTGGGATTACAGGCATGGGCTACCGCGCCTGGCCAAGCAGCATTAACTTTTTTGCCAGAAGTTCTCATCTACAGGAATGGGGAGGTACATCGTCCTTCTTCAGAATATTACAATAGAAATTCACTGTAGCTGCGATACACTGAGAATCACAGACATGTCCTGAAAATGACCCCTCCTGGATACATTTAAAAGTTACAATAGGTAACTTTAAATAGGTTTTTATATATTTTTTCTCTTACAACTTAACAAAGTGAAACATTAAATTTGTTCTTTGAAGAAAAAGATATCACCAAGGTGTTGATGGTGTTGAATGTTAGACCCTGAGAGGTCTTGTTTTAGGGTGGAATCCTGACTGCCTTTTGGTGAAAGGAAAAACTCTAACAGATGCTAAGAATGCACCATAGTACATGTGGTGCCCCATAAAGAGATGACAAAATCATGTTCTTACGTGTTGAAAATGATATCCCCTAAATACTGTTAAGTGAATGTTTCACTTATGGAAATGAATATTTGTGTGTGTGGTTTTTTTCCTAGATTTTTCTGTTCAAAAGAGTCCCCTCAATAAATCAAAAGATTGTCAAGAATAACAATGAGCCGCTCCCAGAGATAAAATCCATAGGAGACCAGATCATTTTAAAAAGTGATAATAAAGATGCCGACCAGAACCACATGAGTCAGAATCATCAGAATATCCCACCAACAAATACAGAGAGAAGATCAAAATCCTGTACAATACTATAAATATATATTTATGTTTTCACAGTCACCAAGTGTATTGTAATGTATACTTGAAAAATGTTATAACTTATGAAGTAAAGTTTCTGATAGTAGTCTTTAAAAGATATAAGACTTAATATGTTTTATTCAGCTTCTATAAGTGTGACCAGTTTTGATATTTATTTATGCTAATATTTTTAACAAGTCATTTCAAAATATGTGTATCTCAAATTCTCCCTAAAGTGTTGTGGCCTTAACTGTTCAGTATTGCAATAAAAAATATATTTTTATATGTGGAAAATTGAAATAAGATATTTCCTAGTTTTTACTAAACAATTTTACTTCTTTATAATTTTATAAGGCAATATTTGCAATCTTACGACACTGTAACAGTTTTTGATGTATTTACAATTTTTACAAAACTGAGGTAAAATTGTTTATAATGAACATATTTTAATAAACTATATCTGGTCAGTTCCACTGTTAACATTGATAAGTATTAATAAAATTAGGAGGTACTTGGCATTAGCAATTGACAAAATGGGGGCAAAAATAATTTTAAAATATAGAAGTATGCAAAATGCATTTACCCCTGAGTAAAGAAAATTTCAGTGCAACTGTATAAATGGTACATCTGTGGAAAACTGAGTGCAGAAGTTTCTTTGCTTCCCAGCACTCCTTTCTTTTTTTGGAGATGGAAGCTCTCTCTGTTGCCCAGGCTGGAGTGCAGTGGCATAATCTCGGCTCACTGCAACCTCTGCCTTCCGGGTTCAAGCAATTCTTCTGCCTCAGCCTCCCGAGTAGCTGGGATTACAGGCACACACCACCACACTCGGCTAATTTTTGTATTTTTAGTAGAAACAAGGTTTCACCATATTGGCCAGGCTGGTGTCAAACTCCTGACCTCGGGATCTGCTTGCCTGGGCCTCCCAAAGTGCTGGGATTACAGGCGTGAGCCACCGTGCCCAGCCCCTACTCCTTTCCTTAGGGAAATGACTTGCCATGAAAACATTGCAGATTATTTGGTATCATCTGGAGTGTTTGACCATTCCACCGATCACCACCATAGGAGAGGTGAACATAGCTAGGCTTGCTCATTTCAGCTTTTCCTGGCATTGACAGTGGTAACCACATTTGGTTCAGTCACACAGTGCTCTGCCACAAAGAATAGGAAGGATAAAGCTGCTAAGTCTTGTGTCAGTCCATTTTTATGTTGCTATAAGGAATTACCTGAGGCTGGGTAATTTATAAAGAAAAGAGGTTTAATTGGCTCATGGTTCTGTAGGCTCTACAGGGAGCTTAGTGGCATCTGCTCAGCTTCTGGTGAGGCTTCAGTTAGCTTTTACTCATGGCAGAAAGCAAAGCGGGAGCAGGCACGTCACATGGAAGGCGAAAGAGGAAGCAAGAGGGAGAGGGTGGAAGTGCCACATTCTTTTAACCAACCAGATGTCACATGAACTCTGAGTGAGAACTCAGTCATTATGGGAGAGGAAAGCACCCAGGCATTCATGAGGAATCTGCTCCCATGACCTAAATACCTCCCACCAGGCCCCACCTCCAACACTGGGGATTACATTTCAAGATGAGATTTAGAGGGAACAAACATCCAAACCCTATCAAGTCTACTCTGATAGAAACATTGTTTGCTTATGCTCTCAGGTACTACTTATTCAACAAAGCAAAGTATCTTCATTTTCCCCATTCTAGCTTGTAAATAGAACACTTTATTCTTCAGTCACAGTGACCATTGCCCCATTTAAACAAAGAAAAAGAAACTTCATCTTTGCGTTTCGTGCACAGGGGTTGTAAGGATGTTAGTTCAGAATAGATGTGATTTTGAAATCTTAAAAAATAGTCTTCTGTGTAAATGTTACATTTAGTAGAATTTTAATTTTATTAAAGGTAAATATAATAAAAAGTGGCTGTTGCAATGATAGTACAGTATTGCAAAAATACTAAAATATAAACTATCAGAGTCAAGTGGAAGTAAAGCTCACAAGTGGTAGTAAGATATGCCAGTCGTGGTAGGCAGAATTCTAAGATGAACCCCAAGTTTCTCACCTGCTGGTGCCACATGCTCTCAATAATCCCTTCCTCATGAGTGTGGGTTGGACCAGTGAATATGACGGCATGTCACGTCTTTGCTTCGTTACATTATGTGGAAAAGATAAAAGATTTTGCAGATGTAATTAAAATTCCTTGTTAGTTGACTTGAAGTTAAGCAAATAAGAGATAGTCCTAAGTGGCCATGACCTAATCAGATTAGCCCTTTCTAAGAGGCTCTAAAAGTTTGACATGGAAGAAGTCAGAGAGATTCAAAACAGCAGAGATGCTCTCCTGTTGGGCTTGAAGAAGCCAGCTGCCATATTTAGGGAGAGGGCCATGTGCCAGGGAGTGGTGGACAGCCTTTAGGATCGGAAGTCCTCAGTCCTACAACTGCAAGAAATTTAATTCTGCTAGCACCCAGTGAGCCTGGAAGAGGAACCTGATCCTCAGATTGGACCACAGCCCTGGCTGGCACCTTGATTACAACTTTGCGAGACCCTGAGCAGAGGACCCAGTTGAGCAGTACTCAGACTACTGATCCATAAAAACTGTGAGATAATAAATACATGTAGTATTTGTCTGCTAAATTTATGGTAATTTATTGTGCAGCAGTAAAAACTAATAGCACTTGTATTATGGGAAAGAACCTGTCTGTATGGTGGCTTCCTTCATCATAGCCAGCAAGGAAGAGTCAATAGAGTCTGCTAACAAGACAGAGGTCATAATTTTAGGTTACATGATCATGAAAGTGACATCCATCTTTGCCAAATTCTGCTGGCTAGAAGCAAGTCACAGGTCCCACCCACACTCAAAGTAAAGTGAGGAGATAGCACAAGGGCATGAATACCAGAAGGCAAGGGTCATAAAGACCGTCAGAACCTCCCCACTGTACTGATCATTGGGCCGGTCATTCAAAAGGAGAAAGGGACAGCTTAGAGACCAAGGAAATCAAATAGCTTTTAGGCAAATAGCTTATTTCCAAAGAAAGGATTAAGTCAAAACACTTGGAGGAGGTGCATGAGACAAACCTTACCAAGCAGATGAAGTATCCCTGCTTTGTTAGAGGTCTCAAAACAATTTATACTTTTTAATAAGGTGGTTTGTTGAAAATCATCAACACCAAGAGATAATTTTAATAATAAGGGTAAATACTTCTATAAAAACATACCAGCCATCTGCCCTTGGGCTTTGAATACTTGTATTATATTTCTTTTCTAAATTTGGTTCCCTATCTGGCATTTACATTGAAGAAATACTTACCAAGTACCTCCTATATGCCAGATGTTATGCCAGAAACTAAGAAAACACAGTTACAGTTACATGTGAGTAAAATGAAGAAAATGGGGTGTGACTCTGATGATGAATAGGAGATATTATGGCAGTTTTAAAACCTATTTTCTAAGTGAATGGAAAGGAGATTAATGGACACTAAACTTGAAAAACAAACTAATATCTGAGAACTCTTTAAAAACACAGAAGAGATAATCAATAGAATTGAATATAATGATCAATTTTACTAGTTTCAAAAATAAATGGAGTTGCATTTACTGATAACTTATTTATTTATTTGAGACAGGGTCTTGCTCTGTCACTCAGGCTAGAGTGTAGTGGCATGATCTCGGCTCACTGCAACCTCTACCTCCCAGGCTCAAGTGATCCTCCCACCTCAGCCTCTGAAGTAGCTGGGATTACAGGCACACACTACCATGAGCAGCTAATTTTTGTATTTTTTTGTAGAGATGGGGTTTCGCCATGTTGCCCAGAATGGTCTTGAACTCCTGGGCTCAAGCCATCTGTCTGCCTGGGCCTCCCAAAGTGCTGGGATTACAGGCGTGAGCCACCATTCCTGGCCGCCCTTACTGATAACTTTATAGCTTTACAAAAAGTTAAATGATTTCTTCTAATCCTCAAACTACTCATATTTGTTATGTTTCCTATTCATTCCTTTCTCCTCTCTATAATGATACTACGTAAGGCTTTCTTACTGACCTTAATGGGACCTGAAAAATAGAATCCATTGACTTGAGCATTAGGGAGTCATTGACATTGTTCACTTATATTATGGATCAAATGTTAAATAGGTATTAATTTTTTAAATATCAGCAGTGGTAAGATTTTTAGGTCTTATAAAAGAGCATGCAAATCCATGTCAAAACATTTAAGATAAAGAAAATTTGGCATTTAAAAAGACCCTCCTTATATAATAAGAAAATGTAGTTTTGAAAGGTGCTTTTATGTAATATCAGTTTCCCAGGGCTGCCTTAACAAAGTACTACAAACTGGGTGGCTTAAAACAGCAGATATGTGTTGCCTCGCAGTTCTGGAGGCCAGAAGTCTGAAGTCATGGTGTTGGCAGAGCCATGCTCCCTCTGAAGGGACCTGGGAAGGATCTGTCCCAGGTCTCTCTCCTAACTTCTGGTAGTCTCAGGCATTCCATGGCTTGTAAATGTATCACTGGAGTCCTTTGTCTTCATACCATCTTTCTGTGTGTAATTGTGTCCACATTTCCTCTTTTTATAAGGACACCAGTCGTAATGGGTTAGAACCCACCCTAAGTATTCCTTTTAACTTGATTACCTCTCTAAAGACCCTGTTTCCAAATAAGATTACATTCTGAGTCACTGGGAGTTAGGACTTCAACATATCTTTTTGGGGGAACAAAATTCAGCCCGTATCGGTGCTTCAGTTTGACAGCTACACATCATACCAAGAAAACCCTTCAGTTGTTTATAGTGTCTAGTCTCCTAAATTATTTCTCTAGAGACTCTTGCTGAATCCTAGATTTTTAATGATATGTCTCCAGTGGAGGCTCTTTGTGATGTTAAAACTTTCATTTAATGTATCTCCAGTTACATCAAAGCAGGAATTTTCAGGGCTATCTTTTTCAGTATCCTAGACACAATGAGCAAGTATTAAATGTTAAATGATGACTAAACAAATGATCACATCTACACTTGTAGTGTTCAGACAAGGATTTGTTTCTCAGAAATTTGTACGCACATGCTTTAAGGTTAAACTCCATTTTTTAAAATACTTGCCATATGCTTCATTGCAGTACAATTCTGTTACCCATATGCTATTATAAATCCATAAAGGGAAAACAAAGTCTTTCCATGAGCAGGGAAGACCCTGTCTCTTCCAACAGAACACCGTCAGAAGCATCCAAAAGGGGAACATTTGGTCAACTAGTATTATAATCATCAAGGTTGGCAACAAGAAAGAAGTTATTGTCATAGACCTCTACCCACAGGAGACCCAAGTGGCAACAGGATTAGAGATAAGATGCAGAATAATTATTATGGGACAGAGCCATACTGATTTCTGTATTACGTTCCTCAACTTGAATTCCGAGATTTTCTGCCCACTTTGATTCTGTGAGGCAACCAAAATCGAAAGTATTTCCATACTTAATATTTCCTTTTGCCGGGGCCTGTGATTTAAAGATTTCTCATCTGATAGTAGTTGTTTAAAAAGCTTAGAGTACCGGCCAGGCTTGGTGGCTCACGCCTGTAATCCCAGCACTTTGGGAGGCCAAGGCGGGTGAATTACTTGAGCCCAGCAGTTTGAGACCAGTCTGGCCAACATGGCAAAACTCCATCTCTATGAAAAGTACAAAAATTAGCTAGGCATGGTGGTGCTCGCCTGTAATCCCAGCTACTCAGGAAGCTGAGACAGGAGAATTGCTTGAACCTGGGAGGCAGAGATTGTAGTGAGCCAAAGTCACACCACTGCGCTCCAGCCTGAGTGACAGACTGTTTCAAAAAAAAAAAAAAAAAAAAAGGCTTAGAGTATCTTTTTAGACAGAACTTTAACATGTGCTTTACTTTTTTACCTTGTAAGAATAAGAAACTAGCAAGTAAAAACAGGAGGCAAATCAAAAGGTTGGAAAATCTTCATCTCAGGAATGAGGGAGATACTTTATTGAATTGAACAAACAATGCATGTAAACCAGGAGTCACATAACTAAATTGTTTTCAGTGGCTGGGCAGGTAAGCACATTGGAGCTGCTGCCAGTCTGTTCTAGCTGGCAATTGCTCTGTTTCCCAGTATTGTGCTCTGATTGCCAGCCCCTCAGCTGTTTTAAAAAGAAGCTGGAAATCTGGGTTTTTATATGGATAACTCATTCACATACACACGTGTGCATGCACGCGCGCGCGCGTGTGTGTGTGTGTGTGTAAACTTAGAAAGGGCCAAGCCATAACTGCAGGCTAAATTTGGCTCTCAAGGGGCCAAGTTGTGACCTCTATTTTAAACAAAGTACATTATTTTGGCAAGAGAAACTAGTTTACAAGGAAAACATGTTGAAATAGGCCCTGGATTTATCTTAGTTGTAATCTTTCCTAATTTGATCTGAGATTTTAAGCATGAAATGAGAGTTAAAGAATTGACTAGAAAAGTGATCATTCTACTAAGGTAATTGAAGTTTCCTGTTGCATACAGATGCATACTAAGCCTTCTTTTGAGTGTGGGGAGTCAGGATCATGAGGTAGTGCAACTGTATTAAACAGTGAAGTAGAATGTTTCTGTTGGAAGAAGCTACAATAAAGTTCAGAGACAGCAGACAGACTTGATAAGCAGTCCCTCTAACAATTGTGACAGAGAACTACTTTGGCATAGTGTTACTGTACAATACTAATCACCGAAAACATCAGGAAATGTTATCCTAACCCTAAAAATATTCACTAAAACTACAACATGAAAACTTCTCTGGCACGGCAAGCTGCATTCCCAAATAGTTCCACTTGCTTCTATTTTCATCTGGTATGTATACTATGTATATTATAATAGATGAGATGTCTTAAGTAGCAGTGGGCTAGAGAACTGTATCTAATTTTAAGGAATGTGTAAGTGACAATAAGACACTTTTTATTTTTACTTAAGAAAGATCTTATCTGGTTCAGTGGTAAAAATCTGTCCCATCCTGGCTAACATGGTGAAACCCCATCTCTACTAAAAATACAAAAAATTAGCTGAGTGTGGTGGCAGGCACCTGTAGTCCCAGCTACTCAGGAGGCTGAGGCAGGAGAATGGTGTGAACCTGGGAGGCAGAGCTTGCAGTGAGCCGAGATCGCGCCACTGCACTCCAGCCTGGCTGACAGAGCGAGACTCCGTCTCAAAAAAAAAAAAAAAAAAAATCTGTCCCAAGGTGAACACCTTTTTAATATTCTAGAAAATCTTTTGAGGTTTAAAAGCAGTCTGTCCAAGTAATTTGTTCAGAACCTGTCAAAATAGTATTACACTACTTTTAAAGTTTTTACAGAATTTCCCCTGTGGACACAAAGGTTATTACAACAGCAAAGTTTTCTATTGTATTGTTTTTAGCCTATAATTACTTAAAAATCATTAAAACTCTGTGCATATGAACATTTGATTTTATATTTTTAGGTAACATATGTTACAACTTGCCATCAGATTTATATTAACTCCTTAATTATTGCAATTATTTAATTTACTGCATATAGCAATTAATTAGAAAATTAATATAAAAGTTTAAACCAATTGGAGAAAACTTTAAGCAAAAGATAGACGTATAAGTTGGTTTCCTCAGTAATTACTAGATAAGACTTTAGAAATGAAAGCTGGAAAATTTACTCTAAATATGAAACTTGTTTATTTAAAATTAATCTGTTGTGGTTTTTAAAAACTTTTTTATTTTGAAATATTTCAAATATACAAGAAAGTATAATATAATAAATACCCATGAACCCATCACATAGATCTTTCACTCATACTTTGCTATGTTTGCTTCATGTTTTAGCTAGACATCCTGACATTCCAACCCTAAATATATCAGGATGCATTTCAACAAATGACATTTTGTGCATTGTCCTGTGTAACCACAGTGCTCGTATCTTGCCTAACAAATTTAGCAATAATTTTCTAATGTCAACTGCTACCCAATCTCATATTCACATTTCCCTTGCTTTTCTCAAAATGTCTTTTACAAGCTGGTTCATTTAAACTGGAAATCAATCAAGGTCCATGCCCTGCATTTGTTTGTTAGTCTTTTAAGTCTCTTTCAATCTAAAAGAGCTCTTCCCATATTTTTTTCATGGCATTGACATTTTACAAACAGGGACAGTTGTCTTGTAAAATGTAATCATGCATTTAAAAGCAAGTGTCTAGGTTTCTAGTAATTCCCAGTAAGTGACTCAGACCATCCTACCACTGGGAACAGATAGAAAATTTGGACTAAAGTATATATATTAAAACAAATTTGAAAGTATCTGAATGCTATCAGGACAGTAAAGAATTATGAGGTTCAGATCACCTGAGGTCAGGAGTTCGAGACCAGTCTGGCCAACATGGTGAAACCCCGTCTCTATTAAAAATACAAAAAAATTAGCCAAGTGTGGTGGCATGCGCCTGCAATCCCAGCTAATTGGGAAGCTGAGGCAAGAGAATCGCCTGAACCTGAGAGGCGGAGGTTGCAGTGAACCGAGATCGAGCCACTGCACTCCAACCTGAGCAACAGAGCGAGACTCTGTCTAAAAAAATAAATAAAATAAGAATTATGAGGTCAAAATTTGGGAGAGAAATGAAGCCCAAATAGATGTGCTTGGCACATGGGGCTGTTTTTCACCAAGAGGTATTGGTTGTTTCTGAAGTTTAATATTTTCAAGGAATTAATACAAAAGAGTGAGGATTTTAGTAGAAAATGGAAGCTGTGAAAAAAATAATGAATTTTAAATTCTAGAACTAAATACAAACAGTAAAATTAAGACATCAGTGTGTGGATTTACTGATACATTGATGGAAAGAAAGTAAACTGAAAGAGTCCAGAAGAAAATATGATGTGAGAGACAAAATGATGCAAAATACAAAAGATAGTTGTTGAGATATTTGTAGTAGTATGACAAGGTCAAATATATGTGTAATTAGAATCCCAAAAAGAGAAGAGAGAATAGAACAAAAGCAATAGTTGAAGAAAAATTTCTGAGAACTTTTCAGAATGAAAGGCCACAGCCCAAAGACTCAAGAGGCACTAAAAACCCCAAGCAAGAAAAATATAAAACAACACTAATTCATAATAAAATTACTTAACACCTGTACTAGAGTGTGACTCCATTGGTGATGTTCGTTGACAACTTTTAAGCCCACTCCTCCGTTTCCCTCTGCCCTACATCTGGGCAAGCTAACAAGAAAGCTCAGGTGCTCCCTCCTTTGGTAGTAGCTGGAAGTTCAAAACACTCAAGCCTCAGCCTGCATGTGGGAACCTTTATCCCAGCCCCACCCCTCAACTACCATAAAAATCCCAAGCCAGTCTTCTCTATTTTCTCAAGACATTTTTCGACCAGCTTAGGATGCGTGCATGCCTGCTTTCCCCAGTAAGACTCATTATGTATGTAATAAACATTTTCATACCTTCTGGATGCGTATGTGACATCATCATAAGTAAATCTTGTGTTGGGGGGAAAATCCATTTCACCTCTGTGAGGTGACCACAGCACCACCAAACATAAAAATATTGAAAGCTGTCAGGAAGAATGGCATATTTAAAGGAACACTATGAAGACATAACTGACTTCTCAACAGAAACTGTGAAAGCCAAAAGGTAATGTAATTATTTTTTAATGTAATGAAAGAAAACAGGCCATGTGTGGTGGCTCATGCCTGTAATCCTAACACTTTGGGAGGCCAAAGCAGGAGGATCACTTGAGCCCAGGAGTTCGAGACCAGCCTGGGCAACATGGCAAAAACCCATCTCTACAAAAAAAATACAAAAACTAGCCAGGTGTGGTGGTGTGCTTTTGTAGTCCCAGCTACTTGGGAGGCTGAAGTGAGAGGATCGCTTGGGCCTGGGAGGTCAAGGCTGCAGTGAGCCAAGATCATGCCACTGTACTCCAGCCTGGGCAACAGAGTGAGACCCTGTCAAAAAAAAAAAACTGCCAAATTAGAATTTCGGATCCAGAGAAAATTTATTTCAGAAATGTAGGTAGCAGAGACATTTTAAAACAAAAGGTGATATTTCAAAGGGATACCTGCACCCCCATGTTTATTGCAGCACTATTTACAATAGCAAAGATATGAAATCAACCTAAATGTTTATTAACAGATGAATAGATAAAATGTGGTGTATATATACACAATGTAATATTATTTATCCACCAAAAAGGATGAGATCCTGTTATTTGCAGCAACATGGATAGAACTGGAGGTCATTATGTTAAGTGAAATAAGCTAGGCACAGAAAGACAAATTTCACATATTCTCACTCGTGTGGGAACTAAAAGTGTTGATTTCATAGAGATAGAAAGTCGAGTGATTGTTACCAGAAGCTGGGACAGGTGCATGGAACGAGGATGAAGAGAGGTTGGTTAATGGGTACAAACATATAGACATAAGATGTACAAACATATAGATAGAAGGAACAAGTTCTAATATTCAATAGTAGAGTAGGGTGACTATATAATTAACAACAATGTATTGTATATTTCAGTATCGTTAGAAGGGAGGACTTGAAATGTTTCCAACACATAGAAATGATAAATACTTAAGGTGATAGATCCCCTAAATCTGACTTGATCATTACACGTTCTAGGCATGTAATAAAATACCACACGTATCTCATAAATATGTACAAATATGTATCATAAAAATTTTAAAGACAAAAGGTGATATTTGTCACTAGCAGTCTCACACTAAAGTAATATTAGATGTTTCAATTCCTTTAAGGCAGTATTCCTCAACCAGGGAGATTTTCCCTCTCCCCACCCCAGCGGACGTTTGACAATGTCTGGAGACATATTTGGTTGTCACAACTTGGAGTGGGGAGGTGGCGAGGAGAATGCTACTGGCATGTAGTGAGTAGAGGCCAGCGATACTATATCCTACAATGCACAGGATAACCCTGAAAACGAATTTTCCATTCCAAAGTGTTAATAATGCTGAAGTTAAAAAGCCCTGCCCTCAAGAAAGGAAAACTTAGGTTCACACAAAAACTTGTATTCAAATGTTTTATAGAAGCTCTATTCACAATCTCCAACACCTGGAAACAACACAAATATCTTTCAATAGTAATTGGAAAGCAAACTGTATTAGGTCTGTATAATGGAATGCTACTTAGCCTTAAAAGAAATAAATTGTTGATATCTGCAGCAACTTGAATAAATCTCAAAAGCACTATGCTGAGTGAAAGAAACCAGTCTCAACAGTTTACCTACTGTATGATTTCATTTCTATGAGAGTCTCGAAAACACAAAACTGTTAATGATGGATAACAGATCAGTGGTTTCAAGGGGTTAAGGGTGTGAATTCAAATGGGTATTATGAGGTAGTGTTTTGAAATGATGGAATGGTTTGTGTCCTAATTTTTGTGATAAAGCATGAAACTTTAAATGTGTAAAATTTATAAAACTGTAGAACTGTTTACACAAAAAGATCAGTGTTATTACATGTTAATTTTTTAAGTACAATCAAACTATACTTTAAAACAACCCAATCCAGGAAAATAAATTATATGGCCCCAAAACAATGAGGTCAGATAATCTGGCTTCATCTAAAGATAAAATTTGGGTTATCTTAGAGTAGTGGTTCCTAGCCAAGGGTATATGTAAAACACAAGGAAGTTTTTCAAATATAACTGCCTATGTCTTATCTACTTCTGATTCGCTAGGTCAAGGCTAGTCTTTTGGGATATGTATCTTTTAAAATAGCTTCCTAGGTAATTCTGACACAACACTAAGAATTGAGAATAACTGATCTGAACTTACAAATTACTATACACCTTCAGAATGTTATTTGTCACAAATAAGCTTCTAGTAATAATTAGCAGAAATTTCCAGGTTATATTCTCTGAAAGTCACTGGCTGTATTAGCCTGGGAGTTTAACTGCTATAACAAAGACACTCCAATTATGAGTTATTAAACATGATAAATGTTTATTTCTTGTTCACATGATAGTACACTAAGGGTGAGTAGTTGGCTTTGCTCCACACATTCAGGGACCTTAGCATCTATCATCTGATGGCTTTAGCATTTTCCTTGAGCCTTGGCATTTTCCAGGCCTGAAAGTGGCATGTATCACTCTGCTCACATTCCACTGGCGTTCGATGACATGTGCCCAACTTACTACAAGGGAAACTGGAAAGTGTAGGCTAGTTGTGATCCCAGAAAAACAAGGAAACTACCACAATGGAATATACCTACTATATGTGCCAGTGAAGAGTCAATCCATGTGCTTTCACAATTAACTGAGTGAAGGAATATGACATATTTATTTTAATACTTTTTATAATTTAAAACTCATTTTTAGAAGACAATTCAAACAGCATAAAACAGTCAAGTTTTCTCCAAAGCATAAATGTGTTTTGATTTTCCTCTAATTCAGTCTTCAGGAATCTCTCTGGGGAGTGGCTATAAATTTTAGCCCTGCCCTGACAGAACTCCCGGGGAAGCTTACAAACTGCTTTTCATGGGACACCACTTTTTATTTTATTTTATTTTTTATTTTATTTTATTTTATTTTTTTACATGAGAGCATTTTACTGGGTCAAGAAAGACACAAAAAGGATCGTGGGTCAGGGGTGGTGTTCACAGGGTTTGAAAATCTGATTCCTTCCAGCCCAGAGGATTTAGAGACCAGGCTCTTCAGGGAAAAAGCCAGGAGACTACATGTGGTCACAGCGTTGCCAGGCCAGGCGTGTGTGGAGCGGGAGAGGTGCTGATCTAGGATGACAAGATGTCAGGGAGGTAGGTACCGAGATGGTGGGACTGATCAGAAAGCAGGTGTACATGTGCTGGGGGCTAGGGGGCAGGCCTAGATAGAGTCACATTGGCCTCAGATGTCCCCAGGTCAGGTGGGTGTGAAGGGAAGGGGAGACATCACTTGAGCACAGGTGACAAAGTCGCCGGGCTGACTGGGGGTCGATGTGCATTTCTGGAGAGGTCAGACACACACTCACCAAGATGGTGGCAGTGAAACTGGTCACAGGGGTTTGAGGGGGCCTGGTGCATGTGGAAGGCGGGTCTGCTGAGCCCAATGCCAAGGTCATTGCCAGGTTGGGGAAAAGGGACAACCCCCCTACCCCTCGCCAGACACTGTCACAGGGAGAGCGAGCGGGAGAATCCTCGGGTCAGAAGAGATGGGGAGGGGTTCTATGTGGTCAGGTGACCTCAGGTGTCCCCAGGCCAGACGTGCGTGTGTACATGGATTGTCTGCTGCACTGGCATGACAAGCTCCCAAGCCGGGGGAGGGGGGCGCTGGACAGTCTCTGAGATGATGGGAGTGGAATCATCAGGTCAGAAGGGACGTGTGTGTGTTTTTGGGGGACCTGGATGTGGTCACGGTCGCGTGGAGTCGGGGGTCCCCGGCCCCGAGGATCACGGCGATGGGGGCGGGTCATAAGCTGGGGGCCTCGCCTGGGTCCGATAACTGGGCTCCCAGTCCCCGAGGATGCGAACCTCCCGGAGCTCGCCGGCCCCATGCCCCCCAGGTCACCATGACCCTCACTGCGCGAGCCCACAGCGAGGGGGCGGAGAGGAGGAGCGCGAGCGCCCCGGAAGCGGGGACGGGGCCTCGGGACACTTCTTTATCCTGGCAGACAGCCTCATTCCTAAGTGCTCAACCCATGACCAGGTGTCCCTCTCACAGGAAAGTTGTTTATAGTCGCAGGCGCCCTTGTGGCTCTTGTCTGACCTGTGTCGAGTCTATTCCTGCCAAGAGGGCCACTCTCTAGGAGAACGCCAACCGGGAAAGAAGTTAGGTCCGGGTGTGTGGGTGGGGTGAGACACAGAGAGGCAGCTCCACAGAACGTGTGAAATACCAGAGGCAGCATCTTCTTTACAGATTCCTCTCAGGGCCAGCAAGAAGGAAGGAACCCTCTGGGCCATCCATGCTTAGCCAGCAGGTGGGGAGCAAGATAGAGAGTGAGGGACCTGTGGGCCTAGGCCTTTATCGGGGTCCAGGCATTCCCAGGCCGCTTTCCCGTGGGGAGTTCTCATCGGTGGGTTGAAAGCCAGCAGGCAGGAGTTCCATGGAGGCACGCTGTGACTGAGAAGGGGTCGCTGTGGCAGATCCGTGCGGCCCATGTAGAGTGTGGGGGGTCAGTGGGGCCAGTCAAGTAGGTTGTATCTAGCTGTCCCATAGGGAGGTGGTCACCAGCAGGTGACTGTATAAGGTAGATATCTGGATCGACCACATTAAGGAACAGGGAGGAGATGGAGAACAGGAAACTGTGTCAAGGGTGACTAAGCCCTGCTTCTGGTATGAGAAAGTCCAATATATTCAAAATGATGCTGAGACAACATATTATAAAAATTCACTACATGTGTAGTCCTAAGAATACTAGAAAAATATGTAAAAGAGCTTAACTGAGTCCCAAATTCCCTTTCGCTAATATAAGTACACTCTAGCTTCATATGATGACACAACTTGGCAAGACTCTTTGACCCTTTCCCTTCTCATTCCCAGTAAGTTTCCTCCATTTGACCTCTAATAGCCCAGGATTTGGTCTTCCTGTATATTCAAAGACTGGTGCCATAGCTATAACTCTCTTTTTAAAATCTTTTGGGCTTTAGAAGCCTCCCTCTCCATTCTTGCTTCTGATCACAAGGACTTGCTAACATCACCCCGATTGTTTCTCTTGTACCCGAGTGAATGATTTTGTTCTCCATACTTTGTTCATCAGCTCTTCCCCTTCTCCAGAGTATACAGTGAAGATCCAAACACATGTGTTTTCTCTCCACCTCCCACACTGATAATAGTGTGGACTCCAAAAAAATCCACGCAGTGCACATTCATTATTACAGTATGTACAAATATTATCCCTAACCGTAACATGTGTACTCCAAGTCTTATCACATACAGTAAATTGGATGTGGGCAGTGGGATGGGTATCACAGAGCTACTCCAAGAAAACGGCACACACATGGAATACCCTTTATCCCATTCTTCATGCTCCACTTTAGTGCTACAAAAAATGATTCTTTGGCTGTTAGGATAGTGGTGGCAGCAACATTTGCAGTGGGTATGTGTGGGAAGGCATAGGTAGAGGAGGAAACAGAATAATGGAAATTGTCTACGATTTACTAAGGCATGAATTTATCACCATTTTCTTAGATGGGCCTAAACATCAAATAAATGGAATAATCAATGCATTCTGTTTGTTCCCTAAGGCTGTAACAGACTATGTTTGAATTTATTTGAAAGCAAGTTTTGTTTCCAAGATTAGATGACTTGCAAAAGATTTTATGCCTCCTTCCTGAGAACCTGAATAGAGCATTATATTTGGGTGATATTTTAGTCATTTTTCACAATCATTAGCAAAGGGATTACTCTGGCCACGAATATATCCAAGTCAGTGATTTCAGGAGTCAGAAGAGAAATGCTCCAAAAGACTACACCCCAGTCTTCAGCATGGGGTCAGTGTCAGGACTATAAGATTATGACTTCTTAGTGACAGGATTTCATATTTATAAAACCAGCAAAGTTTACTTTCATCAAGGATTGAAATATAAGACACAGGGCTCAGACAGTGTGTGGGTGAAGCAATGCGGAAAGGAGTAAGAAGGTACATGTGTAAACTGATAAAATTGATATCAACTAGACAGTGGGTGTATAATTTACATGCCTATATGTTACTTATTCTCTAAAATTCCCCCATGATGTAAATTTTGCATTCTTGAGACCTAGCAGAGCACTTTCCTCAGGGTTGGTATCCGATACCAAGGGAAATAACCATAAAAGAGAAATGTGAGGGGTTGGGAGAAATTAGACATCAAGTAAACCATAGGACACATTAAAAAGAGACCTTGAAGGGATTGAAATGGCCAAGGTTGAAAGAAATGGAAATCCAAACAACACAGAGAAACATGGACCTCCCTCTGAACTATTTGCATTTGAGCACAGCTGAAAAAGCTGAAGAAACTTGGTTTTTTAAAGCAAGCATAGTACACTTTGCTTAAAGCAACTGCCTGCCATGACCAAGTAGCTGAAAATAATATGAATTATGTTATCAATAATAATTCCAGAGTAAAAATATGACCTTCCAAAAACAACTGAAGGAAACATTGTTCTTGTATTTGTGTAAGGCTCAATGGAGTTGGCAAATAGTTTTTATGTTTCTTTTTCTTTTTTTTGAGACAGAGTTTCACTCTTTTTGCCCAGACTAGAGTGCAATGGCACCATCTTGATCTCGGCTCACTGCAACCTCCACCTCCCAGGTTCAAGTGATTCTTCTGCCTCAGCCTCCTGAGTAGCTGGGATTACAGGCAACTGCCACCACACCCAGCAATTTTTTTTGTATTTTTAGTAGAGATGGGGTTTCACCATGTTGGCCAAGCTGGTCTCAAACTCCTGACCTCAGGTGATCCACTGGCCTCGGCCTCCCAAAGTGCTGGGATTACAGGGGTGAGCCACCGCACCTGGCTCATGTTTCAACACTTAGTTGTTAACCACAAAAAACTTTTTAGAAAGGAAGCAGAAACATAATAACATTTGAAAATAATTATTTTCTCTGCCTTTTATGAATAGTCTCTGTTTCAGAGATCAACAGTGTGTCATTGATTAAGTAATTTACTCTTTACAGCTGCCAAAAAAATAAAATGGGGCTCAAATAAATTGACCAAACTGACATGTTAAACAGCTTTGTTAAAATTTTCATTACAAGAATGCCCTCTCTCACCACTCGTATTCAACATAGTATTGGAAGTTCTGGCCAGGACAATGAGGCAGGGAAAGAAATAAAAGATATTCAAATAGGAATAGAGGAAGTCAAATTGTCTCTGTTTGCAGACAACATGATTCTATATTTAGAAAATCCCATCGTCTCAGCCCAAAAAATCCTTAAGCTGATAAGCAACTTCAGCCAAGTCTCAGGATACAAAATCAATGTGCAAAAATCACAAGCATTCCTATACACCAACAGCAGACAAGCAGAGAGCCAAATCACGAATGAATGAACTATTCACAACTGCTACAAAGATAATAAAATACCTAGTATTACAGCTAACAAGTGACGTGAAGGACCTCTTCAAGGAGAACTACAAACCACTGCTCAAGGAAATAAGAGACGACACAAACAAATGGAAAAACTTTCCATCCTCGTAGATAGGAAGAATCAATATTGTGTAAATGGCCATACTGCCCAAAGCAATTTATAGATTCAATGCTATTCCCATCAAACTACCATTGACATTCTTCACAGAATTAGAAAAAAACCACTTTAAATTTCATATGGAACCAAAAAAGAGCCCACATAGCCAAGACAATCCTAAGTAAAAATAACAAAACTGGAGGCATCATACTACCTGACTTCAAACTATACTACAAGGCTGCAGTAACCAAAACAGACATATAGGCCAATGGAACAGAACAGAGACCTCAGAAATAACACCACACATCTACAATCATCTGATCTTCAACAAACCCAACAAAAAAGATGCAATGGGGAAAGGATTCCCTATTTAATAAATGGTACTGGGAAAATTGGCTAGCCATATGCAGAAAACTGAAACTGGACCCCTTCCTTATGTCTTATACAAAAATTAACTCAAGATGGATTAAGGACTTAAATGTAAAACCCCAAACCATAAAAACCCTAGAAGAAAGCCTAGGCAATATCATTCAGGACATAGGTGTGGGCAGAGATTTCATGATGAAAATGCCAAAAGCAATTGCAACAAAAGCTAAAATTGACAAATGGGATCTAATTAAGCTAAAGAGCTTCTACACAGCAAAGAAACTATCATCAGAATGAACAGGCAACCTACAGAATGGGAGAAAATTTTTGCAATCTACCCATTTGATAAAGGTCTAATATCCAGAATCTATGAGGAACTTAAACAAATTTACAAGAAAAACAAACCCATCAAAAAGTGGGCAAAGGATATGAACAGACATTTCTCAAAAGAAGACATTTATTCAGCCAACAAACATGTGAAAAAAAGCTCAACATCACTGATCATTAGAGAAATGCAAATCAAAACCACAATGAGACACGATCTCATGCCAGTCAGAATGGTGATTACTAAAAAGTCAAGAAACAATAGATGCTGGCGAGGCTGTGGAGAAATAGGAATGCTTTTACACTGTTGGTGGGAATGTAAACTAGCTTAATTTACATTGTGGAAGACAGAGTGGTGATTCCTCAAGGATCTAGAACCAGAAATACCAGCAATCCCATTACTGGGTATATACCCAAAGGAATATAAATCATTCTACTATAAAGACACATGCACATGTATGTTTATTACAGCACTATTTACAAGAGCAAAGACATGGAACCAACCCAAATGCCCATCAATGATAGACTGGATAAAGAAAATGTGGTACATATACACCATGGAATACTATTCAGCCATAAAAAGGAATGAGATCCTGTCCTTTGCGGGGACATGGATGAAGCCAGAAGCCATCATCCTCAGCAGACTAACACAGGAACAGAAAACCAAATGCCGCATGTTCTCACTCATAAGTGGGAGTTGAACAATGAGAACACATGGACACAGGGAGGGGAACAAAACGCACAGGGGCCTGTCGGGGGGTGGGGGAAGGAGAGCATTAAGACAAATACCTAATTCATGCAGGGCTTAAAACCTAGATAATGGGTTGATAGATGCAGCAAACCACCATGGCACACGTATACCTGTGTAACAAATCTGCACATTCTGCACATGTATCCCAGAAATTAAAGTAAAATAAAAAATAAAAAATTTCATTTCAGTTATTGTGCTTTTTTAACTCTAGAATTAGTTTTTTTATTTCACTATTAAGATTCTCTATTTGTTAACTCACTATTAACATATTTCCTTTTAATTTATCAAACATAGTTTTCTTTAATTTCTTTGACAAATTTATAATACCTGCTTTGAAGGCAGTCTCTGCTAAATCCAACATTTGAGTTCAATCAGAGTCAGTGTCTATTGACTACTTTTCCCTCTGAGTTTAGGTTACACTTTCCAGTTTCTTTATATGTCTATCAATTTTTAGTTGAGAATTGAACACTTCAGGCTACTCTCGGCACACTGCCTATAGGGTAACCCTGCTCTGCAAGGAGCAGTATTTAAAAAAAAGAGAGAAAAAAAGAAAATTGAACACTTCAGATAACATTTTATAGAATATATTGTAATAATTCTCGATTGTTTTATTTTTCTGAAGCCTTTTTGTTTATTTTGCTTGTTTGGTGTTTAATACCTTTTCTGAACTTAAACTGCAGAATCTGCTTCACTCACCTCACTCCTAGTATGCAGCCACTGATGTCTCTGCTCACATTTTTAATTCTTATTTTAACATTTCAGCCCAACTTTCTAAAGATTGCCCCCATCTCTGAATAGCTTAGTTATTGCCAATCAATTTGGCTGAGGTTGTGTTGAAACAGTTTGAGCTTATAAGGCTTCTACCCTCTGCTGATTGAACTGTGTGTGGTTAAAAAATGTATTCAAAGTTGCAGCCAGTTTTCATGTTTCCCTTGGCTTTCACTTTTCCCCAGGATCTTTTGGGTCTCTCCCATGTGTTTAGTTTGGCCATCCACCAGGGAAGTATAGAGAGCTTATCTCAGCACTTCTATGGTTCTCTGACTTCCAGACTCTTCCCGTTAAATATCTGGCTGTAATCACCATTCACCTCGAACCAGGACCTCAGCCTTGGGGAACAAGCAAAGCTGGGGTTTTCCCCATCTATAACAAACTAAGTCCACCACTTATATCTGGAAAATCTATGGGATTTCACCTTCCTCTTTATCATTTACATGTGTTACTCTTAATGTATCTCCTGTACATCTAACTCCATATTGGCATCTGCTTTCCAGAGGACCTAAACTGACATGACACAGTTGGTGTCATAGTTAAATGGGCCATCAACTCTGCAGTTGTCACTGATAGGATGTGTAAACTAGAATGGATGATGCACATTATCATCATTTATAAAACCAGGATTGTGCTGGAGCCACCAGCTAGTCTCTGTCCAGGCCTATTGGCTGAAATCAAAGACACTGCTTAATGCTTTAAGGAACCCCAGGGTGAAGTTCCTCCTGTAGAAAGGAATGAGGCAATCATATGGGGGAGAATTCAATGGTCATTTGAATTTGGGCAGTTGTCACCAACCTGAGGTGGGAAACTAGATTTGGAACTGAAGGAGGATCCACAGGAGATACCATTCTGGCAAAGAAAAATGTTTCTAAAAACCTTCCAGGACTTCCTGATTGTATTAATAATTGTATTCAGCTAGTTGTAACAGAGACTTGAATACAGTGGCTAAAAACACAATAGTTTATTCTCTTGCATAAAACAAGCTCATAGGTATACAGACGACAATTGGTATGACAACTTCACAAAGTCATCAGGAATCTATGATCATCCCAACTTTTTGCCCAGCCATTCTTACCATGTAACTTCTGTCCTTTAGGTCATCCCACATCCCAGGGTGAATGCTGGAGCTCAGCCATTATATCTGTATTCCACCTAGGAAAGAACAGGGAAGAAAAGCAAAAAGCCCTCCACTGAGTTAGCTCCTTTAAACAGCCTTCCCAAAGGTTGCATACACCACCTCCACTTAATCCCATTGGCCAGAACTTGATCACATTTCTACAACAAGGTAAGCCAGAAAATGTAGTCCTTTATTCTTAGAAGCAATATGCCTAGCTAAAAATCAGGATTCTCTTATTAAACAGAATTATTTGCCACACATCCTTCAGTTTAAAAAAATCTACATTGATCTGGTTTAAGTTGAACAGCATGGTCAGAGAGAGAGGAATGTGGGTAACTTTTTTCCATATGGGTCCCCTAGACACAAGAAGGCTGATGGCACGGAATCAACCATGACCATCAGGGAGAGCCCACTCACTACCCTAGAGACCTTGAAAAGAACGCAGACATAAGTCTCAATGAATGCAACTCTATGATTTTTTAAAGAGACGGGTTTTGCTGTGTTGCCCAGGCTAGAGTGCAAAGAAGCAGTCGTAGATCACTGCAGCTTCAAATTCCCGGGCTCAGGCAATCCTCCTGCTGAGTAAACTGAGCATGGTGGCACATTCCCATAGTCACAGCTACTGCTAATTTTTTTTTTTTTTTTTTGTAGAGTCGGCAGTCTTGCCATGTTGCCCAGGCTGATCTTGAACTCCTAGCCTCAAGTGATCCTCCTGCCTCTGCCTCCCAAAGTTCTGGGATTACAGGTGTGAGCCACTACACCTAACCATCTCTATGATTTTTTTTACTTGTCACTGAATACCTTTTCTCTTTTTGATAAGAGAAATTGGAAAAGCCCAGTCATACCTGTTAACAAAATACAATCAACCAAATTGGCTGTGAACATCTACTAATACAAACTCTGATTTGATAATAGCCTCTCATGCACAGACACATACACACAAATACATACAGATGTTCTAGTGAGAATTATCACCAGATCTAGAATTGAGTCTGATAAACCACAATTGTACTTGCTTGAATACCTTGGCTTTATTTACCTAAGAGGATGCCTTAACAGAAGACACAGGAAAAATTTTAGAAGTCTATTTTTTTAAGTAGATGGTCTCTGCTTTCTCTCTAATTATTCACAGAATGTGAATATATCATTGATCTAGGTCAGAAGTCCCATGTCAATGACACACGTAAACATATATGCACATAAGGTCAGTGCAAAAGTAATTGCGGCTTTGCAATTACTTTTAACGGCAAAACCGCAGTTACTTTTGCACCAACTTAATATATAAGTGATAATAATTCATGTTACTGAGCTATAGATTATATCAGACATCTTTTTGCAAGGGAAGTATTCTGCAAGAGAGACTACAGACTTGGTTTTCCCCATTC
Source organism: Homo sapiens (assembly GCF_000001405.40). Classification (NCBI taxonomy): domain Eukaryota; kingdom Metazoa; phylum Chordata; class Mammalia; order Primates; family Hominidae; genus Homo; species Homo sapiens. The sequence continues at coordinate 38,247,854 of NC_000023.11, read as the reverse complement.
TGGACAACAGCATCTTGCCTACAACTCTCAGGTAGGGGTCCCCATTCCAAGTAGCTATCTGCCATAACACATGGAGGAAACTTTTCACCTGGAACTTCATAAAGACAACCTAGAAATTTACCGAGCATTATAAGTGTGTATCTTATATAAAGTTAAAGCATGGTTATACATAATAGTGAAAATATTAACATTTAATAAACACTTATGCACCAAACACAGTTACATGGGCTTTATTTTTATTAACTCTTTTAATCTTCACAACAACCCTATGAGAAAAGTTTTACTATCCCCATTTTATAGATTTAGAAATGAGTCACAGAGAAAAAAAAGTAACTGTGTAAGATCATACAGCTTGTAAGTGGATTTTTGACTTTACAAAATCTGTGCTCTTAATCACTATACTTTAAATTGTGTGCAGCATTAACTATAATTATTTGATTTCCTACATTTATTTTTTAATTTTTTCTCTATGAATTGATGAATATCTTTAGCCAAGTGTGGCTGAGAGAATTGTCTTCACTTTGATTTTTTCTTACTTTGTTGTGTTACTCAAGTTCTGGGTATAACCCTGCCATCACTTTTCTGAGTCTGTATTACGTTAGGCTACGTGTAGTGGCTTTGTAGGTCAACTTAGCTAACTTGGAACTGTGTTTCTCAGAATTTCTTTCCCTGTGTGGTTCTCTTTTGTGGTGGGCCACAAGAGAATTTAGAAGGTAAAGGTGAAGTAGTACCCATTATTCTCTGCAGCTCAGTGTAAGGAGCCAGGCAATCCTGCAGGCTGTACATATTGCTGCAGATATGCTGGGTCACTTTGTTGATATGGGACAAGAGCTGGGCCCACAGATTCTTTGCCTCCTTCCTGACCTCCTTCAGTTTCTTTAAGTTCTGAGCCAGATGCATATGCAGCTCCGTGGCAAAAGATGTCAACTTCTGCAGGTCACGCACATCATTGAAACTGGAGACAGTCAGTAATGGATGGTTTCCAGTTTGTCCTTATGGGCTCCAGTTTGGCCTTGCTTTCTCCCACTTTATATTCAACTTTTCTTTCTGATTTCTGGCCCTGCTACCTACAGTGACTTCACACTCATCATTGTATGCAGAGGCCACAACTCTTTTTTTTTGGCTATGATTTTATTTATTAGTTATTAATGTATTTATTTTCAATTTCTATTTTAGGTTCAGGGGGTACACTGCAGGTTTTTTACGTGGGTAAATTGCATGTTGGGGGTTTGGTGTACAGATAATTTTGTTACCCAGGTAGTGAGAATAGTACCTGATACGTAGTTTTTCAACCCTCACTCTCCTCCCACCCTTCACCCTCAAGGAGGTCCCTGTATCTATTGTTTCCTTCTTTGTGTACTCAATGGACAACAGCTTTCTATATGGTTCCTCACCAGCTTCCACAACTCCTTTGTCAGAAATTAATTGATCTTATATGCGTGGGTCTATTTCTGGACTTTCTCTTCTGTTTCATTGATCTGTTTGTCTACCTTTATGCCAACACCACATTATCTTCATTAACATAGCTTTTTAATAAATCTTGAAGTCAGGGAGCGTTATTTCTCCACATTTATTTTCTTTTTCAAAGTGGTTTTTGCTGCTCTAGTTCTTTGCATTTCAATATTCATTTTAGAATTTGTCTGTTAATTTCCATGACAAAAGCCTACTGAGATTTTGATTTGGACTGAGTTGAATGTAAAGATCAGTTCAGGGAGACTTGACATCTTAAAGTAATCCTTATCATAAATTCAAAATTCCATATCACTTACAGTATCTCTGCTTTCCTAATCAAACTTGAATGGATAAACCAATTCATAATATAACAAATAAACATGCAAACAAGCGGCTTAACACAACAAAGGTTTATTCTGAGCTCAGGATATAAGTTCAATGTGAGCCAACAAGGTGAGCTTTGGGGGTAGCTCTGTTCCACATAGCGACACAGGCTGATGGAGACGCTGATATCTTTGTTTTTGTTTGTTTGTTTGTTTTTTGAGATGGAGTCTTGCTTTGTCGCCCAGGCGACACTGCAACCTCTACTCCCCAGGTTCAAGCGATTCTCCTGCCTCAGCCTCCTGAGTAGCTGGGATTACAGGCATGCTCCACTGTACCTTGCTAATTTTTATATTTTTAGTAGAGACCAGGGTTGGCCATATTAGCCAAGCTGGTCTTGAACTCCTGACCTCAGGTGATCCACGCGCTTCGGTCTCCCAAAGTGCTGGGATTACAGGCGTGAGCCACCACGCCGACACTGATATCTTAACATTTGAGCTTCATGATTGCTGAGGCAGGAAAAGAGAAGAACTAGGAGACTCTTAAATGCTTTGCCTCAAAAGTGACAAATTTTACTTCTTCAAGCACTTTGGCCACATGACCCCATTTATTTGTAAAGAGGGCTTGGAAATGTGGAGAAACACATGGATATTCAATGTGCACTAGATGCCTCTGCCACGGTCCACACTTCTGTTTACCAAATATCCCCTTGCTTCCATTCACCCTGTAGTAGATGCTATTGGTGCCCCCACCTTGATGACTTTCACCAGGCAGGTGCACACATCTCCCAGCTGCTGTTAATGTTGGCCAGTGGCTCACAGCTGCTTCCTCTTCTGGAAAGTTGCCTTTAGCCAAAAGGAAATTTCCTCCTGATCTAAATACATTCCCATGTATAGAATACCCTCCACCATTCCCCAAGGGAGGCCACCCAAAGTCCCATGTAATCTATTAATATAGCTTATAATTCTGCATCTCTGGGCAATGCACGATAGCCTTCACCTCTGGACCAGTCCTGGTTCTTCTTGGTCCAAAAGCCTAATGAAAACAACGAATTGTCTGGCCTCCCCTTCCAACACACACCTAACATATAATGGTGGAAATAAACATTCTCATTTGGAAAGGGAAAGAAAGAGACACACAGCAGTTACTGGATGTAGCAGTTCCAAAACTGCTCTGTGTGAGTGGAGGCCCCTATCCTGAGAGTGAAGAACATTCTGAATCAGGCCCTGATTTTCTCTCTGGAAGAAACTCTCTTGTCCATTGTTCTTGGTGGTCCCTGGCCTGCCCTCTAGCAGCTCTCCTTTTTCTATTCCGCTTCTTGCCATAACTAAAGTAGTTATTGAAGAACATATATGCCCTCCTTGAGTCTATCTAGTGTTGTCTGCTGCCCTTAGAAGACTGGGGACCCAAAGATGGTTTATTTCATTAAAAAAAAATTTGATTGATTAAATAAAGGTTGTATATACTCAAGGTCCTTGGAGGATTTTAAGGCTTGAATAGTCGTCTTATTTTATTCCATTTGTTATTGCCCAGACTTGTGGCTTCTCTAGCAGTACGAGACTTTTTTTTTTTTTTTTTTGAGACAGGGTCTCACTCTCTTGCCCAGACTGGAGTGCAGTGGCCTGATCTGGGCTCACCGCAACCTCCACCTCCCAGGCTCAAGCGATTCTCCTGTCTCAGCCTCCCGAGTAGGTAGGATTACAGGCTCGTGCCACTACTTCTAGGCTAATTTTTGTATTTTTAGTAGAGACAGGGTTTCACCATGTTAGCTAGGCTGGGCTCGAACTCCTGACCTCAAATGATCCACCCTCCTCTGTCTTCCAAAATGATGGGATTACAGGCCTGAGCCACCGCGCCCAGCCACAAGACTCTTAAAAACTTGTTAGACTGAACAATGGGTAAACTGATTAATAAAAATGGCACACCTATGTAATGGAATATTATTTATCCATAAAAAGGAATGAAGCAGTGACACATGCTACAACACGGATGACCCTTAAAAACATTATGCTAAATGACAGAAGACAAATGCGAAAGACCATGTTTTATATAATACAATTTACATGAAATATCCGAAATAGGCAAATCCATAGAGACAGAAAGTAGACTAGTTTCCAGGGGTTAGCAGGAGGGAGGAATGAAAAGTGAGTGCTAATTAGGTATGATGTGTCTTTTGGGGCTGATGAAACTGCTCTGGAATTAGCGATATTGGTTGTACAACTTTGTGACTATACTAAAACCACTGAATTTGACACTTTAAAAATAAACTTAATAAAGCCTTATTAGACTTCTTAAAATATGATTGTAGTCAATGCCATGTAACAGCCACACCCATAGTTCTTTTGAGGACATAATTAACAGATCTGGCACACTTTTTGCTGTTTTGTAAATCCCACATCTTTCTCTCTCTATTGATTTAATAATGAAAGAATCTAGAAGAGGGCAGAGAAGGCCATCATCTTAATTACATTTTTTTTCCTGAGTAATTTTGTACAAGTAAGAGATTTTATTGAGGGCTACACCCTTAATCTGATCTTCACCTTACAGCACTTTTGACAAAATGGTTTTACTGAAGTATAATTGAAATACAATAACCTGCATATATTTAAAGTGTACAGTTTGACAAATTTTAACATGTATATATACCATTACCACATTCAATATAATGAACATATCCATCACCCCCAAAGTTTGTTTATACCCCCTTGTAACTTCTCTTTCCGCCCTTCTCCATCCCCTCCCCCAGGCTATCACTAATGTTTTCTCACTATACATTAATTTGTCTACAATTTATAGAATTCGAATAATAACAGTAGGTACCCTTTGTTTTGCCTTCATTCATTCAGCATAATTCTGATTTGGCTCATATGATAGGTGTATGGTTAACTTTTAAATAAACTGCCTAACTATTTTCCAAGTCTTTGTACCATTTGATATTCCTACCAGCAGGGAATGAGAATTTAATTTCTTCATATTTTCCCCAACATTTGGTATATATAACCAGCCTTTTAAATTTCAACCATTCTCATAGGTATGTAGTAATATCACATTATGGTTTTAACTGGAATTTCCCTAATGATGTTGAGCATCTTTTTGTGCTTATTTGTCATCCGTATATCTACTTTTGTGAAGTGTCTATTCCAAATTTTGGGTGCTTATTTATTTTCTTATGATTGATTTTGGAGTTCTTCATATATTCTGAACATATAATTTACAAATATTTTCTCTTCACCTGTGGCTCGTCTTTTAGTTTGTTAACATCATCATTTGAGAAGCATACCTTTTTCATTTTGATGAAGTTCATTTCACATTATTTTCCTCTTTTATAGATTGTGCTTTTGGTGTCATATCTAGGAAAGCTTTGCCTAGTCCAAGATCACAAAGATTTCTTGTGTTTTCTTCTAGACGTGGATCAAAGTGCTCTTTTTATTGGCATATAGATGTGTGATGGTTACATTATCATTTGTTGATAATACTATCTTTTTGCCACTGTATTGCCTTGGCACCTTTGTCAGAATTTAATTGATCTTATATGCATGGGTCTATTTCTGGACTTTCTCTTCTGTTTCATTGATCTGTTTGTCTACCTTTATGCCAACACCACATTATCTTCATTAACATAGCTTTTTAATAAATCTTGAAGTCAGGGAGTGTTATTTCTCCAAATTTATTTTTCTTTTTCAAAGTGGTTTTTGCTGCTCTAGTTCTTTGCATTTCAATATTCATTTTAGAATTTGTCTGTCAATTTCCATGACAAAAGTCTACTGAGATTTTGATTTGGACTGAGTTGAATGTAAAGATCAGTTCAGGGAGACTTGACATCTTAAAAATATTGAGTCTTCAGATCCATGAAATTTAATTTTTCTCAATATTTTAATGTTTGTAGTATACAGGTCATGCACAGCTTTTGCCAGATTTATCTACAGATCTCTCATATTTTTAATGCTATTGCAAATAGCATTACTTTAAAAATTTCAATTCTGATTGCTTGTATAGTAAATGGTATATATAACTTACTTATTAGTTCTAACAACTTTTTGTAAATTCTATTGGATTTGGATTTTTTTAATAGACAGGGTCTCGCCATGTTGCCCAGGCTGGTCTCAGACTCCTGGCCTCAAGTGATCCTCCTGCCTTGGCCTCCAAAACTGCTGGGATTATAGGCATGAGCCACTGCACCCAACCTGGATTTCCTATATAGACAATCATGCCATCTTTGAATAGACAGTTTCATTTTTTTCTTCCTAATCTGAATATATTTTATTTTCTCTTCTGGCCTGATTTCATTGACTAGAACTTCCAGTAAAATATTGAATAGAAGTGGCAAGAGCACACATCCTTAGGGGAAAAGTATTCTACCTTCACCATTAAGTATGATATTAACTGCGGTTATTTTGAAACGTTCTTTAATGGTTTGAGGAAGTTTCCTTCCAGTCTTAGTTTGTGGAAAGCTTTTACCACGAATAGATGTTGAATTTTTGTCAAATGCTTTCTCTGCATCTATCAAGATGATAATATTATTTTTCTTTTTTGATCTGTTAATGTGATAAATTACATTGATTGAATTTTGAATGTTAAAACTACTTTGTATTCCTAGGATAAACTCTACTTGGTTGTGATATATTATACTTTTTGTGTTATATATTGCTTGATTCAATTTACTAAAATTTAAAGAATTTTTACATCTATGTTCAAGAGGAAAATTGGGCTGTAGTTTTCTTTTTTTGTAGTCTTTGTCTGGTTTTGCTATCAGAGTAATTCTGGCCTCATAGACTACATAGGAACATATTCCCTCCTCTTCAATTTTCTCTAAGGTTTTATGAGAATTGGTATGATTTCTCCCTTAAATGTTAGGTAGAATTCACTAGTGAAGTCAACTGGGCCTGGGGTTTTCTTTGTGGGAGGTTTTAACTACATATGTTGGCTCTTAAATGCTTAAGCTTAGGAACAATATATCACACTTTTCACAGCCATAACCAGCCATATGGTTCTACCTAATTGCAAGAAGGCTAGAAAACGTAGAGAAGCACATAGGTATTTGGTGGTCAGTAAATGTCTACGCTGTAGGGTCTTTCTGAAAATGTATAGAAAACTGTCTACATGAGTAACTGCTCAAAAATTACTTTAAAGTTTTGAGATGTAGCAACTATATTACTAGGCTAGTTCATCTCCTCCAACATTCTACAAAAATCCCATTGCTTTTATTGTACAACTCTGGAAATAAAATCTTATTCTCTGTGCTGTGTCTCTGTCCTCTGTTCTATGGAAACTCAGTTTTCTCCTCCTATGGCTTCTGCTTCACATTTGTGAAGGAGAGGATTTTATCCAAGTTAGGCTTTGGCAGGAAAAAAATAATTTCTAGATTGGATCCAAGGTGGAAATGGTTCCTCAGTGTTATGGAAACACAAATACCACGATTCTTACTGTCTTACACTATAAATATTCCAGTGTCTGCACAGCTTCTCTTGGCTACGGAATCATTTAAATATTTCATGTCTGCCAATATTTGAACTACAAAACCCCCTAAAGTTTTAATTTTGTTAATATTTTCATATTATTAACACTAATTGATTAGGCATGTCAGATAAGTTTGTTCAAAAATTAAGAACTTATTAGAAGTTATATTATTCAGGGTAGATGCCAAGATGCTGTGACAGAGACCCACTGTAGATTGGCTGATTCAGGGTACATGTTTCTTTCTCAGATCACAGTCCAGAAATGTGCAATCCAAGACTAGTGAAGCCACTCTGCAATCCTCAACATGCTTCCATTTCATGGTTCAAGATGGCTGCCCAGTTTTCATCTCCTAGCCAAGATTAAAGGGAGAGGCTCAGGATAGCATGTGAACCTTCCATTATCAAGGAACAACTTGGAAGTTAGCATACATTACTTCCACTTACATTCCGTGACAGAACTTAGTCTTAGGACTATATCAAATTGCAAGGGAGGGTGAAATACCCTGAGCTGGGAATTCATGTGCCTAGCTAAAGCTCAGGGGTTGTATTATTAAAGAGAGACTGGATATTGGTGAAACGTGAGCAGGATTTCAGGAGTATGCAATGTTGACAGGAAGGCAGAAGAAAAGGTTTGGAAGCAGGCAAAAGAGGGGCAGCTTTGAGTGGGCAGGGGTGGAGCACTGGGAAATAGGCATTGTAGGAACAGTCAGGGTGCTGCTATTGAAATTTTTAAAAATACAACCATTTTGTCACTTATTCTGTCTCTTCTTCTAATTCAAGGTCAAGATGGCCAAGAAAAGGTGCCTGCCTTACACTATATCAGGGAAATAAAGAAGAATCAGGTGGATGCTACTTCCTGAAACTCTTGGGCTTTCATAGTTGGACGGGGAGACATCTGGATTTCCCATTCCACTAGATTTTTCACAATAGGGAAAGGTAGTTCCCCAGAAAGAAATTGAGGTACGATTTGTTCTGGGCTATCACAAAACACAAACAGACCACATCAACCACTTAAAATATTTGCCAGAATATTGATTCCATCATTTAATTCATTTGGCCATTCCAAAAACAAGGAAGTTTGTGACTATTATAAAAATGAAGTCACCATTGTACCTCATAGTGCCAGGCCTTAGGTTTTACTGATGCTTTCTTTGCAATATTTCTTGTACCTGTGCCTTCTTTCCCATTCTTTGTATGTTTTTCAAGCCTTATCGTCTGTTGCCTGAAGTATCCATCCTTGGCTAGGATGCTTGGGGTTCAAGTAAGAGAAAAGCCTAACTCAACTGATGCAAACAGTAACAACATTTTTACCACCTATATGAAGGAGTCCAGAACCCCAGGTAGGCTCCAGGCAACATGGATACAGGCTCTGGTTCTATTTCTCTTGTCGTTCTCTTCATTCTCCTCATCTTCCTGTGTTGACTCCAGTCTCAGTCTGGTTGTGAAATGGCTATTGTATTCCAGGCATACATTCATGCATAATGTCAGTGGAACAAGAGGGACTTTCTCTTGTCTGTATGATTATTTTAGGAGTATAGTGGATGCTGAAATGTGCTACCTATATTCCTCTTTAGGATTGAAGGACCTATTCTCTCAGCTGCTGGAGGTGTTTTTAGCAGAGAGCCTGCAGCTGTCAGTCCTTTTTGGAAATGCCCTTTACTGAAGATACTTGCCTTGCTGAAATTCACTTTCCCTTCCTGGGAGCAGCCAATATCCAATAACTGTTTGTCACCAGTACATAAAGGTCCAGCTTCCTCACCTCAGCTCAGAACGACTCCGCAGGACCATCCTTAGAGTTCTTTGTTGGGCTGGCTGAGGCATTCACTGAAACTACATCACAGCTGAAAGTCTCTCTCACCCACTCCTGCTGTCTTCTCTTTCCTCCCACAGGCATCAATCTCAAATGCACTCCCTCATGAAATTCCCGCATGCTCATTGCCTTCTCAGAGTCTGTTTTTTCAGAGAACCCGATATGCAACAAGAAGTGAAGATACCTTTCACAGGCCCCCCTTACATCTCAGTGTCCTACTGTGCCACATGCACACTCCTAATTTGATTCTTGGTAGGAGGAACAGGACTGTCATGATTGGCTTACACCAAGTACCGCTTTTCCCCTAGAGCTGGGAATGGAGTCAAGCTCCCCTAATTCTTGTAGAGCAAGGAGGGGAACTGATCAAAACTGGGTCTCTGCTAGCAGTGAAAAAGCAGGCAATGAATGTTGGGTTGACAACCAACATTGTCTGAGGCATCAACTTCCTGCCTCAAGATTTTCCTTCTTGCTCATTGCAACCACTGCGATGGTCATCTTCTCCAGAGACTGTTTTACTCATATCGCTTTTATGTTTTAAAAAAATCTCCGTGGATACCCACAGATCATATTATACATAATTTCAATCTTTTTGTTTTATTTTCTTTTTGATATAACCCACCCAGAGAAACAACATATGCTCATCAGTCACAAGGGCGTGTTGCTTACTATTTCAATACAGAAGGGATCTTAGAAAAGCAGGAAAGAAGGAGAAGGGCACCCCAGGTAGGACAGTGCAAATTAGGCTCTCCAGAAGCATGTGTTTTTGACAACCCAGGAAGCCATATTGCATTCTCCTGGAGAATCACTCACCTATAGGTTCTAGGCTTCAGAATCAAGTAGATTTTAGCCTGATCATCAAAGATCCAGGTAACTTAGCTCCAATTTTTCTTTCCAGCTGCCTCTCTCACTATTCTCCTACATGACCATTCTGCTCTATCTTACATTGCTGTCTCTGCTTTCATTCTTCAAACCCTGCCTTAAGCCTCACCACCTCCATAATAGCTTTTCTGAGCCCTGCAGTCCACTTTAACTTCTCATTTACCATACCACCCATAGTGTCAGCCAACAGATGATGTCCGGCATTCACAAAGTCCTTCAAAACTACTAAGACATCATAGGTAGATATTTCTGTATGTATTCCCAGCCTTTTCTCTAATCACATTTCAGTACAGTCAAGTGATTCCTGGATGTGACCACACTACAACTGCCACGAAGACACAGAGGCTCAATCATTTTAAGAACGCTGAACAGACAGAAAATTACTCAGTCATTTCTCATACACACAAAAATAAACACACGTCTTAGTCCATTAGGGCTGCTATAACAAAATACCATAAACTGGATATTTTATAAACAACAGAAATTTATTTTTCACAGCTCTGGAGGCGGGGAAGTCCAGGATCAAGGCACCAGCAGATTCTGTGTCTGGTGAGGGCTTGGTTTCTGATTCATAGATGGCAACTTCTCGCTACATTCTCAGATGGTGAGAGAAGAAAGGGTTCTCTTTCAGGGCCTCTTTTATAAGGCCACTAATTTCATTCATGAGGGCTCCACTCTCATGATCTAAATTACCTACAAAAGGCTTCATCCCTTAATACCATCGCCTTAAAGGTTAGGATTTCAACATATGAATTTTGGGGGAACACAAACATTCAGATCATAGCAACAGAAAATGTGGAATTCTTAAATGCCAATGGTCTCTGGTAAATTCTTGAAGCATTCCATGTGTGAGCAACTGGAGTGAAGAAACCCTGTGATAACTCTTGGTATTCCCAAAGTGACTTTGCACATGGTCAACAAATGTTTGATGAATTAATGAGAATCATCATTCACTGTGCTTTGAGTCATTAATTTTTTAGTGAGAAATGTCACATCAAATAAGCCTTAAGAGGTTACACAATTAGATAAATTGAAGTGTTAATTCAAGCTTTCATATGGGAAAATTCAAACTTTCATATGGGAAAGTTTTACAAACTTGTCCCAACAATAGGAATTCATTCATTTATTAATTTACTCAAAAAGTGTTTTTTGAGTACCCACCATGTGCTCTTTGCTAGTGCTATAAATACAGTGATGAGCAAATCAGACACCGTTCCTGTGTCAAAGAGATTTAAAGTCTATCTGGGAATATATATATTATTCAAATACTTTACATAAATAGACAAATGTTATATGGTTTCAAACAAGTTGTTCAACTAGATACATGCTATAAAGTACATGTTTCAGTTATCTATTGTTGCTTCATAATGAATCATCTCAAAATTTATTGGCTCAAAACAACAACTATTATTTCTTATTATATCTCATAGGTCTAAGGTTAACGTGGCTCAGCTGGGCATTTCTCACTTAGGGTGTTTCATGTATTTGCAGTTCAACAGTGACTGGGGTTGAAGTAACCTTGAAGGCTTCCTAACTGTCATGTCAGCAGTTGATGCTAGCTGTTGACTGAGATCTCAATGACCCCTCCATGTGGCTTCATCCCAGTGTGGTTGCTGGCTTCCAATAGTCAGCATCTCAAAGAAAAGACCAGGCCAAAGCTACATTACCTTTTATGACCTAGCTTTAGAAGTCACACAGTGTCACTTCTGACAGTCACATAGCCACCTTAAGAGGAAGAAATATGGAGTTTCCTTCATAGGAGGAGTGTCAATGTCACACTGTTAAGAAGAGCATAATGGATGGAAGGTATTGTTACAGCCATCTTGGAAAATATGCAGCACATAAGACAGGCAGGCAAACTTATCTACTAGGGAGTCAGGGAGAACTTCTCCGAAGAATAGTCACTTAAGATAAGATCTGAAAATATGGAGCTGTTACCTGGAATAAGGAGTAGGAAATGCAAGCAAATGGAATATTATGTGTAAAAACCCTGAGGCAGAAAGGAACAGTACACAGACTGAAAGAAGTGTGGCCACAATATGGAATGAGGGGAAGCATGGAGGACAGAGTTGAAGCTAGATAGGTAGACAGGATCCAGATCAAACAGGGCCTTTTTGGCTGTAGTCAGAATCTTGTTCTTTAGTCTGTAGCACCAGTAATTCATCAAAGAGTTTTAAGCTGGTGAGTGACAGTTTGTTCCTAGTACAGCAAGTAGAGAATAAACTGAGGTTGCAGGAGGGACAGGAGTGGATGCATGGGACTACTTACAAGGCTGTTGTTGGGAGCCCAATTGACAAGTGATGGGATCTAGCACTGGCTAAGTGGGTGGCAATAAAGATGGAGAGACAGGGCTGGATTCAACCACCATAAACAGGAAAATCAACAGCACTTACGGATGGGTTGGGTGGGGTGGGGCATGGTGGAAGAAAAGTGTCAAGGATGAACAGTGGTGCCAACTATAGAGACACATAAGACAATTAGGTTGCAGAGTAGAGGTCCTGAATTTATTCAGTAGACCTGGAGTTGGGGATGCATTTGAACAATGAAAAGAAGATACATAGAGTTAAGAACACAGACAAGGACCTAAAAATACAGATTTACGGGATCTCAGTGTTTAGCTGACAATTAAAGCTGTTAAGTATGGATAAGATCATCTTGGGAGAGAGTATAGAGATTCTCATGGAATCCAATATTCAATGGTTGCCCAGAAGCAGATGGATAGCTAGAAACTGAGAAGCATCCAGAGATGTTGGAGGCAGGATAATATTATGTCCTGGAAACTAAAGGTTGTTAGTGCTACTAGAAGTGATAAGTGGTTATTAGTGTTGAATGCTTCTGAGAGGTGTGCAAAGATGAGGACTAAAATATTTCTGTAGGTGACAATAACACGCAGGTCATGACAGCAAGAGTTATTTCAGAGGAGTCATGTGGGCAGACATCAGATTGGACTAGGATATTGGAGATAGAAGGTTTAGGCAACATTTTTGAAAGGAAGAAAGTTGTAGGAAACGATATAATATGACCGTCATGCAATGGCATCCATTTGAGAATAAGATATACCAAACATTGGATTTCATATACCAGATCATATACTCAAGAGACACATCACTGCATGTTCTCCTTTTGAGAGAAGGGAACATGAGGCAAATGGGGGAAAGTGTTGATAACTTATGTGTTCCAGATGACCACAAATTGAATCCACTCCAGCAGAGAGAGAAAAGAACCAGAGCAGGAAAGCAGGAAAAGCTTCAAACAGCTGCATGAAAAATATTACTATAGAACCCCAATGCTGATAGCTCAGAATCTGCATTTAGTGTGGACGTGTTCAACTCTCATGGGTCTCTGTGCAAGTCTTGTAACCTTTCCATGCATTGACTTTTCTTTGGCTATTTACCATGGTCAGAGAAAGGCCGATCCTTGGAAAGCACTTGGAACAAAAAGTCCAACAGGATTTGACTAAATGAAGCATTTGATTAGTTATCACTAACAGAATGATGCAACCCAGGAAGGACTACTAATTCATTGTTTCTAAACTTTGCCATTTTTTTTGTACTTGGCTCCAGCCTTAAGAGCTCTTGCCAAACAGCAGGGTTTCTGCATGTGCTTTGGCCTCCCTGAGGACCTCATAATGAGCCAGAAACTCTCACCATCCAGGAGAGGTCTTTAGGAAAAGAAGGGGAAAGGGCATGGGCACAACCACAGGGAGAGGCAGCTTAGAGTGAGCACACACATAGAGAGAGTGGGGAGGACAGAGGACAGAGTCCAACAGGGGATGTACATTAGCTGTTCTTGCAGCTGGAAACCCTTCTCTAGCCTCCAGGACAAATTTTCCAGTCTAAGTCCTGGCAGTGATGCTGACCTTTGGGTTGCTTACAAGAGAGTAAATGAAAGCTTTCCCTCTCCTCCAACACATCCTTCTTTGACTTGAAACATGTGACAAGGCTGTTACCTCCAGCAGATGCTTGCTGGATGAATCAGCATTCTAAAAGACCAAGGCCCCAGGATGTGCCAAAGCAGCAACAGAATCAGTAAGGATTAAGAAGCGAGTAGGGAGAGACAGTTCAATGAATGCAGCCTTCTGCAAGGGGGCAGTTGCACCATCTTTGAAGTGGGCAGTCCAAAAATCTTATTGAGAATAAAGGATAAAAGGGTGAGAACTATGTGTGCAGGACCCGGAGCAGACCCAATTGGGCCTAAAATGGGTCTTGTTGGGGGAATCAATATGATAATAGTTGAATGGAAGCATTATCTCTGAGGATAGTCTCTGTATATTAAAAAGTCCTAGTCCTACACCAGTTATTTTCCTTTTCAAACACATAGCCTCAGGGATACAAATTGGGGGTTTCCTTTTCAAATGCATTGCCTCGGGGATACAAATGAGGGTTTCCTCACTACCACATTAAAGCATTCCTGCCTCAGAAGTGTTGTGGCCTCCTTTTTCTCTGTTGCTGTGTTAGGCAGAAAGGGTAGTTTCACAAACTCCATTAAAACCCACAGTGAGGGCTTTAAGGTTATGGAGCTCAATCCTCATAGGAAAAAGATTGAGCCACAAAATGTAACTGATGTGTCCTCATGTTGTTCCATTTTTCAGTCTGCTTCTAGTCCTGGGTCATGTGCCCTTGTGTATATTCCCTCGGGTCCTATCTGGCAAAAAATAAAGGCCTTTCCTCCTTGGGATTTGGATGTCCTCTATCAAGATCCAGAAGCTGATGTTTGCTATGGCTTCCTTCACTCCCCTCTGTTCTAATTGTATATTGTCTTTTTTCCTTTCTTCCTTTTTCACCAATGTTCCCAAGAATCTTATCCACTGTAGTGACTTCAGCGTTTACCTCCATGAAAGCATTTCAAATCTATATTCTCTCCTCATCTTTCCTACTGAATTCCAAATTATCTTACCTGTAGACATTTTTACATTGTTGTTTCACTTGCATTGTAATCTTAACATGTTTAAACTCAATTCTCTCCACACTGGCTCCTCACCTGTATCCGTCCAAGACCAATCAAAGAAGCAGAATCAGTAGGGGATATGAATTGCATACAGCCAATATGGATTTGTTACAGGGAATTGCCTTTATGGAATTGTGAGAGTTGGATAAGCAGTCTCTGTATGGTTATTGTTTCTGATTCTGATGATGGAGCTTGAAGTCCATGGGGCAGGCAGTAGGGAAAGAAAGACAGGTAAAGTGGGGAGATCAAGAACAGGTTGGAACCAACAAGCACAAGCTAGAACCCCATGAAGAAGAACTGGAATACATGTTAGTTCTTGTTGCCTCTGACCTTGGTGATAAGGGTATCTAGCAGAAGTGGGACTTTTTGTCACAGAGCTAGATACACATACCTGGCCTAAGAGTCACAGAAACCAAAAGGCAATCAGGGCAAAAGTAGAGCAGTTACAGGCCCAGCTGTTGCCTCAAACCAACGAAGTGAGTCAGCAGATCGACAACAACATGTATGAGCTGAAATAATGGCCACTGTTTCTCTTCCAGCCTTCAAATCTCCCAAGAATCTCCCATGTGGCCAACCCTAACTGGAAACAAACAAGAGAGTGAATTCTGGGAAGTGTAGCTCAGCCTAGGCAAGTTGATAACATTACAAAGCCATTAAAATCCACCCCTAGACAACTTGGCATCCATATATATCTCCTTAAAGTATACTTAATCACTGAATAATGATAATGCCAAAGGCATGCCTCTGCCTAGTGTGATATAACTATCTCTCATACAACTGAAAAAAAAAAATGCTAACCCTTTTCCCAAGTTTCTTTTTTTGTCCTTGGGTGACGTTTATTATTTTCCAGGCTGCTTCACATATATCATTTTATAGCTTGTAACTTAAGTGCTAAGATATAAAGTAAACTATTATTAAGACAACTTGTGTTAGATGATAAGGGGCCATGAAAGCGAAAAAAAATAAAATGTCTGGTTAATATATAAAAACATATTTATATTAAAATAAGGAAGAAATACTTACAACTCTTATAGTCCTTGTTTCTGCAAGGGTCATATGGTCATAGTTAATATCAATCACTACCTTTTTCCCATATTCTATCTATTGCTATTCTTTTTGCCCTCAGCAAGCACCTCAGCTGGTCATAGTTCTTTGCTTGGTGGAGTGACACAAAACTTCATTCTTGAAAGCTCTGGGGTATTAGCAGTCCTGCCTGAATTGAATTGTTACAGTTTTTTGTTGACTTTAATCTAGGACATGGAAGTATTAAGAGGCACTCTTGAAGATTTCCTGCATTCCATATATGATTGTTACTCTATTGTGTTACTAGTAACAATTGTGTTGCTACTGGTCACACAATTTTTCCCTGATAGAACTGAACACCCTAGCCAGAAAATAATCTCATTTTCTGCCTGTTAATTCAATGGCATAAGGTATCCAGAGTAGACAGGCAGCAGTCTCATCTTCCATTTCAGTGGAATTAATGTTGGGTCCCCTTTTGAAAGTATTACTCCCTTAGAACTACGATCTCTAGACTAGTAGAGCCTACAACATAGGGATAGGAAGCAACATTTTGTTAATGGATTAGTAGAGGTAATAGTGAGTGCTGCTACTCCTATTTTCACCGCTGGCTTTTTAAATGTATGACCATATATATATATATATGTTTTTTTGTTTTTTTTTTTTGAGATGAGTCTTGCTTTGTTGCCCAGGCTGGAGTGCAGTGGCGCGATCTCGGCTCACTGCAAGCTCTGCCTCCCAGGTTCATGCCATTCTCCTGCCTCAGCCTCCCATGTAGCTGGGACTACAGGTGCCCACCACCACGCCTGGCTAATTTTTTGTATTTTTAGTAGAGATAGGGTTTCACCATGTTAG
Organism: Homo sapiens; assembly: GCF_000001405.40. Taxonomy (NCBI): domain Eukaryota; kingdom Metazoa; phylum Chordata; class Mammalia; order Primates; family Hominidae; genus Homo; species Homo sapiens. The sequence continues at coordinate 38,231,114 of NC_000023.11, read as the reverse complement.
CCAGGATGGTCTCGATCTCCTGATCTTGTGATCCACCCGCCTCGTTCTCCTAAAGTGCTGGGATTACAGGCGTGAGCCACCGCGCCCAGCAGATCTATGAATATTGACTATGGGAGAAACAGCACCATATAGTGGACTCTGACTCAAAGCATCCTGGAAGACATTGCCCAACCCTGCAAGGTGTTTTCAAAAGGCCATAACAGCATTTTCAAAAGACCACTCTGTTTCTATCAAGCCAGCTGCTTCAGGATGATGGGGAGCATGGTACGACCAGTAAAGTCTGTGAGCACGGGCCCATTGCCATGTTTCATTTGCCGTGATGTGGGTTCCTTGTTTGGAAGCAGTCTAGTATCATGATAGTAGATAAGGTAAGTTTATGGATGGTAGTTTTGGAAGAAGCTTTGTGGACAGAGAAGGTAAATCCATATCCAGTATAAGTGTCCATTCAAGTACCCAGGTAGACTACTCAAAATCCTGCCCACTGTGAGGATGATTTTCCCCTCATCCCTGTCTTTCAAGGCTGTTATTGAGCAACACTGTAGATGCTGCCACTATCTGCTTTCATGTAGTGTCTTCATGTCATGCAGCATCACCAGTAAACCAAATCTGAGGTTTTTCTTCCTTCCCCTTGTCATAGGGAACTCCCCACCAGACCATCGATACAAGTTGGAAAAGTGAAATTATATAGCAGAAGTAGGGGCCATGAGAATTTGGGCTACTTCTTTTTTTTTTTTTTTTCAGATGGAGTCTCGCTCTGTCGCCCAGGCTGGAGTGCAGTGGCACGATCTCGGCTCACTGCAAGCTCTGCGTCTGGGGTTCACACCATTCTCCTGCCTCAGCCTTCCAAGTAGCTGGGATTACAGGCACCCACCCCCACTCCCGGCTAATATTTGCATTTTTAGTCGAGACGGAGTTTCACCACATTGGCCATGCTGGTTTCGAACTCCTGACCTCAAATGATCCACCCGCCTCGGCCTCCCAAAGTGCTGGGATTACAGGCGTGAGCCACCGCACCTGGCCTGGGCTACTTCTTCATGCAACTTACTTGTGGCTTCAAGGCCTGATCAAGTCTGATCACATATACACCTCTTCCATTTGATAATGGAGTGCTTCTTTGCACACACAACTTTATGGCTTATCTAGTTGAACAACCTCAAACTCACGATGGGGAGCTCAGATTCCATGGTGAGTTAGTGGCTCATGGTTAAGCATCCAGTCTCTACAAAGGCTCAGTAGCAAGGCAAAAGTTGTTTCTGAAAAAGAGAGCAGTTATCTGCAGAGTATGGCAGTGGTTAGCTCCAAAATTCTAAGGGTCCAGTTTTGTGTCACTTATAGGGGCTTGCCAAAGACTTCAAAATGCATCCTTCTCTGTCACTGACACTTTAAGCACCACTGGAGCTCCTGGGTCATATGTCCCAAGTAGCAGAGCAGTTCGCACAGCAGCCTAGACAAAAGCCTTCTCTTATTCTGGGCTCCAATCAAAACTAGCAGTTCTTAAGTCAAATTCATACAATGGCCAACCAAAGAGGAAAATAAGAGGCATTCTCTCAATCAGCTTCTGTCTTAAAATTCCCTAAGCAAGTGTCTTATTGGCCTGCCTGGGACCTGTGCCAGTCCCTCTAATTGCAATGTCTTGGGAGTAAAGTTCTACTACTGACACAGCCTCATTCACGCAACCACACCCCATTACTAGAGTTTGAGGTATCTGTGGTTGTTAGGCCCCCTCCAAAACCATATTAGTTCCCCAAATGATGTTCTGGGAAAACAAATCAAGGTCTACCCCTGGAAGGATTAAGCTCTTTATGGCCTTCACTGTCTTCATTCATGAAGATAGCATATCTTCCCATTTAATTATTTTCTCTATGGCTCTTAGTTACAATTTTTAGAATATGTGTATATGTACATGTGGTGTATCATACATTTGTTTTACAGCTTAAACCTTTATTATCTAGTTATTTTGGGTAATAAGCTATTAATCTTCATACATTTTCTATTTATATACTTTACTGAACTCTCTGTGGCAGGCAGAATTCTGAGATGGCCCCCACGACCATTACTTCCTGATGCTACTCCCATGATTACATTAGGTTGCATTGCAAGAGAAAATTTCTAGATGTATTAAGGTTACTAGTCTTGACCCTAAGGTAAAGAAATTTCTGGGTGGGCCTAACTTAATCACTAGTCCTTCTAAAGTAAAGTCTTCTCTAGCTGGTGGTAGAAGAAAAAGTCAGAGAGAGATTCAAAGTGTGAGAGAGATTTGATGCAAGGGAGGTTCTCTGTTGCTAACATGGAAGGATCTGCAGGTCAAAGGGACCTGGGAGTGATATCTAATTGCTGACAGTAGTCCCTGACTAGTATTCATTAAGAAAACGGAACTTCAGTCTTATAACTGCAAGGACCTGGCAGGCTAGAATTTGTGCTGTATTTGATGTTTGCTATATGTATCACGTGAAAGACTAAATCTGCTAATCACAGTTGGTGCCAGAGACCTCACATTCCTCTAGTGCGTTTTTTTTTGTTTGTTTTTTGTTTTTTTGTTTTTTTTTTTTTTTTGTCTCCCTGCTTGACTTTGGGATTCCTTAATACTCCCCCTCAGGGAGAATCTGGATCTTTCTGCTCTTTCAGCTGGAATTCACTGTCATTATGCTGGAGCCCTGTTGGTGTCGTAGTAGGGTGTGGGGAGGAAAAGTGTTCTATAATATTATGATGAAATCTCAGCCTTTTAGTGAGCATGTGACCTTCGGCTATGACCTTCGCAGATATTTCTTAGTTTTTTAAAACTTCCCCTCTTAGGTGAGACAGGAAGGCTAAGGAGGCTGAAGTACAGGAAATGCACTTCTGTTAGGTGGGATAAGCCTCTGGTAAAGTAATTCCCCTTAGTAAAGTAGTCCTTTTTTATGGAGAAGTCTCTGGGCATATTTCAAATGATTAGATTAATCTTCCCCTCCCGCTGCCAGCACAGGAAGGGTCTTTCTTGGACCTTCATCATGAAAACGTGGCAGGGTTCTTGGAGGTAAAGCCCACAACAGTGTGGGGGTCCCAGCTATGACTTCAGCTCCCATGGGTCTTTCAATGTCATATTAGTCGACACTCAGCCTCCAGCAATTTTTCCAAACTGCCATTTAAGTTTATGGTTCCAGCATGTCTTCTGCTCCAGGTAAGCAGAGCTTGACTGTGACTCTCTGGACTTCTTTGTCTTTCCAGATGATGATGGTGGCAATTTGCCCTGAAAACTCAGTTCTCTGTTGGGTCAGAGAAAAGACATTGATTTTCAGTGTGTCCAGATTTTTCTTGTAAGGGCAGGAATGATGGCTTGTAAGCACATGCAGGTGAAACAGAAAGTCATTAACTTTAATTTTTATTTCTGCATTCTTATATTTCTCAGTTCTCTTTATGACCACCTATTCCTACTTTAAAAAAGAATTTTTCATGAATCTTTTATTGAAAGCACCAATAGATATTCTCTAAAATTGCTTTTCATTTTTGTAGTTTATTTTCATAATAGAGATCTGTTTTGCTTTGAACCTTTAGTAAAAATATTCCTTTTCTTGTGCTGTAGAAGTTTTTCAACCCCAGGAGCTTGTGTTGTTTCCTTCTGAATATTTACGCTAGAAAAAGAAGAAATCTCTTTAAGCCAAAGGATTGTAAACAGACACTATTCTTATACTGTCTTTATCTTCTTTGATCTTGACCTTGAACATTCTTACTTTAACCCCCTCAGAGCTAGATTTTTCATTTTTTAATTTTCTATTTTAATTTCTGAAATACATGTGCAGAACTTGCAGGTTTGTTACATAGGTATACATGTGCCATGGTGGTTTGCTGCACCTATCAACCTGTCATCTAGGTTTTAAGCCCCGCATGCATTAGGTATTTGTCCTAATTCTCTCCCTCCCCTTGTCCGCCCCCTACTCCCGACAGACCCTGGTATGTGATGTTCCCCTCCCGGTGTCCATGCGTTCTCAGAGCTAGATTTTTAATATATATGCATGAGCACAAGCATCAACCCAACACACCCTACTCGTCTGGCATTCGTTTCACATGATTTCAATAGACTCAGGTCAAATCATCTTGCCCTTCTATTCTTGAATTCTTGAAAAGTCTGATACATACTGTAGTTTGTACTGACGTATTATGTGAAAGAGTAAATCCACGATAACTGTGCTACTCACAATGTGTTCCCTGGACTGGTGCTGCTTTCTGAACTGTTTTGTACTGGTCCACAATTAGATACGTACAGAAATGGAGAGTATGACCTTAGAGACTGTGATAACAATTTGATAAAATAATTTTACTTCTGCTGGGCATGGTGGCTCACGCCTGTAATCTCAGGACTTTGGGAGGCCGAGGCGGGTGGATCACCTGAGGTCAGGAGTTTGAGACCAGCCTGGCCAACATGGTGAAACCCCGTCTCTACTAAAAATACAAAAAATAGCCAGGCGTGGTGGTGGGTGCCTGTAATCCCAGCTTCTTGGGGGGCTGAGGCAGGAGAATCACTTGAACCTGGGAGGCGGAGGTTGCAGTGAGCCGAGACTGCACCACTGCACTCCAGCCTGGGCAATAGAGCGAGACTCCATCTCAAAAAAAAAAAAAAAAAAAGAAAGAAAGAAATAATTTTACAAATTATTATTATTATTTACAAATAATAGATTTGTGGAATCTAATGAGAGAACCTTGAACTTTTGCTTTGTGTATGTCTTTGGCTTGTTTTCTCTTTTATTTTTCTACTTAGTCATCTTTACTGATTTTACCAAAGCATGGATCAATGATGGATTGGACATTAAAAAAAAAAAAAGTCCTTTGCCACAGGTAGTTTGAGAAGAACTGCCTTAGAATGAAGCACTCCTAAATATCTCTTTGACTTTTACTCTACTGGCAATCCATTTCCCAAGGTACAGTGAGCCACCACATTTCCCCTTAAACTTCCATCACTTTACTGTGAAAGGATACAGAAAGAAAAGAACTGGGTTTATTAGGGAAGCAGAAGTAGAGTAGGAAAGCCAGACTAATGCCATTTTAAGTTAACCTCCATCTTGAGACTAACAAGGCACATTCCTTGCCAGTCATGACCCATGGTCATGTTTATATTTAAAGAAACAGCTTAATGATATCTGCAAGGACATATTCCTACAGCAACAGAGTATCCCTATGTCCCAATATCCATAACAGTATATGATTTCAAGTTCATTATAGTTATGCTTTAATGTACTTATGTCAATTATGATGTATTTATTTATTTATGCTTTTATGTATTTATAGTATTGCTTTGGTGTATTTATGCCAATTATGATGTATTTATTTAAGATGTATTTATCCTTGGCATCCTAAGTGCCAAGGATAGTTTTATTTAAATCAGCGAAGTAATACATTTTGTCATACTTTCAGCCCACCCACATGTAGACATAACTTAGCTTAGCTTTTACATAGATAAGACCCCTAAACAAGAAAAACTTAAAACAAAGATGAGGCATTCCTCTTCTTGATTTCTGAGGACACCCTAATCTGTAACTGAGTAGCTTTTTATAAACTGTCTCTTCTCACTGTACTCTGCGACTTCCTTTTAACTCTTTCCTGCTGAAGATCCAAGAACCCATTCTTGGGGATCCCTTTTCCGGCAACAGCTTGAGAGGGCTGGGAGAATGAGGAGGCATGGGAAAATGGGAGGGGCATAACGGGGCTTTGATTCTTAGAAAATACCTCTCCTGCAGTACGTAGATGGCTGCCAGGGTCTCTTTCAATGCTGTCTCTGAGTCGACAAGCTCAAGGAAGAAAGTTGGGGGCAGGGAGGTGACTCTTGAGAATCCTTTTCCTTCCTTGTCTCCTGGGGCTCACTCTGCTCTGACTCAGGGGACAAGACTGTTTTGTTGACTACAACCTCCTCAACACTGCACAGAGTGGAAAGATACCTCCCTCCTCCTGCCAGACTTTGATGTCTGTGTTCTCTTCTTCTCACCTCTGGTACTTTGCCCAGTACTCAGGAATGCTTCAGATGACAAGACAGACACTGTCTGCATGCACCTGAGGTGCCTTGGAGACTTAGCTTATAGGCAAATAGATTGCACTGTCGTAGGTTGTACTGTGAAGCCACTACTGGCAACTCCTACTCTGTATCGGTGTGATTTTTTTTTTTAAGAAAACATTTTCAATGATCTGTTTAATTTAAATAAGAAATATCATTACATGCTTACATATTTAAACAGTACAAAGGATTGTACAGTAATAAAAAATTATTTCTCCTACTGACTTCCCCATACCCTGATACAGTATCATGCCTTCCCCATACCACAAATGGTAGCAAGATATGTGTATTATTTTGCTTGTTATTTCATTAAACAAAATATGTGAGACTACCTTTCCTACTGATGCATATGCATCTTGTTCATTCTTTTTAATGGCCACATAGTATTTCGTTACATAGGTATGCATAATTAATAAAATAATTCCCCATTAATGGATATTTACATTTACAAAAATGTCACCAACCTTTTGTTACTATGAGCAATGCTGAATAAAACCTTATAAACACTTCTTTGCACAGATGAGCCTGATGCAGTGGGGAGACTACTTGGCTTTCTAGTGATTCTTAGATTCTTCATGTGTGATTGGTTTTTGAGATCTAACATAGGACATCATATTTATCCTTGCTGTCTTTTAATGTTTCAATACAGCATGCCTGCCTAGAGAGATGTTTGGAATCTGTTTCTTGCCCTCCTATCTTCATGTCCTTTGCCAAAAATATCTTTTTCTAGTTCATAAATAGTAACATCAAGCAGGATAGGAATGGTGTCATAGCTCTGTGGCACTCCCTGAGTGACTTCTCTTTGTTTTCATCAACTCATTAACCCTTAAGTTATTTGACAGATTATGAATCTATTTAACTATCTGATTGTCTTCCAAGATATTGTGGGATTGGGATGAATTGACAACCTCTTCCTCTACCTTACCTCTACCCTCATCTCTTCTATCAGAGAGAAAACTGGAATAAAAATAATAAGAAAAATAAAAGTCCCATTGGAATTTTCTCTATAGGGTAGAAAAGAGAGCAAGAGACTTTTTTTCCTCATTCCAGGCTCTTATTTTATTTTTTCATGTTCATATTAGTTCTTCCAAGGGTTTATATCGAATACTTCAAGCTTGTCAAGGAAAAATAATGGTTTCCCAATATTATATCTAATTGTGTTCCCTATTACTCTAACCCACGTGATTTATATACCTTATACATTTTGACAACAATGGCATTCCTTTTAGTATTCCCACTAGGTAAGAATACCACCTTGTTCTCTCCCCTTTATCTTTGTTAGGTAAAAATGAAAGGGTTATTTCGATTTATTGATACAAGAGGCAACTGAACTTGGATCTGTCCTTCAAGATATCCTTGCACAATGAAAACAACAAATGTTATTTTTCTCTGTAAACATTATATAGAGATGTTTCTTCAAGTCTTTTATTTTTGTTTATTTTTTTAATGGACACATTGTAAATGTACATATTTATGGGACCCCCATATCTACAAAAAACACTTAGCTGGCCATGGTGGCACATGCTTGTAGTCCTAGCTACTCAGGAAGCTGAGGCAGGAGAATTGCTTGAGCACAGGTGTTTGAGGCTGCAATGAGCTATGATCATGCCACTGCACTCCAGCCAGGAAACAGCACTCCTTCTGGATAAACAAATTCAAATTCAGAATAAGACCCTGTCAAAGAAAAAAAAAAAAAAGAAAGAAAGAAAAGAAAAAGAAAAAGAAAAAATCAAGTCAGTATTTTTTTTTTTGAGATGGAGTCTAGCTCTGTTGCCCAGTCTGGAGTGCAGTGGCACAACCTCTGCCTCCCAGGTTCAAGTGATTCTCCTGCCTTGGCCTCCCGAGTAGCTGGGACTACAGGTGTGTGCCACCACTCCCGGCTAATTTTTGTATTTTTAGTAGAGATGGGGTTTCACTATATTGGCCAGGCTGGTCTCAAACTCTTGACCTCAAGTGATCCGCCTACCTTGGCCTCCCAAAGTGCTGGGATTACAATCATGAGCCACTGCACCAAGCGTCAAGTCAGTATTTTGCGTGACCATCACCTCATCCATTTCTGATTTCTTTCTTTGTGGTGAGGACATTCAAAGGCCAGAGAGCAAGTCAACAGTAAGTGTGGTGTTTCTTGTAATCCAGCCAGAATCAGTGGATAGAAGTGAGCTAGAAGTTCCTTCTCAGCCCAGTAATAGAATGTATACTGGTTGTGGTGAAGACACATTGCTTCAGAGGTGACATAGGAAAGGAAGGCTGCTGGCCAGGCTATCCTGGACCTGGAATTTGGGGTGCACATTAACCCTTGTTTACAGACCTAAAGAAGTAGTTCTCTATTGGGGGCATTTTTCCCCTGGGGGACATTTGGCAATGTCTGGAGACATTTTTTTGGCTGCCATAACTGGGGAAAGGGGGATTGCTAGTGGTATCTGTTGCATAGAGGCCATCGATGCATCTCTCAACGTGCAAGGCAGTCCCCCTCCCCAAGAAAGAATCATCTAGCCCCAAATATCAATAGTGCCCAAGTTGAGAAACTCCTGGTCTAGAATTTTTATCCTATACTAAAACTTATACCGTGGAGCTTAGCGGATTGGGGAGAGACAAAAATATGCATCTGGTCAAACTCCAGGTCACATTCCTAAAGATTCTGATTTTATTAGTGTGAGGTAGAGCCTGGATATGGTATTTTCATGAAGCTCCCCAGGTGACCCACATAAACAAGGTTGAGAATGACTCCCTGGAAAGTCTGGTCTGATGGAGGCCACAGAATAGACTGACCTCCCCCATTTCCTTGCGACTAGGGGGTTATTTAAGGGTTGTTGGTTCCCTGAAGAGGTAGCAGCAGTGGAGAAACCCACAGGAGATGGAGCGAAGTCCCCCCAAGTGCTAGAGAGGGTAAGATGGACGTTCAAGTCTGGGGCTTTTGTGAGAATTGGGAAATGGCACTCCTTCTGGATAAACAAATTCAGAACTTCTAGGTGAGTGCCCCCAGGGCTCTTAGCCTAGCTATCAGACCAGACTACTGTGGCAGAGAGAAAGATGCCCTTCTAGTGGATGTGGCCCCTGCCAAGACGCAAAGCTCCCTGAACCCAAAGGCATTTGGATTTTGGCTCCCACTTGCCCCTTCCTCTGGATGCCTTTGTACAGTGCCCAAACTGCACAACCTAATGCAGCAACTCCAACTAAAATTTGCCTTAGCTAAGATCTTTCTGAGACAGCAAAGGGGCAACGTATTGCCTTACTGATTTAACAAGAACTAAACAACCAAAACAACAAACAAACAAACAAAACTATGAGAGGCTTACTCAAATGCCTCAAAGAAACCAGATCCGTCCTGCGGGCAGCCTAGAAACCCTGTCCTGATGCCAGGATCCAGCGATGCCAAGCCACAGGGAAGAGGCTCCAGTCTGGTCGTGGTATCTTTGGGGTGGTTGAGAACAACCCAGGAAATGAGGAAATCTGGCTGCAGGAACCTACAGCTGGATCCCCATGGCTGTGGGTGAGACAGAGAACTTTCTGTGCCTTGTGCTCTCCCATCAGCTGATCCTGGAAGGAGAACCTCAAGCCCCATCCTAAACCGCAGCAGAGCAGGCACGCACCCGGTCCAGTCCTTGATTTATTCCTTTGCAAAAGAGAAACAAACTAACAAAAAATCTGTAGTATGGACTTTGACGTCGGCAGAACTACACACCTAAGTTCCAGTCCCTGCTCTGCCAGTAACGGGGGTGAATCTGGGCAAGTTTCTAAGCGTCGGTGTCTTATTGGAGAAAGTGGACATGGTAATAGCGAACTTGGGGCATGGTCGTGAGGATCAAAACAGAGAACATGGCCATAGTATCCGGCCGCAGTGGGCCACTCTGAATCCCCTCGGTTGCCCCTTCTGTTTCCGTGTGACTCACGCAGCTTTCTGCACAGATGGTATCCTTCTAGACGTCTGGGATGTTCGAGGCGGTTGTATTGAATACCGTGTGTGTATTCCGGGTGAGGGGGCGCGCAAATTGGGGCAAAGAAAGCTACTTCAGGATATTTCGCTCTGCTGGGGCTTGTCTCCAGCGCTCTCTGGCCAGAAAAAGCGCTGGCACAAAAGGAGGAGGTGGGTGGGTCAGAGCCCCGAACCGCGCAGTGTTCCAGGGGGGGCGGAGAAAGGAGGGCAGGCCCCAGGCAGGAAGGAGGGAGGGAAAGAGGCGAGAGGAGGAGTTTTCCAGCCCGGCCTTCGCCCGCCCGCTAGCACGCAGTCCCTTGGTCTCTTCGGTCTCCTGCCGCCCCCGGGAAGCGCGCTGCGCTGCCGAGGCGAGCTAAGCGCCCGCTCGCCATGGGGAGCCCCGCACATCGGCCCGCGCTGCTGCTGCTGCTGCCGCCTCTGCTGCTGCTGCTGCTGCTGCGCGTCCCGCCCAGCCGCAGCTTCCCAGGTAGGATCGGAGGCGTGGCTGCCTCCTCAGCTGGGCACCAAAGACCCCCGGAGTCGCCGTTGGGACCCTTCGCTCGGGATAGAGGGAGGTGCCGGGGGCGCCCTTTGTTTGCGCAGAACTCCTCTTTCGCAGCCCGAGGGTGGGGATGATGCGGATCGGGGCTGGTGTCTGGGCACGCGCCGGGAAGAACTGACCATCCCATCTCCAGGCGCGGGGCGCCCTCGCGGCGACGGGAGCCCTAGCACCTTCTGCGTCCGGGCTTCCAGAGTTCCAATCAAACCCTTTTCGGTGTAGGAGGCTCCACAGAGAAAGTTTGGCCGCAGACTAGTTTGCTACTTTCTCACCCCCAGAATTTTGCCTCTCACATGGTTGCCCACTGGAGGCTGGCAGCTTGTCCTGGAAGGAGCCTCTATGCCCTCCCACTACACGTCCCAGGCTACCCCCTTGGGGCCGCAGGACACGAGCCACGGTAAAGCGACTTTTGTGGAAGGCACGGGCGGGGCCTCCCCTGAATCTCTTAACCCCCCCTGCTGGGGATTCCGAGAAAGTCTGCGCCTCTGAGGAAGAATTGCCAGCTGAGAGTGGTGACATGTGGCATGCACTTGATTAGCCCCAGGGAAAGAGGGCTACTCGCGCAAGGATCTGCTGGGCAGAGGGTGCGGCTTATTCCTGGAGGGCGTGGTCTCCGGCATCTAAGGGGGCCCTGGTGTTTCTTGGGGGCTCTCATGGTGTGAGCAAAATTCTCTTTGGAGATGCACTTTAAAAAGCTCCAGCTAACTTCCTCACCCTGGAGTCTTAGGTTAGCGAAGAGCTTCAGGGGAGTAGGGCAATGTGCCATGCACTCCTGTTGCCTCGGAATGGAGAGGAAATCCATGGATGCGTTTTAATTTAGTGTTAATGGGAAAGTGGGTGACGTCGGCTATAGGGCGTGCAAATATTTGGCTCTGCGTTCAACACCGTGGGCAGCTTAAATCTAGGGTATGAGAAATGAACCTACTGAGTTCTGGTAGAAGGATAGAGGATGCCCATCTTTCTAGCAGTGTGCTTGGGAGATGTAGGGATGGCTGCGGGAAATTCTCTGCACGCACCTAAATAAATGAATGAATAGAACAAATTTGTAAATTAATAAACAGGAACATTTGTGTTTTGAGCTGACTCTTAAGTTTTAAGCTGCTTTGTAGGAACTGATTCAGGGTAAAGTGGAAAGGAAATTTTATCCTTACTGCCAGGCAACTGTTATTCCCATGGTGTGTTAATACCTCCTCTCCCACCCCCTTTAGCAGGAATCAGGTTAAAATGAACCTGTAGGGGAAGAGGAAGTCATTAAGCGTCCCAGAAGCAGCTTTCTGGGAGCGGGCAAATAAGGTGAGAAGCTAGAGGTAGCTTTTCCGCACTGAGTTGGGAGGTGCCTGTGAGCTGCCTGGGAACCTCAACTTTTAGTTGAGCCTTTCTCAAGCTGGGGACCCCTTCTCCTTTTCCATCCGACCTCCCTCCGTTCTCCTCCCCTGCCCTCCCCTCTCCTTTCTCTCATCTTCCACCTTTATATAGTACAGCTTGCTACCAGGGCCCAGCCACAGAATCATGAGTTCGCCAGTTTGGGCATTCACTACCACCTGTCTTTTGGGACCTATCCCTGGCTTTCCTGGCTCCCTCTGCCAGCCTGCAAGCTGCTCCCAACTTTTAGCCACCATGTTCCTGCTTGCCACCACCTCCACTGACTCCTAACCTGCCCTCCGGCTCTGCTCAGACCACAAATGAGCTGAAGCTGATTGGAGCTGCTTGATAAACACTCCTCTTGAGCCTCCTTTTGGCATGGCTCAATGGGGTCTCTTGGGAAGTGTGCTCCGCTGAGGTTGTGAGATCCAGAGGAGGGGATTTCAGTCCAAGCCAGAGGCTTTGGAAGGCTGGGGAGGGGAAAATCTCTAGGCCCTTGGGTCTGAAAGCAAATCACATAGGCTGAGTTCACTCTAAGTGCTGGGTGACAAATTTTAAAGATCATTTCAGAGACACTCTCTTAGCAAGTGGACATCATATCTTCAGTAAGAGAGAAAGTGAAGGACTTGAATCTGGAACTTCTGAAAGAAGATGGAGATCTAGGGCTCCATCAGCAAGTCGATTATGTAACTATCTGCACGTGAATAGCACATCTGTCAGAGTGAGAGTAAATCATTCTCATTCCCACTCCTAGAAGGTCTCTGGAGTTCTTCCATCTTAGAATTTAATGCAGCTTTTCTGGCTCTCTGATCTATTTTTTGCAGCCTAGCAAAGATGCAGTGTCTATAAAAACCTACATGAAGTGTATGGAAAATTTGTAGAAAAGTTGTTTGTGTTTGACTGTGTTTGTATGCTTATAACAGATGAGAATTTAGATTCTGTTCTTAAAATAATTCTTAGAGCTGTATTTGCATGTGAGATAGTGGTGGTTCACTCTGCCTCCTTCTGCAAACAAGGCTGAAGATGGAGAATGAGTACCATGGCCTCTAAGAAAGGCTTCGTGAATCTTACATCTGGAGAAAACTGGTAAAGTAGCGTGGTTTTACTAGTCAGGAAAACCAAGTGAGGTTTGCTAAAAGCCAAACCAGACTACATCAGCTGAAGCAGTCTTTTGAAATACCACATTTGGAGATAAGTACTAGGAATGGAGCACCTAGCTCAGGTTATATAATTAAGGTGTCACCGGGAACAGGCTAGGAATTCCTATTTAGATTTAAAACATGTAATCAGCTGACAAAAGTACTCTGCAATGAAAAGGAAATATGCTGGGGAGAGCAGGTCATTTTCCTCTGGCATTTTCTTCATTGATAACACTTTCAGTACAGTACAATGTTGTTTGTTAGTTACTACTCATTTCGCAGATTTGGGAGCTGAATGAGACACCAGAAACCATTGTTAAAGCAGCGTCTTCACATCTTCCCACCTCATCAGTCCTCGTACCATAACCAAAGTGCTGCTTTTCTCTTTTAGATTATTGCTATAACATTCTCACTTTTGGTCTCTCTAATTCTAGCTCATTTTACTTTCTCACTTTAGATAATGGTCTTTTAAGTCCATTGACTTTAGTACTGTTTTTTATCACATCACTCCCTTACTCAAAAACTTAGGGCAGCAGGTCCCTGTTCTCACTCAAGTAAAAAGTTCTCAGTTGTTTTTAGGGGGCTACACAGTTTGCTTCTAGCCTAATTTTCCAGTCTTTTCCCCCTGGTTTCCTAAAATCCTATCCTTATAGAACCTGAGTCACATTTTCCTTCTTGGCAGATGCTGCTTTCTGTACCTGGAATCCTTCCCCCTTGCCATTTGTCCAAATTCTGCCCATCATCCAGCAACACCCCCACTTTGATGAGACCTTTTCTTGATCGCTCCAATGGGAAGCAACGTGCCTTCCTTTTAACACCCATGGTCTCACTCATGTCTCTTATATTTATCACATATATCACATATTTGATAATGCTGTATATTATCATAATTTATGCACTCTTCTTCTTGTAGATTTTAAGACCTTGGAGGCAGGGGCCGTGCTATGTCTTACCCTTATTTGTATTTCCCACGGTGCCTAGCAGAGCACTTTGTGCCACATGGATATTTGTGCGTAATGGATTAACAGTGCCTGTAACTCCAGTGATGGGCCATTGGACAGGAAAGGAGCTGAGGGAAACATGTGCACAGGTACACAGGGCTTTGTGCCACCATGAATCTACATACATAGAAACGATGGCTTACTGGATACAGAGGTTCCTTTTAAATATACGAACACTCTCTGTTTAAGCAATAACCTTCTCTGTTGGGGGCTGTAAGATGAGAGACTGACTGCAACCGCAAGCTGGAGTTTGCATTTATTATTTTTGTTGGCCACCTTGATCTGTGCCTTTCCCAAGTGGTTGAATGGTTTCCTTAGTAAACGCAAATATGTGTGCTACGTCAATTCCCCTTTCAGAGAACACAACTGAAATTAGTAATTGAAAGTGAAGAGAGAATTTGAACAGAAGAAGGTTTAGTTTTGCCAGGCTATAACATAGTATGAAATTTGTAGCAGGCAAGTTATGATTAATGCCCAGGTTAGAGATTCGCTTCCAAAATAGCAGCGTGAATAATAACCTCTCCCAACTTCCAATTCATAGGGAGTTTCTCAAACCAGCCCCTCAGTTCTTGACTGTGTGATGTCTTAACTGCTAACTTTTATGGGCCATTTGTTTTAGGAGGGTGGTCTTTTAAGCCTGAATCTCTGGGAAATTTGGGTTTAGTTCTGAAATAGAATCAGTTTCTACCTTTTCTAATAAATCCTGGGCTCTGCCCAGAGACTTATTTTTAAAGTGAACACTGAATGATGAAGCATTTATGTGCTTGGGAGACCACGATGAAGAAGGTATGCAATTTCTTCTCTCTCGTAGCTTTCTGTCTTGTGGGGAAATAGAGACATAGTTATTTCAGGTGGTCAATGTTATAATACAATTGGATTGACAGGCCCGGGGAGCACAGAGAGGAGCTATGTGGGAACACTGGAATTGGTTATTGAAGAATGATGCTGAGACTTGCTGGTGCGGAGATGGTGGCACTAAAGGCCCAAGAAAAGTGAAAGTAGAGGATGTGTGGGCTTCTCTAAGAATGTTTTGAAATTGGAGACAAAAATCTGTGTGAGTGTCCTTTTTCTGGGGAGACGGCTCTATCCCGATTCAAAACCACTAGTTACTAGAGCACCTTCATGAATTCTATGAGAAAATATGCACTTAATGGGCAGAAAAATCAACATACAGAGTAAGATGAAATTACCACAGTAGGTAAACTTTGATTGAACCAGTGAGCAGGTGGCCTTTCCAGTTACAGCCAGCTGTATAGTTTCCAGTTATTTTCATTTAAAAAGCAGTACCAAGCAAAACAGATGTAATCGTAAATTGTAATTGCCTTCAGGCCTGGGCTGGTAACTTGCTGTACCCCCCTGCCCCACTTAGTACACAGTGTGACTTGGGGGAGGATCTTTAGTCAGTATTTGTGGATTAATTGATTGAAGTAATTGTGAATCAAAGTATTCCATTTCAAATCTCCCCTGTAGGATTTAACCAGAATTTCCAAGATGACACTTTCCTGAGAAAACGGATTGCAAGATAGCTAAATGTCAAAGGAAATTTGTCCATTTGGACAGGCAACGAATCAGGGCATAGTTAATTGCGAAGGCTCTTGGATGTCAAATCACCGTAAGACATTCTAAGAGACTTAGAAACTCAAGGGAGTTCTGGGGGCAGGATGTGCAGATAAAGATTTAGAGGAAAAGCTTGTGCAAGAGAAAAGTCCTTGGTAGCACTGCTAAGCTCCCAAGTTTTCCAGATGATAATTGGTAGCACCTGGATCTTACGGGTGTCTGGCACATTCTGACCTCAGAAACCTCTGGAGTACTCATTCCCGAGCTGAATGATTCACTCACCCGTAATCCTTAGCTCACAATGGATGCTTCTTTATGCATTGTTCTCCAGGGAGAAGATAAATGGGTTTGGACATAATGGCTTGGATTATCCCAGAGGTTTGGGGTTGTAAATTGAGCATAATGATTTTCAAACTTTCTTCTGAGTAATAGATCCAAACATAGAATCTGGGGACAGACTTTCTGCCTTGGCCTTGAAATATCATTGCAATATTTCTTCTGTCCCACTCTTACAGTGACCTGTAGTGTAGTCACATGTACTAGCAGCTCATTTCCCCTGCTATCACTAGCTGTTTGCAATGTACATCCAGTAGTACTTAATGAGAATCTCCTCAATGCTGATTACACCCCATGATCTGCTAATGGATGACGCTCGCCTGCCGCTTATTGTGTGGGTGGCTGAGCTGAATGACCCTGCCAATCCCAGTGATCCAAGATTGTTCGCAAACACGGTTAAATTAGGGCCACAGGGTGAGAATTAAGCCAAGGTTTGGCAGGCCCATTGTGGAGTGGTGAGGAAGCGGTGGAGCGGCTACATCCTCCACCTCCTGAGATTCTGCCCACAAAGTGGCAATTCCTTATAGGAACTCTGACAGACATGTTGGTACTGACTCAGTGTTAGTCAGATCAAGGCTCCAATTCCTTTCAATCCCCAACACTGAAATTTTGTTTCCACTTAGATTTTAATTCAGCTTTCCAAGGAGTAGGGTCATTGTGTTGCACCATTACCTATTCACGGAGCTGATGCCCCCAGCCACGTGAGTAGGTTGTGGGATCTTGTTCATTTTTGTATTCTCATGGTCTAGCAGGGAGCCTGACTTCTGGGAGGCTCTCAGTGGATCTGTGGAGTGACATGTGCTGGGGGGCATGCCTCTGGCCAGTTCTGAGCCTCTGGGTGGGTGTCTTGGTCTTTATCTAGATTTCTGCAGGAGTTTCTCTGTTCCACACCCAGGCTCCCTTGCATGGGTTGCCTAATTCATGGAACCACGGAACCTCAGACTGGGAGGATGCCTGAGATGGTAACTTGCCCTGCATTTTAGGGAGGAGCCTCTGAGGCTTAGCAAGTTGAAGGGATTTGTCTGGGGTCACACAGAGAGTTAAATGCAGAGTTGGGAGTAGACCTCAGTCTAGTGGCTATAGAATTCCTTTCACTTCATAGGCATGCATTGAATTCAATTTTTGAGTGATCCCTACATGTCAGGCATCCTGTGGGGAACCAGAGATAGGCAGGCAAGAATGAATGGCACTGAGCATTTGATATGGTTTGGATCTGTGTCCCCACCCAAATCTCATGTTGAAATGTAATCTTCAGTGCTGGAGGTGGGCCTGGCTGGAGGTGATTGGATCATGGGGGGCGGATTTCTCATGAATGGTTTAGCACCATCCCCTTTGGTGTTATTTTTGCAATAGTAAGTTACCATAATACCTGGTTGTTTTCAAAGTGTGTAGCACCTCCTTCCTCTCTCTCGCTCCTGCTCTGGCCATGTAAGACATGCCTGCTTCTCCTTCGCCTTCTGCCTTGATTGCAAGTTTCCTGAGGCCTCCTCAGAGGTAGAAGCTACTATACTTCCTGTACAACCTGCAGAACCGTGATCCAGTTAAACCTCTTTTCTTTATAAATTACCCAGTCTCAAGTATTTCTTCATAGCAGTGCAAAAATGGACGAATACAGCATTGTTCACTGAGCCCCTGTCCAGGGTGTATCTCAGGGCTATTCTTTATATTGACACTTGGCTGTACTCTCAGCATCTCATATCTAGAGCTGTTTGGATGTTTTTCAAGAGTTCTGAGAAGTTGCTGCCTCAGTGTCAGTCCTTGCCCTCTTTTGAGGTTGTCAGAGTCCCAAATGCTTCCTCTCTATACCATTTGCTTTGAGCTCCCCAACTGATTTGTGATTAAATTCATAACAGTTTTATTGAGATACAATTCATGTACCATACCTCATTCATTTAAACTGTACAATTCAATGGTCTTAGAATATTCACAGAGTTGTGCATTCATCACCACAACCAATTTTAGAATGTTTTCATTGCCCCCCAAATAAACTCCAAACCTTAGCCATCATTTCTTAATCCCCCATCCCTAGGCAACCACTAATCTATTTTCTGCCTCTATAGATTTGCCTACAATTGACCTTCCATAAAAATGGAATTACACAGTATTTATCATTTTGTGTTTGGCTTCTTTCACTTAGTATAGTGCTTTCAAGGTTCAACTGTGGCAGGATACTAGCCAGAGTCAGCCAATGGTGCCTGGCCACCTCTCAATGCTGGCTGCAGGGCCACCACTGGTGCATAAAGCACCTTTGGGTGAATTAGAAAAAGAGGCCCCCATCTGGCCACATGTAGATCTGTGGACACAGGGCTTGGTCAGGAGACAGACTTTGGGCAAGAAAAGGATAGAGGCAGGCCCAAGACTCAAGGACTTGAGGCCTTGAGTCCAAGGATTCAAGACTTGGAGAGTGGAGGACAGGCTTGATTTGAGACCCCACTTGCTCTTTTTGAGGGTGTGACGGTGGGTGCTGTAGTGCAGGGAACTCCCTGAACTATATCTATGTAGTCCTGGATGTCAGTAGCTTAACTCCAAGTGGACAAGCTATGGACCCCATATTCTTTTAGAGCTTGTGACTCTGTAAAATAACAAAACAGAAAGCTGTGCTTGCATGCCAGCAGCATCTGTGGTGAACTCTTGGGTCACCTGGGAGCACGTTAAAATTGCAGAAGCTCAGGCCCAAACCCAAGACCTACTGAATCAGCATCTTCATTTTAACAAGATCCTTCCAATGATTCTTCTACATGATGAAATTTAGGAAGTACTGGTCTGATGAATGAGTTCAGCCCTTGGCCAAGACAGAGTGGCTTGCCTGTTTATAACTGACACACAATGGTTCACTTCCCCTCCTCTCCCTTTTCCTGTTGGCTTTGCCTTCATCACTGAATCCTCTGACCTTCCTTTCCTAAGTCCCCAGCATTCCTGAGATAAGCATGTACAGCCTGTAGGTTAGGTTTTTCCTCCCTTCTCTAACTCAAAAACAAATGCAACCTCCCTTGGCTTCATCTCCTTTTAAGCCTTTCTGCCAGGAATACAGCCCCTGCCTGGCTTAGCCTTGAGCAGCAGCAAAGCACATCTTCAGGCTGATTGGTAACAGGGGCCTTGCATGGCTTTTTCCTGCAGCTAAGATGTATTAATACCTGATGAATAACTTTAGCTGTCAAGAAAACCAGGCTAGTGTGATCAGGGCCGCTCCTGCCACTCCGGCAAGACTCCTGGGGCTGAGAATTCCTGGAACTGATCAGCTCTTAAAGACACAGGGACTTCTTATCTTCATACCAGAAATCAATGACACTGGGGTTAGCGGGGAGGCAGCACCTTGGGAGATGAGTGAGAGTGAGACCAGTGGGTTAGTCAGGAAAACACACAGCCCCTCACATTAAGCCCCTCAAGCTCCATGAATTGGGGATGTCAGGAAGACTGAACTGTTAACAGCACTTAAAGAGGGTCTCTCACCTTTTCAGGGAGTTGGGTAAGTAGTAGTTTCCAACCCAGCAATGGTATTTTTTTTCTCTGTTCTTTTCCTCTTTTTTTTTTGACCGAGTCTTGCTCTGTCACCCAGGCTGGAATGCAGTGACATGATCTCGGCTCACTGCAACCTCCACCTCCAAGGTTCAAGAGATTCTCCTGCCTCAGCCTCCCGAGTAGCTGGGATTACAGGCGCGTACCACCACACCTATCTAATTTTTGTGTTTTTAGTATAGATGGGGTTTCACCATGTTGGCCAGGCTGGTCTCAAACTCCTGACCTCATGATCTGCCCTCCTCGGCCTCCCAAAGTGTTGGGATTACAGGCGTGAGCCACCGTGTCTGGCCAGCAATGGTATTTGTACAGGCTGAGTAAGGATCACCTGGGGAGTCTGATGAAATATGGTTTCCCTGGCTCCGCCTCTGTGTATTTTGATTTGGTAGATCTAGGTTAGGGACCAGTAATCTAGGGTGAAGGTCTGCAAACAAAGTCCAGGCAGGCCAAAGATGGCTCACTGCCAGTTTTTATATGATTAGTTGAGCTAAGAATGGTTTTAACATTTTAAACTGATTGAAAAAAAATCAAAAGAATAATAATGTTTTGTGACAAATGAAAATGATATAAAATTCAAATTTTGATGTTATTGGAACACAGCCATGTTCATTCCTTTGGGTATTTGTCTATGGCTACTTGGTGATACGATGGCAGTTGAATAGTTGTGACAGAGTCCATATGGCCTGCAAAGCTGAAATATTTTCCTTTACAGAAAATGTTTGCCGAACCCCTAATCCAAGGCCTTACTCAAAGTGTGGTTTGATAACCAGCCTCACCTGGGAGCTTTATAGAAATGTAGAATCTTGAACACCATCACAGATATGAAATAAGCACCTACCTTTTAACAAGATTCCTGGGTGTTTGGGGCTACTTCTTCCCCACCACGAGGCTCAGCTCAGGACTCATCTTGGAGGTCCAGGCCAGCATGCTATAACTAGCCTTGTATACGGTTAATTTATCTGACACATAACTGGGTGTCTCATTCTCAAGGTTTGAGGCTTGGTAGCCTCCTGATATCTTAGATGCTCTAAAAACTAGGTTGCTGTTTTATTCTTGCCAATTCTTGGCTAGGATCCAGTGTCCTAATCTGAGGCTGGAGGTGGACTGGCTTTTGCTACCTGCTGACATATTTCTTAATGCTTCCTGGATTTCTAGACAGCAGTCTCCAGATGTGCTGCCCTGCCAGGATCTTGGTATGTAGTATGGCCCATAGCTCTCCACCGTCTCCTACTTCCTTCCATGAAGCACTGCTTCCCAGAGACATTCAGAAATGGTATATGGGAAGCAGGATGCACTGTAATTTAGTTGCAAAAGGCTGGGTTAAATAGGTTTCTTTATTGCAGGACTGCTCAGGGTCATTGATATGCCAGTATACCTTGTTACTCTCTGAGAGAGGACAAGGAGGAATAGTGAGGACCACAGAATCTCAAAGTGGGGTCTGTAGACCAGCAGCAACAGCAGCAGCATCTCCTGGGAACCTAGTAGATATATACATTCTCAGACCACACCCCAGAGCTACTGAATCACAAGCTGGGTATGTGGGAAGTGGGCCTAGCCATCTGTATTTTAGCAGATCCTCCAAATGATTCTTATGTACACTCAAGTGTGAGAACCACTGGTGTGGACGTTTCCAAATGGTTTTCTCCGAACATCTCACTAGCCTAGTGTTTCACATTTGTTGATTTCAGTGAACACTGTGTTTTTGGTTTCAGGACAGGACATTTGGGAACATGACATTGAATTTTTCCTGAAGCATTTACTGGTGGCAGTGACCACTGCAGGCTTGGGGAGGTGGAAGTGGGGAAGAAAAAAAACCCCAACCTTTGGGTAGCATCATCTGTCCCACATCTGTCTCTCTAGCAATTGTGTCTTGGTTAAAGGAAGTTTTTTTGAGACGAAAGCCACCAACTTTTGGGTGTTGCCAACATGTGTTCTTTAAAATGTGTTTTTGTGTATTCAAATGTAAAGAAAGCTGGGGAACAGCCCTTGGGGTGTTTCTCTCTCCTCTTCACGTTACTTCCTTTCAGAATACTTTCTTCTGTAAAATTTCCTCATCCAAATTCCAAACTCATCTTTTCAGGCCAGCCAAGTCCAAATGGCTTTCATTTGAGTGAGTGACCCTTTTCTCCATGGGAAGCCTCAGGACACATTCAGATAGGAGGGAAGCTATGGCTCTCAGCATGAGGAGGCTGTGTCTTCCTTCTCAAAGCTCAGCTCACTCCCTCCCATTCCAGACCTTCTTCCTTTGCCTTCCATGGCTAGTGGTGTCACAGCCATGGGTCTGTGTGTGAACACTTTTTAGTGTTTACTCTGTGAGGATATGTAACTGCTGTGTTGTCACTTAGTTTGAAATTCTCAGTGATAGTGAGGCTTGAGGGTGAGTTGGGAGGAAGCACTAAGTTATTCTACTTCCTCCATGGGCTGGCCGCTGAGGAGAGGAATGAGGGTTGAGAAAGCCATGCAGACCTTGATTTTCAGTGAAAATAGATGAGACAACTGACAACTTCCATTTCTATGTTTTTGGTGGGCAGAAAATAGATATTATCGTTTACTTTTCTTGGCTTGGTGGTCTGAATGCTACACATATCTATAAAATGGCCCATCTGATATTGCAGATGAGCTGAAAGTATCCTCTGATGAATGTACTTTAACAAGGCTTTCAAAAATTGTAGGCTGACCACTTTTTTTCCAAAATTTTTTGCAAAAAAAAAATATATATATATATAGGCTGAGCACAGTGGCTCACACCTGTAATCCCAGCACTTTGAGAGGCCTAGGCGAGAGAATCTCTTGAGCCCAGGAGTTTGAGACCAGCCTGGGCAACATCTTGGGACCCTATCTCTAAAAAAAAAAAAAAAAAAAAAGAAATTAGTCAGGTGTGCTGGCACTCACCTGTAGTCCCGGCTACTCAGGGGCTGAGGTGGGAGGATCGCTTGAACCCAGGTGGTCAAGGCTGCAGTGAGCCATGATCATGCACTGCACTGCAGACTGGGTGATAGAGTGAGTCCCTTTCTTTAAAATAAAATTATAAAAGTAAAACATGCTCATTATGAAAATATTCAAATAGAGGCATAAAAAGTTGAAAGCAGGCCCACCCTTCATTTTCCTCTTGATTCCATTCTCTTTTTCTGAAATTGCCACTCAGTAGTTTGATATAAACTTCTGGACACTTTTCTGTGCTTACGATTCTTAAACAAAAAAGGTAAAAAAGGAATGTATTGCTACATGTAACAACAGGGATGAATCTCATACATAATGTTCAGTGAAATAAACCAGACACAAAAGAGTACATATGGCAATTCCATTTCTACAAAGTTCAACAACAATGTGCAAAACTAGTCCATGGTGTTACAAGTCAGAATAGCAGTTGTCTTTATGGGGTAGCCACTGGGAGGGGCCACAAGGGGGTCTTCAAGGGTGCCAGCAGTATTCTGTATCTTGATCTGGGTTGGGAGGTCTCATGGGTATGCACATACATAGAATGTATTGAGCTGTATACACTTAAGATTTGTGCACTTTACTATATATGTTTACCTCAATTATAAAGAAAAAAATACCCACAAATGTATGTGTGGGCGGGGCATAAATGGATTTAAGATGTCTTTGTTAAATTTCCATGCCATTGCCTATGGGAACTTTGGAAATATATGGTAGTGATTTGGGTTGTCATAATGATAGAGAAGGCCAGGCCTACACAATAAAGAATTGGCTCCCTTAGAATGCCCATAGCGCCCACATTGAAAAACACTGTTTTAAAAGTTTGCAGACTGTTCTATTGGGCAGGTGTTCAGAACATGGGGTAGGCCTTTGAAATAGTCTTGCCTGGATCTTTACTCTGTCTTTGTTTAAATGGAGTTGAAGCCTCAAGAGCTGATGTGGATGGATGGGTTCTTGATTTGTTTTTGCCTTCTGAACCAAATTGTAAAGGAGTGGAATCATCTCCTTTGCCAGGGAACAGAGGCAATTTGATAACCCTCAAATGTGAACTTGATGCAAGAGAGAGCTCTTCTCCAGCTCAGTGTATCCCTCCCATGCTCATAGCTCTCTGAGGCCATGTGGCCTCCGCCAGTGTCTTGGTCTGGAGTCTTCTGCTGAAAGTCTTACTGCATCCTCCTTTCCTTTCTTAGATTTTCTCTGTGTCCCATTTGACCTCTATAGAGGAGAGTTAAGCATTTGAAGGACCACATGCCACATCACAAATTGCTTTTGTTCCACTGTCTGGTTTTACTTTAAAGGCTAGCCCTCTTTTTGTCTGTCTGTGTTGACTGGGGACAGTCAGGCTACAGAGCTTTGTGAATGCCCCTTGGTGAGAACAGGACTTGGCATTTATTGAGGTCCCCTGCTTTGGGCTGACCTCCTCAGATTTAGGTGTTTGTCTTTTTTCTGTTTCTCCTCTCTCCCATCTCTGGGCAATGGGCAGGGACACACTTTGGCCCTTCGTAGTATTAAACAATAGAAGGAGACTAAATTGGAAAAATATTATTTTCCCCTTGGACCAGAGTAATGCCTTCATTTATAAAGCTTTTCTTTTAAGTTTATTTTTGTTGGCTCTGTAAAGTAGGACCACAATTGATATTTCACAAGCCACATGCTGTTTTAATTGTCTTTGCTAATGAAAGACAGAGGGCCTGGGGATTATGGGTGCCATGGACTCTGCCTAGGGTCTTCCTTTTGGGGTCTGCATAGAAGAGTTTGAATAAGAGGATGGAATATTGTCTAATATTGCCTCTGATGAAACAGCTGTGGAAGCAAGGCTGTCTCTGAGAGCTCATGTCTGGCAGGGATCATTCTCTCACCAGCCAGCCATTCTACTGCCATTTATTTCTGGATGAAATAAAGTTAAAATGAACATTTAAGTGTAGCCTCAATGGGGAAAGAAGTTATGTAACGGTAGTATTTGGATGCCAGAGAGGGAGGAAGAGTCCCCAGCAGGATGGAGCCCCAATTGCCCACAACAGTGACTCACAGCAGTTGCCCAGTGAGCAGTACCCTTATTGTCTTTCTTCTCTTCGCTGTCTCTCTGCTCTAGTCCATCGCTATGCTTCCTGGGATTGCTTCCCAAATGAACTACTTGTACTTTGTCTTAGAGTGTGCTTTTGGGGGAACTCAGACAATGGCTAAGCTGGAACTTAACCCAGGATTTTGGTTTCTGGTCCAGAGTTCTTTGTACTGCTGAATTGACTCCTGCTGAATAGAACTCTCTAGGTCACTGAATGAACTGTAAAGAAGGCTTCTGTGATGGACACTTGGAGGTTGTTTCACTTATCTTTTGATGCATAAGAAACCACTCCAAAACTTAGTGGTTTAAATAAGTGACAACTATGTATTTACTCATGATCCCGCAGTTTGGGCAGGACTTTGGGGGACGGCTCATCTCTGGTTCACATGGTGTTGTCTGGGGTGACTCATCTGGGTCTAGAGGATCCGGGATGGTTCCACTCATGTGTCTGTGTCTGACACTTCATCTGGGATGACTGAAATCGCTGGGATGGCTGGTCCCTCTCTCTGCCTCTCTGCAGTCTGCATAGTTTAGCTCTTTTCCATCTCCCCGTGTTGCCTTACTCTCCAGCAGGAAGCTGGCATTACATGCAGCTGGCCTCCCAGTGGACAAAAGCCAAAGCTACCAGGACACTTAAGGCATAGATCCAGAATTGTCACAGCATCACTTCTGTTACATTCTATTAGTCAAAGAAAATCACAAGGCAGGCCCATATTTGGGATGGTGGTGGTAGTGGATGGAGTCTACCTCTTATATGCATGTGCAGGGTGGGAGGAATTGTCGGTGGCCACTGTGCAGGCAATCCACTACAGAGCTGGTTTGGGACGGCATATTGGAGATGGGAGTTTAATTTTCCAGGATGTTTGCTGGGTGCCTTCTGATTAGATGCTGGACCTCAGGTTGCTAGCCAAGTGTATTAGGCTGTTTAGCTACAGAATGTGGCATATGCAGATTCATTGAAAGTTCATAGAAGTGAGTAAATCAGCATCCCTGGGAATATCAAAGGCTCATTTTCCAATGGTTATTGATACTATCAAAGACAAAGACTTTATTAAACAAAAATGAACTCAAAATAGATCATAGACCTAAATATAAAGCCTATAAATATGAAACTTCTTGATGACAACATGGGAGAAAATCTTTGTGAACTTGAGTTAGGCAGAGATTTCTTGAATATGACACCAAAAGCATGGTCTATAAAAGGTATAATTGATAAATTTTACTTTATTCAAATTAAAAACTTCTCTTCCAAAGACCCCACTAAGAGAGTAAAAAGAAATATATAAAGAACTCTCTAAACTCAATAACAAGAAAAAAAGCCACCTAATTTTTAAAGCAGACAAAATATTTGAACAGATACTTAAACCAAAGATGTTCAATATTATTATCCACCTGCTAACTGGATTAAACTCAGGCAACTTCTGCTTTCGTCTGCCAACTGTGAACAAAGCCACCTGCTCTTTTAGGGAAGTGATTTGTAATATACAGTGCAAATGTAAGGTATGGTTATACCTCCCACAAAACAACTTGCACACATTTCTGCTCCTTGTAGAGGGCTGACTAGCCATTTTCTCTGTCTCTCTCACTGGACTTTATGTGACAGACACCCGCAAATTGCTAGCCATGGCCGTTAAGTAACCACTGGCCACTGGCAATTTGAGGCAGATCATTTACTGTAAGCTCAAGTGGACGTGGGTGTCTCCTACCATGCTTTTCCAAACCAGGCTGGTTTTTAGGCCTCCCTAAAAAAATCTCCCACTGCCTACTTGTTCTGCCCTCAAGTGTCCTGATGTCCTTTCATTTCAAGGAACTTGCATCATTTGAGCCTGTAACAGAGGGCTTTTAGTCTTCTTTGGTACTATTGATATGTAAGAAATGTACTTTGACTTTGATGTTTTTCTTTGAATTCATTTGTAAGCAATGGTAAAGTTTGAAATGTATTACTTCATATTATCATATATTATTCTTCTCAAGACCTAATGTTAAATTCAATGCTGAGTGCTTAATAAGGATACTGATTACATGAGAAGTAACAGAACAGTTTTCATCTAGTTTCTAAATTTAGGGGAAAAAAAAGCTTGGATGAACGCCAAATAATTTCCCACTTTTGTGAATCCCAAAGGCCCCTCTTCATGCATTGAACATTCCTGAAATTTCTGGAATAAAAAAAATTGTGAGAAGAACACACAGGGTTTTTAAAAACGACTTTTTACTTGAGGTGTACTTGCCATGTAATAAACTGTACTGAATTGCTTTCATACCATTTTCAAAAATTAATTGGAAATTTTTGTACAGATCTGTTTCTGGGTTCTTTATTCTGATCCATTGGTTTATGTGCTTATTTCTTCACTAATACCAATACTGTCTTGATTACTGTAGTTTTGTAATATGTCTTAAAATTGGGTAGTGTGATTCCTCTAACTTTATTCTTCTTTCCAAAATTGTTTTGGCTATAAATTTCATATAAATTTTAGGATCAGTTTGTTTATATCTGCAAAACCTTGCTAGTATTCTGATGGCAATTATGTCACACCTACTGATCAGTTTGGGGGAGAATTGATATCCTTAATATTTGAATCTTTCAATCCATGAATATGGTACATCTCTCCATTTATTTAGATATTAGTTGATTTCTTTCACAAACATTTTTTAGTTTTCAGTATACAGATCCCATACATGTTTTGTTAGATTTATAAGTATTTCATTTTATGGGGCTACTGGAAATGTTTTTATTTTCTTAACTTTCCTCTCTAATAGTTTATTGCAAGTATATAGAAATACAATTGATTTTTGTGGTTTGACTTTGTATCTTGTGATATTGCTAACCTCAAGTGTTATTTTGTCGATTCTTTGAGATTTTCTACATAGACAATCATGTCATCTGTGAATAGGGACAGGTTTTTCCTTTCTTCCTTCCTGCCTTCCTTCCTTTCTTTCTTTCTTCTCTCCTTTTGTTGCGCAGGCTGGAATGCAGTGGCACAATCTCGGCACACTGCAACCTCCACCTCCCAGGTTCAAGTGATTCTTCCACCTCAGCCTCCTGAGTAGCTGGAACTACAGGTGTGCACCACCATGCCTGGCTAATTTCTGTATTTTTAGTAGAGATGTGGTTTCACCACATTGGCCAGGCTGGTCTTGAACTCCTCACCTCAGGTGATCCACTCGCCTCAGCCTCCCAAAGTGCTGGGATTACAGGCGTGAGCTACCGGGCCTGGCCAGAGACAGGTTTATTTCTTCCTTTCCAATCTTTGTATCTTTTCTTTCTTTCTTGTCTTATTGCACTGGCTAGGATTACCTGTATAGTGCTGAATAGGGTAGTGAAATTGAGTGTTGTGTTGTTCCCAGTCTTAGGGGGAAAGCACCTCAGTCTTTCATCGTAAAGTATAATGTTAATTGTGGGCTTTCTGTAGATCCCCTTCATCAGGTTGAAGACATTCTCTTCTCTTCCTAGATTGCTGTAATTTTTTTTTTTAAATCACGAATGGATGTTAAATTTCGTTAAATTCCTTTTCTGTATTAATTGATATGATCATCTGGATTTTCTTCTTTAGTTTGTTAATGTCATGGGTTGCATTGATTAATTGATTTTTGAATATTAAGCTAGGCTTCCACTGTCAGGATACGTACCATTTGGTGTTACCATATTATTCTTTTTATGTAGTGTTGTGTTTTATTTGGTAATACTTTGTTGGGGATTTTTGCATCTGTGTTCATGACTGATATTGTCCTGTAGTTTTATTTTGATGTGAAGTCCTTATCTGGTTTTGGCATCAGAGTAATGCTAGCCTTGTAAAATGAGTTGGGACATGTGTTCTCCACTTCAATTTTGTGGAAGACATTCTGTAGAATTCTTTTAAAAATATTTGATAGAATTCACCAGTGAAATCACTGTGCCTGGAGATTTATTTTTAGGAAGATTATCTATTCATCTTGAGTGAGTTTTGATAGTTCGTGCTTTTTGAAGAATTGGTTCATTTCATCTAAGCTGTCAAAGTTATGTGTAGAGTTATACACAGTATCTGCTGTGATACCCTCTGTTTCATTCCTAATATTGGTAATTTGTTTCTTTTCTTTGTTTTTCTTTGTCAGTCTTGCTTGAGTTTTGTCAATGATATGAATATTTTCAAAAAACAGCTTTTGGTTTGATTGTTTCCATTGTGTTGTTTCATTAATTTCTACTTTTGCCTTTATTATTTTTATTATGTCCTGCTGCATGCTTTGGGTTTGTTTTGTTCTGTAGTTTCTTAAAGTGGAAGCTTAAGGTATTGTTTTGAGGCCTTTTCCTTTTTCTAATATAAACATCTGATGCTGTAAATTCCCCTCTGAGAACTGTTTTATCCCACTCACTGTACTCTCTCTCCTCTCCTTTTTGAACTCTATTGACTGAAATGTTAAACATATGGATATTGTCCCACAGCTCCCTGAAAAAACCAAGATTAAAAAGAAGATTGAAAAAAAAAGTTTATTGAGCAAGGGGAAGACCAAGAAAGACAAAAAGTCACAAGGAGTCTTCCTACCCTCTTAAGACCACATCTTCTCTACAGAGAAAAAAATCTCCATTCCCAGAGTTTTAGGTATCTAGAGTTTGCTATACAATTGCTGTAGTCGCCACTGCTGTCACTCCTGCCCACTGTCACCACAGGGTTATATGGGGGCTGGGTCATGAAATAATGGAGAAAATGAACATAAAAGAAAACCAGGGAATTTTCTTCATTCTCTCTGAAGCATTACAGTTCTTCTTTTCCACTCTTAGAGTCAGAGATAGAGGGCTTCTCCTGGAACTCTCTCTGTACCCAGTGTCTACTTCTGTGTTTGGGCTGATTTTAGTCTAGTCCTGGGATACCAGAGCAACACCAATTCAGTGTTACCCCAAATTCTTTTTTTTTTTTTTTTTTGAGACGGAGTCTCGCTCTGTCACCCAGGCTGGAGTGCAGTGGCGTGATCTCAGCTCACTGCAAGCTCCGCCTCCTGGGTTCACACCATTCTCCTGCCTCAGCCTCCCGAGTAGCTGGGACTATAGGCACCCACCACCGCACCTCGCTAATTTTTTGTATTTTTAGTAGAGACGGGGTTTCACCGTGGTCTCGATCTCCTGACCTCGTGATCTGCCCACCTCGGCCTCCCAAAGTGTTGGGATTACAGGCGTGAGCCACCATGCCCGGCCCCAAATTCTTAGTCTGCCTGCTAATGTTTACTTTTTCAGAATCACCAAAGAGCTGTTCAGATGCACTTTGTTCAGGTTTTTCAGCTGCATTCAGTAGGAAAGACAGGGTGAAGTACGATTACTGCATCTTACCCAGAATTGGAATATTGTGACCTTTTTTTTTTTAACATTACATTATCCTTTTCATGGTAGTCAGGTGGTTTTCTTCCTCCCTTCCTTCTTTCTTTCTCCCTTTGTTTCTTCTTTTCTTTATTTTCTACTTTTTCTTCACTATGATGCCTAGTATATTGTTAGACCTGGATAAATAACTTTTGACTGTTGCAGATGGTGAAAAGTCTTTTGTGTGAGGTTTTATAGTTATTACAATTTAGAGAAAGGATTGGATTGTTTATCATTGGAAAACACTTTGTTTTCTAAAGATATATCTACTAGGATGAGAGAAGAAAAAATCACGATCTAAAAAGTGGGGAGTAATAGTCTTATAGAGTCACTGTGAAAGTTCAGAGGAATGATATATTTGTACCAGGAACAAATATGTTACATTTGTTCCTTTAAGTAAATTCAGTCCCATCCAAAAACGTATTTATTGACATTAGCTCATTTTTGAAAGCCTTTTTAAAATGAGCTAATATCAATAAATATGTTAATAATGAAAGGAACCTAACAATGCAGAATGATTAGGCATCAAATGCTGTATGTTTACTGTGGTTTGAATGTTTGTCCCCTCCAAAAGTCATGTTGAGATTTAATTGCTGTAGTAACAGTATTAACAGGGGACCTTTAAGAGGTGATTGGGCCATTAGGGCTCTGCCTTCATGAATAGATTAATGCCATTATAGCAGGAGTGGGTTGTTAGTTATCTCAAGAATGGGTTCCTGATAAAAGGGAGGAGTTTGCCTCCTCTTTCCCTTTCTGTCTCATGTACTCCCTTCTGCCCTTCTTTCATGAGATGATGCCGCATTAAGGCCTCACCAGATACCAGTGCCCTGTTCTGGGGCTCCTCAGCCTCCAGAACTGTGAGCTGAATAGACTTCTCCTCCTTATTAATTACCTGGTCTGTGGTATTTTAACAACAGACAATGGACTAAGACAGTGTCCTTCTTCTGCTTTATTAGATAGCTTATTTCAAAAGTGAACAAGCAATCCTGCTTGTAGTCTGAGAAATGGAAATTGTGGAGTTGAGGGAGATTCAGTAAAAGATGATCTTTCAGATGAGGCTATTGTTAAACTTTTCATTAAATTGCTTTTATTTTGGCCCTAGTATTGGTATCATCAAACATTAAACAGTCTTAAAAAGTGAAATGATACCCAGTCATCTATAAAAGAGTGAATTGTGAGAAATTATATGGCTTATTTCCCAGTAGAGACAAGTGATTTCACATTCTGCAGCAGACCCATGAGCCACACAAGTCACATGAAAGGTGGCCATAGCTCAGGTGTTTGGCTCAGCTTTCTATTCTATCCAAGCTATTTCTAATCACAGATGAACCAGCCACACATTCTTATTTTGAGCAGACATCTGAAATTGACTTCAGCTTAATTGCAATAACACTGAGGATTGGAAAACATTTGTGTTAACATCTACATTCTGTTCAAAACATCAACAAAAGCCAAATCCCCCAAATTAATAGGCTCTTTTGAAGACTTCTCTTTTGAATAAACAGTGTTGACATGTAATTCATCATTAACTCATAAAAACACTTCAGTAATATAAATCAGGATTGAAGTCTAAAAGCCATTCTGCTTTCAATTAGAGCATCCAAATCTGGTATACGAGACCTTTTCTCCTTTTTTTTTTTTTCCAGCCACTCTGTTATTTTGTCAATCTAATCTCATCTGTATCCTGCTCACGCTCTAGGAATCAAGTCTTTCCCTCAGATGCAATGCCTGCATTCTAATTTTAAAAGTAGTTAATAGAATATACCAATTCCATGTTTAAACAGGAAGAAACTAAGGCTCCTGAGAGGTGATGGGGCTAGCCAAAGTCACATGGCTAGCTAGTAGCAGAGCTAGATGAGGATTCTTAGCACCTCACTCCATTATTTTACCCTAGTCTTCTAGAAAGACCCTGTGCTGTTCCCAGAGTCTCACCTCTGAAATATCACACTTTTTTTATTTTTTTTAATTATTATTATTATTTTTTTGAGATGGAGTCTCGCTCTGTCGCCCAGGCTGGAGTGCAGTGGCGCGATCTCGGCTCACTGCAAGCTCCGCCTCCCGGGTTCACGCCATTCTCCTGCCTCAGCCTCCCGAGTAGCTGGAACTACAGGCGCCCGCCACCACGCCTGGCTAATTTTTTGTATTTTTAGTAGAGACGGGGTTTCACCGTGTTAGCCAGGATGGTCTCGATCTCCTGACCTCGTGATCCACCCGCCTCGGCCTCCCAAAGTGCTGGGATTACAGGCGTGAGCTACTGCGCCCAGCCCACACTAAAGTTTTAAATTCAGTCACAAATGTTTTTCAATACCTTATAAGTATATGAACCAAAACCAACTTGTGATGACATTAGGTTGGTGCAAAAGTAATTGCGGTTTTTGCCAATGGCAATGAAAAAAAACCTCAATTACTTTTGCACCAGCCTGTAGACGTCAGGATAGTGGCAGGTTTCTGACCATGTTCTGTTTCTTGATCTGAGTTCTCTTACATGGGTGTGTTCAGTTTATAACAGTTCATTGAATTGTGCACTTTTTAAAAAATAAAATATTTATTACGAGTGGCTTATGGTATTATCCCTGATTGTTGCTCGGGCCCCAGAACTTAATATGTTAGTAATGTCCTTTATTATGCAACGAGTCACCTTTCTCATCCAGCTTAAAAAATAATTTTCCTCTTAACATTTTTTTATTTTGCTCTCCAGTATACTTTTGCTTCCCAGCGCCTGCCTAATGTTTGTACCATCAGTGTTGTAGAATCCTACTTCAAAAGAAGCATTTGCTACAGCCCAGAATCATAGCGGTAATCATGCAGTGATCTTAGCCCCCACCCCAGGGTGCTTGCTTGTTTGATAGTCACTGTGAGTGTTCCTAATAAGCCAGGGCATATCTGGATTCATCATTTATCATTTTCTGTGCTCCAAGGCTCCAACAATATGTGTGATAAATAGCCTGTAGCTTATTTTCTAAATGACAGCAGTGAAACCTCCTGTTTTTCTTTCTTTGAATTGAATCTGAGACACATGAAATTGGTATTCTCTGAGGCTTCTCTCTTCTCCCTCCCCACATTTCTTTTACAGCAGGGGAAAAGGCAGAAACCTAAGTTTGTGATTGGTAGTGGATTGAAAGCCGTAGATCCTTTTCTCCTCTCCAGAGCTAAGGAAATGATCTTTTGTGAGCATTCATCACTCTGCCTTTTTATTATTTCTCTCTCTTACCTTTAGAGTCTTATTTCGTCCTGTCCTCCACCTTTCTGTACACCACTCCCTCCCCAAAGGTTGCTTTTTCATAGCGTAAAAGTTGATCCTGAGTATGTGTGCAAGACATTATTTGGTACTACAATTTCACAGAATCATATAATCTTAACCTTGGAAAGGGCTGTAGAGCCCCACCCTACTTCCCTCATCTCACCCCTCTTGCCAGCATCCTTCGGCCTCATGGGAACACTTCCAGCTTCAGTAAGCTTTGATGGAATCTCAAGATGGTCTTGGAGTCTTAGAATACCCTGCCTCACACTGGGCTAAAATCAGCTCTACATGACATCTAGCCATTGTCCTTATTTCTCACTTTTGGTACTGCACAAAGTAAGTTTCTCTCTATTTTTATCCATGGGATGACCATTGAGAAATCAGAACACAGGGATTCTATTTCCTTTTAGTCCCATTTTCTTCAGGCTACAAATCTAAAGTTTATTCACCATTCAACAAACTTTTTATTTATTTGTTTACTTATTTATTTGCTATGAAAGCTAGTCTCTGTTGGTCATTTTTTGTTTTTTCTTTCTAGCATCTTCTGGCATGTCTGTGTCCTTCTCAAAGTGTGGCCCCAAGTGATAAATATTTGAGGTGATAGATATGTAAATTACCCCAATTTAATCATTATGCATTGTATGCATATATCAAAATATCACTCTGTATTCCATAAATATGTACAATTATAACATGTCCAAAAAAAAGAAAGGAAAAAAAAAGAATTGGCCCAAATGGTCTGTTATTCCAGTGTGGTTGCTTCAGTCTAGGATAAGCCAGACTTCTTTGGTTTAGCCTCTGTCCTCTTGCAGGCCACTGTTGCTCTCTCTTTTTTAAGAAACTATTTCACCTGCTGGCTCACAATGTGGGCAACTAGCTGGCTGCTCTTTCCCAAGCCTGCCAGGGAAGCTCTCCCCCTTGCTGGGTGTACAGCTTAGTGTAGGGAGAGAAATACAAGACTTCATGTTTATAATCTCTATTTAATTTCTCCTTGTAGGTTTCAAACTAGCTATGGCCTATGGTTTCATCATCTGTTGGTTTTGCCCATCTGTAGCCAACATTGTTGATGCCCTGTGCCATCTCCCCTCCGCCCATCTCTGGATTCATCTGCAGCTGAGGTAGACAGTTCTCAAACATGCTGACAGTTTCTCACCTTAGATGTCCACATGTCTTAGAGGCTTTGCCTTTAGATTTACTCCAGTCCTGTGGGAGCTCGCTCAGCAAGAATTTCTGGAAGAGTAGGAGATGTAACACCCCGCCAGCTCTTAGCCAAAAAAAAGGCAGGAGTCTGTGGGTAAATACCCAACCTTTCGTGTCCCTGGGTTGTGTTTCCTCAGAGGCTCCTCAGTGGGAATGAATCCAGGTTGCCCCCAGAAGTAACCTGCTCATTAGCATATCTTTATGGGCTTTTCCCCTATTCCTTTCTCATTTCCCCTGCTTTCTCACTGTGCTTCCTGGGATCACCTTCCAAATGAACAACAGCACCCAAGTCCTTGTTTCAGACTCTGCTTTGGGAGAAAGAAAACTAAGAGCTTGTCCTCCCCAGCTTGGTTATCTTCTACAGATTTGTTCTTCTTAATTCTTCCTTCACTGGTAGAATGACACAGAGCCCTATAGCATATCTCCTGAGAGGAGGTTACCTGTTAATGGGTTGTGAAATTCTTGTAGTGGTCATGATTAGCACTTTTTAAACACTCAAATGTAATAGAATAGCAAATATGAGAGGGCATCATACTTAAATATTGTTCCATGAAACTTATTTTTCGATCATATAAATGTATGTGTGTACTGAGTCACAAGATGAAACATTTTCTGTGGATTGTATTCAAAAAAGTGAAAAGTAATTGCTTTCTGTGAATACAATTCATAAATCAGTATTTCTCTGAATGGACCTTTATGTAAACTAGATTTACTAGAGGAGGCATTCTCTTGGGTAAACCAAAGAAATGAGGTTACTTTGGCCTGATTTGCTATTTTTGAACCAACGCTGATTCCAAATTGTCACTATTCTAAAAATTTCTTCCTATTTTTTTTGTTAATAATCTGTTCTAAAATAACGCTTAGGATAAAATTGAAACTTTTCATGTCTATGGTTTCCATACTCCATATTTTTACTGATTTGAAAATTGTCTATCCACAGCCTTTGACACTTCTTTGGTTTCCCTTAATTTTTCAGTGATTATGAAGAATAATTTCACGTCCATCCTTTATATTCTTTAAGGCCCTGGGATGTAGTTTCCTTGGATCTGGAAATTTGAGCTCAGGTAAAATTGCCAGCTGGGATCTCGTTACTCTTGAGCCCTTCTTCCTAATCTGTGGCTTTTCCCCATATATAATATTAAAGCAAGAAAGATATTTAGGTGGACTTTAAGGAAGAAATTTCAACTTTCCTACAAGTAAAATGT
Source organism: Homo sapiens (assembly GCF_000001405.40). Lineage (NCBI taxonomy): Eukaryota > Metazoa > Chordata > Mammalia > Primates > Hominidae > Homo > Homo sapiens. Next base: position 38,195,744 of record NC_000023.11, on the reverse strand, counting down.
TGAGAACAGCTTGGGAGTAGGCTGGGAAGGCTGTCTCCAAACTTTTGAGTTTTCATTGGGACTCTCTCAGTACTTGAGGCTGGCGTGTGCATCAGATTGTCTTCCAAGAGTATTTCCAGATCTAAGACTCTCTAATTTTATTGGCAAAGCATATCTTTTAGTTGGAGGCCCAAATGGTAATTTTTAAGAACTTCTTGGATAAACATGTTCTTATCATTGCAAACAAATGAGAAACAAACCTAACAAGCTCTTTGCATCAAAGATATTTTAATTGCTCTGCTTGAAAAATTTTAAATTAAACAATGAGTAGAAAAAAAGAATATTTACATAATATGGGTATGGTAAAAAAAAAAAAAAAAAAACCACAAACACCTCTACTTACCAGCCAGTTTAATAAGAACTTACCAAAAAAAGAGCAAAAACTTTACCCTGTAGTCCTTGCTATTCTTTCCTTTGGATTCTTTTCCTTTCGCTATCTCCTCAGAGGTAACCAATGTCCTAAATTTTGTATTTATCATTCCTATTATTTTCTTTATAGAATATGTTTATATCTCTAAAAATACATTATTTACAGCCGGGTAAAGTGGCTCATGCCTGTAACCCCAGCACTTTGGGAGGCCGAGGCAGGCAGATCACCTGAAGTCAGGAGTTCAAGAACAGCCTGGTCAACATGGTGAAACTCCATCTCTACTAAAAATACAAAAATTAGCTGGGCGTGGTGGCACGTGCCTGTAATCCTAGCTACTTGGGAGGCTGAGGCAGGAGAATTGCTTGAACCGAGGAAGTGGATGTTGCAGTGAGCCAAGATCGCGCCACTGCACTCCAGCCTGGGTGACAGAGCAAGACTGTATCTCAAAAAAAAAAAAAAAAAAAAAAAAAAACCAAAAACAAACAAACAAAAAACATTATTTACATTTGCATGCTTTTGACTTGTGTATAAATGGACACATGCTGAATATAGTCTTCTATAACTTGCTTGCTTTTCTTCACTTAACATTAGATTCTTAAGAGTTGCTCATGTTGTTACATGCAGTTGTGATTTTTTCATTCACGTTATCTTGTAAGATCCCATTGTGTAAATATGCCATCATTTATCCATGCTACTCTTGATGTGCATTTTGGGTTGTTGCTAGTTTTATGTTCTTGTAAACAGTGCTATTGGGAAGATTCTTGTCTATCTCCCTTGAACAATGTGCAGGAATTTCTCTAGACTAAGTACCTAGGAGTTGAATTGCTGGATAATATGCATACATATCTTTGACTTTGTTCAATAATGCCAAATTATTTACTAAGGAAGTTATACCAATCTAAACTTCTAGCACCAATGTGTATTTCCATTGCTCAACATCCTTGTTAACACTTGATCTTGTTATATTTTTAGAGTTCTTCCAAACTAATGGGTCAGAAATGGTATGACTGTGGTTTTAATTATTGTTAGTGGTATTTTAGTAATAATATAATAGTAATAATAATATGGTTATTAATTCTCAGGGGAAGGATTTTCCTTCTTTCACTCACTGCTGGGGTACAAGATGAGAACTTTTCTTTGTAGTCCCTATACATGGGATGGATTTATTTCACTCTTTACACTGAGAGTATAGGCTGTTGGTATATCAGCTTTATGTAGGAGGTGAGGGTGAGGGGATGTAGGCAGTCTCCTCTAAAACTGATGACCTTGAATAGTCTCTGGAGTTTGTCTTCTGTATCCAAGGTCTCACCAGTCCATGGAAATTAAAGCTCAGTTTTGGCAGTTATCCTCAGAATAAAAGGTGAGCCTTAATATCTGGTACCTAATCAGGATCCTGCTTTCACAGTATTTCTTACTTTCTTGCAAGCTAAAAGTGGATTTTTTTCATTGATTTTCATGTAAGCACAGCCAGGCTACATGGCTCACCATACTGCCTGAAATAGGATCCTAATTGCTTGACTTTGAAATTGATTCCATTTTCAACCTTTAGTTACTTTCAAATGTATTTCATGATATTGTGCCAGAGCAATCTGTAATTTGATGTTTGAAGGACATATGTACCTCCTCAAATTATCCTCTTCAGATTTACAAACTAGAAAATTCTCAGTGGAGATGGCTGACCTACCACTTGTTCAAGATTTTACAATGAGACAAAAAGTTGCCATTTGCAAGCATTTGAGGAAAATTTTTGGGTGTTCATCAAGGGAGGAGAGAAAAAGACTGCCTAGGGTGTTTCCCATTTGCTGCCTGCTTTAATTTTTCATTTATAATTCCTTGCTCAGAATTTCATTGAAGAGGGGAATTTCTAGGAAGCATTGGCATTCATGCTCTAAAAATGCCCTGTCTTAACTTCCCTAATGCAGCCTTAACAATGATGAAGATCCCATACCCAGTTTGATTGTGCTGTGTAAAATTTGAATGTGACTTGACTACTACACATAGAAGAACATTAAAAGACCCATACTAACAAAACAATTACTGACAGGTTTTGTTAGGGCTGCAAAATAGTGTGTTTGCATTTCCCCCCCTCCCCACCTTTCTTTTTTGGATAGGTTTCATGTGAATTCATGTGAGTACCTTGATTGAATTAAATAATTCATGTAAATCACCCAAGGCAGTGCCTGAGGTAGTGTCTGTTAACTAAATAGTAGGTATTTCTTCTCTCTTACAAGCTAGGACTGTAAGGACTGTGTTAGGACTCACTGGTGTCTACCTTGGCCAGTAAGACCAGATAAGATGGTGCTGTACAAAGCTGCTCCTGCATGGTAAAAGGCTGGAGAAATAGTTGCTACTTCATTTAATTTACCTTTTATTTCCTTCTTACCCTGGACTTTCATCTGCACACCAGGATGCTGGAAAATTGCTCAGAAAGACTCAATTTTTGGCAAAGTTCCCTTTAGGGCACATACTGCCTTTTTCACTGGCCCATGGTTTCTGAGAACTGCCCTCATCGCTGCAAATGAGGACTTCACCAGCCCCTCCAGTCCCTTCCCTGCAGACAGCCTGCCTTGGTCCTAGGGGAAGGACAAAGGGAGCCTGTCACTGCAGGCCCTTCTCCAGCAAGGGACTGGGAAGGGGCCAACATGCCTGCAGGCTCCTGTATTGACAAGTTGCAGCATCCTTAAGAGCAGCCAAGAAATAAAATGGTAATTTGTGTTTGCATCTGGAATTTCTGAGCTTCAAAATCTTGGATCACAGCACTCTCAATAACAGAAAACAGGACACACATATAAATATCCATATCCATATTAGCCTCTTTGTTAAACTCTGTCTGGGTCAGCAGCTCGAGACTGAAAAGTAGCAGGATGATTGTACAGGAAGTAGAATGAACCTGAATGCTGTGTTTCAGGGCAGGGGACAGCGGGCATGAGAGGGACGAGAATGGCCTCCCCATTTAGTGGACCCTGAGCCATCCCCCCAGGGACATCTAGAGTTTGACTATATTATGGCTTAAAACAGCTCTTATGGACTCTCTAGGGGACCTGATCACCACTGATAATGTGGTTTCCAAGGAAAAGCCAATTTCAAATTATAAGCAACTGATTTATAAATGCACTTTGGGGATGCTGCCATCTGTAGGTGAGAGGCCACATGACTCCCCTGTCATCAGTGCCCTGATACTTTGGCAGGGTTACAAGCCACGCTGTGCCTCTTTGTGGGGCTCTCTTTAGCTGGGCAGTGGGCTAAATGTGGTATTCGTTGGATAGCACCAGAAGCCTATCCATGCAACATATTATCTCCACTTGCCTGTTCTGCTGCCTGAGGTTTCCCCATGAGGATCAGGAAGTTTCCACAATGAGAAGAAAGCCATTTGGGGAACCCTGTAAAAAACTAGTGTGTTAAGGCATTATGTAAATATGAGAGTGGATAAATGACTTAGCTGATATGTACAGCAAAGACTATTCTGATTATCAACTTGGGAGTTCTAGATAAGGTGTGTAATACAATTGTTTTCAAACTCTTTTGATTGCTACCTGCAGTAAGAAATATGTTTTATATCACAATCCAAAACACACACATACCATGCACACAGTATGCCATCAACTCCAAAACTCTGTCAGTCGTCAGTCACCATTATTTTAGGTATCACTAAAAAAGAAAAATGATACCAATTAAACTATGCCATTCCATTGATTATAGAGCTCATCTTGGGTTCAGGGAAATTAAAATGTTAAAAAGTGTTGTTTTAGAGTCAATAAAATATGGTATATGTGTGTGTGTGTGTGTGTGTGTGTCTGTGTATAATTGAAACAAAAGTGTCATGAAACAATGCTCACTTTTACTATGTATGGTATATTATAAGTATCTGCTATTTTCCCCTATTCTAATCTAATGTATTTTATTGCAAATAAAGCTGGTCCCACTAAATTTATGGAATGGCTCACTAATGTTTTAATTTAATTTTAAAGTGTTAAGTCTGAGCTATAGTATTGTTTTGAAATAGGGAATTGGAAATGATACACTGAGATTGATTTCTTATCTCAAACCAGATGTCATGCTGTATGTTTTAGTCATCTATTTCATTCAAATGTAAATTGATGGTCTACTGTTTAAGTTAGGACTCTTGATGGCACATGACAGAAACCAGTTTCGAAAAAGCTTTGAAGAAAGGATGGGCTTATCATCTTATGTTAGGGCAGAGGTATGCTTGTGGGGCCAAGCAATACTGGAACCAAGGGCTCAAATATTGTGGGATCTCTCTTTCTCTCTTTCTCTGTTTTGTTTTTGCTTTTCTTTGATGGCTTCATTCTCTCGAATTAGCATTCTGTATGAGATTTAATCTTTGTCGTTGGCAGCTTCAGGGCTCACATCTTCCTCATTTTACCACCAGAGAAAAATCCTTCCAAGATTCTCATTGGTTCATGTAATTGGTTCATATGATTGCTCCTGTAGTCAAGGGATAGGATAAACTCACCTCTACTAGAACCACATAGGTATGAGGAATAATGCAGTTTTCCAAAAGAAAGGCTCTTCTTTCTTTGAGAGGAACACAATAGATGTCTATCACACCTAGGAAGTGCTAGCACCAGGCATTGTGTGCTGGGGTGTAGCCTCACACAACAGGTATTGCCAAAAGCCTGCAGATGATCATTTTGAAAACTAGAATTGCCGTCAGCTTAGTTGCACCTTCACTTTCCCACTAGAGCTTGAGTCTCCCAGTGAAGATAATAATAACTGACAACAGCTACTGTGTGACTATCAGTTCAAGGGCACCGAATGGAGAAATCGGTGCTTTCAAGAGAGAAGCTACCCAGAAAAGAAATGATTCTACCTCCCAACACAGGCAGAGCTGGATAAAATAGCCATCTGTAAAAAACTTCAAGTAAAGTCCAGGTTTTTGTTCTTGGGTGCTCGTGTTCTATTCCCTGTTGGGGAACCGGAGAATGTTTTATAAGGAAGAAGCCTTAGGTTTCAGCTGAGCAGACTGCAGCCTGTCACTTTCAGGCATTCTCATGATGTTCATTTCAGTGTTTCAGTGCTGTTTTCTGGAAATATCTTTCTTCACACTCTCTTCTCTCTGTCTCTCTCTGCCATTTAATGTACTATATTAAAATATCAATCTACAGCTGGCAATTAAAAGTTTGCTGCCTACAATTCTCAGTACACACTGTGGCGATTTTATTTTATTTTCTTAGACTCTGTCTTCTCTGAATTCAGTTATTCTCAGTTTTGCCAAGATGTGCCAGAATTTTGTAAGTTATACTGCTGGGTTACTGCCAAGAACGACGTACCAGTCGCAGCTTTATTTGGGCAGCTTTTTGTGCCTTAAATACAGTATCTGTTTCTGTAAGTACAGCCTTCACTGAGGGAGATGGATGTCTCATTCTGATATTGATGGAACAGCTTGAGCATATCAGTAATGTGTAGGCTAAAGTCTCAAGGGGAAGAAAACTTTTGAGAGCCTTTGTTAGTTTCACAGGGGCAGTAAGGGGAAACAAACCCTGACCGTATTCCCTGAAGAGTTTGATGTCTAGCTGGGAAGAAAAAACTCGAAATGGCTTCTGAAAATCCAACGCAACATAAAATCAGTGCTGATTTAAAAATGTGAACAGAGTGCATCAATGTGAATGGAATGGTTAGGAAAGATAAACTGGGGGAGCTAGGCTTTGAAATAGCTTTAAACACAAGAAAGGAACTGAGAGGAGGGAAAGGGCTTTCAGGTAGGTTTCTGAGTCATGAAGACAGAAACAAGGAGTGAAATTGCATGAGATTTAGAATCAGAAAAGTTCAATCCTTGTTCTCCTATAACTGATAATCACTTCATTCTCTGAGCTGAGAATACAATCATAAACAAAGTGTCAAAGAGTTGTTGCCCTCCCCAGGTTTACATTCTAGTCACTGAATGATACCTGCCTCATAAGGTTGCACTGAGGACTTAAAGAGGCAATGGAAATGAAAGACCAGGCAGATTTTTAAAATGATGTGCCATGGTAATTTGTTTATTGCCAGGTGTAGAAGGAGGAGGGCAATTTGATTTGCTTGACTGCTGTTGTCCCAGCTAGAGGTTGAGGATGGGAGTGTTCTAGGGTAACATAATTTGAAAACAGGTACTATGCCCTTCTAAACACTTCTGGTGTCCCATTTTACAGATGAGCAAACTGAGGCTCAGGAAAGAAAAGTGGCTTCCCAAATCAGGATGGCACTGGAACTTAATCCCAGGGCTTTTTCAGTTGCATCCTACCAGAGAGGATGGCCATGAGCAGTTGAGGAAACTCAGTGTCTGCTTGCTGTTTCATGGGATATAACATCTATGCCCTGAACAAATCAGATAAAAGTAGACTTCTACCACCGATCCCCCAAAGGCTTTCTCAGATTTTCAGATTCCTTCATTCTGAGGGAGGAAACCGAATTAACTTAACAAATGTAGGTTTTCAAAGTATTTAAATCACTGTTTTTCTAATACTTTTGACAAGACCCACAGGAAGAAATATATTCTACTGTGACCTATTGTTAGAGTGAATATATTATTTATTGTACAAATCAGGAAGGTTTTGAGTGTGAAAGAGAATGCTATTAATAATAATGTTAGATGGTAACCATGTGAGGTGATGGATATGTTAATTAGCTTGATTATGGTGATTATATCACAATGGATACGTATTTCAAAACATCATGTTGTAAACCTTAAATATATATAATTTTGCCCATTATACCCCAGTAAAGCTGAAAAAGTAATGCTGGGACAACAGGCATAAAATGGGACTGTGCTATGCAAACTGGGGATACCCTACCACACATACACCTATATAAAAACAAAAATTGTACAAAGTAAGGTTTATTCTTTATATGTGCAGTGCACCCTGACATTTTCAATTCTATTTCACTACAAAAATACTAGTCATGACCTACTAAATGGGGTCAACAGTTTGAAACATACTATTCTTAGTTGATGGTTGGTATCGCTGAGGCACTTATGATGGTAGTAAAGACAGGGATTTGGTAAGCTGAATGTCTGATATGTCCTATAAACTTGTTTCATCTGAACATTCTGTTGAATCTTCTGCCACAAGAAAAGCACTGGTAATAAACATTTTCTTCAGTTCATTCCCCATGATTAGCAAAAGGTTTAGACTAATCTTTCTGGATCCCTTTGTTCCATTTGGAACAAGAATCTTCCTCTGTGTATTTCCCCTCTTTTCTTACTCTTGCGCTTTTATCTATTAGTCTGCCACTTATTTAGGGATGTAAGGAATCCAAGGAAGAATGTCTCATTTACAGATCCTGGTTCTCTGTGTACTTGTTCTGAGCCTTCATCTTGGGGTTGAAGCTGGTGCTCTGAAAAGCTAAAGTTTCTTTTTCGCTCTACTCCTTCAAACATATACACCTTTACACACAACTCCTGGACATCTCTCCTCTGTTGAAACTTTGCCAAGATATAACAGAATAGATCTTGCCTGCTAGTCAGGCATACGGAACTGACTTCTGGGCTTCTTCAAAAGCCCCCATAAATTAGGACTTTCCAGAAGAGAAGCTTCTGCAGATTTAGCTATGGAGGAGAGAAGGGTTACCACTGTACCTGTGTCCACACAAGCTATGGACAGGCCCTTTGTTAGCCCATTTCTGTCACTAGAAATGTTTGTACACTCACCTGTGTTAACAAGAGCTTCAAGAATACAAGAGACCCGGCAATAGCACCTTTCAGCAATAAAATAACTTTTGGTGAGTCCCCATTTTGTAAATGTTTTTAAGTCATAAAGGCATATAGGGAACCACAGGGTTTTTCCTACCTCAAAGTGTAAACTATGGTAATGTCTTGAGCCTAAAAATCACTTTTTCCTAAAGCAAATTTTATTATCTGGATCATCTGAACTCATAGAGTAAACTTGACAACAGTTTACTTTTCTGAAAAAGATTGACTGTATGGCTTTTCCTGGTGGTTATTAAGATGAATACATATACATATGTTTATGAAAGATTTTCTAAATCACAAATCATACAGGATTGTTAGAGGAATTTTAAAAAACACACAGAAAACTTTGGAAGCACTGAGATTCTTGACCATGTTTCATGCTTAAACTTTAAAAAGTATATCATGCCAGATATAAGTTTGTCATATTTTTACATTTTTTCAAGAAACTCATTTACACAGCAGCTCAGGGATGTGGAGGCCTTCAATTTATACTCACATAATTAAGTAGAAAATGTGATTATGAACCCTCAAATTAGAAACTTGTAAAACTAAAACATATATATTATGCCATTTAATTTATGGCAACCCTGTTGAGGCATGCCTAATTGGGGTATTTGAGGCTTAGAGAGACTCAGTGGCTCTCTTAGCTTGGTTTCCTAGAAGCAAAGCTTATGGTTTGTTGAGGGAATACTCTCAGGAAAAAAACCTATAATTGAGGAAGGGAAGCAAGAAAGAGCTAAGCAAGGATAGAGTCTCAGGTAAATTCTAGCACCACAGGGTTCTTAGAAACATAAATACTGCAAGGTTGTCCTTCCACTCACCTTTGGGGGCTAGAAGTCTGGCTTCATGTTCCTCCATATCAATCAAACATTGGCTGCCTCCAGGAAACAGGTGGGGAGGAAGAAGTGGCTCCTATCAGCTGAGGACAATTCTCTGGAGAAGAGGGCAACTGTGAGTTATTTGCAGTCAAAGGCTCCCAGCAGCTAGGAGATGGGCACACCAGCCTGAGTAAAGGGGATCTGATTGAGGAATAAGCAGTATCTACCGCAGTGACCTAAGAGAAGACTATTAAACCAAGGCTGAGAGGTACATCAGAATCTTCTGACTTTAAGGCAAATGCCCTTTCTTTTTCCCTTCCTCCTTTTGTACTTTCTACTCTTCCTACACCTTTTCCTCCTTTTGTTTTAAAAACAAATACTGTTTATTATGTTAGAATTTTTATAAGTCAGGATCTGGGCATGGTTTAGCTGGCTCAAGGTCTCTCATGAGGTTGCAAGCAAGTTATTGGCTTGGCCTGCAGTTTCATCTGATGGCTCGACTTGTGGGTGTTATGTGTGTGTGTAGCTGGGGAGATCTTCTTATAACCTTACTTATGTTATTGTTGGCAGGCTTTTGGTCCCTCAACACATGGGCCACTCCACAGGGCGCCCTCATGACTTGGCAGCTAACTTGACCCGGAATGAGTGATCCAAGAGAGAGAGTGTGAGACAGTATTCAAGATGGACACCACAGTCTTTTTATAACTTGACTTCAAAAGAGATATGGTGTCCCTTCTGCCAAAATTTATTCATTAGAAGCAAGTTAATAAATTCATTCCACACTTAAAGTGAGGAGTTACAAAAGGTTATGAATGCCAGGGGACAGGGATAATTGGGGGCCATCTTAGAAGCTGCATATCAGAGTCTACCCTCTGGCACCCAGTGATTATTTCCCACCAACATGCAAAATATACTCACTCCCCCCCCCCTTTTTTTTTTTTTTAGAAAAATAGCATCTATTCACAGCTAAGCAGCTCACTGAGCCTGCTTTCTGACAGTATAATTGTAGGGGATCAAAGACCTCTCCTTATTCCTTAATGTCTCTGCCTTCCTAAGTCAAGCTAGTGATATTTCAGCATATATAACTCTTTTAAGAATTTTGTGGGTCTCCTGTGAATCTTCTTAGAATTCACTCTATTAGACAAAAGTTCACCCTATTAGCCACCTTACAAATCTCATAGATATAGACTCTTCTCTGTTTGATTGAGAGGAACTTGAGATACCCTTAATCTCTCTAAGGGGCCTTTTGTAAGACTGAAGGTACTTTAAGGCACTACCTTGATTTAACAAAGGATTTTACAGCCGTAATTTTGCCTTCATCTTTAAATCATGTTTTTCTGGCAATGCCTTGGATTTGATCTTTGTTCAGAAGCTATTCAAATGTCCTTCATACTGTACCACAGCTGCTCTGTAATCCATTGGCAGATCATTTGTTAGCACTAAATCATCTGGCTCCCACAAATAAACACCCTATGGCTTCCAATAGTACAAAATACCCTTTTGTAAACATCCAAATCTGCAGTATTGTCACAGTTTAAATTTATATACGGAAGCTGGACTGATTAGAATAAAACCATCCAAAATTATAAGCATGAGGACATAATTTATGTGTCACAAGAAATTTAAGGCAGATTTTTCTCTTTTTTCTCCAACATTTTTACCAATTCCAAATCATATACTGGGTATACAAGGTAAATTAGACATAGTTCCCACCCCTGAGCAATTTATAGACATGATTTATCTCCATAGAATACTTTTAAAAAGTTAGGTCTAGGCCTGTGCTATCCAGTATGGTAGCTATTAACCACATGTGGCTATTTAAATGTAAATTTAAATTAACTAAAATTAAATGAAATAAAAACATTCACTTCTCTTGTTTTACTAGCCACATTTTAAATGCTTAATAACCACATAGGACTAGTGGCTGCCGTATTTGACAGTACAGATAAAGAATATTTCCATCATTGCAGAAAGTTGCATTGGACAGCACTAATCTAGAAGAAACCAGTATGATAAGCATTTATCCTTTTTAAAAACATATTTGCTTCTCTCTCCCCAACACTAAAATGAGTTAAATATCAAAAAGAAGGACACTACATGCTTCTTCAGTAAATATTCTAACATGCTTAACAATAAAGAATGCTGTAAGACCATGGCTTTTAAAATTTATTAAAATCTACTGAAAGCTAACATCTTTTTCCCCTAGAAAAAGCATGCTAGTACCAAAAGGCATGTATCAAAAGCATGTACCAAAAAACATGTTCAATTACAAGGGGTTCATGGGCCCTCCAAAGCCCTTTCATTAATTCTGTAGTAGGCCATGATCCTCAGGTTAAGAATCCCTACTGCAAAGTAAATTTTATTTTCCCATTGACTTTCAGTATAAAATTGATGGTGCAATTTACTATTAAATATGCTTCTTTCTGACAATATTAAAATTATGTCTAGAATAATGATGAAGGGAGAAACAAAATGTAAAGAATGAAGAACTGTCTTCAAAATGACTAAAAAATAAACCCAACACTTTGAGCTAAAAATATAATACAGAGCCAGCAAATCTACCAATTTGGGTCAGGTATCATAATCAATAAAGAACTATGTAGTTTTAGCAAATTTGCCAAGTTTTCCATTAGTCTTAAATCTCTACCACATCCCTACCTTACGGTGAGAAACCTTATGGCGTGATAGCAGGAACACTCTACTAGCCTTCAGAAATCTAGTCTCCTGATGTAATTTCAATACATATAATAAGTATTATTTAAGAGTGACTTTGGTGCCTCGATGATCTTATCTACCTGGACATTCAGAATGAATGGGTGGGGTTCCATAGGCCAGGAAGACCCTAATTTGAACTTTGGAAAAAAAAAGAGTGGCTATTTCTTTGAAAATCTGTTGAATTAGAGAAAGTTTTTGCAAGGAGAGCAAAATTATAAATGCAGTTGGCTCCAGGTATGGCTGAGAGACAGAATCCTACATGGCTCTGAGTTTCTGATTTCTGAGCCAACGTACAATTTGTATTTGTGTGGAAGAAGCACTGAAGCATTCTTTCCAGAGTGGTAATCTGAACCATATGTAGACTGATTAATAGTTATGTCATAATAAAACCTCAATTAGCAGAATTCTAGAGGGATAGCCTTTTATAAATAAAGGAAAGTTTACTAAGAAACCTCCCTTCTCCCATCCTCCCCAACTTCTTTCTCTATTTTTCTTCCTTTTGAAAAATTTTAATGGTGGGGAAAATCTTTCCCCAATGTACATAAAGCTCCTCTGCTGCTTTAGTAAGTACAGTCTACTGAACATAAGTGAGTCTGTCTTCGAGCTTATTGTATCTTTCAGGGTGTCTATTTTGCAGACTAGTCATCATATTTTTATAGAAGTTAATATATGAGCTCAGGCTGAAAATAAACTGGAAATTTTCTGAGAGTGGCAGCTAATACCCATTTATTTTCTTTTCACTTAAAAAACACCTATCAAGGCTGAGGGCAGTGGCTCATGCCTGTAATCCCAGCACTTTGGGAGGCCCAGGCGGGCAGATCACTTGAGGTCACTAGTTCGAGACCAGCCTGGCCAACATGGTGAAACCCTGTCTCTAGTAAAAATACAAAAATTAGCTGAGCGTAGTGGTGCATGCTTGTAATCCCAGCTACTCAGTAGGCTGAGGCACGAGAATCTCTTGGACCCAGGAGATGGAGGCTGCAGTAAGCCGGGATCATACCACTACACTCCCTCCTGGGCAACAGAGCGAGACCCTGTCTCAAAAAAAAAAAAAAAATCTATCAAGAATATGCAGTAAAGTTTTCATTCATTTGTGTATCAGTTTATATGCATACAGTTGCATGTAACAAACAGTGCTATTCACAGTGGCTTAAATTGAAAGGATATTTATTGTTGACCTAACAAGAATTGTGGAGGTAAGATGTATAAGGTTGATGTTGTAGTCTGGTGACATCATCCAAGGTCCTGGGTTCTTTTTATCTATCCACTTTGCCATCCTCAACTGAAAATCTTTAGTCCTGTGACATCTTACCTTGTGGTTGCAAAATGGCTGCTCCAGCTTCAGACGTTTATCCTTACACAATAGCCTCCAAAGCTGAAAGGCAGAAAAGAGGGAAAAGTCTTCTCCTTGCGCAGTTTTCTCTTTTATCAGGGAGAAAAATCTTTCCCATAAGCTCCCTCCCCCTGCCCCTAAGCAGACTTCATTTTACTTGCCATTGTCCAATATTGGGTTACATGCTTATCCCTGGAGCAATTCCTGGCAAAGGGGAATTAATTTTTTGACTTAAGAGTCATCATGGTTCATCGTTTGGGGAGGGACACATTGCTGCTGAACACAACCTGTGATCTTTTAGTAAGAAGGAAGGGGAGAATGGCTGCTGGACAGGCAACCAGCAGCTTCTGCTACACATGGATTCTTCATTTTGCTTCTGTGGGACCCACTCTTGGCATATTTGTTCTCACACTACTGAAGAAGCCATTTGCTGTTTGCCTATCAGTGATCCCAAAGCCAGCTATCTCATTTCTTTGAAATTGTAGGCGCAGAAGGCAGTAAGGCCTAGTGAAAAAAGAATGATAGATTTGAAGGCCAGGCAGACAGGATTCGAATCCCTGATTTACCATTTACTGGCTGCATAACCTTGGACAAGTAAAGACGTTAGAGACTTGGTTTCCCTAATGATAAATCTAAAATAGTACCAAATGGCCAGTGTTATTGTATAGATTTAATGAGATAGTGCATAGAAATTGCCTAGCATAGTACACATATCATAGGCACTTAGTGTGTGTTATTTCCTTTCCCATGTGAATTCAATTGCACAGAAATCAGATTGCATTTAGCTTAGCAGATAGACCAATTCGGAAAAAGAGTAAGTTTGACTCCAGTAGGTTTTTTTTTTCTTTTTTCCTCCTTACTCATCTATGTTCACATAAAAGTCCCCTCTCTTATCTACAAAAGACTTGTGGGTAGAAAGCAGTGTGCCCTGTGTTAGGGTAGTGTCCAGTTACTAAGAGAAAGCTATAAAACCATATATTCATTTCTTAATTGGTTTGCTTAAATATCTGTTAGGTTTAATATAGGAAACAGAATCCTCTCTAGGTATTTTATGCAAAAAATGATTTAATGCAGGAAATAAGGTACTCACAAAATTGGAAGGGCTGGAGCAATGGAAGTCAAGAAGTCTGCATTAAAGGTCAAATGGCACCATGACTTCAGTCCAGATGCCAGAAACTCCTCCTATCACTCAGGCTAGGAAACTGTTGCTGCCGTGATTATCACCACTGCCAACGTCACTATCCTCCCTACCACACAAAGCTGATGAGGGGACAGTGGACACAGTTGACAACACTCACATCTGCTGTAGCCTATTTTCTGCATGCACAACTGTAGAAAAGAGTTCCTTCCCTTTGATTCCTTCCAAATCACTAAAAGTAGACCCTTTCACAACCTAGGGATAAGGGAATCTAGAAACTGTACTTTTCAACCCAATGCCAGGCTTTCTTCCGCCTTACCCATGTGAAAGCCCTCCTTATCTTACTAATCTGTGATTCCCCTGCTGGGCTATCTGCCCATGTGCATTCTCTCTTTGCCCCTGTTTTCCCTCTATGCCCTGTTTGGGCTCTGACATCCTGCTCTGGCCTACCATGCCTCCCTGTCCTTTCTGGTACAGATGTCTGCCTTGCTCTAAAGGCCTTAGAACTCAGTTGTTCAAGAAGAGAAGATTAGGAAAGGGTAAGAGGTCTCCTTGCTTTGTTAAAAATTACCGTACATATCTTTGTATTTCCCAACAATTTAGTGTTAGAAGTTTTTGAACTTTATAAAAAAGGAGTCGTATATATAGTATATAGTCTTCTGGGACCAACTTTGCTCACAATATTATTTTAGTTTTATTCATCCATATTGTTGTTCTCACACATGAGCTTTGCCATATTTTAAAATCTTAATGCATTTTTGCATTTTGGGGGTTATGCTTCTTTCTTTATTCATTCAGCATTCTATAATATTTTCCCATGTTAAGAAACCTCTTCAAAATGAACATTATTATGTTATGAATGGATCATAATATGATTGACCATTTCTTGTAGTTGGATATTTAAGTTAATTCCTATCTTAGAATGTGGTAGATGAAGAAGATAGAAGAAAAAAAGGCTGAGATTTTCCATGTGGCAGAGTAGCTGGAAGATGGTTATTTGCTGAAATGGGAAACACTGGGGGATGCACAAATTTGGTGATAAGAAAAGGAATCTGGTTTTGAGCAGGTTGAGTGTGAGTGTGGAGATATCCAGACAACAGTTGAAGATTCTAGCTTGGCTCTTAGGAGACAGTTCAAGGCTAGAAACAATGGATTTATCATCAGTACATGGGGAATGGTTTGAGGCAAGTATGGGAGTGAGATGGCCCAGGAAAATAGTCTGGAGATATGTAAAGGACCAATACTGGACTCCTGGGAAATACTTATGTCCAAATGGCAGGCTGATCTAGATGTGCTGTCCAGAGAGTCTGTTTAGAAAGGAGGAAGAAAATCGGGAAACTGTTGTCATTTGGAAGCCACTGCAGAAGAGAGCTTCATGAAATGAATGGGTAGTCATTCATACTAAATGCTGTAAATACTGTAGACAAGTTAACCAGGATGACAACCGAGGGCAAAATATATGTATGTGTGTATATGTGTGTTGGAGGGCTGGGCGGGGGGAGAAAGCTTGCTGCTCATGTATCTGGATTTTTTTTTAATTTGGATGATTGAAGGTTCACATGCAGACATGCAGTTCAACTGTTTCCTTGGGTAGATTCCTAGAAGTGGAATGACTTGATCAAAGGGTTTGAGCATAGGCCTTTGATTCATGTTGTTAGGTAGGTTTCCTGGTTTTCATTGTTTTTTGTTTTGTTTTGTTTTTGAGATGGGTTCTCACTATGTTATCCAGGCTGTTTTTTGAACTCCTGGGCTCAAGTAATTCTCCCACTCAGCCTCCCTAGTTTCTGAGATTACAGGCATGAGCCACTGTGTCTGGTTCCAGTGCTCATTTTTTTATATGCAATGATGAATAGTTTGTAATTTTGTACACATCTGGGTGTGCAGAGACAAGGTGAGGAAATCTGCAGCAAAGGAAAATACAGAATTGGGCTTCTGTAGTTGCGGGTCTTTTCCTAATGAACACAGTCCAGCCCTCATCTCCTCTCCACTTTCAGTTTCCACACTCTACATCTCTCATCCAGAACACAAGTGGAACAGGGACCATTACTCATTAGCTGCATGGGGATTTGAATAACCTCACAGTGGAGGATGTTCTTGTCTGTTATGGTGGCAAGTAACTACAACTAAATGCGTGACCAAGACAGAGCTAACTCGAGTCATTAATTAGACTGTGAAGTCTGGAGGGAAGTTCTCTGAATTTAAGATTACAGTTTTGAAGTTTGGCATCTGCTACCACTTCAAGGATTAAGGATTTACTGCTCACTGGAATTCAATATTTAATATTTTAAAAACCATTCAGCTCCAGCTTGCAAATGAGTTAAATTAAAATAATACACAGACGTTCTCTCTGAGGCCGTGGTTTTTATTGGTAGCAACGCTCATTAAGAAATTTTACTGGCTGGGCACGGTGGCTCACGCCTGTAATCCCAGCACTTTGTGAGGCCGAGGCGGGCAGATCATCTGAGGTCGGGAGTTCGCGACCAGCCTGACCAACATGGAGAAATCCCGTCTCTACTAAAAATACAAAATTAGCCAGGCATGGTGGCACATGCCTGTAATTCCAGCTATTCAGGAGGCCGAGGCAGGAGAATCCCTTGAACCCAAGAGGCGGAGGTTGCGGTGAGCCAAAATCACACCATTGCACTCCAGCCTAGCAACAGAGTGAGACTCCGTCTCAAAAAAAAAAAAAAAAAAAGAAATTTTACTTGAGCCATACGTTCATGAGAGGTTCTAAATAAGCACACAGATAGTCTATTTCAGCCTTCATTTCCTACAAATGCTGTATATAGAAGCAACTTTGTGTTTCTTTTGTCAAGATAAGACATTTGATTTACCTCCTTATCTTGCATTTAAATTTATTTCACAAGATGGACCTGTTTTCAGGTACCATAAACACCCAGTTCTACTGGGTTTTCTTTGACTGCTGGGGAAACTGTGGACTGTGTCTGATGCACACATTTTATTGCATCTCCCCTGGCATGAGATTCATATACATTGGCATCTTCTCAGAGTGAAGTTGACTCTCTCTGTTTCCCTATTCCAGAATTTCACTTGGCATATGGTGATTCCAAAACAGTTTGAGGCTCATTTTGCTTGGTTTTTGGCAATCTCAGCTCAGCCGGTTTCACTCTGAGAGATCTCCTGTTTGTTCCTTCATGAATGGCCACAGAAGCTTTTGCTCTTGGCTCTGCATTCTAATAGCACCTCCTGCATGGTCTGTGGCAAAGGAATGCTTTGAAATATGCGTCCATACTATGTGGCTTTTCTTGCTGCAGTTTCTGTTCTTTTTTATTGTAGGATCGGGAGACTCACCACTAGAAGACGATGAAGTCGGGTATTCACACCCTAGATATAAAGGTGAATGCTTTGCTTATGTGCTAATGAGGACCTGCTGGTGCCAGGAGAACTTTCCTTTTTGCCTTGTGAAACAGATTGTAATAAAGTGACCAGACAACACATTTAAGTTCTAATTATCTATCAAGGAAAAAAAAATATATATATATACTCCCTTTTTTAAAAAAGGAAATAAAGCAAAATGCATTGGAAATCTCTGAAATGCTGTCTTTCAGCATCCCAATGGTCATTTTATTCTCATAAGTTTCTTTACTGTCCTCACTTCTGCAAAGGCAGCTGTAGCTGATGAAAGTGAAAATCAAGCCTAATTCATACATTACAGCCAGAATCATCCAGAGTAAACCACCTAAGGTCAAATCTGGACCAAGTGCTGATAATGTACTAAGATGAATGGGGAAGGAGAAAACTTGATTTTCATAAGCTCATTTCATCGTGCTCTTTCTGAGCCCAGCATGGCTTCTGAAACGGTATGTTAAAGTATGTTGCTCAAATGAAACTTAATGATAAAGAACTCCATCTCTACATATTCCCAGCAATCCACTCCCCAGCACGTATAAAAAGCCTAAACAAGAACCTTCTGTCCAGACTCAGGTAAGTATGTCCACAAATATTTCTACTGGTGAAACATTTCTCTGAAGCTTAGGGAAACCTGGGAGAAATGAAGGTAAATTTAGAGATGCTTTCTCTCTGAATCTAGTTCCTCTTACAGTGGAGGAAGAATTTGAAAAAAAAAAAAAAATGGTTAACAAAGTTTCACTGCGGCATTTTGCCCTGGAAATTTGTCCTAATTCCTGGGATGAGGACATGGCCCTTGTTTGTTGTGATGTGTCTCAGATACAGGAGAATCAGGGTAGGACTGGACAACTTTTGACTGGAGATGTCCTTCAGTTGTTTTCTACACAAGTGAACAATATTTCCAATATAATGACTGGTGCCTGGTGCTTATGTGCAGGTGTGCTTCCCATCACATACCACATTTTTTTGTGAGATCTGAATGCAAATACTCATTCCTACCTATAGTTTCTATCTCCATAGCCTCAGGAATTAACCAATCAAGCAAAGCACAAATACGTTAATCAGATGCTTGGGGTAAGGAAAGGTTCTAATTCGCAAAACTTCTTAACTATTTATGGGTTTAGATTTTTTTTTCTTTGAGTCCCTTGTTGAAAAATCTTCCTAAAACACATGCATGCACAGATGACCCTTCACATCTACAGCAGGGGTTGCCTAGTGCCCTCAGGTCCTTGTTCTTCACATCCATCTTCACCTCACAGCATTGCAAATGTGACAGGTAGACCAGATGGCCAAAATGTGTGCTTGCCCTAGAACTTACCCTGAATGTTTAAGAATAAATTTTCTTAGGGCATTGTTTCTATTGTCAGTTAAATTGCTTACTGGTAGCAATCATTTCAGTATGTATAAGTATATCAAAGCATCATGTTGTGCGCTTCATACAATAAAATTTAAGTTTTATTTATTTTTATTATTATTTTTTGAGATGGAGTCTCACCCTGTCACCCAGGCTGTAGTGCAGTGGCGTGATCTTGGCTCACTGTAACATCCGCCTCCCAGGTTCAAGCGATTCTCCTATCTTAGCCTCCCAGGTAGCTGGGACTACAGGCACACGCCACCACACCCAGCTAATGTTGCATTTTTAGTACAGACAGGGGTTTCACTATGTTGGCCAGGCTGGTCTCGAACTCCTAACCTCAGGTGATCCACCCACCTTGGCCTCCCAAAGTGCTGGGATTACAGGCGTGAGCCACTGCACCTGGCCAAGTTTTTTTAATTTTAAAAGCTAGAGACAAGCCATTATTAAGTGAGGGTTTAGTTTTAGATCCTGAGGCCCCTGCACAATGTCCAGCACAGAGTAAGTGTTTTTGAATTAAAGTAAAATAAGAAAGAAAATTAAATGTAACCAACATTTACGGTGCTCCTGGTATGTGGCAAGCATGGCTTTTGATTCTTTTGCTTGGAATACCATCATATATTCATATTAATTGAGTGAGTTTGTGATGTATGAGTATGCAGGTCATATATATACATACATTAGTTCCCCCTTATCTGCGGTTTCACTTTCCAAGGTTCCATTTACCTTCAGTCAACCGCAGCCCCAAAATATTAGATATTTTGAGAGAGAGACAGTACATTCACCTAACTTTCATTACAGTATATTGTTATAATTGTTCTATATTATTATTAGTTGTTGTTAATCTTTTATCATGCCTAATTTATAAATTAAACTTCATCATAGGTATGTTTGTGTAAGAAACAAACAGTATATATAGCGTTAGGTACTATCCAAGGCTTCAGGCATCCAATATCCCCCGTGGGCAAAGGGGGAGTACTGTATATCACAAATATATGTAGTACATACAGATTATATTAAAACCCTTAGAGGAAGGAAAATTTATTCAAGGAAGTTCTTTAGGCCTTGTGTGAGCTCCTACACGTTTATATCCACATGGTTAAATTTAATCAGCTCTAGGTTAAGCCTTTAGGACATCACCTTTACCTAGAAAGTCCAGGGAAGATTACTTGAGTCTTGAGTTTAGGGCTCACTTGCAGCTGTCTGCAAAACATGATATGACGAAAGTATTAGCCAGACCAGGGACGGTGGTGCGTGCCTGTAGTTCCAGCTACTTGGGAAGCTGAGACAGGAGGATCACTTGAGCCTAGGAGGCCGAGACTGCAGTGAGCAATGATCATGCCACTACACTCCAGCCTGGGTGACAGAGTGAGACCCTGTTTCTAAAAAAGAAAAAAAAAAGAGAAAGTATTAGCTGAAGGAAATGTGAAGGCAAAACTAAAACAGTGGTCTATGCATAAGACGTGGCCAGAACTGTTGGTTTTTGTAACTGAGAAGCAGTTGGAGGCATATCCTCAGAAGAGAATTCCTGGGAAAGTAAAACAGGGTCTGTCCTCCTTCCTGGCCACATGATGGCGGTCTTACCTCACTCACTGACAGCTCAGGTGCTGGGTTGGAGTGATGAGCCAGGCAGTTGCAGGGAAGTGGCTCCTATTCATGGCATTGAGAGCCCGGCAGGCTTTAGGGAACTCCTCACTGTTCCCCATCAATTGTGGGACAATGGGGCAGTGGCTGCTGTAGGAACTTATCCACCAAGGAGCTAGTGTTGCCCTTATATTTTATGGATCTCAAAGAGAACATTTCAAAAGCACAGCAGGGAGGTTCTGATTTATTCATTTCATCCCAGCTGTGCTTTGGGCAACTATGAGACCAAAATCAAAACACCTGCAACTTTGCCATCTGGGGAGGGTGTCACCCTGTTACGTAAATGGGGCATAACTGGGGACACTTCTCTATGGAGAGCAATTGTTCTGTGACTTTAAGCGAAATTTATATCTTGTTACAAACACCTGGAAATTGTAGCATCATTTAGATTAATGCCAGTATTACAACATTTTAGAGAGAATGTGCATACGGCTCAGACGAAATCCAAATTAACCAATTATTGAATCCCTACCGCTATGTATGACATCAGTTGCCCTTGAAAGAATTATCTAAAAAATAAAAATAAAAAATCTTATGTATCTAGTTAAGGGAAATACTAAAAAGAACAAGCATTTATTGAACATATATGCTAGGTACTGTGCTAGATGCTTGATATGCAATTTTTATTTCGTCCTTGTAACAGCACTATGGCATAAGTATAGATATTGACTCAGAGAGGTTAGCTAACTTGTCTAAGATCACACAGTCAGTTATAGAGGAACTCAGATTCATGTTCAGATATATCTGACACTTAGTCCCATGATCATAACCTCCCTACCCGGAGACACCTAAGAAAACATGGGGCACTAATTGAAGGTCCAAAATTTGGAATGTAGCCAGCCTGGGACAGTAAGAGTAAGGGGACACATTTTCTGAAAGTGTCATTTCATATTTATCTCCTCTTTTGTTTCTGCTACTTGTAGATACCCCGTGGTGCTCCCCCATCAAGGTGAAGTATGGGGATGTGTACTGCAGGGCCCCTCAAGGAGGATACTACAAAACAGCCCTGGGAACCAGGTGCGACATTCGCTGCCAGAAGGGCTACGAGCTGCATGGCTCTTCCCTACTGATCTGCCAGTCAAACAAACGATGGTCTGACAAGGTCATCTGCAAACGTGAGTAGGCCAGCTCTGTGTTGGGTCCTCAGGGATGACCAGAGCCAAAGTTCTTTTGCTCTGAGATTGAGGATTTTCACTGAATATTGATGAGAAAAATTCTCCTTATGATCAGGGGGACACCAGGGGGATTCTAAGATATGGTGGAAGTGAGTTGGCTCCTCTCAGAGAGAATGATATGATCAGCTGTTTGAGAAAAGGGGAGAGAAGATCATTGTTCAGAAAATGAGTTACATTTGTTCAGTTAGTGCTGGATCCTGAAGAGGTGTTGGGGATTTAGAAACAAATAAGACGCACATGGGTCCTGCCATGAAGAGGCTTTAGTAAGGCAGAGGTGTCAACTGGGAGATAAGTACAAGAAGGGTACAAAGTCAGGGACATATGGTAGCAGATTAAAGAAGAGTTCTCCTGGCTGGGCGCAGTGGCTCATGCCTGTAATCCCAGCACTTTGGGAGGCCGAGGCGGGTGGGTTGCCTGAGCTCAGGAGTTCGACACCAGCCTGAGCAACACGGTGAAACCCCATCTCTACTAAAATACAAAAAATTAGCTGGGTGTGGCAGCGTGCATCTGTAATCCCAGCTACTCAGGAGGCTGAGGCAGGAGAATTGCTAGAACCCGGGAGGCGGAGGTTGTAGTGAGCCGAGATTGTGCCACTGCACTCCAACCTGGGTGACAGAGCAAGACTCCATCTCTTAAAAAAAAAGAAAAAAAAAGTGTTCTCCCAAGGAGTGGGGCTTAGGGAGGCAGGAAAGAGTCACAGAAGAAGTGATGCTTATTTATGAAAGTGAGTGTGCCTCAAGGGAGAAGCTTAGAGGAGCAGCATTTCAGGGGCTGGCTTTTAGCTTCATGACAAGTCATACCTCATTTGGAAAATTGCAAGTGGTACAGCATTGTTGAAGCACATTTTAGATGTCTTTGGTATTCAAAACAGCCACCACTTTTTGAGCGCTTATGGTTTGCCAAGAATTTCACATACATTTGATTTTTACAGTAACACTATCAATATGGGTGCCATTATGTTAACTTCATTGTCAGGGAAACTGAGGTTTCAAGGCTGCAGCCATGTCATCGAGACTATGCAGACTCTGCAACTGGGTGACTGTAGTGGACAATCTGCTCTACCCAGATCTCCTCGATGCCTTTTACTAGTTGTATGTATCCAGTACCCAGCTTCTGAGTACTTTGCTCTTAAAGACTTGGAACTTCAACCTTATTCAGAAGACTGCTCCTTCAGAGGACTGATCCCACTCGCTCTCTCTCTCTCTCACTCTCTCACTCTCGTTCTCTTTTCACAAGAGAAAGCATCTCCTGTGAGCAGCCTGTAGCTGCCCAATGACTGACTGATAAAGAATTATGAAAGCCCAGCTTCCTTGCCTGGGGGCAGGACAGAATGAGCTGTCATTCACACTCCAGAGCTTCCCTATGGGATCAGGCTGCTGCTGACTTTGCCTGAGATCTCATCTTGCCTGGATTTCTCCCCTTCCCTGTTCTGCTTTCCTCACCCCCTCACTAGTCTCCCTGGGAGCACTTTCTTACTAAACCTCATGCACATAAATCCGTATCTCAGAATCTGCTTCTGGGGAGCTCAACCTAAGATAGTGGCTTAGCTGGGTTGCCAACCCAAGCCAGTGTGACAGGAAACTTTGTGTCTTCTGTGTGACATAAAACCATCCATTGTTTCTTAAATTCCATTTGTTTTATTTATTTATACAAAGTCGTGTTCTTGTTGCCCAGGCTGGAGCGCAATGGCGCAATCTCAGCTCGCCGCAACCTCTGCCTCCTGGGTTCAAGCGATCCTCCTGCCGTAGCCTCCCGAGTAGCTGGGATTACAGGCATGCGCCACCACGCCTGGCTAATTTTGTACTTTTAGTAGAGATGGGGTTTCTCCATGTTGGTCAGGCTGGTCTCGAACTCCCGAAGTCAGGTGATCCACCTGCCTCGACCTCCCAAAGTGCTGGGATTACAGGAGTGAGCCACTGCGCCTGGCCTTCTTATATTTAAATTAACTTTTCACCTCATGCTTTCAGAGTTTCTAGACTCTGAAATGAAACTCTATAGACAAAAACTAAGAAATGCTGAATATCTGATTTTCTCATTTTCAGAAAAGCGATGTCCTACCCTTGCCATGCCAGCAAATGGAGGGTTTAAGTGTGTAGATGGTGCCTACTTTAACTCCCGGTGTGAGTATTATTGTTCACCAGGATACACGTTGAAAGGGGAGCGGACCGTCACATGTATGGACAACAAGGCCTGGAGCGGCCGGCCAGCCTCCTGTGTGGGTAAGAAAATGCCACAGCCCTTAGGAGGCACTTGCTTTGGGAGGAGCAGGGGGTGTTCACATCGTGGATTGTAAAGGGAGCATCACTATTCCTCCTGTAAGGCCTAAGCATGCAACTTTGCTCTCAGTAGCATCACTGGTTCTCTGGCTCAGCCCTAGATCTAACCTCAGTGTCTATCCTGGAGCTGACTTCGTAGCTGATGGCTTCCATCTGACTTTTGTCTTTTTCTTGGTTTGCTATTGAGGCAACTACAGGCTGGCAGAGATGTGGCATACTCCTGCTGATTTTAGTTCGGGGGCCTGAGCAAAGTTATTGACACTATAGGGACAGTCCAGTAGAGAACATCTATGTGTCTTTCAGCCCCAATGTAGCTTCTTTGTCATTGACTCTGGTGGTCAGCAAGCACTCAATTTGTTCAGCTGGAAGGGATTTGGATATTTTGCCTTACTCTGGGTTTGTTGGGCAGTGAGTGGTTCCCATGGTGTGGTCCTGGGAGCAGAAGCAGCAGTAGCATCTCCTGGTCTAAGAATGCAAATTTTTACCAACCCACCCCCACCACCTGCTGAGTCAGAAACTTTAGGGGTCAGGCACAGCATTTTGTTTTTTAATGAGCATTCCAGGGATTGTGAGGCACTCAAATAGAGAGCTACTGATCTAAGGCACTGCTTCTCAAACTTTACTGTGCAGCGAAGTCCTCTAGGGACCTTGGGAAAAATGCAGATTTAAATTCAGCAGGTCTGCGGTGGGTCCTAGGATTCTGCTAAACGATGCTTTAGGGCAAAGTTTCTGAACCTCAGCATGATGGACATTTGGGGCCAAATAATTCTTTGTTGTGGAGCCCTGTTTTTTTTGTTTGCAGGATGTTTAGCAGCATCCTTGGATTTTATTCACTAAGTGCCAGTAACACTGCCCACAGGGGGCACCTCACAGATGTTGCTTTCAATATCCTCCCTGTGATTAGCTATGTGCATAGCTCTTCAAAACAAACCAAAAAGAAAATTGAATCTACTCCCTCATATTGGAAGGGGCAGAGGTGATGGTGGGAGGAGAGAAGCTCAAAAATCTTTCTGCTAAGCAAGCTTTGGCAGAGTACTCTAGGGATCATACTGTTTAAATTTCCAGATTGTGTGCAACAATGGAAAGAAAATGCTGATTGTTCTCAAAAACCAACAGCATGTCTTAAGCTGGACCAGATGCGCCTGGAACCTTCCCAGAGGAAGAGAGAATGAACCCCAAATTCAGGAGATTCATATTACAGTTTGTCAGAACAAGGTTCAGGCATATTTGGGAGAAGGAGGATTGTACATGCAATTAGTTAGGGATGACAAAAAGGGGTACAGCGATCCACAAGAGAGCCTAGAGCTCCCAGGAAAAAAGAGAGAAATGGGCAAAGCAAGCAGGCAATTCTTTCTTTGATTTTCGCGACAGACAAGCTGAGGTTTGTCCCCAGTGAATTTTACTCCAGGGGTATTATTTACTTTTTTGGCTTTAAATGTATTAAAATAGTTTAATAAATTTGTTTTTGTGTTGACAGGGGTAGGGGGTCCTTGAGCGTAACTCAGAACTTCAACCTATTTTAGGAGGTGACACATAGTGGCTAAGTAGTTCCCAGATTTCCACACAACCTTCAACAGTCTTGGCCAGAGCTGTACTGAGTGGTGAGAAAGTTGTCCCAGTTCTCTTCTAGACTGTGAGGGAAGAGAGAAGACTGGGCTTACTTTGGACTCTGAGGTGGTCAGTTCTGTGGTCTGGCTAATTTGAAGGTGCCACAAGTTAAAATTAATTCTCTTACACAGACCATACTCTGGCAATGAGCTGAAATTCATAGTTATTTCAGAAACAGATATAGATAAAAATAAGTCAATGTAGGAGGAAAAAAAATACTGCAAATTGCAGGAGGGTAAAAAGTCTTTGAAGAGCCACAACCTCCATTGATCTGGAAGAAAATAAACCTTAGAATGTAACCACTATTGTTTTCGGGGGATATTTTTCTTTCTTTCCATTTTTAGTTATTTTTGGTTATGTTGGCATTTAGATAGAACAATGAACAGTTGGAATCACAACAAGTCCTCATGTAAAGACCAGATTTTGAGTAGACACATGATCTCTCCTTTAGACCAACACTTCTTCCTAGGCCAAAACAGGAAGAAAACAAATTAAAGATACTTTAAAAACCACGGACAATGAAAAACCAGCAAAGGTCTTTTGACATTCAGAGAGTATCCATTTAATTACTTTAACAAAAGACAATGTACAAACTTTCCTTTTTGCCCTGTGGAACGGATTGTAATAAAGTGACCAGACAACACATTTAAGTTCTAATTATCTATCAAGGAAAAAATATTTTTAAATAAATATATTTTATTTTTTGCTCACTTATTTTTTGTTTTCTACAGAGTAGAATAGGTGGAGATTTATTAACACAAATGAAATTCTGGAATAAAACATTTTGGAGATGTAATATATGGAAATTGATGGCATACGTTTCTTGTGTCCCAGCTGTCTCACAGCTGGTTTACCCAATGACCCATAGGAATGGGATCATTGCATTATTGCTGGGCTGCATTGCATTATTCAGTTGATGCAAACATCAGTAGGGCTAAGAATGAATGTATCCATGCATTGTTGCAAATGATGTTAAATTGTGCTAAATTCTTCCTGGGTTGACAAATACACATTCTTTTGCAAACTTTCAGAGGCTAGTTTCAGTTAAAACAACTTGATTGACTGAGATACTGATTCACTTTTTCCCTTACATGATTTGTTAGTACAAACAGAACAGGTCAACTTTTAGTGGCTCTCTCTAATATAAATGTATCACCAATGAATTTTTATTTGGGCTTCTTTCTTGTGAAGATGTTGACTTTTAGAGATGAGGTCTCATTATGTTGCCCAGGCTGGCCTCTTGCTATGTCGTCCAGGCTGGTCTTGAACTCCCAGGCTTAAGTGATCCTCCCACATCAGCCTCCTGAGTAGCTGGGGCTACAGGCATGAGCCACCACACCCGGCTATGATCATGACTTTTAAATGTGGATTTCATTGCCTCCCTTCTTGCCTCTTTTGTCTGTTTTGGAAAGTTCTCTGGATTTTTGTATGGTGCCAAACAGAGGAAACCACTTCCCAGAGCCATCCACAGAGATTACGCTCTGGCTGGGGGAAGCAAACAACTGGATGAGTTTTCAATGGCCAGGTTTGTTCTGCATTTGGCAGTCACTCACTTCCTATGCCCCCTTGAAAAGAACTCTTCCTTTCTCTATCACCAAACTCAAACTATTTTATATTTGCATCAGTGATCTGTTGCTGCACAATAGACCACACAAAACTTAGTGGCTCCAAACAACTATGTTATTGCTCAAAGATTCTATGGGTTGGAAAGTTGGGCAGAGCTCTGTGGGGACAGCTCATCTCTGCTGTATGTGGTAATGGTTGAGGTGACCAAGTGGAGCTGGAGGATTCAAGATGGCTTCACTCACAGGTCTGGTACCTCAGTTGGGAAAAGTTGTACTGACTGGGGTCTGGCTGAGTCTCTTTCTCTCTCTCTCTCTCATTTATAATTTCTCATCCTGATTACATGGCCTCTCCAGTCAATTGGACTTCTTTAGATGGCAGCTGGCTTTTAACATAGTGAAAGCAGAAGGCACCAGATTCTTTGAGGGCCTAGGTCTGGAACTGGCACAGGGTCACTTCCCTTGCATTTTATTGTTATCTGTTGGGCAAGACTTTGTCCTTTTGAGCTTCTTCCTTATTTCCACTACCTACCGGGTTAGATGTGTCAAGGATTTCCAAGTAAATAGTTCAGCTTCAGCTGGGTGCTGGTGGCTCACACCTGTAATCCCAGCACTTTGGGAGGCTAAGACAGGCAGATTTCTTGAGCCCAGGAGTTCGAGACCAGCCTGGGCAACATGGCAAAATCCTGTCTCTACAAAAATAAATAAATAAATGAATAAATAAAATCAGCTAGGCATGGTGGTGCATGCCTGTAGTCCCAGCTACTTGGGAGGCTGAGGTGGGAGGATCACATGAGTCTGGGAAGTCAAGGCTGCAGTGAGCCGATATTGTGCCACTGCACTCCAGCCTGGGTGACAGAGTGAGAGCCTGTCTCGAAAAAAAAGTTCAGCTTCTTAGATAAATAGTAGTTGATACAATGCAATATATTTGTATCTCATATTTTATATGCACAGAGATAACTAGAGCACAGAGAAGGGAGACAGTTTGTCAGATGTCTCCAATGAATGTGGCAGAGAGCAAAGGCCAGAATTTTCACTGAAGGTTTCAAGATTTTTATATAATTGCAGGCATCCTAATTCAACAGGGGATAGTAATTATGTTTCTATAGTAACTTTGTTCCTTTCATTCATGGAAATGTATAACTTATAAAATGCTATCGGGGCCAAGTCTGGGTAATAACAGGCTTAGGTCTCTGGAGCATCAGCTGAAGGGCAGACCAGCTTGTCTCACCAGCCGAGAGAGAAGGCAGCTGCTTGAGGATGTGTCAGGATCAAGTCCTGCAGAGGCTCTTCAAGGGTTCATGGGGAAGCTATGACAGACCATCACAAAACAGTATGTGTGCAAAGGTTGGCGGAAAACACTAGGTCAGCAGCAGGCAGATACACAAAAGGGTTTGGTTTATTAAAATAGCTTTAAAATATGTAATGGCATTTAAAAATCCCAGACCACAAAGAAATTCCAAAAGAGAGGAAATGCTTCTTCCCAGTCTATAAATGAGGATGCTAATAACACTGCTTAGTCTAATGGGTGGTTGTGCAAATTCAGTAAAATAATATAGGGAGGGTACTTAGCATGGGGTGGGCATGTAGGAAGGAGTCCTCCAATATTAGTTATTATTTGTAATGATTTATTTCTTCTTGTTTCTTCTTTGGAAGAGCACTGTTTCTGAAAAGCTAGGCCAGTTCAGCTGATCATTGTTAGCTAGAGATAAGCTGGCTTTGGGAAACTCTGAGACTCTTCACCCAGATAACCTATCTTGGAGCCTGTGTGCTTACACTGTTAGTACATCTTGATACAGAAAACAAACAACAATGTATCATCCAGACATTTAGTTTACCTGACAGAGACTAAGTTGCTTTTCACTCTGACCATGCTGCACCAAGAAAATATGGTAACACAATGTAATTTTACATTGAAATCTGTATGCTAATAAATATACTTTCTATAATGTAATTGCCAGCTATATTTGACCAGCAGGGGGCAGTCATTATATACTTGTCTTTCTGTGAAATGTTCATCTGAATTATAAAAGTTTGTCTTCTATCACCTATCATAGTAAAAAATTAAATGTTTTTAAAAACGTAACAGCTGAGTATAGACATCTTGAATGCATTTAAAGCATCTTCCATTTCATCATAGTATTTGTATACTTTATTTTATCAATTCTGAGAAGCGTATTATTTCTACCTTTTAATATCCCTGAAATAGGGATGCATTTCACAATTAGGAGTGACTTAGATTCAACAAAATATGGTGGTTATTCAATTTAGGATTGGTGCATTAAGGCTGTTAAGTTCACACTCCACTGAAGCACGACATAGAATGAAAATGAATTTGGATAGCTGAAGGCAAAATTGTTTAATAAGTTATTCGTAACTTCTTACCCTGAATAAAATGAGAAATTATTAGACAAGACACAGGAGAAAGTATATAAAGAATTTTACTTGGTGCATTTAGTCTCTCAAAGACATCTGTCATTCAGAATCAAAAGGACATTTAACTTTCATTAAGGCAGTAATAGCACTTAATACTTATCAGTTGATATGTAAAGTAACATGAAGCTGAATGTCCTTAATTTGCTATGCCTTCTTTAAATACATTCTCTACCTGTTCAGAAATATTAAGTAGAATTTGCAGAAATGTGAACTTCCTCTTGTGATTTCACTTCAGCTATAAGATGAAATACAACCCAGTGTAGAGTTGACATCTCATTTACTTTGAGCCCTCATTAACCACCCATCCTTGTTATCACTATCGAGGCAGAACTCCTATTACCAGGTAGAGAAACTACTTGAAGAAATTTGGGAGGCTTTTGGAGGTCCAGAGCCACAGTAAAACTGCTGTCCCAGAACATAAAACCATAAGTGTAGTTCAGTAGCAGTTCAAGGGGAGAGTGGACCCAGACAGACCATTGCCTATTTTAAGATATTAAGCAATATGTTGATAATAGATAGCAGGAAGAGAGAGAGCTTGTTCCAGTGGCAAGTGCTCCGACTTAGATTGTAATTCACAGTGCCATTATCTACATGTGTGGTCTTAAATAAATCATTTAAGTTCTTTGAGCCTCAGTTTGCACATCTGTAAAATGAGAGAGTTGGGCGGCTCCTCTACACCTCCATAGCATTCACTTTTACCTTGCCTGGGGCAATTGCCATTTTCTACCTCATGTTATATTTCATGTGTGATAATGTAATCCCTCCAATACATGGCAAATTCTCTGAAATGTCAGGAGCACATGATTCTCTTGCCTTTGTGCACCCCCAACCCCAGCAGTTGGAATGAAGCCTTGGATAAGATTGGTACTCATGAAAAATTTGTTGCCTTGAATTGAATCTGACTAGATGATAGCTAGAATGCCTTTCTGTAATATTCCATGATGCTGTGTTCAAAGCAGGAAGTACTCACTAAAGCCAAATGACTTCTAGTTTCAGCTGGGTAACTGCCATGTGGCCTTCGGTAGGCAGAGTTTGGAAGCATGGGGAGGAAAGGCTGTAACTAATGAATTACCCACAGGACACCTTGCAAGGCCAGTTGATTGCAGGTTTAGCCCTGCAAATGTGAGTATTTAAACAATCTTCAAAACTTAGCAGGAGAGTAAAAGCATTATGAAGGGAGAAAAGGGGAATATATAGGGTGAACAAACTCTTTGAAAATGGAGAATACCCAGAGGCTTTGGTATTTTAAACTGTGGGTGTTGAACCCCAGTTTGACTAGATATTTCTTGATGATGATGAGAATGTTTTGGTTATATTTTCAGATATGGAACCTCCTAGAATCAAGTGCCCAAGTGTGAAGGAACGCATTGCAGAACCCAACAAACTGACAGTCCGGGTGTCCTGGGAGACACCCGAAGGAAGAGACACAGCAGATGGAATTCTTACTGAGTAAGTGAAACTTGGCAGATAAAATGATGCTGTCTCTTTTATGTGAGATGTTTACTACCCAGAGTAGGGGAGTGTATATATGCTGGTCTATTTATGCTTTCAGATGTGGTCCCCCTGGTCACTACCTAACATACTATATATGTCACCTATGTATTTGTTGATTGCCTGTCTCTATTATAATATGTTCACTGCTATGTCCTTAATGCCCAGAACTGTGCCTGGCACATAGTTAGCACTCAGTAAATCCTTACTGAAGGAAAAAGGAGAAATAAGGGGTGGTGAATGATGTGATTATTATGCATTGCATGCCTGTATCAAAACATCTTGGCTGGGTGCGGTGGCTCATGCCTGTAATCCCAGCACTTTGTGAGGACGAGGCAGGCGGATCACTTGAGGTCAGAAGTTTGAGACCAGCCTGGCTAACATGGTGAAACCCCATCTCTACTAAAAATACAAAAATTAGCCAGGCATGGTGGCACACACCTGTAATCCCAGCTACTCAGGAGGCTGAGGCATGAGAATCGCTTGAACCTGTGAGGCTGAGGTTGCAGTGAGCCAAGATTGCACCACCGTGCTCCAGCCTGGGTGACAGAGTGAGACGCCATCTCAAAAAAATTAAAAAAAAAAATCTCATGTACCCCATAAATATATATACCTACCATATACTCACAAAAATTAAAAATAAAAAAAATGTAAAAGAAGGGGTGGTGAGAAGAAGGGAAGGAGGAACAGAAGGGGAAAGAGGAAGCCAGTTGGTTAATTTAAGAATAGAGCCACCCCCATTGCCTGCCCAGGCAGACCCTACTCATGCCCCCAGGCCATTACCTGCACTGGGAAGCCATCTGTGTCTCCCAGGTGGTGCCAAAGGCTGCCGCTCTTGTGCTCTGTGAGTACAGTTTAGTGCAAAACTTTTTCACCCCTTGTTTTTTGGCTGTATTTATCTCTTTCAAAGCTTTTTAATTTATTTTTAAAACTCCCGATCATATCAAACACTTACAGATGCTTATTTAAAAAAAGAGAAGGTATCTTCTGCTTTCTTCCCCACCTCTACCCCATTCTCCTGGACCAATTTCATTCATAGTTTGACATGTATCTGAGTTGCTTTTTGTTGGTGTGTTTGTTTTACCAATCACAATGAGAAGCACTGTTAAGAAGCTTTTAAAAATGGGTGGATCCCTTTGTGAGGGTTAGCTATGTGTTGTTCTAATCTAGCATTTGGGCCTGTACCCCTGCAACTGTTTGGTTGGCCTTCATATTCCCTGGAGACCACTACTTCATGTTAGCACATTCATATCTGTGCCTTAAAGTTTATGGGCATATTAGAGTTCCCCACTGAGTTTTCATCTGTAGATGAAAGGATACCTCTAACTTATCTCCTGGTGATCCATAAAGCAGGAAAAGACTTTCTAGAATCCTATCAACCCAGGCTGTGCATGACAAAACATTTTTACACAATGATTAGCAATAACAGTACAGTTTCTAGTGAGAGGAGACAGGACATTTTGTTCCTACATTCCAATAATCTTCCCCCAGTGCCTCATCTAGCTTAAGTAGTATTACTAGTTATGCTCTCCCATTGTAACTTCTCAAAGATAAAGTTTGACCATTAAAAAATTATTTGCTGTCACATACACATCCCACAAATTCCTTTGGAGAAAATGTAGGCAATCAGAATTGAAAAGTAAGTTGATGTTATCAGGGATTGGGTTTTATTTACCTTTGACTCTTCAGGGTCTAGCACAATGTCTGGCCCAGCCCCAGCACGTAGTAGGTTTTTAGATTTTTGCAGCTCTGACTGCTGTTGAAAAAACCTGTGTGATAAACACAAAACATCAAGCCATCAGATGACTCTATTTGTCTACAAGCTTTGTGAGAATATTCACCTTGTTCTTTTTATGGGTAACTTGCGTAATATGGTTAGGAGTGTTACATTTTATTTGATTTTTTTATTTTTTGAGACAGATTCTCACTCTGTTGCCCAGGCTGGAGTGCAGTGGCACGATCTTGGCTCACAGCAACCTCCGCCTCCCAGGTTCAAGTGATTCTCCTGACTCAGTCTCCTGAGTAGCTGGGATTACAGGTGTGCACCACCATGCCCTGCTAATTTTTGTATTTTTAGTAGAGATGGGTTTTTGCCATGTTGGCCAGGCTGGTCTTGCACTCCTGACCTCAGGTGATCTGCCTGCCTCAGCCTCCAAAAGTGCTGGGATTACATTCATGAGCCACTGCACCCGGCAGGATTGTTACATTTTAAAACAGCATCTCAGTATTCTCCTGTCCCTTTGTTCAGAGCAGCTGTCTGCTTCCAGAGTTCTACAACCCAGAGGCCAGAAAGGCTTAGAGCAGGATGTGGTGGGAATGCACTCCAACAGGATGAGGAGTTCAGAGAAGGCTGTCTTGTTCCCTTTTCGCTCTCACTAGGGCTCCTTGCTGCCCTGGCATTTCTCCTATGACCCCTTCCACCATTTCCTATCCAAGCTACTGCTCTATCGCTCCCTTGTGAGGGAGAAGGTTCTAGTGTCAAGCTCTGAGACAAGTGCTTCTTGTGAGTTCCCTTATTTACTCCTTCTGTTATTTGCATGTCACAGGTGAAACAAAGTCTCAGAAAGGTTACATCCACTTATATTTGAAGTATCACTCCTCTCAGGTTTATCTGAATTTAAACTGTGCTTTCTAAAGACCTTAAAGCATCTAAAGCCAACAGCAGCATGTCTCAAAATAGTGGGATTTCTGACATTTTCCCAAGACCCCTCTCTCATACCTGGTAAACAGCCACCTCACCCACCTACATGTAAGGCTTTCCTCAATGGTGACAATGATAATTCCACGTGTTCATTATTAGCAAATATTCTCATCATTCCCAGAACTGTAGGGAGATGGGGAATTATATGTATATTGAAAAACAGAACGTGGATTTTGATCCTGCTATACTTATTGGTGTCCTCATTAGGCAGCCAAGAAAAAAGATAAACTCACCCTAGCTGTGTGACCTTGGGCAAGTTCTTTAGCCTTTTTGTGCCTCAGTTTCCTCATCTGTGAATCAGAGATAATACTACCTACCTTATAGGGTTGTTGGATTAAATAAGGAGGATTAAGTAAATATATGCAAAATGCCTAGAACCATGCCTAACATGTAAGGTTTATGTAAGTGCAAAGAACACTTTTTGTCATTATTATTATGTTATTAGGATAACCAAGGAATCACAGAGAACTTGCCTTTAGGTCTCCACTGTCCCAGACAGAAAGAACAGAGAAAGTTCTAGCACCCACCCCCGCCCCGCAGGCCCAAATTGCCAGTGACTGCTTGGACTATATTCTCTAATGATTTTCCTCACAGAAAATTCCCTCGTCTTCCCAACAGTGAGGCAATTCAGGTCCCCCCTGGAACAAGAGTGAGATTGAAGGAGGAGACTTGGGCCCTATATTTTTCATCCTCCCTCCCCCCTCTACCCACTTCCCTACCATTCTACCCTTCAGCAAGAAAAAAGTCTAAGCTTCCCAGTAGTTTGGGTCTTCCATTTTCTGGTCACAAACTGCTCTTCTAAAACAGACTAAAGCTTAGGAGATTCTATTCTTCAAGAAATTTTTGTTTTATTTAAACTGGTCTAATGGTTGCCCCTCAGTCTCTCCATGTCCTGTAAAGAGTAGGGGATCGTCACTTGCTTGTCAGGTCCATAATGTCATCTTTCCTGTTTCTGATTTTTTTTCTCTAAGTGTCATTCTAAAAGGCCTCCCCCCAGGCTCCAACTTTCCAGAAGGAGACCACAAGATCCAGTACACAGTCTATGACAGAGCTGAGAATAAGGGCACTTGCAAATTTCGAGTTAAAGTAAGAGGTAAGAGTACTGCTTATTGGTTTTGTTTCCCCCTCTCTTTAGAAGAGCAAAGGGAAGTAGGTCCTCAAGCCAGAACTCTCTCAAGTGCCTACTGTGGTGGGAGACTTGCCAGCTTTAGATTAGTCTCTAATAAGGCTTGGGGAAGTGCCCTATCTTAATGCCTGAATTTCACGATACACATCCGGATGGGCGTCAGTGTTGCCAGATTATTTAAGGAGTTCCCAGGACTAGTCTTACAGGATCCCATAGCTGACTGTCCTAGAAGAATATTATTCAATAATTTTTCCATCCCTGAGCTTAGGTGGCCAGCTGAAGCCTGTGAGTCCATCTACAACCAGGGTGAATAGGAGCCCCCTAATTTGGGCCACCAGGAGAACATGTTTTTAGTGTTCTAGTACCATTGGTATGAAAGAAAATGTTTTTAAGGATTATTTTATGCCTGATGGTTTGGGCAACTAATTGCTAACCATCTTTACTCCTTACTCTTCTGGACTTCACTTCCTCATCTATAACACTAGGGGCGAAACCAGTTGATATCAGTGGTCTCATTGGTATGGATGGTGACCATTGCAAGACTCACTCACTGACCAAATAGTCATCCCTCCTCCCTCACTCATTTCACAGGCTGATGTAGAAGCCTGATTGCAAAGCTGATGCCTCTGCATCCTCACCTTTTCTGCTTACTCTGTGGATGGGAGCTCAGCACTGAGACCCCTCTGGACTTGTGTCCCTACAGTCAAACGCTGTGGCAAACTCAATGCCCCAGAGAATGGTTACATGAAGTGCTCCAGCGACGGTGATAATTATGGAGCCACCTGTGAGTTCTCCTGCATCGGCGGCTATGAGCTCCAGGGTAGCCCTGCCCGAGTATGTCAATCCAACCTGGCTTGGTCTGGCACGGAGCCCACCTGTGCAGGTAGGTATGCCGCCCCTCCAGCCTGCAGCAGAACCTGTAAACCCCTTGGTTCTTGATTCCAGTGCAAGAGAGGTTTCCCTTCATATACTTTGAGAAGTTCATGGCCATCCCTCTTTATCTGAGTGGATGAACATAGTCCCTAGATCCCTGCTGCAGCTCATCTCATCTGCCATCCATCTTGCCCCTGCCTATCCTCTAATTTCCTTTTCATGTCCTCTAAGGAAGAAGCTCAAGGTAGGAACCTAGGGCCAGCCTTTGGTGACATTATGAATCAGCAAAATTTGCTCTAGTTTCCTTTGTTCTAGAAATGTAAGGATCTTATTTATAAAGCTAGTAAATTGCCATGTAGAGACAATATCATACCTGCTTTGCATCACTGGCATGAAAGTTACATAGACTTTGGGCATTTGGAATCTTTCCTCCTATGTAAAATGAAGAAAATAATACCTCATCTACCTCTTGAGTTGTAAGGATTAAATGAGGTCATCTGTGGAACAGTGGAATAGAGCAGTGCCTGGTACAGGCAAAGCCTTATGCCAGCTCTTATTCCTGATGAAGAAAAATTGGGCTGGGTAATGAGTCTGAAACTTGGACTAGCCAGAAAATTATGTATGTATCTCTTGTTTATAGACTTCTCTTTTTCTCATTTCCTGGCACCCTTTCATCTTTATCACTTTCTTTTAATTGAAGCCCCCATTTAGAGTTAAGTGACAGAGAGACATATATACCATCAGCTAAATGCCTGAGATTCTTCAATTTCATGTATTAAAGTAGAAAGAACACACCTATTATAGACTCCCTACCTAAGGACTTCATGCCCACCACCTATGAGGCTATTCTGAATTGAGATATGCTATAAGTGTAAAATATATACCAATTTCAAAATCTTAGTGTGAAAAAGAATATAAAGTATCTTAATTTTTTATATTGATTACATGTTGAAATGAAATATTTTGGATATATTGGGTTAGATAAAACATAAAATCATTTCTACCTATCTCTTTATATTTTTTATTTGTTTGTTTGTTTGTTTGTTTGAGATGTAGTCTCTCTCTGTCACCCAGGCTAGAGTGCAGTGGCGCGATCTCGGTTCACTGCAACCTCTGCCTCCCGGGTTCCAGTGATTCTCCTGCCCCAGCCTCCCGAGCAGCTGGGACTACAGGTGCCTGCCACCACGCCTGGCTAATTTTTTGTATTTTTAGTAAAGACGGGGTTTCACCATGTTAGCCAGGATGGTCTTGATCTCCTGACCTCGTGATCTGCACGCCTCGGCCTCCCAAAGTGCTGGGATTACAGATGTGAGACACTGCGCCCGGTCTCTTTACACTTTTTTAATGAGGCAACTAGAAAATTTAAGATTAAATATAGTGGCTTACATTGTATTTCTCTTGACCAGAGCTATCCTAGACTCTGAGTCCCTGGGGCAGGGAAGAGGGCAGGAAAGAGGGCAGGAACTGTGTATCACTCAGTGTGACATCCTAGTACCTAGCATAGAGCTTGGCACATGGCAGGCACTCAGTATATAATGGCTGAATGAATGAATGTGTGAATGAACAAATACTTCAATGCAAACCTAAAATGTGAAATATGAAAACCAAGATTATAAATCATACATGGCATCTACTAGTTTTTCTCTTATTATTTCTTCTCTGGGGCTAAGCCTTTTGCTTGCCTATCTATACGACATCCTTCATTGACCTTGAACAGCTGGAATTAGTTGTCATTTATTTGCTTAAAGGGAAGACCTATTATAAAACCGCCTTGTCCCATGTCCTGTTTGCCTGTGTTGTTTGCTCTGTGGCCTTTGTGCCCCACATTGCTTTGTCCCTTCTGCACCAAGGAGGCAGACTTCAGAGATTCTGAGCCATTCCAAAGCCAGCCTGGCCACTGCCCATTCTCTTACCCTTCTGCCTCTCTGCACCCCTTTCCCCAGCAGATACTATGGTGCTTGGCCCATATGCCTTTCACATTCCCATCTGTGTTCAAAAGGCTACTTACTGCAATTAACTGGGTCTGTCTGTCTGAGAGCATTTCTTTCCTGGCTATGAAAGCATTGTCAGCCCATGCACAGAGCCAGCTGGAAGTGATGGAGAGTTAGTGCCCCAGAAGCAGCCCTCAGCAATGATGGAGCAATTGTATAAATACTCCAGTTCCCTCCAGTGGGTTAATTCTGGAGGTATGTTGTATATCATCTCCTAGAGTTCCCCAGTGGGAGTGAGTTCCAAATGCCCACAGCAAAAACTTGCTTGATAACCAATTGGTATTGTTTTCTTTCCTTCACTGTCTCACTTCCTGACATAGACAGAATAATGGTCCACCAAAGATGTCCACATCCTAGTCCCTGGAACCTGAGAATATGTTACCTTACATGAAAAAAGGGACTTTACAGATGTAATAAGTTAAGGATTTTGAAATGGGAAGAGTATCCTGAATTACCCAGTGGGCCCAATGTAATCACAAGCCTTCTTATATAAAGGAGGCAGAACTGATGTCAGAGTCATAGAAAGAGACGATGGAAGGAGAGGTCAGAGAGAAGAGAGATTTGAAGATGCTACACTGCTGTCTTTGAAGATGGAGGAAGGGACTACTAGCCAAGGAATGAATGTGGCCTCTCGATGCTGAAAAAGACAAGAAATCAGATTCTCCCCTAGAACCTCCATGGGAGCATAGCCCTGCCAACACCTTGATTTTAGCTCCATGAGACCAGGATCTTTTAGATCCTGACCTGCAGTATCTAAAAGAATAAGTTTGTATTATGTTAAGTCACTAAGTTTATGGTGATTTGTTACAGCAGCAAGAGGAAGTGAATATACTTCCGTACTCCTCCACAGGCGCTTCTTGGGACTGCCTCCCAAATAAACTGTTTACACTTGAATCCTTATCTCAGGGTTTACTTCTTACACAAATGGTTCTGTGTGTCATCATAGGCTCTGTTGAGCCAGAACAAGTGGAAGGTTTCTGACCCATGTGGCCATTTCTGATTACAGCCATGAACGTCAATGTGGGTGTCAGAACGGCAGCTGCACTTCTGGATCAGTTTTATGAGAAAAGGAGACTCCTCATTGTGTCCACACCCACAGCCCGAAACCTCCTTTACCGGCTCCAGCTAGGAATGCTGCAGGTGAGTCCTCGAGGCAGGGCCAAGGTGAGAGGGAGACCTTTAACAGGAAGGGCCCAGCCATTTCACTAAAAGCAAAGGCCAGATTCAGTGCCTAATGCACTTACAGTGAGTTTCAGGAAGTGGCACTTTAGAGCTACCACCATTCATTTCTGGTTCTGGGCCATAACCTGATTAACATTGACTCCTTAGAGTTAACCCAATCGTTTTCCAACTAATGAGGTTTGTCTGTCTTCACCAATAAGTCTAATTGACATGCTGTCCAGGCCTAGCCACAGAACAATTGTCTTTGCCAAACCTGTCCAGGATATGCCTGGCTGGAAGCAATCAATTGGTTGCCTGCCCACATTTTTCCCCAGGGAATTTCTTTGACTCAGAGGGTGACAGCCATTTTTTCTTAGAAAAGTGGTTCTCAACGTGTGATCCATGGACCGGACCAGAAGCATCAGCATCACCTGGGAGCTTGATAGACATGCCAATTCTCAGGGCCCCTCCCAGACCTACTGTGTCAGAATCTACACTTTTAA
This sequence comes from Homo sapiens, assembly GCF_000001405.40. Classification (NCBI taxonomy): domain Eukaryota; kingdom Metazoa; phylum Chordata; class Mammalia; order Primates; family Hominidae; genus Homo; species Homo sapiens. The sequence continues at coordinate 38,156,371 of NC_000023.11, read as the reverse complement.
CAAAATCTCCAGGTGATTCCTAAGCACTCTAAAGTTTGAGGGTCACTTTTCTGGGAAATGTGTCCTTCTCAGCTATGTAAATTTTGTAGCTACTAAATGAGGCAACCAACATCTTGGGTGTGTGGGGAAGGCTGACTAGAAACTGTAAGGATCAAACTAGAAATTGCTTGCTTTTGTCCTGAGGCTGGTTTGCAAAAGAGTGGCCAACTTCACTGAATACTAAAGAGGCAGGATGTATGCTGTGCCATGGATACAGTGCTGCACATTTTTTTGAGACTATTTTATTCATTTATTACAGTGGATAGAACTAAGTGCTTAGAACAGTATTGATTTAATCAAAGGCTACAATTTACTTCTCATATCAGCATTAATAAAATGGATAATAATAAGTCTCTTTTCACTCTTCCCACGTACTTGAAGAATTGCCTATGAACTCTGAAGAGCCATATAAAATTTTTGTGAGTTCCCTTGATAGGAACCAAATTCATTGCATCTTTACCCCTGGTCCCCACCAGCTTACCTCCCCTTGTATCTCCTTGTCCAAGCCAGGGGCTTGCTCTTCAGAAAACACAAGCTTATACCTCTGTCTTTTGTGGGAAACTGGCATTGCAGGCTATATTCCATGATCATGCATTTCCTCATCTCTTCTTATTCCATAGGAAAATGAATTAAGCCAAACAACTTGCTTTTCCTCTGTGTCAGCAAACTATGGTGACCCATGGCTAGTTTCGGTAAATTAACTTTTATTGGACACAGCCACACTAATTCATTTGTGCATGATCTACAACTGCTTTTGCACTACAATGATGGGTGAAGTGGTTAGGACAGAGGCAATCCAACCTTGCCAAGCCTGAAGTACTCTCTGGCCCTTTACAGAGAAAGATTGCCATCGTTGCTCTAGTCTGTCCCATCCCTTCAGACACTTGCTAACTTAACAACTGGTTGGATAAGATATTTTATATCAAGATGTTTTGGTGTGCCCTCCTCCTCCAAATATACTTACATTTGCATTTTAACCAGAGCCTTCAAAGAAAGGTTTGATTGACTTAGGCATTTCAGTGAGAGTAATACAAAAGTCTATTTCTAACTTTTTAAACTTTTCAACCAGTTCTGTAACCTCATATAGGGACGTTTCAGTGGAATTTTGGTAAAACATATTTGATGTTTTCGTCTTTCAAGACTTCAAAATTTCTTTTCCCATTTAGCCAAATTCATCATATTTGTCTTACATTACTTTTTTTTTTTTTATTGCCATTGCCATTCCTGATGAGCCCTCCTCGTGGTTGACTGGGCCACATTCCCAAGGTTCTTGCCAAGAGCCAGCTTAGAGGCTTGGAACCTTTTATCCTCTTTTCCCCTGGGATTGGGTGTGGAGGGCATAGGGCAGGGGAGTGTGGAGAGTGGAAACAGGGCAGAGAAGTGGACTCTGGAAATAGTCTTCTCTCCTTGCAAAGAAAAATTAGAATCCTCTGGGGTGGTCTTGGATACTTTTTAGGAAATTTGACTCACTCAAGGTCTCACCCTGTCTGGAAATACATAGACTGCCCTTTTGCTTAGGTTTTCAAAATCCCACTGTCAAGCCATATCTGAATGATTCCTCTAGCAAAGGTATTTAGGTTTTATAGCCACTATCTTAACCCCAATTTCTCATCTGTTTTCAGGACAGTTCAGAGTGAGCAAATAAACTTCCAGAGACAGGCCAGTGCTGCTTCTGTCGGTTTCTAGTTTGATAAGGATGTCTTTTTTAGCCATGCTCATACTTCCCCTGTTGGGTTTTCTTTTTCCCAGCAAGCACAGTGTGGCCTTGATCTTCGACACATCACCGTGGTGGAGCTGGTGGGTGTGTTCCCGACTCTCATTGGCAGGATAGGAGCAAAGATTATGCCTCCAGCCCTAGCGCTGCAGCTCAGGTAGGGGGAAGTTCTGTTCTTAAATCTTATCCCCTGTGAATGCATTTTTAACTGATTAGGTTCCCTGGTTTCTTTCTATTCAGGATTGAGTTCAGGCAACCTTCAATGTTTAATTGCTTTTATTCTGGGAGTGTTATAACCATACTAATCAGTATGTTGCTGTTTGTTCAAATAAATTGTGCAGTGGGTAATTACCAGTGTTCTTTCTTACTCCCTCCAACCAACCGTTTTTGCTTCATGTGTGTGTATGTGTGTGTGTGGTTGGTGGAGGAAGGATGGTTAGGAGAGGAGCACCTGAAGAAAAGACTTAAGCAATCATGGTCTTATTAGAAGAGCATGCATCCAATTAGACTTCCCAGGCTTGGTCTCTTTTTTCTCCATGCTTCCAGAACACTTGTTCATACCTTTATTTTAACAATTATATTTTAGTTTCATAACCCTTACAAAGTTGGAGCCATGGATTTTAGTCTCTGAATAATGATGTATTAAAGAAGCAGAATTCAACAACCAAAAGGTAATTTCAGAATAACCCAAATTTCTACTTGCATCTCTTGACCACTGTGAAATCGATAATTAGGCTAAAGCAAAACTCCTTAAAATCTTCCTTTCTCACCCAGCCTTTTCTCTCACACACTGCATGGGAGAGTACAGATCTCTGTTTTCAGGGTCCCAGGCTGCTCCCTGTCTCTCAGGGCCTCAGGCAGTTACAAACATCTCGAACACGTGGCTTTCAGGCTTCTGCAAAAGTGGGGAAAGAGAGTAAAAACTCACACTGACTCCTTTATGCTTCACGTTGGAGGTGCCACACCTTGCTCACTCTCTTAGTTCATTGGCCAGAACTAGTTACATGATTGCAATTCACTTTTAAGGGAGGCTGGGAAATGCAGTCTTTCTGTATTGCCAGAAAGAAGAAAATGAAATGGGACTTGGTAAACCCTATCACACCTGTTCAGAAGGCACAGAAATTCCTTGAGAGGTTATATGATAGAAACATATCCTTAGCAAATGATGCTATAGATAGACACAATAGCTTCTTTCTCTAATTTCCCTGTTTTCCAGCTGCCTTTGACCCATCCCATGTTTGATTTGTACCACTTTCCACCCAAAAAGATTCTGCCACATTCCTACCAAGGTAAAAAAAAAAAAAAAAAAAAAAAAAGAAAGAAAGAAAGAAAGAAAAAACTCAGAGGGCCAGGATGGAAGAAAAATAAGATGATTCATGAGTTCTCTTTAGTCGGCTGATGAATGGAGAAGGCTGGGTACACTCATATGCTTTTGTTTTTGTTATATTTTACTGCATTTGCATGTAGCACCTCCCCATACCGACTTCAGTAGCAGAGCTTTCAAATATTGGCTACTCAGTACCTAGCACAGTACCTGGCACCATGTTGGCGCTAAGTGGAGTAAATGACTCAAAATTTCATTGAAACAGCCTTACTATTTCCAGAGGTGATAATAGCTTTTAAAAGTATATTGTATATCTACAGTTAGTATACAAATACTTCAAGTTGAAGTGTACAAAACTTAAGACAGAGAGTTGTGTTGATATCTAAATATTTATGGTGAATATTTTCAAAGTAGGTTTTATGAAGCTGTTGCTTATTTAGAACTACTTGCTCATATCCTGTGTCAATGATTTTTTAAAACTTGTTGCAGAATTTTCTGAATGGTCTTTGGATTGAATGTGTGTGTATGTGTGTGTGTATGTCATCTTCATAAAATCTTGATGTGATTTTAAACTGTTTAATCTACTTGAAGAACAGAAAAATGTGATTAAAAAATACTTGTCATTCAGATTGTATATATTGGGGCTACCATAGACTTCTATAGGCTGAAGATAATTTTTAAATACATTATGTCGTGGTTCTCAAATTTTTAACCTCCATCAGAATCCCCTGGAGGGCTTGTTAAAATACGTATTGCTGGAGTCTACACTGTAGGCTCTAAACTGTGTTTCTGATTCAGTAGGTCTCTGGTCGTACCCGAGAATTTGCATTTCTCGTGAGCTCCCAAGAGACCACATGGTGAGGACCACTGGCCTAGTTTTTTACCAAAGCCTTTACAGTTTGAAATAGAATTTTTGCCCAGCAGCCTTCAAGGAAAGGGTCAATCACTATTTTGCAGCTGGATGATAGTCCAGGTAAATGTCATACAGAAATGATCACTCAGGTGCATTACCTAATGGATTCTGTGTCAGGCCGGCATGCCTGTGTTATCAAACATATCAGTGAGAAACAAAGAGCTTGGCAGAACTTTTTCCCTTTGAATTGGAAAGGTGTTTTTTAGACACCTTGGAGTCTAGTGCAGAGGAAAAAAGATGATTTAGGCAAAGAATGGGAAGCAAAAGAGGAGAAGGAAAAGCATAATGCCTGCATAATGTAAAAATTCTCTTGTCTGGCTATTTTCAAATAGCACCAAGGCCGTGATAAAACCCTTGAAGGGAGTCAACAGAAAGAAGAGACTGGGTGCCTGGGGTTGCAGGGTCACCGCCTACCTTCTTTCTTACCCTCATTTCTTTTTTATCTGGAGGTATGATCTGATTCATGCTTTCCAGAGGAATTTTCCAGCAATCTCAAGGAAGACAGGGACCAAGAAAGCCATAGTTTCTATACCCACATTATTCTTTGAGTCTACAGTGTTCCCTGGAAGACTTTCCAGGAAGAACTCCTTCCAATCTGACGACAGACACATATGTAACTCAGGCATACTGTCGGCATCACACCTCATCCCCGATTTTGTGTGGTGTTTGATCATTCATCCCCAAGATTTCTGTGGTCTTTCGGCCCTAGTGGGATGCATTCCTGTGGCTGCTGCTAGCCTGCTGATCCAACCACTCAGCTCTTCCCATGACAGTTTTCCCTCTTTACATTCTGTGTCAATGAAGGCACAAGACTTACACAGGAATGTGTATGGTAGCAGATGGTGGCACCGTGGTGGTGGTGGTGGGGGTTCCCATCCTAGTCTCACAAGCACTATAAAAAAAATGAATGCTCCAATTTCTTATTGGTCACCCTTTCCCACAGGCTTCAGCCACCACATTCCCTATTCCTCTGTTTCCTGAGAGCTCCCTGTACCAGAACTCCTCCACGCTCCCAAAAGAAAACTCAATATCCTTCCCCTTAAAGATGCAGAGCATTTTATCTCTTCATTCACACCTTTGCAGCCTACATTCGCGTGTTCAGAACTCATTAATGCACTTTGCAGTCATCTACTTCTGAGCTCCCCTCTTAGCACTGCAGGAAACCTGGCAGAGGTATTGTCATGTCCTCTTTATTTCATTTCTAGTCACTGGGAGTGAACTGGCAATTTAGCTCCCCACTGGGATAAAATACAAATTATTCCCTTCTTCCTCGAAACTCCCTCTTAAAAGGCAGAAAAAAGTAGTTTGTGTTCTATGTAATGATTTTTTAACCTTGATCTGTTTGTATGAGGAAAACATATTTTACTTTAAATCCAGATGGCAGTGTATATTCTGCCTCATACATAATCTCAAAATATCTAAACTGAAAAAAAAATCTGGAGAAGAGACTGAGTGGGCTCATTTATTCATTGGGCTCAGCTTATCTGTTTGTTTGCTTTCTCTAGCTATTCCCATCTAAATATGTTTGTGTTGATATAAAAATCATATTTTTTAGTTTAAATTCTAGTGTGGTAGAGCAGAAAGAACACCAGACACTTGAAACCACTTCATATTCTTTTTTGGAATTATTTGGGGTACAAATTATGATTAATCAAGTCAGAATACATGGGCTGTAGACCAAGCTCAATCCCTTATAACTCTGCAGTCCTGAGCTGGCCACTGAACAGGCCAGAACTATCATGCTGGGAAATTATATCAATCAGCTTTACCTAGCCCAGAGTTTCTCAGCCTTGGCACTATTGCTATGTGGGAACAGATAATTCTTTGTTTGGTGGGGACAGTTGGCTGTGCATTGCAAGATGTTTAGCAGCATTCCTGGCCTCTACCCACTAAATGCCGGTCACATCTTCACTCTCCACTGTGACAACCAAAAATATCTCCAGACATGGCCAAATTTCCCCTGGGGGTGGGGAGCAAAATCACCCCTGTTCATAATCACTGACTTTGTCCTAGTGTGTATGTGGTCGTGCAACACTAGTCAGCAAACGTGGGTTTTGGGTTGATTCCAAACTTGGATTGATTCCAATTTAATAAAAAAAATCTGTTAGCCTTGTATGCACCTTGTACCAAACGTTGGTATGTGGCACCATTGTACGCCTGAAGTCTTCCTGACTATAATCTAAAACCAAAGCAGTGCTTTTCAACCTCTCAGGTACATACCAGTCATCTGGGGATCTTGATAGTAATGCAGACACTAATTCAGTAGGTTTGGGGTTGGGCATGAGAGTCTCCATTTCTAGCAAGTTCTCATGTGATGCTGCTGGTTCAAGGGTCACAGTTGGAGTAGACAGGGTCTAAAGGATGATTCAGTCCTTCATTGTATCAAAGCTTTCTCTGCACACTGTCACAGTAAGGCTCTGGTTGATCCACCAGGACCCTTGGGAGTCATGGTTTGACTTAGTCTCCTCTTTTCTTTGTCTGCCACAGGCTGTTGCTGCGAATCCCACTCTACTCCTTCAGTATGGTGCTAGTGGATAAGCATGGCATGGACAAAGAGCGCTATGTCTCCCTGGTGATGCCTGTGGCCCTGTTCAACCTGATTGACACTTTTCCCTTGAGAAAAGAAGAGATGGTCCTACAAGCCGAAATGAGCCAGACCTGTAACACCTGACATGATGGTTCCTCTCTTGGCAATTCCTCTTCATTGTCTACATAGTGACATGCACACGGGAAAGCCTTAAAAATATCCTTGATGTACAGATTTTATTTGTAATTTTAAAAGTCTATTTTATTATGAGCTTTCTTTGCACTTAAAAATTAGCATGCTGCTTTTTGTACTTGGAAGTGTTTCAAAAAATTATATGACCATATTTACTCTTTCTAACTTTCTTTACTCCATCATGGCTGCTTGATTTTGTAGAGAAATTAGAACCCATAACCATACACAGGCTATCAACATGTTATTCAATGTGACACCTAACTCTTTTCTATTTTGTTTTTTAAGTAAGACTTTTATTAATAAAACAAAATGTTTTGGAGCAAATTTAGTAGAACTCACTTTGTTTGTCAAGCACCAGCCATACTTGTTCAGTGTGGTCAGTGGTTTTAGGATTGTGATTCTTAGTGGTGTTTTAAGAATGGAAAAAATTTAATTAGTCTTTTTAGGAGCTCTGCTGAGCTGGGAGAGAGCTGAGCTGTCAGGTGTTCAAGTAGCCAATTAAAGCCACAAGCTGAAAATGAAAGAGTTAAGCCTTCAGTCACAGTCTAAAACCAGAGGAAGCATCAACTTCACTCTTCCATTTTCCCCTGTGGGACAGCACGCTGGTCAAGATTCAAGTGGAGCAGCACAGACGTGGGGTCATCTTTATATTGAGGGAGTCCCGAACAAAAGGCTCTGGCAGTTTTACGGACCCTGGAGTCATGTGGTGGGGTAGGAGTGGAAAAGTCCTGGGCACTGAGGCAGAGTGAAGGAAAGTATCTTCAAATTTTTTCCCTTTTCCTTACCCCATAAGATCTCAGCAGAGGAACCTGAAGACCTCTTGCCCAAGGCCTCAGATAAAGGGCCTAGAAATGAAGGCACAGGGCTAGGAATGTAAATATGTGAAAGAGCATGATTGGCCAGGGGGTCTGAGTCTTTGACTGCAACACCCCACAGAGACTGCCATACGCTGGCTGTGCACCAAGTCTGGTGTGTGGAGGGCAGCTTTCCCAGTGAAGCCTGCCAGGTAAAGTCTTCGTCATCGCCTATGATCAGGCCTGAAAAATCACACATTGGTTTTTAACCAGTAGCCAGACTCCTCAATTCTCCCATGCAAATCTTGAAATTTTTCCTCCATTTTTAGAATATCAGTTTGGTTCACAATCTATTCCTAAATAAAATGACTAAGTGAATGATGTTTCCCACTGGTTTCCCACTGAAAATCTTGCAGAACTTTTCTGTGCACCTTTTGGACCTTATAGAAACAATAGATAAATTCTAACATACAGAGATTTAACACAGAAAGCAGATTTAACATTTTTTTTTAATATTAGGCAGGGCGATTGCTGAACTGCCAATAGGTTTACACTCTATTTACAAACATGATTTTGTTCACAGAGCATACTAGAAGCCAGTTTTTGACTTCTGTCTTCTTCAGATGTATCAGAAAGGTCAATGGCATGGCTCATAGAGGAATGTCAAATAGTGACCAACTGGAAACCATGAAAAGTTCAATAGGGGTGGGAAGAGGGTGAAGGATAAAAGACTACAAATTGGGTTCAGTGTACACTGCTCAGGTGATGGGTGCACCAAAATCTCACAAATCACCACCAAAGAACTTACTCATGTAACCAAATAGCCACCTGTTCTCCAAAAACTTATGGAAATAAAAGAAAAAAGGAAAAGTTCAGGAGATCATTTGTTACAATTAAGCAAGCATATATCTGCCTCTACCTTTGTTAAAGCTCTCTTGCTTTGACAAGTCAGCCTGTGCCCTTTGCCCCATACCCTGAAAGGTTCAAACCTTGAAGATGAGCTGACATTTAAGGAACTACTTGGATTCCTTCAAACCAATTTACCTGATGACTTGGAATATTGCAAGCACTTTTCCCAACAAGATCAACAGACTATTTGAAGATCAATGAATCCACTATGGTATTTTAAAAGTAAATACCCTGCATCAAAATTTGGGGACATTTCTAAAGATTAATTAATAGCCTCTCTCTAGAGAACCGGTTTCCCACTGGAAATCTTGCAGAACTTTTCTATGTACCTTTTGGACCTAATAAAAACAAACAAACAAAAAAAAAAAAACAGTTCCTAATTCTGCTTGCTTACAATTTGGTACTGCAGAACTTCTACACATGTATGCAGGTTGTAGTATACACACACACACACACACACACACACATATATATACATATATATGTGTATATATATGTGTGTGTGTATATATATATATGTATATATATATGTGTGTATGTATATATATATATGTATATATATCCAGATATAGTTGTTGTCTGTGGGAGGTTAGTCCAATAGAAACCATTATTAGAAATCTAGTAGTGAAGGATGAACTAGAAGGTGGAAGAGTCCAGTCCATTCACAGAGAACTGCAGATTTACCTCTACAAACTCTCAACTCTTGAGCTTAGATCATTGGAGTGAGCAGTGAAGGAGAGGAAAGGCAGTGCACATTGAAGCAAGGATTAATGCTCAGGATGTTGATACCTATACTATTCCTGCAGTAAAAATTACCCCAAAAATCAGTGTCTTAAAACAACAAACATATTATCTCTCACAATTTCTGTGGGTCAGGGATTTGGGAGCAACTTAGCTGGCCAATTCTGGCTTGGAGTCTCTCTTGAGATTGCTGTCATATCTTGGCTGGGACTGCAGTCAAAGGATTGACTGGGGCTGGAGAATCCGCTTCCACAGTGGCTCACTCACATGACTGGCAAGTTGGTGCTGATGGTTGGAAGAGATCTCTATTTGTCTCCACATGGATTTCTCCACAGAGTGTTGCATGAATGTTCTCATAACATGGTAGTTGGCTTCCTCTGGTAGAAGTGATCCAAGAAAGGGCAAAGTGGAAGAGGCAATATCTTTTATGACATAGTCTCAAAAGGCACACACTGTTACTTCCACAGTATCCTGTTGGTCCAACAGATCAGCCCTATTCAATGGGGAAGAGGACAACACAATAGGATGGATACTAAGAGGTAAAGATCACTGGGGCCTATTTTGAAGGCTAGCTTCTGCCAGTTCCCATAGCTGCTGACAACTTCTTAACTGGGGACATGGCAATTTATTTATTTATTGGCATAAATTTAGAGGGTACAAGTGCAATTTTGTGACATGGATATGTTGCATAGTGGTGAAGTCTAGGCTTTTGGTATCATTATCACCCAAATAGTGTACACATTATACCCATTAAGTAATTTCTCATTTCTCATCCCCACCCACCCTTACCCTTCTGAAACTCTATTATTACTCCACACTCTATGTCCATGTGTACACATTATTTAGCTTCCACTTATAAGTGAGAACATATAGTATTTGACTTTCAGTTTCTGAGTTAGTTTACTTAATGGCCTCCAGTTCCATCCATGTTGTTGCAAAGGACATGATTTCATTCTTTTTGTTATGGCTGAGTAGTATTCCATTGTGTGTGTGTGTGTGTGTGTGTGTGTATCACATTTTCTCTATCCAATCATCTCTTGATGCACACTTAGATTGATTCCATAGCTTTGCTCTTGTGAATAGTGCAGCTGTAAACATACAAGTGCAAGTGTCTTTTTGTATAATGATTTCTTTTCCTTTGGGTATATACACAGGGGTGGGATTGCTGGATCAAATGGTAGTTCTATTTTTAGTTCTTTGAGAAATCTCTATATTGTTTTCCATACAGGTTGGATTAATTTACAATTCCACCAACAATGTATAAGGATTCCCTTCTCTCCACATCCTCGCCAACATCTTTTATTTTTTTGACGTTTTAATAATGAGGGACATGGCTTCTTTATGGTAGAAAACATGGAGTAGTTCTAGAATAAACAAATATAATTGTGGCTTCCCAAATTGGTAGGAAAATTCCCAATTTTACAACTTCTTAGCAGTTCCCTTGGCAGTCCCAGGTGGTTTAGGGACTTTTTTATGGAAGGTCAGCATAAAGTCTATTTTTTTAACCTTCCACTCTAGATAAGAACAATATCCTTTCTCTTTGAACTAGCTTGCGTTGACTCTATTCTCTGTAATTAAGTCCTTAATGATACAGACAGTAAAATTAAAAGCGTAGTCTTGAAACACTGGATTTCTTGGACTTCTCTTCCTTGCAATTCCACAGTTAACAGTGATATCAAGCATCTCTTGAAGACATATCTTATAAGCCATGATAAAATCATTCAGTACAATTGACCATTTTTCTTCAGCAATGCTTAGTCACACAGGTTGAGGAAGAGAGAAGGCATACTGAAAGACTAATCTGGGGGTAGATGGTTGTGACAAAGGTATGGTGGCAGGACAAGGGGAGGGAGTTGGTTGTAGTATTGAGAAAATGGATTGTGTGATTACACACAAGGACAAGAGTTAGTCCAAAAAGAAACTCGGGAGGCTGAGGCAGGAGAATGGCGTGAACCCGGGAGGTGGAGCTTGCAGTGAGCCAAGATCGCGGCACTGCACTCCAGCCTGGGCGACAGAGCGAGACTCCATCTCAAAAACAAAAACAAAAAACAGTAGTGGCACTGACCTATTCAAAGAATATAGGGAAAGGCTAATGATCCTAATGTGGTTTAAGAGTGAATATAATCAGTATAAAGATATGAGAGATTTGGAAGAGATGAAGAAAATATCATTGAAATTGTGATGTTAGGAAGTTGAATAAATTATCCAAATGGGTGATGTGGATACTGGCAGGAGTTAAGGCAAAGGAGATGAGTGAGAGTCAAATTCCAAGGATATATAGAGTGGAGGAGATAACTGTGTATAGATAGGTGACTGTAAGGAGAGCATGATGGAAAGTGATATGGTAGATGGCAGGATTCTCAGAGAAGGTCTTTTGCTCAGATTAGGAAAGAATGATCAATTAAGAAGGAGCTGTGGGGAATTGAGCAGATGTTGACATTACCTCTCAACCAAGTGATATTAAAGTATGAAAGAGCAACCTGCTGTAAGAAAAGCGACAAAGAGGAAAACAAGAATTTACTCAAGAATATTTTGAAAAGATACTAAAGCTATAGGAAGGTGCTATGGTTTGGATATATGACTCCTCTAAGTCTCATGTTGAAATTTGATTCCCAGTGTTGAAAGTGGGGTCTAATGCGAGATGTTTGGGTCATAGGGACACATCCCTCCTGAATGGCTTGGTGCCATCCTGGCAGTAAGGAGTGAGTTGTTCCTCTGTTAGTTCCTGTGAGAATTCTCCTGAGAACTGGTCATCAAAAAGAGCCTCCAACTGCACTCCCCTCTCCCTTGTTTCCTGTCTTGCCATGTGTTCTCTGTACATACCAGGTCCCCTTCACCTTCCTCCACAAGTGGAAGCAGTATGAGGCCCTCATCAGAAGCAGATGCTGGCTCTATGCTTCTTGTACAGCCTGCAGAACCATGAACCAAGTAAACGTAAACCTCTTTTCTTTATAAATTACCCAGCCTCAGCTATTCCTTTATAGCAACACAAGTGGACTAAGGCAAAAGGTCACTTTACTATGAAATGTGTGTGTGTGTGTGTGTGTGTGTGTGTGTGTGTGTGTGTGTGTACGGCAATAGTCCAGAGGCATCAAAGTCTGGAAGAGAGTTGGGCAAGGGGACACTCAGAGCAGTATGAGAATGAGACAACAACAAGACCAGTGAGGGAGACAGCTCATGCCTGTAACTGGAGGATTATAGACATCAGAGACATGGATGAACTTGATAGGCTTTGAGGTTTCCATTTTCAGAGGACAATGTTTTAGTGCCAGAACTGACATTCCTTGTGATTCCTGTGTAACCTATCTTAGACAACCGAGACAGGAAGAGTCAGGTCCAGCCCCCTACCATGACCAGAACTGACCTTATGGTGGAGGCTGGGCCTGGTTCTTCCTGCCTTGAGGTATCTAGCACAGGTTACACAGGAATCATCATCAACTCCACAAGGAGACAGGACTTCCTAGAGAGTATTTGGCTCTACGTGTGGGCAGGGAAATTCAAAAAGAGCCTGCTGCTGTTGTCAAAAGGCAAGAATATTTTCAGAGGTAACCGAGGTAATATTTTTAAAAATATTCTTTCATCTTTTGATGGACTCTTAGTTTGATTCCTTATCTTGGCTATTGTGAATAATGCCACAATAAACATGGGAGTGCAGATATGTCTTCAACACACTGATTTTATTAGATTGTAAGACAATTGGCCAGGTGTGGTGGCTCACACCTGTAATCACAGCACTTTCGGAGGTCAAGGTGAGAGGATTGCTTGAGCCCAGGAAATCAAGACCAGCCTGGGCCAACATAGCAGGACTCTGTCTCTATAAAAAATGTTTACAAATTATCTGGGTGTGGAGGCATACACCTGTGGTCCCAGATACTTGGAAGGCTGAGGTGAGAGGATCACTCGAGCCTGGGAGGCTGAGGCTGCAATGAGCTGTGACCACGACACTGCATTCCAGCTTGGGTGACAGAATGAGACCCTGTCTAAAAAAAAAAAAAAAAAGATTGTGAGACAATTGGATATGTTATGATGGCCTTTGGCCCAACATCAGAACCACCCCGGCAAGAGGATATTAAACCAGACTTGCTGAGTGGATTGTGGGGAAATAGATTTTATAGAACACTGCACAGATGAAGGAGGATATATTGTTCAAGGGTCTGGTATGGCTCTGCTGTCACCCCACAGATGAGAACTTGGCCTTGCTAATCTTAGTTCAAAATGGGAAGACACAGGAATTAAATTTCATTTAATGGCAGACTACCCCATATCATACTAACCTCCCTGCTGATAACAATTATAACTTTGGACAAAATAAAGAAAGAGAAGTTACTGGAACTCATTGGCACTCAACCAAAAGCAGGCAGAGTCTGAAATAACTATGACCTTGAAAGAATGTAAGCACATTGGGTAACATGCACATTTGGTTGGCTTTTCCCTTGAGGACTTTTCCATTTGCTAGTGTACTGGATGTGGAACTCAAGCAGAAGGCTGTACTCTTACTGGGCTGAGGATTCAGAGGATGACGGCAGGATGACCAGAGAGTGTGGAAATGGAGGAGATATGTGAAAGGAGAAAGCCAGTGGGTGGGATTTGGGAGGGGGAACCCAAATGTGCATATAAATTGCCCTTAAATCTTTAACTGACCCCTGAGCTGTGCATGCACAGAGTGAGGCTACGAGAAGTCCAGGAGGAAAACAAAATAGCTGAAGGGAAAGACCTGAGCTGAGCAGTGATCTCAGCAGCTGATCTGTGCTGGAGAGATAGTTTGGAGGTCAAATCCTTTCAAGTTAAAGGAGCTCAGTGAACAGGTTGAGCTTCCACTGAAAATTCAGGACTACTCTTCAAAAGTAAAGAACAAGATTCAGGATTCAGTTAAATCAAAGTAGACCTCCTTAACAAAGCCTAAAATCAAGCTTCCACAACACCAAGCTGGGTGAATTAGTAATTTAACTGTCTGCAAAAACAAAAATGTGAACAGCCTAGGTCTATAAAAATTTCCTTAAACCAGCAGTTCTCAAACCTTTGAAGGATTCCAAAGTACTTTTCTTTGTGTGAGTTACATCTCTCAATATTTACCAGGTTAGAAATCAAAACAGAGAAATTTTAAAAATTATATTTCGATGCATTTCAAAAAATAAATTTATTGCATGATGATGTAGATAACATATTTTTGAGAAAATCTAAGTATGTTTTGCAAAACCAAAAAGTAAGATGAGCAGCATTATTTTACATTTTTGCAAGTCTCTTCAAGTCTGGCATAATAGAAGATAGCTAGTTTCTCATATATGCTTTCCTATTCAGTCTCTTGCAATATGTTATTTTGATTGAAATATAAGAAGAAAATCTGGCTTCACAGATACACACACACACACACACACACACACATATATACACACACGCACATATATGTATTTGGAAAAGGGAGGAGTATTTTAATAGCCTATTTAGATAACTGTGAATATTTTTTTGACACTTCACCAAAAGTCAACAAGTGGTAGTTCCTTAAAGATTAATGGTGATATGAAAACTCTTTGTACTCTGTTGCATTAAAATCCACTGGTCTATCTTGTGCTTTGAATGTATCTTTTATCTATGCACAATTTTGTAACTCATGCATCCATCATTTAGAAAACACTGGTTCACTGAATCAAGTAGCTCTTCCAAAGATTGATAAATTTTGTTACACAATATTAGAATATCACATTAGTTAATGTCATCACCAATCTTATCAGAAAAGTGTATAAGTATTAGGAAGCTGTCACAGTCACAATGGTAGATACAAGTTTTCAAAAATTCTAATTTTTGCTTCAAAGCTTTAATGTTATCATTGGCAACAAGTACTGCCAATTGTTTTCCCTGAAGTGACAGGCTCACTTTGTTCGTTTTTGAAAAAATGTCTGCCAAATTCTCAAGCTTGAATAACCCGTTATTTGTTCTTTAAAATAAAAAGAATGCTGAAAATGCATCATACTTTGGTATGCACAGAAAATATTTAAAACATATGTATTTAGGGTCAAGATTTAATAAGACTATTTTTTACTGCTTCATCAGGGATATTCTTAAATAAAACTGGTATTTTACTTTTCTTACTATGAAAGCATGAAGATAAAAATATGCACTGCCTTGATTCCTGCCATAGTGCTACAGTTTTGCACAGTGAAAAGAGCAAGTAAGGAAGATAGTTTTGTCCTTGCTAACCCCTTGAAGAAGTTTTAGGACACCCAGGAGTCCAAAGACCAAACATTGTACTGCCTTAAACTGAAAAGCCCCGTTTGTTAATATAATTCTGGAATTGTGATGGAATCTGGAATAGAAAGGAGTGGAAAAAACCCAAAATTTGGCATCTTTCTTAACTCTGGTAGGTCTTGTGGGGACTGTTCCTAATAGCTGTGTGCCTTGTAGAGACCCCACACTTAAGGGAACATTTCTCCACATGTGCTGCATCTGCTCCTGTTCTTTGCAGCTATCTTTCTTTTGGTAGGTTCTGTATCCTTAGCTAAATTAATCAGAAATGAAGAGCAGGGATGAGCAGACCCTTTTGGTTCATCAAGACTCTAAACTGTGAGGGAGGGAGAGCATCAGGATAATAGCTAATGCATGCGGGGCTTAATACCTAGGTGACGGGTTGATAGGTGCAGCAAACCATCATGGCACACGTTTACCTATGTAACAAACCTGCACATGCTGCACATGTATCCAAGAGCTTAAAATTAAATTTAAAAAAATCTAAACTGTAACACTGCGTTCAAATGATCTCATTTAATCTTCACAAGAAGTCACAAATATTTCATCTCCTCTCAGCTTTACTTGCTTGTTAACAGCTTTAAAGCTGGGACTTACAGTAACTGAAGAAGGGACACTGAGGGCTTCTTGTATAGCTGTGTCCTAAGGGTTGCTGCAGTAAGGGGGATGTCTTTGTCAGCAAGACTGCAAGCACGACAACCTTGGCCTACCAGCCCTCTCAATACACTTTATGCCTTAACCTTGGATATGCATTCAAATTACTCGGGGAGCTTTAAAAAATACTGATGATTTGGTGCCACACCCAGAGATTACGATATAACTGGTCTAGGTGCAGACAGGACTTGAGGGATTTTAAAAGCTTCCAAGGGGATTCTCATGTGAAGCCAAGGGTGAGAACCACCGTTTTGGTCGAGGTGAGAAAGATGGCAGTTATAACCAATGATGGGAATACACCTCCCCCTTTGGAGAAACACTTGTTATTGCTTCTCTGCCTTTGGCCAAGGTTTTTAGTGTTTGCATTACAAAGTTAAACTTATGTTTAACTCATTTAAAATATGGCACTTGTTTCTCCTTAGGACAAAGCCACAGGAATGTTGCAAAGCACCTAGCTTTGTTCATCAGAATCAATTTTACTAATGAATGTGCAGGGTACAGATGCATTTCTGTTACTATGGTGTCATTTCTGAAGATGCTCAACAGCTTAAGGATTTGTTTTTCTGTTTGCTCTATGGCTGCATTGGAGCTTGAAGAAAATTTAATTTCTCTGCATCGTGTTTGAAATGTTGTATTGTCTCTCTCTACATCAGAACAAGTTTCTGTGAAGGATGGTGCTGTGCTTAGGCAGCAGTGCTGTGAGACTAACAAATTGACTTCAAATGGAACTGAAATGCCATTGTTTGGTCACAGATCAAATCTGAATCTTTCTCTCTTGAGTACCTTCCAATGTGTCGCTTAGTTTCATGAAATTACGTTTGACTCTTGGGCAGGATAAGTGGATTTCTGATGCCTTCTGAGACTAAGCATGAACTTCCAGGCTTCAAAAGAGGAGTTACTTCTCTCTCTCTTGAAAAACCAGAAAGAGAAGAAATACTTTTATTTCTCAACAAGTGGCAGCAATATAGCACAAATATATGAACTTTGTGAAGGGACTGAGTTCCAAGACCCTCTAGAGCAATGCTCCTCAGAATGTGGTCCTTGTACTAGTTGCTGGTCCCTGCACCATTTATTACTGGTTTACAAGGAGATAAGGAGTTTGCCCAAGACTGGAAATCAACAGTGTCAATAAATTTGTTATTTAGTTCAGCTGATGTTTTTGATTGCAAAACTTTCCATGAAGGAAGCCACACACTGATTTACATTCTGATGCAAGCTCCCTATCTTATCATGGGCCAGCACCTTGAGTAGCATTTCCCTAGAGGAGGGCCAGAGGTGAGACACTTGTTCCTTTGTCTCTATAGAGACCAATTAGTAAATTAGAAATTAGGAAAGAAAATGCAATGGAGTTTTTCAAAGGCACAGTAGCTTTTATTCCAGACTGAGTAGTCTCAGTCATTACTAGTCGAGAGCCCACGCAATTCTGATTAGCAGTTTTGCTAAAGGATTGGTGAGTTATAGACTCTGAGCCTAGACTAAATAATATCTTAGAAATAAAAGTGATAAGAAAAACTGTCTTGATTTTTGGCTACCTTATATTTCTTCCAGTGAACAGAGGCACTACGATTGGAAGACATTTTTTTGGTTTGTTTTTTATTCAAAGACGTTAACATGTACTATGCACATATTAATGTGCCAAGTGCTGGGAATGCTTCTCAAATATGTGAGCAATACAATCTTGGAATTCTATTTTGAGAGGCTGCTTCCTAAAGAACAAGCCTAATATCAATTACTGTATCAATTAGGGTCTCAGCAGGAAACAGATGGAACACTGAAACTGTGGCTGCAACACTGAGGAAAGATTAGTAGAGGGATTATTTATAAAGGTGCAGTCAGGGTCAAGGGAAAACAACAAGGGATGGTGATACTAGCAACAGCTAGGAGCCTTTACCACTAGTAGGCCTGAAAGATTGGAGGGCAGGAGTGGCTCTGTGGCTCTAGCTGCAGGAGAAGGTAACCTAAAAAGAACTATAGCCCTGAATAGAGGTAGCCACTATCACTTGGTGACCCAGCAGGAGGGAGCCAGGCTTGTAACTATACCAGTCTCACTTTCCTCACACCATTCAATCTCCTACTGCTGGCTTTCTTTGTCCAAACCCAACCAAAATCCAGAAGGTAAGAGAGTCACATTGAAGCAAATCATTAAGGTTCACCTCTTAGGGCATAAAACAGTGTGAAAAGAGCAAAGAGAAAATATGCAGGAACAGATGTAGAATATCCAGAGCAACATCTTAAAAAATTATAATTGACAACATTTGTTTCTTCCTTTGTGGTATGTAAAGTAAGGCTGCCTCTTACAATCAATGGTGTCAAAGAGTAAATTAATTCTAGCACATGTAAGTTGTCATAGGACTTTAGAGCTTGAGCAGACTTTGAATATCACTTAGTTCAAGTCTCCCATTTTATAGATGAGAAAACTGAGGTTCAGTGAGAGAACTTGTCTTGCTCAAAAGCCACAGCAAGTAGCACAGCTTGGAGAAGGAGCTAGGTTTCTTAACTATCAACTCAGTGTTCTTTATAATACATCATCCTCTTTCAAGTTTGGGTTAACCAAAATGTACTTTTGGGTTAAGCCTCACATTTATCACTGACTTAAGCCAACTTGGTATCCAAATGCTTTTCTCTACAGTTCGTCATCAGCAGCAACACAAATATTGAGTCTTGATTGAAAATAGAAGATACCAGCTAGAAGATGTTTGATTAGTACTATGGAATAAAGCTTTCAGGGACTATTTCCTCAAGTTTAGGGGAGACTGTGTCCAAAGTCAGTTGGTCCTCATTCTATTTAGCAGGTTATCAGAATCATCTAGAATAAAAAATATTTAGGTCTTTCATTTCAAGGACTCTGAAATAAAGTCAAATTACCTGGCTGAGGGATGTCATCAGGATAACCACAGGAGAAAACACACACACACACACACACACACACACACACACACACACACACACACACAAAGATGTTAGTAATCAAGCATGTGTGTATGCCGAGAAAAAAAAATCAAGGAATAAAAAGGACTCAAAGAAAAGACTGGCAAATGGAAGGATCTTAGGACAATGTTGGCATCAACTACAACTGACAGGCGATAGTCTTAAGTGTCAATATCAATTCTGCCATTTTCTGTACACCAATGCATTCCACAGTTCATTATTCTTGCAAATCAACTAAGGATCTTATTATAATGAGCATTGTGATTCGGTGGGTGTGGGCTGGGGCCCCACATTGTGCATTTCCAACAAGCTCCCAGATTTTGGTAATGCTGTTGGTTCATGAATCCCACTGTAAGAGGCAAGTCTCCAGCTCATGACAAACACAAGGTTTCTAGTTGGGTTGCAGTTTAGTGTAGTGCAAAGAAATTGGGCTTTGGGATCTGAACTGGGAAGCTCCATGTTGGGTGAGGCTGTATTACATACTATCTTTGAACTTGGGCAAGTTACTTAACCTCTATGAGCCTCTTAGGTCTTTTTAAAAAACAGCCTTAAATTACGTAACAATTCATAAAGTACTTGACACATAGTAGATGCTCAATAAATGTCATTTCTGATCCCTTCCCTTGATTTATTGAGGGGAGGGCAAAGGGAGTAATTGTTTCAGAGTTTAGACTTACAGGAAGATAAGTGAGCAAAAACCGAAATGGGAAGGCAGATTCAATAGCTGAGCACCAAGAAGAGTTGTTCAACATCATTCTATTTTTAAAAACAGCAACCAGACACCCATCCAATCTGTGTGTCAATTCAGCAAATGTGCTTTCCTCCAAAGACAAATAAATATAAAGACACGAGGGATAGGTGACATATAATCCATCTTCAAGAACCCAGGAATAAGAAAACCAAATACCATATGTTCTCACTTATAAATGAGAGCTAAACATTGAGTGCACATGGACACAAAGAAAGGAACAACAGACACCAGGGCCTACTTGAGGGTGGAGGGTGGGAGAAGAGAGAGGATCGAAAACCACGTGTCAAATACTATGCTTATTACTGGGATGACAAAATAATCTGTACACCAACCCTGTGGCATGCAATTTACCTATATAACAAACCTTCACGTGTACCCCTGAATGTAAAATAAAAGTTAAAAAAGAACTCAGGAATAACTCAGAACATGTTAGAGATATTAGGAAAGTAAATTTAATGAAAAAATCCCAATTTGCAGCAAGTTCAGGGTGGCACAAAGCTTTTGTCTGGGATGCATGTTACATACAGAAGCTTAGAAGTAGGCATGTTAAGTATTTAAGTGTTACTACTAATTTTGCAATTAGTAGCATGGTAAGACAAGCAGTTAGTAAATATGGCAAGGCAAGCACACAGGAACAGTTATTTGTGGCCAATAATAACAAAAAAATCTAGCAGGATAAATAAATAAATAAATAAATAAAAGAAAAATAAACAATTAAAAAAATTGTTACTGTTTCCTCAGAGTTCTTCTGTCTTTTTCTCTATTTAAAAACAAATAAAAATACTATATTTTACACTTAAAATTTAAGAGAGTAGATTTCACATTAAGTCTTCTTACCACAATAAAAAAGAAATGAACTATCAAGCCACAACAAGAGATGGAGGAAACTTAAATGCCATATTGAAAAGTAAAAGAAGCAAATCCAAAAAGGTTACACATTGCATAATTCTAACTATATGATATTCTGAAAAAAGGCAAAACTATGGAGACAGTAAAAAGATTAGTGTTTGCCATGGTTTAAATCACAGGAGATGTTTTGGGCAGTGAAACTACTCTGTGTTACAATGTAATTGTGCATATATGATATTATAAATTTGTCAAAACAAATAGAACTAAAATACAAAGAATGAATCCTAATGTAAAGTATGGTATTTAGTTAATAATAATGTATCAATATGGCTCATCAATTGTAACAAATGTACCACATCAATGCAATATGTTACTAATAGGAGAAACTCAGAGGGAAGGTAGTATGTGGGAACTCTTATACTTTCTGCTCAACTTTTCTGTAAACCTAAACTGCTCTGAGAAATAAACTCTATTAACTAAAAACAAACAAAGAAAAGAGACCAACGTCCTATCAGAACAAGAGTGTAGGAGAGTAAATTGGCAGCTGAAGCAGGTGAATGCCATGACAAAGCAGAAATGAACATACTCACATGTAGGTGACCCACCCTATGGCACAGTTTGGAAAATTATCCCTTATTCCTTTTAAAGAAGAGCCCCCATTCCAATGTTTCAGCGACCCAGTGATTTTAGATGTTCTTAGATATTGAAAATGTGTCTTCCTTCTCCAGCCCACTAAACCTCTGAACTTATCTTCAGGTCCCAGAGAAAAAGTCTCCTCATGACTATTATGTTCAATCCAGGAATGGAGACCTGGTGCATTCAAAGAGCTGGGCCAATACTTGGGCTGATTATGTCGTGCAATTCTCAGATGCTCTGTAAGAATTTGTACAACATATATTTTTAGGTGGGCCTGCCTGGTGGAAGAGATTTGAAAGAAGTCCCCAGTGAAGGCAAATGTCCCTTTTCCCTATGTCCTTCCCAATTCCTGTGTTGTCCAAGGTTGCATGCCCCATTCAGCAAAACAAAGGCCCCACACCTAAACAGATCTGTCTTAGGAGGCAATTTATCAGCCATAAATTGCTCTTCATGCATGAGCTCCTCACCCCATCTATCTATTCAAGCAGACATTATTTCTTCCTGCTAATACCATATTCTTCCTGAGAGGAGCTCTCCACCTCATTACATTTTCAGGGATGTTTAGCACCCTTTATAATTTGGCACCCTGGGAAGCTCCCCAGCAGCCCACTCCTCAGCCTGGCTCTGTGCATTCAGATGCCTTGCAAGCAAGTGACTCTAACAGAACTGGGCTCTGAGGTGACAGGAAAGAGCTAAAAATGAAGAATAATATTTCCATAAGCCCATGTGGAAAAAAGCATGAAGGACATCTCTTAAGATTCTGGTGTGCATGCCATCAGCCAGAGGGACAATGTAAGAAGATATTTAGGTATTATGGAAGACAAATTAATGGAGGTGGCGGGGAAGCTCAAAAATCAAGGCTAAGGAAAAGTCCAGATATCTCTTTCTTCAAATCAACTGAAAGCCAATGATCTCTCTTTTAAAATGTCCATTTATGAATAATAAATACTAAGAAAGGATGGAAACAAATATACATACCCAATCCCCAATCATTTCAACTACGGGTTCAACCTTGAATTGATTGCCATGACTGCTTTGTGATGGAATGGCTTCCTTCCTTGTTTCCAAAGGAGAAAGGTTTAAAAATAAGTCTACTTATTGGGACTTATGGATTCCTGTGGATTTGCACAAACGAGCTTCAAGTTTGTAAAGACAAAATGAACTATTGACTAAGTAGAAAAAATGTTTGGAAAGAGAAATCAGAATCCTTCCCCAAAGTAAATGTATCTCACAATAAAGTATAATAATAATAATAATAAAAAGAAAGAAAAAAAGAGGTAAAAATAAAATATTTAGATTTAAATATCTATCTAGTTCTTTGCCCTCCTATAAGAAGACATCTTTTAGAAAATTCCAATTATTTAAACTTTTGCTTCAATTACTGTAATAAAATATCTGATTTATGTGCTGTATTAATTTCTGTCTCCTTCAGAGAAAAAGGAAATCAGAGACAAATCTTTATTTGTGTCAAAATACTTGAGAGAAAAGTATGATCTACTACCCCATATGAGTGTTTTGGCATTTATAGGCAATACTAACCATATATTCTACTTTAGTTTTCCAAGTATAAAAGAAACCCTCCCCCAGAAAATTTGGATAAATTCTAGTGAGGTAAATGAGGTACAATTGATTACTCATAGCGACAACAGCAGTTTGCATTTCTATGGAAATTGTTTTGACAGCATGGTAAATTTCCTTCTGTACATAAAGAACATGACTCTACACAACATTATTGTGAGGCTAGCAGGTTTTATCTTCCTGACATAGGGTATAGGGAATGGGCCATAGAAAGCGATGGTCATTACACTGGAAGAGAGTGTTGAAGAAAGGGGAGGAAAGATGGTTTGCTTGCAGGTTCCATAATCTGTGGACCAAGAAACTGACCAATTTTTCTCCCCATGATATTAAACATTTTCTGTAATATTTATTATCTAATCCAATGAAGTGTGAAATTTCAGTCTAAAATAAATATATTACTATCACCCACAAGGGGTAACCTAGCATAAAATACAGGTTTTTTAATGTTTGCTACACCTAAACACTGGAGATCACTTAATTGTACATAGAATGCTTAAGACCTAACCCAGCATGTAGGAAAAGAGGGGCATAAGAAATTATGAACCACAGAGTAATAGAACTAGCTCACCAATAATGACCTTTTTAAAACAATGGATTAGAATTTGCAAAGCATATTTACATATATTACCTTATTTGATATCTTCAGTTACTCCAAAGTAGCCTATTTATTCCAATTTTACAGGCAAATAGACCATGGCCTATAAAGAGTAATTAACTTGACTGAAGTCTCATGGTTGGTAAGTACCCAATTCAAGACTTGAACTAGTATTCTCTGAGTTGAAGGTTAGACTCTTTCCACCCCTTCATGGTTGCCTTGCAATTAATGATCTCTGGGTATACAGAAGATCGACTATTTCAAGATCAAATTCAAGAAGCCATCATGATGTAGAGTTGGTTTGAAGAATAGAGTTGATATAATTTGTCCTCTAATGCAGTGTTTCTCAAACTCTGATCCATTTGTATTAGATTCACCCAAGAAGCTTGATTAAAATGATTGGGATTGCTGGAGATTTTGTTTAGTAGGCTTGGAGCAATGCTCTGGAATAAATGTATTCAATTCATTCTCCAGATGATTCAGATAGTCCTTTGGAATCCTTGATGCAGTGCAATTTTCCTGGCTATTGTTCAAACCTTTCCAAATCTAATTTTTGTTGTACTTTTGCCTGTATGAACATTCCCCTCCTATTTTTCCACAATTTCAGAGGTCATACATGACACTATCGTAGGAGTAAAACCCTTCTGGTAACTTCTAGAGACAATGTTCACTTTAATGTGAAATGTATACATGGGAGAAAAACAAACATTGATCACAGCCCAAAATGCCACTAGTTCTCACTTTCAGATGCTTCTAGGACTTGATATTTCATTACACTTTGCTTCTAAAGGTGGGGTTTACTCTAATTACTTCCATGGCTTTCTCCTCCCTCACCAAAGGTAAACCTTGGGCTGGGCGCGGTGGCTCATGCCTGTAATCCCAGCACTTTGGGAGGCCGAGACGGGCGAATCACGAGGTCAGGAGATCGAGATCATCCTGGCTAACACGGTGAAACCCCGTCTCTACTAAAAATACAAAAAAATTAATTAGCCGGTCGTGGTGGTGGGCGCCTGTAGTCCCAGCTACTCGGGAGGCTGAGGCAGGAGAATGGTGTGAACCCGGGAGGTGGAGCTTGCAGTGAGCCGAGATCATGCCACTGCACTCCAGCCTGGGCAACAGAGTGAGGCTCGGTCTCAAAAAAAAAAAGTTAAACCTTGGAGTAGTAGGTAGTGATGACACTAATATGACTGAATCAGGTGGGCTCAATTCATTCATTAATTACCTAAGTACTTAATGATTATTAGCTATACATTTGTGAACATTTCTTAAGGAAAAAGAGGCCGAGAGTATGAAGTTACTTCAAAATATCTTTTTTAATGGTGTTTTCGTGACCTGAAAAATCTACATCCTGATGAGTCCAGCGACAATAACAACATAAATGAAAGGAGAGCTGATTAACAGAATTAATCTACCACATCCTGTATGTGTTATTTATGTATGCATGGATAAAATCAGCCTTTTGGATTTGTCCATGTCCCTTTTCAACTTGATTTATCTGAGGGAAAAATGAGAGTTGAGATCTTCAAAGAAGGAGTAGGACGTTCCATGCAAGGCTGTGGCCTCTTCTTCTGATAAGCTGACATGCGGGGCCGGAAGCATACTTTGTGCTTAGATCTATGCTGAGACAAGCTGGGCCCAGCAGTCTAGGGTTGTATCTACAGTACTTGTTGGAAGGTTGCTTTTATAAAAATTAATTTTATTTTTAGTTGATAAATAATAATTGTATATATTTATGGAGTACAATGTGGTGTTTTGATACACATATACACTGTGGAATGAGCAAACCAAGCTAATTGGTATATCCATCACCTCAAATATTTATCATTTCTTTGTGATGAGAACATTTGAAATCCTCTCTTTTAGCTGTTTTGAAATATACATTATTTTTAAGTATAATCATTATGCTGTGTCATTGCACAGCATGGTGACTATAGCAAGGTGGCTTTTAAAAGACCAATCAGTAAACGAATTCAGACATTTTTCTTGATCTATGTGGGCCCCAGTTTCCTTATCTGTTAATTGGGAGTTAGAAATGGTGGTTTCTAAAGATGCCTACAGTCTAATATTCTATGATGTTACATTAGTTTGTTTTTGCTTGTTCCACAAATATTTTTTGATTACCTACTGTGAGCTAAGGACTGGGATTATGGCTGTAAAAAATATAAATATTGTCTCTGCCCTTCTGAATCTTACATTCTAGGGACATGACAGGGAGGAAACAGACACAGACATTCAAGGACTCATTACGTTAATAATTTATTATAATTGTGATGTGTGCACTGAAGGGGAAATAGAGGCAGGCTGCCGTGACCTAGTTCAGTAGAGAGTGATCAGGGAGGGTTTCCCTGAGGAGGTAACATTTTAGACCTGGATGACTAATGGGAATCAAGCTGAAGAAAAGATGGACCAAGAAGACTCCTGGCAAAGGCCATGAGGTGGGATAGAGCCTGGCACAATTGATAAGTAGAAAAATGAATTCTGTGGCTGAAGAGAAGGGGAGGGGAGTCATGGTCTGGGAGAAACTGGCAGTGACCATCTTGTGCAGGGCCATGAGCAGGAATTTATATTTTATTCTCAAGACAATGGGAAGCCATGAGGGTTTTACAGATTGCTCTGGGGATGGACAGATAGATCAATAATGGTAAGCAAGTATAGTCAAATGTGAATGGCAGAGCTGAATTTGGGTGGTGGATATAAGAGTGTTCACTATAAAGTTTCAACTTTTCTGTATATTTGAACATTTTAAAATAACATGCTGAGACAAATCACTCTGGCCACAGTAAGAGGAATGGATTGAGGGAGGACAAAATTGGTGGCATAGACGGCAGCTAGGAGACTGCTGCGATAATCTTGGAGAAGGGTGATAGTGGCTTGGACTAGGATGGTGCCGTGGAGACAGTGAGAATTGGACAGGCTCTAGAGATATTTAGGAGGCAGACTCAATATGATTTCCTGATTGATTTTTGCCTCAGGATAAGAAAGAGGCAGAAACCAAAGATCAATACCAGGTGTCTGGTTACTGTTACTGGGTGGATGAAGGTACCAGGTACAGAGATAGGGCACGCTGGTGCAGGAAGACATGGGTGCGAGGGAGACTGAAACGAAGGGTACAGTTTTTAATATGTTGAAAATATGAAGTATCCTGGTGGAGATGTCATATGGGCAGTTAGATCTGGGTCTGGGGCTGACAGGAAGGGTCTGGGTTAGAGATGTGAGTTGGAAGTGAAAAGTGTATGAAACCTTGAGAGTACAGTACATGATAATGCCTAGAAGGCTGTATAAAGTGAGGAGAAAAGAACTGAGCACTGAATAATCCAATTTTTAATAGTTTTGTAGAGAATGAGTAAAGACAAAGATGAAGCAGTGACTTGTGAAGCAGAAAATCAGGGTCATGTGATATTATACAAGGCCTTTATTGATGGGCTTTTGGATTGTTTCCAATCTCTTTCAATAAATATCCTTGTATGTACTCATTTCTCATATATGCACTTACCTCTGTAAGAAAAATACTCAGAAGTGGAATGGTTGGGTAAGATTTATACCTCATTTTGAATTTCAAAGTGTTTATTCTTTGAAGGAAAAGTTTGCTTAGAAAAGCCATTAAATATAGATAGCTTGGTTAACCATATTTAATGTGGTAGTGGGTTGGACTGGTTAAATAAATTTGATACATCCCTATAATTTAATATCTTGTAGCCATAAAGAAGAATGAGACAGTCAATATTTTCTGATATGGAAGAGGAGAGAGGAAGACTTAACTTTTCACAATTTTGAACTATTTGAATTCTGTGCTATTCACATGCATTACCTATATTTAAAAATACTATTTGTAGTTCTAGACCATACTTTTGCCTTTTATTTCCAAGAGCAACACCAATAGGTTTCTGATGGATTTTTGCATACTTAAGTTTTGCATTATGGGAATACCTAGTTAGATGTTGGATTTTATGAAACCATGATACAGAGAGTTGCTCTACGTGTGGCAAAGATCTGAACACATAAAGTTCATGCTCTTCTTGAGTTCAAGTTATAAATTTTAAAATTTATTATTTTTTCATATTTATTATTAATGAATAAATCCACTTCGTTGTGTCTATACCAGAGATGTTTCCAGACTTCACCATCACCACCCTCTTACCTCCCCTAAAAATGTAACTGAAGACAGAATGAGTCACATCAAGTCTGAAGACATTTTATTTTTCCTATGTGGGAAGCAATGATGATCTTACACTTTTTGTTTTCTGTTTTTAAGAAGGGCAGCACAAGGATATGTGCAGATTTTCTTTTAAGTACCTTGCTAAGCGACACTAGACTAATAACCATTTTCTAGAATTAGGTGACCTACTTCTGAATAAAATTGAAACTGGATTGCGTATTCCCTTACTAATAATAATACTAAATATATTCTTAAATCAGTTTTCAAAATTCAAGATGAAATCTAGAAATATGGAACAACTAGCAGGAATAAGCCCGAAGATGATTCTAGCTCCGTTACTACTAAAACCTAGTTTCTAAACTTTCGAGGATTTTATATGAACTCGCATGAAAAAATGAGCTCAGAGGCTAGAATATGACTCCAGAACATACCTTGGTCGGGTATGTTCATGCTCAAGTAATCAGACTCTGCTCCAAATTTCTTGACATAAGCCCTTTTATCTACCTAATAAGCATAGCATTATGCCAAGGACTATATTGAAAAAAGAACACTGGCCTAAGATTGATAGTCTGGATTTAAGTCCAGATTTAGTCACAGCCTCTATATGGCCTTGGGCAAGTTATCTCAGCTCTCTGAAATTCACATTTGGAATCTGCAAAATGAGCAACTGGGCCTGAGGTTCCTTCTAGCTTTAACTTTCTTTGCATCTAAGTTTCGTAGCTCAAGCATCTGGAATTCCAGGTGAGAGAAGGTATGGTAGATTGAACTGTTGGCCCCAATTCTTCATGCCTTCCTGCATCCTCACTCTTGTCATGGCTTCACTGTGGGCAGTGCATATTTCCCTGCCTCTTCATCTTGGCCCTCTGACTTCCTTTGACCAATGAGATATCAGTAGACATGACACAACCAGGGGCTGAAAATGTACCCGAGCAGTGGGGCTCATCTTATTGCACTTCTGCCATCAAGATGCTCTGGCTATCCCTTTGGCTTAAAGAGGATGAGGCATAAGAAGCCCTAGAACCTCAGGCCTATAGCAGGAAGCAGAGGTGCCATAGCCAATCTTCATAACTGTGAGAAAAAGGATGGTCATTTTAAGCCACTGACATTTGGTGTGTTTTTTCATTCAGCATTATTGTGACAATAGTTAACCACTGCAAAAGGAGATAAGAAAAACTCAGTGAAGGAGAAAACAAGGGGGAAGAGAGCAGATGGAGTCTTTGATTCTCTCCCATAACAGGGCAGAAGAGGAACAGAAGTAAAATAGCAGGTAGAGTACCTCCTTTTTCATTAAACTAGTCTCGTCAGTGAACACAATGTGAAAAGGTATATCAATTGACCATTATATCTCATTTCCTTTTAGTTAATGGCTTAGAACATTTTATAAAATAAATGTTTAAAACAGAGCTCTCTTAGGTCATCAGTAGGGTGACCCTACATCCCAATTTTCCCAGGTCAATTCTAATCAACATCAATCGTTCTGATGTAGTTATTTAGCTCTCTTTGTTCTAAAAAGTAAACTGATTTAGATGATAAATTCTATAGTAATCATAGAAAGCCCTGTCAATCCATCTTGAAATACTACTTGGTTAATCCACAAGTTTGCTGCAATAACAGGACAATCCCCTTGCTCAAGCAACCATCTCCACCATGCCTTCTTGAGATCATGTGGATTCCTAGGGTGAGTAAAAGTTGGCCAGTATCCTTTCTTCTGACTTTTCAAGTGATCTACCTTCTCAGTGGTCCTCTTTCTCTTCAAAGGATTTGAGGAAATCTAAAGTAACTTATAATTAGCAAATGGAGGCTTGTGCCATTTCTTTTATGGCATAAACCCTATAAGCCTTTGCACAATTTGCTTGTTGACAGGACAAGTAGTACACTTTCTATCATCCAATCAAGAAGGCCTTGATTGGATGGAAATATATGTTTTTTAGGCACTCAGCAAGACCCTAAATGTTCATACTACTGACATCTCTCCCCTCATGTCCCAACACTGTCAGGTGAGAAATGGCAGGGAAGCAGAATCCCAGGTCTCAGTTTGCTAATGGTAGGAAAAGACAGCCAGATAGGTCCTGGTGGCCTCATTCTTGGAGAACTGGTCCCTTTAGAGCCTACATTTTCCCATGCTGGAACGAAGCATGAGTACACCCTCAAAGGGAGTTCCAGGGTTGTTGGCCATCTTCTGCCAAAGGCGCTGCTCTTCCCCCTGAGAGTCCATCCAATCCACGTTCTTCCCATGGCTCACACCTGAAGAGGCGAAACGGGAAAATTTTATGTCACACATGAAATGCTTTGCTCTCCTGCAAGGTATCTATCAACTTCTGAGCAGGCCTTTTCACCAGAGTACCTTTTACTGGCTTGTTCTCACTTAGTATATATAGTGAGTGGTGTTAGAATTGAATCAATCAATCATTTCAGCCTGCACTATTCTCTAATGCCTAGGCCATATGAGGCAAATCGGGGTGGCCCTGGTGACTCACTTCCTCCCTACTTTAGCAGAGAGCTGGTTCATCTGGACTGTGCTAACATGACAGAAGAATGGGATGAATTTGGCTCTCTTTTTCTAACAAGGGCACTTTTCTGACCTGGGGAGTTTTCCTTTTAGTGGTATAGATATTTTTGGCTCCCCTTAATCTATAAATAAGTAATTATCATAGTGATAGGACCTTCCTCAACAGAAATGTTTACCATGGTGTATGCTGATGGTCTCATCTATGTCTGGCTTAGGCTATGGGATAATGAGAGTTAGGGGAATGCACGTGCTCTACTACTGTAATCCCTCTTCCAATTCACCCTGTTACAGTTGCGTCTTGTGGCACCAGTGGTGGGTTTCCTTGATCTGTTTTTAACAATACTGGTGTTATTTTTATGAAAAAATGATTTCCTTTCAATTCAACCAGTATGAATAATAGCTGCAAGTGCTGGACAGAACTGAGAAGATGATGAAGTAATGTTGGTCTTGAAAGTCGCTCTCCTCCCATCAGAAGCCTATGCTGTCTTGGTAATCATCCCCTGAGCAAAATATGAAGCAAGGCCCAAGAAAGTACTTACAATTCACTTAGACTAAGGTGTAAATGCTAGTCTATGAAAGGATTGAATATAAATATGATATCTTCCAATCTTCTAGCCTAAGGATACAAAGTTACTGTAGTTATATTTGTATTTTAACAATGAATAGATCCTTAGCTAAAGGAATGAAGTATTTGTGGTAATTTCAGGATTTAGCTGAAACTATATATATACATCCACTGCACATCACATCTGCAAGAATAGCGCCCCCACCTGGGCCTAGTCACAGACCATCCCTGTGGGTCCCCAAATCCCTCACCACTTCCAGAATTCAAACGAACTCCTCCCAGAAAGATGTTGCTGGAAAAGGCCTCCTTGTCCCAGATAGTAAGTTCTAGGCAAACATTCTTTATATCCTGGGGATGGATGCCACTGAACATGAATGTATGATTCCACTGAGGGTTAACACTCTTTTTTATTACCAGAGTTTTGTGCTTGGTGGCTTTGCTATCATCAGGGAGCAGGTAGCTGCATGAGAAAAAACAATCAAATCATCAATAAGACAGCAGACAGAAAATGTCAGCGTGTACACAAGTGTGATGTGTCTATTTGATTTTCCTTCCCAGGCTTCTATATGCTTAAATCTGGATTTATATAGTGAACTGACTTATTATTTCTTCCCAGTGGGACATTAGTAAAATGCCCTCACTCTCCTTTCTAATCTTATTTAGGTCCTTCCTTCCATCTTGAAAAGAAAATACCTCCTGTAATAGACACTATTGAATGCCTTGCTTCAAATCTTTTTGGCCTCCTTGGAGCTGACTTGCAGCCAGGATGGGAAGTTCCTGATATACTTTCAGCTTCCCACCTCAAGTGCTTGTGTCTCTTGATACAAGGAATAAATTCCTCTAATTAAGGAATTTATCTGATATTGTGTTAGCTGGCTCAGCTTATGTGTAGGAAACTCTGGGATTACTTGGAATTTAATACCCCTGGGGCAACTTTTAACTGATGAGTTTGAGAAATTGGTGGATAATTTCCCCATCTTCCCTGTCCCTCAAAGTGACAATCCTAAGGTATATTCCACAGAGTTCCTCACTGCTTCCCTAGTGGAATCATGCTCCAGTTGCCCACAGTGGTAACCTGCCCATTAACATATGTTTTAATCAACTTCTCTTTCTTCCTTGTTTCATTTTCTCCACTTCCTCACTGGTGTTTCCTGAAATTTGTCTTCAAATAAAACGCCTGTATCCTAGGTTTTCTCGACTATGGTCAAAACACTGTATGAGGCTCTAGGTATGTGATAAAAATGGCTGTTTTCCCCCTTCAGGGAGCATACTTTAGAAAAGAAGACATATGTACATATGGAATTAGTACATGGAACAAAAACGAAAAGTGCTACAAGCAAATGACTTTACAATAAAGAAGATACATTAAGTCACTTAAGATTTAATTTCATGTACCAAGCAAAGACTGCTTATTATCTCCTAATATCCATTCTCTCCTTATATTCCTCTAAAAAACTGTGTTTTTATTTGAGCACAGTGTTGCCCAGAATAAAGACTACATTTCCCAACCTCCCTTGCAGCTGGAATAGCCATGTGACTGAGTTCTGGCCAATGGGATATAAGAAGTAGTGCTGATAAAACTACTTCTTACATCTGGAAAGTGTCCTGTCAGCTGGAATTTGTGTGGGATAGCTGAAACAGGAGCAGCTATCCTAACCCATTAGGTGGATACCATAACGAGATGGAAAAATCCTGGGTCCCTGATAATCATGATGCTTCCATACCTGCACTGGGGACCTTACCTTCAGTCTTTGTTTACATGTAAGAGAGAAAAAAAACTTGTCTTGTTTAAGCCACTGTTCTTTTGGCTCACAGACCGACCTAATGTTAATGGATATATTTTATATTATTAAACTTTACAGAGGGTCTATTCTTGCTCCCTCACTGTCTTTTAAAAAAATCTCATGTCTTTTTAGAATCAGCCTAATATTTAAGTATTATTATAGACAGAATTTACCGGAAAGTTATTGGCTTTTGTTTTTCTTTCTAGAACAAAAATACTGTCTTTTATTATTTCTGCTTTATACATTTTCCACAAGATAAAGTGAATACTGCTCCAGAAGATGTCAAGTACCGTTGCAAGGTCACAATGTGGCCACGGGTTGGGAGTCATCTCCTCATTCCAGCAGCAGAAGCTTAAACTGGATGGTAGGGCTAATGACACAAATTGTAACTGCAGTATCCAAAGAAAGCATTTCTTCTATGCTTAAATCTACTGCAAGGAAGAGTGAAGGGAAGATGTGCCAGGATTCAGGCATACACACTCACCAATGGGGAGGCCCCAGAACTGCTTCTCCCCACTACTAGCTTTACCAAAGTTAGAACATGTGGCCAGGCACGGTGGCTCATGCCTGTAATCCCAGCACTTTGGGAGGCCGAGGCAGGCAGATCACTTGAGGTCAGGAGTTCAAGACCAGCCTGGCCAATGTGGTGAAACCCTGTCTCTACTAAAAATAAAAATAAAAATAAAAATACCTGTAATCCCAGCTACTCAGGAGACTGAGATATGAGAATCACTTGAACCTGGGAAGCGGAGGTTGCAGTGAGCCGAGATGGCACCACTGCACTCCAGCCTGGGCAACAGAGTGAAACTCTGTCTCAAAACAAAAACAAAAACAAACAACAACAACAAATAACATGTGAGAGTGAGCTCAACCCATTTCCTTGTAGGAAAAAATACTCTTTTCCAATACAGCATGTGAAGAGGAACAATATTGCCATCCGACTCAAAGAATGAACCTCATGGTCTGGCATCATGGGAATTTGTTTTACCTTATGTGCTTTACGGAGTTCCATGAGGGCAGGGATAATATGTTATTTATTTTTGAAAGCATAGCACCTGGTGCTTGGCACATGTGCATTTTGTGTTTGTTTGAATGACTGAAAAATAACCTTGCAGTCTTAGTTTCTCAATTTCCAAGAGAAAAATATCCAGTAGTCAGGAATCAAAAGGGATTTGATGTTTGAGTTGCCTAGAGTTAGGCAAAAGTATCCATTTTAAGGCTGCATTCCCTCAGGAAGCTGCCCTTTGCTCCACAACTTGGGCACAAATGCCTAGCAGGTGGTCTTGGAGCCTCTCCAAAGCACTCGACAGTGAATAAGTCCAGCAAGGATGCTCTGACATCTCTACTTTTTACAATTTCCCCCAAGAGAGAAAAATATCAAGGATCTGATATTTTGGTGATTGTTGCATATTGCCAGGACAAAATGATAATAAAGAACAATATAAATACATTATACATAGGAAATCATACTTTTGTCCACTTTCGATAAATGAATCTTACAGAAAAAAGTTGACTGTCTTGAGAGTAAGAGTGATGGGAATTCCTGAAATATGTTGGAAACAGAGTGACAGCTAGAATCAGCAGTTCCCTCAACACTTGTGTTATTTTAGATGTAAGAGCCAGCATGTAAGGGTAGTTCTCACCCATACACTTCTAGTAAACAGAACACGGAAGGCTCACAGCCACCAGTGGCTTGTGGATCACAGATCCTTTCATCTCCTATTAAGTATCATCCAAAAAGAGCTAAAACAAAGTTACCCCTTCACAAAGCTATCAGAAGTGCCTCCTGACTTCACTGCTGTCAAATTCTTTGCCTCTTTGATGAACACTTCTAGTATTCCTCCAGAGATTACAGGTGACTCCTTCTTCTTTCCCTTTTTAAAAGTCTTATTTCCTGTGTCAGCCACCAAAATGAGGGAATGGTGGAGAAAGAGAAAAAAAAATAGATAAATCATGAGTTCCATTTCAAAATTTACAAAGATCATCTACAAACATATATTTCATTTGCTGACTAATTTGGGCCTTTACATTATTGTATATTTTTATTCATTTAAACATTTTTGCCCCCATTGGATTCCTTCCAGATAGGTCTTTCATTTGTATTTGTTGAAACAAATGAAGAAATAAATTTAAAACTTTAAACACTCCCTTACAAAGCATATCTTTTCACAGGGTATAAAGGCATGGAATGCCTAAGAGTTTCCCGGAGCACCATTCCTGCTCTTAGTGAGAAATAACTATGATGAAGACAATATACATGCACCAAAACTCAAAAAGAGAAAATTCAATAACTCCCTTTGATATTTTAGTCTTACAAATAGTCAGTTTTAGTCAGAGCCAGCTCTAGAGGCTACAGCCCAAACACAGTTACGTTTTAGGGTGAGAGAAATCTCTTTTCCACCTCACTTTTCTTTTCTTATGAAATACATTCAACATGAATGATATAAACCAGTATCACAACCAGCACCTTTATTTAGTATTGTTTTAAGCACCTTACATATATGAACCTGTTTATTCTTCACAACAGCCCTTTGAAGTGAGGAAATTGAGGTCAGGTGATAGTGAGTTACTTGCACAGGGTCACACTGAAAAGAGTAATAGTGAATGGGAGGACAGAGGAGGCTGCCTGCAAGAATTGATGGTAAAAGAAGGGCAAGATAGTTTGGATGTTATCCTCACCCAAATCCCATGTTGAAATGTAATCCCCACTATTGGAGGTGGGGCCTGGTGCGAGGTGATTGGATCATGGGGTGGATTTCTCATGAGTGGTTTTGCACCGTCCCCTTGGTGCTGTCCTCATGATAGTGAGTGAATTCCTGTGAGAGCTGGTTGTTTAAAAGTATGTGGCACCTTCTCTCTTTCTCTTGTTCCTGCTCCTGTCATGTGAGACACCTGCTCCACCTTCACCTTCTGCCATAATTGTAAGCTTCCTGAGGCCTCCTCAGACACAGATGCCTGTTTTATGCTTCCTACATAGCCTGCAGAACCATGAGCAAATTAAACCTCTTTTCTTTATACATTACCTAGTCTTGGTATTTCTTATAGCAATGCAAAAACAGCTTAATACAAAGGGGAAGAGAGATTTATAAATTGATTCCATCTGATTTTTTCCTTTAAATCCTGTGTTCTAGATCAACTTCTTCCTCAAGACTCCCTGAATAGCTGTGAATGTCATAAATCCATGGAGCAGTTTCCTATACTTGCCTCCAGCAGCCTGCCTTCCCCCAACCCTGGGGGAAGATCCTATATCTTTGGGACATAAAACAAAACTGACCACCAAGGCTGGTTTCTAAGTATGAATCTTACAAGGATTCCTTGTAAGAGTCCTGCATTCTTCTATATATACGGTATACACATCTCAACTCTCCCCAAAAGACAGTGACACCAAACCCTTTATGTTTTGTTTGTGTAATATGAAAGAAATATAATGCAACCAATCCCTGAGTCCCACTACCACACTTCTAGAAACAGAATGTCATTGATCAAAGTCATTGATTTTTACTCTACCTTGGAGTTGTTCTGGTGGAAGCATCAGGTTCTCTTCTGGGGGAATGTAACGTAAAACAACTGTCAGCTCTCCTTTGTATTGAAGGCCAATATCAGGAGCAAACTCCACCTGGCCAAGGAGAAACAAGTAAGTTGAAAGAGTATGGATGATTGGCTTAGTATTGTAGTCCACATTTGAATGTGCAATATTTACTTAGTGGCATAAATGTGACAATCCATTCTCATTTCAACTCTGTTCGCTCTCACTGGTTTAAGAGATGACTGAGGTAAGAGAAAACAAAGGCTGGAAAACTCTATGAAGGCATTTGCATATAACTTTTAACATTTAAGTAAAAGAAATTTGAAAGAAGACATATAACTTATATTTGGCCAGTCAATAGATATTGAGCACCTGTGATGCATTGATGACTGGACCTATCACTGAGTTTACATATATAGTTTGGGATATGAAGAAGCAGGAATAAAAATGCCACTGAAAATACCTCCAGAAATTACTTCTCCCTGTCATCTTTGATGTCTTTTAAGTCTTTCCCAAGTGATCAAGAATGGAAAAGTAGGCAATAATGCTTGATTCACATGGGGCTGCCAGCCATCAACTGTTAAAAGCAATGTTGGTAATTCATATAATCAAAATTCAACATGGAGAAAGTGGTTCACTCAAACATTGTTGGTGGGAATGTAGAATGGTGGAGTCACTCTGGAAAACAGTTTGTAAGACTGTTTGTAAGACTAAACATGCAACTACCATCCAACCAGAAATTGCACTCTTGGTCATTTATCCCAGAGAAATGAAAACATTATATCCACACAAAACTTGTATAGGAATATTTGTATCAGCTTTATTTGTAATAGTAAAAACTGGAAACCACATGGATTTCCTTCAACAGGTGAATGGTTAAACAAACTGTGGTACATTCATACGATGGAATACTATCCATTAATAAAAATGGAATAGACTATTGATAAATGCAACAAGTTGAATCTCTAGAGAATTATACTGAGTGAAAAAAGCCAGTCTTAAAATGACATATACTTTATGATTTCATTTATGTAACATTCTTGAAATGACAAAATTATAGAGATGGAGAACAGATTAGTGGTTGCTAGAAGTTAGGGATGTGAGTAGTGGGAGGGAGTTAGATGTGGTTATAAAAGGTCAACCTGAGGGACATGTGGTATTAGAACTGTTCTGTACCTTGACTGTGGTAGTAGATACACAAACCTATAAAGGTGATAAAATTGCATAGGATGAAATATACACACACATGTGCACACACACACACACAAATGAGTACCAAACTGGGAATTCTGAATAAAATTGGTGAATCATATCAATGGCAATATCTTGGTTGTGGCTGGGTGTAGTGGCTCATGCCTGTAATCCCAGCATTTTGGGAGGCCTAGGTGGGAGGATTGCTTGAGCCCAGGAGTTTGAGACCAGCCTGGGCAACACAGTGAGACCCTATCTCTCAACATATATATGTATATGCGTACATATATATATATATATATATGTATATGCGTACATATATATATATATATATATTAGCTGGGCATGGTGGCATGCACCTGTAGTCCCAGCTACTTGGGAGGCTGAGGTGGGAGGATAGCTTGAGCCCAGAAATTTGAGATTATAATGAGCTATGATTGTGCCACAGTACTCCAGCCTGGATGACAGAGTGAGGCCCTGCCTCTAAAAAAATAAGCAAAACCTGGTTTGATATTATAGTACATCTTTGCTATAGGTTACCATTGGGGAAAATCAAGTATTGGGTACATAGGATCTCTTCATATTATTTCTTGTAACTGCATGTAGATTTATAATCATCTCAAAATATAAAGTTTAAATTAAAGAAAGTCAATGTGCACGTGCACCCAGAACCTCTATTCTATAGGTCTCCCACTTGCCATTGAGTCAACTGAACTTTGAGTTCTTTCACAGGTAGAGCAGGAAAGGCAGTATACTTTGTCAGGCTTTTCCTTTAGGGATCTGACTTCTGAGTCAAAAGCAGAGAACTGCTCTCTCAGAGAGGGCAGAATGAGAGTCCCGAAACCTAGCTCATTCATAGCCAAGCCAGAGACTGTTCAAGACTTGGCATAAATAAGCAAATAAACAGTAAAAAAAAATTAAAAATACTGAGACTGTTACAAAGAAAAGGAATCCTTGCCTGACTTTCCCTTTTCTTTCCTGCTGGTGGTAGTAAAACTTACTAGTAAGGGTGGGAAAAATGCTTGAAATATTTTATTCAACCTTCTTACCCGGGGCAAAAATGAGATTATATGGTAAAATAGACTATCCATCTAATATTTAATCTGATTATTTTAGATCAGGTTCCTTGTAACTGGACTCTTCTTTTTGTTTTGACAATCTCAGTAAATTTTAGTTTAGGTGACTATCATAAGTAGAAAATTATAATGGATGTTATGACAGATTAAAGATGGTTACCACTTTTTTGGTACCGTCATCAATGAGAGATGGGGTATTTGTGACCTCTCTTTGGGTCTGTGTGGGCTCTGTGATTGCTTTGACTAGTATTATAGAATATGGCAGAAGTGACAATGTGCCAGTTTTGGGGTCCAGGTCTTAAGATTGACAGCTTCTACTTTTCTTTCTTGGAATGGATATTTCCGAATGCTTCCTCTGGGAACTCGTACTAAGAGAGGCTAAAGCCACAGAGAGAAGCCGCATGTAGGTGCTCCAGCTGGCAGGCCTAGCTGAGTTTCTAGCCAGCAGTCAACATCATGTGTAAGACATGGAAGTGAGCCAACTCGAACAATCAATGCAGTTGAGCTTTCAGATGACATCAGCCTCAGTCAACCATCTGGCTGCAGTGGCGCCAGAAACCCTAAGTGAGAACTACCTAGATGAGTCTAGTCGACCCACAGAATCATGAGAGAGAATAAATTCTTGCTGTAAGCCCCGAAGGTTTAAGGTAGTTTGGCATACAGCAATAGTTAACCAGAGCAGGCTGTGTTTGCTTTTTGAGTGAGATCTTCGGGTATGAAAATACGCCAGTAGGAAAAAGTTATATGTGTAGGAATCACATACTAATATATAGTGTGCTACCAGAGATCAAAAACATGCATTATTGGGACTTACCAATGTTCCATTGGTTTTTAGCTTAAAATATACTGTAGACCCCGTATAAATATAGACTTCAAGTCTTATGAAAGGAAAACACAATAATGATGAAGC
The DNA here is from genome assembly GCF_000001405.40 of Homo sapiens. Taxonomy (NCBI): domain Eukaryota; kingdom Metazoa; phylum Chordata; class Mammalia; order Primates; family Hominidae; genus Homo; species Homo sapiens. Next base: position 38,117,270 of record NC_000023.11, on the reverse strand, counting down.
TTGTAGCATTATAATCACATATAAAAAATTAAAGCAGGGGAGTCATATTGCAGCCTGCACATGTCTAATGTCTTAGGGTATTTTTGATACTTATATTTTGCCAGGAAATTCCTAGGCAACACCCTCTCCTGGCATACCACCATTGTCATTATCCAACCCACTATTACTCAGAAAAAGTTAGCAGAATCCAATCATATTCAATTCAACTCTACCAACACATATGGAATGCTTACATTTTTATAAGGCATTTTGCTAAGTGCTGTGGGGACACAAAAGACAGACCCTGCTTTCAATGAGTTTTCAGTCTATCTAGTAGACATATTTGCAGTAGCAGGATCTATTAATTCACACTTAGTTAACTGCTGACTCATCAGTTTAATTAGTGTTCTTCATCCCTCGTGAATAGCAGAATCCTTTCTGCAAAGAACATGCATCTGCTCCCATCAGTTCAATTGTATGCACACTGAGAGTCAGCTGCATTAGTTAGTCCCCTAAGCTCTTTAGGCCAGGCATATTTGTGATTTTAATTATATAGTTTAAAGTCACATAAATTGATGAGTGCAAAAAGACAGCTGCTACTATAACAATTCAGTTGAATAGAAGAACTAAAGATTTGAAAACAAAGTTGCTATTGGATTATATGTGGGCTTGAATCTATCAAAGGTTAGAAAAAATCATACATTTTTTAGAAGAATTTGCATTTTGTTTACTTTGAAAGTATTCTTATGTTCTTGTTTCATTTGAGAAAAGCTCAAATTAGAATCTTCTGATGATGATGCATTAGGAGGAGAATTTATGCAAGGAATATATGGCAGAATTTTACTTACTGAACGAAATTCAAACAAAATTAATTGCCTCTATATCAGAAGACTTGCAAATGAACGTACATTTATTTGGTTTAAGTTAAAAATAAATGTTTAAGAAATGCATTGGGAAACTATAGTAATCAAAACAGCATGGTACTGGCATAAGAACAGATACATAACACCAATGGAACATAATAGAGAGTCCAGAAATAAATTTATGGTCAATTGATTTTCAACAAAAGTGCCAAAAATACACAATGGGGAAAGGACAGTCTCTTTAATAAACAGTATTGGGACAACTGAATATCCACATGCAGAAGAATGAAATTGGACCCTTGTCTCACACCATATACAAAAATCAACTCAAAGTGGATTAAAGACTTAAGCATGAGACCTGAAACTGTAAAACGACTAGGAAAAACATAGGGGAAAAGCTCCACAACATAGGTCTGGGAAATTTTTTTTTGAATATGACCCTAAAAGCACAGGAAACAAAAGCAAAAATAGGCAAATAGGACTGCCTCAAACTGAACTTCTGCAGAGCAAAGAAAACAATCGACAGAGTGAAGAGACAATCTGCAGAATGAGAGAAAATAGTTGCAAATCATACATCTGATATAGTTTAAGTTAAATCATTTAATATCGAAGATACATGAGGAACTCAAGCAATTCAATAGTAAGAAAACAAATAATCCAATTAAATAATGGGGAAAGGATCTTAACAGACATCTCTCAAAAGAAGACATACAAATGGCCAAAAGTGTGTGACAAAATGCTCAACATCGCTAATCACCAGGGAAATGCAAATTAAAATTGCAATGAGCTATTACCTCATACCTGTTAGAATGGCTAATATCAAAAAGACTAAATATAGTAAGTGTTATAGAACTACCATATTTATGACCTAGCAATCCCACTACAAGATATATAGCCAAAGGAATTGAAATAAGTATCTTTTTTTTTTTTTTTTTTTTTTTTTTTGAGACGGAGTCTCGCTCTGTCGCCCAGGCTGGAGTGCAGTGGCGCGATCTCGGCTCACTGCAAGCTCCGCCTCCCGGGTTCACGCCATTCTCCTGCCTCAGCCTCCCGAGTAGCTGGGACTACAGGCGCCCGCTACCACGCCCGGCTAATTTTTTGTATTTTTAGTAGAGACGGGGTTTCACTGTGTTACCCAGGATGGTCTCGATCTCCTGACCTCGTGATCCGCCCGCCTCGGCCTCCCAAAGTGCTGGGATTACAGGCGTGAGCCACCGCGCCCGGCCTGAAATAAGTATCTTAAAGAGATCTCTACACTCCCATGCTCATTGCAGCGTGATTCACAATAGCCAACATATAGAAACAACCTAATTGTCCATCAATGGATGAAGTGATAAAGAAAATATGGTATATATACACAATGGAATACTATTCAGCCTTAAAAAATAAAATCTTGTCATTTGCATTTGCAACAACATGGATAAATCTGGAGGATATTATGTTAATTAAAATAAGCCAGGCACAGAAAGATGAACACTGCATGACCTCACTTATATCTAAAATAGATATAAATCTAAAATAGTGGAATCTAAAATAGTTGAATTAATAGAAGCAGAGAGTAGAGTGGTGGTTATCAGGGGCTGGGGGTGGGGAGAACTGGGTAGATGCTGGCCTAACAAAATAAAATGTCAGCTAGATAAGAGGAATAAATTTGAGGAATCTATTTTATAACATGGTGACCATAGTTATTAATAATAACAATGTTTTGTATTCTTGAAAATTGCTGAGAGTAAATTTTATGTGTTCTGACCACAAAAAAGTATGTTATGTGAAGTAATATATATGTTAACTAGATTGATGTAGCCATTCCATAATATATACATATTTAGAAACCATATTTTACATGATAAATATATACAATTTTTATGTGTCAATTCAAAATAATTAAAAATAAAAGAAATATATTGTGTGTGTTTGTATGTGGGTGATTTCTGTGACTTTGTCTATTAACTGACCTACTACTGGTTGTAATTTCTGGGGCAAGAGGGTTTCTACTATACAGAAAGTTCAATGTAAGATAAATGGTGACAGTTATTCCAACACAAGTAAAAAGAAACTACTATGGGAAGAGAAAGATTAATCCAGATTGGGATAAAGAGGTGGCTCTTACCTGGTCCTTAAAGGATGGGAGACATGATGACAGATGAAGATGGATTGGGAAGGTTAGTCCAGGTTGAGAAAGCAGTATGAGTAAAATATGATGGGGGTTGTGTAGAATATGTTTAGGGACTGACAGGAAGTCAAATGTGATCAGGGGAGTGTGTACAGGGAGGTAGTAGCAAGGAGGATGAAAATAAGGTGTCAACTCAGGGTTTCCCAGAAGATGCTAAGGCACTTATTTAAGTTATAGTATTTTATTAGGAAGGGTACTGGGGAAGGGGGACCAAAAGTGAAGGAGGCTTAAGGATGTGATTTCAGGCAAAGTTCCATGGAGAGTAACTGTTGTTAAGTCCCATAGGGGTACTCTGGAGATGTGACAGATCACACTTCAGAGCTGTTCCAATCAGAGGCAAGAACGTGGGAGTATTGACGTTCCTTAATCCACCAGTCATTGATCAAGGCTCTGCTCACCCCCAGGAGACTTAAATACCCAGGCTATGTTGGCTTTTCTGGCCTGCAAACCAAGCCCTCTCTAGCAGCCCGAAGGCTCCCCTCCTACAATGATTGGCAGGGGTTGGCTGGTGGGAGTGAAAGAAGTGGGGAGCCCTGTTTGCAAGAAAACGGGGATGGGTAGAGAACTAACATCTTTGGCTGCTACAGTAGGCTGGGCCATTCAACAGAACACTGAGTGCCAGGGTGAGGGTTAGTATTTATTCAAACCATATCCAAAAGTAGTAGGGAACCACTGAGACTATCTGAGCATGGATGTGAAATAAGCAGATGACACCCACCACCTCCTGCTTTCTGAAAAAAAGAGAGGTCCACTTTCCATCGGAGTGAGAAAGAGACTCCCAGTGCATTTACAGGTGTAACACAGAGTAAGGAATTACAGACAAAAGTCTGCCAAAAAAAGAGAGAGCCTTTAATCTAGGTATAATTCCAAAGGAACATACATTTACTCTCTACCTGAAGGCAGAATAAGAGAACGTTTCCTTGGAAAACCACGTAAGCTTGCTGTTGATTTTCAGATGTCCTTGTTTTTATAATAGTACACTCTGGGAAGGCATGAAAGGCAATTCATACTGATAAAACCTTGTCTAACTACCTGACATGCCTTTCAGAAGGCTTTACAGCTAATAAATAATCCCATGCCATGAAGTAAAATGGAAGTTATACTGTGAAACTACAGTATGTTTGGCATCTTGAGTTCTTTCTCTGCACCAGCCTCCTCACTGGCTTAGCACTGTAGGATCTAACCCATACAAAGATAAATATTGAGGAACCTTCACTAATAGAGTCAATAAGCAATAAGGCACCATGCCGTTCTGGAACTCCTAGTGCAGAAGTATGTCAGTATTTCTAAATTATTAAGGATTATTAATTCTGATCCCCTATTACTAGGGAAATCAGTATGTGTAACTCATGTTTCACCTTCTCGACTGCATAATCTATGAGAAACGTCAAGTCTCCAAGGCTGCTCATACTACATCTGCAGCTGCTGGAGTGACAATTGCATGGAAATGACCGAGGCAGGAAACTGAAACTGAAGTGCCACTTCACATAGCTGGCTGATAATCAACCACACAGAGCCCAGCTCAGCCTGGGGATGAGCCACTAATGAAGCACAAGGCAGCATATAGAGCATGATAGAGCATGCCTTTATGCCTGTCCTCCCCATTTATGGAAGACATGATATCTAAGCACGTTTGTGTCTTCAGCTTTTCTTCTATATAGAACAGAGGAAGCTGGGCAGAGGAAGATGGCAGAGATTAGAGACACTAACTTCTGTTGGGTTCTTCAGAAATAGACTCTAAGGTGAAGATTCTTATGAAGTGATTTATTAAGGAAGTTCTCTCAGAGAGACCAGTAAAGAGGTATGGGAAGCAAGTCTATAGGGACAAGTCTAATCTTGGGCATAATTCCATGGAAGATAGCTTCCACCTGATGTGGTAGTATATGTAACACTTTGGAGTTTTTCCCACCTTCAGTAAGGAAGTGGGCCTTCATACTCCCCCACCTATCAGTTATTGATGAAGGGTTGTCTTGTGGCAGCGGGTATAAAAATTCCCAGGACTTCTGGCTCTCTGCTTACATAGGCAAAAAGCTACAGTAGCCCGAGGGAAGTCTTCTAAAGAGAGTCTCAGGTGGAGGCTGTTGTGGCAAATCTCCTAAAAGACATGGTTAGGAACCTAAGGGTATCTGGCAGAGGACCCATGGTATTCCACAGTGAATGCAATCAGAACTTTTCTACCTTCAGTAGACTCAGAAAGACTTAGAGATGCTTCCCTCTTATGATAGACTGTGAACCACTCATTGACAATGTGGAAGTGATTACTGTGGAAAATGTTGATTTCTAAGCACAAAGGATGCCTAGGAGAGGTCTAGGGGAGCTTAGATATCATTCCAGCAAAGTCCTTCAACTATTTCCAGGAAATTTACTGGAAGGATGCTATTGTTCCCTTCTTCAGAACCAGGGTATATTCTGATTGTCTTAAGCCAGCTAATGCATCTCACCTCCCTGGCCACAGTCAATAGCTTAGAATAGGCAAATGACAGAATTATAATTAGGAGAACCAGGCCCAATGCACTGATTTGGCTGTTGGAGGAGGAGGAACTCTCCTCTTCTGAACAGTGTGGTGCAAAGATGAAAGGCTTGCAGCCACTGTAGTCATTAGAGAGGCATGCTTGGAGCTAGTCAGGGAGGGCAACACTGCATGGAACCTGAAAATGAAGCCAATGAAGATAAGAAGAGAGACCAAGAAATTCCAAGACTTTGATAAGATTTGAACATCTGGATCAAGCTATGCCTAATCACTGCTGGCCAATAATCTCCCTCTATTTTTTGAGCAGTATTAGCTGGAGTTTCTGTCTGTTGCAGTACAAGGACTCCCAAGTAACACGTATACTATCTAGCACTTATTGAGAGCTTACAATGTTCCCAATAAAATGCTGACGGCCATGCGTAGAATGTTTATTCAAGCTTCACCGCAGACCTATAAGCTACATCCCACGATTATATTATAACTGAGGACACTAAGGAATAAAAAGTTAAATAATTTGCCCAAGGTCACATGGGCAGTCATGAAGCCAGGATAGAACCAAGTAAGTTTGATTTGAGTCCACTGTCTTCATCATAATGTGCTTTTGCCTTTCTGTATATAAACAATAATCTTTGGCTGCATAAATGTGACCTTTACTCACCTCCATTTTGGCTTAAAAAGTACTGTAAATGCATAGAGACTCCAGTCACTTAAAGTGAATCCAAGGTACTGTTGGTCTAGATTAGAACATGCTATACAGTATTGGCATTTAATTATCAGCTCTAAGATTTTTTTTCTGAATGTAACTCAAGGCCTGGGTCATGAATCCCAAAAGTAGGAAAGTAAGAAAATCAGATACTTTAGCTACTGGTTATTCCCTCATATAAGCAAAGGCAAGATCACTCCTGTTTGTGGTATAAATTGTGGAGAATGAGAAATAAAGGTAATGTTTGGGGATTGTTCATGCTGTATGAATTTGGTTTCGCCTATGTGAAAATGAAGACTCTCTAATAAGATCATATAATGTGTTGCTTTCAGTTATCCAATGAGACTGTCAAATAATAAAAATTTTTAACAAAAAAATGATTATGTAGCTTTCATTATACAGATGATCTATATTGACAAAGAATTTCCAAAACGGTGGATTTACAACATTTTTATAATATTATTCCAAAATTTGCTGCACTAATTTTTTGCAGATTATCACTTGAAATTTGAAAGTCTTCAAGTTCTTTAGGTCTGTGACATCAATTTCGCTCATAACTTGTCTCATTGCATAACTGACTAATCTGAGAGCATTTCCTACCTTGGGTTGAAGCACAAACCACTCATCAGTTGGATTTTCAAAGTTCCATGAGTCAAAAGGAATCTCTACTTCCCCGAGGAAGCTATTACGTCCAAATCGATCATAGTGCCAGACTGAGAGCTGCAGAGTTCTTGTTTCCAGCTGGGTATGGCTGATAGTGTACTGCGAATGAGATTTACAACATTACACTCCACAAGGAGGGCTCTATCCAATTCCAGGAGAGGTCGAAATTTACTTCCAACATCTTTCAGATCATATGCATCAGTAATATGAACAAAACAAACACAAAGAAAACTCTTTGTTTTTCTTTGTTTCTGCTACAATTGAAGTTCTATGCCATAAACTCATTTTGTGCCAGACTTTGCATTGAAAGATATATAAACAAATTATCTGAGGTAGAGATAAACTCCATATACTGCATAAAAAGTGTTAGGTGATGAAGCTTATCCTCTTTCCAGTTTTATTGGTTTTTCATTTTCCTTAATTATTTTTTCATACCTACTTTGTAAGCTCAAGGTTTAATATATACATTCTCCACCTTCTCTCTTATTTTATTCATAATGAGAATCCCCAAATCCAGAAAAGGATTGACAATGAGAAACTCGCAAACACCAAATTTTATAAAGTCCAGCCTAAGTGCAGAGGTGAAAAGGTGTACATGTATATTAAACAGAAAGAAGATATTGCTGGGCTAGCATTTTTTTTGTTTTTTGTAACAACATCATCCAGGGCCACATGCTCACACACCCTCCAGCCTTCTGCTTGTTCTATGCAACCACCATCTGGGACACACTTCACACTGACTGATTCCTGATCTTGGATTAGTGCCTATTCTTGTCTTTGCTGTTACTGTCATAATTAACCTTGGCTCCCTGCTTCCTAAATTTACCCTCTCACTGTGTTTGGGCTCATCTTTCCTATCCTGTTATGGCCATTGAATTTACTCTCTACCTGTATTTATTCATTTTTCAGTTTGTTCTGTCTTAATATTAGTTCCTGCTTCCACACACGCTCCCACTGACACATGCAGGCTTGTGGCTTTCTGCCTTTACCAATTTCCTCCTAAAGTGGACTCTGACACCATCACTCTGGGGCACAAGCCCATAAATTTCCATAGAATTGGCAATAACTTCTGCTTTCCATCCTCCCTGGGTGTTTCTTACCAGGCCAGATTGTTCCATAGCAAGAGAAGGGGTTAATTATGTGAAAGCGCATTGGAAAGAGATTTCTATTTTCTGGATCATTGACCTGGATTGGGCCATATTTTATCTAGGCTACTTTTGCTGAGATTTCTCAAATCTGGCTCTGCATTTCCACTATTCATTAACCACATACCTACATTTGGTCAAATTCTGAAATCCTAACAACAAACAGTATAGACCTATGCTATGTTAGCAGAACAATGAATGCGTGCAAAGTGACTCATTAAGTAGTGTCAAAACTGTGACAAGCTTCTTTTACGGAAGTCAGAAAAAGCACTGTTTGCCCAAAGGTAAAACCGATTTTTTAGCAAGAAGCATCAGCACCGATGCAGTTTGGCTGGATCCTCTCTACTCAAGGTTCAAATTCAGTAGCAGCGTAGACTTAAATAGAGTAAGAGTGTTTTCTTTTTCTCAAAAGATGTTAGAAAAGTCAAGGTTATTATGTTAATTTATTCAAATTCTAATTTTCTAAAACATATACAAGCCTTGACACACAAATAAAATATTCTCTGTAGTTACTTCTAAACCATTGAAGTTGTGAACAGTACCACATGAGTTACTATGAGACCGTATTTATTTACCTTTAGTGTTTCATTGAATTCTGGATTGGTGCCTGTTCTGATTTTGGTCTTACGCTTGTTGTTCCGGGACTTGTCAGGAAGAAGATATGACTTGACATAACTATAGATAAGAAAATATAAATGTAATTATTGTGAAACATCTATTTGCAAGAAATGTTCAAAGACTTCGCTGTGAATAAAAGGGGCAAAGGGCCAGTGAGCATGAGCGGAAATACCAAAGAGAATTTTGTCTATATAACAGGATACCTTAAAATAGAACACTGGGCCTTCCGTAAGAGAGAAGTGGTAAAGTATAATGATAAAAGAGTGTGGGTTCTGAAGTCAAGCCACCTGGTTTTGAATCACTCCATGCCTCAGAGATTTGGTGACCTCAAGAATTTACTAAATAACCACTCTGTGCCTCAGTTTCTTCATCTGTAAAACTGGGAAAATAACACTGTCTAACTGATGGCCTTGTGAGGATTAAATTAGTTGACACATCCAAGGAGCTACCATATTGTACTACTCAATACATGTAATACACTATTAATATTAATGGTCTCACAAATTTTTCTGGGATTAGATGCTTCTCTATTACTAGTCTTGCCTTCTGATGTCAGAGAGTGGGGTCAATGGTAATGGGTGAGTAAAAGAAAACAGTGAAAAAGGCAAAATAAAAAATAACAACCTGAAGTAGTGATAGCAATTCTACCCAACACTTTAGCTTGAGCTATCTCAGGAGCCTCTTGAAGCAGGGTATCACAGCAGACTCAGAAATGTACAAGATGTGTACAAAGCTGAAATGTATAAGATGCTACCAAAGTTCTACAGAATATCTGTTGAGTTTTAGAAGACCCCTTTCCATGCCAGTCAAAATAATTACATTGGTCCTGTAGCCCTCTGAAATGTAGCTGAGGAGGCAGGTGGACCAATCTGTAGTCAAAATCCACTCATTTGTCTATCTTAGGGGATTTGGAACCAGGTTCACTGAGTTATTTATTGGACTTAGGTCATCTATTGTGCAGAAAAGAGTTAACATAGTGGGCCTGAGACTACCATTCTTCTAAATGCCTGCTTACAAATTTGGCCCTTGGGTGGCATCTGGCAACTTGGATTTCAGGATTCCCACCATTCCCAGAACTGATAAAAGTGGCTCGTTGTTCCTAAATTGTTTGTACAAACAATATGGCTTATGCTGAACGGGTTCTTTTTCTCCTGAGAGACTGGAAATTTGGTATGTGACCAGCTGAGTTTCTAACACGCTTCCTTGGCAGACAACATTTCACAGATGTTGTCAGAACTCATCGCCAGAGGAATTAAATGCATCCTATGTGACTCCACTGGGAAAGGACCCTTGCAAAGCTTGAGCCTGATCTCTCCTGGACTTTGCCCCATGTGCCTCTTTGCTGATTATAACTGCGTGCAGAGTCCTAAGTCCTCCTAGTGAATCACTGAACCTGGCAGTGGTCTTGAGAACCCCTGACACACCTTTATATCTAGCTTCTCTCCAGTGTGCTATGGTCCATACCTGCCCTCCCAGGCTGATCTCTAGAATCCTGAGAGCCTCATAATTGCCCTTTTGAGTTGTTTAATTGGGTAACAGTTTGGTAATTTTCTCTGGAGGATTTCCCAGAACAGAAATCGACAAGATGCTTTTGTACATCCTGGGTGTGCCAACATGTCAGCATTCTACTTCAAAGAGCTGCCTCTGTGTAAATTGCAAATATGTCAATCCTGAATTATGTTTTAAAAATCAGTTAATCAAAGACACAACCAGTATACATTTGCTTCAGAGAATATTTAAAAGTGTGGTATAGGAGGAACATGACAATCAACTCTCTGAGAAGACTGAATCAAGAAGAATGCTAAGACTCTTTTGAAAAGGAAACACACATACAGACAAAAAAGGCAGTGACTGAAATAGTCTGAGGAACATGCTATGTGCTTACGCATCTGTCCTCTGTTTCTTTTCATCTCCTATGGCCAGATTTCTGCAATTCTTGACAAAAATGTACAGCCCACCAGTTTTGTAGCAGTAGCTGATATGGAGAAGGATTTCACCACTGACTTTCACGTTGCCATAGTCTCCCGTTTCACTGTAAACGCTCATCATGCTGTTAAGGCTGGTCTGGAATAAACAAGATGGAAAAAGGCTTCTAGTGTCATTCTAATGATCTCTTCACAGAATCAACTCATTTCATTCAATTATAGTTCCTGTTCTTTATAATGAGCATGGAAGTCTAGGGTGAGGAAAGAAAACAAGAGTCACTTGTTTGGCTGGTGTTGTATAAAATCCCAGCTGGAGAAAAGACAGCAGATCTAGTACCATCAGGAAAAAAGGCAGAAAATTTGCTTAGAGGGGAAGCATTTCCTTCTTGGGTTAGAGAATACCCTTTGCTTACTCACTTCTACTAATGAATACAGGGTAATTGAGGCATTTCAAATCTCACTTCTCGTCTATCTCTGCAGCTTTCTCCATTTTCACTGTTAGACTCAAGTTCAATCTACTATAAGGTGTAGAATACATTGATTGGGACAAAGGGTAGCTTATCTCATATTCTGTGCTAGCAGGAGCCACATACTGCTTTCTTTGACACCTACATGGAGCATCCCATCAGTCTCCGGGGAGCCATAACTACAGCTTTAACAAGGACATATCAGAAGAACATCACATACCCACAGCTTCCATGATTTCCCTCAACTGAGTAGCTAGCTGTGTGGCTACATGAGTAGTATATGACCATGGCTTTGTAAATCTGTATAAAGTAGCAGCCCACAAAATAAACTACTACACAATAAAATCACACACCAACCAATCAGGAAAATAAATTTTAAAAAAGTCCAAATCTACCAGAATGAATGAGGCTTTTGACAAGACACTAATGACATGAGACAGCTTTTAATTTATAGTAGTCCCCCTTATCCACAGTTTCACTTTCTGTAGTTTCAGCTACCCATGGTCAACTGCGGTTCAAAAATATTAAATGGAAAACTCCAGAAACAAAAAATTCATAAGTTTTAAATTGTATGCTGTTTTGAGTATGTGAAAGGAAAATATCTTGGGCACCCAAAATCAGAAAGCTAAAGGAAAAAGTCAAGCTGGGAACTTCTTAGAGCAAACCTGCCTCCCATACTACTCAAAGTCATCCCCCTGCTCACTGAGATAAGTGCATATCTAACTGCCTCCTTTGGAGAGGCTACTCAGAAACTCAAAAGAATGCAACCATTTGTCTCTTATCTACCTATGACCTGGAAGCTCCCTCCCCACTTCGTGTTGTCACGCCTTTCCAGACCCAACCAGTGTTCATCTTACATATGTTGATTGATGTCTTATGTCTCCCTAAAATGTATAAAACAAAACTGCGCTCTGAGCACCTTGGGCACACGTTGGCAGGACTTCCTGAGGCTGTGTCAGGGGTGCCGGTCCTCAACCGTGGCAAAATAAACTTTCTAAATTAACTGAGACATGCCTCAGAGTTTTGGGGTTCACAAGTAGCATGATGAACTCTCACATCATACTGCTCCATCCCACCCTGGATGTGAAGCCTCCCTTTGTCCAGTTGGACACACTGTAGGAGCCACACTGCAGATGCTACTTGCCCATTAGTCACTTAGCTGTCTCAGTTATCAGATTGACTGTCCTGCTATCACAGAGCTTGTGTTCAACTCATTCTTATTTTACTTAATAATGACTCCACAGTGTAAGAGTAATGATGGTAGTAATTTACATATGTCAAAGAGAAGCCAAAAGTGCTTTCTTTAAGTGAAAATGTGACCTTGGTGTTTCTTGGCTAGGGTTTGGTACTACGCGAGGTTTTAGGCATCCACTGGGGTAGGTGGAATGTATCCTCTGTGGATAAAGGTGACTACTGTAAATGTAATAAAATTATCCTTTGGCACTAGAAATGAAAACTATGTATCTCAGTAACTGTCACAAAAGACCACCTGGAGGTCTTTCGTGGATGACCCAATAGTTTCAAAACCACTTTTCTGTGAACCACTGGGAAGTCAAGACTATGGTAAATACACAGGGACCTTAGACTGTCTTCTTTTTCATAATTTGCTTTTGGTAAAAGCCATTATGTTCCACCAATTTCTGGAAGTAGAGACTGACCAAAGAACAGGATGTGGGTGATGTGGTCACATGTCTTCTAAGCTTCTTCACGGGCAAGAGCAGACCAATAATTCCATAATTATTTGGAAATTACAGCTTAAAGAAAGCCAGTGAGTGACCTAATCTGTCTTTCTTATTCCTAAAACAAAGCAACAGAATTTTCATGTTTAGCAGGTGGCTTTGAGCAGCACCCAGATACCTTTTTAAACTGAAAACGCTTATCTCCTCAGTCTGGGGTGAGGTCTGAGATTTGGCTGTTCTAACAAACTCCTAGGCCTGCAGTTCCGAAACTGTGTATCGAGGTACCACAGAGCACCACAGCAAACTCACAGGGGAATCACAGAAATATTTTAAATTCTCAAGGGAAACACAACAACACCTATCAGACACCATGTAAGCCACTAACTAGTAATTCACAGTGTCAACTTTAAACCACACTTTATTCTTTTCAATGAACTCCTATTTGTCTGAAGCTGAGTTTTTGGCAGTTGCTGCAACAAAAAGCAAGTATTGCATAAAAATCAATGTGAAATGGGAAATGAAAGTAGTGATGTCCAATCAGATTCCAAGATTTGGTAACTGTGTAGTGCTCAATAGGCACACATATCCTATTAGTGGTAAGTAATAGGTGCTATTTAAGGATGAAATAAAAATACTATTTTTCTTTCAATTTCTTTCACTTGTAGCATTTTTTTACAAATGGCTAGTAAGTTGTTAGGATACACTGCTTATTACATTATTTGGTTCTAACTACTTAATGAATGGACTAGTCAGGTGCTACTTTTAGTGTAGGAGTGCCAGGAAAGAATTACTGAGACATTAGGGGCTTTTTGAACTGAGAAAGTTTTGGGGTATCTGTTCCGAGAGATGCAATGTTGCTGGTCCATAGAGAATGCTTTGAGTATCAAAGGTTTCAAGAATAAACCCCAACCTACTCATGTTACAAATGAGAAAATTCTGGCTCACAAAAATTGTTGGTATGGCCAAGAAATAAAGCAAGATCTCCAAGTTTCTAGTCTGAGGACTACCCCACCATACCTGATTACCTCCTTATATCACTGATTTGTGTCTATACTAGATCTCTGTAGCCACATTTTCAAAGAAAATCCTCTGTAAGCAGAGGGCCCCTACGGATAGAAGGAAATTTAGGAACCCACAAATACGGAGGCTTGTGAGAAACTAAGACACCTATGGCAATTTTACTACTAACTAAACTATATGCTCTTAACCAAGCTAAGGCTGTGATTTAAAATAGTTGTTTACTTCAAAGGTTTTGTTGATAGTTAATCATTTTAGAGCATGTGTCTTTTGAGTGGTGTTCAGATTCCAATGTTTAATGAATTGGAATACTTGGTTTCTGATCATCTCATCAATCTTTTAGAAGATAACCTCTGGTTAATTGTATATAAGTCGGAAAAAGATAAATGTGGGACAAATTGCTTAATCATAGTTCCCAGACCATGAAATTTGTGAAGTATGGTTGGAAAGAACAAAAAGGAAAGGTTGAAAACTCACAGTGTCTGAGTCAGCATCAGGCACATTTAGGTAGGTCCACTTCCTGTCAGAACCTGCTTGAGAACTCTTTAGAGAAGTCATCCAAAGATCAAAAGAAAAAAAGCATCAGAGCAACAGAAATCAGAGAAGCCAAGAAAAAGACTTACACACAGTTAGATACAAGGACACAGGGCCTTCCTCTCAAAAAAGGCCTTGAACACTAAAGTAAGAAAGGACTTTATTTTGTAGGCAGTGGGAAGCTATGGATGGGTTTTGAGTAGAAGACAGACCTGATTGGGCATGTGTTTTAGGATAAATGACTGGCAGCAGTCTGGAGGACAGCTGGGAAGTTTAGAGAATGGTGTCAGGGAAATGTGTCAGCAGATAATTGAAAAATAATTTATAGGCTTGAGCTGACTGAGCCTGAACTAGGGAGTGAGGAGATTTTAAAACCTGGGTGAGGACTGTGGAAGAAGGAAGAAATCAGGAGCCTGAGAAAAAACCCACACCAAATTAGACTGAAATGTACTCTGTGGGCAAAGGGCAAGCAGGATCTTACAATGACTTTTAACTCATTATCACACATTTTCCTAAGAACATTCATATCTCCTTTGGAAATGCACAGAAAATCAAAAAGAGGGAAAAGAAACTTTCCACATGTCCTAGTGAACTGCTTACAGTTGATAGGCCACTTGCCAGACGGTGAGTGTTTGTAGATAACTGCGAGGACACTAAGGCATCAATGCTTTCTTCAGTCTCTTCCAAGGAGTCCTAAAAAAGAAAGGGAAAAATCAGTGGGTTGGTTGATTTGTTTTTCTAGAATGTTTTTTCACTTGAGAAACCACTTTCTTTCATAAATATTTGAGAATCAGATAAAAAATTTCTAGAAATCACTCCATTCCTAGGTTTTTCTCTTTTCCTCTCCGGTCAATCTGAATTATACCATCGGAGAAGTGGGCAGGGATAGGGGGTGGAGAGTGAGGTCTCCTTTCTAATGGTGCTTACTTTATTGAAAGAACATGAAATTTGGAATCATACAGACCTGGGTTCAATTCCTACCTCTAAGGTGATTCATGTTGGGCAATGTACTTACGTTACTTTAAAATTAAAAAAAATTTGTGTGTGTGTGCAAAC
The DNA here is from genome assembly GCF_000001405.40 of Homo sapiens. Classification (NCBI taxonomy): domain Eukaryota; kingdom Metazoa; phylum Chordata; class Mammalia; order Primates; family Hominidae; genus Homo; species Homo sapiens. Next base: position 38,101,978 of record NC_000023.11, on the reverse strand, counting down.
ACACACACACACACTGCCAAGATGGTAAAGCATATCTCAAAAATCTCTCCACTAGGATGAACTAGATACTGGACTCTCATCTCCAATCCCAGATTCTACTTTTCCTTTCCCATTTCTTTTTCTCCTTCATGATAAAATGGCTTTTTTTTTTTTTGCCTAGTTATTTAAGTGATGTATTTTCCTAGTAAAATTATTTCAAGCAATATAGATAAATGGAAACTAAAAACTTAGGTCTCTCATTAACATATTAATGATCAAATTTCAATATTTTTGATTATATCATCACATATATATATACACACACACATACATATATACACACACACACATACATATATACACATAGATAGATTGTATCATGCATACTGCTTTTTATTATGGGCACTTTTCTTTTTTGCTTCTCCTCTCCTCCTTCCCCTCCTTTCACACCAGGTGAAATTAATATTTAGCATCCTGCTGCACATGTTACATTCCATGTCTTTCTCCTTGTTTATGTGAAAAATCATATAAAAACATACACAAATCTGAGTATAAGTATACATTCATGGGAATTTTTTTAACTATAGTTTTATAAATCAGGATTATGATGTACACTTCTGGGCTTGCTTTAAAAAAGTCTTTATTATAAGATACAGCATATTAAAAAGTACATAAAACATAGATATATAGTATAATAACAAAATCAAATGATGAAGCAGAAGCTCCCTGTGTATCCTGTCCATATCACAAGCCCCTTCTCCCCTCGGGAATAATTAATATTTTAACTCTTATGGTTAACCACATTCTTGCTTTTATTTATAGTTTAACTGCATAAGCGTATACTCTGAAACAAAATGATTTCGTTTTGCCTGTTTTTGTACTTTGTGTAAATGTAATTAAATGCTATATATTCCTTTGAGTTTTGCTTTTTTTGCTTAATATTGCCTTAAAATTCATCAAAATTGTGGCATATTTTTGTAGCCTGTTCATTTATATTGTCATTTAATATTCCATTGTATGATATCCAAAACTTTATCCATTCTCTTGTTGCTGAATATTTGGGTTATTTTCAGATTTTTTTCTATTGTGACCAACACTGATATGTATATTCTGTGAATATGTATCCTGGCGCATATACACACACCACAGTATACACACAACACAGTATATATGTTCACACACTTGAATATATACCAGTGAGAGGAATTGTCAAGTCAAGGGGTGAACATATCTCCACGTGCTTATCTATATCATTTTAAAGATAATGTCAAATTTTCAGAAGTAGTTACACCAATTTACAGTCTAACCAGTAGTATATGAGAGTTCCCTTTGCTCCACTTCCTTGCCTGCAAACAGATGGTATTGTTAGATATTTTTTTCATTTTTGCCAATCCAGTAGATGTTTACAGTCTTCATGATTTTAATTTTCATTTCTCTTATTACTAAGTTGAATACCATTTTGTGATAATCAGCCAACTGGATTTCCTGTTTTGTGAAATACTTGTTCAAAATTTGCTTATTTTTATATTGGTTTATGGTAAGTTGTCACTTAACGTCATCCATAGGTTCTTGAAAACTGTAATTTTAAGTGAAAGGATGTGCAGCAGGTCCTCAAATAATGTCATTTCATTAAAACATTGATGAGGAAAAAAATGGTTTTGTTATATGTCATTTTGCTGAAAGTGGCAGTTTCCAAGAATCTGTTGATGATGTTAAATGAGAACTTATTGTAGCTGCCTTTTTCTCACTGATGAGCCCACAAGATGAGCTGGAATATCTTGTAGAATAGCATCTTGTAAGAAAGTGCTGGCTTCATGGATGAATTCTTCTGAACATCTGAGGAAGAATTAATGCCAATTCCTGTCAAATTCTTCCAAAAATTGAAGAGGAGGGAACACTTCCAAACTAATTTTATGAAGCCAGCATTACTCTGATAGCAAAGTCAGACAAGGATACTACCAAAAAAAGGGAAAATTGCAGGCCAATATCCATGATAAACCATAGATGCAAAAGTCCTCATCAAAATGCTAGCAAACTGAATTCAACAGCACATGAAGAAGCTCATTCAACCTAAGTGGGATTTATCCTTGGAATGCAAGGATGGTTTAACATAAACAAATCAATAGTTGTGATAAACTGCATTAGCAGAATGAAGGATAAAACCCATATGATCATCTCAATAGATGCAGAAAAGGCACTTGACAAAATCAACATCTTTTCATACTAAAAACTCAACAAATGAGATAAAGAAAAAATTTACCTCAACATAAAACCATACATGAGAAGCTCTTAGCTAACATTATACCCAACATTGAAAAGCTAAAACCATTTCCTCTAAGATCAGAAACAATACAGTATGCCCACTCTTACCAATTCTACTCCATATAGTGCTGGATGTCCTAGCCAGAGCAATTAAACAGGTAAAAGAAATAAAAGGCATCTAAATTGGAAAGGAAGAAGTAAAATTGTCTGTTTGCAGATGACATGATTTTATATATAGAACACTCTAAAAACTTCAGCAAAAAGCTGCCGAAACTAATAAGCTCTTTAATTCTGAAAAAATGCATCCCTATTATCCCTATTATTTTTTCAAATTGCCCCTTTTCTATATTTTTATGTTTTGCTCTTTCTTGGTATACAATTACCCAGTAGTCATCACATAAAGTACCAGTCTTCATGTTTCTTTACTTTCTTTTCAAAAGTGGATATTAAAAAATTCAAACATTCACAAAATAGAAAGCATAGCATAATGAACCCTTATAACTGATTACCTAGTTTTAACAATTATCACTTTTCCAGCTATTTTCCTTGCTGCTAATTTTTTCTCCCACAACTTTATAGAGGTATGACTTACATACCATAAAATTTACCTATTGTATGCATGTAATTCCGTGATTTTTAGCAAATTTATAGTTGAGCAAACTTCAATATAATCCAGTTTTAGTACATTTTCAACCCAATAAGCTCCCCCATGCCTGTTTGCAGTCAGTCCCTACTTCTTCACTCCCTGGCAACCATTAATCTGCTTTAATTTCTCTATCAATTTTCCTTTCATTGACATTTCATATAAATGTAATTATATGATATGTAGTTTTGCCTGGTTTCTTTCATTTAGCATAATATTTTCAAGGTTCATGCATGTTGTAGTATGTGTCAGTACTTCATTTCTTTTTATTTCTGAATAATATATCATTGTATTCCATCTATTCACCAGATATTATTATTTTCACTTTTTGGCTATTATAACCATTCGCGTGTAAGTCTTTATGTGGACATATGTTTTCATTTCTCTTGGGTAGATACCTAGGATCAAAATTGCTATGTCATATAGTAAATTTATGTTTAACTTTTAAAGAAATTGCCAAACTCTTTTACGGAATGGCTGTAGGTAGCATTTTTCATTACCACTAGCAATGTAGGGGGGTTCCAATTTCTCCGCATCCTCATCAACACTTATTATTATGTCTTTTTAATCACACCCATTCAAGGGGGTGTGAAGTGGTATCTCATTGTGATTTTAATTTTCATTTCTCTGATAACTAATGTTGCTGAACATATTTTAATGCAGCTATTAGGCATTTGTAAATCTTCTTGATTAAATGTCTATCCAAATCTTTTTCCCATTATCTAATATGATTATTTGTCTTTTTAATATTGAATGTAAGGGTTTTAAGAAATATATTCTAGATACAAGTCCTTTAACAAATATATAATTTGAAAATACTTTTCCAGTCTGTGGCTTGACTTTTCACATCTGTAGTGGTGTCTTTTGAAGTGTAAACATTTTTCATTTTGATGAAATTTAATTTACCAGTTTTTTTTCTTGAATACATGCATCATGCTTTCAGTGCCATATTTAAGAATTCTTTGCCTAACTGAAAGTCATGGAGATTTTCTCCTAGGTTTTCTTTTAGAATTTTATGGTTTCTGTTCTTACATTTAGGTTTATAATCCATTTTGCGTTGCTTAATTTCTGCATGGTATATGTTAAGAGTCAAAGTTCTTTTATGTTTTGTGGTATTTGGATATCCTGTTGTCCCAGTATGATTTGTTGAAAAGGTTATTCTTTCCCCACTGAAGTACCAAAAATCAATTGGCCATAAAGTTTTTTTTTTTTTTCTGGAATCTCAATTCTATTCCACTGATTGCCAATGCTTATGCCAATACTGTGTTGTACTGATAGCTATAACTGTAGAGTAAGTTTTTAAATCTAGTAGTATAAGTCTTCCAACTTTGCTCTTTAAAATTGATTTTGTTATTCTGGGTCCCATATATTTTCATATAAATGGTAGAATAATAATTTCTATTTCTACAAAATTATCCTGCTTGTATTTTGATTGGGCTTGCATTGTCTACAAATTTATTTGGAGAGAATTTCCATCTTAAAAATATTGAATCTTCTAATCCATTAACACAGAATATGTTTCTACTTATTTATGTCTCCTTTAATTCAGAAATATTTTTGTTAATTTCAATGCACATGTATTACACTTTTAAAAATGAATTTATTCCTTACTTTTGAAAAATATTTTTCATGCTATTATGAATGGAATTATATTCTTAATTTCATTTTCCAATTGATCATTGCTAGTATATATAAATACAGTTGATTTTTGTATATTGATCTTATCTCCTGCAACCTTGCTGAACTTGTTTATCAGTTCTAGTCATATTTTTGTAGATCCTTTAGTATCTTCTACATACAGAATCATGTCATTTTCTTCTTTAGTATATTGATATAAATTATGCTGACAAATATTCTTATATAGACTCATTCTTCCACCCATACTTAGCATAAAACTTACTTATTGCTATTTTTATTCACTGCTAGATTTTAATTGATATTATATTTAAAGTTTTGCATGTATATTCGTAAACTAGTTTGACTTGTAGTTTTATTTTTCAAACTATTTTAAAAATCAAGTCTGAGTGTCAAGATTATACTGGCTGCATACAATGAATGAAAAGATTTCAATGGTTTTCTAAGATCACGAATAGTTTAATAGTTTAATAATGTTGGAATTAGTAATTCTTTAAAGGTTGAACATGAGTAAACTTTGAAATAATTTAATCTCACTGCCCATCTCTCTTTTGGAGGTAGATTTTAAAGTATTTTCCCAGTTTTTTGTACTATAGAAAATATTATTTCATTTTAGAACTCTAAGTTTCCTAGTGTGCTTTGGAAAAACTATCAATACCATTTTACATTTGTGTTCTATTTCTTCCAAGGAGTCCGTATTTTATTATAGCAATTACAGAAATCTGAATATCAGAATATTAGACTGGGAAATAACCTTTACAATAATCTAATTTAACCTTCTCATTCTAGAAATGAGTTCACTGAAACATTAATTTTCACATAATTTTGTCTCAGTTTAGAAGTGAATTTATTGGTGGTAACTTGAGATATAGCAATGTTGATATAAATATGTAATCAGATATTTCTAATAATATTTGGCTAAGGAAAATGTTAGGATCTCTCATTTCCCAGGTTTAGATTAAGTGATAAGACTTTAGCCAGAAATTGAAATCTCCAACATGTGTTTTCTTAGACATAACCTTCACTCATTAACATGATTACCCATTATATTTTCTAAGTTATTCTTTCGGTTTTTATGTGTTGACTGTGAAGACTAACAGGAAGAGATGATTGTATATCCTCTCTTTACTCTCAACTCATCATCACCTAAAAGTGAAACCACTTGGAGCAAGATTATGCCCTTATTTCCTCCTCTTCATTATATTTTCTTCCACATCCAACTTACCTTGTCTAAAGCCCCAGGGACAGACTTGCTTCTTATGCTTACAGTATCCTCTGAGTCTTCTGTAAATGACTCACTCAAATCTAACTCAGATCGACTCTGATCTGGAAGGTGGAAAGGAAAAAGAAAGACGTGAGTCAGCCTGTTTTGTGAGAAGATTTCATTTTTTATTCCAAGTGTTTCACCTTTATTTCAATTCTTTTTAGGCACAGATCATAAATAGTGCCATGAAAGCAACAGTCGGAGTCAGTAACTTCATGCTGTTTATGATAACATACTTCTATTTTTAATAATATTTTGGTAATTGCCTTGGACCGAATTACACTTAGGTGTTCATGTTTCCTTCTATCACAGGAGGTTAAATGTTCTACTGTAAAATGCTATGTTTTAAGCTGTTTAAGGCAACTGCTTTGCTCCTAGACTTTAAAAAACTCTCTTAGAATGGGCCCTTAAATTTAGAAAAAAAAACATTAACAATTCTTGCTTGCAATATTTAGAGAATTCACTGTGTTTTCAGATTTGACATAAAATGCAATGCAACCTATTCTAAACTGCCACTTTGAAGTGATATAGCAAGTTCTTTTCACACAAAAATGAGAGGCTATAGATGCAATGAGAGGAAGTTCTATTTCTTAATGGACCAGAAGAGTCTTTCATCAGAAGAACACCTTGTTTTCACTTTTTGAAAATATAAGTTACAGAGCAATGCACCTCTTAGTAATGCTTTGGACAGCTTACCAAGTCAGGACAGCTTATTTCCACAAAATAGTTCTATACCAAAGCACTACTGAGATCAATATAGTTACTTATAAATGAGAAAGATTGGAGAGAGTAATCAAGTACTTAAGTTTGAATTGATGAAAAAAATAATGCAGAAGTACTTAGCATAGGCCTGACACAGAGTACGTACTCAATTAACAGGAGCTGTTGAGTAGAAGTAGTAGTAGTAGACCCTATGATGTTGGTTTCTAAACTAGTTTAAAAATTTAATTAACAGGTGAACAGCTTTTTTACTCCTGAGCAAAATGTAGCAATAACCACACACATTTAGAAAATCCTTTGGGAGCTGGCTGGCTAGAAGAGACCCCTCAGTTCAGCAAACAGAATCCTGCCTTAGGCTTTATGCATATATAATCATTAGGTTACAGGTAGCTTTTTAATGTTGAAGACTGCATCATGATTTTTATTCCATGTATGGGACATAAGCTTCAAAATTATGACAAATTTCTCCGAAGAATTTTCTTAGTCATAGCTATTAACATTTCAAAATGAATAATAGCTGCTTCAGAGGACTGTTGTGATAATGAAGTAAAATGACATATTTGAGTGTACCATGCAAATGAAAGGGGTAATTATTAATACTTTAGTGCTGCTTGCAAATAACTTCTTATTTAAACCACAGAATGATTTTCTTTTGTCTATATGTAGGGAACTTCTGACTACTATATCAATTGAACTACCATTTCCTTGAACTCTGAGCAAGCATTCTTATCTGTTATAGCAAATGTATCCTGGAATAATTTATATTTCCTTCATTCAAATATTGATATTCTGATGTAGCACTGAAACTCAGTGATGATACCTGGCAAGAGTATGTACTAAATAAATGGAATTTTCATGAATGTAAGGTGCCCAAAGCTTTACCTGGGTCTATCTTCAAGCAGTTCTTATGGAGTGGCCTACCACCATAGGTCAAAGAAGGGAATGCTTATTTTTTAAAGGATGAAACATCCACTTAATACCACACATAGCAGTCAATTCCATTTGATTTAGTCATTTTAAACAACAAAGTAGGCACATTGTAAATACCCACCTGAGGAGAGAGAGGTTCCAGACACTGCTATGGAAGGTGTGCCAGAAGTGTTTCTGCGGTGACTCTTTGTGAGCTCCTGAGAGGTACCTTCAATAGCAGCCAAATCCATGGAATTTTCAAAACCATACTCCTTCCCACAAAGTAAAAATGAGAAAAAAATTATACTGACTGTAATTTACTATAAAATTCATCTACATAAATATACTTCAGTATAAACACCTTTATATGTATTATTATTTAGGAGGAGCTAATTGACATTTGAAGGACCCTCACCAGGAGTCCATGTAACTTCAAAATTTACCATCAATAATTGCTATCCAAAATCCATTCCAAGAGGTTTGTTAATTAGTGCAAAAGGTATCCGGACAATTTCTCATTCCCCAAATCAATGAGTGTTCTAATATATGATTAATAAGGAAGATTATACAGGTACCCTCAATCTTACATGAGGGATGTATAATAATCTGTCAAGATTCACACTCTCAGAGTAGCACTCAAGCTTAGAACTCTGTTTGGTCCTATTTTGTTCCCTCTTTCAACATACCCTCTCTTCAACCATCCCTTACCTCTTCCACCCCCATTTAACAGGATGTCATGTACCTTTTCCATCTAGAAGGCTGGCTGGTCAGAATATGGGTGGTTACATCTATTTTGGAATGACTTTCATGCATGGTACTTACCAATGTTCATAAAAAAATAAAGAGAGAAAACTTCCCAAGCTCACAGGAATAGTTATTTTTTTTGTGTGGTGTCTGCTTGTTAATAAATGCTTGTACATGTGGTAGAATTCAGTCTGGGACTTGCATTTATTGTAACATATGGTAAAGAAAATTCTGTCCCGACTTCGCCCATGACCATAGACCCAACTTTGTCTGTGACCTTTGCCCTGCCATAGACCAAGGCAGGGCTTGACTGCTGCCTCATCCGAAGCTTTCTTGAGTGTTAAAACAACAACTATAACAAATTTTGGACCTTTCCAGAACTGGGCTGAGGTTAAGTGTCCATTCAAATTACATCATGGTATGATAATGATCAAATCTAAAACAGATTTTTCAATTCTCCCTTCTGTAAACAATCAAAAAGTGCCTTTTGAAATCCTAGAGGAATAATTCCCTCCTTGTTGCCCATCTCTTAGACATTCAGGGACACTCTGATGAACTCATTACAGTGAAATGTGGCTTTCACTTGCTTAATATGCTAATTGATTCAGCTTCAATTTAGACTGTTTTTAGTATCTTATTATTCTCCAACACATAATACCTGTAGCTGGAGGTATATAGCTCCTAACTTCCTCTAATTGCCATAAACAAGAAAAGTTTATCAGGAGTGTGACAGAGGTCAAACTGATAAATTAGTTTAGGTCAATTTTCAACACCTCTTCAAAAAGTTGTTCACACATGGAGTCCTTTAATGAAGCAAGACCAAGTTCCTTGGAGGCAATTATGTTAATGGCAAGTTTTCCCACAGGTGATCTGTGAGTATCATTAGTATTGAGCACTAATAGGCCAATTAATATTGCACTGTCATTAACAAGCAATACATACCCTGGAGGTTCAGGGTGTCAAGCCTAAAATTAATAGGTTGCATCATAGTAGAGGACAGGTTAGAGACTTTCATGCTCTAAAAGTTTTCTGTGATGGTTAATATTAGGTGTATACTTGATTGGGTTGAGGGATGCCTAGATGGCTGATAAAGTATTATTCTGGGTGCGTCTGTAAGGGTGTTGCTGGAGGAGACTGACATTGGAGTCAGTGGACTGAGAGAGGAAGACCTACTCTCAGTGTGGAGTGGGCAACATCCAATCAGCTGCCAGTGTGGCTAGAACAAAGCACACGAAAGAACAGGGAAAAGCGGCTTGTTTGCTGAGTCTGCTCACTCTTTCTCTTCCCAAGCTGCACCAGACACTTGGCTTCCCCTCCTCCTGCCTTTGGACATCAGACTCCGGGTTCTTCAGCCTTTAGACTCTGTGACTTGCACCAGCAGCCTCCCAGGGGCTCTTGGGCTTTCAGCTTCAGACTAGGGCTGCATTGTCGGCCTCCCTGGTTTTGAGGCATTCAGACTTGGATTGAGCCATCCTACTGTCTTCTCTCTTTCCGCAGCTTGCAGACAGCCTATCGTGGGATGTTGTCTTATAATCGTGTGAGCAAATTCTCCCTAATAAACTCCCTTATATATATGTTATCAGTTCTATCCCTGTGGAGATCCCTGACTAATATATTTTCTTTCATGCTAGAGCAGAAAAGAACATTGAAACAAAGAGATGCTAAGAAATGGGAGAAACTGAGTTGTTACCTTGCTCATCATCTAATGCTATATACTTGCCATCTAATGCTATATACTTCCCTTTTAATGAAAGAGCAAATGTACTTCATAAACTACTGTGCTGTCTTATTTTTATTCAATAGAAAGTACTTCTCTTTGTTTCTTTTTTTCTCTTAGAAAAGACCAGCTTAGACCAGCTAGATTGCAAGAATGAGATCAGCATAGGCACTGCCTATGTATATGTATATATACTCTACTAAATTGCAGGGAATTTCTGTTGCAGAGATCTAGGTGCTGTTTAACAAAGAAATACACAAGTAGGGGCTGTTAGTTTTGAGGGTATTAGCACATGAAAAGGGTGATTTCCCCCCTAATAATCTCAAATTGTACGTAGAAAGATAAACCTTGTTGTGAGAATAAACTTGATTAACTTATTGGTCATTGGACTGATTGTCAGCTGCTACCCACTGGGACAACTGTACTAGATGTTAAATTTTTAAAAATACTTCTGTGTCAGTTAATAAACAGCACTACTCCCAGTCCACCTCCCACTTCCCTGTGCTCCCTCTCATCTATAAGCCCAGGTTTCCCCATAATTCAGGTTTAGTGCATGACATAGAAGGGCCCCCGCATACTGCCCCAGCCTTGTGCCAGTGTCTGTTGTGATTTCTCAACATCCCTGCCAGACTGGTCACTAAGTGGTTTGAATATCATTCCTTTTTAGATTCCAAGAGGTGAGTGTATTCGTCAACTATCCATGCACCTTTCTAGCTATTGAACAGAAATGGCTTGCTGACCTTAGCATAAATATTTATGAAGTTTTAAATATGCCTTTTATCTTCACAACTACAATTTAGACTATAGATGTTTAAATAAATCTATTACTGTTTTTCAGTCTGTCTGAATGCTTTAACGGAATTTGACTACTCGCCACCTCCACTATCTCTTTGTTTCAAAACCCAATCTCTCACATGGGGTATGACAATGGCTTACTGATTGCTTTTCTGGCTTTCACTCTTGTTCTCCTACAGCTGCTTCTCAGCACAGCCCCCAAATCCTGCTTAAAGATAAGGCAGATTGTGTTACTCTTCTGCTCTAAAACCTCCAGTTTCCCCCATCTTAATCAGAGTGAATGCTGACTGCACACAGCACTCTTCAAGGCTCTATCCAGCCCTATGACCTCTTTGGATTCATTTCCTAGTTCACTTTGCCTCATTCATTCACCACAGCTGCATTGGCCTCCTTCCTCTTCCTTGAACATACCCGGTGTGCTCCCACCTCAGGGGCTCCACACTGGCTGTTCTTCTAGAGGCATTAAAAATATTTTAGAAACTGGCTGAGCAAGGGCACTGACCAATCAAGATGGAGGCCAGCTACAAGGAAGTAGAGCAGCCTTCCCTGCATGTACCTGCTGAATATCAGTGCTGTCTCTGCGTGGTGGAACACCTTGCCCCAGAAAACTACATTGCTAATTCTTTCACTTCCTTCAAGTCTTTGCTTGACTAGAGCCTGTCATATAGTAGGTTCTCATTAAATGTTGGTTGAGTCAAATAATTGTTTGTATTGTATGAACTCACTGCTCATATAAAGATTTATCAAATATAGATGCCAGCAATGTGGATGGAGCTTCCTGCTAAATAAAAAAATCTCACAAATGCTAATTCATTCCAAATATAACTTCCAACAGAATATTTAATAAAAGAGAATATTTTTCCCCAAATACTTTTTTCATATTCTCTTTTAAAAGAGAAAACCAGTAGAAAATATAATTGATCACATATAAATATAAAATGCAATTTAAGCCTTCATTATGTGTTGACCCCTATGTTAACAGATGTATAGAAAAGAAAATAAAAATTTCTACTTTAAAAACTAGATAAAAGTTCTACTTTTCCAGATTTAAATCAGTTTGGAAAAATTTGTGCACTCAACCTATGAATATTTTCTCTAAGAAGTAACAGAGAGGATCAAAATCAGAGCCTTCTAAAATGTTTTATATTTATTTAAGCCATATAGCAATTTAAAACTCCATCATACAAGTGCTACCTTTGAACCTGGTCTTTCTCTTCCCTTTTTCATTTTGGGTTTCCTGCCAGGAGCTAAGATGCAGGAGGTTCAGTCCTGATGAAGCTTCTACCTTTCAGCAGCATAAAGAACATGCTCTGATACAAACAGAGTTGAAACCTAGCCATGCTGCAGTGGTGAGGTTGAATTTCAGAGACTGGGTGTCTGATATGGTTTGGCTCTATGTCCCTACCCAAATCTCATCTCAAACTGTAATCCCCACAATCTCCACGTGTTGAGGGAGGGACCTGGTGGCGGATGATTAGTGAGTCATGGGGGAGGCTTCCCCTGTGCTGTTCTCATGATGGTGAGTTCTCACGAGATTTGATGGTTTTATAAGTGTTTGACAGACTCCTTCTGCCATGATTGTAAGTTTCCTGAGGTCTCTGCAGCCATGCAGAACTGTGAGTCAATTAAATCTCTTTTGTTTATAAATTACCCAATCTCTGGCAGTTCTTTATAGCAGTGTGAGAATGAACTAATACGGTGTTCATCAGGTTTGTGTACTTACTCTACTGATGACTGAGGTCACAGTTCGTGTGCTTGGGGCTGGTGAACTCTGAGTGCCTGGGGTCACACCATTGCTCCGACTGCTCTTCGGGGTCCTAGGACCAGGTTCCTGGTCATTGAGATCTGATGAGCCAGTGCTTCCCCTAAATGAGAAAGCATATTCTGACTTTAACATGGAAGCAGAGCAGCAACCAAATACACAGGCAGAGTAAAGCTGATGAGGAAACTGATAAGAACATATGAACCGCACTGAGTTCACAAGAGTCACACTGGAACTGCTTAGAAACTATCATGTTACCTTCCTCCTCAAAGGCCCTGAGGGGATCACTAGGTTTGTCCCCATTTGCCCCACAGTAATTAAACTTCACCCCATCTTTCTGATTTTGTTTCCTTCTGCTTACCAGCATTCTCTCAGCCAGTCTGGGTTCCTTACCATTTTCTCAGCTCACCATCTTGACTTCCACCTCCTGAGGCCTTTGCTTACCTTGTCTCCACTTGTTATGCCCTCTTAACCACTCTCTGTCTATACACATCTTTCTCAGTCTTCAAGGGCAAATGAAGTCCAGCCTTCCCCATTAGGCCTTTCCTGTCAAGCATAAGCCTTGTCAACCTCTGTTCCACTCAATTCCTATTGACTTACGGTCTTTGCCAGACTACTGTATTTAGTATTTGACTGCAAAATGTCTTGTTTGGCTCCCTAATGGATCCACATATGTGAGCTTGGGTGTTTCATTAAACTATGAACTCCTTGGGAACAGAGTCCATGCCATAATTGTCATGTATCTCCAGCAGCTTTGTAGTGCCTTAGTACAAAGAAGCCACTCAGTACATATTTAATCAAAGATTAGAAGTTATATTTCATTTCTCTGTGTTGTTTTAGTGTCTAATTCATGGTGCACATTTAATAAATGTGGTACAAAAATAATGACATTTGGTAAATGTGCTTGAATCACTTTCATGTGTGCTAAAACTATTCAATTCAATCCAATAACAATAAATGAAAAAGTGGTTCCTGCCCTTGAGGTGTTCACAATTTTCTTATTAAATGAGCTTCATAAGTCAACATAAATTTTGACAAGTCGGAGTTTAAGAGAAGTGTTTGTTCCCATTTTATTCTTTTCCCTCAGTGGGCACAAAATATGCTAAGTGGTAAAATAGAAGCCCTTATGAGTTTTACTCTCTCAGTTACTGTCTTAATGAGTTACAAATGCACATATAATAGTACACATCTTATTGGTAAAGCATACCAGCAGTGGTTAATAGTGATGAGGACTTACAGTTGAGCCAATAAGAGGAAAGGTTAAATAGAATAAAGGAATATTTTTTAAAAGAATGTTTAAATGTGCACATATCATTACTAGAAGATAAATCAGGCAGAAGAATAGGCAATGACCATTGGATAGAACTGTCAACCACAACTCCTAAGTTTTTTCAAAGCTGTGCACCAGAGAAGTCACCAAAACCAAATTTCTTTTGGACCACATTACCAGCTACCACCACCTTCAATAATCATGAATAGCAGTGGCATTTACTTAGTATCTTCTAGGTGTTAGCCATTTTCCATCCCCCAATATCCTTGTAAAATATGTTTTAGAATATTATTTAATATTTTTAAATGAAGAAATTGAGTATTGGAGAGGTTAATTATTCCATACATGTATGCATGTACACAAACACACATGCATACACACACCGACATACCACTATGCTATCATAGAGTTAGCATGTGATAAAATCAGCATAAAAACAGTATTGTCAGTCTACCCAAAGCCTGTGACCATTCTAGTTTCTCATACTGCTTACTCATCATTTCACTAAGAACAAATCATTCCAGCCAGGCAGGTTTTGCATTTATAGAATGAACTATCAAACAGAAGTTAATCAAAGGAGCAAAGAGCTAGGAATTAGTTTCTTGGGACTTGATTAAGAGAATTATGAAAATTTTCTATGTTACTAAAGAGTGGTTACTAAAGGGTGGCTTTTCTTTTTTACTAAACAGTCTCTGCAGAAAGGATCTCTGGCTTCCTCTTTGTAGAAATAGCAGTCTAAGTAAATTACAGTGCTATGAACTCAGCTGAGAAGATCTCTAAGACTGTGCCTGTTGATTCTGACAAGAGAGTAAAATTTTGTGATTAAGTAAATTGATACACTTTGGAATTCTAATTTCTTTGGTGATTTTCCTGAACCCTTCTACCTGAAGCATGACATTTCTACATTTGACAACAGTTAGCCATATTTGTACCCTTCCAAGTATTCTGCTCATCTCAGAGGTTCTACTTAGGAGAGGCATAGAGACTTTCCCATTGATGCTGTACTGTGACCATAGGTTCTTTAGAACAATGTTAACACAGAAATATGTCTCCCTACTGTTTCAGGTAAAATATCCTTTAAAAAGAAAGGGCAGGGGTCAATCTTGCAGAAATGACCCAAGAAGTTATGAACCAAAGGGACTCATGTGGGTGTTTCTGCTTGTGTGTGTGCGGAAGGTCCTCCCAGAGCCAGGTGGTTTTGAGAAACGCCCCATCATGGATTAGCCTTGCTGAAACCAAAAGTGCTACTTATGTAGAAGCTCTGGCAGAAGTTGATTAATTGTGGTGATGACATTCAAGAAGTTATCCTGTAATAAGGAAAAAATTCTTGTGATTGTAAGTCAGCTACTGCAAATTATCATTGCCAGCAGCATTATCTCAAAAATGACATAGAATTTCACATTTGTCCCTGACATTTACTGTGAGCTTCTCAAAAAATTTTTTCCAGTTGATTAAACTCAAAAAAGGTTTAGTCTAATAAGGCATATTATCATAAATATTTGTGTGCCAACTCATTTAGAAGGTATGTAAAATATGACATAAAATACACGAATCTTTGCCACTTAAATTGGAAAATGATAAAAGCTATGTCAAGTCAAAATTAAAGTTGTGAAGTGTAAAGGTCAACTAAGAAAAAGCTATTTTTTAATCCAGCTATAATGTTACTCAGATTTAAATAAGAAGTATGATAAATCAGTGCCAACAAACCTTCAAGCTAAAATGTGGTTAAGTAAAAACCGGCAAGAAAGAGATACATTTATCTCACTGTAAAAGGCCCAAATGTGGGGATATGTCACTGTCTGGGAGTTTGGATATTCTGGGTTGCTGAAAGACACATTTTCCAGATTAGGAAAAAGTTTAATTTACTTTACCTTATGAAATATACTTTAAAAGCCTTCTGTTTTGTTATCTCTAATTCCATGGGTAGGGGAAACACATCTGACAGCAATCATTTCAGTATACTCTTACAATGACCCTGTGTGGCAGATGCATCTGAATGTTTGTTCCAAGCTAGGGAATCCAGGAGTGGCCAGCCCTGAGGTTTGTTTCTTACCTATGAAAAACATCTGAGCCCCTGGCCCTTCTCATGGAACATGGGCCATACCGGGGATTGAGGCCCTGAGTTTTGGGTTAAATGAAGGTTTCCAGGTGGAGGTCGTTTAGGGGGAAGGTTTTAAGTGAAAATGCTATATAAACTGCATTGTTATTTGCAAGCGGTTATGGTTTTCCTGCCCAGCCCACCACTGCTGGACTCTGTCCCCTGTGTGTAAGATGCTAATAAAATTGTATGTCTCGTTTGCTGGCTCTGAGTCTCTTGAACCTGGCAGTTTCCCTATTGAGGTTAATAGGGGTTCAGCACAGCACCATGTTGCTCCAAAATCTTGATAACAGCTTCCCAGATACATCCATTTCTAGACAGAGGATCCAAGGATAGGGGGTAGAGATTACAATGTAATTGCCTTTCTGCTTTACATAAAGGTCTCCTAGGAGTTGTAGCCAGGAAATAATTTCCCAGGATCCAACCTTCCCAGAGTGGCTGATAGTGTTGAGCCTGTTCCCATATGGTTAAATGTGTGCTCTCCTAAGGCAGCACGAACCTGAGAGATCCTAAAACTCACTGGGACAATGAGACTAATGTGCAGTACAACACAGAGACAATGCAAAATATTCTCTCTGAGGTTTATGAGCTTTCCTAACTTCTTATAGTTATTTTGGATCTACAATGAATATGCAGGAAAGATGGCCAAGGAAGGTTGCAGTTAGAAAGTGAGATAAGCCTGCTAAATGGGAAAGAGATAACTAAAAATGAATGTAGCTCAATCTTCTAGTCTTTGGTGATCCCCAAGTGCTGTGTCTTTATTAATAGTCTTATGTGAGATGAGTGGCCCTCATCCTCAGATGCACATTAGAAACTCCTGGGGAGCCATTAAAACTCCCATGTCCAGACTATACTGAGGCTAGTCACATGGGACTCTCTGGGTGTGGCATCTAGGTGCCAGGATGTTTTAAAACTCCCCAGGTGATTCCAATATGAAGCCAAGGCTGAAAACCACTGTGCTAAGCTGTGGATAAAAGTTCATTGATCTCAGACATCTCTCCACCTGCATTGCTCCCTCTGCTTCTACCACTATTTTTTTTTTTAATTCAACAGTACTGACATGAAAAGAGCTAAGCTGTTCTTGTGGTTCAGACTGTGATACACTGAAGGACACTTTGTCTTAGTGAGTGAATGTGTTGCACTAGAAGTCAGCAAACTATGGCTTGTGGACATATTTGGGCCCACCAAATGTTTCTATATACCCGTGTGCTTAGAGTAGTTTTTACATTTTTAAATGGTTGAAAAAAATCAAAAGAAGAATAATATTTTGTGACACATGAACATTATATGAAATTCAAATTTCAGTGCCCATAAATAAAATTTGACTGGAATTCAGGCAGCCCATTCATTCATGTACTGTCTATACTGCTTCCATGTTCTGAGAGCAAAGTTGAGTAGTTGAGACAGAGATCATATGGACCACAAAGTCAAAAATATTATCTGTACCTTTACAGAAAAGGTTTTTGATCTCTGTGTGTATGCCAGTTTGGGGAAAAACTCTAAGTATGTTTTTCCTCTGCTCTCACAGTACTACAACAATCATCGATCATCACGGAAGTCTCTGGTGAACAAAGGTGTGGGGTTTTTCCCCACACACCAAGCAGCAGACACCAGATGGGTGTCCTCTAATTAAATTCTGACACTATCTATTCAAAGAGAGTGTCAGATCCCACAGGGTGAGGACTCAGTCCCCAAGACTGTCCTCCCCCAGACACCAGTCACAAGTCCGGGCTTTTAGAACTTCTGACCAACTGTCTTCAATTTGGGGTTCCCATGACCCCCTCTTTGTGTTTAATTAGCTGGAGTGGCTCACAGAACTCAGGGAAACACATCAACCAGTTTATTATAAAGGCTATTACAAAAGATACAGTTAAAGAGATGCGTAGGGTGAGGTATGGGGATAGGACTGCAGAGTTTCCATGCCCTCCCTGTGTGTACCACCCTCCTGGCACCTCCACATGTGTGGCTATCCAGAAGTTCTCTGAACTCTGTCCTCTTGGATTTTTATGGAGGCTTCATTACATAGGCATGATTGACAACCATGTAAAAATGTGATTGGACAGAAAGTGCATGATCTAAACCTAGCAAGGCTTGTCTGTTCAGACTTTTCTTGGTTTCTCTGTGTAGCATTCCTTCCTCTAGGTTATGAGGCAGGGTTTCCGGAATGAGGGTCTTTTGAACCATAATCAGGTTAGAGTCCTGCTTTGGCGGGTGAAAGAAGGACAGCAGAAGGTCAGAGAGAGAGTTTATGTTTTCTGAGGCCTAAAGTGACCCAACAGTATAACAAGGACTATGGAAGTTGGGAGGCAGGAACTATGGATGAAAACCTATATATATATATATATTAACACCACAGTGCCTATGCGCACAAACACACACACACACACACACACACACACACACACATGAGTCTATTTAAAAACTAAACTCTTTGGAGAAGCTAATACACCCAAAAGAAGTAAATTTCAGGTATTGGGTGTTTGTGTGTTAAACTTAGGCCCAAGTGAGCCATCATAGGATCACTTCAAAGCAGAATTAGGGAAGCAGAGAGATGAGAAAGACATGGAAATTCCTCAAGCAGCTTCTGTAGCTGCAATGTCCCCTGAAGCCACTGGCCTTCTATGGCTTACTCGCACATATCTTCCTTTTCCTTTTTGGAAAGAGGACAAGAGTAGTATAAGGTAGTGGGCACTCAATGAAATTGTGCCAAATGAATCCTAATGTTAACTATAGAAATAGCTTTATAATTTGACTTAATAAAACAAAAGCTGCTTTGTTTGAGGGTTTTAAAATGTTTAGTGTTTCCTTAATGGATTTGTTCCCTTTAAGAAGACTCCCTCTAAAATGGAGGAGACAGTTACCATGAGGAAGGGACTCCAGCTGGGTATGAAGAAGTAGATCTTAAGAACAGGTGGTACTCTCAACGTGATAATATTTTTGTTTTTTAGCATCCCATTAAAATTCTGATCAAATGTCTTATTTCTAAATAATGACCAGAAGCCGTTTTGAGGAGAGAGGCCAGCAGCCATGAAAAGCCTTGGGTCAATTAGAAGTCGGGGGCAAGAAGAAAGCCAACTACCTTCCCCCATAGACACACAAAAAAGGGGAGTGTTTAACAGAACTTAACTTTCAGCAACTAAATGGAACAAATACTTACTCCATACTTAGTAGTTCAGAATTGCCAACCTCTTGTTCTGAGTAGGATGTTATATTGCATATAAGAAGATAGGTATTAAGGCATCCAAAGCCATCTACATCCTGGTCCAACTTACCTCTCCATCTCCTCATCTCTTGTACACCATACTTCAATTTTTATACTCTAGAAACTCTGAACAGTTTCTTTTCAGCACACAGTCTACTTTATGTCTATTTTCCTTTGTACTTTTTATTTCCTCTGTGTAGAATGCTCTTCCTATCTTTCTTTACCTGGCCAAGTCCTCCTCATTTCTTAAAAGCTGCTTAGGGATCACCTCAATGAAGCTTACCTGAATCCTTTGAAAGGATAAATGCCTATCTTTGGTTTTCCCATAGCACGCAGAACATCTTTTTAAAATCGTATTACTATATTGTATTTAAATTATTTGTTTAGTTATCCCAGCCTTCCTGCTAAATTGGAAGCTCATAAAAGGGTGGAACAGTATTACTGTCTAAGAACTTCCACATTTACCATCTGGCATATATAGTACTAGGTCAATAATGTTAACAGAGCTGTGTGTTGAATTCATTTGTATGAATAGAATGCATAGATGACCAAGTCACATATCTCTGCTCTTCAATGATCTGTAGAAGAAGAAAGGCTATCTATTGTATCTTAGCTACCCTGAGAGTGGTAACATGTCACATAATACATATTTAGGTAGCAGTGAGTAAAAGAGCAATTTATTAAATTGGAGGAGGGGAAGGTGTTAGATTTAGTTCATAGAAATAGAGCATGCCAAGACAGTGAATCCATGGGAAACAATTGGAGAAACAGACAAAACAGCAAGGAGGAGGCTTCAGGCTTACAATCATTTGATCACAGGAATGAAGCATGGGTGTGGCTGAATTACTGAGCCTCCATACCTTCTCACATTATTGACATTATAATGAGGAAAGTCACACATAATATAAAGTAAACAGAAATCAGGGGCTGAACAGTGGTCTGACAAACTGCGTCTTTGAAGGAGGTCTGAGAGCAGTTTGGGAGGGAGGTTGTAGCAGACTCTCAGTGTCCCTGCCCATTTGCCTTCAGCACTTACCTCTACCCACAGAATCTTGGTTACTGGGAATACCCAGAACTCCCTGCCTGAGGAGTTTTTTGACTCATGGGAGCATGGAGCCCCTGTGAACAGGGCAAGTCGGAAGTGCCAGAGAGTTAGTGCCCTAGAAGCAGCCCTCAATAAATTTTGAACAAAGAGCTGCTGTAAAAATACCCCAGATTCCCTATCTCTTAACTGGATAACTCTGAGGTACATTCAGCACGGTTTTCTAGAATTGGCCAGTGAGATTGAGCTCTAGTTGCCCACAATAACAACTGGCTTAATGACATATCCTTTTTGCCTGCCTTCCCTTCCCTGGCTCATTTCCCCACTCTCCTATCTCTGTTTCCTTAGACCACATCCTGAACATATTACTTACTCTTGAATCCTTATTTCAGGATTGTCTTCCAAAGGAGCCCAAATCAAGTGCATATTTGTGCATATGGTGGGCAAAGGATGAGTTTAGAAAAGGATGGCTTTGAGTTCTAAATAGAAGTTTCTAGCTAAAGTTCTTTTTTTTTTGCAACTTCAGACTGTGTATCTCCCACTGATAAGGTCACAGCATAACAAAATACTCTGGTGAATTCATGTTTCCTCTCCTGTTTTATCATGTGTCAGTTGCTCCCTGGAATTAAAATTCACTTTTCTCAGGCCACCATGGTTTTGCGAATTGCTTTAGGCTGTTAGCATTTGCTACAGCTTGTGGCTTTGATTGCCCACCCCTCGCTCCTCCTAAGGAGGGCTGAGCTTACCCAAAGGAGATTAAAATGGAAAAAAAGGAATTAGCAGTGACAAAGGAGGGAAAGGCACAGGAAAGAGGTGAAAGTAATTTTCCTTTGGAGGACAATGCTCACAGCCTTTATCCTGTTGAGTCACCGAACGATCATTATAGAATAAATGTACATACTTTCAGAGATATGCTATACATTTGAACATTTTTTTAAGCCTGGTAAGGAATGGAGTTTGCTAATAGCATTAGCAACTAGCTATGTAATGTTTTATCTAATACGCAAAACAGACCATTGTTGACTTTGTGGATGTGGTCCTGACTCAGAGTTAAACACTCCCACCTTGCTATATTCAAATTTCTAGTAAGAGGCTGCCACCTAATTGGCACCTTAATTGCAAAGATGTCAATGAAAATTACATTCAGGACAGGAGAATAATTTTATTTCTGATGAAAAAGAAGGCATCATTTAGTGATAGAATGGGTTTAATAAACTCACTTTACTAAAATAATAGATATGAGGAATGGATGATTCTTTAAATTCATGATAATATCCAAAGTGCCATATTTCCTGGACAGAGAGAGAAAAAGAGAGGGGCAGTGCTTGAAATGAGGACAAGAACTAGCTAAGGGCTGGTTTGAATGGTGTGGTCTCTGCTTTTGGTGGATCACAGCCAAAGCAAAGCAGCTTGTGAAGCTTCACAGAGACTGTGACCATCAGTCCCAGATCCACTGGAGAGCAATTAGGAATAACTGGATGAAACTGGTGTGCGTGGAGTGGAGGAGTGGGAGGGCAGAAAGATGAGAACCTAGTTGGTTACGAGACCAAACAAGGTCCCACCGTCTGTTCACATTCCATGTAGATATTGCCATATTCTCCAATGACATGATAGAAACGCTACTGAGAAACAGCATCATTCTTCCTCCATTTTTACTGAACAAAATGCATTTTAGGTTCAAAGTTCTAGTTTTACTCTGTTTTTAAAGATAACATTGTTGGCATCTCCCTCAGATTCCTTTTACCAGCTGTGCATGCTCCTCCCTAGATCCTGAGTTCTTTTCTGCTAATGGATGTCACCTGCCACCTTCAGAGACCTTCCCTTTAGCCCTGGAGCTGGAGGCCTAGAAATGCCCTGGAGTTTGTCTCCCCCTCACCCCTATAGAAGAGTTGTCAGATAAAATACAGAACTCGCAGTTAAACTTGAATTTCAGATAAAAAAATTAATTTTAAGTATAAGGATGTCCCAAATATTGCATGAAACATACTTATACTAAAAAACAGTTGTTAGTCTCAACTATACATACCTGGGCATCCTGTATCTTCACTTGCTAAGTCTAGAGACTCTATTCAAGGGAGGCCATGGTCAATGACTGACTGGTATAGGAGTGCAATGGTCCAGCTCCTCAATGTGGAAAAAGCTCAGGGATATAGTTTATGCTCTAGAGTCTCCTACAGGATCAGGCTGAGTCCTCAGACCACACTGGAGCTAGCACCATTGTTTAGCTTCTTCCTCTTCTCTATTCTGTCTCTCCTACTCCCTTCCTGGTTTCTCTTGGAATCACTTGATTAATAATAAATCACTTGCTTATAAATCCTTGTCTAGGGGTCTGTTTCTGGGAGAGCATGACTTAAGTTAGAGATCTTGTAAATCATACCACAGTGACAGCTCATCACAACTTTGTAGGGATTAGAAATCACTACCTTGAATAATATTGTTTATTAACTACAGCTTACATTTATTTTCCTAAAAATATTCTTTGTCTCATGTGTCAAGTCCCTAGCAACCGGTGAACATCCATTTGACAAGCTCTTCTGAGAGGCTGCTAGGGCTTCTTTAATCTATTCATACTTTCCCTTGCTTTGAAACTACTGAAAAGAAAGCCAACTGCACATCTGATAAAACATCATTTACACTCTTATATGATGTGAGCCTTAAAAAGGAATGCCGAAGCCCAGCTGCTCCATGAAAATACCAATGATCCATGAAAAAATATGCATTGTAAGGGAAAAAGGGGAAATATTAGTAAGCTGGGTCAGGCAATAGACCAAAGAGACTGGGATCTTACAGTCTCTTCAGATGATGGAAGTTAAGAAAAGATGGGCTACCTCCTGCCTCAATTTTCTAAGGACTCATTTTGAAATAATGGAACTCATCTCACTGTGGCAGTCCATTAATGAGTCATCACTGTGATAAATGCACGTTCAAGGGAAAGGACATTTTGCTCTATTGATCTCCTGAGCATCTTTACTCACTTTCTTAGTGGCAAAATATTGTTCTTAACATGCTTAAGCCAAAGCACTCCTGGCTACTTCTGACTATGTGTAAGCCATTTCAGGTATTTACAATTTAAGATAAAGTCTACTTAGGGACTTTCTTTCAGCTTACAAAAAGAACAAGAAGCTCCTGGGTCAATATACCAGTACTTGGTGATGCATGTCCATATGGCTTTATAGTTTTGGTTATTTATGCCTAGTAGTAGATAATACACAAAGAGTAAACTGAGGCAGATAGAGTCCATTACGGTATAAGCACTGATACTGGAGACCATGCTCCCTATTATTCTTGTTGAGTAACTGTAAGACATATAACTTAAAATAGCACAATCTAATTTTGTTAGGCTGGCAGCCTTTTTTTTTTCTTTAACAAGGAACATTGGCCGGGTGCGGTGGCTCACGCCTGTAATCCCAGCACTTTGGGAGGCCGAGGCGGGTGGATCATGAGGTCAGGAGATCAAGACTGTCCTGGCTAACACGGTGAAACTCCGTCTCTACTAAAAATACAAAAAATTAGCTGGGCGTGGTGGTGGGCACCTGTAGTTCCAGCTACTCGGGAGGCTGAGGCAGGAGAATGGTGTGAACCCAGGAGGCTGAGGTTGCAGTGAGCCGAGATTGCACCACTGCACTCCAGCCCGGGAGACAGAGCGAGACTCCATCTCAAAAAAAAAAAACAAAAACAAAAAACAAGGAACATTGTCTTTCCTCTTTTTGTATATATTGCCTTTCTTAAATGCTAGCCTTAAGTGTTAGCCAAGGTGGCTCATCCATGGAGTCCCAGGAGGCTGAGCAAAAAGAACACCAAATTAGTTGCTTACTGTCTCTAAATAATTTTGACCACTACTATCTCAGAGTCAGGAGTCCAACTATGAAAAACAAAAATGAGATTTATTTATTCATTTTTTTTTGAGACAAGGTCTTGCTCAGTCACCCATGCTGGAGTGCAGTGGCATGATCATAGCTCACTGTAACCTCAAATTCCTGGGCTCAAGCAATCTTCCTGCCTTAGCCTTCTAAAGCATTGGGATTATAGATGTGAGCCACTGTGCCCAGCCAAAATGAGATGTTTATAGAAAGTTTTGTGGGACACAGCATGAAGCTACCTCAATGGAAGACAAATGAAACTATTTCAAGGATAAAGGCAACCATAGCTTAACAGTTTGTAATCATAAAAGGGAATATATCAGCATTCTTGAAAGTTTGGGAAATACTGAATACAGTATTAATATTTTGATAATGGGTGATAAATGACTTTACGCTTCCTTGTAATTTTTTTTTTCTGTATGGTTTTACATAAAGTAACGCTTGCATGCAGGACTGTTATAGGGACAAAAGAAACAGCTATGGAGAGTCACCATGAAAAAATAACCCAATAGTCAAAATAGTGTCCCCTCTAAGGAAATTTTTTGGTCTGCATTCTAAAATGGATTACAGGGAAGAATGCAATTCTGCTTGCATTCTTCCTAACCTAAGGAGAAAAGAAAATCTGCTACTTGTACTATCTGGCTTGCAAAATTACCCCAGACACAAGCAAACGAAAGGGAGTTAACAATTGGACAAACCAGTGAAATATGAAGGTGGATATTTTTTTCTCATTGCTAGCTTTGATAATACACTAATCATGAAAATAAGTCTTGACTATGCTCCAATAGGATACAGAAAATCACGCCTGATATAAAATGACTATGCTCTGGGCTATCCTTTGTGTTTCTCATTATTTTTCTTGACAAGTGATAGATCTGTGGATAGGACATTCTCAATTGGCTCCACTGATAATCTCCTCCAGTTAGAAGAGGTGGAACTAGAAAGGAAGTGAAATTTATGAAAAAGTCTCTGAGGAAATTCAAATTTAAAATTATTAATAATTTTTTAAAAGCTGCAAGGAATGTATTTGACACTCAGAGGTTTCTTTTTTTCAGGAGCTTAAATAGAAAAAGCTCAAGAAGTCAATGAAAAACATTTACTTGCCCTGTACATTTCCATTTGAACTGCAGCCCCAAGTGCCAGAATATAAAGTTTCATCCCTGCAGGTGACATAGGCAATTCCAATAGCTGTAATTCTAGAAGTAGGGTACGTGCTTTCCATATCAACTAAAAAATATCTTCCTGAATTTTCACATTATGTGTTAGGAGTTCTCCAAGTGGTAATATTTCACAGATACCTAAAATCCCCCTATGAATGGGAATATATCAACCTTAACCTCAGGCTACATCATTGCTCAATCTGTATGACTCTTACCTGTCTGAACCAGGAGGTGATTTTAAACTCCGAAAATGTTGACCGTCTAAGTCCAAGCTATAGCTCCGCCCAGTGTCAGTTTTGGGAGTTATGATTTCTCCTCTGGTTGCCGATCTGAACTTGCTAAGAAGAAATCTGAAATTATATATATGTATTTAAAATTAGATAAGAAAGAAAGCATTTAAAAATATCATTTCAAGAATACAATTTCTAGTACTTTTAATAATAAAGGATTCTTCAATAAAGCAGCCTTAGGGCTGAGAGGTTCTGGAGAGTTCCCAGTGCCTCTGCAATACAGTATCAAGGGTGATAATGGGGAAGGTTACGCCGTTCTCTCAAGACCGTACCACTTGCTGGTAGGTCACTACTAAGCAAAAGACTGCCTATTCTGAGAACTCAGCACTGTCACCTGAGAAAGAAGATGCATTCCCTGAGTTGGGCCTGTTTGCAGGAATAGTGAGAATAGAGAGTTTGAACTCCCTTTGCTCAGAGAGGGAAGCCAGGATGATCCTCTTGGACAAACTGAGGTAGCTGCTTATTAGACTGCAGCTCCATGAGAGCAGTGACTCTGCCTTTCTTGTTCCTTGACAGATTTCCAGAGCCTAGAATGATGCCTGGCTTATACTGGAATCCAACCAACTCTTGTGGAACGAATGACTAAACTCATCTTTATTATCTTCCATGACATTTATTCTTGTGCCTCATGTTGGATAAAATCTGATTACCTTCCAATTTCACTAAATTATTTGGGGTTTAAGCAGAAACAGCCTTTTAGGAACTTAAAGTCCTGATCCAGGATACCATGTGCCCAAAACATGGGTGTTTCCAAATGTACTTGAATAAGAAAATCAAAGCTATATTCCTTTTTGTAATGGCATTGGGAGATACACTTCATTTACATTCTACAGTTTTCTAGAGGAAAACATGGATTCCAAAGGTACTGGCACAATCTTAATAGAATCTGCCATGTTGTCTCTGTTTCAAAGACTCCTGGAATAGTGTCATTGTCAAAGCATCTGAAGCTTTAATCTACTGGAAAATTACATTTTTTCTTTGGTGAGAATAGCACTTAATATAATGTCAAGGTATGCTGCTCTGAGAACCACCTCATGCATGTCCTCTACTTAAGGTATCTCCTCTGCCTGGAGTCACTCTTCCTCCGTTTTGTGATCCTGAACCCCATTTATCTCCTCCTCAAATCTCATGTACAATTTGATGTCTTTCTGGATGACTCCTATACTCAACTGGCACTTATTGTCCACCTGCTTATTTATATGTACTCAGTAATTTATAACCTTAGGATATCTCTTGTGGTGAACACCCTCCTCTGTTTTAGAAAGGCTTTTAGGAAGCTCACATTGCCATCTTAAATTTTCCTGCAATTCTTTTATACTTAGTAACTTTTCAGGTGTGTACCTTTTCTCCCCAAATAGATGTTATATTCCTTGATGACTGAGAACAATCAGAATCTAAGGCTCAGCCCAGTGCTACAATGGTTTCAATGATTCAGAATTTGCATAATTGATTGTGATGGTGAGTTAGTTACTGTCTCCTATCTCCAAGTCCACTATTCTGTAACCTACTCTATGATGCCTGAGCTGGGGTCTGCAAATGACAACTCCTAGAGGCATTTGTGGGCTCTGAGTTACTTATTCAATCAAGCCACTGATTGTTTTTGATGAGTCAGGTGCCATGCTAGATACTGCAACACAGAAGCAAAGAAACCACTGGTCTACCACTAAAGAAGCTTACAATTAAGTGTGTGCATGTGTGTGTGTGTGTGTGTGTGTGTGTGTTGAGGGGGTGTCAGAGTGCAATATGATTGGTGGTGCAAAGGCACAAAGCATTGTGGGTGACCCAAAGAGTGATAAATGAACTCAAGATGGTAGGAAGGATCAATACATAGGATAGGATATACAGGATACTCTAGGCTATCTTTCCAACTCATCTCTGCTCATCAATGAAAACATGGTTTGTCATGAGTGCTTGAGTTAGATGACATTTAGATTGTATTCCTACTGACAGCCCAAGATTCTAAAAGAACCCTAGACATTTTGTACAGCCAGATAAATCTTCTAACACTAATGCCCTCTCACTTTGCATTCTACTGAGAGAATGAAGCAATGCTGTCTGAAAAGGACCATAAAGTTAGGCAGGCATGGTGGCATACAACTTGTAGTACCAGCTACTTGGGAGGCCAAGGCAAGAGGATTGCTTGAGCCCAGGAGTTCAAGGCCAGCTCAGGCAACATAATGAGACCCCATCTCAATAATAATAAAAAAACAGAAAGGACCATAAAATGACTTGGTGCACATTAGAACTCTCACTACTTCAGTCACAAAAACTGGCCAATAGCTGCATGAGAAACAAAAACTGAAAAATGCAGTTTCCTTTTGGTCCTTATAGCCTATATTTTGGGATCCACTTTTCTCCCTTGAAAGAAACTTCTTGCTCCCTTATGTACCTCCCATTCCTATTCTCAGTACTTGGCATCCATATTCTGTATTCATTTACTGAACTAAGTTACTGTGGTGGCCAAATGTGACTTTTTTTCTTAAGGAAGCCTGAATTTTAAATAGGGAATATGGTGCTTTAAGCTCAATTAATAAATCTTTATTTTGGATAAAATTATATATCAGCACACAGGTTGGAGGGGAGGAGTATTGACATTGTACAACAGAAATTGTTGTCACCTCTTTATAGACTGATCCTGGCATGAAACTTTCTACTTATAAGTAATGGGAACCATATAGTGCAAGACTGGATATGTCAAATGAAAGGAAAACTCTTCTGTGCTTAGGTCAGACAGGACTTTTATTTACTTATTGAAAATTATTAAAACTGCATTTCCTGAGGAGAATGATAAGAAAGTGTTACTTTGTTTGAGTCTCTGACCTCCTCTGGGTCATTGAAGTGACATCAAACTTGAAAAATTAAGGAGTCTTCATTTCAGAGGTGTCTGGAATAAAGATCAAAAATTCCCTCAGAAAGACCATGTCTTACCCCTTTCTCTTGGGCCCATCATGGCTGGCCTTCTTCCCAGCAACAGGTGAAGTGTCTGACTTTTCTGCATCCTGGCGGGTTTGCTCTTGGCTCTGTACTTCTTCAGCTCCTCATTAACAAACAATCAGAAGAGAAATTTACATACAAAATGGCCAGAAATGAGAGCAAATTTATATTCTGCTTTCACTTTCCCAGATTAGCTCAGGGCAAGGAAGTCTATAATAATTGGCAATGCCATTCCCATCCCAAGTTTTTCTGTCACACAGTTAGTTCTAATTTGTTGAGTGTTCTAGAGTTAACTGAAGACAAAGATCCTGAACTCATCTGTGGGAGGTTTACTGAGATAACCTTCCTAGGGATGACTGCATCAGCCTTCTGTTGATATTTTTAGAGCAGGGGAACATGGTCTCCTAAGATCTCCAAATCCCTGGAGACTGAGTTCTAGCATGAGGTTGTAGAAATGATGTCCTAATTTCTGGGCATATAAGCCACACTTCCTGGGAGGGTGGGCATCTGTGCAAATATATTGTGACTTGAGGAACTGCCTACATTCTGGAAGGTACTGGGGTTTGAGTGGAAGAAGAGGCCATGGCTGATTGCCTAATTCTAACTGTACTCCACACCATCTCTCTGTAGTATCGGATCTGTGTGACCTATGTGGAAAAGCCTTTCCTTGCTAGTGCCACACCCAGAAGTACCACTGGAATCAGTTCCAAGCCTTCTCGCCATATGTGCCAGACTTAAATACAAGGGCACTTGTCTCCTCTGGATGAAAGATGAGATAAGCCTAGAAACAGGCTGAAAGATGTTTCTTCCGCTTTTACTACACCATATACGAGAAACATGCTCCCAATCACAAGGTTTACTCCATCTTTAATTAACTAAATTGTAATTTGAATGCACCAAAAGGCACTGTCAAGGTAAAGTGTTATTTTCATTTGGTGCCAGTATTCATTCAGTAAGACTATGCATTTCAAGCCATTTAGCATCTCTGGCTCCTTCCCACCAAATGCCATTGACTCACCAGTCACTGTGACAACCAGAAATGCCCCCCTTGCCTTTCCAAATGCTCCCATTTTGAGGGAGGGAGACAAGGTACATATTATCAATCTTTGATTGAGAACCACTGGATTTAAAAAGTAACATTGAAAGGAAATCGGAAATAAATATTGTTGAAAAATCAAGGATTGCTTTCACAATGTGAATCATTTAATTCATCTGTTTTATGTTACTTTAAGTGTTTAGTAAAATATTGGATGCATTCAGAAAGAGAACTGTCTATGATGGAGACAAATGGTTTCTTTGAAAATCTTAGTGGGTGAGATATATGGAAAATCATTGTGAATTTTGTTTTCTACTGACTTCTTCTTGTCTTGTATGAATTACGTATCTAGATTTCATGCTACCAAGTTGTGAAATGCCCTAAGGGATTCAAGAAACTCATTTATGCTGATTAACTACATAACATAGAGAAGTTATTTAGTTAGCCAAATGGAGATGAAAACAGTTGTGAAACCACATAATTGCTTTAATTACCTGGACTTCTTCTTAAAATGGACTGTCGGACAACATCAGTGCCGAGAACATTGACTTGCTTGAAACGTTTTGCCTTTTCTTCAAAAAACCACTCACCAGTTATAATCCTTAGCTGCCTACTCAAGGGAAAAGGGAAGAGCATTGAAATTCAATTATTTAGCCACATAATTAACTCTCAAAAATCCCTAATAAACTGAAAACAGCAAATTATTTATAAAGTTTATCTCAATCTCTGGAGTATTTTATGGTGATAATAATAGCCAGTATTAATTGAATGTTTACTATCTGCTAGGTACTTGCTAATTACGGTTCATACTTCATATATTTTTATCCACATAGCAACCTTATGTAAACACTATTATCCTAATGTTATAGATGAGGAAATTGGGACTTAGAGCAATAAAATAATGTGCCTCATATCACACAGCTGGTAAGTAGCAGAGCCAGGATCCCATCCCAATAAGTCTGACCTGGGGCTCAAGTTCTTAACCACTGCATTAGTGGATAAGTGATCTTCAATGCAAGCAATAGGGATCAAGTAAAGGTTTGGAATGAAAAAGAGGTCATGATCAGACTCTGTGATCAGACTTATGATCAGATCTCTGTGATGAAAAGATTCTTTGATATAACATGTACAGTGGGTTAGACTGATGAGAGAATAGGATAAAGAGACAGGTTGGCCATTGTAATAGTCCAGGAGACAGATGATGGCACCCATGCTAGGGCAATGGTAAGACTAAAAGAGGAGTAATAAATTCAGATCATAGGTGGTGGAAGTGCTTGCCTGGATTTGGTAATAAGTTCAATGTTAAAGATGGGAAAGAAGGATCCTTGAATAGTCACACCCATCTTTTAAACCCTACCTGCAATGGCTACATGAAATCACCCCCATCTTCCCTCCTGAAATGCTTATAATCCTCTTCTTTGTCTGTACTTCTCCCATTACTTATAGCGTCCTTCAGTATTATTTCTACCCTCTCATTTCGACTGGGTTGTAAATGCTCTGAGAACTGATTTCTGTCTGCTTCATCTTTTGTTTTCCATAGTACCTACAAGAAAGTCTTTCACAGACCACGATCTCAATTAATGTTTTTCAAATGAATGACTACTCTCTCATAATTTTAACACATTACCCTTCTTTTCATATTCTCATAGTTCTTATTATCATCAGTGAAATGAGGGCAGGGACCTTGGCTGTGTTGTTCACCATTTCCAGGAGCAGTAACTGGCACTCAGGAAATATTTGTGGAATGAATTAGAATACCTGGAATTCAACCTATAGTAGTTATGCTGCTATAAAAGTCCTTTTCTGGCATATCACAAGGATTTTAACAGCTGTAGAAGTCATTCGGTAGACTAAATATATTTCTAATTAAAAATTAAGAAATGGCTTTAGCTGATTAGGTGAGCACTATTGTCCCAAAACCTCTATGGGCATGTTCTGAAAATAGTAAATAGGACTATGTAACTACGGTAAAGGATTTGTGGAGAATTCTATTGAAAACTGGAGTTAAAAGGTAGGATTTGGGGTCAAATATTTGAATGCTGAGGTAAAGAGGTGGAATGTCATTCTAGCAGTTTTTCTAAAGTTCAGATTGAATCACATAATCTCTGGCTAAATATATGAAGAAGAGAGAAACCAGAGGTAGGCAGGCAAATTAGAAAGTTAAACAATAAAGAGGATAGAAAATGATGAAGATGCAAATCAGGGTATCATGGAGGTGAGGAGTAAAGGGAAAGACACATACACTTGGCCCACTGAGAATGAGAATCAGTAAGAATTGGTGACATGTCTGATATGGTGGCTGAGGAAAAGCAACTGAGAGTCAAATAGGCATTTCAAGCCCCAGAATATTATATCCATTTGATTCAGCAACTTATTGGACTTGAAAATCAATAGCTGGATCTCAAATAGAAAAGTCACTCTTGAAAAATATGTCAACCTTCTTCCCCAATTATCCTGAAATCTGCTTGTTCAGCAATTATCCTGAAATCTGCTTCGGAATCTGAGGCAAAGGTAAATTATATATGAAACACCATTCCACTACTGGCAAAAAGTGAAAATGTTAACCTTGGAGAAAAGTATTCATTGAAAGGTAAGACCATAGTTTGTCTACCATAGATTTACTCCCAAGTGGTTATATTACCTATTGAGAAGCCCAGACTATTGGATAAGCTCCATAACAGTAACTATATAAAATACGCTTATGGAATACGGTCAAATCTAAGATATAACCTACCAAAACCAAAAGCTTGAATGGGTTAAGTTATTTCTGGATACATTTCAAGTGATCTATAGACTTATGTATCACAGTGTTGGAAATCCAGGTGACAATTGTGGTATTCTAAATTCGAAAGATGTCTCCTGTTTCTTGGCTATTCAGTCAAACACTAATCCAGGTGCTGATGTGATCAGACATTACAGATGGAATTAGGTTACTAATTAGCTGACCTTAAAATAGTGAGATTATCCTAGATTATCCACATGGGCCCAAAGCAATCACATAAGCCCTTAAACACAAAGGAAGAAGAGGAAGTCAGTAAAGACAATGCAGAATGGAAAGTCAGATTGCAAATATGAGAAAGATTTTATGTGCTGAGAAAGCTCTGAGGTGTAGAGGTCCACAGGCAATGACTGGAAAGTGAGACCTCTATGAGCTAAGAATGGCTTTCCGTGAACAGTCAACAAGGAAATGAGCACCTCATTCTGACAGCCACAAGGAACTGGATTCTGTCCACAAGAATGAACTTGGAAGTGGATTCTTCCCAGAATCTCTTTATAGAAAAAAGAACTCAACTAGCCAACACCTTGATTTCAGCCTTACAGAACCTGGAGTAGAGAAACGAGTCAAACTCGTTTGAGCTCCAAAACTGTGAAATAATACATTTGCATTGTTTTAAACTGCTAAGCTGTAGTAATAGTTAAGGTGGCAATAGAAAACTACTATGATAAGTTAACATAGAAATATATTTGTTCTAATATTCAACTCAGGAAATTGCATAGGTTGTAAGAAGATGAATAAGGAAAATTCAGAAACAAAAGGGAAAAGGTAGGCACACTATGGCCCATGGGTCAAATTCACCCCATCATCTATTTTGTACAGCCTGCAAGCTAGAAATGATTGTTACATTTTTAAATGGTTGAAAAAAATCAAAATAAAAATACTTAATGACATGTGAAAAGTATATGAAATTCAAATTTCAGGGTCTATAAATAGGGTCTTCTAAAAAATAATTTCAACTTTTATTTTAGATTAATAGGGTACATGTACAGGTTTGTTACGTGGGTATATTGTGTGAGGCTGAGGGTTGGGGTATAAACGATCCCGTTGCCTAGGTACTGAACATAGTATCCAATAGGTAGTTTTTCAACCCTTGCCCCCACCCCCAGGAGTCCACAGTATCTATTGTTGCCATCTTTATCTCCATATGTACCCAATGTTTAGCTCCTACTTATAAGTTAGGACATGCAGTATTTGGTTTTCTATTCCTGCATTAATTCGCTTAGGATAATGGCCTCCAGCTGCATCAATGTTGCTGCAAAAGATATGATTTCATTATTTTTATGACTGCATAGTATTCCATGTTGTATATGTACCACAATTTCTTGATCCAATCTACTGTTGATGGGCACCTAGGTTAAGTCAATATCTTTGCTTTTGTGAATAGTGTAGCTGTGAATATATAAGTATATGTGCTTTTGTACAATGACTTTTTTCTCCTTTGGGTATATACCCAGTAATGGGATTGCTGGGTTGAATGGTATAATAGTTTTGTTTTTAGTTCTTTGAGAAATCTCCAAACTGTTTTCCACAGTGGCTGAACAAATTTACATTCCCACCAACAATGTATAAGCATTTCCTTTTCTCCACGACTCACCAGCATCTGTAATTTTTTGACTTTTTAATAATAACCATCTGACTGGTGTGAGATGGTATTTCATTGTGCTTCTGATTTGCATTTCTCTGATGATTAGTGATGAATATTTTTTTCATATGCTTGTTAGCTCCTTGTATATCTTCTTTTGAGATGGGTCTGTTCATGTCCTTTGCCCACTTTTAAATGGGATTATTTGCTTCTTTGCTTGTTAACTTTATTACAGATTATGGATATTAAACATTTGTTGGATGCATAGTTTCCAAATAGTTTCTCCCATTCTGTGGGTTGTCTGTTTGCTCTGTTAGTTTCTTTTGCTGTGTAAAATTTTTTAGATTAATTAGGTCTCATTTGTCAATTTTTGTTTTTATTGTAATTACTTTTGAGGAATTAGTAATAAATTATTTGCCAAGGCTGATATTCAAAATGATACTTCCTTGGTTTTCTTCTAGAATTTGTATAGCTTGAGGTCTTACACTTAAATATTTAATCAATCTTGAGTTAATTTTTGTATATAGTGAAAAATAGGGGTCTAGTTTCATTCTTCTGCATGTGGCTAGCCAGTTATTCCAGCACCATTTATTAAATAGGGAGTCCTTTATTCATTGATCATATAAATAAAGTTTTATTGAAAGATATCCATGCTCAATTGTTTATGTGTTGTCTTTGGCTGCTTTTGTGCTACAACTACAAAGCTAAGTGGTTGCAGCGGTAGACCACATAGCTCTCAAAGCCTAAAATATTTGCTCTCTGGTGTTTTATTACAAAAAAGAAGAGTTTTTAACTTTTGCAGGAGGCAAAGAGTACACAAAAAGAAATAAGAACAAGGGGGAATACTATAGTTCAGTGACTAAAAATTGCTAAATAGTGGCATGCCAAGGCCTTAGATCTTTTTTTTTTTTTTGATATGTTCTTTGGATGTGAGATGGAGTAGATAGCATACTGACAGCAGTTTCATGTGTGACAGAAGAAAGTGGACACATCCAGTCTACATTCTCCAGGAAATGGGCCTCCATATCACTTTTACCAT
Source organism: Homo sapiens (assembly GCF_000001405.40). Taxonomy (NCBI): domain Eukaryota; kingdom Metazoa; phylum Chordata; class Mammalia; order Primates; family Hominidae; genus Homo; species Homo sapiens. Next base: position 38,067,256 of record NC_000023.11, on the reverse strand, counting down.
GCATGCTTAGAGCTGCCAACACCTAACACAAATAAGATCTTCCCAGAATTGTTAGTCATTACCTCTTGCTACCCTTGGAGAATAATAACTATAAGTCTTGTATTTGTTCAACTCAGATAATGCACTTGAGTCATTTGTCATTTCAGAGAAAATACCAGAACAGATTGTTGAGATTATGCCTTTGTCACCCTCTCAGGTGTCACGTCTTGTCAGGAGGCAGACAGAAGGCTTGGTAGAACAGGAAACTAATACTTAGTGAGTGCATGTCAGTCACCAAGTAATAGGCTAGTCACTTTATATACGGTATCTCTAATTCTCACTATAAGCAATGAAGTATCTATTACCATTACCAATTTACAGACAAGGAAACTAAAGCTCACATAGGTTAAACAATTTGCCCAAAGTTATAAAGGTATTATGTCAGAGACAGGATTTGTATTGAAATCCCACATGCTTTATACTTGGAAAAATTGTCTGAAGAGAACTCATACTTGTCAACTATAACAGGGCTTTGAGGAAGGGTGAAAACCTGTAGAGTCCAAGGAATAACAAACATAGCATTGCATATGATTGGCTGTGATTGTGGGGTGTGTGTGTGCGTGTGCATGTTTGTGTGTTGAGGGTGGAGTGGTAAGAATACAGAAGGGGTAAAAGACAAAAGAAAATAAAAATCCCACCCACTATAAAATTTATATCCCTCTCTGTCATGTCAATCTAGTATTTGAAAAACACAAGACTTGACATAGACTTTATGCACTGTAAGTCATACTCTGAAGAATGGGCCTGATTAAAATCACAGTGGGCTATACTTATTTGTGAATAATGATTACTGACAGTTCAGGGTTTGTTTTGTCCTGGTTTTCTTTAACACTAAACCTCTGGGACTTTTCAAGCCTTCACTTGGAAGCTTATATGAATGTAAAGTCAAATTAAATTATCTATAGTTTTACAGGGGAAAATAGGTAATCTTATCTTAAAAAAGAATAATGACCAAAAGATTCATTTTGCTCCTTTATTTTCTATTAACTGCTGGAGACATCTGCAACAAGATATGCTTATTAGATACTCTGAGATAAGATATTAGTTCCTTTCTATTATTCATAAGGAAACTAATTCAATTTTTTTATACATTTATTAATTACACAGCATTTTTTTTTGAGACAGAATCTCACTCTGTCACCCAGGCTGGAGTGCAGTGGCATGCTCTCAGCTCATTGCAACCTCCACCTTCTAGGTTCAAGCGATTCTCCCGCCTCAGCCTCCCGAGTAGCTGGGACTACAGGCATGCCCCATCACACCCGGCTAATTTTTGTATTTTTAATAGAGATGGGTTTTCACCATGTTGGCCAGGCTGATCTCAAACTCCTGACCTCAAGTGATCCGCCCACCTCTGCCTCCCAAAGTGTTGGGATTACAGGTGTGAGCCACCACGCCCGGCCTACACAGCAAATATTTATTGCATTTCTACTATGTGTCATGCCCCGGGCTAAGGCTAAGAATACAGAGGTGAAGAAGACAAACAAGGACCTTGGCCATATGAAGATGCTGGTGTACATTTATTCCTTTCTTCCTTTCCAAGCAGGAAAAGTGAAAAGAAACCCCTAGACACATTATGGTGAAACTATAGAGCACTACAGACAAAGGGAACATCTTAAAAGTAGCCAGGAAGGCAAAAGGAAACCTACAAAAGAACCACAATTAGCATGACAGTTGATTTTTAATAGCAATGATGAAATCCAGAAACCAATGACACATCTTCAAAGTGCTGGGAGAAAATACTATCAATCTAGAATTGCATATCCACAGAAATCACTGTTCACGAATGAGGATGAAATAAAGAAATTTTCAACATAATGAAAACAGATAATTTATCACCAAATAGATTCTCACTAAAGGAACTTTTAAAGACTATACTTCAGGAGAGGTAAAATAGGTCTGAGGTATAAAAAGAAATGGTGAACAATGAAATTGATAAAATATATAAAAATCTAAACAAACATTGATTTATAAAGAAAAATGAGATGACATAAATTGTTGGATTATACAATAAGAAATGTCTAAAACAAAGGACAAAAATTATGTATCAGCCAGGAAAATAATATTTAGAGTTCAAGAATACCAAGTTTCTTTTAGCTATTGATTTGCAAAGTTAAATATAAATGTTATAATTTCCAGGGTAACCACTGAAAATGAAAAAAGCATATAATACGAATACCAGTAGAAAGGATAACATGGGATGAGAAAAATACACTTTAATGAATCTACAGATAAAATAAATAAATGCAAATATTTCAGGAATCACAATGATAATAGAAATAAATGTAAATATTGCAGTAATCAGTGAGTACAGACTAAACTCTATAATTTAAGAAACAATATTATGAGATTAAATGTTAAAAATTACATATAGTATATATATCAGGTATATGTATATACAGCACATATGTAATGTATGTAGCATATAAGTATAACAAGTATTAAAATACATATAACATATACTATATTTTAAAATAATACATATGCCACATAAAAGAGACTCACCTTAAACATATGGACACAGAAAGGTTTAAAGTCAAATGTTGGAAAAACATGTATGCAGCTATTAACCAAAAGAAATTTGATGTAATTGTATTAATAACAGAAAAAATAGCCTTCAAAGCAAAAACATATTTAGAGATGAAGGGAAGCATAAAGAGTACCTCCAAATTAATAAGGAAAAGACCAGCACCTAAAATAAAATTGTGCAATACACATAAATACTCATATCACAGAAAAAGAACCACAAAAAGCTAATAAATATATGAAAAGCTGCTCAACCTCATACTTAAGCAGTAAAATGCAAATTGAAACTATAGGGAGATATTCCTTTATATCTATCGGTTTGGAAAAAATAAAAAATGTTCATGAAGCCAAGTGTTGGTAAGATCATGAAGTAAAGGAAACACTTATACAATGCTAGTGGGGTTTTGATTGTTACAACCACTATAAAAAAGAATTTAACATTATCTTGTCAAGCTGAAAATGCTCATACCGTTTGGTGTGCAATTTCATTCCCAGATGCACAATCTGCCGTAGTCTTCTCAAGCATTTTTGGCAGAGGTCACAATAAGAAATACATTTTATGTCACAACTCAGAAAATAAATACACACATGTATAAGTATACACATACACACACACACACACACACATATATATATGTATATCTATACTGACACTTTTTACTCCACTTTTTTTTAATGTTAGTTACTACCCACCAATGGGTCATGATCCACAGATTAAAAATCCCACCACTTGTTTTTAATGCTAGTTACTACCTACCAATAGGTCATGATCCACAGATTTAAGAATCCCACCATTGAGTGTACACACTCATACATGTTTGTCAGGCCATATGTATAAGAATGTCATGGCAGCATTTTTTGGTAAAATTATAAACTGAAACAATCTAAATGTCTGTTGACCAGAAAATAGATGCATTAAGGGAATGTAACAACAGTGTAGATGAATGTAATGTTATTCACACGAACATGGATGTATTTCACAAACATGTTGTTGAGATAAAAACATCACAAAAGAATACAGGTAGTATGATTTCCATTTCCATAATATTCAAAAATACAAAACTAGAAAACATGTTACTTAGAGACACATCCAAATGCAGTAAAACCATAAAGTAAAGCAAGGGAATGAAAAATACAAAACAAGATGTTCTAATTCTTAGACTGGGTAATGAATACACAGGGGCTATTTTTATTATTGTTTAAACTATATGTATTATAGAGTACCTTGGATATGTACTATATTTTTAGATTTAAAAATCTTTCTAGTTTATATAGCTATTAAGGTACCATACTCATAGTGAACACCTCATTCTATACAAGCGTGGAGGCACTTGTATATAATTGATAGTTGATGCAAAATAGCATGTCAAGGGACTAAAAATAGCTTCTTGCCATTCAAGAAATCTTTGGGTAAATGTAGGACTACTCCAATATGAATCTTTCCCTTGTAGCTGCACTATGAAAATTTGCTAAATTAGAAGTGATTTTGAAATGACCTATGTGGCAATTACCAATACTCACTCATCAGGCCAAAGATGACCAGATGCTCGTCCCACCTATGGACAAACATGTTGAGATTTTTGCCCATAATAATGAAAAAAAAAACTCCACATACCATGAGGAATCATGGAGAGTCTCAGTAAGAGGGCACTTGAAAGGATTTACTATAGGATTTGGGTTTATGTTAGTAATTTTCGGGAGAGTTAGATGGAGCAGGGATTTTCTCTGGATTAAGCGATGTCAGAGAATGGGGACAATTCTAACATTGGTATCTTGATAAATTTTATTTAGAAGGATGGCAGACTAATGCTAGGCTAAAGCTCTAATTGGTAAGAAAGTAGGAGGTTATTCACATTAGTCAAGAAATGGGGATGTTCGGTAATTTGCGGTTTCAACAGTCACCTTGTTTTCATCTATGCTTAGATAAGATTACAAAGTGTTCTTGTTTTGTTTACTTTATTATTGTTGTAGAATGATCTTGTGGGATTCTGGTACCCTGAGACTGCTTGATGTCCAACAGGATAACAGTATGGCCTACCTGTAAGTGCAAGACCAGCTCTTAACATCAAGGGACTAGGTTTGTCAGTGTGAGCCCAGTTTCCAGATGTCAGGGGCTGTATTTCTCTTTCTTATAACAAAGGTGTATACATCGTCTTCTGCACTCTGTGTATGTTCCATCCATCAGTATTATCTTTTTTGAAATCTATTTTACTGATAAACACTCAGTATTTTTCATCTATTTCAGTTATATTTTATCCATTGCAGTAATCATTACCAATCAATCAAAAATAAAAATATCATCAGGATCTTCCTAATTTAAAAAGACAAAGATTCTCACAAGGACATATAGCACGGTAATATGTTGCAACATAGCATGAATATAAGATCTGCCCATCAATGCCATATTAGAAGTATTTCATGTTTTGGCGGGACACAGTGGCTCACACCTATAATACCAGCACTTTGGAAGACTGAGGTGGGTGGATCACTTGAGGTCAGGAATTTGAGACCAGCCTGGCCAACTCAGTGAAACCCCATCTCTACTAAAAATACAACAAAATTAGCCGGGTGTGGTGGCACATGCCTGTAGTCCCAGCCACTTGGGAAACTGAGGCAGGAGAATCACTTGAACCTGGGAGGCAGAGGCTGTAGTGAGTCGAGATTGCGCCACTGCACTCCGGCTTGGGTGACAGAGCAAGACTCCATCTCAAAAAAAAAAGAAAAAAAGAAAAAATATTTCATGTTTTGTTCCAACTCATGTTGCTTTTATCTTTGGGGCCTTCTGAATTCAATTGGGTACTAATTAGAAAAAATGATCATTATGACTGTCTTTGTGTTGGACTGCAACTGCCTCAGCTAACATAACAATGTGGAATTTTGTAGGTATTATTAAGATAGAAAAATGAATTAACTGGCTGTGTCAAGGTCCCTTTTATCATGTTTTTTATAGAGTTTAAAAACTAGGCTTACAATAGCCAACTTGTTGGAATCAGAAGGGATTGGAGAAAATGTCAGGGCCTGCTCAGCCCATTATAACAGGTAACCTTCCTCTGTCAGTCCTTGCTGTAATCGTTTCAGTGCTAAAGCAATAAAAGCTCTTTACTTTTACCCAATCCAAAGTAAATGACAATAAAGGTCATTTACTTCCAACTGATTAGAGAGTGAGTCACCTTCTGACTCATCTCATCTCTTAGAGGTCAGGGTGGGAATTTCAATTTTATGGTCTATTAAATATAGAGACAGCTCAGTGGGGCTGCAATATTCTCTCACAATAAACAAAGAGTGTTTGCTGCCAATAAAATATTATTTATGCTTCCGTTTTGAAAACCACTCCATGAATAGCAAACAAGATACTTCCAATACTGAGATATAGTTTAAGTCTCTAATATCACACAGACTAACAGTTGCAATGTTGGAGAAGTAATGTACTCTGATTTTCAGCTTTAAAAATGAGAAGTAATTTTGATATATCAAATTAAATACTCATCATGTAAATTTCTAGCTGTCACAGAAGGATATAACTAAAAGACAAGTTGTTGTCATAGAAGGGTTAGAATCACACATTGAAAGAGCTGTTTCTTCCTTAAGACATTTTAACGCATCAAGACAGAAATTTATGAATAAAATAATAAACTCATCTTCCTCCTTATACTGTGTAACCATTGAAGATAGACCATTTTTTATTCAACTTTGTATCCTTAGTCCCTAGTATACTTAACAGGTTATCAATAAATGTGTGGGAAAGATAGATGGATGGGTTAATGAATGGATTAATTATATAGGTGGATATTTGGGTCTATTAAATTATTGTTACACCAATAAAATTAGTGCAATTGATTCAGAAGTTCTGTATCAATGCATTAACATGTCCCAAGGAAGACACGGAAGTTTTGATTTGTTATTATTTATTCTTATACCCTCTGACAACAACTTATGTTACATCTTTACGTGACAGTTAGGAATTTACTTTGTTCAGAGGGCAAATGCATTTGGCATGGCTCATTTCTTTTTAATCCCATGCTCCTGACAGAAGAAAACCACAATTGTTCTACATTTGTTCCACTTGCTTAAGCCTGATATACTTTAAGTAGAGGCCAACCATTTATTCATCCATTCAATTGTTCATTTGTTTGTTTATCCATTCATCTATCTGTTCATTTAACAAGTATTCATTGAGTACCTACTATAGACATTATTTTAGGCACTAGAACTACATCAGTGAACAGTACAGATAAAAACTCCTGCCCTTACATTCTAGTGGAGAAAGAAAAATAATAAGATAAATAAGTAAAATATAGAGCATGTAAGTATTAAGGGAAAAACCACAGGAAAGGGTTATATTAATTTGGGTAGGCTAGCTTCTAAAACAATCTCCGAATTCCACTGACTTATATTAAAAGTTAATTTCTCATTAAAATAACCTAAAGTTAATCTGATAAAATGTAGGAGAGCGGTATGAGTGACTTAGGCCTCTAGTTATCATCCGTACTAACTAGCAGATTAGTTGATGGCAAAATGTGTGAATACACAATCTCCTTGGATCTTGTATTGAAAAGTATACCTCAGTAATTACCTTGTAATGATATTTAGATAGATATATTTAGATAGTGATATTTAGAAGTTAAAGATAAAATTCTTCTCCCGGTACAGAAGCTTAAGATGACTTATAATTGATTGAAGAGTTTTTGAGTCACAGTCCCTGGTTACTGTTGTCTAAGTGAGTGAGGGCCTTGGGTGTAAAGAAGAGGGTGAACAAACATGGAATATAAATGACAAAAATAAATACTAACGATCAAATAGTATTTTATAAATTTAGAGAAATAGTTATTGAGAAATTCCCCCATAAATCCTCAGACTCCATAGTTGAGGACTAGCAAATCAGTCATTAGTTAAAATTCAATTTTCTTCTTCATTGCTCTAAAATGGAAAATCTCATCTTGGCAGAATCTGGTGGGAAAAGAGCTGTGTGAAAAAACAAGCAAACAAACAAACAAACAAAAAACCCCAAAACTTTTAAACTCATCCCAACTCTACTAACACACATCTAACTCTTAGCGTTCTTGTTTACACTATCCATAAAATATAAAACCAATTGCCTCTCTTATCTAATAGGCATGTTATGAGTCTCTGAAGGAGTATTCCCTATGAGTTTATGTGATCCAGAAACAGATCAGCCCTCATGGGGACCAAGGTCCCAATTTTGAAATTAGTTCAATCCTTGACTTGATTAAGGTAATCTTAAATATGCAAGAGCCTTATCCTAATTCCCTTTCAGAAGAAAAATGTACATTCTCAATAGAGGCATATTATACAGAGTCTCATTAAGTCCTACCATTTCTTCATATATTTTGGCCATCAATAAAAAACCACTAGGTTTACGGGAAGAAAGACATGACCAAAACCACAAGAAACAATAAACAATAGAAGTAGTCCCGTAGGGGACTCAGATAACAGATCTATAATTTATACATTTTAACATAATTCCAAATAATTACTTCAAGAAATTACAAGAAAAAAATGAGTAGGTCAGCAGACGGTTAGAAAACATAACAGAGGCAAAATGAAAATTCTAAACCTGAAAAACACAGTAACTGAAGTTAAGAATTAAATGGATGTGTTTAATAGCAAATTAGACACAAAGGCAGGATTCATGAACTGAAATATAGGTCAGACAAAATATACAAACTGAGTTTAGAGATGTAAATGGATAACAAATACAGAAGGGAGCATAAAGATATCTAAAAGATGCTGAATATTACTAAGATGCATATCTTGACTACCTGGCATAGAGGAGACAGATAATGGGGGAAAAGAAATATCTAAAGAGATATTCCCTGAGAAGTTTTCAAATATGACAAAAGATATTAATGTACAGGTTCAAGATGTTCTAGGAACATCAAAATAGATAAATACAAAGAAAATCAGACATAGGTTTGTTATAGTAACTGTTGAAAACACGACAAAAAGGGGAAAATATTAAAAACGTTTTAAAAATATTACCTTCAAAGGAACAATAATATACTGATAGCTGATTTCCTAATAAAAACACTGGAAATCAGAAGCCAATAGGATCTTCAAATTACTGAAAGTTAATAACATCCAACCTAGGATTCAATAAGCAGTGCAAACACATTTGAAAATTAAGAGTGAAATAAAGCCATGCTAAGAAAAAAATTGAGAGTATTCACCACCAGCAAAGCCACACTAAAGGAAATACTAAAGGGTACCCTTTAGGAAGAAGAAAAATTATTCTGATGGAAGCATAGAGATATAGCAAAGAATAAAGAGCAGTGGAAAGGGTAACTCTGTAGTAAATCTAAATATATAAAGCAAATATAATCAAAACTAAAAGGATAAATAAGAAATCCACAATTATTATTGAGAGAGTTTAGCATACCTTTCTCGATATCTGATTGGATATGCAGATTAAAAATCACTAAGTATATGGAAGACTTGGACAATGCAATTAACAAACATCATTGAATAGAGTTATCTAGGATACTCAAATCAGCCACTGCATAATTCCCACATTAAAATATAAAAATCAGTTTCTAATTCACAGTATGCACACAAAATAAGTTTCAGGTGGATTATAAGTTTAAAGATAAAAGGTAAGACAATAACAATTATAAAACATCACATAGGAGAATATTTTCATGATTTTGGTGTTAGGGAAAGTTTTCTTCAACAGGATTCAGAAAAAAATCCCTCTAGTAATCCAGGAAAAAATTAACAAATGGAACTACTAAAAAGTAGAGATTTCTGTTCATAAAATGATACCATTAAGACAATGGAAAGCCAAGTCAGGAGGTGAGAGAGGATATCTGCAATATAGGTAACCAACATAGCTTGTACGTAGAATATATAAAGAGCTCCTTCAAATCAGTAAAAGATTATGTTGAAATCCATATATTGTTTATTTCATCACTGTTCATCCTCCCAGATCTGGAGAAGGAAGTTTGCTGATGACAGAAAGGACTAAGAAAAATTTATTTATGTGAGATAAAGAATTGAGAATAATTGCTTAAGTAAATCAAAATAACGTATCCAAAGTAAGTAATAAAAGAACTTAAAAGATTCGTTTCTTTAAAACTGTTTATCTAAAGCAATATACAGATTCAATGCATTCTCTGTTAAGATACCAATTACATTTTTCACAGAACTGCAAAAAACAATCTTAAAATTTACATGGAACCACAAAAGACCCAGAATAGCCAAAGCTGTCCTGAGCAAAAACAAAACTAGAGGAATCACGTTACCTGATTTCAAATTATACCACAGAACTATAATTTCTATGTTTTTATGCTGTATAGCATACACAAATCAGCATGGTACTAGTATAAAAACAGATTCAAAGACCGATGGAACCGAATAAAAAATGAAGAAACATATACATACATCTACAGTGAGCTCATTTTCCACAAAGGTGCCAGAATCATACATTGGGGAAAGGAGAGTCTCTTCAACAAGTGGTGCTGGGAAAACTGGATATCCACATGCATAGAATGAAACTAGACCCATATCTCTCACCACATACAAAAATCAAATCAGAGTGGATTAAATACTTAAATCTAAGACCTCAAACTATGAAACTACTATAAGAAAACTTCGCAGAAAAATCTCTAGGACATTGGTCTGGGCAAGCACTTTTTGAGAAATACCCCACAAGCACAGGCAATCAAAGCAAACATGAACAAATAGGATCATATCAAGTTAAAAAGCTTCTGCACAGCAAAGGATACAGTCAACAAAGTGAAGAGACAACTTGCAGAATGGGAGAAAATATTTGCAAAGTACCCATCTGACAAGGGATTAATAATCAGAATATATAAGGAGCTTGAACAACTCTACAAAAAATCTAATAATCTGATTAGGAAGAAATCTAATCATCTGATTAAAATGGGCAAATGAACTGAACAGACATTTCTCAAAAGAAGACATACAAATGGCAAACACGCATATGAAAAGGTGTTCAACAACATTGATCATCAGATAAATGCATGACAAAACTACAATGAGCTATTATCTCACTCCAGTTAGAATGGCTTTTATCCAAAAGACAGGCAATAACAAATGCTGGTGAGAATGTGGAGGAAAAGGAACTCTCACACACTGTTGGTGAAAATGTAAATTAGTACAACTAGGAGAACGGTTTGGAGGTTCCTTAAACTACTAAAAATGGAGCTACCATATGATCTAACAATCCCACTCCTAGGTATATACCCAAAAGAAAAGAAATCAGTATATTGAAGAGATATCTGCACTCCCATGTTTACTGCAGCACTATTCACAATAGCCAAGATTTGGAAGCAACCTAAGTGCTCATCAACAGATAAATGGATGAAGAAAATGTGGTACATATACACAGTGGAGTACTATTCAGCTATAAAAAGGAATGAGATCCACTCATTTGCAACAACGTGGATGAAAATAGAGGCCATTATATTAAGTGAAATAAGCTAGGCACAGAAAGACAAACTTTACATGTTCTTACTTATTTGTGGGAGCTAAAAATTAAAACAATTTAACTCATGGACATAGAGAGTGGAAGGATGGTTACCAGAGGCTGGGAAGGGTAGTGGGGGTCAAGGGAAGTGGAGATGGCTAACAGGTATAAAAATAGTTAGACAGAATAAATAAGATCTAGTACTTGATAGCATAACTGGGTGACTATAGTCAATAATAATTTAATTTTACATTTAAAAATAACTAAAAGAGTATAGGTGGATTGTTTGTAACACAAAGGATAAATTCTTGAGGTAATAGATACTCCATTTACCCTGATGTAATTATTACATATTGCAAGCCTGTATCAAAATATCTCATGTACCCCATAAATATATATACCTGCTATGTATTCACAAAAATAACCCTACTTATCTCAATCCAGTATTAAAACATAGTTTGAATTGCTCTATTCAGGATCACTTTTGTGAAACAGTACAGGGAACATAACATTGGCTAAAAATGTAAGCACTGAATATAGGCGTCTTCAACAGAACGGTAGTCCTCATTTAGAGAAGATGAAAATGAAAGATCACTTCTACTATCTCACTATTTACTTTTCCTCCCAAGACAGCCCCTAAACTACTGTAACAGGATGAGTTAACTAGGCAAAAAACAAAACAAAAACCAATGAATTGGATTCACAGGAAAGGTAGATGAACACTCAGCTGCCTTGAGATGAGATTATGAGGCACCTCCCAGAGCAGAGGAGACAGACACTGGGAGGGAGAAAACATACCAGTGGATTCAGGGGAAATTTCTCAAAAGGAGGGGAGCAGTAGAGACTGAATCAGACTAAGACTGGTTTAACTGAACTGAGAAAACAATGACTCTTGGCTTTCACCCAAGTTGGCAAAGTGAAATTTGTGCTTACTGCACTCCCACAGGCTAAACAGAGAGGCAAATGGGAAGGTTCTCTCCCTTCATTCTTTCTCAAGGAATGAGAAAGAATTTGGAGGAAATTCGGTTTGGAGGAAATTCGGGAAGTACTCCAGCTTTGCTTGTCAGCTGATGTGCAGAGCAGGCTGAACATGTGAGAACCATATTGCCAGTCACCTCAAATGTCTAAGAATGTCTCAGGGAAATTATCTATGCCCTCTGAGGAGCCACGTGAAGCCAAGAGGGGCCCTGAGACAAGGATGCTCAGGGGAAGTTTTGAAATACAGAAAGAGTGGCCGGGTGCAGTGGCTCATGCCTGTAATCCTAGCACTTTGGGAGGCCAAGGCTGGAGGATCCCTTGAGTCCAGGAGTGCAAGACCAGCCTGGACAACACAGCAAGACCCTGCCATTCAATTAGCTGTGTGTAGTGGTGCATGCCTGTAGTCTCAGCTATTCTGGAGGCTGAGATGAGTGGATCACTTGAGCCCAGGAGGTCGAGGCTTCAGTGAGCCATGATAACAGCCACTACACTCCAGCCAGGGTGAGAGTGAGACCCTGTCCCTAAAATAATAATATTAATAATGATTAAAAAGAAAGAGATATGGTTCAGTGAGGCTTCCAATTTTACAATGCTTTGCAATTTTTAAAAAAATATTCTTTCTGTATCTCTCTCTCTCTCTCTCTCTCTCTCTCTCTCTCACATACACACACACACACACACACACACCCCAGAGCCCTGCCAAGGCATTGCTAAGCCTGTGATTGGGCTGTAATTTCACCTGCACTCTCTATCCTTAAACTTAAAATACTCTTTTTCTCTTTTGCCTTCCCCACTCCAATCCCTTCAGTCATCAATCTCCACTTTCCATGAAAAATCAAGAAACTCACGCGATTTTGTCACAGACAGTGCACTTCCAGCTGCCATTGGGGCCTGCAACTCGACACTCCCTGCATACCCTCAGTGAGCAAGCCTGACAAGGGTCTCCCCGGTCAAAGATTAGGCCCAGGTTTCTGTGACAGTGAACACAAACTCTGCTGGCCTCTTGTTGAGTTTTCCCACTTCTACGTTTTGCTTCTAAGAGTTCATTTTTCAGCTTCCTGAAAGAAGAGGGGAAAAAAAATCACTTAAAAAAACAAACAGGAGCAGAGATATCTACAATGTCTAAAACAATGTCTAAAATAGATAGAATATTTGCCTCAAATAAGGCTGCTTTAAACTGGGGACCACCATGCAATCTCACTTAGAATTTTGAAAAGGTGCCTATTTGGTGTCGCTAGTTTCAATTCCCATCTCTTTAATCAAGAGATATTTTCATTTGGAAGGACATTTGAATCAAGGAGTTAGAACCAAATATTTTCAGGAAATACAATTTCTCCCTCCAGAGGCAACAATCCTTTGATATCAGTAACTGAAAAATAAAATGTTTGTGTTTTACTTTTGAATTTTGACATTCTCTTCCAGCACTATTATTTTGCTATTAGTATTTATTCTCATTCTACTGTAACTTCTCTAGGATATCTTTGATACCATAACACTAGAGAGCATGGCCCCAGGTTACAGGCATACACAGTACCTGGTTCTTTACCTGCCTATATATACTACTTGAGGCAGGAGTGTGAAATCAAACTCAGCATCATTGTAGGCACAATCTCCATGCACTTAAGAAAAGTAATAAAGACATTGCCTACCATTTCAGATGAGATCAGGTGCTTTCAGAGTGGTATGGCTGTAGACTGCCTACCATTTCACATCGAAAAGCTTCTGCTTAGCATTTGAAAGTTTCCAACAATTTCTATTAGCCTATGGGCTTTGCTGTTAGACATGCCTATGTTTAAATCCAGGTTCCATCATGAATAAGCTGTCCAGCCTCAGGCAATGATTTACCCACTCAACCCCAGTCTCTTCATTTCTAAAATGAGAGTAATAATATTCCTTCATGATTGTTTTAAAGATTAAATGAGATGATAAATGTAAAGTTCCCAGCATGCTGCTTGGTACATAGGTTCCATGTCCCTTCTTTTACTACCTGACATGTGATATATTTATCCTTTAGAAAATTGCTGTTCCAAGTGTGGTCCTTGTTCCAGCAGTATCAGCATCACCTGGGAACGTTTTAGGAATGCAGAATCTCAGGCACTGCCTTAGACCCTGTTGGATCAGAACCTACATTTTAACAAAATTTTCAGGTGATTTGAGTTGGAGAAGCACAGCTTTGGAGATTCAGTCTCAAATTTGGCTATATATTGGAATCACTTTGGAAAGATTTTAAAAATACTGATTCGCAAATCTCACTTCCACAGATTCTAACATAATTAGCTTTGGATGTGGCCTAGGTAACGGGATTTTTAAAAGCTTCACTGTTTATTCCAATATATTGCCAAATTTGTAAAACACTGCTCCAGAAGACAGGTTCCTTCTCACTTAAATGCTTCACAGACATGTCATTGCTTGGTGCTACTGAGCCAATCTCTTCTTCAACACAGAATGTCTATGTTCTAGGAAAAAAAAATTGAGAATCATCCCACACATTTTATACCATATCTTTTTACATTTGTGGTGTTAAACTTTGTCATGCCCATCTAGACTAGCATCTTCCCAAAGGCAGGAACAAAGGCCTTAGTTTATTGTATATACTGCTCAGGATCCAATTTCATGCTAGGTAATAAAGCAGTTGAATATTTAAAGCTATTTATTATTTCTTTTGATCTTTCAAACTAGCTTGTGAGGTATTGTAAGACTCATGTTAAAAATAATAAGCAGTACAGATGGAATCAGGAACCAGGTCATTTATTTCTCAGCCTGATGATAGATTCATAAAAAGAGAATTTTCAAACTGTAGAGCAAAGTTTTTAAAATCTTTGACTTCATGTCTCACTCATTCATCCAACAAGCACTTATAGTACGCCTACACTGTGCTAGGCATTCTGGTATTGAGGAAAAAAATGAGTCTAAACAAAACATCTACTAAGAATTACCATTACCCTTTATGTTAGTTAAGGAGACAAATGACACACCATGACTCATGTGTTGCAACAGGCAGCCATACTAAGCACTTTTAAGTCCCCACCAAGTTTGTGGTAATTTGTTACAGCAGCCACAGGAAATGGATATACCCTTGACTTGGCTTCATTTCTTACAGAGTACATCATTCCTGGGCATAACACATCCAACTCCCTGGGCTTTCAGTTCTTTGACCTGGTCATCTTCTTTGACCTTCCTGTCCATGTGCACCATTCACTCTCATGAAGAAACCCTGGAAGTTGTTATCTCTAGAAATTATATTATATCCAAAATCATGAATTTAAACACTGTTGAAACCATTATTCAGTTCTAATGAGTACATCACTTTCTCATTATCCATCATTTCTCCTCTCAGCCTCACTTCCCCTTGGAGCCAGAACAGAAGGAACCCTGCTTGGGATTGTGCGTCTCCTACCCTACAAACATCCTGGAGGCAGAATATCAGCTCTTTGAACATTCATGTGGATTAAACAGAGTGAGAAGATATCACAGCCTTCTGTTATCAGTTTCATATGGAGAAATGGTAATGACGACAGAAAGGAGACCTCTTTGTCCCATCACCAAATATTTCAAGCAATGAAGCATAACTTTTCTCTTTCCTTTCCTTCAACATAAGCAGGCACAGATCCTTAGTAGGGGAAGAGAAAAGAGAAAAAGAAGTAAAAGAAGAGGAAAAGAAAACCTTTATTCCTTCCCTGTGGCTCACTGCAGTGGCTTGAAGTGCTGTATGAATTTGAGGCATATGGGAAGGAGATTGAAATGGATAATAATTAATAATTTAAAAAATGTCTAAAATAGATGGAATATTTGCCTCAAATAAGACTGCATTAAACTGGAACCACCATGCAATCTCACTTAGAATTTTGAAAAGGTGCCTATTAGGTGTCCCTACTTTCAATTCCCTTCCAATCTACTCTCCATGGAATAATCAATATCATTAGTCAATACTCTTTTAAAATATTTCTTACATCATGTGGTTCCTCTGCTTAAAACCAACCAGTAGTTTTCCTTTATATTTTTAATGAAATTTATACCTCTTTCCCATAGCCTGTAAAGATCTGCCTAATCTGCTCCCTCTTCCCTCTGGTCATCTCCTGTCTACAGATAGGAGATAGGATTCAGCAACATAATTCTTCTTAAAGTTTCATAAATATACCAAGTTCTTTCCCACTTCAGGGCCTTTGAACATGCTATTTCTTCAGCTGGGAATGCCTTCCCTCCACATTCCATCACCCAAAACAGTAGTCATTTATCTGTTCACTAAATACTTCCCATTCTCCTTACTTCTGAAAGCAAGTTGGGATTGCACCTTTCTGCCCTGTTGGCATTAGATGTCATCATGTGACTCACACTGGCCAATGAAACGTGGTAAGTAATCCCAGCTAAAAGCTTTAAAATCAAGGGCAGGGTTCACCACACACCCTTTTCTTTCCATAGAGAATGACAATGTTCCAAATAGTGTCTGCTCTGCAAGTCTGGATCCTGGTCTGAAAATGCCATGAAGTAGAGTCCCCAGACATCCTGTTATGAACATGTGGCATGAGTGAGAAATCTTTGTTGTTTTAAGCCACTAAGAGTTTGGAGCTGTTACTGCAGCATCACTTAACCTATATTGACTGATAAACATACAACTTAATTCTTAATCTGGCTGGCTCCCGCTTATTTTTTTTTTAATTTTAGTTTTACTGCTGCTTGCCCAGGGAAGGTTTTCTCTGACCACCAAATCTACAACAGCTTCACATTCTTTAATTTTCCTTGTTGCTCTATAGATACATTTATATTAACATATAAATTGCTGACCTATATGTAGTTGAAATTGTAAAGACTGAAAAGATTAACTATCTTGATGGTTGTTGAATGATACAATCTTTTCATTTCTGTATTCTAGTGATATATTGAATGTTTTTTTCCATCCCATCATCAAAAATGTTCCATGTATTAAAAAGACTTTTTGCTTTATCATCACATAGACACATTTCTTTCAAATCAGGAATTGCTTTCATTAAAATTCTTGTCACATTTGTGTGGCATTATTTTTCTTGTGTTATCTTGTCTGGACCAAATTGTACTGAACACCATTTTACACCAAATAAGATAGGAATTTTAGAATGGAAGCAATTAGCTGCCTTGAAGAGGAAGCCATGAATAAACAGTTTATAAAGTATCTTTAATTCCTTGATGCTTTTAAACAATCTCATCTAGTAGAGCACATCAAGGCCTAAGGGAGATAATGAGCAAGCAAGGATTACACAGTGGCCCAGAGCACAGGGTTCTAAAGTCAGAGTGCCTGGGTTCAAGTTCTGGCTATGCCACTTATTTCCTCTGAGACCTTAAGACAATTATTTAACGTCTCTCTGTCTCAAGACTTAAGGAGACTTAACCTCTTTGTGTCTCAAAATACTTCTGTAAAAACAGCATTACAGTGTTGTTATGAGCATTAAGTAAGACAATGTTTGTAAGTGTTTAGCACAGCTTGACACATAATAATTATGGAATAGACAATTCTGGTATGTGTTTCCCAATATCTGTTCTCCCTTTCTTCTTTATTAGTGGAACATCTAGCTATACTCATGGCCACTCAGAATAAAAACTAGATTTCTCAGTATTTCTTGCAGTTAGGTTTTGTCATGATACTAAATGCTGGCCAATGGAGTGTAATCAGAAACGATATACCTTTAGGTCATGCCTTTAATGGAAGAGGGAGAATCCTCTTCCCTTGACCTCTTCTCTTTTTCCTGAAGCTGGGATGAGAACATAGGAATGAACCATCCTGGATCAAGAGCTAAACTCTCAACATGGTGGAGCAACAAAAGATAGGGAGTCCAGACCCCTGCTTTAATGCAGCCCCCATAACAATACCACAAAAGCCACCAGTCAACCCAGACTTTTACGTTAGACAGGAATATGTTCCCATTTTAAGTCATGATTATAATGTGTCTCTGTCACCCGCAGCCAAACCTATTTCCCAAAAAAATACAATAAGAACTCAGGAAATATTAGTTTTTATTCTTTCTTCCACTTGCAGAGATGTTGCTGTCAGGTTTTGCTTCAGCCTCTGATGTAATGCCTGCAAGCTAAGTACTTCTCTAGAACTAGTGTTTCATATTCCATTAAGAGAGCAAGGCCACAGTGACTGACAAAGTCTATTGTCAACAATGACACAAAAATCACTAAAATAATATATGCGGGCAGAATAATGTCACAGCAGCCTGATTCTGATGCCTGCACAGCTCCTTGCACTCCCATCTTTTGTAAGATTCAGAGACAATGCCATCAACACTGTGGTATTTCATATTTGCCTGAGGAAAATTCAAGGCTGACCAGACCTTCTTTCTGTACTCTGAATATAAAAAAAATTATGCTTTCATTTGTGCTGTAGCTTCCACATGCAGTGCCTATCATTAAAACCTAAATTTCACAACACTTAGCCACATAATAACAGGCACTTTACTTTACATGTTGATATGGTTTGGCTGCATCCCCACCCAAATCTCATCTTGAATTGTAGCTCCCATAATTCCCAGGTGTTGTGGGAGAGACCTGGTGGGAGATAATCATTTGGTGGGTCTTTCCTGTGCCATTCTCATGATAGTGAGATCTTATGAGATCTGATGGTTTTATAAAGGGGAATTTCCCTGCACAATTTCTCTTCTGTTCTCTGCTACCATGTGACATGTGCCTTTCACCTTCCGCCATGACTGTGAGGCCTCCCCATCCAAGAGGAACTGTGAGTCCACTAAACCTCTTTTTTTTTTTTTTTTGTAAATTGCCCAGTCTCGGGTATGTCTTTATCAGCAGCATGAAAACAGACTAATAAAGTAAAGTGGTGCCAGTAGAATAGGACACTGCTGAAAAGATACCCAAAAATGTGGAAGCAACTTTGAAACTGGGGAACAGGCAGAGGTCGGAAGAGTTTGGAGGGCTCAGAAGAAGACAGGAAAATGTGGGAAAGTTTGGAACTCCCTAGAGACCTGTTGAATGGCCTTGACCAAAATGATAATGATATGAACAATGAAATCCAAGCTGAGGTGGCCTCGGATGGAGATGAGGAACTTGTTGGGAACTGGAGCAAAGGTGACTCTTGTTATTTTTTTTTTGTTTTTGAGATGGAGTTGCACTCTGTCGCCCAGGCTGGAGTGCAGTGGCGTGATCTCAGCTCACTGCAAGCTCCACCTCCCGGGTTCATGCCATTCTCCTGCCTCAGCCTCCCAAGTAGCTGGGACTACAGGTGCCCACCACCACGCCTGGCTAATTTTTTGTATTTTTAGTAGAGAGGGGGTTTCACCATGTTAGCCAGGATGGTCTCGATCTCCTGACCTTGTGATCTGCAAGCCTCAGCCTCCCAAAATGCTGGGATTACAGGCATGAGCCACCGTGCCTGGCCTCTTGTTATGTTTTAGCAAAGAGACTGGTGGCATTTTTCCCCTGCCCTAGAGATGTGTGGAATTTTGAACTTGAGAGAGATGATTTACAGTATCTGGGGGAAGAAATTTCTAAGCAGCAAAGCATTCAAGAGGTGACTTGGGTGCTGTTAAAAGCATTCAGTTTTAAAAGGGAAACAAAGCATAAAAGCCTGACGATGCGATAGAAAAGAAAATCCCATTTTCTGAGGAGAAATTCATGCCGGCTGCATAAATTTGCATAAGTAATGAGGAGCCAAATGTAATCACCAAGGCAATGCAGGAAATGTCTCCAAGGCATGTCAGAGACCTTTGCGGCAACCCCTCTTATCACAGGCCTGGAACAAAAAAAGGTTTCATGGGCAGGGCCCAGGGTCTCCATGCTGTGTGCAGCCTAGGGACTTGGTGCCCTGCATCTCAGCTGCTCCAGCTGTGGCTGAAAGGGGGCAATGTAGAGCTCAGACCACGGCTTCAGAGGGTGCAAGCCCCAAGCCTTTGCAGCTTCTATGTGGTATTGAACCTGCAAGTGCACAGAAGTCAAGAATTGGGGTTTGGGAACCTTTGCATAGATTTCAGAGGATGTACTGAAATGCCTGGATGCCTAGGCAAAAGTTTGCTGGAGGGGCAGGGCCCTCATGGAGAACCTCAACTAGGGCAGTATGGAAGGGAAATGTGGGGATGGAGCCCCACACAGAGTCCCTACTGGGGCACCACCTAGTGAAGCTGTGAGAAGAGGGCCACTGTCCTCCAGACCGCAGAACAGTAGATCTACTGACAGCTTACACTGTGTGCCTAGGAAAGCCACAGACACTCAACATCAGCCCGTGAAAGCAGCCAGGAGGGAGGCTGTACCCTGCAAAACTACAAGGGTGGAGCTGCCCAAGACCATGGGAACCCACCTCTTGCATCAGCGTGCGTGACCTGGATGTGAGACATGGAGTGAAAGGAGATCATTTTGGAGCTTTAAGATTTGACTGCCCCCCTGGATTTCAGACTTGCATGGGGCTTATAACCCCTTCATTTTGGCCAATCTCTCCCATTTGGAATGGCTGTATTTACCTAATGCCTGTACCCCATTGTATCTAGGAAGTAACTAACTTGCTTTTGATTTTACAGGCTCATAGATGGGAGGGACTTGCCTTGTCTCAGATGAGACTTTGGACTGCAGACTTTTGAGTTAATGCTGAAATGAGTTAAGACTTTGGGAGACTGTTGGGAAGGCATGATTGGTTTTGAAATGTGAGGACATGAGATTTGGGAAGGGCAAGAGGCAGAATGATATGGTTTGGCTCTGTCCCCACCCAAGTTTCATCTTGAATTGTAGTTCCCATAATTCCCATGTGTTGTGGGAGGGACCTGGTGGGAAATAATTGAATCATTTGGGTGGGTCTTTCCCATGCTATTCTCATGATAGTGAATAAGTCTCATGAGATCTGATGCTTTTATAAAGGGAATTTTCCCTGCACAAGTTCTCTTCTCCTGTCTGCCACCATGTGAGACGTGCCTCTCACCTTCTGCCTTGATTGTGAGGCCTCCCCAGCCATGTGGAACTGTGAGTCCATTAAACCTTTTTCTTTTGTAAATTGCCCAGTCTTGGGTATGTCTTTATCAGCAGCATGAAAACGAACTAATACACATGTCATACCATTGCTTTGACAACAACCCATGAAAAATACATTATGATTCCCATTTTATAGACAGGAAAGTGGAATCTCCGAGAGGTAACTTGTGGGTCACAGGGCTATTAAATAAGGAGGTCAGGATTCAGACCCTGAATTTTACATTCCAAAATCTGCACTCTTCCCACACACCAGTATCCTCCCACTGGCTCTCAATATATTAAAATATTTTTGCTCAGAAAGGACTCCGTATTTATTCATGACTGTTGTTTCTTTCCTAGCTGTGCAAAGCCATGCTGAGCACACTCAAAGTTAAGCCTCAGTAAACATGGAGGGTTTCTTCCGCCCGCCCAGCTTCTTTCAACATATGGCATCTGCCCAAACTGGATCTTATCACAAAGTCTCTCATGACAAATATTCCCCAAGAGAGTCATTCTTCAACAAGCATGACTCTATCTTAATACATTTTGTATAACTTTTGATTAGTTTTCAAATCAAAGGCTATTAAAAAGAATCACAACTCTCTGAGAACTGGGAAAAAGTTATGCCTGGATAAAAAGCTGCTTAAGAGAAAGTAACAAGAAGAAGGAGTAAAAGAACACTTGTTTAGATAAAGAAGTCTTGTGACTTGTGCCAATTTCATGTTTACAAATAGTCTCAAGGAAAGAGGGCATTGTGAAGTCTTCATATCTGCAGAAGAAACTTCCTGATATTAAAAAGCTTGGCTCATAGGAATATACCGGAAAATCTCACAAAACCATGTCAACTGACAGGCAATTGACAAAAAACAAAACAAAACAAAACAAAAAACCCAAATCCAAAAAATACTGAAAACAACGGAGCAATAATGCTGAAAAGTAACAGTTTTAGGGAAAATAATTAAAACCACAGAAATACGAGGAAGAACTTAACCAATCCCTTATAACCTAAGAGAATCAATGACTTATTACAGATTTTCCAGAAACATTAAATGTGCTCATATATGCAAAGGGACAATGACTCAAGCATTCATTCTGAATTCTTTTTAAAAAGGACAATGGAGACAAAACAGCAAACATTATCTGTCTCTGTAAAGTCATGATGATGGTGACCTCTGCCAAATTTTGCCTGACTTCTCACCCTTGCTTAGATTCTTCTCCTTTCCTGTGTTGCTTTCCCTACTAGTAGTTTATGGTTTCTCTTTAATAAATCACTTGCACACAAATCATGAGTTCAAGGTCTACCTCTGGGGGAATCCAACCTAAGACAGGGATCTTATAAATAATATGACAAAAACAGCTCGTTACAACTCTAAAGGAGTTAGGAATCACTGCAATTTGATACCTTGCTGTTTATTCACTATAGTCTTATCATAGCAGAAATTTATCTCATACGTAATTAGCAAACCAAGTCTCCCACATGGAACTATCTTAAAATAACTATTGTCTCAATTTCCTGGCCCATTAAGAAACAAGAATGTGTTTTGCTAATCTGAAACCCAAAGAATACCTTGCTCGAGTATTAAAAACATCAGAAAGTCTTGTTATCAATATGATAAATTACTCAGAAAAAAACAGAGATGGAGATAGAATCAGTACAGCAAGAAGTAGGAAAGCTGCATTTCTTTAAAAAACAACCAAGATAAAATGCTGGGCTTCTTAAAATATTTGGTATCACAATGCAATGATAGAATTGACTTGATGGAAGAAAATTGGGCATTCATACAAAAAAACTGATACTTTAGAGAGAACATGTTGCTCATGAAAAATTCTTTAAAACCAATTCTGCTGCTGAATATGGACACATACTAGAGGGTTTCCATTTTAGTTTTTATAAATGTATAACTGAAGTTTATTTCTAGAATGACTCTAAATTGAATTTGTGCAAACTAAATTATTTTAAATGTGGTGGGGAAGGGGTTATATGTTCAGCAAAGGCAGTTATCAGTACTTACTTTTTCCCATTTTACCTTTTTAGGTGATACTTATGGGGATTCACATTTTCACAGATAAAGGTTATTGCAAAACACATTTCGAGCAGTTTCCCTAGTTGTCAGTATCAGTACATGATACAAGAAATGTTGTCACCATTTCTTTGAAATTTGTTGAATATGAATATAAATGTTTCCTTTATGTGTTGTTCTTTCCTTAAATGCTTCACTGAAAACCATCACTGGCAGTTAATTACAAACTTTCAGATTCTACGAAAGGAAGGTGAGATTTGTGATAAACAATAAACAATCTGATTCACAAGATGCATGGTCTTAATTGAATCAATTTTCTCAGATTGCCGGTTTTTAAAATTAAGGAAATATTATTCAAAATATGAATCACAATATAAGAGGATTTAAGAATGAGAATGTTCATGGAAATAAGAATAAATAGTTAAGAAACACGTTGCACATTCATGTTATATGGAAAAATCTTATGTTATGAAATCTTATCCAGCCAATAAAAATGTTTACAAATAATTTTTAATGACATGAAAAATGTTCATGAAATAATGCAAAGCAAAAATAAAGAATAAAATTTACATATATAGTATGTATATGTAAATTTCATGCAATTTCCAGCTATATGAAAATATGTATATATATATGTATATATATATATATATATATATATATATACATACATACATACATAAAAGTTACAGGAGGGAAATTCAACACAAATGGAGACTATTTACCTCTGGGAAGTGGAATTCTATGTGAGACTTTAATGTTCATATTATATGGTTATCTAATTTTCTATAATAAGCCCATTGATTCTATTAATGAAAATATGTACCAGACAATATTAAATGTTTAAGCAGATTGAGGTTTATGATATTTTATACAGTATGTATATGTAAATTTCATGCAATTTCCAACTATATGAAAATTGCATATATATATGTGTATATATATACACATAAAAGTGACAGGAAGGAAATTCAACACAAATGGAGACTATTCACCTCTGGAAAGTGGAATTCTATGTGAGACTTTAATGTTCATATTATATGGTTATGTAATTTTCTGTAATAAGCCCATTGATTCTATAATGAAAATATGTATCAGAAGATATTAAATGTTTAAGTGGATTGAGGTTTATGGTATTTTAAAAGTTGCAGACATTGATGCCCTTTATAGATCCTAGCACAATACTGAGATTAAAAACTTTAAAAAATTGCTTGCTGTGTAAGAATTTTATTAATTTCTTTGCATTAAATATTTTCATTATGCTTAATTACTCTGCAATAAAAGAACAATTATAAAAATTATGAAATGCATGTTAGCCTAATCTTATTATAAATTTAAATTGGTTAAACCATAACTTCTATTAACATAGGAACATTCTTATAAGATTACTGTTGATATAAAATGGTCACTTGCCTGAAATCTAAAATATTAGTGGTGACATTTTTATTAGTGAAGTTTTCACTTATATCATTTTCTTAGGAATAAAATACCTATTTCTCCAAGGATATAGTTGATATTAGATATTCCCTTATGAGCTGACTTACCTTTGAGGGGATGGGTCTTCTTTACTCCCCCTTCCAGCCCCAACATTCAGCCAGGTTCTGGATTACATGGGCTTTATTGTTCTGTTTCTGCAATTTGCATTGAAAGGGAATGGTAGTTTCTTGGGATGTGAGTGCCAACTAACCCCTGCTGCCTAGAGACATGACCTCTATACCAATTCTGGCTAGAGACAATACACAAGGAAGGGAAAGGGTAGTAAAATGGGAATATGGGGAAGAGTAAAAAATATACAGAGGATCCTTGAACAACATGGGTTTGAACTGCCCAGGTTCATCTATATGTGGATTTTTAAAAAATAAACAAAGTTGGATCTCCATAACCTTGAGTTCTGCATTTGCAACCAAATGAAGATTGAAAACACAGTATTTGTGGAATATGAAACCCACATTTACAGTGGGCCAACTCTCCCTATACACAAGTTCCACAAGGCCAACTTTAGCCTTGAGTATGTGTGGCTTTTGGTATACACCCGGGCCCTGAAACCAATCCCCAGCCTATACTGAGTCTCTCTTTATATAGACTCTCTCCACTTATATATGTAGAGAGAAAACCTATCTCTATATATATTTCTATATATAGTCTAGGTATTTGAAATAATATATATCTTATATGAATATAATATAAACACGTTAATAATTTGAAATAATATAGATCTCTATATAGAGACATATGTAGATACAGATAATAGATATAGTCTCAGGTAACAATCTTACTTATGACTATGGTGATCTATTATTTCAAACCCCCAAGAAAATGGTCTGAAATAGCTAGAAGAGAATAATTAGAATGTTTCTAGCATAAGGAAAAGATAAATACTTAAGGTGATGGATATCACAACTACACTGATTTGATCTTTACAAATTATATAAATGTATGAAATTATAACATGTACCCTGAAAATATGTACATCTACTATGTGTCAATAAAATAAAATGTAAAAAAATATTAAAAATGATCTGGCAAGTTTATTTATTTGGACAATCCAATGTTTAACATGTCTCTGAATATCAGGTATTTGTGGCCCTGTGCCTATGGTGCACCTTACAAGTAACGCTTCCTCGGAGAAAAATGCTCTAGAATCAAAATTAAAGTTAGTTTCCCTAAATGTAATTATATATTGAAATTGGTAAGGTCTTTGCTAGGAAAACGTCCAAGGTTTAAGGCAGATCTGAATATTTTTGTTCATTTTTCTGTGACTCATTAAGCATTTGAGTTCCATTAGGGAGCCAGTATGTTCATGCTGGGAGTTTCTGTTAATCCGTTAAGAAGCTTTGTGGCAATTCTATTAGGATTAAACCAAAGTGTTTACCAAACTAGAAGTCCAGTCCAACAGTTCTCCTGGTGTTTTATGGGGACAATGAGTCTTTAGGCTTTTGAGAAGGTCAAACTAATTTTGCTCTTAGTGGTAGAGTGATAAGATTTGGAAAAACAAACAAATGATCAAACATTTATAGTGTATTAAAAGGGTATTATTGCTTGGCGCTTAGACTCCCTGACTTCCAGGCTGAATGTATAATTCTTGAAATCACTTCAAATCCATTTGAACCAAATATTGAACTTATCTGCAGGATTCCAAATAAGCAATTTGAATGCACGCTCCCCTCCTGTTTCTCCTTCCTTCTCTTCTCCTAGCACTGAAATGACAAAATCAGTCACATTAAGAGAAAACCATAAGGTGAATGGGAGTTACTAGGCTGGGGTCTGTGGTCTCTTGGAGATATTAAGTTCTGGCTTATTTAGTGGCGCATTTCAACTGAGCCAGCTTTACACAAGAAACCAAAATACATTTGCTGGCGAGGATGCAGAGGAAAAGGAACTTTCATACACTGTTGGTGAAAATGTAAATTAGTACAACCACTATAGAGAACAGTTTGGCAGTTCCTCAAGAAACTACAAATTGATCTACCATATGATCCAGCAATCCCACTCCTAGGTATATACCCAAAAAAAGGAAGCCAGTATATTGAAGAGATATCTGCACTCCTATGCTTGTTGCAGCACTGTTCACAATAGCCAAGATTTGGAAGCAGCCATCAACAGATGAATGGATAAACAAAACGTGGTACATATACACAATGGTGTACTATTCAGCCATAAAAAAGAGTGTAATCCAGTCATTTGCAACAACATGGATGGTCTGGAGATCACTATGTTAAGTGAAATAAGCCTGGTACAGAAAGACAAACTTCGCATGTTCTCACTTATTTGTGGGATTTAAAAATCAAATCAATTGAACTCCTGGACATAGATAGTAGAAGGATGGTTGCCAGAGGCTGGAAAGGGTAGTGTGGGGCTCGGGTCGGGGGGGGGATGGTTAATGAGTTAAAAAAATAGAAAGTATGAATAAGACCTACTATTTGATAGCACAGTGTGGTGACTATAGTCAATAATAACTTAATAATATATTTTAAAGTAAAGAATTTATTTGGATTATTTGTAACTCAAGGGATAAACACTTGAGGAGATGGATACCCCATTCTCCATGATGTGTTTGTTTCACATGGCATGCCTGTATCAAAACATCTCATGTATCCCATAAATATATACACCTACTATGTACCCACAAATATTTAAAACTTTTTTTTTTTTTTGAGATGGAGTCTCGCTCTGTCGCCCAGGTTGGAGTGCAGTGGTGCGACCTCGGCTCACTGCAACCTCCACCTCCCAGGTTCAAGCGATTCTCCTGCCTCAGCCTCCCAGTAGCTGGGACTACAGGCGCATGCCACCACGCCCGGGTAATTTTTTGTATTTTTAGTAGGGATGGGGTTTTACCGTGTTAGCCAGGATGGTCTCGATCTCCTGACCTCATGATCTGCCCGCCTTGGTCTCCCAAAGTGCTGGGATTACAGGCGTGAGCCACCACGCCTGGCCTAAAACATTTTTTAAAAAATAAAAAAAATTTTTTTTGAGAAAAAATTTGTTTAAAAAATTCACTGCTAGAGCTGAATAAAACTTTGATTTGGATAGAAAGAAAGGAGAAATGTTATGTTGTAAGGCAACCAATAGAGTTTACCACTGAGGCAAGCCCAAGATTAGGTGCCAAAGAAAACATGTGCAGATATGTTTTCATGTATGGTGGTCAAATGGAAATGATGTACCCTTAGTGAGAATAAAGCTCACAATATACTGCTGAAATGAATATTCACTAATAAGTTGAGGATTTTTAAGTACAAGTCAATACCACAAAGTAGATATTTAACAGTATTTGTTTTTAGGTGTGAGAGATCAAGTAGAGTAAAAATTTGTTAATGAGATTTTTTTGGAGTAGATATTATGACCCACGTACATGTTAGTCTGAGTTCTTTTGAAGTAAATGAAAAGCAATCTAAGGTACAAAATCAAAATAATCAACAATGATTTCCATTTTGTGCTTCGAAACTGTCAGTATTTTTATCCATTTGCAATAATTGTTGATAGCTCAATTTTATTTGCAACATTTCTGCTTTTTCTTCATTGCAGTAAAGCCGTCAATAAATTTGAGTGACTTGCTCTCCATAGAGAACCTTAAAAATATTCTTACCCTCTAACAGTGAAAACCTGTGTCTCGCTATCTCCTACCACTCCTTCCTGCTTAGTCTGAAGGAGAAGAATGTATACAAATATATTTCAGCCTCTTGAATGAACTTAAAATGCAATGGTAGTAGACAGATGCCTATTCCCCAGCTGATGATTTATGCCTGGAGGTAATTATCAGGCTTGCCATGTGCCTTCTGGGTATGGAGCACCTTTACGAGTCCCCAAAGACCAGTCCCACCTTAATCAATGCCACACTTTAGTGGGTATGTGGACTGTGAAGCACATTTGGGTGTCAGGCCTAAAATATTGATTCAGTACAATTTTTACGCTTTCTCCGTCTTCTACATTTTTATCTCAAAGGACAAGCTATTCAAACAAATAAACACACAAACGAACAATAAATCCACTGCCTCCCAAACTCCACTTTACTAACTTTTCAGATAAGTTTATTCTTTGTAATCTTTTTCAGTCTAAAAAAAATTTTGGTTTCCATTTCCTTCTGAAACTGATTAGTACAGTCTGAAGGTGGCTTTGTGGCTCATGGTAAACAGCCAAAACATAGTTGACCTATATTTGCCAATGTGAAAAGTCCTTTTCACATTTCAAAGGCAAGCACAAACGTTCACCTTTTCTGTGAAACCATTGCTTCAGTTTCTATCTTACTTGTAATTAATTACTTCTTCCTTTAGACTCCCCCCAAAATATCCATTTGTACCTCTATAGCATGATGAAAACTATTGTAATAGCTAGCACCAAAGTTTACTGTTGTAATAAAATCTGTTACCCATCTAAATTTCTTGTATTGATGGTTTTGGAGGATATCAAGGAAAAAGGACTAAGTTCTCTGGCCTGGCAAAGAAAAGAGTAAGGAATAGCCATAAGTGGTGAGATGCAAGGAGAGAGGAGAGTTCAACAGAAGCGGGGGTACAGAGTCAGGATGAGCTATACAATTCACAAAAGTGTGGGAACGGGGGCTATAGCCAGCTTTATATAAATTCCTGAGACAGTTAATTATTTGTATCAACTTAACTGGACCACTGGGAGCCCAGATATTTTGTTAAACATTATTTCTGGATGTTTCTGTGAGGGTGTTTCTGTATGAGATTAATATTTGAATTAGTAGACTGAGTAAAGTAGGTTGCCCTCCCCAATATGGATGTACCTCGTCTAACCCGCTGAAGGTCTGAATAGAGTAAAAAGCTGAGTAAGAATGAATTTTCTCTCCCTGTCTTCAGGCTGGGACATCAGTTTTCCCTTGCTACTGACTGCCAGACATGGATTGGAACTTATTGCATCAGCTCTCCCGGTTCTCAGCCTTTGGACTCAGATTCAAATTATACCATCATCTCTCCTAGGTCTGAACTTCTCAGCCTCCATAATCATATGAGCCAATTCTTTATAATAAATATTTTTATCTATCTATCTATCTATCTATCTATCTATCTATCTATCTATCTATCAGAAAAATGTTTGCAGAATTTAATTGCCATGCAGACCCACTGCGCTAAAGTTAAGGTACCCTGAACTGATTTAGGTTGTACTTAAATTCATAATAAAATGGCTATTCAGAGGAGATAAAGGGAGAAAAGCCAACAGAAAGTTATATTATCTGACCAAGATGCTTAATCTTGGGCTTCTTTCTTTAGCTTGGACTTTTTTCTTTACCAGTATGTAAACCACAATGACTGTGATAAAAATTGTTGGGAAGATCATAGCTTGTAAATCAAATGAACCAAAATTCTTTATTTTAATGCTCACCTTGCAGACTTATTATATTTCCCCTGAAACGAACTTTACTAAATAGTAATAGCTTTGGTAATACAAACTTCATAGTGTCTCAGACTGGGTTTTCTAGAAGCGAATTCTGCTATGTAGATTTGTGTGCAAGCGACTTATGTAGTGCTCTCAAGAGAAATCTATAAGGGAGTAAGGGAGGCAGGAGAAGGCAGGGAGAGGGGCTAAGCAAGGGTGTGATTTTTAGGTGAAGTCCAGCCTCAGCATCATCCCACGGGAAGCTCTGGAGCTTAAGTTGCATTGCAGAGTCTGTTCTGCCTTGAGGCAATGGATTTCTGTACCCGTCAACCATTGGCTTTGGGCTACCCAGTTAACACTCAAGTTTACCTGGCACTTGTGTCTCTTTAATCCTATGGGAAACTCCAGTCACCCGAAGGTAATTTTGTACTTCAAGTCCTTAGAATAAAGTGCATGAAAACTAGGAGGTGAGAGGGACTCCAGGGGATCTGAGTAGAGCACTGATAGTGTCTACTGCAACTAGCAAATCAAGGGCACCACAAACCAACTATAGGGCTAATGATTATAACCAACAATTTTTGAGTGCTTACTGTATGCTGGCATTGCTCTAAGCTGTTTGTAATATTAGCTTATTTAATCCTTAGAACAATCTTATGATGTCACTGATATTATTTCTGTTGTCAAATGGGGAAACTAGATTTATCCATGGAAACATCTTGTCTAAAATGATACAGATATTTCATGCCGAAAGTAAGATTTGAACTCTGGCTGTGTGATTCAACAGCATACACCCTCAACATCATGCCACCCACTTTGGAATGACTTCTGAATACACCAAGCTGTTAAGAGTGGTGAAGCCTGAGTCATATTACAAGAACTCAGAACAAAATGAGACAACACATCTAATGCAGTTAATGCAGATGGAACAAGGAGACAAGACGTAGCTTTAGAAAATCTCTTTTCTGTAAAAGTATCTCTTGGATTTATAAACAGCCTTTCTTATGCTATTCTCAAAAAAGTTTGAAGAGCCAGGAAACCAATGACTTTATTCTTGATACTCTGTTGTATATTACACCCAATTTAACCGAATTTACTTATAGGGAATAAGGAAAGAAGACTAGGGAAGAAAAATGGAATGAGAAAAAGGAAGAAAGAGTATAATAATAATAATTGTTATTATTATTATTTTTTGAGATGGAGTCTGGCTCTGTCACCCAGGCTGGAGTGCAATGGCACGATCTTGGCTCACTGCAAGCTCCGCCTCCTGGGTTCAAGCGATTCTCCTGCCTCAGCCTCCCGAGTAGCTGGGATTACAGGCGCACACCACTGTGACCCGCTAATTTTTGTATTTTTAGTAGAGACGGGGTTTCGCCATGTTGGCCAGGCTGGTCTCAAACTCCTGACCTCAGGTGGTCCACCCTCCTCAGCCTCCCAAAGTGCTGGGATTACAGACGTGAGCCACTGCGCCCAGCCAACAATTATTAATACAAGTTATTGATAATGACAGAAACAAATATTCAGAACAAAGTCCTATTCATTGTACTTCATTGTCTCTGGGCATCTGGTTATTAAATTGTTTATTCCTATAGAAATAATTTTTTTTGAGACAGAGTCTCACTCTGTCACCAGGCTTGAGTGCAGTGGCGTGATCTTGGCTTACTGCAACCTCCACCTCTGGGGTTCAAGTGATTCTCCTGCCTCAGCCTCCCGAGTAGCTGGGACTACAGGCGTGCACCACCACGCCCTGCTAATTTTTGTATTTTTAGTAGAGACGGGGTTTCATCATGTTGGCTAGGATGGTCTCAATCTCCCCACCTCCTGATCCGCCCACCTCTGCCTCCCAAAGTGCTGGGATTACAGGCGTGAGCCACCACGCCCGGCCAGAAATGATTTTTTTTTTTTTTTTGAGACGGAGTCTGGCTCTGCCGCCCAGGCTGGAGTGCAGTGGCGCAATCTCGGCTCACTGCAAGCTCCGCCTCCCGGGTTCATGCCATTCTCCCGCCTCAGCCTCCTGAGTAGCTGGGACTACAGGCACCCGCCACCACGCCCGGCTAATTTTTTGTATTTTTAGTAGAGATGGGGTTTCACCGTGTTAGCCAGGACAGAAATGATTTTAAATTCCCCTTGGAATGTCATCAATTCCTAGTTAATATGTCACCCCCTATAAACAACATAATTTTTTTTGGCAGGGCATTACACAAATTAGTTTACTTTTCATGACTTGACTACTAATGTCAAAAATATTATTCATGATTTCTTTGAAATTATTAACTACATTTTGTTGCCACCTGAATTCTATGCATAGAAAAAGTGCAATAATTTTCATCGAAACTTTTGTTTCTTCAAGATTAGTTGAATATCTTGGAAAAGTGGAAATGAAGCTTCTGGGCTCTTAACTGTGAAATAAACATCAATCAAGAATACTTAAATTATTTCCATTTCTAAAGATCCTAGTGGCTTTGGGCACATTAAAGATTTTTTCAACATGTGAATATAATCACATGATAAGTTTTCTCCTCAGGTAAAATAAACATAAGCTTCTGATTGTAGCTTGGGGAGCCATACAAGACACAAAACCTACACATTGCATAGTTGGCAGTGACTGAGGAAGGAACACTATTTCTGCTCCTTTTTTTCTGGGGTAAGGTGTAATGACCAAATATATTTTAAAACAAAGACGGTACAGGCAGCAGCCAATCACAGTGGATTTTGCAAATGATCAGAACAATGATGTGACCAATTAGAGCAGGCGACGCAACCAATCAGAATTGATGCTGGCTGAAATATTAGGTGAAGTCATGCCGGGGAAACCAGCTAAATATGAGCTCTGCCTACAGTGGATATGAAATTCAACTGTGCCCACATCGTTCAACTTTCTTCACAAGAAACTTATTTTTAAAAATTCAAGTGGTTTCTGGGGTATGATGGGAAATTTTTACTCTCCAGGTCCCTTTCTTCTCGCAGCTGTGCTGGAGGCAAATCCCCAGTAAGACTGATCTGACAATGGCATTACAAATAAATAATAGCTAACATTTATTGAACACTTAGGTGACAGGCACTACATATGTATAAACTTCCTTAATCTTTACAACAACCCTATAAGGTGGATACTGTTATTATCTTTGTTTTACCGATGAGGAAACCAAGGCATAGGGAAGTTGAGTAGCTTGCTCAAAGTCACACGACTAATACTTGCCAGAGCTGGTACTCAAACTTAGGTAGTCCTTCCTCTTAACTAAAAATTATGACTTTATTAGCAAATTAAGTGTTCTCATCAATACCACTTTATTAGCTAAATTCCATTTTCATGTCTGGCTAAATGGTGAAATGCCAAAGTTTTCCGATATTTGGGCTACTGATGAGAACTCATGAAGTTCCTAACTGACATCTGTCCCCATTGTGGTTGCACTTGGCCCATTTCTGATCTAAATTGCTTCAAACAAACAGAAAGCAGTCAAGGAGGACTGAAAAAATAAAAAGAATACTACCTTATTCTCTTGTCCTCCACTTTTTTCAAATATTCATCTCTCTTTAGGACGCCCAGGATCATTTCCTTCTCATGATCTAATAAAAATGACAGATTGATGAACTCTGAGTTCTTAGACATGGTATTTCAGCAGCAGCTCTGAGTAGCAGTGGTTGAATCTTCAAGAAGGTGAATTGATATCTACAACTAAGATTCCCCCAACCAATTCAGAATCACTCAGTTGTTTGGTGTAAAGTGTGATTTTTACAAGGTCTCTGCAGAATTGCGTATGGTAGTTAAGTATTCTTTCAGGCTATACGTAGAACAGCCTCCACTGGGATTACACTCCAAGAAAGTCATTATTGTTTTAACTGAAAAATGTTTCCAAAGCCTTTGCTGTGGTATACAGTCAGGCAGCAGCTGAATTTAACTAACGATGCTCAACTTCAATTCTTCAGAACAGGAATCAGATCCGCTGGGAGAGAATGCAGAAAACACTAAGACGGTGGAGAAAAAAAAGAGGAGAGAAAAATTTAATTAGGCTATTTTTCCCATAGCACTTGTAAAACTGCCTAATTTTTGAAATTTTGTTGTATCTAACTCAAAAAACTATTTTTTAAAACAGTAAACATGCATTTATTAAATCTTTATTTAGTGTTTTTTTAACCAGGAAATGTTATTTGGATTTAGTTGATTCCTGGTTCTCTATGCAAATTCAGTTTTCTCCATTATAATTAGCTTCCTCCGCCAGCTGCATCACGTCGCCACTCTTGCAGCTGACTGATGGGTGAATTGGGTCACCACTTTGGGACACTAAGTGCACAATCTGGACTGCCCATAACAGATCAGGGCCTTTAAGTGGCTCCCTCCTTCTTTCTTCCTTCCTTTCCAAAACTAGGCCCACAGCATAAAAAGCCCTGCTGTTGAGACAAATACGAACCTCTGCTACATGCATCAACCTAAATAGATCTCACAAACACTGCTGAATAAAAAAAATTAAGTTACAGGCTGGGTGTGGTGGCTCACATCTGTAATCCCAACATTTTGGGAGGCCAGGGTGGGAGGATCTCTTGAGGCCAGGAGTTTCAGACTAGCCTGGGCAACATAGTGAGACCCATGTCTCTACAAAAAATTTAAAAATTAGCTGGGCATGGTGGCAGATACCTGTAGTCCCAGGTACTTGGAAGGCTAAGGCAGGAGGTAATCACTTGAGCCTAGGACTGTAGTGAGCTTTGAGATTTCACCACTGCCCTATAGCCTGGGCAAAAGAGTGAGACCCTGTCTCTTAAAAAAAAAATTACGTTACGGAAGAATTCATGAAAAATGATAGCATATACATATATACATATATATGTGAAGTATATAACTTGCAAATATATATATAATTTAGAAATGCCTACATTCATAGTATAAATATAGGCAAATTAGGAAATTCAAGATCATGATTACCTCTGGTGGACACAGGTATTCAATTACAGAAGAGAACACAGCGGCTTCAATGCATTGGGTAATGTTTTGCTCTCAAAATGAGTGTTTATATCTCATGATGTACATGGTTGTTTGTGAATTATTTTAGGTATGTATTGTATATTGTAAAATGGATGTTTTAAAACTACCCCTTTGTCAACATAAGAAGCTCACCAGGCCCTGACTCTCATCCTAACTCTTGAGCACATTCTTTCATTGGTTTGTTACCTGGATTCTCTCTCTAAAGCTGCTTAAGAATGATGACTTCTTGGGTAATCTACCTGATTTTTGTGATTGGGCATCATCCCATGATACTGTCCCTTAGCTTTCCCCAAGATCTATGAACTACAATTTACCTGCAAGTTACACTTGGTATGCTTGCCTCTAGGAAGGCTCCCAGGAATAACTACATACATACTTAAAGGCTGCTTTGGGGCCTCCCAGTAACCATGAGGTCAGGCTGACCCCAAAATCTCAGGAGATCTGAAAGGAGAGGATCTTGTCCAGAGCTTCCTCGACTTCCACAAACCCCTATGTGTTTGTTCTATACAGTGTACACCAAACCAGAACTTTGCTGAAATGACTCAGAAATGAACTGCTTCCTACAGACAAAGAGCCAGCCCCCTCTTAGGAAGCTGTTCAGGTTAGTGCATATTCTCTGGATTTACTCCAGGTCTTCCCTCCATCTTGAAAGCTCTAGAGGCAACAAGGCCCAGAGTGCTCCAAGTTTGAAAAGAACAGGAAACAATAAGGTTAGGATAAACAGGGCTTTTCAGAAAGGTTAATTGTTTTTTGCATCACTGTCAACTGCAGTCTCCGCAGAGAAAGAACACAGTTGTTTTTTTCAACCCCTTGTGTATCTCATCTGGTATTGTGATGAAATGGAAAAAAAATTGAAAACTCAGTGAATGACTATGTTATCATTACACCCAGGGTTCATTGAAGACATATTTTGTGTTTGAAATGTCAGACTTAGACTTTACTTTGTGAATGTTTTATAGAATCATATTCAGAAATTATTCAAGGGGTTGGTAGCTATAAAAATGCTTGACCTGAAGCTTATAGCTATCCCTGCCTTGGGCTATAAATACAAATCTTCTCTCTAAAAATCCAAGAGTCTGCCCTGTGAGGAGGATGAAGGGAGGGAAGTAACACCATGGGTAGCACATGAAGGTGACAGAGAAGACGAGAGATCAAGTGAGAATATAAGAGAAATAAAATTGCCCTGTGAGAGTTTAATTAAGAAAATTAGTCCTAAATGAATTTTTATTCATCTGTACCTGGACCAACAGACTAATATTATCGTAACTGGTGTGTAAATGGGTGGCTAAGGAGATCAGAAGTAGCCAAAACTCTATCAAGTTTTGATTAATCAGAAAAAGGAATTGTGAGGCTAGTCTTAAGCTGTAGTAAAATCTGTACTTTGTGTTATAAATTTGTCTTTCTGTGTTGTTCTATAATGGAGAAGGGTACCTTAAGATAGAACACAGGCTTAGGACTCCTGTAAGCCCGCTGTTCAAGCCAGCCCAGCAAACTGGTCAGTTACAAACTTTGCTGCAGGTCCCTAAAAAAAACAAAAACAAAAAACTGGATAAAGTTTCCCTCTCATCTTATTTTATTTCCTTGAGAGCTTGACCTTATAACTATGTGGCAGTACTTTCTCTTGGTCTCCACCTTCCGGAGAGCAGGAACTTTGGAATTCATGGTTAGCCCTAAAAATTACCTTGAGAAGTTAAAAGCCTTTGCAAGTTCAAAATTGGCTGCTCTAAGCTCCTTCTGGGAAGGGCAATGGAAACTGCCCAATGCTGTAGCTCAGCATCAAAGGCTTCACCATTTTACAACGGTGGCCCAGCTTCAATTCCAGGATTAGGGAATGAGTCTTTTCTAGTTTGATATCTGTGTGACTTTTGCCATTTGTAGATTCTCTTCCCCACCCATGATGAACAACTTCCGGCTTCCCTTCTGGAATTTTTCCTTTCTTTGAGCACCTGGGAGATTACCTTTGGTAAAGTTCAGAAGACAGGAATATTGGCCATTTGGCCTGGTTCGGTAATAAGAGATTTAAAAGGACTTTTTAAAAAGAGCGCTATGGTTAAAATTTAGCTTATTTAAAGCGGATATTCAAGCTCTAACAGCATGAGACTCCTTGGGAAAAACAGAGGAGGCACCACAGACTGGGTTCTGGGAAAAACTTGTTTTCCTCATGAAACTCCAGGAATTGGAAATGGATAGATTCCTTTAAAAATCTAAGGTTCTATTCTGTTTTGCATTGCATTATCCAACGTTTTTCACTTTTGGGGGGTCAGAAATTGCTTAGTATTATGAGAGAACTTTGTTGTGTAATAACTAGGTAGGAAATATACTTTTGGGGAAGGCTAATGGCAGTTATTGGGGGAATATGTGGCTTTTTGCATGTTTAGATCAGAGAAGTATGCTGTTGGCAACCTAGAAGGTTAAAAAAAAGTCCCCACCCACCGCTGAGAGATAAGACTCCTATGGAGATGGGCTGATTCCCTCTTTTTGGGATCCAGGATCTGGCATAAAAATGGGATCCTTAATTTTGTATATCTGTTTTGCCTTCCAGCTGTGCCTGCAAGTTAAGCCCTAGAAACTGCATGCCTTAAAGACAAACTTAGAAACTGGCAAATGAAAAGTCTTACAACTACTGAATCTTCTTCTGTATGTGTATTTATATGTGTTGTGTGTGTGTGTGAGATATTTTTAAAAACTTTAATTAGTTTAAAAATAAGAGCTTAAATCAAATATTTTGTCAGAAAAGTAAAAAGTGTAATGCCTTTTAGTACACGACTTAAGTAATCTTTGGAAAGTAAAAACAGTTTTAAAGATTATTGATAAAATAAAGACATTTGGTCTAAATTTTACAGGTCAGATATTAAGCTTTCTAAATGCTTTAAGGTCATAAACTGCTTGTTTGACTTTTGAAAATTGTTCAATTTACCTACTTTAGAGCATTAGATTCTAGATAAGACCTGGGGACATGTGATGTTAGCCATGCCCCCTAGCTATGCTGGAAAAAGTCAAATCTTATCTGTTGTCTTAGGTGCCACACCTGGTACATAATTAAAATCGCTTACTAACCAGGTTTTTCACCAAAAGTAAAAATTGCTAAAAGCTAACATTGTAATATGTTATTGAGACAACTGAAGAAACAGTTTTACATGCAAGGTGTGTAAAGAAACTGAAATGCGTTTTTGGTAAAATATTATAAGAAGTCATAGGAATGTGGACTTTTTTTTGCCTAAAAGTTTAAAGGATTGTTTGAAGTTAGATAGGATATGCTTGAAGGTTTGAGTGAGTTGGGAAAGTCTTGTGACAAACTAATCTTTTAAAAGAAATTCTGTGTGTGAACATATTGGCTAAAGTTAAAGGGGTATTATTCAGTTCTTCCATGAATTGAACATTGGAATATAAGCACAACAGGTTTTTCTTAGAGCACTAATCTACTTTTTAACATAAATTTGTAAAGAGTTATAAAAGGTATAAGAATCTTACCTTATGGTCAAATATTAAAATTGGTTAGATGTATCTATAAAGTTTTATTAAGGATAGGGTTTAACATTAGTAGTACACTAATATAAAAATGACGTTTGGCTTATTTGGTATAAAAATCATACAGGAAACATTGTCAACATTGCCACCGAGGTAATCAAATTGCTTTGTCAATCATATCTTTTGACTGTGACTGCCCTAAGACATTTTGTCATCCACCAACAGTTGTTGTCTTATTTTAATCCTATTTAAAAGGTGGTTTATAGTCAGCTAAAGGACTTTAACAGGTGTTCTTGAATGCAGGTTTCTGATAACATTGGGGATTATGACATTAGAATAAAGAAAAAAACTTTCAGGACTCTCATGAAAAGCTGAAATGTTAATAAATATCAAGCAGGACAGGAGTTAACTGCATGGATTGAGCTAATAGAAGACCAAAGTGATCTTTTTGACTTTTTGCTTAAAACGTTGCTGATCCTTTGTTTTGTTTTTCAGAGACAAGAAAACTCTTCTTTTGAGCTATTTATAGCTTTTAACAGTTGAGTAAAGTGTACTCTTGTGAACAAAATTTGAGGCATATTTGTTTCTCTCTACCTGACTTCTCCAGAATTGGAACCTATTTGTGAGTATTCTTAACTTATGGCAATATAGTTATTTGCATAAGCACAATAAGAATCTGTTTTCTTTTGCAACAGGACACAATTGGAGAAACTGATTATTTTACCAAGGCTTTGACTGGAATGATGCATTTTCCTTTAAGGAATCAAACTTGATTTGTAGAGCCAATAAAAGCCCCTTGGGAAAACTGACCTTATATCTTGTCTACACATTCCCTGTACAGGGTTTCTGACTTGTGGTAAGTAAAGAATATCACTTTCTAATAGGTCCAGGAGCTGAAGGTTATCTTGGGACCTCAAGAGGAGAAGAATTGGCTGGGCGCAGTGGCTCATGCCTGTAATCCCAACACTTTGGGAGGCTGAGGTGGGCAGATCACAAGGTCAGGAGTTTGAAACCAGCCTGGCGAACATAGTGAAACCCCCATCTCTACTAAAAATACAAAAAATTAGCAAGGCATGGGGGCAGGCACCTATAATTCCAGCTACTCAGGAAGCTGAGGCAGGAGAATCACTTGAACCTGGGAGGCAGAGGTTGCAGTGAGCCGAGATTTTGCCATTGCACTCCAGCTTGGGCAACAAGAGTGAAACTCCATCTCAAAAAAAAAAAAAAAAGAAGAAGAATTAATTCATAGGTATTTGAGGATATAAACCCATGGCTGGGCTTGGCTTTAAAAAAAAGGTCTTATTTGAGATTTCTTATGGGACAGAATTCCATCAAAGCCAATTTAAAAAGCCTATGTGAAAAATAATTATTCTTGCTGCACTTTATACAAATAATCAGCCTAAATATAAGACTAAGGATTATTTTGCAATCAAATTGGTCTTACCATGATTTGTCTTTAATACAAATGGAAAACTAGACAGAGAAAAATTGTGTTTCTAGAAGTATGGTACTTCTGTTATTAAATTCTAGTCTTATCAGTTGTTTTTTGTTGTTGTTGTCGTTTTTTTCCTGCAATTTAGACTGACCCTGCTTATTCCTGTTAACCAATTCGTGATGTCTGACTGCATCTCAAAAGAAACAAAAGGGCTGTGTAATGTAAAAATATGGTTCAATATTATAATTCTGGGCACATATTGGAATTGGCTAGTGACTCCATATCAGCTTGTTTCCAACAGTTGCCCAGTTCATGGAAAGCCTTCTAATTTAGTTTACTTGGGATAATTTTGCTTATTTTGCTTTACTGTTGTGGAATATATTGCAGTTGTACTCTTTGTGTAATAATGCAAAATAAGTTTACTGAAAATTTTCTTAAATTGAACACTTACTAATCTTCCAGATATCACCTTTTGTCAGAACTCAAGAGTTATGAATGGCCCTCACTGTAATGACACTTTCCAACTGAGCTCCTCTCTACTCTGAATACAAGAGACCCTAATAGTTAGGCAGGAATATCATCACCCCTGTTCAGCATGAAGAAGTTACAAAAGATGGATCTTCATTCCTCTGCAACCCTTAGGATTAAGGATTCTCTTGTAAAAGGGAAGGGGAAAATGTCAGAGGTGTTTGAACCAGAGCAATGCCATCTTAAATAGGAGCTGGGTAAAATGAGGCTGAAACCTACTGGGCTGCATTCCCAGAGGGTTAAGTATTCTAAGTCACAGGATGAGACAGGAGGTCAGCACAAGGTACAGGTCATAAAGACCTTGTTGATAAAACTGCAGTGAAGAAGCTGCAAAACCAAGATGGTGACAAGAGTGACCTCTGGTCATCCTCATTGCTACACTCCCACCAGTGCCATGACAGTTTACAGATGCCATGGCAACATTAGAAAGTTACCCTGTATGATCTAAAAAGGGGAGGCATGAATAATCCACCCCTTGTTTAGCATATAATCAAGAAATAAGCATAAAAATGGACAACCAACAGCCCTTGGGGCTGCTCGGCCTATGGAGTAGCCATTCTTTTATTCCTT
This sequence comes from Homo sapiens, assembly GCF_000001405.40. NCBI lineage: Eukaryota > Metazoa > Chordata > Mammalia > Primates > Hominidae > Homo > Homo sapiens. The sequence continues at coordinate 38,026,520 of NC_000023.11, read as the reverse complement.
TACTTTCTTAATAAACTTGTTTTCACTTTACTCTATGGACTCACCCCCAATTCCTTCTTGTGTGAGATCCAGGAACCCACTCTTGGGATCTGGATCGGGACCCCTTTCCAGTAACAGTTGGCTAAGGAGATCAGAAGTAGGCAAAACTCTATCAAGAAAATCAGGATGTTTTCTCCAGAAGGCAGCACTGAACTATGACTATAAATTTAGTAAGATAGAATGCAGTTGATGATAACGCAGTCCTTCCGGAGAAATACAGGGTGAAGAAAAGGAGACAGTGAACCAAGGCATAGACAAGGAAGATCTAAGGAGCTAGGTGATGTCAGTGCCCATCCAGACTCCAACTAGAGAAAGGGAATGAAAATGAAAATAGTTGTTTGTTCCCTGTAGCGCATGTTCCATGCTAGGTGATGGAGCCTCATTCTGAGAAATTTTCATGCCACGAATCACTCAAATCATACAGCTAATTACCCTTGCTCAATCTCACTTCCTTCCAGACACTTTTGATTATAAGTTGGCTTCCCATAGAGCTCTCCCTTCAGGAGTGAATGTTCTGGTCCTGTCTATGGAGTTCTCCATATTTGGTTTAGTTTGAACCCATGTCAGATCTGTTTGCTGTGTGCTAACCAAATCAAATTTTTCAGCCTTTGCACTGAAGACCAGCATCTGGACTGCAATGACTTCACCTGAGGATATATCATCACTGTGTGTCTCTTTTCAGCGATTTCATACCTCACCTGGAGAATCCCTTACCCATTACACATTTTAATCAAGTAGAGAAAAAAATGAGTAATTGATCCTCATTCTTTTAGTTAAATGGGGCTAGTAAACACTAGTCAGATTAGGAGGGTGAAATTCATTTTTCTTTTATTGTTCAATTCCTAACTTAAACAGATCTCTCTCTTTAAATATAGATGTAGATTTTTCCCTCTGTGGCCAGTAACTTTGTTGAACTATGCTAAGCTGTTTAGAAAGATGGCAAGATGCTTTGTATGTCATTCTATTGCCTTTCAGCATAGATAACTTTGGACAAGTCATTAACTTCTGATTATCAAAAAGATGTGGTAGTCAAATACTCTCATAGCATCACAAAGGGACATAAGTTTAAAAAGCATCTATTTTGAGTAACACACACCTAAAAATAATAGGGGCCGATATTTGAATCAAAGGAAAGGGTATATCTGAATATATCTCATTACTGTGTACTTGAAATGCAGCTTTAAATATAGAATGTTTCTGAGAGTGCTCTTAGGATGAAATTAATAGAAATAAAGTTAATTTCCTGTTTGACTGTCACCATGTGACAATACAAATTAGATGAATTTTCAGCACACTTACAGAGATGTTTAGGATGCTTAGAATACAAGCTAAATCACATACGCAAAATACCCTTGAGGATGCCTTTCAAATAGAGGAGCAGTCATCCTGCAAAGCAGCTGTGATTGGATTACCACAAGCACAGCAGTCCACAAGACTGTCAAAAGGTAAGAACTGTCATGCTGTGGATAGAGAAAAAAGTAGTACTTTTACAACGAACCCCAAACTGAATGACTCAAAGAGAGATGCTATGGAATTACAGGAATTTCTTTGCAACAGAGCTGTTTCTTCTCACACGGGCAATTCTGTGTGGTACATTATATGGGAGTGCCATAGTCAAGATTTTTTTTTTAATTTCACAATGATATGGATTCTTCAAATAACAGTAGAGAGGCTAACAGTGCCATCAACTTCATACCAATACTTCAAGAGCAGTATCCTCAGAATGCTCCAAATAATAACCACTAACACTTATTCAACTAATCCTTATGACTTCCTAATGAAACAAATTGCTATTATTCCTATTTTATAGATGAGAAAACTGAGGCACAGAGATGTTAAGTAACTTGCCCAAGGTCAACTGGTAAGTAATTCAGAATAGTTTGGTTTCAGGGACCCTGCTTGTAACCACTACATTTGAGGCCACACAGTGACTTCATGGAACAACAGTATCCCATGAGATGTTATTAGATATTATATGGAATTGTTAACAGTGCTGTATTAGTCCATTTTCATACTGCTATGAAGAAATACCTGAAACTGGGTAATTTATTTAAAAAAAAAGAGCTTTAATGGACTCACATTTCCATATGGCTGGGGTGGGGGTCCTCACAATCATGGTGGAAGGCAAAGGAGGAACAAAGGCACGTCTTACATGGTGGCAGGCAAAAGAGCGAGTGCAGGGTAACTGCCCTTTATTAAACCATCATATCTCGTGAGACTTATTCACTATCACCAGAACAGTATGGGAAAACCCGTCCCCATGATTCCATGATTCAATTACCTCCCACCAGGTCCCTCCCACAACACGTGGGGATTGTGGGAGCTACAATTCAAGAGATTAGGGTGGGGACACAGCCAAACCATATCAAGTGATGTAGTTCAACAAAAAATTTGGATATGTAGAGTTAAACCAAGTTAAATATTTTTTTTTCTACAGAACTTCTCAGAGTCTTTAATGTCCACTGTGAATTTTCACAGAGCTCTCAGTTTGGAAAAAGGTATTAGGTTGGTGCAAAAGTAATTGCAGTTTTTGCTATTACTTTTAATGGTAAAAACTGCAATTACTTTTACACCAACCTAATATTTAAGATCACTGTTTATTTTCTTGGCATTGTGTATTTTGATATTTTTAAAGAGAAGACTACTTCTACCTTTAAAAATGCTGGCTAAGAGAAAGCCTTAATAAAAATTTCAAAAGAGAAAGATTTGAAAAATAAGTTATAAGATAAAGTTTGTAATAGTCTAAAGTTAGAAACTGTTAGAATCTATTAGAGTTAGAAGCTCTCGAAGCTGGAAAAGAGAGCAATACCGATGTTCAATTTTAAAATGAGGCATTTAAAATAAATATATTGACATGGAAAATATCTAAGTTATATTGCGAGCTGAAAATAGACAAGATAATTATGCTTTTTAATGCAAATGCTTTTAAAACAATGCAGTAGATATATGCATGTACATAATAAATGTAAATGCATAATAAAAGGCACAGGATAATACATATTGATAATGAATCAGGTTGCATATGAAGATGAGAGTTGGATTGTTAGGGGTCAGAGAAGGGATGAAAAGGGACTTATTTCCATATTGTTTATTATTTTGGATGTATTCATGTAACCATATATTATGTCTTTAAAAAATTTTCAAGAACCAATAAGGTGTGGTGACTGACTAGAGTAAGAAGCCAAAGAAAGAAAGAGGCTAAAAATAATGTTAAGAATTGAATCCTAGAAGAAAACAATAGGGAAGATGGAGAATGTGCTGGCTTTTGTGGGAAATAATGGATTTGGGTTTCAGACATGCTGTGAATTAGGTGACACCACCGTGGTTCATCAGCATCATAGTTTTGTGCCTCCAATCTGGCTCTTCTATATGCAATTCCAAAATACAAATTGATAATTGTTGCTTTTATACTGAATACCCTTTGATGTCTTCCCTTTGCTCTTTAAGAGTTCAAGTTGTTTAATATGGTTTACAAAACCCTTCATGATTTGTCCCTTGCTGATCTCTCTCTCTCGTATCTATCCTCTAACCACACTCAAAAGTTCATTCCTCTAAAAAAGCCATAATCTTCCTCACCTCCAGATCTTCCTATTTGTAAGACTCTGCCTGGGATACTTCCCCCATTTCTCCATCTCCTAATTCCTAAGTATCCACAGGGATCTACTTAAATGGCTGACTCCTAGTTTAGCTTAGCTATCTATGATAAACTGAATAATGGCTCCCAGAGAAGTCCACATCCTTATCCCCAGAACCTGTGAATATGTTACCTTAGATGGCAAAACTTTGCAGATGTGATTACGTGAAAGGTCTTGAGATAAAGAGATTAGCCTGGATTAGATGGGTGATCCCAATGTAATCACAATGATCCTTACAAGAGGGAGGTAGTAGAGTTAAAGTCAGAAAAGCAGGTGTGACGACATAAGCAGAGGCTGAGGTGATGGGCTTTGAAGTTGGAGGAACAGCCACAAGCCAAGGAATGCAGATGGCCTCTAGAAGCTGGAAAAGACAAGGAAACAGATTCTCCTGCAGGCTCCAGAAGAAATGCAACCCTGCTAACACCATGATTTTAGTCTCCCAAGACTCATTTTGGACTTTTAACCTTCAGAACTGTAAGATAATACATTGTATTGTTTTAAGACAATATGTTTGTGGTGATTGGCTACAGCAGCAATTGGAAACTCATAGTATCTATCCAATACATTTTCATACTTCTCTTACAGTAACACTGTATCAGTTGGGATAGGCTAATACAGCTTTATTCAAAGTTTGGGTTGCAAACCAGTGCAGGTCTGTAAACTTACTGGTTTGCAATTATATAAGTAAAGAAATTAAGAATAAGCATTTAGAAATTTTTATAGTAATTTGACAGAGTAATTTTAAATCTGTTGAATCTGATGAAAATTTGTACTTGAATGTTTATGTATTTCATGTCTCATTTATCTGCTAATTTACTTAAATTGTATTTTGCAAAAATACTATTCTATCCAGGTTGAAAATAAAAGTAACAAACAACCTGATCCTTCATCACAGACATTTTGAGCAGTACTGGGGTAGACTATGTTGTGACACAAATAACTCGCAAATTGCAACAGCTTGTAACAGCACAGGTTTATTTCATATTTCTTGGCCATGCTATATATCCCTCAAGAATCCAGGCTGTTTAGGGAGCTACCATCTTGAACACTGCCAATTGCCACACCAGAGGGAAAAAAGAGTTCTGAAAGGTTTCATAGTAGGAATTAAATGTCCTGGCCTGGAAGTGAAAAACATTATTTCTACTTACAACTCCTTAAACAGAACTGATGGTCACTTAGCCCTACCCAATTACAAGGGGGCCAGTAAATGGTATCCTGCCATCTGCCTACAAGAGGAAGAAATCGTAAATATTTGGTGAACAATGCTAAGGACTATGCCAAGCACTCATCATGCTGATTTAAAATGCTGATTTTAACCAACATGCATTGGTTTTCCCTGCTAATGTCTAAGCTCTGTGGGATATCTCGTTTTGTCTTGATCAGCCCTGTATTCCTAACACCTCACAACTCCTGGCACCATAGTAGGTATTTGAAAATATTGCCAAATGAATAAATTTATGAATTAAATGCAAAATAAGACATTTGAGAAGTGATGCCTAAAATGAAAATTGGAATATAGCCCCTCACCACAGGGCCTGACAAGCAAAACTAAAGACTCCTCAAAGGGCTTCTGCAATACTTGTATACATCCCATTATTTGCAGTAGAGATTCATAAACATTGTTGGGAACAGTTGATCCCTTAGATAATCAGTGACAACTATAGGCTCTCTACCTCAAAAATATACATATACATTCTAATGACAAAGGGAGGTAATTTCAGGGGTTTATAAACTGTGGTCACCCAAGGGCTTATGGTCCACAGGGTAAGCACTGCTAATACAACATCTTCAGAATAAAAGACTGACTTTGTGTACCCTCTCAAAGTTGGTGTTGGAGAAAGTGTGGGGTAGAGGAAAGGGTATGGGCTTTGGAAACTAATGGAATTAAAATTCTACTCCCTGAGATAATAACATAGATGTGCTACTTTGTCTTTGCATCTCAGTTTATTCATCTGTTAAATGGGCATATTAATATCTACTTCCTGGGTTTGAAGAATATATCATTTGAATATTAAAATGAGTTAATGTATAAAAAGTGTCTAGCACAATGCCTGGCATATAACAGATGCTCAGAAAATTTAGACCCCTCCATCGTTTCTATTCTCAATGAAGTTAAGCAATACGTCATTAAAATGCATCAGTCCAACACAAACCTCCATTCCCTTTGATTCACAAAATACCCAGAGGTCTCTGGCTTCCTAGACTTTCTATTAAGAATTTATAAATCTTAGCAATTCCTTAGAAACATCATAATTTTTAATTAATACCATTATTAATAATACTAATAGTCTTTTTATATGTGATGGCATGCTTGAAGGCTCACAATACAAAGGCAGTGAAAAAAACTCAGGATACAAAATTACTTATGCAGTATGGTCCCAATTATATTAAAAGAAATATATATATATATATATATATATATATATATATATATATATGCACACACATATATGTATTATAGAAGAAAGAATGAGAAAAAATAAGCCAAAATATTAAGTCTATTTCTGGATAGTTATAAATGTATTTTAATATCTTCTTTATAATTTTCTTTATATGTTTTTACAATGAATACATGTTACATATAAAATCAGTTAAAAAAATACAGCAAATGGCATTTCTGTCAAAAATATCTTATAGCCATATTACCTCTGCTTCATATGTCATGATGCACAATGCATATATCCACTGATTATCAATAATTATCATGCTAGGCTACAACACAGGCAAAGAACAGTATGAGTGTCATATAGCTTTGAAGTTAATACATCTAGTTCCTAAAGTGATGTTTAATTCAAAAAGACATGTTCGGTCTGAAGAAAATATAAAACCAAAGAACAGATAGAATGAGTTATAGAGCATATAAATGTTCGTGCAGTAAACACGTATAGAATCATGTGTCAGAAACTATGTTGGGCCAGGCATTGTGGCTCAGGTCTGTAATCCCAGCTCTTTGGGAGGCCGAAGCGGGCGGATCACCTGAGCTCAGGAGTTCGAAACCAGCCTGGGCAATATAATGAGCTCTCATCTCTGCTATAAATAAAAAGTTAGTTGGGCATGGTGGCACACACCTGTAGTCCCAGCTACTTGGGAGGCTGAGGCACCCGGGCTGAGGCACCCTCCACGTGGGAGGTGGAGGGTGCAGTGAGCCAAGAACACGCCACTGCACTCCAGCCTGGGCGACAGAGTGAGACTTTGTCTCAAACAAACAAACAAACAAATAAAAAACAAAAAAAGAAACTGTGCTGGATCTAGGGGATACATTCATGAAGAATGCATAGGTTCTGTTTTCAAGGGGCTTCTCTATTTTCTATTATTTTCTAGTGGAGACAAGCATAAACATAAAATCACAGTTTCATAAATCCCAATTTTGGCTTTGAGAACACAAAGGAAAAAACAATTAGGAAGAAAAAAGTGGTCATTCTAGGTTGTAGAGACAGCAAATGTGAAAAAGTCATAAGAACACACAACTAGTCCAGAAGAAATAGTGACTAACTCCAGGTCTGGGGTCTGGGTTAATATTGGAAAGCTAAGAGAAAGGGGGATGTCAGAGTGGGAGGAATTTGGCATCCAAACAAAGAATATGGACTTTATCCAGTGTTTTTCAAACTGTATCTTCAGGAATGTTTTCTTAGGAAACACAGCGAAAGAGGCTGAGTGGCCAAGCCTGTGGCGCCGACGACTGCTTCAAACAGAGCAGCTCCGTTTTCATCTGTTCTATAAGTTAGATTTCCTGGTAGGATTTTATTTGAAGAAAGAATTCCATGACCTTAAGAAGCCTGAAAACTGTTCTCATGCCATCAAGCTGTTGAAGCTTTAAAGCCAAGGAACAGCGCAATCATATTTGAATTTTTTATTTGTTTTTTGAAAGACCAGCACTCAGTGATTGGATGAAAGACAGGGGAAAGGTCAGGTAGACAAAATGAGGAGGCTCTTGCAGAAGTGCCAGGGAGAGATTAGGAACTAAAGCTGTGTAGTGGGAAGGAAAATAAGAGTCACTTTTGGGACGTTTTAGAATAATCTCAATAAGATCCAGTGACCTCTTCGATGTGGGTGGTATGGAAGAGAAAAGAGAATGACTCTGAGGTTTCCAGCATGGGGAACTGCAAAGGTTTTTAAATTTTAGTGTGCATAAGAATACCTAAGTATATTGTTAAAAATAGATTTCTGGGTGTCTATCTCCAGAGAGCCTGATTCAGTAACACGGGGGTAAAGCCTAGAAATGTTGATGATAATACTGTTCACAGTGATGGAGAGTACAAGACAAAAAACGTTGAAAGAGAAAAAAAAATAATTAATTGCAATTTAGATATGTTGAGGTCCGGATACTTATGGTGCAACAACAAAGGTACTTATGATGCAACAACAAAGACCTGTCCAGAAAGGCATTTAGAATAGGAAACTTCCCATAAACTGTTTATAGCTTATCAGATGTCTATACTAGAGGTATTTAATTGGGAATCATTGGTGCCTCGATGGTGGATGGTGGTTGATGCTGTGCAAGCAAGTGAGATTACCAGGAAGAGAAGTGAAAGGGGCAAAAGATAGAATCATGAGAAGCAACAATATTTAAAGAATGGACAGAGTGTGGCAGGCCAGGTCTCACTAACGCAGGCCTCCATAACAACTGTTTCAGCACTGACTGAGTGGTGAAGTTAAATATTAAAAGCTGATAGAGCCAGTGCCCTTATACAAAGGCTGGAAGGTAACAAAAGCCCACCAAGAGTTTTGCCCAGGCCTTTCCTGGGCCTTGAAGTATGGCAAGATAATGAAGGAATTCTTAACAGGACCCATTTAGGATAAAACAAACTTTACTGGGGGTCTGAAGAAACGCCCCAGACCTCCACAAACAAGTTTATTGGGGGTCTGAAGGAACTCCCCAGACCTCCATGATTTAGCAGGAGACAAGATAAGGGTAATCACCGCCGGCACCTGGACCCATTTAGATTAAGTAAATTTACTGAGGCTCCAGAGGAAGGTCTTTAGGAGTCAGATCTTAGTTATAGAATAGAAGAAGTAAATCACTTATGTCTTTAGATGAATGCACACTTACATGTAGACATATAGCTTAGAAGGTATATAAGCTCTTTGTCAAAAATATCTCCAGACCAACTCAAAATTACAAAGTCAAAAAACTTTGTAATTTTGAGTTGGTCTGGAGATATTTTTCAGCCATAGCCGGTTACAGAAATAAACTTCCTTCTTTCCCAGCTTATCTGAATCTCGTTATCGGGCCATGAGAATAAGCAGCCTGATCTTCGGTTTGGTCCAGGGACAAGAGGAATAAATGAGATGATGAAAGAGACTGAAGAGGGATGATCAACAGAATGGGAGGAGCAGTTAGTTAAGTCTAATGAACTGGGAGTCAAGTATATCACACAGAGTCAATGATGTAGGTCATTGCTAAGTTCACATTTCAACTAAACAATCAAGTAAACTGTTAACAACACCTCCAGCTGCAAGAAGTATCACACTAAATCCAGAATCTCTGAAAAATGCACCATATCAATACATTTGGCCTAATCCAGTGTTATATTACATCTTCCTTGGCCTAACATTCTAGGTTTCTAATGATATAAATTAGTAAATCCTGGAATTATTTTGGTGCATAATCTAATTCCATCCAGGTCAGACTTTGTACTTGTTCCCCTGGAGCATGCTGAAAGCTGAACACAGTTGCGGGCCTTGTAGCAATGGGCATTGGTTGGAAGAAGGAAGTGGGTTTTGAGAATGGGCAACCTCTCGCATCAAAAAACAACAACAACAACAACAACAAAATTGGCTGAAAAATCAACCATTAGTTAGGAGATCTAAAGTCATAGACTAAGACATAAGGAAAAAATAGTTCAAGATGGATGTCTAAGAGGATGCTCTGCAGTAGAGGCTTATGGTGCAGGAGACCACCTGAAGCCTGGAGAATTTTGAAGTCATGCATATTCAGGCATTAACATAGCATAGATCATTTTTGCAGCATTCAAAGTGAGTTAGTGTTGGAAAATAAGCAGAAATGCCTTCATACATATGAAATGCATGGTCAGACAGCTCTTGAAAGTTCAATGTTCTGAACAAACACCTTAATGTAAGTAGCTTGAAGGTGAGTGTAAGAAGATAAAATATTCTACCTGTACGTTTGGTGAACCATCATCCAAACCCAATTAACCAAGCTCTCTATATGGATTGCAGACTACTCTTAGGGAATCTTGCTTCCAAGATCATAGAGACATGACCTAACTGAAAATGCATGAAGGTCTTTTGTGGACACCCACCCATGCTATCACCCAGGAGAGCAGCTTGAAGCTCTAGGGAGATGTATTTTTAAACTAAAAGTGAAGTTGACCCTCATCTGCCCAGATTTCTCCTCTAGAGGAGGAGTTATACATAAATATAGCCAGCTTGCTGCCCCTCATACTTGGTTAGGATTCCTATAAGTCTGATTGATAATGTCATGTCTGCCACATGTAGCAAGGAGCTGTGGAGAGTAAGATGAACAACATTTCTGCTCCTTAAAGGTGGCTTTCCCCCATGGTCTATATTAGAGGTTGGCAAACTTTTTCTATTAAGGAACAATTAGTAAATATTTTAGACTTTTTGCGCCAAGAGCCAAAACCATAGCTATTTTGTGGATAAGTATGCATCAATCAAGAAAATAAATGTCTGCCAATATTTTACCGATGACATTAAAAATATAACAATAATAATTGAGTGCAGTTATTTCATAGCATAGATCTACTAAAGAGAAGAATGGAATTTTAGGGCACATAACATCTAACTTAAAGTGAGCATTCCTATCATTAAAATTAATGATAGTAGGCCTAGCGCATTCCAGAGCTACTGAATTTGAATCTAAATTTTAACAAGGTCCCCCAGTGATTTGTACCTTAAAGTTCAAGGCCATTCTGGTCTAGAGTTTCTTAATACATTTTTGGCTTATATTTTTATCACTTTAGAGAAGATAGTGAAAGCTGTGGATCCTAGAAAAAGTTCACAAATCATTTGAAGTTCATTCAAGACTCCTACAAGGTCTGTGGCTTTGAAATTAAGACCCCAGGGATTCTGTGGACATGCCCGCCCAGAGCGAAAGTGTTCTGAAATTAGATTGTGGTGATGGCTAAACGCACTGTGAATAGACTAAAAAAAAAAAAACATTGAATTGTACACTTCAAATGGGTGAATTGTACAGTATGTACATTATATCTCACAAAAGCTGCTTTTCAAAAAAACAGAATCTCTTGAGTTTGTGTTCCATGGATTTTTTTTAACGTCCTATGGGGTTCCAATGGACACCTCAAGTGGAGAATTGCAAAGAGTCAGGTTTTGGAGTCAGGAAGCTCTGCATTCAAATCCTAGCTTTGGCAATTACTATGTTACAGAAACTAAGTTACTTAACCTCTCTGAACCTTGGTTTCTTTTCATACAGGGTGGAGATAATAATAGTACTAACTTCACAGGGTTTTGAGGAGGATCAAAAGGAACTTCTAATGCAAAATTCCTGGAAGATTCCTTGTCACATGCACTTTTTCATGTGAAATGGTGGGATTCCTCAGATATCAAATGCAAAGCCAAAAATAATTACATGCTTCGCATTATTCAAGTCGTAATTAATCACACATGTCATATTATCCATGTTGTACTATATTTTCCACTTAAATGTATATTTCCTGCTCCATTATTATACTTGCCTTAATGCTTTTTCCTTATGAGTCATGGTAATAATGATAGTGAACACTCAGCACTTATATACAAGTTTCAGGCCCTGTTATGAATTCTTGATTTACATATATGAACAGTACAATCTTTACATTGTGAAAGGAAAATAAATCTCTGGACCCCAAAATCACTAAGCCGAAGGGAAAAGTCAAGCTGGGAACTGCATTGGGCAAACCTGCCTCCCATTCTATTCCTAAATAAGATACCTACAAAGATAAAAAAGCTACATACCTCCCTCACAATTTTTCTCACAGGGAAATTTCTTGTGGACAAAGGACAGGGAGAACTCAAAGTCATCCCTCTGTCACAGAAGACAAATGTGTATCTGATTGCTTCCTTTGCCCTGTTTTTTCACTAAGCCAGACTAAGGCATAAGTGACTATTCCTGTAAATTGTGCTTATCAAAATATCAAAAGAATGCAACCATTTGTCTCCTATCTACCTGTGACCTGGAAGCCCCCTCCCTGCTTAGAGTTGTCCCGCCTTTCTTGACTGAACCAATGTTCATCTTACCTATACTGATTGATGTCTCACGGCTCCCTAAAATGTATAAAACCAAGCTGTGTCCCAATCACCTTGGGCACATGTCGTCAGGACCTCCTGAGGCTGTATCACTGGCACATCCATAATCTTGGCAAAATAAACTTTGTAAATTGATTGAGACCTGTCTCAGATACCTTTTGGTTTACAATATCAATTATTTGATTTAGATACTTTCACTATTCCCATATTACAGGTAGGAAAACCAAGGCAGAGGGAGGTTAAGTAACTTGTCCAGTGTTACACAGCTTGTAAGTGGTGAAGCTGGATTCTGACTAAGGGGTCTGACTCTATTGACTGTGCTCTTGACCACTATAATATACTGTAGAATTAAATATACATACATATAACATATATGTACACACACAACAATATTATATATAACATAATATACAACATAACACACAGGTGTGTGTGTGTGTTTAATTTTGTATTGGTCAAATTTATACCAGTGCCCAGCACTCCTGCTTTGGAGGGTACACACTTGTACATACCAAAAGAGTTTTATTATGACAGTGTAGAGAGGATGTAGGATATGACATCAGAGCAGATTGCCCTGACTAAAGAAAGAAATAAAAGCTGAAACAGTAGTCAGAGTGTGGAGAGGGTAGAGAGGAAAATGAGATTGGGGAGGTCCTGATGCTACCTGGCTCCTGTGAGCAGGAATGGGGGAGCTAAGCTAGGAGAGGAGGAGTTGGTGGTGGTTGAGGGACTAGGAGGACTGAGGGGGCCAGTAGATCTAGGGGCCTTGAGTAATGATGAGGGGCCCAAAGAATGCAGGGTCCCCTTAAGAAAAGATCATGGAGAGGAAACCAATCAGTGAGATGCTGGAGATGGGGTGAGGTCAGTGACAGGTTCGCAGATACCAGTATAGATTGAGTGAGCCTGAGAATCAGGAAGAAAGGTAAAAATTGGTGCAGCAGGAAAAAATACCCCAGGAAGATGCCTTTGGAAGTTACTTAAGCTGACCAAAGTGACTCTGGTACAAAGCAGGAACTCTGGTTTAAATCTTGGCTCTAAAATTTCTGAGAAACATGACTGAACCTCTGTATGCCTTGGTTACATAGAAAACACTTGAATAGTTCTTGAGTCACGGTAAATCCTCAGAAAGTGTGAGCCTTTGGCATTATCATTAGGAGCAGTACTGAACCTACATTTCATGTTTGCTGACCCAGGTTCAACATTTTTCCCAGTATAAGCAGTGAAAGATTATCACTAGATGATATTCTCACTGTTCAGGAACCTACTCTTTAGGTCTGAGTTGAGCCAATATTTAGTTATATCCTATTGTGCTTAAGTATAAAGCCATACATATGACTATTATTCACAAGAACAATAAGAGTCAGATGGGAATTCACTTGAAAGAAAATCAATAGCTGTTTGGTTGTTGTGTATAACTGATTTAGAAATAACCTTCCTGTGTTTGGAGCTCAAACTCTGTAACAGTCAACAAAAATAATTAGATGGCAGCTGTGAGTAGTTCAAAGCAAATTAAATTCTTCCTTCTTGAACATGGCTAATGCAAACAGGACATCCCAATCTATATTTTTTCCATATTAATGTCTGGACTTCCTTGTATTTAAGATCAATAGTATTCTCCCTGTGCTGGTCTCTCAATTAGTGGGAAGTGATTCTTCATCACAAAATGGTTTTTTAGTACATATCTAGTTCTAGTCAAAATATGCAACTTAAAAATTATACATTTGTTTGTGGCCACAGACATCTTTGGATATACCATTATCTGTTGAAAGTTGGGAAAAATGCCTATTTTGCAATAGGCTCTTACTGCTTTGTTTGAAAACTGATCTTTGATATAATGTCACTTGATTTAATGAAATCAATTTCAAAAATTTTAATCATATACTGATTTTAATGTAACTTCACACCAGGGAGAGAAGACTATTGTTGTACATAAATAGCTCTTAGGGGGATATATTAATGGATTTGTCTATACTCTGCTATTTGTATTAAGTAAACCTGTTTGATATGATCACTCTTGTTCTGTGTTTACAAAGTGGGCTGTTGCTGAACTTTCGTTTTTATAATCCAGATAAAAGTATATTTGGATTTAAAGTTTATATTTGAACCTGGAACATCATTATCTGATGGCTTCTTTCCAAGTTTGGTTTCTCTATTGCACACCCCCACGTCCCACCCCAACTCAACTATATTTTCTGGTAAAGTCTACCACTTCCATTCTTAGTAAACATTATCAATGTTAAATGGTTGTTTAAATTATATTATTTGGTCTTGAGGATTTTACTTGCTTTAGAATGATATGTATCTTAGAGTTGTTTTGTATTCATTTTCTTGGTTTCTTTCCAAGTCCTGATATTCTCTCGGAAATATTTTTTGACTGCACAACACCAAAACAAAAATGCCGCTGAAGTCTATTTACATGAACCAGACGTGTTCTTATTCATTTAAATGAATCAGACATGTTCTTATTGTAGGAACAGAGTGTTTCCTGGCATTCTGTTAGAAATATTAAATCAAATTAGCCTGGATAAGTCGACTGTTACAAAAATTGGAAACTGCTAAATTAAACTTTAACAAGAGTTACAAATGGCACTGGGCCTTCTTGGAAATGAAAAAAGTTATTAAGTGTTCGGTGAAGGTAAATTTGATTTTAATATTCTTATTCAGTGAAGAAGAAAATGAACTAAAAGCCTATTAAGTTATTTTTGTAGCTAACGCTTAGAGAAAAGTAAAAAAAAAAAATCCCACTAAACTACGGTGAGAGAACATTTAAATGAACAAGAAGTAGTTAAAATAGGAAATAGAAAACAAACATAGCAACTCCAAAAATTGAGCCTGAACTTTTGAAATAGTTAGCAAAGACAAAGATGGAAACTCACAGATACCCTAGAAAATATCCCCACGGGCAGCAGCAGCAGTTAAGTACACGGGTACAACATCAGTTAAGTACAGGGCAAAACAATATAATATACTCTCTTTTTTTTTTTTTTGAGACGGAGTCTCGCTCTTTTGCCCAGGCTGGAGTGCAGTGGCGCGATCTTGGCTCACTGCAAACTCCGCCTCCTGGGTTCACGCCATTCTCCTGCCTCAGTCTCCCGAGTAGCTGAGACTATAGGCGGCAGCCACCGCGCCCGGCTAATTTTTTGTATTTTTTTTAGTAGAGACGGGGTTTCACCATGTTAGCCAGGATGGTCTCGATCTCCTGACCTCGTGATCCACCCGCCTCGGCCTCCCAAAGTGCTGGGATTACAGGCGTGAGCCACCGCGCCCGGCCAGCAGTATAACATACTCTCTAGGAAACAGAGAGCATCAGTATTTGAGGCCTTTGTTTGATGCTCAAATACAGAATAATGGATGAGAAAAACCAGACTCTTCTTGCACAGCATTACTGGACATTGGATTACTTAGTATAAATCTTATGTAAGTAATTTTTATCAATTATGAAAAATATCAAACATTTATTACCACTTGTCAAGGAAAACTGGAGATGCAACATGTAACAGCAGTCTAGGACTCCAGAGCATGCCCTTTTAACCAGATTCTAAAACACAGAGTTGCTGATATGATAGCACTCAGTGCTTGAGAAAATTGCCTCTGGTGCTGGGCTGCTTGGATTTGAAATCTGGTCCAATTACCAATTAACCTCTATGATCCTCAGTTTATTCTTATGTAAATGGTAGTGGCGATGATGTTGATGATGATGATGTTCATCTCATGAGGTTCTTGTGAAGATTAAATGAGTTAAAAAATTTAAGGCACTTAGAACAACCCTTAGAATATTCTAAGTATTATTATTATTTTTCTTTCTGACATGAAACAATCAAACAAACTAATCTCCAAGTGTATTAGTAAAAATACACACTTTGGGCAATAATCCTATAAATTGTGAGGAATGACATTTCTAAGGGCCCTTGTCCTCTGAAATGCAATAAGCATATGACTGTTAAAGAGACGGATTTCTAGAATATAGAGGACAGTTGAGTCAGCTTTCTCAACATTTGGACATTTATTTGGATACTGACATTTTGATTCCATGATATACTGACATATTTCACAACACAAAAGGGCAATCTAACATTTGTTCTTCTTTAACAAAAAGAAAATGTGTCTGAAAGACTGTTATCCCCATTTTTGTGCCCCGAATGGTCGCTCAGAACGTTCATACCTCCATCATTTGCTCAGTTCTGCCCCAAATGGCAAGATCATTCTTTTTTTTATCTGAATCATGAGGGATTCATCTAGGTACATGTGTCCAGTCTGTAGCTCTGTGCTTGCATCCTTGCTGTACCTAATCCCCATCTGGTGGCTCAGTTCTAATACCTGGCTTTCACCTCGTAACCACACTTAGCCTCATAGGCCCCTACCACCTCTTCCACATTTGCAGAGCACTTACTATGAGCTAGGCACTATTTTAAGTATTTTACATTTACTAAACGTTCTAATCCTACAACACTCTTATCAGTAGAAACTATTGTTATCCCCAATTGACAGTGAGGAAACTCAGCAACAGGAAAGCTAACTAAGTTTTCTCAATTTCATGCAGCTGGTAAGTAGCAGAGCTGAGATTCAAACTCAGGTCATCTGACTGCAGAGTCAACACTCTCAACCCCTGCACAATATGATTTCAATAGTTAAGACCTGGGGTTTTGGTCTCTGCTACTGAGTTATTCTTCCAGCAACAAATCTTACTTTAATATCTATATAGTTCTTCATAGTTCAAAATGATTTCCTCTCCATGACTATATTTGTTCCTGTGGCCACTATATGAGATAGAATGAGTCTGAGGAAACTGTGGTTCACAGAGAGTGCACAGGGGGCAGTGAATGGTAGAATCAAAACTTAAACCTGGCTCTTTGGCTATGTTCTTTTCACTACCCCAATGATTCTGGGGCTTAGAAAAAGAAGATATCCATGAGGTGTGGACTTTCTGATGGAGATGGGGCCTGACCAAAACCTTGAATTGTAGGTAGCTCTTAGACTGAGGGAAAAAAGGATGAGAAAATAGAGAATAAAAGAAAAAAATAACAGAAAAGGGAGATGAGAGAGGATGGCTTCTAGATACATTATAATTAAAGAAATGAATGGACTTGGTAGTGGTTTGGATATTGAGAGCAAAGGAAAAGTTAGAAGCAAAATTGACTCCAAGATTTCAAATGTGAGAAACCAAGAGATCATTAATGCCATTCACAGAAACAAATGAAATGAAAGGGGAAGTGGTTTGACATAAAAGCTGTGAGTTTGGCTACAATCATGATGAATGTCGAGTGACCCTTGGACATACAAGTGGGAAAATGTATAGCAGATGGAAAAGATAAGATGTGGAAATGGAAGTCTTGGAGGTATCCACTTAGAGGTGATATTTAAAACTAAGGGTTGATAAGAAGTTATAGAGAAAGGCAAAACGTAATAGGTTATAGGCTAAATAAATGCTAAACCTTTGAGGGAAACCCAAACTTAAGGAAGAGAAAAGGAAAAATAGACAAGAAGGGAAGTGGTAGAAAAGCAGTTGAATAAATAGTATAGAGTCATGGACAAGAAGGAAAGAGAAAATTTAAGAAGTAGGAATTGATCATGTGTGTCACATAGAGCCAAGGGGATGAATAAAATGAGAATTTGGAAAAGTATTCCTTATAGCCCTTATCACACTTGTAATGAATTATTTGGGTGAGTTAACACCCTTCCTAACTAGACTGGAGATATATAAAGGCAGACTTAAGTGTTCCCTACTGTAACTTCAGTGCTCAGCAATGCCTGATGCATAGCTGTCACTAAATAAATATTTATTGAATGGATGAATGAATACATAAATAAATGAATGTACTTGAATTTCCTAGCAGCACTACAGGTGACCCTTGGAAGTACAGTGTCAATAAAGTGATGAAGATTGATTTTATGTCATAGGGGAATTTGAAAGAAAGATTTTAAAAGAGAAAGTGAGGCAGTAGGGTATGTTTTATTAATCACTTCTTAGAGAAATGTTTTTGTTAAAAGGAGAGAGAGACCAGATCAAGTGAATTTTTTATCCCAGTACACTACATGTTTATTATATTTTGTTCCTCTAGGAGCTCCTCCCTATTTTAGATAATCTTTCAGAACCTAAGGTAACCACAGCGGTTGCTAACTCTGCAAGTAACAGAAGCACCATCTGCTTTTTTGCTGTCTTCAGTAAAATCAAAAGTCCATGGGCTAAGCAAGATGGAAGATGTAGAGAAACAGAGGTCAAAGGAAATGATGATACTCCCCACAGAAAGAGATAACCAGGAATGGAACGAGGTTGGAGAGAAGTTTTGTGAAATCATGGAAAATGTGTGAATGTATATAGAGGGGTGAGAGAGAAAGAGGATGAGAGACCACAGACAAGTAAGATATGAATGTACAAAAGCATATTTACAAGTAGATTTTAAGTAGAATGTATTAAAGATGATTAGCTAAGTGCTTACGCAGGATGGCAAAATAGTCATAAGATACATCATCATATAATAGAGCTTAAGTAAAACGAACTGCTCATTTTACATATTAAAGCTACATTTCCTTTTCCTTCCCTTAACATACTAAATAATAATAAGGAAGTAATTTCAACAAAAATACTAAATGGGCCTCCAAAAGAAAAGAGGTAGAAGCTCAATAATTTTATTCACTAAACCTATCAGAAGACTTTAACAAATCTGAATAAATAGAAGGATAACATAGCTAATACCCAAACTTAAAATAGCAAAGAATTTCAGGAAATCATAAATACATAGAAAAAGCATGATTCAACAACTAAAAGAGCAGTAAGACATTTTCTCAGTTATTAGTTGCCCACATGTAAATATGCATGTATATGTGGGTATGTACATATATATACTGAGGGATGCAAGGACCAATTTAAGGATTTCACTAGAGTCCAAACAAATGGCTTCATGCATTTAAGACCTAGGGTATGAATTGTAACACTTTTGTGTGTAAGCTGTTGTCCAAATAACATATAAACAACTTATTACAAAATGAAAAAATTATATACTTAATTCCTGTGTTTAAAATACTTTTTAAGGAGGCTACTACTGAAGTAGTACTTCTAAATGCATTATTACATGTAAACAATATTTTATACTATTTTGAATGCTATAAATATATAACTCCTGTTTTCTCCAGGCATATGCTTTTCTCCAGGCATACACATATACTTGGAGCAAAGAGAAGTTATATATTAATAGTTGTAAAATTACGTTTTTCATTTAAATGAGGAAGACAGTATTGGTAATTAAAACAATCTACATTAAGGAGAAATTTTTTAAACCCTGATGCATCTTTTCAGAGTATATTAATGTTCACAGTTAATATCGCATTTCTGTAAGCTGTTACAGTATCATATTCATGTTGAAATTATTCCAGGTTTTTCAGACTTTATTAATCCTTCTACTGAATTTATATCCATACTGGATATTTGTCCATATCAAAAATGGAACTGAATGTAAAAACAATTAAATAATTCCAAATGAAACATCTAAATTTTCTAATAAATGAAAGAAATTCAGAGCAAAAGGACAATCTATGTTATATAGAGATGTGAGAGGTTTATATAGAGAGGTGTGAGAGATTTATAGCAAAATGATGCAACACTTCTGCTGTGAATTTGATTTTTTTATGTCACTAGAATGCATATTTGTTCCTGGAGGCACTCACTCTTCAGTAGAACCTAGTGCAATGCTTCACTTCATAGATAGAATCAAGTGTTAATAACAAAAAGATACTTATATTTCTCTCCTCAATCCATTAAACTCATAGCTACCAATGGCCAAAATGTCCCTTCTGTACATATTTCTCCCTTTTTTACTGTAAAATACAATATCAAATGGTGGAAGGAGCTGTTTTCTTCCTGACCAGCAAATCCCACTACTCCCCTACCACACACAAAATACAGAAATTAAGAAATCAGATATCACACTGGAGATCCCTAAACGCATTAGTCTTACCTTAATCTGAAGGTTAGAATGTTTTTATGGGCTTATTTTTCTCTCAAACACACAAACTGTAGAATGCTGGACTACTTGACCCTTGTGAACTACTTGGAGCAGGAACTTGAAAAACCAGCCTCTCATATTCCCACAATCTATTTACACATTGAACACACCCAGTAGCACAGAGTAATGTTTATCTGTTGCAGACAGCTATTTCAAGAAGAAGGCAGTATCTCTAAAGCTGAGCTTTCAAAAAGGAATGTCTCTGTTGATCAGCAGGGGAAAGGTAACAGGTTTCATCTAAAGCACATTTTAAACATTTTTTGACATGAGGTATTTTTTACACCAGTGTTTTAAAGGTGATTCACTCTTTTAATATTCTTCTACCCCTGAAAATCTCTATTCTTAAAAAACCTGGGAGAAACGTGATAACAATGAACACATATGTGCCAGGCACTGTTGTAAGTGCTTTACATATATCCTCTCCAATAATTCTCCAAATGTGTTAGGTGTATAATATTATTATCCCCATATTACAAATGAACAAACTAAGTAGTCTGCCCACAGTCACCCAGTTAGTAAGTACTGGAGTCAAAAGTTAAATCCAGGCACTCCATAACCATAGTCCAGGTATCTAATCATAGCACTGTGCTATGTATGTATGACTTTTAGAAGACAAATGTGTAACAGTATGTGATTGCTCAGCTGAACATTAGAGAATGAGTGAGGTTTTCTCAGTGCTTGTATGGTACTGAATCTTTAGTTGAAGTAAGTGAAATTTTTGTTAAGATCACTTCTGCCAAGGTGATTACCCATTTATGTTACCATAGCCAGGTCCCTTTTAGCTACAGTGGGGAACCCCAAAGGTGGTGTCCTGGAGAATCGAAAACGTGAGTCTAGCTTGAAGTACCAAGAGAGTTATTACTTTCTTATGTTAAAAAACTCATACAAAAGAAGTCAATACAACACCTTTAAAAAGTTTAGAGATACATGTTTTGTTCCATTTTTTTCAGATTGGATGATTACTTTTGATCTGTCTTCAAGCTCATTTGATGCTAGCCATCTCCAAACTAATGTGAGCCCATCTAGTGTGTTATTAATTTCAGTTACTATAATTTTTTAAGCTCTAAAATTTCCATGTGGTTATTTTTATAGTTTCCATTTCTCTGCTGAAATTCACTATCTGTACATTTATAAAGATCATATTTTCCTTTCATTCTTTGAACCTATTTTCTGTTTGTTCTTTGAATACATAATAATTGATTTAGTCTTTTTCTATGAAGTTTAACAACTGGACATTTTTGGGTCTGTTTCTACTGATTTTATGACAATAGGTGATATTTTCTTGTTTCTTTGCATGTTGAATTTTTTTATTGCATATTGGACAATGGGGATCATATAGTGTAAAGACTCTGCTATCTCCCTCTGAGGAGTATTAATATTTGTTCTATTAATATTGGCATTTCCATAGAATTGGTTTGGTTTTGCTAATGTAGTTATGCAGAAAGTCTAAGGTCCTTTCCAAGCCTGATGAATTTGGGAGATCAACCTACAAATTCTGTCTCCCCTGCAGATCTTGTAAGGGCTGAGTTTTAGGATTTTTTATTTGTAATTTTTATGGAAAAATAGTAGGTGTATATATTTATGAGTTACAGAGATATTTTGATACAGGCTTGCAATATATAAAGATCACATCAGGGTAAATGGGGTATCCATAGCCTCAAGCAATTATCCTTTGTGTTACAAACAATACAATCATACTGTCTTCATTATTTTAAAATGCACAATTAAATTATTATTTTTACTATAGTCACCCTGTTGTACTAAGAAATACTATGTCTTATTCATTCTTTCTATTTTTGTACCCATTAATCCTCCCTACTTCCCCCCAGCACCTCACTACCCTTCCCAGCCTCTGGTAACCATATTTCTACTCTCTATCTCCATGAGTTCAATTATTTTCATTTTCAGCTCCCACAAGTAAGTGAGAATATGCAAAATTTTTTTTCTGTGTCTGGCTTATTTGACTTAACATAATGACCTTCAGTTCCATCCATGTTGTTGCAAACGACAGAATCTCATTCTTCTTTATAGATGGTAGCACTCTATTGTGTATATGTACCACAGTTTCTTTATCCATTCATCTGTTGATGGACATTTATATTGCTTCCAAATTTTGTCTATTGTAAATAGTGCTGCAGTAAACATGGGAGTGCAGATATCTCTTGAATATACTGATTTCCTTTCTTTTGGGTATATACTCAGGAGTGGGATTGCTGGATCATATGGTAGCTCTATTTTGAATTTTTTGAGGAACCTACAAACGGTTCTCCATGCGATTGTACTATTTAAATCTAAGACCTCAAACTATGAAACAACAAAAACAAAACATTGGGAAACCTCTCTAGCACATTTGACTGGGCAAGGATTTATTGAGTAATACCCCACAAGCACAGGCAACCAAAACAAACAGTGACAAATGGGATCACATCAAGTTAAGAAGCTCCTGCATGGCAAGGAAACAATCAACAAAGTGAAGAGCCAACCTACAGAGCAGGAGAAAATATTTGCAAACTACCAATCTGACAAGGGATTAATAACCAGAATATATAAGGAGCTCGAATAACTCTATAGGGAAAAATATAATGATCTGATTTAAAAACTGGCAGGGGATCTCAATAGACATTTCTCAAAAGAAGACATACAAATGGCAAAAAGGCATATGAAAAGGTGCTAAATATCAGTGATCATCAGAGAAATGCAAATCAAAACTACAATGAGATGTCATCTTACTCCAGTTAAAATGGCTTATACCCAAAAGAGAAGCAATAACAAATGCTGGTGAGGATTTGGAGAAAAGGGAACACTTGTACACTGTTGGTGTGAATACAAATTAGTACAACCACTCTAGAGAACAGTTTGAAGGTTCCTTTAAAAACTCAAAATATGAACTTAAAGTAGTTTTTTCCAATTCTGTGAAGAAAGTCATTGGTAGCTTGATGGGGATGGCATTGAATCTATAAATTACCTTGGGCAATATGGACATTTTCACGATATATATTCTTCCTACCCATGAGCATGGAATGTTCTTCCATTTGTTTGTATCCTCTTTTATTTCATTGAGCAGTGGTTTGTAGTTCTCCTTGAAGAGGTCCTTCACGTCCCTTGTAAGTTGGATTCCTAGGTATTTTATTCTCTTTGAAGCAATTGTGAATGGGAGTTCACTCAGGATTTGGCTCTCTGTTTGTCTGTTATTGGTGTATAAAAATGCTTGTGATTTTTGTACATTGATTTTGTATCCTGAGACTTTGCTGAAGTTGCCTATCAGCTTAAGGAGATTGCCAAGTCAATCCTAAGCCAAAAGAACAACACTGGAGGTATCACGCTACCTGACTTCAAACTATACTACAAGGCTACAGTAACCAAAACAGCATGGTACTGGTACCAAAACAGACATATAGACCAATGGAACAGAACAGAGCCCTCAGAAATAATACCGCATATCTACAACTATCTGATCTTTGACAAACCTGAGAAAAACAAGCAATGGGGAAAGGATTCCCTATTTGATAAATGGTGCTGGGAAAACTGGCTAGCCATATGTAGAAAGCTGAAACTGGATCCCTTCCTTGCACCTTATACAAAAATTAATTCAAGATGGATTAAAGACTTAAATGTTAGACCTAAAACCATAAAAACCCTAGAAGAAAAACTAGGCAATACCATTCAGGACATAGGCATGGGCAAGGACTTCATGTCTAAAACACCAAAAGCAATGGCAACAAAAGACAAAATTGACAAATGGGATCTCATTAAACTAAAGAGTTTCTGCACAGCAAAAGAAAACTACCATCAGAGTGAACAGGCAACCTACAGAATGGGAGAAAATTTTTGCAATCTACTCATCTGACAAAGGGCTAATATCCAGAATCTACAATGAACTCAAACAAATTTACAAGAAAAAAGACAAACAACCCCATCAAAAAGTGGGCAAAGGATATGAACAGACACGTCTCAAAAGAAGACATTTATGCAGCCAAAAGACAGATGAAAAAATGCTCATCATCACTGGCCATCACAGAAATGCAAATCAAAACCACAATGAGATACCATCTCACACCAGTTAGAATGGCGATCATCCAAAAGTCAGGAAACAACAGGTGCTGGAGAGGATGTGGAGAAATAGGAACACTTTTACACTGTTGGTGGGACTGTTAACTAGTTCAACCATTGTGGAAGTCAGTGTGGCGATTCCTCAGGGATCTAGAGTAGAAATACCATTTGACCCAGCCATCCCATTACTGGATATATACCCAAAGGATTATAAATCATGCTGCTATAAAGACACATGCACACGTATGTTTATTGCAGCACTATTCACAATAGCAAAGACTTGGAACCAACCCAACTGTCCAACAATGTTAGACTGGATTAAGAAAATGTGGCACATATACACCATGGAATACTATGCAGCCATAAAAACCAATGAGTTGATGTCCTTTGTAGGGACATGGATGAAGCTGGAAACCATCATTCTCAGCAAACTATTGCAAGGACAAAAAACCAAACACCACATGTTCTCACTCATAGGTGGGAATTGAACAATGAGAACACATGGACACAGGAAGGGGAACATCACACTCTGGGGACTGTTGTGGGGTGGGGGGAGTGGGGAGGGATAGCATTAGGAGATATACCTAATGTTAAATGAAGAGTTAATGGGTGCAGCACACCAGCATGGCACATGTATACATATGTAACAAACCTGCACATTGTGCACATGTACCCTAAAACTTAAAGTATAGTAAAAAATATATATATTTAAAAAAACTCAAAATAGAGCTACTATATGATCCAACAATCCCACTGCTCGGTATATAACTAAAAGAAAGGAAATCAGTATATCCAAGAGATATCTGCACTCCCATATTTATTGCAGCACCATTTATAATAGACAAGATTTGAAAACAACCTATATGTCCATCAACAGATGGATAGAGAAAATGTGGTACATATACACAATGGAGCACTACCAAGCCATAAAGAAGAATGAGATCCTATCATTTGCAACAACATGGAAGAAACTGGAGGTCATTATGTTAAGTGAAATAGGCCAGGCACAGAAAGACAAATTTCACATGTTCTCACATATTTGTGGGAACTAAAAATTGAAATATTTGAACTCGTGAGAACAGAGGGTAGAAAGATGTTTACCAGAGGCCAGGAAGGGTAGTAGGGTGCTGGAGGGGAAGTTGGGAGGGTTAATGGGTGCAAAAAATAGAAAGAATAAATAAGACATTAATTCTTTCTAGTTTTTCTATGCTAGTATTTGCTAGCACAACAGTGACTATAGTCCAAAATAATTTAATTGTACATTTTAAATTAACAAAGAAACTATAACTGGATTGTTTATAACACAAAGGATAAATGCTTGAGGTCATGGATACCCCATTTACCCTGATGTGATGATTACGTATTGAAGACCTGCATCAAAATATCTCATGTTGATATGGGAGGAGGGCAGGGAAGTGCTGGGTAGGGGAGGGTGTGGTCTGTGGCTAGGGCTCCACCCCTGGGCCTGTGACCAGGGACCTAGGTGAGGACAGACATTTTTTCCTGCCCAAATGTTGCATTTCCCAAGACCACGCTGGCCCACCACACCCCTATCCTGTGCTTATAAAAACCCCAAGATCTTCGCGGGCAGAGAAACAAGCAGCTGGACATCAAGAGGAGCACGCTGGCAGAGCGCACCGACAGGCACTGGCAGATGCTGGCAGGTTGGCAGGCCATTGACCAGCAAAACAATGCGGAGTTCGGTTGGGGCGGTCGGAGAAGAGCCCGGCCACTGAGCGGGCCTGGATCCAGGGGAAAACCACGTTCCCACTCCATCTCCCTTCTGGCTTCGCTATCTGCTGAGAGCTACTTCCACTCAATAAAACCTCGCACTCGTTCTCCAAGCCCATGTGTGATCCGATTCTTCCAGTACACCAAGGCAAGAAACCCTGGGATACAGAAAGCCCTCTGTCCTTGCGATAAGGCAGTGGGTCTAATTGAGCTGACTAACACGAGCTACCTACAGATGGCTAAACTGAAAGAGCATACTGTAACACATGCCTACTGAGGCTTCATCTGTAAACATTCACCTTTAGATACCGCCATGGGGTCAGAGCCCCACAACCTACCAGTCTGCATGCTCCCGCTAGGGGTTTGAGCAGCAGGGCACTGAAGAAGTGAGCCACACGTCCATCACATGCCCTGTGAGGGGGACAAGGGAACTTTTCCCATTTCTATGTAACCCATAAATACATACACCTACTATGTACCCATAAAATTTTTCAAAAAATAGACTTTTGGGCTTGGGCTCATCATATCACCCCATAACCACATTTAAGACAATGTCAGTGGATAGAGTCAGAATTTCCAGAAAACCTTAACTGAGAAGCATTTGTGTTCACAACACAGTTACACAACGTCCAGTGGAACAAGACCTAGGTTTTCGAAGTCTAAGGACCTGCATTATAAAATCAGCCCTTTTTTCCCAACCTGTCTGGGCTTCCCCAAATAAAACACAAGTGAAAGTTCTCGAGAGTGAGTTGTTAAGTGAGAGTGTTGTCAAGACTCACTATCAAGAATGAGACCTCACAAGTTGTTGTGAGTGCTTTCCTAGAAATCCAAGCGACCCCAACATCTTGGCATTGAACACATGAGCTTCACTTTCCCAGAAGAGAACATTAAGCACCTTCTATCTTGAGCGCTATTTCTAAGGATAAAGGAGAGGAAAGAGCTTCAACAACAGGTGGGATGACCAGCTCTCATCCCTGCTTTGACCTTGAAAGAGCTGATTATCATCTTTGGGCCACAGTGACCTCAGCTGTAAAATGGAGAACTTAGAAAAAAAGTCTGGTCCCCTTTTACCCATTTTCAGTAGAGATTCTTTCTTAGGAAAAGAGCATAGTCTGATAACTGTATACCTCAAGAAGACCTTTGAAATAATTTTTCCAACCTCATTTTACAGCCACAGAAGCTGATGGTCCCCCAAGTAAATTCTACTGAGGGGACCAGAAGTCAGCTCTTCTGCCCCTCCTTTCACTATTTTCCCCTTTCTTGTCATGAAGACTCCCCTTCACAGTTGAGCTGATGAATTATTTTCATCCTACATTTCAGAATGCAAATAACTCCCAACCATGGTATGTAACCTGCCTCCTTGATGCTAACTGGTTTCCTTTACTAGAGTTTGCTTTAATAAGTTAGAGATATTTCCCTACAGTTATTCTAGAACATTAAGAGGATCAAATCTTCTACTCTCATAAAGTCCTTTGGAAGACACACATTAAGAAAATGCCAAATGCAGATTCTATTTATTGCCCTTCATTACATTTAAAATCATACTCCTAAAATAATAGAATACAATAAATTCACCATTCCAGTGTTACACACACTGTGATTTTAGGAACAGTGTACGGCTACAAAGTTTTTATTACTGATTGGCTGCAACAGGTACAGGAATTGAATACCACCATTCAGGATCCTTTATAGAAATCTGTCTTCGTCACACATTTAAGTGAGTGAAGTCATCTTATTGGACAGGGTGTATACCAGTCTGACTGTTGTTAAACTCCAGTGATGATTCAATGGTGAGCCATACAGTAGTCATGCACAATAGGACCACATATCATCTCTAAATTAAATAGAACATGAAAAATAGAAAATAGTGGCTTTACACCATAAATAATCTGAGGAGTGCTGCACTGCACTATAGTAATTAGAGAAGGAATCCTTCTGAACATTAGAGTTGGAGATTTAAATTACAGTGAGAATAATGAACTCATCTATAGAAGCCAGACAGGTACTTTAAGGAAAGGGATGAGTCAGTAATCGGATACAATAGGGAAGAGTAAGTGTTATGAGATCTTTAGGGTGTCGTTTTTCTGGCCAGAAATCTCTGTGGCAGGTGGCACCTTTGTCTGAGTTGTGCTCGGTCCTGCTGGGCTCGCTGTGCCCACTCAGCCTGGCAGGCTGTGCTTGGCTCATGTTACCAGCCTGGGTCCCACACCTGTCAAGGGGGAGTAAGGTGTGGAACGGCAAGGGGTGTGTGAGGAAGCGTGGGGTTCAGCCACTGCACACAGTCAGACATGCCAGCTGCTGCAACAGGGCAGGCAGGCAGTTCCAGATGCCAGAATAGGTGCCGGCTCTCTGTGAGGCTGCCACTGGACCAGGCGCACGACAAGCAGCTTCCACAGCTGGCACCGGGAAACATGGTGGCACCTGGAAGTTTGGAGATGCCAGTGAACCACAGAGCCCCAAAGAGGGAGTGACAGCCCTTGCTCAAGTAGTTCTCAGGTCTGGGCTCCCCGAAGGGCCAAAACTCTTCTCTCTTTCTCTTTGCCTGCAACATGGCGAGCAAGGGGCATGTTTCAACCTGTTTGTGTTAAAGCTCTTTTAGCCCCACCATTTGACGGGTCCTGAGTTCTTGTCTTGTGACCAGGAAGAATGAGGTACACCAACAAGTGGAGGGTGAGAAAGATGAAGGGGAGCTTTACTGAGCAATAGAATAGCTTAGTCTCCCACAGGGGGCAGCTCCTTTCTGCAGCAAGGGTGTCCTGATGAGTGTTCAGCTCCTAGCAGAGAGGAGACCTTGGAGTGGGAAGCTCCTCTCTGTAGGCAGGTCTTCCTGTCATCTTCCCAGCTGTCAGCAGAGAGGAGGACTTGGGGTGGCTAGCTCCTCTCTGCAGCTGGTGGTCCCAACATTTGTTCAGCTCTGGCTGAGTCCTCTGGCTTTTAAGGGCCTCAGAGGGGAGGAAGTGTATGCTGACTGGTCCACGGGTGGCCATGGGTGGGCCCAGATAAAGCACAACACATTCCCGCTCCAGTCTGTAGGACTGCAGTCCAGCCCCCAGCTTTCAGGCCCTTCCTGGCCTGAACTCGGGGCCTCAATGTGGACCTTCCACCTAGGAACCTGTCTGCCTCCTGCTGCCGTTCATGGCACCCAGGCTGTAGGTGCCAGGGGATATCTGCAGGCCAGCACTGAGCTGTCCTTGGCCCCCCATTGTCTCCCTTCCTAAGCTTGTCAGAGCCCAAAGTCTGGAGGGGGCTAAGGCAGCAGGGAACTGGTGTGTCAGCACTGCCCCAAGCATGTGCACACCTGACCTGGCTGTGACAGCACCTGGGATCAGCCCTGACTTTGCTTTGAGATTGGAGTGGGCACTGACAGCAGGGAGAGCCAAGCAGGGGGAGCAGACATTTCCAAGAGGGTAGGGATGCCTGGGTCTGCAGCCGCGATTTGGATGGCTGCAGCTGTGTCCAGGAGGGCAGGACTCCTGCCTGCTCCATGGAGTGGGAGGCCTGGGTCCACAACCACCGCTCGGGCAGCTGCGGCTGCAACCGGGGAGCTACTGCCACACCAATTTGAAAGGGACAGGGCTCCCACTTGTCCCCAGCTCCCACCAGCTCCACAAAGTGTGCAGCCCTGGTCATGGCTCCCTGCTGCAGCTGGCATGATGGCAACGGCCACCCCAGATGGGCCACCACTGCCATCATGAGGAATGTAGGAAACTAAATATCTCGTCTTAATGGGGTAGCAGCTAATTATTTCTATCTAACTGTAGCCACATATATACCGAGACATTTTGATTTTCTAAGGAAACCCAGAAATTGAGATTTTCAGATGAAAGATCTAGATTTTTCAATGTTGGCAACAAAATAATTTTCCTTAAAAACAGCATTGTAGTTCTAATGATCTCATCTGCTGTCCAGATTAGGTATGTGAGCTGCCACTTTGTAATCTGAGGATTAGGAAAATGATGTGTTAGATGTTGATAGAAGTACCTCTCTTTCTAGACTCCTATTTTGGGAGTAACGGAGGTACTCTCTAAGGAGTCAGGCCATCTCCCATAGGCTACATCATGTAGGATCTATCACATAAAGGGAACAGGAGACCTGGGCCTTCAAAATGCTTTGCTTCCCAAAAGATGCTCTAGGTGGGAGACGAGCCTGATAACCAGGCCTTGCGGTAAAGCCAACAAAAAGTTGCCTTTACCCTCCAAGTCTCCTGCCCTCAGGCTTGACTCTGGGGCTTGTCTATCTTCACACATGAAGTTTTCTGCAGTCTTGACCTGAGTCTGGCACCAGCCTGCCCTGACACTGCTTGTGATCCCTGGCCTGGTTGGCAGCCACAGTCACCCCGGCCTCTGTCCTTGCCCACTTGGGCGTTAGTTTTCACACTCCCAATAGGACACTGGCCACCAGTGCTGTCCTGACCACAGGATACAGGCCAGAGAGACTCCTTCCTCACCTTTCCCTCCCTCCTGTTAGAAATGCACAAAAGGCCTAAATATGGGTGGGCTCATGCCTTCCCAATAACAGTGATTCTCTCTGCCTCCCCACCTCCCCTGAGTGTAGAATTCCTTGCATGTGTGGAAGGGGGATCTGGCAGGGTGATGCATTAGTCTGAAGCTATGCTGGCTGTGGCCCCCCACGATTCCTCTGAAACCCACGAGCACAGCTGAGCACAATTCTTAAAGGGATAGCAGTGCCTCCTGCTGACTCTCCCATGCCCCTTGACTCTGCAGAGAGCTTGCAACAGGGGCTCATCCAGGGTCAACCTCCAAACTCCACCTCAGGCATGAAACAGAGTCTGAAAGAGCCCAGAAGCCCGGGTCCTTACAAGGTCAGAGTGACCGTTAGTGTTGACGACTGCATAAACTGTAAGGTGACCACCTGACTACACAGAGGGACTCATCTGCCATGGGCCACCCACCTACTATGGCTTCTCCTGCCTTGAATGAAGTCCTCAGATGTGCATTCCAGTGTATCCAGGACATTATATCTAGTTCTACAATAAGCCACAGCCATAAGCAACATCAACAGCTTTTAAACACCAGACAGCTATTTAATCAACATGTCAAGATCTGAGGAAAATGATCAGTTCACTGCCATTACCCATCCTAGAGGGACTCACTTGAATGGAGGACACTGGACTAGCAGGAACACATACCCTGAAAACAAAGATGTTTCACTTTGGCAAGTGGAGAGGGCGCTGTTGTCACCATGATTTGATCAGCTGAAGGAGACTTCCTTCCTGTAGATGCTGGAGAGAGGCCTGCTTGCTGCTCAAATGCACAGAGGAGAAAGTGACCATCTGGGCTAAAGCTAGGAATGCTCTATAGCTCTCCATAAGGAATCATCCAGTGGTGGGGTGGGCATCTTCACAATGAGTTGCCTGGGAATATAAGGTTCAGTGGAAATCATGTGGCAAGAAAGGCTTCTGGGATTCAGACAAGCATATCTCCCAAATAGCCCTAAGGACAATCCCAACACAATCTCCATGTAAATCCCCTGTCCCATGAAGTTCATGCCAGCCCGTGTGCCCTCTTTCCACCCACCTCTGTGGCCACCGCCCTCTGATTTCAGACCTTTGTTATCCTGAATAAAGCCTCCTGCACCTCAGTCAGAGTCTGCAGCTCCACCCTAGGCCCCAGCATCAGGCTGGGAATTCAACAAGCCTCGGAGGACCCCAGCCAACTCCCTGGCCTCACAAGGCCTTCCTGTTCAGAGACAATGAGGAAGTCTCGGCGTCTTTATCCCAGCCAGTTCCTCCCCACAGGGCCGGCACCCTCACTGTCACCATTGGAAACTGCCCCCTCTAAATCACTGATTCAAACACTCCACACTGGCCACCCCTTCCCCCGCTTCAGCTCTCTGGGGATAGCTTCTCCTTGATGTCTCACAGACACCTCCAACCCAAAGCAACGGAAACGGAGACGAGTCAGGAGCACTGTCATGCATTTACACAGTTTAATAGCTTGGGCAGATGGAAGCAACCTGGGGTCTTTCATCTATGGGAATTTTGGCATCTGGAGGAGGTTGCTGATGAAGTCCCGCATGGCTCCGAAACTCAGGAATCCTTCCTCCTCCTTCTTCTCCTCCTCCTCCTCCTTCCCCCCATCACCACCAGCACCACCATCTCCTCCTCCTTCTCCTCCTCCTCCTCCTCTTCCTCCTCAGATTGGGGCATTTCTTCTACTTGAGAGTGGGTGTCATCTTCCAACTCCAAGATCCATCTGAGCTGCTCATCCTTTTGCAGTGCCCTCTTCACGTGTTCTGGGGTGATGCACAGCCTGCAGCTGTTCTTGACCTCCTTGCCCACCTTTTCCAGGATGTTGGCTGTCAGATACTCGAGAACACCAGCCAGGAAAACAGGTGTGGTTGAGCTCAGGTGCCGGGCATGCTGACTTTCTCGCAGGCAGCGTTCCAAGTGGCTGACAGGAAACTGCAGCTCTGCTCTTCTGGAATGGGAAAGGCGTTGTCTCCTAGGCCTACAGAACATTTTGTTTCCAGCCATGAGGAATTGCTGGGTTTTGCCCCAATTGGCACAGCTTGATTTTCCTGCTGGCCTGAGCCTCTCAAGGTACCAGTGCTTATTGCCACCCACTGTATCCCTATGCTCCAGCCCCTCATTGGTCAGGGAGTTGCCTTTGTGACAACCTCCACTTTTTGATGTCATTGGTGTCCACTGGGCTCTGATCAGGCCTCAGCCTAGAAAAGCCCATGAGAGGAACCTGATCACCCTAGCAACTGGAACTTCCTTTTGAGAGGGACCTGGTTGCCCCAGTAACCGGAGCTTCTTTTTGAAAGGAACCTGGTCACCCTAGTAACTGGAGCTTCTTTTTGAGAGGAACCTGGTCACCCTAGCAACTGGAACTTCTTTTTGAGAGGAACCTGGTTGCCCTAGTAACTGGAACTTCTTTTTGAGAGGAACCTGGTCACCCCAGTAACTGGAACTTCTTTTTGAGAGGAACCTGGTTGCCCTAGTAGCTGGAACTTATTTTTAAGGAAAAGCTCATTTTCTATTTAACATTTTAGCAAAAAATTGTGTCAATGAAAGTATTGTCCTGTCTTTAGGACACCACTCCAGGTTCTTTAAGTTTAGCCTTGCATTGTCTGTGAGCTAATTTACATTCCCTCTAGAAGCTGTAAGTCACTTACAGACATGTTCACTGCCTTGCTCCCAATTTTGCCTCCATGTATACATTTACTTAAACATTCATGATCAATGTTCCTATGTTTATTCTTTGAATTCCCTTTTGAATGGCTTATAATATCCGCCAATTTCCTCACGAGTTAATCGATTGTTTCAACGCATTTCCATATCATAGGTGTTTGAGTGTTATGATTTTACTCTGTTAGAAAATACCTTTTACCTGTTTTTAAAGGTCACAATGTTATACCCAGTGGATTCATCTATCAGAGCTAGGCAAACTTGGTGACAGAGATGTGTGCTTCATGCTTGGTTAAACCCAGGAATGTCTTTGCTTGCCTCATCTAGGTGACTCCAAAGCCCAAATAAGTCTTTGTTCATTGTGTTTTTCTAATTTTAGTTTCAACATTTAATTTTTATTTCAATATTTTTCTCTACTAATTCTGTATTTTGTTGTTGTTGTTGTTGTTCATTGACATTAGGTAAGTTATTTTCATTGTTGACCAAATGGTTGGGAATTCAGTTTTAGGATCCAACCATCTGGAGAGCTGTGTAAATGAGTTAATGATTCATAGAAATACAGTCTCTGTTGTGTAAAAGACAACAGAAAATCTGGTTTGACAGTCTTTTGTCCATTTGTCTATTTATAGCTCAAATCAATTAAGAATTTTATACTCTCTTAGAGGAGAACAGTTTTTTTTTTTATATTTGGATCAGAGAACTTTACTGTTTCTATTTACACTTGACTCACGGTTGAAATTGTAGAACTGAAGCTATAAGCTCTATCTCTCTGTGCCTATATGTCTATGTGCTTGTAATTCTGAAATAGCTCCACCTCTGATTGTGTGATTATGTAAAGTTTTCCTACCTCTGGATGGTATTGACGTGTTCGATTATAAAGTCTCTTTTGCTTACATAAATTAAATATTCCCAAATTCCTCCTGTCTCTCCACAGGGCTCAGCAGGATGTGGTTCTCACAGCCAGTGGCCTAAGTCCCCAGTGGTCACCTGAGAACCAGGACCACTGCACCTTGGGGAAGCCTGCCTACAGGTCTGCTGTTAGGGAAGGAAGGAGATGCAACTGTTTATTAAGGGGGACCCTGTGCATGCACTGTGTGGAACAGCAGTTTACAGGCACAAGTGGACTCAATCTTGGGAAAACCCACAGATGGAGAGACTTTTACTACCCCCATTTTACACATGAGGAGGACTGCTCAGAGGGAGTAATTGAAGGTCTAATATCACATGTCCAGGAAGTGGTGAACTGGGATCTGAAACCCAGGCCCGCAGCTCCCATTGTTGGAGCCGGCTGTGCAGCCTCTGACCAACCCTCTGTGAAAGGCCAGCAGGCAGCAGACTGTGGCTCCCAAGGACCCAAGGAAGAGGTGGAAACCTAAAATGTGGGCACTCACAGGCAAGGGGACAGATTGCTACAACACTTGATGTGACACCTCTTTTAAACTTAGCACAGAGCAGGAAGTTTTGAAAAGGATTGCATGTGCTTTAGAGGCCGCCACTTGGGACAGAATTATTTCTATACCTCTTAAAACATGGATTGAGTCACTAATAATCCTTTGGTGCTCTATGCAATATATGGTAATTATAATGAATAAGTATTCAATTTAAAAATGAAATTGTTAATCGTGTTTTAAATGAAATACATTTATAATTAAGCTGATTCATTAATAATTAACAACCATTAAGAACTTCTTGAATTGCCCATCTTAGGCCAGATCATAAATTTTATATATTCTTTTGATTTATTTTACCAGTGTCCTGAAGAGAGGACAAAAAGATATATTCACAGCACTAGCTAATAATCCCTGTCTCAAATCCGCTTTCATAATAAGGCAGGGCATAAAGAAATAAGAAATGAAATCCAGCAGGCCATCATTTCTTTTTTGCATTTTTCATGATGGTTTCTCCTTCACTCTTCAATCTCCATGTAAAGCCCCTGTCCCATGAACTTCATGCCAGCCAGTGTGCCCCTCTCCACCCACCCCTGTGGCCACCGCCCTCTGACTTCAGACCTTTGCTATCCTGAATAAAGCCTCCTGCACCTCAGTCAGAGTCTGCAGCTCCACCTCAGGCCCCAGCATCAGGCTGGGAATTCAACAAGCCTCAGAGGCCCCCAGCCAACTCCCTGGCCTCACAAGGCCTTCCTGTTCAGAGACAATGAGGAAGTCTCGGTGTCTTTATCCCAGCCAGTTCCTCCCCACAGGGCCGGCGCCCTCACTGTCACCATTGGAAACTGCCCCCTCTAAATCACTGATTCAAACACCACACTGGCCACCCCTTCCCCGCCTTCAGCTCTCTGGGGATAGCTTCCCCTGGATGTCTTACAGACACCTACAACCCAAAGCGACAGAAACTGAGAGGAGTCAGAAACATACTCATGGATTTACATCCTTTAATAGCACTTGTTGATGACAACAGCAGATATTCCTCAGCTGTGACACATTTTTGCCCTGGCTAAGCCTGTGAGGTTCCCTTCAAGGCTCTGGGACCCAGTCTTCAGTCATTCTTCCTGGATTTGGGCATCTCATCAAACAAAAAGCGAGTCACATCACTCTCAGCGCTGTGGGGCTCACGGTTGTTGTCCACTTCTCTCTCCCTATCTTGTGAAGTGTTGCGCATACTGCCATTGTTGCTGGCCTCCAAGCCTACCCGCTCCATGATGTAGTCAGCAAGGCAATCGAGCAAGGTAAGGAGGGTATTTATTGTGGAGGAACTCTGGCTTTGGACGTCTCGTTCATCTTGCACAACGCGGTCCACGAAGCTCCTAGGGACCTGTAGCTCATTTCTAGAAGGGTCTTGAGTCTGGTTGTTATTTGTAGACGAGTTCTTACAGTTCTTTTTCTCTGACATGATGTTTGCTGGGTTTGGCTCTCATCAGCTCTGCTTGATTCTCTAGCTCAAGTAGGTCTCTGAGGACACTAGTGCTTAGTCCTGCCTATTGTATCCCTCTGCTCCAGGCCCTTATTGGTCAGGGAGCTAGCTGCCTTTGTGACATCCCTAGACTTTGTGATTTCATTGGTGTCCACTGGTCCCTTATCAGACCTCAGCCTAGAAATGTCTATGACACTGATCTAGTCACGCTAATGACTGAACCTTGATTTTGAGGGAACTATAACTCTCTACCTGATTTTGACATTATAAAAATAAATGTGTGCTTCAGTGGAAAACTTTGCTCTGTCTTTAGGACACCACTGCAGGTTATCTGATTCCAGCCTTACATTATCTGTGAAGTCTTTTATAGCCTTTTGTTAGTTGTAGGCTGCTGATACATGTACAGCATATTCTTTAGTAGAGGTTCGGTTGTTCTTCACCTTATGAAACCAGTTTTGCCTCCATTTACACAATCATTTAATATTACTGATGAATATTCCCATATCAACTCTTTGGTTTCCCTTTTGAAGCAGTCATAACATCTTTTTCTTTTAGCATGTGTTCATTTCATATCTGTATGAGTGTCATGATTTTACCCCATTTGAAAAATATATTTTAGTCATTTTTCAATTAATAATAAGATGCTCAGCCGGGCGCAGTGGCTCACTCCTGTAATCCCAGCACTGTGGGAGGCAGAGGTGGGTGGATCACAAGGTCAGGAGATCGAGACCACAGTTAAACCCCGTCTCTACTAAAAATAAAAATAAAAATAAAAATAATTAGCCGGGCGTGGTGGCGGGCGCCTGTAGTCCCAGCTACTTGGGAGGCTGAGGCCAGAGAATGGTGTGAACCCGGGAAGTGGAGTTTGCAGTGAGCCGAGATCGTGCCACCACACTCCAGCCTGGGAGACAGAGCGGGACTCGGTCTCAAAAATAATAATAATAATAAGATGTTCAATAAGTTTACCTGTCAGTGCCAGGTAAACAGTTGATAGAGAAGTGCATCTTGTGCTCAGTTTAAGCCCAGATGTGTATTTCTTGTCCCTCCTAGGTGAAGCCAAAGCACTAAGAGATGTTTCTTTTCTATTATTTAATTTTCTTCTCTACTAATTCTGTGTTTTCCCTTTGACTTTGGTTCATTTACAGCCAATAACTTTGCCATTCCACAAGGGAAAAAGTGGAAAGAAAAAGGAGTCTCAAATCCAAGCATTTTCAAAATCCAACCATTAGGTTTCAAGGCCTGAGAATATTCTAAGGCTTGAGACTCCTCCCTTTGATGACTCTGATCCTATGACTTCACCTGGGGTCATAAATCTGCCCTCTGGCCTCTAGGTTCTGCCCTCAGTCATTGTTCCTTTATTTTGAATGGTAGCATATGTTTACAGCTGAGTAGTTTTATCAGCCTGCTTCCTCCTGTCAAATTTTGAGAGTCCTGTAGACTTCTTTCATTTCTTCCTCTATTTGTCCCTTTCAGTCTAAGCTGGCATTGTTTCTGCTGATATAACATTGTCAAAAACTTACAGGCCTTTTATGTATGTCATGGGGATTCATGCCATTAGACAAGAGGCTTCTTCAAGATCCCTCATAGAAAATCCCATCTCTATTCCTTGCTTATTCTGAGAAGCACACCCCATATCTCTTCAAAACACCATCTATGTGATTGAATACTTTGATCTTTTGATCCCTTAAAGGCACTAACAAAAGGATGTCTAGCCACGCCCTTGATTTTATCTCTGGAGGATGATTTTGTGGCAATGAATTTCCTAATTTTGGTGTCTTTTGCAATCTGGATAGGCTGAAAATTTCTCATATCATTGAATTCTGGTTTCTTTTTGCTTAACAGTTCTTCCCTCAATTTATGTCTTTCCTCTGGCATTTTACTATAAACAGCAATAAAAAACAGGCCATTCCTTTAATCCTTTGCATGAAAATCTGCTCAGCTAAATATTCAAGTTCATTGCTTACAAGTCCTGCTTTCCACATAATTGTAGAGCACAATTCAGGTAGGATTTCTGATGCTATATAACACAAACTCCCTTTTCTGATATTATGTTACTAATTTCTTTCTAAGCATTCACCAGCAACACCTTTGACATTTTATTTCTATCAATAGTTTGTTTATGATAATTTAGGTGTTCTCTAAGACAATATAGACTTTCTCTACTGTGTTCCTCATGTCTGAGCTCTCACCAGGAACACTTTGAACATTCATATTTCTATTAATGATCTGTTCAACATAATCTAAGGTTGTTATATAATGCTCCTGAAAATTATTCCAGTCTATAGCTATTATCCAGTTGCAAAGCCACTTCCACATTTTTAGATATTTCTTATAGCAGCAACCCACTTCCAGGGACCAAACATTGTGATAGATCCCTATGGCTGCTCTAATGAATTGCCATAAATTTGGTAGCTTTAAAATACACGCATTTAGTATCTTACAAACCTGGAGGTCAGAAGTTCAAAATCAGTTTCACTAGGCTGAAAATAAGGTGTCAACATTGCCATACTCCCTCTGGGGACTCTAGAGGAGGGTCTGTTTCCTTGACTTTCCCAGCTCCTAGAGCTGCATTCCTTATCTCATGGGCCCCTTCCTTCCTATTTACAGCCAGCAGCATAGCATTTTTCTTCAGTAGTCACATTTCCTTCTTCTGTGTCAAATTCGCCTCTGCCTCACTCTTTTATGAACTTGTGTGATTGACCTTAGGTTCTATCAGATAATACAGAATAATCTCCCATCTTCCACAATCATCTTTGTGAATTCTCTTTTTCCATATAAGGCAACATTCATAAGTGCAAGGGGTTAGGATCTAAGTATCTTTGGGGACCATTACTCGGCCTATCACAGGAGTTATTCCCAGGAAACTCTGGCAGGGAAGAGAGGAATTGAGACAGAGAAGGAAAGGAAGCAAACAAAGTATTCGTTATCAAGCAGCTAATGTCACTGTAAAACTTTAGAGAACGCTGTAGTAAACACATCTTCCAGGGGCAGATGATGTCCCACTGTTCTGGACTGTCATATTATTGAGCACAGTGGGCTCTGATGACCTAATGAAAGGTCTCACACAAAGAAATAAGGGTTCTGACATTTGAAAGTCAGGCAAATATCTACTTAAATGGTATGAGCTGTTGGAGTATGGACAGGGCACTGACAGCATCTTCTATACCCAGAAATGTTTGTATACCCTCCTAATAAAGCCTTTCCTTTTCTTCTTACCTCATGCCTGCTGTTTCATCCTTTCATGTAGCTACCTGGCATCAGACACTGAGGTTGATGCTGGATATTCAATGTTAAGCAAACTAGGCATTATCTATCTCATCCTTATGAAACATCCAGTCTAGTAGGAAAGACAGATGTTAAAACAAACACCCAAACAAATATGTATTTCAAATTTATTGTGCATGATCAAAAGCAGAGTTTATAAACTTTAGCACTATTGACATTTTGGACTGAATAATTCTTTGTTTTGTGGCATAAAGGCTGTTCCTGGTAAAAAAGGACAGCAGTACCTTGGCCCCTATCCACTAGATAGTAGCATCTTCCAGTTGTGATGTCAAAAAGTAGCCAGAGGACAAAATTATTCTCAATTGATAATCACTTATTCACATTTAAAATGTTATTTTAAATGTTATTTTAAGGATGTAATTTACATAGGGTTATGGAGGAATGTTGAAATGACACTGAACCTTAGAACTGTCACAAGAATAAGGAATGAGTCAGAGAAGTGGTAAGATAAATAACATTCCATGGACAAATCCCCAGACTAGTAAAGTATTTGGCATGTTTTAAATGAAAGCTAGTAAGTATGCTGAACCTGAGTGCAAAAAATGAGAGTGTAAATGATGAGTTAATGGGTGCAGCACACCAACATGGCGCATGTATACATATGTAACAAACCTGCATGTTGTGCACATGTACCCTAGAACTTAAAGTATAATAATAAAAAAAGATTTAAAACTCTTATGAGTTATAATAGTAATAGAAACCTGCTTACTGCTCCCTTGTTTGCTACCTGTACTTCTTCAAATGATAAAAAGCTTCATCACTACCTTAGTTCACCAAAATGCTTCAGCACAAGTGTACTATATGAATCACTATTGATCTGTCTTGCAAGAAGACATGGGTAGTGAGAATAAAAGTGAGAACTTCCACTATTGAATGAGGTTCTCAAAGCGGGGGAATAAGGGAGGAGACCACCCCTCATATTGTCTTATGCCCAATTTCTGCCTCCAAAGAAAGAAGAAGTAAAAACTAAAAGGCAGAAATGAAATCCACAAGCAGACAGCCCGGTGCCACACCCTGGGCCTGGTAGTTAAAGATCGACCCCTGACCTAATCGGTTATGTTATCTAAAGATTACAGACATTGCATAGAAAAGCACTGTGAAAATCCCTGTCCTGTTCTGTTCTGTTCTAATTACCGGTACATGCAGCCCCAAGTCACATACCCCGTGCTTGGTCAGTCAATCACGACCCTCTCATGTGGACCCCCTTAGAGTCATGAGCCCTTAAAAGGGACAGGAATTTCTCACTCGGGGAGCTCAGTTGTTGGAGACGTGAGTCTTGCCGAAGCTCCTGGCTGAATAAAGCCCTTCCTTCTTTAAAAAAAAAAAATAGTGTCCTTTGAAACACAAAAGTTTTTATTTTGATAAAAATAAAGTGCGATTTATCTATTCTTTTCATTTGATGCCTGTGTTTTTTCACATATAAGAATCGATTGCCCAAAAAGAGGTCATGAAGATTTTTTTCCTATGTTTTTTCCAAAAGTTTTATGGTTTTAACTTTTTCATTTAGTTCTTTGATTCATTTTGAGTTAATTTTTTTATATAGTCTAAGGTAAGGGTCCAATTTCTTTCTTTTGCATGTGGCTATGCAGTTATACCAGCACAATTTGTTTGATAGTGCTCTTCCTTCCCCATTGAATGGTCAAAAATCATTTGACTATAGATGTATGGGTTTATTTCTGGACTCTCAATTTGATTCCACTAATCCATTTGTCTATGTTTATACCAGTTCCAATGTCTTGATTACTGTTGCTTTGTAATACATTTTAAATAAGGAAATGTAAGTTATTCAATTTTGTTTTTTAATATTTTTTTAATTAGTCTGAGTCCCTTGAAATTTCATATGAATTTTACGTTCCACTTGTGAATTTCTAAAAAAGAAATAAACTGGGATTCTGATAGGGATGGATTATGTTAAATCTGTAGGTAAATTTGGGGAATATTGCCAATCTGACAATATTAAATCTTCTAATCCATGAAAATGATATGTTTTTCCATTTATTTAAATGTTTACTTTTGCAACAATATGTTGTAGTTTTCAGAGTATAGTCTTTGCCCTTCTTTTGTGATATTTATTCCTAAATATTTTATTATTTTAGGTTGCATTATAATTATTTTTCTTAATTTCCTTTTCAGGTTGTTCATTGGAAGTGTATAGAAAGACAATTGATATTTTTGTTTTTAACATTTTTTCTTTGTTTACATTTATGCTCGTAACTCAGACAATTGATTTTTATATATTGATCTTGTATCCCATAAACCTTGCTGAACTCATTTACTAGTTCTAATAGACTTTTAGTGGATTCTTTAGGATATTCTATATATAAGATAATGTTATTCATGAATAGAGTTAATTTTACTTCTTCCTTTCTAAACTAGATGGCTTTTACTTGTATCTTTGCTTAACTACCCTGGGTAGAACCCATAGTACAATATTGAGTAGAAGTGGTTAGAGCAGACATCCTGTTTTGTTCCTCATCTTAGGGGAAAAACATTCAGTCTTTCACTATTAAGTATGATGTTGGCTGTAGGTTTTTCATAGATACCCTTTATCAAGTTGAGGAAGTTCCTTTCTATTTCTAGCTTGTTGAATATTTTTTATCTTGAAATGGTTTTGGATTTTGTCAAATTATTTTTCTAAATCAATTGAGACTATTATATGTTTTTTCTATTGATGTAGTGTATTACATTAATTAATTTTGGGGTGTTAAACCAACTTGGCCTTGCTAGGATAAATCCCACTTGGTCATGGTGTACAATTCTTTTTATATGTTGCTGGATTCAAGTTCCTATTATTTTCTTGAAGGTTTTTGTACCCATATTCTTAAGATATATGGTCTGTAGTTTTCCTTTCTTGTGATGTCTTTATCTGGCTTTGGTATCTGGGCAATGCTGGCATCATAGGATGATTTAGGAAGTTAGCCCTCCTTTTCCATTATTTTGTAAGAGTTTGTGAAGAATTAGTATTAATTGTTCTCTAAATATTTGGTAGCATTCACCAATGAAGCCATTTGGGCCTGGGCTTTTCTTGGTAGGTAGTTTTTTGATTACTAATTCAATCTATTTATTTCTTAGAAGAAGTCTATTCAGATTATCTATTTCTTCTTGAGTCAGTTTCAGTAGTTTATGCCTTTCTAGTAATTTGTCCATTTTATCTAAGTTATCTAATTTATTGGAATAAAATTGTTCATGGCCTTTCCTTATGATAATTTTTATTTCTGCAATGGCAGTAGTAATATTCCCTTTTCATTACTGATTCCAGCAATATGAATTCTCTCTTTTTTATTATCTAGCTAAAAGTTTGTCAAATTTGTCATCTTTTCCAAGAACAAGCTTTTAGTTCCTTTAATTTTCTCTATTTTTTTGAATTCACTATTTTATTAATTTCTGCTCCGG
This sequence comes from Homo sapiens, assembly GCF_000001405.40. Classification (NCBI taxonomy): domain Eukaryota; kingdom Metazoa; phylum Chordata; class Mammalia; order Primates; family Hominidae; genus Homo; species Homo sapiens. Next base: position 37,984,140 of record NC_000023.11, on the reverse strand, counting down.
TCTGTATTATTTCCTTTCTTCTGCTAGCTTTGAGTTTAGTTTGCCCTTCTTTTTTCAGTCTCTTAGGTGGAAGGTTAATTTATTGATTTGAGATCCTCTTTCCTTTTAAATATACATCTGTGTTTACATCTATACATTTCCCTCTAACCACTGCTTTAGCTGCATCTCATAAGTTTAGGTATGTGATGTTTATATTTTCATTCATCCCTAATTATTTTCTAATTTTCATTTTGATTTCTTCTTCCACCCATTGTTTTTTAGGAGTGTGTCGTTTACTTTCCACAGATTTGTGGGTTTCCTACATTTCTTTCTGTTATTTGTTTGTAGTTTCACTCCATTGTGGAAAGAAAAAACAGTGGACATTTTTTCTATCCTTTTAAATTTAATGAGGTTTATTTTATGGCCTAGCACATGGTCTATTCAGAATGTTGTGTGTGCACTTGAGAAAAATAAACATCCTACTTTGTTGGGTAGAGTGTTGTATGCAAGCCTAATAGGTCTAGTTGGTTTGTGGTGTTCAAATATCCTCTTTATTGTTTATGTTCTACCTACTTCTCTCCATTACTGGAAGTGTGGTATTCAGTCTCTATTATTGTTAAATTGTCTATTTATTGCTTCATATGTTTTGGTGCTCTGTTGTATAGATGATCATTATCGTTATATCTTCCCAGTGGGTTGACCCTTTTATCATTTGAAAATGTCCCTCTTTATCTCTAGTAGCATTTTTTATTTTAATATATGTTTTCTATGACATTAATATAGCCACTCCAGCTTTCTTGTGGTTATTTGCACGATTATGTTTTGCCATTGTTTTACTTACAATCAATTTTTGTCTTTGAATCTAAAGTATGTTTTCTATAGACAACACACGTTGGATCTTGTTTTTTAATTCAGCCTGACAAACTGCCTTTTATTTGGACTGTTTAATCCATTTGCATTTGATGCTATTACTAATATAGTTAGATTTACCTCTGCCATTTTACTTTTTGTTTTTTATAGCTTACATGTCCTTTTTGTTCCTATATTACTGCTTTACTGCTTCCTTTTGCATTAAATGAATATTTTCTACTGTAGAATTTTCTTTATTTTTTCACTATATTTTCTTGAGTTATTTCCTTAGTCATTTCTTTAGGGCTTATCATATGTTAACTTATCAGAAACTGAATTCCATTGAGATACAGAGACATTATTTCTATATAGTTCTATTTATTTCCCCATTTTTATGGTCTTATTATTATATATTAAATCTATAAATTCTACAAACCCAGCAATACATTGACATAATTATTATTTTATATATTTTATGTATTGGAAAGAAGCTGAGAGAAAAAGAGCAAACATATACTTATAGCTTTTGTTATATGAACCTTCTTATTTCTCATTTATGGCTCTCTTCATTTGTTTCTGTGGATTTCAGCTATCATCTGGAGTCACTTCCTTAACCCAATATGGCTTTTCTCCCACCCATCCCCTTTTGTGGTATTATTGGAAAAATAGATTACATTTCTATATACTACATGTATGACATACATTATTTACATATTGCTTTATACAATTGCTTTTTAAATCAGTTAAGAGAAGATAGGAAAAAATACATGTACACTCTCTTTCATAATTACATAATTACCTTTACCAGTGCTCTGTTTATCTTACTTATTTAGTCATTATTTGCATAGATGTGAATTACTATCTGGGATCATTTGTTTTCAGCCTGAAGAACTTTCTTTAATTTTTTTAAATTCTTTTTTTCTTTCTGCTCCTCAAATTGGGCAATCTCAGTTGACAAATCATGAAGTTCATGGGTTCTTTCTTCTGCCATTCAAATATACTAGTCAGCCCTCTATTGAACTTTACATTTCAGTTATTATAACTCTCAAATCCAGAATTTCAATTTGGTTCCTTTTTATGATTTCTATCTCTTTATTAGTAAACTCTATTTGATGTGGCATTTTCATATCTTCCTTTACTTCTTTAATCACAGTTTCCATTAGTCCTTTGAAGATATTTATAATTACAACTTTAAAGTCCTTGTCTGTTACATCACATGTCTTGTTGCTCTCATGGGCAGCTTCTGTTGCCTGCTTTTTTCTGGTATATGGATTATACTTTCCTGTTTCTTTGAATGTCTTACAATTTTGTGTTGGAAATCAGAAATTTTAGATAATATGTTGTGGCAACTCTGGGTATTGGTCCCCTCTAAGTACTTACTGTTTTCTGCCTGTTTGTTTAGTGACTGGTTAGATTATTTTAGTGAAGTGTAGTTCAACCCACTCTCCCTCTCTTGCAGTATAAAACCTTTGATGCTGCTCCTCATGAGGTGCAGACTTGGGAATGACCATAGTTACCCTGGGATGACATTGGTTTGGGCAGAGCTCTCTTTTTCTCTTTCCCTGATCACATCCAGCCATTAAATTCCACTAATTACTGGCTGATTGTTCTGTTGCTTCTAACATAGGGCATAAATTGCTCCATAGACTGATCCAATCTAGTCTGGGCTCTCTTGACAGGTTAGTTACCTAGGTCAATGTTTAAAATTTGCTCTCAGGCCGGGCGCGGTGGCTCATGCCTATAATCCCAGCACTTTTGGAGGCTGAGGCAGTTGGATCGTTTGAGCTCAGGAGTTTGAGAGCAGCCTGGGAAACATGGAGAAACCCCATCTCCACAAAAAAATACAAAAATTAGCTAGGCATGGTGGCATGCACCTGTAGTCCCAGCTGCTCAGGAGGCTGAGGAGGGAGGATTGTTTGGGCCCAGGAGGTTGAGGCTGCATTAAGCTGTGATCGCGCCACTGCACTCTAGCCTAGATGACCTTGTCTCAAAAATAAAACAAAAATAAAATTTGTTCTGTCCCCAGTAGGGCTCATCACACCTGTCCTTTTCCAAGCTCCTCTCCAGCAAAGCAGTCGGCTTACAGTTTTGTCTATATCTCTGATTAATTTAGCAATCTACTCTCAACTGTCTTTTAAAACAACTTCCACTGTTTTTGAGAATGCCATTAGGCTTGAATTTCTCCACTTCCTCTTGCAAATAAAGTCAGTTCCTTTGGAAGAGATTCACGGTTCTATCTTTTATGGCCTGCTTCTCCTCCGGGGAATAATCTCTATACCTTGGCTCTCAAGCTGGGAATGGAGATAATGGCACATTATTCTCTGAGTGACATCCCTGTCATAGGAGCTGAACACTTCTGAACATAGGTAGTAACATTAGTTCTTCTCAGCTTGCCTCTCTCCATGTGGATCACACATGGATTAGAATCTATGCAAAGATGATCAGGTCCCAGTATACTCAATGTTGCCACACCTAAGGTAGAGATTCCATCCTATATACTGGAGGCTAGGATGAAGAAGCAAGCCCCCACTTCTTGGTCACCTTGTCCAGAACTTAGCCTTAGCAACAGGTAGCTGCGGGCAGGTTAAAAAATGCTGAAGTCCTGAACTTCTCTTAAAGGTAGCCCTTGGAATGGAAACTGGAGGGAGAAGGAACCCTGTGTTCTTTGCTGTACCAGTCCTAAGTGGAGTTTCCATTTCACTAAGTTTGAAGGGGAGAAGAATAGGCTGGGTCTTAGTTCAAATACCATAGACTTTTGCTATTCCCACCAATTTTAATAGATTTTCTTAAACATTTATTCCCTTGCTATACGCCTTTAGGATCATTTCTAGAGATTTTAAGTGGTTGAGTTTGCAGAGCATCTCACACTGTTATACTGAAAGTAGAATTCTGGTTGTTTTTTGATTTACTAAGGCTTGCCAGTTTATTACGCAGCATTATTGGGGCAATAGATAACTGTTGCACACTACCTAATTGTGGAACCACTAGAACCCCAGGCTCCCAGTACTTCGTGGGGAATCCAGAGTATTTCCTCTATTGGCAATTGAAACCACCATATGGATTTAGTGCATGAAAACACTTCCATGATACATAATCCAGTGGTCTGAAAAACACTTCATTATGTAATTTCCAAAAGTGACAAATTAAGTCAAGTTGAAAGAATTTTACTTATAGATAGGTGCAAAGGAAGTTTAATTCTTTAGGCAGTAAGAAATGGCATCATTCTCAGCAAACTCGCAAGAACAAAAAACCAAACACCGCATGTTCTCACTCATAGGTGGGAGTTGAACAATGAGAACACATGGACACAGGAAGGGGAATATAACACACCGGGGCCTGTCGTGGGGTAGGGGGAGGAGGGATAGCATTAGGAGATATACCTAATGTAAATGATGAGTTAATGGGTGCAGCACACCAACATGGCACATGTATACATATGTAACAAACCTGCACATTGTGCACATGTACCCTAGAACTTAAAGTATAATAAAAAAAAAAGAAAAGAAAAGAAAATTTAAAAAAAGAAATGGTCAAGCATTTACTCTATTACAGAGAAAAAGTACTCTCACAATTCAGTGGCAAGCAAACACAAGACTGAAGATCTGTCTTCAGTTAGGAGGAGCCATCACTCCATTTGAAAACATTTCATGAAAGCTAAACTTGCAGAGTGAGATCTTCCCTCAGACATTTTGCCAGAATGAGAGAGAAAGTGGAGAGTGGTTATTATCACATCTAAAAACCTCCTTACTTTAATTCCAGAGTCAGAAAGATAGTCTATCTAGTATGCTTTATTCATAATACAAACTGTGAAAGAAAAAAATAAAAACTCAGAACCCAATTCACTATCCAAAAGGAAAAAAATTAAGCTGAAGGCTGAGTCATGCAAGAAACTGTCTTTCCTTTTGTTCAGAAGCAGATAGCTAGATATTAAAGATTTAATATCCCCACAGCGGCTACACTATGTTCACCTTATCTTATGTAAAGTGAGATGAATACATAATTAACCTTTCCCCTACCTGCTCCTTTTCTCTTGCAACATGTGGATTCAGTAATGTGACTATAACCTCCTTCTTTCCCCTCCCGCCCACTTTTCCCGTTTAAATATTGAAGCCCTCAAAATCATCTTTGGAGAAAGGCACAGACCACAGACTGTTTGTGTAATTTCATGTTTTTTCTTCTGGACATTTCCTTATCTTTGGCAAAATAAACTTCTAAATTGATGGAGACCTGTCTCACACACTCTTTGGTTACAAAACAAAATGTCAAAATCACTGTATGTATTTCACTGCAAAAATTTCACTTACAATTTGTGTTCATAATAGATTAAATTAAATATTAAGTTAAATAATATATTAAGTTAAAATCATTATGTTATAATACAGAATGTACTGCACAATCTCAGCTTTAAAATGTTTACCCTTCCTTCTTCTCCTGAACCTCCATTTTCACCTCACCTTCTCCCCTTTATAGCCAGTAAATGTACTCAAGATCCTTAAAGACCCAAATAAAACATTTTTTTCATCTTTGAAGCTTTTTCTCAGTTTTCTAGGTTATTTTGTTCTCATATTTGGGCTCCAATGGTACTCTCTAAAAGATAATACACCAAAATGGTATTAGTTATCACTTCTTCATGGAAGGTCATTTGTATTTTCCTCTTTCTACTTGTCTATATTTCATAATTGTTTATATAAAACATGAATTGCTTTTGTAATAGGGAAAGAAACAATAAAATTTCCATAGAAAATGAAAATTAAATCATGCTCAATTGAGATTCACAGAGGGGCTTTATTTGTAAGCATTATGATGTGTGACCAGGTTATGTGATCACATAAGTTGATCTGGGAAAAGACAGAGCCTGGAACTACTGCGGTTCATTTCTCAAAAGACAAGGTGGCTCTAAGCCGTTTCAATCACATGTTGAAAACTGAAATAATAACTTGTCTCCCCCTCACCACCTGTCTTTCCTCCCATATATCCTATCATTAGTTGTCATTTTTTCTCCAGTTGCCCAATCAGATCTCAAAGTCATCTAATAGCCTCTCTCACTCATTATGGGCACCAACTCTCAATTCTTTCTTAGAAATATTCCCCAAACCATCCTCATTGTCAGTGTGATAGTTCAGGACCTCATTTTCGTTTGCCCAGGTATTTGCCACGACCTCCTGCTGGTTTCTCTGGTCCATTCTCATCCTTTTCCAGGTTATTTTCTCACTATTACTGGGTTCTTTTTGGTTTTGATTTGAATTTTCAAAAATGTGATTGCACTAGTGAAATAAAGAGACTGACTCCATTTTTTAAATGTTTGATTTCTGATAGCTGTAAAGCCACACTCCGTTTTCTTCTTCTATCCTACAAGTGATCAAGCTAACAATAAAGTCTAGGTGTTCTCTCCTTTGGTGCCAGTGGAAAATTCAAACCGCCACCAACCCCTTCCTGTGCATGGGAACCACCCTGGCCTTACTCACTAACCACCATAAAACTTCAAGCCATTTTTACTGCTTGTGAGTCACCCTACTCTTCCTAGAAAGCCTTATTATGTGAGTAAGAAATCTTCATACCCTCTTCGTGTGTGTGTGTGTGTGTGTGTGTGTGTGTGTGTGTGTGTGTGTGTGATCATTGGTCCCCATACCGAAATCAAATTTGGGTGGTTGTTCATCCTGTATCTTTAAGGTGGACACAACAGTATTTCCCTAACATTCAGTCCCTTCTACCCCACAAAGTAGAGTACAGAATACATCTCATATGACTCTTCACCATTTCTCCCTATCCTACCTCCCTTGCATTATTCCTCATTTCCTCCTCCCCACACAAACCAATATTTAACCCCCTGACCATTCATTTCCAGAACATTCTATGCTCTGTCACAATTGCTGAGTGTATATCTCCTGTTTCCTTTACCTGGAACGCCTTTCATACTTCCACTTCCCTCTTCCCTTTCCTACCCCCAAGCCACCTTCTTTCTCCTTGATGTCTACAAAATGTTTTTTTTCCATCCCTAGTACTGAGTAGGATGGCTTCTCCTCCTAAAGTCTCCACTAATTTCTCTAGGCAGATATTTTCTCTTCTTTTCCTGGCCTATAACAATATTGAAATCATTGTTCTTGCATGCTTACAGGTCTCTCTCCCTCTGCAAGAATCTGAGCTTTTCGATGGTAGGGACCTTCCTTTTTTCATCTACTGTGCTTGATTTCTAGCACATTCTTATGAATATAATCAGTGCTAAATAATATTGGTTGAGTAAATAAATAATTTTTTCAAAGTAAAGTCAAATTCTTATTAAGAGTAAAGTGATGTTAGTAAACAAAAGATTGTGAGTTCTTTGAGATAGAGAAGGATTTTTCTCTTTTTTGAGGTGGAGTCTTGCTATGTTGCCCAGGTTGGAGTGCGGTGGTGCAATCTCTGCTCACTGCAAACTGCCTCCTGGGTTCAAGCGATTCTCCTGCCTTAGCCTCCCGAGTAGCTGGGACTACAGTTGTGCACCACCACACCTAGCTCTTTTTTTTTTTTTTTTTTGTATTTTTAGTAGAGACAGGGCCTCACCATGTTGGCAAGGCTGGTCGGTGATCTGCTCGCCTTGGCCTTCCAAAGTGCTGGGATTACAGGCGTGAGCCACCATGCCTGGCCAGGACTTTTCTTTATTTGTCTCTAGTGTTAGATGAAAATAAATTTTAAGAAATTGTTGCATGGCTAATAAAACAATTGTAAAATATTTAAAATCTAGCTACTAAAGGCTTTCACTTTTATGAGTGTCAAGGTGAGATGAGTTCATTATTATTCCCAGAATATACACACTTCATCGTCATGGAGTGAGATTCTTTCAGGACTCATGATGCTTCTCTGTTAAACTTGATCACCATAGAAGAAGCAATGTGGCCTCTGTGGCTTAATAATCATGAGAAAAATCAGCTAACAGAAGTGAAAATGACTCATGTGTCTCATTCTCCCCTCCCATGAAAACAAATTTGGAAAATTATGGGTCACAGTGTTTTCTTCTGTTTTCCCTAGTCTGCTTATGCAAGAGTTAAGAAAACCTTCTCACCATGTGATGGTAAATATTTACATCTTTTCTTGATAACAGTTGAAGTCTGTAGTCACTAACTTTATCTAAGAACATGCCATTTGCAACATTTTGTCAACTTAGATGACACCCTTAAAGATAAGCATATTCCAACAAGAAAAATTGTATCTTGGATCACATTTCATTCAGTTATTCAACAAATGTTAACTGAGCATCTATTATGCATCTCTATCACAGCACTGAATCCACTGTATCCTGCTTATCTATTTACAGGTTTCTCACCCCCTGCAAGTTTTTGAGCTTTGGAGGGCAGAGGCCACTCTACTTTTATATAGTACCCACTACTATGCACTGAGTTGGCACATTCATCCAGTGCTGACGAAGATTTAGTTTCATGACCTTATAAAATGTACCGATATCTAAAGCCTGGAAATCCTGAAAACAACAGGATTATATAAATATAAACTTATATATTGAGGTTCACATCCTAAGTATGTATAAGAAAGAGAACCAGCTTAAGAGTATTCTACTTCATATGAAAATATACGAGCAAATGTTTTCGTAGTCCGAAGTCTCAGTGAGATGTGCTAATAGGTTTATACAATTGCTAAGAAAAACACAAAAGGTCAAATTCCTGACTGCTTCCACAGCTTCTATACTCCACCCACTCTGTGACCATGGGAGGATTGGTGCCATGATAAATCCATGGACACCAACTTTCATCAGGTTCAAAAGCCTGCATGGCAATCATGGCAACCAATATACATGTTCCCTAGAGGATCCCTTTGCCCACTCCTAACTAGTATATATTTTTTAACCTCATCACTCTCTTCAAACCATGTTTTTCCTCATTTTCTATCTCATTATTGAAGGTGCTGTCAATGCTTTCAAATATTTCCTCAGTCCCTGCTGCTCCAGTACATGCTGACTTCACCCTACTGTAAACACCCATACCTCTCAACTAAAATCTTTTATCTCAGCTGGCCTGGGGAGGACTGGAAGTCGTGGAAAGCTAATGTCCCTGGGAGGAGCTCTCAGCCAATGACAGGTGGAAGATGGAGAAGAAATATTCCAGTTCCCTTGCTTCTAAAATGGAGTAATTCTGATGTATGTTCTGCTCTGTTTCCCAGCATTTCCCAGCAAGACTGAGCCACAGTTGGCCAAAGCGGAAACCTGCTACATAGTACACATTTTATTGGCTTACTTCTCCTACCTGTCTAACTTCCTAAATAAATCTAATGGTGATTTTTGGAAGTAACACCCAAATAAACTATGTTCACGCAAACCCTGTCTCAGTATTAACTTCTGAGGGTACAATGCTAAGACATTCTCTTTCAGCAAAAGCACTAACCTTCTATTACACAGAAAGAACAATGACCCCACCCCTATCCCAGGGATGATCTATAACCCTGGTGATCCAGTTACAAACTTAATTAAATCCACACACATACTTCCCTTCTGCCCTTCACCTTCAGTGGAAGAGTTGCCTATTCTTTTACTTAAGAATAACCCAACAATCTGTTATCTGGATTCATTAGTCTTGAAACTTTTTGTAACATTTTATTTTGAAGTGATTTCAGATTTATAGAAAATCTGCAAAATTGCAAATAGTTCTCATATTCAAACAGGACTCCCAAATGTTAACACTTTACCACATTTGCTTCATCATTCTGTTTCTCATTGTTTTATAAAATTATTGTTGTAGTAAAAATCACTTAACATAAATTTGCCATTTTAAAGTGCACAATTCTGTGGCCTTTAGTACATTTACAATATTGTACAACCATCACTACTACCTAAGTCTAGGACCTTTTCATCATCCCAAAAGGAAGCTCACTACCCAAACAATCATTTCCCATACCTACCTTCACCCAGCCCATGGCAACCATTAGTTTTGTTTCTCTCTATTTACCTACTGAGAATATTTCATATATATAAAGTCATATAATATGTGATTTTTCTTGACTGGCTTTATTCACTTACGATAATGTTTTCAAGGTTCATTCATGTTGCAGTACGTATCAGCACTCCATTCCTTTTTATGACAGAATATATTTCATTGTATGGATGGTAACACATTTTGTTATCCATTCATTAGCTGATAGACATTTATTTAGCAAATTTTCAGTCTACAATACAGTATTATTAACTATAGTTGCCATACTGTACATTATATCTCTAGACTTATAAATCCTATATAACTGCAACTTTGTACCATTTGGCCAACATCTCCCTGTTTCTCCTACCCACCAACCCCTGGTAGCTACCATTTTACTCTGTTTCTATGTATTTGACTTGTTTAGATTCTACATATAAGTGAAATTATTCAGTATTCTTCTTGCTGTTTTTGGCTTATTTCACTTAGCATGGTGTCCTTATTTTTAAGTCTTTAAACAAGCACAATTGGGTGGATCACCTGAGTTCAGGAGTTCAAGAGCAGCCTGGCCAACTTGGTGAAACCTTATCTCTACTACAAATATTTTTTAAAAAAAAATAGCCAGCCATGGTGGTGGGTGCCTGTAATCCCAGCTACTCGGGAGGCTGAGGCAGGAGAATCACTTGAACCCGGGAGGCAGAGGTTGCAGTGAGCCGAGATCGCACCACTTGCACTCCAGCCTGGGCGACTGGGGGAGACTCTGTCTCAAGAAAAAAAAAAAGTGTTTTATATTGCTCCTCTGGTACTAGCAAGCTGCACCAGGTATGTGGGTTGCTGTTTTTATGATACTCACCACTGAGCTGGTGGGAGTGGGGAATGGGAAGTGAGGAGTTAAATCATCAGAGTTCTCTTAACAAACTTCAGCAGCTTCTTTCATTAAACATTCCCCTAGTCATTGTAAGTTTGGGATTATATTCTAGAGTTCTGAAAAAGTTGATTCTGACCACTTTTGCTTAATTTTTCTTTTAGTGGAAGAACAGGGTTTTGGAGTGCGCTACTCCAATAATTTGGTGACCTTTTCTGATGATGCATTTGAGGACTACGCTCTGATTTTTTTTCTTACCCAAATTCCTACCTAAGGGGTCGAGGGAGTCATGCCCTACAAACCATAAATTCTCATCAGATGAGCTTTATTTGACCCTATGTATTGTGACTTACTTTTCAATCTGACTCTGGCATAACATTATGAGACAATGAAAAAAATATTTAACCCCAAAATATATTTCCTTGCCAGACCTTGAAATTCCCCTGCAAAGTCTATTGTGAGAAAAACCCACATTCTATAGAGAAGCCCCTTCCCCCTTTGTTTTCCTTCCTTTCTTTCTCGATCCAGGAGATAATCAACTAAGAGCAAGGCAACCTTTTAAGTGCAATAGGAAACAATTTACAACATGCTGTCTCTGAAGTCTGCTATCTGAGAGATTCCTCTGCACAATAAAACTTGGTCTCCACAATACTTTATCTTTAACCTGAACATTCCTTTCTATGGATCCCAGGTCTTTAGACAAACTCAACCAATTGTCAACCAGAAAATGTTTAAATTTACCTATAGCCTGGAAGCCCCCGCTTCGAGTTGTCCCGCTTTTCTGAACCAAACCAATGTATTTCTTAAATGTATTTGACTGATGTCTCGTGCCTTCCTAAAATATGTAAAACCAAGCTGTACCCCAAAGACCTGGGGCACATGTTCTCAGGAGCTCCTGAGGGTTGTGTCACGGGCCATGGTCACTCATATTTGGCTCAGAATAAATCTCTTAAAATATTTTACAGAGTTTGACTCTTTTCGTCAACAATAATCTGGCTCCCAAAACATATGGGGCCTCAGAGAAGACTCAGGACCCCGAAGGAGTTGCCCGAAACCGGAGCTAACGTATCAGCAGGGGTCCATTGAAGCCCCACCGCGTTGGAGCTTCTCCTCCAGTGGAACTGGTGAGTCCTCTGAGTCCTGGACCTCCCTTTGGTTGATGGTCCTTGATTTATTCTGAGTTGGTTTTCTCCTAGGAAGTTGTTGTTTAAGGATCCTAATTCTAGTTCAGAGATGCATTCTAAAGGGAATTCTCTATTGCTTTTTCTACTAAAATTTATCCTATTCCGGTTTGTCTGTGTGCATTTGTGTGAGGAACTGAGCTGTTGTTTTCCTAGATAAATGAGAGACTGAGTTTTTCATCTCTGAAGAGAAAGGGCATTTGCTCCTCCCAGCTGAAAGGTGCCCTTGGGTGACCGGGAGCCTCATGGGAGTGTCTGGGGGGTTGACTCCCCGAGATGTGCAGCGGCCCTGCAGGGAAATCCCCAACAAAAATCAATTTTAAAAAATGGCTCGTCCAGGAAACGCATAGAATTGCTCATTACCCAGCGTTTTGAGCCCTTTCAGAGGTCATAGACCTCTGGAGAGAGAAACTGAGACACGTAAGAGGGCAGAAACACTCAGTGGTGACAAACTGTAGAGTCCTGCCCGCAAACAGCACACATGGATCCCACAAACAGCACACGTGGATCCACCACACAAGAACCTAGGGCACAGCTCAGTTCCTCCTTTAAGAAAAAAAAAAAAGCCGGAATAAAGATAAAACAAGGAGAATGACCCCCTTCTGGGCGCTCCATAGGTTTTATCACACCTGTACTTGCCAGAGTTATATAAAATGGAAGTAATATGGTCTTTGTGCACATTTACATTAAGGAAAAAGAGTCCTAAGGTTGACCTGCAAACTATAGAGCTTTTGGGTTCTATTTTATTTTCTGCCTGCTTTAAATCTGCTGTTACTTTTCAACTGAGATAAAAACCACTGCCATCTAACAGTGGTTTTTTGTTGTTGTTGTTGTTGTTATTGTTGTTGTTGTTGTTTTGCAAACTGGCAAAGTTGTATTTGTCTCATGGCTAAAGTACTGAAGTAATAGCTACGGGAACTTTGCGTGTGTGTGTATATTTAAAGGCCTTTATAATAGACTTCTATAATTTTATGTTCAATTGGCAATTGAATCCTTTTTAATTTCCCTCTAGCACACCAGACTTTCTCTTCTTACCTTATGATGTAAACTTTGCTATCTGATTTTCACCTGAGTTGCTTTTAATACACAAATGTAAGGCTATTTAGCTGACAACTGCCTGGGGTAAGATTTTTAAAACATGAAAAAAAAAAGAAGGTCTTTATAAGTCTATGCAATGTGCTTCTATTGGCATGCTTAATACGTCTATATATTTATGTGTATGTACACAACATCTTCAATACTAAAAATATGTAAAGAGCTCTAATTAATTGGCTTTAAAAAGTGCTCAAATCAGATACTTAGAAAAAAAGGAAGACTAGTCAAATGCTTTTTCAAGCTCATGTGACTTAAGTGAAATCTTTACTAAATAAGGTGGCGTTAAAATTATTGGTAAAATAATATCAGCAATGTCTTTAGAATTGTTAACATTATGTTTGCATCTATTAATCAAGTAGCTTCATGTTTATTCCTGCAGAATACTATAAGATTTGCCATAAGGGTTATAAACTATAAAACCCAGCCTAAGACAGAATGATCTTTGCTTGTATATGCTTATGAAATATGGTTGGCTTAAATGAAAACAGCTAAATACTCAGCTATTGGTATAAATACCCTTAAAACTAACCATAAGTTTTATTACTTAAGTAGATACCTGAAACTCACAGCTATAAGAATGGTTAATAGAAAAATAACTTTAAATATTGGCTATCACAGTTTTTGTAAATAATCTAGGTAAACTACTAAATTAATCAGGTAAACGTAACAGGATAAATGCTTTTAAACAAACTTGTCATAATTTAGGATCTAAGGTTATTAATTAGTATTAAATGGGCAATTCTAATTTAAGAATTACAGGAAAACCTTTTTTAAAAAAATATTCTTATTAAAGGTAAAATATCTTTGTCTAATTCAAGGCTTATTTAAGGGTTATGTAAAAAACAAGGTAAAGGAATCAGAAAATAAGAGATGTAAAGAAAGTTAAAGATATAAAGAGGTATTTTTGGTAAAAAAAAAAAAAAGGTAAAAAAAAGTAATTTTATATAGGAAAGAATCTTGTGTGGTAAATTTTTGCCCTAAAATAAAAATGACGGGGTTGTACAAGAAAGAGGGATGTTTAAGACAAAACAGTCTAAACATGTTGTGAATGAACTACATAAGTCGTAGTAAGGTCAGCAAAATGAATTTTTAAAGGGGTTGTATAATTCAGTTGGCTATAATTAAAATGAAATCATAATAATATTTCTAGAGATGGGTCTTTAATATTAAAAGGAAATGCACTAATACAAAACTAAATAATTGGTTAAAACAAAATTTTATTACAAATACTGACTTATTTTTAATGCAAGAAGTTTTTAAACTTTTAAATTCTATAATCTGTTTCTTTAACATTCTTCAGATTGATATCTTAAAAGTGCCACTCTTTCTCTTTTGAAAAGGCCAGGCTGGGCACCTTGGCTCACACCTGTAATCCCAGCACACTGGGAGGCCAAGGCTGGTGGATCACCTGAGGTCAGGAGTTTGAGACCAGGCTAGCCAACATGGTGAAATCCTGTATCTACTAAAAATACAAAAATTAGCCGGCTGTAGTGGTGGGTGCCTGTGATCCCACCTACTCAGGAGGCTGAGGCTTGGAGAATCTCTTGAACCCAGGAGGTGAAGATTGCAGTGAGCCGAGATCTCACCACTGCACTGCAGCCTGGGCGACAGAGCAAGACTCGGTCAAAAAAAACGGAAAGGCCTTGAATGATGGCTCTTTCCTTTCCTCTACCTTTTGTTGGCTCCTGTAACTTTTACTAATTATCTAAGTAAGGGAGAAAAATTGTTTTCGAAAACAGGCAAATTAAGTATCTTTTGAACATGGCTTTTATTCTGCATGCCTGTTATATCTCGATCTTTATATGTGTCATGTGGAAGTGATGTTTCACTTCAAAACTACATGTGAGAGCTCTAATCAAGTAACTTAAAAAATGTAAGTGCTTATTAGATTGGTAAAAGCTAGCTCAGATGCCTTCTAATTTACATAACCTTGGTAATTTTTTGGTAAAAATTAATTTGGTAAATTTAATCTGAAAACTCTCCAGTAATTTAAAAATCTTAAAGTCCTGTTTAAACCCTTGGATTTTTTTCCCCCATTAGAAATTTAGGTTACTAAAAAGTTAAAATAGGAGAAGCATAAAATATGCTTTTGTTAAAGTTTTATAAACAAAAGGATGTCAATTCTCAAAAAAGTAAGTTTTTTTGCTTAAAGATCTATTTAAAAGTTGCTTTATAATAAAGGAACTTATACGGATAAAACTAAGTAAATTTTAAAAAGAACAAGCCAGGGCAACAAAACTCTGAGCCCTATGGTTACCAAGAAAATAGTCGATATGAGGGAAGGGCAAAACCAATTAACTATTTAAAACCAAAGGGTGTAATATAAAGAAATTGTTCCATTTTGTA
The DNA here is from genome assembly GCF_000001405.40 of Homo sapiens. NCBI lineage: Eukaryota > Metazoa > Chordata > Mammalia > Primates > Hominidae > Homo > Homo sapiens. Next base: position 37,968,931 of record NC_000023.11, on the reverse strand, counting down.
GATTGGTATAATTCGGCTTCTTTAAAGAAACTTCACTATAGTGGATTGTAAAAATAACCACTTTAAGAACAAAATTCTTAATTTTAAATGCTACAGATTTTAAAAGCTTGTTTGGATTAATACAGGACCAACAGCTCATTACTGAACAATCACTAATGCACAGGGGGTTATTCCTGAGAAAGCGATCAGCCTAGTGGGCCAGATAATGCCATTAAAAGGTCTATTTGCCCTAAGAAGGGGACTGCCCAACTCTCTCTATAAAATACCAAGTGAAGTACCCCAGATGAAACCGTTAATATATTTCATACGCAAGCCATGTTGGACTAGATTTATGATAACTGTGATATCCTCCCACCTAATATGTCTATTATCTGGATCATGGTAAATTTGGGGGTTAAGGGGGCCCTTTTTACATGGGTGCCCCTCCCACAGAATCATAGGACTATTTAAGAAGCCTTATCAAATCTGCTATCCTCATAGGTCTTACAGACCCAACCCCCTTTCAAACCCTTTTCACCAGAAAAGGTAAAATGGTCTGGGGGTAAAAAGGCTTCCTGGGATCAGAACATAAAAACATACAGGTTAATAGAATTATAACAGGTGTAAGATGTTTAAACAAGCTTTATGTAAGGTAGCTGTAACCCCTTTTACCTAAATGTCTTATGAAAATGGGTACTGTATCTAACTGGGGGATGTTTTCGCCTTTCTAGTACTATGAAACTAAAACCATGTAAGGAAAATGAAGACACAGGAAAATATATTCCAGAACAAGGAACAGGATAAATTTCCAGAAACCCTAATGGTATGGAGATATTTGATTTACCTTACATAGAAATCAAAATAACCATCATAAAGATGCTCAAGGAGGTCAAGAGAAGAATGCATAAATAAAGTGAGAATTTCAACAGAGAAAATATAAGAAGTACCAAACAGAAATCTGGAAGCTGAAGAATTCAATAAATAACTGAACTGAAAAATTCACTAGAGAGGTTCAATTGCAGACTAGATCAAGCAGAAGAAAGGATGAGCAAAATCAGGTGCAGTGACTCATGCCTATAATCCTAGCACTTTGGGAGGCCAAAGAAGGAAGACTGCTTGAAGCCAGGAGCGTGACAAAGGATCAGTAATCTCAAACACAGGTTATTGGAAATTAACAAGTCGGAGTAGCAAAAAGAAGAAAGAATGAAAAGAAGTGAATAAAACTTAAGAGACTTATGAGACAACATAAAGCAAACCAACATATGCATTATGTGAGCATCAGAAAGAAAAAAGATATAGAAAGGGACAGAAAGAGTATTCAAATAAATAATATCCAAAACTTCATAAATCTTGGAAAGGGAATGGACATCCAGATCCAGAAAGCCCAATAAATGCCAAATAAGATGAACGCAGAAAATCTACACTAAGATATATTATAATCAATTATCAAAAGTTAAAGTCAAAGAGAGCATTTTGAAAGTAGCAGAAGAACAGTGACCTGGCATGTATAAGGGAAATTCAATTAGAGTATCAGAGGATTTATCAGCAAAAATTTTGCATACCAGAAAGGAGTGTAATAATATAATAAAAGTACTAAAAGAGGCCAGGCATGGTGGCTCACGCCTGTAATCCCAGCACTTTGGGAGGCCGAGGTGGGCAGATCATTTGAGGTCAGGAGTTTGAGACCAGCCTGGCCAACATGGTAAAACCCCGTCTCTACTAAAAATACAAAAATTAGCCAGTCATGGTGGCGGGTGCCTGTAGTCCCAGCTACTTGGGAAGCTGAGGCAGGAGAATCACTTGAACTTGGGAGGCAGAGGTCGCCGTAAGCCGAGTTCGCACCACTGCACTCCAGCCTGGGCGACAGAGCAAGACTCCATCTCCAGAAAACAACAACAACAAAAACCCCTTTGTCAACCATAACAGCAAAACTATTCTTCAAAAGTGAGGAAAGATAAAGATGCTCCTAAACAAACAAAAGCTTCAGGAGTTCATTAACACTAGACATGCCTTACAAAAAATGCAGAAATTGAAATAAAAGGTTGCTAAACAGCAAAACGAAAGCATACAGAAGCATAAAATTCGATGGTCAAGGTAAATATATAGGCAAATTCAGAATATTATAATACTGTAATGCTGGTGGGTAAATCACTTTTAACCATATTATATAACTTAAAAGACAAAAGTATTAAAAGTAACTATAAAATACATTCATGGAGCTGGGCGCGGTGGCTCATGCCTGTAATCCCAGCACTTTGAGAGGCCAAGGCAGGCGGATCACAAGGTCAGGAGTTCGAGACCAGGCTGGCCAATATGGTGAAACCCTGTCTCCACTAAAAATACAAAAATTAGCCAGACGTGGTGGCGTGCATCTGTAGTTCCAGCTACTCAGGAGGCTGAGGCAGGAGAATCGCTTGATCCTGGGAGGCGGAGGTTGCAGTGAGCCGAGATCGTGCCACTGCACTCCAGCCTGGGTGACAGAGTGAGACTCTGTCTCAAAAAAAAAAAAAAAAAAAGAAAAAGAAAAACGCAAACTGTGAGATTAATAACAATGTGTGAAGCAGAGGTAAAAATGCAGTTTTTGTACGTGATATACATTTCATCTGCTTAAAATAGACTCCTATAAGACATTTTAAATATGTCTTATGATAACCACAAGAAAATAACTATAGAAGATAAACAAAAATAAGAGAGACAGAGAGAGACAGAAAGGAATCAAAGCGGATCAATACAAAAATCTATGAAACACAAAGGAAAACTGCAAGAGAAGAAAAAAGGGAGAAAAGAACTAAAAGACAGACAGAAATTGATTGACAAAATGGCAATAATAAATGATTCCCTAAGAAAAATTGCTTTAAATGTAAGTGAATTAAACTCCCCAATAATAAGGCATTGAGTGGCTGAATGGGTAAAAAAATAAGATCCAACTATACATTGTCCACAATAGACTCATTTTAGGTTTAAGTACACAAATAGGTTGAAAGTGAAAGATTGGAAAAAGATATTCTGTGCAAATGGTAATCAAGAGAGGAACAGTAGCTATACTTATATCAGACAAAATAGTAAGTCATAAACTGTCACAAGAGACAAAAAGGACATTATATAATGATAATAGTGCCAATGCAACAGAAATATATAACTATAAATATATATGCACCCAACATCAGAGCTCCTAAATATAAAAATCAAATATTCACATAACTGAAAGGAAAAATAGACAGCAATACAATAATAGTAGGCGATTCAATACTCAATTTTCAATAATGGATAGAATATCCAAACGAAAAAATCAATATCATAAGAGTAGACTTGAACAACAGTATAGAACAAATGGACCTAACAGTCATATACAGAATATTCCACCCCAAAGTAATAAGTACACATTCTTCTAAAGCACACAGAGAAAAATTTCAATATAGATCACGTTAGATCCCAAAAACAAGCTTTAATAAATTTAAGAAGATTGAAATTATACCAAATATCTTTTCTAACCATAATGGAATGAAACTAGCAATCAATAGCAAAAGAAAAACTGGAAAATTTATAAATGTGTGGAAGCTAAATAACACACTTTTGAATAACAAATGGATCAAAGAAGAATCAAAAGGGAAATTTAAAAATATCTTGATGTCCACAGAGGAGGTCTACAGAAAAAAATAAAATAAAAATCTTGAGACAAATGAAAACAAAAATACAATATGCCAAACTATATGGGGTCCAGCAAAAGCAGTACTAGAAGTAAAGTCTGCAGCAATAAATTCCTATATTAAAAATGATGAAAGGTTTCTCGAAAACAACCTAAATTTACACCTCGAGGAACTAGAAAAGAATAAACTGAGACAAATGTTAGAAGAAAGAAGGAAATAAAGGTTAGAGAACAAATAAAATTGAGTATCAAAAAACAATAAAAAAATGAAATTTAGAGTTTTTATGGAAAGATAAAATTCACAAGCCTTTAGCTAGAATAACTAAGAAAAAAGAGAGAAGACTGAAATAAATAAAATTAGAAATTAAAGAGGAGACATGACAACCCCTGCCACAAAATCAGAAGGGACATAAGAGATTACCTTACCCAATTTTACACAAACTGGATAAACTAGAAGGATAATTTTTTTAGAAACATACAAATTACCAAAACTGGATCATGAAAAATAGAAAATCATAACATATATATATAATGATAATGAGAATGAATCAGTAATCAAAAATATTCTGACAATGACAAGAAGCCCAGGACCAGATGTCTTCACTGATGAATTCTACCAAACATTTGAAGAAGAATTCAAACCAATAATTCTCAAAGTCTTCTGAAAAATTGAAGAGGAAGGAACATTAACCAACTAATTTTATGAGGCCAGCATTAACCTGATAACCAAAACCAAAGATACCTAAAGGAAAGAAAATTACAGGCCAATATTCCTGAAGAATATAGATGCAAAAATCCTGAACAAAATATTATCAAGCAGAATTCAATAGCACATTAAAAGAATCACGTACCATTACCAAGTGAGATTTATCCCTGGGATGTAAGGATGGTTCAACATATGCAAATCAATAAATGTGATACACACCACCTACCTAAGTCTGTGCAAGCTGTTATAACAAAAGAACATAAGCTGGTTGGCTTATAAACAACAGAAATTTATTTCTCACAGTTCTAGAGGGTGAGAAATTCAAGATCAAGGCCCAGGCAGATTTTTTGTCTAGTGAAGGTCTGCTCTCTGGATCATAGATGGTGTCTTCTATCTGTGTCTTTGCATAATGGAAGGGGCAAGGGAGCTCTTTGGGTCCTCTTTTGTAAGGGCACTAACCCCATTCCTAAGAGCTCTGCCCTCATGACCTAATTGCTTCCCAAAGGCCCTATCTTCTGATACTATCATATTGGTGATTAAGTTTCAACATAGAAATAGGGGGAGGCACACAAACATTCAGAGCATAGCACTGCATTGACAGAATAAAGGATAAAAATCACATGATCGTCTCAACAGATGTAATAAAAAAAGCATTTGACAAAATGTAATACCCCATATCATGATAAAAACACTCAACAAACTAGGAATAAGGATAAATTACCTCAACATAATAAACAAAACTAACATCACATTCAATAATAAAAAACTGAAGGCTTTTCTTCTAAGATTAGGAGCAAGGCAAGAATGCCCACTCTCACAACTTCTATTCAACATAGTACTGGAATCCTAGCAAAAGCAATTAGGCAAGGAAAATAAATAAAAGGCATTCAAATAGGAAAGAAAGATATAAAATCTCTTTGCAGGTAACATGATCTTCCGTGTAGAAAACCCTAAATACTCCAGAATAAACAGAACTAATTTAAAAATTAGTAAAGTTTAAAAATACAAAATCAAGGCCGAGTATGGTGGCTCACACCTTAATCCCAGCACTTTGGGAAGCCGGGGCAGGCGGATCATGAGGTCAGGAGACCGACACCAGCCTGACCAACATGGTGAAACCCCGTCTCTACTAAAAATACAAAAAATAAGCCGGGCGTGTTGGCACATGCCTGTAGTCCCAGCTATTCAGGAGGCTGAGGCAGGCGAATCACTTGAACCCAAGAGGCAGAGGTTGCAGTGAGCTGAGATCACGCCACTGCACTCCAGCCTGGGAGATAGAGTGAGACTCCGTCTCAAAAAAAAAAAAAAAAACCCACAAAAACAAAAACAAAATCAACATACAAGGATTTGTTGTATATTAATATACCAACCATATATTTTCTGAAAAGGAAATTAAGAAAACAATCCCATTTACAATAGCATCAAGGTGAATAAAATACTTAGAAATAAACTTAAGTTTTAAATAAACATTTAAAATACTTAAAATACTAAGAAATAAAAAACTTATACACCAAAAAATACAAAACACAGATGAAGAAATTAAAGGAAACACAAATAAATGGAAAGACATGTCATGTTAATGGATTGAAGGAGTGAATATTGTTAAAATGTCCATATTACCTGCTATGGTTTGAATGTGTCCCCAAAATTTCATGTGTTGGAAATTTAATCCCCAATTTTGTATGTTGATAGTATTTGGAGGTGGCGCCTTTGGGACGTAATTAGGACTAGAGAAGGTCATTAAAGTGGAGCCTCCCTGATTGTACTGGAGGCTTTATTAAAAGAGGAAGAGGGGTAATCAAAACCACAATGAGATACCATCTTGCACCAGTTAGAATGGTGATCATTAAAAAGTCAGGAAACAACAGGTGCTGGAGAGGATGTGGAGAAATAGGAACACTTTGACACTGTTGATAGGACTGTAAACCAGTTCAACCATTGTGGAAGACAGTGTGGTGATTCCTCAAGGATCTAGAACTAGAAATACCATTTGACCCAGCCATCCCATTACTGGGTATACACCCAAAGGATTATAAATCATGCTGCTATAAAGACACATGCACACGTATGTTTATTGTGGCACTATTCACAATAGCAAAGACTTGGAACCAACCCAAATGTCCATCAATGATAGACTGGATTAAGAAAATGTGGCACATATACACCATGGAATACTATGCAGCCATAAAAAAGATGAGTTCATGTCCTTTGTAGGGACATGGATGAAGTTGGAAACCATCATTCTCAGCAAACTATCGCAGGGACAAAAAAAACAAACACTGCATGTTCTCACTCATAGGTAGGAAATGAACAATGAGAACACTTGGACACAGGAAGGGGAACATCACACACCGGGGCCTGTCGTGGGGTCGGGGGAGCGGGGAGGGATAGCATTAGGAGATATACCTAATGTAAATGACGAGTTAATGGGTGCAGCACACCAACATGGCACATGTATACATATGTAACAAACCTGCACATTGTGCACATGTACCCTAGAACTTAAAGTATAATTAAAAAAAAATGCTTGGGACAAGAAAAAAAAAAGTAGGAGACAAATCATTTCAATTATTCTTTTGCACTGATTGTTTTATGTTTATGAATCCATAGAAACCTCATTTCAGAGGCATTTGCTGCACTTGAGACTTGAGCTTGGTTTGTAGCTTTGAAATTAAATTGGCAAGTATGTAACTTCAAAAAAAAGTATACATCACTTGTAATATGCATTAGAAAGATTAAGTGAGTTAAAGTGTTACTCTTAAGATTAAGAGATCAAGACAAATTGCTTTGATTTTGTAATGTACATCATACAGTAACATATAAAAAATAAATAAGTACCATCAATATTATACAAATATATGATTTACAATATCCCCATTATAGCAAGAAAAATAATGCAGTCATAAAATAAAATGTCTTTTAGGCATTTATTATGCAAAGCATGTAAATTATTGTTCTCATTATGACATAAGAATAATACTCTTTTGGTGACAAAAGATATATTGTGTTAGCTCAAGGTCCAATGAAGAGCTTCCAGGAAGTTCAAAAGTAAAATCTGGCCATGTTTGCTATACGCTAAATAGAACAGCAACAACCTCTGCTATCCTTTAAGCATAAACTATCCCTTTACATAAACTTAAGTAAATGGCTTGTTACAAATAAAAATAAATAACAATTTAGAAACTAGTTAACAAAAAAAAAAAAAGAGGAAGAGAGGTAACACACATTTGCCCTCTTGTCACATGATGCTTTTTGCCATGTTATGATGAAGCAAAAAGGACCTTGCCAGATGTCGATGCCATGCTCTTGGACTTCTCAGACTCCAGAACCATGAACTAAATAAACTTCTTTTCTTTATAAATTACCCAGTCTATGGTATTCTGCCATAGCAATGGAAAATGCACTTAAGGTAGAAAATTGGCAACAAGAAGTGAGGCCATTGCTATAACAGAGATCTGAAAATATGGAAACAGCTTTGGAATTGGGTGATGGGTAGAGGCTGTAAGAATCTGGAGGAGGCCGGGCGCGGTGGCTCACACCCGTAATCCCAGCACTTTGGGAGGCCGAGGCAGGTGGATCATGAGGTCAGGAGATCGAGACCACGGTGAAACCCCGTCTCTACTAAAAATACAAAAAAATTAGCTGGGCGTGGTGGCAGGCGCCTGTAGTCCCAGCTACTCAGGAGGCTGAGGCAGGAGAATGGCGTGAACCCGGGAGGTGGAGCTTGCAGTGAGCCGAGATTGCGCCACTGCACTCCAGCCTGGGCGACAGAGTGAGACTCCATCTCAAATAAATAAATAAATAAATAAATAAATAAATAAATAAATAAATAAAAATAATCTGGAGGAACAGACTAGGAAAAAAAAATACCTGCATTGCCATAAATGGTGCATTAACAGTGACTCTGGTGAGGGCTCAGAAAAAGGAGAAGACCAGAGAAATTCTAAAACATTTTAGAGATTGCTTAAGTGGCCTTGACCAAAATATTGATAAAAATACGGACAGTAAAAGCCACTCTAATGAGGTATCATATGGAACTAAAGAAACTGGAGAAAAGGCCATTCTTGTTATAAAGTAGCAAAAATCTTGGCTGAACTATGTTCATGGTTGAATGCTTTATGGAAGGCAGAATTTAAGAGTGATGAACTGGAATAGCTTGTGGAACATATACGAAAGCAGCAAAGCATTCAGGATGTTTCAAGGCTACTTTTAACAGCTTATAGTAAAACAAAAGAGGAAAGAGATGATTTGAAGAGAGAATTTGTAATTAAAATGAAAGCAGAGTGAAATGATTTTGGACATGTGGTAGAGAATGAAAGAGCATTTTCAGCACAGGAAACCAAGGGTGTGACTAAGTGATCAATTGATAAGGAGATTAGTATGGATAAAACAAAGCCAGAGACTATCGGGACATCAGGAGAAAAACTCTTGGAGATCTTCGAGTCTTCCCCTCCCATTACAGGCTCAGAGCTCTGGGAGGGTAGAATGGTTTTGAGGGATGGGCCACTGGCCAGGGCTGCCTTGGGTCTCTGTTCCTTGCATTCTGGTGCAGCACTCCTCATCATAACAGCTGTGGCACAAGATGCTCCAGGTGCAACTTGACCTACCACTCTAAACGGTATGAGACATAAACTTTGGCAGCATCCATGAAGTGCTAATTCTGGAGATGTGCAGAATGTAAGAGCTGTGGGAACATCCTTCACCCAGATTTCAAAGGATGGCATGAACAGCCTGGAGGCCCAGGCAGAGAGTTGTCACAGGGTAGAGCCACAGCAGAGAGCCGCTACAAGGGCAATGCTGAGCAGAAATGTAAGGTCAGTTGTTGGGATTCACTCAGGATGGTGGCAGAAATATTAAAGGGACATATTAGGGAAAGTTATAGGGAATAGTCACAAACCGTTTGGAAGGCCGAAAGCTTACATAGCTTGTAATAATTGAACAGGCTGAAGGCAGCCGGTTCTTACATTAGAGAATTAGGTCATAAGGTAAATACTAGGGACAACAGAGTCTTCCTCATTTAAGTCTGTTTACCCTACCTCCAATAACTAACCTTTGAGCCAGATGGCCCTCATGGGGGAAGGTTGACCAAGGCTATTGCCCCCTAATGGTATTTACTTTAAACCGCGGTACCTGAGCTTTAATCATTAGTAGAACTACTCTCTTAACCATGTTAATTATCCACAAGTGTGTTTACTCAAAGCTTCTGTTGTTAATTCTGTACTAAATAAATGCCTGGAGTGCGAGCTGCTCAGGGCCGGCCGCAATGACAAACCTCTCTTGGTGTGCAGGTGGTCGGACAGTCAGCAGGACTGGCAAAACAGAATATCTGTGTGTCAGTGTACGTTTTATTCATCCGTCGTTTAGGTCAGGGTCTGCGGGCAGATCCCCATAGCTAATGCCCTCTTGTGAGGAGCCACACCTCAGTCAGTGCTAGAGCTGTCACGGAGAGTCCCCACTAGGGCAATGCCTAGTGGAGCTGCAGGGGAAGGACTACCCACAAGAATTCAGAATTGTAGATCTACAAGTATTCAGTCCCCTTGGGAGAACTGCAGGCATAAGACTCCAACCTGTATAAACTGCTGCATGGGCTGAGCACAGCAAAGCCACAGGGATGGAACTGCCCAAGGCTTTGAAGATTCCAACCCCCCCTCCCACGCCAGTACATTCCAGAGATGGCACATGGAGTGAAAGATCATTCTAAGCTTTAAGGTTTAATGTTGTTTCCCTGTTGGGGTTTTGACGTGCTAAGACCAGCTACTTATTTTTTCTTGCTTATTTTCTCCATCTTTAATAGGAATGACTATCCTGTGCTTAGCATTGCATTTTGCAAATACATAGCTTGTTTTGATCTCACGGGCTTGCAGCTGGCAAGGAAATTGCACATTTTGAGTCTCATCTATATCTGATTCAGATGAGACTCTGGACTTTGGACTTCTGAGTTGATCCTGAAACAAGTTACGACTCTGGGGCTACTGGAATGGAATTAATACATTTTGCATGTGAAAAGAAAATAAAATTTGGGGGCCAGGGGCAGAATGCTATGGTTCGATGGTGTCCCCTAAATGTCGTGTGTGTGTTGGAAACTTAATCCCCAAATCCATATGTTAATGGGATTTGGAGATGGGGTCTTTGAAAGGTAATTAGAATTAAATAAGGTCATCAAGCTAGGGCCCCCATGATGGTACTGGAGGCTCTATGAGAAGAGGAAGAGTGATCTGAGCTGACACACTCTTCCCTCTTGCCATAAGATGTCCTCCACCATATTATGACACAGCCAGAAGGCTATTAGCAGATGCTGGTACCATGCTCTCAGACTTCCTAACCTCTAGAACTATGAGGTAAATAAACTTTATAAATTACACAGTCTGGGTTTTTTTTGTTTTTTTTTTTTTGAGATGGAGTCTCATTCTGTTGCCCAGGTTGTAGTGCAGTGGCACGATCTCAGCTCACTGTAACCTTCGCCTCCCAGGCTCAAGCAATTATCCTGCCCCAGCCTCCTGAGTAGCTGGGATTACAGGTGCCCACTACTCCACCTGGCTAATTTTTGTATTTTTAGTAGATCCGAGGTTTCACCATGTTGGCCAGGCTGGTCTCGATCTCCTGACCTCAAGTGATCTGCCTGCATTGGCCTCCCAAAGTGCTGGGATTACAGGCGTGAGCCACCACGCCCAGTCACAGTCTATGGTATTCTGTGATAGCAACAGAAAATTGACTAAGAGTTGATATTGTTAAAATACCTATACTACCTAAAGCAATCTACAGATTCAGTGAAATTTCTATCAAAATTCAAATGGCATTATTTACAGAAATAGAAAAAATCCTAAAATCATATGGAACCACAAAATACCCAGAATAGCCAAAACAATCTTGTTTAAAAAAAGTTAGAGGCATCATACTTCACTATTTCAAAATGTATTACAAAACTACAGTAACCCAGTAGTATGATACTGGCATAAAGACAGACCTATACAACCAATGGAACAGAATGGAAAGCCCAGAATTAAACCCATACATGTAGTCAACAGACCTTCACGAAGGGTGCCAAGAACACTCAACTGGGAAAGAGTCCTCTCAGTAAATGATGCTGGGAAGATTGGACATTCACTTGCAAAAGTATGAAATTCTACCCATGCCATACACCACACACAAAAATTCACTAAAAATGAGTTAAAGACTTAAGTGTAAGACCTGAACTTTAAAACTCTTAGCAGAAAACACAGCAGGGAAAGCTTCATAATGTTGGTTCTTGGCAATGATTTCTTGGCTGTAGCCTCAAAAGCACAGGCAACAAAAGCAAAAAATAGACAAAGGGGACTATATCAAACCAAAAAGCTTCTACACAGAAAAGGAAACAACAGATAAAAGGCAACCTACAGAATGAGAAAAAAAATTGCGAACTATATATCTGATAAGGGGCGAATATACAAATATATAAAGGTTTCCTACAGCTCAGTAGCAGAAAAACAACCAAATTTAAAAAGTGAGCAAAAACTGTGAATCGACGTTTCTCCCAACAAGACATACGAATGGCCATGAGGCATATAAAAAGATGTTCAGCATCACTAATAATCAGGGAAATGTAAATCAAAACCACAATGAGATATCACCTCATACCTCTTAGAATGGCTAAGATAAAAAGGAAAGATATCAAGTGTTGGTGAAGATGTGATGAAATTGCAACCCTGGTACAGTGTTAGTGGGACTGTAGAATGGTGGATCTGCTATAAAAAACAATACGGAGGTTCCTCAGAAAATTTAAAATAGAATTACCAAATGATCCAGCAATCCCACTTCTGGGTATTTACTGGTATTAAATAGAAATATGGATCCCGAAGGCATATCTGCGCTCCCATGCTCATAGCAGCATTATTCACAATAGCCATGATATGTAAACAACCTAAATGTCCAACTAGAGATAAATAGATAAAAAATACGGTATATAAATACAATTGAATATTATTCATTATTAAAAAATCATGAAATCCTGCCACATGAGATAACATAGATGAACTTTGTGGACGTTATGCTAAGTGGAATAAGCCAGTTATAGAAGAACAAATAATGCATTATTTTACTTATATAAAGTATCTGAAATAGTGAAATCACAGAAGCAGAAATTAGAGTGGCAGTTGCCAGGGACTGGCAGGGGGAAATGGGCACTTGCTATTCAATCGGTACAAAGTTTCACTTATGCAAGATGATTAAGTTCTAGAAATCTGCTGTACAACGTTGTGCCTATAGTAAATAACACTTCATTGTACATTTAAAAATTTGTAGAGAGGGTAGATCTCATGTTAAATGTTCTCACCAAAATAAAAATGAACTAAATTAATTATCTAATTAATTAAATGACTTGATTTAAGTACAGATTTTTCAGTAAAGTGCCCCAAATTACACTGAGCATAGACAAGAACCAGCAACTAGGCAAAGTGAAGTACAAGTATAGATGTAGAATTCTAAAATCTCTGGCCACAATAGTTTCTGCTTTTGCATCTTAAACTGAGACTATATGCTAAATAATTGTTTAGCTTGGAATTGCAAGATTAGTCCATGTAGTTACATTTTGTATCTTTCCCACACAGTTCAACCAGTAGAGTTGGCTTAGGAGAATCAATACAGTATGGATGTTTGTATATGGGTGTGTTCAATTTCAACTTGGTCCACCATGGAAAACAGGCCATAAGTAAATGACTAAGGTCTGCATTTGTCTCCTGTTCCTCTCATGATCACTTTGTGGTGATGCCTAAGAAGCCCCAGATGATACAAATGCTCAGGTTGGAAGCTTGGGACTCAGTCTAGAAGTAGGAGTGAAGGAGTCCTTACCAAAGCCCAACATGGAACTTGAATCCTGAGGTAGGAAATAGCTATTGAGCCAATTCACAGAGTCCTTTAGGGAAAGATAATCATAAATTTAATTACTTAAAACCTAGAACTTTCTTTACATTTCCCGGCCAGTGTATTGCTACATAAGGGTGAGTCTCAACTAAAAAGATGTGAGCATTTTCCCCAGTCAGAAAAGGCTGTCGTCTCTTAACCTTAAGAACAAAAATAAGTAAAAAATGTTCATCTAATTATATGTTTCTAGCATAACACAATACAGACGATGTTGGCAGATAATTCCAGTCTTTTACCTCACTCATTTTGCAAACACAGTAAAACAAAGTAAATAGTTTGAGTCATCATCTTTGGACTCTTAAAATCTATTACATAAATTGAAAGAAGCATAAATAATTTAGATATTTTTAAACAAACTTACATATAATAGGCAACCAATTTAAACCATTCCTCTAAGTTCCCTGGAAAGAGACCAATGTGTAATCATCAGTTTTTAAATAATCCATGCTGTGGTACCAAATGAATATAAATGTAATGTTAAAAAAATTGATCAATAAATTATAATCTCATTTATTATTTATAAAACACTTTTTGCCACATCCTCTCTGATTTTTTTATAACCACATTGTGAGGTATACAAGAAGGGACCATAACCCTAATTTTACAGATATGAGAAAACTCATTTGCCCTGGATCTCGTATCTCGTTAGTGGTAAAAAGATCCAGTGTTCTTTACAGTATGCTGCAAAATATTTCCTGCTATTGATAAGACTTTGTTGCAATGACCTCTAAGAATTTTGGTATCATTAAATAAAAGTTATATAAAAGTTGTTCTATTTTTGATAATATTTTTTCTTCATATGGCATACTGGAATTGAAACTTAGAGACCTGAAATTATGTTCTGATTATGTTAACTCACCATAGCTTCATAGTGACACCAAAAGAGCTTTGCACACGATGTTGCTATATGTCCATTTGTGCGTGTATGTGTGTGCGTACGTGTGTGGTGAAAGATGGGGAGGAAAGTTATAACTATCAGAAATATAATACAACATAAAACACAATTAAATCAGTTTTGCAAATTGTGAAACATCTGTTATGTTTTGATTTACTCCAGCATGGTCCAAGAGTTATAAACTTCTCATCACAACAGAAATTGAAAGCAAAGGTCAATTAGAAATGTTATTTCATAGAGAGGTCTACCATTACCATGTCAGAATGCCAGAAATAAGTAAAGTTCCCTTCTTGTTCTTGCTTACTTATCTTTAAGACCTTGTATTTGCCTCTAAAGCTGTATGTTTCCTTGAGGAGAGCATCTTGTCCCCATTTACGTGAACTCATCAAAGCACCAACCCTAGATCAATTTACCTTCTTCATGCCCATATCCAGGACAGCTAGAGAAAAATCACACAGCCCTACAGACTGGGTGAGAAGACAAACTCGTGGTCCACAAATCAGCTAAGCCTAATCACCTGTGAATTCTTTTCCTTACCTTCAGTCAGTTCCTGAAGCCAGTGCCCTCAATGACTTTTCAATGCTCTTCTGAAATTACTCAGGCCCTGATGCCCTCCCTCTTAGCCTTGGCTCTCTCAATATACTGCCCTTCCATTAACTTACTGATGTCCACACTTAGCTGTACCTCATCATAGGTTCAGAGGACTAGATGTTCTTTTCCCTTTTCAAATCTACATTCTTTCATTTTTTTGTCCTAAATCTCATCTCCTCAGACTTGCTCCATGATCTTGTTCCAACAAGCATTCTCTTTTTTTCTTTAACTTGAATATCTCAAGTTTCACTGATTCCTTTATCTCAGCCTATAAACAAATCTAAAATACATACGCATTGCCCTTCATGTAGTCTACTGTATAGTTTGTCTCTTCTTCATATTTATTATAATAAATTTATTAAAATGCTTATCTGTACTTGCTGCATCCAAACCACCTCTCAGTCACTTCTCAAGTTGCTGTAATCTGACTTTTACCCCCACTGCTCTCCTGCATCTTCACTAATGTGGGGGTCCCCAACTCTCTAGCCATGGTGATTAGTAGAGGGATGGGCATGTGACTTATACCTGACCAATTAGAGTCTTCCCTCAGGTTTATTTTGTATTTTGAGATAACAAGGAAAAAACTCCTTTTTTTTTCTGGTTTTGGAGCTAATAGAATATGAATCTGGAACTGCCTAAGATCATGACTCTAGCCTCAAAGAGTCACTCAGCTTAAAAACAAAACAAAACAAAAAAACAGAGAGTCTGAGGGAAAAAAAGATGGTGTTAAAATTTCTAACTTTAGTCATACTCAAAGCCAGCTCTGACCCTGAGTGTTCTCATATGATTATTTTGTCCATTAAATTCTACTCTTTGGCTTAAATCAAATTCTTATTTGTTGACTTTTCCTTCTCAAGTTCCTCATCTGTCATCTACTCCAGCAACATCTTCTCATTCTATTATATTCATTTCATCCTGCATATGCTTCCTTTGATGATTTCAACCAGACTCATGCTTTCAAACTTTAAACTATGAATGATAACTCCCAAGTCTATATCACCAGACCAGTTCTCTCCACTGAATTTCATACTCAAATATCAACATTATACTAAATAATTTCACTTTTTTAAATTAATTTATTTATTTTTTAGACAGAGTCTTTCTCTGATGCTCAATAACTTCACTTTGATTACCCAAAGGCAACTCGCTCCAGAGTGAATATAAACTCGTTTTCCTGAGATCAGTCCCAAGACATGTTTACCCTGGTGGTTCTGGCGTAATTATTAATAGCACTCTTTCACGTTCTCTGAAGTGCCCTGGTTTTGACGATAAAATTCTTTGTCACTCTCTCTCAGACTCAATGTTTCCTACACTGAACCCACTATCCTTCTTTCCATATCTCAGTCAGTCAAATTGGAAGCCTAGAGTCATCCTTGACTCTTTCCCCTAAATCTGTCCTCCATGTTATAACAATGTCCAGGCCTTGAATACTTCTTGAATCTATCATTTTCTCTCTTTTCCAGCTGCCACTGCTCTGGACTTTTACCATCTTTGAAATAGCCTCTTAACCTCCAGTCTTCTTCCCCTCAAATCTATCACTCACAATAACAATAAGGGTGTTGAATTATTGGCCCAAATTCTTCATCCCTCCTAGTGTCCATCCTCTTAGTGTCCTCTCCAGAAAGCAATCCCTGGCCCTCTCCTTACCCCAGTTACCTTTGCTAATGACATTGAAGTTCCTTCCACTAGAGATGGAGTATACTTCCCTACCCTTTGACTTTGGGCTTATCCACGTGATTTGCTTCGGTCAGTATAACCACAGGTGTAACTCAAGTAGGAGTTTGGCAACTTCAGTTCTTGTGCTTTTGACCTTGTCATGGAAAGAACATTTCTTGGCTAGCCCATAAGTCTAATAAAGACAAGAGTAAGGTCAGCAAAAATTGGACCCTGTCTACCATCTGGAGCTAAGTGCAGACAAACCCAGGGCTAGACAAACCCAAGTGCAGAAGAGTTAACTCTCAATCAAGTAGCAGAAGCGTGAAGAAGAATAAATTATTGTTGTTTTAAGCCAGTTAATTTTCCTGTACTTTTTAATGGAACAATAGCTTATTGACATAACTCCCCTCTCTATTTTAGTTAGTAATACTGAATTCACCCAAAAGAGAAGCCTAAAGATATCCTTGATTTTCCCTCCTCACCCTGACCTTTACATTCCAACAATTCCTAGATCTTACAAATCTATATTCCAAACATTTCTTGAATTCAGAGCCCCCTCTGTATTTCTTTTGCCACTGCTCTGATTCAAACCCTCATATCTTTGATCCTGGATTACTGCAATAGATTTGCCTGGTCTCCTTGTGTCTAGCCCATCCTCCTCAAGAATATGATCCATGTATCCACCAAAGGACCTTTCTCTAAGGAAATTTGACCATTTCTCCCCATTGTATTCCTTCTCCACTTTGTTAAAACTTCTTTAATGGGTTTCCACCATCCACAGAATAAAGTCTAACTTCCAAGCAAGACCCTCAAGGTCTGGCCCTAGCTAACTCTTTAGACTCATCCCTCACCACTCCTGCCTTACAATTTTTACTACAGCAACACTGCTTGTAGTTCCTCAAAACCTCTCCAGAAAGCAATCCCTGGGCCTCTCCTTAACCCAGTTTATGGTTTTCTCCTCCTTGCTCCTCACAATTTGCTGTACATATTTATATGTACTTACCACAGTATAATGACCTATCAGTCTATCTCTCCTACTGTCTTTTTGAGGTGAGACTGTCTTACTCATGCTTTAATTGGAATCCGCCACCCTAGGGCAGAACCTGACACATACGGCATGCTTAGTAAATACTTAGTGAGTAAATGAATGAATGACTGATTTTTTTAAAAAAACTCATAAAACATATTTATACCGTTTATTAAAATGCTTTTGATATTTTCTGTTCCTAATCCCAAATAATATATTTTTCTTGCTATTAATACATGTGATTCAAAAAATCACCATTGAAATCAATTCACTTATTTACCGAGGATCTTTTAACAAATCTAATGTTAGTAATATGAAAGCAAGATAATGGAGTTTAGCATTTATTTCCACATAGAAACAGATATTTAGTAAGAATTTAATAGAACAGGGCTTCTTAGTCAGATGGCACTTTTCTTTGGTATATAATAGTGAACTAAACTTTGAAAAAAAAATTCTTTTACTTTATGGATCCATAACTTTTTTTTTTTTATTCCTCGTAAGTCTTTCTGCCCTTCAGATCAGATCAATTTACACATATTCCAATTTCTTCCATGATTATTGTTCTACTCAGGCTCTTCAGTCAATTTCGGTAATTGCTATAAAAGTAAAATTGTATTACATGTTGGATGGATAACACCCATCATGTGCTGCACTGATTAACAATTGAAAAACTTCAGTATACCTTAAAATGAACACATATCAAGATATGTTTCCAAACATCTTTATACTTTCATAGCCTGAAAAGCTCTCAGAAAAAGAACTTATTTAATTTGGTCAAAAATCAATATTTGGTGTATTTTCAATTACTGTCTTTTATAATAAAACTGTTAATGAATAATATTTTCTATAACAACCAACTGAATATACATCATACATTAAAGGTAATTTCAACCAATATTAAAGCCACCAAAAAAGCAATACGCTGGTTTGAGTTTCTTAAATAGGAAAGCATTGCATACTTCTCGGTTATAAACAGAATTCCAAGTACAGGTTCTGAAGACTGAAAGCATATATCAAACCTTCGGAAAAGTAAAAGTAAATAAAGATATATCCTGCTTTACAGTTATTATTTCTGAAAGGTAGTAATTCACATATAAGTTATCAAATGGTATTTGAAAATCTTCCTACCTAAAACAGCTCTTCTGAAAATACTTTCAGCAAATAATTATTTCATAAAATATATATGCACAATAGAGCAATATCTTTTAGATATACATTTATTAGGTTTCCTCTAAGTGAGAAATACTGTAGAGTAGAGGAACAGGTGCCAACAGAAAGGGTCCCAGAAGCATATATACCATATCTAAGAGCAAGAGGATGTTTAAATACATAATTTATATTTCCTTAAGTAGGAAAACAGGTGAAAGGCAGTGACTCAATCTATTGAGAGAAAATCTTTCAAACTTCTTGAAGTTCCAATTTGATCATGATGGCATTCCTCAAAGATTTAAATAGGTATTGATTAAAGACTTCATAAAATACGGAAAAGGGCTGGGAGCATGAATAGTCCAAAACAACAAAGGATACAAATCACTCACATTTAAAAATTTTTTGCAACAGGTATTCTTTTCTAATGATGTGTACCTTAGACCAGTCAAGAAATTGATTTCCATGTCCTAAGCATTCAAACCACTGTCTATATGACAGGAGAGATCTAGAGTGGAATTAATAATTTGTCATGGTTCACATGCAATTATAATGTTAAACAGCATATAATTACAAATTAAACACAACTTTTTTTAAATGTTGTACCCAGGGTCAACTGGGCACCCAGGTGCAACTAAAAGGGCAAAACATGTACTCTACATTTCCTTTTATTTTCCCTAACTAGTGTATATTTTCCTTTTTTGTCTTCCTTGGTGCCAAATAAGCTTCCCTCATTATGGTGAACATTATTTATTTTTTCCTTTTTTCATGTTCTACCCTCTAACCACAATCAAAATGTACCTGTTCTTCTCAGATCTTGTGAGGTGTAAGAAATTAAGCTGATTAAGGTGGAAGCACTAATGGCATGATAGCTTACTCTTTCCAGATTTAATCAATGAGGAATGCTTTGGGCAGCAAGCAATAGCAATATGAATAACAACAACAATAATAAACAAACTGCAATGATATAAACCATTGGAGGTACCTCAATGTCAGGTTGGTTTGGTGGCTCACCCATGTCATGAAGGACATAGGCTTTTTCTGCTGTTATGTTTGACCATCCTTAGCATATGGGATTTTGTTCTTTGAATGGTTGCTTCATGGTTTCAAGATGCTCTTCCTAGCTGCAAGTATCACAATAACAAAGTAGCATTTAAAGGCAGGAATTCATAGAAATTAGACTGAGACAAGCCATTTATGTACCTTGTTCCTTTTATTAGAAAGTACAAACTTTCCATGAAGCCCCATAATAACTTCCCTTATATCTCATTGGCAGGGGAGAATAGGAAAGTGAGTCTCAGGTTTTTTCAGCCTCCATGGTAGAGGTGGACAAGAGAAGAAACGGGTTGGAAATGATTTTTAGATTCCAATGTGAATGGCTACCATATCAGATAACATGACTGAAATTGAATAGGAACCTTTAGAGTTTACATACAGAAAAGAAATAGCAACAAATTGAGGCTCAGTTTGTTTTAAAATCTCTCCCCCTTAGATATCTGTATTCCTATGTTCACTGCAGCATTATTCACAATAGCGAAACTAAGTGTCTGTCAATGGATGAATTTAAAAAATGTGGTACATAAACAAAATGGAATACTATTCAGCCATAAAAAAGAAGGAAATCCTGTCATTTGTGACAATATGGAGGAACCTGGAGAACATTATGTTAAGTGACATAAGCCAGGCCTAGAAAGGCAAACATCCATGATCTCACTTATATGTGGAATCTAAAACAGTTGAACATAGAAAGTAGCTTGGTAGTTACCAGAGGCTGAGGCGGGGAGGTGGTGGCAGATGGGGAAAGTGGCAATGTATACATATATCAAATCATCAAGTTGTATACTCTAAATATATATAAAAATATATGTAAATATATAAATTCTAACCATCATCTATACTTCAATAAAGTTGCAAAAAATAATTTAAGCAAAAATTATGTAAATGATTTCATAATATAATATATAATTTTATAATAACATATAATAATATTCCTTGAAATGATATATGCTTTTTTATTTTTAAAAATAAAACATAAAACTAATGCTTAGAAAATTGATTCCAGTGATGCTTTTGGACTTTAAATTCTAGAACAACTAATATTCCTAGTAAATAAAAGCAGCTCATGTTATACCTCTTGTTGTCATTAACCTTTACTACTCTGTTATATAAGGTTCCCTGTCATTATTGTCCATTAGACTGCTTGGTAATAGGATAAACTTGGGAGGAATTATGCAGGATCTAAATGAAATAAGTGTAAGAAAATAAGAAAAAAAGTTCCTGACCATTCTGAAGCCTCCTGGAGTAGAATTTGCCCACTTAAGAAATATTCTCATACTGAAACAATGAAGCTATGAAGAAGATTTGGAACTCTGTGTATTTGGGCTTAAATTGACTGAGTCATTTGGTACTTTGGTTTTGTTTGGAAATGTATAAAAACATCAGGAAAAGAAATATGAAATGGAGTTGGGGAGGCACAGGAGAAAATGTTTTCAAATTAAGATGTTAACAAATAATCAAATAGTTCATCTTATTTAATCTCACAAAAATCCTTCAAGGTGGCTATTATTAGCCTCACTTAATGTGAGGAAACTGAATATGGAAAAAAATAACTAGCTTAGCCAAACTTACAAAGTGGGAAAATTAGGATCTACACCAAAGTCTGTCTGCCAAATCTATGCAGTTTCTATTTCTTTTACCCAACAGAGAAAGAGTGGCCAGAACACAGCGCCCAAAAAGATGTAAATCTTAGCTAAAATGATATCAGTTTTCTGATGGTGTATTAGTCCATTTTCACACTGCTATAAAGAAGTACCTGAGACTGTGTAATTTATAAAGGAAAGAGGTTTACATGACTCACAGTTCCGCATGGCTGGGGAGGCATCAGGAAACTTACAATCATGGCAGAGGGTGAAGGGGAAGCAAGGCATGTCTTACATGGTGGCAGGAGAGATAGAGAGAGCAAAGAAAGCCACATCCTTTTAAACCATCAGTTCTTGTGAGAACTCACTCAATATCACGAGAACAGCATGAGGGAAACTTCCGCCATGATCCAATCACCTCCCACCATGTCCCTCCTCCGACACGTGGGGATTACAATTTGAGGTGAGATTTTGGTAGGGACACAGAGCCAAACCATATCAGATGGAAATAGGAAATGTCTTATGATGCACAGGAATGTTCACAAAGCAATCACTGAATGAAGCTGATTGACCAGAGATTATCAAGAAAAGGGTGAGCCTTATAATATGAAGACAATCAATTTGGCCCCTCAGAAGTGAGGGAGAAATAAGGGACAGTGAATGAAAGAGGAAAGTTTAAGGAGAGGAGGAAATGAGGGAGAGAAGAAAGTGGGGCAAGAGAGAGAGTAAGGCAATGAGGTGATGAAGAGGGGACCAGTTTTGCAGGAAATACTTATTATCCATGTATTCCTACATATACGGAATCTGTGTGTAAAGTAGAAAAAGTCTCCACTAGGAAGATAATTAGAGGTTATCAATATTCCTTTTATCACTTAGCAACCAAGACACATGCTTATTTCTGCTCCCCAGAAGCAATGTTAGCTACTAGTTTCAATTCAGGAAAATGTATATCTTCAGAAAGGTTTATATGAGATATTTATTCAGCTTTTTCTCAAACTTCTTCATATTTTCACTATAAACATTAAACTGAAAGTGTGTTCGAAAAATTGTATTCCACCATGAAAATGTAGAAGCATACTTTCTGATGAAGTTTATGTGGTGTAAATCATGATGCTGAGAACCAGCATAGAAAAGGATGAGATTTAAAGGTTTGAGAGGAATATCATAACCACGATGGGCATCAATAGTTTCTATCAAATAAATTGTCACCCATGTCCAAAGAAGAATTAATTACATGGTAACACAAAAGCATGATTCCAATGAAAAATCCAGTTCCAAGAATTAGAATTTCCAAAGGATGTGCATATTCAGCTTCTATTCCAAATGGAGCTTGAAACTCATGATGAATTTTATGAATCTATTTACATATTCTTTTTGTGGTAAAAGAATCTATGCAGGCTTAGAAATAGTGCCAAGTAGTATCAAAGACTGTAGTATAGCCAAAGCACCTTACCAAAAGCATATACCATTTTGTCATTCTTTTTCAATCATAAAGAATATTGAAATACTCTGTAAAATAATAGGTTCCACACATAAAAGCAGCTGGATACAAAAGTGATTAAAGAGAAGTAATTTAAAGCACTTCCGTTGGTTTTCCTATGTCTCTGGTTTATATTTTTCAATGTTATTCTTTTTAATGCAAGGTATAAATTGAAATAGAAACCCAGGTAAAAAGAACAAGAAATAAAAGTTTTCATGAACAATAGCAGATCCCCATGTTGCAATCTAGAACATTGTATAATTATTAACATACAATTCCAAGCATTTTAAAATGGTTCTTGCAGAGGACTGTCAGGTAAAAGTGAATCTACATACTCCACAGCTACAAATGCTGAACTACAGATGCTGGCACTTTCATTTGTTGCCATTTCTCAAATCTCTGCATAGAGCCTTCTAATTCTGGATAGTCATAAGGTGACTGTAGCCATGATTTTTGATGCTTCTGATTTTGTCATTCCACCTGTTTTAGCCAACTCTCATTTACTCATGAGTAAATCATACCTAATAAATTTCTAAAACTCAAACTGACTTCTAACAACAGACTTGCTGATGCGAACTCAGGAAGTACAAATTTGTTTACTGTTAAGATTAAGTAAACATACCACAACAGGATGCAGATGGAATTTTAAGGCCCAATTTGAAGACACGCTCTAAGTTCATTGAGTCTTCAGTGAGCCACCAACAGTGGAGATCAGGTCTATTGGAAGGTGCCAGGACAGTGTCACCCTTATCATCAACCAACACCACCCTGCTTTCCCATCAAGACTGGAGAACTATGCAGAAGGTGGAAAAGTCACCAGTCTTTTGGGCGCTGTTCATGGAGACTGATTATTCCCTCCCATCCCACTGAGGAGAAAATAATTTTCTGAAATAAAATGATTATTTCCAGGAATACAAAGTAAGATGAGAGTCATGAAATCTGACTAAGATGTCATAAAGTTAGTATCAAATCTTTGGGAAAGGGGTGTTGACACAGTTGGGGGACAGTTAACAGAAAAAAATAAAACCACATCATATTTTTCTTCTTACTGAATTAAAAACCCTCAACAAACTTGCTCCATGAAAGCTGAAAAGGTAAATTCTAAAATCATATAATTCACAGTTATCTCAATTTATAATTCTTGTAAAAATAGAATTACTATACCTATATCTCTGCTTTGCTTCAGATTGTATTCTCAAGAACACAGTACAATTTATTGAAACAATAACATATATGTAAAGTTAAGAGTAGTTGCAGAATGCAAAAGCTTTGCTTTGAAATCAGTCGACCATCTATTTAATTATTAGTATAGGAAGTTGTACCAGCTTTGGAAGTTAGTTTAATTTGGGTTCCCCCAAAAGTAGACCCTGAGGCAAGGACTTGGAGGCAGATAAGTATTTATGAGGTAATCCCAGGATGCAAAAGTGAGAGATAGAGAAAGTGAGACAGAGAAAGGAAGAAAAAATCAAATGTATTCTACTTCTATAGAAAAATGAGACTCAGTCTCCTTAAGGATACTGTGAAGAACTGCACACAATGCTCTTCAAAATTATACCATCAAAGGTAGGAGTGGCTGGGGCATTATTCTACCTACTCCTACTCACCATTGGCTAAGGATTGTCTCTGGAGGTGTTAACTTACTTTCAGTTGTGCCCGCATTCATGGAATGACCCTCCATTTTTTGCCCCACTGCCCACTTGGCATGGGTGTCTGGCAAGTGCAGGGGACTCATCTCCACAAGTGAATGGAAATCAAGTTCCCAAGGGGTTGGGGCAGTTTTGTGGTATGTCACAAATTCCTGCTATAGAGGTTTAAGTGATTTCTGCCTTCTTCATGGAATCACCTGCTAATGTAATAGATTTCTTTAAGTATATTATCAATTACACAGGCATTTTAAGATAAAAAACATACTCATCAATTATTGCCAAATGTCAAATCTCAATCAAAATGCCCCCAGACTCTTTTCCCAGAAAAAAAAAAATCTTTTTCAACAGGTACATCATTTCCAAAACAGACCAGACCTGTGATAGACTTTTAAATATTAAGAATACATAGGATGGTGAGTAAGAAGATTTGGTTATAGCTTAGCCTAGGGCCATAAACAATCCATAAATAAACATGAAACGACTATGCTCCAAAATTCCTCAGCTATGTCAGGCCATGGGAAGTTCCTTTCTCAGGCTTCCACCTGAGAGGCTTCTGCTTGACATATAAGGAGCATTTATAGTAAACTGAATTTTGATAAAAAGCTCCAGAAAAGCAGGGAACAATTGTTTATGAAAATCATCTAGATTAGTGTGTTCAGAACTCTGCCGATGAGGCCATGGGAGAGAAAAAAATAAAGGGGTAGGTCTGGACTCCTCCCTTGCTTCAACAGGAGCCATGGTGAATTTTTGTTTGTTTTGTTTAGGCTTATGCTTCAGCTTGAAAGACACAGAACAAATTCTCTCGATTTACAAATGAAACACAGGCTGGGAGACATTAAGTGGCTTGTTAAAGACCACACTGCCAGACAGAAGCAGAGCTAAAACGAGGAATCTGACTTCTAAGTAACAAAGACTCCCTCCTTTAACCTAGTTCCGACCTTGGGCTCCCCTCTTTGTCCCTGTAGAATCAAGTATAAGCAAGAATGGGGCTAAGTTAGTTTACTGAAAATCCCCCACACTTTGTATAATCAAATTTCTCATCCCCCATCCTCGATATCAAATCACCCTGGCCAGCCTTCAGCAGGAGTTATGTTGAGTTGGTCTAGTAAGAGTCACCCTTACCCTGAGGTTTCCTTTTAGTAATTTTCCACCCACTGACCCTCAACCTGCTCCTTGGTTGTAAATCCCCACTTGGCCTTATTGGAGTCAGAGTTAAGCCCAGTCTCCTTCCCCCATTTCAAGACCTCATTGCAGTGGTTCCTCTACCTATAGCCAATAGTCTCCCCAAATAAAGCCTTCATTACCATCTTTAGCAAGAGTCCTTAAACATTTTCTTCTTTAACATAAGCCAGCAATGCACTTCCTAATTCACCTTAGTTTTCCTTTCCAAACCTGTGTCAATTCACAAAAATACTCTCAGCAGTAAGCCTCCCTATTGTCTTCCCTTTAACAAATGTAGTGAGAATTTAAAATGGTACTTAAAACAATACTGACTATGGTCACTTCATCCTCTCTAGGGGAATGATTCAAATCTTCTCAGAGGTAGATAGCTCTTTTGTTTAGAAAAATACTTTGATGATGGGCCTTGACTGACTTGTTCATAGAGAAATGTGAGGACCCTTGCTCAAATTTTAAATGAATGAGAGCCAAATTACACCATGAAACAGAGTAAGAGAGACTAAGGTGGCCAGAAGGGAGGCCAGCAAGAAGGGAGGAAGGGATGAAAGCAGGGGACAGAAAGAGGAAGAGGCAAAGATATAAGCAATATGGAGGCCTGAGGAGAAATTCTCTGTGATCGGGCATAGCTAAAGAACTGAGAACATGGTGGCATGATATTCTGTTGTAAGTTTGTGGTACTGGGCTGGGTTGTCACCATTTTTTCCCTTCCCTGTTATTTCCAAGATTTAGAAATCGGCCACACACAAAAGCCATATGTTAGTTTTATTTGAAAAAAGGGAGAAGTGAAGCACAGCAATGGGGAAGAGGATAGGAGAGCCCAGAACGGATAGAGAAGACCTGGAATTAAGCAGATGAGCTGGTGTTCAAGAGCTTAGCAGAGAATGGTGCTATACCATAAACCAGCCCAGGACAACGTAAGCCATCTGTGGGGAGTTCTTAGAGATAAGGGGGTGGAGGGCAAGGATAAGTGCCATTTGATTTGAACATCCTCCCACTAACTCTTCTCATCAGTCAAAGTCATTTCCTGCCCATAATGCATTGAAGAACTATGACAGAAGAATAGGACAGAGTGTGTGAAAATTGCTCCAACTTTCAGGTACTTGTCAGGAGAAGCAGCACGTAATACTTGACATGACTCATTTAAGTAGGAGATGACAGCAGGTAAAATTAACAGGAATCTGAAGTGATGTGCTATTTCCCTTAAAGAAATATATGATCACAAATGAAAAAATGCCATAAAATTCACATATGTACTTTATTTAAAATGTTGACATACAGGAAAAATGTACTAATGAAAGAATTTGTGCTTATGTTTATGAAAGACCTATTATTATAAATATTATTTGTAGAATAAAACTCATTAACTCAATTAGATTCACAAATAATACAATAGAATTTTTCTGAATTATTAGAAAATTTATACCACTAACGACTTTTAATGGTAGTTTAGGCCTACCAAAACGGTTAACCCTGACAGCAAGAAAATCAAAATCACAGTAAGGGAATGGCTAAGATAAAATATAAATGAAAAGTTTTTTTTTCCCTACAAGTTATTTCAAGTAATTGACTTCCGTGGGTAGGAGGCATAAGTAAAAATAGATTTTAGAAAATTATTCTATGAAAAGAACACGTGATCAAATCCTAAAATGCTTCAGTCCTTGATGTGGTTCAATGTCTTTAGTACAGTGGCTCTCACAGTGTAGTCCCTGGCCAGCAGGATAAGCATCACATGGGAACTTGCTGGAAATGCAAAGTCACGTCTTAGAGATACATAATTTGACAGTCAAAGAAGTTGGGGTGTTTTTATCCATCAACTTCCCATCAGTCATTGGTTAAAGGCTACTTCTGGGGACCTTATCCTAGACACAAGGAGAGCTTGCCTCTTTGACCACAGGGGAAAAAAAGCCCTCAGACAGAGAGTAATAGTAGCAGGTTTTTGCAGCAAGCAGCCTTTTGCATGTCCGGGTGAACACGGAAGGGATGGTAGGGCACCAGCAGCCTCTGCTATGGTCTCTGAACTTCATATGTTAAAGATCTAGGCTTTATTACCTCAATCATCATTATTATGTTAACGTCAATGATGAATTACAAGGTCAGAAAGGGGTAAGGGGTCTCAGGAAATACACTCCAAAATTGTAATCAGCCACTTTACATTTCTTTCTGGGATTGTCCCTGCACAAGCTGGATGTGGTGGGGAGCGGGTCCCAGATACGGCTGTGCAATGAATCCAGTAAGCATGACTTTCTGGCAGGGAATCCCTGAAGTCGATGCATTTTACTTGTCCTTATGACACTTACATTTAATAATCCAGTGATTCTAAATCTGTATTTAATTGTCATTGTAAGGCATGATATATTGTATGCCTGATTTAAAACAAACAGAAACTCCAATTGATTCAGTCAACAAATGCATCTAATTCTACCACTGATTCATAGTAACTACATAAATTGCCAGTAGGAACAGGAAAATCCCTCTACAGTAAGCCCTAGTTAGGCAACATCCTTCCCTAAAGCTTATTTCTAGAAATAGTCATGAAGAGTGAAAACAACTGCCTCCAAGAATGATTTCTTTCACTGGACTCTGTCATTTACCCTCTACTGGGTTCTAATCAGGTTTTCCAAATAAGTCTCCTGGAAATATCCCATTGCAGCATATCAGATAATTTACCCCAGAGTCAACACAAAATTTAATCAGAAGACAGTAAAATAAACACAGTGGTCATATTTATTTATTACTGACTTCCAATAAATTTTACAGGCCCAGTTCATACACCTAGATTGATTTTCATGCAAAAGATAACATCCTTGCACAAATTATATACATATATATATATATATATATACATACACACCTATCCCTAACTGAAAATACTTGTCTGTATACTAAACATGTATACCTAGTAAAAGAGAGAGAACCAATGTGGGAAACGAGATCACTGGGAACCCTTGATTTTTTTTTTTTTTTTTTAGATGGAGTCTTGCTCTGTCGCCCAGGCTGGAGTGCAGTGGCGCGATCTCGGCTCACTGCAAGTTCCGTCTCCCATGGGAACCCTTGATTTTAATGGTCACCTTGATATTAATGATCCAGTGGCTAAATCCAGCCTATAGGAGTGTTTTGTTTGTCTTGTCTATTATGTTTCATTTGTATGAAAAAGGAATAAGCATTTACATATAGGGGAATTCAAATAAAATAATCCATGTTTCTGCTTCCTCTTTCAAGAATCAGGATCAGGCAACAGTGGTCTCAGAATCTGTGTGGCAACAAAAGGCAGAGGTTGGAGAATGGCTCTCTCCTTAAGATAGGGTGGACACAGCCAGGTGAGGTGGCTCACACCTATAATCCCAGCATTTTAGGAGGCTGAGGCGGGCGGATCACCTTAGGTCAAGAGTTCGAGACCTGCCTGGCCAACATGGTGAAACCTCATCTCTACTAAAAATACAAAAAAAAATTAGCTGGGCATGGTGGCGCACGCCTGTAGTCCCAGCTATTCAAGGAGGCTGAGGCAGGAGAATCGCTTGAACCTGGCAGGCAGAGTTTGCAGCGAGCCAAGATTGCGCCACTGCACTCCAGCCTGGGCAACAGAGGGAGACTCTATCTCAAAACAAAACAAGACAAAAAGATAGGGCAGACACACCCAATTTATCATAGTTATCACCATTTCCTCATTGTCTACCTGCCTTGCCTCTAGGGGTATTGAGTTCGTAACCCATTGTAAATAGAATTTTAGACACAGTTTTGGAAATGTAGCACATCTTACCTTTTACACAGATGCCTCAGATGTAGGAAATTTTCATTTGGAATACAAGCTTCTGTATCTTGACTAATTGCATTAATGTGTATAATTGATGGCGCTCAGCCAGTGCACCTAGGATGACAATGAATAGCACATAAAATATTCTAAGATAGCCTTTCCATTTCCCATTGTAATTATTAGCAATACTCTCCAGGTCTCATCTTAAGCCAGGCCCTGCCGCTGCCCTATACAGGTCTTCCTCTAGATAATTTCTACCACAGCACCAGCACAGCAGAGGAAGGATAGAAGAATAAAGATAAAGCTAAAACATAGAAAGAAGTTAAGCCTAGGTATAAATTTGTGACTAAAACAATAATCTGCTTGTAAGGAAACTGATCTTCTTCTTGTGGAATGGGTTATCTTTCTTTTTTTTTCTTTTTTTTTCTTTTTTTTTTAGAAGGAGTTTTGCTTGTTGCCTAGGCTGGAGTGCAATGGTGCGATCTCAGCTCACCGCAACCTCTGCCTTCCAAGTTCAAGTGATTCTCCTGCCTCAGCCTCCCGAGTAGCTGAGATTACAAGCACCTGCCACCACGCCCAGCTAGTTTTTTGGGTATTTTTAGTAGAGACGTGGTTTCTCCATGTTGGTCAGTCTGGTCTCAAACTCCCGACCTCAGGTGATCTGCCTGCCTCGGCCTCCCAAAGTGCTGGGATTACAGGTGTGAGCCACCGCGCCTGACCATTTTTCAAACAATCTCAACAACTTTGTTTCAAAAATTTTTGTATTAATGCAGGCTCATTTGAATAGGTGCAGTACCTAGTAAATGAACTGTTTGAAAGTTCAACCCTTCATTTGGATGAAAGAACAATTGCCAGAAGGTCTGTCTTAGTATTTCACAGTAAGTAATCATATCTAACCTTTGAAAAATTCCAAGCTTAGCTGATAAAAGGGAAAAAGCTCAAGTGAGGGTTGTGCTCAGTCTAAAGCATTTTGGCATTACAATGGGATAGGAATACATATTTAAAACAGGGGCAAGGGAGGAGGCTGAAGAGGGAAGGAAGGAGGAAAGGAGTGAGGGGTGAGAGAGAGAAAGAGAGACAGAGAGAGAGAATATGACAAAATGACACAATGAATGGCAGAGATGGAAAATTCTTATTTTGTGGGTTAGGGATCATCCTCAGCTCTTTGTATCTTTAAGTTTCTTTTCCATTCAAACCAAAGTTTTAAAGCATGTGACTTTATGAACAACAAGGAGATATAGTATAAAGAAATGAAAAATTCAATGCAAATAAGCATTTGCTTAAGTATTTTAAAGCCAGCCACAAGTTGATTCATGTCAAGGTGCAAGGTTAGGCTGCTACTATTAGAGAGATGCAGCATCTGAGAGCAGAAAGATTTTCTACTTTAGTGGGGCTACAGAATGACTAACAATTTGATAGTTATCACCAGTGCCTGACAAAGGGTTATTTTCAATGACGGAAGATTGGACAATAAAGGACATCCATAGATAAGTTTCTCTATTCATTTTCTGAAAACTTTCCAAACCTGTACATTCAAAAATCTCCCTGGACAAGCCCTTTAAATTCTGCAGGCTCAGTGAAAATACATCTTATCATTATCTGCTGCAGTAAAAATAAAGTTGAAATTGTGCACATATATCATGTATTCATTTCTCACATATTCCCCCAATCATCTATGTAGTAATATTTTCTTAGTTCATATATCCTCCAGCCAGGATTACAGCCCAACCCCCTTCCATAATGAAACATAATGTTTTGAAGCAATAATAAAACCTGTATCACATATGCAACAATCATTAAATCCATAGACTTTCTGTCTGTGTTGGGGAAATCCCTGAATTTGCAATGCCCATCGCTTGTCATAGACATCTTCATGTTTGCTTTATATACAACATCTGTGTAGCTCACTCATGTGATCATGGGAAGAAGAAAGATAAGAATTAATGGGGATTCCACATTGGTACTCTGTTGATCCACTGTATTAGTTTGCCATGGATGTGTAACAAATTACCATAAACTAAGCAGTTTGTAAGAACACTCATTTAGTACCTCACAGTTGTGTAGGCCATAATTCTGGGTGGACGTGGCTAGATTTTCTGCTGAGTTTCACAAGATGTTGGCTGGCTGAGCTCTTTTCAAGAGGCTTTGGGGGAGAATCTGCTTCAACCTAAAGTTCATTTAAGTTGTTGGCAGACTTCATTTCTTGCAGTTGTAGGACTGAGGTCCCCCTTCCTTTTCTGACTGGCAGCTGACAGCCTCCCTCAGCTTGTAGAGGCCATCCACAGTTTTCATGTGGTCCCCTTCATCTTCAAAGCTAGGAATGGTGGTGAATCAAAGCCGCCTTGCGTTTTGAATGTCTCTGACATTCCCGTCTGCCCTCTTCTTCTGCCAGCAGTTGGAGAAAATTCTCTACTTTAAGGGCCCATGTGTTTAGATTAGGCTACTCGATACCCTGATAGCTTACCTTTACAACTGTGTTATGAAGTAACACAGCTGTAACAAGACTCAATGTATGAGTCAAGACTCAATCACAAATTTCATACCCAATTACCTTCACAGGTCCTGGGGATTGGGACCTGGAATCATGGGGAGAATTTCTAGAAAATGTACCTACCACATCTGTCAACGTACTTTTTTTTTTTTTTTTTGAGACAGTCTTGCTCTGTTGCCCAGGCTGGAGTGCAGTGGCATGATCTCGGTTCACTGCAACCTTCGCCTCCCGGGTTCAAGCAATTCTCCTGCCTCAGCCTCCCAAGTACCTGAGATTACAGTCACTTGCCACTACGCCCAGCTAATTTTTGTATTTTTTTTTTTTTAAGAGAGACAGGGTTTCTCCATGTTGGCCAGGCTGGTCTCGAACTCCCAACCTCAGGTGATCTGCTCTCCTCTGCCTCCCAAAGTGTTGGGATTACAGGCGTGAGCCACTGCACCTAGTCTGTTTTGATATATACTGTCCCCTTGTGGGAACAATTTATGAGTATGACATGGACTATATCAACTGTTGGGTGAATAACCGCATTCTAAATGTTCAATGAAGGAAGCCTCAGCTTCCTGGTTGACCATAAGAATTTGCCTCTAGAAGTCGGAGGTGAGTGAATCACCTACAGTCCTCAATAGCTGGCTATCAATACATTATATCTAGACCTCTAGGGGAAGGCAGGCTTATATATAAAAGATGAAAAGCCTAGATAAAAGGATACTTTCTTTTTAAAATTATATGAGCTGTATCATATGAACTCCTCAGCCTCCTCAGCCTCTGGATGCTAATGTGAAGTCTTAATAAATGATCTTGAGATTTGAGGGATAATCAGTCCATTAATTTCTATAACAGATATCTAAATGAGAGTTACTAGAACAAGATAATGTGAATACTAAACATAGTGTAATTTTTCTAGTGCATGTGGCAGATTATATTTTCTAAAGATGGCCACAACAATATCTCCCATCACATACGTTTTTCTGTCAATTTTTGCTTCATGTGTTTTGATGTTCTCTTCGTGGGTGCATATATGTTTATAATTTTCATATCTTCTTGTTGGATTGACACTGTTTATTATTAAATGTATTCCTTTATCTCTAGCAACAATTTTGTCTTAAAGTCTATTTTGTCTGATATTAGAATAGCCTCTCCAGCTCTCTTTTGATTACTATTTGCATGGTATATCTTTTTCCATTTTTAACTTTCGACATATTTGTGACTTTGAATCTAAAGTATGTCTCTTGTGGCCAGGATACAGTTGTATCATTTTTAAAAATCCGTTATGCTGTTTAATTCACTTATATTTAATGCGATTACTCGTCAAGCAGGATTTGTGTCTGCCATTTTGAAATTTATTTTTTATATGCCTTATGCCTTTTTGTTCTTTTAGTCATCCATTATTGCCTTATTTTGTGTTAAAAAGATACTTTCTGGTGTACCTTTTAATTCTCTTGTCATTTCTTTTACTGTATTTTTTTAAGATATTTTCTTAGTAGTTGCCCTGGCAATGACAATTAACATCTTAACTTAAAACAAACTGGCTCAAATTCATGCCAATTTAATTACAACATAATACAAAAAACACTGCTCCAATTTATCTCCATTCTATGCACCCTTATTTGTGTAGATATTGTCATAAAAATTAAAGCATTAAACATTGCATGCCCATCAATACAGACATACAATTATTGCCTTATGAAATTGCCTTTTAAATCAAAGAGGAGAAAAAACAGTTAAAAAGAAAAAATAAATTTATGCTATACTTTATATATGTTTAACTATGTAGTTATCTTTACCTGGGTTCTTTATTTCTTTACATGGTTTTGAGTAGCAGTTTGGTGTCCTTTCATTTTAGCCTGAAAGACTCTCTAATTTTTCCTGTTGGACAGGTCTGCTAGTGACAAATTCTGTCTGTTTTTATTTATCCGGAATGCCTTAAATTCTCCTTCACTTTTGAATGATAGTTTTGATAGATATAGAAGTCTTAGTGTCTTAGTTGACAGTCTCTTTCTTTTAGCACTTCAAATATATCAACACTTTGCCTTCTGTCCTCCTTGGTTTGTGATAAGAAACCTGCTGCTAATCTTATTGGAGATTCCTGATCTGTGATGATATTGCTGCTTTCAAAGGTTTCTCTTCATGATGACAGTTTGATTATTGTTTGTCTAAATGTAGATCTCTTTGAGTTTATCCAACTTGGAATTCATAGGGATTCTCGAATGTGTAGATTCATATCTTTTATTGAATTTGTGAAGTTTTTGGCCATTTTATTTTGAAGCATTCGGCCAGGCGCTGTGGCTCACGCCTGTAATCCCAACACTTAGGGAGGCCAAGGCAGGCTGATCACTTGAGGTCAGGAGTTTGAGACCAGCCTGGCCAACATGGTGAAACCCCACCTCTACTAAAAATACAAAAATTAACAGGGTGTGGTGGCGGGTGCCTGTAGTCCCAGCAACTTGGGAGGTTGAGGCAGGAGAATCACTTGAACTCAGGAAGCAGAGGTTGCATAAGCCAAGATCGTGCCACTGCACTCCAGCCTGGGCAACAGATCAAGACTCCATCTCAAAAAAAAAAAAGAAAAAAAAAAGAAATATTATTTCTGCTGTCTTTTCTCTCTCTTCTCCTATTAGGACTCCCATTATGAATATGCTAGTATGCCTGCTGGTGTCCCACAGGTCTCTTAGGCTATGTTTTTCTTTTTTTTTTCTGCTCCTCAGATTAGATTATCTCAATCAGTCTATTATCAAGTCCACTAATTCTTTCTTCTGCTTGCCCAAATCTGTTGAACACCTCGACTGAAAGTTTTATTTTAGTTATTGAACTTTTCAACTTGCAAGTTTCTTTTTAAATACTTTATCTCTTTATTGATGTTCTGTTCTGTACTTGTAAGACATTGTTCTATGCTTTTCCTTAGTTCTTTAGATGTGGTTTCCTTCAGCTCTTTATAAAATAGCTGATTTCAAGTCAGTAACCTCAGCAACTGGTCTTCCTCAAAGATAGTTTCTATTGACTCATTTTTCCTGTGGATACGCCATAGTTTCTTGTTCTTTTGCATGCCTCGTAATTTAAAAGTGGACATTTAAAATAATATAATGTGGTAACTCTGGAAATCAATTTCTCCTACCTCCCCAGGGTTTCTTGATTGCTTAGTGACTTTTCTAAACTAATTCAGTGAAATCTGTATTTCTTGTCATGTGTGGCCAGTGGAGTCTCTACTCTGTTAGCTAATGATTAGATTGAGATTTCCTTACATGTCTGAAACCAATAAGTCTCCTAGTCTTTGTTGAGGGTCTCTGAGTGCATGTTGAGGCACCCCCTCAACACTCAGGCAGAGAGTTTACAACTCCAACTTAGCCTTTACTTCCTATTTGCAGAGCACCTTGAGGTTAGTCAGACATAAAAAGTTAGAGACTTCTCAGGTTTTTCTTGAGCATGCAAAGAGCCCTATATATGTGCATGGCCCTCCAGATTTCCAGAAACATGTTACAATTTTTGAAGCCCCCATGGACATTTCATTTTCCAGTTATTCCATTTAAGTTTTTTGTTTAGCCTATTGTCTACCTCAATTGCAATCTATGTACCACCTCAGGCAGCTTCAAGGTTCAACAATTGCCTCTGTTGTTTTTGACAAATTCTCTGAAGAAAAAGCTTTACATACTGAGCAAGCTCCAAGTCAGGTAAAATAAAGACAGCTTTGAGAGTGATCTTTCAGGGAACCACAGACAGGTCAAATAATGATAATTCTCTGGAATGTTGCAGAGTGCTTCAACTCTGTTCTACCCTTTCCGGTGGCTGTCAGGATGCTGGTTTTCACTGATTGTAGGCTATTGGTTTTTTTAAGGCTACCATGGGGCTGAAGAGAGGGGGATGGGAATATGGAAAGTTAAAATGCCAGAAATTTTTGCAGTTCTTAATGAGTTTTAGCCATTGTTCTTGAATAAATGCTCCCCAGATTAGCGCAACCCTTTGGTTAATTTCCAGAGTTCTGAAAATGTTGATTCTGACCATTTTTCAGTGTTCTTATTATTTTTATGTAGGAGTGAATTTTCAGAGGTCCTTACTCTGCCATTTTCACTCAATGTGACATTGACACTGCACCATTAAAAAGTGGAGTCTATATCGCCACCTCCTTTAAATCTGTGCAGGCCTTGTGAGTGCTTTGACCAACTGAGTCAGTGGAAGTAATGCTACTCCAGTTCCACTTGTAGGCCATAACTGCCCTGGCAACTCCTACTTTCTGCCTCTTGGAAGCCAGCCATCCTGTAAGAAGGGCAACTACCCCGAGACCATCATGCTGTGAGAATCTCAAGCTACACGTAGAGGCTCTGAAGAATGATACAACATGTAGAGAGTGAGAGATCAAAGAGCACTAAGGTACTAGGCATGTGGGTAAAAAAATTCTTCTTGGAAGCTAACCTCGCAGTCCCATCTTTTCTAGCTCATACAATCTGAACCAGAAATTTGTCCTGCTGAGCCCTTCTCAAATTCTTTGCCCACAAAATTGTGAACAAAATAAAATAATTATTTTTAGCCACTAGTTTTTGAGGTGGTTGTTATGTGACAATATAGCCAAAATGGTAGATAATTAAAGCCAGAAACAGGAGATTCTGCTCTGATGAAAACCAGAGTCATTGTGACTGCCATTACTGCTATTCCAACACCCTCAGTGGGTACCTTTATCATTAAGCCTTTGAAAATTGTTTATTTGTTCTCCTTTTCAATTGATTTATAAAAGGAATGCTACCATAATTCCTCCTAAATATTCCTTTATTCTCTCTCCTCAACTCTGTCTTGACTCATCATGGGGTTTTTGGAGAGACAGAAGTCAATTTCAGTTTTGAAGACATGAAAAGGTTTACCCATCTCTTTAAAGTAAAGATGGCTCCCCCTCCATTTTACCCCAACCCCTACATTTCCTGTGTTACACCATCATCATTCTCCACAGTGACAGCAATCCCAGTAAATAATGTCTCCTCGCTCCTTCTCTGGGACTCAGCTGTTTACTGCTCCATGCCCCTCGATATGTGCATCATACAGACTTCGTGTGGACAGTATGAGGATTCCTAAGTCCTTGCACAGTTTTTTAATTCAGAAATAATCAGTATTGTTACTTTATTTTTTTAATTCTTAAAATTTACTTTTAAAAATAATATTCAATTACTAAAACAACATTTAACAAGCTAGCTTTCCTATAAGTCTTTAAGACCAGTTTGCAAATCCTATTATTCTATTTCTATACACACTAAATTTTAACAGTGACTGACTAGAAAACCTTTAATTAATATTTAGTCAACTCAAATTGAGCAGACTGAACTCCTTAAACTATTAGCCACTGACTAGAAAACCTTTAATTAATATTTAGTCAACTCAAATTGAGCAGACTGAACTCCTCAAACTATTAGCCCTGTTTATAATTCAGTTAATTAATTTACAGGATTTGAATTACATTCATAAATTTATTATATTAAAATTTCTCTTTAAGTATTTCAAAGCCATGACCTAAAACCAAAGCTTTATTCAGTCATTCAGCAAATTTTGGAGCACCTACTATATATCAAGCTCCTTTATAAGTGTTCTGGATACAGCAGCAAGCAAAACAAAATGCTTGCCTTTGTGGAGACTGTATTTTAGTGGGTAAAGTAGGTAATAAACAAGTATATGGTATCATTCCAGATACTGATAAATGCTCTATAGAAGAGAAGGTAAAGTGATATAGTCACTTTTTATTGAATGGTCAGGGAAAGCCTTTTAGAAGGGCTAACATTTCAGAAGAGTACCAAATAAGATATTTTCACAAAACTTAATGCTAGAAAATCTAAAAATTCAACTTGAGACCTAGTGAACCTGAACTTCTCTTAGGCCTTCAGTACTGTTTGCTAACTTAGTAAATTTATCTCACACTTTCCAAATATCATTCAAAAGACTAAAATCAATGACAAAATCTTACATTTGGAATTGGAATCATAATCTAAGTCTTGCATATTCTCTAACATGCCAAATTCTCTCTGATATTGCAAAACCATTAAATACCAAATGGATACAGTATTACAATTATTATGAAAACCTATCCCAAAATTTAATTCTAAGCTTATTTTTAAAACTTTAATATGAAGGTTAGAATGATTGAAATAATGACGTAAATTCTTTACCCTTCCCTGTATCCATGCCATTTGCCAATTGACTGCAGTTCCTCCTATCAAGAGACAATATATTTTCCTACCCCTTGATTCTGAGTCCAGGCACATGTCTTATTTTGGAAAATGTGATGTTAACAAACATGAGACAACTAGAGGCTTGAAAAAGTACTTGTTCTCTTTTTCCTCTATCATTGCCATGAGACCATACCTGGGCTATCCTGCTGGAGGATGAGGGACACATGGAGGAAATTTGAGTTGCATCACAGAGATTTTGTGGTTGTTACACAGCATTATAGTAGAGAGAGATAACTGATGCAAACCCTGTGTTTGTTCTTCATGTTCCATGGGTAGAAAATAAACTTAACAACTAAGACACAATGTTTTCATTTCAAGGGAGCTGAGCATTTTGTGCGAAATTAATCAGGATGAGATTCACCTGCAAAAGTAGCTGACCAAGGAAAAATGTACTTCCCCTGATGTAAAAGTCTAGAGAAAGGCAGTCAGATTGGTACGGCAGTTTCATCATGTCAAGGACCCAGGCTCCTTCTATCTTGTTGCTCTAGTATAGGTCACCTCATTGCCAATGATGACTACTCCAGTTCTAGCCATCTTATCTATACTCCAGCCACAAAGAAGGGAAAAAAGGGAAAGAATAAAGATAGGCTTTTTCTCTCTTCAGAGATAGCTTCTGGATGTTGTACATCACTTCTTATATCCCTTTGACAAAAACATATTCGTATGGTCAAACTTGGCTATAAAGAAGGCTAGGAAATATAATCTTGATTCTGAGCACACATGTGCCCAGCTAAAAATCTGGGGTTCTATTAAAATAAAAAAGTAAATTATAATATTTAAGGATAACCAGCTGTCTCAACATAGCAATCTCAATGCTTAAGCAAACTGGAATTACCAACTAGTTAAACCAGGGTTACCATCTCAGCGGACGGGTCAGGTTGTCAGGACACAGAATCTACTAGGGTAAGGCCCTAATAGGTGCCCTTACCCTTTTATACATTTGCTATGAAAACAAGAGACTCTCTATCTTTTTGAGAGGGATTGGTCTTTGTTGGTTTCAGGTTTTACCCTAAAGTTAATGGTTCCATTTGACTTAACTAGAAGTCGACCCCGAATTCCAATTAATTTTCAGCTAACTTCCTTCAGTTAACCTCTGTGCAGCCTGACTGAATTCTGAATTCTTATTATATTTTTTTCTTTTTAGAAGGATGAAAACCAAATCAGTTATAGTTTTCACGTCTCTCATTCATAACCCTAAAGTCATCTAATAACATATTTGTCAAAGTGCTTTACATAAGCAACTCTGGCATTCCAGCTTTCTGAGATCTCTCTTTTGATTTAGCAAAAGGAAATAATTTCCTCAAATGCTTCTGAGGTTTCCCAAAGGTGGCCATTTGTCTCAGATCAGGCTAGGATCACCTCTTCAATCCTCCTCAGACCACCCCTATCCATTTTGTAACTGCCCCTCCCTTTTGTTTTCCTCTGCATGGTACCTTCTTCACTTCTACTTATCTCAACAATAGTTGATGCAAAGCATAATACAGCCTTGCCCATCTTTTACCAAAGCAAAATAAACAGTAGGCTATTATTTTAAAAACTTTATTGAAGCTTTGTGGTAAACAGAGGGTAATTTAAACACTAATCTGGAAAGATTTAAAACCTGTTCTGAGTTTTCTAGAGCCCACAGGTCTTATTCATTCCCAGAGGTCTCATATTGACCCCCTTCCTCTTTAGCCACTCAGCATGCCATCCTGTTGCTGAGAAGAAAAGCCCTTATCTCCTCAGATTAGTGACCTCTGTCTTGTGCTCTCTCTCAAACTCTTGGGCCTACAACACACTCCCTTTAAGGAAGAAAAAACAGGTGAAAAGCCCATTAATAGCACAATAATCCTCCAGAGATGCAGTCTTACTCCAAAGAAAACAACATTTTACATTTTTATGCATTGTAAGATCTGGGCTTTGCCTCTGCATAACTAAGAGATGCATTAAAATATTATTTTTCTTGTGTACACAAAAGCTCAGGTATCCCAGTGATAAATTCTGTCTTCACCTTGGGAGTTACAAGCACAAACTCCAAGGTAGCTTTTTAAAAATAGCAACTTTTAGTCCTGCTTTAAATATTCTAAAGCACATATGACTAATTAGGCAGACTGATAATAATTTACCATGTTAGCTTACCACTTAAATTCCACCTTCCGGATAAGAAATAAGATGGCTTACCAAAAAGTCACTACCACTGGACTAAGATAAAGAAAAAATAAAATTTAATGAGAAATGGAAAAATAATTGTGCCAGTAATCAGGGATGAGTTATTATAATAAGGACTAAATTTGATTTTGGACTTCTTAGAAGACAAAATCAAAAGGCACGAGGGTTTGTCCAGTTGATTAACCTGATGTCTTATACAATCCTATGATGTGGTGAATGGTTGTTTTAGATTCTCTTGGGTAGATCCAGAGAGAAGTGGGGCTAGAACCCACAGCTACTGTGTAAGGCAGGAGTTGGTAAACAGTTTGTGTAGTTGGCCAGAGAGTAAATATTTTAGGCTTTGCAGGGCTTTGTGGTCTCTGTGGCAGTTACTCAACTTGGTAAGTGTAAGACAAAGGTACCCATAGACAATCTGTAACTGAATGGATGTGGCTATGTTCTAATACAAAAACGTGGTGATCCAGGCTTGGCTCACAAAGCAGTAGCTTGCTGACCCCCGGTGTGAGGGTATGTATTAGGTAAGGGACTGCAGTGAATGGATGAGAAAGCTCCTTCTCTGGAAAGGGGGACTAGTTAGGTTGAATGTGTGAGATATTTATTTTGTAACCATTTTCTTAATGGCAACCACTTAAATAGTATAAGGTGCAGGACCCCCAAAACTTGATACAGCCCCCATGCATGGGCAGTGAACAAGTAGATACAAATGTGGAAATGTCATGAAATCAGGGAATGATTCTGGACAGGTATATATGTAATGCCTTCACTTCCTCTTTGCAATTCATGTAAAATATTTAAGTAATAAAATCAAATTTTCTTTTCCATATCAACTCACACAAGGTTTGAGCCAGACCTGTATAACCTCACCATTTCCATTGTGTTTTCTTTGAAACTACTTCTGAAAGTATTTTAAAGTTATCTTGGGGATTAGCCATATTTTCAGGCCATTTTTTCACTTCCAAGAAAAGTTATGGTGGCTTGACTGATGCTATAGAGTAGAATCCAGGGCAAGTACACGATAAGACAGAAGGAGTATCTGTGAATTCTGTCAGTTTTTTTGTTTGTTTTGTTTTGTTTTGTTTTTGAGACAGAGTCTTGTTCTGTCACCCAGGCTGGAGTGCAATGGTACAATCTTGGCTCACTGCAACCTCCACCTCCTGGGTTAAAGCAATTCTCCTGCCAGCCTCCCGAGTAGCTGGGACTACAGGTGCGCACCACCACACCCAGCTAATTTTTTTTTGTATTTTCAGTAGAGACGAGGCTTCACTATGTTGGCCAGGATGGTCTTGATCTCCTGACCTTGTGATCCGCCCGCCTCGACCTCCCAAAGTTCTGGGATTACAGGAGTGAGCCACCACACCTAGCCCTGCCAGTTTTTAAAAGTTGCATACCACCATCTCCTCCACACACCTTCAAACAAGTATTTTATCAGTCGGAGCTGCCTTTGTTTACCTGCTT
This sequence comes from Homo sapiens, assembly GCF_000001405.40. NCBI lineage: Eukaryota > Metazoa > Chordata > Mammalia > Primates > Hominidae > Homo > Homo sapiens. The sequence goes on along the minus strand of NC_000023.11, from coordinate 37,927,401 downwards.
TAGTCTCTCATAAGAATCCCTTTGTTCTCGAAAGTATCTTGATTTGGTTTAAGGTAATCTTACATTAAACTCTTCCCCCAACCAGAGAGCCTTAAACAAAACACTAAAACTAATATGCAAGCTGGGAACCATGATTATGGATTTGCTGCTGTGTAGCCCAAATGCATGGAAGACTTTCTTGAATATTTGAGGAATGGAATGGCATAATTAACTTTTAGGTTGATTGAAATACATCTTTTAAAGTTTTCCAGTATGTAGACATATCCGTCAGAAGGATTCCATATGGATTTGCATTTATTTATGTGAAAAAATGCTATCAGAGCCTTTTGTTCACCCCCCAATCATGCCATCTTTTTGTAGGTAAAGAAGATTCAATACAGGCTTACTGCAAGCAGAGAGAATGGTTTGCTCTTTCTGAATTATCTACAAGAGAGAGAACATTTCCTGGAAAGGCAATCCTCCATAAGTGGTAGATCTGTCTCTATAAGTTATATCAAATACTGGCACCTACTGGTGAAAATATGACAGAGCAACTATCACACACAAACTACTGAGTCAGAGAGAAAAAAGAAACGAAGATTAGAAATTTAAAATATGAAATCATGGATACCCCTGACAGAAATAAATTATCACGGTTGAGAGAGAATGATAAAGTTCATGGAGAGAAAGAGATTCTGGAGACTGGTAGCCCACATGAAAATTTTTTAAAAAATAGCTAAGAGATGACCATTACTAACAGACATGATGCAGTTGTAAAGCCTCAGTATCCAATATAGCAGTGACTACCACTTCACTTGTCAAAAGTTTTCTATTTATTACTAAAACCAATAGAAAAATCCTAAATTTTATTTGATTAAAATTTTACTTAATTCCTGCAATCATTCATTTAAAAAATATTTATTGAGCACACTGACTATATTTTAAACACTATTCTAGGCTCCAGGAACACAGCAGTGTAATGACAAAGCCCCTGCTCTTGTGAAACATGTTCTATTGGGGAGGGGGGTCAGCCAGTAAAAAAAAAAAGTAAATAATAACTAGAATACATAAGGAACTTAAACAACTCAATATCAAAAAACAATCGTATTGTAAAATGGGCAAATGATCTGAAAAGACGTTTCTCAAAAGTAGATATACAAATAGCAAACAGGTATATGAAAAATGCTCAACATCACTAATCGTCAGGGAAGTGCAAATCAAAACCAAAACAGTATGGAGATTCCTCTAAGCACTAAAAGTAAAACTACCATTTGATCCAGCTACCATTTGATCCACTACTGGGTATCTACCCAGAGGAAAATAAGTCATTATACGAAAAAGATACATGCACAGGTATGTTTATAGCATCACAATTCACAATTGCAAAAATATGGAACCAGCCCAAATGCCCATCAATCAACGAGTGGATAAAGAAATTGTGGTACATATATATATGATGGAATACTACTCAGCCATAAAAAGGAAATAATTAATGGCATTCACAGAAAACTCGATGAAACTGGAGACTATTATTCTAAGTGAAGTAATTCAGGAATGGAAAACCAAATATCATATGTTCTCACTCATAAGTAGGAGCTAAGTTATGAGGACGCAAAGGCATAAGAATGATATAATTGACTTTGGGGACTTGAGGGAAAGGGAAGAGGGGGGTGAGGGATAAAAGACTACACATTGGGTTCAGTGCATACTGCTTGGCTGATGGGTGAACCAAAACCTCAAAAATCACCACTAAAGAACCTACTCATGTAACCAAATACCACCTGTTCCCCAAAAACCTATGGAAATAAAAAAATTAAAACCAAAACCAAAATGAGATACAATCTCATCCCAGTTAGAATGGCTATTATTAAAAAGAGTAATTTTAAAATGCTGGCAGAGAAAAAGGGAACACCATACACTGTTGGTGGGAATGGAAACTAGCAGAGCTGCTACAGAAAACAGTAAACAGCTTCCTCCAAACAATAAAAATAGAACTATCATATGCTCCAGCAATCCCAGTGTTGGTAATATTTCCAAAATAAAGGAAATCTGTATATCAAAACGACATCTGCACTCCCATGTTTATTGCAGCACTATCCACAATGGCCAAGTTATGGAATCAACCCAAGTGTCCATCAATGGATAAATGAATAAAGAAAATGTGGTATATATACACAATAGAATACTATTTGGCCATAAAAAGATTAGAAAAGATTAAAAATTTAAATGAAATTCTGTCATTTACATCAACATGAATGGAACTGAAAGTCATCACGTTAAGTGAAATAAGCCAGAAGACAAACAGCACATATTTTCACACATATATGGGAACTATAAAAGTGAATCTCATGGAGATAAAAGGTAGAATGGTGGTATCAGAGGCTGGGAAGGGTAGGGGGAGGGGGAATGAGAGATTGCTTAAGGGATACAAACAGACATTTAGATAAAAAAAAATAAGTTCCAGCATTTGATAGTACAGTAGGGAAATTCTAGTTAACAATAGTTTATTATGTATTTCAAAACAGCAAGAGAAGATTTGTAATGTTCCCAACACAAAGAAAAGATAAATAGTTTAGGTGATGGATATCCCAATTACCCTGATTTGATCATTACACATTGTATACAGGTATCAAAATACCACATGTACTCCTTTTGGGTACATGTACAACTTTTGGGGTATATGTATAACTAATATTTATCAACAAAAATTAATAGAAACAATAAATATGTAATATTTCAGATATGTGGTAGGGAAAAATGAAGTAAAAAAGAGGTTAGGAGTACTCTTGCTATTTTATATAGGGCAGTCAGGGAAAGCTTCATGATAAAGTAACTTACAAGTATTTCATAAAATTTTTATGCCTTCAGATTGGAAGATGTAACTTCTTACTTCTTCTATAAGCTATACAATAAGTATTCACGCATTAAGGTATTTACATCTATTTGGTCAGTTTATGGAGCAATGGGAAAAGAGAAGCCACCTTCCAGGTACCTACTATGTGCCACACACTTTATATACTATATATGTTATCTCATTTAATCCTCATCATCAACCTCTGAAGTATTAGTAAGCTTGCTGTATAAACGGGGACACTAAAGTTCAGTGAAAATAAGTGAATAACCCAAGACCATATAGTCGTTAAGTATCAGAGGTAGGATTTGAACCCATGACTGATGGGATTCAAAGTCGTGAAGCTAAAGCTGGATGCCCTACGTAGCTACTGGAAAGTGCCAGTCAGAGAAATTATACTGCCTTGCATACCAAGTGATGTAAATTTACTTTTTATCTAGACTTACCTTAGGGCATGCAGAACTTTCTACTTTGTATTTATTTATATTGTGTCAATTTTCCCCAAGAGGTTATATAAGCTTTATGAGAGTGGCATCTGTGTCTGAATCATCTTCGGTGTCTGGTAGAGTGTCAGAACCTTGGCGGGAACCTCTTAAACATATGCCTAAATACTTAACTGAATGAAATAAACCCAGAAGCTTAGAATTAAGTCACTAACTATTAAGTCTTTCCTCAAATAACACCAATGTTTTTTGAACAACACACTAGGGAAAAGTCTTATGGTAACTAAGAATGTCACCTGCTTCTACCAAGGTAATTAATAAAGAGTTAAATCATAAGCACTTAAATCAAATTAGAAACAGGATTTGCAGGTGAAATTCACAATATTGACTAAGTGGGTTTCAGTGTTCTTTGAAGCAAAGTCTTAATTGTTGTTGTTGGTAGTGATGTTTTTCTAACACAAGGAGCCCCTCCTACTGCTAAGCACATGAGTTCCATGACCTTTAACCTTTGGAGTTAAACCTTTTGAGAATATATCTGAGAATTGTATATATATACACAGATATATATATATACGTATATGTATGCCATTCTTTATATATATATAAAGTTTATATTTGTTATAGATTCCATAGTCATATTTCCCCTTTGTAAACCACTGGACTAGAGGATCAAAAATGCTTTTTGAACCTGTAGTCATTTTTACTCTTCAGAGTAATAAATGAAACAGTACTTCTTTCATTCTTGGAAACACTACTTAAGGGCATCTTTGTAACCAAGCAGGTGAGAGATTACTACACACTCAAGACTAAACTAGTGGAGAAACCATGAACAGATTCTGTAGAATAATGTAGAACAGTGTCTTTGTTATGCCCAGGGTCAATTTGTAAACAGCTTTTGCTTCTTCTGGCATAGAGGAAAAGAAAGATTTGAGGATATGAAAAGAATGACTCTTACAGCAGGGGAATAAGTGGACATCTGCAACATGGCTGCAGGCCAAGAGATAAGGAGAGTAAAGACAGTGTGCCTCCCTGCAAAAGGGCAGGGCCAATGGACGGAAAGCACAATATATCTGATACCAAGTTTTAAATTTCCTTTCTGCATTGTAAATCCCTGGTATTATCCTCAAGCCTTAAACAAGACAACTTTCTGTTAGCTGGGTTTTGAGAAAGAGGCTGTTTTCCACAGTTTGGGGATGAAATGGGTCAGAGAGAGGTAGTAGTATCATGGAGAACCAGTTACTAGGAAGCAGGGGTGACTGAAAGAAAAGCTGTTATGTATGTGATACTAAGTGAGGGGACAAGAGAAAATTCACGTTAAGCTTGTGACACACGTAAAAATACCCAGGGTTCCTCAATCTTACTGGGAGAGGAAAGTGACCCCCAACATTCTCAAATAATCATGTTCCTAGTTTATATTAAAGGGAGAGGTAATGCAGCCCCTCCACCAATCTCTAAGGACTGAAGAACTAGACACATTTGAATTATACTATAGTGGTGCCTTTGTTTTCAAGGATAATAAAGGGCATTGCCAAAAGGCACATGTAAGAGCAAATGTATACATATGGAAAATTCATTGAGTAGTCTCAGGTCATGGCACAAAATGAAAAGATAGTTTGTATTTAAATAGTTCATAAAGTATATCCACATTTTCCCTAGACTAATATTTACTTACTTTATTACTTCAAACTATCCCTTTAAAAATGGATCATCAACTGGAAGTCATAATAATTTTGTTTTATTGCTTGCCATATGGGATTTTCTCCCGAATATTTGGACATTATAACTGCAGACAATTTGAGAATCTTTACCTCGGAGGCTCTCCATCCAACACCATTTTAAGAGAAGGGAAGTGACATTGCCACAAATATCCCTGATGTTCATCTCCTCTATAAAATCCCCATGCTTAAACCCTCACAGGAAGAACTTCCAAAGGAGAAACCAATGTTTTTGTACACCCAATACTTCTGGGCAATTTTCAAAATTTGATTTTCTGATGTTTGAGATGGTGATGAAGTAGTAGGGAGAGGGAGAGGTGTAGCTAATGTGCTTCAAAGTGGATGTCTCAGCTATAAAACCACAAAAGCCAAAATGGGATTATTGTTCCTCCAATGAATAAGCAATGAATAGCATCAGGAAACAAGCAACGGTCATAAAATAATGAATCAAATCCTAAATTGGTAGCATTTCGTTGTCAGTGTGACTCACTCCTTTTCCGTCCAACTCATCCTTTCATTAACAAAAGAAACAAAGTCACTCTGATCATCTAGACTTCTTGAGTATCCAATTTTTTCACTATTATTGTTCCCTCTTATATTTACAGACCTGTTTATTTAATCCAATGAGGTGGAGGCAAAGAGCTTTACACTGTGCTTTGTTGTAAGGAAGCATAGATGGCTAGAGAAACAGGGAAATATTGTGGTATAGAAATAGTAGTTAATACTTATTTAGTATTTACTAAGTGCCAGATAAAAGAGGTAAAGTAACATACCCATATTATAACTGGTAAGTGGCAATAGCAGAATTCCAACCACTGTACTTTACTTAGTGTGAATTCACATCCTGAATCTGCATTTACTTATAGACCAGATTTGATCTTAATGATGTGAATAATTCTGAAGTACTGTATTTTGCAGCCTTGAGGGAATATCATATACTAAATTCCTAATCATTTGTTTCTTCCACCAAGAGGATGTTGTGGGATTCTTGGTAGCACAATGAGAATAACAGAAGAGGTTCCCGGATCTGTAATTTCTTCCGTTTACTTAAACTTTCTGACCCAAGAAACTCTGAGGTTTCAAGGATCATCTAATGGAATACCTGGGCATCAGGAAAGACAGTTTCATATAGGAGTTAACAGCACAGACCTGGGAGCCGTAATGTCTTGGTTTGAATCTTGGCTCCTCCAGTTAATAGCTTGAGATAATACGTTACTTAACTTCTCCATGACAGTTTCCATATCTCCAAATTGGAATAATAATGGCACTTACTCTTAGGGTTGTTGTGGCGATTAAACAATAGAATCAGTCAAGCGAGTAGATCAAGGGCCACACTGCTTTGGCACCTCATGCACAGAAAGCACAAGGAGAAAATTGAGATGAAAGACCAATACAGAGCCCTTTCCTCTCTATTACTGGAGGGAAGCAGTAAAATAATCATGTGACCTTTGTAAGAAAGGGATCATGTGACCCTTTTAAGAATAAGAATGAAGTCAGTAGTCAGGTGGGCCTGTGAAGGAAGCTCCAGGTAAATGCAAGGAATTTTGCTCCTTAAACATTGTGGTTTTTGTGCTAGATGTTCTAGGCATCATATTCCATCAACTGAGTATTTATTGTATCCATATGGCACTGATGTAGGGAATGGGGATACACAGAATTGCAAATCGGTCTATCCTCCAGAAACTAACATTTTAGCTATGAGTAGACATATTGGGGGCACAGAAGGGCTAGCCTAGATGCTAGATATAAACATGGTAGAAGTTCAGAGAAGAGAATGGTGGGCAAAGGCTGAGCAAACCACAAGAATTCTGGATTTATGGCTAAGTTTTATCTTGATCTCATCCAGGCAGATCATAGATGCCAAGAGAGAGCCAGGGAGGTCCTCTAGGCATGGCAAAGGGTACAGAAAAAATATAGAAATGTATATGATATCACTAGAGTCCAGTAGTTCTACCAATTGGCTGGAGGAGACGATTCTACAGGGAGAGGAGTAGTGGGAGCTGCAGTGAGAGGTGTAGGAGGAAAAGCTACCTCCACAGATTTGACTCCATCTGTGGAGGTAGATTTTCCATGGCCTGAAGTCTTGATGCCAGTTTGGCACCTTGGTGAGCAGAAGTTTCAGACCTCGTCCCAAATATTTTTGGTAAAATACAAGGTAAACTACTTCAGGAAATAACAATAATAATGAGTGGTTATCACAAATTCCCTGTGAGCTGAATGGACTATTATTTCTTATTCAGATTTTTTCATTGATTACAAAGGATATTAAACCTACTGATTGAATGCGCAAATCCACATGGGCCAAATAGCATCCTGGCAACATCAGAATATCTTTTGATCCTCCCAGTAAATGCTCTGGTCATGTTCCACTGTTGGGAATGTTCACAGACCATATGCTCTTCAGAAGCATATATATATTCCAGTGGATTTTCTCCTACTTTTACTGGTAACCAGTCAAGGATTCAGATATTATCTATACAGATACGAGGTATACTTAATTTCTCACCCAGATTAATTTAAAAGCACCCCTTAAAATACTGCCCAAATGTAATTCTTTTCCGTGCTTTTAGTGTCAACAACAGCATGGCTTTGCCTATTAAGTTAAAACACAAAAAGGTTACAAAAATGTTTCAGCAAATATTTAGCTAGAACAAGGTCTTCAGAAGAAAAATAGAGGAGAACAAATAAAGGTTTCATGTGGCCAATATTACAAGTGGCACTTTACAAATAAATACATCTATATCCAAAGCCTTTTCGTTTTGTGGAAATGTCTTCTATCAATCAGTTAATGACATGTGTCCCAGACCAGACACTGCAGACAACCATTCTAGCTTGTGGTGGGAGTAGGGTTAAAGAGCAAGGGTGAGTTTACAATGTATCAGCCTAATATGATCACCTTTTAGGTATTTAGGATACTTAGATCAAAGGGAATTGGCATATGAATATGGGGCAGACAGAGATTTCTTTCTTCCTTTATATTCTCCCTATATAAGAATATACAATATACTTCTCTAAGTGTTTTTACTATAACCTTTTACTCAGCTTTAGAGAACGTGAAATGAGGTCAAACTCCTTGTTTATAGTGTCCAACGTAATTAGAATAAAGTGTTGTTTCACCTGGCTACTCACTTTGCCAAATGCCAAGGGAGGAAAAACAAGGAGTACCCCTAGTCATTAATATCAGAATGAAACTGCTTTTCTAGAGCTAAAACTGCCATGTCAAGTTCTGTGTAGAGTAGTCAAAGGGTCCAGGGGTCCTCCCCTCGGGATTCTAAGTCCTGTCAACACCTTGACCATCTCTATGCAGAGATAGAAGAAACTCAGGGGATCGGGAAGTTGAGTTCTTTTGTCTATGCCTCCATGGCTGATACTGGAGAATGACTCACACTTTCTCCAAACCCCTTCTAGCAGGCCTTCTTGTACTGCAGATGCTAGAAAGCTAAACACACACACACACACACACACACTCACTCACACTTTCCAGACTCCCTTGCAGCTAGAGTTCTAATTGTGGTTTATAATCTAGTAGTCAGATGCATCCACGGGATGACTGGAATGAGAATGTGAACTTTGTGCTGGATGTCAGTGATTCTTTCAAGCAGTGAGTTCAAGGCATTCAGTTCATTTGGAGAGCACTGGTGAAGGTTCTAATAGCTATTCTCCAGAATGACAGATGCTGAGCACCATGAGGCAGCAGGGGCAAAGTGTTTGCTAGAAACATCCTGCAGTGTGATTACTGGTACTTCTGGCCATGTAGCATCCAAACCACGTTCTCTGCCTCTCCCAGAAATTCCTTGAAGTACCATCCTCAGTTATTTGTTGCCATAAAATGATGCACAACAGCCCTATAATTTCAGTGACATACAAAAATAAGCATTTAGTTATCCCATAAATCTACAGAGTTCAGATGGCCTGGCCTTGGCTGATTTTGGCTGGGTTTGCTAATATATCTATAGTCAGCTGCAATTCAGCTTGCCTAAATGCCTGGAGATCAAGTGGCTGTTAGACAATCCAAGATAGCTTCAGCTTGGGTAACTTTCATGACTTGGCTCTGTACCACATGTCTCTCATCCTCCAGCAGGCTAGCTTTGGCTCTTGTCATCTTCCTGAAGTTGACAGAGGAACAAAAACAGAAGTAGAAGTGTGCACATGCTTTTTCAAGCCTCTATGTGCTTCATATCCACTAACATCTCCTTCACCAAAGCAAGTCACATAGTCAACCTCAGAATCAAGGGACATATAGATATTATCCTTAGTGAGAGAAACTACAAAGTCACATGTCCAAAAGACAAGATTAGGGATGGAGACAATTGGGGCCATAAAAATCATACCACCTAATACCTTCAAATAAACTCTTCTGCTTAAACTGGGCAGAGGGGATTTACTTGTTTTCAACTAAAAAACTTAAGTAATATACCCACACTGCTTGATCATCAGGGGTTGAAACTCACAATAGTGGGAAAACTACACCAGAAAAAAATCTTGGAAAAGTGAATTGTTTGCCAAGCAAATGTAGTAACTGAATTAAGAATTCTATGATTAACCTCATAATCTTTGGTTTGCTCCTGCCCTCCCCTTTCTTATTTCCTTTTGTTGCCCTGCTGTCCCTTTCCTGGCCTTTTTCCTTAGAGTATAAAGAAGCAGAATGATAGCTATTTGCTAATAAATGCATTGAAAACGTCTGAAAAAAACATCAGTAACAGTTAACAGGAGTTGCCGCTGAAGAGGGATATAAAAACATGAAAAGGTGGAAAGCAATTTTCACTGTGTGCTCTTTTATGTTTGAATTTTTTAATGTTACTGAATTATTCTTTTGGTGAAAAATTAGACAAAAAATTAGATAAGGAAATGGAAAGAGATAGATGAATAGACCAATAGTGAAACAAATTCTGTATGTAGCTATTGGTTTTACTCTTTTCTGTGCTTAGGAACTATAGGGCTAGCCATAGTTTGTGACAGAAATTCATGCCACTGGCCAAAAATAAGATTGGAGCTGTTTAGCTAAAAATTCATTACCATGAATCCATACAAATACAAATAAATTATTGAATAAATAAACACATAAATGAAGGAAGGAAGAGACAAATCTTAAAGGGCAGAAAAATTCTAAATAATTTTTGTAAATACCTTCAAGGAGGTGGAACATAATTCCTGATTCCTTAAATATGGGCATGCAGTATGGAAAGGGAGAAAAAAATGTGACTTTATGGTGGAGAAATCTGACAGTCACTACTTCAGCCAGGTGATCAAGGTCAACATCAACAATGATAAGTTATGTTGATAGTATATACCCTTTATATGATGTTATGAGAATGGCACTCCTCCCAAAAATACAGAACCCCAGTCTAATCAGTAAAAAATATCAGACAAATCCCAGTTATGGACTTTCTACGAAATGTCCAACCAGTACTCTTTAAAACTGACAAGATCATCATAAACAAAGAAAATCTGAAAAAATGTTACAGCCAAAAGGAGCCTAAGGAGACATGAAGACTGCGTGGGATCCTGGAACAGAATAAGGACATTAGGTAAAAATTCCGAAAATCTGAATAAAACATGAGCCTTAGTTAATGATGATGTATCAATATTGCTTCATCAGCTGTAGCAAATGTGCCATACTGATGTAAGATTTTAATAGGGTAAACTGGATATAGGTATACGTAACTCTCTACTATCTTCAAAATTTTTCTGCAAACCAAAACTGTTCTAAAAATAAAGTTTATTAAAAATCCATTACTAATTCTGAAAAAATAATTAAAATCAATCAGTCATTCAACCAGTAGGTATTGTAGAAGATACAAGTAGCACTATCTAAACACCTAATCAGACTCATACAAACAGAAACTTCAAACTTGGAGCCAGGTGTTTGTGTAGCTCAGAAAACAGCCATCACAAGATCTATATAGCTCAGTAGTGAGCCCATTTGAAAGCAGCTATGGTATGAATAAATAACTATACCTGATCTGCATAATAAGTGTACAGTACTAGCTTTCCTGTATGCTTAAGCAGTCTTTTAATTTATGGAGAAGTCAGGAAAATGCTTCTTTTTCCTTATGTATTAAGATTGTGCTATCCCTGAAAGTAAGTGTTTTAGTGGAAGGTTAGGAGGGGTGCGTGGGCTCCGCTCATTACAGCTCACTGCAGTGTAAAGGTCTTAAATGAAACAAGACTCAGCTTGCCAAAGCCCACCTTATGCTGTTGTGTGGGAGCCATTAGGGAGTTATTCTAAAGTGGGCAACTCTTAGTGGAGAAGGAAGACTGATGAATCCAAGAGCAAGATCAGATCCTTTGAGAAGGAGGCAGGAGTTCCTAACGGAAGTATGGAGACTTGTCTGCAGAAAATTGAAAAGTAAAGTCCTCTTATGGCACACAGTAGAGTAGGTGCTCAATAAATGGTAGCTATTATTATTATTTAAAAAAAAAGATCTGTGAGGTAAGAATGGAAACTGAGACGGCTCTCCTACCCTCCATGAAAGGTTAGAGGTAACTGCTTTCTCTGTAGGCTGTGGGTTAGGTAATATTTGGTATTCAGTTTAAAATTATTTCCCACATCTGTTGTAGTTTCCTTTGCTTTGCTTAGAGCAAGTTTCTCAATCTGGGGTCCACGAACCCCCAAGAATATATCAGTAGAATTTAAAGAGTCCATGAACTTGGATGGGAAAAAAAAATGACATCCTTATGTTCACTAATCTTTATCTGACATTTAATATTTCCTGCAAGTATGAATGTAAGCAACAAACCACAGTAGTATTAGCAGTACCCGTGACTGTCACTAAAGAAACAGATATTTTTCATATCATATTACAGTTATTGTAGATATCATGTAATATGTTTCAAAATCATTACTACTTTAAAATTTAGGTCATTAGATCCACCGTTAGATCTTGTTGCTTAATAACTTAATTAAAAAGTACATAGAGTACTATACCACACAATTGCTTTTAATTTCTGATAACCGTATTTCAATACAATTTGCTTCCTTTGTAATCCAGTGAGTTTGAGTTTATGTATTTAAGCCACCATTCTGATAAGGAGGTCACCGACTTCATCAAAGGTTCCAGGGCACAAATGATTTAAAGATTACAAATCCTGGCCCAAAATTCAAAAATCTGGTACAGTTTTACTGCTTTGTTTGGTGGCATTGTTAAGGAAAGCAAGGAGTAGGTTTGGAAGTATAAAGAAAAAGGTCATGTCAACTGCCTCCCTACTCACTACCATTTTACCCAACACACGCCTGTGCACGTGCATGCGCGCGCACACACACACACGAAACAAGGAGGAACGTAGCCCCTGTGTGCTGTGCTGAGACAGCAGTAAAATAAGAGGTGGATTGTGCACAGCAAAGAGCAATGGGCAGCTTCAGGACATATAGAAGAATCACAGGCAAATGGACACAGGCGCAGAGAGGACACAACAAACTGTGTTTTTCTAAATATACTAGAGGATGTGACCCTGAAGGGCCGTAAGAAAAACGGAATCTTGTACCCTGCCATTCTAGTTGATTACAATATACTTAACAACACAAAAGAAAAAAACACATTACATGATGAGAAACATTGACTCTGAGAGCCATTAGTTTAGAGTGAGGGCTAGAGGAGGCTTTTCACTGAGGCTGTCCTTTGTTAGTACAGCATCTTTGTTGGTGATGGTTTCATTTCTTTAAATTATTACATAAAATCTGATGTATATAAAAGAATCTGTATCAATTTAAATAAGTTATAAAGAGTAATACTAAATGAGCCTTTATGAACCCATCACCGCATTCAAGACCCAGAACATCATCAATGTTCGTACCTCTACTATCTGCTCCTACCTTATCCCATCTCTGTCTCCCCAGTACTATTCTGAATTTTGGGTTCACCTTGTTTTAGGATCTATCATGTGTGTATGATTCCTAAGAATGTGTTGTGTAGTATTGCTTTTTTTTGGGCTTTATAAAAATGATACCCAACTGCATGAAGTTTTTGGTGATTTTGTTAATAATATGCATCTGTGTTCTTGCATAGAGAAATGGTTAATTCATTTTTACTCTGTTGAAATAATAATTAATACCAAATTTATTTATCATTTTTCCATCAATGGACAATTAGATTATTTCAGAATTTTTGTATTATGAACCATGTTGCTATGGCCATTCCTAAGGAGAGTTCCTGCTTCACATGTAGGAGTATTTGTCTAGGTGATATACCTAGAAATAAAGTTGCTAGGTCATAGGGTATGCAAAATGTTCAACTTCACAAGACAGTACTAAATTTTCTTTTCCAGAATGGTACCAATTTGTACTCCTATCAATAAAGTATGAGTTCCTATTGATCCACATTCATACAATAGTTGGAATTATCAGATCTCATGATGTATTTTCATCTTTGTACACCAAAGATAGTATTTTGCCTCATCATAGAAGGGACATAAAAATGTCAGCAAGTGCTAAAAAGTTTTGTCAGCATAGCTTACTTCAAGGTTACACAGAAGGTTATACAGAGGCTGAAACAAGAGTTTCAATGTAGGTAGTTTGTTTGGGGAAGTGATACTAGGGAATAGAAGTAGGAAATTCAGGAAAGGAAAAGAAGAGAGAAAACCAATACGGGAGTGTATTTTTGAGTTGGTCACAACTGTAAACAACTAGGGCGTAATCCTACTTAGTTAGACCCTCTGAGAATCTCTTGGAAACAAACACTATTAAAAGGCAATTGAGAATTATCAGGCCAAGGATGGAGGAGGGACTATTTATCTTAGGTTCCCATCTCACATTGGTCAAGGGTTGGCTCTTGGGCCTTTAACTCCCTCACATTCCATAACACACATGTGTGGGTACAAGAGTGTTCCAACAGGCCTTCCTGTTGAAACATCAAAGAAGTCCTGGAGTGAGAAGTGAGATATTTGCTGTGAGGCTAAGGCAAGGCACTCTCTGGTTTTACCCACATAAAGCTGGTTAATGGACTAACGGCTTAATTAAATGGTAGGCTATAAGGCTGTGCAGTGAGGCACAAAAGATGTCCAATAGACATAGCTAGTAAGTGGCAGAGATGAAACTCAAACACATGTATCTATCACAGATCAAATATTAGGTACTTGGTATATAGCATGAAAACACTGTCCACTGCCTACCAATAGCCAACTCTACCTTTCATCTCTGCTGACAGAATGCCAATTGGTTTCAATAGCAGACAAAGATCTCTGTGGTAGAGCTGGCACAGTAGCTCCATGGTGCCACCACAGGCCCAGATTTCTTCTACCTTTCTGTTCCAGCATCTTTAATGCTAGCTTACATCCAGTCAGTCACTCCATGGTCCAAGATGGCTCCAGGCATCATGCCTGCATTCAAGACTAACAGCAGGAGGAAGAAGGGGGAGGTACAAAAGGGCCCTCCTCCCAGCCAAGTCAAATCCCTTTAAGCAGGCTTCCTAGAAGTACCACACAACACAATTACCTCTCACTGGTGGAACTCAGTCATAGGTTCACACCTTGATACAAGGGATGCCAGGAAATAGAAACTATTTGCTAGATACATCATTACCAGTAATAAAACTGGTATTCTGCCACTAAGGGAGAAGGTGGGAATAGATATTGCATGGCAACTCAAAGTCCCTGCCACAATAGTCATTTGATTTAGAGCAGGTTTTTAATATACATATATCAGTCTTCTTATTTGTAAAATGGAAATTAACATGACTACCTCACAAAGTTGTTATGAGGAAAAATAAGATAATATAAATAAAATTGCACAGTGGCTGGTATGCAGAAAATACTTAATAAATGCTAGCTGGTATTAATTCACTTCGATGAGTCATCAGCATCAGGGCCTAGCTTTGAGCCAACCCCCAGATAACTGATCTTTATCAGTGTCCCTGTATTTATTAGGTTTGAGGGTGTTGGGTGCTGACTCACACCCACAACACTCATAAGTGTTTAAAGCTAGAGTGGCGGCTTAGTAATTTACAATGGGAGATATAACTGTCAGGGAGACCAGACACTCTGACCAGGTTATTCTCACCCTGAAGGCAATGAACATGTGGCATCCTAAGGCTGACTGCTGAGCATGAAGTCAGGAGAAACAGAATTAATTATACAGTTCAGATCTTTAACGGCATTGGGCTTGTTGTATCCATCTCCACAATTGGGCTTCTGTTATCTGGTGGTCAGAAGCTCAGGCTAGAAACATGACAGGTAACCTCTTCCCATTGACAGTGCTGGGAGGTGCATTACTGGAAAAATTCACCAAGAATGTGGAACATGTGGGAAAGCTATGAGGGTAAACTCAAAACAGTTATGGCATAGTAAATCTATTCTTAATAGAAGCCCTATACATCTGGCATAACTTTGGAAAAGTTGTAAGGGAAATACTTTAGCAAGACCCATTCTTTAGATAATAGGCCCAGAGTAAATGGGGCAGCTAGAAACCTGATTACATCTTTGTTTAAAATACTTATTGGATTACAAGTTGAATACCTTTTTAAGTTTAAAATAGAAATATTTTCACTGTTTCATATGGAGATATAAATAGAGCTTTAAGAACAATTTAAAATAACATAAAATGCTTTAAATTAAGCAAATAGAAAATCATAACCTGTGTGTATACAATATACATGTACGTATATGTATGTGTGTGTATATATATCACCTATATATAGCACATATATATATATCAAATTTTCTAATAACAGTAACAAAATGTGAATTTTACCGATTTAATTCTATGAAGTCAGGTAAAATATTTTCTTCATATCCAATAATTTTGGGGAGGGGATACTCTTTGATGTAGCTCACTGTTGGTCTCGTGTAGAAACAATTGTGTGATTAAATTAGAAATAATTTAAAATTAATGTTTTAGGGGGGAAATTTGCAATGCCCCATGAAATCTCTAGAATGGTTAATCCTTTAAAAATCGCATATGAGAAGTATGCAACCAATCTCATAAAATCAGCTTTGAGCTTCTAGAAGAGCAAGCTGCAAAATAGCTCTATGATTGGAGAACAAACATGAATAGAGACTAATGGGCTGATGTGTAGCCTCTGTATTTATTCACTTCTATTTGTATGAGATTAAAAGAAATCCCAATACAGCATTTTCTCCCACTTTCTCATCCTTCGTCCTATTAACAGAAAAAGTAATTATGCTTGGCAAAAAGAAAAATGTAATGCTGGCCGGGCACAGTAGCTCACACCTGTAATCCCAGCACTTTGGGAGGCCGAGGCAGGCAGATCACTCGAGGTCAGGAGTTCAAGACCAGCCTGGCCAACATACTGAAACCTCGTCTCTCCTAAAAATATTTTTTAAAAAATTAGCTGGGTATGGTGGCAGACACCTGTAATCCCAGCTACTCGGAAGGCTGAGGCAGGAGAATCACTTGAACCTGGGAGGCAGAGGTTGTAGTGAGCTGAGATGGCGCCGCTGCACTCTATCCCGGGCAACAGAGTGAGACTCTGTCCAAAAAAAAAAAAAAAAAGTAATGCTATCAGCAATTAGAATTACAAACTTCACATACAATGATGTATGTAATGACCCTGACTCATCCAATACCATAAAGTCTCAAAATGTCAGAGATACATGGTTTGCAATGTATCATCCCTACACCAGCAGCATCAACATCATCCAGGAACTTGTTAGAAAGGCAAATTCTTGGGCTCTACCCCGACACCTATGGAATCAGAAATTCTGGGGCTGGATCATAACAATCTGCTTTTAACAATTTCTCCAGGTGATTCCGATGTCCATTAAAGTTTGAGAACCACTCATCTAGACAGAACCATGCTACTTCAAGTATGATCTGTAAACTGGTAACATTGAAATCACTAGGGGCTTGTTAGAACTGCAGAATCTCAGACCCCACCTAGACTTATTGGATTAGAATCTAAATTTTAATAAGGCCTCCAGGTGACTGGTGCGCACATTAAAGTTTGAGAAATGTTGTACTTGTCCAATGGTTTCTTTCATGGGCTGAATTGTGTCTCCCCCAAATTCACATGTTGAAGTCCCAGCCTTCAGGGGCTCTAAATATAACTATTTGGAGATAAGGCCTTTGATGAGGTAATCAAGTTAAAATTAGCTCTTTAGACTAGGCCCTGACACAATATATGACCAGCATCCTTATAAGAAGAGATTAGGACACAGACATTCACAGAGAAAAGACTGTAGTAAAGATACAGGGGGAAGATGGTCAGGTGCAAGTGAAGGAGAGAGGCCTCAGGATCAACCAACCCTTGATCTTGGACTTCCTGCCTCCAGAACTGTGAGAAGAAACATTTCTGTTGCTTAAATCACCCAGTCTGTGGTCCTTTGAATGGCAGCCCTAGCAAACTAATATAGTTTCCAAACTCAGGCACATGTTGGAGTCATCTAGGGAGTTTTTAAAATATTGATACCTGGGTTCCATTCCCAGAGGTTCCAATTTAAGTGGTCTGAGGATCAGCTCATAAATCTTGATTTTAAAAACCTCTCCAGCCAGGCATGATGAATCAGGCTTGTAATCCCAGCACTTTGGGAGGCTGAGGCGGGTGGATTACCTGAGGTCAGGAATTGGAGACCAGCCTGGCTAACATGGTGAAACCCCGTCTCTACTAAAAATACAAAAATCAGCCGCGTGTGGTGGCAGGTGCCTGTAATCCCAGCTACTTGGGAGGCTGGGGCAGGAGAATCGCTTGAACCTGGGAGGCAGAGGTTGCAGTGAGCTGAGATCACGCCATTGCACTCCAGCCTGGGCAACAACAGTGAGACTCCATCTCAAAAAAAAAAATAAAAACAGAAAACAAACAAACAAAAAAACCTCCCCAGGTAATTTTTAATGTGCAACAAAGTTTGAATACCACTGCTAATCTACTCCAGGGGTGTCCAGTCTTTTGGATTACCTGGGCCACACTGGAAGAAGAATTGTCTTGGGCCACACATAAAATACACTAACACTAATGATAGCTGATGAGCTAAAAAAAAAAAATTGAAAAAAAATCTCATAATGTTTTAAGAAAGTTTACAAATTTGTGTTGAGCCACATTCAAAGCTGTCATGGGCTGCATGTGGCCTGCAAGCCACAGGTTGGACAAGCTTGATCTACTCCATTCTTTTCATTGATGAGAAATCTAAGACAATTGTAATCATTAAATTTCAATCTCTCGATACTTGCTTATCTGATCTCCCACCATGATGTCCAAAAACTACCTTCTGTAAGTATTTGAGAGAATATTCTACTGGAAAAGAGAAAGTTAAATCAAAGCGGGCAATAATATACACTCTTTTCATGCTTCAACTTTTTAAGTTTTAGTGTGTGTGTGTGTGCTAGGGACCATTTTGAACTGTGTGTGGGGGAGGGGGGCAGTAGTACATCTTCCCCAGTACAGGTATAGAGAAGGTCCCCAAAGATAATCTGTTGAACCAAGTTGTCAGTGCCACTACCTCTCCCTAGGTTCTTCTTTTCCCTCTTGTTAAGTTTCCCTCCAGGCTCCTAGGATCCAAATTAAAGACATTCAGATGCTGTAAACCAGCCTTCCAAGGCATTGGCAGCAAACCACTCATCAGTTTTTTTTCCTCACTAAATCCTTTCCCATGTCCCTGTGAAGTTTTGAAGCTCCCAAACTCAACACTCCACTCAAAGGACAACTATTTACTGAATATTTACTCTTTTCCAGGAACTTGAGGGTTTGATCCATACTTAATAGAAACCCTATGAGATTACACACACACACACACAGGCAAGGTGCAGTCTCTAAAAGTTAGCACACTCCATAAAAGTGATTTGGCACCCTTAAAATACCATATACCCATGTGGAGAGGGGAAATCTGCTCTAAATGTGTGCTTTTGCTACATTGATTAATATTTAGTATTTTACTTGGCCAGAACATTGATACGATCACAGGTTCAAAAAGACTTATTTTCTTGACAGTCTAGAAGACTTTCTGGTCAGTTCCCCAAATACATCACCTACCTGCCTCTCCCTGGCTGCCTTTCCACTATAGAAGCTGAAAAAACGGATACTTTCCCAGTCTCCTTTGCCACTAAGGGCAGCTATGTGCCCCAGATATTGCCAATGAGATAAAAGTAGGATTCTGTTAGATAAATTTGGGGAAGGATATTTTTTCTCTGATGAGAAAGTTGCATGAGGAAAAATACTCTGACCTTTTCCACCCCGTTTCCTGTCATTGAACATGGGATTAGGACCGAGTGTCTTGAGCTGTTAGAGCCATCTTGAAGCCATGAGGGTAAGACACTGACTCAGAACCCTGATATTGTTGGGTCACTGTATCAACTCCAGTTATTACCTACTGTCAGCCTTCTCTATTTTCTTTGTTTTTTTTTTTTTTCTTTAGAGACAGGGTCTTACCCTGTCACCCAAACTAGAATGTAGTGGTGCAATCATAGCTCACTGCAGCTTTAAAATCCTGGGCTCAAGGGATCCTCCCACCTCAGCCTCCTGTGTAGCTGGGACCACAGGCACATGCTACTGCGCCCAGCTAAACTTCTGTAGTATTACAAGCCATGTTTAGTTGGCTTTTCTGTTACTTTCAGCAAAAAAATAAAAAATAAAAAATAAAAAATTAAATATTAAAGTTCACAACAATATATAGATTTTTTCAAATATAGAAAACTCTCATTTATTTAGAACACAGTGTATTCTGAGGATCCACACTTTGAGTACCATTGAATTAAATGACTTATCTTTTAGGAGTGAAGAGAAAGAATGCACAGGTGGATTTCAAGGAATGGTAAACCTAATCTGGACTGCCAAATTATTTTATTCATTCATTTTTTTTCAACAGACCTTACTTTACTAGGCTCCAGGGATACAAAGATTAATAAGGCATTACCCTTGCTTCCAAATAAATTTTATTACTCTAAGCAAGATGGATATGTAAACCTAGAATCATAAGGTGGTAAGAGCTAAGATAGAGGTATGTAGAGTAGAGGAGTTATGTTATCAGAGAAGTGGGAAGCTTAACGGCTCCCCGGGGACGACATTGGAAGAGGATCATGGAAGCTTCCACTCAACTCTAAAAAATTATTCCTGTGATCTGACTAAACATGTAAGGTTTTATTAATTTTATTTCAAGGAGGGTTCTTTTCTATAATTATAGGTTATAAAACAAATGACAATTCAAGAAAGATCGGGGACTAATCAACTGCCAGAAAAGATACCCCATCCATTTTTCTCTCCCACAAAGCAAGACAAAAACATGGTTTTGTGTGTGCATTTTGGGGTGGGGGTGGCAGGCATATCAGCAGGGTTGTTTTCTGGAATAGAATACTTCTGTGTTGTGAATTAAGACCACTTGTTAACATTGCATCAAACCAAACAATTTGATGGTAAAGCAATCAGTTATCAATATGAACCACAAATTCATGCATTCTGGGAGATGCTCTCCTCTGCTCCTTTTAAGCAAAAATAACAATAATTAGTATTTACTTAATAGTCACAGAAACATTTTGCATTTAATGATAGAGAAAGGGGAAACATCTCCCCGCCACCACCACCAAAATGATTTTTCTAAAAGAGGTTAACAGAAGGAGGTCCCTAACCTTAGAGGAGAAACTAACACGTAGTTTTGCACTGTTAAATCCTTATAAGAAACAGAATAGGTCCTCACTGGTTGTCTTGCAAGGGAATAATAGGCTTTGGAGCATATCTGAAAATAGAGAAAATAAAACCAGCAATAGTCTTCTAAAATTTTCCTGGAATACGATACTTTGAAAATAAAACATTCAATAGTGTCCTTCAATGAATTGTTTCAACATTCTGGCATTCACATTAATTGTGCCTCCGGAACATTTCGATTCAGTCAGTGATAACGAGATAGATATGCAACAACTGCAGTTACCTTAAGCGCTGGCATGTCCTGGGCTGGAGAGGGTTGTTCCAAGATCCCAACTCAGGCTACAGTAAAACATCTGCTACCTCGCAGAGAATGAAGAAGCCACTCTGGCAAAGGATCCCAGCTAAGCCCTCTGGCTCTCCTGTCCCCACCTCTAAGAATTACACCGGAGGAAAATGGGGGAGAGGAGGGAAATACACGAAACAAATAAAACATTCCTAGCTCCATAAACGCCGCATTCGGACATGTGAAGGTACCCGGTAAATTAAGAATATGGCCCCAGAGTTTTGTTTATCTGGGGTCTGAGCATAGATTTTATATTCTCTGTTGCGTTTTTTAAATCTAACTTTCTGTCTCCAATGGAGAGAGCCAGAGGGAGGAAGCAAAGGCAGACAGACACAGGCTGGAAGACCCCCTCCCCGCGAGTCCCCCAAACAGTAAGCATCAGAAGACGAGAAACTTGCCTGGCCCTCACCTAGACGGAGAGGCAGCTGGTCCAGCCTCAGGAGGGGGTCAGCCTGCTGGGATGAGTCACTGAAGCTGGAGCTGAAATGCAGACCCCAGGCGGGAGGCAAAGTCCCGCTCCTAACCCAGGGGAGCAGAGTGACTCACGCGCTTGGCGTCCGCCTCTCGGCGCTGTGCGCCCCTCTCCCTCCCCACCCCCAGCAAGTACCAGGACCTAGTGCCTCGAGAGACGCGGTCTCCAGGCGCCCCATCCACGGGGCTCACAGCCGGATGCCCCCAGGCGGCGGCGCCAGAGTCGCGCCAGGCACAGCCCGCCCCTCAAGGCAGCCGCCCGCTGCCAAGGGGTGAAAGCCTCCTTCGTGGATCTCCCTCTTCTCGGCTCCCCGCCACCCCAGGACCCCATGACCCCGGGCTGACCATTTGAGCTCAACACACCTTTCATATACTACCTGGACGCGGCTTTGCAAAGTCCCTCCTGCAGGCTGTGCCAAACGGGCTTCAGGATGCACAGCCAGCCCCAGGACTTAACAACCGGTCTGCAAAGACCCCACCCCCGCCATCCTTGGTCTCCACCTTGTGGTGGCTCCGGAAGCCTCTCAGCCCAGAAACAGGTGCAGCTGGCTCCTCAAGATCCCAGGTGTATCCTTTTCCATAGGTCTTTCCTTTCCTCGGACCCTACCTTGCAGGAACTGTCACCCCCCACGCCCCCCCCACACACACACACCATGGCCCATCTGACACATCCACCTGCAAGGTGGATATGGCTATGCCCAAACCTCCCACAGTTTGTACCTACACCAGGAGTACCCCTACTGCTCACCACAGCCAAGGCACAAGTTACTCCCATCTCATCTCCTAGGAGCCCCCTTCCTTGTGGAGGAGGCTGCAAGTCTCTCCTCTCTCATATCCCCCCTGGGTCTTGGAAAAGTACTGTGGGGAATGATGGGACCCTGGTGCCAGGGGTCACCTTCCTAATTTGACATGGAGTAAGAAAAGCCAAGGCTCCACCCAAACTGGTTTTGGTGGCAGTGCTTCGTTGGGACGGTCAAGATGTCCTGGGGTGCCAGGACTTAGAAGAGTTAATAGCTTCAGCAAACATGGCATGGGAATTCTGACTCATGACCTGGTGTGTTCTGGTAAAGGTCAACTTGTTCTGCTAGGAGGAGGGGTAGGGGTGATGAGCCCTCAGTCCTGCCTTCACCATATCAAAACTGGAAGGAAGAAAATGTATAAAAAGAGTTCCTTTAGCCCTGGCAAGGGTGAGGGATTATAGAGTTCAGAGAGAAAGAAACAAGAATAGGGAAGGGGTGGGCCATTTTCTCAACTTGAGGACAGCATTTCAGCTGTCAGACTTCTTACAACTCTGGTAAAGGATGGGGGTCCAATTTCAAAAAGTGGGCAATATCCCCTAACACTCGCCCTTTGTTGTCATCCCATTGCTTTCTTATACCATTATAAACTGAGATCTCCCCCATAATTGGATGCGTAGGGAATATAAGTTACTCATTTCAATGTACTAATAACCCAGCACATGGCCTAACACATAGTGGAAAATAAAGCTTTATTGAAAGCTCAGAAGTCTACTATCCAGGACCTTCCTCCCCCTGTCTCTGGCTCCCACCTCTACTTTCCATCTTTTTCCATTTCTTTACCTTTACTTTTCTTGCTTGTCTATACCTACTTCCCTGAATAATACCAGCCTTCAGTTTTTCTACCTCTATTTTCTAATTTTATAAGGCAGTGTTTCATTTCCAATTTTATTTGTTCTCTTTTTCTAAAGTCCCCCCCACTCTGCATTCTCTCCCAATGCCCTATTTTCAAGTTTAATTTTAATGAAGTGCCTTTCCTCGAACCCTACCTTGCAGGAAATATCACCCCCCCCCCCGGACCACCCCACACACACCTCTTTTTTGTTTGTTTTAAGATTGGATCAAAATTCTTACCTATCAAAAATCTTACATTCCCCAGAGAGTGAGTGTGTGTGTGTGTGCGTGTGTGCCTCCAAGACAATGTGTCTTCTTGCGCAAAGCAATCAGCCATATATTACCAGAGCCATATCTTCATTAATTCATTCAACTCACATTTACTGTGCACCTAATGCATACTAGACATTGTGTTAGGTCCTAGGTTTATAGAAATGGATAAGGTAATGTGACTACCATCAAGAATGCCACAGACTGAGGGGTGGGGGAAGGGGAAGAGCAGATAATAAAGCAAAGTTACATAACAATGCTGTAAGAGAAATGTGTACAAAGGTGCTGTGGGAATAAGAAGGAAGCTCACAGTACTTCATGGAGGAGGCAGGAGGTGGTCAGGAAACATTTTACCAGAAGACGGCAATTGAACTGAGTCTTGAAAAACAATTAGGAGTTTTCCAGGAAGACAAGAAGGGAGAAATATATACAAGATGAGTAATTTACTTTGAATTTTATTATTTTTATTTATTTTTTATTATACTTTAAGTTTTAGGGTACATGTGCACAACGTGCAGGTTTGTTACATATGTATACATGTGCCATGTTGGTGTGCTGCACCCATTAACTCGTCATTTAACATTAGGTATATCTCCTAATGCTATCCCTCCCCCCTCCCCCCACCCCACAACAGGCCCCAGTGTGTGATGTTCCCCTTCCTGTGTCCATGTGTTCTCATTGTTCAATTCCCACCTATGAGTGAGAACATGCAGTGTTTGGTTTTTTGCCCTTGCAATAGTTTGCTGAGAATGATGGTTTCCAGCTTCATCCATGTCCCTACAAAGGACATGAACTCATCATTTTTTATGGCTGCATAGTATTCCATGGTGTATATGTGCCACATTTTCTTAATCCAGTCTATCATTGTTGGACATTTGGGTTGGTTCCAAGTCTTTGCTATTGTGAATAGTGCCGCAATAAACATACATGTGCATGTGTCTTTATAGCAGCATGATTTATAATCCTTTGGGTATATACCCAGTAATGGGATGGCGGGGTCGAATGGTATTTCTAGTTCTAGATCCCTGAGGAATCGCCACACTGACTTCCACAATGGTTGAACTAGTTTCCAGTCCCACCAACAGTGTAAAAGTGTTCCTATTTCTCCACATCCTCTCCAGCACCTGTTGTTTCCTGACTTTTTAATGATTGCCATTCTAACTGATGTGAGATGGTGTATCATTGTGGTTTTGATTTGCATTTCTCTGATGGCCAGTGATGGTGAGCATTTTTTCGTGTGTTTTTTGGCTGCATAAATGAATTTTAATTTGAGTCTCCTTTCCCTTGTAATGGCATCATTATTAAGGCAGATGGTGTGTAACATTGTTCCAGAGTTAAAAGAGTTCTCTTTCCTGATAACTCCAGGGACAATTCTTGGTTCTACTTGGATCATGTGTCCATCCCTGAAACAATTACCATGGCCAGGTAGGTAGTATATTCTGATTGGCTGGCCTGGGTCATGTGCCCATTCCTGGGTTTTTGTTCTTTGTTTTGTTTTGTTTTATTTTGGCGGAGGGAGAGAAACATAAATATAAATACCTTTCAGTTCCTGCCAGGAAAGATGTGAACAAAAGTAGCATGTCAATTATATGTATACAAGCATTTCTGACATAAAATGACATACTCGGCTGAAAAATCTCTCATTTTTCAAAATCACACACTAAAACTAACAAGGCATAAGAGTTAAGGCAGATCACTCAAAACTTATGTACCTTTATAAGCAGAGCATTAACAATTTTTTTAAAATAATATATCAGGTGATGACTTGTGCACAGCTCAGACACACAGCTTGTTATGGCTAGAGGCCACCTCAGTAGATATTAAACATGCAAGAAACCAATAGAGAGGAAATTCTACTTGAGAGAGCTGAGACAATGCAGATGGAAGTGGAAGTCTAAGACAGAAAGGCTGCTATTAAGGTGCGCACAGGAAGAAGTACACTCTGCCTGAGGCAAGAATCATGCAAGGCTGAGGGTCTACTTCCTTGGAGAGGAAGCCCTGGGTGTAGAACCTCACTTTTAATTTTAAAACATAAATAAAGCTAAAAGGGCTTTTGACACTGCAGCAGCCAAATTGAGGGATTTTTCCTTTCATGCTGAAGGTTAAAATTCTACTTCAACCCAACGTCCACATGGTATTGACATTCTTCCCCTATTTCCTATTACATATATACTATTTGTTATAGATAATGTGTTATAGCAGAAGATATTGTGTATATTTGTTTATTACCTATCAAATATTTATCAGGCCCATGTAGTCTAATCTAGTCTCATGCTTTAAAATTCCAATTATTTGCTAATGACTCCCAAATTTATGCCTCTGGACTGGTTATTTCTCCTGAACTCCAGACACTTATCAAGCAACCTGTTGAGCAACCTGCTCAACATCCTCACCTGAATGGCAATAGGAATCTCAAACTTCCCTTACACAATACTCAACTCTTTCATTTGTTGCCTATTCTAGACATTTTACACAAATGGAATTATAAAATATGTGGGCCTTTGTGTGTGGCTTCTTTCACTGAGCATAATGTTTTCAAGGTCATCCATGTTGTAGCATGCATCAGAACTTCATTCCTTCTTATGATTGAATAATATGGGCCTACTTCTTAGAGAAGAACTTCAGTTTGGGAGTGTAGAGGAGAGACAGGAAGGATCTCTGAGAAAAGCTGCAGAGCGAAGGCTTAATGGAGGTTTTGTGTTTTCCGGTTAGATAGTTGTCCCTCATATGAATCCTGTGCTTGCCTTGCATCCTGTGAGAGCCTCAGGCCCAGCTGCAGGCTTGTCTGCTGGCAGGGTAGTGTCAGCAGTCCTGGCTTTTTGCTTAATGACAACGCTGCATCAATGCCTCTTCCTGCAATTGCTTCTACAACAGCTTCTATGAGGTAAGATCTTTGGGATGCCCGGATCACCTGAGGGAGATTCATGGCAGAGCACCTGGGGTCTGGTTCCATCTGCTCCCAAGGTAAGGTGAACTTGGATCTATGGGATAGTCCCAAGGGATCCCCTCAAAATCAGTGGTTAGACAATGGTGGAGTCATTCAGTCAACATGTGGTTTGTGATAGTCCTCTCTATTTATACAATAAATCTTTGTGAAGCACCCACTTTGGCACCAGGATGCTAAGCTGTGCTGAGGAGTCAGTCATCCTGTGGTCCTGCACTAAGTGCTCCTTCCAGTCTCAATACTTCTGTAATTCTCTTCTTTCAAAGGAACTTGCAAACCCTGATAGATCAAAAAGAGAAAAGTTACTTTCTTTGCCTCCCCTAACTGATGATCTCCTGGGGAAGATTACACAGAGTAGGGGCTCTGAAGCCCCCTCCACACACAAAAAAACAAAATCCCAGGAGTGGGCACATGACCCAGGCCAGCCAATAAGAATACACTACCTGCCTGGCCATGGTAATTGTTTCAGAGATGGACACATGATCCAAGCAGAACCAATCAGAATTATCCCTGGAGCTTTCAGGAAAGAGAATTCTTAACTCTGGAGCAAAGTTATACACCATCTGCCTTAAAAATGATGCCACTACATGTAAAAGGAGATGCAAATTAGAATTCAAAGTGAATTATTCATCTTCTATATATTTCTCCCTTCTTGTCTTCCTGGAAAACTCCTAGTTGTTTTTCAAGACTCAGTTTAATTGTCATCTTCTGGTGAAATGTTTCCTGACTGCCTCCTTCAAAAGTCATGTATTACTGAGGTCTTCTTTTACTACTTTATTTTGAATGGCAACTCTCCCACCTTATCCCTTATTCCTGCTTAATTTTTCCAATTGTCCTTATCACTATCTGACATACTAAATATCATATTCATTTATGTCTTTATTTTCTGTCTCCCATTTGTAGAATATAAACTATGAAAGTATGAATTCTGTTTTATTCAATGCTGTATCCCCAATGCCTAGAACACTATCTGGCCTGTGGTAGGCACTAAGGAAATATTTGAGTGCATATTTGCCTACTGTGCACCAGGCACTGTTCTAGGCATTATGAATGGGACAGTAAATAAAAGAGGTAAGCCCCTCCCTCACCATTGTGTGTGTGTGTGTGTGTGTGTGTCTTTGTGTGTGACCAATCCCCAAATATTAACTTATAGAAAGCAAGACTTGTTTCAGTTTCATTCAGCCTATTCTATACGGACAAGCACAACTCTTATGCTTAAGAGAACAAATACTGAATATGATATAATGAAGATTTGCTTACATATTTACCTATATTTGCAAATTATATAAATTCTCTCTGAAGTGTTGCTTGTTTTTTTTAAATTTGAAAAGCCCATATAATCATTATCTGATTCAATTCAACCCTTTCTTCATTGGTAGATAGTTCTATAACATCTTGGCATTAAACCATTACAAGCTGACTGTAAATCTGTTTTGTTATGGAAATATTTCATTCTTATAGGTACCCAATATATTAAAAAAAGGTCTCACAAGTAAAATTACAATGAAGCTGCATGGCACTAAAATAACACGATCATAATTATGAAGTAGCACACCAGTGTCATGGGGCAGCACATAATTAAATGGCAAATGAAATAGGGAGAGAGGATGTGTTGTGAACTCAGACATGGACAAATAAATGGTGACTGGAGTGTCTGGTTCTAAGGATTAGGCATTTTGCATTTTGCGTTTTCAGTGAGCATTTTCAGCTCACTGAATCTAGCACCTTTAGGGTTGGGTGTTAACAGATTGGAACAAAGCACTTAAATTTCTGAGCCTAAGTTTCCTAATCAGTTAAGTGAGCATGATAATACCTACCTTATCTTTTAGGGCTGTTAGAAGAAATATCAAAGATTTATGTAGGCTGGGCATGGTAGCTCAAGCCTGAGCCTCATTAGCTCAGCTAATCAGGAGGCTGAGGCAGGAGGATGCTTGAGCTGAGGAGTTCAGGGCTGCAATGAGCTATGATTGCGCCACTGCACTGTACCCTGGGCGACCTAATAAGGCCCGTCTCTAAAATAACAATAATAATAAAGATTAATAATAATAAATGATGTATAATAGATTAATGCTTTTTCTTTATTACTGGGAATAATTGAATTTTTCTACAAATAATACTTCTTATATTTTCTTCCTTGGTATGTTATAAGATTCTTATTCAAAATTCTACGTTGTCTCAAGTATTCTTACTGCAAACCAAAGTTTTAATGAATGTGATTTTGTGGATACTTAGTACTTTTCAATATATCGATACACAAGTATTTTTAAGTACCTACTAAGTGCTGGGTCCTGAAAGAATGTGGGCTCTTAGGTGAGATTGCCCAGGATTGAGTCTCCACTCCACTATTTATTAGCCATGTCCCATCTCTGGTTTCTGATTCCTCATCTATAAAAAAGAGAAATAATCAGAGTAATTATTCACAGAATTCTCATGAAGTTTAAATAAGATAATCTACATAAGTACTTAGCACAGTGCTTGACACATTATAATCATTGAATGAATGCCTAGCTGTTATTATCTTGTCCTATAAGTATAGCTGCATAGAGGAAGGATATAAAATAAATGGAAAGAATTATTCCTGTCTCTAAGAAACTAATAATCTATTTCAGAAGAAAAGGACTATATTAAAGAACTAGAGAGAAATCACAAGATAATTATATTAGTTAAGCGTTTTTATTTGCAAGCAACAGAAATTAACTTTGCTTTATTTAAGAAAAAAAGATTGAGTGCTGGAACAAATTCATTTTAATGATTCAGGAGGGTTCCACAGACTCAAAAAACAAGTTCAACCATCGAACCTTGACAAGGACAAGAAGCAAGTCAGCTCCTGAAATTTGGCAACTAGAACAAAGTATGAATTCTATGGCCCCCTGAGTTCAGGCAGTGCTAAAGTCTGAATGTTTGTGTCCCCCCACATTCATATGTTGAAACCTAATACCCCATGTGATAGTATTAGGAGGTGGGGCAATTGGGAGGTGATTAGGCTATGAGGGTGGAGCCCTCTTGAATGGGATCAGTACCTTACAAAAGAGACCCTAGAGAGTTGCCTTGCCCCTTCCCCCACGTGAGGACACAACTTGAAGGCACTATCTCTGAGGAAGAAGGCCCTTGCCAGAGACCAGATTTTTTTTTTTGAGACAGAGTTTCACTTTGTTGTCCAGGCTGCAGTGCAGTGGCGCGTGATCTTGGCTCACTGCAACCTCCGCCTCCCGGGTTCAAGCAATTCTCTTGCCTCAGCCTCCTGAGTAGCTGAGATTACGGGTACCCACCTCCACACACAGTTGATTTTTTGTATTTTAGTGGAGATGGGGTTTCACCATCTTGCCCAGGCTGGTCTCAAACTCCTGAGCTCAGGCAATCTGCCTGTCTTGGCCTCCCAAAGTGTTAGGATTACAGGCGTGAGCCACCGTGCCCGGCCTCCAGACACCAAATTTGGCAGCACCTTGACTTTGCAGCCTCCAGAACTGTGAACAATAAATTCCTGTTGTTTATAAGCTACCCAGTTTATAGTACTTATGGTGTAGCAGACTGAGCAGGCTATGACAGCCAGTAAGGTGACTTCAGCTCCAACATCTCCCAGTCTCTGGGGCTCTGTGTCTCAAGTTTCACAGTTTCAGGAGGGAGAAACTGATCGGTTCAGCTCATGTCAGTTTTTTACTTCCATGTTGATTAATTGTCATACTCTCACATGAGACATGTATTTGGCCCCTTGTTAACTCTCTGCCCTCTGCCCTCATTTTTTTTTTTTTTTGAGATGGAGTCTGGCTCTGTTGTCCAGGCTGGAGTGCAGTGGCATGATCTCGGCTCACTGCAACCTCTGCTTCCCGGATTCAAGTGATTCTTCTGCCTCAGCCTTCCAAATAGCTGGGACTACAGGTGTCTGACACCACGCCCGGATAATTTTTGTATTTTTAGTAGAGATGGGGTTTCGCCATATTGGCCAGGCTGGTCTCGAACTCCTGACCTTGTGATCTGCCCACCTCGGCCTCACAAAGTGCTGGGATTATGGACATGAGCCACCGCACCCGGCCCTCTGCCCTCATCTTTTATAGTGCTCCAGCACTCTGACTTCTTTGCTTTCCTTCAAAAAGAGCCAGACATGCTATGGCTCAGGAAATTTCCACTTGCCATTCCTTTTGCCTACCATGTTCTTCTCTTAAATAACCACATGAATTACTTAAATCTCCTTCAAATGTTTGTTCAAATGTATCTTCTCAACAAGGCCTTCCCTGACAAAGTTATTTAAAATTTCAACAGCCCCTCCTCTACACACATGCATACACATATACACTTCTACTTCCTCCCTCTGTGCTCTATTTTTCTCTGCAGTAATTATAACATTCAGTACCAGTTAGCTATTACTGAGTAATAAAACATCACAAACTTAATGGCTTAAAACAACATTTTATTCAGCTCATTATTCTGTGGGTTGGCTGGGCAATTCTTCTACACTGGACTGGCTCAGCTCATCTTTTCTGGGTTTGCTCATGCACTGATAGTCAGCTGGGAGGTCAGCTGGTGACAAGATGATCCAGAATGGCCTCATTCACATTTCTAGTGTTTGGCAGGCTGTCAGCTGGAGACCTCTGTTTTCTTCTATGCAGCATTCTCATCTTCCAGGAGGCTTCCTTGGATTCATTCACATGGTCATCTCAGCATTTCAAGAGCAGTAATACAGTAAGCCCCAGCGAACCAGCACTTTTCAAACCTCTGCTTGTGCTTATATCTTATTTGCTAAAGTCTTTTTGGCCAAAGCAAGTC
Organism: Homo sapiens; assembly: GCF_000001405.40. Lineage (NCBI taxonomy): Eukaryota > Metazoa > Chordata > Mammalia > Primates > Hominidae > Homo > Homo sapiens. Next base: position 37,896,472 of record NC_000023.11, on the reverse strand, counting down.
ACACAGCCAGCTCAGATTTAATGAGTTGAGAAAATAGACTCCAATTCTTGGTGAGAAGAGCTGCAAAGACATGCTGCAAGGAAACATGATAAACAGATGTGCAAAGAGGGATAAGAAGAATTTGTGGCCATATTTGCAAGCTACCACACCTTCTAGCATACCATGTAATTTACTTATTTATTTTGCATATTGAAAAAAAGACTCTCCATTCATTTGTGAATCCAGGACACAAGAATAACACTGGTTGAGAGGGATTTGTGTAGAAGAATCAGTTTCAGTTATTTTGCTCACACTGAAGAAAAGATGACTGTTTATGTGAGAAGGTTTCCTTCCAATCAACCCATCAATTGCTACATTTGTATGTTACAGCATCTGTGCAGTCTTTTAGCTGTTTTAATAGAACAATGTATTAACTACCCTAGTAATTGCACAGACAAAATCAACATCCCACATGAACATTTAAATGAATGCAAATCAACCTAATGGCCTCTCCTAGAGGGAGCATAATCATGCAAAAAACATTTGTACTAACTGATGCTATATATGCAAATGAGATTTTAATTTTGATACACTTTCACATGGACCTAGCTTCAATTCAATGCAAATCCACTTGTAATATATCATTAAAGCTGAATCAGTCTATTTTCTAATGTGCTTAATATTGATATAGACAATGAAGTTTAATTTTTAGAATATCAGGTGTTCTATTCTGCACATTACTTAACCACCTCCGAGAGAGAACATTATTTTAAGGATGGGGACATAATGTCTTGCCTTCCTACGTTTTTTTCTTTTCTTTTCCCTAACCATCCTCCACCATCCCACTTTTCTCAATGTTGCCCTATAATTTTGTTTGTTAAGATAATTTTAAGAGTTCAAAATGGCATTACTCTTTTGCAATTTACACTTGACCTCAGAAGAAGGAAGGAAGGAAGGAGAGAGGAGAGAGAAAGAAAAGAAAAGAAAAAGAAAGAAAGAAAGAAAAAAAGAGAGAGAGAGGGAGGGAGGGAGGGAGGGAAGGAAGGAAGGAAGGAAGGAAGGAAGGAAGGAAGGAAGGAAGGAAAAGAAAAACTAATCGAACACTTACTCTGTGCCAGACACTAAAACCCTAGACTAATCCTATGAGGTAGATATTATTGTCCCCAGCTTACAGCTAAGGAAAGAAAGGCACAAAGAAGTTAAGTAATTTACCAAAGATCATACAATTATTAAATGGTATATCTAGCTTTGAACTTAAGTCTTTGAGCAGGGCTTTTTGAGGATGTAATTAACAACCACTCCTGGAAGTATTTTGCATTTCTGATAAAAATGTTTGAGCGTTTTTCTAATAGATGTTTAGATTTACAGCTCTGTCGGGATTCTCCAGAGAAACAGAGTCAAAGGTGATAGACATAGATGTAGACATAGACATAGGTAAAGAGAGAGAGATTGATTTATTACAGGAATTGGCTCACGCAATTATAGAGGCTGAGAAGTCTCATGATCTGCCCTTTGCAAGCTGGAGCACCAGGAAAGCTGGTGGTATAACTCAGTCAGAATCCAAAGGACTGAAAACAAGTGGGGATGGGGTCAGTAAAGAGGGAGTAGTGATGCAGACACAAGCAGGAGTGTCACTAATCGGGCAAGAGAAGATGAATGCATGTCTCAGGCTCAAACAGGGAGGAAATTCACCCTTCCTCCACCTTTTTGTTCTATTCAGGCCTTCAATGTATTTGCTGATGCCCACCCACATTGGTGAGAGCAAGCTTCCCTACTCAGTCTACCAATTCAAATTGCTAATCTCTTCCAGAAAACTCACATACACTTGCAGAAATAAAGTTTTACCAATTGTCTGGTTATCCCTTAGACCAGTGAAATAGACACATAAAATCAGCCATCAGAAGACCTGTCTGGGAAGTTAAATCTATGCTCACAATGCATTAACGACTCACCCAGTCATTTTTTGGTTTGGATTCCAGAACCAGACCTTCTTTCTATTATCCAGTTTAACAGTAGTATCTAGCCATACTCTCATCTTATTTAAAAAATATATTCTACTGGCACTCCAATGCATTGCTTGGTGGAGTGTAAATATGTACACTTCCACTCCTTTGGAAAACTGTTTGGCAGTATTTCCAAATGCTAATTTATACAAACTCAATGACCCAACAATTCTACTCCTGAGTATATACCCAAAAGAAATTAGTGCATGTTCTGCCAAAAGCTTTAAACAATAAGGATCACAGATGCTTTAATTATAATAGCCAAACACTGGAAGCAACTCTAATGTCCAACAACAGGTAAATAGACAAGTAAACTGTGATATAGTCATAAATATACGTACACAGTAATTGAAAGGAATGAACTACTGCTACATGCAAAAGCATGGGTGATGCTCACAGACATTTTTTTGTAGGGCAAGAGAAGACTAGGCACAAAAGAGGACATATAGTGTAATATCATTTATATGAAGTTCAAGAAAAGGCAAAACTTGTAAATGGTTACCTGGGTAAGATAAAGTAGTACTGATTGGGAAGTGGCACAAGGGAGCAACTTGGGGAGATGGGAATGTTCTCTACCATAACCTGAATTGTGAATTGTGGTTACATAGGTTTAAAAATTTATCAAGCAATTAAGATTAACATACTTAATTATATATTATATATACTAATCTCTATATAATATATAGATTATATATACTAATCTCTATATAATCTATAGTTTATCTATAGATTATATATAATCTATAGTTTATCTATAGATTATATATAATCTATAGTTTATCTATAGATTATATATAATCTATAGTTTATCTATAGATTATATATATAGATTTTATATATAATTATATATAATTATATATATAGATTATATATAGATTGTATATATAATCTATAGATAATATATAGATTATATATAGATTGTATATATAATCTATAATCTATAGATTATATATTATCTATAGATAGATTATAGATTATATATACAATCTATAGATTATCTATAGATTATATATACTAACTATATATTATATATAGATTATATATACAATCTATGTATTATATATAGATGATATATACTATATATAGTATATGTCAAAGGTTTTATTCAAACTTATATATACTATATAGTGTAGTATGTTATATATACTATATAGTATATAGTGTAGTATGTTATATATACATATATAGTATATAGTGTGGTATGTTATATATACATATATAGATTGTGGTATGTTATATATACATATATAGTATAGATTGTGGTATGTTATATATACATATATAGTATAGAGTGTGGTATGTTATATATACATATATAGTATAGAGTGTGGTATGTTATATATACATATATAGTATAGAGTGTGGTATGTTATATATACATATATAGTATAGAGTGTGGTATGTTATATATACATATATAGTATAGAGTGTGGTATGTTATATATACATATATAGTATAGAGTGTGGTATGTTATATATACATATATAGTATAGAGTGTGGTATGTTATATATACATATATAGTATAGAGTGTGGTATGTTATATATACATATATAGTATAGAGTGTGGTATGTTATATATACATATATAGTATAGAGTGTGGTATGTTATATATACATATATAGTATAGAGTGTGGTATGTTATATATACATATATAGTATATGTGTATATATTATACATACATATATTGTATATATGTATATACACAATATATGTATATCTGTATATACAATTATATACATATATACTAATATACGTATATATACTAATATATACATATATACTAATATATGTATATATACTAATATATACATATATACTAATATATGTATATATACTAATATATACATATATACTAATATATGTATATATGTATATACAATTATATACATACATACTAATATTGGTATATATACGTATATACAATATATGTATATATAACATACATATATACATATACTATATATGTATATATAACATACTATACTATATACATATATATGTATATACACATATACACATATGTAGTATATGTCAAAGGTGTTATTCAAACTTATAGCAAATGAAGGTAAAGAATCTTTCTTGAATAGGATTATTCTTAACTTTCTTGAAGTATTATATATATTATATATAAATAAATAAATAAAACCTTTGACATATACTAGAAATCAATTTTCTGAGAAGTTGCTTTAATATGTGTTTGGCTCCAATGTCGTGTGCTTTACATTCACTGGATAAAATTATGCCCCTTTACTGTTATCTATCTAGCCAGAAGGCAGCCTATTATTTACTGCTCTACTTAAAAGCCTTCTTTATCCCAGGTATACCTATGGCTTGTATTACATTTATCTCTCAGGTTAGTAGTTGACCTATTTATTCATGCACTGTTATCCCATTACCCAGTAATCTCTCTGTTTCACGTGTCTTTGTTTTCCCAGAGTTCCTGCCTCAGTGCAAAGCCAACTAAGGAACTTCAATATAGTTTTTGAATTAAACCACAGAATAAGTTGCTTTACATATTTCATCCACATCTAGTTTTCCAAGGAGATGAACAATTTGGGGCAGAAGTAGGATGCAAGCTTTTTTCCCTAAGAATTCCTTGCTCCCAGATTTGCTTTTCCATACATCTATCAGAGATGCCCAGAGAATGTAAGGTTATTGTAAAAAGAGAGTTGCAAAGCATTGCCAAGAGGCCTACAGAAGATAAAGAGAACCATGTTTGTTTCTTTATAAGTATACCTATGATATTTGCCTGAAAACACAAACACTCATATGAAATCCTTTGGATAATTCATACTCACATACACACATACACACACACACGTATGTATGTGTGTATATCAGCTTTATTGAGATATAATTTACATAACACGCAATTCACCCATTTAAAGTGTACAATTCAATAGTAGTATATTCACAGAGTTGTACAGCCATCACCACAATCAATTTTACAATATTTTCATCACCCCAGAAAGAAACCCTGTAACTATCAGCAGTTACCTCTCATTTTTCCAATCCTCCAGCCTTAGGCAAGCACTAATCTACTTTCTACCTCTACCGAGTTGCCTATTCTGGACATTTTACATATATCGAATCAACAATGTGTGATCTTTTGTCATTGGCTTCCTTCACTTAGCATGCTGTCAAGGTTCATATATGCTGTAGCATGTATCCATACTTAGTTCGTTTATTTTGTTGAGTAATATTTCATTGTATGGACATTGCACATTTTATTTATACATTAATGAATTGATGGACATTTTGGTTGTTTCCACTTTTTGACTATTTTGAATAATGCTCCTATGAACATTCATGTATCAGCTTTTGTGTGGACATTTGTTTTCATTTTTCTTGGATATATACTGAGGAGTGAAATTGATGGATCATATGGTACTCTATGTTTAAACTATAAGGCTCCCATTTCTCCACCTCCTCATCAACATTCATTATTATCTACTTTTTACATTTTTATTTTATTATTTTGTAGAGACAGGTCTTGCTTTGTTGCCCAGCTGGTCTTGAATTCCTGGTTTCAAGTGATCCTCCTGTCTTGGCCTCCCAAAGTACTGGGATTACAGATATAGGCCACCACACCTAGCCTGTTTTTTAAAATTATTATTATAGCCATCCTAGTAGGTTGGTCTCTCAGCTGTTACGTTGATTTGCATTTTCCTAATAATTGGTTATGTTGAGCATCTTTTCGTGTGCTTATTGGCCATTTATATGTCTTTTTCAGAGAAATGTCTATTTCGATTCTGTATCCATTTTCAACTGGAGTGTGTTTGCATGATTTTTACGCAGAGCAAAACACAAATGCAAAACATAAGAGGACATGTGACTCCCATTTAATTTTCCTTCACAGTGGCAAGGCCAACATACATTTGGGAATATTAGGTATTAGTGTTCCCGGACCAAACCAAGGGTCGGGCTGCTGATCCTTGCGGCCCAATAATGAGATGCAGATGAACTAGGAGAGAAGGGAGTTTTTATTTCTGTAACCAGTTACAGGGAGAAGGCCTGGATATTATTGCCAGACCAATCCAAAATTACAATGTTTTTCAGAGCTTATATACCTTCTAAGCTATATGTCTAGATGTAAGTGTGCATTCATCTAAAGACAGAAGTGATTAACTTCTTTTAATCTATAACTAAGATCTGAGTCCTGAAGACCTTCCTCTGAAGCCTCAGTAAATGTACTTAATCTAAATGGGTCCTGGTGCTGGAGTGATTACCTTTATCTTGTCTCCTGGTAGGTCATGGAGGTTTGGGGAGTTCCTTTAGTCCCCAATAAAGCTTGCTTGTGGAGGCCTGGGGAGTTTCTTCAGACCCCCAATAAAATTTTTTAATCCTAAAAAGGTCCTGTTAAGAATTCCTTCGTTATCTTGCCATGCTTCAGGGCCCAGGAAAGGCCTGGGCAAAACTCTTGGTGGGCTTTTGTTACCTTCCAGCCTTTGTATAAGGGCACTGGCTCTATCAGCTTTTAATATTTAACTTTACCACTCAGTCAGTGCTGAAACAGTTGTTATGGAGGCCTGTGTTAGTGAGTCCTGGTCTGCCACATTAGTATGACACAATGAAGATAAAATAATGCAGGGAATAAAACCTAAATGAAGCATAATTGTGATATGTTTTTATCTGTTTGGAAAACAACTTAACTCCAGTCCTGTAAGACTTAGTATTTATCTCAAGCATTAGTGGCACTTCCTTTTTTTTTTTATTTTCTTTCAGCTAAAAGCCAAAGAACTGTTAAATTGCCAAGAGGCCTTCATTTTGTCAGAATTGAGATTAAAATATCCAAGAGAAGTTAAAGCAATTATTTTCCACTGGGTGGGCTATTATTAGGTAAATTTTACTTTGCTTTTCAATGTATCTAATAAAAACTCTTTGTATGATTATCCCCCCCACTCAAGCCCATCCCACATCCAGGAGTTATTTTGGCTTCATATGACCTTATTGTAAAAACATTAAAACCTGTGTACCATCTAAAACTATCTTTAGGATTAATGATATTTGTAGTAAAATAGTCAGCTTTTATTTTTTAGTATGAGACTTCAATAGGAAACAAAAAGAGCTGTCTCCACTGGACTGTTTAGTAGACTGATACCAACTCCCATATATGAAAGAGCCCTGGCCACACCACGACGCAAGAGATTTTTATGATAAAGAAGTATAATTCCACTACATAATTTGCAACAAGTAAAATGCTACAACCTGAAGTCTCATAGAGCCTAATGATATCTCAACTTTCCACAGTGAGTATTCTCTGGGTCACTTACAGCTCCTGTTATGAACTCTGCAGAAATAGTCTTGCTACTCGCATGGTCTGCTTACCGCTCTTCATTGGTGTGGTTAATTCAGTATCTTCTGCCTTCCAGTCTTTCTTTTAATATCCAAAGCATCTCAAATTTCTCTCCATACAGCATTGACAAAGGAAGCAGCAAAGTTTCTCTTCTGACCTGCTCACAACTCCAGTTCTCCTAGATGCCCACAATTTTTGCAATAAAGTTTCAGATTAGAGAATTTCACTTCCCAAGTCATATCTTTTTTTTTTTTTTTTTTGAGACAGAGTCTCACTCTGTTGCCCAGGCTGGAGTGCAGTGGCGCAATCTCGGCTCACCGCAAGCTGCGCCTCCCGGGTTCACGCCATTCTCCTGCCTCAGCCTCCCGAGTAGCTGGGACTACAGGTGCCCGCCACCTCGCCTGGCTAATTATTTTATTTTATTTATTTATTTTGAGATGGAGTCTCGCTCTGTCACCCAGGCTGGAGTGCAGTGGCGCTATCTCGGCTCACTGCAAGCTCCGCCTCCCGGGTTCACGCCGTTCTCTTGCCTCAGCCTCCCAAGTAGCTGGGACTACAGACGCCCGCCACCACACCCGGCTAATTTTTTGTATTTTTAGTAGAGATGGGGTTTCTTCGTGTTAGCCAGGATGGTCTCGATTTCCTGACCTCGTGATCTGCCCGCCTCGGCCTCCCAAAGTGCTGGGATTACAAGCGTGAGCCACTGTGCCCGGCCCCCAAGGCACATCTATTTATGGTAAAGTGGCTTCTGAAAACTAAAGAAATTCACTCTGGAATAAAGTCATGATGGACCTTTCCCTTTTCTTTCAAAGACCTGAGAGTCAAAGAGGCTGGAGTGTCAACTTCGAGGGTCAGATCTGACTTCAAGCCTTAGAACTGCCCTTTGTTGACAGGGGTGTTTTTATTAGGGCGGTTTATTTGACAAGTTCTAGGTTTCAGACTTCAAAATCTACTCCAGTGTGGCCTGGTGCGGTGGCTCACTGCCACTTTCAGGAGACCTCGCTTAATTGGTTCTGGGAATTTTAACTTTCCCTTACCCCATGCACCACCTGATTTCCATCTGTTTGCTTGTTGGCTCCGTCACAAAGCTGAGAAACACTGGGGACAAAAAGGCACTGAAGAATTTAGTTTCATTTTAAAGCTCAATCCCTAAGATTGTCTATTGAAATTTGGTATCTCATGGTTGTGGGTGACAGGATTAGGCACGTGCAAAATTATGGGACATGGGGAACTTTTCTTTCTCCCCCAAAGTGGGAAACTTGAGAGCTAATAGGATTGATGCTAAAGATCCCTTCGTGACTGACAAGCAACCGCCTGAACTTTTGATTCAGTGTCGCCGCAATGGGTGAGTCTTTTTCTGGTTTCCCTGAGCTCCTCACTTTCCCCCACTCTGCTGTAAGCAATGTTTTTCTTGTTATCTTTCTCTCTTTTCCCTTTCCTATCTTTTCTATCACTCAGGGCGACTGTCTGTTCTTCCATCTTGCCTAGAGACCCTGTGTTGAAACTCCTGGTTTCAACATTCCACCCCACTTTGAGTGGATCAAAGACAACAAGGGCCAATGAGGGCAAATTTGAGCCATGCCAGGTTGATATTAGGTGCTGAGTGGGATGGCTAAAGTCTATGTTTTGTCACATGTACTTTGCCCCAGCCAGAGTGCAAAATGTTAATTTGGCTCCCACATGCAGCTCATTGGGCAGCATCTTGCAAAGTTGGAAAAACATGATTTTCTTTTGTAATGTGTCTTGGCCCACAAAGCTATGGCACAGTAAGCAGGGCCATCAAACCACCCAGAGAAAGGAAGTCCAGAAACCTGGCATGCCAGCAAAAGAGTAAGAATTTCTTAGCAGTCAGGATTCTGGTCTCTCTCTTTCTGTGTAAACCAGTTGAATAAACGGTAAAAATCACTATTTGTCTCCTCTGCAAGGTTTTGATTAACTGGAAAAAGGATTTGTGAGGCTAGTCTTAGGCTATAGTGAATCGAGTGTATTTTGTGCTATGAATTTGCCTTTCTGTGTCATTCTGTCATAAAAAGGGGTACCATAGAATAAAATGTGGGCCTAGGACCCCTTTAAGCCCACTATTCAAGCTGGCTTAACAAACTGGTCAGGTATAAAGTTTGCTACAGATACCTGAAGCAAGAACTAGATGAGGTTTACCCCTTGTCTTGTTTTATGTCCTTGGGAGCTTAACCTTGTGACCATTTGGGGGTACTTTCTCTTGGTATCCACCATCTGGGGTGTGGGAATTTTGAGGTTCATGTCATAGTTAGCCCTAAAAATTATCATGAGTAGTTAAAAGCATTTGAAAACTCAAAATTGGCTGCTCTAGGCTCCTTCTGGGAAGAGCACCTGAGACTGCTCCATGCTATAGCCCAGTAGCTAAGGCTTTATCTCTTTACAATGGTAGCTCATGTTCAATTCCCAGCTTAGGTAATGAGTCCCTTCTGGTTTTATGTTTGTGTGACCTTTGCCATTTACTGATTATTTACCCCTCCATGAACAACTTCTGACTTCCTGTCTCAAATTTTCTTTTCTCTGATACTTTGGATACTCTAAAACTTGTAAAACTGCTTGCCATTTCTTTGAAGACACCTTGTGTGTTCATGGTTAAGTCATACCCTTAGTTAAGGCTTACTGGTTTCACCTGGGAGGTTACCTTTGGTAAAATTCAAAACCCAGAAATATTGGCTGTTTGTCCTGGCTAGAGTCTGTTAAAAGAGATTTGGCTAAAAATCAGCTTAATTAAAAGCATACGACCTATCTGTAAACTTACTTAAAAGACCTTTATGCTTTTTCTCTTCTTGGGTCTTGTTTGTTTGATAAAATGTTTTTTGTTTTGTTCTCATCAATTGACTGAATTATTTCCCCAGTCTGTTTTCTTGCCCTCAATGCCCAAATGAAAGGGCCTAAAATGATTTTTGACAGCCTGGCACTCCTTGGAAAAATACAGATAAGGCACCACAGACCCTTTTTTGAGAGAAACCTCTGTTTTCCTCATAAAGCCCCAGGAATTGTAAGTGAATAGATCCCTGTAAAAATCTAAGGCTGTCCTCCATTTTGCACTGCATTACCTGACTTTTTGACTTTTGGGGATATCAAAAATTACTTTGCATTATTAAAGAGCTTTTAACCTTGGCTTGTAATAACTAGATAAGAAATACACTTTTGGGGATGGCTAATGGCAGTTATGGGGGAGAAATAGTCCACTACTTGCATGTTTGAATCAGAGAAGCATGGTTTTAGCCACCTGCAAAATATGAAAATGTCCACCACCACCCCCTCCCTCAAAATTTAAAACTCTCACAGGAGATGGGCTGATTGGTTTTGGATTGCCCATCAGCTTCAGGGAAATGTCCTTGCAGTAAAATTTGTGGTAAAAGCATTGCACTGTCTGGTCCTATAGCATTTCCCTCTTTTTAATGACCCAGAATTTGGCATAAAAATGTGAAAGAAAAACTTAAAATCTAGCAAATGAAAAATCTTTAACTATCAAATCTGCCCTGCCTGTCCATCTGTGTATTTATGTGTTGTATGTGTCTGATATCTTGCTACCAAAATAAATGAAAGCTCTGATTAATTGGCTTAAAAGTAATAAGCATTTAAATATCTTTCCAGAAAAAAGAAACTTTAATGCCTTTTAGTTCACATGGCTTTAGTAATCTTTGGGAAATAAAGATAATTTTAAAGATTATTGGTAACATAAAAATGTTTTGAAAATCTAAATTAGGCCGCTCGGATACTGTGTTTACTAAACTACACAGTCTGGTTCTTTGACTTTTGATAATTGTTCAACTTACCTGCTTTAGAGCCATTAGATTCTAGGTAAGGCCTTGGGACATGTAGAGTTAGCCATGCCCCCTTGCTATGCTGGAAAGAATCAAACCTTATCTGCACTTCTGTCTGGTGTCCTAAGCTCCACACTTGATACATAATTAAAATCACCTACTTACCAGGATTTTTTTTTTACCAAAAATAAAAGTTGCTAAAAGTTAACATTGTAACATATGTAATTGAGACTACTGGTGAAACAGTTTCATGTGCAATGTTTATAAGGAAAGTAGAATGTGTTTTTGGTAAAAGAGTATAAGAAGGCACGGGAGCATGATTTTTGCCTAGCTTAGAGGGTTAAAGGATTGTTTTAATTTAAATAGGAAAAAGCCAAAGGTTTGAGTATGTTGTGGAACGTTTTTGAAAGGTTAATCTTGTAAAAGAAATTCTGTGTGTGAACATATTGGCTAAAGCTAAAGGGATATTATTTAGTTTCCCCATAACTTGAACATTGGAATAAAAGCACAGCAGGGTTTTCTTAGCACACTGATGTGCTTTTTTGCAGAACATTGTAAAGGGTTATGAAAGTTTTCTGAAAATATTACCTTATTGTCAAACAGATTAAGATTGGATAGATTTGTCTATAAGGTTTTATTAAGAATTAGGTTTGACATTAATAGTACACTAATACAAAGTTGAAATTTGGCTTTCTCTCTTGAACAAGATTTTCATGTAATATTAAGAGATAATGAAAAATTGTTGTTAAAAGAAGAGAGAAAAAAAGAAAGATTGTTTGGAAAGCTAAGTCTTCCCTTTATCAGTAAGTAAAGGTTTTTGCGTTTTTAAAATCTTTATCATTTTGGCTAATAAATGACTTATGGTGACCTGAGATTCTATTTTATAATATCAAGTGTTTTAAACCTTTGATATTTGACAAACTTTCTGGTTCATTTCAGAATCAAGGAGACTTTTCTTTTGAGCTATTTACAGCTTTTAACAATTGAGTAAAGCACACTTCTATAAACAAAATTTGGAGCATATTTCTTTCTCTCTACCAAATTTCTCCAGAATTTAGAAACTATCTGTGAGCATTGTTAATTTATGGCAATATAGTTATTTGCATAAGAATTGCAATAAGAATCTGTTTTCTTTTATAACAGGACACAATTGGAGACACTTGTTATTTTACCAAGGCTTTGACTGGAATGGTGTGCTTTCAGATATAAATAGACTGCTTTAAGGAATCAAATTTGACTCATAGGCTGATAAAAGCCCCTTGGGAAAACTGGCATCATACCTTTTCTACACAGTCCCTGTACAGGTCCCTGACAGGCCCAGGAGGCCCAAGTTATCTTGGGACTTTGAAAGGAGAGGAATTCACCCAACTTGTACAGGTATGTTCAGGAACAGATAAACCCATGGCTGGGCTCAAGGCTTTAAAAAGTTTAACCTGAGATTCCAATAAAGCCAATTTTTAAAAAGAGCCTACATGGCAAATAATCATTCTTGTTGCACTTTATGCAAATAATCAGGCTGAATATAATAATACTAAAGCTTATTTTGCAAACAAATCAATCTTACCATGATTTGTTTTTAATAAAAATTGGGACTGGAGAGAAAAAGAATATATTTTTAAATAACTATGGAACACTTGTTTTTAGATCCATTGTATTTGAGTTTTTTCTGGAATTTAGACTGACCCTGCTTATTCCTGTGAACCAACCAGTGATCTCTGGCTGCTACTCCGAAGAAACAAGAGAAATAAATATCACTTTTTGTTGGGACCCAGAGTTATATAAATGGCCCTCACCATACTGATACTTTCTGACTGAATTCCTCTCTACCATGAATACAAGAGATCCTAATAGTTAAGGCAGGAATATCATTGCCTCTATTCAGCCTGAAAAAAAGCTCCTTAGAATGAAGGGTCCCCTTGTAAAAGGAAGGGGGGAAATACGTCAGAGGTGTTTGAACCAGAGGAGCCCATCTTGAATAGAGGCCGGGTAAAATGAGGTTGAGACCTGCTGGGCTGCATTCCCAGGAGGTTAGGCATTCTTAGTCACAGGATGTTTACAGTTAAGGAAAAAAGTTAATATTGTTTACTGAATAGAGCCAGGATTTAATAGACCTAGGAAATATCAGACCCAGGAAATGTTCTGATGTCCTGATATCTTAAAAACAAAAGCATTCTTAGTTTAAGTTTAACTTTAAAGATAATAATATATATTCTTGCAGAAGACAGTATTTACATAAACATTAACAAACCTTTGTTACAAGCCCTTGTAGTACAGCACATCTCCCCCATGATTTTTTGCTTTATCTTATATATAATCAAGCATTGTACCTAACGTGGGCATTTTCCTCCTCTTGCTTTTGGGAACGCCCTGCTCCATCTATGGACTAGCCATTCTTTTATCCCTTTATTTTCTTTCTTTTTTTCTTTTTGTTTTTGATGGAGTCTTGTTCTGTTGCCCAGGTTGCAGTCCAGTGGCATGATCTCGGCTCACTGCAGCCTCCGCCTCCTGGGTTCAAGCGATTCTCATGCCTCAGCCTCCCAAGTAGCTGGGATTACAGGCGTGCATGCCACCAAGCCCGGCTAATTTTTGTATTTTTAGTAGTGACGGGGTTTCACCATGTTGGCCAGGCTGGTCTTGAACTCCTGACCTCAAGTGATCTGCCTGCCTTGGCCTCCCAAAGTGCTGGGATTACAGGTGTGAGCCATTGCGCTCAGCCTTCCTTTACTTTCTTAGTAAACTTTCTTTCACTTTACTCTGTGGACTCACCCTGAATTCTTTCTTGCATAAGATCCAAAACCCTCTCCTGAAGTCTGGATTGGGACCTCTTTCCAGTAACACAACCAATCAATCCCTCTCAGATACCAAGGAATTACAGAATATCCTAAAGTCTTTCACAGAGCAGTAAAGAAGATCTATACTTCAACAGGGAGCAAAGCTTCTAGAAATTACGCTTTTAGGTATCACTCTGCCCATTCATTTATGGTAGCATCTCTCAATCTTTCTCCTTTCTCTCATTAATCTCCCAGATGACTCTCTCACATAGATCTCCAGCCTTTCTAGATTTTTCTATTCTGGGAGTAACTCTATACCCTTTCATATGTAAATCAACTTAGTGTTTTCACTTTCTCTAATTCTCTTCACTTAATAACCTAGCATCAGTAATCCAACAACCAAGGATTCTCAAAAGGTGAAAAAGGGCAAAATGCTGGGAATGTGTACACATTACTAAAATCAATTATCGTTATAGCTAAAAACAGACTTTCAAGGCACTTGTGAAAATTTATCAGCTCAGTCCTGTCCTCTCTTCCTCTTCTCCTAATTCATCCCCTTTAGGGTAAAGGTGGACTTGTTATAAAGGATTTATATTCCTCTCTAAACTAAGATACACAGGCTATATTCTAACTAGTGAATAAATTGAGGAATTACAGATATCTTACCTAATATTACAAATCTCACAGCATGGGCATTCCCAACTTGTTGAGAAAGACAGAACCTGCTTTAAAGATGAAACAGTCAATATGTACTTGGCCTCAACATTTTTTTAAAAAGTTGAGCTAAGATATCTTTTTCTTATTTCTCTCTAAATTGCAAGCCCCTTGAGGGCATCATTGTGTTTATTTTAGGGCTTAGTGGCACTTTACTTATAGTAAGTGCTGAATTACTATTATTTCAAGATATGTGTCTAATGATCCAAAAATGAGAAACAGATAAATCATTTAAAAATAAAATTATAATTTCATTTTCCTTCCTTCCAAAATGCAAATTTCCAACATTCTAAAATGTTGTTTATCTGAAGAGCCTTTTCCAGCTCTGTTAAATCCGTAGAAGCATTAGTCATTCTTATTATTGAACCAAGAATTCATCCATAACTCTGTAATGGCTTTTCTGATCTCCTGAGGGAAAATACTGCTAAAAATAGATACTCGCCTTTTTTTTTTTTTTTTTTTGGTGAGGAAGAAGTATGTACTTCAACATCCATCATCCTGGGAATATTAATAGTTTTACTCCTGGATTTTTGTTCTCAGTTCTAACGTGATTTTGAAAGATAAAATATTTGGGTATAATGCTCATTTAACATAAGTCATATATGCATAAGACAAGTCTCTGACCATATTATGTGGTCCAAATATCCTTATTATACTTTAATGTAGAAAAAGCAAACAGCTTGTGTGGATGTTTGCTTTGTAAACAAACACACAAACATTGCATTCAGTCACCGGTCATATCTCTTCTAACCTAGGAGCTTCTATTGAGCACTAAATTGTAGAGCTTGCTATATCGTTTGAAAAGAAAATACTCACAGGCTTAAAAGTTTAAAACAAGATGAACCTTTATAGGAACTTCACTAAGGAAGGAAGGAGGAGCCCGGGGCTAGGTACCCCCATATTCCAGTTCCTTAGCAAATCAAAAGTACGGACTTCCTTTTATACTTGTATATATCCAATGTCTTCATCTGAATCTTCCTGAAAGCAGAGCCAGGTATGGAGCTCTCTGTGTGTGGCTCCCACTTTTCAAAGCTCGCATTCACCTAGGCACATTTTGGGTTTTAGGTACGTAATTGAATCCTATCTCACCTTTCTTCCCCTCAGTGATTCTTCATAGTTTCTGGGTTACAATGGGCTCATTTTCCTGTTTGCCAGCATGTTTATAGATTTATTTATATATTTATAATTATTTTTTACATTTTCTAGAAACTGGGCATAAGACAAAAAAGCTTGCTTCATGGGATTAATCTACTATCATAAATTGAAATCTTGAATTTTCACTAACCCTGTGATAATGGACTAGACAGGTACTAAAATCTCTATCTTGAGTTTATTATAATCTCTGCTAATGAACCTATGACAAAATTTTGGTTCAAGATGGCTGACTAGATACCTGCCCTCCCCAGAAAGACGAACTAGTGACAAGAGTGGATCCCAGGTATAGAAACTTATCCGGATCTTGCTCTTCTACATTAAAATATGAGTGCTAATCATCCGCCAACATATATTCTCTCTCTCTTCCTGCTGACAGAATTCCCAAATTTTAGATGGCCACTCAGCTTGAGTCTACATATCCTAGCCTCCTTTGCAGATAGGTGCGGCCATGTGGGTAAATTCTAGTCAAAGAGATATAATGGAAACAATGGCGTGCTGTTAAATGTTTAACAACTAGCTTTTCAGCTGGGGAAGTGGGAGCTAATTTGTAGCAAGTGTTGATCTCTGTGGTGTAAATATTCCCATCATGTGTAATTTCAAGCTACAATGCAAAGTTGGGAAGAGATTTCCACATCATTAGATAGTATTCCCATCATATAGATGATATAGATGCAAATAACCTCAATAGCCTAGATACAAGCATATCTCAAAAATATTGCATGTTCAATTCCAGACAACTGCAATAAAATGGTTATCACAATAAAGTGAGTCATACAAATAAGTTTGTTTCCCAGCTCACATAAAAGTTATGTTTACACTACATTGTAGTCTAGTGAGTGTTCAATGGTGCCATGTCTTTAAAAAACAATGCATGTACTGTAATTTAAAACACTTTATTGCTAAAAATGCTTACGATCATCTGAGCCTTTAGCAGGTCATAATCTTTTTGCTGGTAGAGGCTTTTGCCTCTACCAGTAGCTACTGACTGATCAGGGTGGTGGCTGCTGAAGGCTGGAGTGGCTATGGCAATTTCTTTAAATAAGACAACAATAGAGCTTGTTGCTTTGACTGACTCTCCCTTTCATGAAAGATTTCTCTGTAGTATGTTGCTGTTTGATAACATTTTACTTGCAGCAGAACTCTTTCAAAATTGGAGTCAATCCTCTCAAACTCTGCTGCTGCTCTATCAACTAAGTTTATGTAATGTTTTAAATACTTTGTTATTATTTCAACAATGCTCACAGCATCTTCACCAGGACTAGAATCCATCTCAAGAAACCACACTTTTTGCTCATCCATAAGAAGCAACCATGATCTGTTAAAATTTTATCATGAGATTGCAACAATTCAGTAACATTCTCAGGCTTCACTTATAAATCTAGTTCTCTTGCTATTTCCACCACATCTGTAGTTGCTTCCTCAATTGAAGTCATGAGCCCATCAAAGTCATCCATAAGGGTTAGAATCAACTTCTCTCAAACTTCTGTCAATGTTGATGTTTTGACCTCCTCCAATAAATCATGAATGTCCTTAATAGCATCTAAAATGGTAAATCTTTTCCAGAAAGTTTTTGATTTACTTTGCCCAGATCTATCAGAGGACTTACTATGTATGGCAGCTATAGCCTTACTGAAATATATTTTTTAAATAATAAGACCTGAAAGTCAATTCATGGGCTGCAGAATGGATGTTGTGTTAACAGGCGTGAAAACAACATTAATCTTCTTGTACATCTCCATCAGAGCTCTTGGGTGACCAGATGGATTGTCTATGAGCAGCGAGCAGTAATATTTTGAAAGGTATATTTTTTTTCCTAAGCAGGAGGTCTCAATAGTGGGCTTAAAATAATTAGCAAACTAATAATTAGTAAACTAATATTAGTACATATCAGTAAAATAGCTGTAAACAGATGTCCTGTCATCCAGACTTTGTTGTTCCATTTATAGAGCACAGGCAGAGTCAATTTTACATAATTCTTATGGGCCCTGGGATTGTTGGAATGGTAAAAGAACTTTGGCTTCAACTTAAAGTCAGCAGCTGCATTAAACCCCTAACAATACAGTCTGTCCTTTGAAGCTTTGAAGCCAGACATTTATTTCTCCTCTCTAGCTATGAAAGTCCTAGATGACATGTTTCTCCAATAGAAGGCTGTTTTACCTACATTGAAAATCTACTGTTTAGTGTATTAACTTTTATCAATGATCTTAGCTGGATCTTCTGGATAACTTGCTTCAGCTTCTACATCATCACTTGCTGCTTCACCTTGCACTTTTATGTTATGGAGACAGCTTCTTTCCTTAAACCCCATGAGCCAACCAACTTCAAACTTTTCTTCTGCAGCTTCCTTTCCTCTCTCAGCCTTCATAGAATTTGAGTTAGAACCTTGTTCTGAATCAGGCTTTGACTTATGGAAATGTTATGGCTGGTTTGATTGTCTGTCCACTAAAACTTTCTCCGTATCTTCCTATCATTTGCATGTTCACAGGAGTAGCACTTTTAATTTCTTTCAAGAATTTTTCTTTTGCATTCACAACTTGACTGACACAAGAGACCTCGCTTTTAGCCTGTCTCAGTTTTTGACATGACTTCCTCACTAAGCTTAATCATTTTTAGCTTTTGATTTTAAGTGAGGGACATGTGACTCCTTCTTTCATTTAAAAATTTAGAGGCCATTGTAGGGTTATTAATTGGCCTAATTTCAATATTGTTGGGTCTCAGGGAGTAGGGAGGCCCCAAGGACGGGGAGAGAGACAGGGGAATGGCCAGTTGGTGGAGCAGTCAGAACACACGCACATTTATTAATTATGTTCGCTATTTTATATGAGCATGGTTCATGGCACCCCTAAACAATGACAATAGTACCATCAAAGATCACTGATTACAGATCACCATAATGAATATAATAATAATGAAAAGTTTGAAATACTGTGAGAATTGCCAAAATGTGACACAGAGACATAAAGTGAGCACAAGCTGTTGGAGAAATGGTGCTAGCAGACTTGGTCAACACAGGATTGTCACAAACCTTCAATTTGTGAAAAACATATCTGCAAAGTTCAACAAAGCAAAGCACAGGTCTGCCTGGCAATAGTAAAACATAGTAAAATAATTTTCAAAAGATGAGTTTTGAATATTTACCTTATTTTTAATATAATTTGTTTAATGATACATTATATACAAATTAATTTTTAGTAATGATTGTGTTTAACAACTGGATCACAAAATTGAAACTTTTTAACAAACGTTTCTTGTGAACTGGTACAAGCTGCTGCAAGTCAACTCTGGTACACCTGTGAATGAAATCTGTGTCTTACCCCTCCAGTGGCATATTAGATGCTATGTTTTGAGCTGGAAAAAGTAACTGCTTTGCTGTTTTGATTGTATTCTGGAGGAAAGTGGTATTCATGGATACTTGGGTGTTCAGAAGGTACACTGTGGCACAGACTGCTAATTGTCCCTAATACTCACTTTTTCTTTCTTTTCTTTTCTCCTTTTTCTTTTTTTTTTCCTTTTCCCTCCCTGCCTGCCTCCCTCTCTCCCTCCCTCCCTCCCTCCCTCCCTCCCTTCCTTCCTTCCTTCCTTCCTTCCTTCCTTCCTTCCTTCCTTCCTTTCCTTTTTAGTACAAGAAATCTCCATTTTAAAACTGGGTAGCTAGGCACACAGCTAAAGGCCACTTTTTCCAGACCCCTTGCAGTTAGGTGTGGCAACCACATTCTGGTCAAAGCAATGTGAACAGAAGTGGTCTGTGCAACTCTTGGGTCACTTTCTTAAAAGGAAGATGAGTGACCTCTACTTATTTTTCTCCTTTTTTCTACATGGGTTAAAACAGATATGATGATGCTGAGTCACCTTTGACTTTGAGGATAAGAAAAACATCGTAGAGGATGTCAGAGCAACAAGAAGAACGAAATGAAAATCTCTTAGTGACTTTATGGACCAGAGCTTCTTTATCCTTTTGTCCTACTTAGCAGCTTGGACATTCATATAAAAGAGAAACAAATCGGGCCCGGTGCCATGGCTCAAGCCTGTAATCCCAGCAATTTGGGAGGGCAAGGCGGGCGGATCACGAGATCAGGAGATCGAGACCATCCTGGCTAACATGGTGAAACCCTGTCTCTGCTAAAAATATAAAAAATTGGCCGGGCGCAGTGGCTCACGCCTGTAATCTTAGCACTTTGGGAGGCTGAGGCGGGCGGATCACGAGGTCAGGAGATCGAGACCATCCTGGCTAACATGGTGAAACCCCATCTCTACTGAAAATACAAAAAATTAGCAGGGTGTGGTGGCAGGCCCCTGTGGTCCCAGGTACTCGGGAGGCTGAGGCAGGAGAATGGCGTGAACCCGGGAGGCGGAGCTTGCAGTGAGCAGAGATCTCGCCACTGCACTCCAGCCTGGGCGACAGAGCGAGACACCCATCTCCAAAAAAAAAGAAACAAATCTTCCTTCTCGTTAAAGCCATTGTTATTTATTCTCTGCTAAAACGGCTAAAGCAATATACAGAAGCTGATAACAATAATTCCAGTTCTCTGAAATAAGACACTACCTAATGCTTTTGCTAAGAACCCTCCTCCTATTTCAGAAATAATTGATTATAAGTAATCAACTTACTGAAACATTTTATGGACCAATATAGTTTTTCTGTTGAAAGACATGGCCCCTATGCAATCTCATATTTCTTCCTAAAACATGTTTTAACTGTTTGATGGGTATAATTATGATAAAATTACTATTTGATATGTTATTGAAGGTTTTCAGATAGCATTATATCTCTGCATTTCATTTTGGGAAATTTCAATATCTTCCAGCTCACTGATTCTTTTCTTGGCCATGTCCAGTATACTAATGAGATCATCAAAGGCATTTTTAAATTTCTATTACAGTGGTTTTGATCTCTAGCATTTTTAAAATTCTTTCTAAGAGTTCCCACTTCTCTACTTAAATTATGCAACCGTTCTTGAGTGTTGTCTGTTTTTATCTATTTTTTTAATCTATTAGAACCCATAACATATTAATTATAGTTATTTTAAATCCACTGTCTGATAATTCTAAAATCTTTGTCAGAACCAGATCTGGATCTGATGTTTGTTTTGTTTCTACATTCTGTGATTTTTATTGCCTTTTAGAATGGCTTGATTTTTTTGTTAAAAGCCAGACATAATGTATCAGAAAATAGAAATTATGTCAAATAGGCCTTTAATGTAAATGTTCACGTTAACCTGGCTAGAAGTTGGTCTGTGTTTAATGTTTGCTGTAGCTATAGGTGTCTGAGGCTTCAAATTCCTCTAGTGTTTTTGTTTTTGCCTCCCCTGTTGACTTTGGGCTTCCCTAATACTCCTCAAAGAGTCTGCATCTTGCTGCTATTTCAGCTAAAATCCACTGCCATTTTACTAGACTCCTATTGGTGTGGTGGTAAGGTACTGGGGAGGGAAAGCATTCTACAAACTTATGATGAAATCTTAATCTTTTAATAGGCCTGTACCTTTGTGCTGTGACCATCACCAGTGTTTCCTGGCTTTATTTTTCTCCTCTTGTGAGAGAGAAATGCTAGAAGGGAATGGAGTAGGAAAAATGCCCTTCCTTAACTTGGAATAAGATCCTGGTTAAAAGTCTTTTCCCCTGGAGATTAGGCCTTTGTCATATACAATACCCTGGGCATATTTCAAGATGGTTGCTCTTCCTTTTACCCTACCAGAGCCACCAGGAGATCATGCTCAATTTTTTTCCCATAAGTATGTGGTGGGGATCCTGGAGGTAAATCTCAAGAAAATATGGATCCCACCCCCCCGCCATAAGACTGCATCCCAGAAGTTTCTTCCTTTCATTTTAGTCCACGCTCTACCTCTAGCAATTTCTTATTATTGCCATTTAAGTATTCCTACCGTTTTATGGCTCTAGCTGCTTCTGCTCCTGGTTAACAGACCTCATCTGTGACTCTCTTAATTCACCCATCTCTCCAGATTTCAGGGTGATGGTTTGCCCTGTACTTCAGTTCTCTGATGGGTCCAAGAAAAAATCATTGATTTTTAGTTCACCTTTTCCTGTCATAAGGATGGGAGTGACAACTTTCCAAGCTCTTTACATGTTAGCGCTGAAATAAGAAGTCCACAGCATGCTATCTTAACTTATAATATTATGTTTCTATACCATATTGAATTTAAATGGAAATTTTAAGTGAATTTTTAAATTTGAAACTTAGGGCTGGGCGCAGTGGCTCATGCCTGTAATCCCAACACTTTGGGAGGCCGAGGCGGGTAGATAACCCGAGATCAGGAGTTTGGAGACCAGCCTGTTCAACATGGCAAAACCCCGTCTCTACTAAAAATACAAAAATTAGCCGAGCGTGGTGGCGGAAGTCTGTATGTAATCCCAGCTACTCAGGAGGCTGAGACAGGAGAATCACTGGAACCTGGAGGCGGAGGTTGCAGTGAGCCGAGATAGCGCCATTGCACAACAGCCTGGGTGACAAGAGTGAAATTCCATCTCAAAAAAAAAAAGAAAAGAAAAGAAAAGAAAAAGAAACAGATTAGATCTGGCGAAAAGGATCATTTACTCCAGTAGTAGGAACTTTGGATTCCCTGGCAAGCTGTTCACATGAATTACAAATATCTGGATGTTGTAGGCAAAGTCTACCATCTCAGATCATGCCACATAGATGGGAACCTTCTGGGCTGGCTCTACTAAAACCACCAAATATGTACCTGGCTTATGTCAAAGGACATTCAGTGAATTTGAATTTTACCTTAAGCTAAGTGAATGAATTTCTAGTGATATGAGGGTAGACTCATGGTTTCCTAAAAATTTGAGCCTATTAGGATGGGGAAAGGGACAGGAAACTGAATGGGTGTTCAGAGTTTAGTGCCATAAAAATCAGTAGAGCCAAGGAAGAAGATATCCTATAGAAACCACCCAGACACCAAGAGGCTCTGACTTGCCAAGACTTCCATAGATGGGTGGCCACAGGGTAATATTATGGTTCCCAGAATAGTCTCAGACCACAGAAATGTAGACTAAGGTTATGTACTCAGCAATGTGATCCTGAATTGGGGAAAATCTCACTCCAAAATGTTGCAGCTCTCTTGGAATAAGTAACCTGTGTTATTACTTCAATTCACTGTTGACTTGTATGACTTCACTTGTCCAGAACCCATTCGTTCAATATTCTCTTCACAGCCATATGCCATGAAAACTGTTGGTTTCCCTTTCCCTGTCTCATAAATGATTCAAATCTATTTCCACCCACCTGCTACCTCTTGTACTCTGAGAGTGGGATATTTCCTCTAAAGAGAACCTGTCAGTGCTAATTATGGAGGAAAGCCTATGTGGCAAAGATGTGTAGGTTTAAAAGACAAGAAAGTCCCCCACAGAGGTTCTGTGAAACACTGGATACACTGACAACTTAATAAAAAGCTTGATTCAGTGACAGTTTTAACACACTGGCATGGTAAGTATCATTAGAAGTAAAGTGACTTTCAAGGGAAAAAATGTTTTATGGAACTGTGTGAAGAGCTATGATTGATCTTAAATTTCCTCTGTTTCATGGCTCCTGAAGTGGTGCATCAAAGAACAACTGGTACGGGAGTTGTATTTCTCCTCAGGTCCCACACCTGGTAACAGCTTCTTTGTGGCATTGGGGAGTGTCATTGTTTGTGAAACTCATTCATCCAGAGAAAACAGGCTGAGTGTTCTGCTTTCTTTCTCTTCCAAACCCACATTCATATAGAGCTAACTTGGAGGGTGGGTAAGAGGAAAGGCAAAAAGAAGCAGGGAGAGGATGAGCCATGTGGACATAGTTGGATGTGTGTGTGCTCTGGATTGGGGCAAACACAGTCAGGGGAACATTTGGTAGGCACAGCTTTGAGAAAAACAGGCTTGATGTTGTTTGTTTCAGACATGTGAAGGATCGTTGGATTTACAAAAAATTTTTTCTCTCTCTTTTATCGTTCTCATGGAAATAGTAGGAAGCTATTACTGTGTGCTCGAGCTTCACCAGTGTTCTAAAAATTTGCCTGATAAATCAGGCACATGGTAGCCAAACAATGTAATGATGAGTTTGTACTTTATTACATGGCTTGGGAGATGATGAAAAAATTATTATTAAACAGGTGTCAAGAGCTCAATATGCATAGTAGCTACTAGGGTTAGCAATTCAACCTGAAAAAGAAAAAAAACTATACAAAATTCTAAATGAGGTATGTCTATCCATGTTTATCACTGTTACCACTGACATTTCAAATAATCCAATCTGACTAATCTAAAAGAAGCCACTTAGTCAAGCTCTAAACATTTATGCTTATTTTCGTGAAGTATATATAATAGTCAGACTTTCTATGGCCATGAATTACAATAATGACTCAAGAAAATAAACAATGTGATAGATTCCTCCCACCAAGAGGAATCTAACCACCTTGTGAATCTAACCACCTTATGAATTGCTTTGCCCAAAATGCAAAAGAAGTAATGTTGTTCCAATTCTGAGCCTAGGTGGCAAGAAATCTTGCTTACTTCTGCTTTATCTCTTGGATTCTTTCCTTTGTATAAGTCTAGGCTAGCCTGGTGAAAGATGATAGAGCAGGAGGAGCAGAGCTTAGTCATCCCAGCTGAGGCTAACCTAGACCAGCCAGCCACCAGCTGACTCACCAGCTGAACATAGATATGTGAATGAGCCAAGCCAAAATCAGCTGAGTGCAGCCGAAATTAGCAAGACTCCAATCACCCAGATAACCAACAGACTTCTGAAAAATTATAGATGGTTGTTGCTTTAAGTCATTACATTTTGAATTGGTTTATTACAAAGAAATCGGTAATTGATATGTCAGTGAATATTAACTTTCTCTGGGAACTGCTGCCCGATTTAAGTCATTCTAATTTCTTTTGGGGTTTAAGAATGTGCAACAGGACATGTTTTCATTCTGATGTAATCTTCAGAAGAGGATATGGTTTATTATAGACTAACTTTTTACTTTACTAAAACCGCAAGTCCCTCTATCATCTTAAGAAATGTCAATATCCATATGGAAGATCCTTTCTAGTTTGATGTTTTCTTGACCTTCTGAATTCCAAGAAACTTAAACCCTATGACTCTTCAACAACCATTTCTTCTTGCCTAAATTGCTTCACACCAGAAATTATAATCTCCAACATCTGTTAGCCTCCTCGCATGTCTCATCACATCTGATTTTCAAATTTATTTAGTTTCTATCCTTGGTTCCTTTATTTTTTGCAACATGTCAGCTCCTGTTGGTCTCACTTATATGATAGACACTAATCATTGGCTCACTTAACTCCAACATCAAACCCCTCTTCCTGGGCCTCCCTCTATTATAGTGGCTAGAATATTAAAGCTTTGAAGTTCTGGTCTTCTTTGCAACAAGAGATGCAATGTGATACACTTTTGTCCAAAGAGGTTAAGGGGAGATTTAATGGAAAACTGCCCTCCCAAAGTAACACTTCATTAAGAGAAAGCTTTTGATCCTTTCCTCCTCCTTTCTGCCTGGAACTCATACGGGATGATGCCCTTGTTCAGCAGCTATATTGCAACAACAAAAATAAAAGCCATGCAAAAAGGATGAGGAAGAAGAATGATATATTGATGTTACTGTGGAGTCAAAACACGACCCTAAGCCCCTTCTTCAGGATTTTTGTTGTATGAGAAAAATAATTTCTTATTTAACCTATCACATATGGTAAGGTTTTCTGTTGCTCACGAATGTACTGTAAAGTTATATTGATACAATGTCCTTCCCTATTTGTTCCTTCTGGATTTTTGTTTTGTTTTGTTTTTGAGATGGAGTCTCACTCTTTCTCACAGGCTGGAGTCCAGTGGCTTGATCTTGGCTCACTGCAACCTCTACCTCCTGGGTTCAAGTGATTCTCCTGCCTCAGCCTCCTGAGTAGCTGGGATTACAGATGCGTGCCACCACACCTGGCTAATTTTTTTTTTAATTATACTTTTAGTTCTAGGGTACATGTGCACAACGTGCAGGTTTGTTACATATGTATACATGTGCCATGTTGGTGTGCTGCACCCATTAACTCATCATTTACATTAGGTATATCTCCTAATGCTTTCCCTCCCCCCTCCCCCCACACCACAACAGGCCCCAGTGTGTGATGTTCCCCTTCCTGTGTCCAAGTGTTCTCACTGTTCAATTCCCACCTATGAGTCAGAACATGCGGTGTTTGGTTTTTTGTCCTTGCGATAGTTTGCTGAGAATGATGGTTTCCAGCTTCATCCATGTCCTTACAAAGGACATGAACTCATCCTTTTTTATGGCTGCATAGTATTCCATGGTGTATATGTGCCATATTTTCTTAATCCAGTCTATCATTGTTGGACATTTGGGTTGGTTCCAAGTCTTTGCTATTGTGAATAGTGCCGCAATAAACGTGTGCATGTGTCTTTATAGCAGCATGATTTATAATCCTTTGGGTATATACCCAGTAATGGGATGGCAGGGTCAAATGGTATTTCTAGTTCTAGATCCTTGAGGAATCGCCACACTGTCTTCCACAATGGTTGAACTAGTTTACAGTCCCACCAACAGTGTAAAAAAAATATGGAACACTTCACGAATTTGCATGTCATCCTTGCACAGGGGACATGCTAATCTTCTCTGTATCGTTCCAATTTTACTATATGTGCTGCCGAAGCGAGCACACACCTGGCTAATTTTTGTATTTTTAGTAGAGATGAGGTTTCACCATGTTGATCAGGCTAGTCTCGAACTCCTGACCTTGTGATCCACCCGCCTCGGCCTCCCAAAGTCCTGGGATTACAGGCGTGAGCTACCGCGCCCACCTGTTCCTTCTATATTTATTAACTCTTGCCTTCTATCACACTATCCTGAAATATTTCAAATTAGAATCTCTGCAATCGCCCATCTTCTCTTAGACTTGAATTATAAAGTCCTTCTAGAGAAATCATACAAGCATGCATTTTTACCACTACAAATTTATCATTCCCAGCTTTAGTATGTCCTCAATACTAGAGTAAATCTTCCCTGTCTTCACTTAGTAACAGCTATTAATGTTTATCATTCTTCTTACTCTTTGCAATGTGACTTTGCAGAATGCCCTACCCAATATCACTTTGTACTTTATATAGAGGCCATAATATGGGAACTCCATTTCACTTTTCTTCTCCCACTCCCTTCTTTCCTGAAAACTTATCTTTATCTATTCCCATCCTTATTTTTACATTCCCAGTTCAGTGGAGAAATACCCCTTCTTCTAAGCAAAGCTAATTCCTTTTTCTGTGCCCTAGTGTTCATTGCCTTCTACCTGCTCAGAGATCACTCTGCCTAAGTCGTTCCTTCTTCTGTTTGTTCAACTACTCTCTCTTTGCTGGTTTTGTCTCCTAAGCATATAAATGTACTTATATCTCCACAATCTTCAAACAACACACTTTCTCTTTATTCATACCCATCTACCTATCGCCCTCTACCTCTCCACATTGCGTTTAGTCTGTCTCCACAAAACAGTAGATTATTCTATTTTTACACTCTTCAAATCTTCTGCAGTTGTGGTTTCAAACCCACTGCTCCATTAAATTTGCCCTAATTAAGGTAAGCAGAATCCTTCTAATTACCCAATTAAATGTGCTCTTTTCAATCTTTATCTCATTTTCTTTCTTTGTCATTCACTCTCTTTTTGAAAACTGTGATTAGTCAACTATTGCTGCATAACAAACCACCCCAAAACTCAGTGACTAATGAAAAACAATCGTTTATTATTACAAAACAAGTCTGTGGGTTAGGTGGGGGTTGTTTGATCTAGGCTGGGCTCAGCTGAGAATAACTTATTCTGCTATGGGCAGTGACCTACCCAGGTTTGTCCTTCTCATGGCAGAGACATAAGAGTACAGGACAAATTGTGCAAGCTGCTTTTCAAACCTCTGTTTTTGTCATATTTCCTGGCATTTCACTGGCTAAAGTATGCCGTATGATTGAGCCTAGAGTCAGAGTAGAAGAGCACTGAAAATGTACAGGACAACGGGAATGAATATAGGGAGGGGTAAAAATTAGCCATTAATGCAATTTACCTACTCTATTACCTTTTTTGTTTCTCTCTCTCTCTCTGTGTGTGTGTGCGTGTGTGTGTGTATGTGTGCATGTGATCACTTCTTCTATAATTGTTCTTATCTATCTTTTAAGGACTCTTCTACTGCCCATCCCATCCCTTGGATATGAGCGTTTCCTAATATGTCAGCCTCTGTGTTTGTTTTTCTCTCTGCATACTCCTCCTGGGTGATCTAACTACCCCCTATATATTAAGGATTCTCAAATTTATATCTCCATATATGCCCTTCTTTAGACAAATTGAAGCATTTGTAATTTTCCACACGTGCTTTTTCATGCCTCTATGCCTTCATGCATTCTGTTACTTTTTCCTGGCAGTTCCACCTTCCTTACCCTCATTCACATCTACAGCTTCTCCAAGAATCAGCCCGGTTGAAGCATCAGTTTATCTTTTCTCCTCTTACTTCAAAGACCAGGCCAGTGTTAGAACATAACAGGCTATCAACAAACATTTATTGAAATAATTATTTAAAATAAAAGTAGCATGCATTTCATTTTGTTCCAAAATTTTAAGCAAGTCATAGTCTGTTGGGCAAAGACATAACACCAAAATTTGTTTTAGACTACTAAGATGAAAGGTGACATGCAACCAGATTTTATGCTGCTCTTTTCCTCCTACTCCTCTTCAAGAAAGATTCACAACATGATACATACTAGCTGGGAGTGAATGATTCATTTTATTTGAACCTGAAATATAACCTCTAAATGATAGACCTTAAATAGTTGTTTTCTCACTTAGTGGATGGCATTGCTTCCTGGAGTTGACCTTTTGTACTTTCACTTTCATTTTATATGTAAATGGCTGAATGTATTTTTGGTGGGTGATATGGCTTGGCTGTGTCCCCACCCAAATATCATCTTGAATGGTAGTTCCCATAATCCCCATGTGTCATAGGAGGGACTCAGTGGGAAGTGATTTCATCATGGGGGTGGTTTCCCCCATGCTGTTCGCATGATAGTGAGTGAATTCTCACAAGATCTGATGGTTTTATAAGCGTCATATGATATATAAGCATCATATATGGCGGATCCACTGGCAGCTTGCACCATGCTGTCTGGCATTTCCCCTGCTTGCACTCATTCTCTCTCCTTCCACCCAGGGAAGAAGTGCCCTCTGCCAGGATTGTAAGTTTCCTGAGACCTCCCCAGCTATATGGAACTGCGAGTCAATTAAACTTCTTTTCTTTATTAATTACCCAGTCTTGGGCATTTCTTTATAGCGGCATGAGAATGGATTAATACAGTCAATTAGTACTGCAGGGAGTGGAGTGCTGCATTAAGTATACCCAAAAATGTGGAAGTGACTTTGGAGGGCTCAGAAGACAGAAAGATGTGAGAAAGTTTGGAACTTCCTGGAGACTTGTTGAATGGTTTTGACCAGAATGCTGATAGTGATATGGGCAATGAAGTCCAGGCTGAGGTGGTCTGAGATGGAGAAGAAGAACTTCTTGAGAACTGGAGCAAAGGTAACTCTTGCTATGCTTTACTAAAGAGACTGGCAGCATTTTGCCCCTGCCCTAGGGATCTGTGAAACTAAACTAGAGAGACATGATGTAGGGTATCTGGTGGAAGAAATTCGTAAGCAGCAAAGCATTCACGAGGAAGCAGAGCATAAAAGTTTTAAAAATTTGCAGCCTGCTGATGCGATATAAAAGAAAACCCCATTTTCTGAGGAGAAATTCAAGCTGGCTGCAGAAATTTGCATAAGTAATGAGGAGCCCAATGTTAATCACCAAGACAATGAGGAAAATGTCTCCAGGGCATGTCAGAGACCTTCATGGCAGGCCCTCCCATCACAGGCCTGGAGGCCTAGGAGGGAAAAGTCATTTTCTGGGCCAGGTCCAGGACCCCCCTGCTCTGTGCAGCCTTGGTACTAGGTGCCTTGTGTCTCAGCTACTCCAGCCATGGCTAAAAGGGGCCAAGGTACAGCTCACACCATTGCTTCAGAGGGCGCAAGCCCCAAGCCTTGCAGCTTCTATGTGGTGTTGGTCTTGTGGGTGCACAGAAGAAAAGAATTGAGATTTGGGAACCTCCATCTAGATTTCAGAGGTTGTATGAAACACCTGCATGTCCAGGCAGAAGTCTGCTGCAGGGGCAGAGCCCTCATGGAGAGCCTCTGCTAGGGCAGTGCAGAAGGGAAATGTGGGGTCAGAGCCCCCACACAGAGTCCCCACTGGGGCACTGCCTAGTGGAGCTGTGAGAAGAAAGCCAGCATCCTCCAGACCCCAGAATGGTAGCTCCACTGACACGTCATGCCATGCACCTGGAAAACCCACAGACACTCAATGCCAGCCTGTGAAAGCAGCCGGGGGTTGGGGGGTGGAGGCTTAGTACCCTGCAAAGCCACAGGCGTGGAGTTGCCCAAGGCCATGGGAGTCCACCTCTTGCATCAGCATGATCTAGATACGAGTCAAAGGAGAACATTTTGGAACTTTAAGGTTTAATGACTGCCCTATTGGATTTCGGACTTGCATGGGCCCTGTAACCCCTTTGTTTTGGCCAGTTTCTCCCATTTGGAACAGGTGTATTTATTTGCCTAATGCCTGTACCTCCATTGTATCTAGGAAGTGACTAACTTGCTTTTGATTTTGCAGGCTCATAGGTGAAAGGAACTCGCCTTGTCTCAGATAAGACTTTGGACTTGGACTTTTGAGTTAATGCTGGAGTGAGTTAAGACTTTGGGGGACTGTTGGGAAGGCATGATTGTGTTTTGTTATGTGAGGACATGAGATTTGGGAGGGGCCAGGGTGAAATGATATGGTTTGGTTGTGTCCCAACCCAAATCTCATCTTGAATTTTAGTTCCCATAATCCCCACTTATCATGGGAGGGACCAGGTAGGAAGTGATTGGATCATGGGGGTGGTTCCCCCATGCTGTTCTCATGACAGTGAGTGGGTTCTCAGGAGATCTGATGGTTTTATAAGTGTCTGGCATTTCCCCTGCTTGTACTTATTCTCTCTCCTGCTGCCCTGTGAGGAGGTGCATTCCACCACGGTTATAAGTTTCCTAAGGCCTCCCCAGCTATGTTGAACTGTGAATCAATTAAGCCTCTTTTCTTTATAAATTACCCAATCTCAGACAGTTCTTTGTAGCAGTGTGAGAACAGGCTAATATAGTGGGGAAAGCACACTATGTTCAACCATGTCATTGGTATTTAGCATATATTATGCAATGCACCATTAAATTTGATAGAATAAGTAAGCATAATTCTATCAAAACATTTTCTTATGCAGCTTTTCCTTATCAAGTTGAGTGTTATTGCCTACCTTTCTGATAAGTATTTACTGTGAAATTTACACATTAGCAGTCTCTGGGTAACAGGGCATAGTATGAATGCCATAAACTGGACAACTGGATGAGGACATAGACTCTGTGTTGAGTTAGAAATAAACAAGCAACTACAGATAAATCTTCTAATAGTGCCACTGATTTGTTGATCAAAGACTACCTATCAGTATAGACCATCATAAGGGACCTCAATAAAACCAAAATTATTGCAATTGAACTTTATTTTTTAAAAATTTTAACATTTTTTTTTAAAGAGTCTCGCTGTGTTGCCCAGGTTGGAGTGCAGTGTCATGATCTTGGCTCACTGCAATCTCCACCTCCCAGGTTCAAGCAATTCTCATGCCTCAGCCTCCTGAGTAGCTGGGATTATAGGTGTGTGCCACCACACCCATGTAATTTTTGTATTTTTAGTAGAGACGGAGTTTTGCCATGTTGGCCAGGCTGGTCTCAAACTCCTGGCCTCAAGTGATCCACCTGCCTCAGCCTCCCAAAGTGCTGGGATTACACATGGGACAAACCACACCCCACTGCAATTGAACTTTAAAACACTTTGTGTTCTATAATACCAGTTTGCCTCACCATACAACCCTCTTAGCTCTCATTCATTAATTTAAAAACAAAAACATTTATTGAATCACGCATAGATCTTTGCACTAGAAATACAATGGGGAGCAGGATAGACCAGTTCCCTGCTTCTTATGGGGTTTACATTTGAGTAAGAGATACAAGATAAGCAGTTTGGCAGTTACAATAAACACTGGAAGGAGTGGGATTAAAAGCAAAGGAGAAAGAAGAAAAATGTCATTCCATGGTCTGCGAATAAGATAGAAGGAACAAATGTCAAAGAACCTGTGGAAGAATTACCACTCTGTTATAAGGGAAGCAAATAATAGCTAGGCATGCAAGTGTGTTCTTTCATTCAATGACAAGAAGTTAAAGGAGCCCTCAAATGATGGATCCAGTTTCTTGCTAAAGTGGGAAGCAATATGTTGATAGTGACAGGAATGTTCTGGAGTCAGAGAGGTGGAGAGTGGGAAAATGTTTGAAATGGCTGTGGTGGAGAACCAAAGCTGAACAGATCAGAGAATCATCAGAGGTTTCCCCTCCTGCTCTGAGAACCCCACTGTGGATGCAGACCACAGAGTTACAGAGCCCTAGTCTGTTCATTGAGAGACATTTTCAACCAGCCTAGATTTAGGTGGAGAAAAGTCAATGAATTGGATCAATTCAAGAGTTTAGCTGGGTTAATTTTTTAACCAACAAAGAATCAGAGAAAGATTACAGCTTTCTTCACTTTGTGACAATTCCTGAAAGAAATAGCCAAAAACCAAATGCCGAAATCACTCCAGGAGAGATTATCCTAGTTAAAAGCCCTCAGTGAGGGCCTCATACAAATTTAAATACAATCCCACCACACTGACCTGATGTCCTCACTATAATGACTGACGATCTCTTGGCTCCAAATACCCCCATTCTATCAAACATTAACTCAGAGTAATATGGAGATAAGACCATGTGGATAGAAAACCCTTTGTAAACAGTTTTTATTGTTCTCCAAGTCTTCGTCTGTGTTTAGAAGGAGAAAACTGAGACTTGAATGTTTCAATCAGTGCCTATTTCTAATTTTTATACCTTGAAACAGCCCACTAGGAATGAGAAATGTGTATAATCATGTTGCTTCAGCACCTTGTTCAACATCTACATCATCCATGTCTTTACCTAAGGAGAATAGAATATAATTATGATTGTTACAAGGAGAAAACTATCCACAATCCCTTAATGTCAACTGAGGTCAATCTATATATGTTTATATTTGATTATGCTTTTGAAAACCAGGGCTGCATCATGGGTTGAATAAGTATACATGATTGGTGCTGATGCTTGGCAAATACTCTATTATGTGTAAAACCATGACACAAATGCTCATTTTGTTCATATTCAATGTTTTTTCCCTCCCTGTACAAAGGTCACTTTGTTTTAAAATTAACTACTTTAAAAGTCCTCATCTGGCTTATGAATAAATACTTAAAATGTGCTTTGACTATGAAGAAGGTCATTAGCATATGCACTTTGACAATGAATGATTCCCTGTGATAAAGCTGCAGATTTTTGATGAACAAAATGGCTATACCTAATGAAGCCATTTTATGCTAGTAAATACATTACTCCAGCTCTTCAAAAACACCAGGAAATATCTTTTGTGAGACATGGTTTAGAAGGATCACAGAAATTAAGAGCTGAGTATAACTAAATGGATCTCCTTGCATGTGTTCTTTCCCTGAAACAGTACTGAACTGATTCATGCAGTACATGTGCTTTTCTTATCCAGTTCATATGCCCCTTCAGTGCAATAAAGCATTATAATAAACAACAGGGTCAGATTATGTACCCTGTATCAAAAGGTCAGCATTCTTTCCACTAAAAGACAGACACTAAATAAAAAACAGATTTTTTCTCTGTGAGGGAAGGAAATATTCTCAGTTTGATATTTGTTTAAAGATTGTAATATGAGGATGAGGTGGGGCATAAATTAGCCACAACACTAGTAGAATTTTTAGTTAAATAAATGGTTAAAAAATCACAACCTTCACTAGAAATGGTGGGCACAAGAGGGACCAAAACACAAAAAAACTAAGTTTTCCAAACCTTAGCCAAAAACATTCTTATTGTGATTATGCAGGCAGAGCATGCCTGAGGCACAAATGTAATTTCATCTTTACATGAACAAATACTAAAGCATAATAAAATTGTATGGCAGAAACAAGGGCAGGAGGCAAAAAAAAAAGAAGGGATATAAGATGTCTCATATAGAATCTATGAACGTCTGGAGAAAAGGGATCAACCTATATGGAAAAGTCTTATTTCCTATTTTTCCTTGGTGCCTGCTTATTTCCCCCTGCCCAGTATGTTTATCATGGCACTGTACTCTAGGATTTGTACTCAGTTGTCCCTATTCACTCATACTCACAACCCCATATATGAAAAAGCCAGGAAAGATATCAAGTCAAAATCATGGAACCTGATAATAACGTCCCCCAGCTGATAATACAAAGCTTCTTGTACCACTCTCCTGGCTACAATGCCCACAGTAGGATATAAAAGAGGCACCAAGAAGAAGAGGAATCCTCACTCCTGCTTAGATGTTGGCTTCAAAAATATTTTATGTTCATCCAGATGCAGTGGCTCATGCTTGTAATCCCAGCACTTTGGGAGGGCGAAGTGGGCAGATCACTTGAGGTCAGGAGTTCAAGACCAGCCTAGCCAGCATGGCAAAATCCCAACTCTACTAAAAATACAAAAATTAGCTGGGTGGGTGGTGCACACCTGTAGTCCCAGCTACTCTGGAGGATGAGGCAGGAGAATCACTTGAACCTGGGAGGCAGAGGTTGCAGTGAGCTGAGATCACACCACTGCACTCCAGCCTGGATGACAGAGAGAAACCCTGTCTCAAAAAACAACAACAACAAAAAAAAATATGTATATATACTTCATATTCAATCATCCAACTTTCTGACCCCTACTCTCTTTGCTTCCATCTCACTTTTTCTAGAACCTTCACCCCAGTAATTATCTGACACCATTTTGACCTACAGTTCAATGATCCTATCACTTTTTCGCTGTCCATCACTACTTACCGAGCTTAGAATCCACAAGCTATCAGACCAATCACTCCCCTGAAAATGCCTTTGAAGGCCATGATTCTCTCTTCCTCAGTCAAAATCACTTGGAAAAGCCCCAATCCGGGTTAACCCTACTCTTCTCCATATGCTTCCAAGAGCTGAACATGGCCAGAGGCTGCAACATCTATGATAGGTTTCATTTTAAAATTATGACCACAAAACGCAATTGAGTTGCCTGAGATTTTACCATATTTTTCTAATTTATTTCCTTCCCCACACTCTGAGAAAATCCATCGTCCTCTCTCATGTAACGTCAAACTTCAAATCTAACTTCTAATGTAACTTTCAAATTCTTGTCTAACTTCTTTACATTATTTGAGTGATTATCTAAATGTCATTTTCTCAGAGAACTCTTCCCTCTTCACCTTATCTATAGTATCCTCACCCTAGTCACTCTCTATTCCCTTACTTTTCTTACGTCTTCTTTATAACACTTACAGCTACCTCGTCATGTGTGTGTATACACACACACACACATATATATATATACACACACACATATATATATAATGTAAGAGTTAAAGAAAGAGGAAAGAAACATGAAACACAGATTGGCAGTTAAAGACACCTTTACTTTAGATAAAATATGAGAGGGGTTTCTGGCCAATTTTGGTCAGGAGCACTTTCTCTTACAGACTAAGAGAATATATTTGTTTTAGGGTGAGGGGGCTTATCACTAGCTTGGAATGTTTCAGTGTGAGGGAGAGGATTTATGGCAGGGTTGGAATGTCTCTGGGAGGAGGGGAGTTTATTTTGGGACAGACATCTTTCCGGCTGGAGGGGGTTTATCTTGAGGCTGGCATCTTTCCGGCCAAAGGGAGGTGATCTCGGAGCTAGCATGTCTCTCGTCGGGGAGGAGTTTGGAATGTTTCTGGTTGGAGATGTTATTTGTGGTTTATGGTCTTGCTGACCTTAGCCATTAGGCTGATGCCCTTTGGATTTAGGCAGTTTTTTATTAGGTGAACTTTAGAATGAAGGGCTTGCCCAAGATGGCGATGTTCCTGCTGTCATATAATACACATTATGTACATATCATATGTATATATGATATATATCTATATATGACAAATATATGTGATATATATATATATGATATATATATAGTGTTTGTGTATTGTCTGCCTTTCCTAATAGATCATAAACTCCATAGAGATGGGCAATCTTTCTTGTTCATTCCCATCTTCTAATACAGGATTTCTTAACCTCAGCATTATTGACATTTTATGGCAAATAACTTACTGTAGGGGACTGTCATGTGCATTGTTGGAAGTTTGGCAGCATCCATGGCCTCTAACTACTATAAGCCAGTAGGTCTCACCCTGCTTATGACAATCAAAATGTCTCCAGGCATTGCCAAATCTCCCTGGGGTGGAGGTGGGGGCAATGGTAAAAACCTGCCCTGGTTAAGGACTACCTCTCTAACACAATGTTTGGCAATAGAGAGTGCTAAGTAAACCTTTGTTGAATGAATGAATGAATAAATGACAAACCCATAGGACACAAAAACATTCCCAAGAAGTAGCAGAATGTATTGTTCTAACATCCAGCAGAACTATGTTTAAGCCTGTCCAGCAAAAGTGAATTTACCTTGTTGTAATGACATCTGAAGGGGAAGAAAAGATTTTGCACCAAGGGTTCTCAACCCTGACTGACTACATGTCATAATCACCCACCTGGGGAAGCTTCTGAAAAACTACTGATGCCAGTTTTGATTCCAGAACAATTAAATCAGAATCTCAAGGGGGTGGGGTCTAGCACAAAAATTTTTTTAACACCTCATCCTGTGCTTCTGATTTGCAGCCAGTGTTAAAATCCTATTCCTTTCAATTCTCCAAAGACTAGTATTACAGCATAGCAATCCTCATTGTCAATACATTTCTCCTCAAATATCTACATTAGTGATCAATTCCTTGGAAATGAAAGAAAGGATATCTCAGCACAGTAACTTCCCGCTCCATTTATATCTTCTATTCCCTGCCCCATTGTAGATCTATATTCATCCTAAGTAAGGTAATTTAAAAATTAGTGTTCTATTTTTGATAATTAGTTCTGGTAATTAAAAAAATGTATTACCTTGCAATTTTCTTTTGTAATAATGGCTTGTACTATGAAATAAAACTCATTTTGCCATACTGGGACCAGATATTACAAAGGCTTTGAAATAGTACTACGTGTGAGTCTTGACTACAGTGCCTTACATACTAGAAACAAAAGAATGATAGAAGAAGTTGCCTACAACAGAGCCTGTAGGGAAGCAGAGTTTGCATTTTAAATTACAGAGTTCTATGAACACTTATATCATGGCCTACTAGTGACAACATTAATAACTGATCTTAAGTATCTTATTCAAATCCACAAAGTTTTTCACTCCCAAAATGGTACTTTGTAACTCGATCAATAAACTCTGGTTCTCAAAGATGAATCGTTTTGAAGCAAAATAAATACTTTCCAATTCCCGGAACGTTTTCTTATGGGAGTATATGTTTCTCTATGGTTTGAAATTGAAGGACTGCTAGCTACAAAACAAATAGACAAATTATCTATCACCATATTACAATCATTATTCATAAAAGTAATGATTAAATTCCTCAAGCAAGATAATATATTTCACTTAAAGTACTTTTTGTACATCAAAAGAATTGTTCTGCAGTTGTTGTATTCAGAGTTCTACACACATCAATTATAAAATGTGTTAATCATATTGCTCACATTTCCTTTATCTTTTCTAATGTACTTTTTGCTAGCTTATTCTGTCATCTATTGAGAGGAGCATTAAAATCTTCCATACAACTGTGAATTTATCTTTTTCATCTTTTAACTGTATTCATTTTTATTTCCCATATTTAAGTGCATAACACTTTGGACTCTTTTGTCCACCCAGTGAATTGACTCTTACCATTATGAAACGTGTCTCTTTTCCTCTAGTAATGTCTTTTGCCTTAAAACCTACTTTATCTGCTATTAAAACATATATGCCAGCATTAAATAATGTTTCATTTTGCATCCTTTTACTTTAAATTTTTCTGCATCCTTGATATTTTTATGTGACTTTTATAATCAGCATATAGGTGGAGTGTGTTTTGTTCTGTCCTTGGTTATTTAAGTGGAATGTATGATCTACTTATATTTATTATAAATCAGATATATTTGGAGTTAAATCTATCATTTTATTATTTTTACATATTTATCTCGCTTTTACTATGTTCTTTTTTTCTCTCCTTCTTTGCCTTCTTTTGGGTTAACTGAGTATTGTTAAAATTCTATTTCTCTACTCTGTTAGCTTGGTAATTATACACTGAAAAAAAATTTTTCATTTTGTGCATTTTACTCTATACAAAAATGCATTCTTGATTTATCAAAGTATAATATTACTTGATACCTTACCCATTTCTTGAACAATAAAAGGACATTTGAACACTTTAACTCAATTTAGCCTCCTCTCAATTTATATGCTACTGTTATCCTGTATTTGAATTTGGCATATACTTTAAACTCCACAGATATTATTATCATTGTTTTATAGAGTTCATAATCATTAAATGTAGCCCTGTAATTACTCTTCATTTCTTCCTACATCACCCAAACTTCTATCTAAAATTAGTTTGTATTTTGCCAAAAGTATAAATTTTTGTATTTCTTGGAATGTACTGCTGGTAACTAATTTCTAATTTCATTTATATTTGCCTAAATTTTTGTTATTTCGTCTTTATTTTTGAAGGGTTTTTTGCTGTATAGACATTCTAAGTTCAGAGTATTTTCTTTCAGTGTTTTGAAGGTGTCAAAATACATTGTCTAGGATGCCCACTTTCACCACTCCTATTCAACATATTACTGAAAGTCCTAGCCAGAGCAATTAGGCAAGATAAAGGAACAAAAGGCATCCAAATTGGAAAAGAAGAAGTCAAATTGTTCCTCTCTGAAGATGACATGATCTTATATCTAGAAAGCCCTGAAGATTTAGGAGAAGAATCCAAGACAGCAATGGAGCAATCACTTTCTAGAGATATTTGCATGACAAGAAAACCAGGTGCTAATAGTCAAGACAATGGGGAAAAAAAGGCATTTCAGAGATCTTTGAGGCAGCCTCTCCCATCACAGGTTCAGAGACCCAGGAGGAAAGAATGGTTCCTGGGCCAGGCTGGAGGCCTCATTACCCTGCACAGCTTCAGGACACTGCTCCCCACATCCCAACTGCCCAAACTCCTGCTTTGGCTCAAAGGGTTTTAAGTACAGCTTGGGCCACAAGCTCCAGAGGGTGCAAGCCATAAACCTAGGCAGTTGCCATGTGGTGTTAAGCCTGCAGGCATGCAGAGTGCAAGAGTTAAGGAGGCTTGGCAGCCTTCACCCAGATTTCAGAGGATGTATGGAAAAGCCTAGGAATCCAGGCAGAAGCCTGCTGCATGGGCAGAGACCCTACAGAGAACCTGTACTAGGAAAGTGAGGAGGGGAAATGTGGGATTGGAGACCCCACACAGAGTCCCCACTAGGGAACTGCCTTGTGGAGCTGTGGGAAGCAGACCACCATCCTCCAGACCCCAGAATGGAAGACCCATTAACAGCTTGCAACTTCAGTGTGGAAAATCCATGGGAGCAGAGCTGCCCAAGGCCTTGGGAACCCACGCCTTGCATCAGTGTGCTCTGGATTGTGGGACATGGAGTCAAAGGAGATTATTCTGGAGTTTTAAGATTTAATGAGTGCCCTGCTTTGTTTCAGACTTGAATGGGGCTCATCTTTCTTTTGGTTGATTTCTCCCTTTTGGAACAGGAATGTTTACCCAATGCCTGTACTTCCATTGTATCTTGGAAGTAAATAACTAATTTTTGATTTTACAGGCTCATAGGTGGAAGATATTTGTCTTGTCTCAGATGAGACTTTGAACTTGGGACTTTTTTGAGTGATGCTGAAAGGAGTTGAGGCTTTTGGGGGACTACTGGCGGGGATAACTGTATTTTGCAATGTGAGAAAAACATGAGCTTTGAGGGGCCAAGGGTAAAATGATACAGTTTGGATGTTGTCCACTCTAAATCTCATGTTGAACTGTAATCCCCAATGTTGTATATGGGGCCTGGTGGAAAATGTTTGCATCATGGGGGCAGATCTCTCATGGCTTGGTGCTGTCCTCAGGATAGTGTGTGAATTCACATGAGATCTGTTTATTTAAAAGTGTATGCCACCTCCCTCTCATTTTGCTCTGCTCTGGTCATGTGATGTGCCTGCTCCTGCTTCACCTTCCACCATGAGTAAAAGCTCCCTGAGGCTTCCCCAGAAACCAAGCAGATCCCAGCATCATGCCTTGTACAGCCTCTGGAACTACGAGCCAATTAAAACCTCTTTTGTTTATAAATTACCCAGCCTCAGCCTCAGGTATTTCTTTTCTTTCTTTCTTTCTTTCTTTTTTTTTTTAAGACAGAGTTTCGCTCTTGTTGCCCAGGCTGGAGTGCAATGGCACAATCTTGGCTCATTGCAACCTCCGCCTCCTAGGTTCAAGCGATTCTCCTGCCTCAGCCTCCCGAGTAGCTGGGATTACAGGCATGCATCACCATGCTCAGCTAATTTTGTATTTTTTAGTAGAGACGGGGTTTCTCCATGTTGGTCAGGCTGGTCTCGAACTCCCGACCTCAGGTGATCGGCCCACCTTGGCCTCCCAAAGTGCTGGGATTACAGGCATGAGCCACTGCGCTCCCCCAGGTATTTTTTATAGCAATGCAAAAACGGCCCAAACACCAACACAATGAGAAGATAAATGTGCAAGGTGATGGACATCCTAAATCTCCTGATTTGATCATGACACACTTTATGCATTTCTCAAAATGTCACTGTGCACCCCATAAATCTGTACAATTACTGGATATCAATTTAAAAATACATTGTCTTTGAGTTTCCACTGTTTCTATGAGAAGTCAGATTTGAATCTTCTTGTCTCACTTTTGAAGGTAATTTGTCTTTTTGGGTGAGGCAGTGATACTTTACAATTTTTCTCTTTCCTTTGGTTTTCAGCCATTTTATTGTGAGGTGCAAAAATACAGTTTTTATTCATTTTGCTTGGGGATCATAGGGATTCTTGGACCTGTGGCTTAAGATCTATGCTAAGTATTCTGTTTGTCTCTCCCCATACACAGTCCACACTCCTTCGTGCTTTGGGAAACTGACCTATATGGATTACAGTCGTTCCTATGCCCTCTAGTTTCCAGTTGGGTTCAGCTAATGAGAAACAGCAATAAGAGATCAGAGGGAAGGAGAAAGGGTCAGGATAATTATTCCCCGAGTTCCCTTTGTGGAGGCCACCTCGGGCTTGTTATATCCCTTGACAAAAGATCATTTTTCCTCTTAAAGTGGCCTTGTCAACATGACTGTTTAATCCTCTTTCCCCTCAAACTTCACAGCTTAGGAGTAGTGACAATTTCACTGTTGTTAGCCCCATGTTCTTTCACTATCACTTGCCATTAGTTCACCTGCCCACATCTTTGTAAATGAGCACTCTTCAATTTATGCCAACTTTAGTGTGCCATCTGCTTCTTCTTGGCAACTTGATTGATACAGTAACTGGTACCAGAAGTAGCATGTGATGGTTAATTTTTTGTGTCAACTTGGCTGGGCCACAATGCCCAGATATTTGGTCAAACATTATTGTGGATGTTTCTGTGAGGATGTTTTGGTTGAGTTTACATTTAAATCACCAGACTTTCAGTAAAGCAGATTGCCTTCCATAATGTGGGTGAGCCTTATCTAATCAGTTGAAGGCCTGACTAGAACGGAAGGCTGACCTCCCCAGAGCAAAAGGGAATTCTTCAGCAGATAGTCTTCAGACTTTATCTGTAACATTGGTACTTCCTTGTTCTGTATCGGGCTGCATCTGGATTCTAACTGTAACCCTTTCCTGAGCCTCCAGCCTGTTTGGTCTACCTCATCAGA
This sequence comes from Homo sapiens, assembly GCF_000001405.40. Taxonomy (NCBI): domain Eukaryota; kingdom Metazoa; phylum Chordata; class Mammalia; order Primates; family Hominidae; genus Homo; species Homo sapiens. The sequence continues at coordinate 37,854,806 of NC_000023.11, read as the reverse complement.
TTATGGACTTGCCAAGCTTCTACAATTGTGTCAGCCAATTACTTAGAATAAGTATTTTTTGATAAAATTAATGATATTCATATTTTAAAAGTGTGTATGGCAACAATTATCTTAAGCAAAATAAAAAGAGGAAAAAAACTGGGAGAAAGAATGTGTAACTCATCACAAACACAAGGATAATTTGTTATTTATAAAAAGTTCTCACAAATCAACAAGTATGAAAATGGGAAAGGGATAGGAAGAAACAGTTCAAAAAAAGGAAACTATAAGTGACTCTTAAATATCTTAAAATAAATCTCTTTATATACACACATACTCAAAATGAAATTCTGAGAATTGGTTGTTCATATACTTAAAGGAGCACACGGATAATCTTCTTACTGGGAAGAAATAGGGCATATGTAATTCATGACCACGATGTGGCATAATGATTACTCACTTTATCATCAGAGGATGTGATGCAGGTAGAGGGCAAGGCACTGGAGGTCAAGTGGCTGTAGCGCTTAATCTCTATAGCAACAAAGTTTCTTATAAAGATTGTGGAGTCACCTGGTGCTTTATTATAGCTTTAGAAAGTACAGATAGGGAAAATATAAGAGTTATAAATATGAAATGAAGAACATGAATTAAAAAACTAGAAAGTCTGGATTCAGGACTAGATCTAAAAAATAAATAAATAATAATAATAAAAAACTAGAAGACCTCCACGTCAGATTTAAGGGAGTCCCTCATATCTTAGAGCTGTACCACATCACATTGATCCATGACATTGTTGACATTAATTGGAACTGTAATCACAGAGTCCCTGGAAATATAGTAGATGTAGAGCACAAAATGTGCTGCTTGACATATAGAGGAGGTGCATCATCTATTATAGCATTTAAGTTGGTCACACAACCACCTGCAATCAAAAACATTAGCTATGATCAGTGGAGGTAAAAGGGAGAGGGGATGAAGTAACACAGAATAGTTGCTATAGTCCTTGCCTCTGTAGCTGGGCAAGTGGATGGATATTGATGGAGAAAAGTGATAGGCTATACTGGATTCCTGAACCTATTCCTTATAGATCTGCTATATCCACCATCCCAGCACACAGCATTGTAAATAAATCCTCCCTGAATTAATATTTTGGGAGTTTCATCTGCTTCCTACAGAGACTCTGACTAATATGTTCTTTCATCAGTTTTGGAAGACCTTCAGCTAATATTTCATTAAATATTGTTTCTGTCCATTCTGTCTCATCTCCTTCTGGAAATCTCACTATGTATGTTAAACTTTCTCATGGTATTACTTTTGTCTGTATGCTTTCTTCTGTATTTTACATTAATTTATGTCTCTGTGCTTTACTCTGGCTATTTTATTCTGTCCATTTTTTTTTTTCTGAGAGAAAGTCTCACTCTGTCACACAGGCTTGAGTGCAGTGGCATGATCTCAGCTCACTGCAAGCTCTGCCTCCTGGGTTCAAGCCATTCTCCCGCCTCAGCATCCCGAGTAGCTGGGACTACAGGTGCCCACCACCACGCCTGGCTAATTTTTTTGTATTTTTAGTAGAGACGGGATTTCACCATGTTAGTCAGGATGGTCTCGATCTCCTAACCTCATGATCTGCCCCCCTTGGCCTCCCAAAGTGCTCGGATTATAGGCGTGAGCCACTGCGCCCCGGTCTATTCTGTCCAATTTTTTAAGCTTCACTTAATCTTCAGCTTTGTAGGAACCACTATAGAATCGATTCTTTGTTCTTTTTAAAAAATTGGTTACTGTATTTTCTACTTCTAGAAATTCCATTTGTATACTTTTTATAATTTCAAGTTATTGGATGAAATTCTCAACCCTGTCTTTTATCTCTTTTAATATAGTAAGCATAGTTATTTTAAAGTCTATTTCTGATAACTCCATCATCTTCATCCCTGATTGGGCTGTTTCCATTGTCTTTTGATTTAAGATAATGTTGTTTTGTCTCGTTATGTGTCTAGTTATATTTTATTGTCCACTTGATGTATGCAAAAAATCATATGTCTGATTTGAGACCTAAGATAATGTTTTCTTCCTTCAGAGAGAATTTACATTGGCTTCTAGAAGTTGGCTAGAGGCATTAGCAATTCCGGATCACCTTAATTCAATTTTAGGGGTTTGGGTAATTTAAAACTGAGATTCAGTCTGCAAGATCAAGTTTGAGTGTTTCACTCCCAGGGTTTAATCCATGGGGTTTCAACCCAAAGCAAGACTGTTTACCAGAATCATCTTCCTTGGCAGGACATGCAGTCTGATTATTTTACCCCTTGGCCCATAAGCAAAAGGCTTAACATCTTCTCACCTCGAGGTAAAAAGTTATCCCAAATGCCATGCTCATCTTTCTGGGTTTCATTATTCTATGTCTTAGATCCATAATTCTTCCCTATCTTGTTAAAAAATCCAATTCCCTTGAGCAAATGTCTATTATATTTTGTCCAACCTTTGTAATTATCAGTGAAAGAGATGGTCCTAATTACATAGTCTACCATTACAGAAGTCTTTAAATATAATTTTAGTGGTTTGTAAAGTGGGTCCAAATGTTTTTTATCAGCTGCTTCTATGGCAAACCTTTCTAGACAATATAATTTATTCATATTTAGGGAAAATTAATTATTAAAAACTCATTAACAGGAATTGCTTATGGCTGTTCAATGCGTAGAGCCAGATATAAAATATTATATGGGTGAAACCAAGATTGAGGGTCTCACTAAAGCATTGAAAGAGGTTTTATTTGGAAGCTTTAAAAAATTCAATTTTAACACCCTTTCTATTTTATTTTTTCATATAATTATATAAAGTAATGAAAATATTTTTTCACCAAGCCCCATACAGATGCCCACCAAGCCCCTCCAGTTTACCTCAATGTACCATGTAAGTATTATCCTCTATGTGGGCCATAGCATGGAAAAGTTTGGAAAGGACTGACCTACCAACATTTACTTTATATCAATTTTTTTTTTCTTGCTGGCAGAACTCACTTTTCACCATACAGAATGAAAAAACAAACATTTGTTGTCCCATATGTTTTGCCCGGTGGGGAGTCACGTGGCCCAATCTTGGCCACTGGAACCTGAGGAGAAAACTCCTGAGGACTTGAAATAAAGATTTTCTTTCCTAAGAAAATCCGATCAACCCCAGAAAATGCTCATCTTAGTCACTGAACGTGATATCTTTGTTCCTAGCGATACCAGAACTAATGCAGCCGTGTATGACCATGAGGCTAAATGTTGCTGACATGCTGAGGATATTGGCATGGAAAGATGAAAAGCACAGAAGCCCCAAAATTTGTTGAGCAACTAAACGAACCTGGAATATCTCTGCCTCTGTATGTCTGTGTATTAGTCTATTCTCTCATTGCTTTACAGCAATGAGAAATACCTGAGACTGGATAATTTATGAAGTAAAGAGGCTTAGTTGGCTCGTGGTTCTGCAAGCTGCACAGGAAGCAGAGTGACTCCTGCTTCTGGGGAGGCCTCAGGAAACTTACAATCATGGTGGAAGGTGAAGGGGAAGCAGGCACATATTACATGGCTAGAACAGGAAGAAGAGAGAGAGGAGGGAGGTGCTACACACTTTTAAGCAGCCAGATCTCATAATAACTCACTCACTTACTCTCACAAGAACAGCACTGAGGGGATGGTGCTACCCATCATGAGAAATCTGCCTCCATGATCCAATCACCTCCCACCAGGCTCCACCTCCAACACTGGGGATTACAATTCAACATGAGATTTGCTGGGGACAGATCCAAACCATATCAGTCTGGTTATATAAAAAAATAAATGCCATTATTTCAGCTCATCCTATTTGGGTCTTCTGTTACTTGCAACCACAGGATGCTAGTTAATAAACCCACTTGTAGTTTTAAAGCATGAGCCCCAAATTATTTGACACTTCTCCCATTGAGAAGTGGATTATGTGTCCCCTCCCCTTGAATCTGAGTGAATGTTTCAATGATTAGAGTATGGTAGAAGGGCTGCTGTGTAACTCGTGACACTAGGTGATAAAAGGTGACATATCTTCTGCCATGCTCGATGGAACCCTCATGCTTGGAGCCTTGAGTTGCCATGTAAAAGATCTGGCTACCCTAAGGTTGCCATGATGGTAAGAAGCCAATCCACTCGGTGGGGCCATGTGTTGTTGCTCCAGTTGGAAGTGCTAATATTTTATTCATCCAAGCCCAGATATCAGACATGTGAATGAACAAGTCTTCAGATGATTCTGGTCCCCACCATTGAATTTCCTCCAGTCTTTGAGTCTCCCCACCTGAGGCCCCAGACATCACAGAGCAGAGGCAAATTATTTCTGCTGTGCCTTGTTCAAATTTCTGACTAAACGAATCCATGAGCATAATATAGTAAATAAGCTGCTAAATTCTGGGGTAATTTATTACACAGGAATGGTAACTGGAACAACACTTCTTCATCTCACTTTATATGCATCATGAATGATCACATAACACAAACTTGAGATGTGCTGGTGTAGCTCTTGCAGTATTAAGATTAGGTAACTTCAGGGTTTAACCCACCCAGGCATAGAAACAGTTCTTTAGGGAAATAAAACTGATGTTCACAAAGACACTACGAATCCTTCTCATGAATAGACTGCCGGAGTTGCTCATAGGATGAAAACTTTGGTAAAAAAAATTCTTGAAAGAGGATGTGCTTCCTCTATGAATTACAGTCACTTTTCTGCAGTAACCCTGCATGATCCACAACTTAGGAGAACCAATAACAAACACCATACTATCAAGTAAACAGCCTTGTTTGGTTCTAAGTTCATAAAATAAGAGCCTGAGGTTCAGAAGCCCAGGAGTCCAGTTAACACCTATGTGCCCTGTAGAAGTTACTTTATCTTCTCAGCTTCAGTTTTACTTGTAAAATAAGGGAGATGGACTAGAAGACTAATGGTTTCCAACTTTGATTCTGGGGAGCAAAATAGAAAAGTGTTGTGGTTGGCTGAATAATGCTCCCCCTCAAATTTGTCCACATCTGAATTCTGAGAATCTGTGAATATGATACAGAGTGCAAAAGACACATGGCATATGTGATTAAGTTAAGGGTCTTGAGAGGGAAACAGGAGGGCAAGAGTCATACATCTCTCGTTTATAGAGATGCCTCACACTTCCTTTGAAGCAGAAGCGAGAGAGGAGAAAAGATACTACTGGCTTTGAATTTGGAGGAAGGGGTCATGAGCCAAGGAATGCAGGCAATCTCTAGAAGCTGGAAAAGGCAAAGAAACAGAGTCTGTCTTGGAGCCTCCAGAAGGCATGCAGCTCTATGGGCCCATTTTAGACTTCTGACCTCCAGAACTGAGGCAGGAGAATAGGGTCAGGAGGCAGGGAACTTAAAACTGTTTCACGCTTACTTCATAGAACTAAATTGAAAGGAAAACCCTGGCCAGGCACAGTGGCTCACGCCTGTAATCCCAGCACTTTGGGAGGCTGAGGCAGGCAGATCACTTGAGGTCGATGAAGTCGGGAGTTCGAAACCAACCTGACCAACATGGAGAAACCCCGTCTCTACTAAAAATACAAAATTAGCTGGGCGTGGTGGTGCATGCCTGTAATCTCAGCTACTCAGAAGGCTGAGGCAGGAGAATCGCTTGAACCCGAGAGGCGGAGGTTGCCGTGGGTGAGCCGAGATCGCGCCATTGCACTCCGGCCTGGGCAGCAAGAGTGAAACTCCGTCTCAAAAAAAAAAAAAAAAGGAAAACCCTAACCTTCCATACCTTCCATGCCTAAGTAACAAAAGGACCAGAGGCTATTCCCTTTGCAAATCCCCACCTTTTCTGCAGGGCAGATGGGAAATTTAAAGTACCTCTGATTGGTTGCTTTTTGCAACCAAAGAGCAAAAAGCAACCAATCAGACATTTGCACAGGAGTGGAACTTTGTAACTTCACTTCAGCCTCTGATTGGTTGCTGTCTGCAACCAATCAAACTGATTATGGGCCAAATCTTTGTTTGAATAGAAGTGCAACTTTGTAACTTCACTTTAGCCTCTGATGGTTGCTTTCTTGCAACCAATCAGACGTTTGCATAGGAGTGTGGCCTTTGTAACTTCAGCCTCTGATTGTGGGCCACTACTTCATTTACATGGGGTGCACACCAAGTGGCCAATGGGAAATCTCTAGGGGGTATTTGGACCAGAGAAGATTCTGGATCCCGGCCCTTGAGCGGCTTCTCTGCCCGCTCCCACCCTGTAGAGTGTACTTTCGTTTTCAATAAATCTCTGCTTTTGTTGCTTCATTCTTTCCTTGCTTTGTTTGTGCGTTTTGTCCAATTCTTTGTTCAAAGAGCCAAGAACCTGGACACCCTACACTGGTAACAGAACTGTAAGAGAACAGGACTGTGTTTCTTTAAGGCACTACATTTACGGTAATTTGTTACAGTAGCAATAGGAAAGTAATACAGTGGTTAAGAGCTTGGGCTCTGCTATCAGACTACTTGAGCTCAAGTCCCTTTTCTACACCCTACTGGCTGTATGACCTTGGGCAAATTAAATTCTCTATACCTCAGTTTCATCTTGATAAAAGCAGTGATGGAAGAACTAACTCCTCTGACTTATTGTGAGGTTTTGAGGAAGTGTCTAGGATCATCTGGAAATTAGTAATTTATTTTAAAATTACTAATTTAAAATTACTACATTTATTTTAAAATTACTAATTTAAAATTACTACATTTATTTTAAAATGTAGTCATTGTTCTCTTGTTGAGAAGCATCTACTTTAGGAGCCGTGTATACAGCTTCTCATCAGATCCTTACAACCAGTAGTGAAATAGGTATGATGGTAAGTTTCCATATGAGAAAACTGAAGCTGTGGGAGGTGAATTTTTCCAAGTAACATAGCTAGTAAGTGGACAAATCAAAGTGGCTGGTTTACCACGAAATTAACTACATTTATGTGCCACATGATGGTGAATGAACAAATACGTGCAAGTAATCACAGCAGTGGGCACTCAACCACTAGTGCGGAGTCTAGACTAACTGCCACTAGGTCACCCCATCTGATCCACACTGGCGCCATTCCCAGTTCTTTACATTCATCCCTTGTTTCCAGAAAGGGCAGAGGAAGCGAGGAAAAAGTGCGTGGCCTGAAGTGACGCCTGGCGTTGCCCGAAGCCCGCCCAGCGCTGCCAGGTGACGCCACTGCGACACAAAGGCGGGGATTGCGTAGGGAAAGGCCCTAGGCCATAAACGGGGGTGGGGCCTCCCCGGAGGCCAGTGCGCGGCCGCGGTGCTCTACCGGCGTGTCGCTCCGCCCCAGGGAGAGCCGGCGCTACCATGGAGGAGTACCATCGCCACTGCGACGAGGTACCGCCCCTTGGCTACCTGGGAGCGCCCCCCACTCCCGCCTTCCTCTGCGCGGGGCTCTTGCCGGGTGGTCTCCCAGCGAGGGCGGTCCCAAGAGTTGGGGTGCGGCGTCCTCCGAGCCCGGGTCCTCTCCCCTGGGCCCGGGATCCGCCCCGCCCGACCCGTTCTCCCCACCCCAAAGTCCTGAGATTCGGGGTGGGAGGGGTGGCCAGGAGCGCGCGGATCAGACGGTGGGGTCGGGGCAGGGTTGGGAGGACGAGGCCTGACTTGGGTGCGAGGAGTGGGCATGGGGTGACGGGCGCCGCCCTCCTACCGGGCGGGCCTCGAAAACGGGTCTTCCCGCTGCTGCCTCCGTCCCTTGGCTTCCTCAGCGCGGGTGCTGCAGCCCCCATGGCTCGGAGTCTCGGGGTCCTGGTGGCACTGCCATTCCCGCTCCCGGTAATGCTTGCCAGGATTAGGCAAGGAGGTGCTTTATGGATTACGAGCCCTTGCTTACTGACTCAGGCTTTCCCAACCCTCACCAGAAACCCATGATGTCAGTTGTTATCTCCCTGTTATTGATGGGGACTCCAAAGAAAAGACTAAGTTGTCAGACCACTTTATAGTACTAAAGTGATATTAATCTTGAGTTATCAAGTATTTTCATAATCTTTAATTTGGGAAAGGAATTTTTGCCTAGAAATTTTTGCCTAGCATAAGTTAAAAACAAAATTGAAAATAGTCTACTAAGCATTCTCTTCATATGGACCACTTCATTCTCTCACTTAGCTGAAACCATTTCTATATTCTTATGACACATAACATCCTCATAGTCACCTCTTGCTTATTTCCTACGTTTTACAATACAATGATTCTTAATCTAGGATGTTCATTAGAATCACCAGTATAAAGCACTTTTTTAAAAAAAAATGTAGACTTGCAGGCTCTGCCCCAGACCTCACGGGAGGTAGGTAGGGAAAGCATTCAGTATTTTTAAGTGTTTAGGGGCAAGATTGGCCCCTTCTGTAGACCTGATGCCCTTTAACACTTTAACACCTGTCTAGGCCAGCCTAGGATATTCTGTGTAGCGTCATACTTGTAAGCCTGTGTTGAAAGCAGCTTTACCTTTTGTTTTCCCTTTAGGTTGGCTTCAATGCTGAGGAAGCCCACAATATTGTCAAAGAGGTGAGTCATACATTTTGTTTCTCTTGAAGCTTGCTGCACTGGTGGAGATTTTTAAAAGCTATATTTTGAGTTTCAGCACAAACTTAGAAACCTTACTGTTAAAAGAAGAATATTTTGTTTTGTTTTATTTTATTTTATTGTTTTTTGAGATGGAGTCTCGCTCTGTCACCCATGCTGGAGAACAGTGGTGTGATCTCAGCTCACTGCAACCTCCACCTCCTGGGTTCAAGCAATTCTCCTGTCTCAGCCTCCCGAGTAGCTGGGTCTACAGGCGCCCGCCACCACACCCATCCAATTTTTGTATTTTTAGTAGAGACGGGGTTTCACCTTATTGGTCAGGCTGGTTTCGAATTCCTGACCTCCGGTGATCCACCCGCCTTGGCCTCCCAAAGTGCTGGGATTGCAGGCGTGAACCACCACACCCGGCCAAGAACAAGATTTTAAATATTTATCCACTAACTCTTTATAGGGGTCCTTCTATATTTTGTTGTGTGCTATCAGCATCTTGAGGCTTATTCTGAAAGAGATGCTTAAGGATTTTCTTAGTCTAGAAAACTGGTTTAAAATTGATGCCCTGTCTTTTGGATAAAATAACTTTTATTCCAGAAAGCAAACATTATTTTAAATGTTAATGCTATAAAGTATATGTACGCATATATATGTACACACGTCAACTTTTATAATGTAAAGTATATGTATAATATATATGTATATTGTATAAAATAGATAACAAAAGCCCTAGAAATATCTGCCTTTGGGCATGTACACTTTTTTGCCCAATATAATTGGAAAAAATGATCATTTAACATATTTTAAGCATTGATATGATAGTGAATCAAAATTTTAAGAAAAATATTTGAAACTCCTTTTAGGCAAATAGAAAAGAAATTACCTTTGGGAATTAATTCTGGCAGGGGACCGTTCATTATTTTAGAGGTATCACATACAGACCACAGTGTGGGAAAGGTATTTTTTGACACCCAGGTCTGGCCTTACACAGCTAGAATTAACTCAAGGTCTGAGAGGAATAGACAGGCACCTGAAAATCCTGCCATATTTGAATACTTCAGAATTATGCATTCTATCTATGTAGCCTGAGAGTATTTAATTATTAAAAGTAGAAAGCAAAGGTTTTTAATACCTTTACAATGTAAAAGCACAAATGAGGGAAACTGGGAGGTGGAAGAGGGAGTGGAGGTAATGAGAAGGGAGTGATCTTAGTTTTCAAAGTGGCAAGTCAGGAAAGACTGTCCTTGGTTGATGGAACATAAAAGAAAGAATGCTGGGCTATTTGGGATTCCATTTAAATAGTGCCTTCTTCCTTAAGTTCTGAACCAAATGAAAAGAAAAAAGAGCCATTAGAAAGAGAACAAAATACCACCTTTATTATTGATAAAAACCAGTTTGATGATTGTACCTTGTTTTGCTAACTCCCATTCAGTTCAGCCCTGGGAAGAGTCATCCAAGAGAAAGTTTGAGTCAGCAGAGAGAAACACTTGTTCAGGCTGGTGCCTTTCATTGGTTTGGGTGGAGAGGGAAGGAGAAACTAAAGCCCAAGTTCAACACATTTGGGAGACTCCCAAATGAGATGTTAGAACAATGGTTATCACCCACCAACCAGGTAACTCATTCCACCTCCATGGGGAGGAATAACTGACAGGACAAGAGGCCAGGAATGTTAAAGAACAATCCTCTGCGTTGAAGAAAACATCCAGAGTGGAAAAGAAACATGTTTCTAACAGTGTAAATATATTTAAGTTAAAAAATCGTGATTTCACTATATTGAGAGAAGGGGGCGGGTGGTCTGAGGGAACCAAATTTTCATCTATCATAGTAGGAGTTACATGGATGTTGCCTATAATTCATAAATCAGGAAATAGTGAGATAAACATTATTTGGAGATACATAAGTAACCCTTGGAAGAAATAAAAACAGTTGTACACTGATGAGTTTCCTCTGGGGAATGGGACTGGGGATGGGAAAGGAAAGGGTGGGAAGGAAACTCTTCATTCTAAGCTTTTCTGTTCTACTGGATTTTTCAAACCATATGCCTGTTACTTTAATATTATATCAAATTAAAAGAATCATGCTTTTTCAACTGGGAAATACATACTCGGCAGTGGCTAGGTGGTGCTAGAAGTCACTGGATGCATTTTAGAACATCAGTTTTTCTTGAATATTTGTGAGAGGGAGTTAAGTAATATAAATAATATAACTGAAAACATTTTTGAATAAAAACAAACTCTGATGCATTATGTAGTCAAAACAAGCTTCTCTTGAATTTTTATATGAAATATGAGACTGCAAAGAAACTCAGCTTTGCTACAGGTTACTTGCAGCTAAATGTCTATCTTTCCTCTTCCCATGAACCAACCCTCTTCTGCCATTGAAACATTTCCATTGAGACATTGGAAATGCCTGAGAATGAGCAACATTTTAAAACAGTTTAGCACTTCCTAGATGATTACATAATTTCAGCAGTTATTTCTGATTTCCTTACTGATCTTATTTTCTTATTGATCTTATTTTCTTTCCTTTGATTTCTTGCTCTGAGCCCCTATGCTAATATGTTTTTCCTTCTGAACTCAGAGACACCCATTTATCAGTAATATGCATACATTTTCTTTAGTGTTAGTAATAGAAATTGCTTCCCCAAAAAATCGTCGAAGAAAAAGTGAGCTACAAATGACTTAGAATTTAGTCTAAAGTGTATTTGATTTAAGATACCCAGCGAGTATATCAAAACCAATATTGCTTCAACAACATTTGTTGAATACCTGCTAAGTGCCCAGGTCCTGAGTTTAGCACTGAGAATACAGAGCTGTTTAAGGACCTCATTGTCTCATGGGCCTCCATGTTAATGTAATTAATTAGGCTAGATGTTAATTAATAGTAATTAGCAGGGCTATTTACAGTGGCACCCACACCCCATGGTGTTTTCTGCTGTTTAGAGCAAAACTTGGAGTGGTCCTACTAAATAACCTGAAAGAAAAATGAGTGCTCTTACTTTATCCTTAAGGAAAGGTGATCTCAAGAGAGGAATAGGTTTGTCCAAAGGTCACCAGCTTAGGAATGGTAAAGCCAGAATTAAAATTCTATTCCCCTGATCCTTAAGCCACTACCCTTCCTACTTTGTCATGTTATTGAGCTTTCTAGGAGAAAAATTTGAGCCATATTACTTTTGTCAACCTTGCTAAAATATTTCATTTCTCTTTTCATATTTTATCATTAGTGAAGATTTTATACTATCCAACTTAAGATTTTGTATTAGTGCCTTCATAAATCTTTACTGTGGTCTAATTATAGTAAATAAAGCTGCATGTGTGTGTATGTGTGTATTATTAAGCTAGATTCTAAAAATGAATTAAATGAGTCTAATGATAGTAAATGAAGCTGCATGTGTGTGTTAGATTCTAAAAATGAATTAAATGAGTGCTTTATTATCCAGGCTTTATCACTCAAATATAAAATATAACAGCAGCAATATGATAATAGTAGTTAACATTATTTATATGCTAACTCTGTGCTAGTCCTGTTTGAGCACTTGGTATTCATTGTCTCATTTCATCCTAACAACAACCTGATAAGATGATGCTGTTATCCTTACTATAAGGATTAGGAAAATAGGGATTTGAAGGGGTTAAGTCACTTGCTAAAGGTCACATAGCAGATAGGTGTCAAAGTAGGCCTTAAAACCTAGGATTGTGATACTAGAGCCAGTGCTTTTAATCAGGTGTCAGAAGTGGATGAAATCAAGCACTATGGGAAATTATGATATTTGACTTTATCTTTCTAGAGCATCTTTATTTACTTTCAGTGGCAAGTGTGCTAGTTGTTTCATAGCTAAACAATCACATAGTATGAATGAGAATATAATCAGTTGTTGTTTCATAGCTAAACAATCACATAGTATGAATGAGAATATAATTAGTATACATAAGAATTATGTTTTTAAATTAGTCCCATCCTGTTTCTAGCATGTGAGCCCTAGTTCAAATCCCAGCTGTTTCAAAGCTACTTGTTAACCAATTGATAGCACCTTTTAATTTCCCCACCATAATTTTTATGACATAATTTATCATTAGTCTTCCTTGTGTTATAGATATTCGAATTTTTTTATTAGCTTCTCTGCTAGATTAAGTTATTTACACAGAAGCCATGACATATTTATCTTTATATGGCCCATAGTATCTCATAGAGTGAGATAATGCAAGTGGAAACTCTTTCAAAACTCTTAAGCAATTAGAGACAGTGCATAATCAATGTTTACCAAGTGTATATTTTCTAAGATGCCTTATTGAGCTATAAGTATATTTTATGTTTTGAATAAATTTTTACTGCAATTTGTGTAAAAATTGTTCTTTTTGAACAATTTTACTGACTAAATTAACTGCCCTCTGTGCCCTTTTAGTGTGTAGATGGGGTTTTAGGTGGTGAAGATTATAATCACAACAACATCAACCAGTGGACTGCAAGCATAGTGGAACAATCCTTAACACACCTGGTTAAGTTGGGAAAAGCCTATAAATATATTGGTAAGTATCAGTATCCTTCCTCACTAGTTCACTTGCTTTTGTCATTGTGATTTTCTCTGAATTTTGAGAAGGTATATGTACAATAGACATTTAAGTTGGATACTAAAAGGGTATAAAGGACTTCTGATTTACTCATTCAAAGATAATCTATAATAATACTTAAAAGATGAAGATCTTTCACTACTCAAAGGCAGTTTGAGCTACTTTTCTTTGGTAGCATCACCCTTTGCATTTCCATCAGTTCTTTCTTTCCACTGAGACCCCCCCTTAGCTCAACTGTGTTTCTTTCGGTAGTCCCATGCCTCTTTACCTGTAATTCCACACAGCAACTGTTTATAAAGTGGAGTATTTCCTGCATTTCTGTGTCTGAATTCTGCCCATGGTACAAAGCACAGAATTTGACTGATATTTTTCCTGCAATACAATCACCAATGGTAATGACAATGGTCAGAAAACCAACTGAATCCAGTGGGGTCAAAATCATGATGGTAGATAAAGATGAGAGTCTTTTATTTTTTTTTCAATCTATTTGCTGAACGCTTTGTTTTCTGTTTTTTGTTTGTTTGTTTGTTTTTTGTCTTGTTTTCGGCTTGTAGAGCTCTGAACTCACACACTTTGACCTTGGTTCTCTTTTCCTTTGTCTGTAAGTGCCCTCATTCTGTGACTTTATTTGCAGTGACCTGTGCAGTGGTCCAGAAGAGCGCATATGGCTTTCACACAGCCAGCTCCTGTTTTTGGGATACCACATCTGATGGTAAGAGATCTTAAGCTGATTTACACAAAATCCAACTTTTAGCAAAGTCAAACTGCACTTTTTAACCAAGTACTTATTTAATTCTGATTAAATTCTGAAAAGACTATCAACAGTATTGCTTTGTACCTAGTAACAAGTATACCTTCAGACCGATATGAAATGTGAAAACTTAACAGGTTGAAGGAAATAAGATATTAAAACATGTGAAAAATGTATGTGTATATATATATATATATATGTGTGTGTGTGTGTGTGTGTGTGTGTGTGTGTGTGTGTATATGTGTGTGTGTGTGTGTGTGTGTGTATATATATATATATATTCTCTGATAATTTTTATGTTTTGCTGGTATTTCAAAATCCTTTTTTTGTGTTTCAGGAACCTGTACCGTAAGATGGGAGAACCGGACCATGAACTGTATTGTCAACGTTTTTGCCATTGCTATTGTTCTTTAACTGACTAAAAATGTTGGGCTAAAGCCATTAACTTAAGAATTTGTCAGTGTATCCTTTCCAAAAAGAGTAATAGTTGTTTACTAGTGTGCTAGATGAAAAGCGTGCAATATGCTTTAAAGCTATCAACAAAAACTGAATATTATAAGCAAGCAATATCATAGTAATTGGCAGATTAGCTCATATTCTATACAGCATCGTTTAAATAGGAAAAATTTAATGCTAGCAAAAAATAAATTTAGAAATATGGCATGACATGAAAATACAATCTTATATTTACACCAGCTTTTCACTAATATTTTGTACCTAAGGTGATGGGGAACTCCATTCAGATAATAAAATTCTCTTTCAGCTAGAGAAGTTAACAGGAATAAATATATGAACAAAAAAGCTGCAAGGATAAATGTGGAGAAAATGATGAGAATTAGCTAACATTTTTAAGTTTTTTTAAACTTTCTTCCCCTCAGTTGTACTTAATATTTAGTGGAAAGTAATAATTTTTTTAATTTTCTATCAACTAATAGTATAGTAACAACTATGATTAACTTGTTTACTTTTTCTGAGGATTAGTAAATCAATTTTTTTTAATTTCAAATTTTTGGATTTACACTTGAGGGTAAATTAAATCTGGTAAACTGAATTTCCTAGTTAAATAAAATTAGTTGCAGTATATGATGAACAGTGTATGACTCAAACAGCTGCCTTACAATTCACTCATTCCATGTGGAACAAACATTTATCAGATGCCTATTATGGGCATATGTCTCTGCTAAGCACCATAGTTGTCAATGTGCTGTGCAAATGCTAAGTTCCTTTTAGCAATTGTTCAGTTGGAAGACGTATTAATATTTGGGGAAGGAAAAGAAAGTAGTTGTTTTACAAGGGAGGAAAAAAGTGAATCTGGTTACACATATGGAAGTAAGCAAAATGAAAAGCACTTATTGCTTTCTGACAGAATTATAGATGTAATTTTAAGAGTTGCTCCTAGCAAGTTAAAAGTGCATATAAAATATGCAACTCTTAGTTAAAGGCCTTATTATCAGTCTTACCTATACAAGTAGTAAATTTTGTCATTGCTTTAGTTACAACCATCTGTAAATAACTTAAAAGACTTATTATGTGGGGTTCAAATTGAGTGGAATAAAGTATAGATTAAAAGTATACAATCCTTAGCACGTTATCTCAGGGCTTATGAAATGTAATTAAATTTATTAAGAAAATAGATGAAAAATTAGGGTACACAGCTGGCCACCAAATGCGAAGTCAATCTGCTACTTAACCCTGAAAACAAAATCAGTTTTGCATATTACCACTAACACTAATACATATAGAGAGCGGAACCATAACTCATTGAATTTTGGAGAGGAATAAGCTTAGCGTTAATATTGACAATATTAAGGCAATATTCTTGTAGGAATACTATGTGCATGTTTGATATTTTGCCAAATAACAATAATTAATAATTGTTCAATGTTTAAGAATAATATTAACAAAATAAAGGAGTTTAATGCAGTGATCTTTGTTTTTGGCACATCAAAAATTCTCAGTCATTATTCATGTTTCTTTATGCTGCTGGCTTTTGTGCCCTGGAAGATCATAATAGTGACCAAAATATACATGCAGACTTGTTTTTTATTATTGTTGTTTAAGCATAATTTAAGAAAAAAAATTTTTACCTGGTGAACTTGCTATCTGCTCTGTTTCTAGTTAAAATATAATAAATATTATCTTCCTGTGCTGTACTTTTGCTTCTGGATAATCATTTAATAGTTAGAGAAATGACATTCTGCTTGCTCTTAGAAATTCTAAATAGAAGAAATGCTGGGGGTGGTGGCTCACACCTGTGTAATCCCAGCACTTTGGGAGGCAGGTGGATCATTTGAGGTCAGGAGTTTGAGACAAGCTTGGCCAACACGGTGAGACCGCATCTCTCTTAAAAATACAAAAATTAGCCAGGCGTGGTGGCACACATCTCTAATCCCAGCTACTCAGGAGGCTGAGGCAGGAGAATTGCTTGAACCCGGGAGGCGGAGATCGCAGTGAGCCGAGATCGTGCCACTGCACTCCAACCTGGGCAACAAAACAAGATGCCGTCTCAAAAAAAAAAAAAAAGAAAAAAGAAAGCAATTCTAAATAGGATAAATGAATATGGGACCACATAGATATATTATGCATATTATGCAGAATAAATACCATTAAAATAGCAGCCCAAATCCAGTATTTACCATTACAACATAATTAATAGCTTCTATTTTATGCTTTTTATTTTATGATTTTAACACAAAATTTCATTTTCAAAAATCAGTGTAAAAATATATTCTGTAACTACTAGTTTTTAATGATTATTTTTTGCAAGGGATTTTGTCTTATTTGTCAACTTGCAATTGTGTTGTTGTTTTTAATTAAGGACTTTAAGTTTGTAAAATTAGGGAATTCAAAGGATTTTTGTAACGCTCTAATTTTATGTTTGTAAAGTACCCACATGCTGCCTAAATGATGGCAACCTCTCATTACGATTTCTCTAGTGAAAGTACTTTTCTGCTCTTCTTTCCAAGTTGAGTGTTACCTGCTTTCATCATCACATTCTTTAATCTTAAGACGTCCAGGATTATATTTTCAAAGTTTAAGTAAAAATAGTTGCCTATTTTTGATAACAGTTTTTTTAAAAAGTGGGAGAAAAAGTGTGTGACTTTTTGTGGCAGAAGTCATTCTTACAGCAGATACCAAAGCAAAGATTAAGGCCGGGCATGGTGGCTCATGCCTATAATCCCAGCACTTTGGGAGACTGAGGTGGATGGATCACCTGAGGCCAGAAGTTTGAGACCAGCTTGGCCTACATGGCAAAACCCTGTCTCTACTAAAAATACAAAAATTACCTTGGCGTGGTCGTGCATGCCTGTAGTCCAAGCTACTCGGCAGGCGGAGGCAGGAGAATCGCTTGAAACTGGAGGTGGAGGTTGCAGTGGGCCAAGATCGTGCCACTGCACTCCAGCCTGGGTGACAGAGCCAGACTCCATCTCAAAAAAAAAAAAAAAAAAAAAAAAGATTAAGAGGTAAATAAATTTCACCTCATGTGCTAGAATCTACCCAAGGGGCATTTGTTTTATAACCTAGAAGGTGGAGCTATATTTGTGGTTAAAGAGGATTTAATGTCAAGTAATTCTCTAAAGTTAACCTTTGTATATTTATGAAATTTTTTTATTTTTTTATTTTTGTAGGTGGAGTCTTGCTCTGTCGCCCAGGCTGGAGTGCAGTGATGCAATTTCGGCTCACTGCAACCTCTGCCTCCCAGGTTCAAGTGATTCTTCTGCCTCAGCCTCCCGAGTACCTGGAACTACAGGCACACGCCATAACGCCTGGCTAATTTTTATATTTTTAGTAGAGATGGGGTTTTGCCATGTTGGCCAGGATGGTCTCGAACTCCTGACCTCAAGTGATCCACCCACCTCGGCCTCTCAAAATGCTGGGATTACAAGCGCGAGCCACCCTGCCCGGCCGAAAAGATCTCAAACATTCATCTCTTACAAGATTTAGATGACTATCATCAATATGCCTTAACATCAGTAGTTTAGGAGACTCTAGCCCACTTTGTCTAGTTGCAAACTGTAATTCTCCCTGTGGTCCCACTGAATATCATTCCACAGCATTCTTGGATATATATGATGTATTGACAATTCAGGTCTAGATAGAAATGGCCCCTATTGCTTCATGAAGAATATCCTTTCCCCAAATGTCTTCTGAGGAGCTCAAGATTAAAGCTAGTATCCTGTACAGACACTTGCAGGACTGCTAGTATGATATATATTGACCCTATGGGAGACAAAATGTGGGCAACCACCCCTATTCTGGGATCCTTAAAAGATGAGAACCATATCAGAAAGTTCCTTCACAGCTACCCCCAACTAGGTCAGGGAATTTGATGCCTGGGCTTATCTAGTAATAAATATTCAACTTTATGGCAAATGCATACCTTTTAATTTTATTGAATGCTTTATCATTTTAGATACATTTTTCATGAATGCCATTGTCTTAGTCTGTTTGGGCTTCTATAACAAAATACCATAAACTGGGTGGCTTATAAACAATAGGAATTTATTTCTCACAGTTCTGGAGGTTGAGAAGTCCAAGATCAAGGCACTGACAGATTCAGTGTCTATTGAGAGCCTGCTTCCCCTTCATAGACGACAGCTTCTAGCTGTGTCCTCACAAGGTGGAAGGAGCAAGGCAGCTCTCTGGAGTCTCTCTTGTAAGGGCACTAATCCCAATCATGAGGGTTCCATACTCATAACTTAATCACCTACCAAAGGCCCCACCTCCCAACACCATCACATTGGTATTTAGGTTTCGACATGACTTTGGGTGAGCCACAAACATTTAGACCATAACAACCAGCTTTAACTTGAGATATTTCAATCTAGATTTCTCAGGGCAGAGTTTTATATGAGGAAGTATTATTTAATGAAAATTCTGTCAATTTATTTTTATTTCTTATAAGGCCTTATGGAGAAAATCTCTTTGAAAATGATTAGATTGTGGCATGTACTGACCCTTCTATAACCTCTAATTTTGTAGGCTAGGAATTTGATATGGGTTAAGTTGCATGAATTAACATGGGCTTTTGCAGCTAATGCTCATACAGAATACCACCAAAAATGATCAGGATTGGTATAATGGGTTATTGGTAATTAAACAAAGCAAACTTCTTTTGTAAAGGGCCAGCTAGTAAATATTCGAGGCTTTGCTTTTGCAACTACTCAAGTATGTCACTGTAGTGTAAAAGCAGCTGTCGACAAGTAAATGGATGG
Source organism: Homo sapiens (assembly GCF_000001405.40). Taxonomy (NCBI): domain Eukaryota; kingdom Metazoa; phylum Chordata; class Mammalia; order Primates; family Hominidae; genus Homo; species Homo sapiens. The sequence continues at coordinate 37,835,772 of NC_000023.11, read as the reverse complement.
GTATGACTGTATTCCAATAAAACTTTACATATAAAAATAGGTAGCAGGCTGGTTAGAGTTTACCAACCCCTACATTAGAGTAAGATATATTGTGTGGTCACTTTAAAAATTATACCTTAATGATTTGGGCCTTTGTTTTAATTGTTATAAACAATCGAACACAAAACACATTTACCTATTATGATTTTATCATGTTGGACTCAGAGGAACCTTATCAGTAAACCAAACTTGTGATCTCTTTATTATAAGAAAGAAGGGCTATAAATCAGTTTTTCCAAAACTAGATTATTCCTTTCTGATGCGCATCACCTAACTTTTCACTGGATTACAGATTATTTTTTATCTTCTTATCTTGGGGTTTATTTTACAACCATATTTTTTGAAGAACATTATTATAAAAATTCAACACTTTGTGGGTGTTTTATTATTTTTGGCTTACTTTATGATTAAGATGGGCTTCTAGTTTACCTAGAGAATTTTCCATGCTTGCTGGACATTGCAGTCATGGCCTACTCAATACCTCCTGTTAGCAGAAATTGCATAGCCCACAGATCAAATAATCCTGCCCTTCAGCTTGGGGAAATAGATGCTGTATTTAGGAGTGAGTACATATTGCATTAGGCATGAGCACCTGACCCAGTGATGATTCATCCATAGACGGATTTTAAGCCCATAAGGCGGCTGGCACATTAGCTAAGCCAAGCAAACTAGTTCCCTCTGAATTTTGGATTAGAAAATAAGCAGAGTATTAGTTAACAGGCGGAGAAGAGGGCAGATGAAGAGAGAAGCAGAAACACTTGGGTCTGGTTAAGGATTAGCCCACGTTTTCTTAATGTCAGAGCTGCGGCTACAGATGCCCTCTCGTCTCTCTACCACTCTCCAATCCAGGGAAGACTGTCCAAGCTTCAATACTACTAACACCAGCAGCAGTACTGATAATGGTATCAGCAGCAATTGTGGCAGAGAGCATGATGTACTAGGCAGGAAACAGGTTGATGGGAATAGTCTACTCCAGTAAATGACAGAATTTCCAGGTGATAAAAAATCAGATCAGTAACCTAGACATGAGTGTTCATAACAGCTTTATAAGTAATAGCAATAATCTAGAAACCACTCAGATATCCTTCATTGGGTGAATGGCTTAACAAACTGTGGTACATACATAGAATATTACAAAACAAAAACAAAAACCTACTGATACGTGCAAAAAAAAAAAAAAAAAAAAAATAGCATAAATCTCTGGGGAATTATACTAAGTAGAAAAGCCAATCTCAGCTGGGTGCAGCAACTCAGGCCTGTAATTCCAGCACTTTGGGAGGCCAAGGCAGGAGGATCACTTGAACCCAGGAGTTTGAGACCAGCCTGCGCATCATAAGCAGAACCCCATCTCTACCAAAAAAATAAATTAAAAAAGTGGCCAGTGTGGTGGTGTGAACCTGTGCCTCACCTACTTCGAAGGCTGAGGCAGGAGGATCGCCTGAGACCAGGAGGTCCAGGCTGCAGTGAGCTGTGATCATGACACTGCACTCTAGTCTGAAAGATAGAGTGAGAACTTGTCTCAAAAAAAAAAAAAAAAGCCAATCTCAGAAGAATGCATACTGTATGATTTAATCTATATAAAAATTTTTAAACAATAGTTAAAAAATGGAGAACAGATTAGTGGAAGTCAGAGGACAGAGATGGTGAAGGGAGAGGAACCTCCTCCATCAGGAGGCAGGAGAGAATTCGGTATGGTTATAAAAGGGCAACACAAGGAATCCTTTTGCTGGACCTGTTCAGTATCTTGGCTGTGGTGGTGGATACACAAACCTAGATGTCATAAAATTGTGTAGAACTAAATACACACACAAATGAGTACAAGTAAAACTGGGAAATCTGACTAAAATCAAATCTTATCAATGCCAATATCCTGGCTGTGACATTGTGCTCCAGTTTTGCAAAATGTTAACCACTGGAGGAACTGGGAAACGAATACATAGGATCTCTCCCTATTATTTCTTACAATTTCATAAAGTCTATTTATCAATACAGATTTCAATTAAAAATGAAGGTGAGATAAAGATAATTTCATACAAAAAACATTTTAAAAGCAGATCAACTTTTGGTTAGTTTTATTATTGTCTTTAAATTTCCTTTAAATTTAAAGGACAATGCACCCTCTTATTGCTTATACCCAGGGAGGACCATTCTGACTACCCTCCTTGATACAACCCTGGGTAGAGACATAATGAAAGATAAAGTGAGATGCCAGAACAGCCAAGCCATATTGCAGGGGGAAGGGTGTGCCATCAGAGAGCAGGTAGGTAACATATACGGTATTAGAAAAATCAGCTGCTGTGAATAGAATTGAGCTTTATTTTTTAAGCTTTGATGTCAGTATTAATAATTTGTACAACACTGGAAATTATGTTTTAAATTTGAAATTTAAAAACCAATAGAAACAGGAAAATTTTAGTTTTGCTTTTGTAATGTTCTAATCCTTTCATGTGAGTCTAACAACATTTTTCTTCAGGCCCAAGATGTCAATGTCAAGGTCTTTTATTTCTCTTTGTGATGTGCAGTAAAGAATTTAGCCTAGATTTCTTTAACTGGGAGCATTACATAGTTCTATTCAGTTCTTAGTTTTGTCCTGAAGAAACAGCTGTTCACAAATGTAGTTACTTCCAAACATGAATAAAAATTTGCGAAATGGCCCAGGATAACTTCTTCTGAGGCATTTCTAGCATTCTGATTGCTTGCTGTCATCATCTTTAATTTTCAACACTGCATTTCATGGATTTTATCTGTTGCTCTTTATTCACTCTATCATTGGTGATAGAGTATGATGTATCTAAAATAATCAGAAAGCACGTTTTCAAATTCAGTTTTCAACTATCCACCATTTGAGGAACGTGGATCAATTTATCACTGTCAATCCTAGAAGGAGTTTCTAGGCCAGATTACTCCTCGAGGTTTTGTTTTGTTCTTTTTTAAAAACAATCCTCCAGCCAGTTTCACCAAACGTTAACATTTTGCCCTATTTATTTTTATTAATTTCTCTTTCTAAAATATAAGATAAACATTACAGATCCGGATGAAGATCTCTTCATGCCCCAATTTTCATTTCTAGCTGCTCTTTTCCAGAGGTGTTCACTGCCATCAATGTGATGCTTAGCATTCCTTTGCATGTTTTTTTACTATTACAATTTTGTAGGTACCAAGAAAAAATGTATGGTATTGTTTGGTATGTTGCCATACTTCATAAAAAGAGTATTATTTTTATGTATTACTATGCATTGTATATTATTCTGCAACTTGTTTTTCTTACTGCACATTGTAATTTAAAGATTTAGTCATGTTGATACATATACTCTATGTCATTCATTTTAACTGAGGTATAATATTCCAGTGCATCCATTCATCCATTCTCCTGCAGAGGGACATTTATGTTGCTTATTACTATTGACCATGCTGCACTAGTCATTTTTGGACAAGTCTTCTTGTGCACATATATGGATTTCTCTAGAGTACGTAGCTAGATATTGCTAAATCAACATCTATAGCTATCTCATTCTTTATTAAATGCAGTGTAATGCCAAAGTACCCTCTGAAGTTGTTGCATCATTTTACATTCCCTCTAGAAGGTACTATTTCTCCATATATTTACCAAAATGGTATTGCTATACTTTTTCATTGTTGCCAATTTGATAGGTATCTTGCTATAGTTGCATTTCTCTGATTACTACTGTTACTAGTGAAGTTAAATATTTTTCATATATTTTGCCATGTGTTTTCCTTCTTTTTTCTTTGAAGCACATTTAGCAAATGTCAGATTGTGTTGAACAGGTTGGCAGGAGAGAGTGTTGATTGAACAAGCTTTGATTAATAATGCACTGACGGCACAGCCGTGAGTAGGAAGGAAATGCCTGCGCAACACTCCCCAGGTTTGTATGACGACTGTGGTTCTTACTTCAGAGCCTATAATGTCAGAAGAGAAACATGTGTCCAGAGATTTTTTTAAAAATTTATTTTATTTTTTATTATACTTTAAGTTCTGGGATACATGTGCAGAATGTGCAGGTTTGTTACATAGGTATACATGTGCCATTGTGGTTTGCTGCACCCATCAACCCGTCATCTACATTAGGTATTTCTCCTAATGCTATCCCTACCCTATCCCTCTACCTCCCGACAGGCCCCGGTGTGTGATGTTCCCCTCCCTGTGCCCATATGTTCTCATTGTTCAACTCCCACTTATGAGTGAGAACATGCGGTGTTTGGCCTCAGCCTCCCAAGTAGCTGTGATTATAGGCACCTGCCACCATGCCCTGCTAATTTTTGTATTTTTAGTAGAGACAAGGTTTCACCATGTTGGCCAGGCTGGTCTTGAACTTCTGACCTCAGGTGATCCGCCTGCCTTGGCCTCCTAAAGTGCTGGGATTACAGGCGTGAGCCACCACACCTGGCCACCATTATTACTATTATTATTATTATTATTATTATTATTTGAGATGGAGTCTCGCTCTGTTGCCCAGGCTGGAGTACAGTGGCACGATCTCAGCTCACTGCAACCTCTGCCTCCTAGGTTCAAGCAATAATTCTCCTGCCTCAGCCTCCTGAGTAGTGGGGATTACAGGCACGCACCACCACGCTGGGCTATTTTTTGTATTTTTAGTAGAGACAGTGTTTCACCACGTTGGCCAGGCTGGTCTCTAACTCCTGACCTCAAGTGATCTGCCCCACTCAGTCCCCCAAAGTGCTGGGATTACAGGTGTGAGTCATCAGGCCTGGCCAGATGGAGGCTTCTAAATGGCCTTCTGACTCCACCTCAAACTCTATATATGCTGTATCTAAAAGGGCTTCCTGCACAAGCAATTTTTTTTTTTTTACTTTATAAATAACTGTACTTCCTAATAGCATCACCAATTTGCTTTCCAAAGCAAACACTGTTGACATTTCAGTTCTTTTTTTTTAGTTTATTATTTTTATTATTAAACACTTCCATGTTTCTATCATAGTTCTTATGATTTGTTTCATAATGGCACTTTAAGTTATACTCTGTCAACAGACATCTTTTGCATGTTAAATATGCAGTAATGGAATTCACTTGCTGTATAGTTAGAATGCTTTTAATTAACTTATTTGGAAGTCCAGAAATAAAACATATTTCAGGTTGACTTAATCCTGTGGCCTAAGGTCTGTTTCTCTGTGATTGCTTCATTTGTGTCCCACTGTTTGTTGACTTTATCCTTAGCCTAGCCTACTCTGTTAGTTGACTTTATCCTTAGCCTGATTTTCATCATTGTGCAAAAATGGCTAAAGCAGATCCAGGCTTCCCATTCGTATACCATATTGAATAGAGGAAGAAAGAAAATATATTTGAATAGTTAAAAATAAGAAAATTTCTTTCCCTTAAACCTCTGCTAAGCATTCCTGTGGTGGATAGTGGCCTGCAATAAATCTCTTCTCCTGGTATTCATGCCCTTGTGTAGTCACTTTCTTCATTGACTCTGAACTTGGACATATGACTTGCTTTGGCCAATGAGACATATGATGAAAAAGCAAAAGTTTATTTACACATTGTATTTTTCTCTTTGTGTTCTTGCATCCTTGTCTCTTGGAATGCTCCTCCTTGGAATCTGTTAACCATACCGTAAAGAAGCTCAGGTTAGACTACTGAATGAAGAGAAGTCATCTGAAGATGGACTCCAAAGAATAAAAAGCCACCTTTGGAATTTCTACCTCCTGCCAAACTCCTAGCTAAATGCAGGCACATTAGTAACTCTGTTACACCATGTGGAGCAAAAGAATCTTCCAATTGACTTCTGCCAATCCATTACGTTTTGAGGTTGTTTGTAATACAGAAACAGGAAACAATTTCACAGACTTGCACTGGTAAAAATTAGGTCACTAGCTAGAAAGAATACAGGAAGAAAAAAAAACAAAATTAAGCCACATACCCAATATTGAGCCAATCTCTTAATCTGGAAATTCTATTCATTGACTTTCTTAAATTTGGGCTCCTGAATGATTCATTGTAGCAAGGATAGAATCACATTTAGACCAGAGAAGCATTAGTTTTCCCTAAAGTATATCAAAGATATGGGAGAGCATTAAATACTTAAACAAAAATCAGAGTACTTTTAATGAAAGGTAAGGGGAGTGTTGGATGCTGGCTAAACTATCAGCAATGTAGGCTGGGAGTGGTAGCTCATGCCTGTAATCCCAGCCCTTTGGGAGGCTGAGACTTGAGGATCACTTGGGGCCAGGAGCTCAAGACCAGTCTAGGCAACATAGTGAGACACGGTTTCTACAAAAATTTTAAAAGTTAGCTGGCTGTGGTGGTGTGCACCTGTAGTCCTAACTACTAGGTAGGCTGAAGCAGTAGGATTTCTTGAGTCAGGAGTTTGAAGTTAGAGTGAATGACACTACTGCACTGCAACCTGGGTGACAGAGTGACACACTGTCTCTTAAAAACAAAACAAAACAAAGAAATACTCTCTCACATTATTACTGAAATGTATAGCCATCTTGATCTAATTTGTTTTCCCTCTCGTGATAGGTGTACCAGTATAAGAAGTGTTTGACTTTCTCCTTAACTTTTGTATTGGTTTCCGATTGCCACTTAAACTTGGTGGTCTAAAACAACACAAATTTATTCACTTACAGTTCTGGAAGCCAGAAGTTCAAAATGGTCTTACTGATCTAAAATCAAGGTATAAGCAGAGATGTGTCCTTTCTGGAGCTTCTAGGAGAGAATCCTTTTTCTTGCCTTTTCTACTTTCTAGAGGCTACTTAAATTCCTTGGCTAGTGATTCCTTCTAGCACCCTCAAAGGTAGCAGTGTAGTATCTTCAAATCCCGTTCCTTTCTGACCTCTGCTTCCATCATTTCTGACTCTGAGCCTCTTGTTTTCATATTTCCCTTATTAGGAACCTCGTGATTATATTGGGCCCACCCCAGATATTGTCCCTATACTTAATCACACCTGCAAAATCCCTTTTGCCATGAACATATTGACAGGTTCTGAGGATTAGAATGTGGACATCTTTGTGATGGTGGGGGGTGTATTACTCTGTCTACTACAATTTTATTATCACATGAGGCTCAATGTCAGTGGTCTCTCATTCTAGGTATCAGATAATAGGGAATAGTAAGGACTGTGATAAGTTGGATAGCACACAATTTAGAAACAAGGGCTCAGGGTTAATCTTCCAGTTTTTTCAAAAAATCCAGAAATATCAATTATGATGCACAATCTCTCAATTTCAAAATTTCCATATTTTAGAACATGGTGTTTGGGTTTAAGGAGGTCCAATCAATAGTACATCTCTTTCCTAGTTTAATTCTGAATCAATTGGGAGACAAAGATAAAGATAGCTTCAAATAAAAATATTACCTTTCTGTTCCAGAATGGAACTTATCTCAGGGCAGCTAGTCTTTCTAATGTTAAACTCCAGAATTTGAATTATTGCCCAGTTGAAGGCAGAAACGTGCTCTGCTGGTGAACCAGCTACAAAGAAAAAGGGAAAAAGGAGCCATTTTACCTCTCATGGAAGGAGTGAGGAAATAAAGAAATATCAGGGGTTTTATATGAATTGATAAATCTGTACATAGAGAACGACCTGAAAGAAAACATCACAAGTTGGGGATTAAGCACTGTTCCTTTAATGCTTACCACTGAGTCATATTTTTTTACACACTCTGTAGCCCAACATTATACAGGCCAAAAGAAACATGTCTGTGGGTCACATGTAGCCCATGGGTCATTAATTTGTCGGCGTTTCATAGCTCCTGCAGATTTAGTCTTCTAGTAGCCCCTCTCACTCTACCCCAGCTCCCTCTATTGATTGGGCCATCTGGTCAGACATTGCACTTTTTCCACCAATGGTCAACCGACAAAGGGAAGGAAATGAAGCCAGCTATCATCTGGACTTGAGGCCCCATCAGAACGTCTGGGTGCAACTGCTATTGTAGCAAGCTTGGTAATGTAAACTAGGGAGTTTACATGGACAGAACTAATGTTCTATGAATCATTAGCGTAGTCTTTCTAGAGGGCAATTTGGCAGCATCTGTCAAATTTTTAAGTGCTTATGTTCCATGACCAGAGTATTAGAGATCTATACTACAGAAATAATAACATGAGTGAGAAAAAGAAAAAAAGCAAAGAAGAATTTTCTTTGTAATAACAAATTTAAAAAATGAAAACAACTTTAAAGTGTCCACCAAAAGGGGAAGGGATAAATAAATTATGGAAAAGTAAAGATGAAATATCACTTTTTATTTTATGTATTATATGATTTGAAATAGTTAAACAATTACATATTAATTTTTAGTACTTAATTTAAATTACACAATACATGATATTGTTTTTCAGCCAAAACATCATGATATAACAAAAGCCTAAAATGCCCCTTGCCCTTCATCTTGTCTTCTCTTTGTCCCCCACCTTCCCATGTACTCCCATGAGGTAAAATATACTGTCATTTTGATGTATAAGATTCCAGGCTTTTCTGCACATTTACATGAATAAATGAATGTATTTTTTATTGTAAATAATATATATGATTCTGCAGACTGCTCTTTTTATGGAACAGTATGCCTTGGGGATTTTTTTTCATGTCAGTATATACAGACTCACCTTGTTGAGTTTAGCTGCCATACTGTATCTACAGTATGGATAGGACACAGTTTATTCATTTTCCTATTGATGAACATTTAGGTAGTTTCTACTGTTCCACTCTTACAAAACAATGCTGCTATGAATATCTTTGTACAAACTTCCTTGGGTCCATGTATCCACTTTAGAAGTGAGATTACTGGGTTATAGGATGTATACCTTTCAAATCTTAATAAATAGTGTTTCTTCTGTAATTTAAAAATAATACTTTGTTTTAAGAAGCGAGAAAACAATATTCTTAAAAATAGCAAGTGGCTCTCTCATGTACAGATATACAATGTATACATATATAGCTAAAGAGATCCTGTGCCAGCCCTTAAAATTATCATTCTAAAATGGAATTCATTGTGAATCACAGCTTACCCCCCAAAAAAGCACAACAGTCATACACACTGGGCCTACTGTTTTTGGCATGCTTGGGATATAATACCCGCCGTTCTCTTTACATATACTTATGGGTAGTGTGTGTGTGTGTGTGTGTGTGTGTTTGTGTACATGCAAGCATGTGTGTGTGTGTGTCTCTGTGTGTGTGTGTTGGCACATGTGTGCTGTATAGAACTTGCAACAGGGTTTCTTCTAGATGACTCGTCTGAACCACAGCAATTTCTGTGGAAGTTGGAAGAAAATTGATGAATGTAAGAGATATCATGGAGTTGGAATCCCCTGGAAATCATGATTGGTAGGTCTAGGCAGCCAGGCACAGAGCAAAACTAAGGATGTCATGAAGTTTAGTTTCTTGTTTGCTGAGCTGAACGAGGTTTGTTGAACTATCTAAAACCACAGGGAGCACTGTTCACTGGGGTCAGCTTCGTCGATGCTGATAGCTTTGTCTCTTTGCTGCCAACAGCAGCATTTGGTAAGGTGTAAGAAGGCCTGCATTCTAGTCCTGGCTCTACCTCCAATTGGCTATGTGATCTTGAAGTAAGCATTTCACTGCACTTAATTCATCTATAAAATGAACAGGACCTTTTTCACCTTTAATATCATGGACTAGCAACTCCAAACCAAGAATTGAACAGACATTTAGATATCTGTTACACATACCTAAATCTATACAAGCTTGCATGTAACAGATATACAATGCTAAATTAATTCTTTTCATCTGTGCAGGATCTATTCTGGTATTTTTTCTTCAAGAATACTTGTTGTAAGGTTTTGCAGAACTAAAATGGGACAAATAGAAGTGAATCCAAAGATGATGTAGATGCTTCCAACAAGTGAAAGCCTGAAGTGGGAAAATTTGGGATGCCCAGACTCATAGACTGGAAGGGGATAGAATGAGAAAGAATCATCATAAAGTTGTAGAATCCCAGACTTTAAGGTTGCCTATACAAACCTCCAAGCTTCAACAGATATCAGTTCTACAAACACACCTGGCAGATGGCTATGAAAGGAGCTTGTTTGTGGTCTGGACTGGGGGGTGTGTTTTACAGCAAAAGGTAGCTGTCAGGGTAATGTCTTCCATTCAACTGGTCCCCTTTAATGCTGAACTCAGAGTAAGGCAGCACGGACATGTTTCATGAAAAAGAAACCTTGGGAGATCTTTATGCTAAAACACACACACACACACATGCACTGCACACACATGTATGGTTGGTACAGGCTTTGAAAGATATTACCTTGAAATTATTGTTTTGTTTTATCTTCAAAGACTTTATCTCTTCATGCAGTTTAGCTGTGTGGCCACCAGGGGACAGAAGGATGCCATTGATTGTATTGTGAATGTAAGCCTCGAAGTTTGTGCTCTCCCTAAGATTCAAAATGATGGCTCTCTGCTCATTTTGACCCCCTACCCAAGATATATAGTCACATATATCCAGCTTTTTCTATAAAACGAATGCCTTTGCTAAGCTGATTAAAATATGTCAAACTTTAAACTCATCATGCTGGAACCACATTTCCTAGGCCCCTGAAAAACAGCAGCAGTCTCTGGTTTGTAGCAACTCTTTTTCAGAGAAATCACTGGAATTCCAATTCCTTCTGTTTTTTTAAGGTCTCTCAGCTGTGTCTCATTTGGATTCCTCAGTGGCCTTTCCAAGGCCTCTTTTAGCCTAACTTCCCAAGACTCATTCTCCTTTGCTGGTCTCTTTCTACAAACGCAACATGGGGTTAGGTCAGTAATTCATGCAGTAAATATTTACTTTGTATTCACTGTGTGCCAAAACAAGCCCAGGCTCTCAGGAAACAAATAAAACTTTTCTGTCCTACAGCTTACATTCTAGTGAAAAGGCAGACAATAAACAAATATGTTCAGATGGCAATAAGTGCTATAGAGAGGTAATAATAAGAAATAGGAGAGGGAGATTGGGAGTTATTCAAGGAGGGGATGGTGGCAGGGCTGCTATTTTAGATGGTACTGTCAGAGCATATTTCTCTAATAAAGATGGCATTTCAGCTGTGACCTGAAGGAGGTGAGAGAGCAAGCCACATATTCCAGGAAGTTGGGGAGGGGCACAAATGTAAAGATCTTAAGGTGGCACTAGTTTCAGTATGTGTGAGGGGCAGCAAGGTGGCCAGTGTAGCTGGAGCTCAGTGAGAAATGGAGAGAATGATGGGAAATAAGATCAAATAGGTGACAAGAAATCTGATCTTGTAGGACCATATCTGTGAGATGATGCAGCTCTGACAGTTTTGAGCAGAGGATTGACATGGTCACTGTGGCTATAGTAAGAAGTGTGGGAGAAGGGATCATATTCTGGAAATGGCTTGAAGGGAAAGTTGACAGGATTTAATAATGAATTGTATGTGGTAAGTATGAGAAAGAAGAGTCAGGGGTAGGCTAAATATTTGGCCTAAGCAAATGGAGTTTCTATTTACCGGGACAAGAAAGACTTGGGGACAGGCAGTGAGGTAAAAAAGAAAACTAGAATAGTGTGTGTGTGGTCCTGAAAGCCAGGTGAAGAAAGTTTTGCAAGGAGGAGAGAGTGATCATCTGTGTCCTACACTAATGAGGTGGATGGCATCCCTTCTGGCTGTAGCTGTCGCTACAGGTGTTACTTGCCTCACAGACTCACTGACATTGCTGTGCTTTTCTGCCATGTCAGATACTTGCTGGATTGGGAAATGGTCCTCAAGTGTTAGAGACAATTCCACATGACCTCAAAACATGATGGTCCTCTATAGTCTGTTCTCAGTTCCCAGTTTCCTGGAGCTCAACTAGTTAACAGACACCTGAACTCTCATCCTGCATCAGGGGACAAAGGGACACACTACTCAGTGCTGCATTCAAAAAGCTCCTCTCCACCACACTCTGTTCAGCTTCCGGAGCAAAGTCTGTGAGAGGACCCCAGCTTTTTCCTTTTATAGTGGTTCTTTTCCACCTAGAATGCTGCCGGGGGTTGAGCGTCTACCTCAGCTCTCCCATACAAATCCTAGGGCGTCAAGCAATACTGCCTGTTTCATGGCCATTAAACCTTCATGTCCAATCTACGCAGATAATCCCAGGCACTCCAGGACTCACAGTGGCCCTAGACATACAAGCTGTACTGCACTAAATTAAAGAATCGTGCCATAAGCATTTTGCTGAGTAAATGGAATTACTAAAATAGAGACATGTTATTCTCACCCAATTTTTAGCTGTTTGTTTAACATCATAACATAATTTTGCTTTTATATACTGTCACTAATTAAAATTTAAGTTTGAAATTATCATTCTCTTCCAAGATCAGTTTTTGAGATAAACCCCTACCCCTTCTTCCCATCCCAGTCAATTTTATTATCTCCATTCATTTACCATGACTCTTCATAAATATCTTACGAAGGTATAGGGTAAGCTTAGGGGGAAACACGTTGTCCAGATTCAAGTCCTAACTGATTTGTTTCTTAGATGCATGACATTGGGAAAATTGCTTAATATCTCCATGACTCAGTTTTCTCTCCTAGAAAGCACAGATAATAATTGTTGTGAAGATTAAACAAGATGAAGTATGTAAAGTTCCAGGCACATTGTAGAAGCAAGAAGATAGAGTCCATCTTAGCTTGGGTCCATAAGAAAGAAAAATGTTGGCCCCAGTCAACATGCAATGATCACATAATGTAGCAATAAATAAGCTCTAGTTGCTTTAAGCCATTGAGATTTTGGGGGTTGTTACTTCAGCAGAACCAGGTGCTGACTAAGTAAAACAGAAATTGATACAGTGGCTAGGGCATACTATAACAAAATCTAAAATGAGTGACTTTGACAGAGTGGTAGGTTGGTGGGTGTTAAGGAAACATATTGAAGACTGAAAAGATGAAGATCCCTGTTAAGCAGAGGCAAAGCATTTGTTATAAATGTTGCCTATAGTCACTTGGGAAGAAAATCATGTGCCTATTGAATGTGTAGATTTGGAGGGAAAGATGGAAAACATAATGCTAGTAGTCTGTTGTTTGCTGTTAACTGAGAATTGACTGGCTTGACAGTAGAAATGATGGAAACGTCTCAGTATCAACTAAAGTTTATGGACTTTGCACATAATGCTGTGACAGGTTGGAAGAGCTTTGAGATTGCCCCCTTGACAGTAGGTATACTATCAAGAAATGAAGAAGTAAAGCAAAAGGAGTAAACACAAGCCAAATCATGAAATCTCTTTTAAGCCACATTAAGGAGTTAAGTCTCTTTCTTGAAGCAGCAGGAAGCCTTCAAGGGTTTTTGAAACAGGGATGACATGAGTGGCCTGGAAATGAATTTCTTATCAAAATTTAGAAGAGGCTAACATCTTATAAACAATATATGTGCACAAATCAGATCATGCATAATCTGAATTAAAATATCCTCAGAAACAACAAAGCATACATAATATAAAGTAAAAATAAAAATTCCCTTTCACATAACGCAAATTCCTCTTATTTCCCCAGATTATCATATTAATACTTTGATGTGTGTCTTTCCAGACCTTTGATATGCACCCAAACACATGCGTGTGCATGTATGCCCCCATTCCCCCATGCATGCACACACACATAAACGTAGAGTGTTGTTTTGTAACATGAATAGAGTCACACATATAGATCTAACTATATGACTATTTAACATGTGTTCCAGTGTGTGGATACACTATAACTTCTTTTTTTAAAATTTTACTTTAAATTCTGGGATACATGTGCAGAAAGTGCAGGTTTGTTACGTAGGTATACATGTGCTATGGTGGTTTGCTGCACCTATCAACTTGTCATCTAGGTATTAAGCCCCGCATGCATTAGGTATTTGTCTTAATGCTCTTCCTCCCCTTGACAGGCCCCGGTGTGTGATGTTCCCTTCCCTGTGCCCATGTGTTCTCATTGTTCAACTCCTACTTACGAGTGAGAACATGCGGTGTTTGGTTTTCTGTTCCTGTGTTAGTTTGCTGAGAATGATGGCTTCCAGGTTCATCCATGTCCCTGCAAAGGACATGAACTCATTTTTTTTTATGACTGCAGAGTATTCCATGGTGCATATGTGCCACATTTTCTTTATCCAGTCTGTCATTGATGGGCATTTGGGTTGGTTCCAAGTCTTTGCTATTGTAAACGGTGCTGCAGTGAACATACATTGTACTAGAAATTCTTATTGATGAACAATTAGAATGTTTTCAATGTTACATTAAATAACTGCACACATCTAGAGTAGTTGTAAAGCTGTCTCCAAACTGAGGTGTGCACGATGTATGACTCTATTTTTCTCTAACAAAGTGTAATTCTCTTTTAAGCACCTTCTATCATGTAGCAGGAAAACTAATCCCAGTCTTTTTAGGATTATAGACTTACTGTCACCCATGGAATTTGAGTAATGGTTCCAGAATCTTATATAAGTCAACAGGGTTGGGTGGGGCCCTTGGACATAGTGTAATCTGTCCATTTTCCCTATCAGATCCAGTGTCTTTCAGCTACTTCTGTGACACATCTGGGCATGTGAAATTATTTCTATGAAACTTCCTGTTGTCATATCTACATAAACAGATGACATATCCTTTTTCTCCCTCAGGTGTGGTCAATATTCCACCCATTCCATTGTGCTTTTATATTGTCATGGTTGATAACTTTACATTCTATTTTGTAATAGTCTAAGTCTTCTGTAATTTGTCTGTTAATTAATTTTAAAATTAGAAAATCAATACACATTTACATTATTATGAAAGACATCTTTTCAACATTGACCTGAGTGGTGTGCTAGGAGTATTTTTCTTTCTCTACGAATTTAATATCATGACTATACCACTCAAAGGGAATATTTCTAGAGTGATGTTTGAATAGATTCTTTTTTAAAACTCCCACCAAATGCTTTCACCATATGCTCAAGCTGTTCCTGTAGATCTTGTTGGAGCATTGTCCCCTGCTTCTGTCTGAAATAGTTGTTCTCAGAGCCAACTGTCCAGCCATAATCATAGAACATTCTTTGCTCTCCTGGGGTAAAGCCATTGCTTTTTAGGTCTTATTTCTTCATTCATTTTAGATTACTTCCTTGGTTTTCAGAAATACAACCTCAATGACTTCTCAAGAATGATGCAATTTTAGGTAAGGTTAATTTTAGTGTACCTTCTTTCCCTCTATGGTCAGAGCCCCATCTGTGTGGGGTTGCCCCTCTTCTTCCCGATTTGGATGTAATGTCCCAATGCAAAGTGTAAGGTCTAGTTCCTGACCTGTCACTGAGGCTGGATGATGTAACCTAGAAATGTATATGGGTGGGGGGTGAGAGTGTGTATTGTATCATGGAGTTAATCTTGACCAATGAAAAACAGATAGGAAGGGTACACCCTTGTACTGAGCACACACACATGCTGAGTATGGTTCTTTGGGGCTCATTGTGAATTGGTGGCTGTGCGGTGATGCTTCACATCTTCCCATGCCTCACTTACTGGGTTTCTCATGCTCACCACCTTAGGCTTATACCTCCCAAGCAAAATATAAGTATTTTAATCCCTGCCTGGAACTTTGCTTTTTAGCAGAGTGCCTAGGCTAAGCTAGCCAAGTATAGTATTCTAGGTTGAGGCTGGGCACGGTGGCTCACACCTGTAATCTCAGCACTCCGGGAGGCCAAGGTGGGCAGATCATGAGGTCAGGAGTTTGAGACCAGCCTGACCAACATGGTGAAACCCGTCTCTACTAAAAACACAAAAATTAGCTGGGCATGATGGCGGGCACCTGTAATCCCAGCTACTCGGGAGGCTGAGGCAGGAGAATCGTTTGAACCTGGGAAGTGGAGGTTGCAGTGAGCCGAGATTGCACATTGCACTCCAGCCTGGGCAAAAGGGCGAGACTCCATCTAAAAAAAAAAAAAAAAAAAAAAAAAGACTTCTAGGTTGAATATCATTTCCAGCAGAACTCTGAGTTTCTATGAAACTTCCCATGGACATATGTACATAAACAGATGGCATATCCTTTTTCTCTCTCAGATGTGGTCCCTGGTCCATAGGGCTTGGTCCATAGACTTCTAGTTTCCAGTGTTGCTGAAACAAGTTTGATTCTTGCTACTTTATGGGTTAGCTGTGTCTTGATTTGTTTTGTTTTGCTTTAATATTTCCTTTCTGGAAGCTGTTGCAAATTTACTTGAACCTCGATGTTCTGAAATTTTGTAATAATATGTCTAGACATAAGAAATTATTTTCAATGTGATGGCTACTCTGTGGACTCTATCCGTATGATGACTTGTATTATTTAGCTCAGATAAAGTATCTTATAATTTCTGACACTTTTCTCTCACGTGCTATTTCTATACTCTCTTTCTGAAACTTCCGTCAGTTGGATGACAGACTTGACTCTTCATTTCCATGTTTCACTCTTCCCCTTCTTTGTATCTGGTATTTCCATGCCTCTAATTTCTCTGGAATTCTTCAGGGAGATAGGCATCTTCCTGAGCCTTGTCCCTTCCTCAAATACTTCTAAGTTTTATTTCTTTCAAATTAATTCATAATTTACCACTTCTCTATCAATTATCCAGCTTCTAGGAACATGGTAAAAATTTTTATTTCTCGATAGTCCTCTTCTGTTCTCTTTACACAGGTTATATCATTATTATTTTTATTTTATTTTTTATTTTTTGAGACCGAGTCTCACTCCGTCACCCAGGCTGGAGTGCAGTGGCACGATCTCGGCTCACTGCAACCTCCGCCTCCCGGGTTCAAGAGATTACTCCTGCCTGAGCCTCCTGAGTAGCTGAGATTACATTTGCCCACCACCATGCCCACCTAATTTTTGTATTTTTAGTAGAGATGGTGTTTCACCATGTTGGCCAGGTTGGTCTTGAACTCCTGGCCTCAGGTGATACACCTGTCTCAGTCTCCCAAAGTGCTGGGATTGCAGGTGTGAGCCACTGCACCTGGCAACCATAATAATAATAACATGCTAATTAAAAGACATGCTAATTATTATTATTATTATTATTATTATTATTTGAGACGGAGTCTCACTCTGTCACCCAGGCTGGAGTGCAGTGGTGCGATATCGGCTCACTGCAACCTCCACCTCCCGGGTTCAAGCGATTCTCCTGCCCCAGCCTCCTGAGTAGCTGGGATTACAGGCGTGAGCCACATGCCCGGGAATTTTTGTATTTTGGGTAGAGACGGAGTTTCACCATGTTGGTCAGGCTGGTCTTCAACTCCTGACCTCGTGATCCCACCTCGGCCTCCCAAAGTGTTGGGATTACAGGCGTGAGCCACTGCGCCTGGCCCCATTATTATTTTTAAAATGCCATTTAAGAGTCTTCAGAGAGAGAGAGAGAAAGAAAATTGCTTAGGATCAATTCTTCATCCTGAACCAGAATTGTCTGAATTTTTATGATGTAGTTGAATCTGTGTTTTCCATGTAGCTTGTGGGTTTCAAGACTGCTTAACAGGGCTGTGTTTTTCCTGTATGTTAGACATGCTTTGGATTCATTCAGCCAGTTTAATATTTACTGAGTGATGGGTTTACGGTTTGTTGCCATCATAAAGCAATAAACACCACCTGCAGCCGACCTTCATCTAGCAGATCAAGACTTCCTCATTTCTGAAAATAACTGAGTTTTTAAATACCATTCAGAAAGCAGAATGTAAAACAGTTGCTTCTTAGTATAATCTGCATTTTTCATTTTCAGCTGGTTTAAAAAATTATTTTTAGAAGAATACAACTTTATTTTAAATTTTATTTTCTTAAAAAAGTTTTAATGCCTCAAATAAGATGTATTTTGATTTTCTTTCCCTCCCTTTTTTAAAGCAACCTAGTTCTTTACTTTTATCTTTAAATAAATTGTAAACAAATTTCTACCTTTTTTAGGCACAGTCTTCACAAATTCTTTCCTCCTTTCCTCTAAAACGTGGAGGTTCCTGCACTAGAAATGGAGACATATTAATAATACTTAAGCCATCCGAGAACACCATGAAATGAGTCATTCTCAATGGCTACACTTTTCTGATACCCTTTAGACTTAGGCAAAAATCCTATTTTGCATAAACATTTAGGCCGGCTTAACTTGAGTTAACCCTTTTGTGAATAGACTGTTAATATCATTGCCAGATTGTAAACTCTAATTAATAGTCTCACTCCTTTAGGTTCTAGCCAGTACAATGACCAGAGAAAAATCTCAGTATACATAGCATTTGTTGAATAAACATGTGAAGTGAATGAATGAATAAATGCAGTACAATGATGCTCTTAGGTTCTATTGAGGCATATGGAGCTCCTTTTCTCTTACACTAACTGGCCCCAAGCTGCTATGCTTTTAAGTGTTTGAGTCTGCTTTGCAGTGTTTCTTTCTTTGCCCTTCCTTAGGTTCTCTGATGTCACTTGTTATCATTGTGTATGTACCTATCTCTAGAAGTCTTTCTCTCTTAACTTGCTACTTCTCATCAACTATGACTTTGGGACCAACATGACTAAGCTGGTTATGGCAAGTACACAACAACTCTGAGTGAATTTCTGACTGACTTCGCCACTGTTTAATGTACCGTTTGTGGATTTGAGCTCCTTTTTGGTTGCTCAGACATTGTCCTCACCCACTTACCCACAGTTCATACTTCTATTTCAGATAGTGAGATAGCCAGTAGCTTATTTCTACATGAATGGAATGACGTGCTAGTTATTGGAGCAGAATTGAAATAAACTACCTGTACTTTCCAGATGGCAACACCTTTTATCTGAGCCCAGGGACTTTCACACTTCCAAAACACGTATGACTCCACGTAATTCATGACAATTCAGAGGATATAGTATTTTACTCATAGCAAAGCTAATATATTATTCATGGCAATCCCCAAAAAAGGGCTATGTGGTATTAGCACAGATACAATCACCTACAGCTCTCACCCTGAACCCCCATCTCTCTTTCAACAATTTTTGATGCCATTTGCATCAGCGGTTTTGTTATATAACAAACTACTCTGAAGTTAGTGGCTTAAAACAACAAGCATTTAACATTTCTCATGCATCTACAGGACATCTGGGTGGTTCTGAGGATGTGAACTGAACTTACACATGTATCTACAGTCATCTGTGGATGGCCTGGGCAGTTTTGTTAGTCTTGGGCTCTCTCTCACATATCTGGGGTCTTAGGGCTGGGACTAAGTAGGCTGACTCTGCTCTGCCCCATAGGTTGCACCCTTGAGCGGGCTAGCCTGAGCATTCTGTATGGAAAAGGTAGAGAAGCAAAAGAGAGAAGAGAAGCACACTAGGTTTCCTGAGACCTAGACTCTGGAACTCACACGTCACTTTTGCCACATTCTATTGGTCAGTTCGTTATGAGAATAGCCCAGATTCAAGGGATGAGCAAAAGGACTCCTCATGATGGAAGGAATTACAAAGTCACACTGCAGAGGATGTGGATCCAGGGAGAAGTCGGAAATCTGAGCCAATTTGCAATCAATTCAAGCATTACTGTTTAAAAAAAAACAATAAAAAACACACTATTCATTATATTCCTTATCTTGTTTTTTCTATTAATATGGTTACCATTCATTTGTTTTACATTTTCCCCCGATTCCCATCCCCTCACCATTTGATAAACAATATCTCAAAGAGGAAATGAATTTCTCAAAATGCATTTTTATATTTACCAAAAGGAAAGGAAAGTTTTGTGATTATTTTCTATAAAGGAAGGGCAAAAACTCATGTTCTTAAAGGCTGTTTTGCATCTGACTTTCTTTGTGAGTTGGGCATGGTCAAGCTTGCTGTTGCCTTCGATCTCAGTAAAGCCATAGGCATGTTTGTCCCAGCGGAATAAGCACTGGGTAAGGAATGCAGCAGGAAGTTGATAACATAGATGTGAGTGTGATATTTTAGCCGCGAGTTATGCAGAGCCCCCACCTGGAAAACAGGATAATCAGATAGCTGTGCTGATCTCCAATAGCTTGGTCTGGAATAACTCCCATGTTAATAGTGTTCCCTGATGGTTTTCAGCCAATGCAAGCACATTTGCTATTCCCAAGAGATGTTTAGGTAGCATAATTTTTTTTTCTTATCAATCGACATAAAGATTTCTAAGAATTGCCCTAGAATCTCTTGGAAATAACGAAGTCGTTTTCATTCCTTATGCCCTGACTTGCCCTCATCTGATCAGAAAAAGTGATGTTTAGTGTTTTCTATGAGCATAAGTAGGTTAGTGATTTTATTATTACTGAAAAGAGGAAGTGATATTTAGCAATCAAGGGATCTAACATAATGCTAAACTTGGTGATTTCTTTATAATCGAATGTAATTTTAAGATTTATGAAGATCTTTTGGACTTTATTTCTTATATAAATCAAGTTTGCTGTCTTTGGAGCAGTCCTCTATGAAGTAGGAAGAAAATACTTCGGGCTATTTTCAAAAGTCAGATAAGCACAGTCTTCATGTCATTAGTTCTTCAGAGTAAAATCTAGAAAATAAGCTCACAGTGGCCTCTGCTCATGTACAACATTTCCTAGTATTTTTTAAATCCAAGAAGAAGTGTATTTCAGGATTTAGTTTCTTCTTATAATTTATAGCATCCCACTTCCTTGAAAATTATGAATCTATTAGCAATAAGTATTAACTGGAATATCCAATTACTTAGACTACCTCATTCCCCAACCACTACAACAAGATAATAAAGGCTACAAGTTTAAATGAATCTCAGGCCACTTGGTTGATCATTTTTCCAGGTTTTAAAAATCTCTAGTGGTCAGATTTCCTAGCCTCTGTCAACACTTTGTTTTTTGCCCAACTGAATTTATGGTTGAGAAATTTAGCTCCTTCCTCATGCAATCTTATTACACACAGACACACACACACACACACACACACACACACACACACACAAAACTATAGACAACAGCTGGCCATTCTCTGAAAGACAGAAATTGTTTATAAATAAAATAAATATAAATGAAAAAGTAGACTTAATAAATATTATTGAGTCACCCTACAGCCTTCTTTTCTCCAAGCAAAATAATTCCATTTTTTGATAGGTTCTATTTTATCATAATTTAAAAGTAAAAATGAGCATGAATCAGATTAACCAGTGTTTCTAAACTAAGATACCAAGCTACTTAAATGGTATAAACTAGAGATTTATGTTACCACTGTTACCCAGCTATTCTTGGTACATAATTTGTACCTAGCATAATTGCTTTGAAAATATCCTTAGTTTTTGGCCGGGTGCGGTGACTCATGCCTGTAATCGCAGCACTTTGGGAGGCTGAGGCCGGTGGATCACCTGAGGTTGGGAGTTTGAGACCAGCCTGACCAACATGGAGAAACCCCGTCTCTACTAAAAATACAAAATTAGCCAGGCGCGGTAGCGCATGCCTGTAATCCCAACTACTCAGGAGGCTGAGGCAGGATAATCGCTTGAACCCGGGTGGCAGAGGTTGCGGTGAGCTGAGGTCGTGCCATTGCACTCCAGCCTGGGCAACAAGAGCAAAACTCCGTCTCAAACAAAAAGGAGAGAGAGAGAGAGAGAAAGAAAATATCCTTAATTTTTTATACCTAGTGTAATCTGCTAGTGTAGTATAAAGGACATGGAGTTTGTCCCCAGAAAGATGTGGATTGAATGTTGACATAGTCACCCAATAGTTATGGGTACTTTTCCTTCTCATTCATCTTCGTTCAGACTGTTTTCTTATCAACAAAATTAGGATAAAACGGCTACCTTGTAGTGTTGCTGAGGGATTAAATAAAGTGTATGTAAAATGTTCGGCATAGTAGGAGGTGTTTACCAAATGTTGGCTATTTCTATTACTGCCATTTATTTTAGGTAATGTCCTTTCCCTCCATGGCAGCACCTGTTGACTCCCACAGGAACATGTCATGCCCACACCCCTATGCATTTCCTAAATAGTGGAGATCGTAACCGGTTGACTCATTTAGAACAAGGGCTATCACAGAAGCATGAGCATATATGCCCACAATTGCTCACAATTGCCCACAATTGCCCATATTGCCCACAATTGATGATACTCAATTGTGAAGTTAGAACATGAAAGTTCAGTAGACGTGGAACAAAGATGTCACACTGGGGCTTCTTCGTTTCTGAAATTCTGTCTATGACATTAAGTTGCCCTCCCTGTCCCTTATATTAGTGTTGTGAGGATCAACAGTATTCAGCACAGAACTTAGTCTTCAGCTTTCACTTCCCAATCCATAAACCATGAAGTGTTTGGCATATCATATACAGAAACACAGAGTGTCTCAACCCCACCGGGGTAGAGAAAATTGTTACTAGCTGAATTTACCCTTTAATACAAAGATCAGTAACACAGACACAAAGAAAGCTCATTCATTTTAATAGTTGAGCACAGTTTTAAGAATTCCCCGTAGGAATTATCTCCCAGGTCCCCCGCTAGAATTATTCACATACAAAGCCTGCAAGTATTCAAATTTCACAAACACAATTGCAAAAGCAGAAGAACTAAGAAAAACCTTCATAGTCTTAAGATTAAAAACAATGCTTCATCATTCTTAGAGTACCTGTTAATAAATGCTAAATACTAAGTGCTAAAAAAAAAAAAAAAAAAAAAAAGCTAGGCTGGCAGCTGGCTGCTGGTGGCTGGCAGCTGGTGGCTTGAGAGAATAAAAAAGGAAACTTTTATAATGACAAGCACTCTTATATTCATTTTTTATCTCATAACTGGATAACACAGGGCAGATCTCTCTACTTTCATAACTTAGTTGGTTTTGAAGATAGAAAACCTTGGAGAAACACTCTCGGAGCAACAAATGAAGCTGGTTTTAATTATGCACATAGGTTAGAAAGGGCCAATATTCTCAGACTCCTTATAACTGAGGTACCCTCTCCAGTTCATACTTTGGTGTAAAGAATTGAAACAATAAACAGAGCCTGACTCATAGTAATAACACAATAAATATCTGTTGAATAGATGAATTGATACCTGAGGTGCAGTGTGAACAGGCTGGACCTAAGTGTCTCTAAGCAGAAACCATCCTGGTACATTTCAGAAAGGCTATATTCGCACAGCAGGCCTTATTTGTCAGACCTACCCTCAGTGCCCTGAGGATTCTGGGAGACGAAAGGAATAGTAGTATGACAAAGAACAACTGAGTTCTTATTTAGTTCATCCTAGTCCCTTGAATAATCCCCCTCAGCATCAAAATTTGTGACCAGATTTTAAAAGATTCAATACCATAGATAATCAAAACAACATCAATATGTGTATACCTCCTTCAATTATATTCTATACATATCAAACTTTAAGAAATCTGGGGCAGGGAATGACCAATATGAGACCCCCTTCCCCTCTCTCTCCCTTTTGCCTTTTTTATTTTCTCTCACTCTCCCATTCTCTTTTCTCCTTATTTCCTTTTCCTCCTAAACCAGTCTTCTGCCCTTCCCCCAGCTCTTTCTCCTTCTTCCTCATTACCGAAGTTGAAGAGTTCTAAACATTTGTGGCTCCAAGGGGTGGGGCAAATAAAACTGGTTTTAGTTCCCAGAAATGGGAGCAGTTCTAAGAACAAAAAGAAAACCCTGCTCTTGGCCACACTAACAGTGATTTAGAGACTCTCTCTTGAACATATATTCAGAACATACTATTGAGTGTGAATTTGATCTCTGTATAGAGATTTTTGTTTCTGGGTTGTTAATTTTAGGATGATGATGATGATATAATACAAATAAACCATTAGTCACACAGATGCGATCCATTTTGTGTGTGTATTTACGGAAAATAAGGGGTGGGTGTTATTTAAAACAAATGACCATATCAGATACATATTTGTCACAATTCCTAAGTTCAATATTCATAAGGGCTAGCTGGAGAAGACCACTTTGGGCAGGAAATTAGTCTGCATTTATTTTATAGCACAAGGAGCAGGACTAGATGAGCCAGAGTCATGGCAGGAGGTTAATTCTCCACCTCCAACCCTCTTTTTTCATGCTTCAAATAAGAATGTGCAGAACCCTTCAGGCAATCCTATTGGTTAGTATCCTTAGCCTGTTCTTGACCCTAGGGAGAATCAGATTCCTTTGGTCTATGACAGTAATAGAAGTTATTTCTTTAGATAAATTTTGTTTAAGGCTTTAAATTAATTCTATCTTGGCATTGTGTGGTTCTAAATTCATTCATTCATTTAACAAAACTTACTTGAGTATCCGCTCTCTGCCAAGCACAGTGGTAAATGATGAGTATTACATTAACTCCAATCAATCCAATATTCTTCTGTAGAAAGAACATCTGGCCCAGTTACCCTGCTGTATTAGTAAACTGGAGTATGCTCAGATGTCAATACTGTCACTAATAAGTGTTGAGACACTCTCAACATGTATTATGTCCTAATGATCTGGAAAATTTCCTTCAGTATGATAATAATGATGGCAAAAATGACACAAAGTAGAAATATATAGCTACTCCTTGGTTTCCTTCTTCTTTTGGGGAATATAAAAACTGATTTTGAGGATTCTGAGGCAGCTCAGTATTGTGGAAAGAGTATCAAACCTGGAGTAAGATGGGCTAGATCTGGTCACAGTTTCATAATCTTAGGGAAGTTACTGAACCTTTTGATCCTTTCCCTTTTGATTCTAAAATTGAGTCCAAGAATCTTTTCCCTAACTTCCACTGACATTACTGAGAGGAAAAAAATGAAATAATGTTTGTAAAAGTGCTCTCAAAACCATAGAGCTCCACATAAATGTAACTTATCACTATCAAACAATCTTTGACATTCCTTTAAGGGAAAACCATTACATTATAGTTTCTTTTTGTCCATTTTTAAGCAGGGGGTATTTATATTATCAATTAGCATTATTTGAGCATTTGGCAGCACAACCCACATTTATTTCCTCATGGAAGAGACAAGTTAGAAGTTTTCCTTGTTGAAAATGAAATGCACTCCCCGAGGGCCAGACTCAGAGTTGGAGATGCTTTGTTTACTCAGGGTTTCAGCCAAGGCTTCAGGTCCACAGAGGAAAACTCCTATTCTGGTACTTTTGGGAAAGAAAAAAAAAGACAATTTCAAGCTTTGGGATGAGATGTCTACAAAGCAGGTAGGTGAATTTCCCGTTAATTTGAGGCCCCAGGGCAGAGTCCCCTCTGCTCCTTTTTCTTTTCCACAAATAGCAAAGGGATCATATTGCTCAGAGGGAGTGTGGTTCAGCCTGTTTGTGTGAGCATCTGGATAGTTCAAAAGGTAGTTGACTTCCCTGGCAAAAGTAAAATCCAACCAAGGTTTTTGGAAACTTCTATCACAGAGAAAATGGTGGTGAATTCATGAGTCCGTGGGCTACTTTCCTTCAGGGCTCTGTGCCCCCTGGCATCTTGAAATTAGGAACAAGCTAACTATGCCAACCACTCAGTGTGGCTTCATTTCTCTAAATTTTAGAGTCTGAAGCCCTGTTCAAAGTGTGGTTTCTGATCAGTAGCCTTGGCGTCAGCTTTTTAAAAAATGCAGATTACCTGGCCCTACCTCAAATCTTCTAAATTGGTATCTGCATTTTAAAGAGATCCCCAGGCACTTTGTATGCTCCTTACAGTGCAAAAAGCAATAGTCTGAAGGGTACACGTATGGTGATCTCTTGAGTTTCTTAGGTGTTCTAGCAAGATAAGGGATCCCCCTCAAGGTTTTATAATGACTAAAGTTTTAGTGAGAGCAGAAAGCACCTTGAGACATCTGTCAACTTAAGATTTTAGACCCAGAAGCTTTTAGAACTGAAAGTGGGGACAGTGTCTTCTTAACAATATGTATAAATTATATTGAATCTTTAAAAGAAGTAGATACACTAATGAAATTTAGGTGACTAAAGAAAAGAACTAAGCTGTGGCCCTACTTGGGACAGGCAGGTTGAGAAAATCTGAGATGGGGACCTGGAAATACTTGTTTTTAATTAATCTCCAGGTAATTTGGTATAATTTAAAGATCCTTCTTAAAGTTGAAGATATCTGGAATCTTCTGTTGGGCATGAATTCAATCTTTATATAGTAATATACATATTTGAGTTTCTAAAATATATAAGTTTAGATATGTATAGGGGCTGCCGCTTTAGGCAGATGCAAGCCTCAAAAACATCTTGGTGACAGACTCCTTACTTAGGGTGTTGACTTGCAATTGTCTTGAATTCATTATCCCAGTTGGGCCGTCCATACAAAGTCTTTTGTTTCAGGCCTGTGATCACATCTTTCTCCTCATCATGGTGCACAGCAAAGTGATTGGCCTACAGGAAAGGACATGAATTCAGAAAAAAAAGAGACATTCTGTAAAAGCACATACAATGTATTTACATCCTTCACAAGCTATTCTAACCAAGGCACCCTGCTGGATGCTGAAAGGTAAACAAAGATAAATAAACTGGATCTCTCTCAAGCAATTTACAGTCTAGAAAGGGAGACTTCGAAGTATAAATATAAATAATCCCATATGTCGAACAGGGTATGATGTGTGTCATGAAGGAGGCACAAGCGTCCTAATGAGAACAAAGAAGGAAGGTGAAGTGGAAGAATAGGGGAAGGGTTAGGGCCGCAGTATTTGAGTCAGGCATTGATGGATGAATAGTGTCTCACTGTTTTTCTCTCTGCTCTATGTTTGACTTTTTCTCTCCACCCTAATATACTTCCACTCCTTTGGGAGAATTACTAAGAGATGTAACAATTTTAGACTAAAATGCAGCAATACTTTGGTAGCATAAGACATCAAATCAAGCCTAAAGCTAGTGTGTGTGTATGTGTGTGTGTGCACGCACATATGTGTATATAGTCACATACTGTTTTTCTGCTACCATTCTAGGAGGCTTCAGTTTGAGCAACAGGTATTTTTCATAAAAGTGGTTAATTAAATTTATTTTTAAAAAGCAAATCAGATTTGAAATTCACTAGATGGATGATGGTCATAGAGGAGGTTAAGAAAGGTGGGCACTCCAATTTAATAATTCTATAGATATCAGTTTTGCAAAGCAAAATAATTACTTTTTCAATACAAATAAATAACTGATTTAAAAAAGAAACCTGTGCATGGCTTTTAAAATAACAGAACAGTAAAGCAATTTATATACTATAGATTTTTTTCCTGAGTTTTATTTTTATCAAAGCATTTTTGTTTTGTTTTTAAATTGCAGAACTGGCATTTTGAAACCACTTTTTATGGAGCAACAATTCTTATCGTTATGTTTCCCTAATCTATATTTGCTACAAGATTCCTTTAAGACTTGGAGAATCTGTGATAAACAATATGTTGAAACCCAAATGGGAATTCAGTCTTCACAGTGACAGGGTGCACATGGAAGATTCCCAGGGTTGTGGAGTCAATGTCTATGTATGCCCAGTTGCTACAGTTTGAATGTATCCTCTCCAAAATTCAGATGTTGCCTATGTGATAGCATTAAGAAGTGGAGCCTTAAAAAGGTGATTAAGACATGAAGGATCATCCCTTATGAATGAGTTAAGGGCTTTGGAAAAGAGTCATCACACAGTATTTGACGAGCCTTCCCTTTTTCTTTCCACCATGTGAAAACACAGTATTTCTCCCACCCAGAAGATGCAGCCTTTGCTAGACAACCAAACCTGTTGGTGTCTTGATCTTGGACTTGCCAGCCTCCAGAACTTTGAGAAAATAAATTTCTGTTCTTTACAAACTACCCAGTCTTGGGTGTTTTGTTATAGCAGCACAAATGGACTAAGACACCAGCTGAGACACTGGACAGAAATATGCAGAGACTCTTGCCTTAGCTCCTCACTCATGGTGATAGCTTATGCTGCTTCCAGGCCAAGTCATTAACGTTTGCTTACTTACAAAGATGTTACCACTCCAGGAATCATTACCTTGTTTCAGGGTTTGTCAATTTCAGCACTGTTGATATTTGGGACTGTATAATTCTTTGTTGTGGGGGGCTGTCTTTTTAATTGTAGGATATTTACATTGCCAACTGTCTCTGGTGTGTGTCTTGGGGAGGAGCAGAGCAAAATTGTCCCAGTTGAGAACTATTGGCTACTTTATTATAGTGGTCTCCAAACATTTTTGAAAGAGCACTCTCATTGTACACACACATACACACACACATACATGCATATATATCACATTCATTAGATATATAGTAATTTATTTATAAATGATAATCATGAACTACTGCAAGATGCTGAAAGGACAGGCTCTGGCACATTCTGTCTCTGTCACTTACTTGTTGGGTGCTCTTAGGAAAATGACCTAACCTGGTCTGAGTTTTTTCATCTGTAAAGTGTGGAAAATAATAAGAGCTACTTCATAGGGTTGGTGACATGATAAAATTAGACAATCTATGTGACTAGATACATAAGAATAATACCTGGCAATATATATGCATAATAATTATAAATGTAGTGAGTATATTATAAAACATACAAAAGCATATAAATTAAATGATTTTATAAATACATATATACATAGTACATATAAATATATATGATACATATATAAATACATATTAAAATATATATATACAGAATCCTTTATATGCTTATGTATGTTATATAAACAGATGCTCCTCAGCTTACAATGGTGTTATATCCTGATAAAACCATCACTAAATTGAAAATACCATAAGTCTAAAATGGGTTTAATACATCTAACTTAATAAACATCATAGTTAGTTTAGTCTAGACTACCTTAAATGTGCTCAGAACACTTATATTAGCCTACAATTGCACAAAATCATCTAACATGAACCCTATTTATAATAAAAGGTTTAAGACCACATGTAATTTATTGAATACAGTACTGAAGTATGGCTTGTACTGAAGTATGGCTTCTACTGAATGCATATTGCTTTCACTTCATTGTAAAGTTGAAAAATCATAAGTTGAACCATTATTAAGTTGGGGAGTGTCTGTTTTACACACACACACACACACACACAGAGACAGAGAGAGAGAGACAGAGAGACAGAGAGAGAGACAGAGAGAAAGAGAAAGCTAAATTTTCCCCAAAATAACCCTGTGCATCATCTCAATCACCTGGTTTCAGAGTGCCTGGTGGGAGAATTGCTCTAATAATGTCAAAGTGATGGCTTTTATTCCCTCACAGGCTCCTTGGCTTTGATTCTAATCTGAGCAGTCTAAATATAATGTGGCGATACTAAATGAGAGTGAATGGACCGGATCACCAAATCCACTAAACATACTTAGAAAAAATAGTACACAAGACACACCAATAACCAAGGGGAAGTTCGTAAGCCCTGTACACTATGGGAAGGACCTGAGCCTTGGAGTCTTGTCCTTACCTGAGACTCATCCCAGCCAGTGAGGTAGATGTTGTAGCTGAGGAAGCCGGCATTGTTCCTTTCCTGCATCTGGCTCTCCAGCAGTTGCAGCAGATCTGCAAACCACTCAAAGGCATGTGTGTCCCGGCACAGCCAGTAGAAGTAGATCTGAAAATGGGGTGGATCATGAAGCAGATTATATTTGGCAGGCCCTATCAGCATTACCATGTGGAATTCCACTTTCTGTCACCTAAACTTTTTCTTGATGCTCAGAATGCCTAGAAACATAGATTTTCAGAAGGCTCTGGACATTTCACAGGGTAGTTTACATGAACCTGCTCTGGCCTTCACTCTAGCAGGGCAGTAAATAAGTAACTTGACCTCAGAAATACACAACTTAAGAAAAAACTATTAGCCCACCAAATTTCCCTCTGAGTCTGCTCTTACTCTCCCAGAATCTCTGGCTTCCTTCGAACCTCTTCTCAGAAAGCCTGATGGAATCTAGACTAGCAGGGATTGCCACAGAAATTCTTCCCTGGCTGCTACTGCCAGACATTCATGAGTTCCGAGGGGAAAAATAAGGTTCTATGCACATCTCCTCCACATGGAAAAGAGGTACAGGGAGAATGAAAAGTCAAGGTAGGCTTAATGTCCCTATTAGAGTTTATCTTTACAGTTATTAGAATGGCCTGAGGTTTATTTAGGATGCCCTTTATTACACAATAAAACCAAATTTATAGGTAACCAAAAAATCTCCTGTGAATTGATCCTGAGGAGATATTCATAAGTAGAGTTTCAGGTCTCCTCTCCTCCCTTTGCAAAAAAAGTATTGGGTGAGTGGAGGGGGTGGGGCGCGGCTGGAAATTGAATCAATCTCAGTATCTAACACAAGATGAAAGAAAAATTATTCAATATCCTCTCAATAGAACATGAAGAGATCATTTAAAGTCATCATTATAAAGCCTGTGAAGACATTGAAAAACACTTTCTATAATGTTTTTTTAAAAGCAGGACATGAAATTATACATACTTAATATTTACAACCTTCTAAAAATATGTAAACATGGAAAATATTAGAAGAGAATATACAAAAATTACAGCTATTAAGTTGGGGCTGTGAATACTTTCCCAACTTTCTTTCTTCTGAATTTCCAGCAACACTATACAAATACAATATATTCCCTTCACTAATAGGCCTACTTATCTAGAAGCACATTAGATTTAACAAATATTCTTTTGAAGAAAAGCCTGTCTCTCTGGAACCACCGGAAGCTTTTCTTCACTTCCCATGGTCTCTGCCAACCTTAGCCCTGAAAGCACTCTCAGGCCTCACATGGCAGAGTATGGTTACTGCTCTAAGGCCCTCCGATAAATGAAAGGACTTACCTTTTTGAGCTTCAGATTGGTGGCGTTATTGCAATATTTGTACCAGACTGACTTGAGAATGGATGCGAAGGGTGTGACCCCAATCCCTGCTCCCACTAACATCACCACCTCATAGCTGAACACATCTTCACTGGCAGTGCCAAAGGGCCCATCAACCGCTATCCTGAAGGGAAATGGGGAGGAGATAGTTACAGAGATGTCTTGCTCTTCAGAGTGAGATGGGGCACCCATAATTATTGGGGATGTGCAACATGTTAATTCAAATTGGAATAATGTATCTATTGGGTGCTTCCTTCTATGAAATAGCTTTCAAGTAACCAAACTTAGTGCCAACGTTGGGTTTGGAAGTAAAAAGAGAAATATTTGGCTAACCAAAAACATTCGGTAACTCAGAACAAGTTTTTTTTTTTTTTAATCTCCCCACCCCTCTTCACACACAACAACGCCCCCTCCACACACACCCTATGTCTTGCCAGGACATCCCACTCTTGAAATTCTTGCATACGGTGCACCCTGAAGTGAGGATTTGCTGCATCATTACATCTTGTAGATTTAATGTCTCCACTTTTCATTTATCTATTCATTGAGTTATTCAACAAACTCTCAAACCTTTCTTTAGCACCTACTAAGTGCCTTATAGCATGTTAGGCATGCAGGGAAAAGGAGGCAAAGGGGCTAATATATGGCATTTAACCTCAAATAAATTATGCCAATGAAAATTTAAGAATATTTTTGATACACTACAATTATATTTGTTAGGAAAGTTAATATAACTTGGCCTTGACCCTTACATATTTAAAGGAATTTGGGAGTATTTATTTCTAATATTTGATTCAAGGTTTTCATATTTCACATAAGATTTATGAAAATATGCATAAACACACTACACATATGAAACGGTGACCACAGAAATAGCTACCTATATTCTTAGAACCTGTGTGTTTTGTTGGAGACTTAGTAAAACATGGAGGAAGAGGAGCTATTTAGTGCCATTTTTCCTGAACTCATATACGTTGGTAATATGTACTTTTTACTCACTTAGGTAGTTTCCACGCATCTTGAAACTCCTGCTTATCACAGCCACAAGCATTGAACAGCCCCTCTGTCCAGTCCCCAACGATGCGGATATGGATACTAAAGAAGTCTTCCTCAGGGGCGGATGTCAGTGTAAAAGGGTGCCACTCCAGCTTGGACACCTTTGGGCACTTGACAAAAATGTATTGTCCCACTTCCATTTTGAACCCCTTCTTCTTCATCTGTAGCTCGATGGTTTTGAAAGGGTGAGTGACCACCTATAGAATAAAACATATGTCTGGAAATGACATTTTTCCTAAATACTTGCCTTTTTAGTGTCCATATGGATAAAAAACTGAGCTAAATTGGCCCACTTAGATCTCTGCTTTAGGGACAACACAGGAGTTCCTCCAGCAGATGTGTCTGTCACAGGGAATTGCCCTCAGTTGTAGCCCATTACTAATGATGGGCTGATTAAGGGATACTAAGGCCTAGTCCCTTTTCCTTAACTTAGGTTAACTCCAAGAGGCCATCTCAATTTCCACACTCCCTGTAGTATCAGCTGAGGCCACAGTTACAACTAGAAAGAGGATCAGCTTTTCTCTCTCCCCATTCCTGCCTTTCTTACTTCCTTTCCAGGTTTATCTCTTATAGAATTCCTTAGAAACCTTCTGCATGCAGTTATTTCTCAGTCTTTACCAGGGAATCCAACATAAGAAATCAGCCTATTGTGATTTTTTTTTCCTCTCAGAAGTCAAAAAAGTGCTAAAAAATTTACAAAAACTGATGTTTCCTGCTCAGCCTTCCTATCCCCCAAGAGGATGAGAGAGGGCCTTAGTATTAGGTTGGTGCAAAAATTATTGCAGTTTTGCCATATTTTAATGGCAAAAACCGCAATAACTTTTGCACCAACCTAATAGCTGGCCAGAAGAAGGAGATCCCATTGACTAGTTATGTAGCAACATTCCCCAAAACAAGACTAACTAAGTTGGTCTATCTTTGTCCTGAATCACACCTTGAATCTGCCTGATTCCATGCGTTATTTCTACATTTCTCCCTACCTGGGGAGTACACCATCTTTTCTACCCACCCATTGCCATCCTCATCTGTCTACGTACACACGTTTATAACAGCTTTATTCATAATAGCAAAAAACAGGAAACAATCCAAATGTCCATCAACTATTGACTGGATAATTTTTTTAAAAAATAGAACACAGTGAAGAGCAATACAGAAAGTAATATACTGTTTCTTTGATGATTCCTAAGACTTCTAGAAGAACCTTATATGTATAATTAAAGACAAACCAAGGGACATCAAAGGAAAGAAAAATCAATAGAAATAAAATAGCAGCTTCCTAATGTTAACTGATATTGCTGGGCTTTTCTCGAACAGGGAGTTGTGGAAGAGTGAAAAATTCTTTTTTAAAAAAATGTCAAACGTTTCCAGAACTTGTGATTTAAATGCATCTTACATGATAAAAACTATAACAAACTTCCCTTCTGTTCTGAAATAAGGAGTTGTAAAGCTTCATTTTGAAAACAGAAAATTAAAATTATGTTGAA
The DNA here is from genome assembly GCF_000001405.40 of Homo sapiens. NCBI lineage: Eukaryota > Metazoa > Chordata > Mammalia > Primates > Hominidae > Homo > Homo sapiens. The sequence continues at coordinate 37,802,589 of NC_000023.11, read as the reverse complement.
AATTGTTTACCATGTTGCAATTTTGTGTTGTGGAAAAAATTTTTACCATATTACAATTTTGCTATCATAGGCACAAATGAGATGTAACTAAATAAGTGGACAGCATTCTCATTGGAATACTTTTGGATAACATCTTGTTTCTCATATTTATTTATATGAGAAGAAAACAAATATCTATTTTCTTCAAAGGAAAACAAGTTTTCCTTAAAGGTATGTTTAAGAAAAATACTTGTCTGACTCAGTCATCTCTAGTCTAGTAAGGGAAATTTTGCAGCAACTGTTTTTGCTGATCTGTGGGATTGTTCTTATAATGCAATATAAATATCACAAAAGGAGAACTGTTGTGGTTTCCTATATTTCAAGACTTCCAAAGCCAGCTGAACTAACTTTACTATGACCCACCATAGACAGCAAATGAGGAAAGATAGGGTGGAGGACAGGAAGAATTTGTGTGTTTTGCAAAAATAACCCACAGTAGGGTTTTGGCAAATACTTTTTGAACTGAGTTGAATTGAATTAAATTTTATTTGATAAAGATAGACTTTCCTAGTGTTTCCTGAAATTATAACAAGGAGTTCCATTTACATTTATTTAGTTGGATATTTATTTATTTTGTGATGAGAAACAGATTAGAGTTCAGGAAAAGCCACTCTAGACTTGGAATTAGGAGAGCAAATTTGAGAGGCAGCTTATTTACTAACTTGTTGAAATTTTGGGCACTTCAACTTTCCTATTAGATTATTACATACACAGCACAGAAAAGGTGGTAAAGACAACCTGAAAAACTAGCTCAGCCTCAGTGAGACCTACCCTTAGATCTCTGGTTCTTTTGGCATCTGAAAATTTTAAGACTCAATTTATGCCCCTTTGAACTCACCTCTTTTTCTTTTCTGCTCTTAACTAACCAAATAATGCCTCTGTCGCCTTCCCCTCCACAAACACACAGACACACAGACACAAACACACACACACACACACACACACACACACACACACACACACAATGGGTGGGGGAGATTGATGTCCAGAAAGAACTTGGCTTCATTTTAACATCAAAAATGGTAACTTGTAGTTTCCCCAGTTAAAGGCTCAAACATTTGATTATTGAGCTAAGTAAATTGAAATAAATTGTAGGTCTTCTCTCTGTTGTAACATCTGATCAATGATATAGAGGAGTTGGGAAGACTTGTCCATGATATAGTTAGACACTGACCACTAGTAATTACTAAACCAATCAGTACCTTGGTGATGACCACCTTCTGTTGAGATCGCCAAAACCGCACCAACCTCTCACAGAGATACAGAAACATGGGACCCACTATCCATTTCCAAGTCTGTAATCAGAGCAAAAATGAAAATGAGATACATTAAGTGGTAATAGATAACAAAATATTCAGAGGGAGAAAAATTTTAGAAGCCAAGTTAATCTTTGTAGGCTTGCTTAAATATTTGACATTAGATAAATAAATTTCTTCTACAATGGAATATATGAAAATATCTGAAACTAAGATAATTTTGAGCCAGTAAAAGTAAACATTCTCCTTAGTCACAATGGGGAACTGTACTGACAAGATAAAACTTTCCCAAGAGGAACTCCTCACAAGAATGGGATTTCCTCTCAGTGTTGCAACTACAGTTGCAGTAACCCTATAACAAAGCAAGGTTGGTTTCAGAATTAACATTTCTTTAAAGGATAACATTTCAGCAACACAATATTTTTAATGCAACACTGTGATTGCTTTCTCTTAGTTATGTAGTCACAGTGACAAATTTGCAAGATGACAAATTTTATGCAAGAGTTTGGCTGTTTCTCCAATATTCTGAGAAATTCTGGGAGTATGCAATGCACTTGCTGAATGGAGACAAACCTAGAGCTTTTCAGACTTCTTTAGCTATTTCTTGGGTCAGAACATGCAGTGTTTCTGAACACTGGAATTACTCTGTAGCATTATTGGCCATATAAAAACATTGAGGTCAAACAGATCCATCCTGAAACTCAGCCAATTGGACTTCTAGTTTAATACCTAAACTAGCAAAGAATTTTAGACAGCAATATTATCTAAAAAATGACTTTCCGGAATGTATTCTAAGGGGGAAAAGATAAGAGAGTGCTTCCGATAGTCTCACATATAATCTTTCTACTAGATTACTTTTATAGGAAACTTACTGTTGGAAATTGAGAGCACCTGAATCTCTCCATCTTCAGCCAAACTTGAAGAATATTTGCCCCAAATATAAACAATGTTCTGTTGTTGGCCTTTGTTTTAATGGGATAGATATATAAAACAGTCTCAAATCATCTATCTGTTTCCTGAGTGCTACCATGGAGCCCCACTGAATGGAGCCAGATTTGGATATTGCTGCTAGTATACCTAGAAATTCTTTGAGGTAGGTTTCTGCTAAGGTACTAGTACTCTGACTCCAGCTGTCATCGAGGAAATGTGCCTTCCCCTGCCCACAAGAGGATTGGCAATACAGTTCCCTTTTTATCCTTTCTATTGATGTCTGCATGTAGTGGAGCCAATTCACTGATATGTCTGGTTGCTTCCATTAATGGGAAAAGATGCTTAAAGATCCTACGTCTTCATATAGTATGCTGTGTCTAGAGTAAGAGTGCTCCTATGCTAAGAGAGTAGGAAAAAAGAAAGGAGAAAATGGAATGGAAAATTTGCCTTTATGTTATACTGTGCCTAAGGAAAAAAAAATAATCCTCTTCAGAAGCCCTGCACAAATGTTGATTTTTGCCTAGTTTTATACCAATGGCTAGCACAATAACCAACAAAGTATACCATCTGCCAATGGGGAAAATGATATGAAGATTACAAGGCCCACATCTTACTCTATGGAGCAGTGTTATGAGAATACACAAAATGGAACCCTTCAGAGCTCCCAATAGAAGGAAGAAAGTATTTCACCATGTATTTCCTTGGTCACCCTTGCCACACTTCTGCCCACCACATGATGCCATTGGGATGTTGGTATGAACCTCGCCGTCCAGCCTCCTTTATGCCTCATAAACAGAAAACTCCTAATGCCTAAAGGTAGCCTTATGTACCACCTCATCAATTTCCTTTTCAAATTGGAAAGCTGTATAGAAAGTATTATGTGCTGGTATCTGAAGAGGCCCTTTGCTCCTTATAAGTGATTTATTTGAGCTATCCAACTCAGCTCAAGATGGAATCCCAAGTGTCCCCCTAAAAATCATTAGCTGGCGTCGTCATGAAGAAAAGAGATGGAACTTCTTGAACCAAAACAGCACTTCTAAAAACACTATTTTCCCAAGTTTTATATCAGGATGTTAATAACAGAACAATGCAAAGCTTAGTTTTCAAGAAACAATTCTATCCAATAAGTATAGCAGAGAAAAGTAGACACATGTTTTAGCTGTTCCATGACATTTGTAATGGACATCTATATAGATGTATAACATCTGTACATGTTTCTTAGACACAGGTTAAAGATTGTCAGTAATGAAACTGTAATAACAACAATGAATTGTACATACCATAGGAGGGTTTCCAGCAAACTGAGGGATTGGGCATTCCTTTATTTTTCCCCATTCTGAGATTTTTTGTTCACAAACTGTTATATTATGCACAGCCAAACTCTCTGCGGTCTGCCCACGTACAATTCGTCTGGGTGAAAAATGTAAGTCCAGATCATTTAGTAATAGGAAATTAAATTGTTTTATTAAAAGATTCTGCATATATTTTAAGTGCTCTGATGTAGGCCCTGTACTTTTCACTTAAAAGCGATAGCTTATTGCTCCCTCTGAATAGATGAAAGGAAAGAAAATGCATAACACTCAGCAACAGAAAAAATATATGTGCAATTACCAAAGGGATATTTACATGTAACATTATAGAGGGTAAGTGTTGGATCAAATTCTCTTAAGGGAGAATTTCTACTTCTGTCTCAAGTATCATTTTCATTTACAAACAAACAAAAGCAGAAAAATTGCAAATCTAACAGAGTGACTGCTGGCCCCTACAGTGCCTTTGTGCAAATTAGAAAATGGTACCCTTCCTATGAAGATATAAGCAAAGGGCTCAATCATCAAAGTGTGGGCTAACTTTATTGTCCTTGGCCAGGCACCCACTATAGTAGACAACTGAGACAGTCATATACAGTAGCCCTGAAGCTTACAAGAAGTGCCTTATTTGTGGGTTTGGAAATTATCTAAATCAAACCAAATTTTGAAACCAGTTTGAGATACTTAACTATATAGGGATTATAACATTCTCACAGACATCAACACTAATAGTGTGTACCTTGAATTGCTCAGAGCCCATTCATTTCAATTCAATAAATGCTAGTTGAGCAACTACCAAATCATAAGACAATTATTGGTGATAGAGAGAGGAAGGCCCAACGTTGAGTAGACTTCAAGGAACATAAATGACAGCATCTTCAGAATATATAAGAAGAAAAGACACAGAAAACCCATTGTAAAGGTTTGTTTTGGAGACCTAAAATTTATTGTGTCATTTGGTGTATTCTGAGAATGTTTTAATTCAAGTTCATTAACCACTCCTTTCTATCCTTAGGTCTTGGGGAAGAGAATTATCATGTATTGAGCACTTATCATGTGCCAGGCTTGGGGAAAGTCATTTTACACAAATTATCTCAGTTAATCCTCATGACAAGCCTGAGAGGCAAGTATTATTACCCCCATTTTACATGAGAATGTAAATCAGAATGATTTAGTAACTCAAAGCAGAATGTTTTGGTGAAAACAATTGTGTTTTGTGTCAGACAGACTTGGGTTCAAATCTCATTTCTACCCCTTACTAGTTTGGTGGACTCAGGCAAATTATTTAACTTCTTCTGAGCCTCAGTTCCTTCAGCTGTAAAACAGATGTAATAGTACCTCATTAAAGGTTCATTATAATAAGCAATTTGCATGATGTATAAAAAATGCCAGACACAAAGTAAGAGTCCAAAAAATAACTATTAAAGTTCAAAATGCCTAAGTTCCCATGGTAAGTAAATGATAGGAAAATAATCTGATTTTCTCCTTCTCTTCTCAATGCCAGGACCAGGAGTCCAGAAACCTGCATTTTAAACCCAATTCAGCTGCTACGGAGCCATGAGACTGTGAGAAATCACCTAACCAGTGTAAAGAGCAGATTCTCTTCAAGTGGAGAAGGAGATAAACATATCTCCTCTGTCTGCTTCAAAGGAAGATGAGTATCTGCGAAACCATACAAACAGAAAGTGGTGGAATTACTAAATTGGAGAGGGGAAGAAATTATTTCTCTTCTCTAGGATTACCTGAAACACGGGATTATGACTAAGTCCCATTTAAAGATATTTGAGTGCTTTAAGAGAGTCATCAGATTCTTGGTCTCCATTGATTTCTCCATGCTTACAAAGAGTTTATCAGGGGTCACAGTCAGCAAGTAGTTTAAGAATGCAGTGCCCAATGCAGCTTTCCCCACCCTTCCCCTTTTTCACAGTCATGTCTTGGCCACCAACTGGGCTCTGGGCAGAGTGAGTCTTGAGCTTCTACTTCCTCCAACCCTAATTTCCTGGAGCCCTATACCCACCAGGGAACTTCCCCAGGCCTGCCTTTGTGTGCAGGTGGTATGAAACTGCACAAAAAAGGAAACTTGGTATGAAAGAGGATCTCCAATCAGGCAAACTCTCCTAACCACATAGCCAGGAACTGTGTGTCTCTAAGAGAACATTTATCACAGCCTGCTTTAGACTGCCTGGCTCCAATCTCAGCTGGGCCACTTACCAGAGAGGTGGCTTAGGCTGCATATTTTAACATTTTAGCTCCAGGTTTCTTGTCTGCAATTACTATCCCCAAGAAATGGTGATAGTGAGAAATCTATACATTTTGGGGGTTAAAAGAAATATATCATGTCAAACCCTTAGCACAGACCCTTAATAGAAGTTAGCTGCTACTTTCATTATATTAGAATGTTTGAAGGCAACAACCACATATTTTTCCTGCTTGTATTTCCTGCAGTGCCTGAGATAGGTCCTCATACATGGTAGACAACAAATAAATGACTGTGGGCTTAAATCAAAACTTATTGAACTATAACAAACCTCTTCAACTGATTAATCATTAACTCTTCTAGTCTGGAGGTTTGTTTAATTTACTAGTGATTAAACCATAGAGGATATCATTGCAGATGTTCCAGATCCTACCAGTGCTCTCAATATGTTTTATACATTTGCAAAGATACTCAGACTTTGGTGTATTTTTCAAGCTTGCTATATATAACTTCACCATGAATAGCAATTACATGGGTGCATGAAACAAAAATGCCAATGTTGACTGGTTTCTATCAAACTGACCTCTGCTATCCTCTCACATTCCCTTAGCAGACAGGCTAACCACACACAGGCAAGGAGGTCACTGTGCCTCTAATGGAGCATCCTGCCTAGAAATTGAGGGACATGAAATCCTTCACTTCAGAATTTAAACACTCACTCAGCTCCATGGATGGCAAGGCCAATGAAGAAGATCACAAAGAGATGATGTGTGTACCAAAAGACTTCAAAGTAAGACCTCCGGATGGTTTTGGTGGAGGAAGTGATAATTAATATGAGGCACAGCGTGATGACAACTCCAGTGATGCCTGCCAACAGGGTCACAGCCAGGTACAGGCCTCCTTCAGGGTTCTGTAAAATATAAACACACACACACACACACACACACACACACACACACACACACACACATGTGCGCAAGCACAATATTATAGGTTCTCAAATGCAGGACTATTATAAAGTGTCCAATGTATAGAACAATAGATATTTTCACCCCCTCTTTGAATAATCCTAATCATCCCTCACAGACAGATATAGATTTGAAATAGATGTTTCTAAATTTTAAAATGTCTTACATGGTTAAGATGTCATAGGAAATGTGAACTGATGTACTTAAATAGTTATTTCTAAGGGGGTAGAAAATAAAGGAAATCAATCAACTACAGGATGTCCTAAAAGTGTCTGAAGGCTCTTTCTCCCTTTGATTTTGAAAGGGCCACAGTGCTTAGTTTGCAAATATATTCTGGGAATGCTGAACATCATCAGCTGTGCTCCCCAGAAGCAGATCCTGAGATGAGACTTCATGGGCAAGTGACTTAGAAAACATGTGCTCCAAGAGAAACTGGTAAGAGAGTAGGGAATAGGATAGAAAAGACAAACAAGTCAAGCAAGGGGGTGAAATCAGGCAGTCTCACAGGGGATAGCTTCAGCCTGATCCTGCAAGGCAACTCTGGAGGGTAAGTTACAACTTAGAGTTTATCCTGTCTCAAGGCAAGGAAGCCAGGTTTCATAGTCTGCATCCACCAGTTATTGGCTAACGGTTTGCACAGGAACAGGTAACCATTCAGCCACCCCCCACCAACCTTCCAAGATCTCTGAGCCTGTGAGAAAAGGGACTTTAGTAGCCCCAGGGCAGTCCTCTGAGGAGGAAACAGTTACAGGTTATTGAAAATGAAAACATTTAGAAGAGTAGGAGAGCATAGATACAGTAAAAGTGATCCAGGAACAACTGAATAGAGCATGATAGTGTAGATTTACCTAGTTATGTTAATGTTGCCACCCTCATATATCATTGGGCAAACAATGAATAATGTAAAAGAAAAATTACCCAATATATTGTAGAAAAAATCTGTTTTTTATGATGCTGTTTAATTCCCTCCCTAAGTATATCAGGCAAGTTTTTCTCATGTAAGTCTGAGAATAATAATTATTTTTTCCAAAACTAAGGATGTTTTCTAAACACAAGAAAACATTTTTAGAATTCAGTGCATATTAATGTGATTTAGTCATCTTCCCAAGTCATTGGGTGCATGAAGACTTGGAGCTTCTGTCTTTGAGTGTAGGAAGCTTCAACAACTGCTGGGATAGAAGAAGTTCTTACTTCTGGATACCCTCCTGGCTACCCCTAGAGAAATGCTGAGTTACTCCCAGTGCACATGTGCTTCTCAAGGAATGACAATCTGTAGACACAGGCCATCCCTCAGATGTTGTTGGTAAGAAAAGAAAAAGGCATCACACAACTGTCAGCTGGTGGCTGGCCTTACACTAATACTTAGGCCAGGATGTTCCCTACTTCACATAAATAATTTCACAAAACACCAGCTTCTGAGGAGGTCACTCTGTGACTGTGATGGAGTGAGATAAAAGCAAAACCACTCCAAAATCATGTCTGAGCCTAGACAATGACTACTGCTTCTTTGCCTATTATAGACTTAGTCCTATTCTGTTCCCTCTGCCTCCTAGAAAAAATAATTAAGATACCTTATCTGAGAACTACCCCCAATTCCTGACCATAACTGATCCAGAGAAAATCCTTGCATTCTTAAATCCTCCCCCAAACCATCTAACAGAATCCTAAATTCTAAATCCACTTTACATCCCCTTGAGATGCCCAGAGTTCCTCAAGGTGTGAGATTTCTTTTGCTGTAGCAAGTAATAAACCAAACCTTGTTCGACTAGACATGTGTTCCCAGCTTTCTTTGACTGGTGGGCATAGTCACAGGTAAGCCTGAGTTACTCCAGGCTTCACATGCACACATTCTCATGGATGAGCTTAAAGACCTGGAAAACATCTAGAGACCTCCACACATGAGGTGAGGAGTGTGGGAGACATTTTTTTCTATACTCCCATTATTGTAACCTACAGACTTGTCCCTCTGATGGTTAGCCAACTTTTTTTTTTTTTGGCAAAGGAGAGGTCTTCACTCACTGAAATCTAGTCCTCAATTGTAATGGCCTAGAGAATATCTAAGTCAGATAATGAGAGGCTTACCTTTATTCTCTTTCGAGCAAAATTGAGATAACTTTCATTTTGCCTGTCTCCAAGTTCAGAGAGTGCTACTGAATAAGGATCAGAATTATTGACTCGGGCATTCACACACCATTCCACATTAAATAGATGTGCAATGGTGTGAATCGCTGAAAAGGGCAGAGAAGAGAAACAAAGAGAATGAAGGGTATGAACAAATTTATTGTAAGCTGGGTTTCTGGGACAGCCTCTGACTCTATGATAAGCCACAGGGAGACAAAGGGAGGCCCAGGACACTTATAGACAAGAACTGGGTCTCCAGAACCAAGGAGACAAGGCAATTCTAGTGGGTAAGATCCTCTCTAGTTGTGTAATTGTGGGAAAATGACTTAACTCTCTGGTCTTGGTTTCCTAATTTGTAAGATGAAGATGTTGAGCTATATGCTCCTAAAGACTCAATCAAGTTATAAGATTCTACACAATAGCCTTAGTTTCTGAAGGTGTTTAGATATGCTCTCATTATCTCTCTCCATAATATATTTGGGCTCAAACAAGAAAACACTCATGTAGTGAATGCCTAATTGCTGGCCCATTAACCTGACTCTGAAATTACCTCCAGAGAGAGATGACAAATTTGATTGAATTGATACAAACCTATGGCCATAAGGTATGAATCTCTCTGTCTTAAAAATTGCATTCTTTATTAATAAACACTTACATAGGGCTTACTAGATGCCAAGTACTGTTATAAGTACTTCACAATGACTTAATCCTTACATTGACTCAATGATGTAGGTACTATTAATATCAGCTCATCTTACAGGTGAGGAAGCTGGGACATAGACTGCTTTAAAACCTTGTTCAAGGTCATCAAGCTAGGAAGCAGCAGAGTTAAGAATCAAATCCAGTACCTCTGGCACGCAAATATGTGCTCTTAATCCGTACACTATGCCAGTTTCTAACAAGATTTTATCATATATTTCTTTTGAACTATTTATTTGCCACTGCTAAAAAAGCCTGCCAGATCTACTAGTAGAAGAGAAACTCAGTTAAATGCCTGTAATCTAAGCCTATTTTACTCAGGCTAGGAACAGACTTTTTAAGGGCAGAGTACAAGTCTGCTTTATCACTGTGCTTATATATTCTCTGGCACATGAATGATTTGTTGAGTGAATTAGTGGAATTAGATAAGGGTCCCAAATACAGCCCTTCTTGCACTGACACTACCACCCTAATAATTTTAATAATAACATATAATATCTATATACACACATATATATCCATTGTATGGATACATGCAATAACAATAACAATAGTAATAATAATAATGAAGGTATTTAGCTGATAATGACCGTCTTGAGGGATTCTCAATTTATGGGCTATGGCTCCTGTAGGTTTGCTGCAAAAAGTCCACAAATTCACACATGCAACCAAGAACTTTTTTTAGAATAAATAAGTTTTCATGAGTGAATTAACATTTTTGACACTAGAAAGAATAGCAAAGGGTGAGGACACTAGGATTGACTTTTCTGATGGCATATTTTCATTTTTATAGGAAAATCCTGAAATAAAAATGCTTTAAAACCTAAAGGAATAAATCCTAATATTGAAGTGGCAGAAAGTGTGGTAAATACTTTTGAGCAAAACTCATTAAAAAAATACAACATATCCAACCACCACTTAATCTAACTATAAAACTGGTTGATCTCCTATATAAAAAGGTATCTATGAATAGAGGGAACTCCCTGGTTCCAAGTTTTCTTTAATAAACTTACCAGAGTGAAGTGCAATCATCCATGCCACCATTTTATGAAAGGTGAGATTCCTGTCCAGTTGTCTTCGAACTCTTGTTGAGCAGCACTTTGGATTAAGGGGGAAAGAATGGAATAGTAATTGTTAACAGGAAAGCTTGCTATGTGTCAAACATTTGATACATATTATCTCATTTAATTTTCATGACCACCCTGCAAACTGTATCATTATATCTATTTGATAAATGAGGAAACTGAGGTTCAGAGAGATGCAGTCATCTTCCTCAGGTCAAACAGCCAGTAAGTGACATGGCTGGCTTAACTGGTATGTTTTCTGTTCTCATACTGGTGACATAAAGTCTCCTCTGGAATCCATTGCTTAACTGTATAAAAATATAAACTTGTACAAAAAACATATCTAGCTACATAGTTTCTAGTTCTGATTAATTTACTCATTAAACAAAGGATGTAGAAATTAACATCACATACCTCATAGTCAAGTGGGGACACAGACAAGTGAACAGTTCTAGAACAAGTGAATAGTTTTCAAACAACACTGTTCTAGGACATACACACTATGAGAGGAGAAAGAAGGGTACACCTGCCCATGTAGGTGAACAACATCACAGGGGAGATCATTGACCAAATGCTAATAGCCAAAATAACAATAGCTAACATTTACCAAGAGCTTCTGCAACTGTTTTACATGCATTGACTAATTTAATTCTTACATTAATCTTTAATGTAATTGATGTAATATTTAATTTAATTTAATCTTTAATGTAATAATCAAATTAACTCTTTAATTCTTACAATAATGGTACAAGGGAGGTACCATTATTATTACTACATAACAGATGAGAAAACAAAGGGATAGAGAGTTTACCTAGCCTTAGGTCACACAGCTAATAAGTTGCAGAGCTGGGATTTAAACTCAGGCCATCTGATACTAGAGTTTATATAAACATTCTGATATTTCATACTTTACATGATTTCCTTTGGCATTAAAAATACTATTGTACTCAGTATTTTAGTGTATTTGACGAACCTACATATGTTAGAAAATGTGAGTTTGAATCTCAATTCGTGCCAATGCTCAAAGAAAGAAAAAAACTGATTTAAACTGATTTATGGTTGAATTAGAGCTTGGCTCTCCTGAAAACTGGCCAATGTCTTGCTCTGGTTGCTTTGTTCCATAGTCTAAATGCACTGTCACAGAGATTCAGGGAACTTTAAGAACAAGAGAGTGAAGTACCAAAGAAAATTTATGTACTTAAAATATTTGGTTCTAAATGTTTTATTCAATTTAAATATAGGGGTGTTTAATATTTGGCTTACTTATTTTTAATAAAATACTCTGATTTTGTAGAAAATATAATTGCACAGAAAATTGTGCTTACTCCACCATCTATCTCTCAGTTAGCCATAACTAGGGAGGGCAGGAAGTTTAAACCATGAGGTCAGGTTCTTGAAATTACAGAAATAGTAGCAAGGAAGACACTGAGGATTCCAGAAAAAGGAAAAATAAAAAAATTATGCTTTATTGAATTCCTTCTGTGAACTAGGTAGTTTACCCATAATCATTACTCATTTAATGCAACAAGGTAAATCTTAATGTCCTCATTTTACAGGTAAGAAAACTAAAGCTAAAATTGCACATTGGCTGGGATCCAAGTCTATTTGTCTATAAAAGGTTAATGCCCTTTTCTACCAAACCAAATGCAGGAATATAGTCACTATTATTCTAAGTGCCTAGAAACCTGTGACAAGAATTTAAGTGTAAGTATTCTATCCGGAAGGTGGTCATAGAAAACGAGGGTAAAAATGAGACTGGGAAGGAAATTAATGAAGAGTGCATTATTATATCAGCTACCATGATCATATCATATCATTGGGCTCGATCACACCAGGGAACTCTGGGAGACTGTGTAGAACTTATCCCAAAGGGTTTTTTATTCATTTACTTTGTTTGTTTCGTTCTTTGGTTTTTACCTAACGGGTTAAGAAGCTTGGGTGTTCAACCACCAACTGCCATCCATGATTGGCTGAGGGCTGCTCTGAGGGATGCTCTCAGGACATCAATCCCCTGGGATTTCAGGCTTGCCCCAGGAGAAAGCTGAAAGAAAATCCCCAGGCAGAGAGTGAATGATGCTTGCAAAGGGCAGTTGTCGCATGGATTGGAAGTGCCAGTGCTTAGGGAATATGGTGGAGCACCAATGCATTGGTTATAATTAAATGTTCACCAGTGGAGCTGAGCAATGACTCAGACTCTCAAAACAATGGTTTCCTATTTGAAATAAAAACTTGTAAAATACAAATTTTCAAACTTAATGTTTTTGAAATAAAAATTTATTTGTAAAATACATTTTACTGATCTGTTGTTGAAAAGTTGACCATCTTTGTTTTCTTATATAGCCTCCTTGTCTTTTGTGTTCATTACAAGTGCTGAAAATTATTTTCTACTTTGTATTCCTTAAAATTTTGAGGAAATAACTTTTTCCTGTTTCCCAATTGCCATGTTCCTTTATAGTTTATTTATTTATTTATTTATTTATTTTCTTTCTTTCTTTCTTCCTTTCTTTCTTTCTCTTTCTTTCTTTCTTTCTTTCCTTCTTTCTTTCTTTGGCTTCTTAAATTTCAACTTAATTTCCTCTATAGTTTCTGAGAGTCCTTGTGGTAGACAGAATTCTAGAATGACCCCCAATGACTTATATAATCTCCTCCCCTTGAGTTTGGACCTGTGAAAATGATGAGACATCACTCTGTGATTTTGTTACATTATATGGCAAAAGGGATTTTGCAGAGGTAAAGTCCCAAGTTGACTTTAATAGGGAGATTATCTGGGCCAACAAACCCAATCACATGAACTCTTTAAATCTGGGTTTAGAAGTCAGAGATGGAGGAAGTCAGAGATTTGAAGCACTGCTGCTGGTTGGAAGGTGGAGGAGGGCATGTGGCAGGGAATGCAGGAACATCTAGGATTTGAGTGGACCCTAGATGATCACCAGCAAGGAAACAGGGACCTCTAGTGCTACATCTGTAATGAACTGAATTCTGCCAACAAGAATGAGCTTGGAAGAGGGTTTTTACTTAGAGTTTCCAGGTGGGAATTCAGCCCAGAAAACACCTTGATTTCAGTCTTATGATACTCTGAGCAGAGAACCCAGCAACTGGGTGCTGGACTTGTGACCTACAGAACTGTAAACTAATAAACAGGGGTTGTTTTAAGTTATTGTGGTAATTTGTTACACGATAGATGATTGATACAGTCCTTACAGGAGTGGTGAAACTAGGTTGGAGTCCAAAGAATCAGAGAATGAGAATTAGTAGGGTTGGAAAGCAGTACTGAATTACACATTTCAGAGCAAGTTTTGTCTTCAGATATACCTATGTTGGGTCCCAGTCCTCCCACCTAGCCGTGTGACATCGAACAACATACTCAGTCTCCAGTTTCCTCACCTGTATAATTATCATAGTTAGTCCCTCAAATCCCTATTGCATATATTCATTGACAGGTATTTAATCAATATTTGATGTTATTTAGTATCATTATTTAAGTTTTCAGTTAGTAAGGCTGCACTCCCCAGCTAGCAGGTAAGCTTCCTGTGTGAAAAACAGTATGTCATGTACTTAAAAAAATCTTTTAATCATTATTTGGCTGCATAAATGAAGTACATTTTCATGCCCTGGAACTGGAGATGATCATACTAAACCTATAGAGATGAATTTACCCCCATGTCTATACTTGCCACACACTGTTCTTTTCTATTTGTTGACAAATCCTTTTGAAATTTTTTGGGGAAAATTCACTGGCTCCTGCACGCCGAATTTAAAGCAAACGAATATGGTTTTGTTGTGGAACATACACTGTCTTCATAGTCCTATCCTTATCATCATAATCACCATGGATCATAAAAAATGTAAAATAATATATGTTGATGCCCCCTGATAGCTTTAACTGTAGATCCTTAGAGAAAAATTAACTGAAAGCCAGAACAGTGGAGAGATGTGATTGGGAAATACATTGTCCATTCAATGATACTCTGTTTCATCTTAATAGGTAATTTTTAAAAAGCTAGTTAATGTAAAACACATATATTATATTGAAAGGAAAAAGTGAGATTACTAGTAACTAATGGATCAGTGGAGTGGGTCCAACCATCAGGGCACAAATCCCTAATTTTTCCCACCTACCCTCTTTGGTGTGGACAGGAATGGCAAACAAATCCAAAAAGAAGCCACAAGTCATGCTGATACTGGGCTTTTAAGAATACCATCTCCTCACCACTTCCTTAAAAAAGGAGGCGAGACAACCGGTTGGTGGCATAGGAAGGAAGGACTTTACTGTCTGTGACTGCCCATAATTTTTTGTTCCCCATCATCAGGCAGATTGCATTTATATGCTTTGAGTTACTTCTAAATTATTGCCAGCCACTTCCCAATTATCCACGTTGCCATCATGCCCCATAGCTTCCTTACTAACTTACTTTACTTTCTGCCATTGACTTCTAAAGGGAAGTTTCTCTGTTACTGTCACCGGAAGCCTTGCCCGATTTCAATAAACTACCATTCTAATGCAAGGGAGATTATTGAGTCACTTCAGCAGATTTCTATGCTCTATTGAAACTGAGTAAGAAAAAAATATTTCAAGAAAATGGGAAGTGGAACTAAAAAGAAGTACATATTTTATGGGGTGTAACACTTTACAGAAACTCAAAAGCTCTACTTTTTGTACACTTGATCTCACCACACGCACCATCAATGTATCTGATTTAGATATTTATACGCAACTGGGAGAAATTACAAAATCCAACTTTGAATCTACAGAACTCAGGCAAGTAAGTTGACAGTAATATCCACACCTGCTGGCAGTAGAATATCTGATAAATATGAATAACACTACCTTATTTGCATAGCACTGTTTATAATTTGGAAGTTCCATATTTATTCTCTGTCTCTCCTGTTAACACTCTAAGCTCCTTAAGCTCATGGCCTATCTATAACTTAATCTTTACTTACCACATGTCCCCAGTGCTTAGCACATAAATGGCACTCAACAAATATTTATTGACTGACAACTCACTAATTGACAGACTTAAACAATTAATATACTTTTAGACCAACATATGCCTTCTTACATTTGTGTTAGTTGACCTGTTTTTCAACTAAAAAAAAAAACTATGAGACAGAAAGCCCAAGAGACTAGTGCTAGACCACGTGATTAAAGATAGAGGCACACTGAGTGCCTCTGACTCCCAGACTATATAAGGTAACAGATAAAACCTCACCCTCTCACCTTCCTGTTTCTTTCTGATCTTAAGACTAGGACTGCCATCCAGACAGAAATTAGTTTCTGCATGGCAAGTTGGGGGTTTTTAAGGCTTCCTCAGAGATTTTTGTGTGCTGAGCTTCACCCATTCTCCATTTTTCTCAACAAAGCAGTCTGAGAGCCTTTACCCCTACCTTTCCTGGAGTGGTGGGGTGGGCAACCCTGGGGCTTTCTTTCTCTAGGTAACCAGAAGGATTACAAAGCAAAGTTTCAATGATTGAGACCTCTAGAAACTGAATGCAAGTTCGTGGTTATTTTGCTTATATAGTGTCCTACTATTAAGTCCTTGTATTTATAACATCCTTGTCATTTCTAGTCTAGGTTACTTGGCATGCTCAAACACTCATATATATAATGGCTTTCTAGGATCATAATACTGCAACAGCACAATTTCAAGAAGTTTTGGCAGCATGATTTAAAGTGAATGGGCTCTGGGGACACAATGACCTGGGTTTGAATGCCAACACTTCCATTTAATTTTGTTCCCACTTTACTGGTTTGATGTGCAGATTTCATGCGGTGAATTCCATTAAGCTTCAATGAGTGGCAGCTATATGATTTCCAACATTAGTTACAGCACACTCACTCATTTTAATCACAATCACAGAAGAAGTTTTATTAGAAAAGTTCACATTTCAGGTTAGGAATCCCAGAAGAAAGTACATGCTTGATCTATAAAAGAATGTTGCTTGCTGATAGTTTTAAAACATATTCTTTTATATAAAGATCTATGTAGTTATACAGCCAAGCTTCTCTGCGATTTGAAGGGCAGTCTCATTTCATCCCTGTCTTTAGAGACTCTCATGCAGATCTTCCCTCCTGGGTCACAGGAGGCATAAAAGCTGGCATTACAACATGTGCTGCTCATGGGACATGGTGCTCACCGGCAGTGAAATTTGGACTTGTAGACTAACCAAGATTTCTTAACAGGCCATCTTGGTGAAAACATTGCCTGTTTCTCAGGCTTTACTTCCTCTAAATAGAAACTATTCTAATGGGGGTAGGGAGAATAAAAATGAATTGTGTCTCCTTAGAAACAAGGAACTCGCCAGGCAGGTGACTCATGCCTGTAATCCCCACATGTATGGAAGTCAAGGAGGGATGATCACTTGAGCCCAGGAGTTCCAGGCTGCAGTGAGCTATGATCGTACCACTGCACTCCAGCCTGGGTGATAGAGAACCCAACTCAAAAATAAGCTATAGTGCATGGGCTTCATTTAGCAAATGTTCACTGGGCACTTACGATATATTAAACGTTATACTTTACAATAGGTGGCTCATTAATAAAACTTTCAATTGAGTGTAATTTTACCTCTGTGATTTCTTAAATTTGGAAGATTTTTTGGAAATCCTTGTAATCAATGTTTAATACCAAGTACTGTTGTTAGTTTTTGGTTTTGGTTAGCTCTCAGTTTGCAAGACAACATTGCGTAGCATAGAATTTATGGCTTAAGGAAAGGAACCTCATCACAGAATTTTTCAGAGGAAGATATCACGACTCTTTCTGGAACATCTTAAATTGGTTATCAACATTCTTCTTTTTCTGAGGAAGCGAAGGTGTAACAGTTATTTCTGCCAACTTGTACTTTAGATTTGTGAGAGCCCAATTTTGGCAGTTGGTTTAAGATGAAATGGTATTTTGTAAATAGTTAAGTCATAAAATAAAAGCTAAATTATAGCCTCTAGTCCTATATTAGTAAATTGAATGTTATATGTTCTTAAAGAAAAAAATTCTCTGGATCAGCATGAATTTAGTGTAACTAGGAAAAATGAGGCAGAGTTCAAGGCAAGTTATGCTTGTTATTACAGTTTAGTTCACTGCCTCCTTCAAATATTCTGTAATTGCCAAATTAAGCATGAACTCCTCAACTATACATATGCAGTTCTAGTTTACCAGTAAAATCCTACCTCTTTTCTCCAGCCTTATGTCAGGCATCTGCCCTGTACAATCCCTACATTCCCACAAAAGTAGTTTGCTTTCTGCTGTCCTCCATAAGTGATCTCTACTTAATAAGTATTTTTTTCAAAAAGCTTACTATACCTTTTATTTTTTAAAAAAAACCTAGAAGCTACTAGTCATTAATGAACCACGGAATTGGTCCCACCAGGACACCAATCCCTACTTTTTTCCCAGCTACCCTCTTTGGTGTGGTCACAGGTGGCAAAAAAATATTTATAATAATAATACAAAGAGAAGCCAAGGCTATGCCAATTCTTGGCCTTCAAGAATACGATTTCCTCACTATTTCCTGTGCTTCTGTCCATGCCATCTTCTCCACATAGAATGCCTTTCTCTCTCCTTTACACCTCTTAGAAGCTTATTTTTATATACTCATCTCTAATGTCACCTTCTCTAAAATGCCCTTCTTCATTCTCTGCCCCACCTGACACAACTTCTCTCTTGCTTCCCCATAGTATTTTATTTGTAAAGCTTTGTGGAACCCATCATATTTTGCTTTGTATAATATTTATTTGAGTACACTTGTAGATTTTAAGTTCCTTGTTTGTCATCTTTGTACAATAATACTAGTAAGAAATTTGTATACCATTTTATGGGTTACAGAGATTCTTCCTACTTATTTTTTCCCCCTTCTAGCACAGTACATTTAGTGGCTTACTAAATTGTTGGAGTGAGAGTCAAAGGAATTCTGGACATTTAGAAAGCTCTATGCTCCCCAGTTCCATGAAGCCAACACTTCTTGGTTACATTCATTATAGTGTGACTCTGTCCATTGACTCCATCTCCTTGAGATATTATCCACAGAAGATATTTCCTCTGACTTAAATTTTTTTGAATGACACTGAAAGATTAACTCCCAGATATCACATGTCAACTTCCTAAAGCTCTGTATATATGCATATCTATCATATATATATGTGTGTGTGTGTAAACGTGTACGTGTGTGCTACTTCATTGCTACTGTTGAGGTATAGGTGGTTTTGTGTGTTTTTTCAAAATTTGTTTTCCAAATAGTTGTCTTAGGGAGCTCCATCCCCAAATAGCACAGAAATATACTAGATAATGGCTTGGCTCATGAGTATTCTACAGAAGCTGGAATCCTCCCAAATCATTCATTTGTTTTTACCTAAAAAAGGGCATTTTGCTTGATGGCCTTTGAAAATTAGAGGAACTTAGTAAAACATTTTCTCTTACCGCACTGGAACCCCTGAGGAAGGACAGCAGATTTCGACAGACTGGCAAGAGAATCAGCATGCAGTTGAAATTCAGGCAGGCTGCAGGGGCCCTGGCCAGTGCCAGTGCTGACTAGAAGAGGCGGGAAAGGGAGCAGAGTGACTTTTTTGAGCACAGAATATGCCCTGTCCCCACTTCCCCAAGGTTCTTAGCATGAGGCCACACACCAGAGACACCAAGTGATCTGTACAGGAAGGTCCTTCAGAGCCAACGGTTTTCCTTTAGGGCTAGCTAGGACCCTTTGTTTTCATCTGAAATTGACCTTTTGCCCTAATTCAACATTTTATTATTAAAATGTTCAAACATAAAGACAAGTTGAAGGAAATTTACAATAAATACCTGTTTATTCATCTCCCAGATTATACCTTTTATGCTTGCTTTATCACATTCTATCTATCCATTCCTGTATCCATCCATCAACTCATCTAATTTTTGATGCATTTCAAAGTAAGTTACAGACAACAGTTCACTTTCTCTTTAACACTTAAGGTGCATATCATTAACTAGAGTTAAGTATCAAGACTTTTAAAGATTTTAAATATTTTCTTAGCACTTAAATTGATCTTAACAGTATCTTAAATTGGTATGGTATAATGCTTTGGCATTATAATTATTATATTTGTAATGTCTAAAGAAGTTGCATATTTTGGCGGGAGAAAGCATCAATGTGAATAAGCTAACAACAATTATAATGATCTAGCATAATTATATGCTAAAATTATTTATTTATGATTTATAATACTTATAATAATTAATATTAAGCAATTAATTCATAGTTTCAGCATGATGTAACAGATGTCTTCTGGAGGCAAGAGGCCTGACAGTTCAAGGAAACTCAGAATACTAAAGGACCCAAGGAAACTGAAGGGCCTTCACTCTACTGTCCTAGTCAACAGATGTGGCCCTTGAGCAAGTTCCTCGAGTCTTTATATGTAGAGAGAGATTTATTTTCTGAAGATCATTTCATAACATGTGATTAGGAGCAGAGCTCTTCATGCAAAAAAGTACTAGGAATTAGGTGACTTAGAAAATATGGAAAGTCCCACTTGTCCCACATGTGTCACTCCTGGATGGATTGCTCCAACCTGCCCTTCCATTTCAGAGTGAGTATTAGATTTCTCCTTTAAGCTAAACAATGGCACATGGTTCTTGGTTGGGGAAGGATGCCACTGGGGCCCTCTGCCCCACTTTTGTTGGTCCCAGACTGGAAGGCTTTAAGTGACTGTTGCCCAGGAAGTTGCAATGGAGGGAGTGAGGCTAATGGTACTGTTTGGGTTGGTCAGAATATGTATTTAAAATGCTAACAGGAAGATGAACAAGAATGTCTGATGAGAAATGTGAACCAGCCAATATTGCATGGGATGGAATTTATACTTACCCCAAGAAGTTTTCTTGTGTAAAAGAACTTAGGTGGAATATCATAAACCCGGTAATACCAGACAAAGAGGAAGACGTTCAACCCCAGCCAAACCAGCTGCACAAACAGAAATAATTGCATGAAGTTTCCGCATTTCCACAGTAGATTCCACACAAGACTGGAGTCAGATAAGGGTCAGGACTTCCCCAAGTCCAACTTTGACAAAGGTAGTGACAAAGCTGGATATAACCAGCTTAGAGCCAGCTCTTTCCTCAACAGTGTCACTACACTTGTCTATAATTAAAACCTCTCCACCCTGTGTTGTTCCCCATGATTGTTTTATGATTTGGCCAGTATACCAAATTATCAGTCTTACATTACCCCACTCCCTTTTTTTCCCCTCTCTTTTGCTTAACCTTGGATAGGTAGCTGATAGCAGGCCACTCCACTTAAAATGAGAAAGGAAGGGAACATATTACTATTGCTTTCCCTCCACCAGTATGACACTGCGTTCTGTTCTCACAGGTGCTAATCACCTCCCTCTACCACACAGTAATCCAGCTAGTGAATTCTCATCAGCTAAAATGCCAAGCCTTCCATTTTCCTTGATTAGTTTTACTTAATGCTTCAAGGAGAGAATATTGAGCATAGTGAGGGGCTTGGGATTTACAACAAAAACAGCTTTCTAGATCATGACAGTTCATTTTATCCTAAGCACTGACTGGATCAAGTGGTCACACTACCCAGTTCTCTACCTTCAGCTCCATAGTGATCTTTTCTCAACTATGCTTTGAAGCTATTATATGCTCTAGACACTTGATAATATTCTCTCTTTACAAAGAAAAAAGTGCTAAAGCAACTTCCCAATTTCCTGATCTTGTCATTCTTTCTTTACTCTGACTTTCCAAGCTGTGTTTTCACTTTCAAGTGCATGAGTATATAATTTAGAAGGAGGTCATTTCCTGGGAAAAATTGTGGCGAGAGCTAAAAGTTTAATTTGAACTTACTTTCTATAGAAATTATTTGCCCTTAAAAATGGTGATAAGAAGTTAAGTTTACAGCTTCGAATACTCGGAAGAATTCTCTGTTGCAGTAGAATGTTGGTTTGGCGTAAACATTTTTTATAACAAAATATTTGTTGTTTTTATTTGTGCCACTAATTGCTTTCTATATTTAAAACTCAAAGACTCATTATTTTTCATGATAAATTTTTACAAAAGCTCCATTCATATTCCATTCATAATTGTACTTTTTAACATCTGTGTAATGCTTCTATTGGTTATTTAGAAAGGCTATTTAAAAATCGTATTTCTATCTACCCAATTTGTCCATTATTGCTTTGCTGATAACACCATTTTAAGAGAACAGTTGATTTTCTTTGTTTTAAAAAGTACAGAAATCATTCTGTCCACTTGTAAATTAGCTATATCTTTACTTACATAGTTTCTCCAGACTATATTGATTTATATATATATACAATTATATATAAATATACATACTACATATTTATGAATCTAGATGACTTATTTCAATTCTGTTCTTTTGAATTTTTATAAATCTTATAAATAACTCAAGTTTAGATCTCTGAAAAAAGAAGGTACTTGTTTTTGAAAATAAATTTGAGAAGTTTTATTATATTTAGTGTAATTACTGAAATAAAGGCCTACTTCCCATACATGAGTCAATCTTATATTTTTTATTTAGAAAATGGTATAAAATTTCAATTTGTCATTTTTAAAGTAGTATAAACACATAGACATGTGCGTCTGAGTAAACATTACTAAACAACTCAGAATCAGAGATCATTAGCATGAAATATTTTCTACTCCTTCTGCGAAATGCTGGCTAATTTATTCCTCCTAGGAATTCAGAAGTAAGCTAGAAGTGAGCCCCCAGATATGTTCTTTCCATTAAGGAATTTGGAAGAATGGACTCAGTCTGTTTACAGATAGATATAGGTTCACATGGTAAATCAGTTTCAACACAATTCCTCAAATGAACAAAAAAGCTTTGGTCTATTTTAGTTCCAAGATAACCCCGAGAAGTCAGAGAATTTATAACTTATCTCTTGTTGGTACTTACAATGACAAAAATGGAGAGCCCCTCATTCACAGCCCAGTTCCCCATGGTGGCAGAGGTTGAATGTGTTGTGTTTGCCTTTCTTCTATACTATGCTTCTTCTTCCAATGAGGAAATGAAAACAGCAGCCCTGGGGCAATCGGTTTCCTTTTCTTTTATCAGAAATTGGCTAATAATCATTGGTCAACTGAAAAGCTTGCATCCATAACAAACTTAAATCTTTAAACCTCAACAACTACAAAAAAAGGGTCTATAATGATCCAGTCACAATTAAACATAGTGGAAAATGAAACCAATTTCTACAACTAAGAGATAAATAACAGTGCATTTTAAGGGATGTATTTTACACAGTGAAATAACTTTTTAACTAACCAGCTATTTGATCACAATTTTTAAGCCACTCAACTAGACATGACTTCGTGCTGGGTAAAACACATTAAACAGGTGTGATTTTGACAGGCTGGAACAGCATTCATAGCCTTGCTGAGAAAAGTAGTAACAATTGTAATGGTTGATATTTACAAAATGCTTAATATGTGCCAATTTTATGTGCTATATATGTCTATATATGTGTGTGTGTATGTTCATGTATAGCTATCATATATATATATATATATATATATATATATATATATATAATTTGAAACATACATATATAAATACAGATGCTTTGGCCAATGATGAACCACATGTATGACAGTGGTCCCATAAGATTATAATGGTGTTGGCCAGGCACGGTGGCTCACGCCTGTAATCCCAGCACTTTGAGAGGCTGAGTGGGGTGGATCACTTGAGGTCAGGAGTTTGGGACCAATCTGGCCAACATGGTGAAACCCCGTCTCTACTAAAAATACAAAAATTAGCTGGGCATGGTGGTGGGCACCTGTAGTCCCAGCTACTCAGGAGGCTGAGGCAGGAGAATCACTTGAACCTGGGAGTCAGGTTGCAGTGAGCCGAGATTGTGTCATTGCACCCCAGCCTGGGCGACAGAGCAAGACTCCATCTCTCTCTCTCTCTCTCTCTCTCTCTCTCTCTATATATATATATATATATATACATATATATATAATATATAATATAATATATAATATATATACTTGTGTGTGTGTGCTGAAAAATTCCTACCATCTAGTGACATTGTAGCATAACACATTACTCATGTGTTTGTGGCAATGCTGGTGTAAACAAACCTACTGAGCTGCCAGTTGTAAAAGTATAGCACATACAATTATGTACATTACATAGTACTTGATAGTAAAAATAGATGACTATGTTACTGGTTCATTTATTTACTAGACTATACTTTTAATCATTATTTTAGAGTATACTCCTACTTATAAAAAAGTTAACTGTAAAAGAATCTCAGGCAGGTCCTTCAGAAGGTATTCCAGAAGAATGCATTGCTGTCATAGATGACAGCTTCATGCATGTTAGTGCCCTTGAAGACTGTCCAGTGGGGCAAAATGTGGAGGTGGAAGACAGTGATATTAATGATCCTGACTTTGTGTGGGCCTAGGCTAATGTGTATGTTTGTGTCTTAGCTTTTAACAAAAATGTTTTAAAGGTAAAATATAAAAATAAAAAATTTAAAAACAGAATAAAGCTTCTAGATATGGATATTAAAACATTTTTGTACAGCTGTAAAATTTTTTTTGTTTTAAGCTTAGGGTTATTACAAAAGAGTCAAGAAATTAAAAAAGCAAAAGTTTATAAATAAAAAGTTACAGTAAGCTAAATTTATTTCATTATTGAAAAAACAAAATGTTTTGCATATTTAGTATAGCCTAAGTGTACAGTGTTCATAAAATCTATAGGAGTGTACAAAAATGTTCTAGGCCTTCCTATCCATTCACCACTCACTCACTGACACATAGAGTAACTTCTAGTTCTCCAAGCTCTACTCATGGTAAGTGCCTTATACAGGTGTACCATTTTTAATCTTTTATACTTTATTTTTATTGTCTATTTTCTATGGTTAACTATGGTTAGATACCATTGTGTTAGAATCTCTGACAGTATTCAGTACAATAAAAAACGATAAGGTTTGTAGCCTAGCAGCCATAGGCTATACCATGTAGCCTAGGCGTGTAGTAGACTATACCATCAGGTTTATGTAAATACACTCTATGATTTTCACACAACAACAAAATCACCTAAGGATACATTTCTCAGAACAAATCCCCCATAGTTAAGTGATATGACTGCATATATGTGTGTATTACACATATAGACACACATGCAAACACACACACATCAATTCATTTGATCCTCACAACTCAACCACTGTAAAGCAGATTCTATTATTATGATTATATTTACAGATAAGGAAACTGAGTTCCAGAGCAGTTCAGTTACTTGGCCAAGTTCACATAACTAGCAAATAGTAGAGTTGGGATTTAAAACCCAAGAAATTTGGTTATACTTTTGACCAAGATACTAGAAAAAAGCCTTACTATGCCTACACTAAAAACCCTACATTAAATCACTCCACATACAACTATAGGAAAACATGACAAAATACAAGAAATATACCAAAATGTTTAGATGGCAATCATGTTTCCAGGCAAACATGACATCCTATATGCTAAGTGAGTAAACAGGGTCAGCACAAAGATATGTCAGATATGGTAGATGCCAAAAGCTAAATGTAGCATCATTTCCCTTGTTGGTACCCACTCTTCAAGACATGAAAGAGACAGGAAGGTAGGATAGTAACCCCATTATGAGATCAATATTGACTAATTGCACAAGGGTAGTTGTACAGCAGTTATAGCTAATATGGAGGTAAAAAAAAAAGAAATGGGAGGAGTGAAAGGGAACAAAAGAAGGAAAAAAAAGACATAAGTACTCTTTTGATTGTTGTCCATGAACTACTTGGGAAGCTTCTGTAATTACGATAATTAGCAAAGTAGTAGTGTTTTTCACTTCTTAATATTCAAGGAAAGGTACTTTTTAGAATGCTATGGCTCTTAGACCATGTGTAAACCACATAAAGAGAAGTTAGTCTCGTGGTTCTGTTCCACACAGAGATGAATTCAAAGAAACACACTTAGACAATTAAAACATGTGCCAATTATTTGCCTCTTGCTCTCAGGTCTATTCCCCACTTTCCTTGCTCTACTGTGTTTCAGAGAAAATTGTATTGCCAGGCTCCTTGGCCCTCTGGCTTCTAGTATGTTTAGCTGAATTGGAGAATGGATAGCAGGAGATAAGCCATAGTGTTTCTTCCCTGAGCTTTCTGCTTTAAGTGGCATCCATGAAGGGGCTGCATCTGCACTGAGGCTCCAACTTTCACCAGTCAGCCTCTCCCCCTGTGGCATGAGCTAGTCCTAGCCATCACCACTGTAGCTCAAGATTCTGCCAGGTGGCCCTGGCTTCTGAACTCAAGTTACACCACCACCTCCTAGTTTCCCTCTAACCCCTAGGGTGGTAACCACTTCCTGTAGTTGTTCATCTTTATATTATGTTGCCTCTGCACCCCATGTTGGGATTCTCTACTTTTCCATAATCCATGTAACAAATTTCCTGGTATGAAATTCCCCCTGTTGAAATACAGTGGTTTCTGTTTTTTGACTGAAACAAAAAAGTTACTCATATCTGTACTTATTTTTTTCATGTATTCAAAGAAGTGAGGCCTTTATACCCAAAGAAAAATAAAACATATTTAAAAATCCACTTTCTCTCCTCATCTCTGCCACTCTCAAACTCCTCTACAAAGATGACTGCTTCACCATAAGCTCTTGGAACTCATCAGTCTTTTCCTCTGTACTTATCCCCACTGTTCTCTTTCTCTGCCTATTGGATCATCTTCCTTTATCCCACTTAAATTTTCAAGCCTTTCTCATACTTTTCCACCTGCCTCCTGAAGCCTGTGCTCTGCTGGGGAGGCAATGACAAAGGGATCATTAATCTGCATATACCAGGAAATAACATTCCCAGTTTCACATAAACTTATTTCTTGAACATTTTCCCACTCCCTTTCCTTCCCTCCATAATTTGAGAAGAAAATTCAAAAAAGAAAGAATCTTTTCCCTGAGTAATCAACCATTCCATTCTACTGATTTCCCCTCCCCCCCGCCTTTATAAAAGTAATCACAGGGCTATGAGTAGCAATTTCTTGAGAACCTTAAGCACCTCAATCAGTTTTACAGTGGGAGAGAGAGAGATCAGTTGCAATGAAGAGTAAAGTCTTTCTTTTACAGAAAGTTACTAACTTCCCTTTTGAGAACACTGGCTAAGTAAAATGTAATGTGCACTGCTCTTAGAAAGGCAGGCAGAAAGTTTGATGAAAGAGTAACAGGTATTAGTTGAAAGGCATTGACTAGACATGGAGATGAAGAAAACTGAACCTGTATGCATTAGCTAACAGTTTATCTTCTCCCACCCTCATTGGCTTTCATTCTCTCCTAAGCTGTTAGTAGCAAACTAGACTGTGGTGAACATAAGGAAGTACTCACCATACCCATTATGCAGTAATGTCCAATATCCTCACACTTGTGATTGAAATCCCAAACATCTCTGGTTGAGAAAAAAATGAGAGAAGAGAAGTAGACCCAAATCCAGAAAATTCCCTGATTTTGCAGTCTAAGATTTATTCTTGAAAGCTTAAATTAAAAATTATATTCCTCTGCAATAATCAAGTAGTCTATAGAGTTTAATCACCATTATTCTAGTTAATTAATTTGGCACTGTGAGAAACTGATATTAGATATGACACATATTTTCCCAATTTTTGCCTAATTATATCCAAGTTGATATAAAGAAAAGATTAATTTAAAAAAAAACTCTATTTAAAGCATTGCCTTGTTTATTCTTTCACTGTGGATTGTAAAGCACAAATCTTTTTAGATTTTAGATTGATGCCTGGACTATCACATAGTCACAGGACATGTTTAGCAATTGATATGACCATGATGATGATGGTGATTGATTAAGAATTGTTAGAGAAAATGCAAACTTGCAAACACTGCTAGCTAAATCGAGGACTTTCTAGGGAACGCCCTAGAGGGAAGATTTGTTCACAGAGTTACGTGTACTATATTTGAAAAGTTTAACAGGAATATATAATAATATGTTCTTTTCTATTATTAGTTATTGATAACAGAATTTACATTGTGAGCAGGTTGAAAGTGGTAACAATCTGAGGTAACCTTCATATTACCATAATCAATAACATCATTCTTGTCTTTGAAAATATATGCATAATAAATGTATTACTTAAAATATTTTCAGGTTATTAAAATGTAGCTTCATACCTGAGAAATGATTATTTTTTCTATAAGCTTTTTACATTATGCGTAACACTTTCATGTATATATGTTATTTTATCTTTATGACTGCCCAGTGATTGCCCAGTGGTCCACATTTTTTTTTATTATACTTTAAGTTTTAGGGTACATGTGCACAACGTGCAGGTTAGTTACATATGTATACATGTGCCATGTTGGTGTGCTGCACCCATTAACTCGTCATTTGACATTAGGTATATCTCCTAATGCTATCCCTCCCCACTCCCCCCACCCCACAACAGTCCCCAGAGTGTGATGTTCCCCTTCCTGTGTCCATGTGTTCTCATTGTTCAATTCCCACCTATGAGTGAGAACATGCGGTGTTTGGTTTTTTGTCCTTGCGATAGTTTGCTGAGAATGATGGTTTCCAGCTTCATCCACGTCCCTACAAAGGACACGAACTCATCCTTTTTTATAGCTGCATAGTATTCCATGGTGTATATGTGCCACATTTTCTTAATCCAGTCTATCATTGCTGGACATTTGGGTTGGTTCCAAGTCTTTGCTATTGTGAATAGTGCCGCAATAAACATACGTGTGCATGTGTCTTTATAGCAGCATGATTTATAAACCTCTGGTTATATATCCAGTAATGGGATTGCTGGGTCAAATAGTATTTCTAGTTCTAGATCCCTGAGGAATCGCCACACTGACTTCCACAATGGTTGAACTAGTTTCCAGTCCCACCAACAGTGTAAAAGTGTTCCTATTTCTCCACATCCTCTCCAGCACCCGTTGTTTCCTGACTTTTTAATGATCACCATTCTAACTGGTGTGAGATGGTATCTCATTGTCATTTTGATTTGATTTTCTCTGATGCCCAGTGATGATGGGCATTTTTTCATGTGTCTTTTGGCTGCATAAATGTCTTCTTTCGAGAAGTATCTGTTCATATCCTTTGCCCACTTGTTGATGGGGTTGTTTGCTTTTTTTCTTGTAAATTTGTTTGAGTTCTTTGTAGATTCTGGATATTAGCCCTCTGTCAGATGAGTAGATTGCAAAAATTTTCTCCCATTCTGTAGGTTGCCTGTTCACTCTGATGGTAGTTTCTTTTGCTGTGCAGAAGCTCTTTAGTTTAATTAGATCCCATTTGTCAATTTTGGCTTTTGTTGCCATTGCTTTTGGTGTTTTAGACATGAAGTCCTTGCTCATGCCTAT
Organism: Homo sapiens; assembly: GCF_000001405.40. NCBI lineage: Eukaryota > Metazoa > Chordata > Mammalia > Primates > Hominidae > Homo > Homo sapiens. The sequence goes on along the minus strand of NC_000023.11, from coordinate 37,773,679 downwards.
GTCCTGAATGGTATTGCCTGGGTTTTCTTCTAGGGTTTTTATGGTTTTAGGTCTAACATTTAAGTCTTTAATCCATCTTGAATTAATTTTTGTATAAGGTGTAAGGAAGGGATCCAGTTTCAGCTTTCTACATATTGCTAGCCAGTTTTCCCAGCACCATTTATTAAATAGGGAATTGTTTCCCCATTTCTTGTTTTTGTCAGGTTTGTCAAAGATCAGATGGTTGTAGATATGCAGTATTATTTCTGAGGGCTCTGTTCTGTGCCATTGGTCTATATCTCTGTTTTGGTACCAGTACCATGCTGTTTTGGTTATTGTACCCTTGTAGTATAGTATGAAATCAGGCAGCGTGATGCCTCCAGCTTTGTTCTTTTGGCTTAGGATTGACTTGGCAATGCGGGCTCTTTTTTGGTTCCATATGAACTTTAAAGTAGTTTTTTCCAATTCTGTGAAGAAAGTCATTGGTAGCTTGATGGGGATGGCATTGAATCTATAAATTACCTTGGGCAGTATGGCCATTTTCACGATATTGATTCTTCCTATCCATGAGAATTGAATGTTCTTCCATTTGTTTGTATCCTCTTTTATTTCATTGAGCCATGGTTTGTAGTTCTCCTTGAAGAAGTCCTTCACATCCCTTGTAAGTTAGATTCCTAGGTATTTTATTCTCTTTGAAGCAACTGTGAATGGGAGTTCACTCATGATTTGGCTCTCTGTTTGTCTTTTATTGGTGTATAAGAATGTTTGTGATTTTTGTACATTGATTTTGTATCCTGAGACTTTGCTGAAGTTGCTTATCAGCTTAAGGAGATTTCGGGCTGAGAAGATGGGGTTTTCTAGATATACAATCATGTCATCTGCAAACAGGGACAATTTGACTTCCTCTTTTCCTAATTGAATACCCTTTATTTCCTTCTCCTGCCTGATTGCCCTGGCCAGAACTTCCAACACTATGTTGAATAGGAGTGGTGAGAGAGGGCATCCCTGTCTTGTGCCTGTTTTCAAAGGGAATGCTTCCAGTTTTTGCCCATTCAGTATGATATTGGCTGTGGGTTTGTCATAGATAGCTCTTATTATTTTGAGATAAATCTCATCAATACCTAATTTATTGAGAGTTTTTAGCATGAAGGGTTGTTGAATTTTGTCAAAGGCCTTTTCTGCATCTGTTGAGATAATCATATGGTTTTTGTCGTTGGTTCTGTTTATATGCTGGATTACATTTATTGATTTGTATATGTTGAACCAGCCTTGCATCCCAGGGATGAAGCCCACTTGATCATGGTGGATAAGCTTTTTGATGTGCTGCTGGATTCGGTTTGTCAGTATTTTATTGAGGATTTTTGCATCAATGTTCATCAGGGATATTGGTCTAAAATTCTCTTTTTTGGTTGTGTCTCTGCCAGGCTTTGGTGTCAGGATGATGCTGGCCTCATAAAATGAGTTAGGGAGGATTCCCTCTTTTTCTATTAATTGGAATAGTTTCAGAAGGAATGGTACCAGCTCCTCCTTGTACCTCTGGTAGAATTTGACTGTGAATCTATCTGGTCCTGGACTTTTTTTGGTTGGTAAGCTATTAATTATTGCCTCAATTTCAGAGCCTGTTATTGGTCTATTCAGAGATTCAACTTCTTCCTGGTTTAGTCTTGGGAGGGTGTATGTGTCGAAGAATTTATCCATTTCCTCTAGATTTTCTAGTTTATTTGCATAGAGGTGTTTATAGTATTCTCTGATGGTAGTTTGTATTTCTGTGGGATCGGTGATAATATCCCCTTTATCATTTTTTATTGCATCTATTTGATTCTTCTCTCTTTTCTTCTTTATTAGTCTTGCTAGCAGTCTATCAATTTTGTTGATCTTTTCAAAAAACTAGCTCCTGGATTCATTGATTTTTTGAAGTGTTTTTTTGTGTCTCTATTTCCTTCAGTTCTGCTCTGATCTTAGTTATTTCTTGCCTTCTGCTAGCTTTTGAATGTGTTTGCTCTTGCTTCTCTAGTTCTTTTAATTGTGATGTTAGGGTGTCAATTTTAGATCTTTCCTGCTTTCTCCTGTGGGCATTTAGTGCTATAAATTTCCCTCTACACACTGCTTTGAATGTGTCCAAGAGATTCTGGTATGTTGTGTCTTTGTTCTCTTTGGTTTCAAAGAACATCTTTATTTCTGCCTTCATTTCGTTATGTACCCAGTAGTCATTCAGGAGCAGGTTGTTCAGTTTCCATGTGGTTGAGTGGTTTTCAGTGAGTTTCTTAATCCTGAGTTCTAGTTTGATTGCACTGTGGTCTGAGAGACAGTTTGTTATAATTTCTGTTCTTTTACATTTGCTGAGGAGTGCTTTACTTCCAACTATGTGGTCAATTTTGGCATAGGTGTGGTGTGGTGCTGAAAAGAATGTCTATTCTGTTGATTTGGGGTGGAGAGTTCTGTAGATGTCTATTAGGTCTGCTTGGTGCAGAGCTGAGTTCAATTCCTGGATATCCTTGTTAACTTTCTGTCTCGTTGATCTGTCTAATGTTGACAGTGGGGTGTTAAAGTCTCCCATTATTATTGTGTGGGAGTCTAAGTGTCTTTCTAGGTCTCTAAGGACTTGCTTTATGAATCTGGGTGCTCCTGTATTGGATGCATATACATTTAGGATAGTTAGCTCTTCTTGTTGAATTGATCCCTTTACTATCATGTAATGCCCTTCTTTGTCTCTTTTGATCTTTGTAGGTTTAAAGTCTGTTTTATCAGAGACTAGGATTGCAACCCCTGCCCTTTTCTGTTTTCCATTTGCTTGGTAGATCTTCCTCCATACCTTTATTTTGAGCCTATGTGTGTATCCGCAAGTGAGATGGGTTCCCTGAATACAGCACACTGATGGGTCTTGACTCTTTATCTAATTTGCCAGTCTGTGGCTTTGAATTGGAGCATTTAGCCCATTTACATTTAAGGTTAATATTGTTATGTGTGAATTTGATCCTGTCATTATGATGTTAGCTGGTTATTTTGTTTGTTAGTTGATGCGGTTTCTTCCTAGCCTTGATGGTCTTTACAATTTGGCATGTTTTTGCAGTGGCTGGTACCATTTGTTCCTTTCCATGTTTAGTGCTTCCTTCAGGAGCTCTTTTAGGGCAGGCCCGGTGGTGACAAAGTTTCTCAGCATTTGCTTGTCTGTAAAGTATTTTATTTCTCCTTCACTTATGAAGCTTAGTTTGGCTGGATATGAAATTCTGGGTTGAAAATTCTTTTCTTTAAGAATGTTGAATATTGGCCCCCACTCTCTTCTGGCTTGTAGAGTTTCTGCTGAGAGATCCGCTGTTAGTCTGATGGGCTTCCCTTTGTGGGTAACCCGACCTTTCTCTCTGGCTACCCTTAACGTTTTTTCCTTCATTTCAACTTTGGTGAATCTGACAGTTATGTATCTTGGAGTTGCTCTTCTCGAGGAGTATCTTTGTGGGGTTCTCTGTATTTCCTGAATCTGAATGTTGGCCTGCCTTGCTACATTGGGGAAGTTCTCCTGGATGATATCCTGCAGAGTGTTTTCCAACTTGGTTCCATTCTCCCCGTCACTTTCAGGTACACCAATCAGACGTAGATTTGGTCTTTTCACATAGTCCCATATTTCTTGGAGGCTTTGTTCATTTCTTTTTATTCTTTTTTCTCTAAACTTCCCTTCTCGCTTCATTTCATTCACTTCATCTTCCATCACTGATACCCTTTCTTCCAGTTGATCGCATCGGCTCCTGAGGCTTCTGCATTCTTCACTTAGTTCTCGAGCCTTGGTTTTCAGCTCCATCAGGTCCTTTAAGGACTTCTCTGCATTGGTTATTCTAGTTAGCCATTCGTCTAATTTTTTTTCAAGGTTTTTAACTTCTTTGCCATGGGTTCGAACGTCCTCCTTTAGCTTGGAGTAGTTTGATCGTCTGAAGCCTTCTTCTCTCAACTCGTCAAAGTCATTCTCCATCCAGCTTTGTTCCATTGCTGGTGAGGAGCTGCATCCCTTTGGAGGGGGAGAGGCGCTCTGATTTTTAGAGTTTCCAGTTTTTCTGCTCTGTTTTTTCCCCATCTTTGTGGTTTTATCTACCTTTGGTCTTTGATGATGGTGACGTACAGATGGGGTTTTGGTGTGGATGTCCTTTCTGTTTGTTAGTTTTCCTTCTAACAGTCAGGACCCTCAGCTGCAGGTCTGTTGGAGTTTGTTGGAGGTCCCCTCCAGACCCTGTTTGCCTGGGTACCAGCAGCGGAGGCTGCAGAACAATGGATATTGGTGAGCAGCAAATGTTGCTGCCTGTTTGTTCCTCTGGAAGTTTTGTCCCAGAGGAGTAGCCGGCCGTGTGAGGTGTCAGTCTGCCCCTGCTGGGGGGTGCCTCCCAGTTAGGCTACTTGTGGGACAGGGACCAACTTGAGGAGGCAGTCTGCCCATTCTCAGATCTCAAATTCCATGCTGGGAGAACCACTACTCCTTCAAAGCTGTCAGACAGGGACATTTAAGTCTGCAGAGGATACTGCTGCCTTTTGTTTGGCCATGCCCTGCCCCCAGTGGTGGAGTCTACAGAGGCAGGCAGGCCTCCTTGAGCTGAGGTGGGCTCCACCCAGTTCAAGCTTCCTGGCCACTTTGTTTACCTACTCAAGCCTGGGCAATGGCGTGCGCCCCTCCCCCAGCCTCACTGCCGCCTTGCAGTTTGATCTCAGAGTGCTGTGCTAGCAATGAACCAGGCTCTGTGGGCATAGGACCCTCTGAGCCAGGTGCGGGATATAATCTCCTTGTGTGCCATTTGCTAAGACCGTTGGAAAAGCGCAGTATTAGGGCGGGAGTGACCCGATTTTCCAGGTGCCGTCTGTCACCCCTTTCTTTAACTAGGAAAGGGAATTCCCTGACCCCTTGTGCTTCCTGGGTGAGGCGATGCCTCGCTCTGCTTCGGCTCACGCTCGGTGCACTGCACCCACTGTCCTGCACCCACTTTCCGACACTCCCCAGTGAGATGAACCCGGTACCTTGGTTGGAAATGCAGAAATCATCCGTCTTCTGCATCGCTCACGCTGGGAGCTGTAGACTGGAGCTGTTCCTATTCGGCCATCTTGGCTCCACCCCAGTGGTCCACATTTTACTTAGGAAACTAAGTTTCAGAAAAGCTTGGTTGCTTTCTTGAGATTATAGCCAGTTAGTGAGAGAATGTGCTCTGGACCTTTTTACTTCAAATCAAATATAATTTTTTATTATAAACCTCAATATTATGCTTTCCATAGTAGGTTAAAACTCATAGTCAAAAAATTTCTGAAATGGAATAATACAGTAGTTGTAGACTGTCACAATAATAAAAATAAATTTCAACCACAAAATTATGTTCCTAATTACGTCAAGGTGCATGTATGAAATTGCTGATGAAAGAGAGATGTGTTACTATGCCAAGGTTCTTAATGAGTTTTATTCCTTGTGCTAATGAAAAATGGATTTCTGTTCCCTTTATCTCTGCCATGTATCCTATTCTTTCCAGAACCATCATGCTCCCACTCTATATCCTTCTATGATTTGTGTAGCCCCACATTCCTTGCCTAAGGATGGCTACTGCAATGACTTCATTCCTCTGGACTCAGTGTTTGTCCCAGGGGTGGGCATTTAACCCAAGGAAGACCAATTAGTTTTTTGCATGGTGGGGTGGAGTTTTAGGAACTTTGGAGAAGAGAAAGTCAAGCTTTTCTCTCTTTGTGAATGATGTATGCCTGATGCTGCCATAGGCCATTTGGACCACCTTGTGCTAAATAGCTACATAAAAATTATGTCAACACAAACAAAATCATAATCAGTATTTAGGGAAGGATAGAGAAGTCTGGAGACAGATGTGATTACAGTGTTTGAATTATTGAGTCTGATCTGCCTGAGATACTTGGACCTCTCAATTATTCTTTTAGATTGGGTTTCCTGGGAAGCAGATTCTGAGATGGAGTTTAGTGTGCAGGAGTTTCATTAGGGAGTGTTCTTAGAGGTAAATAGCTGTAAAAGGCAATGAAAAATAAGAAAGCAGAAGTGGGCAGAAGGAGCAGTTGAGTTATCATGTGGTCACAATAAGGCCTCAGCAATCCCACGAGGAGATCTGAAGCTGGGATGACCTTGAGTGATCTTGGGCAAGATCTTGGACCTGGTTGCCACATCACTGTATTTAACCTGGCTACAGAAGCCATAAATTCCCACCACTGCCACTTTCTGCTTAAGGAAAACAGTTCCAGTTGTATTTCTACTGCTTATATCAAGAAGGGTTCTCAGTAAATCATGGTATAAAGAAACTCACTTTTATTTCATCACCAGAATCTCAAGAGTTAATAAAAGTTGAAGAAGTTTGCTGGAATGGGATCCAAATGTTCTATCTCTTGTTTGGGAGAGAAAATAACAAAGTAGAAGAAGAGGTATTCGGGGAAGAAGGGTTAGTGTACTGATCTAGGCAATTAAAGGCATTAAGAATGTGGCTTTTACTGGCATTTCACTTAATAGAAAATGAAAATGTCTGGCGATGAAGATTTACATTTTACCCCTTTATGTTAAATATGACTTGTATACATTAATTCATCAGAATAAAGGAAAAATGAGGAAATCTCTAGTTATTGATTTGAACTAAAACTTTTCAGTATGCATCCTGTATTATATTGGCTTATTTCCTTGAAAAATCTTTTTTTACAAACAACTTGGTCTTATTAACAACAGCTGACATTTACAAAGCATTTTATACACACCACATGTCTTATGTGCTTTGTCTCATTTATTTTTCACAACCACCTTATGAGGTATGTAAAATTATCATATCCATTTGTAGTTGGATAAATATTACCCCCAACCAAAGATGTCTAGGTACTAATCTCTAGAACCTGTGGATATGTTACCTTATACGGTTAAAGGGACTTTGCAGGTGTAATTAAATTAAGGCTATTGAGAAAGAAAGTTTTTCATGGATTATCTGGGTGGGCCCAATGTAATTACAGGATCCTTATCCTGTAATCCCAGCTACTTGGGAGGCTGAGGCAAGAGAATTGCTTGAACCCAGGAGGCAGCAGTTTCAGTGAGCCGAGATCGCGCCATTGCACTCCATCCTGGGTGGCAAGATCAAAACTCTGTCTCGAAAAAAAAAAAAAGAAAAAAAAAAAGAAAGAAAGAAAAAGAAAAAAGAAAATAGAAAAAAATAATCATATGGAGAGAGAGAGAATGACAACGTAAATGTGACAAAATGTTAATAGTTGATGAATCTGGATCAGGAGTACCTTGGATTTCTTTGTAATACCTTTATCTTCTGCATGAAATTATTTTAAAAGAAAATGGTTTGTAAAATCTAACACCTCAGAAGCTATCTTCAGTGTGTGCACATTTCTCTGGGAATTGGGGAATTAGTTTTGAGGAGAGGCTGCTCTTCTAGTAGGGCAGACACTTTGATGGACTTTTTGGGAATTGAAAGGCACTGCCTGGTCTAGGGGTTAGAGGTTGAGTCAGAGAAGAGTTAAACTGCTCAGTACAGTAAAATGAAAGGGTGATGTTCTTGGGTGGAGAAACTTACAGTGTTACCTGATGTGAGGCTTGCTCTGGAGTTTGTGGAAGAGAATGTCATGGTGGATAGAAGTGGTTCTCACAGAGATTAGGAATAGGTCACGGAATAAAACAGAATATCTGTCCCAAGAAATGATATGGCCGATAAGGGGCTTTCCTGTTCATGATGATGATCATGGAAAAAAGGGATACACGATAATTATTGCTGGTTTTCCTTTTCCTGTTTTATAGTCCCTTTCTGTTGTTTATATCTTCATAAAGCTAATTAACAAGCACAACACAACATCAACCTTGAATTAATGGTCATCTTGTGGGATAAGGCAGAAGCTAGTCCTAAATTGAAGTAGATTAGCTTCCTATCAACAACATTTACAGGCTTCTATTTAAAAACAAAATGAAACCAGATCCTTGTGGTGTGCACATGTCTTCCTAATCCCAGCCAAGCTCTTTCTTCCCTATCACAGCCTCAGCCATTTTGAGGCATCTCACTCCCTCACCTCAACCCACAACATCTGCTTCCCCTCATTTCTCTCCAGTAAGACCTTACTGAGGTTGCTGTCAACTTCCTATTGGTAAACCAGGGGTTATTCATCAGCCTGTTTTATAGTGGACATAAAAAAGTAAAGCAGATAATGAATATTTATTATACTTTAATATGAGATTATTCATTTGTGGCCATTTGGGAGATTTACAGAATTGCTTTCTGAGACTGAGTATCTCAGTAATTAAAGAATCCTAAGAAAGTCAATCAGCAAGACTGCAAATGAATCACAAGATTTTACTTTCTCATGGATGTGCAAAGACATCTGCACACTCTGAACTTGAAACTATAAGCATAAAGTGTGAATACTGCCCTCAGTTCAAGGAAATGAAGGTATTCAGACTCAAATCATATTTGTATATAATTCTGAGACTACACCCATTTTCCTTGCTAAACTTTCCTGGCCTAAATGGATTAAATAAATATTTTGAACACAGGCAAACATTTTGGTGGAAGTGAAATCATAATTTTTTTAAAAAATTGATGACTATGGAGTAATTTAAAATTTTCTATTTGCTTTTGAAATTTAAATATCTATATCTATATATAATTGGATAAATATCAGTCCTGTAAGTGTGGTTCAGTTTTAAAAGTGCTGATTGGATTTAAAAATGAAACATGCCTGGCCAGATGTGGTGGCTCATGCCTGTAATCCCAGCACTTCGGCACGCTGAGGCTGGGGGATTGCTTGAGTCCAGGAGTTCGAGATCAGTCTGGGTAACACAGTGAGACCCCGTCTCTTCAAAATAAATAAATAAATAAATAATAAAAAATAAAAAAATTAGCTGTGTATGGTAGTGTGTGCCTGTAATCCCAGCTACTCAGGAGGCTGACGTGGGAGGACTGCTTGAGCCCAAGAGTTTGAGGCTGCAGTGAGCAGTGATCATGCCACTGCACTCCAGACTGGGTGACAGAGACCCTGTCTCAAAAGAAAAAAGAAAAAAGAAGAAAAGAAAAAGAAAGAAAAGAAACATGCCCATCAAATTGGTGAAGGGTCCATGGATTTATGATACACATTTGACTATAGATCCCAAAACTCTCATGAAACAGCTAGCAATATGTCCCAATTATGAGCAATGCTTGGGTCTCAGGTGAATATATACAATTACTATGTTGATGAAATAGCTGAAATCAAAGAGGCATCATGAGCAATGCAACCCTAGAGTCAAAATGAGATTCCCTCTGGCTGTCTCCACTTCACATCTCCCCAGAATAGTTTAGTTTGTTAAATACCAGCATAGCAGGCATTGTCTTGACTATTCCAAATGTTTTATCATCTCCCTTCTTTTCTGTTGTCCTCAATATAAAGGATGAAAAACAAATAATAGCTCTTCCAAACTTCCTTGAAAGTAGCCTTCAATAATCTTCCAAAGGAGGGTAAAGCATTGTTGGGAAAGGTTTTCGTTTTATTAAAAAATAATAATAATAATGAAGTCAAGATGATGTCAGCAAAAAAGACAATGTAATTTGTCCCTTTCTCCTCACACCCATTTGTTGAAGACCTAATCCTCTGTGTCACTGTAATTGGAGACAGGATCTTTAAGGAGGTAATTAAGTTTAAATGAGGTCATAAAGGTGGAGTCCTAATCCAATAATCCTAATTTTTTGTTGTTTAAGCCACCAAGTCTCTGGTACTCTGTTATGGCAGCCTGAGCTGCCTAATAGTCATACAGGTGGAGTAAGGAAATCTAGGGGCCTGTATATCCCCAGAACCATTGAAAAATCTGTGAAAAAAGCAATCAGGATGAAACTTCTCAGGACCCTGGAAGATAATGAAAGGTTTACAGCAACTAAGTGAATGCTCAACCAGGAGAAAGCACAACATGATAGCTTTGTGGCATTTTACTTTTGTTCCACCCCACTCCTTCTCAGTGGGACAGTGATCTTCAGACAGAATTCTTCATTCTGATTGTGGGCACCTGGTTCTGAAGGGAGAAGAGCAGATATTGTTTCAACAGAGCAGAAAGTGTTTCAGCAGAGCAGAATAGTGTTTGTCTGTTTTGATCTGTTTGGGGGTTCCCTGAAGAACTGACACAAGGTGCTTAATTTTGTTTTACCTAATTTGGAGCTTTCTCAGGGTAGAGAAGTGGTTATGTGAAGTTCCTTCCTCAAAACTTTGAAAAGCAAGCCACTATCATCTAGGGCAATAAATAAATAAATAAAAACATTTGGAACAAACAAAGGACACAATAAAACTCTGGCAGGAAAATCTTTGGTGTGAGATTCCTTGGGTGAATAAGGGCTTTGAAAAGCTTCCATGTAGACTAGGAAAACTAAAGCCCACACACATGTCCTGGGCAAGATACATACTTGGAAAATAGCTAAGAAGAACTTAAACTTCTACCTCTGGCTGATTTCTAGGCTCAGAGAAAGCAGGAAGTGAGGGTAAAGGCAGAAGTATTGTCTTTATTGAATTTCTCTGTTTTATTTCTTTACTGTTTAAATTTTTTTAATTTGTGAATTAGCTTCATTTTAGGTACCACTTTAAAAGTTATATGTAGGAAATGTATGTATAATATACTAGCAGGTATCTAAGAAAATTGGTTTAATCAAATCTTTATTTTTCTGACTGTGCCTTGTTTTATATATTTGCTTGGAAACAATAAAATATTTTATATACTTGTAGAAAACCTAATTTATATTCAAAGAGCAATCTTTAAAATTCAAAGCGAAATTAATGAACTTAACTATGTAACAAAACTCACTTTGAATAGAAAACCAAAAGATTTTCATGAGATTTTCATAAAGACCTTGCCATCAAGTACATTTTCTTTTGTTTTTGTCACAATAAAAGAAAGGACAAAACTGAGAGTGATATCCAGAGTCTTACTTTCTTCTAAATGTCATGAAGAGGCAGATCTAGCTATTCCTCTAATATTAGCTCAGATATTGAGAAAATATAGTCATAATTGTATCTCTTTGTTTCTAAATCAAGAGATAAATGGTGCTAGTGCTTTTGGTGCAAAGTTGCTAAAGGATTTAGGAGCCAAAGACAATCAGTCAAAGAAGGAATAGCCAAGAAAATTTAACTTAATTTTATAGTACTCAAGGAAAAGTCATGGGTGGAAACTGTTAGGTCAAGCTCTGAGGGAGAACAATGAAAGATTAATGAAAAAAATATATGCCTTATTTCTCTCAGTGTTAGTGACTACATCTTTCTCAAAATTATATATCCTCTTCAATGCAGCATACTTTACTTTTATTTAAATTACTTAAATGAAGAGCTTTAATATTATAGAAAAAGCATAACTGAATGTGAAAGTCAGCTACACTCCTTTCAACTGAGTTAATCCATTAGTGGAAGTCTAGCTGCATAAACCAGGCACCACATCCAGGTGGTGGCATCAACAGCCACTTCATGTCTCCCATATCCACTGGTGGCACCTTCATGGATTTCTCAGCATGTTGCTTGTTTTAAGCAGGGCATTTAGTTGCAAACAACAGAAGCCAACTTTTGATTAACTCTGTCAAAACATAACTTATCAAAAAGCTACACAATGTCTTGATAGATTGACAGGAAGGTTGGAGAAACAGAAGGGGAAACAAGGCAAGAATAAAGGGAAGCCAAGGTGATGCCAAAGGAAAACATCTGGATCAGTGGCATCTACCACCAGCACTGGCAGTAGAATGGGATTCTAAACTCTCCTACTTCTCATCAATATATAAAGTCCTGGAAGCATCTCATTATGTTTCTGCTTTTGCTCCATCTGCCAAGAATCAAAGAGAATAAATATTTCAGCTTTTCGTCTTCTGTCACAGTGGTGGATTCTTCAAGCACAAGAAGGAGCTTTATAGGATGGGCAGCTAAGGATTGGGTAATTTCTATCACAGCACCAGTGAGGAAAGTAAATGCTAGAGTTTTGGTCACACCCACACACATAATGCCTTTTCCAGTTAAGACAGTCTGTAGAAAGAATGCTGCAGAAATTTGTGCATCCATGAGACACAGATGCATAGGAAATCAAATTTTTATATTCTGTTTCCAGAGATTCTACTACCTTTACCTATCTCCTCTCAGCTTTCTAATCCCTCAGGCAGTACATCTGCCCCTCTGAGAGAGGTTGAAAGGTGAGTGGGTTTCATCAATAAAATATAAATGGTATAGACAATGGTACATACACTAGTACATGTTTAATAACTGCATCTCTGGATTTAGAGAGGCAGCCCTGATTTGTAGAATTTGCCCATTTCTGTGGTGTAAATACTTCCACCATGGCAGATTTCAAAGATGGTTATATTTAATATCCAGTTTACAAAATTTCTGAAAGTTTAGCAATTAGCTTTCATGACCAAGTATGCAATGGCTTTGGCATAACACTGAGTGGATAAGAGTGACATAAGGCCTAGCAGTTAAGAGGAAAAATAAACTTGCTAAAAGTATGTGTGAAAAGAAAAAGAAAAAATGGCCACTGTATTTCTAATATATATTTATCAATTTGGAAAAGAGAAAAGAGAGACAAGTAGGAAATTAGAGAGTCACAGTTTCAAGGCCCATCAACTGATAAGTTATAGGAAATGATGAACATAAATGTAGCCTAAAATAAGTGAGGTGAGAGAACTCCATGAAAACAAGCAGAGAAAATAATTGATCTACTGTTTTGGGTTAGAGAACTTATTTAAAGAGGCTTGAGAAAAAAGAGCACCTGGAACAAATCTTGAGGGTTAGATATATTTATCATTCATTGCTACAAAAATGTTGCATAGAAACTACTGCAGATCATCGTGGCTTAAAATATTAATCATGCATTATTGTTCTTGGGTCCATGAGTTGTCTAGGTAGTTCTCTTGGTCTTCACCAGGGTCACTTATATATCTGCACTCATCTTTGGGTTGGATAGGTGGCTCTGTTGATCTTGGCTGAACTCATTCATATGTTTGAAAGGCATCTGGTTCTTAGCTGGTTTAGGATGGCTTCAGTTTTTCTTCATTGGTTCCTCTTATCCTTCCAGAAAGCTAACCCAGACTTACTCTCATGATGAGTTAAAGATGCAACAGTGAGTGAGCCAAATCTTACAAAAGAGCAAGAGGAAATATATATGAGCTTTTCTTTTCTTTTCTTTCTTTTTCTTTTTCTTTTTTTTTTTGAGACAGAGTCTCGCTGTGTTGCCCAGGCTGGAGTATAGTGGCAAGATTTTGGCTCACTACAACCTCTGCCTCCCAGGCTCAAGCGATACTCATGCCTCAGCCTCCTGAGTAGCTGGGATTACAGATGTGAGCCACCACACCTGCCTAATTTTTATATTTTTAGTAGAAACAGAGTTTCAGTATGTTGGCCAGGCTGGTCCCAAACTCCTGGCCTCATGTGATCTGCCCACATTAGTCTCCCCAAGTGCGGGGATTACAGGTGTGAGCTTTTCAAACCTCTTCTTGCATCACATTTGCTAACATTTGATTGGCCAAAGCAAGTCACTTGGCCAATGACTCAGAGTGAGATGGTATCACAAAGCTGCAGCCGTAAAGTGTGGCTAGAGAAAAGCCATTACTTGATTTTATTACTACAATCAATCTACCATTCTAGGTATTATGGAAACAGTGGTAACCATGACAAACATGGTTTTCTCATTCTTCATGGAACTCATAGCCTAGTGGATGGTGCAGAAGTGTTCACAGGCAATTAATACACAGTGTAGTTAGTGGTGTAACATGAGAAGTTTATATTGTATTGGTTCCATATTTAGCAACCCATGACATCTTGTTTACACATTGCTTTCAATAGTATTCAAATCATCCTGTGTCTGAAGTTAAAAATGGCCTGGTCCAGTCCATTTTAATTCGGTCTACTAGAAGATTTATATGGCCCATGAAGTGTTTTAGTTTCTGGGGAGGGACAAAAAAGACAAAGATAAATAAGAGGCATTTCCTGCCCTCCGTGAAGTCAAGGTCTATCAGGAAATAAATTTTAGTCTTTATTTTCTTGGAGTTTGTGAAGTCCCCATTCCTCATTTCTTCTCTATAGTTTATGAAAGCTAGACCAGGAAAGGAATGGGGAAACATTCTTACCAAAGTGTTATTGAGACAATTATCCATAGCTCAATGTGCTATTTGGCAATGAACCAAGAAAATCTCCCTTACTAATTTGGGAATGGAACCTATGTCCTCTGACTCATTAGTACTATTTCTATTAAGTAGGCGAAGCCAATCTGTTACATAATTACACTATGATGAACACCACTACATTTGGGGTATGGTTCCAACCACCAGTTAATAAATCCCATTTTTCAGAGAACACTGACACCCACATACCCACAGAAATCATGTTTGAACTGCATAACCTTATCCCAGGCCATAGCTGGTTGGTTAACTGGTTAACACTACCCTAAGCTGGGCAAACCAGATTATTTTACCTGGAATTTTTGGATACCCTATCTCTGTCCTTGTGAGTGACTGTAATACCTCAAGTGAGTAATACCTAAACTCACCTGGGGGACAACAGAATGGCCATAAGTTTCTATGTGACAAAGAGCAAAGAAAGCTTGTCTGCATCTAGAAAGACACATAATGCTGATATACAAAGGGAAACAGCAATGAGGAATTGAGAGGAAGTCATGAAAGTATTTGAATTTCTGGTCCAATATGGCTTTATAATATGCCTTAGAGATATATATCTAGTACAAAACAAAGCCCATATCAAACCTCGGTGTACCACCATTACATTCATAATAAAATAAGATCATAATAAAATAAGATCCCATTAATTTGGAGGCCACTAAATCAAAGTTTTTAATGTAATTGTTCCATATTCAGCAACTCATGACATCTTATGTATACATAAGTTAAGTGGCACTTAACTAGATCTTGGAGACAAGGAATGATTTCCAAGGAAAACTGATAGCAAGGATGAGATCTGATGAATGAGTAGGATTAATGGCCAGAAAAGGCCATTTGGAAGAGTATTCTGCTATGGATTGAATTGTGTCCCCCCAATATATGTTGATGTCCTAAATACCAGTACCTTGGAATGTGACCTTATTTGGAAGTAAGATTGTTGCAGATATATTTAGTTAAGATAAGGTCATACTGGAGTAAAATGGACCCTTAATCCAACATGACTGGTGTCCTTATAAGAAGCGGATGTGAAGACATGAGGGAAGAAGATCATGTGATGATAGAGGCAGAGATTGAAGTGCTGCAGCTAGAAGGCAAAGAATGCCAAGGATTACTAGCAACCGCTTGAAGCTAGAAAGATGCAAGGATGAGTGTTGTTTCAGAGGGAGTGAGATCTTGCTGACATCTTGATTTCAGACCTCTAGACTCTAGAAATATGAGACAATAAATTTCTGTTGTTTAAAGCTACTACCCAGTTGGTGATACTTTATTATAGCAGCCCTAGGAAACTAATACATATCCCCTATAGAGAAAATGATATGTTTAAAGGCCTAGAAGTAAGAGAGAGAATGGCTCAGTTAAGGATATATAAATAGTTCACCATAGTTGAAATTTATAGGTGGAGAAATGAGGCTGGCTAGTTGAATAAACAGGGACAAGCTTATGCAGAAGTTTGTAATTTAATCTAAAGATAAATATAAGCTTCATCAAATGGTTTAAGAAAGGAAATAAGGTAATCAGACTTGTGTTGTAGAAGAGCACAATGACTTCAGTAAGAAATAGATTGGAGGGGAGTAATGTAGCAGGAAAACAAGTTAAGAGGCTACAGAATTTGTCTAAGTGAGTATTACTGTATAAGAAAGTACCCCAAACTCAGTGGCTTAAAACAACATTTAAAGACGATTTCTCATGAGCATACAGATCAGATGATAGATGGCTAATCTAAACTTGGTTTGTCTGGGCATCTACAGAAAGCTGAGAGTCATATAGACTGGGTTTGGCTAAGATTGGCTTCACACTCTGTGTGTTTTATTTTCCTCCTGGGAAAAGTGAGCAAGCTTGGGCACATCCTTCGCATAGATATGGAAGAGGTTCAGGTGGGCAAGCCCAAGCAGACAAGAATTCTATCAAGCCTCTGCTAGTATCATGTCTGCTAACACTCCACTGGGCAAGACACACCACATGGCTGAGTTAAATTTCAAAGGACAGGAAAACACATTTTGTCTTTTGATTGAAGAAACTGTAAAGTCACATAGCAAAGGGTGTACATTTAGGGAAGGGTCAAAGATTGAGATCATTAATACAATCCATCTGTCGTGGGAAATTACCTTGATGCAATGGTAGCCTCCAAGTAAATCACCAGGCAAACTATCCCAGAGGTCACAAACCATTTACCAAGTAAATTTTAATGCACACAGCAATAATCAAAGGGAAAGAGATGAGATAGGTTCACACATGTAGGACAGTGTTCAAAAAAGCAGAACTACTTTACTTGAATCCTGGGGTATGGATTGGGCATTCATCCTTTCTCTCTGTTGCATCAGTCAGTCTTCCTTGCTAATGGTATGGTTATAAACACCAGAGTTGAGGTTTGAGTATGGGGTCCACAGAGGGAAGGGGCTTGGGAGCAGTGACATGCACTGTCCTCTGAGAGATGCTAAGACAAGTACACCTGGCTACAGTTGTGGCTTGCTAATAAGGCTGCTGAACAGCTAAAAGCTTAATTGTATTTCTTAGGCATAGGACACATGGGACCAAGATGGGTGTCACCAATGGGTGGCCAAATTAAGACTTCATAAATACAGAGTGCTTCACATTCCTGAAGTAAAAATGGTGTGCCCCCTGTACCTCATGTATATTTATCACATATATCAATAAGTATTAGTGTTTCCTTGATCTTTCCATCATTTTATATGTTCACACATATATGTTCTACTTACTTCACTTATCTTACATGCCTTCAAGGTTAATAAGTTATTTATTGCTATGGGCTGAATTATGCCCTTCCAAAATTCATATGTTGAAGTCCTGATGTCTAATATGACTGTATTTGGAGATAGGGCTTTTAGGAAGTAATTAAGATTAAATTAGTTCATAAGGTTTGAGCTCTAATATGATATAATTGGTGGTTGTATAAGAAAAGGAAAAGTGAGAGAAATCCTTTCTTCACATTGAGCACACACAAACTGAGGAAAGGTCATGGGAGGACACAGCAATAAGGCAGTCAATAGCAAGCCCAGAAGAGGGCACTCACAGAACCTGCCCATGCTGGCACCCTAATCTTGATGTCTAGCTCCCAGAGCTGTGAGAAATAAATTTCTGTTTTGAAGCAATCTAGTCCATGGTATTTTGTTATGGCAGTCAGACCTGACTACAACAGTCATCTTTGCCTAGCACATTGTATGAATTTCATTCATCCCATTTATTTTCTTGTCTTTTACAGCATAATTGAATATTCTGAAAGAATATAGCAAATACACATTACACCACCACATGGAGAGATATTAGTGATGTGAATTAGATGAGAATACAGAGAATGGCAAGAAAGAGAAATGGAAAGACTCAAAAGTAATATTTCCATGAATTGTTGACTGAATAATAAGCTAAAATGGGGCTGAGAGGCAGGAAGGGGCCAAGGCTGGCCTCAGGTTTCTGGCTTGGGAATCTGAGTTAATGATAATGTCATCCCCTGGAAAAAATGCACAGCAAGAATAACCATTATGTGGAGAAAGAGAATGAATACAGCTTTTCACAGGATTGAGTTTAGATGAGTTGGGCAGGGACCATCTCTAAGTGGGACATATTGGCTGGTTAGTTGGATGCATAAAGGTGGAGTCCAATAACGACATCTGGCCATCTGGCCTGGAGACATAGGTATGGGTGTCATGGATAAGGATAAGGTAAACAAAGTCACAAGAGAGTGCAGCAGTTAGAAAGGAGGATGCCCCAAAGAAGAACGCTGCTTGGAGATCTTGGTTTGAAGGACAGCAGAAGAAGAGGGGTCTGAAATAGAGAAGAGAAAAGGCAGGCAGGGAAGAGAATGCAAATCTGCAACTATGGGGCTTGGCAACTACTGGAGTCTCAGGTACTACACATTTGATGCCAAGAGTGTAAATAAAAATGGGCTGATAAGTGACCCTTGGTTTAACAATAAGAAGTTGACAGTGACCCCAGTAAGGGGCCTACTGGAAAACAATGAGGGAAGCCAGATGTTGTGGGTTGAGGTGAGGTAGTGAGACACCTCAAAATGTCTGAGGCTGTGATAAGAATGAGAGGACTTGGCTACAATTGGGAAAACATGTGAACACCAGGAGGACCTAGTTTTATTATTTTAAAAAATATAGGAGCTTGTAAATATTGAGAAAGAGTCGCAACAAAGGGACAGGCTAACCATGGAAGATTTTGGATGGGGTGAGATTTCTGAGCCCAAGGCAGGAAGGAAATGGAATTTGCTTTAGACAGGAGGGGCCTCCTCTCTGTAAAAAGAGGGAAGGAGCAGAGTGCAGATGCAGGAGGATTTGTAGGGCTGGGGACAGCAGGGTGAGGGACTTCCTCTTTGTGGTTTCCATTTCCTTTGTGAAAGAGAGGGCAAGGTTATCTGTTGAAAGTGAGGTAGTGAGTAGACATTTCAGGAAACAGAAGACAGTTTTCAATGTTGTATCTTTTGTTCAGAAAGGAGACTTGACTGTAGAAATGCAAAATGATTTCCAGGCCCAGATAAGGGCCCAGTTGAGCCTGGAGCTCATAAATCAGTAATGGTAGGAGTCTGTGGGTAGCTTTTCTAGCTTTTCTTACCCACCCACGAGCAAGTATAGAGGACAATTGAGTTGATCAGGGTTGGTTTTTGCCTGCAGGTGGTACAGAAGGGCACTGCATGAGAGAATTCAGGATTTGTGCAAGAAAATGGCAGAAGTGAACTGAGTCTAAGATGAGTAGAATGCCAAGAAGTGAACACAAGATGGGAGCAAAGTCAAAGAGTCAAAAAGAACTCAAAGTTTGATGAGGTTGAAGGACAGTCATCTTGGGTGTGAGTGAATTAGGAAGCCAGGGAACAGGAGGTGGTAGTCAGAGGATGGGTGTATGAGATGCAGATTTCAGAAGCAGTGCACTTCTGAGAGATGACAGGGTTCAGAGTGTGGCTATGGGAGTCCATGGAGGTGAAGATCTCTGAATGAGGAAGTCAAGGATGACTGAGGCAGGGTATTGGATCCACTGAAGTCACCCAGAAAGATGGCAAATGTTAGCGAGGAGAGGCAGGCTGCAATGCAGTGCCCGAGTTCTTAATAAAGCAACTCATGTGAGGACACAGCAGTACATGGACCACCCCCATTACAAAGGAGGGGCAGAGGGAATTAGAGCCGAGAGGCCCACACCTCAGTGGGGCACAGGGATCTGCATGCAGTGGAAGGATTGAAAGTATAGAAATGTCAATGAGGAGCTAGGAAAAAAACAACTCTCATAGCCTAGTCCACTCTCATAGCATGGCATGTAGAGTAGTTGGAGAGCCAACTGCTGTAGCTTAGCTGTCTGTAGGCCATGGGGTCTTCTGGAGGAAAGAAGGCCATGAAGTTGTGGAGATGTTCAGAGAATAGTTGAGGGTGTAGGGGAGGCTATTAACCATGGGAGGAGAAGTACAGATGTCCGGTGGGAAGGTTTTGTAGGGGATGGGGATGACCAGGTTGTTGCCCAGATGAATTAAGAGAATGTAGAAGAGATGGGAGAATTGGAAGAGCTGTCCTTGCTTGATCCTGTTCCCTCAAATATATTTCAAGAGTTTCTTGGTTCGAGACAAGAGTCCCTCAAATACATTTAAAGAGTTTCTTGGTTCCTTTTATTTAGATGAACCACACTCAACCTTTGCCAAACTTCCCAGGTGGCTCAGTAGCCAAATACCTCCCCACCCTGTTTGCCCTTCTTTTCTTGCAAAGTGGTTTCATGATAAACTTACATAGAATTTGTTCAAATCCTGACCACTGCACTAACAAGCTATAAGACCTTGAGCAACCTATTTGACCTCATTTAGCCCCAGTCTCCTCATCTGTACAATGGGAGGTGGGTATTAATACCATCTTCATTGGGTTGGTGGGAGGACTAAGTGTACACAGTGCACATAGTCTGATGCTCGACATGTGGTAGCTGCACAACGCATGGGTTTTGTCTTCCTCTTTAAATGTGGTATGCAGAATTGAGAAAAATGTTCTAGGTGCAATCTGACTGGTCAAGAGTGAAGGGGGATCTTGACTTCCTATGTTATGGAGACCACACTATGGTTAACCATATCTATGGTGTAACCTCAGACTGATTGTGCTACCCTTTTAAAGACTTGCCTCACATTATTGGCTCATACAGAAGTGTGCAATCAACTACAACCACCAGAACTTTTAAAAATGTATTTGCAGCAATTGAGTTGGGGTAGCTGATAAGACATTATCAGGCCAGCTATACACGAATTAAGAAATCTAATGGGAGGAAATGTTGTTGCATTAGTTTGACAGGGCTTCCATAACAAAGTACCTCAGCCTGGATGTTTTAAACAACAGAAATTTATTTTCTCACAGTTTTAGAAGCTACAAATTCAAGATCAAGGTTTCAGCATGTTTGGTTTCCTTCTGGGGCCCCTTTGCTTGGCTTGTAGATGGTCATCCTCTTCCTTTATCTTAATATGGTCTTTCCTCTGTATGGTCTTTCCTCTGTGTGTACATGCCTGTGCCCCAACTTCCTCCTCTTATAAGGTCATATTAGTTTAGAGCTCACCTTCTGACTTCCTTTTAATTTAAATGCCTCTTTATAGATTCTATCACCAAATTAAGTCACATTCAGAGGTCCTAGGGGCTAAGACTTCAATATATAAATTTTGAAGGGGACACAATTCAGCCCGTAACAAAATAGTGAGGCTCTCTTATTTCTATAAAATACTTGCAGTTAAATCCCTGTTGTTTCAATGACAGGATTTCATTCTTTTTATGGCTGAATAGTATTCCATTGTGTATATATACCACAATGGAATGAGAATTTTATTTTCAAACACCTTCTTGTCACATTTTAATATATATTAGAAACACACAAAAAATGCTGAGAGAGAATATAAATTAAGTTTGATTAACACATAATAAGGGATGGGTGCTCTTCATATGAAAGAGAAAAATCTCTGAAAAAGTATTCACTGAGTGAAGAAGTAAATAATGCATCCCCTTTACCACAGATAAAATGTACAACTGTCAAGTCTAAGGGACAAAACGAGGCAAAATAAAAAAAAAAATCATGTGGGAAGTTTATCTTTTTCTATATTTCAGAACATGGAGGAACACATGGCTGATGTCTGGCCATATGTTCCTCCTTGGAAACATGGGCATAAATGTTTCTTTGAGTTTTAGCTATGGAAGAAGCCCTGGAAAGAATGGCTAGTCTGTTGCTGCTGCTGCCCTGCAGATACGTGCTTGGAGTTCCTGTTAAGAATTTTTGGGTAGACTGCACTAAATTATCCAAATTCTCTTGCCCAGTTCTTATGTGAAGGAGGTCACACAATTTCAAGATGACCACATAGGTATGGAAAGAGGAACCAATATTCCTCGAACATCACCTACTAGTAGGTTCTGTGATAGGTGGTTTGCATTCATTAATTTAATAAAGTATTCACATCAAGAAAAATGCCCAAATAATCTGATTTTAAAATGGGCAAGAGATCTTGATAGAGTTTGGATGTTATCCCAGCCCAAATCTCATGTCAAAATGTAATCTCCAATGTTGGAGGTGGGGTCTGGTGGGAGATGATTAGATCATGGGGATGGATTTCTCATGAATGGTTTAGTACCATCCCCTTTGTACTGTCCTGGTGATAGTGAGTGAGTTCTCACGAGATCTGGGCATTTAAAAATGTATGGAACCTCCCCCGTCCCTCTTTTGCTCCTGCTCTGGCCATGTGATGTGTCTGCTCCCCCTTCACCTTCTGCCATGATTGTAAATTTCCTGAGGCATGCCCAGAAGTCAAGCAGATGTCAGCATCATGCTTCCTGTACAGCCTGCAGAACCATGAGCCAATTAAATCTCTTTTCTTTATAAATTACTCAGCCTCAGGTATTTCTTTATAGCAATGCTGGAATGGACTAATACAGTTCTGAATAGACATTTCTCAAAAGAAGACATACAAGTGGTAAACAGGTATATGAAAAATGCTCACCATCACTAATCATTAGAAAAATGCAAATCAAAACCACAATGAGCTATCACCTCACCCCAGATAAAATGGCTTTAATCAAAAAGACAAAAAATAGTAGATAATGGTAAGGATGTAGAGAAAGGGGAATGATTGTACACTGTTGGTGGGAATGTAAAGTAGTACAACCACTATAGAGAACAGTATGGAGATTCCTCAAAAAAACAAAAAATAGAAGTACCATATGATCCAGGAATCCCATCACTGGGTATATATCCAAAATAAAGCAAGTCAGTATTGAAGAGATAGCTGCACTACCATGTTTACTGTAGCACTATTCACAATAGCCAATAGCCAAGATAAGAATTAACTTAAGTTCCATCAATGGATGAATAGAAAACGAAAATGTGGTATATATACACAATGGAATACTATTCAGCCATAAAAAGAATGAAATCCTGTCATTGAAACAACATGGATGAAACTGAAAGTATTTTATAGAAATAAGAGAACCTCACTATTTTGACTGATGGAAACTATTAATACAACATTCAATTTGCAGAGTTAATACAAGAAAAAATGTTACCAGAAAACTGAGTTATATGGGCCTCTCCATAGTTATTATCCTCTGTGAACACTGTTATTGGCTTCTTTCACCATGAATTAGCTATGTGTGACTTTTATATAAAGTAAAATTTATTTAAATTGAGCCATTCTGCATGTACTATTTTGTGGCTGGCTTCATTCATCCATCCATGTTGTGGTGAGAAGCAGTGATTAATTTATCTTCATAATAGCATAGTATTTCATTTGTATGAATATACACATGCAATTATTTTTCTATTAATGGCATTTGGGTTTCTTCTGTTGGGACATTTATTAAAAATACTGTTATGAATGTTCTTGAAAATGCATTTTGGTAAATATATATGCACATTTCTTATGAGTACATAGAGGTAAAGCTACTAGATCATAAGATTACATTGATTTAACTTTAGTATAGGATGCCAAATAGTTTATGAAGTAGTTATGGTACCAGTTTACACTCTGACCAGCTGTAGCAAAACTTACTTATTTTAGGGAAGAGCATATATAATATTGGTGTAATTTCATGCGTTCCTTAAATATTTGAACGAATTCGCTGGTAAAGCCAAATGCACTTGGAGTTTGTTATGAGAGTAGGTTTTGAATTACAGCCTCAATTTCTTTATAACAGAAAGAACAATTCTAATTTTTATTTATTAAATGATTTTTCCATTTATCATTTTGATACTGATAGTTAATTTAATTCTATTCTCTGCGAAGACCATAATCTCCTTTAAAATGTTCTGAAACTTGTTTCATTGTTCATAATATGGTTAACATTGGTAACTTTCTAAGTACACCTGAGAAGACTATATATTGTAATTATACAGTGCATTGCTCTACATACATCAATTAGGTCAAGTTCATTAATGGTATTCTTTAATCCTAATCAAAACCCCAGCAGTGTTTGTTTATTTATCCATAAAAATCTGACTCTAAGCAGGGAAAAACAAAAAAGGCCACACCCATCTCAATGTATATTATTACTCTTAGGACCTGGGCCTCAAAAGTCCTGACTTCTTTTATTGCCTCTTGATGTTCTTTGCATTTTACGTAGCTTTTATAGCTGTTTGCAGTGGGAGGGTTGTTGTGATATAAGCTGCTCTACCAGAACTGAAAATGGAACTCCTTCCCCGACCACCGTATTTTTATTGTTGGTATTATTATTTCTAATGGAATGAATGAATTTTCTTAAAATAGTACAAAAGAAATATATTCATGGGATTTAAAAAATCTTTTCTTTTTTCATGTTGCTTGAATTTATTGTTATTTAACTAGTGTGTTTCTAGAAGACAGAATGTATAATAAATATAAATCAAAGCTCTTTCAATGCAATGGGTATTATTTACATGTGGAGAAGGGCAGCATTTACCTCAAATCATTATGTTTATGTTTCCAAAGGGCTTGCCCAACTATAGGCAGAGTAAATTCTTTCTGTTTGGGAGACATGTTGCTCAGGCCTAAGGCAAATTTAAGCAAGTCTCATTGAACATAGGAATCTCATACGCACAATACTCAGGGAGGCTGAGGCGGGAGAATTGTTCGAACCCTGGAGGCAGAGGTTGCAGTGAGCTGAGATCGCACCATTGCACTCCAGCCTGGGTAATAGGGTGAGACTCCATCTCCAAAAAAAAAAAAAAAAATTCTAGGTTGAATACCACTTCCGGCAGAACTTTGAGTTTCTATGAAATTTCCCATGGTCATATGTACATAAAGAGACGGCATATGCTTTTTCTCTCTCAGGTGTGGTCCCTGGTCCATGGGCCTTGGTCCATGGTCTTCTAGTTTCCAGTGTTGCTGAAACAAGTTTGATTCTTGCTACTTTATGGGTTACCTGTGTTTTGATTTGTTTTGTTTTGCTTTAATATTTCCCTTCTGGAGGCTGTTGCAAATTTACTTGAACCTCCATGTTCTGAAATTTTGTAACAATATGTCTAGACATAAGAAATTATTTTCAAGGTGATGGCTACTCTGTGGACTCTATCCATATGATGACTTGTATTATTTGGCTCAGATAAAGTATCTTATAATTTCTGGCACTTTTCTCTCATGTGCTATTTCTATACTCTCTTTCTGAAACTTCCATCCGTTGGATGACAGACTTGACTCTTTTCATTCCTATGTTTCACTCTTCCCCTTCTTCATGCCTCTAGTTTCTCTGGAATTCTTCAGGGTAGGTAGGAATCTTCCTGAGCGTTGTCCCCTTCCTCGCATATGTCTAAGTTTGATTTATTTCAGCCTAGTTCATGATTTACCACTTCTCTATCAAAAAATTAAATGGTACCAGCTCCTCTTTGTAGCTCTGGTAGAATTTGGCTGTGAATCCAACTGGTCCTGGGCCTTTTTTGGTTGGTAGGCTATTAATTACTGCCTCAATTCCAGAACTTGTTATTGGTCTATTCAAGGATTTGACTTCTTCCTGGTTTAGTCTTGGGAGGGTGTATGTGTCTAGGAAATTATCCATTTCTTCTAGATTTTCTAGCTTATTTGTGTAGAGGTGTTTATACTATTCTCCGATGGTAGTTTGTATTTCTGTGGGGTCAGTGGTGATATCTTCTTTATCATTTTTTATTGTGTCTATTTGATTCTTCTTTCTTTTCTTCTTTATTAGTCTGGCTAGTGGTCTATCTATTTTGTTAATCTTTGCAAAAAACCAGCTCCTGGATTCATTGATTTTTTTGAAGGGTTTTTCATTCTATCTCCTTCAGTTCTGTTCTGATCTTAGTTATTTCTTGCCTTCTGCTAGCTTTTGAATTTGTTTGCTCTTGTTTCTCTAGTTCTTTTTTTTCTTTTCTTGTTTGTTTTTTTTTTTTTACTGAGTTTTGCTCTTATTGCCCAGGCTGGAGTGCAATGGCGCGATCTTGGCTCACCGCAACCTCCGCCTACAGGTTCAAGCAATTCTTCTGCCTCAGTCTCCTGAGTAGCTGGGATTACAGGCATGCGCCACCACGCCCGGCTAATTTTGTATTTTCAGTACAGACGGGGTTTCTCCATGTTGGTCAGGCTGGTCTCAAACTCCTGACCTCAGGTGATCTGCCGGCCTTGGCCTCCCAAAGTGCTGGGATTACAGGTGTGAGTCACCATGCCCAGCCCCTCTGGTTCTTTTAATTGTGATGTTAGGGTGTTGATTTTAGATCTCTCCTGCTTTCTCCTATGGGCATTTAGTGCTATAAATTCTGGAAAAATAAAAAAGGGGAACTTTCCTTTCGGTAAAGTTGAGATTTGGGTTAGCAGCAGTTTACATTTTTTTTTTTTTTTTGAGGCAGGTTCTCACTCTGTTGCACAGGCTGGAATGCAGTGGCGTGATTTCGGTTCACTGCAACCTGTCTCCAGGGTTCAAGCGATTCTTGTGCCTCAGCCTCCCACGTAGCTGGGACTACAGGCGCATGCCACCATGCCCAGCTAATTTTTGTGCTCTTTTTTTTTTGTTTTTTTTAGTAGAGACGGGGTTTCACCATGTTGCCCAGGCTGGTCTTGAACTCCTGAGCTCAAGTGATCCACCCACCTTGGCCTCCCAAAGTGCTGGGATTACAGGCATGAGCCACCACACCTGGCCAGTTTACAAACATTTTTGACCACAGCCACAGTAAGAACACATTTTATATTGTGACTCGGTGTACTCATAACTGTGTAGAATGGAAACAAAAATTCTCCCAAAGGTTACTTGACTCAACATGAGGAGTGCTGTAGGATATCTCATTTGTATTTGATTCTTGTATATTTCCTTTTTAAAAATGTTTGGTTGAGATTCACTAAATTTATATGAGGATCCATTAATAGTTTGTAACCCACAGGTGGAAGACTTCTGGAACATAAGTTACAAAAGATATAGCAACACTAGGCTAGTAGGGCCCTTCCAGAACAAGCCTTCCACAGTTTCCATGGCTACCCATTTTTCAGGTCAATGAAATTAGTGATGCAGTCAACCAAAACTATCATGGCAATCTGCCCCTCTCTTTCTTCTTCATCAGACCTGGGAATGCACCACATAATGAAAGCAACAGGAATGTGACATCTCTCGACAGTGCTCTCACAGAGAAACCAGGCCAGTTTTTGCAAGAATGGTTTGTTCATATACCTCACCCAGGCTGCAGAAGACCTGACCCCTTCCCTCACCTCAACAGCCACTCAGATGAGAATTTATTTCTTTATGGGTCCTTTGAGGAGTTGCCCTCCCCCAGGGTGTGGAGAATTACTGATGACTCAGAGACGCCAAACACCAGCTCTGAATCAGGGGACATGCCACCTCTAAGCCTCCCTTCGGGTTTCCCCACATGCCACAAGTCCACCAGGCTCCTGCAGCCCTGCTGGCGGTGTGAGGTCCCTCGCCTTAAGCCCAGCTACCCTTTGCCACTGGGCTGATTGCCTACCTGGGTACTATAGGGCCTCTTTCCCATAATGCTGGAGATGGGACCCTGAACTAAAGGACCACAGCCTTTCCAGAGCAGCAGATCGGCTGCCAAATCTGATCTGCAGAGCTATGAGTGGGGGGTGGCAAAGGGAAATTGTGGGTGTGGGTGGACATGGGGGTGATGGCGTTGCTCCACTTTTAGCAGCTGAAGGGAGAACATGTGGTGGCTTGGAGTACCTCAAAAGAGTGGGAGGTTAAGAGTAAGGTTTTGAAAGTCAGATGGTTTCAACTCAATGTTGGTTCTTCCCCTTATTGTCTGTGTGACTTTGCCGTTGACCAATTTTTTAACCTAGTCTGTGGTCTCCACTTGTGTAACTTCTACTTTTCATCTTGTTTTGAAGAATACATGTGATAATGCATATGAATCATGAATTGCCTCACATATAGCATGGGCTCATTAATAGTAGCTGCTATTATTAATGCATTGTTGTTATCATACTGGAGAAGAGAAAAAGGTGGAAAGACTTAGCCAGTGGCCCCTGGAATGCAGCTAAATGCAGGATGTAATGCCTGGGAACTGCACATATAGTGTACCCTATTACAGAAACTTGCCCTTCCTGGTTTGGCAGAGTGTGTCATGCTTGCCTGTTAGGAGGAGAAGCTTCTTGAGTAGCTGTGCTCAGAAGGACTCTGAAGCCATGGCAAGTCCCAGTGTGGTAACAGAGCCTCACACTGAGCATCTCGGCCTGTCATGGGTTTGGAGTGGTGAACATGGGCAGGCCAGCTGAGTATCTGTCTTCCCTTCCCCTTTAGGACTTAATATTTTGTGATTTAGTCATAATTTTTCAGGCTTTTCAAGATGGCTTGTTTTAAATGCATTATTTCTCATTGGGACTTTCAGGGGGTGATACGTAAGCCTCACCTACATTCCTGAAAGGCCACATTCTACAAGGCACATATTTGAGGAGGCTGTTAGGTGCATAATAGAGATGGGTCTAGCATTGGAGGGGAACAGAAGTGGTGGGAAAGAAACAACAAGTCACAGAATAAGAAATATAAAAGGGAGAAAATTAGAACACATGCAGCGTAAAACAGCAAGCTAAAACTCCTGCTGGGCCCTGATGCTAAGGCAGGGTCAATATTCTGTACCTCGATGAGCAAGCACTGCCACCTGCTGGCCAAGGGGAATGTGACTGCCAAGGGATTCCTTTGGAAATGGCATACATGCATACATCATTTTGTTGTGCTTTGAACATAATTGCATTTTTTTTTTTTTTTTTTTACAAATTGAAGGTTTGTGGCAGCTCTATCTCAATCAAGTCTATCGGCACCATTTTTCCAACAGCATGTGCTCACTTTGTGTCTCTGCTACATTTTGGTAATTCTCTGAAATGTTTTAAAGAAATGAAAAATTTCAAACTTTTTCACTATTATTGTATTTGTTATGATGATCTGTGATCAGTGATCTTTGATGTTACTATCGGAATTCTTCCACAAACCACACCCATATAAGACAGCAAATTTAATGGATAAACGTGTGTGCGTTCTGACTGTTCCACAAACTGACAGTTCCCCCATCTGTCTCCCACTCCTCAGCCCTTCCTATCCCTGAGACACAGCAATATTAAATTAGGCCAACTAATAACCCTACAGTGGCCTCTAAGTTTTCAAGTGAAAGGAAGAGTTACACATGTACACTTTCAACCAAAAGCTAGAAATGATTAAGTTTAGTGAAGAAGGCATGTTGAAAGCTGAGAGAGGCAAAAAACCAGACCTCTTGTGCCAAACAGCCAAGTTTTGAATGCAAAGGAAAAGTTCTTGAAGGAAATTAAAAGTGCCACTCCAGTCAACATAGAAATGACAAAAAGGAAAACAGCTTTATTTCTGATATGGAGAAAGTTTTAATAGTCGAGATAGAAGATCAAACCAGCCACAACATTCCCTTAAGCCAAAGCCTAATCCAGAGCAAGGCCCTAGCTCTTCAATTCTGTGAAGGATAAGAGAGGTGAGGAAGCTGCAGAAACAAAGTTGGAAGCTAGCAGAGGTTGGTTCATGAGGTTTAAAGAAAGAAGCTGTTTCCATAACATAAAAATGCAAGGTGAAGCAGCAAGTGCAGGTGGAGAAGCTGCAAAAAGTCACCCAGAAGATTCAGCTAAGATCATTGAAGAAGGTGGCTACACTAAACAACATATTTTCAATGTAGACAAACAGCCTTGTATTGGAAGAAGATGCATCTAGGACTTTCATAGCCAAAGAGGAGAAGACAATGCCTGGCTTCGAAACTTCAAAAGACACTGACTGTCTTGCTAGGGGCTAATGCTGCTGGTAACTTTAAACTGAAGACAATGCTCATTTACCATTCCAAAACTCCTAGGGCCAATATGAATTATGCCAAATGTACTCTGCCTGTGCTCTTGAAATGAAGCACATTTCTAGATGAAAGCACATCTGTGTACAACATGGTTTACTGAATAAGCCCACATAAACCTACTGTAGAGAAAAAAAATCCTTTCAAAATATTACTGCTCATTGACATTGCACCTGGTCAACCAAGAACTCTGATGGAAATGTGCATGGTGATGAATGTTGTTTTCATGTCTGCTAACATAGCATCCTTTCTGCAGCCCATGGATCAAAGAGTTGTTTAAACTTTCAAGTGTTATTATGTAAGAAATACATTTTGTAAGGCTGTAGCTGCCATACACAGTGATTAGTCTGATGGATTTAGGTAAAGGAAATTGAAAACCTTCTGAAAAAAGTTACCATTTAAGATGACATTAAGAACATTCATGATTCATGGGAGAAAGTCAGAAATATCAACATTAACAGGAATTTGGAATAAGTTAATTCTAACCCTCAGGGATAGCTTTGAAGGATACAAAACTTCAATGGAGGAAGCAACTGCAGATGTGGTAGAAATAGCAAGAGAGCTAGAATTAGAAGTGGAGTATAAAGAAGTGACTGAATTGCTGCAATTTCATTTTTTTGTTTTTAATTTTTGTAAGTATATAATAGGTGTATACATTCATGGGTCACATAAGATATTCTGATACAGGCATGCAATGCATAATAATCACATCCAGGTAAATGGGGTATTCATCACCTCAAGCATTTATCCTTTGTGTTACAAACAAATTACACTCTTCATTATTTTAAAATGTACAACTAAATTATTTTTGACTATAGTCACTTTGTGGTGCTGGCAAATACTAGGTCTTACTCATTCTTTCTAACTATGTTTTTGTACCACTTAACAATCCCCACTTCTTCCTGACCACACCCTCTCTGCCTCCAACCAATACCCTTCTCATCTTCTGGTAACCATCATTCTACTCTCCATATCCATGAGTTTAGTTGTTTTAATTTTTAGCTTTCACAAATAAGGAAGAACATGCAAAGTTTGTCTTTCTGTGGTTGGCTTATTTCACTTAACATAATGATCTCCAGTTCCACACATGTTGTTGCAAATGAGAGGATCTCATCCCTTTTTATGCCTGGATAGTACTCCAGTGCGTATATGTACCACATTTTCTTTCTTTTCTTTAAGCTGAAAGCAATGATCATTTACCATTCCAAACTCCTAGGGCCCATAAGAATTATGCCAAATCTACTCTGCCTGTGCTCCAGAAATGAAACAACAAAGCCTAGATGACAGCACATCTGCTTAGAGCATGATTTACTGAATATTTTAAGCCCACTTAAACCTACTGTAAAGAAAACTAGGTTCTCCATATTGGTTGTACCAATTTACATTCCCACCAACTGCATATGAGACTTCCCTTGTCTCCACATTCTTGCCAGCATTTGTTATTGCCTGTCTTTTGGTTAAAAGCTATTTTAGGCAGGGCATGGTGGCTCATGCCTGTAATCCCAGCACTTTGGGAGGCCGAGGCGGGCGGATCACGAGGTCAGGAGATAAAGACCATCCTGGCTAACACGGTGAAACCCCATCTCTACTAAAAATACAAAAAATTAGCCGGGAGTGGTGGCGGGCGCCTGTAGTCCCAGCTACTTGGGAGGCTGAGGCAGGAGAATGGCGTGAACCCGGGAGGCGGAGCTTGCAGTGAGCCTAGATCGGGTCACTGCACTCCAGCCTGGGCAACAGAGTGAGACTCTGTCTCAAAAAAAAAAAAAAATGCTATTTTAACTGGGGTGAGATAATATCTCATTGTAGTTTTAATTTGCATTTCTCTGATGATCAATGATGTTGAGCACCTTTTCATATGTCTGCTTGCAATTTGTATGTCTTATCTTTTGCCAAATGTTTATTAAGATCCTTTGCCCTTTTTAAAATCAGATTATAAAATTTTTTTCCTAAAGAGTTGTTTGAGCTCCTTATATATTCTGGTTACTAATCTCTTGTCAGATGGGTAGATTGTAAATATTTTCTTCCATTTTGTGGGTTGTCTCTTTACTTTGTTGATCGTTTCCTTTGCTGTGCAGAAGCTTTTTAACTTGATGAGATCCAATTTGTCCATATTTGCTTTGGTTGCCTGTGCTTGTCGGGTGTTTTTCAAGAAATCTTTGCCCACTCTAGTGTCCTGAAGAGTTTCCCCAATGTTTTCTTTTAGTAGCTTCATAGTTTGAGGTATTAGATTTAAGACTTTTATCCATTTTGATTTGATTTTTATACATAGTGAGAGATGGGAGTCTAGTTTCATTCTTCTGCACATGGATGTAGAATCATCCCAGCACCATTTATTGAAGAGGCTGTCTTTTCCTGTGTATGTTCTTGGCACCTTTGTCAAAAATGAGTTCACTGTGGGTGTGTGGATTTGTTTCTGGATTCTCTATTCTGTTCCACTGATCCATGTGTCTGTTTTTACGCCACTACTGTGCCCTTTGGGTTACTATATCTCTGCAGTGTAATTCAAAGTTAGGTGATGAGATTCCTCCGGTTTTATTTTTCCTTAGGATAGCTTTGGCTATTCTGGGTCTTTTTGTGTTCCATATAAATTTTGGACTGTTTTTTCTATTTATTTGAAGAATGTCATTGGTATTGTGATAGGGATTACATTAAATGTGTAGATTTCTTTGGGTAGTGTGGACATTTTAACAATATTGATTCTTCCAATCCATAAACATGGAATGTCTTTCCATTTTTTGCATCTTCTTCAATTTCTTGCATCAATGTTTTATAATTTTCTTTATAGAGATCATTCACTTTTTTGCTATATTCCTATGTATTTTATTTTATTTGTAGCTATTGTAAATGAGATTATTTCTTTTTCAGATTGTTCACTGTTGGCATATAGAAATACTACTGAGTTTTGTATGTTGATTTTGTGTTCTGCAACTTTACAGAATTTGTTTATTGGTTCTAATAGTTTTTTTGGTGGAGTCTTTAAGTTTTTCCAAATATAAAATCATATTATCTACATACAAGGATAATTTGACTTCTCCCTTTCCATTTGGGTGCCCTTCATTTCTTTCTCTTGTCTGTTTGCTCTAGCTAGGATTTACAGAACAGTGGTGAAAGTGGGCATCCTTATCGTGTTATAGATCTTCGAGGAAATGCCTGTAGTTTTTCTCCATTTAATATGATACCAACTACAGGTCTGTCATATATGGCTTTTGTTATGTTGAGGTATATTCCTTCTATACTCAGATTTTTCAGGGTTTTTATCATGAAGAGATGTTCAGTTTTGTCAAATGATTTTTCAGCATCAATTTTAATGATCATGCAGTTTTTGCCTTCCATTCCGTTGATATACTGTATCACATTAATCTATTTCCATACGTAGAACCATGCTTGCATCCCTGGGATAAATCTCACTTGGTCATGATGAATAATCTCTTTAATGTGCTGTTGAAATCAGCTTGCTACTATTTTATTGAGGATTTTTGCATCGATATTCATCAGTGATACTGGCCTGGAGTTTTCTTTTTTTCTTTTTTTGATGTGTCTTTGTCTGGTTTTGGTATCAGGGTAATACTGGCCTCGTAAAATGAGTTCAGAAGTATTCCCTCCTCCTCTATTTTTAAAAATAGTTTGTGTAGAATTGGTATTAGTTGTTAAAATGTTTGGTAGAATTCAGCAGTGAAGCCATTGGGTTCTGTGCTTTTCTATGCTGGGAGACTTTTTATTATGGCTTCAATCTTGTTACTTGCTATCAGTCTGTTCAGGTTTTGCATTTCTTCATGGTTCAATTTTGGTAGGTTGTATGTATCTAGGAATTTATGGAATTTATCTAGTTCTTCTAGATTTTCCAATTCATTGGCATATAGTTGCTCATACTAGCCACTAATAATCCTTTAGATTTTGGCAGTATCAGTTGTAATGTCTCCTTTTTCATCTCAGCTCTTATTTATTTGGGTCTTCTCTTAGTTAATCTGGCTAAAGTTTTGTCAATTTTATCTTTTCAAAAAACAAACTTTTTGTTTCATTGGTATTTTGTATTGTTTTCCTCATTTCAAATTCATTTATTTCTGCTCTGATCTTTATAATTTTTTTCTTCTACTAATTTTGGGTTTGGTTTGCTCTTGCTTTTCTAGTTATTTAGATGCATCATTAGGTTGTTTATTTAAACTAACCCTTATTTTTTAATGTAGGCGGTTAATGCTATTATTATCTTTCCTCATAGTACCACTTTTACTGTGTCCCATAGGTTTTGGTATGTTGTGTTTCCATTATTATTTGTTTCAAGAAACTTTTCAATTTCCTTCTTAATTTATTCAGTTGCCCACTACTCATTCAGGACCATATTGTTTAATTTACAGGTGTTTGTGTAGTTTCCAAAATTCCTCTCGTTATTGATTTTTACTTTTATTTCATTGTGGTCAGAGAAGATGCTTAATATTATTTTAATTTTTTAAAATGTTTAAAGACTTGTTTGTGACCTAACATATGGTCTAACCTTGAGAAAGATCCATGTGCTGAGGAAAAGAATGTGTATTCTGCAGCCATTGGATGAAATGTTCTGTAAATATCTATTAAGTCGATTTAATCTATAGTACAGATTAAGCCTGATGTTTCTTTGTTGACTTTTTTTGTCTTGGAGGTCTCTACAATGCTGAAAGTGGGGTGTTGAAGTTTCCAGGTATTATTGTATTGGGGTTTCTCTCTCTTTAGCTCTAATAATATTTACTTTATATATCTGCGTGCTCCAGTGTTGGGTGCATATATATTTATAATTGTTATATCCTCTTGCTGAATTGACCACTTTATCATTACATAGTAACCTTCTTTGTCTCTTCTTATACTTTTGGTCTTGAAATCTATTTTGTCTGATGTAAGTATAGCTACTCCTACTCTTTTTTTTGGTTTCTATTGAAATGGAATGTCTTTTTCCATCCCTTTATTTTCAATGTATGTGTTTCTTTATAGGTGAAGTGTGTTTCTTATAGGCAAAAGATCACTGGATCTTTTTTTTTTAATCAATTCAGCCATTCTATGTCTTTTAATTGGAGAGTTTAGTCCATTTACACTCAATGTTATTATTGATAGGTAAGGAGTCACTCCTGCTATTTTGTTATTTATTTTCTAGTTATTTTGTGGTCTTCTCTTCCTTCTTTCTTTCCTTCCTGTCTTCCTTTTAGTGAAGATGGTTTTCTCCTGTAATATGAATTAATTTCTTGCTTTTTTATTTTTTGTGTATCTCTCACTTAGCAGATCAAAAGCAAGTCTTAGAGGGCTGAGGCCACAGTGCCCCCACAGTGCAGAGAGGACACTGCTTCAACCTGGGATGCCTGGCACTGGAGGCTTGCTGGCCTAGAGCAAGGAGGCTATGAAGTAGAGCAAGAGGCATTAGGCATCCATAGACTGTGGGAAGAGGGAGGCTGTTACTGAGGCCCCTGTATCCTGACAGCCTCCTCCACAACTAAGCCTGGGAAGGACACAATAAATTGGTTGAGGCAATACCAGAGGCTCAGGGGTTTCTCTGTCTCTTCCCATTGGGCACTGTCTGAGGGTCCCTTGTCTGGGGTGCTGTCTGATCCCACATTCCCAAGCAGGAGAGCTGTGGTCATGCTGACAGAGGGCAGAAAGTGGCCCTTTGGTGAGGCAATGTGGAACCCAGGAGCACAGCCTCATCCATGGGAGGGTGGGATGTGAAGCTGAGGGATGAGAGCCTTCCATGGTGCCCCTGTGTAGAACTGCCCAGTCCAGGCCCTTGGAAGAGGCCATGGTGTGGCTCCTGGGCCGCAGCTCACAGTAGACCAACCCAAGCCAAGGCCTGGAAGCAAGCAGAGGACAGGCCCTGACAGCTGAAGAGCTCAGCAGCAGAGTCCAGCAGAACTCAGAGGAACCCATGTGAGCAAACTCGGGCCTGACCCAGCCCTGGGCCCAGCCTCAGGCCAGTAGGTCCTGGTACCCCTCTGCCAGGAGGTGGCACGCAGTGTCTCTCCCATACACCTGGGTGCTGCCATCTCAGGGAAGGAGAAGGGCAGGGGAGGCATCCTGAAAAATAGAGTGCTTAATTCATAGACGTGCAGTCACTCCAAAGAGACAGACGCACCTGGTGAGCAGAGATGGGGACACTGGGCTTAGCAAGGCTGGTTCCTCACCCCCCACCTTTTTTGGTACCCAATTCGGGCAGGAAATCACAAGGAAGTTCAAATCCATCTAGGATATAAAGAAGCTACATTTACTTGAACATCTGAACACAGTGTGAGGAAATCAGTGATTCTGTTACTTTTAGATACTTATATCTGATGACTGATTGACTGTTGTAAGCCCCAGACACCTACTTTTGCTTATAAAGAAAGATTTCTGGAATACTGGAGAGCCCAGATGCAAACCCTGATGCTTGGGTCCCATGCCCAGAGATACTGATTTAATTGGCCTGAGGTGTGGCCTGGCAGCAGCATTTTCAACGACCCCATCATCTCCAGGTGATTCCAATGGGAAGCCATGTTTGGAAACCACTTAATAGAAAACATCTAGGCCAGGCATGGTGGCTCACGCCTGTAATCCCTGCACTTTGGGAGGCTGAGGTGGGCGGATCATTTGAGGTAAGGAGATCGAGACCAGCCTGGCCAACATGGTGAAACCCCTGTGTCTACTAAAAATACAAAACAAATTAACAGGGTGTGGTGGCAGGCGCCTGTAGTCCCAGCTTCTTAGGGGGTTGAGGCAGGAGAATCACTTGAACCCGGGAAGTGGAGGTTGCAGTGAGCTGAGATCGAGCCACTGCACTGCAGCCTGGGCAACAGAGCAAGACTCTGTCTCAAAAAAAAAAAAAAAAGAAGAAGAAGAAGAAGAAAGAAAAGAAAAAGAAAACATCTCCTCATTGCTCAGGACACTCTCTGAGCACATAAATAATACATTAGAGTGAGACATCCTTGTTTTTATTGTAAACACACTTTTCCTGACATGAAAAAAGGGAAATGCCATCCAAGGAACAGATCTTGGCTAATCTGGCATTTTTCTGGTGTACACTTAGTGTACATATCTGTAAAATGTCTTGTCCACTGTAACACAAACCAGATATGGGAGCTACAGGGGAAATTTTAAATTTCTTAGTAACCACAGTAAAAAAAAGTAGAAAGAAGTGAAATTAATTTTAATAGTATCTTTCATTTAGCCTCATATATCCAAAATATTATCTTTTCAACATGGTATCAAATGTAGAAATTATTAAGATATTTTGAATTTTTATACTAAATCTTCAAAATCTCATGTGGGTTTTACACTTAGAGCTCATTTCAATTTGGAATAACCACATCCCACTTGCTCAGTAGTCACATGTGGCTAGTTGCTGCCATACTGGACATTGCTGGTGTTAATATTGTGGAATTAGTATTAGATGTTGAACTGAGTGCTTTTAAAGAGATGGCATTCTAGCATCAAATTTATTTTCCTTTGGAAATATGCAAATGATACCAGGGCTCCAAGAACATAATATTTGTTTTCTCCTATTACCCCAACGCTCTGTCTGGATATAAATTGTCCTGCTGTACCCTGTTAGCTCTTTAGGGCTTAATAGAAAGCTTGCTTTTCTTTTTCCTTCGGAACCAGTTCTCCAGAGAAAGTACACAATAAATTCAGTTTGAGGGGTGGGAAATGAAATGTAAAGCAATACCAAAGAATTCTAAGACCTAGAAAATAAGGTCAACATTCAGGCAGAAGGATTAGGACTTTTTCTCTGTAACTCACGGTACTGGAGGAAATGTGTGACCCTGGCGGCTGAAAAAGACCACTTTGCCTCCTTCCGGAACTCTTGGGACCTTCTCCATCTTTCAAGAAGGAGAAGCTCAGATTCAGTTTTGTATACGTGATACCTGGAGGTCAGGTTACTATGCTTCAATAATGTGAAGACAAGCGTGAAGATGGAGGAACAGGTTGAAGGTGACAGGAAAGATGGAAAGCCTCTGGGGCCCAAGGATAGTTTGCCTGCCAGAATCTAGAATCACCTCTTTCCAAACTGCTTGTTAATATAGATAACAAAATCCTATTGTTTAAGCCACTTTTAACCAGGTGTTCTACAAATTGTAGCTGAAAGCACCCTGATATTATTTATAATAAGGCTAAGGAAGTAAACTGGGAGGTGAATTGAAGACTGTAGAAATCATATTATTTTGATGGATATTATGATAGTAATATACATTTAGTAATAATTTGAAACGATAGAAGCATTTCACCTTGATTACATACTTCCTGTGAAGGTAGATAATGTACTTTTTTAAGGTAGGACATTTACAGTACACTTTTAAAATAAACATATTTCCTGATCTCTTGAATCAAGCTGTAAATGAGAGAAGCCGCATGATGTGTGGGTGATCTATCCTCATTTTAAAAGGAAAAGACTATACCATAAGTCCATAGGAGAAAATATTTCAGCAGAAAAAAAAAAACTTCCCAGGGTAATAGATCCCAATAACCTCAATTACAAAAGACATACTTTAAGGTCACCCTCCACATAACAGTGGTTGAATTTTTAATATTTGTTCATGGTGGGAGCTGGGAGAAAAATGACAAAATTACTTTGACTACAGTGACACTTCTAATCAGTCCTGTCCTATCACTCACAACAGCATTCCCATTGGTTTGAAAAAGAATTGCACAAGTGTGTGCCAGATATCTGTAGTAGTGGAGAGGATCACAATACCTCTGATTCTTGGAGGCCTGCAGCCCTACAGCCAGGCACCATTTTTCTAGAAAATTCTGCCAATCCAATTAAGAAGGTCACCTTGTTAGGGGAAGATGACAAAAGGGAATCATTCTCCTCCCTGCTAGGGTGGCGGTGGGTGTGGTGTTGCAGCACCACTCCAAAATAGAATTTCAAAATCCTGTTTTATTTCTTGAGTGCTATCACCCCTGAAAACCTAACTCATTAACTGTAGAGTTTAGGTAATTAAGATAGGAAGCAAACTGATAAGAAATTAAACCAGTATGCATAATGTATATGTCTAAGGGAGATGGTATTTCCACGGCTTTAGGAAGCAGGCTAATCAGGTTTCAATCAGGAACTCATCATTCAGAGATAGAAAATTAATTCAGGATAGGAGGCAGGGAGGGAGTGAAAGCACAGGCAGAACCTCAAAATTGATTTAGCTAAATCTATCCTTCTTGGGAGGAGGCAAACCCTCCACTCCCTCACACAAAGGTGCATGCTACAGCAGAGTCTGAGTGTTAAGTTTTCTGATAACCTGCAGCAGAGAGACACGGCTGCATGCTGCTGTAACACTCTTTAAAGATGCTCTGGATTCTAAAACCTGCTTAAACCAAGTATTCTAGATCTCCTTGGCCTAATAATTTCCAGAGAAACAACCATGCAGAGAGGGTGATAAGATGTTAGGTCATTCCCTAGAGCAGGCTTCTGTGGCAGACTCAACTTCTTAGCATATTTGGGGTCTACTCTGACAGGGTGTGTGTGTGTGTGTGTGTGTGTTTGTGTGTGTGTGTGTGTGTGTGTGTGTGTGTGTGTGTGTGTGTGTTGGGAAAGGAGAGATTGGGATGCTTCTGAATTTCCAGCTCTGTACAAATCTCTGCTGCTATAAAGTGCCTTTCCCTGAAAAAGAGGAAATGCTCAAAATGTTATTCATTTAATTAAAATGTATAGTTGAGATTTCTGAGCTCTTTCCCAGTTGGAGAGATGTTCATAGAAA
The DNA here is from genome assembly GCF_000001405.40 of Homo sapiens. NCBI lineage: Eukaryota > Metazoa > Chordata > Mammalia > Primates > Hominidae > Homo > Homo sapiens. The sequence goes on along the minus strand of NC_000023.11, from coordinate 37,734,672 downwards.
ATATAGTCTCCTGGAAGAGGGACACCCAGAGAAATATGGTCATAGCAGAATAATATCTACTTAACTCACCTCATTCCTAATCTTTTAAAATTTGGGCCCAAACACTGTAAAATAGAGTTATAACAGCAGGGCAGAGGATGGGAGTGAACTACAGATTCAAATATTAAACAGCAAACACTTGAAGCCTAAAAAGGATGTTCATGAAAAAGAATTACCCAGCTTGCCAATAAACATCTCAAATTTCCAGTTTTTAAGCTATTAGTTAGTACTGATAGCATCTACATATTTTCTTCAAATAACTTCAACGTCTGCTGTAGATCTCCCATTATTCATAGAAAAGTTAAAACTTACTCATAGTTTTAAATAAAGACAACCCCACAGAAGAGAACTGAGTTGATTCACATGGTTTTCACAAGCTTTGTGAAAGCAAATAAAGTGACTGGCACAATTGTTAACTGGAGTATGGATATTAGATTAGATATTAGTATTGTGTCAATATTAAATTTCCTGAATTTGATAACTATAGTGTGGCTCTGTAAGAGAATACCTTTATTCACAGGAAAAACACATCATAGTATTTAGGAATAAAGGGGTGTAACGTTGGCAGTGTAATCTCAAAGGGTTTACAAGAAAGAGAGAGAAAGTGACAATGATAACGGGCATGGAAAAATATTAATAATAGGTGAGTCTGGGTAAAGGGTATAAAGAAATTCCTTGCACTATTCTTCAGGCTTTTCTATTAGTTTAAAATTATTTCAAAATAAAACATTAACAAACACCAAATTAAATAATTTTATATTGACCTACTTGAATGCTATAATTGTTAATACTCAGTTTTTTTTAACATGAAAATATTTATTTTAAAAGACTTCTGCACAGCAAAGGAAAAACATCTACAGATTGGAGAAAATATTTGCAAACCATATATCTGAAAATCTCCAAAACATGTAAGAAACTCCTACAACTCAATAAAAGAAAGCGTTTAATAACCCAATTAAAAGATGGGCAAAGGACTGGAATAGACCTTTTTCCAAAGAGAACATACAAATGGAAAACTGGTATATGAAAAGGTGCTCAACATCCCCAATCATCAGGAAACTAGAAATTAAAACCACAGTGAAATATCACCTCACACCTGTTAGGATGGCTACTATCCAAAAAAACAAAAAATTAAATGTAAGTAAGGATTTGGAGAAATTAGAACACTTGTATACTGTTGATAGGAATGTAAAATAGTACAGCCAATATGGGCAACAGTATGAAGGCTCCTCAAAAAATTAAAAAAATAAAACTTCCGTATGATCCAACAGCCCCACTTCTGGGTATGTATCCAAAATAACTGAAATCAGGATCTTGAAGAGATATCTGCACTCCAGTGTTCATTGAACCATTATTCACAATAGCCAAGATATGAAAATAACCTAAATGTCCATTGATAGATAAATGGATAAAGAATATATGGCATATTCCTAAATACTACTCAGCCTTAAAAAAAGGATACCTTGCCATTTGTGACAACATGGAAGAATCTGGAGGATATTATGCTAAGTGAAATAAGCTAGACACAGAAGGACAAATACTACATGATTCCACCTAGATGGGGTGTCTAAAATAGCAAAACTCATAGAAGCAGAGGATAGAATGGCAATTGCCAGGGCCTGGGGGGTAGGGGAAATGGGAAGTTGTTGTTCAATGGATATAAAGTTTCAGTTACGTTAGATGAGTAAGTTATAGAGATCTGTTGTACAACATAGTACTTATAGTTGTCGATAGTGTATTGTGAATTTAAAATATTAAGAGCATAGATCTCATGTTAAGTGTCTTACAAAGACAAAACAAAACAAAAACAAAGAGGGACAAGGAAATTTTTAGAAGTGATGAATATGTCTATTACCTTGATTGTGGTGATGGTTTCATGAGTGTTTGCATATGTACACATTCATCAAATTGTATACATTAAATATGTGCAGTTTTTTGTATGTCAATTGTGCCTCAATAAAGCTGTTTTTAAAGAGATTTATCCTATAGCTAAGTCTTTGCAAATTCCAAGGCCACCTTCAGAAGCAAAGGAATTATTGAAACAGTCCATGTCTCTCTCATGCTCTGAAATGATCCCTTTAATGACTGATGTTTTTCCCAACCATTTACATTTGATTATGTATGTTAATACCAAGCCATTTCTTTGGTGTTTTATATTTCTGAATCAGTATATATTTATGTTTGTCTAGAAGAGATGTGTATTGCCTCTCTTTTTTGTATTGTGCATGGCAACTGATGGACAACTGAACAGAATCTTAGTATCCAGCAGTGTAATTTTAACAAGTGGAGTAAATGTCTATAAAACAATCAGAGAGGTTTTCATGGACTGTTGTTGTTCTGCAAGGCTGAATCTTAGCACTCTCAAATTTCTCAGCCTACAGAAGTAATTTCCAGGTGAGTTTATAAAACTATAATCAGTTACAATGAAACAATTTTAAAATTTCTGTTTTAAAAATAGTCCCTGAAGTAAAAAGGCCATGTAAGAATTGTATAAAGAATGAAATACAAGGAGAAATTGAAAAATTAATTTATTATATGAAGAAACAGGACAATATTTATTAGCATCAACGACTGCAGAGAAGCAGTCAACGAAAGCTCATATCCACAATGCATTGACTGGTAAGTACTGGCACATACACTCATAACCATAGCACTAATGTTTTAAGGTGGTTTCCAAAGAAATGCTGTATTTGACAATCAATTTTAATATATATTTTCCCATTTACAAGGCTGAAAAGATTAAACTCACATCCAAATAATGCCTTGAATCAGCATTCAAGTTGTAAAGCACAATTATCAAAAGATGTTGCTATATCCTTTATCGAAAACTATACTAAAATGATAAATTCATTTGCCACCAGAAAGTACTTTCTCAGATTCAGTGGGTCTTTTTCTTCCAAGTGCCATGTGTTTGGGTGCTATTTTTGTAAGCAACTAGTGGTAAGAGAAAGGGCACCTGTCGAGAAGACCAAAGATTCGCATATCCACTCAGGAACTCATATGAATGACACTACTTATTTCTTTTCAAACAGTAAAAAAATAAAAATAACCTGCTTATGGATTTGAATAACTATAATAACTCTATAAATATGCATAGCACTTAAAAACATTTTCAAAGCATTTTCACATCTATTATTTAATTTGATCTTTCTGATAACCTTGTGAGGTAGGTTGGAAAAGGGTATTATGGGGAAACTGAGGCATAGAGCAATTAAGTTGTAGTGCTGGACAGGGAAGTGCCAATCTCTACACTGGGCTGTCTCCAGCAATGAGAGGAAGTCTAAACATGTTTGATGAACTTACTTCAATATATTTTGAAGACATACTTCACCCCCATCCAGCCAAATGATAGCAATTCAGTTGGAGCAACTATCCTGACAAGTTATGGGATGTAATTAATTAGACAAAGCACCAAGAAATTTAAAAATTGAAATTATAACTGAAAAACACATTTTAACTCCAAACACATGAGAAAAGTTGCTGGTTTGTTTTATGCCAATAGGACAACCTAGCTCTGCAGTGTGAACTGTAATTTTGCCAATTCAGTAATATAAATAATTTAAAAACAAAAATTATCAGTTCACCATGGCTTATGTTTTCACCACACAGAAAGAAAGTACTGACACCCCTTCCTGAAAGTGAATGGACATACATGTGCCCAAAGCTGGGATACCTGTATATTAAGGGTTAAAACTGACAAAATACCCAAATGAGTTACCAAATCTCTGTCCTTATAAATGTGTGAAGTGGGCTTTGGGTGTCGGACAAACCAGCACTGTTAGTTTGGTTTGGGATCACTCAAGTTGCTCACCTATCTTCTAAATTAAAGTGATTTAGAATGTATTTGAAGGTTAAGATTTTGTAATGGTTTTTGAGACAAGCTTCCAAACCAAGGCTGGAAAAAACCAGTCTCTCCATCCTTGTCTAATTCCTAACATGCCTAGTCAGTGGGAGGCTGGTGGCTACTCCCACACCTCACTCCCAAGGCCTGAGCTGAAGGCATTTCAGGTGAAAAGGGAGCGCTATTGCCCCTACCATTTGCCACTGCAGAGCCTCAAGGCAAGAATCTCTTTCTCACAAAAAGCTTGAAAATATTTGGTGTCAATGAACACAAGTAACTGGTGTGATACAAATATACACTTGGAATGACTAAAGAATGGCCTTACAGCTCTCCTAATCATTATAGAGCCCTTTTGTTAATTAGGAAGAAACAAAAAATGATGTATTAACATGGTAGCTTTATTTTATTCAAAGTCATATATTTTCAAGGGTGTTTTATGTAATACGATTGTGTATCTATGCACATATGTGATTACATGAAGAGTGCATGGAAGTATATGTTGTATGAAGTATTATTTTGATTATATATGCTCACTATTTTAGGCCTATTAAGAATAGTGCAAGTGGTAAGTGATGTGTTGGGATGGAGAACATAGTCTTGAGTGTTATTCTTATTTGGTTAAAAATAGACAAAAAATGATCTACTGCCTGGACACCCCCACAAAGTTAAACCACAAATATTGATAAATCAAAAACATTTCAAATGAGAAAAACCAAAATTGAGGCTCTATAATTTAGGAGCTTATTGATGTATTTCTATGAACTCTATAAATATTAAACAGTATGGATGCCTTGTGAAAGAATATATACTGCTTTCTTGACCTCCGAATGTAGTGGAAACTGATTATCAAATTGCATTTTCTCCTGTGTGCATGAAATTACTTAAAAATTTGACACCAAGAGGAATTAAAAATGAAAATTATCCGAAGTGCAATGGCCAGATAAATACGTTTTGTAGGTTAACAGAGAAGTGGATCCCTATTCCATATGGTAAAATCGAGTCCATAGAGTCCCTTTTGTAAATTTCTCAGACTTTAATATTCATTCTAAATTGGTGTGATCTTTATGGTCACCTCTTTTCAAGTATTTCGCTTTCAAGATTTTAATGGTAGAAATAATGGCACTAGATCTACGCATTTTTCCAAGATAATTGAGGATATGCTACCCAATCCTCTTTAATGAAACAAATAGGGTCTCCGATTAAAGGAAAAATTATATAGAACATTAAAGGGTGTCAGAGGATACAACTGGAGATCTTTATCAAATTAACTCACAATTATGCCAAGTCAAATTGCATTCCATGAAAGACAAAAATTTTCTGGTCATTCCGTCTTTATAATTTAGAAAAAGTTTCTGAAGTCAATCTCTAATTACAAGTGGTAGTGAGGAAAACTCTATTCCTTGAAATAATGAAAATGAAAATTCCCTATACACCTGAACTGGGTGAGAGATTTCTGTGGGGTTTTCTAAAAAACCCTTAAGTTAACCAAGGTAACTCTTCTAAAATGGTCCTGACAGGCAAGGAATGGGGAGGCAGGAGTAAGATGGTAAGAATTCTACTTATACAAGTCGCCATCATTTTGATGTTTTAACACCCCTCCTGATCCAGAATTTCATCAACATATCAAAGAATCACAACTTTCCTAAAATTCCAGGGCTTTCATGGCCAAATTTATCACTCATTTCTGCATCCATGGATGCTAAGGAACAAAGTCTCCAAATCTAGGCCCTTGAATCAATTAGAGACAGCATGCCAGGGTGGCTACAGTTGGCTATGTACAAAAAAGCCCTAATGAGATGAAAATGAAACCTCTGTCTATTCAAAAACCAAACTTGAACAGCCCTCCCTGAAAGCTCTGACAGGAATGATGTTGCTGATGGCAAAACCCTAGTAATCTTTTTTGGTCACCAGGACAGCTCTTGGGTGAAAACTATGTTCAGGGATCATAAAACTTCAGGTTACCCAAACCAGCAGTCTGGAAAACTAGAGAACAGGTAAGCCCCTCTCCTCATTCAACCTAATGAATCTAACCAGTACAACTCAGATTTCAGGGGTAACTTGTCAGTGAAAAGGCCAGTAATGCCTAGAAGAACACAACATGGTTACCTGTGAACTGTGATGCCTTGGGTTGCCCCTTCAACACTCAGAGGTTTTCCTGGCTTCTTCCCATACAGTTCTACATACCCAAGAGCTCTATAAAGAGAAGCAGCTCACAAGGAGTTAACAGCTAACTTCCTGCCTTGTTCCCTGTGTAGGGCTCATTATTTGTATGAATAACGAGTATCAAACCCAGAAAATAATATGCCTGTGCTCTGAGACCTTGGGTCCCATTAAGCAGAGCAGAGATCTTCAGCATTCAAGAACTGACCAGGCTCAGGACTTGTTTTACTGCTAGAAGGTGTCTCATCTCTATCTCTGGATGACTGTAGATCTTCCTTTCCTATCGGCTCACAGGGTTTTTGCTGCCTGCAGGCCCAGCAAAAACACCTGAGCCACCTCTGAAAGCCTTCAGAAACACTGGAAGAAAAGAGCTTTTTGCAAGGGTGGAAGAACTGATAGAATACAAGCATGAAGAGAATGGCTGTGCAGTACCCAATGAGCAGCTGCAGGACCAACAGAGGTGCGCACACATACATATAGATGTCAGTCTTGAAAAGATACCACAGGAGGAGGAGGATGGCATTCTCGATGAATCTTATCATGTAATACACCAGTAGCTGGTACCAATTATGGGACTTGCTGATGAGGTCAGGGCTGTCAATTTTCAGCTGTACAGCAGACCAGCAGAACATGTTGATACCAGTATAGAGTAAAGTTAGAAAGCATAGTACAATGGTGGTGCCCACTCTACTGAGGGCCTTCTCTATGTTCTCAGGGAATGGGGAACCACTGCACCAGAAGAGGATCCAGGGGTACAAGAAGAAACTGAAGAAGTTGATGAGTATTATAACCACCACCCAGGTCTTCAGGACGGAGGTAAAGAGGACCAGGACTACAACTCGAGTGGCAATCTCAAAGCTCCTCCACAGGAAGATACAGACATAGGCCAGAGGCTTCACTTTGACTTCATACTCATCGTACTTGATTTTGATGGCTAGGATGTTGCAGCGCAAGGCTCCATACACAATGGACAACAGGGATATGGTCATGAGGAGACCTGGGGAGAAAAGAGAGAGTATCATCAAGTCTCACCTCCACTAGGAATCCTACTGCAGCAGACACTCTGTCAGCACCCCACCCGCATTCCTTGGACTCTTCTGTTTTATGTGCACAGCCTGACTTCCAGTTGTTAGCATCTGCCCACTGTGCTTGAGTATGTTTTCCAGAACTGCAGAAAGCTGCTGCATCCAGGTGCCTGTCAGGCTGAAGTGCCAAGAATTAATACTCCCGAGAGCGCCCTCAATGCCCCAATTCCAGCCCAGATTAGGAGCTGGAATACAAGTACTATGGCTTCCCCATCCATCAGAGAGAATATCTCTGAGGCATGTGTTCTATGACATTTCCTAGTATTTGCTCTTTGGATTAACTTCTAGTCACGCATGGTGATAGTTGTCTAATAGTTGTCTCCCTTTATTGGCTGCCTTCCCTTCCCTGCCTCATTTCTCTTCTTCCACACTCCTTACATCTTCCTCCCCAGATATATGCACTCAAATTCTTCTCGTAGGGCCTGCTTCAGGGTAACTCACACTAAAATACATTCCTGACCTCATCTGGGCCTGTCTGAATATGTAGAGTCCTTTACATGGTGTGTTTTGTTTCCTCAATTGGCTTCTAAGCTTCTGGGGAATCAAGACCGACCAACCAAATCTGATATTTCCTTTTGATGTCCCTCAGCACATACCAGCAGTAGATATACAAACAGTAATAAGTTGCTCAGTATGTTCCTCTATATCTGCAGGATCTTTTAAACTGATACACTGACTATAGAATACTCACTGTGGTTGCATTCTTAAATTCTGTGGGGAGCTGAAGAAACGAGAACTTCACTGTTACTGAGAGTCTATCTGTCTTGGGCTGAAAGTCCTTAGTGTTTCAAGAAGTTTCAACTCTGTTTATTTCTTAAAATGACTTATGGGTAATGGGTTTATCCAGTTTATAATAGAAGCAGAAGTTTGGGGAGACAAGATGTAGCTCATTTAAATGGAACGTGGTATTACATTCCAGAGCACAGCACTGTTGGCCTTGAGTTGTACTATCTAAGATATATGATGCCAACCCATAAGTAGACTGTGGTCAAAACTGAAATATAATCACTTACTACAGGCTGCCAACATCTCTAAATACTGGCACAAGGAAGGATGGGAAGCAGGGCTATGAGTTAGGAACCGACAGCCTGGCTCTCGTTTTTTTCTTGTCTCACCAGTTTACACTGAAAAAATGGCAACCTCTCTGGGTTCTGTTTTCTCACCCATAAAATTGAGATAATACCCTTCCATGCCTGCTGCTTCATTTTTTAAAAATATCTTGAAATGTTTATTTATTCATTTTAATAAACTTTATTTTTTAGAGTAGTTTTAGGTTCACAGTAAAGTTGAGCAGAAGGTACAGAGATTTCCCATATATTCCCTGACCCCACACAAGCATTATCAACAACCCCCATTATCAACATCCCCCACCAGAGTGGTACATTTTTTTACAACTGATGAACCTATACTGACAGATCATTATCATCCAAAGTTTACATTTACATTAGGGCTCACTCTTGGCATTGTACATCCTATGGGTGCATTGGACATTACACATTGGACAAATGTATAATGACATGTAGCCACCATTACAGTATCATACAGAGTAGTTTCACTGTGTAAAAATCCTCTGTTCTCCACCTATTCATCCCTCCCTAGTCTCCAGCTCCTGGAAACCACTGATCTTTTTATTGTCTCCATAGTTTTACGTTTTCCAGAATGTTATATAGTTGGAATCATACAATATGTGGCCTTCTTAGATTGACTTTTTTCACTTAGTAACATACATTTAAGTTTTCTTCACCATATCTCCTCATGACTTGACAGCCAATTTCTTTTTAGTGCTGAATAATAGTCCATTATCTGGATGTACCACAATTTATTTATCCATTCACTTGTTAAAGGACATCTTGGTTGCTTCTAGGTTTTGACAGTTATGAATAAATTTGTTATAAACATCCATATGTAGATTTTTGGAGGGGCATAAGTTTTCAACTCCTTAGGGTAAATACCAATGGGTGTGATTTGTTTGCTGGATCGCAGGGTAAGAGCATGTGTAATTTTATAAGAAACCTCCCAACTGTATTCCAAAATGACTGTACCATTTTGCATTCTCAACAGCTATGAATGAGAGTTCCTATCGCTCCACATCCCCACCAGTATTTTCTGTAGTCAGTGTTCTGGATTTTTGCCAATATATTTAAAGTGTACAACATAATATTTTGTTATACATATATACTGTAAAATGATGACTATAGTCAAGCTAATATATCTATCACCTCACATAGTTACCTTTTCTGTGTGAGAACACTTAGCAAATTTCAGGTATTATTAACTACAGTCACCATGCTGTATATTAGATCTCTAGAACTTATTTATCTGACATAACTGAAACTTTGTATCCTTTGACCATCATCACCCTATTTCCCAGAGCCATTCCTGCCCCTAGTAACTACCATTCGATTCTCTGGTTCTATCAATTTGACTTTTTTAGATTACACATATAAATGAGATCATGCAGTATATTTCTTTCTGTGTCTAGCTTATCTCACTTAGCATAATATCTTCCAGGTTCATTCACGTTGTTGAGAAATGGCAAAATTTCCTTATTTTTCAAGCCTAAATGATATTCCATTCCAATAGGTATATAGTGGTACCTCATTATTGTTTTAATTTGTATTTCCCTGATAACATATAATGTGGAGTATATTTTCATATGCTTATTTGCCATCTTGTCCATCTTTGGCAAGGTATCTGTTAAGGTCTTTGGCCCATTTTTTTTTTTACTTGATTGTTTGTTTTCTTATTGTTGAGTTTTAAGGGTTCTTTGTACATTTTGCATAAAAGCCCTTTATCAGATAAGTCTTTTGCAAATATATTTTTTCAGTCTGTGGTTTGTCTTTTTATTCTCTTGAGAGCGTCTTCTGCAGAGCAGGAATTTTTAATTTTAATGAAGTTCAGATTATTAGTTCTTTCTTTTATGGATCATGCCTTTGGTGTTGTATCTACAAAGCAATCATCAAATCCAAAGTCACCTAGATTTTCTCCTATGTTATCTTCTAGGAATTTTATAGTTTTGTATTCTGTATTTAGGTCTGTGAGCCATTTCAGGTTAATTTTTTGTGAAGGGTGTAAGGTCTGTGTCTAGAATTTTAAAAATTATCATTTCTCCATTGTATTGTTTTTGTTCTTTTGTCAAAGATCAGTTGACTGTTTTTATGTGGGTCTATTTATAGGCTCTCTATTCTGTTCCATTGATCTATTTGTCTGTTCTTTTGCCACTACTACACTGTCTTGATTGTTGTAGCTTTATCCATGCTTGATTCTTAAAATTCAATTCTATGTAATTCTGTCCATGTAACATAATTGTCTCTATCTAAATGTACAATTTAAAATGTATAGGAATAAAGGTTTTTCCTATTTACGAATAAATGGAAAAACATCTATAATTAGACATAAAAACTCTGAAGCTTTGGTATTTATTTGCCTGGGAGAGAAGCTCACTCTTACTCAAAGCATCAGTTTTTCTCATAGTCTTTTGGCACTGAGTTTAATTAATGATGTCATTCACTGGAAAGACTGGAATCTACTAATCAAATTTAAAAGGTAGAAACACCATTACCTGAGTTGACTGGGAAGTAATTGCACTAAGTTATTTTTCCTGAGAGGCTAATTCAATGGAGCATTGTAAAGCAGAACATATTAGTGATATACTTTGTATATTACTTATACATGTATGTGTGGTTACAAATTTCCAAACTCTAAGGATCCATTATTAAATCATTTTTTCATAGTCCTTATGTTTTCTCCAGTATAAGAAAAATATTTTAAGTGCAGAAGATGAGCTAAGCATAAATTATTACAATCTAAGGTAAGTAGTCACACATGTACAGTATTTATATTGTTATATTTATGGTATTTTAACTCCAAAATATTTATTGCTTTAAGCAATACTATGGCCCACATAATTTTTTCTAGTATCTATCCATTTTTCTCTTGTTCAGTCAATTATTTCCAAATTACATCTTTTTCTCTATCAAGAGAATTAGGCAATTATTACCCAGTTGGTGTCTAGTAGTAATCAACCACAGAAACCTTCTGAGAATGCATAAAAAATATTTTGAAATCATTGGCTTTAATTATCATTGCTACTGTTGGGTGCTCACTACAAAATGTCACAGATAGAAATGGGGTCAGGGAGGGAGACACATTTGGGAGACAAGAAGCTTGTACAAAATGATTCCAATGTACATTTCCAGCTCTATAATTAAGCTGTCATCTAATGAACGATGAGAATGATGCTCATGCAAATACCTACTGATTCAGACTTAAATGGAGAAAAGTTCCCTGACAATATTTCCCAACCTTATCTTCACAGAGCCAACACAAAAGGGGATAAATTGGCAGTACTGCCTATTTAAGTGGCATTTCACAGAAGTCTAACATCCCCTAGTAATCCTAATCTCATTTCCTAGGGGTGTGTATGGATGGAGGCATTTTGCTGTTTTCATTATTATTAGAAGGGAAGACATTACTTTAAGTAAAGCTAAAAGGAAGGCTTTGGCAATATTTCAAACCCTTGGCATACTTCTAAAGCTTCCTCCTACCCAATTCCAGCCAAATGAACTCTTTCCAGATGAACCTTCCTAATTCACAGAGAAATTAATTGTCACTAGGCATGGATTTGTTCATTTCCTGACTTGCCACCAAAAACTTAATCTCTATGTAAAGTTATGGAGAATATTTTCTTCCCCAGAATTCCTCTTAGGAAAGCAATTCTATTTATAGTACAAGGGAACAGTGTGTCTGTTGCTTTAGAGAAATAACAGAGTCTGGCTGTAAGATGGAGGATGGTAGATGGTTGTTTTCTGTATTATGATTACTCTCTGTAGACATTGAATCTTCAGTAAAATGACTGAACTCATGAAATGCTTTTATGGAATAGACTTTTCAAAAAAATTAGTGAATGACTTCAAAGAGGTAACTGGCGAAGCCAAAGGGGATATGGAGTGCAGTGGCAGAGGGAAACTGGAGGAAGTTAGCAAAGCAAGCTTCTGAAAATTAGAATTTTCAACAGATTTCTGAGAGACAGTAATTTTTATCTGTTTTCTTTCAACTCAGTGAACAAAGAGTCTTTCTTACGATCTGGAGCCGGGATCTCCCCACCTGCACTACACTCTATCACTTGCCTCCTCAAAAACTTTGCTGTATCAATTATCATCTTTCCCTTCTAAATTTTCAACTACTCTCTTAATCCTGACTCTTTTCCCCTAGTGTATGAATCTGCCTATGTCAGCTGCATCTTAAAAAAAATCCTTCATTGGTAAAAACACATAATTGTTGAAGACGTGATAGATGCATGGGGGTTCATTATAACATCCTCTCAATCTTTTTGTATGTTGAAAAATTTCTATAATAATGAAGCTATAATTCACAAACATTTAAAGTGAACAATTTAATGATTTTTAAATATTCGCATATAAGTGCAACCATCACCAGTCAATTTTAAAAAGTTTTCATCACCTCAAAAAGAAACCCCATATACTTTAGCTATCAATTTTGCCCCCACTGGTCCTAAGAAACCACTGATACATTTTTTATCTTTAAAATTTTCCCTATTCTGGACTTTCATATGAATAACATAATAGAATATGTGGTATTGGGTGACTGGTTTCTTTCACTCACCATAAGGTTTCTAAGGTTCATCCATGTTGTAGCATGTATCAGTACTTCATTCCTTTTTATGGCCAAATAATATTCCATTGTATGGATATACAAGACATGGTCCATTCATCAGTTGATAAACATTTGGATAGTTTCTACCTTTTGGCTATTGTGAATAGTGCTGTTATGAACATTCATGTGCAAATTTTTGTGTGAACATATATTTTCTTTTCTCTTGAGTTTATAGAAGTGGAGTTGCTAGGTAATATGGTAACGTAATGTTTAGTTGTCGAAGGAACTGCCATAGTGTTTTCCAAAGTAGGTTGCACCATTTCATATTTCAACCATTAGTCTATGAGGATTCCAATTTTTCCACATCTTCATCAACATTTCTTATTATCTAACTTTTTTATTCTAGCCATTCTAATGGGTGTGAAATTGTATCTTGTGATTTTGATTTGCATTTCCCTGATGACTAATAATTTCCAGCCTATTTTCATGTGGGTATTGGCCATTTGTATATATTTTGTGGTTGCTTTTCATTCTTAACTATGAATCAAACTTATAATAGATTTCACATTGTCCTATAGGTATCCCAAAAAGTGTGTCAGAATTCAAAGGCCAGATCTGCATAGACCAAATATATATTATAGAATAAAATGTTAAAAATGCTCAACATCACTAATCATCAGAAAATGCAAATTAATGCCATAATGAGATATCATTTTATACCAGTCAGAATGGCTATTATAAAAAAGTAATAAAAATAACAGATGTTGGCAAGGATGGGAGAAAAGGGAACACTTATACACTGTTGGTGGGAGTGTAAAATGAATAGAAGATCTATGTAAAACAGTGTGAAGATTTCTCAAAGAACTAAATACAGAACTACCATTTAATCAAGAAATCCTACTACTGGGCATCTACCCAAAGAAAAATAAACCATATTAAAATGATACCTGCACTCATATGTTTATCGTAGCACTATTTACAATAGTAAAGATATGGAATCAAACTATGTGTCTGTCAATGGATGACTGTATAAAGAAAATGCGATATATAATGGAATACTACTCAGTCATAAAAAGAGAATGAAATGTCTTTTGCAGTAACATGGACGGAACCAGAGGCCATTATCCTAGGTGAACCAATTCAGAAGAGTCAAATACCATATATTCTCACTTAGTGGGAGCTAAATAATGTGTACACATGGACATACAGTGTGAAATGATAGACACTGGAGACTTGGGAGGGTGGTAAAGGATAAGAAATTACTTAATGTACATTGTACTTAATGTACTTAATGTACAATGTACATTATTTGGGTGACGGAAGAAGTAGAAGCCCAGACTTCACCACTATGCAATAAATTCATGTAACAAAACTACTTGTACCTCTGAAATTCATAAGATAGAAAAAAGGAAAAGAAAAAAAGGATAAAACAGTAATTAGCCTTGTGGCCATCAACAAACATTTAAAATGACAAAAAAGTCCAATTTTATTTTCTCATGCTTTTTGAATTCCCTAAAAAAGGCATCAAAAAGCAAAAGATTTCCATACTAGCATGGCAGATTAGCTTGTTTAATCCATTATTTCTGTCAAGAACAACTAGGCAAACATCTGTTCAAAGGCATCAGAGATCTTCCAAAGCAGTGAGTACTCCTGGGGCTAAGACTTTTGAAAGAAAAAAAAAATCTCTCGAGAAAATTCTGAAGCTGCCTTTTCCCTCAAGACATTTTCCCAAATGAAAATGAGTACTAAGAAACAAATAATATGAATACAACTTATAGAAATCTCTCAAAGCTGGTGGGTATGGGAGCAAATATTGACATTCAGGCCCCATAATGATCCTGGTGTACACCCAAAGCTTTCTAGTAGAAACTCAAAGGACATCAGGAGTAAGGATGACTGGAAAGAGATTAAGCCCTCGCAAAGATTGATATAGATTTCAACCATCTCAAGTCATGACTGAGTCAAGTTGATCTGCATCTAGTCCATCTGACTGCCATAAACAAAAGCAAAATCTTCCTGGAGAAAGATAGTTCATGCAGAGCCTCAAATTTTCTCTAGTTTTTTTCTTACAAATACCTGGCATTAAATTAAAAATAACATGGTATGCCAACAACAAAAAATGGCCAAAATCCAAAAATAATAATAGATAATAAAAATAGACCTGTAGGAGATACAGATTTTGTAATAATCTGACATGGACTTAAAATAACTATAATTTATATGATTTTAAAATTGTGTGACAAAATTGGGAACTTATCAGAGACTGGAAACTATTTTAAAAACTCAAATGACAATTCTAGAACTAAAAAAATACCATAATTACAATTAAGAAATAAACAGGTTTAATAGCAGATTAGATACAGCTATAAAGATAATTAGTACTCACTAGAAGGTAGGTCAGAAGAAAACACTCAAATGGAGAAAGAAAAAGCATGAAAAACTTACAGTAGAGTGGAAATGTCCCAGATAGAGAAAAAGAGAGAGAGAAAGAGAGAAAGAGAGAGAAAAGAATGGCTCTGACATAATATGTGAAGCAATGAAGGCTGAGAATTTTCTCAAACTGCTAAAATATCAAACCACAGATTGAGGAAATGCTACAAAACTCAAGTAGGTAAATATGAAGAAAACCACAACTAAGCATATCATGTTAAAATTGCTGAACACCAAAGTCAAAGAGAAAGTCTTTAAAAGCAGTCAGAAAGTATAAGTAGACAGATGAACTTCAAACGAGTAACAATAATGACAGAGGACAGTAGCATCTCAACAGAAATAATGGAAGCTGGAAGATGAATGATAATCTAAAAGTAGGAAGTAACACAGTCCCAAAGATGAAGGGAAAAGAAATACATTTTCTGTCAAAACAAAAATGAGGAGAGGGAATTTGTCACCAGCAGATCTGCACTAAAGGAGAGATGTTAAAAGTAGTATTTCAGGCCCACAAGAAATGATCCTATGTGGAAGCATGGAGATACAAGAAGGTATGAACAAGGACCAAAAGGGTAAATACAACTCAGTTTTGTAATGAGCGAAAATACCTGAACAGTCATTTCACACATGTGTATGCATGCACATACACACACACAAACATACCCCTAAAATGGCCACTAAAGACATGAAAAGAAAATTAGTTCATTAGTCATAAATGCAAATTCAAACTACAATGAGATACTATACATCTACTCCATCACAAAAAGTAAAACCAAGTGCTGGCAAGGATATGGAGCAACTGGAACTCTCATACACTGCTTATGGGAGTGTAAAATGGTAAAACTGCCTTTGCAGTCTCTACTGAAGCTAAACATTGACATTGCTTTCAGCCCAGCAGTTCTACTCCTGCATATACATGCAACAGAACTGCATATATATGTGTACTAAAAGGCCCGCACAAGGATATTTACAGAAGCATTATTTGTCATAGTCACAATCTGGAAATAACCTAAATATTAATCAAAAGCAGACTGTATCAATACATTGCGGTATATTCATACAATGGAATCCTATACAGCAATGCTAAGGAACAAACTTCTGTTACAAACTGCAATATGGATAACTTTCATGAATACAGTGTGAGTGAAAGAAACCAGAACCCTGATTCCATTTACATAAAATTTTAAAACCCAGGAAAAAATAATCTGTAGTGTGAGAAGTCGGCTTTCTGCTTAGTGGTTACCTTTGGGGGAGGTGGGTGAGGAAAGTGACTGAAAAGAAACATAAGGAGTCTTTTGGGGATTCTGATACTCTTTTGTTTCTCACCTTGGATACAGAACTACATGAGTAAGTTTACTTTGTGATAAATCAAGATTTGCCCTTATGATGAGTATAGTTTTCTGTGTGTACTTTATACTTCAATAATAATATGTATTTGAAAAAACTAGGTACACTATTACTATACTTAGTAGGCACTCGATAAATGTTTATTAGATTACAATTTTTAAAGGCAAAAAGGACTATCATTTCATTGTTACAATGAAGTTGTTTCAGAGATATTTTTCCCTACCCTGGCAAAATGCCAAGTAGAAAATAGACATTACATAAACCCCTATTTAGATTACTATAGCAAAACTCATTCTGCAGATATAACCAGTATGATACCCTAGTACTGTTAAAAGAAAATTCTTAAAGTCTTACTGACTAAGATCTCACTGTTACCAAAATCTCTCTTGAACATCTGCCAGTTTACCAGATGTTTAGTCAAAAATTGAGGACTCTTCCTTCAATACATATTTATATCTTGTTTTGTTCTCAGAATTGTGAGAACAAATACTATGGCCCATCACTCACAACCCACATGATGTGATTATAACTGTATACTCTATAATCCTCAGAGGTCCTGAGTGATTTTGTTCTTTTCTCCCAGCTGTATTTCGATTTCTTGCCTAAGTACCTGGATGACAAGATCTCCTCCAGCTCATCTTTCTTATGCAAAAAATTATTGCACTCTTAATTCATGACAAGGGACTATTGTAAGAATTTTACAGGTATGAATCACTTAATTCTAACAACAATCCTATAAAGTAGATACTGTTATTATCCTCATAATAGAGATGAGAAAGTGGAGACATAGAGATGTTAAGTAACTTTCCAGAGATCACTCAGCTAACAGAGCAGGAATTCCAACCTAAGTAGTCTTGCTCCAGAATCGTAGCCTTAACCAGTAGGCTCTTCTGCCTAAATAAATATAATTAGTCTATTTCCCTAGCAGTGGTCTCAGCTCCACATTTTATCTCTTTTATCACTTGATGGCAGGAAGGAGTCTGCTACCCTTAAAACTGCCCAGGACCCTAAGGAGTCTGGAGAATCCACCAAGCGTACTTTGAGGATTTGTCCAATTCTTCCTTGCTTCCACTGAGCCCAAATTTCACGTCTGTCTTCTATTATGTGAATATTTCATATGTAAAGACCTTCTGAAATCATGCTGGTCAGGCACCCGGGAATGGGTAAGCCTCACTATGCTAAGCTGGTTTCTGAGAATTGCCTCTCAAGGAATAACCAATGATCAGAGAGAAGTGGGGCAGAAGCAGATCCCTCTATCTGCCCTAGCAACTTGTCCTCCTTCCTTATCATCCTGCCTCAGGCAGAGAAAAGGGACATCAGTGAGTTGAGTTACACCAAAAAAACAAACAAACAAACAAAAAAACTCTTCCTTTAGATAGCCAGATCAAGGAAGTAAGATCCTAGACTCATGTATGGGGCCCTCTATCAGCAAAATGGTAGCAGCAAAATGGTATCTAACAGCAAAATGGTAGCAAGACCACTCAGAATCCCAAGATAGAGTTTCTCTATTCTACTGCAGATTTTCAGGTAGGGCAAGGCATCACAAATCCTCTTAAAATGTAGCTACTCATGTACAGTGAACCTTGTAAATAATTCAGCATGGCCATTAGATCCTCCATGACTGAAGCAATTTCTTGTATTTTTCCCTTTGCCAACCCTTGAACCACAGACACTCACAAATATTTGCATGCACATTCTTACCTCCACTAATCTTTTCAACTACCACAATAATCCTCAGTGTACTTTTCCTCCCAATCTATCTTCCCTTCCCTCTTTTCAAATACTTTATTTTTTGTTCTTCTTATTTTATGGTCATGTTTGGTATGTGTCCATGGTTGTAAACAACATGAAAGCCTTTTAGAAACAGGTAGGATATAAAGAATAAACAATAAATGGTTTGGACCTTGTGAGGATATCACTTCTTCTGTGTGTGATTATACCTGCTCAGTGCCTCTAATTCTATGCAGCACTACCAAGACCTACTTACTTTACAGAGATGTGGGTGAGGAATCAGAAGGTCTATACTGGATATTGGATTATTCAAATAGCTATATAAGCAGCAGTTACACGTTTCCCTAAACTCAGGCACAGCCTTGACAAGACACCCTTGTGTGGAGGTGGGTAGGAGGCATATGTCTTCCCGCTGTGTACCACTAAGTAACTTCCATTGACTTGTGGTCACAAACTCCAGGAAAAAATCAGAGCCGACATCATGCCAAAGCCAAACCTAAGTGAAAACTCTTGGTGGGTGGATGGAAGCATTCTCCCCCCTGGCCCATTTGGAGGTGGGTTTAATTTAGGAGGAATGAATATGAACCCACCTTCAAGTCTTGTAGACTTAATATAATCTTATAATAAGCATACACCATTACACAATCATATGGACCATTGTTTAGGTTGCTATAGCAGCTATGTATACTATACTGACTATAGCTGAAAATGACCTCTGGTGCAGAAAACCATTAAATGGAATTGTTGTTAGAAATGTAAGCCAATAAAGTGAAAAAAGTACCAGGGCATCCAATCTACTATCAGATATATACAAGTTATTTCTTTCTTGGATTTGCAATATGTGACACAGACCATAGATGGCCTGCAAAATCTAAAATATTTTTCTTCCATACCTTTACAGAAAAAGGTTGGCCACCCTGCAATAGAACACTTTTCTGCCACAAAAATGAATAAACTAAGTTTACATTCATCAATGTGTATAGTTCTCAAAACTATAATGTTGACTGAAAAAAAATGCAAGTTTCAGAATGTTATTTGCAGTGTGATAAAGTTTAAAGACCTACAAAATCAATATATCCTATTTATGGATACTGTGCCTATGCAGCAAAGTTATAAATCATGCACAAGAATGATAAACTCTGAAATCATGACAAGGAAGACTCACAGGGTGCCCCAACTATACTATAAATTTTATTGCTTAGAAAGGAAAAAAATATATATCTAAAGCAAATATGTCATGTAAAGATTTGATAAAGCAAAGAGGACTATATATACACACACACACACACATATTTGTATATATTTGGAAATATATATATATACACACACACACGTATACATGTATATATTTGGAAATATATATACACATATATGTATATATTTGGAGATATATATATATATACACACACTATACACCTATATAATGCTTTTCTAGAGAATCCTAACACACCAACAGGGCTGTAGACGATTGAGCAACAATAAATGTGTTATTTAAACCATTAAGTCTTTGGTGGTTTGTTTTTCAGCAATAGCTAGCTGATACAGCAGAGACCTCTCACCCCCTTTCCAGGCATATGGCACCACAGTCTTTATTCACTCCAGGCTATTCCCTCAAGTCTCCCTCCTTCAGGAATCTACAAATGAAAAGCAGGCCTCAGTCGCTATGCTTATAAATACTCCTAAACTCCAGGGTACACACAACAAGCTATCTCTAAGGAAGGTGAGCAACTGTTAGATAGGCCTATGGGTTCCCAGCTTCGTAAGCCAGGGAGTGGCTTGGCTACCCTTGTTGCTAGCACCCTTCATCTTGAAATTCTATTTTAAGTGGCTTCTGGAAGGGAGGAAGTAACCTCTCACCATAAATAAGTTACAGAAGATCCTATTCTCTTCTGCCCTTTCTCCCCAGGTAAGTCCTTTTAGAATTGGAAGGTAGGGGTATGTGAGGTTGACTGTGGTAGTGTTAGTTTGTCACTCTCAGAAAATTCTGAAAGAAGAAGACTGGCCAGTCCTTAGTGGCTTTTTTTTTCTGAATGTAATATATTCAGCACATGGGCCAGATGTCATTTCTGCAGGAAAAGGAAAAGTCCCACTTAATTTCTTATTATATAAGAAATAATTTCTAACAAGGAGTACTTCACCAATAGAAGTGTCTTTTGAATACTGACAGCTCCACTGCTGAATATAATCAAGCAGAGGCTGGTGGAATACCTTTCAGGGACACTGAATAAGTGGTTTCTACAGAGTGTGCAAAATCAAACATGATGATCTCTTAGGTCCCTTCTACCTCTAACATTCTCCAACTCCATGAGAAGCAGTGTTGGTTAAAACAACTAACATTGGGTCAAGTGTCCAAAAACTGGGTCTTAGTCTTGGCTTTGGGCCCTTAAACTTCCTAAACCTCAGTGTTGCAGATACTGTGGGTCTCCAACTTAATTGGTATCCTTCCTCTCTTCTTCCTTAAAGGCAGAACTCTAATTCTGATTAGGTACTGCTCACCCTTCCATGTGTTCAAGGAAGATGATCCCAGGTTTGACCACTGGAGTAAATAAAGATTAGTATAGACCAGTCTCCTAACTTATTCTCTGTCACAGACAAATACAAAAATTATACTATTTGTAATTAGTATTCATTGGGTTAAGAGGATGAAGCTGGTCTATCCATTCCAGGCCTTGCCCAGCTGTTCTGTAGGGTCAAGGATATCTACACCTCAGAGAAATCTGTAACTTCGTTTTCTATTCCTGTACCTAGAGATTGGTTTGGCATGGACATGTGACCCAATCTTGGCTAACGGAAACTGAATAGAATTATGTTAAAAAAAAAAAAAGAGGCATTCTTCCTCAGTAAAAAGAAGTACACAGGAAGAAACCTCCCTCTTCATCATGTCTGCATGTAATGTCTAGACCTAAAACTACCTGTAGATGTGTTAAAACATGGCTCCTGAAGTCCTATGAAATACCACCTATCAACAAGTAGGGTCTATATCTTCTCTTCTTGAATCTGAGATCATGTGACTCCTAATAGGATCAAGCAAAAATGATTCTGGTTTCCAGGACAACATATTAAGACACTGAAAACTTCTCCTTCATGTCTCTTGGAATCCTCACTCTTAAGATCTAGCTTCCATGTTGTAAAAAAGCCAAGAGAGGTCCACATGGAAAACAACCAAGGCCTCCAGCCCTCAGTCCCAGCTAAGCAACCAGTATTAAACAGTACCAAATTGCCAGCCCCTAGTCAAGCTGCCTCAGCTGATGCCACATGGAGCAAGGTAAGCCCTGCAGATACCTACACAAATTACAAAATCATAAGGAAGAGAAACGACTGCTATTACTTTAAGTCACTAAGTTTTATGGTGGTTTATTATGCAGAAATACATAATGGATACATGGTCCTCTTGCAATCATCAGGGGAGACACCAATAAGAAGCCAAGGAAGACAGATAAAAAGATGGAAAGTGCCTGGATCCTCGACACTGTTGTGCTAGTAAGTTAGTCAACCATAGGATCACTCTGCCTCTGAACTTATTATATGAAGTAATACATTTTTACAATTTTAAATTGCTTTTAGTTGCATATTCTAACACTTGCAATGAAAACATCTCAAATGATACCCTCACTTTTTTCGTCTATGAAACTGAGATTAATTTAACTTCCCTGCCTAACTCATATTCACTGACCTTACATTGAGTGGTCATATGTGCCAGAACTGGGCATGCACAAACGAGCAAAACAAAGACCCACAGCCACCCAGAGTAGCCCATGATGAATCACTCTCTCCATTGCAACAAAAACTTACACTCATTGTGAAAGCATGAAAAACACAGATAAATGGAAAGAAAAAAAGTACCCCATATTCTCGCTATCTCAGGACAACTAATTGATATTCCAGTGTATTTCCCTTCATACTTTCTGAAATTTTGTGTTTTCTGTGTATGTGTGTGAGTACACACATGCAAAAAACAGATGATGTTGTGCCAAAAGTTTATAAGCTTATATCATGTAAAGCACCACATACAAACATAAAAAGCTATCCCTTCAACTCCCTCCTCACAATATTCCTCTAAGAATATATGAATTAAAGCTATTATCATTAGATTAGTTCATAAAATACAGTTGGTCCAGAAAACAGCAAAAAATTAAGTAAGGTTTTTTCAGAATCTAGTCAACGTGTCTGGCCAAAGTAGATCTCTGGGCAGCGACCTGATCAAATAGAAGATGATTGCATCAGGTTATCAAAGTTCAGAGAACTGTAGTATAAAATTAGACCTATGAATCCTAGCCTATTCAGCCTGCCCCCAAATACAGCAGAAGTGAAATTGCAGGATTGAGTTATTAAGAGTGCTTTCCTAGGAATCCAAGAGTCAATAAACACCTCTGAAATCACTAATTCAAACACCCTATCGTGACCACCACCTTCTATCCATCTGACTTGCTTGCCTAAGAGCTACTACAATTGTTTTTTTTAATTTTTACCAAACCCTCCAGTGAAATAAATCCTCTATTTTCCCACTTCTAGCTAAGAATACTTGGTGTAAAACTTCATTCATTCTCTTGCACAAACCTCAAACATGCTTACCCTTCAATTCTGTCACATCATCTGTGACAGAAATTGTCCCTGGATGAACCTAGCTGTCTTTTTCACAGCTGCATATGCCTAGACAACTGTGATTCAAATTATCATCTCTATTTAGATGACTACTCTCAAACTGAAGAGCTTGAGGCAAGCATCCGGGTGCAGGTGGTTCATTTGGGAGGTAAGCCTAGAAAGCAGAATTGAAGGAGTTGGGTGGGAAGTGGGAGAGGGGAGGAAACAAGGCTAATCAAGACTACATTTTTAAACTGGTTACCACTATAGCAAATGGGGCTCATTCCCACTGGAGATCCACAAAGGATTGTGTAAATTGTACCCCAAATTATCCATCTAAAGGACAGAGAGGCTGAAGTCTTATCCATCAACTACCATCTCCCTTAGTTTGGGGGTGGCCCCATGGGCATTACCTTACCCACACTTCTCATCAGTACCTGAGCTGCATTCCCTGCCAGAGGAGAAAGACCTGAGGCACAAAGGAAGAGAAACACTGCAGTGTGTGCTGCGACACATGCTCGAGATAGGATATTGGCAACGTGCACAGAATCTTTCACCACAGCTGCATGGACATACGGCTCAGAGCATCCAAAGCCTGCTATCAGCCTATGTAGCTCTCCAGGCTACACAGCCATTCCTGCCTCCATACTAAATCTTAAAAATCTTTTATGGTATGTCTTCTTTTAGATGCCCCACAGACACCTCCAACTAAAAATGACAGAAACTGAGAGGAGTCAGAAACACATCCATGGATTTAAACTTTTTGAGAGAATTTGCTGATGGCAACAGTATGGGGCTTCCTCAACTGAGTGGTTTTGCCGAAGGATGAGGCTGTGAGGACCCCTGCCAGGCTCTGGAACCCAGGCATCAGCAATTCTTCTTGAATTGGGACATGTCAATTAGACTGACTGTCCCACCCCTAAAGAATCGGTGGCACTCAGGCCTGTGCACCGGCATTTCCACATTCTGTGGGGCGATGTAACTCCTGTTGTTGTTGCTGGTCTTATTATTTTTCAACTCCAGGATATAGGCTATCTGACAAGTCACCGATACATACTGCAAAATGCATTGTTCAATACAGGTTCAACTGTCTTCCCTCTCAAAATGTCATACAAGAAGTTTTGTTTCCAATTACATACTTATTTTGATATCTCTAAACAATCCTTTGTTGGTTCTCTTTTATTTAATTTATTTATTTATTTTGTATTTTTAGTAGAGACGGAGGTTTCACCATGTTAGCCAGGCTGGTCTCGAACTCCTGACCTCAGGTAATCCACCCACCTCAGCCTCCCAGAGTGCTGAGATTACAGGTGTGAGCCACCACGCCCGGCCATAACATCTGTTCATTTCCTTACAAGTAAACAACAACAGGTTCACATCTGTATGAGCAACATAATTTTACCCTTTTGAAAAATATATTTTAACAACTTTGGAAGTCATAATGAGATGTCCAATAGATTCACCTGTAAGAGTCAGGTAAACATTGCTGACAAGGAAGTGCACCTCATGAGCAGTTAAAGCCTAAGCATGTCCTTTCTTCGCTCTCATAGGTGAATCCAGAGCACCAGTAGAGCTTTGTTGACACCCTCGACTTCTCATTTGAAATCCTCTCTCTACAAATTTTGTGTTTCTGTTTTGTTCTGGTTCACTTAAAGCCATTAAGTTACTCCCCCTTATTGAGAGAAATGGTTTGAAATCCAATTTTAAGGTCTAACAATCTGGAGATCTAAGTGCATCCATGGTTTACAGAAATCTAGTCCCTATTGGGTGACAGGCAACAGAAAGTCTGGTTTGTCATCCTTTTTGTTAGTTTATTTTTCTAAGCTCAAATCACTTAAGAATTTCATGCCCTTTGAGAGGAAAAGAGCTATTAAAATCTGGACTGAGGAGATTTTCTGATTTTGTGTTCACTCTTGATCCATGCCTGAAATTGAAGAATTGAAGCTACAAACTCTATTTCTCTCTATCTGTATGTCTATATGTCTGTAATATCCTCACCTCTGATTGTACGAGTGTGTAATGTTTTCCTACCTATGCACAGTACTAATATATTAGATTATAAACTCTCCCAAATTAAAAGAGTTCTATTCTGATTGGCATATCCAGAAAAATAACTGCTTATATAAATTGAATATAACTAGAATTTCCTAAAATACGGAAATTGTACTATTGATTTTTAAATGTGCTAGTTTAAAAAATGTATTATCCTAGAAACCAACTCAAAACCATTTTAAGAATTCAGACTTCTATAATTTATGTAACTCTTTGGCAAATAAGACTAGTTTAAGACTTTGAGTTTAATGTAAACATCTCTGATTTATCAGTGTCATATTTAATACAAGCATATATTTTTATACTCTTGAGTATGTTTCTCCTAAACTTATACAGCTTTTTGATCAAATGAGCTAGACTTACTCCTGTTAAATATTTAAAATAATTTAAAAACTTAAATCTATTTTTAAGCAACTTGAATCATTGTTCTGATAAATTTATAGTTCCATAGTAATGAGGTTGTGTAGTATGTTACCCTGAAGAGCATTTCCAAAATCTTTAGATAACTGAAGATCTTGGCCATTCACTGGCTTTCTAGATCATTTCTAAGTAAGATAGAATACTGAAAAATTTATTAGTAAGTACAGTTTTCATTTATACACTATTGCTTGTTATTTGTACATGCTACAAAGAGGCTCTATCTTTGGGTCTGTAAATGAACATGTTCATTTCTGCCACACTGTGGAATTAAATAAGGGAAGTATGTGGCTGGATAAAGCTCAGTGAAGTATATTCATGAGATTGGCTAGGCTGCTAAAATGACAGAAATTCACAATTATCTACTCCTTCATTTTCTTTGTGAAATACAAGGGGCTGCTTAAAAGTTATAATTAATACATGTGAATGAGATTACTAGGAATCTCAAGATAATGAAATTTTTATTATGGGCAAAAAAGTATATTTCTGTTCTAAAGAAAAATGACTTGTTCCAGGATAGGAATGAGGAAGAATGGTGAAGGATAAAACCTGAATGAATAAAGAAAGTTGTAGGAGGTTTGCAGAAAGAGTCTGGAAAGGAACACAATTTTGTGTTAACATTTTGCCAAATCTGGCTCAGTATTGATGGGTTTATTTGTGAGACTGTCAAAAGTAAATAGTGGGTTATTTAGAAGCAAATATTTCATTGAAACAAATCTAGAATTAGTTTTTCTGTGAAAATGAGTTTTCTTGGAGTACTGGTCTGTTCTTAATAAGAGGTTGTAAAAGATTACTTTTGGCGTAAATTTGTTTCCTATGACTGCCATAACATATTACCACAAACACAGTGGCTTAAAACAACAAATGTTTGTTGTCTTACAGTTCTGGAGATCAGAAGTCTGAAATCAGTTTGGCTGGGCTGAAGTCAAGGTGTCAACAGGGGCATGTTCCCTCCAGAGGATCAAGGAGAGAATCCATTTTCTTGCCTTTTCCAGCTTCTACAACTGCATTCCTTGGCTCCTGCCTCTTCCCTCCATCTTCAAAGCCAGCAGTGCAGCATCTTGTTTCACTCCTCACATTGTCTTCTTCCTCCGTGATCAAGCCTGCTGCTGCCTCTCCCTTATAAGAACATTTGCCCTCTCCCTCTCCCTCTCCCCACGGTCTCCCTCTCCCTCTCTTTCCACAGTCTCCCTCTGATGCCGAGCCGAAGCTGGACTGTACTGCTGCCATCTCGGCTCACTGCAACCTCCCTGCCTGATTCTACTGCCTCAGCCTGCCGAGTGCCTGAGATTGCAGGCGCCCGCCGCCACGCCTGACTGGTTTTCGTATTTTTTTGGTGGAGATGGGGTTTCGCTGTGTTGGCCGGGCTGGTCTCCAGCTCCTAACTGCGAGTGATCCGCCAGCCTTGGCCTCCCGAGGGGCCGGGATTGCAGACGGAGTCTCGTTCACTCAGTGCTCAATGGTGCCCAGGCTGGAGTGCGGTGGCGTGATCTTGGCTTGCTACAACCTCCACCTCCCAGCCGCCTGCCTTGGCCTCCCAAAGTGCCGAGATTGCAGCCTCTGCCCGGCTGCCACCCCATCTGGGAAGTGAGGAGCGTCTCTGCCTGGCCGCCCATCATCTGGGATGTGAGGAGCCCCTCTGCCTGGCTGCCCACTCTGAGAAGTGAGGAGCGCCTCTTCCCGGCCGCCATCCCATCTAGGAAGTGAGGAGCGTCTCTGCCCGGCCGCCCATTGTCTGAGATGTGGGGAGCGGCTCTGCCCCGCTGCCCCGTCTGAGAGGTGAGGAGCATCTCTGCCCGGCCGCCCCGTCTGAGAAGTGAGGAGCCCCTCCGCCCGGCAGCCGCCCCGTCTGAGAAGTGAGGAGCCCTTCCGCCCGGCAGCCGCCCCGTCTGAGAAGTGAGGAGCCCCTGCGCCCGGCAGCCGCCCCGTCTGAGAAGTGAGGAGCCCCTGCGCCCGGCAGCCACCCTGTCTGAGAAGTGAGGAGCCCCTCCACCCGCAGCCACCCCGTCTGGGAAGTGAGGAGCATCTCCGCCCGGCAGCCACCCCGTCCGGGAGGGAGGTGGGGGTCAGCCCCCGCCAGGCCAGCCGCCCCGTCTGGGAGGGAGGTGGGGGGTCAGCCCCCGCCCGGCCAGCCGCCCCGTCCGGGAGGTGGGGGTCACCTCTGCCCGGCCGCCCCTTCTGGGAAGTGAGGAGCCCCTCTGCCCGGCCACCACCCCGTCTGGGAGGTGTACCCAACAGCTCATTGAGAACGGGCCATGATGACAATGGCGGTTTTGTGGAATAGAAAAGGGGGAAAGGTGGGGAAAAGATAGAGAAATCGGATGGTTGCTGTGTCTGTGTAGAAAGAAGTAGACATGGGAGACTTCATTTTGTTCTGTACTAAGAAAAATTCTTCTGCCTTGGGATGCTGTTGGTCTATGACCTTACCCCCAACCCTGTGCTCTCTGAAACATGTGCTGTGTCCACTCAGGGTTAAATGGATTAAGGGGGGTGCAAGATGTGCTTTGTTAAACAGATGCTTGAAGGCAGCATGCTCGTTAAGAGTCATCACCACTCCCTAATCTCAAGTACCCAGGGACACAAACACTGCAGAAGGCCGCAGGGTCCTCTGCCTAGGAAAACCAGAGACCTTTGTTCACTTGTTTATCTGCTGACCTTCCCTCCACTATTGTCCTATGACCCTGCCAAATCCCCCTCTGCGAGAAACACCCAAGAATGATCAATAAAAATAAAATAAAATAAAATTAATTAATTAATTAATTTTAAAAAAAAAGAACATTTGTCCTGGGCCCACCTGCACGACCTACAATACAATAATCTCCCAACCTCAATCTCTTTATCTGCAAAGTTCCCTTTGCAGATATAAAGTGACATACACAGGTTTCAGGGAGTAGAACCTGAATATCTTTGGGGTCATAATTTAGCCTAAAATATTACCTATGTAATCCTATCCTAAAAGTAGGGATTTGGCATCTTACCACAATAACACTTTTTTTCCCTGACTTTATCATGCCCTTGATTATTCTCTTCAAAAACAAAAAAAATTTGCATTAAGAATGTGTCAAGGTCTTTTGGATGTTTATCTAAACATTGTACTGTCACTTTAATTAATAGATAGCCAAGCTACAACCATTCATGTACTCAGTCACTCATGATCCTAACTTAATTCTCAAATCTTCTAGCAATTTTGCCTTTCAAAATAAAATTCAAAATTTTAAATGAAATAAAATGAAACTCTATAAATCTTTTACACTTAGACTTATCTTTGAGATTTCCAACAGAGTACCTAGAAAATAGGAAAGATTTGTTCTTTCACCTTATAAAAAGACAGATATTAGATAAAATTAGCTTTGTTGCTGTTAGTATTGATGAGTTGCATGGAAAAAAATAAAATCAAAAGAGGTGTTCTTCAGCCTGGGCAACATAAGTTAGATCCTGTCTCAAAAAAAAAAAAAAATCAGCCAGGCATGGTAGTGTGCACCTGTATTCCCACCTACTTGGGAGGCTCAGTGGGGAGGATGGCTTGAGCCCAGGAGTTTGAGGCTACGGTGAGCCATGATTGCACCACTGCACTCCATCCTGGGTGACAGAGTGAGACCCTGTCTCAAAAAAAAAAAGAAAGAAAGAAAGAAAGAAAAAGAAAAAGAAAAAAAGAAAAGAGGTACTCAGCCTTCCCTAGATTAAATCTGAATATGAAATATATTATTAGTATAAATATTTCAGAAGTTCTAGATTGTATGAGAAGTTCCTAGAGATTTGTCAGTGCCCCCACTGTCCATAGTATGTTTCTAATGATCATAGTCCTGCTGGTGCTTTCCTTCATAATATTAGGCAATAAAATTATAGTGTTAACAGTCATCATTTCAGTAGATTTCTAAAACTATCTAGTCACAACTTTCTCTTTTAAGTTATTTTTTTTTTTTTTGAGACAGAGTCTCGCTCTTTCACCCAGGCTGGAGTCCAGTGGCGCGAGCTCGGCTCACTGCAAGCTCCACCTCCCGGGTTCACGCCATTCTCCTGCCTCAGCCTCCCAAGTAGCTGGGACTACAGGCGCCCGCCACCACGCCCGGCTAATTTTTTTTTTTTTGTATTTTTAGTAGAGACGGGGTTTCACCATGTTAGCCAGGATGGTCTTGATCTCCTGACCTCGTGATCCGCCCGCCTTGGCCCCCCAAAGTGCTGGGATTACAGGCGTGAGCTACCACGCCTGGCTTCTCTTTTAAGTTTTATGAAGCATCTTCCCTCATGGCTTTTTAAATTGAGGATACACATCAAATCTTTTTATGGAGGTATAGTAAAATACAGATGTCTAGAATCTACTGTAGACTTACTTCAAAATAGGATTAATCATTATGCTTACATATGTTTTGTTCAAAACTTTTTTACATTGGCTTTATTATCTTATTTTGTATGTCACAATTTCTTCTTCAGTTGTATTATGTTTGTTATGTACTTCCACTAGACTTTTCACTTTATCACAAGTCATAAGTGAACCACAGGCACTTTAAGTGTCTATCATCTCCAGATACTTTTTTTCTTTTGAGACGGAGTTTCATTCTTGTTGCCCAGGCTGGAGTGCAATGGCGTGACCTCGGCCCACTGCCACCTCCACCTCCAGGGTTCAAGCGATTCTCCTGCCTCAGCCTCCCGAGTAGCTGAGATTACAGGCATGCACCACCAAGCCCAGCTAATTTTGTATTTTTAGTAGAGACAGGGTTTCATCATGTTGGTCAAGCTGGTCTTGAACTCCTGACCTCAGGCTATCCACCTGCCTTGGCCTCCCAAAGTGCTGGGATTACAGGCGTGAGCCACCACGCCCGGCTGATACTTTTTTTTTTAAGAATTGTGGTCTCATTTTGTGGCCCAGGCTAGAGTGCAGTGGTGCAATCGTAGCTCACTGCAGCTCAGAACTCCTTGGCTCAAGAGATTCTCCCAGCTCAGCTTCCCATGTAGCTGAGACTACAGTTATATACCACCACATCCAGCTAATTTTTAAAATATTTTTGTAGAGACGGAGGTCTCACTATGTTGCCCAGGGTGGTCTTGAACTCCTGGCCTCAAAAGTTCCTCTTGCCTCAACCTTCTAAGTTGCTGGGATTACAGGCATGAGCCAGCATGCCTGGCTCTCCAGATAGTTTTTTATTTACACTGATGTTTCCCTAATGACCCTACAATCAGCTACAGGAGGGAGATTTTGTCTTCAGCAAAGAAGGATTGTCTTAGAGCACCATGAAAAACGTCACTACCTCAGGTACTTCAAAGACTAGGCTCCTGAACACAGGCTTCTCATGACATCACATCACCACATTTAAGATAATGGTTAGTGGACAGAGTCAGAATTTCCAGAACACCTTAACTGAGACAAATTTGTGTTCATAACACAGTTTAATACAATGTCCAGTGGAACAAAATCTAAGTTTGCAAAGTCCAAAGACCTATACTATAAAATCAGCACTTTTCTCCTGACCTGTCTGGCCTTACCCAAATAAAGCACAAGTGAATATTCTTGGGAGTGAGTTATTGAGTGCTTCCCAAGAAATCCAAGAGACCCTAACACCTTGGTATTGAAGACTTTAGCTTCTTTTTCTCAGAGGAGAACATTAAACACTTTCTCTTTTGAGACCCCTTTTTCAGGATACAATAGAGGAAAGAGCCCCAATAACAGGTAAGGAAGGCCAGGCCATCATTCTACTGTGCTGCCCACTCACCATGTGACTTTATAAGAGCTGATTACTATCACTGGGCCTCAGTGGCCTCAGCTGTAAAATGGAGACCCTGTACTCTGAACCCTATTTACCCATTTTCCATAGAACTATTTTGTTAGGAAAAGAGCACAGTCATAAGTACACATCTCTAGCTGAGTTTTGAAATAATTTTTCCATTTTTCTCACTGGAAACTGATGGGTCCCCAAGTAAACTACACTGTAGGAGACCAGAACCCAGTTCTGCCTCTCCTTTCATGAAGACTCCCTTTCACAGTTGCCTTGGTGAATTCTTTTTATCCTACATTTCAGAACTCAACAATCTCACATCTGCCGCATCTAACATGCCCCACTGATGCTAATTGGTTTCCTTAATATCTTTTGCTTTAACAGAAGTAGTTCAGCAACATTTTCACCAGTATTATGCTAAAGTCCTAAATATAAGAAGGATAAATCTGTTTTCATGAAGACTCTGAAGGAGAAACAATACCAACTGTAGGTCCTGTTTACTGCTTTTCATTAGATTTAAAATCTAAATCTAAATCTAAAAAGTTTGAGGACTGGTACAATGAAATATCTGTTACCAGTCAGTTATGATAAGTATGGACATTGAGAGCTGGCATTTAGGAATCTGTATAGCATCTGATTTAGCCACAACATTTAAATTAGTGGGCTCACTTTTTGAACAAGGTATATACCAGTGCAGTTGTTAAACTCAAATGACAAGTCAAATATGAGTGGCATACTAGTAATACAACCACATATCAGTTCACAATTTACTGGAACAAGAAAAACAAGGAAGTTTGCTACTACTGGTCCTACCCCAATGATATTTTGAGAAGCAATGCACAATATACTACTTCATTAAATGAGATTGATTGTTCTGAGTACTGTGAACTTAGAATTAACTTGTAGTGAGAGTAACAAACTCAAGTATCTCTATTAATCAGACAACTACTATAAATTAATGAAGTGAATCAGATATGGGACTTTATAGGGAAGAGTGTGGAAGGAATGTGGCAAACCAGAGGCCCAGTCTTCATGGTGCAGTAGCTAGTCATCTCTATGTGACTGTAATCATGTGTACCCTCCTTTTTACTTCTCAAGAGAGCCAGAAATCCAGACTTTCAGGTAAAATGTTATTGATTTTCAAATGCTACCAGCTCATTAATTTTCTTTTAAGATGTCTGCTTAGAACTAGCAAACCTATCTGCCATCCAGATTGAGTTGTAAGATGCCACTTTGTAGACTGCGCTTTAGGAAATAATATATTAGAGATTAGTACTGTCAGGGTTGTCCTTAGGGCCATGTGGAAGATGTGCTTGTCTAAATCCCAGAAGTCTTTCTTGCCATATCATGTCCACTGAACCTCATATTTCCAGGCACCTCATTGTCAAGCTGCCCACCCCACCACTGCATGATTCCTTAGGGAGCGCCGTGGAGCACTCCCAGCCTTAGCCCAGCTGCTCGCTTCCTCTTCTGTGCATTTGAGCTGCAAGCAGGCCTCTCTCCAGCAGCTTCAGGTGGGGAGTCTCCTTCAGCTCATCACTTCATGGCAACAGCAGCACCCCCTCCCCTGGCCGAAGTGAAACATCTTTGTGTCCAGGACATGGGTTTCTCACAGCCCAGTTTTTAAACACATAACCGCTATTTCCTTCATTCTCAGGACACTCCTGTGAATTAGCCAAAGGCCAAGCTGGGTCCTTCTGCTTAGACAGAGGCAGAGAGAGGGCGAGTCACAAGGCAGGAGGAGAAAAAGGGACACCAGAGTGGGGACTGCCTGGCTCGTGTCCCTCTTCCGCTGTCTCCTTCCTCTGCTGGGCACTCTCCTGTCTCTCCATAGGGCTCAGCAGGATGTCACTCTCACAGCCAGTGGCCCAAGTGCCCAACAGTAACCTGAGAACCAGACCCAGATGTACCCTGGGGAAGCCTGCCTGCGTGTCTGGGGTTAGGGGAGGAGACAGATGCAGCTGCTTATTAAGGGCCACACTGTGCATATCCAAAGTGGACTCAATCTTTGGGAAAACTAAAGATAGAGGGACTCTCTGCTATTTTACACATGAGCAAACCTGCCCAGCAGGAGTAAATGAAAGTCCAAGATCACATGGCCAGAAAGTGGTGAACTAGGATCTCAAACCCAGGTTGTCTGATCTGTTATTGAATCTGGCTGGGCAGCATCTGGCCAACAGGCAGCAGAATGTGGCCACAGAGGATCCAAGGAACAGGTGAAAACCTAAAATATGGACATTCACAGGCAAGGGGACAGATTGCTACAACACTTGATGTGACACCTTTTTTAAACAGTACAGAGCACAAGTTTTTAAAAGTACAGTACATGCTTTAGAGGCCATCACTCAAGACAGAATTACATAGGTTATTTCTATACCTTTTGAACCTGTTTTTGGCCATTGATAACTCTATGCTGTTCTATGAAATACATGATCATACACAGATTATTTTTTCTGGGAATGCGATTGATAATTGTGTTTATAATGGAATACATTTACAAATAAGTTTTGTAATATTTTGTAACCATTAAGAACTGATTGGATTGCATGTCCTAGGCCAGAGAGCTTTTATATAATGTTACTACTTAATTTAACAGTGTCCACAAGAGGACAGAAGAATATATTCCAAACAATGTGTCATAGTACCAGTTACTAATCCCTGTCTCAAGTCCTCTTTTGGAATGAGGCAGGGTACAAATAAATAAATAAAATAACATGACCATAACTTTTTTTTTTGCATTTTTTCCTTATGTTTTCCCCATCACTCCTCAATCTCCATGTAAAGCCTGTCCCATGAAGTTCATGCCAGCTAGTATGCAGTGTGCCCCCTCTCCACCCATCCCTGTGGCTACTGCCCTCTGACTTCAGACCTTTGCTATTCTGAATAAAGCCTCCCGCACCTCAGTCAGAGTCTGCAGCTCCACCCTAGGTCCCAGCATCAGGTTAGGAATTTATCAAGCCTAGGAGGCTCCCAGCAACTACCTGGCCTCACAAGGCCTTCCAGTTCAAAGCCAATGAGGAAGTCTCTATATCTTTATCCCCAGTCAGCTCCTCCCGCCAGGGCCAGTGCTCTCACCAACCACTGGAAACTGCCCCTTCTAAAATCACTGATTCAAACACCCCACACTGGCAACACCTTCCACCCATTCAGCTCTCTATGGGATAGCTTCTCCTGGATGTCTCAAGGACACCTCCAACCCAAAATGAGAGAACCTGAGAGAAGTCAGGGGCACTGTCATTAAAGACTTTAATAGCATGGGCTGATGGCAGCAGCCTGGGGTCTCTCATCTATGGGAATTTTTGAGGCTGGATGAAATTGTTGATGAAGTCCTGCCAGGTTCTCAGACCCAAGCATCCCTCCTTCTCGGGCTGGGGCACCTCATCAACCTGATGGTGGGTACATCCTCCAAGAGGCATCTGAGCTGCTTATCCTTGTGCATGGCCCTCTCTATGTGTTCTGGTGTGATGCGCACCCTGCAATTGTTCTGGGCCTTCTTGCCTGCCTGCTCCAGGATGTTGGCCATCAGATACTAGAGAATAACAACCAGGAAAACAGGTGTGGATGAGCTCAGGCACTGGGCATACTGACCTCGCAGAAAGCCGTCCATGTGGCTAACAGGAAACTGCAGCTAGGCTTTTGTGGAGCAGGGAAGAATCTCCTTTCTAAGGCTCCTTTTTGCCTTCACATGGTCTTGGTGAGTTTTGTTTTGATCAGCCCTCGTCGATTTTCCCACTAGCCTGAGCCTCTCCAGGTACCAGTGCTTATTCCCGCCCACTGTGCTCCAGGCCCTCCTTGGTCAGGGAGCTGCCTTCAAGACAACCTCAACTTTGTGATATTATTGGTGTTCACTGAGCCCTGATCAAGCCCGGCCTCAAAATGTTTCTGACAGGAACCTGCTCACCCTAATAACTGGACCGTCTTTTTGAGGAAAGTCTAACTTTGTACTTGACTTAAACATTCTAGCAACAACAAAAAAAATGTGTTTCAATCAAAACATTGTCCTGTCTTCAGTATACCAATCCAGGTTCTCTGATTCTAGCTTTGTATTGCCAGTGAGCTCATTTACATTCTTCTGTAAGCTATAAGTCACTAACAGACATGCTCAATGTCTTGTACAGTAGAGGTTCAAATGTCACCCCCCCATGCTGTAATAAAACCAGTTTTACTTCCATTTACATATTCATTTTGATATCTCTAGTCAATATTCCTATGTCTGTCCTTTGGGTTATCTTATAAGCTGGTCCGAAGAGAACATCTGCTTGTTCTCTCATGAGTTAAATAGAATCTTTAAAATGTATTCATTTCTTTAAGTCTGGAACTGAAAGTAAAATATACCTCGCAAACCTGTCACTACCAAGACAAATGGAGATCCATGGCTACAGCAGTCCATATCAGGAACTGGGAATTATTCTTGACATCTCTCACTGCCTCACCTTCATATCCAATCAATCATCACATTGTTCCACTTACGCATTCTTAATATTGCTCCAATAATCCACTCTGACTATTCCAGTCCAGGCCATTATTCTCACCTTGACAACTATAGTAGCCCACTTCCTAGCCTCTCCATTTGTTTCTTCACTCTCTTCAAATACATTTTGCAGAGTAATCAGTTTCTAAAACTAAATTTGATCATGACACTTGTTGCTTAAAACTCATCAGTGCCTTCCCATTGCCTCTGGAATAAAGCTTGAAATCCTGGGATGCTCTTTCCTGATTTTTCTTCACCTGGCTTCTTTTCTTCATCTAGCAGTTTTCAGTTTAAATCTAAGTTTTGGAAACATTTGCCTCATTTCCCAGACTCGGTTAGACAACCCCCAATATACCCTCAGAGAGGCTACTTATCTTTCACTTTGCAGGATTTACCTTAAATAAAATATGCATTTGATTAATAATTTGTGTGATGTTTATATATCCTATTTGAAGATGATTGGGGCCTGCCTACCTTATTCACCACTTTATCCTCAGAGACCAGCACAGGGTCTGAAACACAGAACATACCCAAGAAATACTCATTGAGTCCATAAATAAAGTCACACAAATCTAACCTCAAATTCTGGCTCCTCTATCTGACTATAAGTACAATTTTCCTCCTCTTTTTTTTTTTTTTTTTTTTTTTTTTGAGGCAAGGTCCTCCCAGGCTCAAGCAATCCTCCCGCCTTATCCTCCCAAGTAGCTGGGACCACAGGCATGCACCACCACTCCCTGCTAATTTTTGTATTTTTTGTAGAGATGGGGTCTCGCCATGTTGCTCAGGGTGGTCTCAAACTCCTGGGGTCAAGCGATTTGCCCACCTTGGCTTCCTAAAGTGCTAGGATCACAGGTGTGAGCCACTGTGTCTGGCTCAATTTCCCTCTTTACTAAGATGGAGATAATATTATCTACCTCAGGGACACTGAAAATGAAACACAAGGATGCCTATCACAGTGCCTGGCACAAATCAAGGGTTCATGAAACAGCCATTTTTACTACCAACATTACCACCTTGAGTAGAATAGAGAAGGGCACTGTGAGGGCCAGGCAAGCCAAATGGCAGGCTGCAGGGGCCTTCACAAAGCACAGTAACATTGGTATGCTCACTTAGGCTTCAACCCAACCCATCCTCCAAGATCTGGAGACTTGAGCAAGCCCTTGCTGAGAACTGATTAGACTCAGGGAATCTCAGGATGCCCAAATTCACCCAAGACTGAAGCTCACAGACACAGTGTCCGTTATTCACTGACTATGAGAAAGAAAACTTCCCAATAGCATATGATTCCACTGATATGAAAGATTCATAATAGTCAAATCCATAGAGACAGGAAGTAGATTAGTAGGCTGCCAGGGGCTAGGGGCAGGGGAAATGAAGAGTGACTGTTAATGAATAGGGGACTTATTTTTGGTGTGATGAAAATGTTCTAAAACTAGACAGTGGTGGTGATTGTATAACATTGTCAATATATTGAAACCTACTGAATTGTACACCCAAAGTAGTGAAATTTATGTTATATGAATTATATTGCAATGAAGAAAAACAATAACTCTCCAGTGACCATGTAGCTGGCTCTCCCTTCTCTCCCTCATGGCAAACTCTGCTAATGCCAAATCCATCAATGTTTGCTCAATGAGCACAGAATCAGAGAGAGAGGAGAGAGTTACAGAATTTGAATGCTGAATAGGGTCATGTTGTGATGGACTCTATGTCCTTCTGTCAAGAGGGACACATTTCTATTCATCTGGACTGCATTTAGATGATGTGGCAGACACTGTCAGTTGCCTATTCATTTTCCATTCCTCTCACTATCTTAAGAGAACATGGTTTTGTTATGGGTGGCAATGGGCCCAACCACACGCAGGCCATGACTAGTCTAATCCAATGTTCTCAAACTTTGCTGATAATAAAATCACCTGGAGCCCTTGTTTAAATAACAAAAGGGAAATAAAAAGAAAACACATAACCTTGGCTCCCATCCCAGACACAGCAAATCACAATTTCCAGAGATGAATCCTGGTAATCTATATATTTAACAAGCCCCCAGGTAACTCTAATCATCATCATCAGGGAAGTTTGAGGAATATTAGTCTAAGCCATTGGTGGCAAACATTCCTAGACCTGGCTTTCCTAGCATCCCTTTAAGCTAAATGACTGATCAGTTCTGGTCAGAGACCTAAAGTCATTTCTGTTAGGGAGATTTCTGGAAAAGCTATAGTTTTTAATAAAAGGAGGAAGACAAAGTAAAGTCTATTAGGGAAATTTATGAAAAAGCTATATTCATTAATAAAAAGAGAAATATATCTACCCTTCCTTCTTCAGCCCTTCTTCCTATTTTGAATGTAGCTATGATGGTTGGAAATGCAGTAGCAACCCAAGCAAAAGGCCAATGGATTGGCAGGGACATCAACTTTGCCACTATTGAGCAGCTGAAATACTGTCAGCAACTGTCTACTTCCAATTTCCAGTTAGATAAGAAAAATAAACTCTAGGTTAACTTTACAGTTAGGTGTTTCTTCCTTGCACCAAATGCATTTCTAACCACATGACAGACACTACCAACATTTGCCTTTGTGGCACACCCTAGACCATGCTCCATTCATAAGGGTCTTACCCTTTCCGGGTGAGATATTCCCTCCTTATATATGTTAAGGCAGTGATTGGGGTTAGTCAAGACCTGCATAAATGGCAGCCATCTATCTTTTTAACAAGACCATGCCCACTTCCTTTTTCCATATCTATTTGATTTATCATTTAACTCTCAGAGGACTTCTGTTTTTCCAAGTTCTTTTGGGACATTTCAGATATCCCTTGTGACACTGACATTTTACAAGACAGATTTTATTTTTCCTGAACAGAATTATGTCTGAAAAATTATAACAAGGGTTGGCAAACTTTCTTTGTAAAAAGTTAGTAAATATTTTAGGCTTTGTGGGCCACATTATGTTTATTGCAACTACTCGACTCTGTTGTTTTAGTCCCAAAACAGTCACAGACAATACATAAATGAAAGAGCAGGGCTGCATTCCAATAGAACTTTATTGACAAAAACGGGCAGTGCCCAGATTAGGCCCATGGGATGTAGTTTGCCAACCCTTCAACTGTGAGACAATCTTCACTAAAAAAACTTGAGGAAAAAAATTGGATCTACCTCTAAAAATCAAATAGGCTATCATCACATCTGATTTCTTGCTGTATCCCTGCCACTTGGAAAAACAATAAACTAGGAAAAAGAGTATAGTGGCATGCAGCTTGGTCAAGACCCATTCCAGTTATAATTCCTTAGAGAACACGGATGTTGCTATATTTATTGAGCTTTTACTCCCTACCAGGTGTTGCGGAAAGTATTTACATATAAATGTTGATCCATTAAGGTTCAAGATCTCTACTTAAGATCCTGACTCATATTTTAAGAATCATAATCAGGCAACCTGGATAAGGGAGATGGCTCTAACATGTAAGTATCCTGTGACTCTGACATGAATTATTACTAGCCAGTCTAAAACATAGGCAGAAAGAGGATAAAACTGAGTGAAGTAAAATAAATAAGAGTCTTTCTTATCTTCAATGTTTTCTTAAACATGTATTTTTTCAACTTACGGCTTTTAAATCATTTTGTATACCGATAATAAAACTTACCATAATGGTTTTCGTTTACCCATAATATTAATACTTGGGAGGGGGTTGTTTCCACTTCTCATTTGTAGGCTTTTCATTAAAATCTTGACTCTGATGCAAATAGTGTTTTTTTTTTTTAACTTAACCAAAATCTGCTCTTAATTTGATGATGTGAGAATAGCCCAAAGGTAGAATATTGTCTTGACTTATAAACTGATATACCTATTACAAGTCTAAGAAGACAGGAAAGTGGCCTTGTTCCATTATTCACCACAAAGTTGTTAAGCCAACTGTCTCAACTAGTTTAGAACTAGCACTGAAAGACAGAGTGAAATCCCAAGAGAAGCAGCCTCCAGTAGCTGTGTTTTCAGCCTCTGGTAAACTGTATTTTCTAAAAATGGCCACAGTGGTATTTTTGGTCCCAGGTGATCTTCTAGAACTCTACCATTCCACAACAAGAGTCAGAGTTTGCTTCCCTCTCCTCTCCCTTGAATCTGGGCAGAACTCTGTAAGTATTTCAACAATGAGAAGGAAGCAGAAGTGATGTCCCACAACTCCCAAGCCTGGATCACAAAAGCTGATGTGGCTTCCATCTGGCCTTCCCTCCTTCTTAGAACACTCACCCTTGGAAGCAGCTACCATGCTATAAGGAAGCCCAAACTCACCCACACAGAGAAATCAAATGGAGAAGATCTGAAACTCCCAGCAACAGCCAATATCAAAACATGTGAACAACAAGACATGTGAGTGAAGGGGCCTTGAATAGATTCTAGCCCCCTACCTTTGAGCCACCCTAGCTGATCCACAGTGGATCACAGATTAGGTAACCCTTTTGAGCCCTGCCTAGAATGCAGAGTCATAAGCAAAATAAACGTTGTTATTTTAATTGAGTTTTGAGCATAGTAACTAGAACACAGATTCAGAATTAAGTGCACTTAAGAACAAATTTCCTTTGAAACAAAATAAACTGCATATTTTGCTTCTCATTTTGATCCCCAAATGCAGGCAGAAATAAAAAATACACGTACTTCTTCCAACAGTGACGTCCTGCTGCATGACACTTATGTACAGCTGTAGGGTCAGCTGGGGGGCTGAGCCCAAGAAAGCCTGGATCACCGACGCCCGGCTGAACGCTGATCGGTGGGTGATTAGTTTGCCTTCTGCCTGGCCCACCTCCTTCTCAATCTCCTCTGAGAGGCCATTTTTTGGCATTTGCCTCTTCTTGGTGATACTGACATAAGGCTCTTCATTGTTGCCTGACTGAAAGTAGATGCAGAAGACTTCAAAACACCTGAAAACAAATCAGGAAATCATAATAATTAGAGACAGACAGGATTCTGACTTTCCATGCTCATCCTACTTACCTTTAGCCTGATTCTTAAAGCCTTGACTTGGCTACTCTGAACTATAGTCACTCTTCTAAATCAACTACTCCAAGGACCAGTTCTCAGTATGCAGTCCTCTTGATGCTTTCCAGCAGGCCAATGGGAATTGAATGAGAACCAAATGAAGAGGTAATACCAAAGGCCACTGAAGCAAGGAAATCTCTTAGAGAATGGAAAGTGGTTCCGGCTCCAGAGCCACAGAAAAAATGTGCAGTTTCCCTTCCTGACACATACTAGCTGTGTAGCCATAGCCGAGTCACCTACTATCCCCACCCCAGCACATTCCCTCCACTATAAAGCAGATATAATACCCACTTTGTCATATTGCTGTGAAAAATGGTGATTATATAGTGTGACTGCATGCATGCATGCACGCACACACGTGTGTGTGTTCCACATCCAAAAGATGCCCCAAACCACCCCAGTTAAAGCAGAAGCTATGGCTCGGAAATCCTCCAGCACAGGGCAGCTTGCCATCTAGCATTTCACTGGGAGACCACAACATGTTACCTATCTCTGTTTTCATAAGTCCTTACAGGGCGGGACTAAAGTCAGTCCCAGACTTAATCAGTGACTTTTCCAGACTGAGAGAATACCTGGCTTTTAAAATTTGGATTTCCTCTCTAGGTAAAAATATGGATGCTGAAGTGGGAAGAATACTGATGTCTGTGATTAACTTTGAAGTACATACACACACACACACACACACACACACGAATTGATAGATGGATAAATATGTGAAACAAAATGTTAATTGTAGAATCTAGGTGGTGAGTACTTGG
The DNA here is from genome assembly GCF_000001405.40 of Homo sapiens. NCBI lineage: Eukaryota > Metazoa > Chordata > Mammalia > Primates > Hominidae > Homo > Homo sapiens. The sequence continues at coordinate 37,693,409 of NC_000023.11, read as the reverse complement.
GTGTTCACTATAGAATTCCTTAAACTTGTCTTCTGTGTGTTTGAAAATTTTCATAATAAAATGCTGGTTAAAAATGTGTTTTCCCTAGGAGTAAGAAAAATATTCATGGCCGTAGGTTTGTAACTTGTTAAAGGACTTTTTGTCCCTCCTCTAACATGCACTTTTATAACAACCTTATGATGCTGCCAGAAGATTTTAATGGCTTAATCTATTTCATTGAATGTTTATGTTATAATGTTAACTTTATACTCTCATCCTGAGGTGACTACGGCAACTGGAATGTATTTATAATTTGAAATAATAAAATAAAGCTTGATGTAAGAGAGGAAATGCAGGAACCTTTCTGGTGAGCTCAAAGTGGACATATTTTGTGATTAATACCATTGTTCATTTGTTGCTAGGAGAAAGAAGGTGTATGGTGTGTGTGGGTGTGTGTGTGGGGGGGGGTTGATTTGTGTACGACATTTTGTCCCATGGGGTCAAGAACACTTTAATATATTACATGAAAACAATGTAAAACCACACAGACCAGTTTTTTCAGTTGGAAATAATGTCAATGAAGTTCAGGCCATGAGTTCAATCCCAAGCACGTCCAATTGAATTTTCTCTGAAGGAAAACTCAAATTAATGACTGAGGACTGTATGAGGCCTAGCAACTTTACACTGTTGGACCACTGATCACATCAAAGATTAGAAAACAGAATGAACTGGCCGGGGGCAGTGGCTCACGCCTGTAATCCCAGCACTTTGGGAGGCTGAGGCAGGCGGATCACCTGAGGTCAGGAGTTTGAGATCAGTCTGGCCAACATGGTGAAACCACATCTCTACTAAAAATTAAAAAATTAGCCAGGCATGGTGGTGCACCCTTGTAGTCTCACCTACTCGGGAGGCTGAGGCAGGAGAATTGCTTGAACACAAGAGGCGAAGATTGCGCCACTGCACTCCAGCCTGGGTGACAGAGCGAGACTCTGTCTCAAAAAAACAAACTAAAACAAAACAAAAACAGAATAAACTGATAATCATCTTTATTCTCAAATATGAGATGAATGCGGGTGTGGTTTACTAAGTGCTGTGGGGAATGCAGACAGCTGGATACCCCTGCCTCATTTGGGGGCACTCACAATCTAAATGGGATAGTGGGACATATGCACAATAATAATAATAATAAACGAAAATTAATATTTATATAGCACTTTTAGTTATGACATGTTATCACGTATGATCTCACTTAGAAGAAAACGTATTGCAACAATTTAAATCATAGCATTATGTATAATAGCAAAATGCTGGGAATACTCTAAAGGTCCCAAAAATGAAAGAATAATTAAATAAACCCTAATATATCAATTCAATGAAACATTATACATTCCTTAACATCAATGGTATAGAAGTACATATACCAATATATAAATTTTTTTTAAAAGACAGTCTCACTCTCTCACCAACGTTGGAGGGCAGTGGTGTGATCATAGCTCACTGCAGCCTCCAACTGCTGGCCTCAAGGGACCCTCACTCCTGAGCCTCCTAAGTAGCTGGGACTCCAGATGCATGCCACTGTGCCCAGCTAATTTTATTTTTTGTGAGGAAACAGTCTCACTATGTTGACCAGGCTACGTATTTTTACCATATTTGGTATGTGAAAGAAGCAAATTACAATAGAATCATATATTTTAAATTCCATTTTTTGTAAAAAGAAAATCACATATATAAAAAATATATACAGATTACACACACATACCCACACATACATATAAACAGTGAAATGTTTGAGCTGGCTCATACTGACTCAAGAGAGCAGACTGTTAAAATAGGAATTTTGTGAGCCAGTTGTTAAACAACTGGTAGCTTGATCAATCATGATGAGAATATACGCATTTGAGAAATCAGCAAACACTGAAAATCAGGGCTTGTTTTCCCCAACAGTTTACTAGCATACCATTATAAAAATATTAGTAAAGATATACAACAAAAACATTAGGAATTGTTCTGTCTGAGCAGTCAAATGAGAGCTTTTATTTTCCTCATTGTGCAAATCTGTTTTCTGCTCTTCTGTCATTTCAAAAAATGTTTTACTTGCATAATAAAATCAAGCTTAGAGTTTTGAAAGACTAAAACATACAAATTAAATACCAGCATATGCTAAGAACTGAATGAACGAAATGAGGGTTCAGAGGAGAAAGTAATTTTCTTGATGCGAAGGAAGGGGCTATATGAAACTGGAAGCTTTCTGCAGAATTGTAGACAAAGTAAAACTTCCATGATCAGTTGATGGAAATGAAAGAAGGTCCTAAAGCTCAGGCGGAACCTCTTGTAAGCCACTGTTTTTTCCCAGGTGATACATTTGTATTAGCATAGAGTTTTACATGTAGTCATAGGTGTTTAATACATTTGTAAAAGGCCCCAAGACCTCCTGCCACTGTTGGTTAGGAAAACTGATAAGAAACAAACTACTATTCTTGGAATTCTGCAAGACTCATCTAATTACTCAAAATCTGTTCTTATTTTTTGGTTTTTTATTTGTTTGTTGCTTGAGAGGTCTAAATAAAGCCAGAAATTAGATACTTTTATCAAAACTGAATACTCAAGGTAGTTTTTCAGTATCATCTACACCAAGGGACAGCAAATTTTCTGTGAAGTATTTATAAAAAAGTAAATATTTTATGATTCACACGCCATGGTCTCTGTTGCAACTGCTCAAGTCTGTCTCTGCAATGTGAAAGCAGTTGTAGCCAGTACATAAACCAGTGAGCAACGCTGTGTTCCAATAAGACTTTACCTACTAAAACAGGTGATGGGGGTATTAGGCCTGTGGGGTACAGTTTGCTAACCCCAATGTAGATAATCAGTAGGTTGATCCTTATTTTTTACTTTATCCCATTTTCAAGCATCATATATCCCACTTTTCAAGTATCATAGCAGAAGGAGCTTATTCCTTAGCTGAAATCATGCATGCTGATGTGAGCATAAATAATCTGTGGTACCAGAGACCCTAATTAAAATACTTTTTCCAAAGAAATACTATAATTTCCAATAAGCCACATTATCTTCACATGACACACATGCTCTGTAAGCCTACACAAAACCCAAATTGGTTAAATAGAAAATGCTGCAAAACCTTTGAAAAGCCACTTGCTTAATCTCACTGAACCTCAATTCCTGGACTGTAAAAATAAGATAATGACAGTTAACTCACAGGGTTTTACCATGGATGAAATTAAATACTGTATGTAAAAGCACCTTGCAAATGAAAAAAAAATTCTCTTCAAATGTAGACTATTAATATTTTAAATTCTTTATAAAGTTTAATATAGAAAGATATACTATGGTGAATCATTTTGCAATGTTCTGGAAAGGTTTCGGGAACTTCTTAGCCTTTATTTTATAAGCTCAGATTTTTCATGTACCATTTTTTCCTCACTATACCAGTAATAAAAAAGAAATGAGGGGAATTCCTTGAAATTGTAACTCATTTATATTTATTCCTCCCAATTAATTTATAAAAATTAGCATAAATGTAAAAGAATGATAAACAGAATTTTTAAAATGTTTTTGTGTTTTAGGTAAGAGATCTTTTCCCTGCTCTGGTTTGCTAGAGTATCTATTATAATGCGCAATAAGATTTTCCTTAAAATTATAAATAAATTCAAGGCATTATCCAAAGTTCGTATCATTCAAACTCAGGCTTAATGTGAAAACAATCATAAAAACTGTAACTACCATTTTAAATACAAGACTGATACAAATGAAATATGGTGCTCTCCCTATGCCTCCCTAAAGGAAAGAAGGAGCAAAGCCTAGTTAGTAGTATTTAGTCCAGAATCATTAGTGTAATGTATTGCAGTTTAACTGGGCCATCGTGCTGCATGAACTCAAACGCAGCATCTACCTAGCAAAAACACGAGTTTGGCTAGTACTCATCCAAAGGCAAGAAGAGTTAAACTGTCAAAAAACAATTTAGAAATATTATTAAATCCAATCCATAAGGAAGGGGGTAAGAATCACCATGCCTCTCCTTTGTTTGAGGGAAATAATTTTTATCTTTATGTAAAGCTGATGTCTTAGAGTTAAAACAGAATCAAACAGTCAGCAGGAAGAAATTCCAGTAAGATATTAAGTCAGGCTAATACACAAGAACAAACTGCTTTTCTTTTAATCTGGAAGCTAAGAGACTTGGAACCACATTTTGTATCTCAGCTCTAAGGTCATGGGTCCAATAACTCCTTGAAATAAATCAGCTGCATTAGAATCAGTGACTCCTTGTTGATGGAAGGGGTTTGCCTGTTGTTTTGTTTTTTATCTTTTATTTTGTTTTTGCTCCAAGAAGACAATGGCCCATTCAGAACTTTCTGGAAATAGGTCTTTTTATAGTGTTGAAACTTTATATATAGCTGAGAAGTTATCTCTTCAAAGCACCAAAAGTTTTCTTTCCTTAATAAAGTTAAAATATTTTTATGGTAAAAACTGAAAAATATAGAAAAGTAGATAATTGTTTTATTATATAGTTTTATATATTTTCCAGGATATTATCACTCATAACCCCACTATTCAGAAATTATTATTCTTAACATCTTGGTATGTTTCCTTGAGTTCAGGTTTATACTTGTCATCCTGTTTTTATATATATTATGTCATTAGCTTTGTCTTGGGTTACTCTTCGTGTTTAGAAACACTTTAAATGGCAGCAATGATAGGGTATTATCATTTATTGGATTGCCAAGATGACCAAACTTTTTCTTAATTTAAAATGGAACTACTAATAGAATGTACTACACAGTCCTCTGCTTTCTTCCACTGAGCATAGGGAATATAATTAGCTCTTTTTAAGGAGGCTTGAGAACATAGTCTGAGGCCTCATTTTCTTCACCTACAAAATGGGGACAATTACGTCTATGTCATGGTGAGGATTCAATGAATTGAGGCATGTAAGTACATATCAAACCATCTAGCACAAGAAGCTTTTGAGAAATGTCAGTTCCCCTTTTTCCTGTTACTCCACTTAAACATTATCTGTTTTCTTCTCACAGATAATGTTAAGAAATGATAAGGCCGGGCACGGTGGCTCACGCTTGTGGTCCCAGCACTTTGGGAGGCCGAGGCAGGCGGATCACGAGGTCAAGAGATTGAGACCATCCTGGCTGGCACGGTGAAACCCCGTCTCTACTAAAAATACAAAAAAATAAAATTAGCCGGGCGTGGTGGCGGGCGCCTGTAGTCCCAGCTACTCAGGAGGCTGAGGCAGAAGAATGGCGTGAACCTGGGAAGCGGAGCTTGCAGTGAGCTGAGATCGCGCCACTGCACTCCAGCCTGGGCGACAGAGCAAGACTCCGTCTCAAAAAAAAAAAAAAAAAAAGAAAGAAAGAAAGAAAGAAAGAAAGAAAGAAATGATAAGTGCCCTGCCCAAAGTCAGATCACACTTATTTTACTGAGCAAGAATACAGTCCAGACCACAGGGCTTACCTGGCTAGGAAGGACTAACTCTCTCCTCACTAAATGGCTCCAGGTTGCAGGACTTTTAAAATTCCCCTCCCTCCCTTTCTTTTTCCCCAGACTCTTCCCCAGCTATCAAGAAGTCAGCAGCAACCTCCCACTCCTGCCAGTGTACCTGTTTATTTTCCTTTCTAGGATTCTGCAGCTTCTGGAGGCTGAGAAATTTGTTCACCAAGTTTGCTGTGACTGTGTGCAAACTACAAGTCAGTAGTTTGTGTGTCAGCTGGAACAGTTTTCTTTAATATGAGGTGCAAAAATTTTATGGCCAGGCGTGGTAGCTCATGCCTGTAATTCCAGCACTTTGGGAGGCCTGGGCAGGAGGATCATTTCAGCTCAGGAGTTCCAGACCATACTGGGCAACATAGAGAGAACTTTAGGAGGCCCAGACAGGAGGATCACTGGAACTCAAGAGCTCGAGACCAGCCTGGGCAACATAGGGAGACTCTGTCTCTACAAAAAATACAAAAAAAAAGAAAGAAAAAAGAAAATTAGCCAGGCATGATGGCGCTTGCCTGCAGTCCTAGCTACTCTGGAGACTGAGGCAGGAGTATCACTTGTGCCCAGGAGGTGGAGGATGCAATGAGCTATGATCTTGCTACTGCACTCCAGCCTGGCTGATAAAGCAAGACCTTGTCTCAAAAAAAAAAAAATTATAACTTTGTAAAATTTATCTTGCTCCTCAATGTGTGTGTGTGCGTGTGTGTGTGTGTGTGTGTGTGTGTGTGTGTAAGAGAGAGAGAGAAAGAGAGAGAGAGAGAGAGAGATTTCCTGGTAGGGCTAGCTGAATTTTCTGGCAGCTGAGGTGTCTCTCTGGCCTTTCCATCTCTTCAAATTCCTCTGTCGCCTATGTCTAAAATTCAGTATTATAAACTTATTTCTAATCCAAATGGACGGCCTTTGTTTTGCTTTTCCTATAGTGATGAAAGGTACTAAAACAACACATTTTAAACTCCTTAGATAAGCCAGTCTGTTTTATTACCATGTATTTCTACTTGCTTTGTGTTAATAAAAATTAATTTCCAGAAATGTCACCAACAGTTTTTCTTTACTTAACACACAGCAAGTTTTGTTTTCATGGTGCATTGTGCACCAGCTTTAATGGCTACGTTTATAAGTTTGCCAGGGCCGGAAGACATTTCTAGAACCCCATATGTTTCCATATCCCATAATATTCGTAACGCCACCAAGAGAAAAGAATGGTGCATGGATTTCTTGACTTCCCTATGAGAATTAAATACTGTTAAAGCTTTTAGAACAGTGCTTGGCACACAGTAAGCTCCATGTGTTTGATAAATTAAAATTAAATCACCTGTACATGCTGTCCCCGTAACCACAGCTTAGAACACACTTCCCAAGGGTTTGTGACAACACAAGCCAATCCTGTCAGAGCCTACTTGACCCCAGAGAAACCAATGTCTTTAATGAGGTTGAACCACAAGAAACTGCCATTTTTGTTGGTCAATTTCAGTTGAATGTTGGCTATTTCATTTGACGGAACCTAACAGGAATTCAGTGTGCCCCAACTTTATAACCATTATGCCATGATTCGTCGCGTTCCTGACTGGAATAATGGGGCTGAGGGGCATGGCGGACCGGCTTGGGGCTCAGCCACCTGTCTCCACAGGAAAACCGCCTCCCTCCACTCGAGCAGGTGGGGAGATCAGGCTACAGGACCGAGGCTGCGGCCTGGGGCTGGCTCTGGGCTTCTGCACGCACCTGAAAAGGGGCCCAAGTTGCAGCAGGTGCAGCAGCAGTACGAGCGGGCGGTCGCGGCTGAGGTCGCGGTGTACGAAGAGAAGCGTGAGCTGCACGAGCGCGCAAGGCAGTAGCGAGAAAAGCAACGTCAGCGCCTGCCACATGCGGTCCCCGCCCGAGCGGTAGGTGCTGCTCAGGCTGAGCGCCGCCGTTGTCTCGGCCACGAACAGGAACACGGACGCCAGCACCGAGGCCGGGAATTTCATCTCCGCGCGTCAGCGGCGCTCACCGGGGACGGACGCAGTGGCGGCGGCTGTGTGGCTGTGGCGGCGGCGGCCGTTGCCCGAGGGGCTCCCAGCATGCCCAGCCCCAAACCGCTCCCGCGCTCTGCGCAGCCCGCCGAGGGCACGCGGGCCCGGCCGACCGGCCTGGGCTCTGGAACTGGACCTGGTGGGGGCGGCCGACCTGGCTGGGGTGGGGTGGGGTGGGGCGAGCTGCGCAGCCCCGCCGGGACACGCCCACGCGCTCCGTGCGCCGCCTGCTCGCTCGCTCGCCAGTGCCGGCTGCGTCTCTGTGGTGACCGTCCCCTGGCGGGCCGCGAACCCGCGCCCTACGACGGCTCAGGCCATGGAGCGGGAGCTCAAAAGGATGCAGTTCGCCCTGCGGGCGTCGCGCGCAGCCTCTGGGTCCTAGAGTCCCTTGGGTCCTATCTTGGGAAACCGTTCACATCCCTTTGAAAAACTGCAACCACCCGGGCCCAGAATTGGAGTCCGGGCGCCTTTCTAGCCCAGTCTATTTTCTGGGCCGAGGAAACGCGTGATTCTTCAAAGGGCCAGCATTTCTGGCCTTTTAAAAATAACCAGACCACACAGAGGCTTTTCAAAGTGCAAGTATATTGTCATGCACCCACCACCAAGTGGGAAAAGATTTCACTTTTCACTGTGCCATGTGAGCATGTCCCTTTGTCTTCCAAATACAGTGGTCTGAAGCATTGCTTCCAGTGGTGAAAAGGCGTCAAAGATCGTCTCTAGGAACCTGTCCTTACCTCCCAGAAAAACTGCCTACAAAATATATTCCTCTGTAACTGTAAGTAATTCAGGGCAAAGATCAGGGCCTAATAAGGAAGTAGTTTTTTTTATTCCAAGACAGACCTCTGCTTATTGGTGTGCCAATACCAAGACTAACACAACTCCTTTTAGCCCATTGAACTTTCCACCATCTTCTTGATATCAGGATGTACTCAGTCCACCCCCGTCCCTCAGACCTCGATCAAGTCACTAAATCTTTCTGAAACTCAGGTTCCATAAAGGGATTAGACTTAAATAATTATAAGATCTCTTCCCCTGTTGAAATTGGGTGATTTCAATCTTCAGGCATCTCTGGCATTTTTCTATTTAGGAAAATAATGTAAACACAAATAGAATATAAAGATTCAAAAGGAATCAAACCAAAAAAGAGGTACAGGGAGAGAATGTGGTGGGCTGTTTTTCTGTTTTTTATGTGGCATGAGAAAATCCATTTATGAGTTAAGGGGCAGATTCAGCCAGCAGCTGAGAGGTAGCAGGCCCTTTCCCTAAAAGGATTACTAATGTCTATTTATAGAACCCAGAAGGCCACCATGTCCTGGGCCAAGATACATACACTGCCACAAATACAGAATCAGCAGCAACACTCCACAGAGTATTTGTGTAATGTTTTACTTGACATCATGGTTAGCTTTAAAGGAAAAATTGGTAGCTTAGAATTATTAATCAGGACACTGAATATTTAGCATTAGATTTTATTTTAAGGCAAAGGATTATCACAGGTTTTACATTAAGTGTACTGTACATAAATGTATTATAAGGAGGGGCAATAAGCCAATAAATAACATCGCTTTAAACACTATAAAGTCCAGTTTATAGCGAATTATTTTCTACAGTACAAAACGAATACAGAAAACACATTTGGAAAGATCACAGTGTTTAGAACATTGTAACAGCAGTTGTAAAAACCATAAAGTGCATCTCTAAGCTTCTGACTCTATCTTGCTTATAGAGATTTCATTATACCATGCAGTGGGCTGTGAGCAAACTCCCACATGAAAGGGAAGCAATATCAACTGACTAGTACTATCCCCTGCAGAACAACCAATAACAAAAGCTAAATTCTGATGAGCATTTGCAAGTTGATCCTTCTTAGTCTGCACACCAGCTAACTTGCTCCAGTGATCACGTCTTTCTGTATTATCATTTGCCATTTTGTCCTTGAAAATAATATATATCTTATAGCTTATGATTGCTAATTTCCCTGTCAGACACCTCAATGGGTTTTGACTAAAGATTAATGTCATGTATTGCATTATACTTTTTCACTAGGACCAAAATACCCATTATTTTTAAAAATATTATGTACATAATAATAGACTTATAGAAAGTGATGTTTTGGTATATTAATATGTAACATACCAGAATACTTGAGAATTTGGTTTTATTATAAAATACAGTAGTATGACATTTTGTGATATAGTAAAATATCTGGCAAAATATTCTACTCTAAATTTAGACCTAATTGCTGCAGATGTCTTTGAAAGAGCCTCAAAGTGCCCCTAAGGAAATATAACAATTAGCAAGAGGTCATATAACCTGTTATGGCAAAGACATTTTTAAAAAGCCTTTCATTTTGTGTCCGAGTCTTTCAAAATTTTACTTGTATACAACAGATAAGTGCTGTTTGATTTAGTGCTAATGGAAATTAGTAGGATTTTAAAGTAGTAACAACCAATCACTATTATTTTTTTTTATAATTTTATGTTTTTAACTCTGCATTTGTGCCAAGGCAAATATATTGCAAATAGTACAATTTTATTAATAATACTAATTCTTTGATCAGTTCCTCAAAATTCAGTAGTACTTTAAATAATAGTAGTTATTCATTCCTAGATACAATTTGAAATAAGCAGTTATACTATATTGACAGAGTATTTCTTTGTACCTCCTCATAAGTAAGAAATTGCCCTAATGTGCAGTTTGTGAAATGTATCATTAGGAAGGTGAGCTTTGTTTTTTTCAATGATACAATTATATTTCTGTAAGTATTGTGATTTATGCCAAAAAAGCTTTTTGGAGCAGTAAATTCTATTCGCTGGGAAATACACATTCCAAAACTAACATGTGGTGCTTGACCCAGTATATATTCACCAGTATATGGCTTTGCAAAGTGCTCCCCCTAATAATTTGATTCTACGAAATCCATTTTTTAATGTTTGTTAATTTAGAGCCATTGGATTAAAGATATTAAAATTCAGACTTCCAAGAAGAGTTCCCCCAGATGTTCAAAGTTGAGAAAGCTGTACCTTTTCAAAGATTGGGCCGTCCTTCCTTAACAGATTCTAAAACCAAACTTCTGCACTTAGAATATTCCATTTCTACTGCTAGAGAGTCTATGTGCAACTCATGTTACATTTTGCATTTTCAAGAACATAGGGATTCTACTGCTGCTACAGTATTCAAAAGACATCTTTAATATTGAAATAGCAAAGTCCTAAAAAACAAAGACAAAACGGATGATCTAAATCAATCCACATGTTTGAATATATCCACATATAAGGGTTACCACATTCAATATGAACCAAATTCAGCAGCAGAATTAATTATATTGGTAACTGCCACTTAAGCATAGATTTTAAAATGAAACTTGTGGGGACAACGTCAGAGACCCCACTAAAACCAAGTTGCAAAAAGATCACTTGTTAAAGATTGACAGTAGTCAATTATAGTCTGTATCTTTAAAACTGACTGCTATGTCACAGCTACTTCATACATATTACTAGAACAGTACACATTAAAGCATGTACATTGTCACCACACACAAAATATAAAAATATTGGGAGGCCGAGGCGGGCGGATCACGAGGTCAGGAGATCGAGACCATCCCGGCTAAAACGGTGAAACCCCGTCTCTACTAAAAATACAAAAAATTAGCCGGGCGTAGTGGCGGGCGCCTGTAGTCCCAGCTACTTGGGAGGCTGAGGCAGGAGAATGGCGTGAACCCGGGAGGCGGAGCTTGCAGCGAGCCGAGATCCCGCCACTGCACTCCAGCCTGGGCGACAGAGCGAGACTCCGTCTCAAAAAAAAAAAAAAATAAAAAAATAAAAATAAAAATAAAACATCAGCAAGAATTGCATTACTCTACTTAAGAAACTGTATGTATTTGGTGTTTACACATATACACATTCACATATCCCCCACCACACCCCCACATCTTTTTAGAGTGTTCACCGTTTCTGAAAGAATAAGAGGAAGGTATATATTTTGGTACTTTCTGAAGATCTATGTCCAAGTGCAAGACTTTAAAGCCATCTGTTGGTTTCAATTTAGGAGGTGGTTGTTCTAGAACAAAAGAGATATTGTGGCTCTCGGGTGATTCTGAATACAAAGATAAATAGAAATGGGCCCCAAAAGGAGTGGAGAAAGAGAGGAAAACACAAAGTTTTTCTTATGGAGAGACACTTGTGGCAATTTCTAGGATTCTTATAGACACAGAACTCAACAACTAAACAACGTCAAACAGGTTTTTTTACCCAGGAGAGTTTACTCAATCTTTAATATGTTAATGTACCATGTAATCTTCAAAAGGGGGTAAAATAATAAAACTTTCCTAACTTATTTAATCACAGATTAAATTTTTCCACAGGGCAGCTCATGGTACTGCTGGGCTGCATTTGGGGAAATATTGCAGCTCTCGTGTAATAGGCAGGTTCTGTTTACATTTTCTCCCATAACAACGAAGGAAGGTAGGAAGACTTTATCAATACTAGGAAACAGGAATGGGACTGTCCAATACAATAGCCAACTCACATGCAGCTCTTATACACTTGAAATGTGGCTACTTCGAGACTGGAGATGTATAGTAAGTATAAAATACACACTAGAGTTTGAAGACTCAGTACAAAAATGTAAAATAGCTCATTCATGTTTTTATATTGATTGCATATTGAAATGCTATCATTTTGGATATATAAGGCTAAGTCAAATACATTATTAAAATTAATTTCATCTTTTTCTTTTACCTTTTTGGTAGCTACTAGAAAATTTGAAAATTGCATATGTGGTTTGCATTCGTGGCTCACAGCACAATTCTAGCAGACACTGCTGCTGTATTTGTGAAACTCATGGCTGTTATCTTCTACAGATGGTTACTAATGGCTTCAACCTAGCAGAAGTTTTAATAAGCTTAGTCAAGCTTAATAAATAAGTTTAATAAACTTAATCAACTTAGCTTGAACATATCCTTTCACTGAGATCTATCTAATAGCTAAATGTTGGCTTTTGATTCATATGCGATATTGACTCTCCTTAAGTCAGTCTCATTCTTTTTCACTCAACTACTTACACACACACACACACACACTCGCACACAGAGGGGTAAACTTTTTCCTACAGGGACTAAGAAAAACCAAAAGGGAAGCAAACAGGAAGACTTTGCAAACTGTTTTCATAACCCTGGGTAGTTAAGCCTTATGTATCTTTACCCCCTTCTCCCTCTTCTTCCTCAGTATTGGACAGGGAGAAGAAAGACAAAAAAAGAGAGAGGATAGTCTGTTCTTTTAATCCACATAACTCACCAAACCCTGCAAGAACAAAAACATGGGTGATTCGGTTATTTTAATTAATTTTTTCAAATTCAGTTCAGAGGGGGTAATTAGCAGGTGCACAAAGGCAAAAGAAGATTCTGGGAATTCTGCAGATAAGTGACTTTGCCATTTGTGGAAGAGTCTAGATAAAAATGACAAGTTTCAATGATTCAAGAAAACAAAAACAAAACAAAACAAAAAACTCTAAAGGCATCATCCACCAGGCCTCGATTCATTGGTACTTTCAATTAAAGAAACAAGAAGAGAGATCACACCTCCAGTATGAGATTTATGATAATGGATGAGGGTAAAACATTTAATGTAGCATCAACTTTTTTTGTAACATTAAAAATAAAATTACCAGGTTTATTTATGGAGGGGAAGCAGGATAAATGCCACCACCACCCTATTCTCATGAATAGCCACACTCACTTGTGATCTGACTACTAGGCCCAACTTCTGTTGCTGCTGACCTTGAGGTTGTCTGCCCTTCTGTCCAAAGGGTAATCCAGCTGTACTGAGGCTGGAACTCTTAGCTAAGAACAGACATGGATGGAAGAGATAAGGAGAAAATCTGCCCTCCCAGGCGAAAGGAGGTCACATGATAGAGCAGATACAGGAAAAACATATCACAATGAACTATAATATTTAAAGAGGAGAAGAAGGAGAAGTTGGTGAATCAGGGGTGGTCCTGGGTTAGAGGTCCCAGAAAGCAATAAAACTCATGGGTAAGAATGGACTGGTTCTTTATAGTGTTAAACACGCATCCACAACTCACTTTGAGATACTGAGCTTCAGCAAGCTTCCCCTCACCCACCCCTTTGCCTGCCTTCTCATTTGCTTTCCTTGCCAAATTTATACCAATATTACACGGGCTCGGCAAATTTGAGGCTCAGTCATTTAGCTATTAATTTGGGACAGTGCTGAATAAATAGCCCAGGTCCCCAAAGGAAGGCCTAATATGCAATTGAGAGTATATTTTGATCACTATATGTCACGTGGTTCTGAGACTTGAATTAAAGTGCAGATCAAACTCACCCCAGAATTACTTTATTTTCCAGTTCATTTTCTCTCTACAGACCTGGCTTGCCTGCTCCTTTTCTTGAGTTATTGGCACTGTAATCCTTTGTTCTCAGCAAGCAAAATAAATATTTGCATTAAAAGGAGCTCCTGAGCTAAATCAGTCTATTCCCATGTAGTAAGTCTTGGTGAATCAGAACCTTCTGAGGCAAAGTGCTGTGCTCAGGACTGGTGGTAGAATATAAAAAAATGTACACTTGGTTTTTATCCATCTAGTGACCCAGACCTCAAGCACTACATCCACATATAGAGATTCTATTTGGTTGAAATTCTTATTGGAAGTCATAACTGGGCATGATTTTTCTATGTATATAGTGGGTAAAATATAACATCCCTTTTAAATATATAAAGGATCTGCACATTAAAAAACTCACTTATATCCATTTTATCATTGACAACTTTTATAACAACCCTGTGAAGTAGACAGGGTGATTATTATTATTACTACAGTGGCCCCTAAAAGTGGCAGAGCAAGACTTTGAGATTTCCAGCACAGGGCTCTTTGCACCACTAATGGTTTTCCTTTTAATTGTGTGTTCATTTAACATGGCTAGAAATCACAAACCCATTTGTTTCATTGAAGTTACTGAGGTTCGCTCTTTCAAATTTGAAACAATTTCAGTATTACCATGATTAAAATCTTAATATGTCAAAAAAGTTAAAGAAATAAGCTGCCACTGGAAGAGATGCAATTTAGCACAGACCAAGAAAATGACTGTTTCTCAAGTTATCAGTAAGCAAATACTGTTATCTTAATAGCATAGTCAACTACCTAAAGAAGCACAGGGAAATATACTCTAGCAAACCCCTGTTCTACTCAGTTATCAAGTTACAAGTGGAAGTAAAAGACTACAAACTGATGACTGAAACAGGCTTGGGCAAAATAAAAATGTATAATATTCTGGGGTGTGTGTGGAAGAGATGGTATGTAATTACATTAATGAAACAAAATACACAGAGTTGTAATGGTTTCCAAAATGTCTTGCTATCAAAGCATAATGCAGTCTCCCCATTATTGAGAGACTATTTCAATGTATCCTCAAACATTTCCACTATTACCTTCAGGGTTTATAATTGCTCATGCTGTATATAGTAAATAATATTAAAGTTATACTAGTGGTGGTGAAAATGCCCCTGTAGCCTTTAAGAGACAACAGCCTTAAGTACTACATTAAAAATGCTACCACAGAGAAGGGGGGCAAGTTGGATAATTAAATAAGAAGTAACATGCCACACTTTCCTACAGCAAAATGTAAGAATCGTTTTCCCCTTCTTGGAAAAATAATATAGAAGAGGACCTTCCAAAATCTATAATTCTTTCAGGAAAATGAAAAGTTTCATCAACATGTTTAAGGGCTAAACAAGCCTATTGTTGTTTCTAATTTACCGAAATGTCATTTCATAAAGACAATACTCAAACATGGTCTTTGCTTAGATTTGACACACAAATCAAAATGGTTAGCACATCATCATCAGACCTATCAGAACTTAAAAGGGCAGATAGGCCTGAAAGTGGTCTTGTTTTTCTGAAGTTACTAGAAATGGAACTGATATGATAATGAACTAGAGTATCAGTTCTGAGTGCTTTAGGTTTCAGGTCTCAAGGATGAATTGTGAAAGGAACAGCAAATGGAAACAGAAGGTAGCTTTGAGGGAAAGTTTATTTTGTTCACTATTGTATCCCCAGATTCTAGTCTAGAATACTGAATAAATAAACTTAGAAAGTGAAACCCTGGGTTTGAATCCTGGTTTTGTCCTTTTCTAGCTGTAAGACTTTGGAGCATTTACCAAACACATCTTGAGGGGTTCTTGGACGATAAAAACTGCATGTGTTCCATAAAGCTCTGTATATAGGATGGTTATTATATTCAGCCTATATGAAAGAACTTCTGGACCCAATGTGGGGAGTCATCTGAAAGCTGCTATTTATGTGGTATCACCCCAAACTGAGCATTTTCACTGATGAACAACTGAGGCCAATTTGATATGGTTGTATCTGAGGATGTAAAAATGAAACAGGAAGCTGAAAAGATGTATGCATTTCAAAATCATTTTGTCCTACTTTATTGCAATGAGTGCAAACACACACAGTCATAAAATACACAAAGATAGTTGTTACCTTTCTTTGGTCAGATTCTTTGAGAATGTTATGAATGCTAGAGATCCTTGTCCCCTCAAAATGAGCACACACACACACAAACAAACTGGTCCATACACATACACACACCAACATACTTGTAGGTTTGCTTTTTAGGCAACAGAGCATTCCCTAACTCGTTCCAAAGTCTATGATTCAAGTTAAGAATTACTGAAATAAAGAATAAGTATTTGGATTTACATGGGAATAGATATGGAATACACACCATACACACACACACACACACACACACACACATAATATATCCAAATATTTAATGACTATTTAAATAAGTCTTATACAGTACACAATTTCCTACTCAATCTGATATATGCAATTGCCACTGACAAAATTCTAGGAAAAGGATCAACTTATGCTCTGCATAATGAAGTGACAGATGCTCCTACAGTGTTCTGCAAACCACTATTTACTTGAAGCAGTTTCACAACTTCTATGTGTTTACAGCAGGGTTGAATTTGATATGACAACTTGGCTCAATGAGTATTACAGCCAATTTCTAGTGGACCCTGTATCTTGGAAGGTAAGGTAACCAACCACAGAATTCACTCATCTCTTCATTTAATAGTATAAAATGGAGCAAAATTATTTCCACAATCACTGGTGACTTCCTCAGCCTGTCTGCCTGTCCCAAACAAAGGCAGAAATGACACGTCTTTGTAGTGGTTCCCCTGATCTTTGAAATTAGTGATATTTACCAAGAGCATATTTTATAGTTCAGCTAATAGCTCCATCAAGATTATGTACATAAAGGCATTTTTAAAATTACTAACAATAGACAATACACAGTTCACACTTCCTATGGAGAAAAACACTTTACAGCAACACTTGCTATAGTATAAGTTTACTAGCTTATAAATTTTGCTATTCTAATTGAGCTTTGAGGAAAAAAAAGGAACCAGGAAAAGAGATGTTCTAGGGCCTAAGGAAACTTCAAATTTTAGTATCTGAACTACGCTATGATATGATTTCTTTAAATTGCCCAGGGTAATGAAAAAAATAGAGATTCATATGCAAATATCTTTGCTCAGTAAAAACCATAAATTTCAATAAGTATAAGCACAGGACAACCAAGAGTTTATTTTTATACTTCAGCAACCTGACAATCCATTCCTCATAGCAGTTTTCAGCTGGGCAATTATTTTAATTTTTTATTGTCTTTATTTCTGAATTTAAGGGTAGAGGGCACACACAAATGGTCAAATTCTCATTCAGATTGCAAAGGTATTAGTGTATTTTTTGTCATAGTCTACACTTGCAGTTTGGTTTTCTATGTCATAACTGAAAAACAGATCATTTCTCTTTCCCCTTTTCCTATGATCCCTTGTTTCACATCTATTCCCTGACACATTAAATCTCTGCAGTTTTAAGATGAATTGTGGTATCTTTATTTTGCAGATCCTTTCTCAAATCTGGCATCATGTTGCCTTCACCTGCCTGATTCCTTCCTTCTGATGGCAATGTTAAGGCTCATGGTTGCGATACCATTGAATGTGGCTTATGTGGAAACTGCCTCGGCTTGGCTCAGGGGATCTCTGCAGGGCCACAGTGGAAGATAGAGCCTTCTAAACAAAGACGCTGAAGAGTGGGAATTCAGCCTGATTGGGCTGCAGCAGGTCAATCAGAAAGCACACTGTCCCAGAGAAGCCTTCATACAAGCTGTATATACTTTCAAGGACCCGAGAACCGGCCTTGAATTCCTCGGTAAATAAGAATTGAGCAAACCTAAGAGAAGAAGAAAATATGAACAGTTTAACATGAGTGTTTCCATATTATGGACCTTGGGTTGCTTCTTCCTCTTCTATTAAAGTTTTAGCATAATTTTCTTTCCAGAATTATATAATTAAGTATTTTAAGAAACACATTTTCTCTGTTAAAGAAGAAGATCCATTATATAACTGTGTATGTTTCACAACAAATTATGCTGGCAAGCAAATCCAACTATTCTTAGAGTTTGCAAAGCAAAGCAGTTTGGAATTTTCAAGGATCTCATTCTTTCTGTCATCCAGTAATTAAAGTAAAAAAAGACAGACAAATTGCTCTACTTTTATTTATCTTGAAAAGAAGCAAAGTGATACGTGACTGTTCCTTTAAAAAAGTAAATATGCTGTGTTTCTGCAGACATTACCTCTAAGCTGGGTTTTTGTTTATATATGACAAAAAGCAGAGACTGTAAAAATAAATGGGCAAGATTTTATACAATCTGTGCTGTGAGCAAACAAGGGAATAAGATGAATAGGAAAAGGCAGCAACCTTTCACAATGATAACATCATATAGCAAACGCAGCTACAAGACAGATTATTTTTGAGACATTCGCCTTAAATTAAATCACAGGCCTCTAAATTCCCTATGAAAGACCTTTTTTCTTTTACCCATATTTGCCACAAATATTATTCAGATTATTTTTAACAAGTAACATTTTTACAGTAGTTTACAGCTTCCAAAGTGCCATTACCTACATCATCTTTTTTTACTGACTTGCTCTACTCATTCCCATCAAGAACACAAATAATCACCAATTCAGAGGCTGGAGTTCACAGCTTGGTAAGGCCCAAGCGCTGATACTGTCATAAATTTAGGTTACTGCTACTACATAGGGGGTCTTACAAAGGGTAATTATTTATTTGATTTTTTTAGGGCTCTTAGAATTACATACGGCAACTTAAAATAAATTAGCAGAAAACAGATTGTAATTATATTTGTTACAATTTTTCTATAACTGTTTTCCTGAATATGAAACAATTTTAAAATGGAATTTAAAATTTTAAACAGTAGACTATTAATGCATCGTAAGAGTTACTTCTAAATTTGTAATAATATAGCCAGCATCATGATATAGCTTCAGTTGGGCTCCTCAGAAAAAAAGTTTTCAAGTGTATAAAATAAGCCACACAGGATTCCAAAGGAAAATAATTATATTAAAACACAACAAAAATTTTAAAGCCAAATTTGTGATATAATAACATATGTATTATTTGCTAACACATTAAATTCCAAGGTACAATAGTGGATTTAGTAACTGCTAGCATTTCTGCATATTGTAAAATTAAGATTTTACAATATCTGCAACAAGAGTAATATGACATGAGAATATCTATGAATTCTATTGTTTGCAAAGTCACAGCTACTAATACTTCTGTGACTTACTACCTACATTCAGAAAAGAAGGAAATGTTACATTTAAGTTTGAGACACAATCTCTTTGTCAAGCAAACTCACAAATCCTAGATTAAGAACCCCTGGTATAGTAGAAAGAGCAAGGGCTTTGGAAGTGAGATACACAGATTCCATAATTTCATGTTGTATGACCTTTGGCAAATTTCTCAATTTGACTTTAAAATGGTGAAGTTGCAGAACTGGATAGTGTTATATGTAAAGATAAAGGGTATTATATATCAGGTTCTGAGAATATAGCAAGCATTCAATAAATAGAAAATATTACTTTTTACATAAACATATAATAAAAGAAGATTTATAAAACAAAAAGATGATTTGTAAAATCATAGTATAAAAGAAACCCACAATGTTGCTAGCTCTTCTTCTGACCTTTCCCCCATGCACTCATTTATTTGTTGCATTATTACATGTTATTAAAGTATATATGATTTGGTATCCTGTATTTTTTTCACTTAAAAATATGCTAAATATTTTTCTATGCTTTTCAAAATAATTTCTAAATGATACATAGCAACTTAAAATAGTACCAGCAATGTCTGAGGGTAGCAGTTTCATTGTATTCTGACCTGTATTTTGTGTTATTATTTGTGAAAAATGTTTCAAAAATCTATCCAGTGGTGCAAAATTAAACAAATTTTTTTTTCTAAAACGTTCTCAGTCAAAATAGAAGTCAGCATGCTAATTACAGGACTAAAAAGAATAGAAGACACAATAAAATATGAAAACATTTCATATCAAAACCCATTGATTATGACCAAAACTGAATGCAGAAGAAAATTCATAGATCTGTGAGTTACCATTATTATTAATAAAATGATGGAATGCTTTCTAATTCAGCATGTATAAACTCTAGAACATAACAAAATAAAAGGAAGTAAAAGTGGAAAACAAAAGAGAAAAACAAAAAAAATTAATAAGCAAAACCAGGAGCCAGTTCCTTCAAAGGATTAACAAGACAGAAAAAACACTGGTGCAGCTCACCAGGAAGGAAAAGCATTAGAAATCACAAAGGGCACATAGCCACAGATATAGGAAATTAAAAATATTATGGAACTATATGATTAGAACTCTATGTCAAATATTTGAAAATTCATAAGAACTAGATGGTCTTATAGAAATATGTGCACTACCAAAAAGAAGAGGTAGAAAACCCGAGTGATTGAATAAACATAAAAGAAAATTAAGAAGTTGTCAAATATTTTTATGCAGCCATAAAATCCAACTGTATGTTAAAAAATAATAGGTGACAACCAAGTAATATTCATTTTAGGGAGGTACATATTTTTTAACATGCAATTGTTAAAGTATGCCCCTAGCCAACAGACAAAATGGGCTCCCCATGGCAAACTGAGGTGCTCCAAGTTAAAACAGAACCAGGCAGCTATGGCTGGGTGAGGGAGTGATCATGTACTCTGTGTTCTGAGAAAGACGTTGTAAAAGCATCACAGGACCTTTCTCCAAACCAGTTCCCGTTGTGAGTGCCAAGATATGCCAGCCCTCCACCCGCCATTTGGAAGAAACAGGTGACAAAGACTTCTGGTTTTGAGCTTGGAAAGTAACTAATCAGATCACACCTAAGCCAAACAATCAGAGTCACCTGCCATGGCCAATCAGGGCTCAGCTGCACTGACCAATCGGAACTGAGATTCAATCCTTCATTTGCATAAAAAGACCTGACCCTGGGCAGGCAACTTTGCTATAAAACCCAGCGCTGAAAGGCTGCTTCATTTTACACCGCAGGCCGTGTATCCTCTGTTTGCAAACTGTTCACTGGAATAGTGTCTTTCCTACACATTCCGTTTCAGAGAACTTTTGTTCACACAATGCCCAAACAATACTCAGATATTACCTCCACATTTCCAGTCTTCTACCTGTTAGTGAGAAATGTAAGTTGTCTAAAGAGACCTGGACCCTAAATCTTATAACCAAGACTCTGTAAGCTAGGACTGGCCTGCCAGAAAATACTTAATGGGTACAAAGTTCATTGAGTGATGGATACCCTAAAGCCCTGAATTCACCACTATGTAATCTATCCAAATAACAAAATTAAACTTGAATCCCATACATTTACACAAATTTTAAAAAATTAAAATATTAAAAATTACAAAAAAGAAAATAGAGGGGTTGTTCTGATCCCTTTTAATACGCTTTATAGGGAATAAATGAATTTCATTCATTTCTGATGAAATTTAGCCCAAAGGTGAAATCCCACTAGCCTAGATGATATCCAAAATTACTTTCTTTTTCTATATTTGGGAAACAACAGGTCTGGCTTCCACCTAAAGAGATTAAGAAACCATGAATCAATTATATTAACAGATTTCCTAAACAACAGAGCTTCAAATCAAAGACTTACATAAGTTAGTATTTGCCCTTCAGTGCATTCATGTAAATATCACAAAAAATAATTTATGTTTTCTAAACATTAAATATTAGATAAGTTGACTTGGGAGGGCCTTTCTGAGAAAATGACTTTTGAGTGAAAGTCTGACTGAAATGGGGGAGCTAGGAGATATACGTAGAAAGTGAGCATTACAGGTGGAGGGAACCAAAACTTCCAAGGTCTTGAGGTGGAGTGTACCTGGCATCCTAATGGAATTACAAGGAAGCCACAGTGGTAGACAGAACCAGGAGGAAGAAGAGTAGGGAATGAGATTAGAGAGGTAATGGGAGGCTAGATCATGTAGGACCTTTCATTCGTAGGAAAGACTGGCTTTTACTCTGAATCATATGGGAAGCCGTTGGATTACACTGAACAGAGAAGTGTTATAATCTAACACTTATAATCTAATGTTTATAATGATAAACATTATAAGAAGTGAATATAAAAGACCACGGTAAAACATAGGAGCATTCCTAGTAAAATCAGCATAAAAGCAAGGGTGTTTACTATCCCTCTTATTATTGAACATTGTTATAGGGTTGCATTGTTATAGAGAAGAACCATGTAGTGGAAAAAAAATACCATGCACATGAGAAAGGAAGTAACAGAATCATAGTTATTTGCAGATATGTGTGTATCTATTTAGAAAACCCAATAGAATCAATAAAAAACTAATAGAAACAGTAATGGAGTTCATTAAGGCAGCTATATTATTATGATGTTTATGAAAAGAAAAATACTTATAAGATACAATCTATATTTATATGAAAAATTACATATTAGAATTGATAAACTTCAGTGATGTGTGTTTTAAAAGCTTCCATAAATACCAGTAATAAATGATATGAAAATATAATGAAGGAAAAGAGTCCACTCACAATAAACCTAGAAACATAAAATACCCAGGAATAAAATTAACAAAAAACATACAAGATCTTCTTCATAAGATCAAAACTTTACCAATGACATTTGTTTAAACTTAAATAAATGGAAAGGTATACCATGTTTCTGGATGGAAAAATTCAATATTCTAAAGATGCTGATTCTCATTAAGCAAACTGTAAATTCAATGAAATTCCAATCAAATTTCTGTGAGCTTTTTTAAAAATATGACAAATTGACTCTAAAATACAATTAAAAGAATAAATAAGAGAATGATAGGTGGAATATGGGGAAAATATGGAACTCATATATTTATATAAATTCAGTTTATAAAAAAATGGAATTTCAAATCATGGGGGTAACTGGTCAACAGATGCTATTAGAATTTTTTTTAATAAACAAAAATAAATACCTATCTGAGACCATTTAAAAAGTAATTTCTAGCAGAATCAAAAATTTTAATGTTAAAATCATAAAATTATTACAAGCCCATGTAAATTAATAGTTTTCTAATCCTGAAGTGGGAAGGGTCTTTTTAAGCATAACAGAAAATCTAGAAATTTTAAAGAAAAGATTGAAAACTTTGACAAGAAAAATACTTAAAACTTTGGTATGACAAAGGCTACAAACAAAATTAAAAGAGAAATGGCAAAGCAGGAAGGTATTTACAGCATACATTGACAAAGAGTTACAATTCTGAATAGAAGCATCACAACAGGAAAAAAATGGGCAAAGGATAAAGACAGGCTATTTATAGACCAAGAAATACCTATGGATCTAATGACTTCAATTCTAAAATTTCTGACAAGTGCTTTCACAAGTGCACAGAAATGTATGTATTGGATATTTGGGGAAATTTTGTGTTATTAAAGATTACACAAATGTCAAGTGTCCATTATTTAAGGATTGGTTAATTATCATACATGCATAGTGAATAACTATATAGCCATTTTAAAAAATGAGATAGATTCATACAAAATGAAATAAAGAATGTCCCTTAAAAATTGTTCATTTAAAATTATAAGCTGCAAACATAGCGGGGAGGTGGTGGGCTCACACCTGTAATCCCAGCACTTTGGAAGGCCAAGGCAGGAGGATAGCTTCAGGCCAGGTGTTCAATGCCAGCCTGGGCAACATAGCAAGATCCTGTTTCTGCATACAAAAAATTAATAGTTGTTGTTTTAGTCCATTCTTGCACTGCTATAAAGAAATACCTGAGACTGGGTAATTCACAAAGAAAAGAGGTTTAATTGGCTCATAGTTCTGCAGGCTGTACAGGAATCATAGCAGCTTCTGCTTCTGGGGAGGCCTCAGGAAGCTTCCAATCATGGTAGGAAGTGAAGGAGAAGCAGACACATCTTACATGGCCAGAGCAGGAGCAAGAGGGGAGGGGGAAGTGCTATGCACTTTTAAACAACAAGATCTCTTGAGAACTCTATCACTATACAGTACCAAGAGGGGATGGTGCCAAACCATTCATGAGAACTCTGTCCCCAGGATCCAATCACCTCCTACTTGGCCCCACCTCCAACACTGGGGATTACAATTCGACATGAGATTTGGTAGGGACACAGATCCAAACCATATCAGCCACATATGGTGGCATGAACCTGTAGCCCTAGCTACTCAGGAGGCTGAGCTGTGCCCACGAGTTGCAGGCTACAGTGAGCCATAAATCACACCACTGCACTCCAGCCTGAGTGAGACCCTGTCTCAAATAAATAAATAAATAAATAAAATTATAAGCTACAAACAGTATGTATAGAACTATTATACATATATAGTAGTAGGAGCTCATTAAAATATACATGTACACATATACATTTATGTGAACATACATTTACACATAAAGAAAAGTCTGGAATTATAAAACTCAAATTTATACTAATAACAATGAACATTTACATTGCAGTTACTATATGCCAAGCATTATTTCTAAATGATTTTTCATACATTAACTTGTTTAAACTACCAAACATCCCTATGAGGTAGGCACTATTTTCCATATTTTATGAATGAAGAAATGGAGAATCACTTGTTAAAATGAGCTAAGTGACTTGTTAAAGGTTGTGTGACCTTGTTAAAGATCACTTAACAGTCACTTAGCTCATTTTAATAAGTGATTTGTTAAATGTCACACAATCAATTTGATAATTATCAGCTGTACACTTTCAGTGGGAATCTTCACAACAGTACAGGGGCTACTCTAGGACCCCCTCCCACCTCTGCCAAGTGACAGCTCAGATTCATGGGAACCAGACTACATGGGTGGGTATGAGAGAACACTCTGGCTTAGAAGACCTAAGTGCCACAAAGGAAAACAATATCTTTTGTAAC
The DNA here is from genome assembly GCF_000001405.40 of Homo sapiens. Lineage (NCBI taxonomy): Eukaryota > Metazoa > Chordata > Mammalia > Primates > Hominidae > Homo > Homo sapiens. The sequence continues at coordinate 37,668,598 of NC_000023.11, read as the reverse complement.
CATTCATGGTTATGGACAGCTTCTAAGTCCCTTCAAAATGAATGCCACTTTCATGCCACTCTGCATTCAGGGAAGCCCCTACTTGTGCTTTCTATCAGATTATTTAGAGTTCATTTATGGTCCTCCTGGCCCAGTTTACCCAGCTTACCAGTCAGAGGTAATATCTATTAAAAGCAATGTTGTCTGGTATACAGCAGATGTTCCATCTTTATCAAGTTTACAGGGAATGAACTATAAAGGAAAATTTTATATTGTCAAAATTATAAATATATATATATTTATGTATATAACTAGGATATATATATTTATATATATAACTAGGATATATATATATATATATAGTCCAGCAATTTCATTTCTAGAAATTTATCTTTCAGATATACCTATACATGTGCAAAATTATATATGCACAAGATTAGTCATCATAGCATTATTTGTAGTACACAATATTAGAAATAACCTAAATATCCCCCTAAGACACACACACACACACATATATATGTATTATAGTTTAGAAATTTGACCCTTCAAATCTCATGTTGAAATTTGATCCCCAGTATTGGAGGTGGGACCTAGTGGGAGATGGTTGGATCATAGAGGCAGATTGCTCATGAACAGATTGATGCCATCCTCTGGTAATTAGTGAGCTCTCACTCTATTTGCTCCCAAGAGATGACTGTTAAAAAGAGCCTGGCACTTTCCTCCTCTCTCCCTTCTTCTCTCCCCATGTGATGTCTGTTTTCCTTCCCCTTCTGCCATGAGTAGAAGCTTCCTGAAGCTTTCACCAAAAGCAGATGCTAGTGATGCTTCTTGTAGAGCCTGCAGAATCATGAGCCAGAGGAAACTTTTTCTTGATAAATTACCCACCCTCAAGTATTCCTTTATAGCAACTCAAATGGATTAAGACATTTACTTATACACTATGTATATAGAATATCTTTGGGAAGATAACCAAGAAACTGTCTCTAGGGAAGTCAACTGCATGGCTACAAGGCACAGTTGATGTATTTATTTTTATGCTTTTCAAACCATGTGACTATATTAGTAATTCAGAAAAATAATTAGATTAAAATTTTGAAAAAAAAAAAGACCCATAAAGAACAGCTGACCTTTGAGCTCGGTAGATGTATTTAGAGTTTCCCGTGAGCCGGTACAGCAGCAGGAAGACATAGGCACTGCCGGCTACTCCATGGCAAATCCCAGGCCCCTTCTTTAGCAGGCCTTTCTGCCATGTGAGTTCCCCACACCGAATACATGTGTCCAGGTACTGCGGTTTCTTGGAAACCAGATAAGCTTTGGCAAACAGATAGGCAATTCCTGTGAAAACATCAAAGATATTAGAGGTGACTTTCAGGACTTAATACTTTGGAGCAGAACTTCCAGAACAATAAAAAGCTCATGAATCACCTGAGTACTGGTAAAACACAGATTCTAATATTGTAGTTCTGATGTGGGCCCTGAGATACTGCATTTCTAACAAGCATCCTTCTAAAGACCACACTTTGAGTAGGAAGGTGCTAGAATGTTCTATAAGAGAATCTTATTTTCCCAGTGAGATTTTAATTTGTTTTAATTGTATTGTGGGGTTGGCCCCGGGAGAAAGAGCAACATTTTTATTGACGTACATAGATTGATAAAATCTAAAATTTAATTTACAAATGGGTTAATATTTAATGACGCATACTCTAGTAAGCATTATGTATATTTGGTTATTTGAAATGGCTAAATATTTGTATTGTAATGAATTTGTAGTTTAAAATTTGTAATGTTTAAGTACTTATAACTATACACATTTTCTTAAAAGCAAAACTGGGAGTTTTTCCAAGAAAAACAATGCTCCAGAAGGATCTTGCCAAGACTTCTACTTTAGCTGTGAAGTGAGTCCTTCCCACCCTGATTGTTCCAAGGAAAGAACTGTTCCTTCAAAGCTCTTCAACAAAAGTAGTATCAGTTACAAGAGAAACAAGAGAAGCAACAGCTATTAATAGAAATGATTTTCCCCAAGTTCTGGGTGTTCATATTCAGTGAGGAGGTTGGTATCACAAGATCACATTCTCTCCTGCATAGCCTACCTTTCTCCTATATAAAAAGTGTGAAAGACTGAAATATAGCTGGTATCTTGACTACCTCATCAATCAGGGTTATCATTGCCTTTCATTGCTTTGACTAGGCTATTTTACAACTCTGTAGAGATAGAAATTGTCTTGTAGAAAACTGATAGTAATGTAAATATTTTCTGTCCCTAGAAACTCACACTCTGTCTGGTAGAGGTTGACTTCCCTCTGCCTCTGTGGAAGAAGCCAGTTTTGCATCTATTAAGCAAATTTATTTCAGCATTCCTAATGGCCTATATAAATATGTCTACTCTTTGGATTTCCCTTTGAAACAGTTGTAACATCTTTCTGGTTCCCTCATTAAATAATGAGCTCAGTAAAATGGTTCATACATATTCTTTTTATATTTGTATGAGAGTCATGATTTCATACCCTTTTTAAGTGTATCCTTTAATATAGCCTGTGGTTAATACTTACAAAGCAACAAGCTCTTTGTTCAGTCAATGCTTTCCAGTCAACTACTGACAATGTTTACCTACAGCATTCTCCTACCTCAGTTTTAGGAACAAAGTACCTTGCACAAACTAAATGATGATATTAAAAGAACTGAACTTATTTATTCATACATTCATTCATTCATTGCATCCATTCATTTGAGAGTAGTCATTGATTATGTACTGTACGCACAGCCCTAGACAAGGCTGGAATCATGGGCATGCCACCTGTGCAGGCCTACAGCCCATACTCCTTAAAAGGGTTCCATGTTGAGTTTAATGCTCTGCTATTACCACCTTGAAATTCTTAATAATTTTTCTAAAAATAACTTGCATTTTCATTTTGCTATGGGCCTCCCAAATTATATAGTCAGTTCCAGCCCTGGGTGATATTGAATAAATGCTAAACATGACTCCTACCCTTCAGGAAGGCACTCTCTAAAAAGGGAGATAAAAATATATGCATATGACTGATACATAATAGGATATATATTTCATGATGCTGCTGGAACATAAAATAAATGGTTCTCTCAATAATACTAGCAGAATCAGAAAGGTGGAAGTTCCCTACGGAGATAGTTAGATGAGGCCTTAAATGGAAGGAGCACTTTTTCAGAACTTTGAAGGATACATAGAGAATTCCAGGCCCAAGATGAAGCAGGGAGGGCATTCTATCTAGCACTAAGATTAGCAAGGGCAAAGACATGGAGGCAGGAAGAAGCCACATGAAGGCTAGTGGGGCAATGTTCTAACCAACAGACCAGTGGGGAAGAAGGCTAGACTGGGTTCTGATTATGGATGGTTTTACAAATCTAATTAGATAGCTTGGACTGTACTCTGTGGTCATCAGGGAATCAATGGAAGTGTTTTTGCTTTGGATTGGTTGGCTTTTATTTTTTATATGACAATGTGATTATTATGGACAAAATGTCCCAATTTTAGTGGTATCAGGAGAGACCTAAAGAAGGGTAACAGGGTAGCTGTGAGCTGGTTATGTTAGCAGAAAGACAAAAATGAAGCCAATGACGTGTATGTTCATCACAGCACTATTCACAGTAGCAAACACATGGAGTCAACCTAGATGCCCATCAGTGGTGGAATGGATAAATAAAATGTGGTACATACACACCATGGAATACTATGCAGCCATAAAAAAAGAGATTATGTCCAGGAACATGGATGGTGCTGGAGGCCATTATCCTTAGGAAATGAATGCAGGAACAGAAAACCAAGCACCACATGTTCTCACTTATAAGTGGGAGCTAAATGATGAGAACACATGGACACAAAGATAGGAACAATAGACACCAGGGCCTACTTGAGGAGGGAGGGTAGGAAGAGGGTAAGGGTTGAAAAACTACCTATTCGGTACTATGCTCACTACCTGCATGACAAAATCCTTTGTACGCCAAACCCCAGTGACATGCAATTTACCCATGTAACAAACCAGCACATGTACCCTCTGAATCAAAGTAAAAGTGGAGAAAATAAAAAATAATAAAGTGGTTAATTGTATATTATGTAAATTTCACCTCAATAAAAAAAAGAAACAAAAAAAGCTTCTCTAAAAAAATAGAAAGTCAATGAAAGAGACATTTCACAGAACTTGGTAAGTGTTTCTATATTAATTGGGCATCTGCTATATGCCAGGCACAGTAGCAGGTGTTAAGCTTTTAAAAAGCATCTATCTTCATGGTGTTTTTCAGCTTAACTGGAAGTATTAATTAGACTATGTGAGGGGAAATAGAAGTCTCATGGAAGCACACAGGAGGGCCCCTAGCACACACTTGGTAGAAGGAGATGACTACTAGAGGGGTGACACCATCTAACCTGATTATTGGGGGTTGATAAGGAATTAGCAAGGTGTACTGGATGCTGTTGATGACCTGCATGGATCAGCTTTACCTTGCCAGCAAGTGCCTCATTTCCCAGTTCCTGTGAAAGTTGGCAACTAACAAAGCTCACTGCTGCATCTTCTTGAGAGATTTGCCCTCAGACAAATGAGAGGCTATGCTATGCAGCCACCCCTCACAGGGATGACACAGGGATACAAAATATTGACTTCCTTGCCTCAAGAGAGACCCAGCTTCTTGATGTAAACTGTGTTTCTTAGCTTCTCCTCAGACTCAGGGTGAAGCTAGTCTCCAGGTAAGACATGCTCCTCTTTGGCCTGTTCTGCTTCCCTGCTCCCTTACAGGTTCCTCTTGATACCAAGCTCTAATTCTAGAACCTGAGGAAAGAGCTTGGTGAAGAAGGAGGGTATTACAGCCAATCAAAGGAAGGTGGGTGGGAAGACCCTGCTCTTGCTGGCCTCTCTCAGGCTCTAGGTGTCCTTCTTAGATGATTGCTTTAGCCTCCTGTCCCCAGGTCTGCCATGCCTTAAATTCATTCTGTGGCAGAGTGAATGACCTTTCTAGGACCGTAATCTGACCATGACATTCCCCTGCTTAAACTACTAAATGACTCCCTATTACCCAGATGCCTTAGCATGACACAGAAAGCCCCTTGTGACTGAGCTCCTTTTCTATTTTCCCACCTCTTTTCCTCCATTCCCTTCTTGAAACTTTTCACTTCAGTAGAACCAAACCACCTACAGTGCTTCCATGCTTCTTACTACCAATGTGGTTCACTTTGCTTGGAACAAGCTTTGTACCTTTCTTGATCTGGCTAACTTACCTTAGGCATCACAACCTCCAGGAAGCCTTCCCTGGACCTGAAGGCAGCATGAGGAACCCCTCTGAGATTTCATTGATCCTATACAAACTTTAGCACTTACACAGAACCCAGTTAAAATTACCTATTTCCATGGCTGCCTCCCCTAATACAGTGCAAACTACTCAAGAGCAGAAACTGTATGTTGTTCACTTTTGTTCCACTAGTGTGTGGCATGGTGTCTGGCAAATGCCAAGAACCTCATACATGTCTGTTGACCATAAAGTGCCCCATTTCTCAACCCAGCACAGGCTGATACTGGGGTATAGATGAGAGATGTAGAAGGAAGAAGGGTGAGATGGTCTAATTGCTGTACCAGGCCATGAGCCCCAGAACGCTTAAAAGGTATTGATCCTGTGGTTCTGGCCAGGGTGAAAGAGCCTCTTCCTGCATCCTGGATCACAGAATGTTACATGGAAGTGACCTCGCAAAACTTCTAAACCAAAATTTAGTAAACCTGTTGGCTCCTAACCCAGCATAATGGAAGCCACAATAAGGCTGCTTAATTAAAAAAAAAAAAAAAGGAATGGTGGGTTTCTTTGCTTTTGATAGGAACCAGGAGCCACATCATTTCATCATAGGAACACTAATTATTGTGCATTGATAAGAAGCCTGAGTCAGTAATGATGTATGACTTTGCCAAATGCAACTGGGAAAAAGAATTATTACTTAATAAATATGTTTTGAGAGACTAAACTTTTGAAAATATGGGATCTAATAGGACCTTGTGACAGCCACACTTGGCACGTATAGCTTCAACACACTGGAGAATCACCACTGAGGTCCATTCTGGGTTGTGTAATTCCGCTGAGGCATGCATTGTACAGTGCGCACTACAGAGCTTAATGACCAACGATATCTGCACTGCAAAAGCCTTGTTGTTCTTTATTCAAAGTCACCTACCCAAGAGCTTTTATGAAATGAGTTTTTTTAAAAAAATACCCACTCCTGTACTTCATGCAGAGTCAAGGAAATGCATTGTCAGTGTTACCACAGCAATGATGTAACCTAATGCGGTTGAGAGTTTCTTTTAGCCACAGCATTTGTTTTAATGATTTTGTAAATGACTTTGGTCCTGTATTTCAGAATTGTCAAGGTTATGAAGGGGTCACATTAATCTTCCTGTAATACTTTACTGCACTTATTGAGAAAAAAGCTATATGCCACACAAGGTATTTAAAAATGTCTTGTTCACAAAGCTCTTGAGGAACAGCCCTCAGGAATGGCAAAGGACCAAAGTATAAAAGGGGGTCTGTGGTGATAAAAAGATTGAGTTCCACTACTCAGTCTCAAAGTGCTCATTTCACAGATAAAGAGACAAAGGCACTAAAGAAACAAAGTCACCCTTTCTTAAGGTCAGTAAACTGGTTAGTGTTGGAGCTGAAATTAGAAGCTGGAGTTATTAACTCAAAGAACTATTTCTACACTGCATAAATGATAACTAGGCTTGTCACCTGTGGAGGTGGGTTGAAGGAGCACCAGTAGGAAACAATTATAGGAACAGATAAGGTATCATTAATGAAGCTCCACGTTGTGAATTATTTCTGGCAGGTTTTTAATCACAGAATTAGTCTGCTGCCTCAAACCATCTGCACTGTTCATAAATCTACTCTCAAAAATGTTTTCCTTAAATAAATGAAAATTATTTTATAGTTCGTTTCCTGCATAGAATTTTTGGAGATGTTGCCAACCTCTGCAAAATCTTGGTGGTCTTTGGACTGCACTGATTAGACTTATAATCAATCTTGATGCTGTTTTTAGAGCATCTCTTCAAAGAAAGACCAATACCCTTGAGGTGGGGATAGGGGTTGGTAAAATAATGGGCCCCACTTAGTTTTTTATTCATTTTTGAATTGGTTTATTTTTGGTAGTCCAGTGAATACATGGACTGAAAGATTTTTCTTTAAAACTTATGTTTAATCTTCTCTAGATACTGAACATGAATGATAAAGGAGGATATAGTCTCCAAAGTGATGAATCCTATGCTGCACTGTTACGGTAAATGATTTACAAAGACAGATGGTATTTAGTATACAGAAAGGATGGAATAATTGCCCTGCAAGACACCCACATCAATTAACTGACCCAGTCATTCATTTTAGTAGATTATCTTCCCACTTTTTTCAGGACTATTACTAGCACATTGAATCCTTTTAAGATATTCTGTGTTTAAATTGGTATGTCTCCAAAATTCAAGGATCCTTGCTGGTATGCTTGGAGGATATCCAGAGACCATCACTGAGAATAATTAAAATAAATGAGAAATGGAAGGATTGAGGCTAACAAGAAGAAATATCATTTCCAGCATGGTAAATAACTTGTTCCCCCCCCGCCCACAAAAAAGGTCAAATTAAAAAGAAATGGGCTCAAATCATAATTGGCAGAAGTTAGCCTGGACATAACACACAATGCATGGATACTGGTACAAGCACACATTTTGAACTTCCTTCCATAGGTAAATGTAGCAGGCAGAAAAAATATGACCAATACACTGCGACTTACATTATTCATCAACTCAAGACTATACTTTCAAGGATTATTATTCATCAACTCAAACTGTACCCCCCAAAATGAAATTATAGTTGGATTAAAGACCATTAATTAATGGGAGGAAAAGGTAATGAAACTCAGGTAAAAAAACTACAGAGAAATCAAATATATTTTAAAACTGTGCTTGTGGGATTGAAGCATGGCCTTGAAAATTAAATCGACTCAGAATCTAAGAATTTTGTATTATTTTGGTATTTTAAATCTCTCCCCTGGCCATCTAACCAATATTAATTTATTTATTTGAATTTAACTTTTTTTCAAATTACCCCTTCTGTGAAGGCTTAATAGCAGTGTGATGGAATTTTTTAAAAGTGGGAAAAAGATAGGGTTTGCTAAATTTCTAGCCTCAATTCCACAGAGTTTACTGGGGATGACTATTCATGTTTCTAGACATTTTGTTTGGTACTGATGGAAATTCTCATTTGAAGAAGTTGTAGAACAGTGCATCCCAACCTTTAAAGTGCATACGATTTGTCTAAGGATACTGTTAAAATGTAGATTTTGATTCAGTGGGTCTAGGGTGGGGCCTGAGATTCTGGATTTTTATCAAGCTCTCAGTTGCTCATGCTACTGGTTCCAGGGGCCACATTTTGAATTGCCAGGCTCCAGATCTGCACTATCCAATGTAGATACTGAGCACTTGAAATGTGGCTAGTCTAAATTGACATTTGACATAAGTATAAAGTATATGCTGGATTTCAAGGACTGAATACTTTTTAAAATGTGAAATATCTCAATTTTCAAATCAGATATACATGGAGATGGTAATATTGGGGGTACACTGGGAACTATAATATATATTATTAAAATTAATTTGCCTGATTTTACTTTTTTAATGAGGTTACTAAAAATGAAAATTACATATGTGGCTCATATTATACTTCTATTGGACAATGTTAGTTTAACTTTATAAACAAATAGATATAGATCATATATTTTAAAATGTAGAGGACCATTTTCAGAAGTTGTTTACTGATCAGGACATTTGGCTTTGAAAAATCTCATCTTGACCCTTTTATCTCACATAGTAATGACATAAGATTAGCTATCCTCACTTCTCAGAAAAGGAACCACCCTGTGGCTAACCTAGATGAAAGGCAATATTTTTAGGTAACAGAGTGTGTGAGACCTGGAGCGCCATGGCACCAGTGCACCAGCTCATTCTCTCTCTCGATGGTCTCGCCGAGCTCAGGTGGCCAGTTGCAGTTTTGTTCCTGTTCCATGAGAAAGTCCACGCTCTGCCATACCAATTCCCGATCTGAGGGCTTGAGATGCTCATGGTAAGAAAGAAGCATCTGAAGAATAGACGACAAGCCGTGAGCTGCCCCTGTATTAACAAACAAGGCATAAAATTCACACAATTGGGAGGACAGCTAGTTTGATTTAGTGAAAAGATCAACAGGATATAAAACAATAAAGCCAATATTACTTGAAAGCTCATATAGCAATGTGATAACTAAGTTGCCTAAGAACTAGGCTTCTAGCAAACTATAGCCTGCAGGCCAAATATGGCTCACTGCCAGTTTTTCTAAATAAAGTTTTATTAAAGAATAGCCATGCTCATTCATTTGCATATTTTCTATTGCTGCTTTCTGGCTACAACAGCAGTGTTGTATTTGTGACAGAGGCCATACGGCCCAGAAAGCTGAAAATATTTACTGTCTCTAGCCCTTTACAGAAAAAATTTGCTGACCAAACTCTGTTTTAGAGAAGAGATCTTTTAAAACTTTGTAATTGAAATATCAGTAGCTTTCATGAAAATGCTCCTAAAATGCTTGAAAATAATTTGGTCTAGGTATCCTAAACATTTATTTTTTTATTCATTCGACACACAAGTATTAAGCATCTACTCTGTACAAGATACTGTTCTAGGTACAGAGGATAGATCACTGCACAAAACAGACTAAATCCCTCTTTTGTAATGTTAACACTAGTTATTGATATTCATTTACTTAATCCTTTACATTTAACACTTGCATATTAGGCACTGTCTAACCCTGGTTATACAGATAAACATGATTTGGTCGATACATTTGAAGACCTCTCCATCCAGTCCAATGAAACGGCCAGATTTGTAAAGAAATAATTAGAACATGACATGATAAGTGTTCTATGAGCAATGTGTACCAGGAGTATGATGGTTAATTGTGTGTGTCAACTTGACTTGGCCATGGAGTGTCCAGATATTTGGTTAAACGTCACTTCTGGGTGTGTCTGTGAGGGTGTTTCTGGATAAAAATAACATTTGAACCTGTTCACTGAGCTAAGCACATTGCTCTCTCCAATGTGGGTGGACCTCATCCAATTCACTGAAGGCCTGAATAGAATAAAGAGTCTGAGTAAGAAATAATTAGTTTGTCCTGCCTGACTGTCTTTGAACTGGGACATTGGCCTTCTCCTGCCTTCAGATTTGGATTCAAACTGGAACTTACATTATTGGCTTTCCTGGATCTGGCTTTCTCAGCCTCCATAATCATGTGAGCCAATTCCTTACAATAAATCATTTAGTTATATAAGAAATCATATTCTGTTTGTCTAGAGAACCATGACTACTACAAGGACTAATAGAAGGAATGGAGGAGAGCTTAACTTGGCCTCAGAGGTGGAGGGGATGCTGAAGGTTCCATACAGACAGTGTCATCTGAGCAAAGTCTTGAGAATTCCTCAGAGAATTCTGAACTAGCAATGGGTATTGAACTAGCAAAGGCCTGAACCTGCCTTTGGAAAAGAAGTTAGCTTAACAAAGGTCAAAGTCCAGTCCCTCTAGGAGTTTTCACTCATTCCCAGTTAGTAGAATCCCGATTAGTGGGCAGTACTAGGGTCAATGTATTCTGATGGCTTGCTCTTTAAACTCAACTCTATAACTTTAAAGCTTTCTTTTTGCATTCAGGGATCTTTTACTTTGCCATACTCAGAACTCTTGACTCCCTGGAAACAGCTTTACAGTTTGTATTCAGTCAAAATTTCTATTGCTCTTAAAATCTGATCATGAAATGTGAAAATATCTTTATTTTGCTGGATTCGAAATTGTTGGGAAAAAAAGCTTGCTTTTCAGGAAAATATTTATGCACTAGATAGAAATATAGTTTAAGCTATATATATGTAAAAAGCCAGAATGTTAATTTCTGTAACGAAAACCTGAAAAATACTGGGAGGCTAAGGTGGTAGGATCACTTGAGCCAGGAATTCAAGGCCAGCCTGAGCAACATAACAAGACCCTGTCTCTATAAAAAAAAAAAAAAAAAATTAAAGATAAAAATTTGACCAGGCATACTGAAGCATACCTGTAGTCCTAGCTACTTGGAAGGCTGAGGCAGGAGGATCAACTGAGCTCAGGAGGTCGAGGTTGCGTGAGCTATGATCACACCATTGCACTCCAGCCTGGGTGACAGAGCAAGACCTTGTCTCAAAAAATAAAACCAGAAAAATGAATGGAATAGATTAGGGGACTATAGCAGACACTGTCAGTGCCCTGGCTCATCACCTCATCTACACTCAACATTCAGATGCATCTTTGCTCCCGCTTCATATCTCAAGCATCTATCATTTTGCCTGAGGCTTTCTCTGGCCACAGGAGTATGCCCTGCCCAAAGGGGCAGGACAGAATTGCTAGGGAATTAATACCTCTAGGAGCAGCCAATCAATAAAGCAGAGAGTTGGTGGATGAATACCCCAGCTTCCTCACCCCTTGGGTGAAACGATTCTGAGATGTGTTCTATAAAGTCTCTAAGATTCCCTAGGGGAACTGAGCCTCAGTTGTCCACAGTTGCTCATTATTACACACTCAATTAGCTTCTTTCTCTTTCTTGTCTCATTTCTCCACATCTCTATCAACACTTTCTGAAATTACCTTTCAAATAAACCTTTTACACCCAAATCCTTGTCTCAGCGTTTGATTTTGGGGAAACTTAAACAGACATAAAATTTCTTTGAGAAAACTCATTGAAGTTGTTTATTAGCTATTCATTCATTCATTTGGGTTCCCTAATTATTTGCAAGCTCTGTGGTGAAGGTCTAAGAATCATGAAGATAAATGAGAGAAAGTTCCCATCCTGAAGGTGTACAAAGCCTGCTCAGGCAGTTAGGCAGGTAAGCCACTAATTACAGTGTAATAAGGGCTCCAATAGAAGTATACGCAGGATGACAGCATGTTACCCAGTTTTGCTTTGGGAGAAAACCTGAAACTTGTGAATCTTTCTCCAGAGAGGATTCAACAACCCTTTTTCCAAAAGCACGGAACATTTTTCAGCAGATTAATGATGTTTGAGCAGAGTCTTGAAATCTGGGTATAATTATTACAGATAGATAAAGGGGTTGGGGGAAGTAGGGCATTCTAGGCAAAAGGAACATGGACAAAGGTGGAAAGAGAACACCGCATGTGGGAGACTATGCTGGACAGAACCTGGAGGGTAAAGATAAAGTTTGAGTCTAGAGAAAGAGGCAGGTGGTCCATAAAGGGCCTTGCAAATCTTGCTCAGTAGTAATGGTAAGCCATTGAAGGACTCAAAAGAAGAGTAACTAATTTCCCTTTTTTTTTTTTTGCATGGCCCAGAGCTCACCATTAGCCATTACAATTCAATAGTCTGTTATAAACACACTACTATTAAAAACTTCAAAACGTTAGTGGCTGAATCCTACTTCCCTATGCAGAGGCACTATTTTCAATCGTGTGTGAAAAGTTTTCACAATGTTTCAGCAAAATCAGGCCAATGAGCTTACAATCTAGAATAAAGATATTAGTCTTTAGTGAAAGTAATTGTTAAAATAGCTACATTTCTGTCAGGTAGACTACGAAAACAAATATTAACTTGTGATTTGTGTTATGTATCAGTATAGGTTTTTAAAGAAAATTTTAAAGTATTTCTTATTAAATGACTAGTAATGACCTATGGCAAAAACAAAATCTTCCAGCCTTTATTTGGTAGTATCTTAGAGACTTTCTCCTTCCTACAGGCCCATGCAAACACCTTCACTTACCCAAGTATTCGGTTCCATAGTAAGAATACATCAGGGGGAATGGTTTCCTCTTCTTTATGGCATACTGCTTCCCAGAGTCCAGAATTGCCTGACAAATTGACTTGATCTGTGCTGGAGTCAGCACCTGAATAAGGAAATCCAGAAGTAGAAGTCAAAGCAGGATCTCCTTTTTCCTTAGACACTGAATTTTCTTGCTTAAGAAGTCTAGCATCATATCCACAGAATCCTGTACTATATGTAAATAAACTTAGTCAACGAAAATTTATTCTTTTTTTACCACTGATTCTTCCTTTGTTGTCAAGTTGTCAAACCTACCCTCTTTAGAAAACTTGCCATTTCGGTGGAAAACACACACCTTTACAGCTATAGGTTGCTATAAAATACAAAGACTACCTTATGGCTGTCATATCATTAATCCTTGTCACAGGAACAAGGATTTGCTCAGAAAAGAACAAATAGTGGTCCTAACTGATTATGCTTAACAAAGCTGTTACTCCTGGTGTACAGTGTAGGTCTGGCCCAAACATCAGACCTTCAATTTGTGTTATTTAGACTGTGCTTATAAAGACTGTACTTATAAAGCCATGATTCTGTGATAAGCTGCAGTATGACGGACTCACTGTAGGCATTTGTACTACCTGAATGAAACCAAAGTCCAATAGTGTCAACACAAAATAACTTCTAATATCAAAATGACTCTGAATAGAGAATGGCTAAAATGTAATGACTTGCAGTCTTCCATGTTTTATTCAATCTGTCCACAGTCGGTTTTAGGACTATAGAGATTAAACGGTTCTCAAGCCTTCAAAGCATCATTGCATTTATTAAGATTCTGCTCAGGTTAGCCATATGTTTTGCATCCTGCCCTTCCTGGGACAAATTAGATGTTCCCTTTGGCACACTCCCTTTATGACAGTGACATTTGCTCTGCTGCACAGCACTGTTGTGTTAGATCTCTCTCTGTTGTGTTAGAGCTCTCTCTTTCTCTCTCACTAGACTATCAGTTCTTTGAGAGCAAACACTGTGGCACCTCATAATTTTGGTATCCTTGGTGCCTAACACAGAGTCTGAGGGGGGTCCTTCACAACCGATGAGTGAGTAAATAAGTGACAGTTTAACTGGTATGAAATTCAGAGCCCTCCCTCCCTTCATTCTTTATTCGCTTCCTCCGTCCCTCTCTTTCCCTCCGCTCCACGATTGTTTCTTAAGCCTCTACTACATTCCAGGCAAGACTGTTCTGGATGCTGGAGATATGACAGTGAGCAAGATAGACAGAACCTGTGCTCTCATGAAGCCAATCTTCCCAAAAGGTAGACCTGCACAGGAAACGTACTGGTCAGATTAACCAAAACTAAAAAACATCTAAGTTTAGTCTGATTGAATGAATCTGGGATCAATAAAAAGTCCGTTGGATTTTGGCCTCTCTCCTAAAACTGACACATTTAATTTTCCTACCCAATATCCAGCATTAGACCAGCCAATTCCTTTTGAAATAAGTTTCTAATGATTTATTCATAAATTGCTCCTCTGATTTACCTGGTATTAGAAGGAAAAAATATAATCCAGCTTTGGTTTCCCAAAATCTAGCATTTAATTTGGAAAAATAATTACTTCATGAGGATACCATTCATTAATTAATTCTGCCAATTAACATTTATTGAGCTACTATTCCAGTAAGGTCCCACACTAGGTGTTGTGGAGAAATTTGAGAAACCATGAGACATATTTTTTCCCTACAGGCAAGTTACCATCCAGCACTGGAGATGAGATATAGACAAGAGTCTACAATAGAGCAACTAAAGCTCATGAGCCTAGAGATAGAAAGAAACAGTAATGCAGAGTAGGTAAGATGGACTCGGCTTCAGTAAGACTACATTCTCTTTTTTTTTTTTCTATTTGCTGAAATAATGATGTCATGGCTTTCAACTTAAATTTCCCTTTTATTAACCACTCTCTCTGTCTCTTAAGTGTACTCCTCCTAACATTCCTGAAGACCCTATCTTCCTATGCTGCATCCCCACTGTCCTATCATATCAGCCCCAAGTCTTCTTTCCTTAGCTTAATAGCAAATTTCTCCTAAATGATTAAATACAACCATTCAAATTGCTACCATAATTTTCATTTGGTATTGAAAACATTTACTCTTTGTGTCTTTATCAGTGCCAACTGATCTTAAGTTTAGTCTTACACTACTTAAAATCTTGCATCATCATTTGTCTCAAATCAACCCCTCTTTCTCAGAAACCTGCTAAAAGCCCTGAAGGGCATGCACTTAATTGGACTCTATCCTGATTGAATCCCATAGTCTTCTGGGAATATATCTGGCTCTGCTCAATATTGATTTTGAATCCATATGACAGAGGAAGTTTTTGTGGTAGGAAACAGTCACTGAATTTTCAGGGATGTATTCATTTGCACTACTAAAATTTTTCCTATTTGACTTTCATGCCTATAACTGAAAATTGGCTTATTTCCCCAGCTGAACATTTATTCATATGTTGTGTGTGTGTGTGTGTGCATGTCTGTGTACGTGTGTGTTTGCCTGCTTATTTTTAACCCAGAAAAAAATCAACTTACACTATATGTGGTGCCCTCCCCCTTTCTTTCTATCCCGAATCCACAGCTTAGAATAGGGAATGAGTTTATAAAATATTATTTCAAAACCTCCCATGGTCATGTATCATGTCTGGGTGGTTTCCTCTTATCTCTCAGAAACACTGTGAAAAACAAAGAGAAACCGGCGCTTGTTCGGCTGGATAGAGACCAGTTATGCATGCAGTTCTTTATCTCTGGGAACAGACAAGACCTACCCTCAGTTTACTGATCAGCAAATAAAAACTAAAAACAGAGTTCATTAAAAGCCTGTGTGTGGGGAACACTGAGGAAGAGTATTTTTCGCCCCCGAACAAACAGTACAGAAAGAAGAAGGGAGTTGAGATTCTGGGGTAAGGGCTTGAGCTTGTTCTCCTGTGTCTGCTTTCTCAAATATCCCTCCACTCTCTGCCCCTAGTACACAGGAGCACAAGCATGAGCACACCCACTGCCTCCAAAGATGGCCTCTGTGCTTTTGAGACACTCTGAGATCCTGGGAATGAGGGAGCAGCATTTCCGGTGGGGGAACAAAAATGACTAGGAATGGCAGAGCGGGGCTCCCTGGCCATCAGGCCTTCACCAAACAAACCCAAATTATTCCCTCTCCTGTAGTTGTAGCCCCTAAGATCAATGCATTTGTTGATATTTTGGATGGAATAGATTCTTTTCTTTTTACATTGAATTAAAATAAATTAAGATATTTCAAAAATACGAAGCAAATCTGAGGTGGTTTGGTTTAAACCGTTTTGTTTAGTTTAACTGATTCACTTTACTGACCTTGTGAAATATTCCTATTGGTTTGGCCTGAGTATGAAGAGACAAGAGGGCAATAAAGCTCATACTATATTTCTTGGCCCTGCCTGAAAGTCATGCTATGACTGAACTACCTCCATGCAGAGGAGAGATGACTTTCTTTGAAAAAAAAAAGTCAATAAAAAGGACCAAACCACAGAATGCTGGCCTCACCACTGACTCCTTCCCAAGGCAAGAGTCCTACCTACAGGAAGTGGCAGTCTTTGCTAGCTGTATTTCTTTTTCTAGGCATCAAACACCTCCTGCCCCTCCCCCATCAGCACTGACTGAATATGCGAATAGCAACTAAGTCTTGGGTGTGCCAGTGTCCTAAGGCATACAATGCCAATCAAATTCCTCCTCTCAACAATTTGAAATGCATGTTCAAAAAAAAAAAAAATGAAGCTGTCAGCAATCCCAGCTGCTGCTGAAGACAGGTCAGGAATGGGTCCATGCATAAACTGAGGTCAACAGGGAGTAAGCAGGGGCTGTGATGGAGAAAAACAGAATAAACCACCCAGCAGTGAGAGTGAAAGGAGACTGACCAGCAGTGAGAGTGAAAGGAGACTGACCAAACACCACATGTTCTCACTCATAGGTGGGAATTGAACAATGAGAACACCTGGACACAGGAAGGGGAACATCACACACTGGGGCCTGTCATGGGGTTGGGGGAGGGAGGAGGGATAGCATTAGGAGATATACCTAATGTAAATGACGAGTTAATGAGTGCAGCACACCAGCATGGCGCATGTATACATATGTAACAAACCTGCACATTGTGCACATGTACCCTAGAACTTAAAGTATAAAAAAAAAAACTTGCAAAAACCAGAAAAAGAAAGTTTATTATATCAGTAAAGAGGGATTAGGAAAAAGGACACAAATAAAAAGAATGTGAGTGTGCATATTCACATTATTTCTATTTTCTAATATTGGTAAGTCTTTTAATTAGTTAAAAAACATAAACTTAACTATAAAGAATAACAAAATTGCCAACTCTAAAGACTTTAAAAAGTCATAAAATGAAACAAATTTAACTGCATGTCAAGTTAAAGGCATAACCGCACAGATAAAATAATTAATTTTTTAAATAATGGTTTTTTTCATTGTGGAAGACAGTGTGGCGATTCCTTAAAGATCTAGAACTAGAAATACCATTTGACCCAGCCATCCCATTACTGGGTATACACCCAAAGGATTATAAATCATGCTGCCGTAAAGACACATGCACATGTATGTTTCTTGCTGCACTATTCACAATAGTAAAGACTTGGAACCAACCCAAATGTCCATCAGTGATAGACTGGATTAAGAAAATGTGGCATATATACACCATGGAATACTATGCAGCCATAAAAAAGGATGAGTTCTTGTCCTTTGTAGGGCCATGGATGAAGCTGGAAACCATCATTCTGAGCAAACTATCTCAAGGACAGAAAACCAAACACCACATGTTCTCATTCATAGGTGGAAATTGAACAATGAGAACACCTGGACACAAGGTGGGGAACATCACACACTGGGGCCTGTCGTGGGGTGGGGGGAGGGAGGAGGGATAGCATTAGGAGATATAAATGACAAGTTAATGGGTGCAGCACACCAACATGGCACATGTATACATATGTAACGAACCTGCACATTGTGCACATGTACCCTAGAACTTAAAGTATAATAATAAAAAAAAAGAGAAAAAAAAAAGAGAGTGAAAGGAGACTGCAGCAGATATGCTAAAAGAAACAATGATACCAAGAGAGAAAGTTAAAGAAAAGTAGCTCGTCCTTATAGCTCCCTCTTCCTAACAGTTTAGGGCTACTCCCTTTAGGGCTTCCTACCAATTTTCCATACAATACCCACCCCCATACTCCGCCCTTTCTTTTTAGTCATTTGAGAGTCTCAGTTTCTTGCAAAAAGAGCCTAACTAGAATAGATATGAATATAAAGCCAAACCTTTCATTTGTCGTTTCATCCCTCACATAAACACATCAGTTTTCCTACCTACCATACTAGATCCTTTCACTCAAAATAACAAAGATACCTGCATCTATGGTGCATGATAAGGTACATGCTAAGACTCTTCTGGGCATGGGACCCGGCATTGGGGCTTTTTTTTTTTTTTTTCCCTGAGATGGAGTTTCACTCAGTCACCCAGGCTGGAGTGCAGTGGCACGATCTTGGCTCACTGCAACCTCCACCTCCTGGATTAAAGCAATTCTTCTGCCTCAGCCTCCTGAGTCACTGGGATTACAGGTGCCCACCACCACACCTGGCTAATTTTTTGTGTTTTTAGCAGAGACGGGGTTTCACCATGTTGGCCAGGCTGGTCTCGAATTCCTGACCTCGGGCGATCTGCCCACCTTGGCCTCCCAAAGTGGTGGGATTACAGGCGTGAACCACCACGCCTGGCCGGGATCTTTTTTAAGCTCCCCAGTGGATTACAAAGAGTGGTCAAGGTTGAGAACTACTGCCATAAAATACTAAGTGAGTGCAAAAATAGTTCTTAAAACCAAAGTAATAATAATATAATACAATATAATAATAATGATGAAGACGAGGGCTAAAGGGAAAACTAGCAAAAGAACTCCCAGGTATAAAGAAATGCCTTTGGTGTGAGTCATGGAGGACTCAGAATTATCTGTCCAGTCTTAAATTATCTGTCCTCAAACTTCTGTCAATTGCCCATTTGAGACCTCTGATATCTCTAAGAGGTATATGCTCCTCAAAGTGTGGTCCATGGACCAGCAGTAAAGGTATCCTGATAGAAATTCAAATTCCCAGGCCCCAGCCCAGACCCAGTGAATTAGAAACTGAATTTTATTTGTTTTAATTTATTTTTTATTGTTTTATTTTACTTTAAGTTCTGGGATACATGTGCAGAATGTGCAGGTTTGTTACATAGGTATACGTGTGTCATGGTGGTTTGCTGTACCTATTGACCTGTCCTCTAAGTTCCCTCCCCATGCCCCCCATCCCCCAACAGGACCTGGTGTGTGTTGTTCCTCTCCCTGTGTCCATGTGTTCTCATTGTTCAACTCCCACTTATGAGTGAGAACATGCAGTGTTTGGTTTTCTGTTCCTGTGTTAGTTTGCTGAGGATGATGCCTTCCAGCTTCATTCATGTCCCTGCAAAGGACATGATCTCATTCCTTTTTATGGCTGCATAATATTCCGTGGTATATATGTGCTACATTTTCTTTATCCAGTCTATCATTGATGGGCATTTGGGTTGTTTCCATGACTTTGCTATTGTAAATAGTGCTGCAATAAACATACATGTGCATGTGTCTTTATAGTAGAATAATTTATATTCCTTTGGGTATATACCCAGTAATGGGATTACTGGGTCAAATGGTATTTCTGGTTCTAGATCCCTGAGGAATCACCATACTATCTTACACAATGGTTGAACTAATTTACACTCCCACCAACAGTGTAAAAGTCTTCCTATTTCTCCACAGCCTCACCAGCATCTATTGTTTCTTGACTTTTTAATAATTGCCATTCTGACTGGCATGAGATGGTGTCTCATTGTGGTTTTGATTTGCATTTCTCTAATGATCAGTGATGTTGAAATTTTTTTCATGTTTTTTGGCCATGTAAATGTCTTCTTTTGAGAAGTGTCTGTTCAGATCTTTGCCCACTTTTTGTAGGGTTGTTTTTTTCTTGTAAATTTGTTTAAGTTCCTTGTAAATTCTGGATATTAGACCTTTGTCAGATGAGTAGATTGCAAAAATTTTCTCCCATTCCGTATGTCACCTGTTCACTCTGATGAAAGTTTCTTTTGCTGTGCAGAAGCTCTTTAGTTTAATTAGATCCCATTTGTCAATTTTGGCTTTTGTTGCAATTGCTTTTGGCGTTTTCGTCATGAAGTCTTTGCCCATGCCTGTGTCATGAATGGTATTGTCTAGGTTTTCTTCTAGGGTTTTTATGGTTTTGGGTTTTACATTTAAGTCTTTAATCCATCTTGAGTTAATTTTTGTATAAGGTGTAAGGAAGGGGTACAGTTTCTGTTTTCTGCACATGGCTAGCCAAGAAACTGAATTTTAAAAAGATCACCAGATGGTAGCATATGCCCATGAAAGTTTGAGAAGCACTGGCTTAAGATACATTAGCTATAAATTATTTAAATTTCCCAATATTAGGTTAGGTCCTGACAACACTGTATATCTGGAGTATACAAATCTGGCTTTCCACAGATTATTTTTTCTAACTATGACTATCGTGGCTTTGGTTTCTATATAAAGGAAAGGTTGATTTTTTAAAAAAAGACAAGTTTTGTAAAACTGCTGTTGAAGATATTGTTCACAGTTTTCTAACGCCTCTGTATGAAGGCCTAAGTGATAAGCTACCCTCATAGCCCACCTAACAAAGTGAAGTGAGAGTTTGTCTTAGTCTTGAGGGCCAAAAGGCAGAGTTAATTCCTGTGCTTAGTGCAGAAACTTCCTTTACCCTAGGGGTTTTGCTATAAACATTTTACCTCTTAAACCTTAATCCATGTTGAATGGTTAATGGTTTCACTGTATTTGTGAATTTTTGTTGTAAACCACCCCAAACACGTTTTTGGAAGTGGGTAGAGCCCAAGGAAACATTTTTACAATATACGGAGTATGCGTCTTAAGGTGACAATGAATTATTAGTGCAGAAGTACAGTTCTAAGTCTGACCTGACAGGCAATCCTTACAGAATCTGAAACAACTGTAAGGAGGTGCTAGACTTCCCACCCTAGGCCTTGCTCAAGCACCACCAACATTATCATGCAAGAGTCCAAAATGCCCTGAGTGCCCATCTGCATAGAATGCAGGGTCACTCTGATATCATAGCAAACATATATGTAACAGAGTAAGAATCTGATATTAACTTAATGTTTTCACCCAGCAATTTATTTCACCCAATCCTTTGCCTCATCATCCTGTTGGTAGGATAGGCTTCTGCCTAGAGAAAGAAGCCATCTGACTACCCAATAAACATCAAAATGACTTTTTTGTATGTCTTTTTTTAAAGTTAGAGCTACTGGAATGAGACAAATGACTTTTGATACGCATGAACAATAAAGAAAAAAGTTTTTGGGTTGTTAGATCCTGGGTTTTGTTTTGTTTTTTTGTTTTTTTGTTTTTTTGATGAAGTCTTGCCCTGTCGCCCAGGCTGGAGTGCAGTGGCATGATCTCAGCTCACTGCAAGCTCTGTCTCCCAGGTTCATGCCATTCTCCTGCCTCAGCCTCCCAAGTAGATGGGACTACAGGCGCCTGCCACCACGCCTGGCTAATTTTTTGTATTTTTAGTAGAGACGGGGTTGCACCCTCTTAGCCAGGATGGTCTCGATTTCCTGACCTCGTGATCTGCCCGCCTCGGCCTCCCAAAGTGCTGGGATTACAGGTGTGAGCCACCACACCCAGCCTCCTGGGTATTTTTAATACTTAAAATTGATACCATAAAACAATGGATTTGAAGGATAGTTCCGAATAAACTCAGGATGGAGATACAAGCTGTTCAAGGTGGGATGAGTTGACATAGAAAAGAAACCAGAAGTTGAAAGTCAGTGTGAGTGTGGTGTTCCTGCTTTCCTACCTCCATCCCATCATGCCAAGCCTTAGGAGTCTTACAACAGGCCTCCAGACAGGTTTGAGGATCTACAGTTTGTTAGGATATGTGCCTCCCTTTTGCCTGGAACTCAGGAAGATGGCAGCCTCAGAGGTGTGTCTCTTGCTTCAGGGTCTGGGACCAGCAAAAGAGATACCACCACGTGGCCTGTCCCACATGAAACAGCAGAAGATGATCCTGAGTTTCCTATGGGCACCAGAACAGAGTAGTAAAACATCTCATCTCCAAAATTAAACTTATTTTTTAAAATTCCCAGTCCAAATTATTTCAAATTAAAAAGTTAGAGAAATTGTTTATACAAAGTCAATATTCACAAGTGGTTAAATTTTTACTTCCTATATCTCTTTGGGGTTGTAGTTCACTTGGAATCCACTAGGTTACAAGAAAGAGCCAGGCCTTTCAGGAAATCTCTGTAGCAGATAAAGATTTACTTAAGGTATTGAGAAGACAGAAACTTGGAGGAGCTTCTTTGAGGAAGAACATCATGAGCACTCTTACAGTGCATAGTGACCTCCAGAGAACATCATGAGCAGAAAAGGTGTTGAGCAAGCTTAAAGATACAAAATAGGGCTTAAGAAAAACCTTCAAGTAGGAAACTGATCTTGACAAACTGAATAATTCATGAGTATTATGTGCAAAGCCTATGCTAGGTTGGAGAAACATGGAATCTTAATAATGAGACTAAGTAGACATGCAAAACATTTAAATAATGAAATATTCAGCATTCATTTAAATCCTAAAAGTAGTACTGTAAAGGAGTAACGTGAATGGAGTAAATATTGGCTTCATAGAGGAAGAGGAATATGAGCTGAGCTTTGAAGGACAAGTAGGAAGTGGGTAAATGAAAGCATGGGGAAGAGAGCATTTTTAACTTATTGGATGATGGGGAGAGTCCTGTGTATTGGGGCAATGCTTCAAAAACCTCAAGGTGCACACACATTACTTGGGGCTCTTGATAAAAAACAAAGATTCTAATTCGGTAGGTCTAGGATGGGGCCAGGATTCTGTTACTAACAAGCTCCTTGTTACAACAGTAGTGATGCTGAGGCTGACACTGCTGGTTCATCAACCACACTTGAAGTAGCAAAGGATTATGAAAATAGAGAGGCTGGTTGCAGCAGAGGATTTCTTTTGGAAAAGGTGAGAAGTTAGACCGAAGGAACAATAGAAGTTCCCAACGACATTCAAGGCAGCGAGAGGAAGCATCAAGCAAAAGTGTTGCATATTATCATTTAAATGATTAGATTACCCAGAAAAGGGACACAGCAACGATAAGAAATTCTCTTCCAATATTCTGCATGTAAGACAGACATGTCCATATTTGCATGCTCCACTGAGGAGCTCTTTTAGCCAGTGTGGCCAGGTTTGTTATTTTCTTAACTGGTCTCTAAATGGGGCATGTGTGCTGGTGCAGAATGAGCAAGTCCCTTCCATCTGGTTTTCCTGATGCTCCCTGATCATTATTATGCTGGGCTATGAGGAATAGGAAGCAGGTTGCTCTAGTTGATGATTATCCTCCAGTCATTAAAGGGATTCAGCATGGAATTTCAGTTATAAACATTTGGTCCCAGGTACCATTTCACAGTTGTTTCTTTTCCCTTCTCATGTGAAGAAACATAAACCCAGAAAACACTAGAAACCAGAAAAGAAAAACAGGTTTTACCCCATTCTTACAGCCTGACTGCTGGCTTTAAAGATTTATCAGAAGTAGCTGGTAACCCAGTCTGCACCAACTGTCACTAGATGATTTTATTCTCTTTCTTCTAAGACACTAAATGTCTCAGAGCACAAGCTTCCTTATCTACAAAAACAGGATTACGTTTGCCCCACCTATCTCCTCAGGTAATAATGAGACTCTTATGAAAAAGCAGTTCCCAACGTTTGACTGCATACTGCAATCACCTGGGGAGCTTTTAAAAATCCCAATGCCCTGTCCACACCCGACACTGATTACATCAGACTCTCTGGGCGTGGGACCCAGGGATGAGTATCCTTTTTAAGCTCTCCACGTTATTACAAAGAGTGTCAAGGTTGAGAACTGCTGACATGAAATACTGAATGAATGCAAAAGTAGTTTTAAAAAGCAAAGTAATAATACTATGATTATGATAATGAAGAAGAGGAGGGCTACAGGGAAAATATGGAAAAGACCTCCCGAGTATAGAGAAATGCCTTTGGTCTGAGTCATGGAGGAATGGAAGGAGAAACCTGATGTGCACATGAATGAACATGCTGGGTCAGGCCAGAAGTCTACTAAATGCCATCCAGTGTTTCCAACACAGGCACCAATGCACATTGTGGGAAGCTAATGAGGAAACCACAGAACACAGCAGACAGTGCACTGGACTAGGAATCAGGAGATCAGGGCTTGAGGCTCCTTTGGCACCATACCCATGGTTAAGTCATCAGACCTCCATTTCTTCATCTAAAATAAAGGGGCTGGACTAGTATCTATTCACTGGCCACAGCTTCTCAAATGTTAGTGTTCCTAAAAACCATCTAGTGATCCTGCTAAAACACAGCTTCCCAGGCCTCACCCTCAGAGATTCTGACTCAGTAGCTGTGGAGTGGGGCCTGAGGTCTTGCATTTCTAACAAGATCTTGGGTGATGGTGATGCTCCTGGCCAGAAAAGCACCTCTTGAGTAGCACTGTACTAGGTGACATCTAAGGTGCCTCTAGGTTCCAAGCTCTATGGTTCTCCAAAGCATTGGAGGAATCTGGTTTTTGAACATAAAAAGGAGAATAGCATGGTGATAAACAGGGACTTGGGGGTAAGATACACCTGAGTTCCAAACTTAGCTTTACCACTTTCTAGTAGTGTGAATTTGTGAGTTACTTATTCTTTCTTAGCCTCATTCTTCTCATTTGTAAAAAGTAGTGATAATAAGATCTATGTCACTGGGTTGCTGTAAGGGTTTCATATAAGATACTTAGCACGGTTCCTAGCATAAAGCACATGCACAATGCCTGCAAGCTATAGTGAAAAGGGACATCTGAAGTCCAATAGTGACTGAACTCCAGGCCTTGGAGGTTTGAGCTCAGCATACTTCTCATAAAATAACCATGCTGTTGCCTACTTCCTATACCTCATCTTCCACCCAAGGACCAGCTTATGTCAGCCTGCATTCCTAAATTGTTCTAACTTTTAATTCATAAACTAGCAATGTATGACCCTTCATGTCTGTGTATTTACTTTTATCATCACCACACTTGCAGCCTTCTCTGTCCCACTTTTCCCAAAATGTCATTCCTTTGCTCTTTCAAAATGTCTCCCAAGTTTATCTGGTTTCTAGATACGAACTAACTATATAACTTTAGACAAATCATGCAACTTCTCTGGACCTCAGTTCCTCATCTGGAAAAATAAGAAGTCAGGCTGAGGCGGTCTTTAATGTGTCTTACACATATAGCATTTTATGATTCAAGTCTTTATGACATTTATAAATCTATATACTGTATATAGATTTGGGCTGTAATTCTTTAATGTGAACATGATAGTATGTTTCAGCAGTTTAATTTCTTAGAGAAAAGGCAAAAAATCTTTTGTGGTGAAACTAGAACACAGGTTCAACTTGTCCTATTCTAGGCATTTTATTTTATCAATATGTCTATTTTCTTATGTACTTTCTTCCTAATAGGAAGCTTAAAGGACTAGAACACTTTGTAGCTTCCTGGCATCAGTTACTTGAATTATCTGCAGTTGTCAGTCTCCTGATGTACCCAAAGTGAATGCCGACATTATTAAGGCTGAATGCTTTGTTGACTATTTCACATCATACCTTTCTCTAAGCCACTGTTAAATGAGTATGTCATTACAGTATTCTCAAACCATGGTTCAAAATGTTCAAGTGCCTGTTTGGTACATGATAATGTACTAGAGAGTATAGAAATATAGGGATGAATAGTTGCTTATTGTCAAATATACAGTAAATGCCCTTCCTATTTTGAAAGGCCAATTCTGAATTCATAGTGGCTTACACTATTAGTTAGCGACATCTCTTTTCTCTTTATTTCTTGCTAACTGAATATCAGTTTTATTAGGCTGGCAATTGTGTCTAGCCCTAAGTGACAGTAATTAGCCTTAGCCAAACATATAAATCCCATTGTCCCTTGCCAAGTACCCTGCATTCCTTGTAGCTAGGGTTGGCTATGTGGCCTCACTTGATCAATGGAGGAATCTGCAGGAGCTTCATGGAAAGCTTTTTGTTTCATAATACATGGAAATAAAATGGACATACATGGCTGTTATCTTCCTTTCCTTTTTTTTGGCTGCCTTGAATATATATGTGAGGCCTGAAG
Organism: Homo sapiens; assembly: GCF_000001405.40. NCBI lineage: Eukaryota > Metazoa > Chordata > Mammalia > Primates > Hominidae > Homo > Homo sapiens. The sequence continues at coordinate 37,642,529 of NC_000023.11, read as the reverse complement.
TAGTAGCAGCCAATTTGCATTCTGCAGCTATGAGCACATGAATGAAAGGCCAACATTCTGAGAATGATGGAGGAGAAAGAAAAATTCTGGGATTTTTGGACATTATTGAGCATCTGTACCACAACCAGGACCACCTATATCCAAACTCTTGTTATAAGAGAAAATCTAATCCCTTTTTAAAAAGTCACTGTTCATTGGGTTACTTACAGCCAAGCCCACATAAACTGGGCAGCCATAAAGTGCCAATCTAACAACATTGCTAGCCTTCACTACCCTGCAAAGCAATTTTTGCCCACGTGCACCTCTGTTGCCACAGAAATCTCTAACTCTAAAGCTCTTTAAAGTGGGGCTGACTGCCTGAGTAGGCAAATTTAAATGCAGTTTCCAGTTCTGACTGCACTCACAAGGTTGCAATTGATTTTTCTCGTTAAGTGCTATCCTAGAGCCCAGGGACAAAGAGTAGAAAACACTCTTTGCTGCCATTGCCCTGGGTGACCTCCCTATTTCTTCCACTTATCCAGCTTCAGGTCAGGGGCAATGGACACCCTCCAATCCGTCACCATGACAGTAGATCCTCAAATCCTTAAAAGTCACTTTGGGAAGACAAAGAGGAGGCCTGTGGGAGCTTTAGCACCAAGTGCTATGAAGCAATTATCTTCTTTTCCAGGAGCCACAGTTCCCTCCACTCAAGTGACTCTATTATGTACTACCTATTTTGTCATCATCTCAGAGAGGTATTCACAAAAATGGTCCTGGTTGAACAATATCTGAACAATTTGTGACATTTTAAGGCTTAATAGCTCTTTCACCTAGATGCTTTCAACAGAACAAGCTGAAAAGATATCTTTTCCCATGTTCTTTGACATGGGCCTGTAGGATTGATGGATGCCCTGAAGGTCATAATTGCAGAAGGGAAGGCAGAGATACTTTAAAATTGCTTAGATCTTTCTTCCTTTTTCCTTTAGTACCTTAAAATACATTTTAATAAATGTATTCCTTGGATGTAGAGGAAGCAGTGTGATATAGTGCTGGTTGGGCCATGAATGGTACCTTTTCTGTGTATAACATGAAACCTAAAGCTACGGGGTATGTCGGGGGGTCTGGTAACCATGGTTGGAAAATTCAGAACTTCTAGCTTTGTCGTAATATGGCCCTGAGTCAGTGATTTAACCTCTCTGGCTTCACTGTATTCATCTGCAAAATGAAGTAACTTCCCAGGTCCTTTCTGGGAAATATATTTTATATATATATATATGAAATAAAATGGACATATATGTTTCCATCCTTCTCCCCTTATTCATTTATGTACTGTAGGGAATCCATCCTCTGTGTGATCATGTCCAAAGCAGCAGTTTTGTTATGTTGACATTTTCTGGTATTTTAAAGGGAAAATATTTCTGGTTTCTCTTTTTCTGGCTTCTTTTAATAATTTTAACCAGTAATCTTTAGGAGAGCTAGAATATAAAATTCAGATAGAATCATTTTCTATGTAAATGGCATATCTAAAAAGGATATTTGAGGTGACCAGAGCATGAAGGTGTGATCAAGGGAGTTGCCACCACCATCTGCATCCCCTAACTACCAGGAACAAAAGTGACACCATGGCCAGATTCAATTTTTGTTTTATGCCTAGTGGAAGGAGAAAGGAATAGAGGACTTCAGGGGGAGCTGGCTCTATGGCTGAAGAGGAGAGAAGGTAAATTGACACCCTTACTCTGTTAAGGGTAAGAAGTTACCCAAATTCTCTTCCTTAGATTTAATCTTTGACAAGTTTCAAATGGTCACTGTCAAATGAATGCAGCTGGGGAGCCTACTGGCCCTGGAATGGCTGAGATGAGCAACTGAGATGTGTAACCAGTAGTAGGCAAAGCAGGATTTATAACCTTGTAAGTTAGTAACTAAGGTCTTTGTCTTAGACAAAGATTTGTTCTATGATAATTATTGAGCCCTGCTATGGCTTACTAGGAGAACATCAGTGAGCAAAAGAGAGAAAAGTCTCTGCCACTATGGAGATTACATTTGATACGGTTTGGCTCTGTGTTCCCACCCAAATCTCATCTCAAATCGTAATCCTCACATGTCGGGGGAAGGGCCTTGTGGGAGGTGATTGAATCATGGGGGCGGGCTTCCCCATTGCTGTTCTCAGATCTCAGTTTTCAGGAGATCTGATGGTTTAAAAGTGAGGTACTTCCCTCTTTGTGCTCTCTCTCCTGCCGCCATGTAAATAAGTGCCTACTTCCCCTTCCAACATGATTCTAAGTTTCCTGAGGCCTCCCCAGCCATGTGCAACTGTGAGTCAATTAAAGCTCTTTTCTTTATAAATTACACAGTCTCAAATAGTTCTTTATAGCAGTGTGAAAACAGCCTAATATAACATACTAGTGGGGTAGTCTGAATAAACTCATATCATGCTCCATGTTTTATTTCGCCAAATGTGTCTTATTCTGCCACTGTCCATAATTTGTTATTATTTTAATGAGGGCATGTTTATAAAGTAATCAATATTAAGTGAATTGTGTACCGTCACCTCGTGTTGCCTGGGGAAAGTTTAACAGGAGATAAAACTCATTCATAGTCTCCAATGTGAATTCAACTGAAGGCAATCGCCAAAATTGTAAGGATGGACATATGAAAGAAATGGCCAGCTGCTATAGCACATAATTACATGGTGAGTTAAAACAAAACAAAACAAAACAAAACAAACAAACAGAGATCTCAATCTAGACCAAGACTTTGGGGGAAGTAAGAGAGAAGAATCAGACACTCATTTTTTTTAAAAAAAGCTCCACGTGTGATGCTGGGACACAGACACTGCTTTACAGGGCTTTGCATAGCAAATCCAGCATTATTTAGTATTGCAAATAGCACAGGTGGTTAGAACAAGCAACTGAGCTTAATCTCATGTGGTTCATGTAGCATAGCTGGATATTTTCCTAGTCACAGACTAGACTTTTAATTATAAGCTTAATGCCAGGTACCCTCACTATAAGTTTGCCTCATTAGCTGTAACACAAAATACTACTGACCATTTACCACTTTTTAAATAAACCAAAGCAGGCTTCCCCATGATACTGAGTAGCCTCATGTTTAATATGTAAAGAGAACATGTTCACTAGATATGTAATTGGTCATGAAGCAGTACTTTAAAAATACGGTCTCTCAATTACAATGTGAAGGAACGACTCAAGACAGAATTTACCTACATACATGCATGTTATATATATATATAATATACATATACACACACATATATACATGTATGTATATATATGTATGTGTGTATATGTATGTAGGTACACACATACATATATATACATACATGTATATATGTGTGTGTATATGTATGTATATATGGATATATATATAATATGGATATCTATTACAGTGCATCAACATCCAAGGGAAATAAATGCCTAGGCCCATTTGTATAAGAATATGTACAGCAGCTTTATCCATAAGAGTTAAAATCTGGAAACTTCCTAAATATACGTCAACAGAATGAATAAATAAATGATGGTATATTCATACAATGGACTATTACTTAAGAATAAAAAGAGAACCAATTACTGATACATGCAGCAACATGGCTGGATGTCATGAACAATGAAAAAAGAGGTGAGACACAAAAGAGTATTTGCTGTATGATTCCATCTCTATGAAGTTCAAAATCAAAGTATGGTGATAGAGGTCAGAAAAGTGGTTACCTACCTGTTTGGGGGTTTGGGTGTGTGTGTGTGGGGTGAATGATATTCATTGGGATAAAGGAACCTTCTAGATTGATGGAAATGCTCTGTATATTGATCTGGTTAATAGATGTATGAAATGCACAGTTAATTCACTGAGTTATACCCTTAAGATTTGTACATTTTGCTATATGTAAACTATACTTCAATTTTTTTTATAAAAAAGCAAAAATAAATCAGGGAATTGAACAGCATATCTGTTATATGGTAGAATGAATAGTTTAGCTGTCTGTTAATACATTTTGTCTGAATGTCAAGGCCCTTTGGTTGTAAGTAGGAGGCAACAACTTTACTAGGTATCCTGAAGTAGGGTCTTCCTAAGACTATTGGAAATAGAAAAAAGTACACACCCTACTGGGAAGAGGAATTACATAAAAGAGTACATTACCTCCAGGCTGATACACCCTCATGCCAGGGCTTGGTGACCAGAACACCATGACTGGATTTCACTTCCCCTGCCCTTTTGACCAGGTGCCTTTATACAGGGCACAACCTTGCCTGTCCCCCTATCTGGAAGAAAGCTGAGTCAGCTCCTGAAACCTGAGGGCAGCTAGGACCAAGAAGGAACCAATGCTTGGACCCAGAAATCCTCCAGGCTGTAGCCAGTGTTCTCTCTCTTGGTGACATGGGTCTCTGCCTCTCTTTCACTTTCTACAAGTCTTCTTTCTCTACTTTTCTGTGGCTGAAGGTGACCTCCCATCATATTATCTCTCTCTTTCTTTCTCTCTCTCTCTCTCATTCCAAGTTTAAACATATCCCTAAGTTTTAGTCACATTACAGGATCAAATAGAGTTACTGAAACCCAATTTTAAATTCCTAGGAGAATCTGATACATTCAGCCTCATTCAGGTTCAGCCTCATTCAGGTGTGTTTACACAATGGCATCCACTCTAGCTGAAGGAGCAGGGCCAACTAATTCAAGATGGCTGCAATGATCCACCGAGAGGAGAAGTAGGACGAAACTTCACAGAGAAATGGGGTTATTCTGAGCTAGGCAGACATTCCCAGAAGGGTCTACTCTATTTGTATCAGGAATGTATTTAACTTAAATGAATAGAAAATCTCACTTCTAGTGGCTTAATCAAACAACAGGTCATTTTTCTCATGTAACAAAAAGTCTGAAACTGGCTGACTGCTGATATTGCTTAGTGACTTGTGATGTCAGAGCCAGGATGACACAATTTGCACTTCCTTACTTCATGGTGGACTATAGGCACAAAATGGCTGCTGCCAACTCCAGACACCATGTTTACATTCAAGGTGGGAAGAAATGGGAGGAAGGGGCCACGCGCATGTATTCTCTTTTATCAGGAAACCAAAAGGTTTCCCAGAATACCCTAGCATATTTACACTGACATGTCATTAGCTAGTGTTATATGACATGGCAAACCTGACAGAAAGAAAAGCTGAAAAATCAAGCAATTATTGGCAAAAATCGCTATGTCAAATAAAAGTAGGGTTATATTAGTAAGGACAATGTGGCAAAAAGAGCTCTGGTCGGCAATAGTGTCCGTCACCACACTGAACTATAGGAATCCATATTGTCTGAAAATTTATGTTAGCCATTCATGATCATGTCTGAACACAGATGATGGAAGGCACACTTAATTCCTTTTTCAAAAATGCACTGCTTCTTGCCACACACTATGTCACTATATATTCAATTTTGTGCTCCACCACCTAGGATCCTTTGGCTAGGATTTGCATTCTATTTCCAAAGCTGTTGTGGAGATAATTGGTCAAGGCTGCTTTCTCAGCTCTGAATATAACTGTCTAATCACTACACAAAGGCCTTTTCTAAACCAAAAGTAATATAGAACTGTAGAAAGCATGCTTAGAGGATGCTTGGCTTTCTCTAAATATACTACTTCAGAAGTGATCTAAAGATAACTATTATTTCAATATATGCAAATAGATAATATTCCATTTAAAATCTGTTCCTTACTATGAAACAGGTGCAAGAGATGAAGAAAGTGTTTAAGTAACCAAGTGCAAACAGTCTTCACCTTTAAAAGGAATAGACAGACTAGATGGCTTCTAGGCACCCCCCATGCTTGATATTATACTTTCTAAATGGACTGCAATCATAGTCACTCCACATCATGAGGGACATTTCTAAGAATTGTCTAGATTAGCATTGTTTTTCAATTGAGAGTCAATGTATTCTACGAGGTGAGAAAAATGTCATGGAAGAGGACAGACTGTACTTACCCATATAATAAGCGAAGAAATTCAAATTTCTAGCTGACTTTCATATAAGATTGTCATGAAAGACAATTACGCAAGCTTTTTAAAAAGTTATTTTTTCTAACAGATGCTGGTGAGGTTGCAGAGAAAGGGGAATGCTTATACATGGCTTGTAGGAATGTAAATTACTTCAGCCACTGTGGAAAGCAGTTTGGTGACTTCTCAGAGAACTTAAAACGAACCACCATTTGACCCAGCAAGTCCATTATTGGGTATATACCCAAAGGAATAGATATCATTCTATCATAAAGACACATGCACATGTATGTCCATCACAGCACTATTCACAATAGCAAACACATGGAATCAAACTAAATGCCCATCAATGGTAGACTGGATAAAGGAAATGTAGTACATATACACCATGGAATACTATGCAGCCATGAAAAGAATGAGATCATGTCCTTTTCAGCAGCATGAATGGAGCTGGAGGCTCTATCCATTATCCTAAGTGAACTAGCACAGGAACAGAAAACCAAATACTGCATATTCTCACTTATAAGTGGGAGCTAAACACTGAGTACACATGGATGCAAAGAAAGAAACAATAGACACTGGGGCCTACTTGAGGGTGGGGGAGGGAGAAGAGTGAGGATCAAAAACCTACCTATTGAATACTATTGCTTATTACCTGGGTGATGAAATAATCTGTACACCAAACCCCCCGTGACACACAATTTACCTATGTAGCAAACCTACACATGTACCCTTGAAGCTAAAAGTTAAAAAAAAATTAAGTAATAACTATACATATTCATAGGGTACATAGTGATGTGTTTATATATATATATATTAAATATAGTTATCAGATCAGGGTAATTAGCATCCATCATCTCAAACATTTGTGATTTCTTTTGTTGGGAATGTTCGAAATCCTCTTTCTAGCTATCTCAAACTATATAATAAAAAAGTTGATCTCATAAAAATAAAAAGTAGAACAGAGGATACTAGAGGTTGGAAAGGGGAAGGGGAAGGTGGGGATAGGGACAGGTGTGTTAAATGATACAAAAAGACTATGCTTACCTATGGTTTTTAATGTTTAAATATTTTATTATACACATATAAGGACAAAATTTGGGGGGAGAACATGTTAATTGTGTGTGGGGAAATGTTTAGATATTTGTTTACAGAATATATATTCATGTTACAGCATATTTATCATTATTTGTTAATTTTGTCCTTACTTCATCTCATATTCTAACTTAAAAGTGTAAGAAAGAGAACAAACTTTGGGTATCCATTCAAAAATCAACAGGAAAAGGAATCTTAAATGTCTGCAAGTGGAAACTATATTCATTATCTTTGGGCAAGTTACTTTAGCTGTCTGGATGTCAGTTTTCTCATTCATGAAACGGATCTTAAAAGTCTTTTCTTGCTCTAAAGTTCCAGGTTTCTATTATCTCTGTCAAAGAAGTCTGTCCAGATCAGAATTGTTCCAGTGGCATCAAGTTTTCACTTCCAGTTTTCAAGGTTTCCATGCTGCCCTGAGTCTTATGTCGCTCTTTTTTTTTTAATTCTGTGAGGTTTCCCAGTATCTAGTAATAACATCCCTTTGAATTTATTTTTATTCCTATAATTTTTGTATATAATTCCATAGAGTTTTAAGAATAGTACAAAAATTCTCATATACCATTTACCCATGGTAATATTCTGTTCACATTTTGCCACATTTGCTCAATCATTCTATTTGGGGAGGAAAGGTGTTTTGGAGTAAGTTGCAGACATGATGCCTCTTTATCCAGAAATACTTCAGTATATATTTCCTATAAACATGGACATTCTCCTACCTAACTACAGTACAATTATCAAAATCAGTAAATCTAATACTTATGCAATACTATTATCTAATCTAGTCTATATTTAAATTTTTCCAATAATCCCAATAATATCTCTTACAGCTATTTTATTTTCTGTCACAGGAACCAATCCAAAATCACACATTACAAAGGGGACAGCCAAGATGGCTGAACAGGAACAGCTCCGGTCTACAGCTCCCAGCGCGAGCGACGCAGAAGATGGGTGATTTCTGCATTTCCATCTGAGGTACCGGGTTCATCTCACTAGGGAGTGCCAGACAGTGGGCGCAGGACAGTGGGTGCAGCGCACCATGTGCGAGCCGAAGCAGGGCGAGGCATTGCCTCACTCAGGAAGCGCAAGGGGTCAGGGAGTTCTCTTTCCTAGTCAAAGAAAGGGGTAACAGACGGCACCTGGAAAATCGGAAAATTGGGTCACTCCCACCCTAATACTGCGCTTTTCCAACGGGCTTAAAAAACGGCGCACCAGGAGATTATATCCTGCACCTGTCTCGAAGGGTCCTACGTCCACGGAGTCTTGCTGATTGCTAGCACAGCAGTCTGAGACCAAACTGCAAGGCGGCAGTGAGGCTGGGGGAGGGGCGCCCGCCATTGCCCAGGCTTGCTTAGGTAAACAAAGGAGCCCGGAAGCTCGAACTGGGTGGAGCCCACCACAGCTCAAGGAGGCCTGCCTGCCTCTGTAGGCTCCACCTCTGGGGGCAGGGTACAGACAAACAAAAAGACAGCAGTAACCTCTGCCGACTTAAATGTCCCTGTCTGACAGCTTTGAAGAGAGCAGTGGTTCTCCCAGCACACAGCTGGAGATCTGAGAATGGGGAGACTGCCTCCTCAAGTGGGTCCCTGACTCCTGACCCCCGAGCAGCCTAACTGGGAGGCACCCCCCCAGCAGGGGCAGACTGACTTCTCACATGGCCGGGTACGCCTCTGAGACAAAACTTCCAGAGGAACGATCAGACAGCAGCATTTGCGGTTCACGAAAATCCACTGTTCTGCAGCCACCGCTGCTGATACCCAGGCAAACAGGGTCTGGAGTGGACCTCTAGCAAACTCCAACAGACCTGCAGCTGAGGGTCCTGTCTGTTAGAAGGAAAACTAACAAACAGAAAGGACATCCACACCAAAAACCCATCTGTACATCACCATCATCAAAGACCAAAAGTAGATAAAACCACAAAGATGGGGAAAAAACAGAGCGGAAAAACTGGAAACTCTAAAAAGCAGAGCGCCTCTCCTCCTCCAAAGGAACACAGTTCCTCACCAGCAATGGAACAAAGCTGGATGGAGAATGACTTTGACGAGGTGAGAGAAGAAGGCTTCAGATGATCAAACTACCCCGAGCTACAGGAAGAAATTCAAACCAAAGGCAAAGAAGTTAAAAACTTTGAAAAAAATTTAGACGAATGTATAACTAGAATAACCGGAGCTGAAAGCCAAGGCTCGAGAACTAAGTGAAGAATGCAGAAGCCTCAGGAACCGATGCGATCAACTGGAAGAAAGGGTATCAGTGATGGAAGATGAAATGAATGAAATGAAGTGAGAAGGGAAGTTTAGAGAAAAAAGAATAAAAAAAAAAAAACGAACAAAGCCTCCAAGAAATATCGGACTATGTGAAAAGACCAAATCTACATCTGATTGGTGTACCTGAAAGTGACGGGGAGAATGGAACCAAGTTGGAAAACAATCTGCAGGATATTATCCAGGAGAACTTCCCCAATCTAGCAAGGCAGGCCAACATTCAGATTCAGAAAATACAGAGAATGCCACAAAGATACTCCTCGAGAAGAGCAACTCCAAGACACATAATTGTCAGATTCACCAAAGTTGAAATGAAGGAAAAAATGTTAAGGGCAGCCAGAGAGAAAGGTCGGGTTACCCACAAAGGGAAGCCCATCAAACTAACAGCTGATCTCTTGGCAGAAACTCTACAAGCCAGAAGAGAGTGGGGGCCAATATTCAACATTCTTAAAGACAAGAATTTTCAACCCAGAATTTCATATCCAGCCAAACTAAGCTTCATAAGTGAAGGAGAAATAAAATACTTTACAGACAAGCAAATGCTGAGAGATTTTGTCACCACCAGGCCTGCCCTAAAAGAGCTCCTGAAGGAAGCACTAAACATGGAAAGGAACAACTGGCACCAGCCACTGCAAAATCATGCCAAATTGTAAAGACCATCGACACTAGGAAGAAACTGCATCAACTAACGAGCAAAATAACCAGCTAACATCACAATGACAGGATCAAATTCACACATAACAATATTAACTTTAAATGTAAATGGACTAAATGCTCCAATTAAAAGACACAGACTGGCAAATTGGATAAAGAGTCAAGACCCATCACAGTGCTGTATTCAGGAAACCCATCTCACATGCAGAGACACACATAGGCTCAAAATAAAAGGATGGAGGAAGATCTACCAAGCAAATGGAAAATAAAAAAAGGCAGGGGTTGCAATCCTAGTCTCTGATAAAACACACTTTAAACCAACAAAGATCAAAAGAGACAAAGAAGGGCATTACATAATGGTAAACGGATCAATTCAACAAGAAGAGCTAACTATCCTAAATATATATGCAACCAATACAGGAGCACCCAGATTCATAAAGCAAGTCCTGAGTGACCTACAAAGAGACTTACACTCCCACACAATAATAATGGGAGACTTTAACACCCCACTGTCAACATTAGACAGATCAATGAGACAGAAAGTTAACAAGGATACCCAGGAATTGAACTCAGCTCTGCACCAAGCAGACCTAATAGACATCTACAGAACTCTCCACCCCAAATCAACAGAATAGACATTTTTTTTCAGCACCACACCACACCTATTCCAAAATTGACCACATAGTTGGAAGTAAAGCTCTCCTCAGCAAATGTAAAAGAACAGAAATTATAACAAACTGTCTCTCAGACCACAGTGCAATCAAACTGGAACTCAGGATTAAGAAACTCACTCAAAACCGCTCAACTACATGGAAACTGAACAACCTGCTCCTGAATGACTACTGGGTACATAACAAAATGAAGGCAGAAATAAAGATATTCTTTGAAACCAACGAGAACAAAGACACAACATACAAGAATCTCTGGGACACATTCAAAGCAGTGTGTAGAGGGAAATTTCGAGGACTAAATGCCCACAAGAGAAAGCAGGAAAGATCCAAAATTGACACCCTAACATCACAATAAAAAGAACTAGAAAAGCAAGAGCAAACACATTCAAAAGCTAGCAGAAGGCAAGAAATAACTAAGATCAGAGCAGAACTGAAGGAAATAGAGACACAAAAAACCCTTCAAAAAATCAATGAATCCAGGAGCTAGTTTTTTGAAAAGATCAACAAAATTGATAGACTGCTAGCAAGATTAATAAAGAAGAAAGGAGAGAAGAATCAAATAGACACAACAAAAAATGATATAGGGGATATCACCACCAATCCCACAGAAATACAAACTACCATCAGAGAATACTATAAACACCTCTACACAAATAAACTAGAAAATCTAGAAGAAATGGATAAATTTCTCGACACATACACCCTCCCAACAATAAACCAGGAAGAAATTGAATCTCTGAATAGAACAATAACAGGATCTGAAATTCTGGCAATAATCAATAGCTTACCAACGAAAAAGAGTCCAGGACCAGATGGATTCACAGCCGAATTCTACCAGAGGTACAAGGAGGAGCTGGTACCATTCCTTCTGAAACTATTCCAATCAATAGAAAAAGAGGGAATCCTCCTTAACTCATTTTATGAGGCCAGCATCATCCTGATACCAAAGCCGGGCAGAGACACAACCAAAAAAGAGAATTTTAGACCAATATCCTTGATGAACATTGATGCAAAAATCTTCAATAAAATACTGGCAAACCGAATCCAGCAGCACATCAAAAAGCTTATCCACCATGATCAAGTGGGCTTCATCCCTGGGATGCAAGGCTGGTTCAATATACGCAAATCAATAAATGTAATCCAGCATGTAAACAGAACCAAAGACAAAAACCGCATGATTATCTCAATAGATGCAGAAAAGGCCTTTGACAAAATTCAACAACCCTTCATGCTAAAAACTCTCAATAAATTAGGTATTGATGGGACGTATCTCAAAATAATAAGAGCTATCTATGACAAACACACAGCCAATATCATACTGAATGGGCAAAAACTGGAAGCATTCCCTTTGAAAACTGGCACAAGACAGGGATGCCCTCTCTCACCACTCCTATTCAACATAGTGTTGGAAGTTCTGGCCAGGGCAATTAGGCAGGAGAAGGAAATAAAGGGTATTCAATTAGGAAAAGAGGAAGTCAAATTGTCCCTGTTTGCAGATGACATGATTATATATCTAGAAAACCCCATCGTCTCAGCCCAAAATCTCCTTAAGCTGATAAGCAACTTTAGCAAAGTCTCAAGATACAAAATCAGTGTACAAATACCACAAGCATTCTTATACACCAATAACAGGCAAACAGAGAGCCAAATCATGAGTGAACTCCCATTCACAATTGCTTCAAAGAGAATAAAATACCTAGGAATCCAACTTACAAGGGATGTGAAGGACCTCTTCAAGGAGAACTACAAACCACTGCTCAATGAAATAAAAGAGGATACAAAGAAATGGAAGAATATTCCATGCTCATGGGCAGGAAGAATCAATATCGTGAAAATGGCCATACTGCCCAAGGTAATTTATAGATTCAATGCCATCCCCATCAAGCTACCAATGACTTTCTTCACAGAATTGGAAAAAAACTACTTTAAAGTTCATATGGAACCAAAAAAGAGCCCGCATCGCCAAGTCAATCCTAAGCCAAAAGAACAAAGCTGGAGGCATCACGCTACCTGACTTCAAACTATACTACAAGGCTACAGCAACCAAAACAGCATGGTACTGGTACCAAAACAGAGATCTAGATCAATGGAACAGAACAGAGCCCTCAGAAATAACACCACATATCTACAACTATCTGATCTTTGACAAACCTGACAAAAATAAGCAATGGGGAAAGGATTCCCTATTTAATAAATGGTGCTGTGAAAACTGGCTAGCCATATGTAGAAAGCTGAAACTGGATCCCTTCCTTACACCTTATACAAAAATTAATTCAAGATGGATTAAAGACTTAAACATTAGACCTAAAACCATAAAAACCCTAGAAGAAAACCTAGGCATTACCATTCAGGACATAGGCATGGGCAAGGACTTCATGTCTAAAACACCAAAAGCAATGGCAACAAAAGCCAAAATTGACAAATGGGATCTAATTAAACAAGAGAGCTTCTGCACAGCAAAAGAAACTACCATCAGAGTGAACAGGCAACCTACAAAATGGGAGAAAATTTTCGCAACCTACTCATCTGACAAAGGGCTAATATCCAGAATCTACAGTGAACTCAAACAAATTTACAAGAAAAAAACAAACAACCCCATCAAAAAGTGGGCGAAGGACATGAACAGACACTTCTCAAAAGAAGACATTTATGCAGCCAAAAAACACATGAAAAAATGCCCATCATCACTGGCCATCAGAGAAATGCAAATCAAAACCACAATGAGATACCATCTCACACCAGTTAGAATGGCCATCATTAAAAAGTCAGGAAACAACAGGTGCTGGAGAGGATGTGGAGAAATAGGAACACTTTTACACTGTTGGTGGGACTGTAAACTAGTTCAACCATTGTGGAAGTCAGTGTGGCGATTCCTCAGGGATCTAGAACTAGAAATACCATTTGACCCAGCCATCCCATTACTGGGCATACACCCAAAGGACTATAAATCATGCTGCTATAACGACACATGCACACGTATGTTTATTGCAGCACTATTCACAATAGCAAAGACTTGGAACCAACCCAAATGTCCAACAATGATAGACTGGATTAAGAAAATGTGGTACATATACACCATGGAATACTATGCAGCCATAAAAAATGATGAGTTCATATCCTTTGTAGGGACATGGATGAAATTAGAAATCGTCATTCTCAGTAAACTATCGCAGGGACAAAAAACCAAACACCACATGTTCTCACTCATAGGTGGGAATTGAACAATGAGAACACATGGACACAGGAAAGGGAACATCACACTCTGGGGACTGTTGTGGGGTGGGGGGAGGGGGGAGGGATAGCATTAGGAGATATACCTAATGCTAAATGACGAGTTAATGGGTGCAGCACACCAGCATGGCACATGTATACATATGTAACTAACCTGCACATTGTGCACATGTACCCTAAATCTTAAAGTATAATAATAATAAAAAAAACATCAAGTTGAAAAAAATCACACATTACATTTAATTGTCACTTCCCTTTATACTTCATTAATGTAGGATAGTTCTGAGCCTTTCTCTTTCTTGACAAATTTTCGAAGAGTACAGGCAATTTATTTTACAAGATGTCCCTCAATTTGGATGTGTATGATGTTCCTCATGATTAAAGTTACCTTACGCATTTGGGGCAGGAAAATCTCAAAAGTGATGTCCTGTCCTTTGCAGAACATCATATTTAGAGAGACATGATATTTGACCCATACTGGTGCCCCCTCTTTTAAAATTATGTTATTTCAAGTTGAATTTCTATTGCCTAAAATTGAAAAAGTTATGACTAATTTAAGGATTTAGCTGTTAAAGACCCACAGGCTCTTTTAACACTATCTCAACAGTAAGGTGTGGTTACATTAAGCCTGGTTACATTCAAGCTGGGAAGGTCTAGAACACAGGAGTTTGACAAAGATCACCAGCTAATAAATTAAACGTACTATGGTAGTCAGCTAAATCAGCCAAGTCAGTGGAACATAGATTGGTAGGTGCAAGAGGTCAGGGTCCATGAGGTCAAAATCAGGAAGTACCAGTCAACAAAGATACTGAGCACTGATTTCAGGGCAGAGGTTGTGGGCTTACTGCCCACTGTTATAAAGCTAATGGGTGGAGCTGGCCCTGGGCCCATGGGTGTTAATCATAGACCTCAGTGGAATACAGGAGTAAGCTGTTCCTGGCTATGACAGATTCTGAGGTGCTAGCACTCTCTCACTGAGTAATGCCAATACCTCAGTGTTGGCATTACTGTGTGCTTTCCTCTTACTCTAGACCAGTATTTCCCACATTGTAATGTACATGCTGATTCCCTGGCAATCTTGTTAAAGTACAGAGTCAGTAGGTGTGCTGTGAGGCCTGAGATTCTGCATCTGTAAGTCCCCAGGTGATGCCAGGGGATGCTGATTCAGAGCATCCTTTGAGTTTCAAAGCTGTAGGAGAACACTGTTTTTGGCTATGGCAGGACTGGAGGTGTTACCACTACCTCACATACCCTGGAGTCAGCATTACTGTGAGATTCTCCTCTATTCTACACTATCACATAGAAGCTTCTTTTAATCAATCAGTTCAGATCTCGCTGAAATATCCTACTATGTAATTTAAATAGAAAAAGTGACTCCAAAAAGGTGAAGAGGTGGGAAAGAAGGAGACATATATGGCATACTGCCGAGCCAGAAATAAAGAGAAACTCCATAAGCATTAAACAATGAATAATGGCTTTATTTAAAAGATTCACAAGAAATCTCATTTTGACAGCCTTGACAATGTGTATGCCCCAAGAAAGGATGGCTCTCCCTGGCAAAGAAGTGTTGGCTTTGCATCCATCCTCATTTTTTCTATAGAAAATCATAGTCTACCTACATAACATAGCAAACCTGGTGACTAGAGATCATTTCCTCTTAGCAAGCACCTCTAAATAGGTCCAACACAGCCTTCCCATAATACTCACAGATGTTCTAAAACTGAGAAGGTTAGAATTGAAGTAACAAGGGCGTTACTCACAGGGAACAAGAAGCTGCTTATTATTAATTCACATTCCTGGACCATTCTTTAAAATCAGTGCCTTTGGTAAAGCTCTGTTTTAAAAAGAAGTACCAGTCAGTATTATAGCTCTGTGACAGGTAAATTTGGGACATGGCAGCAGAAACACTATATGAAAAGGCAGTCTAGCAATGCAGCAAATTGTTTACTGCATTTGCTTTTGATTAAAGTGAAACTATCTTGAAGTCTTCAGGAAAAAAAAGATACCATTTTACTCCAGTAGAAGGAGCCTATAAAGCAGTCAAAATCAGTCTTAAAATATCAGTGTTCATATGATCTTGTCAGAGTGAGTTAAGGGTCATCTGCCAAAAAAAGAAAAAAATTCCAGTTATTGAAGCATGAAAAAGCATGACAATGACCTTGAAATAATGATTTCAGGTGCTCAATACTTGCTTAGTGAATAAATGGTTTGCTTCCTCCCTCAGGGAGCTGTCATATTGGTGACCTCATTCACTCATCAACTCATGGAATGCCAATATTAAATCACACACCTATCTTCTGGGAGAAGCTTAGATAGTAAACAATCAGAACTGAGTTGTGGGAGTGAAGAGCTAACTTTTGTTAAGGGTCTCCTATGGCAAATGATTTCTGTCTATCTTTACACCAACTCAGAGAAAAGGGCCCACTGCCATCTTGAGGATGAGGAAACTAAGTTTCTGAGAAGCTAGTAGCTTGCTTATGTCTACACACCTAGGAAGCGTGAGAAGTGAGAAGATGGAATGGAATATTGTTCAGTCTTCATTCTATTGTAATAGGATTATATATCCACATCTTTGCCATGTAACTGTACTGCTTTCCATTGTGGCTGAAGCATATTTCTGTGCCCTATTAATGGTCTTGGCCATGTGAATTGCTTTGATCAAAGGAATGTTAGTGATATAAGCAAAAGCTTGCATAGTTTGTCTTGTCTTGAAACATATAGAGTTGAACCCTGCATACAGCCTGAAGCAGAGCAATCCCAGATGACCTGCAGACCTATTGGCAAAAAAATCAGTATTTGTTATTGAAAACCATTGAGATTTTGGATTGTTACAAAGCAAGAATTGACTAGTACAACACCTCTGTACATTATACCTAGCCCAAATTTGCAGATGAGAACACTGAGGTACTGAAAAGTAGCTTGCTCAAACAGGAAAAAAAAAAAATTTCAAGGACACCTGGAAGAGCTCTCCTGATATCTCTTTAGCCAGAACCGTGTAACATGGCTACCTACAGCAGCAAGGAAGGATGGAGAAGTATCTGACATTGTGAGTCTCGACTCTGGGGACTAGGATCCATCACCATGGAAGAAGGAGAGATAACAGTGTCTGCCATTCCAGTGTTGTGAGGCTCCAAAATCCATTATCTTTATCAGTACCCTGTGTTGTGTTCTATTATGGGTACGCAGAAGCTACCAGGAGGTCCCTTCAACTTGGCATTTGTGAGCTCAATATGGTGGTATGGTTTTGGCTGGTCCTTTGGAACTTCTGCAATTTCTGTAAAAAGAAGATGCTTTGGGTAACTGACAGTCCAAGAAGAACAGGACAGACACACATGCAGCCAAGCTGAATCCACACAGAGATGCCCCATGAGTGAGGAAAAATAAAAACTTTTTGTTGTTGTAATACACTGAGATTTAGGGATATTTGTTAGGTATTTAAATATAACTAACTAAAACAGTGTTTTGAAGTTCATCCAGCCCTATTCCAAACTAGTGATACAGGTGAGCTTCAATTTGTAACCACCCAGGAGTGTCACCACATGGTACTGCATGGTAGCTGCCATAGTCAATGAGCTCTCCAAAGAGTCTTCTATAACTTCCCCTTCTCCCTAGTGCCCGCAGCCTGACCAGGATACAATAGTGTGGGTTTTCTTCTATACACAGGCAGTTGAAAAGTGGCTAAATCTCACAAGGGGGTGCCATGAAAGTGGTGAATGTGAGCTGATACACTTATTGGGGTTACTCAAGGCTCTGAGCATCTTGAGGAGGAAGCAGTGAAGGCCAGGAGCAGTGTTGACTCCCTGATCACTACTGTCACATCCACCACTGCCAACCAACTGCTGATGTTTCAGTAAACGGTGGTATGACCTCTTATTCCTCAGAACGTCAGGTCAGAGAAGCTTCTTAGAGGAGGCAGATAAGAAGAGCAAAGAAAATCCCGGAAATGTGCTACCCATTATATTTTGGCCACAATTAGTACTAAATAAATGTGTCTGACACTAGGTATACAATGGCTAATGAAAGAATCTTGGCCTCTGTTTTCATGGAACTTACAGTGATTTAAATTGTGTTATTTTTACATTAATTTAATAAATTAATTTCCAGATGGACAAAATATTTAAACATCAAAAAAGTAATCATAAAAGTTACAGTAGAACAAAACACAGAGGAATGATTTTATATATGTTAGCAAAATACATAACATGATATTAATATTTTAAATTTTACAAAGTAGTTAGAAAAAGAGCAACAATTCAATGGGAAAAATGGGAAAGGACATGAACAAGAAATTTGCATACAATAATATGCAAAAGACTTAAAACATATGCAAAGATTATCTTCATTCCTAATTTGAGAAATGCAAATTAAAATGAGCTACCATTTTTAATCTTGCAGAGTGGAAGAAATGGGTAAGTAAAATTTATAGCACAGGCGATTTGTGGGGAAACAGGCACTCTCATACACCGTTGAGAGAGGTCAACAGGCGCTACCTCTTTGGAAGGCAATTTGGCAACATTGATAAAAAATTGTCTTAATTCCAATAAATATTTTCCCAGATATACAAAGATGTATGTATAACTCACTGCAGTGTTATATTCAATGGCAAGACTGGAAACAACTAAAATGTCTGTTACTAGGGTACTAGTTAAATGAAGTGTGGTACATCTATATACAATGAAATACCATTCAACCATGAAAGCAATAAGGCAGATCTATATGTATTGATATAGAAAGCTACACAACATATAATGTCAAATAAAAAACAGGTTATATACAGTATGCATAGCATGTTCCATTCACATATGCATGCTCATGGATATGTTTAGGATATTCCTGGAAAGATTCACAAACATGTAAAATTGGTTGCTTGTGGGAATGAGAACTGGATACTGGGAATCTGAGGTGAGAGAAAGACTTAGCTCTCATTTTATATACTCTTTTGTACACTTGGATGTGTTTTTATTTTTGTTTTTACCAAGTACATGCAATACTTTAAAAAATGAATTCTAGTTAATAAAAATAAATCATATAATAAATAATTGAACAGTACTAAAAGTATTTTAAAAAGCAAACAAAAACAAAAACTAATAGCCTTTAAAAATCAATGCTTTTAAAAGAATCACTTTTTAAAACAATGATGTAGTGATTAGATTGGGGAAGGCTGAATTTTCAAGGACTATTGAATTTCATTCAGTAGACAGAGAATGACCTGAAACACAAACTAATGACAGTTTTTCAGCTAGGAAGGGAAGTAGGGTTATTTACATAACTCTGAGGACACAGCAAAGATAATGTCTACATTATCTTGGTGCATCTTCTACTACAGAAAGGCTGAAGGGACAATACCATCAATTTACACCTATGTTATAGCTGGTTCAGGAGAATTAAGTGTTTCTCAGGCACTGAGACACTATAAAATTTCAAAGTGGCCAGTTCTCTTAAATTAGAAAAAGTAAATAAATCCACAACATTCATGCTCTCCTTAAAATAAAGTGGAAATAAGTGCACTGGCTTTCATGGTGGTGAATGCAGGATAGTTGTATTCTTAGGTAAGAACTGAACTGTACCTAGCTAAAAACAAAAAACAAACAACAACAAAAAATGACCCTGCACTCAATGTAGAAAAACTGCCTATGAAAAGGTGCCAATTGTACAGTTGAAATAATATCCTCATAATCCATCAATCAATGAAGTGGTGTTTAGTGAATTTCTTATATCCTCAAAAGGAGCTAAGGAGAAATAGTGCAGTTGGATGTGATATAGCCATGTCTTATGGGAATGTACAGTTGTAAGGACAAAAGTAGGTCTTAATCTGGTACAGTAATGGAGACAGAGTATAGGCAGTTGGAGAAGGGATTTAGAACATAAGCTGTACCTAAAAGTAAGAACATCCAGGTGGGGAAAACAGCATTAGCAAAGGCCTACTGATGGACCACCAGCAAATTGATCAAATAGACACCAGTGCAATAACATATCATGTTGTGAAGGAGAAAAAGATAACATTCAGGTTGAATAGAGAAGCTCAGTTCAGTTTGCAGCAGGCTCAAAAGACATGAAGAAGTGTGCAATTCATGTATTACTCATGCATTTACAAAATTTTGTGCTACCAGATGATAACAGATGATTAGTATAAGGGAAACGGTGGGGAGGCTCCTGTGGTTAAATACTTGGGAAAGTTAAAAAAATTTTTTTTTCAGTGTAGGATTTCTCAGTGTAGTATGAATCTCTAAGAGTGGGATAGAGTTTGCAAAAAAAAAAAAAGTATTTGATAGTAAGTCCCTCTTTTTGCACAATCTCCATTATCATGACAACCCTGTTTGGGAAATGCCAGAGAAGACACAGGGAACCCTTATTGATTCCAAAGAAAGAAAATGACTTGCACAAGATATATAGGCGGTGGGTTGTAAAATGAGCTAAAGTATTGACATGAAAGCATTGGAAACTTTCCTTTATGGGTATCCAAGTTTCTCTCCAACTTGAGTTCCTTTCATGTACATATAATTCTGACACCTTTTTACCACTATAAGAATTGTGATTCCAGGGAAATGTCAAGTTGAAGGGAACAATCTCAGGGGACGGGGGTGGTTCTTAGAAAAAAAGAGACCTGAGGATTAGGAGGTAAAACAATGGTAGAGGAGGAGAGTGTTTGGCAATAATGTCTTGGGAAAGATGAAGGAAGATGAGAGTCATCCCAGGCCACAGAACTGTGAACTATCCTCACGCGGCACCAGGGAGAGGTGTATGAGGGATGCTGACAGGAGGCAATTTGGCCTAAAGCCATGAAGCAGGGCCAAAGGGATACCACCAGCCAAGGGGAAGGGGGCTGAGTGCAACTGGCTCCAATGCAGCTTATTCCATTTCAAGCTTCCAAGTTCCTTCACATCCCTGGAATATGGTGATTAACTAAGGTGGGCCACTTGGAGTTCAGGGTCAACTATCTCATAAAATCAGAAAGACCGAATATTTGGACATACAACCAGACATAGTCCAAAATTATCTTTTAACTAATGAATATTTTCTTCAACAAAGCAAAACAAATCATTTCATTGAAATAGCAGTGAGCTGAGGAAAATAGAAAAAAGTAACCAAATATTAAAGTGATAAAATGTTATTGATATTCTCTTTAGTTAGAGTGCCACTTTTAAAGTTTTATTTCAGTGAATGTGAAAATATCTGTAATGGGTTGCTATTGATCCACCAACACTTATTTTCACCATAAAGATGATCTTCAACCAGGTTTTCCTTAAGCTTAATGCCTGTAGCTCAGGATCCCAGAAGTGATGTCCTTCAGAATCAACCAAGTATCTTGAATTTTCTTATTAAGCAATGGTATCTATGTGTTCTGCCAGTGCTGTGTCAATCTCTGTGTGGAGTCTGAAAAACTAATAAAAGACAGTGCATTACCTCAAGGCTTGTATAACTGGACAAGAATAATAGGGACACACAAATATTGCAAACTGAGGAGCTAAGTAATGATGAAAAAGGACAAAGTATCTTGTTACTGAGATATCCAAATCCAGATGGGTCAATCTGGAAAGGATGAAATCTCATATTAAGATGTTCTTAATTTGGATATAAATGAGATGGGGGCACTACTGACTACTGATGTGACAGAAACAAGGATGTGATCTGTGGAGATCTGGGTTGAGATGTGAGCTGAGTGCCCACTTCTCCAGCTCTTCAGGCCACTCCAGAAGTGTACTAGGAGAGGAGCATGCATGCGATGGTGAGGGCCTCTGAGCTTTGGAAGGGACATCTTTCTAAGTGAGGCATGTGGGGTTCAATGATAATGAATAACCAAAGCCAGATGATTGTTCCAGAGACAAGGTCTCATTTATATGTTCCAAACAGCTGTTATCTCTGGTCTGAAGGTACTTAAGAAAGTAGCTGAGCCCCTCAGTCCAGGCCATGGTCTCATGGTCAGTCTTGCAGTCTTGTCCCCATTTCTGCTTCCTGGGGCAACGGAAAGTAAGACCGCCATAGGAATGTTGGAATTTCTGGTTCTGGAAGTGGGGCCATCGGCAATGAAAATCTGCATGAAGCAGGGAGGAATTTGTGCTGGAGTAGTGCCCCAAATCCAAGGTATACTGGACTTAAAAGTCCTTGAAATTTCTCTGCAACTTGCTTCAGCTTCTGTAAGACCATGTAGACTCTGCAGCTTATCCCCATTTCCCCAGGCCTGATGGGAACTAGGTAGATGAAATTCAATGATTCTATCACAGGCCTGAATATCTGCCTTTAGGAGGGGTTTCATTCTCCAGCAGCCAAGTGTTACCAGTTATCTTTCCATGTCTGAGACTCTAAGAGTTACTTACTCTTTTGCCTTGGGCTTTCTTTCTCTGGAGATTCCCACATTCTGTATTTCACTCTAGAAGTCAACTGGCTCTTAGGAATGTACAGTTCCAGAAAACCCCACTCGTCAATATTGAGGAGCATCTTGGGAATGGCACATTAGGAGTCTACACAGAGGAGAAAACCAGGCTGTGTCCCCTGAGGATTTGTCTACCTTCCTTCCTGGGGGCTTCCCCATTTCATGCCTTCCCAAATGTGCTCCAGAGCTCTCTCCCTGGCTAAGTCTTGAAGGAAGATGGGGTACATTTTTCCAAAAAAATTAAGAGGGAAAGACGTTTCTAGGTAGGAATGACAGTATAAACAATGACTAAGTGTCATGCTTTTATGAGGATGGGGCATCCACACTGAGGGAGAAAAATGCTCTGAAGAAGAGATGTGAACTTAGTTTATTGATAGATTGGGATAGAGAAAAGCAAATAGTTGATGATGCAAATAAGAGCCTTTGAGTAGAGGGTTGAATGAAGGCTCTGCGCAGCTGTTTTCCATTTCCAGGAAAAATAAGCTGAAGGAAATTTCCACTGAATGAGAGGAAACAGTCTTAACATTTGACAACAGAATTGAATGTAAGAAAGTGGAGAGACTGATACCTGCGGAGTAACTTCTCCTTTTTGCTTCCTTGATCAAGGGCAGATTTTGTCACTAAGAACTAGTATTTCATTAGCAAGTTTCAAAATTTAATAATAAAGTATGCTGCCAAATTAGGACCACATAATCTAAAAATAACTTGGTTCTTTAACCCCACTTTTGTAAGTGCCCTTACCCCCCTAAAATTTACAGTTTTTAAATTCCATTTTATATTTCTTCAGTGTCTCATTTATTGTCTCTGTCCATCTCCCTTACTTGGGTTTCAGCTCAGTGTTGTATGAACTCTGCTAAATTTAGGAAGATTCTGGTTACAACTCTAAGTAAAGGATTTTCCGCAGACAATCCTGTCAGGAAACATCCTCAAGGAGAATTTATTGTCAAGCAAAAGTAGATGTGAAAAGGGGATCTTGATTGCTGGTAGAAAAGAATATGCTTTCAAATGATAATCTGTGCGAAAGTGCTATACAAGGTAATGTTGGTAATAATTGTGATAATTTTTATTTGGTCTTTTGATTCTGCACTTTTTTATTCAAACTTAGGATCCCATGCACAAGATTGAATTATAATTCAATCTTGAATTAATATAATTGAGTGCCAGTGTTTATTTTCAAACATTATTCTACACAATTATGTCTTCAAACAGAATAGTGAGGATGAAACATTCCTTGAAATAACCCATCTTTCCCACTCAATTCCACCATAACAAGAGTTAAACAACTGGAGCATAGCCACTAGGATTAAGAGTGAGAGGAGAAGGCCTTAGAAAAAGGGAAGCAAAGGTTTGAAATATAGGATGTGTTAGGGGTTGAATGAAGATGGGATAAATCTTCATTGCCATCTTCCACAATTCCCTGGTTGAATTGTGTCTCTCCAAACAGAGATGAAGTCCTAACCTCTAGTACTTGTGAATATAACTTTATTCGAAAACAGATGATCAAGTTAAGATGAAGTCATCAGGGTGGGTTTTAATCCAATATGACTGTGTCTTATAAAATGGGGACATCTGAACACAAAGACAGTCATGCACACAGGGAAGACAATGTGAAGGCATACAGGGAATACGTCATATGAAGATGAAGGCAGAGATCTACAAGCCAAGGAATATCAAAGACTGCTAGCAAACCATCAGAAGTTATGGAAGGGGCATAAAACAGATTCCCCTTACAGCCCTCAGGAGGGACCAACCCTGCCAACACTTTGATCTGACATCTGGCCTTCAGAACTGTGAGATAATACATTTCTGATGTTTAAACCACCTAATCCATGGTACTTTGTTATGACCACACTAGGAAACTAACACAGGGTTGTAAGGGCAGGAAGTGAAGAGGCAAGCCACTAATCACCACTAATAGTGTTCCCCTTCCTCTAGTTGTTTTACCACAATGCTCTCCTCAACTACTGTTTTAGCAATTCAGTGTCAGGAATGGAATTAAGAGACACAGGGTCACATGTGGTATCTGCAAAAAGCAACACCACAAAAACGCATACACAGGTACCCCTAGCCTGGATTATTATATTTCCATACATACCTGTGAAGCTCCAGTTTGGGGCCAAATGAGGGACCTTGATGAATGCCTTGTGGCCTCCTGCAGGGAGAGGGGCCCAGAGAATCTTGGGTGTGGCAGGGTCAAAGTAGCAGTTTCTGGGACATTGTTCTTCAGTTTGGCTTTCAAGAAGCCCTTTCAGCTGAAGTAGGTCAGAGACAGAGCAGGCTGGCTCCAGGCATCCCACCCTACTTCTGACTGAAGCAGGTATGCTTTCCTCTGTGAATTGGGTTTCTGCACATGATTCCAATTGAACAAAAGGTTCCACAGATTTTTTTTAATGGCTAAAAATTCCTTTGTAAGACTCATATGCTTTAGCCAAACTCATCTAGTAATCATTCTTCATGCACACTTCACCTCCATGCCTTCATTCATGCCTTTCCCTCTTTGGGGAAATGCCCTTACTCCTGATTCCATCTACTCTAGTCTTCCTGGCTATAGGCTGTTGGTGGCTTACTCAAAAGCTTTCCCACTGAAACGCACTTGCTCCCTGCTAACAGCAGCTCTATCCTCCTGGAATATTGGGCTGAGATTACTAGAAGTCATGGAAAGTTGAACAGACCCTGGTATACTGGTAGTCTTATGTTCTAGTTCTAGTAAATCAGACATAGTGGAGATTTGCTGGGAGGCCTCTAGAAAAGAGTTGCCACCTTGATAAGAATGCAGAAGAGGGATCTTTTTGTGCTATGCCTATCTGCTTCTTGCATTTGAATATGGTTGGATGAGAATGTGATTTTCAGAGCTACAGCAGCCATCTTATGATTGATCATAAGGCAGAAAGCAAGAGGTCTAAGGAGACGCTGACCCAGAACCCTGGCATCCTTAAATAACTGAATCAGCGCTGGAGACTGCCTACCTCCAGGCTACTTATGTGAGAAACAAAAACCCTTCTTCTTTAAATCACTCTCAGTCAGGTTTTCTGTTACAGCCAAATGCACTTCAAACTGACAGCATTTCTTCATCCTCCAACGGCCCCTCCAGGAAACATTCACCAGTCTCTCCAACTACCACAGGGTTAAATCAGTCAATCTCTCTCTCTCTCCCTCCCCCCCACCCACTTTTCCTTGTTCCTATAGTCACATGTGTGAGTGTTTCTTATCAGATTTGATTATTCACATTCAAATGTCATTTTTTTGAGTTATAAGCTCTCAAGGACAAGACCTTAATGTGTTGTTCTTCCTCTGATAGAAGTGATCTTTCAAAAGAGCACTTTTAAGTTTTAATGTACATACAAATCACCTTAGGATCTTGTTAAAAGTCAGACCGCTGGGGTCCATCCACAAAGGTTCAGATTCAGTGGGTCTGAGGTATGGCCCAAGAATCTGAATATCAAACAAGTCCCTAGATGATACTGATGTGCTGGCCCAGGGACCACTCTGATAAAACACTACTCTAAGAAACTGTGTACCATTTGTATTATCCTTGTCACATACCATCTCCTACTGTTAACCTTGTTCCTGTTTGTATTATATCCCTAGTAATTTTGTGAACTCCCTGAGGGCAGAAACCATATGCTATTCTCCTTGTTACCTCAAGTTCCTAGCATAGTGATGCTCAACAATCTTTATTTAGGAACTGAATGTATGAATGAGTGAATACAGTCACTGATCTTCTAGTCAGGTTTATTATTCCCATCAGTGATAAATGAGACAAGCTAGTACCTCCCTGACATTTCTGCAGAGAAAGTAACAACTTTAGAATGCTAGTCAATAAAATCCAGCCAAGAGTCCTTTTTTAACACTGGACCCCATTACAATGTAGAGATGCTAGCATTTCGCCCCTGATTTTGGTTGTGTGAAGTCACATATTTTTATGAGCCACATATTTTATATTATATATTTTGTTCCCTCCAGTTCTCTGAGCCAAGAAGTGCCTCTTAAAATAATCTAATAAGTAAATAAATTTTCTTCCAGGCAAAGGCTCTTTGTCACATATATATATGCATTATCTGGTTGGAAAATATTTCAGAGTGGTAGGAGTGGATAGAGAGTTCTTCCTGGAACATTAATGGTTGAATTGTTATAGAGAACACTAAATTTGATTCTTGTTTTGATCTCTGATGGGCCTTGTTCTCAGGAGACCCTTCATGGAGGAAATCCATGGTATTAGGACACAATGGGGAATGGGAGCCTGAATCTCATCCACCACAAAATTGCACTGAGTGTGAGTCAAGGCTACTGATGAAAATATTTCCTTTTGTACAAAAGTGGAAAATAATATTTTTGCAAAACCTTAAATAGTGGCATTATTTTTTAATTATTTTGAATAATATTGCTTCTATATCTACTGGGATCGCTATTCAGACAATTTAATGAGAAATATTTATATCAGCAGGATTCCAGTTCTGTGCTATTTTTTCAAAAGCAAAGGCAATGGTAAACAGGCCCACAGAAAGATATCCTCAACGAAAACTTGCTGAGTTGTTTCCTTTGTGTTCCCTGCTAACAGCAAGGGTGGAACAACCTGCTTAGGCTATGAGAAGAAAATGTGGTAAAGATGAAAATTGATACTAGATTCATTTCCAAGGTGTAAAAAGAACAGACGGAAGGCATATAATTATTTGAGTTCTATTCAATACATTCCAACCTTTGACTATATAATAGCCATCTGTTAGACCCAGCAGTAAACTGAATATCAGTTTAGTTATCATTCAATAGCCATTTACCAAGCACCTAAGCAGAGCAGTTAGGCAATCACACTTGACACCCAACTGCAGGAATTCTAATTACAGCTTCACTGTATATTTGCTATGAGAAGCTGGTAATACCACTATCCTCTTTGAGCTTCAGAGTACTTACCTGAAAATGGGAACAATAATAGAAATTATCTCATAAGTTATGTTCTTGCCTCTCAAAATGTGGTCCATAAATCTGTAGCATCAACACCACCTGGGAGCTTGTTAGAAATGCAGACTCCTAGGCCCCATCCCAGATCTACTGAATTAGAATCCAAATTTTAACAAAATCCCCTGGGGACTTCTACGCGCATTAAAATTTTAGAAGCACAGGGTAGATGATAAGGGAGCAGGCTCTGAGGCCAAACTGCGTGAATCCTAGCTCTACAATTTACCATCTGTGAGGCCTTGGCATGGTACTTAACCAATTTGTGCCTCAGTTTCTTCACCGTAAAATGGGGATAATAATAAAAACCCAACTCATAGGGTTGCTGAGAAAAGTAAATGAATGAATATCTTTAAAGAGCTTAGAACAGGGCATAACACATAAGTGCTCAGTAAGACAGCTGGTATAATAGTGAGGATTGAGTTGTAAATGCTGAGTAGTAAATAACAGAAAGTACTCAGTAAATGTTAGTTGCAGTACACAAAATGGTGTTGAATGTTGTCAGGAAAAAGATTATTATAAAATGGACCCTGGCCTTATTACACTTGTAACCTAGTAGTGCTAATTGTGCTTATATGTGGTACACATGTTTTTAAAAATCACAAGTCTTTCAGAAGTATCCACTCAATGCTAGTCAAGACATCCCTGCCACAGCTTGGAGTTTGATCTAAATTGTAATTCATGAGCCAAATTTCAACTAACACTTCTCTTGACACCATAGAGTGACAACCATGGTAGAAGAAAAAGCCGCTTCCTTTGACATCCTTGTTTTTAAGCAGTTCTCATATAAATCGCTCCCTAAGATTTATAAAGTTGACAACATTCAAGAGTCTCATCTGGTAAGTTGTGTGGAAACAAATTGGTTGTGCCTGATGCCGGGGGAAAGAAGTGAGTTGATTCTACACATCTGCACTATTTCCTAAAACAAAATGTGTCCCGCAGTGGTGCTCAAATTTGGCTGCCCATTAAAATCTCTTGAACAGTTTTTCAGAAATACTAATACCCAGGTCCCACCCCCAGAGATGTTGATTTAATTGCCTTGGAGTGGGGCCCAGGCATGGGTATTTTTTTTACGTTCCCCAAGTGATTATAATGTGCAGCCATGATTGAGAATCATGGCTATAAAACACATTAGGCCCAAAGGTGCCCCCAGTTAGTGGAGGGAATTAGCAGAAAGCAAACAAGAACCAAGGACAAAAGAGGAAGTAAAAGAGAGGATATCCAAAGAGAAAGCTAATCAGCATTCTGCTTCTGTGTCCTGGGTGTCCTGGGATGAACTGGCAGGAATGTGGGTTTACTACAACACTAGTCCAACTAGGGGTTTTGTAAATTTGACTTAGTTCCAGAGAGACATCCCAGGTCCAAGCATAAATCAGAACCCTGAAGTAGCAGGAAGAAAGGGGACAGTTCGAGAAATGTAGGACTGATAAAATGGGGTAATGAGGAAAAGCACACAGAATAGTTGCTATCGAATCCATGCCCTCTACTCATGGCACCTTTCACGGACTTTCTCAAAGCTCATTTTCTAAAACACCAAAACCTAGAAACAACACACATGTGAGTAGAATGGACTAAACATACTGCAGTAAATGCAATGAATATTACAAGCAATAAGGCATGAACTGCTGCTTCACACAACACAGACATAATGTTGAAAAGGCTAACATACAAGAGCACAAACTACATGATCCCATTTATATGAAATTCAAAAATCACCAAAACTAATCAATTATGATAGAAGTCACAAGAGTAGTTATCTTTTGGAGGAGGTCCTGTATGGGCATTGTTTGAAGGAGCCTGCTGGTTAGGTGCTGGAAATGCTGCATATCTTTGTCTGAGTGTGGTTTATAAAGTATGCACATTTAACCAATATTTATTGAGTTGAATACTTAAGATGGGTGCACTTTACTATATGCAAGCTATACCTCAATAAAAAATTTAAAAAGAAACTTATTTGCTACTATTATAACTCATCCAATAAATATTTATTAGAAGCCAACCCTGAGCCAGGCCATGTCCTAGGTGCTAGATACTGAGGTGTGCTAAACAACAGAGCCCCTGCCTCCTTGACACTTACATTCCAATGAAGAAAGTAGACCATGGAACATAAACAAACATATGTAACATGATGTCAGGTAGTACTAAAGGCCATAAAGAAAAATCAAGCAGGGTAAGGAGATGCAGAGTTTGTGTGTGGAGTTGGGGCATGCTACTTTAGATAGCAAGGTCAGAGAAGGCCTTTCTAAGACGGCAACCTCTCATCAAGTTCAGGGTATCTGGTTTCCAGACCACAGCAGAATAAAGGAAGCACAGTAGATGAGGATGGGAATGTCCTTTGAAGGCAGAAAAATTGATAGAAACAGGGAGTGTCAATTGACAGCAAGGGAGAGACATAGTAGCTATAAGATAGCAGGCCCAAGCACTCAGGGGGCTCAACATCAGGGTAACATATCCTTCCCACTTTTATAGCTGTTAGGAATTCCCTGTAATAAAGCTCAAAACAGCCTTCTATTCTATCACTTCTCTCACTGTGTCAACATTTCCTGATCTCTTTTCTACTAGACAGTGAAACTCTTGAAAGCAGGGATTTGGTCCTGTTCATCTTTGTATCTTCAGCACCTACCAAAACGAGGGGACAGAGTGAGACAGTCAATAAATACTTACCATCTGCCTGGCTGTCTGATGATAACTAAGTCACTCCAAAAATATTGTTATAATACTACTTTCCAGAATTCTCTGTGTAAGCATGTGATATATCGTTTACAGTTAAGCATAATACATCAAGTGTTAACTTTTGAGATTGAGTGTTTAAAGAGAACAGTCTCAGCCATCTGGAGAACTCACTTATAAGAAACTCCTAATTTCCCAAAGTTGCTGGGGAAATGAGATGTTACTATGTTAAACAATCCTGTCTTGACATCACCTGATCTCTCTCCTGGGCTCTCAGCTTGAAGCACTGGTGTTCAAACTTCAGGATACATATAAATCACATGGGGAAGGGGGGTTAGAAATGCAGATTTCCAGGTTCCATTCTCATAGATTATGATTCACTATGTGTAGGATATGAACTAGAAATAATAATAAAAACAATAGGCCAGGCATTGTAGCTTACGCCTGTAATCCCAGCACTTTGGGAGGCCAAGGTGGGCGGATCACCTGAGGTCAGGAGTTCGAGACCAGCCTGCCCAACATGGTGAAACCCCGTCTCTACTAAAAATACAAAAAATTAGCCAGGACTCATGGCCCATGCCCGTAGTCCCAGCTACTCGGGAGGCTGAGGCAGGAGAATTGCTTGAATCCGGGAGGCGGAGCTTGCAGTGAGCCGAGATCGTGCCACTGTACGATCGCACCACTGGGAGACGAGAGCGAAACTCCAACTCAAAAAATAAAATAAAATAAAATAATAAAATAAAATAAAATAAAATAAAAGGTACATTATTAGAAACTGCCAGGCAGTATACATTCATTTCACATTCTATGTCACCTAATCCACAAAACAGTCATATGACCTAGGTGCATTTTACAGATAAGGAAAATGAGGCACAGAAGGCTCAGGTAATTTCCCAAGGTCATGCAACTAGTAAGTAGCTCAGAGATTCAAACTCTGGCACTCTGGCTCCAACGCCTATGCTCTGAAGCTCCTCAGTATGTTGCTTCTTGGTGTAGATTTACATCAAGCAGTCCAGTTATGCTGGCGGCCTGGGAGCTTCACTTTAAAAACACTGGTCTATATCAGTCCTTTCCTTTCCCTTATGTATCCTTTTTCTATAACTACTGGTTGCTACCTTGACCCTAGCCATTCAGGGAACCTTTACACTTTCCACACCAGAAGGGGACCACAGGCCCTATCCTCCTTGTTTAAAATGACAGGATGACTATGCCTACATTCGTGGCAAGGATGGAGTATAATAAAGGAGCAAAGGTACCTCAAATCATAGCTTGGGATGGAGGATCAAAAAAAACCCACCACAGCCACGGAGCAGAGGAGATGGCCAAGGTATAAGGACACCCATTGGAGGAGAAGAGGAGAGAAGGCTAATCAGCACTCTGCTTTCTGTTTTGGTCTGCCCAGAAGCATCATATGAAAGATAATGGAAAGATTTGTTCAATCTGCCTAAAGCCTTTGTTTGGCTTCATGAGCGTGTTTGGGCTGGAATAGGACAAGCTGCAAGTGTCAGAGCAAATGCCCCCAACCAATGAGGGACAGGGATTTGTGTATAAATACTCTACTTTCCTAATTCCTTCTAGGGGACAACTCTGGATGTGTTCTACACCATCCATCAAGAGTCTCCATGGGCTCGAGCCCTAGTTGTTCATGGGGATAACCTGCTTATTATCACACATTTTATTGGCTTTCCTCCCTGCCCAATCTCACTTTGCACTCCCTCACTATGTTTCCTGGGATCACCTGTCAAATAAACTACTTACTCC
Organism: Homo sapiens; assembly: GCF_000001405.40. NCBI lineage: Eukaryota > Metazoa > Chordata > Mammalia > Primates > Hominidae > Homo > Homo sapiens. The sequence goes on along the minus strand of NC_000023.11, from coordinate 37,610,902 downwards.
CAAATCCTTGTCTCGGGATGTACTTTGGGGGAACCCAAACTAAAATAAGGACTATATACAGTATAATAAATGTGGTGGCTACTATAGGTGAAGTTCTAATCTTGGTGAATCTCTCAGTGTGTCAGGGAGGGCCACTGTTGGTTAGAAAGGCCACTGATAAATATTTGCAACTTCTGCTTCTCTTATTTAATTCTTTTTTGACTGTCTCCTTCTCAGCTCTGTGACCTGAAGTGTTTATAAGTGGCCAAAATTGGCCTCAGGAACAAAGATGGGGGGAAAAGCAGGGTTGCATCTGGGACTGGCCTTGTAGTAAGGGCCAAGCATTCTATCTACGGGCACAGAGGGAGAAAAAGGAGCAAGATGAGAAACACTGAGCCATCTCTTTGGCTGTTGTAAATACTAATTGAAAACATAGAACATACCTTAGGGTCCCCTTTGTGGCAGACTGTATTATCCAAAAATGGCTACAAAAGCCCATCCACATGTTTTTGTAGCACCTTGCCACTCTCTTTCCCATTGAGCCTCAATGGCCACTGTGATTGCTGTGTGATTATCTGACATTTTATGATATCCAAGGCTAGGTCATGAAATGTCATGCACTTTTGCTATATTCTCTTAGGATGCTCACTTAATTCAGCAACCACGCAATGAAAAAGCCCAATCAGTTCATGGAAAGGCCAATACAGGGAAGAACCAAGGCTTCTAACCCCAGATGAATTCCCAGCAGACAGCCAGTACCAACTTGCCACCCATGTGAATGAGCATCTTGAAAATGGTTCCTCTAGCCCCAAGTTGAGCCCCTCGGCTAACAACAGAAGGAGCAGAGACAAACTGTCCTGCCAAATCCCATCCAAATTGCATATTTTCTAGCAAAATAAATGATTGCCATTATTTTGAACTACTAAGTTTTTAGGTGGTTTGTTAGGCAGCAGTAGATAACTGATACCTCTTGGTTTCCCAATAATGGAAAGCTGACTCAGGGTTTTACCAAAACAATATTTTTTAAAGTCACAGTATATTTTCCACTTTTTGAAGCCTGTACTCTCAGGTTCTCCCCTCAATCTGCATGCCCCTATCTCTTTTCTAAGTCTGCTGTAGCAATAGGGAAAGCTTCACATCTCACCAACTGCAAGAGCTTTCATGTGACTGTAAATATTTATTAATTTATAGATATGTATAGTGTGTCACTATACATATAGGGGTTTTTTTTTATCCCATCCACTCTGGTTTTCTTGGAAACTTAATTTTCCATGGATTTCCTTGATTCCCCCTAAGAAACAAATGTTATTAGAGCAGAGATTGAGTCTTAGGTACTTTGGGTAAACTTAATAAATTCAAGGACCCATGTGGTCCAATCTCAGTGCAGTATCTCTTTTAGCATCTACAGATAATTAAAAAGCAGCTCTTTCTTTACTTGGCTTTCAAAGTACAATAACAGAAATCCATTCTTAATCCACAATAACACTTCCTCATACCCTTTCCCGATTCTCCACCTCCTTTGTCCCTCATAGCTGCTTCAGGACCTTTTACACATCAGTGCTTTCTCAAGCTCCAGAAGCCATTTAAGTTTTATTCTCCCCTTCTCCCAAAACCTTAGTTTAGCCTCCAGATCAACAAGGAATATTTTTTCCTTCTCTAGGAGGATGAAAGGTACAATAAAGACGGCATCTAAGTAGGCAAATATGGATTTCTTTTTAGCAGGTGGAAGGTTGCTGAAAGGAGACTTCAGGAAGGAAGGCTGTTATCACCAATTTACCTAAAAATTTTGTCTCAATATATTGTAAAGCATCTACTTGAATGTAACTAGCTGATGAATACTGACCAAAAGATAAAAACAGAAAATAAGTGGAAATAAACTGTATGTTAATGAAAATATGTGCTTAGACTCTCAGTGGGAATTTGTTTTTTAGACTTAATCTTAGTATCAGGAAATCTTCCCATTCTGTAGCACCAAGGAAAACTTAAAGCACATTTCTGACAATAAATTTGTTAACTGGCCCAGACAAACAAAATCGGAGGGAATCAAATTCTTGTTTTAAGTTTAATTCTCTTTGTCAACTCAATTACCCATTTTGTTCATTTTCAGTCATCATTTCTGGTTCTCTTTTTTCCTATGTTAATGTGAATATTCAAGATGAGTAAAGGCAATTTGATAATTTTTAGTGAGGATTTGGATTCTCAAGAAGTATTTACAATTAATCATTGTCCCCAGTGGGTCATAATTCTGAGCCAGGCAAGAAATTCCTGAGGCATTTGTGCCAACAGTAAAAACCTTATCTAGTAATAATTACAAGGGCAATAGGAAAAGTAAACTTACTAACAGACCCTTCCATTCCCTGATTACTAATACTTAGTAAAATACTTGCTCCAATCAAAGATTTCCCCTTCTGCAGGAAATTCCACATTTATTCTTATTTTCCCGCCTATCCCTCCTATCCCTTTGACCAGTGGTTCTCAGTGTGATCACTGGAGCCACACCATCACTATTCCTTGCGAACTTGATAGAAATGTAAATTCTCTGGCTCTATCCCAGACCCATGGAAACAGAAACTCTGAGGTAGGGCCCAGCAATCTGTGTATTAGCAAGCCCTCCAGGTGATTCTGATGCCTGCTGCATTGTGAGAACCACTGCCTTAAAACATAAAATTGAATTACAATGATACAGTGACTTGAAAGCCAAAAGACCTGAGTTCTGTTCTGTGTTCTGCTATTAGTTTACTGTATGCCCCTCTCTCTGGACTTTGGTTTTCTCATCTATAAAATGAAGGACCTGGGAAACAAATTGTTTAAGGCTTTTACTAGTTCTAGGAAGCAACAAAGTCACTGCCCCCCGAAGCACTAGCTAAGTACTGTAATATCTTGGCATATGGTTCCATTTTTTTCATGTCAGATTTTTTAAAGTTTCAGGAATGGCTAACCCAGTCTTGTCAAAATGACTAAATACCTTAAACAGCTAGAAGCTGTATTTAAAACATTTCTGTCAAGACCAAATCATTTGTTAAAGTTGCTGGTAAATGCACCCTGACAGTTTATCTCCCTCAGAATTTGTCATTTCTCAGCTAGCCAGAAACTTAATTCATCTGATCAGCCCAGGAATTTTGATGTGCAATTATTTTTTATTTGACCTAAGAATAGATTCATAATTCCTCTTCCATTCATAAAAATATTCTCCCTATACAAAATGACTCAGCATTAGAGTTGTTATTAAGATGCCAACCTAGCATATTCTATTGGTAGGAATATTTCAACACATTCTTGCAATAATATTAAAACAATTTTGATGACAAATGTTATGAAAGATTTATATTCTAAGCTGGTACTATGATATTTGTTTTGAAAATATTTCTTTTTATCTGCTGATAAATTCAATTCAGTAATATTGAGCTGAGATTAATCTTAAGCAGAGAATAGAACACGGGCTGGGTGCTCTTTGTTGAATTTCAACAAATGATTCATTCCATCAATTTGTCAAACTTCAGAATGTGACACGCAAACCTGTGATGACACAGATAGACTTTCCAGATTGGATGAAATCCTGACACAAGTAGCTTTGAAATTAGCTTAATCCTTCTATTACTGATGGCACAGAGAATGAAAAATGAGATTTTTACCTAAAGAGTCACTGATACTAGGTAAATGGAAGAGCTTACATAGCCACAATGAAAAATGGTTCAGGAAGTAGAAAGAGAAGAAGGAAATGTATGTTATGGGAGAGGGGAATCATTTAACTTGGCACTTTTGCCTTTAAAAATAAACATTAGAAGAAGAAACTGCGAAATTGCTGACATAAATGTCAAAACCAGCCACTGGTAAAGTCAAATGATCCCCCCAAGCCAGTTTTCAGTCCAAAGAAATGTTTAAAGGCAATGTTGCATTTATTTAGCACAGTGCTAGGCACTGTGGATGGCAAAAGACAAATGTGGTGAAGACAAAAAATAGATGAAGAGGACTAGACCCTCACTAAGCAACTAACTAGGTTATTCTGAACATGTTGCATCTAAGCAAATGGGCTCTTAAGGGAGAAGAATTTTTTCCAGCTTGTATGCTGCATAATTCCATCAAAAGTGTTTGAAACACTGTTGAATAGATAGACTTACATGTGAAATAATCAGGATCAGATTAGGGCGTGGAAGCTGAGCTCGTTTCAGGCTCCTTGGACACGGAGACATCTGGGTAGGAGTACACGTACGTGGGACTGCTGGTTCAGGTAAAGCCTCGTGGGGGTAAATCAGGAGTTTGTTCCTCCTTTGTGTGGTATTTCTGCTATAGAGACAGTTAACTCAAGGGTCTGGGTTCCATCTATTCATTCAACAAATACTTACTGCACACCTACCAGGCACTGGTTTTAGGGGATGCATCATGGAACAAAACAAAAGATTTCTGTCCTCAAAGAGCTGATATTCCTGCATGGTGTAGAGAAATGTGTTAACATAGCAGCACTGGGAATGCTATTCTTAAAAAGGCCTGCTTGCAAGGTTGGTCCTTGGCTGGCATTTGGGAACTTGAATTTTGGGACGACCATTCCCAGGACTGGTAAGACTGGCTCACTGCATCTAAATTGTGCAAACAATGTGACTTATGCTGAACACCTAATTTCCTTCTGGGAGTCTGGAATTTTGATATGTTTTGGGCAGGGGGTGCCTATGTTACCACCCCCCAATAAAAACCTTGGATACTGAGTCTCTAATAGAATGCTCTGGTAGACAACATTTCATGTATATTGTTATAACCCATTGGTAGGGGAATTAAGTGCATCCTATGTGAGTCCACTGGGAGAGGACCCTTGGAAGCCTGCGCTGGTTTCCCCAGTATTTCAATCCATTCAATTCTCCCTTTGCTGATATTGCTTTGTGTTCTTCCACTGTAATAAACCATAACTGTGGCTATAACCATATGAGTCCTTTGAGTTCTCCCAGTGACTCACTGATCCTGGGGTGGTCTTGGGGATCTCCAAAACACAGGAAGAGGAGGTTCAGACAATACAAAATTTATATTATAAATGAACAAGCTGTCTAGTATACTAGAAGGTGATCAGTGTTCAGAAAAAAAGAAAATGCAGAGCAGGGGAGGAGGACTGAGATGTTTTGGTGAGAGCGTGGCAGTGTGTTGTATTAAATAAGAGGGTCCATGTAGGTCTCGTCAAAAAGGTGTCATTGTATTGAATACCTGAAGGAGGTGAGCATGTCAGCCAGGTGATGCTTTCTAGGCAGAGGGCACAGCTCATGCAAAGGCCCTAAGTGGGGAGTGTACCTGTGTTTCAGGAACAGTAAGGAGGCCTGTGTGTATGAAGCAGTAGAAGCCTAGGGGACACAGGTAGGACATGAGGTCAGGGAGGTAATGCCAGGAAGGGCTGTTGCTCATCTTTTAGGGTCCTGTAGGCCATCATGAGGATAATAAGAAATCAAAATAAGAGTAGGATAACTAAAATGGAGTCAGGGATGAGATGAATATACCGAAGATGTGCACCACTGACCTTCATTGTTGTTAAGTGGGCTGTATACTTGCATTGGTCTAAGAAGGAAATCTCAGAAGTTGAGTCATTGTATTTCAGTCTTAAGGTGGGAACTACATCAAAAGCAACAATATAATAGCTTAATAATGGGGTTGCATAATCACTATCCCATCTTTTTTTTGCTTTTCAAAAGAACAACAAATAGCAAAAGCACATAACTGAATAATACCACATCCACTGTGGCCTCAATCTGCAGTTTAATACCTAACATTGGCCCTTCGGAGGCGTAAGGATAAATGGCCCATGATACCTGTGAAGAAAGCTGTCTGGGATTATTTGTGGCAGCCCTAATGAAAGATGATGGCGACAAAGGGGATAGAGGGGTGTGAAATACTCCTCAGCATCTGCCCCTCCCCTTCTCCAGCACACACATCTCACACTTCACAGAAATGTAGAAACCAAGAACACACATCCACACATCTCAATGCATCTCTCATTTCATGCTGCCTCTGAGACCACATGCTGTGAAAAATTGCAAAGCCTGCCACAAAGTCTTTCCCTCTCTGCATCAATGACTTTTGCTATTTTACTTTGTAGCTCCTTCCATCAAAAAGTGGAATCCAGTTGTCTACCCTTCACAACTGAACTGGCTACATGACTTGCTTTGTTCGAACTGGCTGCATGACTTGCTTTGTTCAACCAAATGCTGCAGAAGTGACGGTGCAACACTTCCAAACTTAAGAGGCTTTGCATGCTTCCATCCCTGCTCTTGATTTTGAGCCACCCCTGTCACACCAGTCAATAGCTGGCTAGCTGAAAAACGTATAAGTGAGCCTGTGCCAGGCCAGCCAGTGTTAGCTGACTTTTCACCTAACTGCAGACACATGTGCAAACCCAACCCAAATAAGCCAAGCCTGACCCAGCTCAGCAGAACTATCAGGTGACCTATAGACATACGAACAATAATAATAAAACAAAACCTAAGCCACTCAGTTTTGAGGTCGTTTGTTACGCACCAGTAATAACTGACACATGTGCCCAAGGTGGAATATCTCTGAAAAAGTTCTCCAGATGACTCATAACAAGAGCTCCAAATCTAAAACCACTGCAGAACCTCTTACAGCACCTCATAGGACAAATGCAGATCTGACTGCCATTTCAAAGCCAGAAAGACTTGGAGGGAGGCCAATGACTTCAAAGATGGGGTGCTTAGCTTCAGAACAGCTCTGACATTTTGGCTTGAGAGTACAACAGTTGTCACACTGCTTCTCTCTTCCTCTCCAGCTCACCAGGAGAAGAGCAAATGAAATGTTGGGAACATTCTCTGCTCAAGTACAACAAAGGGCAGATTCTCACATGGCTCAGGGAGGCTGAGCCTTTGGCAAAGTGGGGAACAGCAGGAAGGGCACAGATGCCAGAGTAGCTGAGAAAGAATTCAGTGCCTAAGTGAAATGTCGGCAGGCTGCCCAGCAGGGAAGCTGGCATTGTTTCAATATTGCAGCCTCATTTTGTAGAGGTGAGATAATATTTTCGTCTCCCAATAATAGCAGAGCTGCCCATTTTTTAGGTATATTTCTTAAGCAGCAACTTGTAAAGTTAATTTAAACCTGAATGTGCTCATGCCTATCAACTTCAACACTTCTTTCTTTTTCCCTATCCCCGCCACCTTTTTTCCCTTTTCTTCTGCACAAGGTATCCCCACTAATCATTGTGCTCTGAAAAGAAAAGTTCAAGATATTTCAATAATTTTTCAAAGTCACACCAAGTAGTCTCTCAATACAAGTTGACTAAAGTACAGTGGAATGTAGGCATGATTTGCCAATGAGAATGTAGATCTTAAAATGAGATACAAACACAAGTCTAAGAACCACAGTGGGGTTCTTCATTCATTCATCAATTCATTGAACACCAAGTATGGTGGAAAACAAGACGGGATATACTCCTTACCCTTTCGGGTTTGAGGTTTCGGGTCTGCTCTCAAAGAACTCTCAGCACTGGCAGTGCTCAGGACCCAAAGTGCCAACTTCTGTACAGACACAAAAGAGGGAGTAGTACTTACAAATATGTCAACAAAGGGGCAGTGGAACCAATGGGAAGTTAGAATACAGCACTCCACTTCAATGTTCACATCTCCCCTAGTCTGTCAATTCAGCTCATTCACTCTGAGGCATGCATAAAACTCCTGGAAAATCTAGTTTCTGATATCTCTACCACATTGTCCCACTAGGACCCTGCTCATCTTTTAGATCCTGGCACAAGTTATTTCACATTTTCTTTTGGAAGCAGGAAAGTGATTCTCTAGTAAGAACTAATCTCTTGATTCAAGATCTATCGAAAATGGCCCACCTATATCTTTTCACAATTGACATTCCCTGCCAGACTTCCTATAGGAATCTGTAAAACACTTCTATTTCCTTTAGATCAGTGAAACTAAATTAAAGTTTGTCTTTTATCTCACTTTTCTCCCCAAATTCTAAAATCTACACAACACAGAAATCATTCCTTTTTATCCGGTGACTAGACTACAGATAAAAACTGTATGAGCTAATTCAGAAACAGAAAGCACAGAGAAAGGATTAAACAAGGCAATCACCTTCAAAATGTTACAAAACCAAGTTGAAAAGACTGATTTTGACTGTACATGCTGTTTTTAATTAAGAGAAAAAAAATCACCCCTCCAACCAAAATTGCATTTTTCCTCAATTTCAAAAGAAGAGTTACCTCCTAGTGATTAAATTATTTTAATAAGATTAAATGAAAAAGGGGACAAAAACAGTTACCCAGGCTCATCTATGTATAAAATCCTACTCCAATCAAATCTAATTAACTTTAGCTCATGCAGAACATTGACTAAAAAATCAAAAACAAATATATACTAACATCATTAGAGAAATATTTATTATTCAAATAATCAATGTCTAAAGAAAATTTTTTAAAGAACTATACCCCAAGATGTTCATGTTTTACGCTGCTTCATTCTTTAGGAAAAGACCTTATGGGTTGCTTCTTATCAAAAATGGAATCTTGAAGTGTCCCAAGAGGCATTCTAATGATAATTAATGGTACAGAGTTTTCTTTCAAAATCATTAGAGATTCATTAAGCTGACAACACAAGCTGTTTAATACTTGAACTTTCTAAAAAGACTGCAGAATAAGGGGAGCTGCCATAATTATGACTTTAGAAATTCTGTTGTTGAATTTGCAAACTGCTTTGCATGCATAACATGATGTCTGTTTGCCTTTCCTTTTGAATTCAGGTATAGTTTGTTACTTCAAAACTATATATATATGTATAATTTCTCACTGGGAGGGAGTGGAGTTTGGATGTCAAAATACTGTTTGACCTTTGCTTCTTCTCTCTACCAAAACTCCCAACCTGCCCCAATACACTCACTCTTTTTCCTAGAAATGATCATTGCATTCTGCTAAGAACGAAGTTTAATCACATCAGGCGGGGAAATTTTACTTCTAGCTACTTTTGGCATGGCACCAGTTTGTTGCCTACCCAGTAGCAATCTCTCCCTTCTTTCTTGCTAATAGGACCCCAATATTTTTCAAGGTAGGCCAGATAAATGCAAGCTTTCCAGATTCCCTTACATGGCCATGTAACAGTTCTGCTCAATAGACATAAAAAGAAATTTGCTGGAGATTTATTGGATAGCTTTCGTTTCCCTGATAAGTTCAGACATATCTGGTACAGACTTCACTCTTCTTCCTGCCTTGAACATAGACATGGTATCTGGAGCTTCCACACATTATCTGCAACCATAAGGCAAAAAAGGCAATGAAGTCCAGAGACACTGGCCTTGACATCACCAACTCATTGAACTCATTTGCTAGCAGCCACCAACTTCCAGACTTTTTTATGTATTAGAAAAATAACCCTATTTTAAGGCACTGTAAGTCATATTTTCTATCATTTGCAGCTAAAAGCATTGCTAACTGACATTTATCCAGGAAAGGAATCTAGCATTTGCCCTCAGATCTGGGTAGATTTCATTATTTAAAATAATTCTTGTTAGTTTACTGTAATGTGCTCCTTGAGAATAGAAGCATGCTAAGTATCCACAATGAGCCATGACTGCACACAGACTCAATAATATCTCGTCACTCGAGTTTCACCCAAGACCAAAGGAAGCAATGAAATTATCATTTTATTAAAGCAGTACTCATCCCATGCACAACTGATCATTGATCATAAGTTGAAATTTACAAGGGAAAGCTGTGGCTTTCTGAGGACATCATTAAGTGGCATATCACAGAGGCTGCATCTTTTATCTTTCCTTAGTATTTGGGGGCTTTTCTCTGATATTATGCTATGCAATTACCCACAATATGCTACTCATGACAACTCTTCCCCCACCAAACAGCATTTTCTGATGGAAATAAATTTGACATTTTTCATGCCCAAGGTAAAAATATCTTAAAGTATATAGACATAAAAGGAGTGGTTTCCAACACGAATAGTATCCCTAGTGTCAGCTGAATGTTTTTACTGAGTAGAGACACAGGCAATGACCACTTTGGGTGAGTGGGCTAAGCTTCTGGTAAAGGGTTATACCACTGTCCCACTTGCTAGTTTGTCAGACAGGCGACCTTACAAAAGCAGGGGTTCAAAAGTGTTTCGCATCCTGTCACTTAACACTTGGTCCTCAGACCAGGAACACAGATATCAACTAGGAGCTTAAAAGAAATGCAGAATCTCAGGCCCCATCCCAGCCCCCTAACAAGTTCTCCAAGTGATTCAGGTGCATGAAAGTTTGAGAAGTACTGAATTAGTACTCTAATAAGGTTCATAGCAGGTTACAATACCAGGGTGTTAATTATTCCCATCCCAGTGAAAGGCATGCATCATCTAATATTCAGAGGGCTACAGATGTTGCCTGTGGACACTGAAAAGATTAGCAGCATTTGCCATGGTGGCAAGAAGGAAGGTTACTCTGCCTGTGGCACCAATAATTAATATATTTGACTCATCCAATGATATTAATTTTTCCCTAATGGGTCATTTATTAAGGTCTCTGAGGTTGATATATATTCTAGTCCATCCTTATCCATAGGGGATACATTCTAAGATCCCCAGTGGATGCCTGAAACCTCAAGTACTACCGAACCCCATGTATACTGTTATTTTTCCTATGCATAACTACCTACAATAAAGTTTAATTTATAAATTTGTCATAGTATGAGATTAACAAAAATAACTAATAATAAAATAGAACAATTAAAATAATATACTGTAATAAAAGTTATGTGAATGTGGTCTCCCTCTCTCTCTCAATATCTTATTGTACTATACTCACCTATTTTCAGACTGTGGTTGACCAAAGGCACCTGAAACCACAGAAAGTGAAACTGAGGATAAGGGGGGGCTACTTTATTCTTTAAGATGACAATGATAACAATATTTGTTTCTGGGAAGCATGTCATGGATACACAATGCCGATTTTTTATAAACAAACTTCTTCCTGTCACCTCGATGAGCCAATACAAATATCTCAGAAGTCTGGCAGGCTGCCTGGTTTATGCCACTGGAAAGGGTTACCTTGGATATTTGTGCTACTTGAGCAGCCAGTCTCTAGAATGCTGTCAACAGAGTGCCCACAGAATTCTCAGAACTGGGAGCTTAATTATACCCATCATAGCACCAATTCACTTGAAAAATAAAATTCATGTTTTGCTCTTCTAAGAAGACTGTGAACATCTAACCAAACATGATCACATATACTCTGCAGCCTACAGTGATTATGCCACTGTATGTTGTGGTGCTCTGAACAGTGCACCAAGGAGAGGAGATTAAACTGAGTTTTAAAGAAGTTATTCTAACTTCACTAAGAGTGATCACTGGAAGCTGAAACTTTCCAAGAGAGCATCAGGACTTTGTGTTCTACAAATTAAGCTGGAAACCGTTGGCAAAATTTCTGCTGCCAGCATTATAGTGGTCTAGGACAGTGGTTCTCAAAGTGTGGTACTTGGATCAGCAGCACTGGCATCACCTAGCAACTTGTTAGAAATGCAAATTATCCCACCCTACCCCAGATCTATGTAAGGCTAACAACTTGTGCTTTATCAGTCTGGGTCAAGTGACTCTGATGAACACTAAAATTTCAGAACCACTAGGATCAATAGTATTCAAACTATCATTGGTGAAGAAATAGTCTTGTTTTTATTTAAATGTCTAATCCATAATGGACTGATATTTTCACAAAATAACATACTGATACATCACCAGAGAAATTACCGGAGAAAACTCACTCTAATTACTCAGTCTAATTGTTCATAAAGTTCCTAAGTGCTTACCTCAAATTTCTATACTTACATCGTGTAGACTAGTAACAAATTTGCAGAATGGCACTGACCTGCAAGCCATACTTTGAGTAGCACTAGTCTAGATACTTCGAAGTCCCTTTTCCTATTATAAAAAAACTACATAATTTTATCAATTCCAAGATATACTTTTTTAAAAAAATCTTAACATCTTTGAAATTGGAATATATGTCAAAATCACCATCGGCCAGGAGGCAGTAGGACGTGACTCTCGTGGTCTGTGCATGTGCATCAAAACCTTCAAACTAGGTGTCAACTACTTGGGAAAAAATGCCACAGACAAAGTGGAACACTCTTTTAAGAAATTCTGCATCACTACTGCTTTTGATGGTACAAAGGAAGGTACTTTGTGAAAAATCACGGAAATCAGTGACTGAGGAAGAAGTGATTCAGGACTGTAGAAGTCCGACTGTAAGAAAGTTTTATGAATATCTTAATGAACGTATCTTGCTTATATTTTTCTGTTAGGTATACACATGAGTGATACATGATAAAATCAATGTCTAAATAACTTTAAAAGATAAGTTATACTTGTCCTTCAATAAGTATAAAATCCTAAGTGATAAGAAGGTGTTGTGTCATTTTGATTGACAGTGATTTTTCTCTTTCTTACTGGTACATAAAAATGCATCTTACAAAAGACAGATTACTATAATTGACTAGATACTGCATATCAGAGTGCTCTACCTCGGTTGCACACTGGAATTACCTGAAGAACTTTAAAATTATTGATGCCTAGGACCTGGCCCAGGAGATTCAGATTTAATTTGTCTGGAGCATGGCCTGGACTCAGGAATTTTTAAAACTCCCCAGGTGATCCTAATGGGCAGCCAAGGTAGCAAAGCATTGATACAAACAATGGAGAAGATCATGAATTCAATTTAGACAAAGTCTTCTTAGATATGATACCAAAAATATGAGCAACAAAAGATAAAGTTGATAAACTGGACTTTATAAAAATTAAGAACTTGTGCTTCAGAGGAAACCATCAACACAGTTAAAAGACAACCTACTTTTGTAGGTTGGCAGAAAATATTTGCAAATCATATTTCTGATAAGGGACTCATATCCAGAATATATAAAGAACTCTTACAACTAAATAAAAATAATAATAGCTCAATTAAAAATGGACAAAGTATCTGAGTAGACATTTCTCCAAAGATGTGCAAATGGCCAATAAGCACATGAAAAGATGGTCAATATCATTCGTCATCAGGAAACTGCATATCAAAATGATTATCAGATACCACACTTCATACCCAATGAACATAACTATAATTAAAATGTCTGATAATAATAAGTGCTGTGGCCAGGCTTGGCAGCTCACACCTGTAATCCCAGCTCTTTGGAAGGCTGAGGCTGAAAGATGGCTTGAGCCCAGAAGTTCGAGAACAGCTTGGGCAATATAGCGAGAACCCTGCCTCTACAAAAAAAAAAAAAAAAAAAAAAAAAAAAGGTGGCGTGTGCCTGTAGTTCCAGCTACTAGGGAGACTGAGGTGGAAGGGTCACTTGGGCCCAGGAGTTCAAACTCGCAGTGAGCTATGATCACCCCACTGCACCCCCAGCCTTGGTGACAGAGGCAGACCTTGTCTCTAAACAAATAATTAACTGTTGGTGAGGGTATGGAGAAACTGAACCCTTCGTGCCTTGCTGGTGGGGATGTAAAATGGTGCAGCTGCTGTAGAAAACACTCTAACAGTTTTTGAAAATGCTAAATGTACAGTTGCCCTATGATCCAGCAATTCCATTCCTAGTTATATACCCAACAGAAATAAAAACTTATGTCCACATAAAAACCTGTACACAAATGATCAGGATTATTCAAAACAGCATTATGGCAGCATTATTCATAACAGCCAATAACTGGAAATAACTCCAATGTCCATTAACTGACAAATGGGTAAAATATGATGCATTCATACAAAGGAATATTATTTGGCAATAAAAAGGAATGGAGTACTAATACATGCTACAATATGCATAGACCTTAAAGACATTTTGCTTAGTGAAAGAAGCCAGTCACCAAAGACCATATATTATATTATTCCATTTGTATTAAATGCCCAGAATAGGCGAATCCATAGAGAAAAAAACTAAATTAGGGGTACCTAGGTCAGCAGGAGTGTGGGATGGGGTTGAGAGGAATAGAGGAGTGACTGTTAATGGCTTCAAGGTTTCTTTTTGAGGTAAGGAAAATCTAAAATTGACTGTGGTAATGGTTGTACAACCCCATGAACATATTAAAACCATTGAACTGTATATTTTAAACGGGTGAATTGTATGATATATAAGTTATATCTCAATGTAGCTGTTAAATGGAGAAGAGGCAATATTTGAAGGGACAACAGCTGTGAATTTTCTAGAAGTCACTAAAGATGTGAATCCACAACTACAAGAAGCACAACATATAACAAGTAGGATATTTTAAATGAAATATACACAAGACACACCAAATGAAACTTAAGAAAGCAAAAGACAAAGGAATTCCTGGCAATCAAAAATCAGAAGACACTGTGAACATACTGAAAGTATGACAGAATCGTAACTGCCAGAGAACACAGCTTCAGAATTCTGAGAAAGTACTACCTTTGGCCTGAAATCTCTTTTAAAAAACGCTACACAGTAACAGAAATCACAATAAGATTGTTCTGCCTTTGATTCGCATTTGGTTCATCAGGACAGGAACACAGCTTGCCTGATGAAAAACATAAAATCCCTTAAGCTCAAAAGCAAAATGTTAAAAGCCATTTGACACAACAATTTTAGTAGAACCTCTAAGAAGTCACTTGCGCTAAAGGGAAGAATTGGAGATTTTTCTCTGACTGCTGGAGATACTGATAGGGAGTTATCTTTGTTCAATTATCAACAGCACAACTCAGAAACAGTTGTTCCATACAGGGTGCCACCTTGCTAATTAAAAGCTCATGCTATCTAAGATGGAGAAATATTATATTAAGTCATAGTATGCTTCAGAAAAATTACGAGGACCCATTTTTCCTTCCAACTTCTGATGTAATTATTTCTTCAGGTGTCTTTATTCACTAGGAGAAGGATATGATTAGATATTCATTTCTTAGCTGTGGTAAAAGTAAACTTACTGGAAATAAGCTTTGACTCTTCCATACATATATAATTCATGAACATTGAATTTAACAGCTATTTGGGGAACAACACATTAATATAAAATTAAAGTGACAATTTTCTATATTACTCTCCATTCTTCTTTACAGGAAAAGTGCAAGCCCTTCAAAAGAAACAGACAAAAAGAGAAATTCTAATAGCTGTAAAGTGCATAGCTAGTCAATGTTCAATTTATCAAGAGTGAATGCAAGCTTTAAACATAAGGAGATAAGGGTCCAGAAATATATATGAAATTTTATCACCTGCATGAATATAAAAGTAATGATGATTATTTTTAAAAGCCAAACAAAAGCCTTTTTAGATGTCAGGTATTGTACTAGGACAAAATTACAGTTTCCTAAAAGATGTTTACAATCAGAGAGTTCTACTTGTCAGCACAGAAACGCGTAAGTGGATCATTTGGATCTGTCACAAGCTAGGGATACTTCCCATTTTATAATATACAAGTGGTAGAATTTTGCCATCTTTTGGCTGTCAAAAGGCAGATTGTATGTGAAAATGTGACAATATTCATGACCAACTAAGAATCCTGTCCATCAAATACTTAATCCTAAGTGGCTCTGCTGTCAGACCCATAAAAGTGAAAACACATTTAAGCAGGAGCATGTAAACAGCTAGTTTTAAAATGTAGGTTGCCATTTCTTTAGATTTTTATACTTGAGCCTCAAAGGGGGTTATTTGGTTTCATAAAATTAAAAACACGTCATCTGTATTCCTTCCTTCCTTCTGCAAATATGTATTGAGCATATTCTGTTTGCCAGGAAGGTGCCTATCATTCTGCTCTGTAGTAGTAAAAAGGCAGTGGCAATTAAGAGCTTGGAGTTGCCTCAGCTGAAGGCTCCCTAGGAAACATGTAAGATGAAAACAAAAGTGATTCTGTACGTCCAGTGAGCAATACACCCAAAAGGGCAGCCAGAAATGCCAGGGAAAAGGGAGCAAGAACATTATAAAAATGGCTTGTGAGAAAAATAGCAGAAGAAACTCAGGGAACAAATTTGTTAGAAACTTTTTGCTTTGTGGTTTATTGCACAACTTGCCATCTAATTTCGCTCCACGTACTTAACCATACATGCTTGTCTCCAGCATTGCACTACCAGTCCTTTTATTATGTTCTATTCAGGACTTCTAACCTGTACTTGAATGACCCCCAGACACCTTCCCTCTACAAGATTTCAATCTACTTTGGTGAGTCTAGGGTGAGAGTAAGCAACTAATTCAGTCCTGAATCCCCAAGACTGGTTTAGAAGCTTTGCCCATTCCCATGAAAGTTCTCTCAACAAACAAAAACAATTGCCATTCAGTCAACATTTATTGGTATAATTAGCTAATGGGGAATTTCGTTTAACATTAATGATACTACCAGCCCAAGGCAGCAGAAAGTTCACAACTTTGGAGAAGAATTTGAGTTCTGGACTAGGCTCCATCTCTTATCAATTGGGGGCCATAAGTCCCATAGGTAAATCTTGGGTTGTATCTGTTGTTAGATTCCCCACTGGTTGATGCCTGTCAAAAGTATCCTGCTTGGGCAATAAATGTTATCATTATCCTACTTCTCAACCATATAACCTTTGGAAAGCTACTTAACCTCTCTGCAATGTTTTCTATTTTCTATTCTGAAAATGAATGTGGTAATAATATCCAACTTGAGGAGATATTGCAAGAATTAAATAGGACAGCTTATGTAAAAAGCACTTAGCAACTTAGTGTTCTATATAATTATCAGTTTATCTTGGTTGCAATGACTTGAAAGCATTTTAAAAACTTGGAGTATCTTAGAGTCACTGCCATGAAAAACTGTTATTCTTGCTCTGCTTTAGATAAATGGTTCAACCAGTTATTGTATTCTAATCATCTATCTTTTCACTTTTCATTATTTTAACTGGGCCCTATCCCCATACCCCTTCTCACTGGGTAGAAGCTTAATATAGGTCCAGTACTCATTTTTAACTCAATACTTTACTACGGAAGGCACAACTGTGTAAATAAAGCCATAGGAAGATTTGAATCAACACAGAGCTATTCAACTCTTTATTCTACTAATAAAACATCATCATTAAATCTTAATTTACTATGGCTTATAAGGATATAATGGATATATTAAGCTATATTTTTGATGGGGAAATGTTTGCTGACAAAATTTATCTATAAATGACCACATCATTTCTGTTATTAGATGGCATTCCATAAATGTTCTCCAACAACGCTGTTTAATCATTGAGCAGGAAGGGGGTAAATGTGAAGAACAAAACAAACTGTGTATAAATAATGGCCAAAAAGCACAGGTAAAGTCAGCTAAGGAGCCCTCATTTATTTTCTTGATGTTTATATTTCTCAAAGAAATACATGTTCATTGTTTTAAAAGTCAAGAGCTCTTCAAAATAATAGCAGACTCCTGCCCCCACCTATTCCCAGCCATATATCAACTCCTTTGAGGCAAAAAATTAAAACACTTTTATCTGTGTATTTTTTTAGCAACTTATCTCCATATTTTAAAAATGACATCCTTATACAACTATTTCTTTATTTGTTCATTTAGGCATTATATATTAATCTGTTAACATGGAATATGAAACTTTAGCTTTTTTATGATCTCTCCATACATACTTCTCCTTTCTTACCTACCCAAAATAATAGTATCACATTATTTGGCTAAATCAATATTCATTGAGCAATATCATGTGCAATTAGTCCTACTTTTGTCTCCTTTTTCTCCCTTTGGTATTAATACTCAGCCGTGATCCTGGACTGTCCTTTTAAGACCACCCTGGAAGTTCCCTGTGGCCCCACTGGTATTGGGGCCTCAGGTTTTGTGATCCCATATTTTCCAATGTTTTGGTTCATTCCCTCTTTTTGACAAACTACAAAAAGGGTATCTTTTTGGAGACCTTGCATAGCTAAAGATATGTTTTCTACTTTCACACTTGATTGATAATTTTGGCTGCTATAGAATTCTAGTTAAGAATTTTCTCTATGAATTTTGGAGACCTTGCTTCATTGTCTTTTAAATTTCTAAATTGCTATGAAAAGTCCAATGCTAATCCTTGTATGAAACCAGGTTTCTTCCTTTTTGGAAATTTTTAGAGACTCTTCTTTATTGTTTTCCCATCCAATATGCTGGTGGGTCTCTTAAATCTGGCAACTCATGTATTTCACTTATAAAAAATATTCTTGCTTTTTTTCATAATTTTCCTCTTTCACTTTGTTCTTTTAATTGGGACCGACCACTAGACAGAGGTTAGACATTTCTAATTAATCTTTTCTCTTATTATCAATCTCATTGTCTTTTGGCTGAACTTTCAGGGACATTTATTCAACTTAATATTCTAATTTTTGCACTGAATTATTTTTATTTCTGCTATCTTTTTTTTATTTCTAAGAGTTCTTTTCTGTTCTCTCAACAGTCCTTTCAATAATATCCTGCTTTCATTTCAGACATGTGATTACTTTCTTCTCTGACAATATTAATTATAGATTTGGGCATTTGGGAAATTTTCTTATGCAGTATTATCTGTTTCCTCCAAGATTGTTTTCCTATTTGTATATTTTGTTACCATCACTGCCTTTTAAATCAGACATGTTCCTCAAATGTCTTTTGAATGACCGTTCCTATTTAACAGTTTCATCCTAAAAAGTTCACTGGCAATTCTGGGTATGGGAAAGGGCTAGCCAGTTGGCGGGCTTTAGCACAGCGTGATGAGACAGTGTACCTGCATTTACACTGGGATGAAGTACTCCTCCAAATGTCTGTATCTGTGGTTCTTTTTTTGTGAATGTATCTGATAACCACATATCGTCCTTCAACCTACTGCTTGTTGGAGGCAGTGGCTGCCAATGTTCTGGATGTGGATTTCAGGAAGAGGTTAACTAAATGTGTGTGCAGGAGGGAGGCGCCCACAATTCAGCATGTAAACTTTCAGGTCATTCTGCTTTCAGTGAAGTACCACTGACTGTGCCCTGGACTGTGCCTTGGGCCTCAAAGCTGAGTTTCTTTAATTCAATCTGTCAAAAAAGTGAATCTCAGGGCTTCTACTAAGGTGTGGAGGGCCCAGGTGGAGGAACTGCAGGTTTCCCTATCAAACCTTCTCAGATGCTTCTTTATCAGCTCTTTGAGTCCATCCCCCTATGTCCATATGCTTTGCTTCTAACAACTCTCACCTGCAGGCTTCTTTAGAGCCCTACTTTGGGCTACAAGTACAACTTCAGCAGCATGCCAAGAGAGTCTGTAGTACCTGAAAATGTACATACCCCCCCCACCACCAGCTGGAGCTCATTACTGGTACAACAGTGTACCTCTAGCCTAGAGTGTAATATACACTCTAGAGCTTCCCTACAAGATGAGACAGAGGCTGGAATTTAGCCTAAGATCACACTCTTGCTTCATTTCCTTCCATTCACTGCTTCCTACTTTCCCCATTCTTATACTGGTTTCTCCTTGGAACACTTCCTTAATCAACAATTCCATATTAATCCACATCTCACGGTCATCTTTGGGAAATCTGGCCTAAGACCATCATCTGGTTGCTCAGATTTGGGAAAGTATCTGGGAGTCTAACCACTGTTTATCAAACTTGCAACTAATTCTGTTTTCATACATGACCCACACCACCACTAACACCAGAGATGCCTAGAACCTCTAATTCCTGAATCTTTCTAGTGTTGAGTTGAGTTCAGGCTATTCTTCCAAACATCTTGGGGTGCAAGCCCAAGATCCTTGTGCTTTAGTAGAAAAACATGCAGACAGATTACCTGACTTAAATCTATAGAAATTAAGAAGTTATATAGTCAGACAAACGTGGGTTCTACTACTTTACTAGCTGTGTGATGATAGGCAAGTTACTAAACCTCTCTAAGTCACAATTGTCTCACCTGTAAAATGAAGAAAATATGCTTATCTTAGTGCCTGTCACACAGTAAGTCTTATCTTTTGATTTATTTTCCAGTGGTGATAAGTTTATGGTACTGCTGCCATATGCCCTCACCTAGTTCCCACATTTCAGAGATGTTTGGCCAAGGTTAAGGGTACAGTCTAAGAAATTCGTTCTCGAAATGTATTCCCCAGACCAGCAGCAGCAGTAGCAGTATCACTGGGAACTTGTTAAAAGTGAAAATTCTGAGGCCCATCTCCAGAAATTTAGGGAGTGGAGCCCAGCGATGTGTGTTTTAACAAGCCCTCAAGGGATTCTAATGCATGTTCACGTGTAAGAAACTCTTGTGTCAGAAAAAAAAATAACAGACCCACATGGAGATTAAAGCCAAGACTTAGAACCCAGTTGGTGTGGTACTGAAGATCATAAGCAGAGCTAATCAATACACATGACACCCCCAGCCCCGATTAGGGATAGGGGAAAGTCATAATTATAGCTTTATTATTAGAGTAGTGTAGTTGTTAACATCAAAAGCATTATGTGATAAATGAATATAAATAGGAGCTAGGAATGAAAGAGTGAAGTGCAGATTTAAGTTTGTAAAACTGACAGTGAGTCACATAGCTTTATATCACACAGCTTTCAAATACTAATAGAGGAGTCTATTAATGCAAGAAAAAAATAATTTCTGAGCCCAGTAGCTGAAGAAACACTTGAAAGAATCCTTAACTGTATTAACCGTTTTCTGAAACAAGCTAATAAATGTACATGACCTGGAACATTTGCTGAGGAAAACTCATTTGAAGTTGTCACTTTGACAGTGTCACAACTATTGAAATTCCTCTGAAAATCTGAATTAGTGCTATGTAAGCAAATTATCTCTAGAAACAAAGACGAGAACTTAAGAGCAAAAAATAGCTTATTGAATCCACCACTCAGAATAGGGGGTTGGAGTGGGGAACAGAGCAAGAAGCAAATATTCCAACATCACCTATATGGCAATTTACAGTATCTTCAAGCCAATCAGGTGATTTACTCCAAGAAGCACAAATCAGAGACAAGAAAGCCAATTCTTATAACACTGCAAAGATCCTACAGTTTTTAAAAGAGAAAAGAGTCCTTTCCCTGGAGGAAGTGCAGAGTAATTCACACAAGTTCTTGTTTTAGGGGTGATGCCCACTCAATTTACTTTGACATATAATCTGCCTGAGCAGCTCAGCTTAATCTCCTGCATGGCAGAGCAGAGGGCTTCCCTCCAGCCCTTTAAGGCCTCTGTGTGAAAATCTCAAAGCTTTGCTGTTGCCATCCAGGACATAGCAGCTCTGAATGCCACCACAGGGAATATAAGACAGATTGGCTGAACATCCAAAAGAATACATATGCTATTTAGTCAATGTAGACTGCTTTAGCACCCTACGCTAAAGCACACCAATACTCAGAATCAATATCCAGAACACTGGCAGCCACTGTCTTCACCAAGTAGTAGGTTGAAGGAGGGTTTATAGTTGTCAGATAGATTCAAGAAAAAAGAATCACAGATACTGACATTTGGTGGAGTACTCCATCCCAGTGTAAATGCAGTTACACTGTCTCATCACCCTATGCTGAAGCCCACCAATACTCAAAATCATGGCTGACAGAGGGAATTCGTAGTCTATGCCTGGGAGCATCCTCTGCCAAGCATGTTACCACACATTCTCAGTGGCCCTTCCTAGCACACCTATGAGGTAGGTGCTGCTTGAATTGCATTTTGTTGGTGAAGAAATTAAGCCTCAGAGATGCTAAATAACTTGCTTAAAGTCAATCAGATATTGCAGTGGAGTCTGACAATCCCAAGGCTACCTGAATCTGAAAAGGCTGTTCTTAACCATCATGCTTTAATGTCTTCATTGAGAGTCCAGACTATTTCAACAATTGCAATTTGTAATAAATGTGCAATTCTTTTTGTCTCAGAAGAAAAAAAAAACATTTTAAAAAGCAAGATTATGTTAATGATATATGCATAAGGACAATATATTGTTTCTGGTTAGACACTGGATCTCTTTGGCCTTAGATAGCCATAAAGTCTGTCAGACTGTGTCTCCTTCCTAAAGTCGTTGTGTGAGTGGAGATTCAGCTGGTACCAACAGTGCTTGCTTTGAGATTGGTGATGCTTTTGTTGCCATAGACACCAGATTTCAACACACCACTGAGCACGGGGAATCCATTCCATGCAAAGCAATGGAGCCAGCAGATGGGCACAGTAACAGCTAACTGCGCATAATGCCATAACCAATATTTGTTTTGCCACCTCTCATTTAGATGTTCTTACCAATGAAGTCTGTAAGACTTTGTCTCTCATCTGAAAAACCGCTTCTTTATGACCCAGATAGCCATACTCACACTTTAACAGGCCAAAGTCATTCATTTCTTTGGTTCATTGAATGGTTAAAGCTATTCAGAAAAGAAAATCTGATCTTACACAAAACACTCCTTTATTCAGCTTGCAAAAAGAAAGATCAAATACTTCTTGAAAATTCAGTTTGATCAAGTGGCTAGCACCCCAAGAATAATGGGCCTGTTATCTTGGTAGGTTTCCCTAGTAACTAAAACCATAAAGAAAATAATTAGGAAGAGTTTAGTGATGTGTGCATGTGTATCTTATATACACATGCATACATATATCTGTGTGCGTGTGTGTGTATAATGAAAACAACTTGTTTTTTTATGAGACAAACCAGTCAAGACATGGTACTTGACTGGTGGTCAGAGATGAACTTGTAAAGTTGAATCATGAAGAGAAAGACTTGGACACATCACGAACTGTTGAACCAGTTTACCTAGAGACCATTACCATGTGGGGACACTACAGGACCGCCCTGTCACTTGGAGGAAATCCATTGTATATTGTGTTGCAGCCAATCACATGACAAACATCATTTACTAAATTAACCAGCAAAAGTGTAATTAGTGAAGAAGTTAGTAAGAAATTAATATAATCTATCATTTTCACATTCAAAGGCCAATACATTTAATAAAATTCCATTAAAACAATCTCCTTACAGAGCACTGAGTTTAGTTATTGGCAAAATAAATAATTAAGTTCATTTAAAACAAGTTTTACTGTGTTTATTTTTCCATTTACTCTGTAACAAAAAACTACGAACTATGTTCTCTTTAAATAATTATAATACAGATGTGGTTCCAAGATGGCCAAATAGGAACAGCTCCAGTCTACAGCTCCCAGCGTGAGAGATGCAGAAGATGGGTGATTTCTGCATTTCCAACTAAGGTACTGGGTCCATTTCACTGGGGCTTGTCAGAAAGTGGGTGCAGGACAGAGGGTGCAGTGCACCAAGTGTGAGCCAAAGCAGGGTGAGGCATCCCCTCACCCGGGAAGCACAAAGGGTCATGGAATTCCCTTTCCTAGCCAAGCAAAGCTGTGACAGATGGCACCTGGAAAACCGGGTCACTCCCACCCTAATACTGCACTTTTCCAAGGGTCTTAGCAAACGGCACACCAGGAGATTATATCCCATGCCTGGCTTGGAGGGCCCCACGCCCACGGAGCCTCGATCCTTGCTAGCACAGCAGTCTGAGATCGAACTGCACGGCAGCAGCAAGGCTGGGGGAGGGGCGCCCGCCATTGCTAAGGCTTGAGGAGGTAAACAAAGTGGCCAGGAAGCTCAAACTGGGTGGAGCCCACCGCAGCTCAAGGAGGCCTGCCTGCCTCTGTAGACTCCACCACTGGGGGCAGGGCATAGCCGAACAAAAGGCAGCAGAAACCCCTGCAGACTTAAATGTCCCTGTCTGACAGCTTTGAAGAGAGTAGTGGTTCTCCCAGCATGGAATTTGAAATCTGAGAACGGACAGACTGCCTCCTCAAGTGGGTCCCTGACCCCTGAGTAGGCTAACTGGGAGGCACCCCCTAGTAGGGGTAGACTGACACCTCACACAGCCGGGTACCCCTCTGAGATGAAACCTCCAGAGGAACAATCAGGCAGCAACATTTGCTGTTCAGCAATATTCGCTGTTCTGCAGCCTCTGCTGCTGATACCCAGGCAAATAGCGTCTGGAGTGGACCTCCAGCAAACTCCAACAGACATGAAGCTGAGGGTCCTGACTGTTAGAAGGAAAACTAACAAACTGAAAGTACATCCACACCAAAACCCCATCTGTACATCACCATCATCAAAGACCAAAGGTAGATAAAACCACAGAGATGGGGAAAAACCAGAGCAGAAAACCTGAAAATTCTAAAAATCGAGCGCCTCTCCTCCTCCAAAGGAATGCAGCTCCTCACCAGCAACGGAATAAAGCTGGACAGAGAATGACTTTGATGAGTTGAGAGAAGAAGGCTTCAGACGATCAAACTTCTCCGAGCTAAAGGGGGAAGTTTGAACCCATCGCAAAGAAGTTTAAAACCTTGAAAGAAGATTAGATGAATGGCTAACTAGAACAACTAGTGTAGAGAGGTCCTTAAATGACCTGATGGAGCTGAAAACCATGGCACGAGAACTACGTGACGAATGCACAAGCTTCAGTAGCCAATTTGATCAACGGGAAGAAAGGGTATCAGTGATGGAAGATGAAATGAATGCAATAAAGCGAGAAGAGAAGTTTAGAGAAAAAAGAATAAAAAGAAACGAACAAAGCCTCCAAGAAATATGGGACTATGTGAAAAGACCAAATGTACGTCTGATTAGTGTACCTGAAAGTGATGGGGAGAATGGAACCAAGCTGGAAAACACTCTGCAGGATATTATCCAGGAGAACTTCCCCAACCTAGCAAGGCAGGCCAACATTCAAATTCAGGAAATGCAGAGAACGTCACAAAGATACTCCTCAAGAACAGCAACTCCAAGACACATAACGGTCAGATTCACCAAAGTTGAAATGAAGGAAAAAACGTTAAGGGTAGCCAGAGAAAAAGGTCGGGTTACCCACAAAGGGAAGCCCATCAAACTCACAGTGGATCTCTCGGCAGAAACTCTACAAGCCAGAAGAGAGTGGGGGCCAATATTCAACATTCTTAAAGAAAAGAATTTTCAACCGAGAATTTCCTATCCAGCCAAACTAAGCTTCATAAGTGAAGGAGAAATAAAATCCTTTACAGACAAGCAAATGCTGAGAGATTTTGTCACCACCAGGCCTGCCCTAAAAGAGCTCCTGAAGGAAGCACTCAACATGGAAAGGAACAACCGGTACCAGCCACTGTAAAAACATGCCAAATTGTAAAGACCATCAAGGCTAGGAAGAAACTGCATCAACTAATGAGCAAAATAAACAGCTAACATCATAATGACAGGATCAAATTCACACATAACAATATTAACCTTAAATGTAAATGGGCTAAATGCTCCAATTCAAAGACACAGACCGGCAAATTGGATACAGAGTCAAGACCCATCACTGTGCTGTATTCAGGAAACCCATCTCACATGCAGAGACACACATAGGCTCAAAATAAAGGGATGGAGGGAGATCTACCAAGCAAATGGAAAACAAAAAAAGGCAGGGGTTGCATTCCTAGTCTCTGATAAAACAGACTTTAAACCAACGAAGATCAAAAGAGACAAAGAAAGGCATTACATAATAGTAAAGGGATCAATTCAACAAGAAGAGCTAACTATCCTAAATGTATATGCACCCAATACAGGAGCACCCAGATTCATAAAGCAAGTCCTTAGAGACCTAGAAAGACACTTAGACTCCCACACAATAATAATGGGAGAATTTAACACCCCACTGTCAACATTAGACAGATCAATGAGACAGAAAGTTAACAAGGATACCCAGGAATTG
The DNA here is from genome assembly GCF_000001405.40 of Homo sapiens. Lineage (NCBI taxonomy): Eukaryota > Metazoa > Chordata > Mammalia > Primates > Hominidae > Homo > Homo sapiens. The sequence continues at coordinate 37,585,333 of NC_000023.11, read as the reverse complement.
AACTCAGCTCTGCACCAAGCAGACCTAATAGACATCTACAGAACTCTCCACCCCAAATCAACAGAATAGACATTCTTTTCAGCACCATACCACACCTATGCCAAAATTGACCACATAGTTGGAAGTAAAGCACTCCTCAGCAAATGTAAAAGAACAGAAATTATAACAAACTGTCTCTCAGACCACAGTGCAATCAAACTAGAACTCAGGATTAAGAAACTCACTCAAAACCACTCAACCACATGGAAACTGAACAATCTGCTCCTGAATGACTACTGGGTACATAACGAAATGAGGGAGAAATAAAGATGTTCTCTGAAACCAATGAGAACAAAGACACAACATACCAGAATCTCTGGGACACATTTAAAGCAGTGTGTAGAGGGAAATTTATAGGACTAAATGCCCACAAGAGAAAGCAGGAAAGATCTAAAATTGACACCCTAACATCACAATTAAAAGAACTAGAGAAGCAAGAGGAAACACACTCAAAAACTAGCAGAAGGCAAGAAATAACTAAGATCAGAGCAGAACTGAAGGAGATAGAGAAACAAAAAACCCTTCAAAAAATTAATGAATCCAGGAGCTGAAAAGATCAACAAAATTGATAGACCGCTAGCAAGACTAATAGAAGAATCAGATAGATACAATAAAAAATGATAAAGGGGATATCACCACCGATCCCACAGAAATACAAACTACCATCAGAGAATACTATAAACACCTCTACGCAAATAAACTTGAAAACCTAGAAGAAATGGATAAATTCCTCGACACATACACCCTCCCAACAATAAACCAGGAAGAAGTTGAATCTCTGAATAGACCAATAACAGGCTCTGAAATTGAGGCAATAATTAATAGCTTACCAACAAAAAAAAGTCCAGGACCAGATGGATTCACAGCCGAATTCTACCAGAGGTACAAGGAGGAGCTGGTACCATTCCTTCTGAAACTATTCCAATCAATAGAAAAAGAGGGAATCCTCCCTAACTCATTTTATGAGGCGAGCATCATCCTGACACCAAAGCCTGGCAAAAACAAAACAAGAAAAGAGAATTTTAGACCAATATCCCTGATGAACATCGAGGCAAAAATCCTCAAAAAAATGCTGGCAAACCGAATCCAGCAGCACATCAAAAAGCTTATCCACCATGATCAAGTGGGCTTCATCCCTGGGATGCAAGGCTGGTTCAACATATGCAAATCAATAAACGTAATCCAGCATATAAACAGAACCAAAGACAAAAACCACACGATTATCTCAACAGATGCAGAAAAGACCTTTGACAAAATTAAACAGCCCTTCATGTTAAAAACTCTCAGTAAATTAGGTATTGATGGGACGTATCTCAAAATAATAAGAGCTATCTATGACAAACACACAGCCAATATCATACTGAATGGGCAAAAACTGGAAGCATTCCCTTTGAAAACTGGCACAAGACAGGGATGCCCTCTCTCACCACACCTATTCAACACAGTATTGGAAGTTCTGGCCAGGGCAATCAGGCAGGAGAAAGAAATAAAAGGTATTCAATTAGGAAAAGAGGAAGTCAAATTGTCCCTGCTTGCAGATGACATGATTGTATATCTAGAAAACCCCATTGTCTCAGCCCAAAATCTCTTTAAGCTGATAAGCAACTTGAGCAAAGTCTCAGGATACAAAATCAATGTGCAAAAATCAGAAGCATTCTTCTACACCAATGATAGACAAACAGAGAGCCAAATCATGAGTGAACTCCCATTCACAATTGCTTCAAAGAGAATAAAATACCTAGGAGTCCAACTTACAAGGGATGTGAAGGACCTCTTCAAGGAGAACTACAAACCACTGCTCAATGAAATAAAAGAGGATACAAAGAAATGGAAGAACATTCCATGCTCATGGATAGGAAGAATCAATATCGTGAAAATGGCTATACTGCCCAAGGTAATTTATAGATTCAATGCCATCCCCATCAAGCTACCAATGACTTTCTTCACAGAACTGGAAAAAACTACTTTAAAGTTCATATGGAATCAAAAAAGAGCCCACATTGCCAAGTCAATCCTAAGCCAAAAGGACAAAGCTGGAGGCATCACGCTACCTGACTTCAAACTATACTACAAGGCTACAGTAACCAAAACAGCATGGTACTGGTACCAAAACAGAGATATCGATCAATGGAACAGAACAGAGCCCTCAGAAATAATACCAGACATCTACAACCATCTGATCTTTGACAAACCTGACAAAAACAAGAAATGGGGAAAGGATTCCCTATTTAACAAATAGTGCTGGGAAAACTGGCTAGCCATATGTAGAAAGGTGAAACTGGATCCCTTCCTTACACCTTATACAAAAATTAATTCAAGATGGATTAAAGACTTAAATGTTAGACCTAAAACCATAAAAACCCTAGAAGAAAACCTAGGTAATACCATTCAGGACATAGGCATGGGCAAGGACTTCATGTCTAAAACACCAAAAGCAATGGCAACAAAAGTCAAAATTGACAAATGGGATCTAATTAAACTGAAGAGCTTCTGCACAGCAAAAGAAACTACCATCAGAGTGAACAGGCAACCTACAGAATAAGAGAAAATTTTTGCAATCTACTCATCTGACAAAGGGCTAATATCCAGAATCTACAAGAACTCAACCAAATTTACTCAAACAAATTTACAAGAACTCAAACAAATTTACAAGAAAAAAACAAACAACCCCATCAACAAGTGGGTGAAGGATATGAACAGACACTTCTCAAAAGAAGACATTTATGCAGCCAAAAGACACATGAAAAAATGCTCATCATCACTGGCCATCAGAGGAATGCAAATCAAAACTATGATGAGACACCCCCTCACACCAGTTAGAATGACGATCATTAAAAAGTCAGGAAACAACAGGTGCTGGAGAGCATGTGGGGAAACAGGAACACTTTTACACTGTTGGTGGGACTGTAAACAAGTTCAACCATTGTGGAAGACAGTGTGGCGATTCCTCAGGGATCTAGAACTAGAAACACCATTTGATCCAGCCATCCCATTACCGGGTATACACCCAGAGGATTGTAAGTCATGCTACTATAAAGACACATGCACACGTATGTTTATTGCCGCACTATTCACAATAGCAAAGACTTGGAACCAACCCAAATGTCCATCAATGATAGACTGGATTAAGAAAATGTGGCACATATACACCATGGAATACTATGCAGCCATAAAAAAAGGATGAGTTCATTTCCTTTGTAGGGACATGGATGAAGCTGGAAACCATCATTCTCAGCAAACTATCGCAAGGACAGAAAACCAAACACCGTATGTTCTCACTCATAGGTGGGAACTGAACAATGAGAACACTTGGACACAGGAAGGGGAACATCACACACCAGGGCCTGTTGTGGGATGTGGGGACGGGGGAGGGATAGCATTAGGAGATATACCTAATATAAATGACGAGTTAATGGGTGCAGCACACCAACATGGCACGTATATACATATGTAACAAACCTGCACAGTGTGCACATGTACCCTAGAACTTAAAGTATAATAAAAAAATTATAATACAAATAATAAGTTCGGGTTTTCGTGGAATGTATATTAACAGATGAAAAGACATAAATAGACTGTATCTAAAGCTTTCTAAATTATTTTGAGTAGGTCTGTTAAATCATTGTGATTAGAAAATAAAAAGGAAGATGTCTGATCATTTTAAGTTTAAATTGATTTAGAGTTGGAGGAGAAGCACTACTTTACGTCAAACAGGTAAAATCAGTGGAATGACTCTAAAATAGGCTTGGTATCATGATTATCAGGCTCATGCTTTCTGTTTGGGAATGATGTAATAAGGTGTCTCTTGAATTACCATGAAATAATTTAAAATTGCTGGGATGTGATTTGTTTGGGCCTTTAAAGGAATTTGAAAAACTTGCTGTATACAGTGAAAAATTACATCTATTAGGAAAAAGAAATCCATGCATTTGCTCATTCATTCAATAGATGTCAACATATCCCTTAAACCTACAAGGAGATGCAGCAGGAAGTGATTCTTTCCTTCAGTATAACCCACAAACCAGAGAGCTGGTATTCTTGCACCTGTGGAAGAAGTCATCCTCAGTACAAGAAAAAATGATGAAAATCATGAAGTTTGCAGGAGCAGTTACATTTGTTGACAGGCAACCCCATAAAATTGGGGAAAAAAATTGTAATTCAGAGTGTTGTGCTCAAGTTTGCTCCATAAACCAGCAAGAGCGGCATCACCTGAAGCTCAGTAGAGATGCAGAATCATGAGCCACACTCCAGACTCACTGAGCTAAAAGCTGATTTTTAACAAGATCCCTGGGGTTTGTATGCACATTAAAATATGAGGATCACCAATTGAAATCACAGATTTGGCAACCAGCCTGGGGAAGATGGAACCCCATCTCTGCCACTGACTAGCTGTGTGATCTGGAACAAGTTTCTCAACCTCTCTGTTCCTCAGTTTCCCTACTGGATATGATGGAGATAATAATGTTGCCCATGTTATAAAGTTGTTGGTAGTATTATGTGACATATATGTAGAACCTCAAAAAGTCAAACTCATAGAAGGTGAGAGTAGAATGGTAATTGCCAGAAGCTGGAGGTGGGTGGGGGGAAATGGGGAGGGAAAGGGGAGAAGTTGGTAAAAGGGTACAAAGTTTCAGTTACACAGGAGGAATAAGTTATGATGATCTTCTGCACAGCAAGGTGACTATAGTTAATAATAATGTATTCTATACTTCAAAGTTGCTAAAAGTGGATTTTAAATGTTCTCACCACAAAGAAATGATAAGTATGCCAGGTGATGGATATGTTAATTAGCCTGATTTGCTCATTCCACAATGTACACATGTATCAAAACATTACATTATACTCCATAAATATATATAATGATTGTGAATTAAAGATAAAAAATTTTAACAAACAAAATTACACTTAGGTACATTTTGAAAAGTGACATAATACATGAAAAAAACTTACAACAGTGTGTGGAAATAAGTGATCAGTCATCGTTAGTCCTTATTACATCACTGCATTTTATCATTCACTGGGTTCTGGGTCATGCATAACAAAGGGTCTAAGCCATAGCCCATAGAAGTGCCTGCTTCCTGGTAGATCTGTAATCAGGCAATTAGGAATTGAACCCAGCCTACAAAAATCCAGCTTGCCCAACCCTGCTGCCATTTCAAGCCAAACTTCAGGCTTTACTTACACAGTATGAAACACACACCTGCCTTAAAAATGGGAACCGCTCAAATCCAAAGACTGAATGAAATCCTACACATGCATTTTGTTTGGTAAAAGTTGAAAGAAACAATAAAGGGACTCAGTTTCTACCCTGGAAACCTCCATCCTAATTTTATACTCGTCAGTTTAGCATATATTAAAAACTCTGATGAAACCCAGTGAGAACACAGGCACTCCCAAATGCTGATGGAGACAATAGAAATTGGTAGAACATTTTTGGAGGGCAATTTGATAATCCTCTATCAAATAAAAAATATTGGTAAACTTTGACCCAGCAATTGTGTTTTAAAAATTTACCCTACATAGATACTTGCAAAAGTAGGCAAAAATACATATATGAAAAGATATATACATATACACACATATATATTACATGTATACATTATATATGTATATATGCATTTTACAGCAGTCCTCTTTTATCCAAGGTTTTGCTTTCTGTGGTTTCAGTTACCAGCAGACATCCGGGGTCCAAAAATACTACCAGGAAAATTCCAGAAATAAACAATTCATAAGTTTTAAATTTCATGCCATTTTGAGTAGTATGATAAAATTTGGGGACATCATTCTCCTTCCCACCTGGGGCATGAATCATCCCTTTTTCCAGCATATCTACTCTGTAAACCACCTGCCCCATGGTCACTTAGTAAGTGTCTCAGGTATCAGATCAGAAAAGTAGTATATATAGCGTTTAGTACTATCCGTGGTTCCAGGCATCCACTGGCGGTCTTGGAACATATCCCTGGCAGATACGGTGGGACTACTGTATATGTATATGCATGTATATTATTTATGGCACTATTTGTGATAGCAAAAAAAGGAGAAAAACTGGAATCAACCCAAATGTCCATCAATAAGGGTTATAGTATAACCATTAAATGGAACCAGTATAAAGAATGTTACATGTTACATCTCTCTATACAATATGCAAAGATGTCCAATGTACATTAAGCAAGAAAGCAAGCTGTGTAATATATGTATAATATGATAATTTGTATAAGTGGATAAAATACAGGTATTTTATGGAATAGACTGTTCTAAAAAAAGAAAAAACATGTTAACTTTTAAAATAATTTTTTTTTTTTTTTTTTTTTTTTAGAGATGGAGTCTCACTCTGCCGCCCAGGCTGGAGTGTAGTGGTGCAATCTCGGCTCACCGCAACCTCCGCCTCCCGGGTTCAAGCGATTCTCCTACCTCAGCCTCCTGAGTAGCTAGGATTACAGGCACCTACCACCATGCCCAGCTAATTTTTGTATTTTTAGTCGAGACAGGGTTTCACTATGTTGTCCAGGCTGGTCTCGAACTCCTGATCTCATGTGATCTGCCCGCCTCGGCCTCCCAAAGTGCTGGGATTACAGGCATGAGCCACCGTGCCTGGCCTAAAACAAATTTTTAATAAATAAAGACTCATTTTGTTTTATATCTTTGATGAGAGAAATAATTTTTAAGAAAAGGTAGGAAAAACACAGTTGCTGCCATAAAATATATTCCCCAAACTTTGCTAGTTTAAATCTTAATTAATAGTTAATATCTTAGCTTTTATTTAATTGGCAACTAGCTGACAGCAAAAACAAGATACCTTACAGGTGTCATGACACATGGAGGTGACCTGGAAAAGGGAAAAGAAACACCAAAGAGATGAAAAGCGAATGGATAAAGGAGGTCACAAGACAGACCTTGCCAAGGGACGCCAAATGGCAGATGCTTTGGTAACCAACCAGCAACCATTTCCTTCTCCCTTTTTTCGTGTCGGTACCTGTCAATGATCAAGGTTAAAAATAAAAACACTAGCCTTCCCAGCCTCCCTGAAACTAGAACTGGCTAATGACCAAGTGCTGGGCAATGAGTCAGAGGGAAATTCTTCCAGGATAGAATGTTCTACATGACTTTAGAAAAAGATGCAGGGGGAAAAAAAGCCTCAGACCTTCCCTCACCACTTCAGTTAGGGGAACACTATGTTTGCAATGACAGCAGCCATCTTACAACATTGAAAGGTGAAACAGCTCAAACACTGAGAATAGCAGAGAAAACGCCTGGAAAGAGCTTGGATTTGGATAACTCTCCTGAGTTGCTGAAACAATCCTGGAGTGGCCTAGTTTTCCACTCCTTGCTAAGTGAGGTAATAAATGTTCTCATTATTTAGATGACTTTTTATTGGGCATTTTGTTATTTACAGCTAAAAGCATTGCCCCTTATACAGCTGCCAACCACCTGCCTTAGAAATGAGCCAAAGACCCAATTAACAACTTTGCAATAATTTGTTGTTGTTGTTTTCAAATCACAGCAGGAAGATAGATACGTCATATTAAGTATCATTTTCTATCTGATATTCAGAATTACCTTAGGTTTTCTGTTAGTAGTAGCGAAAAAGGCTACCATTGATTCCATTTAGCAGCTACTATGTGCCAAGCACTGTACTAGGTACTTTATCTAGGACTGGTCATCACAGCAACTTCCAAACCAGTCTCCTTTGGCTGGGGAAATAAAATCACATCTACATGTTTCCTAGCTTACTTAAACAAATTAGCATTTCGTTACAAATGTAAACTACAAACCACTAGTTGTACTTGTAACTTTGTCACCTACAGAAATCACAGATGCATACCACACTGTAGCTGTGGAAGGTATCTCAAAATATCATTGACTCTCATCACTGTTTCAAAAGTATCATCATCCTTTAGCCTGCTGTAAAATCTTATTTAATGTGTTGATAAAGGAGCACATACGCTACTGCTCACACATTTTAAAAATGTTTTGGTAACATGGTTGCAATATAATTGACTTCCTTTGTAATTCTGTGTGTTTTATTTTATGCATTTAAAAATATTATTCTAAGACGAGGTCCTGTAGGTTTCACCAGACTGACAAGGAGTCCTTGGCACAAAAGGGGTTTAGACCCCCCATAACCAGTCCCCCTTGTTATCATTCTTAATATTGTCAATCCACTCTTAATACAGAAAACCAGGGCGATCTTTTTAAAAGGTAAGTCAGATCAAGATATTTCCTCCTTTAAACACGAAACAAATGCAGACTCCTAACTTTGACTAACTTGGGCCTCCAGGATCTGATTTTACCCTGCTCATGTCTCCTTCCATGGTTTCAAACTCCTCTATCCCCTGCTCTCTCTCTGCTCCAGCCATGCTAGCCTCCTTCTATTTCTTTGAAATGTCCAAGTCATTTCCTACCTTAGGGGCTCTTGCCCTCTGCCTGGAATGCCTGTTCTTAGAGCAGCCACTTGGTTCCCATGCTCTAGTGATAAGCCAGGACGCTGCCTCCACAGAGAAGCTTTCCTACCAAACAGCAGCCCTCCCCTTTGCCACCTGTCCTCAGTTAGTTCCTGATTACATCCCTAAGAGCACTTATCTAAAAAGACTGATGTTATTTTTTTCTTCACCAACAGACTTTTATTTTTGGTTCACTACTGAACCCAAGCATCTAGTAAGTTGCCTCACACCATGTAGAAACCTGACATTTACTGAATGAATGAATGAAAACCAGAACAAGTCAACGAAGAAGCTCTTATTAATCAATTTACAGGTGAGGAAATTAAGCCTCAACGATGTTAAAATATTTTTCCAAGATCACTCAGTGGCAGAATTATTATTTTAACTGAGATCCTAGGTCTCCCCAGAATCCCTCTGCCGTTGTCTGCTACATTTCCACCAATCAGTGGAAAGCCGAATGGGCCCAATATAAGTTTTTATGGCATGATTTCTTGAGACTTCAATGCCCCATTGCTCAAGGATATCTGCCTAAGAAACCCTTGGAACTATTCCAGGAAGGCCAAGTTAAGTGAAAATACATGCCTGGAGAGAGGGATTCTCTGTCTCTTGCCACATACACATACATCTTTTTCTTATATCTGAACCTTATAAACATAAATACAAACAACAAAATCAAATAAAAAGAAAAGAACCTAGAAAAGGGTAAACTAAGGAAGAAACAAATTAGATAAACCCAGGGGAAATGTCCACACATAAATATAGATCTGCTAAGGTACTGTACGCTAGCTTATATGGACCACAATTCTAGCCATACACTCCCTAGTAGCCAACACAAAGTGAGAAATAGAATCAGTTACATGACATATTTTGACGATTTTAAAAATTCAATCAATTGCCAGGAGTCACACAACTATTACTGTCTCTACAATCTGAGAGCAATTCCTCTTGTGGGTCTTTAGAGTGAAAGGTAGAATATAGTAATCAGCATTCTAAACTATAGACCTTTTAAATAAACATATCAAGCTTCATAGAATGGCGTCTCATAGTATGCCTTAATAGAGGTGGCAGGTATAATGCCAAAACCTATGCAGCACAGTATTGCCTTGCTATTCAAAGCATGCTCTACCGCAACATCAGGATCACCCAGGAACTTGCAGCTCTACAAGATCTGCAGGTGATTCCTAAGCACATTAAAGTTTAAGAAGCACTGCTTTATTGGTTGAGCTTAAGCCATGAAAAATAATTGGAAGAAACTATAATTCATTCATTCATTCATTTAACAAATATTTACTGAAACTTTGGCAGTAGGAAAGGATTTCTTTAAACATGACACCAAAACTACCACCGTAAAGGAAAATATTGATAAATGGGACACCACTAAAATTGAGTGATATTTGCAAACACACACAAAGCTGGGCATCTAAAAATGTGTCAGGCAGTCTTGGCAATGAACATCAATGAAACCAAAAATGTCTACCCTTATGGAGCTTACATTCTAATCAGCGAAGACATAAATAAACAATTTAAGTAAAACAAATCACGAAAGGGGGATAAGTTGAGGGTGGGGTTGCAATTTTAAATAGGGTAGTCAGGAAAAGCCTCATTGAGGAAGTAAAGACCTATACAAGGCCAGGCACAGTGGCTCATGACTGTCATCCCAGGACTTTAGGAGACTGAGGCGGGCAGATCACTTGAGCCCAGGAGTTCCAGAACAGCATAGGCAACGTGGTGAAACTCTGTCTCTACAAAAAGTACAAAAAATTAGCTGGGTGTGGTGGCACATGCCTGTGGTGTCACCTACTTGGGAGGCTGAGGTAGGAGGATCGCCTGAGCCCAGGAGGTCGAGGCTACAGTGAGCCATGGTTGCACCACTGCACTCCAGCCTGGGTGACAGAGTGAGACTCTGTCTCAAAAAAAAATTATATATATATATATATACATACACACACACACACACACACACACCTATACAAGGTCAGAGATCTAGCTATAAATATCTAGAGGGAGTGTTCCAAGTAGAAAGAACTGTAAGAACAAACAGCCTGAGACAGGAAAGTAACTAAAACAGGAAGATGGCCAGTGTGGTTGAAGAAGAATGAGCAAGGAGTAGAGTAGGAGTGTAGGAGGCTAGATCATGTGGGGCCTTCTCGGCTATTTTTAAGAATCATAACTTTGTGAGATGACAAGCCACTGGAGAAAAAGTAATAGGGAGCCACTGCAGTATGTTGAGCAGGGAAATAACATGATGAAAAATGTCTTTTGAAATATTTGTTTCTTAGAGGTAGATGGAACGGCTTGAGTGGGAGATTCTAGCTCAAAGTATATTGCACTAATCCCAATATATGGTGATTCATTCATTCAACTATTTATTAGGTGGCAAAGATGTGCCCAGTAATGTGGGGAGGATCTAAATTAGAGCGATAACTGAGGGAATTGCCAGAGGAATGTGAATATAAATGACATCGGAGGGGAAGAAACCCAGGACATACTGAGAGATTATTTATAGAGAAATGACACAAATTCGCAATTCAATCTAATCAAGGTCTATGGATCACCTACTGAGGACAAAGTCCTGTGCTGGCTAGGATTTGCGGGGAGGGGATGGGGTATAAAACTTCTACTTTCCCCTCAAAGGGCTTCCAGCCTGGCATGCTTAGCCCCTGCCCTACACCTTTCAAGCCAGAAAGTCTTGAATTGACACAGCTGCAGCTGGCACTGGAACTAACTGGTTTGCTCAGGCTCAGGTTAAGACCTGTTTTTGTTGGTGGTGGTGGTGGGTTTTTTTTTTTTTTTTTTTTTGCTATCCTTGAAGCTTGTTCCATCTCCTGGGAGCAGGGGCCAAAGCACCTCAACTCGATTAGTAAAAAAAAAAAAAGACCTGGTTTGGCAGGAGGGCAGAAGAGAGGTCTTAATAGATGTCTTGTGTGGATCAGTGTTGCAGAATGGCCTGAACCACCAGTTTTTGGGCAGAGTCCTTCTGGTCTGCTTCCACCTGTGTGATCTAGTGGTCACACACTCTTCCCATTCCATTCTGGAAAAAAGGCCTCAAGGCATGGAAAGGGGAAGAGGCAAGATTAAGGAAAACAATTGGAAAAAAAAATTTGAAAATTGCCTGCTGCCAGACTACAAGGTGAGGGGAGCAGATGCAAATGCAATGCAAATGATATGTAAATATCTCTGTGGCCTTCTAAAAGGTTTTCTACAACTGGAAGGGCATTTGAAAAACTGCTGGCAGTTAACAGTGACTCAGAAGCAGAGCAAACTATTTCAAGACAACTTTGTGACATAAACCTTTGCTGCCCAGCTAACACAGTGCACATTCTTTAGTAATCTTTTTTCTCACTTGAATCAACCTCACCTGCTATTAAAAAAAAACCCTGTCTGCCTCTGTAGAGGTGATCTAAGTTAATTACTCTTTTAAAACACTCTATATACCTTTAATTTTTCTTCAAACGCCTTTCTCACCTAAATAAAGCCAAGTTAAATGTGTCACTTCCTCCCTAGAACAGTAGTTGGCTCCAGGGGATTATGAATGAAAGTGCCTCTCTCTCCGTTCTAGTCACTATGATCCTTCAGAGTTTTGTTCTTTTTCCTACTCCACAGGAACTGGCATATTCTCTTCTAATAACCACATGCTGATTTCAAAGTGAGTCCAGGAAAAAATATGTATGTGAAAACCAATTCACTTTTAGGAGCCACTGTAAAGTTATTCATCAAGAAAAGCTGCCCTGTCAAGAAAGCTGTGGTCTTGCCCATCCTAAGCAAATATTTTTAAGTGAAATAATGCACATTCAACCACAATGGGGTACATTTCCGGGTACGTTTCCGTCTACATTTATGTATTTTTAAAGGGGACACTCCTATCAGATATGCATTTAATAAGAGCCATGGGTTGAACTGAATAGTAAGCAAAACAGTAAACACATCAGACCCACAGCTGAGCAGTTATTCTTGGTTACAGACCCAGGGCTCCAGAAGCAACTTACCTCCACATCGGCCCCGAAAAGTTCCATTACTTTCTAGCACTCTAACATTCGAGGATGCCTCAGCTTTTGACAGCAGAGTCAAAGGAAAGGAAATCCCTTCCATTTCTGAGGTTTTCATCTTACTTGAAAGGGCCACACTGTCATCCCCCAGAAAGCTAACAGGCATCTGGAGTGATGCCACGTAAAAACACGAACAAAGCGCAGAGACGCCGAATCTCAACAAATGAGAGACTGAAAACGACAGGAAAGAAGAGGGACAAAAGCAGGAGATAGACCTCAAGGGACTGAAGAAATGCTAGCACCACACCAAGAGTAACAAAGACTTGGAGAGCAACTCGGGACAGTGCTGCCCGAGCCACGGAGTCCGGGGAAAGGAGGCCGGGCAGGCGGCGAGCGCCCTCCCGCGGCCCGGGCTACCTCTTACCTCCTGGGCGAGTTTCTGCTTGAGCACCAGCGCGGCACACAGGTAACCCGCGCGGCCCACGAACAGCTCGTCGGAGCCGCACTCCAGGAAGGAGACCGGCGCGCAGACGGCACACAGAGCCCGGAACTTGCCCAGCGGCTGCACGTAGTCGGACCGGCCCAGGGCGTGGTATACGAGCGTGGCCACGGCGTACACGCCCGCGCCCCCGAGCAGGAAGGCGGCGCGGGTGTCGGCGTCCGGTTCGCCCCACTCCTCAGCGCGGGCGCACGCGTCGATGAGGCGCTTAGCCGAGCGCAGGTAGCGTTCCCGGGCCGTGGCGAAAAGCGGGCTCTGCGAGACGTGGTAGAGCATATACGCCACTCCGGCCACGCCGCCATAAAGCCCCCCCTGGCAGGCGCTAGCCCCCGCCGTCGCCCCTCGGGCCTCCGCGCCGCCCCCGAGTGGGGGAAGCTCCTGGAGGATGCGCTCGATGGTGGCGGTGACCAAGGGCGCCACCGCCTCCTCACACTGGCCCGCCAGCAGGCTGCCCTGGTAGTCATCGAAGCGATTGGCGAAGCAGCGCTTGGTGTCCATGCTGTTGCCCGTGCCCCCTAGTGCGGAGCTGAGGACCGCTTGAAGTCGTGCCCTGCAGCCCCGCACACCACCTCCGGCTCTCTGAGGCACTCGGATGCCGGTGTATGCGGCGGGGAAGGAGCGAGAAGGATGAGACGGGAGGTGACAAGAGGAGGCGGGCAAGGAGCGGATGGCCAAGTGGGGCGCCGGGCTGCCGCGAGGCTCCCGAGTGGCCCGGGCGATCGCGGGGGATGCGTGTCCTGCGCCCCCCCTCAGAGGCCGCGCCCTCGCTGAACCCGCCCCCTCCTGCGCCGCCGCAGCTTGGCTGCCTCTTCAAGGGGCCGAGGTGATCTCTGGCAGGACCCACGCGGGGCCCGCGCCACTCCTCCCGCTCCGCCCCCGACTCCTCCCCTACTGGCAGAAGGCCGAGGACGTGCGGGACACTGATCTGGAACGCTGGGACTCAGCATACACACACCTGGCGGTAGAGGTGATGGTCTCCAGTCCCTTGTATACTCAAAGTGTGGTCCTTGGGTTAGAAGCATCAGCATCACCCGGGGGCATGTTAAAAACGCAGCATCTCAGGCTTCACTCCAGACCTATTGACTCCAAATCTGAATATTCAGCAAGATTGCCAGGTGATTCGCATGCACATTAAAGTTTGAGGCGCCACTGAACTAGGCTAGAGTAGCAAGACAAAACTGGGCGCCTTCTTTGAAGTTTGTATTTCATCTTGGTCGCTTCGGAGTTCTCATTATGAATGTTTCAATCCCAAAGGCTGGGGCATTTGAGCACATCATGTTTAATGCATTAAAACGGTGAAATACCCCATACAGGAACTTTTTTCCCAGCTTTGATTTTTGTATTGTTTTCTTCGAGTATACAGGAGTAAAAAGTCAAAGAACCACACCAGGTTAAGGCAAGGAAGGGGCACGCCCCTCCTGCCATGCGTGCATAGTAAAAGCTCAATACATATCTTGAGGTCATTAACTAGTTAATATTAGGATAAACGCTCTGTGAGAATTTAATTAGGCTTTTTATCTCCCCCTTCCCTCCCTTCTTTTCCCATGTTTGTCCTCTTCTGCTTTTTTCCCAAGGGCGTTGTGGAGGGTCTCCTATGTGTCCTGAAACCTGGAAATAGAGGGATGAATAAGATAGACATGGTCCTAGACCCCTTGTAGCTTACAATTCAGTAGGAAAAAACAGAAAATGAACAATTACACAAGCTAGTTGCCTTTCTTGTGCTCAGCTGTTTGAAATAATTCTGCCTTTCCCAAAGTGTTGACTCTTGAAGACTAAAGAGGTCACGTCTCCCAGGAGTATTTGACTTTTGATAGGGACTGTGCAAGACATAAAGGAGTAAGTGGCTCATAGAACAGTTTCTGATACTTTGTGGGGAGAGTAACTACTCCACTTACTTGAAAGGCCAGTTTGGAGGCATTTTTTTTTCCTCAGAAGTGTTAAATGTCACCATGATTGGGAAGCAGATATTAAATACCCTGCCCCTCCACCCTTACTTGATGTAGTCTGGGAAAGAACCTTAGTTTGCCAACATGATTGCCAGGACTGACACATCCACATAGTTCAAGGACAGTATGGCCATCGTCCCCCTTTGATGCTGCCAAAACAGGTTTATTTTTAATAATAATAATAATGATAAAAGTCCACTTTTAGGCAGGGAGCTTGATATGTTAAAGGAGGAAAAGGCATCAAAGAAGCAACAGGAATGTTGAGTTTCTCCTTGAGACTTCCTTCCTCATCCCTCAACCATAACAGACATTAGAGGTGATTTTTGTCCCCTCAGACAAGGAAACATAAAATAAAGCCTTTACCAGCAGAAATGAAGCCTTATTCCACTTCATTCCTCCACACCTCACTCACCCTTGTCATGAATCTAGAGGCAACTCTATTAATTCTGACTCTGATTATTCTTCGAAACACTCCAGCCTAGAGGTAGCGCCAGCAACAACAACAGGGATCTGCTAACTGGCTTCAAAATAGAACTGTGTGTAAACACGTCTCCAAGAAAACGAGCTCTTCCACTTTTTCCCAGTTGTGTCATCTGTCTATTGCCCCAAAATGCTGTATGAAAAGCAATCACAAAATCTAATAGCATATGGCAGTAAATTTAATGTTTATGCATCTAGGATCTTGGCTGGGCTCATTCAGGTGTCTGGAGGTGGGTTGGGTCTTGCTTGGGGAGACTGAGGTGACTGGCCTCTGGCCCATATGTCTCTTCTCTTTTAGCTGGCCAACCCCAGCATGCTTGCACGGCAATGGCAGAGGGGCTAAAGCAAAAGCAGAGACATGCAAGACTTCTGAGGGTCTAGTCTCAGGAGCACACACTCTTTTCTGCCTTAGTCTATTGGCAAATCACATGAGGAAATATAAGGTGTTTTTGTTGAACTTCAAATTTGCATGACAAAGGGTATGGATACAGGGTAGGGTGAAGCGTTAGGGTTCTTTGAAACCCCACCTCTAATTGTCCTATACTTAATTTGCATGCAGTGTTATTTATTTTAATATCACTACTCCACTAGAATATACTCTCCATGAGGGTAGGGCTTTTTCTTGCATTTATTTACTGATATGCAAGATCCTAGAATAGTCTCTATTCTACCACTACTACTGCTACTGCTATTGCTACTACTACCACTACTCCCTGTAGTAGATATTTACTGAAAGTTTATGAAATAATGAATGAATTACCATGAGAGTGCCATGAGAGACTTAAGGTACCCTAAAGTATAGAACACAGAGTGAGGCCTTTTTTGAAACCTTAGCCTGACATGTCTAAACTCCTCCTATATTCTTGGACCCTTTTCCTCTTGTGAGCACAAGAATGTAAACATTCTGCAGTTTTTGCTCTTGTCTGTTTCTCTACAAGATATGGTGACCTCTATACTTTACCTTGAATTCGGGGTCTTCACACATTCTACTTTTGCTAATTAACCCTGTGTGGCAGCTTATATTTTTCAAATATGGCCACAACAATATCTCCTATGCCACATGTTCCTCTGCAATCAATGTGACCTTGACATTCCTCTCATCAGGAGGGAGGTACATGCAACCTCTTCTGAATTCTGGGTGGGCTTATATCTCATTTGTAACCAATAGAATGTGATGGAAATAACACCGTATGGCATCCAAGGCTTAATTATAAAAAGTAATGCAGCTTCCATCTTAAATGTTGCAGCACTCACATTTGGAGCCTTGGGCTGCCTTGTAAGAATCTGACTACCCTGAAGCTGCCTTATCGAGAGGAAGCCCAGACAACATGAAGAGGTCACCTGGAAGTGCTTGGATTGACAGCCCGAGGACAGCATCAACTGACAGCTATGTGAGTGAACCACTTTGGAAATATCCACCCCAGTCAAGCCTTCAGATTACCATCATCCCAGACCCTTCCAGAATTCCTGACCCAAAAAATTACAAACAAAAATATAGTTGTTATAAGCCTCGAAGTTTTAGGATAATGTGTTATGGAGCAAGGTAACTGGAATGTCCTGCTAGCTTCCCATAATCCAATGCTCTGGAAGTCCCCTCTAATCAATAGTCTACACTCAACAGGGCAATGAGCAGTTAGGAAGATAAATATTTTAGAGAAGTCTGGAAGACAGAGAAGTATGCAGGCACCCAAAACGTTGTGTTCTGAAATAACAATTCCAGTTGGATTCTTTAAAAGTAGTGATGACCCCACAAGAAATATGCAGTCTATACAAAATCTTGCCAAGGCCATTTATTTTACCATTATCTGCAAGATTTGTCCTGATAGTCACAGAATTTCTAGCAGCATTTGCTGACAGGCAGCTCCCAACACATGTTTCTGTGATCTTGCTGAATTGCTCAGTTCCTAGTTCTTCTTCAGTACGTCCTTATTATGCAGATTATGCAAAACTATGGATGGAAGAGAGTATTATTGGGTTCATCAAGGAAATCGCATAAAAATTATGCAAAACTATCCAGAAAAGAGAGTATTAAAATCAGGGTTTCTCTTATGCAAATTATTGCTCTCTATGGGTGAATATGAAAAAAAATCAGTAATTGTATAACTGTCAAACCTTACCAATTAAGATTTAATACATTTTATGGGATAATGCATCCTAGAAATGCTTTCAAAAAGTTTTCCAAAATTTTGTTCAAAGGGTGCATCCTAGAAATGCTTGAGATAACTGAATAGTGCTTTCTTCATTCCTTATAGCATATCCTCTGTGGTGACTCATCCCTATTTTATTAGATTAACAACATAATTGGAAACTTTTCCCTAATTCTCCTCTTTCCTTTGCAGTTTTCTGTCCTTTGAATACTCTTCAAAAAATTACCTCATGGCTTGCCTCTTCACCTCTCTTTCAATGAGACTTTCTCCAACTTATTAGTTTAAAGTTACTACCCCTCCACCAACCATTAGTATCTAATGACTACATATTTTACCTATTTGTTTTGTTTCCCATCTATCTCTCTCCACTAAAATTTAACCCCCATAATAACAGGAAATTTTGTCTGTGTTGTTTCCTCTTGTATGCTTGGCATCTAGATCAATGCCTGACACATTGTATGTGCTCAATAGATATTTATTGATGTCTGTGATGCTCTTCATAATGTCAAAATTTTCTTTCCATCCATGGCTGGGTTTTGCTGTCTTTTAGCTGGCCAACCCCAGCATACTTGCATGGCAATGGCAGAGGGGCTAAAGCAAAAGCAGAGACATGCAAGACTTCTGAGGGTCTAGTCTCAGGACCACACACTCTTTTCTGCCTTAGTCTATTGGCAAATCACATGAGGAAATATAAGGTGTTTTTGTTGAATGTCAAAGTTGCATGACAAAGGGTATGGATACAGGGTAGGGTGAAGTATTAGGGTTCTTTGAAGCCCCACCTCTAATTGTCCTATACTTAATTTGGATGCAGCGTTATTTATTGTAATATCATTACTCCACTAGAATAATTTCCTGACCAGTTGCTTGATTATACACCTCTGCCAAAAGCAGCCACAGAAGTGTGCATTCTAACATAGGATTTGATTCTCTTTATTGTCTTTTTTTCCCTCTACTTCCCATTTTATCAATTTAGGGCACTTTGTTAGCCATTATAGGCTAATCATGATCGCCAGTACACATGTAATCCCAGAATTAAAAGCCACCTGAAATAAGCAAGCAAATTGGCACTCGCCATTCCACCTGAAGGAGGGGCAACTGAGTTTGATTAGGTCACATTGGCCAAGAAGGAGCAATGGTCCACACCCTAGCTTAGTGGATATGAAGAAAGTATATGTCAATTATACCTTTGGGTATTACAATGTGTGTGTATGGATGAGTGATTTGAATGACTTATAATATAACATTGCTGTATGGGACACTGCTAAAACAGGTATTCCTCCATTGTAAACTAATGTATCTGTGTAAGGTACATTAAATTGGCAAGTGGGGATGTAGATATTCCTTTAGGTAGAGTAAATTATTTAACTGGAAACGTTTAAGAGCTTCCTACATGTGGTCATTTCTAAGGTTTTCACCAGCATTCAGAAGGGTAGAAGGAAAAGAGTGATTATAAATTCCTATGGTGGTATAGTTCAATGGCTATTAAATAACCTGATAATAGCCTAGTGTTGATAATACATTAACACATCTGCTTTTTGTCTTATTTCTTTTTCACTTGCACATTCACAGTTCTCCTTATTGTAAGAAATTCCAATGTCAAACATGTAAGGTCAAAGTAATTCTCATATACAATTTTTATACATTTGCATGAATGCAAGAGGTGGTACTTAAAAGAGCAGATATCTTCCAAATAATTCATATTATGACTCTGGAATGGCCATGGTCATACGTAGCCAGCTGTTCTCAATATGCGATGACTGCTCGACAGGACTTGACCCAGCATTCTGTTGAGATACAGAAAGGGGCAATAACCAGCAAAAAACAGGGTCTCAGTCTATAATCCAAAAGGTAGACAAATCCATTACCAAATGATTAAACAGAGCTAACTGCTTTAGGCTGGCAAGGATTAACAGAATCATGGAGCTGGAGATCATCTCCAAGAGATCATCTCTTTATGCCTTTCCTTTATCAATAAGGAAACCAAGGTCCATGGAAATCATACAACAGGGAATCGCTGAAAGGTTCTGAAGAGGAGAGTCGTGGGATCATATCTGTGCTTTAGAATGATGAGTTTTCTTGAAAAATTAGAGAACATATTTAAAGGAGGACCATATGTCAGAGCAGTAAGTAGAATAATCAAGAAATGAGGAAATCTGGACTAGGGCAATAGCAGGAAGGGTGGCGAGACTTGGAAGAAGTCAAGAGATCTGAAGCGAGCAGGTTTACAGGGTTTTATGAGCAACTGGATGTGGGAGTAAAGGAGGATAAAAGTCAAAGATTATGGCTGGTTTCTGCTCTGGACAATTGGACCAACAAAGGTACTATCCACCATGCCAAAGAATACATGCAGTGGAATAGATATGAGGCATAAAGAAGAAGGATAATAGCTCATTCAGTTTTAAAACCTGAGTGTGGCTTTACAGTCTCATGATGTAAAAAGAGAAACAGTAAAGCAATAAAATGTTAACAATATGTCCTGAAGGTTAAAAATTCAGAACAACAAGGAGGTTGATAGAGGTGAGCTTTGGAAATTGGTTAATATAGGGATAGTACGGATAAAGGTATGTAGCTAGACTTCAGAATGAGGAAGCTTGACCACCCGGCTTTAATGGTCTTCTACTATCAGCAACATCTTGAGTTTATTTTGAGATACCACCATTCCCCATTCCTAGAACATGTGATTTAAAAGAAGCTATACCATTTCCATGTCCCCAAGAGGGAGCATATATCCCAGGTCTGCCCAAGGAGAAGCAATCCTGAGCTTCCTTGGCTAAAACCATTGGGAAAGCTAAGATAGCTAATGTAGAAGGATTAAACCCACAGCTACTGCTGGCTCTCTTATGACTGCAAGGAGAAAGCATGCTTAGGATTAAACCACACAGAGGAAAGCAGAACTGAGTAATAAAAAAAGTATGACATGCTATAAATAACAAGATGTCTTAGAATAAAAAAGAAAAATAAACCAATAAAACAAAAATTATAATAAAAAAAAGTATGACAAAAAGTGTGACCCAATGACATTATTAAAATGCCTGCATCTGGCCTTCCCTGAAAGACTATTCAATTATGGAACCCAATACATTCCTTCTTTTACTTAAATAGGGGTCTGTCACTTGCAAAAGAAGGAGACCTGGAATAATTCAGGGTTTTTTGGCCATTTGAAGTAGTTTGCTGTGATTCGATTAGAGCAGCTAGGTAGGTATGGATGGGAGCAAGAAAAATATTTGCTGAAGTCACATTTGAGAGGATTATTGATAACAGAGAATTCTATGAGCCTTTGAGCAATGAACAAGTGGAGGTATTGAAATGAGGCATGATGTCAAACTCCTGCTCCACCAAGCCTCACTGTGTGACCTAGGGAAAGTTATTTAACCTTCCTAAGCCTTGGTTCTGTCATCTGTAAGTTGGTAAAGACAATGGGATCTTTCTCGAAGCATGGTTAGGATAATGCCTATAAAGGTTTAACTTTATGTCTAGCTCTGAATAAATGTTAGCATTTGTCCAAAATCATTATTATTCTGTATGTAGTTGCTTTGAGAAGTGGATTATCACTGCCAGCTTACCGCCTAACCTCTTGCCTCTTCCTCTTTTTCTAAGTTGGTTCTCCTTAGAAAAGAGTCATACATTTTTGGTTTGTTAGTTTTCCTTATTCTTTCTTTCTTTTTTCTTCTTTTTTTTAATTATACTTTAAGTTTTAGGGTACATGTGCACAAGGTGCAGGTTTGTTACACATGTATACATGTGCCATGTTGGTGTGCTGCACCCATTAACTTGTCATTTACATTAGGTATATCTCCTAATGCTATCCCTCCCCCCTCCCCCCACCGCACGACAGGCCCGGGTGTGTGATGTTCCCCTTCCTGTGTCCATGTGCTCTCCTTGTTCAATTCCCACCTATGAGTGAGAACATGCGGTGTTTGGTTTTTTGTCCTTGCGATAGTTTGCTGAGAATGATGGTTTCCAGCTTCATCCATGTCCCTACAAAGGACATGAACTCATCATTTTTTATGGCTGCATAGTATTCCATGGTGTATATGTGCCACATTTTCTTAATCCAGTCTATCATTGATGGACATTTGGGTTGGTTCCAAGTCTTTGCTATTGTGAATAGTGCTGGAATAAACATACATGTGCATGTGTCCTTATAGCAGCATGATTTATAATCCTTTGGGTATATACCCAGTAATGGGATGGCTGGGTCAAATGGTATTTCTAGTTCTAGATCCCTGAGGAATCACCACACTGTCTTCCACAATGGTTGAACTAGTTTACAGTCCCACCAACAGTGTAAAAGTGTTCCTATTTCTCCACATCCTCTCCAGCACCTGTCGTTTCCTGACTTTTTAATGATCACCATTCTAACTGGTGTGAGATAGTATCTCACTGTGGTTTTGATTTGCATTTCTCTGATGGCCAGTGATGATGAGCATTTTTTCATGTGTCTGTTGGCTGCATAAATGTCTTCTTTTGAGAAGTGTCTGTTCATATCCTTCACCCACTTGTTGATGGGGTTGTTTGTTTTTTTCTTGTAAATTTGTTTAAGTTCTTTGTAGATTCTGGATATTAGCCCTTTGTCAGATGAGTAGATTGCAAAAATTTTCTCTTATTCTGTAGGTTGCCTGTTCACTCTGATGGTAGTTTCTTTTGCTGTGCAGAAGCTCTTCAGTTTAATTAGATCCCATTTGTCAATTTTGGCTTTTGTTGCCATTGCTTTTGGTGTTTTAGACATGAAGTTCTTGCCCATGCCTATGTCCTGAATGGTATTGCCTAGGTTTTCTTCTAGGGTTTTTATGGTTTTAGGTCTAACATTTAAGTCTTTAATCCATCTTGAATTAATTTTTGTATAAGGTGTAAGGAAGGGATCCAGTTTCAGCTTTCTACTTATGGCTAGCCAGTTTTCCCAGCACCATATATTAAATAGGGAATCCTTTCCCCATTTCTTGTTTTTGTCAGGTTTGTCAAAGATCTGATAGTTGCAGATATGTGGCATTATTTCTGAGGGCTCTGTTCTGTTCCATTGGTCTATATCTCTGTTTTGGTACCAGTACCATGCTGTTTTGGTTACTGTAGCCTTGTAGTATAGTTTGAAGTCAGGTAGCGTGATGCCTCCAGCTTTGTTCTTTTGACTTAGGATTGACTTGGCAATGTGGGCTCTTTTTTGGTTCCATATGAACTTTAAAGTAGTTTTTTCCAGTTCTGTGAAGAAAGTCATTGGTAGCTTGATGGGGATGGCATTGAATCTATAAATTACCTTGGGCAGTATGGCCATTTGCACCATATTGATTCTTCCTACCCATGAACATGGAATGTTCTTCCATTTGTTTGTATCCTCTTTTATTTCATTGAGCAGTGGTTTGTAGTTCTCCTTGAAGAGGTCCTTCACATCCCTTGTAAGTTGGATTGCTAGGTATTTTATTCTCTTTGAAGCAATTGTGAATGGGAGTTCACTCATGATTTGGCTCTCTGTTTGTCTGTTATTGGTGTATAAGAATGCTTGTCATTTTTGTACATTGATTTTTTATCCTGAGACTTTGCTGAAGTTGCTTATCAGCTTAAGGAGATTTTGGGCTGAGACAATGGGGTTTTCTAGATATACAATCATGTCATCTGCAAACAGGGACAATTTGACTTCCTCTTTTCCTATTTGAATACCCTTTATTTCCTTCTCCTGCCTGATTGCCCTGGCCAGAACTTCCAACACTATGTTGAATAGGAGTGGTGAGAGAGGGCATCCCTGTCTTGTGCCAGTTTTCAAAGGGAATGCTTCCAGTTTTTGTCCATTCAGTATGATATTGGCTGTGTGTTTGTCATAGATAGCTCTTATTATTTTGAGATACATCCCATCAATACCTAATTTAGTGAGAGTTTTTAACATGAAGGGTTGTTGAATTTTGTTAAAGGCCTTTTCTGCATCTATTGAGATAATCATGTGGTTTTTGTCTTTGGTTCTGTTTATATGCTGGATTACATTTATTGATTTGCATATGTTGAACCAGCCTTGCATCCCAGGGATGAAGCCCACTTGATCATGGTGGATAAGCTTTTTGATGTGCTGCTGGATTCGGTTTGCCAGTATTTTATTGAGGATTTTTGCCTCGATGTTCATCAGGGATATTGGTCTAAAATTCTCTTTTCTTGTTTTGTTTTTGCCAGGCTTTGGTGTCAGGATGATGCTCGCCTCATAAAATGAGTTAGGGAGGATTCCCTCTTTTTCTATTGATTGGAATAGTTTCAGAAGGAATGGTACCAGCTCCTCCTTGTACCTCTGGTAGAATTCGGCTGTGAATCCATCTGGTCCTGGACTTTTTTTTGTTGGTAAGCTATTAATTATTGCCTCAATTTCAGAGCCTGTTATTGGTCTATTCAGAGATTCAATTTCTTCCTGGTTTAGTGCTGGGAGAGTGTATGTGTCGAGAAATTTACCCATTTCTTCTAGATTTTCTAGTTTATTTGCGTAGAGGTGTTTATTGTATTCTCTGATGGTAGATTGTATTTCTGTGGGATCGGTGGTGATATCCCCTTTATCATTTTTTATTGTATCTATCTGATTCTTCTCTCTTTTCTTCTTTATTAGTCTTGCTAGCGGTCTATCAATTTTGTTGATCTTTTCAAAAAACCAGATCCTGGATTCATCGATTTTTTGAAGGGTTTTTTGTGTCTCTATTTCCTTCAGTTCTGCTCTGATCTTAGTTATTTCTTGCCTTCTGCTAGCTTTTGAATGTGTTTGCTCTTGCTTTTCTAGTTCTTTTAATTGTGATGTTAGGGTGTCAATTTTAGATATTTCCTACTTTCTCTTGGGGGCATTTAGTGCTATAAATTTCCCTCTACACACAGCTTTGAATGTGTCCCCTCCCCCAGCCTCGCTGCCGCCTTGCAGTTTGATTTCAGACTGCTGTGTTAGCAATGAGTGAGGCTCCGTGGGCATGGGACCCTCCAAGCCAGGCACGGGATCTAATCTCCTGGTGTGCCGTTTGCTAAGACCATCGGAAAAGCACAGTATTAGGGTGGAAGTGACCCAGTTTTCCATGTGCCATCTGTTACCCCTTACCTTGGCTAGGAAAGGGAATTACCTGACCCCTTGCACTTCCCAGGTGAGGCGATGCCTCGCCTTGCTTCGGCTCATGCTTGGTGCGTTGCACCCGCTGTCCTGCACCCACTGTCCGACAATCGCCAGTGAGATGAACCCCGTACCTCAGTTGGAAATGCAGAAATCATTCATTTTCTGCGTGGCTCACGCTGGGAGCTATAGACTGGAGCTGTTCCTATTTGGCCATCTTGGCTCCTTCCAGTCTGTTTTCCTTGTTCTTTCTGAATGATTCTTAAATAAAATGTGTTCCGTTTACAAGCCTAGCAATTTTTTTTAGGGTGACAAATTCAACTTCTAGGTGAAGAAAGAAATCATGTTGTGTTTTTCAGCTTTTATGTGATCACCGGTAATAAAGATTCAAGTTGACAAATTGTGTTGTTGATGCATGACACAGAATAAAGTTAATCTTTTCAAGGCTGTCTGGTTCTGCAGCAGAAAGAGTAAACAGGAAAGTAAAAGCATGTGACAGAAAGCTATGTGAATGAGCAGATCTGCAAAGAGAGGATAAGCAGACAATATCTGAGGGGGGACTCTTAGTTGTTTTCAATCTTTTAAGTTCCATAGAAGTTTCCCACAGTTGATCTTTACCAAGCTCTCACAACTTTGGGGAAAAAAACCTCTGTAAGATGTCCTTGGATATTTAGTTATTAGAGCTGCTTCTGGAAATACTGAACAAGAAATTTGCTTTATTTTTGGCTAGAAGGTATACAAACCAAGCTCAGTTGAGAAATAAAATGAGTGTCTTCACTTTCTAATTATATTTTCTCTTTCAATTAAGATGTTCCAGAAAATTATTAATAGTATATTTCTGTGTGCCATCCAAATGGGTGGCTTACTCATATTTACTTGAAATTCACAATTAGAACCTCCACATAACTCAATCTCCAGGCCACCACTACTCAGTAAAATTCTTTTTTATTTAGATAGTGACATTCAGCACTCCCCCCCATCTTTTTTGGTCAAGAAGCTGCACAGTTGGATTTTGAGTTTTGCATGAGACATACAAAATTTGAATTCAGACAGAGTACTAGTGATGCAGAAGTGGTAAGTAGGTAAGTACATATAAATGGTGAATGTAAAGGCATTTCAAAAGATCGAGTCTTTTAAAAAAGGGAACCTGGAGATAAGTCAATGGAATAGAACATCGTAACAGTCTAATAGGCTCCTGCTTCCAGAAAAATGTCATGGAAAAGTAAAGAAATTTATTTTGCCTCAGTATTTATTTTTAAAACTGACATCTATTATCTATTCTAATGGTTCTATTTCATTTCCCAAATGATTAAATATAAATAAAGTGAGACCATTTATTTAATACAAGCTGATTCTTGTTTCTGATGCAGGCTAAGTATACAACCCAAAAAGGAGAGATGTGGAGTGTGAGGCTAGCTAACAGGTTACTATCCAGACATCTCCTCTGTTTTTCCCAGTTAACCAAAACAGCATGAGGCCCATTATTTTCCTGTCTGTAAAACCAAAAATAAAGAGGAGGATTTTCTTTCCTGGGAATTATATTTGTATATATTCTCATTATTATTTTAAAGTTCCTCTTTTTCATAAAATATTTGGGAGAAAAAAATGCACTGAATCTTAGACTTATATACTCCTAGATTTGTAAAGTTTTAAAGTATCATATTATCTACCACTCAAAGAAGGGATCTCTTTGTATCCATTAGGATTAGATTTAGCTGCATCAAAAATAAAAATGCAAAAAAATTGTAAGCACAATAGAAGTTTATTTCTCTCTCCTATTAAAAAAGCCCAAGGTACAGAGAGTGACATCATGAAATGGCAAAATGGGAAGCATTAGATCCTCCTTCCTCCCATGGAGACAGATTTGGCAATAAAACATGGACTAACTCCCTCTGTGAGAAATCCAGACACCAGTTAAGGGGCTCCTGCACTCCAGACAAGTACAAAGCCAGTCACATCCAAGCCTATATGAAAATTCATGGCACTCATGCTATAATCTCTCCCCCAATAGAGTGCCATATGCTTGGGAGAAAACTCCCAGCTTCTAGTTTCTGGCTTCTCCCTGGGGAGGGAAATAAAAGACTGGGCTGTACTTCCAATGTTTTTACTTTCCAGGGGGCTGGATGAGGGACTGGCTTTTGCCCACCTGTCTGGGAGCACTAACAGGGGCAAGCACATTCTAGATACCTGGGGGACCGTGACAACAAAAAAGAGCTGTGCATCACGCTGCTGCTACCCAGGAATCATGGTACAGCAGACAGAGGTCAATAGAGGTTGGCAGTTTCTTATTCAGGGAGAAATAGAAGACTAGAACACGTGTTCAACATCTGGCTTTTCATGGGACTGCCTGAGGTACTGGTTTCTGTCTATCTTGATGTGGGGAGCTGACAGAACCCAGCATACTTTAGATACCTGGGGTTCCACTGCAAGTAAAAAAGGGCTAGACTGTATGGTCATGTTTCTGCTTCAGATGACCCATCGTGAAACAAAAAGACACAGAAGGAGCAAGAGATTACAAGCTCCTTAAAACAAGAAACTGGCAAATCCCTCTAGTTAGGAATCTGCACACATGTCTAGAGAAGACATATTCACAGAAAAGACTTGAGAGGCCCCCAGAATCTCTAGCCAGGCTTGTTGGTTAAGATTTTTCCATGTATAAAGCTAATCCTTAAAGACTGGGAGAGTTGGCTGATTTTTCAAATACCCAGATACCAACACAAAATCACAGAAAGTACAAGACACAAGGAAAAATGGCCCAATGAAAAAAAAAAAGAACAAAATAAATCTCCAGAAATTGACCTTAAAGAAACAGATATGAATTACCTAAAAGTGAATTCAAAATACCTGTCATGAAGATTTTTAATGAGCTCAGGAAAATGATGCATGAACAAAATGACATTTCGAAGTAGAGAGAAATTTCCTTTAAAAAAAGAATGAAGCAGAAAGTTTTGGAGCTAAAGAATGCAATAACTACAGTGATAGAAAAAAATCACTAGAAGTGCTCAACAGCTGACTTGATCAGGCAGAAAAAAAGAATCAGTGCACTCAAAAATGGGTAATCTGAAATTATGCAATAAGAGAAAAAGAAAAATGAATGAAAAAGAATGAACAAAATCTAAGGGTCTTATGGGACACTATCAAACAGACCCCTGTATGCATTATGGAAGTTGCAGAGGGGAAAGAGAAAGAGAAAAAAAAAACAGTTTATTTAAAAATTAATTGCCCCAAACTTCCCAAATCTGGGGAAGAAAAAAGACATCCAGATTCTAGAAGCCAATGGATCCCAAAAAAGGTGAATCCAAAGAAATCCATGTAAGATACATTATAATTAAATTGTCAATGCCAAAGATACAGAATTTTGAAAGCAAGAGAAAAGCGATTTGTCCCACATGAGTGAACCTCAATAAGACTCAGAGGATTTCCTTGCTGACCAGAAGGAGTAGGATGATATATGTACAAAGTGCTGAATGGGAAAAAAAAAAAAAAAACTTGCCAACAAAAATACTATAGTTAGCAAAACATTTCTTCAAAAATGAAGGAGAGCTAAAGACATTCCAAAATAAACAAAATCTGAGAGAGTTCATCCGCACTATACCTGCCTTACAAGAAATGCTAGACGGAGTCATTAAAGTTGAAATAAAAAATGCTAAACAGCAAAATGAAAGCATATAAAAGTATAAAGCTGTCTGGTACAGGTGACTATAGATAAATACAGAATACTGTCATACTGTATTGGTGGTGCACAAATCACTTTTAATTTTTGTATGGAAGTTAGAAGACAGAAGTAACAAAGTATAAAAATAACTATAACTATAAAATAGGTTAATGAATAAAAAATATTTAAACAAAACAAGATTCA
Source organism: Homo sapiens (assembly GCF_000001405.40). Classification (NCBI taxonomy): domain Eukaryota; kingdom Metazoa; phylum Chordata; class Mammalia; order Primates; family Hominidae; genus Homo; species Homo sapiens. The sequence goes on along the minus strand of NC_000023.11, from coordinate 37,556,879 downwards.
ACTATATGCTTTCTACAAGAGACCTACTTTATATTTAAAGAACCACATAGGCTGAAAGTGAAAGAATGGAGAAAAGATATTTCATACAAAATATTATAAAAATGTAAACACAACATACCAAAACTTATGGGATGCAGCAAAAGCAATACTAAGAGATGCTAAAAGAAAAAATATAGCTGAATTAAATTTAAAAGAGTTTAATTGAGCAAAGAACGATTTGCAAATTGGGCAGTCTCCTGAGCCAGAGTAGGCTCAGAGACTCCAGCACGCCAGGTGGTAGAAGAAGATTTATGGACATTGAAAGGAAAGTGACATACAGAAAACCAAAGTGAGGTATAGAAACAGTCAGATTGGTTCCAGCTCATAGTTTGCCTTATTTGAACATGATTTGAACAGTTGGCCAGGTTTGGCCAAAACTTGGTGATCAGCAGAAAAGTAGGGTATGGTCTGTGTACAACTCCATTTAGGTTATACTTTATAATATACAGAGAAACCTTTAGGCTGAACTTAAAATATATAAGGAGGCAGCTTTAGGATAAACTTGAGTTAACAGAGATAAGTTCATAACAATACATGCCTGCATTAAAAATGAAGAAATATCTCAAATAAACAATCTCACTCTACACCTAAAGAGATTAGAAAAAGAAGGAAACACTAGCTCAAAGTTAGCAGAAAGAAGGAAAGAACAAAGATTAGACCAGGAATACATAAAATAGAGAATAAAAACAATAGAAAAAATAAATGAAAAAAGATTTGGTGTTTTTAAAAGATCAAGAAAATTGGCAAACCTTTAGACTAAGTAAAAAAAAAAAGACACAAGATACAAATAAATAAAATCAGAAAACGATGAGATGATGTTACAACTGACGCCATGGAAATAAAAGGATTATAAGAGACTACTGTGAGCAATTATATACCAGATCCAGGACCTCTAAGTTTATCTTGGGACCTTAAGAGACAAGGATCGCCCAACTCACAGGTATTTGAGGTTAAACCCATGGCTGGGCTCAGCTTTAAAAGGTCTTACCTGAGATCCCTTGGGGAATAGAGCTCCATCAAAGCCAATCCAAAAGACCTATGTAGAAAGAATCATTCTTGCTGCACTTTATGCAAATAATCAGGCCAAGTATAAGACTAAGGTCTGTTTCAAAAACCGCCAGTCCTATGATGATTTGTTTTTTTAACAAACATGAGGACTGGAGAGAGAGAAATTATGTTCCAAAACTTATCATACATTTGTCATTAAATTCTAAATGCACTAGTTGTTTTTAAGTTTTCACTTACCTTTTAGACTAACCCTGCTTGTTCCTGTGAACCAACCAGCAATCTCTGGCTCCAGCTCAGAAAGAACAAGAGGGATGGATAATGTAAAAATCTGGATCAATATTCTAATTCTGAGCAATTATCCTGCAAATCCTGCCAGGGGATTGGAATCAATAGGATGCTCATTACTCGGAGGTTTCCTTTTGGGAAAGTAAGAACAAGCCAGCTAACCAAAGACAAACACCATGCACCCAAATCCTAGCAAGCATAACTATAGCCACCAGGTGTTTGGGTGTGTCACAGGACATCCTTTTCTCTCTCCCTTGTTGGAGGAGGACTCAGTTCCACAGTTTCACCTTAGCATTCAGCTTATGATAAGGAGTCCATGCAACACCCCCATGAGATACATTTTTGTCCCAAACTAATTCCAAGCTTTGAGTCAAAGCCCTAGGAAAGAAGACTAGATCTAAGGGATCCAGAGGCAGACGACAACAGAGGTTAAAAGGCACAGTGCACGTGAGTGTGGCTGATTCCTGCCGATTAAGCCAAGCCCAAGCTTCCTGTTTCATGGATAAAGGCCACATTAGTATCCATGGCATAAATGAGGTCTAGAGAATTCAAGGCTACCGATAGCAGGGAAGATAGGGCATACGTGGGAAGGAGCAGATGATTCCCACCCGTTCGACCCCCTGCTTCATGGGTGCAAGCCGCTTTTACACTCATGGCCACATCTGCCAAGGTTGACAGGACTTGGGGATGCAAGGACAGAAGAGGCAAAGAGGACTCTCTTCCCTGTCTCTCTCACGTACCTCGGGTATCTGTCAGGCAGAGAAGGGAACCAGGGATGCCTGCTCCCCTCTTTCTAGATGGGTAGCCATTCATCTTCAGTCTGTACCCCTTTCGAATGCATCCTGAACCCCTGGGACTCCTTTGAAAAAAAAAAGTATCTTATTTTTTCTTCTCTCCTCCTCTGTCCTCTCTTCACTAATAGGTAATTGTGTCCCTGTACTATGGAGCACTTCCCTCAGATGCATCCTCCAAACTGGAAAGAGTTAATTTCCCAAACTTTAAACTGGTTGGCTTGGGGTTAGGCTCAGGGGAGGGGGAACCGAGAAGCCCAACATACTGGCAAATGGGTGAAGTATTTTACCAGCTGGGAATTTGGTCTCCCCGTCCCCATGCAAACTGGTAAAAGGGCCTTATAAGTTTTGAGCTGTTGTTACCCTTCCCCTTGTTTCGTTTTGATACATGTTTCCTTTTTTCTTTTTTGAGGAGGAGTCTCACACTGTTGGCCAGGCTGGAGTACAATGGCGCAATCTTGGCTCACTGCAACCTCCGCCTCCCGGGTTCACGTGATTTTCCTGACTCACCCTCCCGAGTAGCTGGGATTACAGGCACACACCACCATACCCGGCTAATTTTTTGTATTTTTAGTTGAGACGAGGTTTCACTATGTTGGCCAGACTGGTCTTGAACTCCTGACCTTGTGATCCGCCTGCCTTGGCCTCCCAAAGTGCTGGGATTACAGGCTTGAGCCACCGCGCCTGGCCGACACATGCTTTCTAATAACCCAGATTATCTGTTCTTGCCTTCAGGCCATCAAACTCCAAACGGTCATAAAACCAGAGCCTCTGACTCTGCTCCTTCTGCTCTGAGGGCGATCTGGCTGCCATTTCCCCAAAACAGCGCCCCTTGTCAGCAGGAAGCAGTTAAGATCAGTCTTCGTTCTTATCCTTATCCTTATCCTTATCCTTATCCTTATCCTTATCCTTATCCTTATCCTTATCCTTATCCTTATTCTAACAGCAGTTAGATGTACTTCTTTAGAGGGGGGAATAAGACAGCCAGGTGGGAGGAGGTCCCCCAGGAAAACACCAACCAGCCTGCACACTGGGTGGAGACACAGGAGTTCGCACCCTTTGCATCAGGGAGAAGCCTGGCCCCACCTCTTCCTGTGTAGAACCTGGGATTTAAACAGCATGAGGTGGGAAGTGCACGGGCAAGAACTCTGGCCTTGCGGAGAGTCCCTCTTCCCCCTTTTTCCCTTTTCACCCAATAAGACTCTGCTTTGCTCACCCTTCAAACCGTCAGCAAGCCTGAATTTTCATGGCTGTGGGACGGACGAGGAGCTAGTCTTTAGCTGAACTAAGGACAAGTCCTGCAACACTGAGAGCAGCTACTGGTGGCAAAGCATATGACTGTGTTGTATGTGCAGGTATTGTAACATTGCTTAGCATTCCGAAGACCTTAAATCACTGTCAAGGACTAAAAACTCCAGTGATGACTGGAAATATCTGTTCCACATCCAAAATAGTCTATTTAGAATTGCTTCCCTGGTTCACCAGGTCTCTATCAAATATCGGTGCTTTTAGTTCCTTCCAAATCATCACTTTGACTTCTAATCCAATGTATTCCTGAATTATGCTGTAGAGAAAAACGCAATTTCCTCCATGTGAGTCTCCCTCCTTAAGTTTTTCTTCCTCACATCAAACATCTCTAACATTAGAAAAAGACAATAGTTTGTAAATGAATCCAGGTGCACAATTGTCCAAATCATGAAAATAACTTCCTAAATCATTATTCATTGATAAATATATTGACCAAATCAATGTAAGTATTTCAGTTGATCAGTTTGTCTACAGAGATTGTGGCTACAAAATGAAAAATCATATTCAGCTTATTCATTTGTTATAAATGTAAAAGGAGCAATGGAAATAGCAATCACAATATCCTGTGCAAAACCAGAAGTCTACTTAATTTTTTTCCCAGAGATACTGGTTTTTAGACTATGGGGCTGATTTTCCTAGCCATGCTATTAAATATAATTGGTTAGGTCACATTCTAAATTAAACCAGTTCATTGGAGTAAATCTCTGTATGGGACACTTGGCATCATAAAGCTGTTTCACAGCGGGATGATGCAGAATATCCTTCAGACTCTTTTCTTTGTAAGGAGTACTGTTAGGTCAAATGAACACACAGATAGTAATATAATATTAGAACTATTTTTATAAAATCACAACCCAATTAACATTTTGTAAAAAGTTCAATAATATCTTAGAAAACTGTGGTGTGTTCACATGTGTATTGAATGCATACATTTGCCTATATATATTAGGCTTTGATCACTAATGTTAAAACCAGCTAAACTTTGGACCTTTATGTGAATTGTGGTATGAATATATATGTGTGTGTATATACATAAATATATATGTATATATATGTTATTCTTAAGAGCTGTGGTTTTAACATAGAATTAACAACCTGTATTTCTTTTTTTCTTTTTTCTTCTTTTTTTTTTTTTGTTTTTTCAGATGGAGTCTTGCTCTGTCACCCAGGCTAGAGTTCAGTGGCATGATCTCGGCTCACTGCAACCTCCGCCTCCCGGGTTCAAGCAATTCTCTGCCTCAGCCTCCCGAGTACCTGGGATTACAGGCGCCCGCCACAATGCCCAGCTAAATTTTTTTTTGTATTTTTAGTAGAGACGAGGTTTCACCATCTTGGCCAGGCTGGTCTTCAACTCCTGACCTTGTGATCCACTCACCTCAGCCTCCCAAAGTGCTGGGATTACAGGCTTGAGGCACCGTGTGCCTGGCCAACAATCTGTATTTCAAAATCGAGGTTAAAATGGTAACAATCTGTCTGTAAATAATACTAATATTGCATATTTTTGCCTGCTCTTCCAATGTTGGACATTAGCTGAGAACATGTCTTTCAGCTGGTTATGTGTATATGTGTACAGTACTCTGTGAATTGGAAATTCTGTAAAAGATGCAAATTTTGCATTAGAAGCCAAGGAATAAGATTAAATCAGCACTCATGGACAACTGAGATTATTGGTTATTCTACATTATTCATATCCGTGATATGAAGTGATTCTGGAATTATTTTGCTTGCTACTAGAAAATAAGCTACGAATAATGACAATTTGTTAAATGCATCTACAAAATTCTGTCAATAGGAAAGTGAGAGCAGTCTTTTTTAATTAAATCAGAGGATATGACACAGTAACATTTACCTGTCCTCAAAGTTTTATTACTTTAACAACACACAAAATTGCCAAGATTTTAGCCATTTGTGAAGTCCTCTAACTGTATACTAGAGAGTGTCATTTGTACCTGAACCTCCTTATAAAATAGAGCTGCCACTGCTCAATTATTTTCTAAATATTGCAATATATTTATATTTGTGAATTGGAACAATGGACCAGATGACAAATGTGCATACAAGGAGACAGGAATACTGTCATATTTTTCTGGAATTTATCTATACCAGAAAATAGGATGAATCTTCTAGAAATATGAAAAATATTAACCTGACACTGTTCATTCTTACCTTTTGAGAACTTGTGTAAGTCATTTGTTCTCTTTTTGCCTCAAATTCTTTATTAATAACGGTAGTGCTGGACTATATCCTATCTGAGATACTGTGATCAAATTACTATGTATCCAGGGATTTCAGCCCTTGACTGTGAATCATTATCAATGGGAGGAATTTTGATTCTGCAGGCTCGGGGTAGAACCTTGGCATATATACTTTTAAGATGGGCCACAAGTGATTCTGATATTCAGCCAATGTGTGGAATAATTCTTCTATGCTTTTTGATTCAAAAAGCAAAATGGAAATCTTTAAGTCTGTATTATTTCTTATTCCTTAACTATATTTTATACCTTGCTGAGAAAAATTCTCAGTGGGTGTAGCAGTGGTAAAATCGCTGCAGTGTATCTCATCATAAGACAAGATATGAACATTGTTACTGGTAGAAAAATGATCAAAACGAATAGTGTATTAATCAAGGTTCTCTAGAAAGATGAGAAAATGTATGTGTGTGTGTATATGTGTGTGTGTGTGTGTGTGTGTGTGTGTGTGTGTGTGTGTGTATATATGAGAGAGAGGGGGTTATATAGGATAATAGGATATAAGATTTATATATATAGAAATAATAGGATAGATACATATATGTTTGTAGATAGGTAGGTAGATAGATAGAGAAATTTTAGGGAATTGGTTTATGCAACTGTGGGGGTTGGCAAATCCAAAGTCTGCAGAGCTGGTTGCGGGTTAGAAATTCAGGCAAAAGTTGATGTTGCAGTCTTGATTCTAATGGCTGGAAACTCAAACGGATTACTGTGTTTCAGTCTGGAGGGAGAATTCCGTCTTTTGGGGGGATCTTTTGTCTTTTTCCTAAAGGCCTTCAACTGACTGGATGATGCTCACCCATCCTATGGAGGGTAAATCTGATTTATTCAAAGTCTACTGGTATAAAATGTTAAATCACATCTAAAAAATACCTCCACAGCAACATCTAGACTGTTTGACCAAATAATTGGGCACCTTAGTCTAGCCAAGTTGACACAGAAAATTAATCATCACAGAAAGTAAACTTACCAAGAGCTAATAAAAGCAAAATAATTCTGAAGTGGGTTGGATCAGAATGAAAATGATTGAGTATCTGAGAAAGGCTGGCAGGTGCCGCATGTGGGTGGAAGAGGCAGCAAGGTTGAAGATAACATGAGTCTGCTGGAGCATGAAAATGGTGTCCTGAGTTAAGTCTGCAGTAAAGGTTGTAGGTAACTAAGAGCAGTCAGAGGCACACGAAGATGTCAGAACTGGGATTATTTTGACTCCATTAAATCAATGCACTTCATCACATTGATTTTCATTGTTTATTTTAATTTTCTTATATACTTAGTCATTACATGCTACTCTGCTCAGAGCATTTTGACTTCCTTGAACATTACTTATTAGCTTGTTGATGTTGGTTTTGCTTGCAAGCTACATTATTCATTTCTGGAGTAACACTTCATACTAAGGCAGTTGTTGCTTGTTGACTGAACAGGCCAGTTGTAATTTCTCTGAACTCTATAGTGATGTCAGTTTTCTTTAACCCAAGAAGGGCTGTTTGCACAAGTAAGTTGCTTTCACTCCTAGTTTTTTTTCACTGCCAGTCAGGTACTCACCAAACTTTGTATCTTCTTTACTCTTCTATCATGACTTCATTATCCTGTGGGTCCACCAGTTATGTACGTGTATCTAAGTGAATTATTTTGTCCACAGGCTCCACTGTCTGATTTTTACATTCCCATATAGCACTTGCTGAAATTTAATTTTCTCCAAATTTTGTGACTTTGGATAATACCATAACTACTGTGGTTTTTTAAATCTTTGAAAGTCTTTGGGGCCTATAAAAGGCACAGGGCTTTAGAAAAGTAATTCTCACATATTGGTGTGTATAATCTAGAGACCATGTAAAATGTAGATGACTGGCTCCACTTCGAAAAAATTATGTTTTACTATATATAAGGAGAGAGGGGCCACAAGTATGCATTTTAAAGACGCTACACCTTTCTCTCTTGTATGATTAATAGTGATTTGCTGATAATTTGTCATGATGCAATATGTAGTTTAAAATGGAAACCCTTTATTTCAGAATAATTTTTGATTTATGAACCAGTTGCAAACACTGTACAAAGCATTTTCATGCACATTTTGCTCAGCTTCCCCTAAAATTAATATCTTACATTGTACATGTATTTAAACTAAAAAATTAACATTGACATATTACTATTAACTAAACTTCAGACTTTATTCAGATTTGTAGATTTTTTATACCCATGTCCCTTTTCAGCACCAGGATCCAACCCAGCCTACCACATTGAATTTAGTTTTCATGTCTCTTTAATCTAAAGTCTATGACTGGTTCTCAGACTTTGCTTGTTTCCCATGACCTTTATGGTTTTGAGGAGTACTTGAGAATTTTGTAGAATGTCCCTGGACTTGGGTTTGTTAGATGTTTTCTCCTCATTAGACTAGGATTCTGGATTTTAGGAAAGAATACTACAGAGGTGGAGTCTTTCTCAGCACATCCTATCAGAGGAGTGCATGATACCAACGTGACTTCTCACTGCTGATATTAACATTGATCACTTGGTTAAGGAGAGGACTGCCAGGCTTCTCCACTAAAATGTTACTATTTTTCCCTTTCCATATTCAATTTTTTAGAATCCAGCCCACACTCTGGGGAGGGCATTTAAATTCCACCTCCTGGGGGGAGAAGTATCTATGTACATTTTTTGAAATTCTTCTAAGACAGAGTTGCACCTTTTTGTCATTTATTTATTTGTACAATTATTTGTATCAGTATGGACTCATGGATATTTTATTTTATATTGTGTTATAATTTTTAAAGTTTAATTCTCATGTTGCTTAAATTGTTTTAACTTTGGCCATTGAATGCTCTTTTAGTTTGGCTCCTGATCTGCTCTTATTCTTTTGTTTTCTGAGAACTTCCTATTTTCTGGCATTACATAATACTCCAGGCTCATCTTGTGTTTTCACTGCCCCCAGCCTAGAATTACTCATTTCTCCAAGGATATCTCTGTTTTGTTTTTGTTATTTTGGAGAATGGTATTTAGAAACCAAGATCTGGACACTGGATGTACTTTTGGCTACTTAGGTGATATTTTTTTCGAGTTTCTCAGCAGACAGAACTATAAAATATATGCATGTATACTAACCAATATGTACACACAACTATAATTATTTCTTTAGCTATTTATCTCTATACATGTTAAACTACTATGTATTATACATTTTTGTTTTGTGTTCTCTGTTGTCTCATTGTTACATTTTAATAATTATTTATATATTCTGGATATGAGTCTTTTGTATAATATTCTACTTTGAAAAGTGAAAAAAATGAAGTGGCTGTAAGGTACAAAAACTGTTTTAATGAACAGTCACATGAAAAATTTTGAAGATGCCCAGTTGCCCTTTAGGAGCTTCAGTGTGTGTTTTTCTCTGGGATTATTTAAAATATAGAAGTTTTATTCAAACCCTCACCCATTTTAGATAAGTGAATACTCATATGAGCTTGCTAGTTAGAGTACTGTTATAGAGAATTGTTGAAGCATTGGCTCTTGAATTTAACATACAGTCCATGGAATTTTTCCAAGTAAGAAAGTTAAAAATAAATCCATATCAAAATGGTCTTACCAACTATGCATTGTAAAATCTACCAAATATGTTGAGAGTTTAACAGATTCTTATAACTGATAAATGAAAATATTTGTGACAAGTAAATAGATCTGTATGATTTCTGCTTCTCCTTTATTTAGACATTGAATGTAGAATATTTTATTTTCAAATTGTAGTAATCCTATATAAAATAACAGTACTTTACTGGATGCTTATTCTGTGCCAGATACTATACAAAATCATGTTATATAGATTATCTTGATTTACACATAATCCATTTCTTGGATTTAATGAGAAACCTAAGAGGAATATACATTGTGCCTATTTTACAGAGGACGAGCCAAAGGCAAGAAAGGCATTGATCATGCCTCATTTACAAGGAGGAACTAGGGTATACCTGCTAGTAATGGTAGAAAATATTGTTCAGCTGCACCTAACAAGGGAAATAAGAAAACTTTTTAAAAATGGATAAGAATGTATGGAAAAAAATTATTATGTGCTGAGAAAATATGGTAAAGGAATAATGCAAGCTGAATTTGTCTATAATTTTTTTAAAAGAAAGCTTTTTCGTAGGTATCGTTTTAAACATCACAAGAGAGATAAGAATTTAACTGATATGATTCAAAGGAAAACCAAGGATTCCAACTGGACTGGAGGGGGATAAAGATATTCAATTTTGAAAGAAAGAAGAGAAACTGTCTTTATTCACAGATGACATTATCATATATAAAGAAAATTCAATGAAATCTACAAAAGTGCTCCTGAAAGTAATAAGTGAGTTTACCAAGGTTGTATGATACAAGATAGATATACAAAAATCAATATTTGTATATACTAATAACAAAAAATTGGGAATTGCAATTTAAATAACAATAACAGTATCAAAAACAATATTTAGGAAAACTCTGGAGAGAAAAAAATGTGAAAGTTGTATACACTAAAAAATACAAAATATTCCTGAGAAAATTAAAAATAACATAAACAAATGGAAAAATGTACCTTTTTCAGTGGTCAGAAGACTTCCTATTTTTAATATGTCAATTATCCTCAAATTGATCTATGGATTCAACCAAATCCTAATCAAAATCCCAACAGGATTTTTTTAGACATTGACAGACTGATTTTAAAATTTTTATAGAAATTCAAAGGACCTAGAAGAACCAACTTTGTAAAAGAATGTTGTTAAAGGACTAATACAGACTAATTTCTAGATTTATTACAAAGCTAAAGTAATCAACAGAGTGCGAAATTTGTGTGAGAGAAAAATCTGGAAAAGAGTGCCCAGAAATTGACCCATAAAAAATATAGACAACTTATATTCTACAAATTTCCAAAGGTAATTCAGTGGACAAAAGATAGTCTTTACAAAAATAGTTCTGAAATGTATCGTATGTACATAGGCAATAGACACGTTTTTTCAAATAAAAACTTTGATCTATATCGTGTGCTGTTTACAAAAAATTAAACAGATTTAAATAAAAAAAATCTTTGTGAACTTTGGGCGGGCAAAGTTTTCACAGATACATCAAAAGAAGCACAATCCGTAAAAAATCAAATTGATAAGTTGGACTTCATCAAATTAAAAAACTTCTCTTTATCACTGTTAAGACAGTGAAAGGGAAAAGCCAAGGATGAAGCGAAAAATTTGCAAATCATATATGTGATAATGGACTTACATCTAGAACACAGCAAGGATTCTCAAAACGAAATATGATATCCAGCAACACAATTTAAAAATGGAAAAGAAATTGTACAGAAACTTCACCCAAGGAAAGATAAAGATTGCAAATAAGCAAATATACAGATGTTCAATTCCAGTAGTCATTATGAAATGCAAATAAACACCACAATGAGATTCCACTAAACACCTATTAGAATGGCCAAAATTAAAATGACTAACCATACCAAGTGTTGGATCATAGGTGAAAAAACTGCAATGCTCCTACACTAGTAGAAGGAATATGAAATAGTGTAAATACTTTGTAAAAGTTTGGTCGTTTCTTAAAAACGTTAAACATACACCTATGATATGATCCCGCCATTGGACTCCTAGCTAAAATTTATCCAGGAGAAATGAAAGTATATGTACGTACGAAGACATGGACACAAATGTTCATAGAATATTTGTCATAGTCCAAAACGGGAAACAACCGAAATGTCCATCCAAAGGCGAATGGAAAAAGAAACTGCGCTCTGTCCATCCCATGGACCACACACCATGGAATGAGCAGGGGCTTGGGCACTCCGTTGCTGACCATACCCTGGAGAATCCAGGCTGCGCAGATGGCGTCTCCGCTGCCCCTCTTCGAGGAAGAACCTGGGCTGCGCGTGGCTCGCGGTCTCCTAGCGACTAGAGTGGCAGGGATCAGGAACCGCGGGAACTGGAGAGATGGCACCCCAGCGAGGGCCACCATGGGGGACCAGAGGCCGCGGGACCGGCCGAGGTCCCCGGGCATGGACTGCAAGCCCTGGTACTGTGACAAACCGCCTTCCAAGTACATCGCGAAGCGTAAGCACAGGCGCCTGAGGTTCCCGCCAATGGACACCCAGAACTGAGTATTTGGTTTTTATTATTATTATTATTATTGTTATTATTATACTTTAAGTTCTAGGGTACATGTGCACAACGTGCAGGTTTGTTACATATGTATACATGTGCCATGTTGGTGTGCTGCACCTGTTAACTCGTCATTTACATTAGGTATATCTCCTAATGCTATCCCTCCCCCAACCCCACAACAGGCCCCCGTGTGTGATGTTCCCCTTCCTGTGTCCAAGTGTTCTCACTGTTTAATTCCCACCTGTGAGTGAGAACATGCAGTGTTTGGTTTTCTGTCCTTCTGATAGTTTGCTCAGAATGATGGTTTCCAGCTTCATCCATGTCCCTACAAAGGACATGAACTCATCCTTTTTTATGGCTGTATAGTATTCCATGGTGTATATGTGCCACATTTTCTTAATCCAGTCTATCATTGATGGATATTTGAGTTGGTTCCAAGTCTTTGCTATTGTGAATAGTGCTGGAATAAACATACATGTGCATGTGTCCTTATAGCAGCATGATTTATAATCCTTTGGGTATATGCCCAGTAATGGGATGGCTGGGTCAAATGGTATTTCTAGTTCTATATCCCTGAGGAATCGCCACACTGTCTTCCACAATGGTTGAACTTGTTTACAGTCCCACCAACAGTGTAAAAGTGTTCCTATTTCTCCACATCCTCTCCAGCACCTGTTGTTTCCTGACTTTTTAATGATGGCCATTCTAACTGGTGTGAGATGGTATCTCATTGTGGTTTTGATTTGCATTTCTCTGATGGCCAGTGATGATGAGCATTTTTTCATGTGTCTGTTGGCTGCATAAATGTCTTCTTTTGAGAAGTGTCTGTTCATATCCTTTGCCCACTTGTTGATGGGGTTGTTTGATTTTTTTCTTGTAAATTTAGAACTGGGTATTTGTAAAGGAGAGCATGGACAGCTTCCACTATGGCTGTCCGTCTCCCGAAGATATGCTCATTTGTAGACTTAACGAGTTCTTACTCCCCAAAATCTCTCACAGAGGTCCCCAAGCTGACCCGAAAAGCAGGCAGAAAAAGCTGCTCAAGAAAGTGGCCCTGTTTTCCAAGCTCTTGCCAGCCCAGCCAGCATGGAAGGCATTTGTAGAGGAAGCCCAGCTGATGGCCAAGCATCCCTTGGCCATGTACCCCAATCTGGGAGAAGATATGCCTCCAGATCTCCTACTACAGGTGCTGAAACCGCTGGATCCTGAGAGGCAGCTGGAGGACGCATGGGCTCGTGAGGGCTGGAAGAAGACAACCAAGGCACCCACCGAGCCTGGTAAATACCCCTGTGGGGAATTCTGCCCGAGGCCTCCTGAGACTCAGGTGTTCCATCTCCACCCGGAGCCTCCCAAGACTCCGGTGTCCAGTCTCACCCAGAGCCTCCTGAGACTGGAGTGTCCTATCTCTGCCCAGAGCCTCCCAAGACTCATTGGGTCTCCAGCCTCTGCCCGGAGCCCCCCGAGACTGGAGTGTCCCATCTCCGCGCAGAGCCTGCCAAGACTCGTCGGGTGTCCGGTCTCCGCCCGGAGCCTCTCGAGACTGGAGTGTCCCATCTCTGCCCGGAGCCTCCCGGGACTCGCGTATCTCATCTCTGCCCGGAGCCTCCCAAGACTCTTCAGGTGTCCAGTCTCTGCCCGGAGCCTCCCAAGACTCGTCGGATGTCCAGTCTCCACCCGGAGCCTTCCAAGACTGGAGTGTCTCATCTCCGCCTGGAGTCTCCCAAGACTCGTGGGGTGTCCAGTGTTCTCCCGGAGCCTCCCAAGACTCGTCGGGTGTCCAGTCTCTGCCCAGAGCCTCCCAAGACTGCAGTGTCTCATCTCCGCCTGGAGCCTCCCAAGACTCGTCGGGTGTCCAGACTCTGCCCGGAGCCTCCCAAGACTGGTCGGCTGTCCAGTGTCCGCCCGGAGCCTCCCAAGAATCGTCGGGTGTCCAGTCTCTGCCCGGAGCCTACCAAGACTGCAGTGTCTCATCTCTGCCCCAAGCCTCCCAAGACTCAACGGGTGTCCACTCTCCACCCGGAGCCTCCCAAGATTCTTTGGGTGTCCAGTCTCTGCCCAGAGCCTCCCAAGACTCGTCGGGTGTACAGTCTCCGCCCAGAGCCCCCCAAGATGCAGGTGTCCAGCCTCCACCCGGAGCCCCCCAAGACGGAGGTGTCCAGTGTCTGCCCAGAGCCTCCTGAGATTGGAGTGTCCCATCTCCACCCGGAACCTCCCAATACTCATCGAGTGTCCAGTCTCCTACTACAGGTGCTGAAACTGCTGAATCCTGAGAGGAAGCTGGAGGACGAATGGGTTCATTGTGAGGGCCAGGAGAAGACAACCAAGGAACCCACTGAGCCTGGTAAATACCCTTGTGGGGAATTCTGCACGAGGCCTCCCGAGTCTCAGGTGTCCCATCTCTGCCTGGAGCCTCCCAAGACTCCAGTGTCCAGTCTCTGCCCTGGGCCTCCCAAGACTGGAGTGTCTCATCTCTGCCCAGAGCCTCCCAAGACTCAGGTGACCAGTCTCCACCCAGAGCCTCCTGAGACTGGAGTATCCCATCTCCACCCAGAGCCTCCCAAGACTCGGATGTACAGTCTCCACCTGGAGCCTCCCGAGACTGGAATGTCCCATCTCTGCCCAGAGCCTCCCAAGACTCTGGTGTCCAATCTCCACCTGGGGCCTCCTGAGACTGGAGTGTCTCATCTCTGCCTGCAGCCTCCCAAGACTCCAGTGTCCAGTCTCTGCCCGGGGCCTCCCAAGACTGGAGTGTCTCATCTCTGCCCACAGCCTCCCAAGACTCTGGTGTCCAGTCTCCGCCTGGGGCCTCCTGAGACTGGAGTGTCTCATCTCTGCCCAGAGCCTCCCAAGACTCGGGTGTCCAGTCTCTGCCCAGAGCCTCCCGAGACTGGAGTGTCCCATCTCTGCCCGGAGCCTCCCGAGACTCATCGGGTGTCCAGTCTCCGCCCGGAGCCCCCCAAGATGCAGGTGTCCAGTCTCTGCCCGGAACCTCCCAAGACTGTAGTGTTCCATCTCCGCCCAGAACCTCCCAACCTCCCAACACTAGTTGGGTGTCCAGTCTCCTACTACAGATGCTGAAACTGCTGGATCCTGAGAGGAAGCTGGAGAAGGCATGGGCTTATTGTGAGGGCCGGGAGAAGACAATCAAGGAACCCACCAAGCCTGGTAAATAGTCTTGTAGGGAATTCTGCCTACGGCTTCCAGAGACTCAGGCATCCCATCTTTGCCCTGAGCCTCCCAAGACTCGTCAGGTGTCCAGTCTCCGCCCGGAGCCTCCCAAGACTAGAGTGTCCCATCTCTCCCCAGAGCCTCCCAAAGCTCCAGTGTCCCATCACTTCTTGGAGCCTCCCAAGATTCGAGCGTCCTGTCTAAAAGAACTGCTTCAGGAAGATACACCAAGCACAACAGAATGTGTTTCTGACTCTCTTCAACATAGATACACATCGAGAAAAATGCATGACTTCAAGTGGGCTCGAGACATGGGAGTTGATGAAGAATCCATCAGGAATCTGTTTGACTTTACCCCCAAGTGGAGAGCAACCTATGAAGACCAACAGATTAAGAAGATAAAAGAATGGGTCTCAGAGCTGCAATACAGAATAAAGCTAGATGAAATGGATGAGGTCGAATCCTCACAGGAAAAAGACTGGGACAGGAAACTCCAGATGGCACCGAATTCTTACACTGCACAGTGTGTGAAGATGAGGTATGGAGTATGGTACCTTAAGCCTAAGCTGGGGAAAAAGCTAAGAAGTGATCAACCTTTGATTGACCCCAAGCTCTTACTTGAAAAGCCAGATGAACCCGATATTCTTGACGATCTTTATGGACCAATTGCCTTTAAGGATTTCATTCTAAGCAAGGGCTATGAAATGCCTGGCATCATTGAAAGGCTGTGTGCCAGGAAGGGATGGACTTATGACTCTGTTAAGACTCCTGTTCAACGTGCAATGAGACTTTACAAGTAGAAAGAAGACGTCACAGACGTATCGGAAGAAGATTAGATGGTTTTCAATTTACTACTTAATTGGGTATTTCTTGCTCTCATTTTAAACATCAATCAGAATTTATGATGACTGGCCCTGTAGATGTACAACTTTGGCAACATCTGTAAATTCAATACCTAATGTTTATAAATATTTCTTAATGACCTGCTTTGGCTTCATTATTTCATATATTTTATCAATTATGTGATTAATATTCACATATACTTTTTCACATTTTTGAAGCATTGTGAATATTACATTATCATGTCAATTATTTGTAAAAATACATAAAACCAGAAATAAAAGAATTATTCTTAAAAACAGAAATGGAGTTGGGCACATTGGCTCATGCCTGTAATCCCTCCCCACTTTGGGAGGCCCAGGTGGATGGATTGCTTGAGCCCAGGGGTTCAAGACCAGCCTGGGCAACATGGTGAAACCTGGTCTCTACAAAAAATACAAAAATCAGCCAGGCATGGTGGTGCGCACCTGTAGTCCCATCTACCCAGAGGGCTGAGGTGGGAGGATTGCTTCAGCTCAGGAGGTTAAGACTGCAGTGAGCCATGATCATGCCACTGCACTCCAGTCTGGGCAACAGAGCAAGACCCCCTCGCAAAAAACAAACAAACAAACAACAACAACAACAAAAACACCAAAATGTGCTGAGTAAAACGAGAACTTATAACTCTATTTATATTGAAATTGTAATGAAATAATTATGACAATTATTTTGTTAACCAAAAATTGGAGTCTATAGCCAAATTAATGTTAACAATTTTTAATAGTAAAATTGTTATCTTCCCCTTTGGGATTACATCAAACCCCCAAAACTGGTTTGAAAACTATTTATCAAAATCATAGTTGAAACTTGAGTTATGCCATTTTATCATCTCAATTGAATGTATGCATTTCACCATGTTCATAAACCTTCACTACAAAAGACTATTACCAAATCATATAAACAGGTGCAGAATAGGAGGTAGCTTCAACTCCCTGGCAAATCTCATGTGCAAAATAGATCTGTATGAGAAAAGCTACCAAGCAACATCAAGTATCCTTACATATCTGTCCAAGTTCAAATAATTTTCATTTCATTCTTAGCAATTTAAAATGCACTCATAAGTTTAAAGTAATAAATTAAGCAACTGCTTTACTTTTAAAACATAGCAGGTAAAACTGTCTGGTATAGGTAAATTTGTAGGTAAATATATCTGTAGTGTAGATCTGAAGTGCACTTTTTCTTTCAGAGATGAAAGAGTCCATCTGTAAATGGGCATATATGCATATATTTCATCCAAGTAAGCAGTGAGATATACATCTGTCTATGTGCAAATTCTATTTCTAGTGAAGTTTTTCTGTGGACATTGTGTTCCTGAAGAACCAAGTCTTTTTTTATGTTGCTTTCTAAGCCAAGGCCTATAATTTCTCTTCAAATTCATCATCATAAACTTAGGTTCATGTCACCACTATCTCTTATTGTATTTCTGCAATAATTTCCAACCCATGTCTCTTCTTGAGTGTATTTTTGTAAAACACAAGCATGGCTTGTTAATTCTCCAGGCTAAACTTATCTAGGTACATAAACACTCACACACACATGCACACACATACACACACATGCTCCTGCATTCCAGACTCCAGTCAATATTCCTTTTCTTATCTTTGTGTCTTTGTACCTAATCTTTTGTATTGTTAGGACTTCACTCAGGCCATGTAATCCTGTTTCATTGCTCTCCCCACCAAGGTCAATTTCATGATTACTTTTATTAAGACCTTATGTCTGTAGACAAAGACACTCATTTTCCAGTTTTCTTCCACTGAAGAACTTACATCGGTATCCTAGAGAAATGAGTCATTAATGCCTTCAAAATCTGGGAAATCCCCATACATATTATTCAGACTTCTGGGAGGCCAATATCATGCCATATGGCTCAGAGTTACTGGTTTCTGAGGTTGTCCACTGAAGCCTTGGGCTTCATGCAGCAGCATCCAATGTTCAGTTCCTTTCAGCAAGAGACAGACCTACTTTTTCACATTTGGTTATGTGACCTTGCACTTCACGGAGGATGTATCCTCATCTACACAATGGACACCATATCATCAAACTCAAATTCTGGTGGGACTTAAAGGATTACTTATTGTAGTGCCTAATGCCTCAGGCATCATTTAGTTTAGAATTAATACTAAACCTATATTTGTGGAAGAGGAGGATGGAGTTGGAAAGGAAGAAGGATACTAAAAAATCAAAACCCAAAGACACTATAAAAAATAACTTTTTGATGGTGTTTATCTGGTGATAGCCTTCACCTATATCACACACAGTCTTAGCCATTGCTTAACATGAAAAAGTGGTGTTTGCTTTGGCTGCACATATACTAAAATTAAGATGAAAAAGTGTAATTGCAAAATAAGAGCCACTGGTTAGGGTTTCTATTGCTTATTGGTAACGGCTACTTCCAGTGAAATAAACTTTCCTCAGAAATTATGTGGGTTTTTCCACATTGTAATTACACCCATTGGTATTAGTTGTCACACAGATATAAACAGAAACGATGTTTGATCTATTTGGATTTTTAACACCAGTTGGACTTCTGAAAATATCCTGACTTCAAATTCATAGGTTTTAGAAAGAGAGAGAATTCAAGAGAGCTTGATATGTAGCTGTGCCTGTGTAGCCTAAAGCTATGAATGGTATATTTCATAAATACTGTAGTAATCAATGGTATTACAGCATCACATAGGTTTCATAAAAGCTTTGGAGAATTTGTCTGTAGGAACATGTGATTTAACAAAGATGAAGGGAATTATTTTTCATTTCTGAGAGTCTGCATGAATGAGCAAGGCCTTTGGAGATAAGCAGAAATGAGTTCATATCCCAGTGCTGCCATGTTCTTATCCTGTAGTTGTAAGCAGAGCAGACGGAGGGAAAACGTGGAGGCTGGGCTGAAGTGGGAGGAAGCTAGGAACACTTCCCAGGGTTATTGCGCACTGGAACGTGTTCCTGGCCCCCAATGACTCCGACAGAGGGGGTGAGTTTAACAGGCAAGGAGCAACACACTCTCATTGTGGGCCTTTGAAATCTCAGCAGGAGGACACCCCTCGACCACCACGGACACTTGAGTTGGCAGGGAAAGTTACTTAGAGAAGTAGTAGGGGCAGAACTCCAGCCAGGGGCAGAGAACAGAGGTTGTCCTGTGGAAGCAACTGTAGTGGAGAACAGTCAGAGATGTGCATCCCCCTAGGCTAGATTTGCTCCCATAGGAGACTTAACCCTAGGGGACCTTTCAGACCTGAACTCTACAGGGCAGTCTTACCCATGAGACAGATCTAGTCCAACCTGAGCACCTCTCAGTCTGCTGGCCTCTTGTGGGGCCCCAGCCTGGCCACAACTGCTTGCAGCACAGCTGCCAGGTGCCACTTGGGGCCCACCTCATAGCTGTTGTTGGACCACACCTGACTGGCAGAGTGCTCCAGCAGAGTGGTCTCTACAAATACACAACAGCTCGTTTGCACTGATGGCCACCCTCCACATTGCTATGCTGGTGCGTATATGCCCAGGCAGACCTAGCCTTCCCTTCCCCGCCAGCACAATGGTACACCTGCACCCTGCCTAAAGGCTTCATGTTTCCTAATTTAAAAATATATTACAAAGCCACAGTAATAAAAAAACAGTATGGTACTGGCATAAAGACGGACATATAAATCAATGAAACAGACTAGAAATCCAGAAATAAACCTGCCCATATATGGTCAACTATGAAGAATAAACAATGTGAAAAGGATACTCTCTTCAATTAAGGTGGTAGGAATACTGTATAGCCACATGCAAAAGAATGATCAGATCCTTGTCTTGCACCATATACAAAAATAAACTCAAGATAGAATAAAGACTTAAACGTGAGACCTGAAATGCTAAAACTCCTAGAAGAAAACATAGAGGGAAAGGTTAATGACTTTTGTCATGACAATTATTTCTTGGAATTCTCACTTCATGAGATTTAGTGGAGGTCAGACCTCACTTCCTTTTACATAATTGAAAATGCCACATTCAGATTTTTCACAACATTCCTTGCAGCTAGGATGTGAGTACATGACAACATTCTGCCAATCAGATGCTCTTGTCAGTACTATCAGGCTTTGAATTGAAGCTAACCATGCCAAATATCTGTGACTATGGAGATTCACCTTGGGTGGAAAGTTTGGCTGTCTCAAGATCGAATTCCCAGGGAAGCAGAGACAGGGTCTTAGTGGCAGCATGAAATGTCCCATGCTGTGGTAGTTCTGACAGAAACTGTATCATCTATTACATAGTGATGGTGGCAACTGAGTCCTCAATAGGCTTTTATGTGGGGTGATTTAGAGCGACATTCCTGCCCCTCAGCCTCTGCCCAGCTTTCCAGCCCTCCCAAAGTTTCAGTGAGCTACACAATTTTCTTTTAATAAATTCCTTTTCTGTTTAAATCAGCAAAAGTTATTTTCAGACTGATATAACCTCTGATCTTTGTAAGTGTCCAGGGTTTCTCTTTTTTCCTGATCTTCGTTGTTCTAACTTTTTCAGTTTGAAATTAATTTTCTTCAATGAAAAAATAAGATAAAAGAAATGGAATAGTTTTGCCTTCCTTCTATCAACTTATGGAACAACCAATACTCCTGTAACTTTTTGTCTCTTCTTTCTCAGAGAATAAAAGAAAGGAATTGTGTCTTGTTTTTGCGTGTTTACTTAATAATCCTAAACTCTCTCTGCCTTTCTGATGCCATTTTTGGGCTTCATGCCATTCCTCCAATTCATATTTGGTTAGTTGCCTCCATCTCATCTTTGTGTTTTTAAGATCTTTGTCTTTCAGCAAATTCTCTCTGCAACTTCAATGAACTCTTCAGCTGCCTCTGTATTAGGCAGGAACTCAACTAGCCCTGAGTTTCTCCAAAAGAGAACTGATGGGTTGAAACCAAGAGATCCTGGCATGGCTTACACTAAGTGCTAAAATAATGATGTGAAATTTTTCTCCCTTTCTCCTGCCTCCTCTTCCTCCTTGTCCTCTCCTCACCCCAGGTTGGATTCATTTTGAGGCAGGCTTTTTCTACAGTTTAGCAATCTTCATAGAAAAAGAGTGTTTCTCTGTGGACACATAAAGGGGAACCACAGACACTGGGGCGGTGGACAGTGGGAGGAGGGAGAGGATCAGGAAAAATAACTGATGGGTACAAGGCTTAATACCTGGGTGACAAAATAATTTGTACAACAAACCCGCATGACATGTGTTTACCTGTACAACAAACCTGCACATGTACCTCGAACTTAAAATAAAAGTTAAATTTAATAAATAAATAAAATGAAGAAAAGGAGTGTTTCTCTCAAGATTTTGACTCTCTTTGGCCTAATTTTGGTCACATGCCCATTCCAGAACCAACCTGGTTGGCCAAACTTTGGTCACATGCTTATGCCTGGGAACATGTTATGAGAGTGGGAAAGAAGTGATTCCCCAATGAAAATTTAGGGTGTTGATGCCAAAGCAAAGGCTGTGGGCTGCTGGGCAAGCAAAATCTTCCCAGCTTGTTTGAGTGTTTCACCCCCACACTTATGAAGCAACTGTCAAAGGGTTTATTCCTGTCTGTGAGAATTATGAAATAACTGCTTCCCAAATATGAGCCCAGACATATCCAGGATCTATGTCAGACAATGTGTATGACAACAATGTACTACTCTTCCTATTCCTAACACTTCTGAATTACCACCATCACTACCCACTTTTTCCTTGTGGTTAATATTAAGTTAACATCAGTGATTCCCCTTACTCTTACTTTCCATTGACAGATAATACATTTATTTGGGGTAGACAACAATGTATCAGATAATCTGTCTTTAGTACAATGAGATTTCTGCAAGTGCCCAGTGGCTGAAACCCTCCATCATCACTGAACCAGTTTTGCTATAATGCTAAGCTAATTGGAAAGCATTACAGGTAAAAACACCTCAAAGTTCTCAATCTCCTCCAAGTTTTACTTATCCTTTTCCACCAAGAAGGAAGATTTAATAAAAAATTTATTTCCGGTTTTTCCATACACTAGCATGTGACCTGAGGCAAGTCTTCTCTACTTTTTAGCATCTCAGATTTTAAATCTATTTTAGAAGTTGGTTGTAAGCTCAAGTGTGGTAAAAATATAATAAAATAATTAAAAAATAAGAGATTATAAGATCTTAGCTATGTTTATTAAACTGCTTTAGTTTGAAATTCAAATTAAGCAAATTTGGACAATTCATTGGCTCATAAAGCCAGGGGAATGACAGGGAAATAGCTAGGCAGAAAAGACAACTGGAATTAGGAACTTGAGTGTTGTTAGAACAGTCTCATTCTGTTTGTATTCCTCTAAGCATAGGGGAATATGGCTGCCTCACAATTCACAATGTTGTCCATCAAAGGGAAACTGAGACTTACTCCACTAATTCAATTTAATAAGCTCCTGCTATGTAACCATCATTATTCAAGGGGATAGAGATATATCAGAGAGCAAAACAAAGTTCCAGATCCTCACGTAGCACCCAGTCCAGTGGCCATAAATTTAAAATTCTAAGGAAGAACTCTCATTAGCTCTGTTTGAGTCATAGGCTTACTCCTGGGGCAATCAGTGATGGTCAAGTGGAGCTTGATAAATGGAATGGTCTTATCTCTAGAAATTTGGATTCAAAGAATGGATCCTGAGAATTTTGTTTTTAACAAGCCCTCCCAAGTGATTGTGATATAGGTAATTATTGAAAGAAACAGAAAAACACTTTTCTCTTGCACAAAGGCACCATCATTTTTTGGCCTTATCTTAGAAAGTCACATTTCTGTCTACATACCCTGATGCTAGTAGCATGCTATCCTCCGGTAATACTTTCTCGTACCTTTGTATTAAGGGCCAACCATGACGATGAATGAAGAACTATACAGTGAAAATAGCAACAACCACATTGAAACAATTGTGAACTTTTATAAAGAGCTGGCATGAGGCAGCAACTCAGGCATGGGGAAGCTCATGGAAAAATGACTTTTCTTTAACACGTGTGACAAGTGATGAAAAAAATACTTTAGGTTCTTTAGAATTTCTGCAACAGCTTTTTCTTTTGGTCATGCTACATGTTTATGGAAGCCTAATTTGCATGGGAATTGGTTGAAGGTAGAGATCAATTTAATCTGATAGGATGACTTCTGAAATTCATTGTCCAAGTGCTTGATGGGAAGAATATCCCAAGGCATTGTAGGTAATGGAGTTAAAGCAGACATACTCAGGAAAGGCCACTTTTCCTGTCCAGGGGGATGTCCCTGCTAGGCGATAGAGAAAAGGTGCATTTTGCTCGGCAACCAGGTTGCTAATCTCATTTGCGTGCTGTGAGAGTTTTGCATGTCTGTATCCCAAATGTGGCTGAACTGAAAATATGTTAGGGGAACAGAATTCATGAAAGGAAACTGGGTAAGACTAGTTTTGATGGCAAAGAAAAGAGATTTGATGAAACTTCTTATCTCCTTTTTCATTTCTAATTATGGCTTTTTGAAAAATCTGTCAGATTACATTTGAATAATTTTAGTAGGCATTAATCACAAAATAGTCCAAAAGACAGAATTTGTAGTGGTATAATTATTTTCACCATTTCTTACATTAAACTACTTTTAATGATAAATTCATTTCAAAGAAAATTTCACTTGGTTATTTTTAAGCATAACACTGCTAAATATATGCTCTGCCTGCCCAGAAAAAAGAACCTTTAATAACATGTGGTTACAGTTCTTCAGATATCACATTTGACTTTCTTAATTAATGCATATGTGTATAAAATGAATGTGTATTCTATCCTATTTGAAAAAACACAAACAACATCTTTGAGCACTTACTCTGTATGGGAGTCTATGAGGTATTGGATTAGGGAGAGGGCAGAGAACAGGGGCACAATGGGAATAAATCAGTTCCCATTCATAAGGACCCTTTAACCCAATGGAAAATACAGATATATAAAAACATAAATGACTAATTGACAAATGCAAAATAAAAAAAGTATTAAAGAATGCTGAGTGTGTAAAACTCTATGTATGTGTATTTATATATCTATGTAGAAATATAGCATTAAAAAGTGCCTTAAGTCGTGATTCTCAGAAAGAGACCCTGAGAAGAGGACTGACATGCAACGGATTTAGTAAAGATATTCCTGGGAGACTGGGGGACCTTCTACTGGGAATGAGAGAAGCAAAAAGGAAAAGATAAAATGACAAGTCAAAGTACCATTTTAGATCCAGTCTCACAGAGGATAGCTTCAACATGTTATCAGGAGTAAACTCTGGAGTGTAAGTTACCCTTCAGAGTTGTCCAAATCTGAATCAAAGAAGTTATGATTTCATACTTCCGCATCTGCAATCATTGTAAAGCAGTTCCAGTAGCCCGAGTGACATCTTCCTCCTGAAGAAAAGCTCCCTGGTTGTTGAAAGCACACCAAAATGAGGAAGGGCCACAAAATCCCCTAAAAAGGGATCCTTGTGCTCTCCACAGCAAATGTGGAATATTTTGCCTAATTGCAAAATATACACTATCTCTCTTTGTAAGTTATTATCATACCATGATATTTCCACTTAATCCTGCTAGGGGGTGATACTTTCATATTTTCATGCCCTATTGTAGGCATTTAAAACATATAATTCTTTAGAATAGATATTTAAAGTGATTTACTGTTGAGTAATAAGTGAGTGAATAAATTAATGCATAAAACAATAAAAGTCCAATTCTTTTAATATGGAATTTTCCTTGGAAGCCATATAGATGAAGTAAAGACTATAGTTCAGGAATTTACAGAATGCATTATTTAAAATTTTTCCTTTAAACCGTAACTGCCTCATAAAAAATGCATCTCATAACTCCATCATTTTCAAAACCAGATGTTTTCTAGTGGTTTTCTATTTTGCCTGAGTAGAAACTCTGCCATGTACATGGCAAATCTCCATGCGGGGAGATGATTTTTGGTTTCAATTATTGATCCATTATATACATATTTAAGGAGGGCTTAGGAGTCCTAGATGTTCAAGGACATCTGGTCCCTCTTCTGAAGGAGCGCCCAGAGTAGGAAGGGCTACAGCACCCACAGCAGATTAATTCTAATCACAGGAGGTGGCATACAGGATGGACCCTCACCTGAGGGCACTTAGGGCGAGCTACGCAGGGTCAGTTTTTGAATGCTAAATTTGCATTTTCCAGGTGAGGAAGGAGGGAAAAAGATGCTCCAGCTGAGATGTTTTCCCATTTCAAGGCAGAAGTAATAATAGCTAGCTAATATTTATTGAGGGCTCTCTTTGTGCCCAGCACTGTGTAACATGAATCAACACAGATTTGTGAAAGACCATGGGATTTTGCGGCAATGTGACTGAAGTAAGTAGAATCTGATTGTGAAGGGTCTTGTGGAATGAGGTTCATAAATGGTGGCAGAGTAATCAATATTATTAATGAACTGATTTCCTGGGGTAATGAGGAACTCCTAACAAGAAACAGAATCATCCCTTGCCTTTGGGAGATCATTACAAACATGCATCTACCTTGGACACAAAAGACTATCCACACCCATGGCCTTAAAATCAGAAACCGTTAAACACAAATGCTCATGACTGTCTGCCTCAAACACAGCAAAACGGAGGTTGGAACAAAGGTAACACTCATGACCTTGATCTTATTAACCCCAATGATTCATTTGAGCACTCTAAAATAACGCTTCTCAACCTTTAACATGCATGTAGATCACCTGCAAATGTTGTTTAAATGCAGATTCTTATTTTCTAGGTTTGGAATGAGGCCTAAGATTTTGTACTTCTGACACGTTTCTGAGTGATACTGATTCTTCCAGTCCATGGACCACAGTTTGAGTAATAAAACTCTAGTTCACTGGTTCTCAGTACAGGATGCACATTTGAACCACCTGGGAAGCTTTACAAACTACTGAGGCCTGTATTCCACCCACATAAATTCTGATTTAACGTGTTGGGGGTGTGTTCTGAGCAATGCATATTTTTTAAATTGCCCAGGTGATTCTAATAAGCAACAAAGACTGAGAACCGTCATAGTTAGTTATCAATGCACAGGTAAATTACCAAGGGTATTTTTAACATGTTGACAAAGTACAGCTGAGAGAAGAAATAGTTTTGTTGAAAAGATGATTTTGGATCACCAGGCAAGATGGCCAAGTAGGAACAGTTCCAGTCTGCAGCTCCCAGTGAGACCAGTGAAGAAGTGGGTTGATTTCTGCATTTCCAACTGAGGTACCTGGTTCATTTCATTGGGACTGGTTAGACAGTGGGTGCAGCCCACGGAGGGCGAGTAGAAGCAGGGTGGGGCATCACCTCACTCAGGAAGTGCAAGGGGTTGGGGAACTCCCTCCCCTAGCCAAGGGAAGCCGTGAGGGAATGTGCCATGAGGGACAGTGCTATCTGGCCCAGATACTACGCTCTTCCCACAGCCTTTGCAACTCGCAGACAAGGGGATTTCCTCAGGTCCCTACACCACCAGGGCCCTGGGTTTCTGGCACAAAATTGGGCAGCTGTTTGGGCAGACACAAAGCTAGCTGCAGGAGTTCTTTTTTTGTACCCCAGTGGTGCCTGGAACAGCAGTGAGACAGAACCATTCACTCCCCTGGAAAGGGGGCTGAAGCCAGGGATCCGAGCAGTCTTGCTCAGTGGATCCCACCCCCACGGGGCCCAACAAGCTAACATCTACTGGCTTGAAATTCTCACGGCCAGCACAACAGTCTGGATTGACCTGGGACACTCCAGCTTGGTGGTGGGAGGGGAGTCTGCCATTACTGAGGCTTTAGTAGGCAGTTTTCCACTCACAGTGTAAACAAAGCTGCCTAGAAATTTGAACTGGGTGCAGAACCCACTAGAGCATGGCAAAGCCACTATAGCCAGACTGCCTCTCTAGATTCCTCCTCTCTGGGCAAGGCATCTCTGAAAGAAAGGCAGCAGCCCCAGTCAGGGGCTTATAGATAAAATTCCCATCTCCCTCAGACAGAGAACCTGGTGGAAGGGGCAGGTGTGGGCGCAGCTTCAGCAGACTTAAACATTCCTGCCTGTCGGCTCTGAAGAGAGCAGATCTCCCAGCACAGTGCTCGAGCTCTGCTAAGGGACAGACTGCTTCCTCAAGTGGGTCCCCGACCCCTGTGCCTCCTGACTGGGAGACACCTCCCAGCAGGGGTCAACAGACACCTCATACAGGAGAGCTCCAGCTGGCATCTGGTGGGTGCCTCACTGGGATGAAGCTTCCAGAAGAAGAAGCAGGCAGCAATCTTTGCTGTTCTGCAGACTCCACTGGTGATACCCAGGCAAACAGGGTCTAGAGTGGACCTCTAGCAAACTCCAGCAGACCTGCAGAAAAGGGACCTGAGTGTTAGAAGGAAACCTAACAAACAGAAAGCAATAGCATCAACATCAGCAAAAAGGATGCCCATGCAAAAACCCCATACAAAGGGCATGAACATCAAAGACCAAAGGTAGATAAATCCATGAAGATGAGGAAAAACCACAGCAAAAAGGCTGAAAAGTCCAAAAACCAGAACACCTCTTCTCCTCCAAAGAATCACAACTCCTCGCCAGCAAGAGAACAAAGCTGGACAGAGAATGAGTTCGATGAATTGACAGAAGTAGGCTTCAAAAGGTGGGAAATAACAAACTCCTCTGAGCTAAAGGAGCATGTACTAACCCAGTGCAAGGAAGCTAAGAACCTTGATAAAAGGTTATAGGAACTGCTCACTAGAATAACCAGTTTAGAGAAGAAAATAAATGACCTGATGGAGCTGAAAAACACAGCATGAGAACTTCATGAAGTATACACAAATATCAATAGCCAAATTGATGAAGTGGAAGAAAGGATATCAGAGATTGAAGATCAACTTAATGAAATAAAGCATGAAGACAAGATTAGAGAAAAAATAAAGAAAAGAAATGAACAAAGCCCCCAAGAAATATGGAGCTATGTGAAAAGATCAAAGCTACATTTGACTGGCGTACCTGAAGGTGATGGGGAGAATGGAACCAAGTTGGAAAACACACTTCAGGATATTATCCAGGAGAACTTCCCCAACCTAGCAAGACAGGCCAGCATTCAAATTCAGGAAATACAGAGAACAGCACAAAGATACTCCTCAAGAAGAGCAACCTCAAGACACATAATCATCAGATTCACCAAGGTTGAAATGAAGGAAAAAATGTTAAGTGCAGCCAGAGAGAAAGATTTGGTTACCCACAAAGGAAAGCTCATCAGACTAACGTGGATCTCTCTTCAGAAACCTTACAAGCCAGAAGAGAGTGGGGGCCAATATTGAACATTCTTAAAGAAAAGAATTTTCAACAAAGAATTTCATATGCAGCCAAACTAAGCTTCATAAGTGAAGGAGAAATAAAATCCTTTACAGACAGGAAAAGGTTGAGGGATTTTGTCACCACCAGGCCTGCCATAGAAGAGCTCCTGAAGGAAGCAGTAAATATGGAAAGGAAAAGCCAGTACCAGCCACTGCAAAAACATGTAAAGACCAACAAAACTATGAAGAAACTGCATTAACTAATGGGCAAAATAACCAGCTAGCATCATAATGACATGATCAAATTCACACATAACAACATTAAACTTAAATATAAATGGGCTAAATGCCCCAATTAAAAGACACAGACTGGGAAATTGAATAAAGAGTCAAACCCATCAGTGTGCTGTATTCAGGAGACCCATCTCACCTGCAAAGACACACATACGCTCAAAATAAAGGGATGGAGAGATATTTACCAAGCAAATGGGAAGCAAAAAAAGCAGGGGTTGCAATCCTAGTCTCTGATAAAACAGATTTTATACCAACAAAGATGAAAAAAGACAAAGAAGGGCATTACATAATGGTAAAGGGACCAATGCAATAAGAAGAGCTAACTATCCTAAATATATATGCACCCAATACAGGAGCACCCAGATTCGTAAAGCAAGTTCATAGAGACCTACAAAGAGACTTAGACTCCCACATGATAATAGTGGGAGACTTTAGCATCCCACTGTCAATATTAGACAGATCAACAAGACAGAAAATTAACAAGGATATTCAGGACTTGAACTCATCTCTGGACCAAGCAGACCTAATAGACATCTACAGAACTCTCCACCCCAAATCAACAGAATATACATTCTTCTCAGCACCACATAGCACTTATTCTAAAATTGACCACATAATTGGAAGTAAAACACTCCTCAGCAAATGCAAAAGAATGGAAATCATAACAAACAGCCTCTCAGACCACAGTGCAAGCAAATTAGAACTCAGGATTAAGAAACTCACTCAAAACTGCACAACTACATGGAAACTGAACAACCTGCTTCTGAATGACTACTGGGTAAATAACAAAATTAAGGCAGAAATAAATAAGTTATTTGAAACCAATGAGAACAAAGACACAATGTACCAGAATCTCTGGGACATAGCTAAAGCAGTGTTTAGAGGGAAATTTATGGCACTAAATGCCCACAGGAGAAAGCGAGAAAGATCTAAAATCGGCACCCTAACCTCATAATTAAAAGAACTAGAGAAGCAAGAGCAAACACATTCAAAAGCTAGCAGAAGACAAGAAATAACTAAGATCAGAGCAGAACTGAAGGACATAGAGACACAAAAAAACCTTCAAAAAATCAATGAATCCAGGAGCTGGTTTTTTGGAAAGGTTAACAAAATAGATAGACCACTAGCCAGATTAATAAGAAAAGAGAGAAGAATCAAATAGACACAATAAGAAATGATAAAGGGGATATCACCACTGATCCCACAGAAATACAAACTATCATCAGGGAATACTATAAACACCTCTACACAAATAAACTAGAAAACCTAGAAGAAATGGATAAATTCCTGGACACGTACACCCACCCAAGACTAAACGAGGAAGAAGTCGAATCCCTGAATAGACCAATAACAAGTTCTGAAATTAAGGCAGTAATTAATAGCTTACTAACCAAAAAAAGCCCAGGACCAGACAGATTCACAGCCGAATTCCACCAGAGGTACAAACAGGAGCTGGTACCATTCCTTCTGAAACTATTCCAAACAATAGAAAAATCAGGACTCCTCCCTAACTCATTTTATGAAGCCAGCATCATCCTGATACCAAAATCTGGCAGAGACACAACAACAAAAAAAAGAAAATTTCAGGCCAATATCCCTGATGAACATTGATGCGAAAAGCCTCAATAAAATACTGGCAAACTGAATCCAGCAGCACATCAAAAAGCTTATCCACCACGATCAAGTTGGCTTCATCCCTGGGATGCAAGGCTGGTTCAACATAAGCAAATCAATAAACATAATCCATTACATAAACAAACAGAACCAATGACAAAAAACACATGATTATCCCAATAGATGCAGAAAAGGCCTTCAACAAAATTCAACAGCCTTTCATGCTAAAAACTCTCAATAAGCTAGGTATTGATGGAATGTGTCTCAAAATAATAAGAGCTATTTATGAAAAACCCACAGCCAATATCATGCTGAATGGGCAAAAGTTGGAAGCACTCCCTTTGAAAACCGGCAGAAGACAAAGATGCCCTCTCTCACCTCACCACTCCTATTCAACATAGTGTTGGAAGTTCTGACCAGGTCAATCAGGCAAGAGAAAGAAATAAAAGTATTCAAATAGGAAGAGAGGAAGCCAAATTGTCTCTGTTTGGAGATGACATGATTGTATATTTAGAAAACCCCATGGTCTTAGCCCAAAATCTCCTTATGCTGATAAGCAACTTCAGTAGAGTCTCAGGATACAAAAATCAATGTGCAAACATCACAAGCATTCCTATACACAAATAATAGACAAACAGAGAGCCACATAATGAGTGACTCCCATTCACAATTGCTACAAAGACAATAAAATAACTAGGAATACAACTTACGAGGGATGTGAAGGACCTCTTTAAGGAGAACTACAAAACACTGCTCAAGGAAATAAGAGAGGACACAAACAAATGGAAAAACATTCCACACTCATGGATAGGAAGAATCAATATCGTGAAAATGGCCATACTGCCCAAAGTAATTTACAGATTCAATGTTATTCCCATCAAGTTACCATTGACTTTCTTCATGGAATTAGAAAAAAAACTACTTTAAATTTCATATGGAACCAAAAAGGAGACCATATAGCCAAGACAATCCTAAGCAAAAAGAACAAAGCTGGAGGCATCACGCTACCTGACGTCAAACTATACTGCAAGTCTACAGTAATCAAAACATCATGGTACTTGTACCAAAACAGATATATAGACCAATGGAACAGAACAGAGCCCTCAGAAATAACACCACACATCTACAACCATCTGATCTTCGACAAACCTGACAAAAAGAAGCAATGGGGAAAGGATTCCCTACTTAATAAATGGTGCTGGGAAAATTGGCCAGCCATATGCAGAAAACAAAAACTGGACCCCTTCCTTACACCTTATACAAAAATTAACTCAAATTGGATTAAAGACTTAAATGTGAAACCCAAAACCATAAAAACCCTAGAAGAAAACCTAGGCAATACCATTCAGGACATAGGCATGGGCAAAGATTTCATAATGAAAACACCAAAAGCAATTGCAACAAAAGCCAAAATTTACAAATGGGATCTAATTAAACTAAACAGCTTCTGCACAGCGAGAGAAACTAGCATCACAGTGAAATTTTATTCTTTAAAATTATCTTCTCCTTACAAATTCAGTTTGTCCTCCCACATTCCATTTTTAATTGTATGTTTGTTTTGTTTTTTTTGGCCTCCATCTTTCAGTCTGGAGGATTTTCTCAGAAAATTACTTTATTTGGTTTATCTGTTCATCCTTAAATATGATGTATTGAAAAACTGACTGAAAACTCTATGGGAGTTAGTTGGGTTTTGCCGAGTGTGGGTAACATGGTAATGTGGTGACATGACTGTCCTATTCCCTTGGGGAACATTTAATGTAAACATCTACAGAGAAGGACTATCCAATAACCTGCCTGGAGGTCACAAGTCAGACTGCCATTGCTACAGGAGCTGAGTGGAGGAAGAAATCTGGGAGATGCAGCATCTCAAATTTTGTCTATAAATGTTTATTTAATCCCCAAGTTTTCACACAGTACTTCTGATCTCAGCTGTGCCCGGTGTTCTCTGGTCCTGAAATTCCTTGCCTTATCCTCTCCATAGACTAATCCCCAGTTGTTGCTTGAGTGTGGGCAGGACAGCCAAATGCTGCACATGGTGAGGGAGGTGTACTGGATTCCAAATGCTTTGTACACAGAAGTTCACCTAATCCTTCTGCTTTTAGCCCTGTCCTCACCCCAATTTTCAGGGTTTACTATTAGCACCAGTCCTAAGCTTTTCAGGGTGCTTCTGGGTGGATCAGATTGGTTCTCAGCTTTCCTCCCTGCCAGTTTAGAAATTACATTTCTTAGGTTTCCTAGGTCATTTACTGCTTTCCAGTTTCCAAATTGTGTTGCTGATATCTTATCTCCTATTGTACTTACCCTTTTAGGTTTCTGTCTTTAAAACATCCGCTTTCCTCTCATTTCAGAGGAGCTTTGGGGAAAAGCAAAAAGAAGATAATACATTTCCACATGCACAATTCCTTGTGGAGTAAAAACTCTTTGTTCTATCTTCTCTTTGTTCTTTTTTCTTTGTTCAGTCACTGATTTTCAGGAAATAAAATCATATTCCCATTTTACAGATAGAACATATTAGGGATAGGCCAGGCACGGCGGCTCACACCTGTAATCCCAGCATTTTGAGTGGCCAAGGTGGGCAGATCACTTGAGGTCAAGAGTTCAAGACCAGCCTGGCCAAAATGGTGAAACCCCATCTCTACTAAAAATACAAAAAAATTAGCTGGGCTTGGTGGTACACACCTGTAATCCCAGCTACTCAGGAGGCTGAGGGGAGAAGATTGCTTGAACCTGGGAGGTGGAGGTTGCAGTGAGCCAAGATGGCGCCACTGCACTCCAGCCTGGGTGACAGGGCAAGACTCAGTCAAAAAAAAGAAAGGAAGGAAGAAAGGAAGGAAGGAAGGAAGAAAGGAAGGAAGGAAGGAAGGAAGGAAGGAAGGAAGGAAATAAATAACATATTAGGGATAAATAAATAAACTCACTTTTCCAAGATGACAGAGTTGGAGGTGGGGCAGTAGCTCAGTATATCCGTGTTGAGGAAAAAGCCAATGCTGCAACACTATGCAGCTGTCACACGCCTGACATAAGTTACTCTAGCCTGCCTGCTCATTGCTTTGCAGTTGACCTCTACCAATGTCGTGGCCAAGTAATAAAAGCCAGAGTTAGTTGCTGAATACAAAATGACCTGTCTAAAACATTCACATATTATTCTTTTTTGCAAAAGAAAAAAGAAAAAAAATTGAACTGATCTGACCTAGTTTTTTTCATGATAATAACTATAATTACCTAACCAAGCTGAACGAGCCTTGGAATTCATCTCAGAAAAACTACCAATACTAGGTTTTGGAAACTGGAAGCATGACAAATTTCTGAGTTGGATCTTTTAGAGACAGGATAAAAGCTGAGGTCATCTAAAATTTAATTTAGTGCCTGAAAGTAGGTCTCAAAATGAAAATGATACTTTACCATTTTAAAGCAGAATTTTCTGTATCCTGTGTCTCTTGAAGCAATTTACTGCATGGATTTCTCTTAGGTCAGCAGGATGGTTAGTCCAAGTTTAAGCCAAGCACAGTTCACAGTCAATTTCTGTTCAGATTAATTACTTTTGCAGCTAGCTGTCAGCCTTATTGCATCAGTAGGAGTCAGACTAATATTGCCAGCAGATCATGTCATAATTTGTTAACGAAACTATTCATTACTATTTTTTGCCATTTCTTAATTTATTTGGGATATAATCTGTATCTCCCTTATTAAAATGTGTCAGATATGCTGATGTTCTGTACAACTCAATTGTATTCTCCTGACTTTATGGATGAAATGAACCTATATAACAAACCTGGGATTACTCCATAAGAATGCCTCTGAGTTAATTATACTTCCTGTTAGTACAAGTCTATTCTAAAATGCACTTAATTGCATTTGCAGACATTTATTTTGAAGTCGGTCATTGTTGGTGGTTTGTGGCTTTGCTCTCAGGAAGAAGGGTGCTATATTTAAATTAATCAATAAAGAATAAATACACTTGAAAAGGAGTTTATGATTTGGTGTTCTTAGAGTGAAGATGTGGGAAGAGAAGTCCTGCAAATGTGAGGAGTCGATTTTACAGAAAATTGAGTCTCGGGTAATTTAGTGACTTTCTCCCACAATGCTCAGTTATTTAATGGTGGAGCTAGGAGTAACCAGTTCTCAGGTGCTCCAGGCCCATTCCCTTTCTACTTTACTATGGGAGCAGGATCTTGCAGAAAAATTTTCTGTATGTAATTTACTTTTCATAAAATAATAATAATAAATAATTTGGTATTGTTTAAATTTTTGTTTAGAAATAATTTAAAACTTGCAAAATAGTTGCATATACAATACACATGACTTTCTGTAGTTTGTCTAAGACTTTTAGTTTATTAATTATCTTGAAAACAGTTAAGATAAATACCTAAATTTCTTACACTTCATTTGTAGATTGGTTAAGTTTTTATTAATTATAATAATATTTAAGTGTATACAAATATAAATATAAGACTTCCATTAAGTTGCGCCATAATCTTAACATATAATTTGTATAAATTTGGTTCTTATAAACTTTAGACAATATTCCATGTATTTGGATTGATAGTTTCACCACTTACACCAGCTGGGTACAATTTTACGATGTCCTTGTTTCTCTGTCAAAGTGTTATTATAAAGTATAATACACATAACTTTCTACGTTTAGATAGATCAATTTTTAACATTTTACAAATGTGTGTCACAGACACACAAACACACACTGAAATACCTGAATGAAGAGACAGACAGATGCAGCTAACTTCATATATTTCCCAAGAACAAGAATTCTGGGACAGGCACCATGGCTCACACTTGTAATCCCAGCACTTTGGGAGGCCAAGGCAAGAGGATCTCTTCAGCTTAGGAGTTGAAGGTTACAGTGGCCTATGACCAAGCCAATGTAAGGCAGCCTGGGTGACAGAGCAAGACCCTGTCTCTAAAAATATTAAAAGAAAAGCAAACAAAAGAAAAAAATTCTCTTACAAAACCATAGTACGTGTATCCAATTCCAGAAATTTAACATTGATACCATGCTCTTTATTATATAATATACAGTCCATATTCAGTTTTCACAGTTGTTGCAACAAAGTTTTTCTGGTCATTCTATTCTTTTTCCTCCTAAATATAATCCATGTTAATGTGTTGCACTTAGTTGTCACGTCTCTCTGGCCTCCTTTAACATGGACTAGTTCCCAGTCTTTCTTTGTGTTTTATGACATGGACATTCTTGAAGAACACAGGCCTGCTGTTTTGTAAAATATCTCTCAGTTTGAGTTTGTCTGATGTTTCCTCATGATTACAGTTGGTTTAGGTACTCTTCTGGCAGAAATACTACTTAAATGGCTGTGTGTCCCTGTTACAGCACCACAACAAGAGGCACATGATGTTAGTTTGTCCATTATTGGTAATAAATCTTTGACATTTGGTTAAGCAAGGGGAGGGGGGTCTTCCAGGTTTCTTAGCAGGTTATTTTCAGCACAGCATGAGAAGCAAGAAAGTCTACATGGCAGGAAGTACCTAAAATCCATTTGTGAGCTAAACTAGATGGAATGCTGGCATTAACTAGAGTTAGATGGGGTTCTTTGCAGTGCCAGCCAGTGTGATTCAGCCCTCAGCTTGTACTATTCTCCAGCCCTCCTCCTCCTGCCAAACCCTACGGCCTGATTCAATGGCAATCTTTGATGGGGCCTGCTGAGTCACTTTCTTAGGAGCCAATGCTATGTAGGTATTCCTTCCTCTACAGGAATTCAAAAAATATTATCTCAAAATCTAAAAACACATGAGTTGGATGACACTACGGTTTGCATATCCTGAGTCCTTTATTGATTGGTTGCAGAGATTTTTGACTGATAAGCCTGGCTTTAATTGAGCTTACTTATGTAATAGGCAGTAATAATAGCCCCAAGGAATATATTTCCCAAGGCACCAACCATAGTAACAGGGACCCCTTCCCCGGCCCCATTTCCTTGCCCTGTCCTGTGCTGAGGTAATTGGCTGAATAGAACAGAGCTTGAGCCGGGCACAGTGGCCCATGCTTATAATCCCAACACTTTGGGAGGCTGAGGCAGGTAGACAGCTTGAGCTCAGGAGTTCGAGACCAGCCCAGGCAACATGGCAAGACCCTATCTCTACTAAAATTACAAAAAATTAGCCAGATGTGGTGGTGCATGCCTGTGGTCCCAACTACTTGGGAGGCTGAGGTGGGAGGATCGCTTGAGCCCAGCAGGGCGAAGGTTGTAGTGAGTCGAGATCGCCCCACTACACTCCAGCCTGAGTCACAGAGCCAGGCTCTTTCTCAAAAAAGAAAACAAAAAATTGAGAATAGAACTCGAAAAACACAGTTGCAGTTGTTTTCCTCAGGGAGCCATCTCACTCTAATGAAGGTTCTACCTGCTACCCACCCTTATCCCCTGCCTTTCCCCTTACTAAGCTGGGATAATGTTAAACATTTTTTACTTGGCAGAAATATTCATTCTTGATTACAAATCACTGGGTTGTCTGAGAAAGGTGAAGTCATATAAAACTATGGGCCTTCAAAGAGGATACTCCACCCTCTTTGGGAACTGATTAGAAACTAACATGAATCGAATAAAACAAAATGAATGAAGTAGCTCTCTATAGAAATGTTTACAGGCCCAACTTCCAAACTTCATAGTTATTTAATCATGGATTGCTATTGGGACGAGAGCTGCTCCCACATTTTAGAATGTTATAGTTAAAAAAGAGTGTTACGAATGATCAACCTGCTAGCTGCCTCAGTTTCTTCATTACAAATGAGAATAACCTGATCTAAAGAGACATGTTTGGAGCAAGCTTGAATTTATTTGGCCTTCTCGTCAAGTCAAGCAGGTTTAGCTTGGAAAAAACTGAATCACACATAAACTAGAAGTGGGGTTGCTCATGGATATGAGACTGTGCCTTGGGAGTTGGTAATAGAGAGGGGTTGTTTTCTCAAAGCCTTTTTGGAGAAAGTCACCATAGGAGTTCCTTGTTCTTCACCCCAAATCTCCATAGTTTCTGCAACTCCGCTAAATTCCACATGTCTGCTCCTTTCTGTTTTCTTACCCTCACCCTTTCTTTTAATTTCCCCAAAAAATCTGGTAAGAGCGGGGGTAGTATCTTAGCTTGAGTTCTCCGAAAAGATGATCCTGGGAGAAGGGTTTAGATACAAGCAGTTTATTTAGGGGATGTCTTAGTTTGGGCTGCTAAAACAGATTACCATAGACTGGGTAGCTGAAAGAAAAATAATATTTTTTTCACTATTTTGAAAGCCAGCAGTCTGAAATCAGGATGCCAGCATGGTTGGGTGCTGGTGAGAGCTCTCTTTCTGGTTTGAAACTGGTAGTCTTTTCGCAGTATCCTCATATGGTGGAGAGCAGAGAAGGAGGAAAACAACCTCTCTCGTGTCTTCTCAGTGCATTAATCACATAATGAGGGCTCCGCCCTAGTAACCTGATTACCTTCCAAAGGCCTCATCTCCAAATACCATCATACTGAAGATTAGCATTTCAACATGTAAATTTTGAGGGGTTACAAGCATTCAGTGCATAGCAAGGAGTAATACCAGGAAGCATAGAGGGGAAAAATGAGAAAGGGGAAGACATTCAATAAAAGGCACATTCATGAGTGAGTTATTACGAGGGAGCTCAATCCACTAGGGACCTGCTGAGAGGCTTTGCTATCTCTCATGCTGCTAATCATGAGACATCATGCCCTAGAATTATCCCTCCAAGAGAAGGAAGGAAATTGGAGAGGTACCCACCAAATTCTGTTCTTCATTTGTGAAAGTCACTTCTAGGTCATTAAATTGCCTGGCCCTTCCTGGCTTGCCTCACAAGTGAGTGTAGCATACTCTCATAGCCAGAGAATGTCCTAGGTCACAGAAATACAGGTACTTAAGGTAAGAAGCCTCTGGTAGTATAGGAAGAAGTAACTGTCCACGGAAGTTGCACATGCTCTCCTGGATAAGCTGAGAGGTTACAGATGGGGCAGCAACAATGAGTGACACTACAGGGAAGGCACCTGAGGCAAGCTGGGCCAGGCAGCTGGTAGGGAAGGTTGGAGTGCCCTAGGCCAACACTTCAGCAAAAACTGTATGCACAGTGATTCCCAAAGACAGGAATGTGAAAGGACTGGTACCCTAAAACTGGTCTGCTAGTGCCTCTTTCCGAACAACCTGTATAGGACCAAGGAACCACCCCGCAACACACACACACTGAGCATACATACACACACTAAAATTCTAGGAAAGCCTCATGCTCACGGTCCATACATTCTATCCTTACATCTTCAAGGAAGCAATAAGTCCATCAGCAGAAGTAATTATTGCAATAGTGTCTTTATTAATCAAATTCTTTCTGTCACTCTGCTCAGTTTTCATTACTTTTTAAGATCATGCTTTGGATGAATTTTTTAAATGAGTTCATAAGAATAGAGCAGAATGAATACCCTATGTGGCCTTTGGAAAATCATTCAAGTCTTCTAAATTACATATAAGAATTTTTAAATATTCAACCCCTATTCATGCTGGGGTGGAAAGGATAAATAAAGCAGCCCTTTTTATTTCTCTCCAGAGTCACAAACTAATTGAGACATAAAACACAGGAATAAAACAGAGATAAAAAATCACCTTTGTCGAATTAAGATTGAATTGCAGAATGAGACTAGATATGTAGTCATAATGGGCCCCCCAAAACTGTGCCCCTAACAATATACCCAAGAATCCAGCCTCCCACTCGTAGCAGAAAAACATTCCCTAAGACATGCAGCACATGGAGATTGTAAGAGTGTTTGAATCTTCTGTACAAATTATAAGAGAGAGACAGAGAGACAGAAAAAGAGAAGTAGAGCTGTAGAGCCACACTGTATTATTTGGGTCTTTTTGGAAGCAGACTCTGAGACAGAGTTAGTAGTGCAAACAGTATATGTGGAGGTAAATCTTATGAAAGATGAAAGGGAGAGGAAGCAAAACTGGGCAGGGAAAGTCTTAGACCATGCTGTGGCTATGACACCTATGAAAGGAAAGAGGTGAGAAAGCAAGATTGAGCGAAGGGGAGAAAGTAAGTTTGGTCAGGGCAAGCCTGGGATCTCAATGCAGATTTGACAAAGTCTCAGTCAACACCTAGGGCAGCTCCAAAGCAAATAATTCCTGTTAATTGAGTCCCATATTGGCAGAAACGGTCAGGCCTTAGCATTTCTTCTGTGTTTCCTCATTGGCTAGGCTTCCCGAGAAGAATGTGGCCTTCAAAAGTTGGAGGCTGTCAACCAGCTGCACTCCTTGCAACTGAGTGGCAAATTCTTTCCTGAGAGGTTCTGCAAGTGCCACACCTGAATGGCTGCCATACACATCTACTTTGTTCCTTTTCTTACTGTTTCTGATCAGAAAAGTTGTGCTTCTTCACTACTGGAAAGGAATAGACAAAGGAGCAGAGAGAGGCTGGCAGTGTTACCAACATGTGATTAGTTCTCAGGGAATAAAGTGGAAACATACATACACACAAAAATACATATTAAGTAGAAGTCCTTTATGGATACATGAGGCGTATGAAATAATTCTCATCCCTTACCCCTTGCCACAAATAACACATAATCCCACTTCTCTTCTAAGGCAGGTGGGTCCTATTAACTGGAGAACCCTTTATGTTGATGAGCTGGAGAGCTAAGTGGGGCTCAACTGCATATCACAATGGAAGAGAAAAGAAGTGAGGGGAAGGATGAAGAGAATGGAGCCTATAACGGTGAGCATTGTATGAAGGACAGAGAGAAAATCGTTGTATCAGGAAGGCCAAGAAGGGACTTGGGAGAATATAAATGTCAATTGAAATTTTTAAGTTGATTGCTTTGAGGAAAATGATGTGAACTCTTTCTTGGCCTCTACTGTGAAATGTTAAGAAAGTCTACATTGTCCTGAAATGCTTTTGTGAAAGTGGATTTTTCACAGGATGCCCAGGAAGGTATTGACATTTATGTCTGAATGAATATGTCATGCAGCAAAGCCAAGTGGCTGAGATAGTAATCTACCTTGGGTCTGCATGGTGCCAAAGCCCATGAGCTCAACTGTTAGGCTTAGACTGCTGTTGGTTGGCTTCAAGGAGAATGGAAGTGGTGCACAAAGTTAATGGAACAGCCTAAGAACTTTGCCCTGGACATGCCAGCATTGTGGAGTTCCTCATTTATGGGGTTGTGTTCCAAAACTAGGGTGTGTCCTCAGAGAGTGTGTACACACTCTTGTTTTCCATAGTTACTCCCACAGGCCAGCCTTTGGCTGCCTCTAGCAATAAATATGGCAAGAGAGCACAGATAGTACACTGAATCGCCAAGGCCAAATAAGAGTGGGGTGAGGTTTGGTCCACTTTCAGTCCCAAGCCCCATGATTCCCAAATATTAAAAAAGATATTAGTAAACAAAATATAAAACAATTTGAAAAAGCTATATTCATGACAATTCTAATATGTTCTATCTTGGGATTATACCAACTATGGTTAAGGGAAACTATTTCACAAAATGGATTAACTGTTAAAAATATGTGTTAATGCCTATCAAATACCATGGAGAGGATGTTGGTTGGATTTACAGGAGCAGTTCCATTTATACAGAAAAAAAATCTTGTAATAGAAAATTTACTCAGTAAGCTGTGCTACCTTATGAATATCATTTGGGAGAAAACAAGTCTAACAGATGCTGTTGGTGCCCTCCCTCCATAGCCCCTTGGCATTTACCATGTTCATACATGCTGTCCAACTTCCAGCTGCCAGCACCTACAACCCTCAGCCTGAAGCCTTTCTTTGGACAGTGGGGCTCTTTCTGATCCTCCCCACAAGCAACCCCCAACCAATGATGGATCGAGTTACTGGATAAATATCCCAGCTCCCTTGTGCCATGACTGGTATAAATCAGAGGCACATTCTCCCAGGGAGATTATGTTCTCCTTGACTTTGGTGATCTTGCTTAATAATGCAAATTTTATTGGCTTCTTTCCATTCCTTGTTTTTATTTCTCTATTTCCTTAATGATAGTTGCTGGGATTATCTGCCAAATAAATTACTTACATTTAAACCATTGCCTCAGAGTCTTCATTTTGTGTTACCATACAGGACTACCCGAGACTGGGTAATTTATAAAGCAAAGAGGTTTATTTGGCTCATCACTCTGCAGAGTGTACAAACATGGGGCCAGCATATTCATGGTTTCGGTTGAGGCCTCCGGAAGCTTCTACTTTTTGGCAGATTGCAAAGGGGGAGGAGGCATGTCACATGGTGAGAAAAGGAACAAGAGAGAGAGGAGAAGGTAAGAGGCTCCTTTAAACAACCACCTCTCCCATGAACTAATAGAGCAAGAACTCACTCATTACCATGGGGAGGACCCCAAGCCATTCATGAGGGATCCACCTCCATGACCCAAACACTTCCACCAGGCCCCACCTCTAACATTGCATATCACATTTCAACATGAGATTTGGAGGGGACAAATACCCAAACCATATCAGGGTCACTTCTGTAAGAACACAAACCAAAACATTCATTTGCCTCACCTGTTGCTTACTAAACAAACTTCTGATTTGAAGTTGAGCTTCTCTAGTGGCCAATTTCTGATCAAAGATGCAGTAATAATCTGTCCTGCTTATATGAGTCCTATTGGTGACTGATTAATGACTTGGAAATATTGTTGGTGTGAGTCAATCTTCTACAACAGGGAGTGGCAAACTATAGCCTGTAGGCTAAATCTGGCCGGCCTTTAAATTTTGTAAATAAAGTTTTATTGGAACACAGCCACATCTACATATAGTCTGTGGCTACTTTCACACCACAACAGCAGAGTTAAATAGTTGTGACAAAGACAATATGGCCTGTAGATTGTAAAATATTTATACTTTATAGAAAAAGTCTGCTGATCACTCACGGAGAAGCTGTTCACCTTTGGGTTCACTGAGAAAGTCAAACCTGTGGTTTTATAAATATGAGGGTCAGAACTTGGGCCAATGGCATCACACCAAGTGGCAGCCCAGTGAGACTCTCAACTTAAAATATAGACTAGTCACCACCTACTCAATTCCTTCCAGTGTTTGATTATGGCATAGTCAGAATTCTATGAATTCTTGTCCATGTCTTGGGAATTCTAGGGTAGAGACAAGAAGGAGGGCATTGGCTAGACAGGAATATTAAGAAAGTGTCTTTTAAATTGAGGTTCATCAACACATTTTAAGCAAACTTCTCTCCAGAAAACTTCTTTTGTTTATTGACCTAGTTCTTGCTAATCATCCCCTCATGCTGTACCCTCTTGGTCCTTACAGGCTCAGCATCAATTATTAATTAATTTGAAATTGATTGATGAGGTCCTCTGTAGATTATTCTAAGCTATGCCACAATTCTAGCTAGCTCAATCTTCTTCAGCATAGAGACTATTTATATTACTTGTCAACCTGCTAGCCCCCAACAATTGATAGCATAGTATTTTGTATACAGCAAATGTTCAGTAAATTATTAGACTGTCCAACATCCACCACACACAGACTTCTATAGATGAGGCAAAATGATAATCAAACTGGAATCATTTGTCAAATATGAAATAATTTTACATAATGTCTCTAGAGTGATAAGGAATGTAGGCTTCAAAAATGCTAAAGAAATGTATGAAATCCCTAGCCTTGGCCATGCAGTGTTATTTTTGACATTGAAGTGGAAGAAATTGCTAAGTCACAAATTTCAAAAGCGACCCCTTCCTGAGTAAGTAATAACAAAGCTAACAAAGAAAGAAAGAATATATGTGACTCATTTGGGAAATTAACCAGATTGCATGAACTTTATGTCTTGTAAAAAATCCTTCTGAGTAAAGACTAATTACTAAAAATGTATTTTTGTTCAGTTATCCACAATCTAGTTGGTGGATAAAACAGGTAGGCCAATAATAATATTCCAAGGAACATTTGGACATTGGAAAGAATAACCTTGCACTATAATAACTAGTTCCACTACCTCACTTCTACTCATTCTTTAATCCACTGTGATCTGACTTTTATTTTCAATTAAGTTCAACTTATTATTTTTAATTTCCTGTTTATATATATACTAGGGCTTAATGAGAGAAAAAATTCCTGCATTTCCTGCACTCCAGTGTTCTACAGCCTATTAAAAGATCCAGGCATATGAAGAAACAATTGCCATACAGAGTGGCAAGTGCCATTAGCAAGAAATGTAGTATAAATGGAGGTAAGACAAAGGAGAAGGTGATCAACTCTGTTTGAGGGTGGGTCTTAGGTTGGGTTCCTTGGAAGCGGAGCTTGAGGCAGGGATTTATTAAAGGCATGCGCTCTGGAGGAAACACGTAGTGCAAGATAGGGCAGGGGAAGGAGTCAAGGAAATAAGTGATCTTGGTCAATGTCTAACCTTGTCTTCACACAAGGCAGATCCTGTAGCATAAATCTCACAGCAGAGAGAAAAGGAAGGGTCCAGGCTTTTGTACCTCTGTGTCACAGAGCCATTGGCTGTCCCAGTTAGCCAAGGGTATTCCTTCCGAGAAGGTCACAGGCATAAGCCATCAGCTGAAGTGCTCACAAGTGTCTGAGCATTTGGGTATTCTGCTGGTCAAGTGGATCTGGGAAGAGCACCAATATCATCTATTAACAGAGGGTTAGAAAAACTAGATTATATGTTTAATACTTTGGGCAGCTCAACATCTGAACACCATTCCTGTTTGAGAAAATAGGACAAGACAGATGGCAGACAAGGCTCCATTTTGCATGATGCTTCCCATTTCTGAGCCTGGTCCTACAGCCTTCCAAGTTCGTTATGGTATATCCTTCTTAAAAAATTTCTTTTCTGCTTTGACTAGCCAGGGTCAAATTTTGTGGTTAGGGAGCTTTGACCGGTACAGAGATTAGAAAAATTGTTAGATCATAGATCATCATAGCCTGAAAAAGATAAGGCCCATACAGGGGGAGAAGAGCATATGGAGAGGAGAGATATTACATATATTCAGGCTGAGTAAGAACCATAAATCTAGGGTGACTATAAAATGTGTTACTTGTGAGTGTAGGGGAAGGTGTGGCAAATCTAGTGAGTATTTGAGAAAAAGACAATGAATTAATTGTGGGACTTGTTGAGTATGAGTGTTCTGGGTACACCCAGAGGGAGATGTTTCATAGGTGGCTGTTCAAGTGTCATGGTCAAGATAAGCCATCTAGAACACACACACACGCACACACACACACACACACATACAGAGAGAGAGAGAGAGAGAGAAACTGGCCACTGGGGGTGGCTAGGCTCAGGGGGAAATAAACACAGAGCAAGAGTTGAAGAGGCCAAAAGCAGAATCCAAGAGGATTATTAAATCTATGTAGTTCTCTATAGATAAATATTTGGCAAACCAAGAGAGGACAGGAAAACCAAGGAAAGAAGGACTAACCAACACAATTAAATGGCTCCAGAGTGATCAAGCAGGGCAAAGGCTGAAAAGAGACCAGTGTTGATGTTAACTAGTAAGTCAGTGATGACCTTTCAGAGGAGGGTTTTATGGAGTTCCTTAAAATATAAAACAATGTATCCTTCCTTCTGTGTCTAGTAAATACATCACCTCATCAACTAGATCCCCTTACAACCTTGTGTTTGTAACTGTTCCCTCTCTGTTGGCTCCTATGCAGCAAAGAAGCATAACTAAAGTACTCTCTTCTCTCTTCTCCACCTGTGGAACTCCAATTCATCCTTCAAGAGTCAATGTCACCTCCACAGCAGGTGTTTCCTGACTCCTCAGGTGAGAATTAGATCCCGTTTCTCTCCTGGAGTCGCATAGCACTTTGTGTTTATTTCTTTTGTAGATCATACTGAAATATATTGGAGGCATCTATTTGTATGTCTGTCCGACTGTGACCAGAATCTGTGTCCTAGTCACCTTGTATTCCTAGTGTCAAGCATAACGTGTGGAACACATGACAGAACCTAATATAAATTGCGGAAAGAATGGCTATTTGGCTGAAAAGAAATAACTGCATGAATGCTCCCTTCCTAAAAATGT
Organism: Homo sapiens; assembly: GCF_000001405.40. Lineage (NCBI taxonomy): Eukaryota > Metazoa > Chordata > Mammalia > Primates > Hominidae > Homo > Homo sapiens. Next base: position 37,511,897 of record NC_000023.11, on the reverse strand, counting down.
TTACCTTAAGTCAATTTCTTGATTTATAGTTCTGAATACATGTTTCAAATTGGAACTTCTGATTTTCAGTATACTTCATACAATAATTAAACATTTGGGAGGAAAACACTCATGCACAGAGAAGTATCCCAAGGGAAAAAAATAAATATCCTTGGTGCATGTGGTACAGTTAATATATCATTACAATAGATTATAAACCAAAACCAACATTATAAAACACAAAATTTGAAATAGATATAAAAGGGAAGAAGTCTATTTCTCCTCATGCCAGGAAGTAGCTTTGCATATTAATAAAATTTAAATGCCTCACAGACAGAAAAATGATGGGAATAGATTGTAATAACTTGAAAACGAGCACACTTTAAACAGCCTCTGTGATGAATACGTGATTATGAAGAATCCGTCAAAAAGGCTAGTCAGGCATTGTTCCACTCTGATGCTTCCAGAAGCAGGATGACTGATGTCCCTCAATTAAAAAAAGGCACAGCAAGAGACAGGCTAAACTGAAGACACAAAGGCAAGAGGTTGAATTGCTGAAATATACAAAGATGTTAGTCTGAAAGGAAACAATTGAAATTCTAGTAAGTGTGAGTGTTCCCTATGTGTCTAAAATATTACAAATATCCAAATCATTCTAGAATATTAATGGAGAGTGAGAAAAAATAAAAGGAAAAATATAAAGACACGTAGATGCATAAAGAAAGGTGAAAAGTTTAGAATATTTGGTAGCTTTAGGTGAATTCAGGGTTGCAGCAAGTTACCATAAACATGGATTGGCAAAGACTTTCTATAAAGAATGAGATAGTAAATGTTTTAGGCTTTGCAGCTACTGCAAAAGACCTCTGTCTCAACTACAAACTCTCCTGCTGGAGTGAAAAAGTAGCCACAAGCAGTAGGTAATTGAATGCGGTGGCTGTGTTCTAATAAAACTATATTTACCAAAAAAGTGGGGGCCAGATTAGGATTGCTGGCTGTAGTTTGCCAGCCCATGCTATACAACAAACCAGTTTGTGATAAACAACAAAATAGATAAAAGCTAGTGTGTGTGTGAGACAGAGATCAATTATTGTTGAGTCAGTAATTGTTGATGTTACAGTAAGTTTTTATCGTATTTGGTCTAGTACTGACATGAGGGTATAGCTGAGCACATTGATTTAAACAGCCTCCGTGATGAATATGTGATTATGAAGAATCTGTCAAAAAGGCTAGTCAGGCATTGTTCAATGTTTTCAGCCCCAAACATCCTAGCCACCCCATTCAATTACCTACTGTTTGTCGTTACTTTTTCACTCCAGCAGGAGAGTTTGTAGTTGAGACAGAGGTCTTTTGCAGTAGCTGCAAAGCCTAAAACATTTACTATCTCATTCTTTATAGAAAGTCTTTGCCAATCCATGTTTATGGTAACTTGCCGCAACCCTGAATTCACCTAAAGCTACCAAATATTCTAAACTTTTCACCTTTCTTTAGCATCTATTTGTCTTTCTATTTTTCCTTTTATTTTTTCTCACTCTCCATAGCTGAGCACATTGATTAAGTCCAGGCATTAGTATTATTTTCAGGTTATCTAGGTGATTTCAAGGTGCAGCCATATTTGGCAATCAGGGTGCTAAAGAGTGCTTCTCAAATTCCAGTGTGCAAATTGATCACCGAGAGTCTTGTTAAAATGTAGATGCTCATTCCGTAGCCCTGGGGTGTGGCTTGAAATTTTGCATTGCTAGCAAGTTCTCAGTTTAGATTGATACTGCTGGTCCACAGACCATATTTTGAGCAGCCAGATGCTAGTGCTGGTTTTCAATGCCTGGCATGCCCAGGCCCTGCGCCAGAGGCTTATGTATTTGGTCTGGGATGCTGCCTGGACATTGAGATTTTCAAAAGCTCTGCAGGTGATTTGGATGTGCAGCAAAGCTTGAGAGCCTCTATGCCAAAGCTCATGATGATATGTGGATTTTACTTATGTTGTCAGTGGCCCTAATGTGTTCTCTTTTTCTCATTCTCCCCCCAGTGCCCACCTAGCCATTCCTCTCCTTTTCAGCTCCAAACATCCAGACAAAGGTGGGGATCAGGGTGAGCACTTCATCCTGTTGCTCTTGTCCATCTCTGAAGAGTGGGAGGAAGTTCAGGATGGAAACAGGAGACTCAGGCAACCTGGGTTTGGGAAGAACAAGAACAGTGTTCTAGGAGTGAATTCAAGGGAAAGCTGGTTGAGATAGAATGGGCGGGGGCGGGGAATAGCACGGAAAGTTGTCACAGGACAACCTTCCTCCTGTCTTGGGACTGAGGTGTGGGGGGTAAGGAAAACAGCCATGTACCCTTCTGAGTCCTGGAGACACCTGACAACCAAACTATCTTCTAAGGTTTTTTCCTTCTCAGTATGCAGGGCAACTGGTTACTAGACATGCAAGAGAGACCCCCAGTGGCAACGTGTAGAAGTGAAGTATTTTCCCAAAGCATAAAGACCACAAAGAAACATAAGGGTAGAGGATGATGGCTTCCAGCCCATTGTTTTTATCAAACTAATGCAAGGACAGAAAATCAAATACCACATGTTCTCACTTATAATTGGGAGCTAAATGATGAGAACACGTGGACTCAAAGAAGGAAACAACAGACACTGGGGCCTACCTGAGTGTGGAGGGTGGGAAGAGGGAGAGGAACAAAAAAATAACTATTGGGTACACGGTTTAGTACCTGGATGATGAAATAATCTATTCAACAACCCCCCATGACAGCAGTTTACCTATATAAAAACCTGCACTTGTTCTCTTGAACCTAAATAAAAGTTAAAAGAGTAGAGGATGATAATGGTGATAAATCATGAGTACCACATTGTAAACATACACTGTGCCAGGCATTACTCTAAGTGATTTACATATATTAACTCATTTAATCTCAACAACCCAATGGGGTTAATGCTTTTATTATCCCTATATTACATATGGAGAAACTGAGGCACAGAAAAGTTGAACAAATTACTCAAGTTTACCCAAAATGAGAGGCTAAGATTGGATTTGAACCCAGGCAATCTGAGGTTAAGAAAACACTACACCAAATTTTCTCTCCAAAACAAAAAATTAAGAAGTCCCCTCAGTCAACTTAAAGTTTGAAACACTCAAAACTTAATGCTTGCTCGTTCTTTCTCATATCCACAGGAGAACGGTCAAGGGACATATATATTTCAATAGGTAATAGCTGAGACAAAGTCAGAGAATTCAGAAGTCCTTACAGTAGGCAGCGAAAGAGATGCAGTGAGAAGACCAAGTTTGACAAAGATGTGTAAAAAGGCGAAAGCATTTTCTGTAAACTGAACTCAAAGTGCCAGAATCCTAATTTTTAAGAAAAGTGTTACAGTGCACTCATACGGAAATGTGGAAGACAATTGTTGCACAGCGAAACTTGTTCGTATCTTAATAAATGCTTATATGGTTTGACTGTGTCCCCACCCAAATCTCATCTTGAATTGTACTCCCATAATTCCCATGTTTTGTGGAAGGGACCCATTGGGAGATAATTGAATCATGGGGGCAGTTTCTCCCATACTGTCCTACTGGTGGTGAATGAGTCTCACAAGATCTGATAGTTTGATAAGGGGAAACCCCTTGGCTCTCCTTCTCTTCTCTTGTCTGCCGCCATGTGAGACATGACTTTCACCTTCCACGATGATTGTGAGGGTTCCCCAGCCATGTGGAACTGTAAGTTCAATAAACCTCTTGCTTTTATAAACTGTCCAATCTTTGGTATGTCTTTATCAGCAGCCTGAAAAATGGACTAATACAATGCTCAAAACAATTTGCTAGCTTTGAAATGATGCAAGCTACCCATGTGTCTTTGACTAAAGCATAGAGTCTGTAAATTTTTGACTTTTACCTTTGTAACCCACAGAAGAAAGAAGACTTTTTTGTTTCTTATTTCTTTGTAACTTTCTTTTGTGGCACAGAAGATAGATGTTTGAAGTATTTTTCCTCAGACATGGGCAACGTTAGAGTTTACATGGATGGAGGTTTCCTTCGGTCAAATAGAGAGTGGACTGAGAGAGGAGAAGAGTTTTTAAAGGGGAACAAGAAAAAAGAAAACATAGAGAAACAAGTGTATCATTTCCATATGAAATATTCTTTATACTAGGAAATAATATCTTTCTATCCAGAGCCATGAAGAAAATGTAAAAGGTGAACTTTTCTCTATATCTTGAAAGGAGAATCCAGAGGCCACACTGAGCTTCTCAGGAACAGGATGATTTTGAGGTAAGCTTGGGGCAGACATTGGGAATAAGGTAATAAACTTGGGGCAGATAAAGGTCAAGGTGGGACCAGCAACTCTCTGGGTGTTCAAACACCTCAACCATCTTCTAAATGTTAGCTGCCCTGCACTTTGGACTAGATTTCTCATACTCTCCCTTATAGTCTCCTTCTGGTGAGCTCATCCAATCACATGACTTCAATACCATCTATAAAAAGTCCCCCGTATGTCTACTTCCAAATGTGACATTTTTGCAGCTCCTTGATTCACATTTCCACTTGGACGTCTAATAAAAATCTGATTTTACATGGCATACATTCCCCGCTCCTCCACCCCGGGGACACATGCAACCATCCCCAGGGGGATAATAACACCATCATCAATCCAGGTGTTCAAGTCCAAACTTCAGAACTTACATTGTATTCCCCCTCTCCCATTCCTCACCTCCTGTCCATGAGCAAAGTTTGTGTCTCCTTGTCAAAAACCCATATGGAACTGGTCGACCTCTCTTCATTTCCTCAGCCACCATCACAGCTGAAGCTGCACTAGTCTCCTAACTGGAACAGCTATACTGGCTCTACCTGGTCTGCACCTTCAACTCTCTGCCACCCCTCTACATTCTTCAAAGCAGTCACTGCCTTGACATTTTGGGGGCATTTATTCTACTTTATATTCAATATCACAAATTTGACCTTCAGTTTTGACCTTATGTTTTTCAGTCCTTTTGAGCTGTTTTTTTTTTTTAAACCAGCTTTAATGGAAGAAATGGTACAATTGAAGGAAAAACCATGAATGGAGAATTCGTAAGGGTAATATACAGGAAATCACCCCCTATCTGTGGGGAAGGCAGCCTAAGGCTCAGTCCCATTATCCGTGTCACTCAGGGTGAGCTTGCCAAAGAGGTACTATGCGATACTGTCCGCGAGAGCCCCCATCTTGAAGCCCAGAAGCAAGAATCCTTAGCACTTGCATATTTTGTTTTTTGTTTGTTTGTTTGTTTTTTCAGATGGAGTTTCGCTCTTGTTGTCCAGGCTGGAGTGCAATGGCGGGATCTCCCCTCACCACAACCTCCGCGTCCCAGATTCACGCGATTTTCCTGCCTCAGCCTCCCGAGTAGCTGGGATTACAGGCATGCACCACCATGCCCGGCTAATTTTGTATTTTTAGTAGAGACGGAGTTTCTCCATGTTGGTCAGGCTGGTCTCAAACTCCCGACCTCAGATGATCCACCCGCCTCAGCCTCCCATGTGCTGGGATTACAGGCGTGAGCCACAGCACCCGGCAACCACTAGGATGAATTCCATACCATGCTTTACACCTTACCATGTTTACGCACCCACAGATACCATGGCCCAAGACTGCACACCCCACCCGACCTCACCCACCCCACACCTCACCCCACCCTACCCCACCCCACCTCACCCCATCCAATCCCACATGCCCTCAAAGTTTATAAGGGGAAGACTAATGTATTTTCCAGCGGCCCATAAAATACCTTTCCCCTCCACCCCCGCAGATCCTGAGCTGCATGCAGATGGGGCAGGGCTGAATGGAAAGACTGCTGGATACCTACTTTAAACCTGCATGGGGATGTGCCCTGATTCCTAAAAGGTGAGAGTGTTGCAGATATGCATCAGCTGGACACCTTTATTGCTTTGAGAACAGATAACTTTATTGCCAACAACAGTAAAACTGAGAGGAGAAAACTGAAGAGAATGTTCTGAAAGGACAACATGGACGCCCCGCGTGGTGGCGCGAGCAGGGGAAGGCACCCCGTGGCTGCGGGACCTGTCTGGGCTCTGGTGTGTTTCTGGCTGCGGCCCAGGGTGAGCTTGTTAAAGAGGTACTCTGCCAGGCCTGCTTCCGGGGCCCCCATCTTGCACAGGTTGCTCAGGTAGCCACCAATCTCTTTGATGGTCTTGGCCTGCTGGTTCAGGAAGTGGTTCTCCAGGAAGTCACAGAGGTGGGGTCGTCGTTCTCCTTGGCCAGCTGGTGCAGCTCCAGGAGGCTCTGGTTGACGTTCTTCTCCAGGTAGAAGGCGCAGTCCATGGCCTGGAGCCCGCTCTCCCAGCCTTGGCACTCTGGCTTCCTGATGTCGCGAAGGTAGATGCGGCCACCGCGCAGGTTCTGCAGGCTCATCAGCTCCTGGGCGTGCTCCCTCTTCTCGTGCCACTGGTGCAAGAAATAGCGGCTGAAGCTCTCCAGGGCCACGTCGTCCCGGTCGAAGAAGAAGGCCATGGACAGGTACACATAGGAGGCGTGGAGCTCCAGGGTGACCTTGATGTTGATGGCGACCTCGCAGCTGAGATGGTTGTTCTGGTGCACCTGCGACAGCGGGCCCAGGGCGGGCAGTGCGGGCGCGAGGAGCAGGCAGGGTAAAGCGGTGTGGTCGCTAGGGTCCCGAAGCGGGCGGCGGCATCGGCATCGGCAGTGGCGGCCGCGGCGGGTGCCTCTGAGCACAACATGGTGGACGACGGAGGCGACCAGTGGAGGGCAGGGTCCTCGGGACCAGGCGGTGGTGGTTGCCACAGGGTCTGCGAAGGGACCGGAAGTGGGCTGTGGGGACCCGTATGGGTGGAGGGGCGCGCGCCGTCGGGTGGATGGTGGTGGTGGCGAGGGGGGGCACACTGAGTTCCGTGGGCAGCCCAGGGAACTAGGCACTGTCAGTCCACTGCGTGATGTCAATTCTGCAGTAACTTTTCTAGTGTCCAAGGACTTTTTCGTCTGCCCCCTGATTATTCCCCTCTATGACAGCTTGTTCTCATTTTATAAACCTCTTGTCTTTCTTAAACTCTGAGAGTATGTTCTGGTAACGTTTTTTTCTGTTTCCTGTATTATATCCTCTTTTTCCCTCCTCCAGAATTAGTTCTATTTGTGCATCTTCCTCACTTTCCTTAAATATCTGGAAAACGTTTGTCCATTCATGATTGGAATCAAGGACTGGGTTAGCCTCGGTGATGAGCATGGATCGAATGCACAGCTGTGAGTCTGGGTGACCAATAGGATTCTCCCATGAACAGGAGGGTGGAGTGTGTCAATTAGGGAGTGCTCATCTCCTTTGGAGATAAAGGTATAGAGCTCCCAGGCAGAGTAGGAACTATTCTAAATGCCCAAAGCATGGCATTTCTCTGGCACTGGAATATGTTAGTGGATCTGTCTTCTAGGTAGATGTCAGCTTCCCTTTAAATGCTCACCCATGTCTGCTGCACCCGGAAGCTTAATTCTTTCTGCAGGAGAGATGTCTCCACATGACAAGGAATGTGATTTCAGATATGTTTTCAGGATCAAAGCTTAAACACCAGAGTAAAGACTCTGTTTTTAAAATTTACCTGGAAAAGTCCTCTATGTTCACGGTTTTGGGGACTCAATAACTAATCCCCGTGTCTTCCCTGCTGAATTTGAAACCAATTAGTAGACATGGGACTCAGCTCACTGAAGAGCAAGCTTACGTCTGTAGCAAAATGAACTTGCTAGTACTTTTCAAATCTTCCAATTAGAGAAACTCGCTGTGGCAGAGTGACTTCATCAAAGCTTATTTGTTTTCATCTTGGTCCACAAGTAACCATATTTTTTTAGCTACCCTTGTGATTTGATGGGGTCTTGTACTGATTTCTGGCTATTGGAATATGAAAATAACTGGTGTATGGCCAAATAAGGCCTAGTTTATAGGACACACCGTGTGCAATCCATGTCTCAAGAAGAGGAACAGACCCTACAATATGACATATCCACTTTGGAGAAGGAGCCTGGAACTTTGAATAACATATGGACAATGTCCCCTCAAAAAAAAAAACACACACAAGAAGAAGAGGAAAAGAAAGAAAGAGTGTCTGTATTTTATTCTGAGTAAATGGTTTTTGTTGAGAGAATGCTTTATGTCAACTAGCAGTTATGTGAGACACAGCTTTAAAGAGCAAAGCACTGCATTCAGCAGAAGAGCACAAGTTATGCTTTCTTCCATTTTGATTAGAAAAATAAAATGGCAGAGTTACATACAAGACAACATGGAACTACTAAAGTACTTTTTCAAGTTGCTTTTATGTTTGATTTGTTAAGGAAAAACAAAAAGAACTTGAAGATTGCCTTTGTAAATATGAAGAAGGTGACTTGCGAAACTAATCTAGCCATAAATTGATCCCAGGAGTACTGGTTCTTCGGAGATTCCTATTGCTGTTCCAAGAGTACAAGTCCTGTATAAAGGAGTGCTTCCTAATGGTTATGGATTTGTGAAAAATGTACCATAAAAAGTTCAGCTCTTTATTTTTCATGAAATGGGTATCCTATGGCATACTTTCTAGAAATATCATGATTGGCAACACTATTTAGTCATTATACTTAAGTATTTGATACTTTTTTTTCTACATGAAGTTTATGGATATATTAAGTTTGAACCCTATGAAATTCCTAATTTGTCAGTTTATTTTTCAGCAGTAAAGTCCCTTTAGCATTTCCTGCAGAGCAAGTGTACTAGTGAGAATCACTGTTGAAATTTGTTTATCTTGGGATGACTTATTTTTTGATTTCTTTGAAGGATACATTGTGGAATGTAGAATTCTTCATCAGCAGTATTTTTCTTTCAGCACATTGAATATGTCATCTTCCTACCTCTAGGCCTCTGGTATAGTTTGAATATATGTCCCTGCAAAATCTCACTAACCTGTGCCCCAGTAACCTGTGCAGCCTCAGGACACTGCTCCCTGCATCCAGGCTGCTCCAGCTCCAGCCTCAGCTCAGATGACCCCAGACACAGCCCCAGATGCTACTTCAGAGGGTGCAAGTCAAAGCCTTGGTGACTTCCACGTGGCATTAAGCATGCAGGTGTGCAGAGTGCAAGACTGAAGGACGCTTGGCAGCCTCCACTTAGATTTCAGAGGATGAATGGAAAAGCCTGAGTGTCCAGGCAGAAGTCTGCTGCAGTGGCACGGCAGTGCGGAGGGGAGATGTGACATAGGAGCCCATGCACAGAGTTCCCACTGGGGCACCACCTAGTTGATCTATGGAAAGGGCACACCATCTTCCAGACCCCAGAATGGTAGAGCCACAGGCAGCTTGAACCTTGTGCCTGGAAAAGCCACAGGCACATAACAAGCTGTGAAAGCAACCATGGGTCCTGAATCCTGCAAAGCCACAGGTGTGGAGCTGCCAAAGGCCATAGGAGCCCATCCCCTGCACCACTGTGCCCTGGATGCACAATATATAGTGTAAGGAGACTATTTTGAAGCTCTAAGATTTAATGAGTTCCCTGCTGGGTTTTGAACTTGCATGGGGCCTGTAGGCCCTTTCCTTTGGCCGATTTCTCCATTTTGGAATGGGAGTGCTTACACAATGCTTATACCATCATTATATCTTGGAAGTAAATAACTTGTTTTGATTTTGCAAGCTCATAGGAGGAAGGAGATGAGTCTCAAATAAGATTTTGGACTTTCATTTGGGACTTTTAATTGAGTTGATATCAGCTGGAAGGAGTTAAGACTTTGGGAGCCTGTTGGGAAGTTATGATTGTATTTTGCAATGTAAGAAGAAAATAAAATTTGAGGGGCCAGGGGCAGAATGATATAGCTTAAATATATGTCCCCACCAAATCTCATGTTGAATTATAATTCCCAGAGGTACAATGTGGGACCTGGTGGGGGGTGTTTTGGTCATGGGGGTGGATCCCTCATGGCTTGCTGCTGTCCTTGCAATAGTGAGTGAGTTCTCATGAGATCTCATTGTTGTAAAGTGTGATGCCTCCCCCAAACCTCTCTTGCACCTTTTCTGGCCATATGACCTGCCTACTTCCAGTTTGTCTTCTGCCATGAGCTAAAGGTCCCTGAGGCCTCTCTGGAAGCCAAACAGATGCCAGTACCATCCTTGTCCAGTCTGCAGAACCATCAGCCAATTAAACATCTTTTTAAATAAATTACCCAGCCTCTGATATCCCTTTATAGCAATGAAAACAGACTAATACAGCCTCCATACTTTCTGTTGAGAAATCAGCTGTTAATATTATTGATCATCCTGTGTATGTGAAGTATAACTTCTATTTTGCCGCTTTCAGGATGTTTTCATTGTCTTGTCTTTTTTACCTTTTGTTTATAGTGTCTTGGTGGGGATATCTCTGATTTTTCCCTACATGGAATCTATTGGATGTGTAAATCAACATATTTCATCATATTTGATAAGATATTGACTGTTCTTTCCTCAAATATTCTTTATATCCCTTCATATTCCCCTTTTTATCTCTTTCCAGAACTCCCTTTATGTATGTTTTGGTACACTGGATGGTTTCCACAAGTACTCTGAGCTTCGTTAATTTTACTTCATTCTTTTTTTTTCTTCCAGATTCTCAGACTAGATAATCTCAACTGACCTTTCTTGGAGATTGATGATTCTCTCTACTTCTTATTCAAATTTGCTATTGACTCCCTCTACTGAAATTTTCATTCCAATTGTTATCCTTTTCCATTCCAGAATTTCTATTTTGTTCCTTTTATATCATTTCTATTTTCTTATTGGTATTATGTATTTGATGAGACATCATTCTCCTGGTTTTCTTTTCTTCTTTCTAAATGATGTTCTTTAATATTTCAAAGAGTTGATTTAAAATATTTGCTTAGTAAATCCACTGACCGGATTTCCTCTGAGACAGTTTCTGTTGATTTCTTCTTTCTCATGTATGGGCAATACTTTTTGTTTCCTGATATGATTTATATTCTTTTGTTGAAAACTGGACATGTTTAACATTATTAAGTGGCAATTCTAGAAATCATCTTTTCCCTCAGCCCATCTGCTATTATCTAAATGCCCTCCAAAATGTATCTGTTGAAACTTAATGGCCAATGTAGTAGTATTAAGAGATGAGGCCTTTAGGATGTTACTAAGTCGTGAGGGTAGATTCGTCATCACTGGTACTAGTGACCTTTAAAAAGCACTGGAGGAAACTAATCCTTTGACTCTTCCATCTTTCTGCTATGTGACGACATAGAGTTCATCCCTTTTATCATTTTTTGCTCCTTCTGCCATGAGAGGACACAGCAAGAAGACCCTTGCTAGATGCCTAATTCTGGAGTCTTGATCTTGGCCTTCCCAGCCTCTACAAATATAGGAAATACATTTCTGGTTTTCATAAATTATCCGCTCTGTGGAAGTTTGATATAGCAGCATGAACAGACTGAGACTCCAACGCTTGTTTTTGTTATTTGTTCCAGTTGTTGTTTGCTGGTTTAGTGACTTTGTTGAACTCATTTTGTAACATCTGTATTCTTTGTCATGTGTGGCCACCGACATCTCATTCCTGTTATTGTAGTGGTCAGCTTGTGAATTGAAAGAGTTCTTATCTAGAACCACCCCTCCTCAACAAAACAAAACAAAACAAGAAACAATCCCCTAGTTTTCACAGATGGGCTCTTTGTGCATATTAGAACACACTTTCCTTTGGGAGGCCAACGTGGGCGGATCACAAGGTCAGGAGTTGTAGACCAGCCTGGCCAACATGGCAAAACCCCATCTCTACTAAAAATACAAAGAAAATTAGCCAGATGTGGTGGTGGTCGCCAGTAATTCCAGCTACTCGGGAGGCAGAGGCAAGAGAATCAGTTGATGCAGAGGTTGCAGTGAGCGGGGATCCTGCCACTGCACTCCAGCCTGGGTGATAAGAGTGAAACTCTGTCACCACCTGCCCCGCCTGCAAAAACAAACAAATAAAAAACACAAAAGTAAACAAAAACAAACAAACAAACAAAAGAAAGAACTTTCCATTTTCAGCTTGGCAGTATACAGCACAGCCATAGCTTTCACTTCCTGCTTGAGGGTAACCTGAAGCGCCCATCACAGCTGGGTGTTATTTAACTCACCAAACCAAAAAGCTAGGTGTGCCCAGTGGTACAAGGTGCGGGGTGCTGTGAATTAAGCAACTGTCTGGGTGAGGGGGGAGGGTATATATCCATGTATGCTGATAACTCCGTAAAATAAATGTATATAAGGATATACAGAAACCTCCCCCTCAAAAAACAGGGACAGGGAGAAGCCTTCATAATATACCCTTTTATATGTTTTATTTCTGAACATTGTGGATATATTACTTCTCCCAACACTTAAAGAAATTCATTACTCCTGGGAAGTCAACAAGAACAGGTAACCTTTTCTAGAATACTGGCTATGAATTACAGCATGAGATAGCAGCCAGTTAGAGATGCAGACAAGGTTTATGGAATTGTGTGTTTAGTGAACATGGAGAGTGAAATTGATCATTAAGGGCTGGATGCAACAGAGAGAACACGGACTCTGAGTCTGAACACCTGGAAGGGTCATGTACACACACACAGACACACACACACACACAAAACGCACAAACCTGCCATTTATTTATTAAAAAGATACGAAGAGACCAATTCCACAGGTCTGTTGCTTAAATAAAGTCTCCTATGGCATGTGGAACAAGGAATTGAGATGACAGCAGAACAGAAATGATGCAAAGACATTACCTCTTTCTGAAGCCAGGTGATTCTGACTCTATCACCTACTAACTATAAGGTTTCAGATAGTGACACTACTCTGAAACCATTTTCTCGATGTAAAATAGGGGAGATCCATGTCTCACAGGGTTGTTGTGAGAAGGACACAGGCAATGTCTGGAAAGCACCTGAAATGGTACCTAACGTAACATGCGCTTGACAAATACTTGCTATGTAAAAGCAAGGAGAAAGATGCATTTAATTTTTTCTTTTGTGAAACTTTATTGCAGTATACATGACAAAATATATATATATATATACATATATATATATATATTCAAGGTATATAATGTGATGTGTTGATATGTGTATACCTTGTAAATGATTACCAAAATCAACCCAATTAGCATATCCATTACCTCACATAGTTGCTTTTTAGTGGTGAGAACACTTAATATATACTCTCCTAACTCTAGGATAGAATACATTATTATTAACTATAGTCATCATGCTGTACATTGGTTCTTCAGAACTTTTTCAACTTACAACATGTGTGTACCCTTTGAGCAGAAAAATGCCTTCTCCTTACAGTCTTTTTATATCAGATGAATCATAACAAATAGAATATCTACAAAGTAGCTTAAGTAGCAAGGCTAACTGCTGTTATTTATCAGGAACCCTGGGGCATATTAAATGTCAGAGTTTATACTTCTGACTCAATTATGACAGGGCTCTACACTGGGTTCTGCAACTCCCTTGGCCTTGTCCTCATGGATACCAAGTGGCTGTTTCTGCACAAAGATCACATCTCCATACCAGCATTCAATCAGCATGACAAGGATGAGGTGAAATTATTATTTTCACAAAGTGCTGTCATTTATCAGGCAAGTAAAATTTTATTAGAAATCCATGTTATTTCCATTTATGTATTTGGTGAGAACTCATTCATCTGGCAAACTCTAGCAGCAGGAAATAGTAGGAAAGCAAATATCTTGAAAGAGAAAAACAATTTTCACGATTCATTTTGACTAGTTATTATTTATCCCAAGACACTGTCAACACCATGACTCTTAAAACTTCAATGTTCTCTTACTAAGGAAGAAAGTATAGAATGGCTTTTGTATCAGTAATGGATAGTGTCTGTCATAATCTCTTTTCTGAGATAATTGATTAAATCATGAGCATATTAGATTAGATAATTCAGGCAATTGCTTTCTGCCAAAGAGTAGTGGTGGTAGAAAATGTATGAGAAAGCTACAATAAGCATTTTGGACAGTGAAAGACCATTGAAATGTTAAAAATCTCCGGTGAATATTTTTAGGTAAATTTAGGGTCTGTTCCTACAGATACTAAATATTTTAGTCTTTGCATGTCATATAGTCTCTGTCTCATCTACTAACTCTGACTTTGCAGTTAATACCCAGCAATGGGCAATATATCAATAAATGGGCATGGCTCCGTTTCAATAAAACTTTATTATAAAGACATGGTTGGCTGAATTTGGCTTATAGGCTATAGTTTAACAATCCATGGTATAAGACAGACCAGTTTGTGATAAAACAAAATGGACAAAATTGTGTCTGTGTCTGTGTGTGTGTGTGTGTGTGTGTGTGTGTGTGTGTGTGTCTGTATGCAAAATCAATGGAACTGAGAGGATTCCAATTCACTTTAAATATTTTCAAATACAATAATGTTGAAATTACAATAAAGTTATGTTATGTTTGATCCAATACTTGCATGAGGGTATGACTTAGTGCGTTTAAACAGCAACATCAGTATTATTTTCCAGCTCCCCAAGTGTCTGCTCAGGCTGCCACAACAAAATACCATAGAGTGTATTGCTTAATAGAAACTTATTTCTCACAGCTCTGGAGGCTGGAAGTATGAGAACAGGGTAATCACATGGTTTCTGGTGACAGCTGTCTGATTTGCAGATGACCAACTTCTTACTGTGTGCTCAAATGGCATGGCAGAGAGAGAGGGAGAGAAAGAGCATGCTCTCTGGTGTCTTTTCTTGTAAGGACTATCAGACAAAGGCTCCTTCCTCATGACCTCACCTCATCTAAACCTAATTATATCTTGAAGGCCCCTGTAGTGTGAAGGGTCCCAATCAGCTTACTAAAAGGTTTATTTCTGCTGCCCAAACCCTGAAGGCCAGGCCATGAGCCAAGGCCATGTTGCCCAGCCAGAGAGCAGGTGTCCCTGAGAACTCAAACATTCCAGACAGTATCTGAGAACCTATCAAGAAAAAGTCTCATCGCTTAAACACAGTAAGCAAGGAGCCAGAAAATTAGCTGAAAAGTACTTTAAAAATAATAAGCGGTGCAGATCTCTACAGCTGTCCTGCTGTTGTCCCGGAGTGCCTCCTATGTGAATCCTAATAATCTCATCTACTCGCCAAGCTGGACTTCTCCAAGTCATTTCTTGATCTCTTAGCTCACTCCCAGTTTGGGGGAAGGTATTTCTATATGATTCCAGGATTTTCTCCTTACAGCCCCATCTTCAAATACTATCACCTTGGAAGATAGTGCTTCAACATATGATTTGGAGGGTACATGAACATTCAGTTGATAGCATTCTGCCCCTGGGGCCCCCAAATTCATGCCCTTCATGCATGCAAAATCCATGCTTTCCAACCTCCCAAAACAACCCTTATTTCTTTGAGGACCCAAACAGCCTTTGTAGAACTAACAAATTAGCCACAAGATTAGAAATTATGGCTCAGGAGTCATGTAGTCAGAGGTCACAAGGCTCATAACCTCCCTAACTGCTTCTATAGATAGCATCACTATTGTAAAACTTAAGACTGGTGTGCAAGACCCTTCATTCTGTTGGACCAGCTGGTTCCACCTGGACTGGTAAGCTGGTTTAACTGGTCTTGTGATCTGACCCAGGAACTGACTTAGCACAAGAGGACAGCCTCAACCCCCATGACTTAATCCTTGACCCAATTAATGAGGATGACCCCTTCGCTAGCCCCCACCCACCAAATTATCATTTAAAAACCCTAGTCTCTAAATTTGGATCACAAGCACAGTGTTCTAGGAGTAAATTCAAGGGAAAGCTGGTTGAGATAGAATAGGGGTGTGGGGGGTGTGGAGTATAGCACAGAAAGTTGTCACAGCACAACCTTCCTCCTGTCTTGGGACTGAGGTGTGGGGGGTAGGGAAAACAGCCATGTACCCTCCTGAGTCCTGGAGACACCTGACAACCAAACAGCTTCTAAGGTTTTTTCCTTCTCAGTATGCAGGGCAACTTGGTTACTAGACATGCAAGAGAGACCCCCAGTGGCAACGTGTAGAAGTGAAGTATTTTCCCAAAGCATAAAGACCACAAAGAAACATAAGGGTAGAGGATGATGGCTTCCAACCCATTGTCTTTATCAAACTAATGCAGGGACAGAAAATCAAATACCACATGTTCTCACTTATAATTGGGAGCTAAATGATGAGAACACGTGGACTCAAAGAAGGGAACAACAGACACTGGGGCCTACCTGAGTGTGGAGGGTGGGAAGAGGGAGAGGAACAAAAAAATAACTATTGGGTACACGGTTTAGTACCTGGATGATGAAATAATCTATTCAACAACCCCCCATGACAGCAGTTTACCTATATAAAAACCTGCACTTGTTCTCTTGAACCTAAATAAAAGTTAAAAGAGTAGAGGATGATAATGGTGATAAACCATGAGTACCACATAGTGAACATACACTGTGCCAGGCATTGCTCTAAGTGATTTACATGTATTAACTTATTTAATCTCAACAACCCAATGGGGTTAATGCTTTTATTATCCCTATATTACATATGGAGAAACTGAGGCACAGAAAAGTTAAACAACTTACCCAAGTTTACCTAAAATGAGTGGCCAAGATGGGATTTGAACCCAGGCAATCTGAGGTTAAGAAAACACTACACCATATTTTCTCTCCAAAACAGAAAATTAAGAAGTCCCCTCAGTCAACTTAAAGTTTGAAACACTCAAAAATTAATGCTTGCTCTCTTCTTTCTCATATCCACAGGAGAACAGTCAAAGGACATATATATTTCAGTAGGTAATAGCTGAGACAAAGTCAGAGAATTCAGAAGTCCTTACAGCAGGCAGAGAAAGACCTACAGCGAGAAGACCAAATTTGACTAAGATGAGTAAAGGGACAATAGCATTTTCTGTAAACTGAACTCAAAGTGCCAGAATCCTAATTTTTAAGAAAAGTGTTACAGTGCACTCATATGGAAATGTGTAAGATAATTATTGCACTGCTAAACTTGTTTGTATCTTAATAAATGCTTATATGGTTTGACTGTGTCCCCACCCAAATCTCCTCTTGAATTGTACTGTCATAATTCCCACGTTTTGTGGGAGGGACCCAGTGGGAGATAATTGAATCATTGGGGCGGTTTCCCCCATACTGTCCTACCAGTAGTGAGTAAGTTTCACAAGATCTGATAGTTTGATAAGGGGAAACCCGTTTTGCTAGGCTCTCATTCTCTTGTCTTGTCTGCTGCCATGTGAGACATACTTTTCACCTTCCACCAGGATTGTGAGGCTTCCCCAGCCACGTGGAACTGTAAGTCCATTAAACCTCTTGCTTTTGTAAATTGCCCAGTCTTAGGTATGTCTTTATCAGCAGCATGAAAAACGGACTAATACAATGCCCAAAACAATCCACTAGCTTTAAAATGATGCAAGCTACCCAAGTGTCTCTGACTAAAGTATATATTCTGTAAATTTTTGACTTTTACCTTTGTAGCCCACAAAAGAAACAAGATTTTTTTGTTTCTTGTTTCTTTGTAACTTTCTTTTGTGGCACAGAAAATAGATGTTTTTAAGTATTTTTCAACAGACATGGACAATGTTATGGTTTACATGGATGGAGGTTTCCTTTGGTCAAATAGAGAGTAGACTGAGAGAGGAGAAGAGTTTTTAATGGGGAACAAGAAAAAAATCTTAGACAAACAGGTGTATCATTTCCATATGGAATCTTCTTCTGACTAGGAAATAATACCTTTCTATCCATAGCCATAAAGAAAAGGTAAAAGGCGAACTTTTCTCTATATCTTGAAAGGAGAAACCAGAGGCCACATTGAGCTTCACAGGAAGAGGATGATTTTGAGATAAGCTTGGGGGCAGACATTGGGAATAAGCTAATAAGCTTGGGGCAGATAAAGGTCAAGGTGGGACCAGCAACTCTCTGGGTGTTCAAACACATCAACCATCCTCTAAATGTTAGCTGCCCCGCACTTTGGACTAGATTTCTCATACTCTCCCTTATAGTCTCTTTCTGGTGAGGTCATCCAATCACATGACTTCAATACCGTCTATAAAATGTCCCCCATATGTCTACTTCGAAACGTGACATTTTTGCAGCTCCTTGATTCACATTTCCACTTGGATGTCTAATGAAAATCTGACTTTACATGGCATGCATTCCCCGCTCCTCCACCCCGGGGGACCCATGCAACCATCCCCACGGGAGATAATAACACCATCATCAACCCAGGTGCTCAGGTCCAAACTTCAGAACTTACATTATATTCCCCCTCTCCCACTCCTCACCTCCTGTCCATGAGTAAAGTTTGTCTCCCTTTGTCGAAAGTCCATCTGGAACTGGTCGACCTCTCTTCATTTCCTCAGCCACCATCACAGCTCAAGCTGCACTAGTCTCCTACCTGGATCGGCTATACTGGCTCTGCCTGGTCTGCACCTTCAACTCTCTGCCACCCCTCTACATTCTTCAGAGCAGACAGTCACTGCCTTGACATTTGGGGGCATTTATTCTACTTTATATTTATTCTACTTTATATTCAATATCACAAATTTGACCTTCAGCTTTGACCTTATGTTTTTCAGTCCTTCTTTTGAGCTGTTTTTTTAACCAGTTTAATGGAAGAAATGGTACAGTTGAAGGGCAAGATGCAGGAAGTCACCCCATATCTGTGGGGAAGGCAGCCTAAGGCTCAGTCCCATTATCCGTGTCACTCAGGGTGAGCTTGCCAAAGAGGTACTCTGCCATACTGTCCCCCAGAGCCCCCATCTTGCTGCCCAGAAGCAAGAATACTTAGCAATTGCATGTTTTAAAAAGATAACTTTTCATGTCAAGTTAAAGACTATTATTTTTATCCCCGCCCAATCTCATTCCCTTCCCTTCTTCTCCAGAGGCAACCGCTAGGATGAATTCCATACCATGTTTTATACCATACCATGCATACACACCCACAGATACCATGGCCCAAGACAGCACGCCCCACCCGACCCCACCCACCCCACACATCTCACCCCACCCTACCCCACCTCACCCCACCCCATCCCACATGCCCTCAAAGTTTATAAGGGGAAGACTAATGTATTTTCCAGGGGCCCATAAAATACCTTTCCCTTCCACCCCCGCAGATCCTGAGCTGCATGCAGATGGGGCAGGGCTGAATGGAAAGACTGCTGAATACCTACTTTAAACCTGCATGGGGATGTGCCCTGATTCCTAAAAGGTGAGAGTGCTGCAGATACGCATCAGCTGGACACCTTTATTGCTTTGAGAACAGATAACTTTATTGCCAACAACGGTAAAACTGAGAGGAGAAAAATGAAGAGAATGTTCTGAAAAGGGAACATGGACGTCCCGCCTGGTGGCGCGAGCAGGGGAAGGCACCCCGTGGCTGTGGGGCCTGTCTGGGCTCTGGTGTGTTTCTGGCTGCGGCCCAGGGTGAGCTTGTTAAAGAGGTACTCTGCCAGGCCTGCTTCCGGGGCCCCCATCTTGTGCAGGTTGCTCAGGTAGCCACCCAGCTCTTTGATGGTCTTGGCCTGCTGGTTCAGGAAGTCGTTCTCCAGGAAGTCGCAGAGCTGGGGGTCGCCGTTCTCCCTGGCCAGCTGGTGCAGCTCCAGGAGGCTCTGGTTGATGTTCTTCTCCAGGTGGAAGGTGCACTCCATGGCCTTGAGCCCGCTCTCCCAGCCTTGGCCCTCTGGCTTCCTGATGTCATGAAGGCAGATGCGGCCACCGCGCAGGTTCTGCAGGCTCATCAGCTCCTGGGCGTGCTCCCTTTTCTCCTGCGACTGGCGCAGGAAGTAGCGGTCAAAGTGCTCCAGGGCCGCGTCGTCCTGGTCGAAGTAGAAGGCCATGGACAGGTACACATAGGATGCGTGGAGCTCCAGGCTGATGTGGGTGTTGATGGCAGCCTCACAGCTGGGATGGTGGTACCGTCGCACCGGCGACAGCGGGCCCAGGGCGGGCAGCGCGGGCGCTGGGAGGAGGGGAAAAGCAGTGGGTTTGCCAGGGGCCCGGAGCGGGTAGTGGCATCGGCGTGGGCAGTGGCGGCAGCGGCGGGGTCCTCGGAGCACCACCATGGTGGACGACAGCGGCGGCTGGTGGAGGGCGTCGTCCCCCGGGCCCGGTGGTAGTGTGGTCACAGGCTCTGCGAAGGGACCGGAAGTGAGCGGTGGAGACCTTTATGCGGGGAGGAGCGCACAAGGTCGGGCGGGTGTGGGCTGGTGCGGAGCTGCGAGGGACTTCTGACAGGTGGGGGTGGGGGAGCACGCTGAGTTCTATGGGCAGCCCGGGGAATTGGGCACTATCAGACCTCTGTGCTACGTCAATTCTGTAGTAACTTTTCTAGTGTCCAAGGACTTTCGCCTGTCCCCTGATTGTTCCCCTCTATGACAGCTTGTTCTCATTTCATAAACTTCTTGTCTTTCTTAAACTCTGAGAGTATGTTCTGATAACGTTTTCTTCTGTTTCCTGTATTATATCCTTTTTTCCCTCCTCCAGAATTAGTTCTATTTGTGCATCTTCCTCACTTTCCTTAAATATCTGGAAAACGTTTGTCCATTCATGATTGGAATCAAGGACTGGGTTAGCCTCGGTGATGAGCATGGACCTAATGCACAGTTGTGAGTCTGGATGACCAGTAGGATTCTCCCATGAACAGGAGGGTGGAGGGTGTCAATTAGGGAGTGCTCATCTCCTTTGGAGATAAAGGTATAGAGCTCCCAGGCAGAGTAGGAACTATTCTAAATGCCCAAAGCATGGCATTTCTCTGGCACTGGAAAACTTTAGTGGATCTGTCTTCTAGGTAGATGTCAACTTCCCTTTAAATGCTCACCCATGTCTGCTGCACCCTGAAGCTTAATTCTGTCTGCAGGAGGGATGACTCCACATGATAGGGAATGTGATTTCAGATATGTTTTCAGGATCAAAGCTTAAACACCAGAGTAAAGACTCCTTTTTTAAAATTTACTTCGAAAAGTCCTGTATGTTCACAGTTTTAGGTACTCAATAACTAATCCCCGTGTCTTCCCTGCTGAATTTGAAACCAATTAGTAGACACAAGACTCAGCTCACTGAAGAACAAACTTAGGTCTGTAGCAAAATGAACTTGATAGTACTTTTCAAATCTTCCAATTAGAGAAACTCGCTGTGGCAGAATAACTTCACCAAAGCTTATTTGTTTTCATCTTGGTCCACAAGTAACCATATTTTTCAAGCTACTCTTGTGATTTGATGGGGACATGTACTGATTTCTGGCTATTGGAATATGAAAATAACTGATGTATGGCCAAATAAGGCCTAGTTTATAGGACACACCCTGTGCAATCCATGTCTCAAGTGAAGAAGAGGAACAGACCCTACAATATGACATATCCAATTTGGAGAAGGAGCCTGGAACTTTGGAAAACTTATGGAGAATGTCCCCTCATCATTGTCACCACCAACTTGCACTGGACCTTGATAAAAACAAAAAATAAAAATTTACTTTAAAAGCTAAAGAGATTAGAAACATTTGTTACAGGAGATAGCCTCTTCTAACTAATCAAATTAGCTAGTCAAAGAAGGTACTGGATAACCACAGGCTGTACCCACAGGGTCCTGTAGGCTTATGGCACTGGAGTGCATACCAGAACACACCCTCTCAGTGGGAAGGCAGATGAGAAAAAGGAGAGGTTTAGATAGCTCTGGGTTATCACACTTTCTTCCTTTTGCTTACTGCACCAAATACACACACATACACACACACACACACACACACACACACACACACACACACACACACACACACATATCTCAATCCTTCTCCTTTTTTTCCTTCTGGAGAGTGAAATTTAAAATCCCTCATTGGCCAGGTATGGCAGCTTACCACTGTAATCTCAGCACTTTGGGAGGCCAAGGCAGGCAGATTGCTGGAACCCAGGAGTTCAAGTCCAGCCTGGGCAACATGGCGAAACACCCCTCTACAAAAAAATATTTTTAAAAAAAAGGCATGGTGGCACACACCTGTAGTCCCAGCTACTCAGGAAACTGAGGTGGGAGAATTGCCTAAACCCAGGAAGTCGAGGCTGCAGTGAGCCATGATCCCACCACTGCATTCCAGCCTGGGCGACAGGAGTGAAAGACTCGGTCTCCAAAAGGAAAAGAAAAAAGAAAAATCCCTCATGGACTCTTGAAGATCAAGGAAAGATGCTTTCCTTCTGCCTCGATGTCCTGGAATAAAATCAGGCTGGTCCTTGGGTACCTAACCTTAAGCCAGGAACACAAAGCACAGGGGCAGAGATCACGACTATCTGACCCCAGAGCCAGTCAGCTGTGGTGAGGAAGGTGGGACATGTAGCAACATAAAGCTCTCCTGGAATCACATACCTGGAATCTGTGTTTGTGTGGAGCAGTTCCCCAGAAAAGGGGAATGCTAGTTCCAGGACTGGTGGTGGGAGGCTAACCAGGTGGTACCACAGATAGTACCATTCAGTTTTTGCTACTGAGCCATGAGGTCTGCAGAGTTAGGAGGTTCCCACGTCTGTCTTTGTTTCCCACACTACACCATGCCGGCACCTAGCACATTCTTCTCCTTTGGAAAGGAGTATAGTGAGGAAGAAGCAACAAAAGTGGGCTAGGAAAGCAAAGGAACAGATTGTTGGAAGTAACTGTGAGAATGGAAGTAGCGTCAACTCCCAACTACAAATGTGAAATGCCTTTGGGCAGCATGCTGCCTCAATGCTCTGTGTGAGGCCCAGGGTTAAGGAACATGGCCACAGTGAGCACTGGTTAATAAAGATGGCCAGGGGCTGGGCAGGTTGGCTCACACTGTAATCCCAGCACTTTGGGAGGCCGAGGTGGGTAGATCACCTGAGGTCAGGAGTTTGAGACCAGCCTGGCCAACATGGTGAAACTCCATCTCTACTAAAAACACAAAAAAGTAGCCGGGTATGGTGGCATGCACCTGTAATTCCAGCTACTCGGGAGGTTGAGGCAGGAGAATCACTTGAACCTGGGAGGCGGGAGTTACAGTGAGCCGAGATTGGACCATTGCACTCCGGCCTGGGCAACAAGTCTCACAAAAAAAAAAAAAAAAAGAAGGCGACCAGGAAGCCAGTCTCAGCTCTGTCACCAGAGAAGTAGATGATTTAATGAGTCCTTACCAGACTAGATGATTTTCAACATTCTTGGGAATCCTCACAATTTTGTGAGGTAGGAATGGTTATTGTACCCATGAGGAATCTGTGATCCTAAATATAAAGCCCTTGCCCAAGATGATACAGAAACAGAATTCAATGTCAGGGCTGATGCTCAACTAGAACTGTGGGACCACAGTCAGGTTTTCAATGAAATGCAGTGTAATGAGGTCGCTGGGTCGTATAATATCTCATGGCCTCTCTCTGCTTTAGTGAGCACAAAGGTATGTAGAGAGAAGCAGAAAATAGCTGCTGTGATTCCGTAGCAGCACAAACCACCACCCTCTCTTGCCAAGTGTTCCTGGGACAGCCCTTTCCTCTGGCAGGGTCAAGTTTCTCCTATGCAACTGCACAGAACAAATACTCCTTGTTCAATTTCTACTGGGAAATGAGTTTAAGTAAATTGTTTTTAAAAATGTGAGGCTATAGTATGAGATAGAACAAAGCTTTTCCTCAGGAGGCTGCCAAGCCTCTCTTCGTGGATGGGATGAGGAGTTTAGGCTTTTTATCACTCCTCTGATCTGCTAACCCACACTTTAGGATTCTGCTTAGAAGAAGACAAGAAGATGTCGGAAAGTTTGGAACCACCTAGAGACTTGTTGAATGGCCTTGATCAAAATGCTGACAGTGATATGGATAATGAAGTCCAGGCTGAGATAGAATAGAAAAACCCATTTTCTGAGGAGAAATTCAAGCTGGCTGCAGAAATTTGCAAACATAGCAAGGAGCCACATGTTAATAGCCAAGACAATGGGGAAAATGTCTCCAGTGCATGTCAGAGATCTTCACAACAGCCCCTCCCTTCACAGGCCCAGAGGCCTAAGAGAGAAAAATGGTTTCATGAGCTGGGCCTAGGGCCATGCTACTCTGTGGAGCCTCAGGGCATGGTGCCCCTCATTCCAGCTGATCCAGCTCCAGCTGCGGCTAAAAGGGGTCAAGGTACAGCTCAGGCAGTTGCTTCAGATGGTGCAAGCCCCAAGCCTTGGTGGCTTCCACATGGTGTTGGGCCTGCAGGAGCACAGAAGACAAGAGTTGAGCTTTGGGAGCCTCTGCCTAAACTTCCCAGGATATATGGAAATGACTGCATGTCCAGGCAGAAGTCTGCTGCAGGGGTGAATCCCTCGTGAGGAACTCTACTGAGGCAATACAGAGGGGAAATGTGTGTTTGGAGCCTGTGCACAGAGTCCCCACTGGGGCACTGCCTAGTGGAGCTGTGAGAAGAGGGCCACCATTGTCCAGACCTCATAAGGGTAGATCCATCACCAGCTTGTACTGTGCACCTAGAAAAGCTGCAGGCACTCAACGCCAGCCTATGTAAACAGCTGCGGAGCTGTGCCCTGCAGAGCGATAGTGGTGGAGCTGTCCAAGGCCATGGAAGCCCACTCCTTGCATCAGCATGCTCTGGATGTGAGACATGGTGTCAAAGGAGAATTTGGAGCTTTAATATTTATTGACTACCTGGGCAGGTTTTAGACTTGCATGGGGCCTCCGGCTTCTTTGTTTTGGCCAATTTTTTTCCACTTGGATGGGAAAATTTACCCAATGCCTGTACCTCCATTGTATCTTGAAAGTAACTAGCTTCCTTTTGATTTTACAGGCTCATAGGTGAAAGGGACTTGCCTTGTCTCAGATGAGACTTCAGGCTTGGACTTTTGAATAAATGCTGGAAAGAGTTAAGACTTTGGTGGACCGTTAGGAAGGCATGATTGGTTTTGGAATGTGAAAAGCACATGAGATTTGGAGGGGCCAGGGGCCCAGTGATATGGTTTGGCTCTGTGTCCCCACCCAAATTTCTCATCTCAAACTGTAATCCTCACATGCTGAGGGAGGGACCTGGTGGGAGTGATTGGCTCATGGGGGCAGTTTCTCCAGTGCTGTTCTCATGACCGTGAGGGAGTTCTCATGAGATCTTCATTGCCAAAAGCAGTGTTATGAATAAAGTTAACCTTGGAAATTAAATTTTAATCATTTTTGCATTGCCAGTTAACATTTCTAAGAATAGAATAACCAAGTTTTCTTCACATAAATCAAGTGTACACATTCTCCTAGATTTTCTTCAAATCTCTATGTTTGCCCTTTTTCTGTGCAATAAAATATTTATGTATTTTTGTATTTATGTATTGTCTCACCAGGAGTGATGAATATTTTCTTAAGCTTATGTCATCCAACAATGGTGTTATTTAAATACTGGAAAAAGTTACCAGGGAAGCTTCTGTAATCTACTTAAAATATAGTATAAGTGAGAGAAGCTCATTTTACTTCTTATTTTTAATTTTCATGGGTATATAGTAGGTGTATATGGGGTACATAGGATATTTTGGTACAGACATGCAATGCATAAAAACATCATGGAAAATTGGGTATCTATTTCCTCAAGCATTTATTATTTGTGTTAGAAACAATCCAATTATACTCTCAGTTATTTTTAAATGTAAATTTAAATTATTATTGACTATAGTCACCCTGTTGTGCTATCAAATACTAGGCTTTAATCATTCTTTCTATTTTTATGTACTCATTAACCATTCCTACCTCCCACCCCTGGCCTCCACTACCATTTCCAGCCTATGGTAACCATCTTTCTATTCTCTATGTCCATGAGTTCAACTGTTTTGATTTCTAGATGCCACAAAATAATAAGAATATGAAAAGTTTGTCTTTATGTGCTCGACTTACTTTGCTTAACATAATGAGCTCCAGTTCCATCTATGTTGTTGCAAATGACAGAATCTTATTCTTTTTTTATGGCAGAATAGTACCACATTGTGTAAATGTACCACATTTTCTTTATTCATTTATCTGTTAATGGATATGTAGGTTGCTTCCAAATCTTAGCTATTGTGAACAATGCTGCAGCAAACATGGGAGTACAATATCTGTTCGACATACTTATTTCCTTTCTTTGGGTATATACCCAGCAATAGGATTGGGACTTGTGTCCCAAGCCCAATAACGCTGTGGTTTTTGTAGAGTAGTAGAGGTGCTGCCTTGGTGGTTTTGGATAAGATCCAGAAGAATTCTCTGGATTACCGACAGAGACACTTGGTCTTTTCCCTTACTTTCTCCTAAATATATGGGGTCTCCCTCTCTGTGCTGAGCCACCTTGAACTGGGGGTGTGGTGATGTAAGCACCCATGTAGCCACCACTACTGGCAGTGTGCCGGGTCAGACCTCAAGCCAGCACAGCACTGTGCCTTGCTCAAGGTCCTTTCCTTCAGGGTGGCAAAAAACTGACTTCTTATGTAAGCTATTAGTATGAGGAAGAATAAACTAAAATTGATTCTCAATTTCTTTTGATTACTAGCACAAAAAAGATTTATTGAATTTAAAACCTCATACTAAATTCAACAATAAATGTAAAACAACTAAAGCTATGTTATTTTTTCAATACTTATGTGTTTAAACTATGTTTGTGTAAAATGATCTTCTGTATTCTACCTTGATTACATTTTGGGGGCATGAATTGTTTCTTAATTAGGGAAAATTTCAAAACATAAATTCCCATGTTCTCATCTCACAGCTTTAAAAATTATTACCTCATGGCAAACTTTCTCACCTTCTACCTGATATACTATTTTGAAGAAAATCAAGGACATTGTATCATTTCATTCATAAATATTTCTTGATATATTTCTCCAAATGAGAACTCCTTTTTATATTAAAAATTACCACACTCCCATTAATTTTGTTTTCAAATTATGGATTTGTGATTATAAAGTCAAAACAATCACTTTCAAAGATGAAAATTTTGTTGTTAGAAAAAATGTGTGTATTTTATTCTGTGTGAGTGATTGTTGCTGAGATAATGTTTTATGTCAATTAGCAGTTATGTGAGACACTGCTCTAAAAAGCAAAGCACTGCAGTCAGCAAAGGATCAAGAATTATGTTTTCCCCTATTTTGATGGGAAAAATACAACTGCAGAGTTACATATAAGCCAACATAGAGCTACTAAATGTTATATATAAAGTTTTGGTGCCGCAAAAGAAATAGCACTCGAATATAACATTTTCTTTTAATTCTCAGCAAGGCAAGTTACTTCTATAGAAGGGTGCATGCTTACACATGGAGCAATGGTGAGTGCACACTTGGACAAGGGAGGGGAAGGGGTTCTTATCCCTGATGCATACGGCCCCTGCTGCTGTGTCATTCCCCTATTGGCTAGGGTTAGACCGCACAGGCTAAACTAATTCTGATTGGCTAATTTAAAGACAGTGACAGGGTGAGTGGTTTGGCAGGAAAAATGGTTATGACAGAGCAGGTCATCGGAATGAGTCAGGGTGGAGTAGGTAATCGGAATGAGTCAGGGTGGAGCAGGTAATCAGAATGAGTCAGGGTGGAGCAGGTGATTGAAATGAATCAGGGTGGAGCAGGTAATTGAAAAAGGTTGCTTTATGAGGAAGTTAAGTTTAAAAGTAGAAGGTAAAGAATTGAACATACTGACATATTGATTCTTTGAAAATAAATTTAGAACTCATATCTAACAATCCCTCCCCTTGTATTTCCTTACAGCTTTCTTTTCAAACCTTTTTTTAACATGTCTTGGCTTAGCTGTTTTGCTTGATTTTCCAAAAGAAGCTTCTCTGGATAAGGTGGAGGATAGTTAAGGGAGGTTTTAGTATGTGCCGTTTTTATGAGCCTCTGCATCAACCTACGGATGCATGGTATGACACAGCACCTGACAAGAATAAGTACACCCATTACGGCTGCGAGGGAAGTAAGAATTGAGGCTATTATTCCTTTCCATTTACCGAACTACTTTTCTTGCCATCCTGTAAAGGGGTCATTTACCCCTGAGTTGTTGGCTAACTCATTGGACAGAGTAGTCAGACTTTGCAATGCCTTTGTTATACTTCCATCAGTGGTGGTGGTGTTTGGGATGAAGGTACAACATTGAGTTTTCATCATGACGCAAACTCCTCCTCTTTCTGCTAATATCATGTCTAAGGCTGTCCTGTTTTCCCCAGCCATCTGGCTAGTTGCCCCTAATTGTTCAGCTATTCCTTTAACAGCATCTCTAATGTAGTTAATAAATCGCTGTTGGTTGTAGTAGATGTAGTTTATCCAATCTACATTTTTATTAATTGTCACCTACCAAAATATTGACTTAAATCCTGCAGCTATTTGATTTCGGGTTTTAAATTGATCTGGTATTCCCTATGGGACTCCAATTGTGTCTAAATAGACGTGAGAGTCTAAAGGCCCATAAGGGGCTTCTCTCGCTTTACGATGTGTTATTTTTCCTTCCTCTGGTTGATGAAATGCCAGGGTGAAAGGGATAGCCAACTGGGCTAAAGCACAAGTGCCACTCCAGTTATTCAGCAGTGTCCAGTAAAGGTTCACCACAATACCACCACACATCCGCTCGGGGATGAACAAGGGCTGACTGATTGATAAGCTCTTGAAAATTCTTAAGCTCACTGCATCCCTTCAGGTCTACAAGGAATGCTAAGTCTCCTCCCTGTCGTGAGAGACACGAAGTGAACTTAGTGTTGGGAGACTGAAGCTGGATGGCCCTCGGGGGCTGACCCACAGGGTGCCAGACTTCGGGATATAGCAGAGAGAGCTTGGCATGACTTACTATTCCAGGCTGTAGAATCCTGGAAAAGAGCTACCATGCAGCCCATGCCTGGTCGACTGGAGGACCACCTTAGTGGAAAGGGGACAATCTGGGCCTCTGGCCTGCTGTGTGCACAAGCATAACAATTGCTTTTGTTTAACGTGTGGATGGAATATTTGATCCATTCCAACTGGTATCCTGTCTTAATTGCCAAAGTTTGTTTTAAGTCTTTAACTTTTACGATAGCTATCTTGGTCTTGTCGTTAGATGGAGGAGGAGCAATTATTCCGTTGTGAGAGGTTTTGGAAGAAGGCTTAGAGGAAGGTGCAGGCGTTGGGGGATCAAAGAAATGCATTTTAAAGAATCTAATAGGGTTTGTCCCTGAAACCTCAGCCCCTATACCATAAAAGCCAATTCCAGGCTTAAAGAAGGGAACTGGCTTAGAAAAGGGAGAGAACTTTGAGAGTTTGAGATAATAACCCATATAGAATTACATTGGTTTAGCTGACAGTTAGGGGGGAGGGCCGTCCTTCTAGTAAAATGAATGTATGGTTTTAGGAAATTACAAAAACCGTTTGGAGCAGTCCACTCTTGGTCTTTAGTGGTCTACAGAATGTTGGACTAACTACGGCATAAAAGCTCTACAACAGGGAGCAAGACTCCTGGTTGACACTGGGGTCTTTATCAAAATCTCCCCCGGATTAAATGGTGCCAATTCACTAATGCCCAGTCTGAGGAGAGTCAGGAGGGACAGAGGTACTTTTCTGAAGTAGAGAGCTTTGACTTAGCAAGTCCCCACAGGGTATAACAAGGCAAGCATTAAATGCAATAGTTTGAGGTGAAATTGACTTGGTTATGTTAATAACTAGATGGTCAGCAATAGAGCGAGGAAAGAAGAAAGAGTAATAGAATAGATGAAAGAGAGTTAAATTTTTCTTAGCTTTAGTTTGGTAGGGTTTTTCCCTGGGACCATGGCCCACAACTCAGGAGGGGGCGGCACTTTGTTGACTCGGGTGTGATGAGTCCATCCCCTTTCCACTGTACGAACAGCAGTCTCGGTAGTTAGCAGCACAAGGCAGGGTCCTTCCCAGGCTGGCTGGAGTTTTCCTTCTTTCCACCCTTTGATGAGAACGTGATCCTCAGGCTGGTGCTGGTTTACTGGAAATTCTAGGGGTGGTACCTGTGCTAAAAGACTTTTAGTTTTGAGGGAAAGGAAAGTGGAAGATAATCCAAGTATATAATTTCTAAGAAATTGATCTTTTGTTTTAAATGTGGGGACATCAACAGTGGACTTTATAGTCCTTGGTGCTTTCTTACTGAGAAATTTCCTTTAGCACCAATTTTTATTAGTTTTTATACCAAAGAAAGCCAAACACCATTTTATATTTGACAATGCTTCCTGTATGATCTTTATACCAGATAAGCTAAATTTCACCTTTAGTGTGTTATTAATGTTAAACTCAATTTTAATAAAACCTTGTAGACATATTTATCCAATTTTAACATGTGACCATAAGGTAAGATTTTTATAGACTCTTTTCAACCTTTTATAATTTTTGTTAAAGAGCAGGTTAGTGCTTTAAGAAAAACCTGTTGTGCTTTTATTTTAATGTCCAGTTCACAGAAAAACTGGATGATACCTCTTTAACTTTAGCCAGTATGTTTACACACAGAATTTCCTTTACAATTAATGTTTCAAAACTTGCTTAAACCTTTAAAACTATATATATATATTTAACCTTTTAATGTAGGTAAAAATCCACATTCTTATGCCTCCTTATAATCCTTTTACCAAAGGTATATTTTACTTTCCTTATACATCTTGCACATAAACTTTCTTCAATAGTTTTACATTCAGGAGGCCTAATTACTTTTAAATTATACAACATTTCTTGCATAAATTCCCTTTTATAACTTTTTTTTTCACGACTTTCACAGATAATTCTTTGACATGTCTCAACTTTCTCACTTGTTGCAAACATCTGTTTCTTTAAACAACCAGTAGATTTATTTTAGGACAAGAATTTACCATATAACACTCTTTTTACATAAATTCTCTTCCTTTTTTTTTCCAAAGATGATAACCATTCTTTTCCACAGCGAACTTCCTTCATGTCTGTGGACTAGACTGCCTAAGACCACAAGATTAGAAGTTAGGATAATACATGTTACACTGTTAACTTTTAGCAAACTTTACTTTTTGTTGAAAACCTTATAAGTTTGGGATTTCAATTATCCTTTGCTATTAATAAGACCTTGTTTAGTCCAAATTAACTTACAATTGGTATAGATGGTTCCTTCCTGGTTCTGTAAGTACTTTAAGGCTTGGCTGAGTGCAAACAGCTCCCATGTTTGAGCAGACCAATTATTAGGCAATTTTCCTAACTCTGCTTTTACAAGAGTTTCCCTATTAATTACTGAATACCTATTGTGTCTTTTTCCCTCAATTACTCGGGAGGAACCATCTATCTCCTGTCCTGAAGGGAGTTCCTCATAGGTCTGGTCGGACCTTTGTATGGTAATTAATTAAGATTTAGATCCCCTGTTAGGAAACCTGCTGAGTTAAGGGAATTATCGGTGGTTAATTTTAAATCATCTTTTTCTAACAGAATAGCCCCATACTTTAAGATTTTTGAGTTAGTAAGCTACCTTTTTGCTTTTTTTTTTTTTTCCCCTTAGGCTAGTTCTGAACTGGCGAGGTGTGCTCACAATGAGGTTTCTTCTAAAAGTTATTTTTCTACTTTCTTCTGCTACCAAAGCAGTTGCCGCTACAGATTGAATTCACTTGGGCCATCCATGGGTTACTGGGTTAAGGATTTTTGATAGGAAGGCTACGGGTTGTCAGTGGCCTCAGTGCTTTCGGGCTATGCCCTTGTTTACACTTACAACAAGGTGGTATTGGAGTGTTAGAGTGTCACAGAGAAGACCTTCAATTATCAATTATAGGTTTTAAATTTACCCTGGGCTTTAAAGGAATATGGTACATTGTTTTCTCTTTACTACTTCTATCTCTCTCTCTCTCTCTCTCTCTAACTCCCTCTTTGTCTCTTCCTCTCTCTGTTTTTCCTCTCTCTCTCTCTTTTTCCTCTCTCTCTCTTTCCCTCCTCTGTCTCTCTCCTCTCTGCTGGTCTTTCCCTGCCTCTGCCAGCCACTTATGCTGCTGTTCTCCCCTCTCCTTCCCCTTTTACCCCGGAGAATAAAAGTTCCTCTGAGGAGGAGACAACATTAGACGGGGGGAAACAAACAGAGGAGCGAGCAGCCTCTGAATCGACTAAAAAGGTGATAAGCTCATGTTTAGGTCCCACCTCCAAATTTATCAAGGGCTCCTGGTGGGACTCAAGAGACAGAGCCCCTGACCCCCCTATTCTTCCTCGAAAGTTATGGGTGGAAGGGCTTCTTTCTCCTTTCTTAGTTCAGGACATCCTCTCTTGAAGTGGCCTGTTCTTCCACATCTACAGCACCTATCTTGTCCTTCCTCCTTAGTTCTGGGATTCTTTAACCCTGCTCCCCCATACTCTTTAGGGGGCCTGGTAGACGAGGACCTTGGTCCTCCAGATGGAGGCTGGGATCCTTTAAAAGAGGGTTCGGACCCTTTATAGTTTCTAGCTCCCTGGAAACTGTCTAGAAGTACCTGGGTTTGGAGCCATCTGTTGAAAGGTGGAAAACATAAGTTTTGTCTTTTGTTTCTGTTTTTCTTCGTCCCTTTTCATGTATACTCACGTATACTTTCTGAGCTTCCCTGAGAAGCTCACTTAGGGGACGGTCTTCCCAATTGTCTATCTTTTGTAACTTTTTTGAAATGTCTGGCCAACTTTTAGTGACAAATTGGAGTTTCAACCTTCCTTGCCCAAGGGGATCATCCAAATTGAGGCTTTCATATTGCCTCATTCGCTCCCTCAGTCTATCTTGATGGTTTTGGGGTAAGGTTCAAGGTTCAATTTCCCTTACTGATAATTTCTCACTTTTTGGGGTGAGGCTCATTTCCCCCACTGGAAATTTCTTGCCTTTTCTACTCCTGGAGGTTCGTGTGAGGTTCAATCCCCACCAGTGGGGATGTCTCGCCTCTTTTTAAACTCTAAGCCACCCCAGCCAAGGAGTACTTCACCTCCTCCGCTCCCCCCTCACTTTCTTACCTTGGTTCCGACCACCAACGGAATACTTTACCCGCTCCCGTGGCTTCTCCTTCCTTGGTCTGTGCACAGAGTCATTGCCGCAGTATGTGAGGATCCTTTAAGCTAGGTTGCTGGCCAGTTTTTTTTCCCCCCGCGTTGCTGAGAGCTTGGGTTATTCCTCGCACTGGGTGGGTCTTGATTTCTCACCCCTGAGGCCACCACAAGGCGGCAGGCCGCGCCTCCTCACGAGAGAGAACCAGAGACTGTCCCCGGAGGGGAACGTAATCACAGGGGAGCCCCCAAATTGTTATATATAAAGTTTGGTGCCACAAAAGAAATAGCACTCGAATATAAAATTTTCTTTTAATTCTCAGCAAGGGAAGTTACTTCTATAGAAGGGTGCACCCTTACAGATGGAGCAATGGTGAGCACACACTTGGACAAAGGAGGGGAAGGGTTCTTATCCCTGACGCACGTGGCCCCTGCTGCTGTGTCATTCCCCTATTGGCTAGGATTAGACCGCACAGGCTAAACTAATTCCAATTGGCTAATTTAAAGAGAGTGACGGGTGAGTGGTTTGGGGGGAAAAATGGTTATGACAGAGCAGGAGTAGGAATCGGAATGAGTCAGGGTGGAACAGGTGATTGAAATTAGTCAGGGTGGAGCAGGTAATTGAAAAAGGTTGCTTTATAAGGAAGTTAAGTTAAAACTAGAAGGTAAAGAATTGAACATACTGACATATTGATTCTTTGAAAAGAAATTTAGAACTCATACCTAACATAAAGTACTTTTTCAAGTTGCTTTTATGCTTGATGTGTTAAGGAAAGACAAAAAGAACTTGTAGCTTCCCTTTGTAAATATGAAGGTGTCTTGTGAAACTGATCCAGCCATAAATATATCCTAGGAATACTGATTCTTAAGAGTTTCATATTGCTGACCAAAGAAAACAAATCCTATATAAAGGAGTGATTCTTTTTTTTTTTTTTTGAGACGGAGTCTCACTCTGTCGCCAGGCTGGAGTGCAGTGGCGCGATCTTGGCTCACTGCAAACTCCACCTCCTGGGCTCAAGCCACTAGATTCTGATGAGTCATATTTGCCAGTGGAAGACATCTCCCCACACCCAGTGAAAGCAGTCTTCCCAACCTCAGCAGAAGTGGCATACCCACCCCCAGTGTCAATGACATCCTCACTGACAGTAGCATTAGCTTGTCCACCTTCAGTAGTATTGGACCTCCTATCTCAATCTGAGATTAACCCTGCATTGCCTGAGGAAACTATAATGGCCTCCCTCAAGGCAGTTGTCATGTAGACAATGCTGATTCACCTTAGGCTCCACCTTCATCGTTTATCTTTGTTTCTAGACCTATAACTAGATACACACCCCAAAGGTGAGTTACCCGTGAGGAGGTGTGATACAATTCAAATAACTACTTCCGTTTTCTAACTGATAGAGACAGAATCTGGCGAGCAGCTGTAGGAATAGATACTAAGGGTGTAGGATAATAGTGGAAGGACCACAAAGTTTGATCAGGTTAAATTTATTGATATGGGCTCACAAAGCAGAGATTCTGCATTTAATGTTGCAGCTCATGGAATTAGAAAGGACTCTAATAGTTTGGCTAGTTGGTTAACTGAAATATGAATCAAAATATGGCCCAGAGCAAAGTTGAAATGCCTGTCTTGCCTTTGTTTAATGTAAAGGACCAGATTTAAAGTCTTAGGGAAACTGGAGTATTATAGTGGATTTGTCATTCACCCACACTGGGAAGGTCCAGAAGACATACTTTTCACCTGTGGGGAAGAGTAAATTTTTCCCCTGTAGGTTTGACAAAAATGAGTCTATAAAACTAACTGATAATAGATTAACAACAGGTAAAAAGGGCATACAAGTTTATTCATATGCATATGGGCATGGGAGTCACATACAAAGTATGAAGCTCAAAACAGAGATCAGTTGGTTGAAGGTTTTATATTATCCTGAGGTTACAGAAAGAATAGGGACTTGGAACTTGGCAAGACGGGTTATGGAAGGGAGACAATAAGAAGGGCAAGAGGTAAAGTCAGTTTTGTTACGCAAATGAATCCTCACAGGTAGCACCCCTCAGAAACAACAGATGGCAACCTGTGGTTGAATTAATCTTCCCTATCTATACAAGGGGAAGGGCCTCAGAGAAAGCCTGGCTGTTTATTTAATTAATGTAGATTTTTCTCTACAGATGCAAATCTCCTCCACAAAAGGCAGCTTTTCAGAAGTATTCCTGTCTGCAGGCCTTCTGAATAACCGTCTTGAAATAATATGTCACAGTATATTCTGGGGGTGAAATTTTTTTTTTGTTTCCTTTATACCAATTCTGTGAAAAATTTTTATGAGGAGAACCCCAGCATACTTCAAGAGCTCCATGATTTCTCTTCTCTTTAGGCCATACATTACAGAGGGAACTGCAATCACTGAGTTGGAAACTTAAATGCAATAGGAATAATTGGATCACAGGGTGGCAGGGGCCAAGTGGCAGTACTCCATTACCAAAGGCAAGGTGCACATTGTTAACCATAATGGACAACAGAGTCAAAGCCACAATCACAATAGTCTGATTTGCACAGAACTGTAGTGTTGGCTAATTGATCATGGTGCTCCTTGAAGTGAAATAGGTAGGAAGCCTACTAAATTCTTATTTGATCTGTATAAATAGAAAAGTTCTAGCTTAAATGAACAAAAGCTTAACATGAATCATAAAAGCAGAGACTCAGATTCCTCAATCAATTTCCAGACTGAAGCCAGTTTACAGACCCAGAATCCCTTGAATGAAGAGGTTAGGTTTCCTTGAGGAAGGACCCCAGTTCACTACCAAAAATTTATACTTTTAGTTTTTCTCCCAGCCTTCCTCAAGTGAATCTATGACCTTTTACCAGGCTAACTGTGCACTGGGGAAAAGGAAATAATCAGATCTTTCAGGGACTACTATACACTGGCTCTGAACTGGCACTAGTTTCAGGAGACCCAAAACATCACTGTGGCTGACCAGTCAAAGTGGCAGCTTATGGAGCCCAGGTGATCAATGGAGTTTTAGCTCAGGTCCATCCCACAATGGGGCTAGTGGGTCTCCAAAACCATCCTGTGGTTGTTTTCCCATTTCCAGAATGCATAATTGGAATTGACATACTTGGCAGTCTGCGTAATCCCAACATTGGCTCTCTGACCTGTGAAGTGAGAACTGTTAGGGTTGGAAAGGTCAGGTAGAAGCCCCTAGAAATCCTCTACCAAGGAAAATAGTAAATCCAAAGCAATACTGCATTCCTGAAGGGACTGCAGAGATTAGTGCCACCATCAAGGACTTGAAAGAGGCAAAGGTGGTGGTAATTCCCACCACATCCCCATTCAACTTTTCTATTTGACCTGTATAGAACACAGAGGAATCTTGGAGAATGACAAGATTATCAAAAGATTAAGCAGGTGATGGTTTTAAAATCCAATTGCAGCTGCTTTACCAGCTGTTGGTTCATTGCATCAGCAAATTAAAACATCATCTGGTCCCAGGTATGCATCTGGCCTGGTATGCATCTGGCAGATGTCTTTTATCTCCATCCTTGATGTTGACCTAAAATAAGAGGCTGAGGCACAATAAATAATTTAAAGCGTTCACTTGAGCCAAAATGAAGACAGCTGTGAGGAAGATTGAGACACAGGTACACTTGGATATGAGCTCTGTCTGGCCTTTGTTATAAGCAAATTTTTATTTATTTTTTTAATTTTTGTGAGTACATAGTATGTGTATATATTTGTGTAGTACATGAGATGTTTTGATGCATGCATGCAATGTGTAATAATCACATCATGGAGAATAGGGTATCCATCCTCTGAAGCATTTATCTTTTGAGTTACAAGCAATCCAATTATACTCTTTTAGTTATTTTATAATATACAATTATTATTGACTATAGTCGCATTGTTGTGAAATCAAATAGTGTCTTATTCATTCTTTCTAACTATTTTTGTACACATTAACCATCCCCACCTCCCCTCCAGACCCCAGTACCCTTCCCAGACTCTGGTAACCATCCTTCTACTCTCTACGTCCATGAATTCAATTGTTTTGATTTTTGGATCCCACAAGTAAGTGAGAATATGCGATGTTTGTGCTTCTGTGCCTGGCTTATTTCACTTAACATAATGATCTTCATTGTCTAGGGTGACACCCAGAGTTCTTGATCTCATGGCCAAGGAAATCAAGGACGTGGACATACCAAATATGAGGTTTAGAGCAGAAATGTAATAGGAGAAAGAGAACAGTTGTTTGGTACAGAGAAGGGTCCTGGAAAAAGGGTTGCCGTCCCACAGTGAAATGCAGGGGTTTTTATAGATGAGCTAGTGGGGAGGCGGTATCTGATCTACATAGGGCACGAAAAACCGGTTAGGACCATGTGTGCCATCTGCATATGGTGGGAATCTCTGGCAGCCCTCACCCCAACCTTTTATTATGCAGGTGAGTCCTCAGCCTGAGCTACTCCATGTTGCTTGTTTCTTACTGTGCATGTGCTAAAAAAGGGGCAGTGAAACTCCCATGGTGAACATGCCTGGTCCCAGGTAGCCCCTTCTATCCGTGCAGCTGCTGGCATACCCCTCAGTGCAAGCTTCCAGCCTCCTTATCCTTGTTTGCAGCCCGATCTTCCAGGCTGCTCTTTGTTAGAAAAGAAGTGATTTCTTGGGCTGCTTTTTGTTAGAAGGGAAGTTCTGCTGAGGACTCTTTGCCCTCATTATCTGCCTAAATAGTTTCTTTTTCCCTCCTGTGTCATATAGATCACATTTACTTTATCCATTCATCTGTTGATGGACACTTATGTTGCTTCCAAATCTTAGCTATTGTGAACAGTGCTGCAACAAACATGGGAGTGCAGATATCTCTTTGATATCCTGGTTTTTGTTTTTGTTTTTTTCCTTTTGAGTATATACCCAGCACTAGAATTGCTGGATTACATGGTAGCTCTATTTTTAGTTTTTTGAGAAACTGCCAAACTGTTCTCCATAGTGGTTGTGATAATTTACATTCTCACCAACAGTGTAGGAGAGTTCCCTTTTCTCCACATCCTCACCAGCATTTGTTATTGCCTGTCTTTGGATATAGGCCATTTTAATTGGGGTGAGATGATATCTTGTTGTTTTGATATGCATTTCTCTGATGATCAGTGATGCTGAGCATTTTTTCATATCCCTGTTTGCCATTTGTATGTCTTCTTTTGAGAAATGACTATTCAAATCATTTGTGATTTTTTGATTTATTAGATTTTTTTCCTATAATGTGGGTTGAGTTCCTTGTATGTTCTGGTTATTAATCCCTTGTCAGATGGGTAGTTTGCAAATGTTTTCTCCCATTTTGTAGGTTGTCTTTTCACTTTGTTGATTGTTTCCTTTGCTGTGCAAAAGCTTTTTAACTTGATGTGATCCCATTTGTACATTTTTGCTTTGGTTGCCTGTGTACAAGCAGATTTTTAAAGGCAAAAAAGGGGGACAGAGAGTGGGCTGATACAAAGTTGTTTGTCAGGAATTCTCTTTGGTTTATAGAAATAATATTGGTTAGTGATTGGCTATATATTGTTAATCTATAAGGCTTGGGTTATCTTGTCTTGTGCAGTATTGTTAATTTGTAGCTACTTGTGGCAATAGCAAGCAGTTTCTGTCATCAAATCCCAAAATTTTGGTTCACGTATTCAATGCACAGTAAGCCAAACCCTGACCCATCAGTGCTTAGGAGCAGAGGAAGGTTTATTCGATTTAGCCAAAGCAAGAGATCAGGACAGACAGTCTCTCAAATCTGATCTGCCTTTGAACATAATTGGAGGATTTCATGAATAAGGTAGGAATGCGGGAGGTGGGATCATCAAAGTTGTTTGTGCCCCTCGGACTCTAGATGTCATCAGTCCCGATCAAACTTTTGGATGCCATCAAGATCTGCATGACTTAAGGATCATTGTTCTTTGAAATAGAAACAGGTTCATCAATCTTGAGAGCAGGTCCGGGGTTCAGGATATGAAGTTAATCAATTACTAGTGATTACTCTCTACAGAAATGATTACGTACCAGCAAGCATGCACGGATGAGGAAAAGGACAAAGACAAAGGAGACTAAGTAAAACAACCTGATACTTAAAATAAGGGCTCGGTTACAACATCCTCAATGTCATTGTTCCATTTCTCAATCTTGAGGAGTTGGTATGTTGATTCATTGTAACTATTTCCTGCTGGTAAGGGCCATTGCTAGGGGTCCAGGGAATGGCCCTTATTTACCTGCAGGTGAAAACATTCATGTGTTCTGGGACTTACAGAAGCAATTCTTTGCAGTATCATTGAACAAGGTGTTAGGATCCTCTGAGAGAGGTGATTTTGAAATCTTATACATATAGTGCAGCAGCAATATAATCCACAACAAAGGAGTATGCCTATTCCTATAATCAAAGCTAGAATTATTAATTTTTTCCATCAAGAGAGTATAGAGTTGCACCAAGAAGATAACCATTGGTTTAGCAACATCATGGGGTCAGACATGGTATTAATTTGTGAATATCTTTAAAGTTTCCTGTATTGTCTGGGATGTAT
The DNA here is from genome assembly GCF_000001405.40 of Homo sapiens. Lineage (NCBI taxonomy): Eukaryota > Metazoa > Chordata > Mammalia > Primates > Hominidae > Homo > Homo sapiens. The sequence goes on along the minus strand of NC_000023.11, from coordinate 37,472,532 downwards.
ACAAGACATTTGTTTTTGATTATGGCATAGGTTTCCCTTTGTGTAGCTGTGAGGACATTGAGGGTCATGCAGTTCTGCAAGATTGCCTTTCTCATCATGGTCATTTCAGAGGTCACTAAAGAGATGCCTCTGAATGCATTCTTTAGCATATGCTGCATATAGTTTGAGAGGGTCCTGGTATGCCAGATAACATTTTCTAAACTAACTTAGGGAACAGAAATGGATAGGAGATGGTCATAACAGTGGAAACCAACCTGGTCCATTGGTACAACACATATTGGAGATCTGCAGGCTGTCCATCTGTGTTTTCCAAATGAAACTGGACCCAAGGGAAACCCAGGGTGCACCATTCTATCCATTCAATAAGGTAGTCAGGGCCAAAGATCAGTGTCACATAGCCATTTAGTTCCATTTGGGGCTAGTCATCGAATTCCTAGCCTCTGTGTCCAATCAGTAGAAAACCAGTCAGTTTGTTGCAGCACTAGAGTATGTTGACATTGTTGTGGGGGCATCCAGCCCATATTAATATTTGGGCAATGATCATAAGAGTTATTTTTTTTGTTCCTAAGGTGTCAACTTGATTTAAGTAGCTGGTGGTGGGTGTCATCCAAAGGAAATCATCCCAAACTAAATAGAAACCTTCCTCAGTATAGTGACTGTTAATAGTCAAAACTTTGGGGGTTGCCAAGAACTCATTCAGGAGAGGAGCAGCATATTCAGAAGTTTGTCGAATAGTCTGATTCATAGTAAAAGGTTTTCTGTGACCTGGGTTTTGGAGGGTTACATTAATGACAGGCCATAACCTTTTATTTTCTTGTGTTAGAACACCAGGGACCTGATTTTCTTGTAAATTGTTTTTCATTAAGGTTTGTAAATGTACTCAGTCATTTCCTTGTAGAGGTGAGACCCACCAAGGTAATCCAGAAATGCTAGATATAGGTAGCAGCCCACAAACCCCACAAGCTTCCTGTTGTAGGCTATCTGTATAATGCTGTGCCCATTGTAGGAAAAGATTCGTTTCAGGAGACACCATAAGCCCATATATTATTATGGGGATTAGCAAGAATATCATAATTAAATGATAGAAGGCCTTACTTATTTGCAAAGTTTTCCTTAAAGAGCAGCTTCAAGTTTTCAGTTGGTTCACAGGTCCATTTAGGTTGATTACCTCACACATTGAGCTGAGGAGGGGCAATCTTTACCTGTGGGTATAATGTACCCAAAGTTTAACCACAGCCAATTTGATAGATAAATGAGTGGTCAGGAGGACTTCATAGGGTCCTACCCATTGAGGGACCAGTTGATGATCCAGTCCAGTTTCCCTCCAGGTCTTGAGTAGGACTTGGTCTCTGGCCTGGAAAGGGTGAAGTGGCATGTCCATGGGGAAGGCCAACCTGTCAGAAGCAAACTCTTGAACAGAGGTTACTTTTTAATTTGGCAATTTAATTTCAAAAGCACTCAATTGGAGCCTACTTTAGGGAGCAACCTGAATTCTCAGCAGGGCAGAGGGCAGTACCTTGACCCAAGTTAGACTGGTTTCTTGGCACATCTTAGCAATTGTTCTTTTTATAGTATGATTCATTTTTTTCAGTCTTTCCTGTGGATTGTGGACACCATGCTGTGTAAAGTTTCTATTCAGTGTCTAGGATCTGAGACATTTCCTGTACTACCTGAGAGACAAATGTTGTGTTGTTGTCACTCTGAATATCAAAGGGAGTCCATACCAGGGGATTATCTCTTTAAGTAAGCTGTGGGCCATTTCGGGTAGGGTACGCCTCCATCCATCCCGTAAATGTGTATACAAAAAAAAAAAAAAAGGATATCTATAGCCTTTGGGCACTCACAGCATTGTTGTGAAATCAACTTGCCAATCCTCATATGGAGAATCTCCTCAAGAGTCCCCTGAACAGGGGGTACGGGTCCAATTTTAGGATGGTTTTGAGCACAGAGAGTGCACTGATGGATCATATTTTGGATTACCCATTGCATATTGGGACTAATCAAGTACTAACGTAGCCATTAAAGGGTTGCATCTTTTCTGTAATGGGTGCTTTGATGAAACTTGCTCACTACTTTTTTTTTTTTTTTTTTTTTGGCAGAGTCCTGTCCTGTCACCCAGGATGGAGTGCGGTGGTGCAATCTCGGCTCACTGCAACCTCTGCCTTCCAGGTTCAAGTGATCCCATGCCTGGCTAGTGTTTTTGTATTTTTTGAAGAGACAGCGTTTCACCATGTTGGCCAGGCTGGTCTCGAACTCCTGGCCTTAAGTGATCCACCTGTGTCGGCCTCCCAAAGTGCTGGGATTACAGGCATGAGCCACTGCGCCAGCCAACTCACTGTATCTTTAAGGAGGGCTCCAGGAACCAATATAATGCCTCCCAAATTACATATCTAGCCTGGATGGCCTGGGGCTGGGGACGTAAATCCCCAATCCTTGGGCCACTTTAAGTCTTCTTCAGTATAGCAAGGTTGAGACTTACTTAGTAAGATCAACCTGCGATACAAACAGGGCTAAGAAGGCCTCAAAGTCCAATGTTTTTGCAGCCTGTTTCGCTGCCAGGTTGGCATGTTGATTTCCCCTTTTTGATGGCTAGGATAGTGGATGATAGCCACCACTCTGGGGGCATTTACAGATTCTTATAAGGCCAAAATATCAGAGACATATTTGATTTCCTTGTTATCACTAGTCAAAGGCCCTCTCTCATTCTAAATAGCCCCATGGGCATGTGCCACAGAGAAAGCATATTTAGAGTCTATATAAATATTCCCAATTTTGTTCTTATCCAATTGGATGACAAGAGTAAGGCAATGAGCTCACGCTGTTGAGCTGAGGTACTGAGGTGTCTGGCAATAAGGCTTTGGCTTTCACAGTGCCTTGTAAGGTACCGACCACACATACCCTGCATGATGACTTCCATGGTCCTTGAAGCTGCTTTCATCTGTGAACAGTTTCAGGTCAGGATGTGCCAAGGGCTAATACACCACGTTTGGTCAGCTGGAAAAGATCTGCTGAATATTCTGAAGAAAATTAGGTGTAGCCCTGGCTCCGTTTCTGTAGGCTTTAAGGTAGCAGTGTTAAGAACTGAGACCGCCTTTATTTTTAACTCTGGTTTGTAAAAGAACATAGCCTGGATTTCCCTAACCTCTCTGGAGTCAGCTAATACCCCTCCTTTTTGCTGTAAGAGAGGGAGGATGTGATGCAGTGTGTGAATGGTGATGGCTGTCTGAGAGTTAACTTTTCAGCCTCCTAGAGGAGGTAACAAGTTGCAACTACTGCTTGGAGGCAGGGAAGCCAACCCTTCACCACCTGATCAAGCTATTTAGTGAAATAAACAATTGATCTCCAGTAAGGTCCCAAACTTTGAGTTAGGACTCCCAAGCTCATGCCTTGTTTTTCATGCACAAATACATCAACAAATTTTCTGACATTTGGAAGACCCAGTGCAGGAGCAGTCATTAACTTTTCTTTGGCTTTATTAAAAGAATGTTGGCATTCTGAGGTCCTGACCAAGGGTTCAGATTCCTTTCCCTTTAGGACCTCATAAAGAGGTTTTACTGTAAGTTCAAAATTTGGAATCTAAATTCAACAAAATCCTACTATACTTACAAAACCTCACAGTTGTTTGCAGGCGGTAGGGACGGCTGCCCAGGCTATTGCCTCTCAGCAGTCTGGGAGAAGATTTCTTTGTCCCTTAGTTGGTTCAAACTCCAAGTATTTGGAGATCAGGGCTTGGGAGATTTGGGCTTTTTCTTTTGGAAATCTGATAGCCTCTTTTTGTTAGAAAACTCAGTATTTGGATGGTATTTTCAAGGGAATCTCTAAGAGTCTTACTAGAAACAAAGGTATCATCTTGTAAAAGCATTCTTCTTTCGGTCAGAAATCCCTTAAGTCCCATGCCAAAATTCTCCCAAAGGTTGCGGGTAAATTTTAAAAATCCCTGAGATAACACTCTCCAACAGTACTGCTAATTCACCTGCATTCCTGGTCTTGCCCATTCAAATGCAAAGACCTCTTGTGACTCCGTATCTAGCAGTATGCAAAAGAAGGCATCTTTCAGATCCAAAATTATAAACCATGTAATGATTTACCTTGTCTTATCTCCTGATAAGCTTGTCAGCAAAGTATAGGGATTAGGTACCATAGGGTGTATGTCCTGGACTACTTCATGAATAACCCTGAAGTCTTGCACAAGCCAGTAGTCAGCTGAACAGGGCTTGTGAACCAGCAAGACAGGAGTGTTGTAGGGGAAGTGACAGGGCTGAATTAGTCCTTGTCCCAAAAAGGCTTCCAAGAGCAGCTGAATGCCCTTTCATACTGCCTCCTTTAATGGGTGTTGTTTTAGATTAGGTATTCTGTGTCCCTCATTTATTTTTTACAAGCTTGGCTGTGACCATTCTCCCCAGCTTCCCTGAAGCCCAAATATCTTCCCTTAGCCTCATGAGAATTTTCAGATTATGAGACTGACGCGCTGCCCACTGCGCTAAGAGGGCCTCTAACCTCATGAGAATTTTCTCTGGAATGTCCTAAACTTCTGTATTTTCTGGTTGGAGTTGGAGCTTTTGAAACCTGCAAGCTTGTTCAGGAGGAATCCCTATGTCTAGGTGTCTGGAGGAAAAGACAAATTGAGCACACAATTTGGCAAGCAAATCCTGGCCCAGGAGGGGCACTGGGAATCCAGGCACATACAGGAAACTGTTTCAGGCTGGTCTCTCCTAAATGGCAATCTAAGGGTTGTAGAAAGGGGCAAATAATGGCACCTTCCAATATCCCCATAACAATCTTGGTTTCTCCCATAATTGGGAAGAGACAAATGTTAATTACTGATCATGTGGCAACTTATCATTTAAGAAATCAATCATTCTGTTCCCCAATGTCAATTGTATCTTGGGTTCCTGTGGGGATACAGGTACTGGTCATTCAAAGTCTCAGGGACACCTTGGGCTGTATCAACTTTCATCTCAGTCTTTTCCCCTTCCCATCATCTGATTCTGAGGGAGAGTTGGGCTTGACAGCCACTTTGGTCAGTTTGGGATGGCCCTTTTTCCGATGTCCTTCTTCCTTACAATAAGTGGACTGGTTCTTCCCTAAGGTGGGGTGGATCCTCCTTTTGCTTTGATTTTTTTCATTTCTTTTAGGTTGAAAGTCAAGCACCATCACCAACATGGATACTTGTTGCTTTAACTTGTGCTTTTCCTGATCCTTAACCCAAGCATAGTACACCCTAAAAGCTAACTAGACTAAATGTGTTTGGCAACACAATGGCTTCATCTATCTTTGGCAATTTTCTTTGACTATCAGGGACACTCTGACAGATGAAGCTCATATTAACCATTCTCTGATTTTCCAGTTCCACCTGCAAACTTTTGATATGTCTGATAGTCTTTCCAAGAATTGTGAAGGCCTCATTTGGTTGCTGCTGTACCTCCTGTACTTTATTAAGGCTCTTGGAGGGACCCCTTTCTTTAAACCTTCAAGGATACAACTTTAATAGTGCTCTAAGTGGGGAAGACCTCCATTATTTACATCCTAACTGGGTTCCGTGGTGCGGACTGACTGCATTGGCTCAGGGAGATTATTTCCATCCTCAAGATGGAGCCAGGTTGCTTCCTCTTTAGTTTTTTTCTATGACAATGTTCCTTTTATTTGCTGTGAGCAGTACATTTAACAAAGCCTGGATATCTGCCCATGTGGGATAATAGGTCAGAAGTATGGATGAGAATTGCTCAGCTATTTACTTGGGGTCATCTTGATTGGAGGGATTATTGCTTTTCCAATTGAACAGATCTGAAGTGGGAAAAGTGGAGTGCACCCACATCATATCAGCCAAATGCTCATTCACATTATCCTAACAGGGGATTAGCAGAGAGGAAACTGCCCTACCTAGGGGCCTGTGGCTCACTGGCCAAATTTTGTTACCTGTCAGGTACAAGAAGAAGAATTCATAACCTATCCTGATTTTTCCCCCATGAGGGATTGGGGGTGTCCTCCTCCTGCTCCACATGTTCCATAAGGAGGGGGATGTGCTGGAGCCACAGGTGGCAGAGGAAGGGGCAGAGGACCAGGATGATTATTTGGGGGATTCAAGGTGCTGATCAGCACCTTGTCCTCTACATCTAATGGTGGAAAGTCTAAAACCTTAGGTTTGGGCTATTCTTCCTTTTGCGGCATCAAGTTATACTACACCTTTTTTGAGCAGGTTTATTCTGACACAAAAGCATAAAAATCCGAACATATGGGATCTCATCCCATTTTCTCTCCCTCTTACAAAACAGTTCTAGTTGCATTATAGTAACATAATTTAAAGACCCATTCACAAGCCACTTTACCCCAGAATCTAAGGCATATTGAGGCCAAGCAGTGTAATAATAATAATGAAAACATTTTCTTTTTCCTCATGGACTCCTAGCTGAAAGTGGCCCAATTCTGGAAAACACAGCCAAAGAAGGCTGCACTCTGAGATTGATCCTGAATTTCCCACATTCAATCCTTCCACACACACACAAAACCAAACTACTGCAGGTACACAAACAAGCAAATCAGTATAGGCTACCATTCTACTTACTCTCCCAAATGGGCTCTCTTCAAAATACAAATGGAGAGAATGAGAGATTTGGTTGCGCATGTGTAACAACTTGCCCTTCAAATCAAAACTGAAAATTGAGGAAGCAGTCCAAGGTGTTTCTCTGCTCCAAGCTCCTAGGGTGCCAAGGGCAGCTGACACCTACTGAGAAGGGTGACCCCAGGGCTTACCCCAAGCAACACACCCAGGCAGCTGTGTGGATGCCCATTTGCCCAACCTGACTGGGACCTACTGGCCATGAGCACATGTGTCCTGCTGCAGTCATCAAAATCTGTTATCGATTCCTGAAATTTAGGCTCACGTGCCTGATGCACATTAAGCCAAACACAGACATATCAGTGCTTAGGAGCAGAGAAAGGTTTATTCAATTTGGCCAAAGTGAGAGGGCAGGTGAGACAGTCTCAAATCTGACCTGCCTTTGAAATAACTGGGGACTTTTATGAGTAAGGTAAGAATGTAGGAGGTGGGATCCCCCAATGATCAAATCTCTTTGCACTCCCTGGAATCTAGATCTCATCAGTTCCAATCAAACTTGTGGATGTCATCAAGGAGGTCTGCATGACCTATGGATCACTGTTCTTTAAAAGAAAAACAAGTTCATCGATTCTGAGGGTAGCTCCAGGGGTCAGGATTTCAAGTTTATCAATAACTAATGTCCACCCTCTATAGAAATGACTAGATACAAGCAAGCATGCATGGATAAGGAAGAGGACAAAGAAAAAAGACAATAAATAAAACAAACATCTTATGATCTTTATAATAAGGGCTTGGTTATATTTCAAGAGATGAATACATAGCTCAATGGGGGAAGGAGGGTATGACTGCTGTCTCAATTTAATGCCTCTCTGGACCTGATAATTTAAAATGGCTCACATTCCTCAGATAAAATTGCTTTTCTTTCTTCACTGCCCATATGCCCACCAGAAGCAGTTTGCTTTCAGCTGGAAAGGCCAGCAATATACCTTCACTGTCCTAAATCAGAGGTATATCAACTCTCTAACCCTATGTTATAATTTCATTCTCAGGGCTCTTGATTGCCTTTTCCTTCCACAAGATATCACACTTGTCCATTATATTGAGGACCTAGTGAGCACCAAGTAGCAACTACTCTAGGGTTATTGGTAAGAATTTCGCGTGCCAGTGGATGGGAAATAAATCCAACTAAAATTCAGTGTCCTTTTACCTCAGTGAAATTTCTAGGGGTCCAGTGGTATGGGACATGAAGATATTCCTTCTAAGGTAAGGGATAAGTTGTTGCATCTGGCCCCAACAACAACAACAAAAGAGGCATAATGCCTTGTAGGCCTCTTTGGATTTGGAGGAATACCCAAATGATATTCCTCATTTGGGTGTGTTACTTCAACTCAAGTACTGAGTGACCTAAAAAGCTGCTAGTTTTGAGTGGGGCCCAGAAAAGGAGAAGGCTCTGCCATAGGTTCAGGCTGATCTGCAAACTACTCTGCTCTTGGGCCATATGATCCAGCAGATCCAATGGTGCTTGGTATCAGTGTCAGATAAAAATGCTGTTTGGATCCTTTGGCAGGCCTCTATGAGTGAAACACAGAGAAGACCCTTGGGATTTTGGAGCACACGTGCCACCCTCTGCTCTTTTACCCACTATTTTAAAAGGAGAGTAGGTATCTACTTTCCTTTTGAAAAATAGCCCTTGGCCTGCTACTGGGCCTTATTGGAAACTGAATATTTGACTATGGGTCACCAAGTGACCATGCGACCTAAACTGCCTATCACAAACTGGGTGTTATCTGACCCACCAAACCATAAAGTTGGGTGTGCACAGCAGGACTGTCTGCATCATCAGTTGGAAGTGGTATATATGTGATCGAGCTGAATGGACTCTGAAGGCATAAGTAAGTTACATGAAGAAGTGGACCAAATGCCCATGTTCCTCACTCCTGCTACACTGCCTTCTCACTCTCAGCCTGCACCCATGGCCTCATGGTGAATTCCTCACACTTAGTTGACAGAGGAAAAGAAGACTAGGCTAAGTTTATAGATGATTCTGCACAATATCCAGGCACCACCCCAAACTGAACAGCTACAGGACTATAGCCCTTTTCTGGGATATTCCTGAAAGACACTCATGAAAAGAAATCCTTAGTCTGCAGAACTCCAAGCAACAAACCTATTTGTTCACTTTGCTTAGAAAGAGAAATGTCCAGATGTGATTATATACTGATTTATTCCCTGTGGCCAATGGACTGGTTGAATGATGAGAGATTGAAAGGAACATGATTGGAAAATTAGTGAGAAGAAAATTTGGAAAAGAGGTTATATGAATAAGCCTCTCTCAATGTGCAAGAAATGTGAAGATATTTGTGTCCCATGTGAATGTTCACCAAAGGGTGACCTCAGCAGAGTAGGACTCAAAATAATCAAGTGGATAGGATGACCTTTTCTATGGATACCACTCAGCCTCTTTCCCCAGCTGCCCCTGTCATTGCCCAGTGGGCTCATGAACAAAGTGGCCATAGTGGCAGAGATGCAGGTTATACATTGGCTCAGCAATGTAGAGTTCCACTCACCAAGGCTTACCTGGCTATAGCCATGACTGAGAGCCCAATCTCCCAGCAGCAAACACTGAGCCCCTGGTTTGAAGCCATTTCCCAAGGTGATCAGCTAGCTCCTTGGTGCCAGGTTGATTACATTGGACCACTTCTACCAAGGAAGGAACAGCCTTTTGTTCTTACTGGAATAGCACTTACATTAGATACAGATTTGCTTCCATCCATGGACTTACAGAATGCTTTACACACTGCCATGGTTTCCACACGGCATTGCTTCTGATTTAGAACTTCACTTTGTAACAAAAGAAGTGTGGCAATGGGCCCGTGCTCATGAAATTCACTCATGTTACCATGTTCTCTACCATCCTGAAACAGCTGATACAATGGTAGAATGGCCTTTTGAAGACTTCCTTACAGTGCCAGCTAGGTGGCAATACCTTGAAGAGCTGAGGATAGGTTTTCCAGAAGGCCTCTACTCAGCATCCAATATATGCTGCTGTTTCTCCCATAGCCAAGATTCATGTCTCCAAGAATCAAGTCAAGGAAATGGGAGTGGCACCACTCACTATCACCAACAGCAACCTGCTAGCAACATTTTTGTTTCCTGTTTCCACCACCTTAACCCCTGCTAGCCTAGAGGTCTTAGTTCCAGAGGGAAAAATGCTTCCATCTAGAGACACAACAATGATACCATTGAATGGAAGTTAAGAGTGCTTCCTGGCCACTTTGTGCTCCTCATTTCTCTAATCTACAGGCAAAGAAGGGAGTTTCTGTGCTGGCTGAGGTGATTGATCCTGACTACCAAGGGCAAACCGGAGTACTACCCCACAATGGAAGTAAGGAAGAGTATGTCTGGAATGCAGGAGATGAAAAACTACAACAGCCCAATTCAAGCAGGACTCCTAATGGCCCAGACACTTCAGGAATGAAGATTTGGTTTACCTTATCAGGTAACGTATGGCAACCAGCAGAGGTGCTTGTTGAAGGCATAGGGAAAACAGAATGGGTAGTGGAAGAAGGTAGTTATAAATATCATGCATAACCATGTGACCAGTTATAGGAATGAGGATTCCAATTGTCATGAGTATTTCCTCCTTAGTTTGTAACAAATACATTTGTGTGTGTGTGTGTTTGTGTTAAGCAAATACCTTTGTTTTCTTTCCTCATTTCCTTATCATGTAAGATGTATTACTTTGTATCATAGCATTTAAGTATTGCTAATTTTATATCTTAGTATTTAAGTTATAGGATATCAGGGAGAAGAATAAACATCAATCAAGGACTTTGCCTCCTCTTTTGGGGAAGGGGTTAGTGTATTTTGGGTTGTACCCAGTATAGTTGGATGTTAGATGGAATTATGACCTTATTATTGTCTTTATTTAGAGATTAAATATGGTTTAAGGAGATGTTTATGGGTGACAAGCTGACAAGGGGTAAACTCGGTGATGATAGAAATGATATAAACAAAGAATCAGAACCATTAACATTCATGGTTCTTTCTTATATTAACATAATTATTACAGTGTATGTTGGTAGCCAGTGTGCTATGTTTGCGAGTTAGGAACAACTGGATTAAAAAGAACGTTTTGAACCCCAAGCAGTATATTAGTGGAGGAGATTCTGAAGACTTTTTTGAAGTGTTAAGATAAGGAGCTATGAAATTGGATACCAATAGGAGATGTTATATTACAGTGGCTTTTCAATTATGTTCATCCAATTTTATGGTTTGGAGAGGTGACTTGGACTGACCTGAAATAAGCAGGGCTGATGAGAAAGGTCACAGATGGTGGGATTCAAGCTTCACACTTCTGTAGTCAACAACATTCCCATCTGTGTAATACATTAGAGTTCCATGAAAATTGTTTCACAGTTAGGTCTCATTGCTAAAAACTTAAAAAAATCATAGCATAGACTAATAAAGATGTTAAGTACCATGGGACTTTAGGCAAGAAGAATCTCTGGGAGCTTAAGGTTAGACAACTAGTTAGAAGATTAGAAGGATACCATTTTCGGTCTGATTGAAAAATTCCCAGGGACAAAGGCTATAGACACTATTACTTTCTAATCTCAGTGTTTCACACAAAATAGGAATTTTATAAATATCTATTATCTGGACTGTAGAAAGAAATAAGGTTAGATAAACTCACGGGACCAGATTACAAAGGGTTTTGAAAGCTGCTGTCACGCCTCTGAGCCCAAGCTAAGACAACATATCCCCTGTGACCTGCACGTATACATCCAGATGGCCTGAAGCAAGTGAAGAATCACAAAAGAAGTGAAAATGGCTGGTTCTTGCCTTAACTGAGCGATTAACCTTGTGAAATTCCTTCTCCTGGCTCAGAAACTCCCCTACTGAGCACCTTGTGACCCCCTCCCCTGCCCGCCAGAGAAAACCCCCCTTTGACTGTAATTTTCCACTACCCACCCAAATCCTATAAAACAGCCCCACCCCTATTTCCCTTTGCTGACTCTCTTTCAGACTCAGCCCGCCTGCACCCAGGTGATTAAAAAGCTTTATTGCTCACACAAAGCCTGTTTGGTGGTCTCTTCACATGGACACGTGTGACATTTGGTGCCCTGACTCGGATCGGGGGACCTCCCTTGGGAGATCAATCCTCTGTCCTCCTGCTCTTTGCTCTGTGAGAAACATCCACCTACAACCTCAGGTCCTCAGACGAACCAGCCCAAGGAACATCTCACCAATTTTAAATCGGGTAAGCAGCCTCTTTTTACTCTCTTCTCCACCCTCTCTCACTATCCCTCAACCTCTTTCTCCTTTCAATCTTGGCACCACCCTTCAATCTCTCCCTTCTGTTAATTTCAATTCCTTTCCTTTTCTGGTAGAGACAGAAGAGACGCGTTTTATCTGTGAACTCAAAACTCCGGCACCGGTCATGGACTCAGGAAGACAGTCTTCCCTTGGTGTTTAACCACTGTGGGGATGCCTGCTTGATTATTCACCCATGATTCAGAGGTGCCTAATCACCATGGGCACACCTGCCTTGATCCTTCACATTTAGTGGCAAGCACCACTTTCCTGGGGGGCAAGCACCCTCTACCCCTTCTCTGCGTGTCTCTACCCTCTCTTTTCTCTGGGCTTGCCTCCTTCACTATGGGCAACCTTCCACCCTCCATTCCTCCCTCTTCTCCCTTAGTCTGTGTTCTCAAAAACTTAAAACCTCTTCAACTCACACCTGACCTAAAACCTAAATGCCTTATTTTCTTCTGCAGCACCTCTTGGCCCCAATACAAACTTGATAATGGCTCTAAATGGCCAGAAAACAGCACTTTCAATTTCTCCATCCTACAAGATCTAGATAATTCTTGTCATAAAATGGGCAAATGGTCTAAGGTGCTTGATATCCAGGCATTCTTTTACACATCGGCCCCTCCCTAGTCTCTGTTCCCAATGCAACTCATCCCAAATCTTCCTTCTTTCCCTCCCGCCTGTCCCCTAGGTCCCAACCCCAAGCATCACGAGTCTTTTCAATCTTCCTTTTCTACCGACCCATCTGACCTCTCCCCTCCTCCCCAGACTGCTCCTCCTCAGGTCGCTCCCTGCCAGGCTGAATCAGGCTCCAATTCTTCCTCAGCCTCTGCTCCCCCACCCTATAATCCTTCTATCACCTCCCCTCCTCACACCCAGTCCGGCTTACAGTTTCGTTCTGCCACTAGCCCTCCCCAATCAGCCCAACAATTTCCTCTTAAAGAGGTGGCTGGAGCTAAAGGCATAGTCAAGGATAATATTCCTTTTTCTTTATCCGACCTCTCCCAAATCAATGAGCATTTAGGCTCTTTTTCATCAAATATAAAAACCCAGCCCAGTTCATGGCTCATTTGGCAGCAACCCTAAGATGCTTTACAGCCCTAGACCCTGAAGGGTCAGAAGGCCGTGTCATTCTAAATATGCATTTTATCACCCAGTCAGCTCCTGACATTAGAAAAAAGCTTCAAAAATTAGAATCCAGCCCTCAAACCCCACAACAGGAATTAATCAACCTCACCTTCAAGGTGTACAATAATAGAGAGGAGACAGCCAGACAGCAACGCATTTCTGAGTTACAATTACTTGCCTCTGCTGTGAGACAAAACCCAGCCGCACCTCCAGTGCACAAGAACTTCAAAATGCCTAAGCCTCACATGCCTAAGCCGCAGCGGTCAAGCATTCCTACAGGACCTCCTCCATCAGGATCTTGCTTCAAGTGCCAGAAATCTGGCCACTGGGCCAAGGAATGCCCGCAGCCCAGGATTCCCCCTAAGCCATGTCCCATCTGTGCGGGACCCCACTGGAAATCGGACTGTCCAACTCACCCAGCAGCCACTCCCAGAGCCCCTGGAACTCTGGCCCAAGGCTGTCTGACTGACTCCTTCCCAGATCTCCTTGGCTTAGCAGCTGAATACTGACGCTGCCCGATCGCCTTGGAAGCCCCCTGGACCATCACGGACACCATCGAGTAACTCTCACAGTGGAGGGTAAGTCCATCCCCTGTTTAATCAATACAGGGGCTACCCACTCCATATTACCTTCTTTTCAAGGGCCTGTTTCCCTTGCCCCCATAACTGTTGTGGGTATTGATGGCCAAGCTTCAAAACCCCTTAAAACTCCCCTACTCTGGTGCCAACTTGGACAACGTTCTTTTATGCACTCTTTTTTAGTTATCCCCACCTGCCCAGTTCCCTTATTAGGCCGAGACATTTTAACCAAATTATCTGCTTCCCTGACTATTCCTGGACTACAGCCACATCTCATTGCCACCCTTCTTCTAAACCCAAAGCCTCCTTCACGTCTTCCTCTCGTATCCCCCCACCTTAACCCACAAGTATGAGACACCTCTACTCCCTCCCTGGCAACCGATCACACACCCATTACTCTCCCATTAAAACCTAATCACCCTTACCCCACTCAATGCCAGTATCCCATCCCACAACAGGCTTTAAGGGGATTAAAGCCTGTTATCACTTGCCTGCTACAGCATGGGCTTCTAAAACCTATAAACTTGGTCGGGCACAGTGGCTCACGCCTGTAATCCCAGCACTTTGGGAGGCTGAGGTGGGCGGATCACGAGGTCAGGAGATTGAGACCATCCTAGCTAACACAGTGAAACCCTGTCTCTACTAAAAATACAAAAAATTAGCCGGGTGTGGTGGCGGGCGCCTGTAGTCCCAGCTACTTGGGAGGCTGAGGCAGGAGAATGGCATGAACCCGGGAGGCGGAGCTTGCAGTGAGCCAAGATCGTGCCACTGCACTCCAGCCTGGGTGACAGAGCGAGACTCTGTCTCATAAAAAAAATAAATAAATAAAAATAAATAAATAAATAAATAAAAAGGCAAGTCCATATGGCCACAGCCAAATATGAACTTTTAAAAAGTGATCTATTATGACAGATGTTAGAATCATGGTATCTTTAAGGAAGGGGAATGAGGAAGCCTTCTGGAGTGCTAGAAATTTCTTGATCTAGGTTTTGGGTTTTATGATTGTAGTCATCAATGTGTAAGTTATATAACTTTTAGAAATTGCTATAGATTTTTAAAAGTACCTTTTAAAGACTATTTGAACAACTCTTTGAGGACTTTTGCTTATAAAATTAGACTTATAATTTATATTTAAAATTCATCCTTGAATATGGAGTAAATAATTTTAATTCTTGTTACCATATCAACTCATGTTCTTGGTTAGTGATGTGACAAACCAACTTTTAGTCTTTGAGCTCTACACATAGGAAGATGCCCTTTGGTCACAATGTTTTCATCTTGTGCTTTCTTTTCAAATGCAAGCTGTTCTGCTAAGCAGGAAACAACAGGCTCCTTGGCGTCTATAGACAACACTATTCCCAGGACTTGACAAACTACACTATGCAGGGAGCTCAGTCTATTCCTTTAGAGCAATTGTTTCCATTTTGTATCATGCCAAAGTCATTCAAAAGTAGTATAGAAAGTTCTTTCTTATGCTGAGAACACTCTGAGGTTTTGATCAGATGATTTCTGTTGTTTTTACTGACCTATATTCCCTAAATCCGTAAGAAAAAAGAAACATAACCATTTTACCTTATTAAAAAGAACATAATTAATAAGAACATATGCAGCGTATTTACCACCTAACCATAATATGATTAACACATGGCAGAAAAAAAATCTCTTGGGTTTAAAAATAGCTTTATTTAGCATACCAAAAACACAGAAACATAAGAAAGACCCTACCTAGTATAAACATAAAAATAGTTAAATACCATAATTTAATGTAAACCAAGCATCTTAAAATGAGAAATATTATAATAAAATACATACTATTTACACAGAACCAAGTTAAAGCTACCTCCACAGTTATTGGATCACATCATCAATCTTGAAGTCATCATTAAAAATGAAGCAAACACAACATATCTATCTGTACTGGTCAATAGGAAAAGAAGAAATCATTACATTTACTTTAAGGAAGTATAATTTTTTGTGACATTTAGAGCAAGGAGGCAGAAAGTGCCAATTCTAGGATTCCAGACACAACTACTGCACATGCAGGCATGTAAACCATTCTACAGGAAGACCACTGAGCCTGTTCTTTTATTTAAATGCAAACTGGTTGATTCAATTCAGTTACTCCTTAAGAAAGGTACTAAATATATTCTGTAAAAATAAACTTTTAAAAAACAATCAAAGGTGAATGTAATATCAATCAGGTAAGAAAGACAAAAGCATAAAAAATATATATTATTCCAAACAAACCCCTTAATTTTAACGAATGCTAAGAAACTCAGTTTATAAAACCAGATGGGGTAGCAAAAGGGATTTTAAAAAATATAAAAGCCAAATCAAACTCAAACCAAACAAACAAACCTAAGATAATGTTTCTTGAAGACAGTGGTATTTTGTTTATCCTATCATTATCATGCAACAGCCACCATGAGATCTGTGGCTGATAGAGCTATTACTGTGAAGTAGAATGTTCTTTGACCAACAGTCTAAAAAGCTACAGTCATTGATCAGTTTAAGCATTTGGCTTTTTGGCTTCAAACATCAACATTCATTCTGATACTGCAATTTAGGTGTCTCTAAAAAGCAGCATTATATCCAATATCAGCAGTTTAAAATGTAAAATAAAGTTGCAAGAAATCACACTAACAGAATATCCTGCTCCTATGTCTAATCCTGTAGCTCTAAAACTTTTGGTCTCTGGACCCCCTTACACTTACGCTCTTAACATTTATTGAGAATCTGGATGCCAAAGTACTTTTGTTCATGAGGTTTATATCTATCAATATTCACCATACTAAAAAAACCTGAAAATTTTTAAAGTATTAACTTATTTAAACATAGTAAACCCATTACATGCTAACACAAATAACATTTTATGAAAAATGGCCATATTTTCAAAAACAAAAAAAGAGATTTGTGAGAAGATGGCAATGTTTTACATTTGCAACACTTTTTTTGAGATAGAGTGAAAAGACAATGTCTTCACATTATAATAAAAATATTTTGATCTCATAGTCCCCCCTGAAAGGCTCTCAAGGAACCCAGGGGTCCATTGGCCATACTTTGAAAACTGCTGGTCTAATCTAAAGCCTGACATTAAAGACAAAAACATGTCCACACAAAAGGTGTCTTAATTTTCATTTAAAAATAAAGAAAAAAACCCCACACATACATACACAGTTCACTGGATCAAACACTTCTACCTTTAGCTTTAAATAGAAGCCAAAGATATCTGATGTGTACTCATGGCAAAAGTAAAAATGTCATTTCTGAGACCAGGGTCAAGATACAATCAATCATTTTTAGTCCATAAAAGCTACTAAACCTATTAACTAGCACACACGCCTTACTTCCCTTTCTATCATTTGCTTAAACCTGTTTGTGCTGTGTGGACTATCATCTTTCAGTTGGCACAGTTTCAGAACAGACCAGAGCATGGCAGGGGTTCTCTAACAGCCCACACACTCAGATTAGGAATATGTTACCCATTTATGGGGCAGCCTGCTCTATTTCTCACTGTGTGAAAGCTCTCATACAATTTAGGAAAACAGAGGGGAAAATTCTCCATGAAGCACAATAATAATAACATTACGAACTTAGTGTAGATAGCTCTTCACATTTTACAAATTTCTTACATACACACCATCTTATTTGATCCTTGTAAAGCCCTTAGAGAAGTGCAGGACAAATGATGTTATCCCCATTTTAGAGTTGAGGAGGTTGAGGGTCAGATATGATTCTTGCTCAAGGTACAGTGGTGGCAAGCATGTGATAGAGGGAGATCTGAGTTCAGGTCATCTGACTCCTACTTCAGGATTCCCCTCAGTGTTCCTCCTTCCTTTGGTTCCAGGGCAGGACTCGGGGAGGAGTCTGTAGGGATGGAGCTGGAAGCAGCAGGAAATGACACACCTGAAACCTACATTCCTTCTGCCTGCCTCATCAATCATTTTATCCAACGCTGAAAAGTTTGGAAGTGGTACAAATATTTCCCTTAACTGACCTAATGAATTTGCCATCAGTGCATACAAAATGAAACTTTATGAACAACTGTCTTGTTTTCTTTTATTTCTCAGCCAGCTTATGTTGGCAACCCATTTACAGCCTGTTCTCTCTGCTCCAAGAAAAAAGTAAAAACCCTACAGTTAAAAAAATACCTGATGAAAATACAAAAGGAAGTAGCAACAATGATGAGATCTGTGTGGGGCTATTACTAGATTTATTGTGCACCTAGCATAACATGGACTTTGCAATCTTCTTCTACCACTTGGAGGGCAATATAAAAATCACAGTTGATAATTCAATGGAAAATTACCTCCTAACAATCTTGAGGCAAAGACATCAGCCTATATAAAAATATTAAGACAATAATTTCAAAAATTTTATTTTAACTAAACTCTTAAGGGCTTGAAAATTCTGTGGGAGTAGGACAGAGTGTAGAACGTACAGTAAAAGGCAATAAAACAGTGGGAATAATTTTACCAGCTATGAGTAAAGGAGTAATGGGTATTTACTGCCTGTCATTAATCCACACATATATCCATTTTAGAAATTATTTTGTTGCCTGGAAATCTGTCTCATCAAGATGTTAATATACACCGCAGGAGATATTCAAGATGCTAAGAAAACACTGTTTAATTTTGGAAGTGTGGGGGAGTGGTCAACCAAAAAAAAAATCCCTATTACAAAACAAGCCGAATGCCACCAAATACCTTATTGCTATCTGCTGTAAGCAAGTTATCAGTAGCTTATGCATTATTGCTCACACACACTTTTTCTCTATTTATAACATCAAGAATGACTATGTGTAATTTTTTTCTTTTTAAGGTAGATGAAGAATTATCAAGTTAACAAAAGCCAGTCAGAATTAGAAAACATGCTAAGTACATCCAGTTTGCAAAAATCTACAGCATGTCACTGGCTATTACACAAATTCTTGATACCCTTGTTTTGCAATTTTGGTGAGTAATGCTCTCCTTCCAGGTGATTTAGGTAGAAGTTAATGGATTTTTAAGACAGTTTTACATATACTGTGTTGATGCATACACACGTATATATGCCTATACACACATATATACACTTACATGTATGTCTCATCACATCACAGAAAGACCCCCATTAGTATGTTTTCCCTCTTCATATATTTCCCCTAGCAAAAATGAGCATGGATAATGATTCTATAACAAGAAACAAAACTAAAGAAAATAAAACAAGTGTGAAGTGGTATGCGGTAAGAGTCCAATAAAATAAGTCAATGAACATTTATGTAGTGGTAAAGTGCTAGAAAGTTCTTCCATTAGTATTTTAAAAATGATTAGAGTAAAAAGAAGTTTGCAGCTTCATTTGATGGTGGTGACCACAGGCACCATAGGAATGGCACTGGCTGAGTTGGAGTTGACTATGTCCTCATACTCTGGGGGTGGGTCTAAATGAGGTTCTGTTTCACTCCTCTGCAGGTTCACTTGGCCAGTGGCTTCCTCATAGGTTGGCGGGGGATCACAATTGGACAGGCGAGTAGAGACGGAATCTGAGCGCCCAACTACATATCCCAGAAAGCCTGGAGACAATCCACTGCTGTCAAACACTTCATCTGGTGGGGGGGGTGGGGTGATAATATTAAGGTGCTGAGGGAAAGGAATGTGGCCTTCAGTCACTGTCTGTCTACGAGTTTTGTTTCTTAGGAAGCATCTCCAGATTAGGAAAATGACAAGGAGGATAATGAAGAGGCCAAAGATTAACGGAAAGGTAAGGTAAAACTGAAACCAGTCACTTCCTCGGTTACTCTCCCCTTGTTGCGCTTTTGTGTAGGTGCTCCAAAACTCCTTCTGAAAATACAATACAAAATAAATAGAAAATCAGTATGAATAAAAGATGGAAAATACCAGATGAATAAATGTCTGGGTTCAATGAACATAATGAACAAAAACCCAAAACCAAATTTGCTGAATCAAAGGACCTACAAGTCTATATTTTCCATGTGACAAGAAATTACAAATACATAACTGTGCTCCTTCTGGATCCTCCCTAAAATGGTCAGTCAGAATCCAAGAGTGTTTTTAAAGACTTGGAGTTATTTATATTTTCAGCTATGATACTTTAGAGGGAAAAATAAGTAATGAGGGTTTTCCCCTTTACTAACTATACCAAATAATTTACTGTTAAAATATGTTAAATATCATCACTCTCCATATCCAACTACAAGATTCTCATCACATGATCCCTATCATCATTAATAGTATGTACAAGTTTAGGCAGTTGTAGTCTTTCAGTACTCAAACACTCCAGAAACACCTTGTTTTCTAATGGTTCTGTTTGGGGTTCCTTGCCACCAGACATTCCTCCTCAGCTCCCTCTCCAACCCCAAAGTTTAGTACACAGATGTTGACTGAAGGTCAAAATTATATATTGTTCCTAGGAGAGACCTCAGGCTGGTGAAGAAGCTACATTAGGTTACTTCTAAACCTGGACCTTAATCCCAAATGAAAAGTAGTCCAGTAGTTCAAGACTTTAACGTATGTAGGAGAAGTATTTAAAAGATAAAAAGGAAACTTGACCCAATTACTAGTTATGAAACCTGGTCAAGTTACTCCTTTAGGCCTCAGTTTCCTCACTTGTAAAATGGTATAATACAAACCTACCTTACAGGCTGCCTGTGCATTAAGTGAGATAACATTTATAACATGTCTAATTAAGTCCCTGGCATATAAATACTCAATACATATTAGTGATTATAATTAATTTTATATATTATAATCAAATCTCTGCTTCAAAATGACTGATTACCTATCCCTTACTTTGATACAAAGATCACCCTCAATTGCAATGCTATTCACTGCATTTATCAAAGTGCTTTTCTTACAATCATGTTTATTTGCAGGTATTATGGGTCACTGATAAGATTCGAAATGTCTGCCATTTCATATTATTTAATTATCTGGCATCAAGGGAGGGAGCCCTTGGAATGCAAATTGGAAAAAGAAGAGCTGGGGAGAGGAGTTAGCTCACTAAACAAATGGACAAATAGAGGGAGTTGGATTACACCTGGAATTCTGAACTCAGATGTCCCATGAGGGCATGGAATTTAGATAAAACACCAAATTTGGTCCAAACTAATACTATGGCCACTAAAGCTGCTTGTTTTATAGTAATATATTTTACTTCACTTAGTTATATAGCTTTTTAAAGAACCCTGTGGTCATAAAAATGACTCCTGAATGAGGTCTCTAAGGTACATTATTACTCCAACATTCTATAATTCTAAGAGGAACTGGACATGTTATAAGAAACATTGTATGATTTACTAAAGGCTGTACAGGTTCACAATGAATTTCACCTAAAAATCCAGATGAAAATATGCAAGATTCGATATTTAAAAAAGCCCAAAGAAGAAAAAGTAGAGTCTAGATACAGCATTCATCTCAGGATAATATCGAAAAGCTGAAATTGTCAAAGTACTCATTGGCTTCACTAATATGGATATATATTCACAGGTAAAAACTATTAAATATAGATGTATGAAGACTTTTTACACAATAAATTTGCTCCTAAAATTACACATCATTAACTTTTTATATAACTATCACTTTTAGGATTGAAAAAAGTGAATTATATAAAATTTCACTCCTGTAAAAACAGCAAAAATGGGGCTGGGTGCGGTGGCTCATGCCTGTAATCCCAGCACTTTGGGAGGCTGAGGCAGGCGATCACCTGAGGTGGAGAGTTCGAGACCGGCCTGACCAACATGGAGAAACCCTGTCTGTACTAAAAATACAAAATTAGCCGGGCGTGGTGGCGCATGCCTGTAGTCCCAGCTACTCAGGAGGCTGAGGCAGGAGAACTGCTTGAAACTGGGAGGCGGAGGTTGCGGGTGAGCCGAGATTGCGTCATTGCATTCCAGCCTGGGCAACAAGAGCAAAACTCTGTCTCAACAAAACAAAACAAAACAAAACAAAACAAAACAAAACAAAAACAGCAAAAATGAAAACGAATCACTTGTAGTTCCATCATAAGATGTAAGCAGTACTAACATTTTGGTTTACATCATTTAAAAAATTGCTTTACATCTCTTTCTCCTGTACACTTGCCAATCACAGTTGCACTCCTAAAAAATAACAGACTCTTTTACAAATTTGGAATCAAACCGCACCAAGTAGAATAAAGTAAACTTATCAAGTATCTGATCTATAGTAAATTTTCCTTTATCTGCAGGTGAGACTTTAATCTCTCTCTTCCCAGTCTCTCAGGTCACCACTTCCTTTTACTCTATTTCAATTTATCCAAAAATACCAATAAATATATGTGATTTAAATAATTACATGATGCTAACCTTAGAAAAACACAATAAAATGTAGCTCTTTTATATTGTCTACATTACTTTGGAATACCCAAAGATTAATCTACATGAATGTTTTTTGCACGCTTGCTTGCATAATTCAATTTCTCTGTTTTTTGGCATTCTGGGAAATAAAAAATTTTTAGTCTAATTCTTTCCCCTTTGGAAAAAATTACAGAGAAATAATTGGGCATTTATTTTGAATGGATAAAAACAAAGCTTAGGCAAAAACTGAATTAGTAAACCAGATTTTAATTTTACAGGTAGTAACTTAATCTTTAACACATAAAATACTGTAGGCTCTGTTATCATCCTCACTTTGCAGATGAGGAAAGGGAGGCTCAGAGAGGTTACATAATGATAAAGTCAAGGTCATTTAACATCTGAACATCGGAGCTGGGATTTCAATCCAAGACATCTGGCACCAGAGCAAACCAACAAGCAATCTGCCTTGATGTATAAGTAATTCAGAACCAGTTTGGCTATTTTCCTAAAATTCAATCTTCCATCATTTTCAATGTGTAGTCAAAAGCAAGCTGCCTGATTTTACAGATTAAATACTTTCAATTAAGGTAACAATGATCTGAATAAAAACACAATGACAGATTTATTTGGAAAAGAGACTGATATGTCCTTTAGGCCAGAGGGTCAGAAGAAAATTCATGTGAAATCAGCTCTAATAATTATCATTCAAACAAGTAATTTCAAATTATGTTTCTGTAAGCTATTTATACAGTTCTTTTTCTTTTGAAATCAGCAAAAAGATACTTAGAATAAGCAAATGATTTCAAAACTTGGTAGAGCAGTGCTTTAGAAGGATTTAACATTAGTGGCTGGCAATAATGTGGCACAAATGTATGTGCCTAAACAAGAATTACTATCATAATTGAATCATACTTTTATAGCAATCTTAAGCATGATGTAAAAGAGTGAATGAAGAAAAGAGTCATTAAAGGAACTCTATGGTTTTAGCCTAAGATAAAATTAAAGAAGTGATAAACACAATCTGGAGCTGCCAGAGAGGTCCGACAACCATTTCAGAGGGAAGAGCCCCAAGAGGTAGACGTTTCATCCTGTGAGCTGAGTGCTAGAACAAAATGCACTGGGTGCAAGATTCTTACAAAGAATATTTGTTTCCCTTTTATAAAATGTGTGCTTTTTCTGTTTTGAATGTTCTCACTGCCATTTACGAACACAATTTGAGTGACTCAAGGCCTGACCTCAAGGCTTTCATAATTGCAAAGACAGTAGAGTGGGGCATGTTTTGCAATCTGATCAATCAGGTCAGAACCTACATAAAAAAGTTGGGAAGTGGATGATTTTCCCATTGAGTATGTATTGATGAGGAGGGCCTAGCAGCATTTATATACAGCTCTCCTACAGCTTCTCCCTATCCTTGAAAGAGAATGACATTAAAGGGGAGGAAGGACCTTAGGAGACGGGGGACTAAAAACCAATCCTAACTCCAAAAGCTGCCTTGTTGAGAGTAGAAGGCAGAAATACCCCCAAGTTGGAAAATCCAAGCAAGTGTAGTCCAACTTTTTAAGACTCCTTATCAAAAGTGATACTCTAGGGAAAATGGCTGGACTTGCAAGTCACTGAACATCTTTGGGTCAATTTCTTTGTCTCTAAGGTAGTAACATGTATATCTAAGCTATGAAAAAGTAGAAACAGATCATTTTTAAACTGATACATAATGTGGAGGTGTGGTAGCACAAACCTGTACCCTCAGCTACTTCAGAGGCTGAGGTGTGAGGGTCCCTTGAGCCCAGGAGTTAGAGACAAACCTGGGAAACATAGGGAGACTCTAGCTCTTTAAAAAGTATCTTAAAAGATACGTTTTGTATTCTTTTGTCAAAAAGTAAGGTATTATCTTGAAAACTGTCAGTAGAAGATGGACAAGTTACTGGGAAACAATATTATGCTGGGCATGATAAGCATCAATTCAATTTACTACCAGTTGAAGATGATATGGCTGGGGGATGAAGACCAAAGGTTGGTGGCATGCTGTTTCAATTAATTATGGGCACTATATTTTGTAAGGTGGCACACAGGTTACATAAAGGAAATTCTAGTAATTTAGATGGAATTATTTGCAAATGGTTATGGTTTGGATTCAGGACACTTGAATAGAACTGAAGCAGGAGAATAGGGTCTGGAGATAGGGAGCTTTCACTTCAGCCTGTGATTGGTCACAGGCCAAGTCTTCATTTGCATAGGGTGTAACTCCACTTCAGCCTTCAATTGGTTGCAGGACAAGTCTTCATTTGCATAGGGTATAACTTCACTTCAGCCTCTGACTGCTCACAGGTCAGGTGTTCATTTACACAGGGTGTAACCAATAGGAAACCTCTAAAGGGTACTTAAACCCCAGAAGATTTTGCAACTGGGGCTCTTTAGCCGCCTGTTTCTTCAGCTCCTGCTGTGTGGAGCGTACTTTTGCTTCAATAAATCTATGCTTTCGTTGCTTCGTTCTTTTGTTGCTTTGTTTGTGTGTTTTGTCCAATTCTTTGCTCAACACATCAAGAACCTGGATGACTCGTCAAGACCCTACACTGGTAACAGAACCAAAGAAGTGGGAGGATTGGTACCTGTCCTGATGTAATGAGCAAAAGGAGAAATCCCAAGTCCCAGAATGTCACTAGTGACCAGTATGTAAATTGACTGCTAAAACCTCATTCTTTTATATCATTAAGGAGAGAAACGTAAGCTGCAGGATACTGTGAATTATGTTACTATTTGGTATATATCCATGGCATGCATACTTCTCCATAAAACAAAAGTTTGTAAGTGCTATGGTATGGATGTGGTTTCTTCTTGCTAAAACTCATGTTGGTGTTGAATGTATCCAGGGATTTCAAAAGACATTATTGTTATGGCAAGCAAGATTTAAAAGTAATCATCCTAGCTACTACATATTTCCAAGATTTTTGCAACATATTGAAGAGAATATTAATGAAAACATTTTGAAAGAAATAAAATTAGAGATATTGTTGCATCTCACTTCTCTATCTCAAACTTTTAACCATTTCTTTCCAGAAGAAAAATTTGAAACATTAAGGGAAAACAGTTGGGTAAAAGATCCATTTGCTTTTTGAAACTCTGAATCAATAATTGAGCTAAACTTGGTGCCTGAAGAAGAGAATGAATTATTGCAGCTTAGTTCTTCATATACATTGAAGAATGATTATGAGACCTTAAGTTTATCAGCATTTTGATTAAGGTAAAGGAAGACTTTCCATTGTTAAGTAGAAAGAGTGTCCTGCTATTACTACCATTCACATCTAGTTTGTGTGAACTAGGGTTTTCTATCTTAACCCTGTTAAAAACAAAGGAAAGAAATGGGCTGAATGGTGCACCAGCTATGCGGGTAGCATTATCTTCCTGTGTTCCAGACTGGAATGAATTTATGAACAAGGCAAGCACACCATTATTGTAAATAAAATCTTACCTAGTTTTTGTTTTTGTATTTCTTACTTTGTAGTATTTTTCTGTGTTATATTTAAATGGTACTATAACATTGTATGTGATACTTTTGTTATGTTTTGTTATATTTAATACAATTATTTTATGTTCACTGAAAAAAAAATAAAACTCATGTTGGAAGTTAAATTACCAGCGTGGCAGTGTTGGGAGATGGGCTGTAGTGGGAGGTGTTTGAGTCTGGGGTGGCACATGAATGTCTTGGTGTCCTTCTCGCTGCAGTCAGTGAATTCTTGCTTTGGAGAGACTGGACTAGTTCTCACAGGTATGGATTAGTTTCCGAGAGAGTGGATTGTTATAAAGGGAGGTTCCTCCTCAGGTCTGGTCCCTCTTCACATGTGCCTACTTCCGCTTTGACCTTCTCTGCTGTGTCATGACAGAGCACAAAAGCCCCCACCAGAATCTGAGCAGATACTAGCCCCATGCCCCTTGAACTTCCCAGCCTGCAGAACTGTCAGCTAAATAAATCTCCTCTCTATAAATTAGTCTCAGGGATTCTGTTATAGTAACACACAAAACGGGAAGACAGAAAGGATATATGGAAAACTCCTAAGGAAGGTAATCTTTCAGTGGGGCTGGTATGAAAGACACTTGAGAGCCTGCAGTCAGGGACATGAGGAAGTTCATCACATATCATTTTATATATTTTACTTCTGAACATTACGGATGTATTACTTCTTCTAACACTTAAAGAAATGCATTATTTCTGGGAAGTCAACAGGTACAGGTAACCCATTCTAGAATCCTGGCTATGAATTACAGGTTGAGATAGCAGCCAGTTAAAGATCCAGACAAAGTTTAGGAACCTGTGTAGACTAATTTCAATTTATTACTAGGAATAGGACACATTGTTACTCACCAACCCCCCAAAAAATTCAGTATTGCCTTAATAAGGATGAAGGAGTAAAATGGCTGTTGGCTAAGTAACCAAAAGTATCTTCTATACTCCTCTTACATGGAGGTGCTATATTAAATCATTATCATCTTAGGTTAAATTAATACAGTATATTGCTTTCATTTCTGCTACACATTGTGTTTGATAGGGAAATTACGCACCAAACTGCAATGACCATATTGGAGGTACAAAGACAATTGCACATTTAAAAATATTTGGTGGCTTTAGGTAAATTCAGGGCCTGTGATAAGTTACTATACAATGGGATTGGTAAACATTTTTTTGTTAAGAACTAGATAGTAAATATTTTAGACTTTGTAGGACATACAGTCTTAGTCTTACATACTAACTCTACCTTTGCAGCATGAATCCAGCAACAGGCAATACGTAAATCAACGGCCATGCATCTGTTCTAATTAAACTTTATTTACAAGAACAGATGGTGGGCTATATTTGGCTTCTAGGCCATATGCTTTTAGGCCATATTGTTTCCAACCCATGCTTGTGAAAAAACAAATAGGTTGCCAAATGATTTATAAAACAATGATTAAAAGTGTGCACATGTTATATATGTGTGGAACATAAACAGAAATGAGAAAAAGTTTCCAAGTCTTTCCGGATATTTGTCAATTCAATAATCGTTGTTGAAGTTACAGTAAGTTTTTGGTGTTTGGTGCAGTATGTGCATGGGGGCATGATCGAGTAAGTTGTTTAAGTTCAAGCATCAGTATTATTTTTCAGTATCCCAGGTTATCCCAAGGTACAGCTAGGTAGAGAACCAGGATGCTAAAGCAGTGCTTCACAAACTTCAGTGTGCACACTCATCACCTGGGAGCCTGTTAAAATGCAGATTCTAATACTGTAGCTCTGGGGTGGAGCTTGAGATTTTGCATTGCTAATGAGCTCTCAGTTTAGACTGATACTTTGGTCCAGACCAACTTTGAGCAGTAAGATGCTAACACTGGTTTTTAATGTCTGGGATGCCTAGGTCCTGCCTCAGAAGCTTATGTATTTGATCTAGGCATTGAAATTTTTTAAAACCTCTGCAGGTGATTTGAATGTGCAGCAAAGCTTGAGAGCCTCTTTGCCAAAGCTCATGATGATGTATCGATTTTAGTTATGTTATCAGTGGCTCTAATGTGTTCCCTTTTTCTCATTCTCCTGTCAAGCGCCGCCTAGCCATTCCTCTCCTTTTCAGCTCCAAACATCCAGATGAAGGTGGGGATCTGGGTTAGGATTTCATCCTGTTGCTCTTGTCCATCTCTGAGGAGTGGGAGGAAGTTAAGGGTGGAAATAGGAGGCTCAGGCAACCTGGGTTTGGGAAGAACAAGCACAGTGTTCTAGGGGTGAATTCAAGGGAAAGCTGGTTGAGATAGAATTGGGGGGGATTACACAGAAAGCTATCACAACAAAACCTGTCTCTAGTCTTGAGCCTGTGTGTGGGACAGCAAAAACAGCCATGTACCCTCCTGAGTTCTGGTGGCACCTGACAACCAAACCAGCTTCTAAGGGTTTTCCCATCTCTGTATGCAGGGTGACATGATGGGTAGAAATACAGTGCTAATGTATACAAGTGAAGTCTTTCCCCCAAAGCGTAAATAATACAAAGGATCTTAGAATTGAGTGGAGGGTGATGAGGGTGATTATGGTGATAACTCATAGCTACCACATAATGTACTTACACCATGCCAGGCACTGCTGTAAGTGATTTACATATATTAACTTATTTAATCTCAGCAACCCAATGAGGTTGATGCTTTTGTGATCTCTATTTTATATATGAAGAAACTGAGGCACAAAAAAATTTAATGACTTGTGCAAGTCAACACGAATGGCTAAGCTGGGATTTGAACCCAGGCAATCTGAAGTTAAGAAACCACTGTAGCAAACTCTCTCCAAAGTATGAAAGTAAGAAGAATCCGCAGTGACCTGATGGTTTTAAAAATGTAAACACTCACAAAAAGATGCTCGCTTTGTTCTTCCTCATATCTAGGAGAGAAAAAATATATATGATCTGAGACAAAGTCAGAGAGGGGAGAGATCCTCAAATCAGGCAGATAAAGAAATAGTGAGAGGACCAAGTTAGAAGAGTAAAGGGGCAAGAATACCTTCTGGAAACTTATATGACCATAATCCTCATTTTTAAGAAAGTGTTACAGTTATGAAATAAGGTAATGATTGCATAGCTAAACTTGTTCATATTTTACTACTGTTCAAACCAGTTAGCTTTAAAAAGACTCGAGCTACACATGTAACTTTGAATACTGTATACAAAACCTGTAATTTTTATCTTTTATATAATAATCTACATGTAGCACTGAAGGAACAAAATGTTTTGAGTAGTTTTTCAGAAACATGCATAATCTAAGGTTTACATACTAATTTCATCTGTTTAGGTAGAGAATAGGCCAAAAGATATGGCAAAGTTGTGAAAGGAGAGAGGAGAAAAACGTAGGCTTACATCACTACCATTTCTCTAAGGAATCTTTTTCTTACTAGGAAATAATTTCATTCTATCCATAGCCATAAGACAAGACAAAAGAACTCTTCTCCACATCTAGAAAGGAGAAACCAGAGGTCACACTTACATCAGGACAAGCTGATTTGAAAATACACTAGGAGTGGACACTGGGGGCCATGGTCTGGAATAAGGTAATGGTCAGGTGGGAACAGAAACTCTCTGGGTGTTCAAACATCTCAACTATACCCTAAATGTTAGCTGCCCTGAGCTTGGGGATAGATTTGTCAAACTCTCTCTTACACTTTTTCTGGTGAGCTCATCCAATCACATGACTTCAATACCATCTATAATGTCTCCCTTACGTATATTTCCAAAGCTGACATTCATTTTTCCATCTACTTGATTCACGTTTCCATTTGGATACCTAATAAGGATCTAAGATTTCACATGACATGTATTCCCCAGCCCTCTACCCTAGGTGTCCCCACTGCAAATGTCCTGAGGTTAAGAATAGCACCATCAACCCAGGTGCTCAAGATCAAACACCAGAACTTATTGTCCCCATCTCCCAGTCCTCACCTTCTGTCCATGAGCAAAACTTGTCACCTTGTCCAAAATCCATCTGGAACTAGTGAATCTATCTTCATTTCCTCAGCCACTACCACAGTTCAAGCCACACTAGGCTCTCATCTGGATCAGCTACAATGGCTCTACCTGTTCTGCACCTTCAACTCTCCCCAACCCCTCTACATTCTTCAAAGCAGCCAGTCACTGGCTTAACAGTTGGGGGTATTTAATCTACTTTCTATTCATATCACAAATTTGACCTCCAACTTTGACCTTATATTTTTCAGTCCTTCTACTGAGGTATATTTTTTCCATATTAGTTTATTGGAAGAAATGGCACAATTGAAAGAATAAAAACAGGAGTAGAGGATTTGTAAGGGCAATATGCAGGAAATCACCCCCATATTTGTGGGGAAGCCAACCTAAGGCTCAGTCCCATTATCACTGTCACTCTGGGTGAGCTTGCCAAAGAGGTACTCTGCCTTGCTGTCATCCAGAGCCCCCATCTTGCTGTCTAGAAACAAGAAAAGTTATCATTTGCTTATTTTAAAAAAAAGTGTTCATGAAAAGTTGAAGACCCCCTTTATTTTAATCCCTGCCCAATCCCACTCCCTTCACTTCTTCCCCAGAGGCAGCCACTAGGATGAATTCCATACCATTGTTTTACACTGTACCATGTACATGCACCCACATATACCATGGCCCAAGACTGCACACCCCACCTGACGCCATCCACCCCACCCATCTCACCCCACCCTACCCCACCTCACCCCACCCTATCCCACATGCCCTCAGAGTTTATAAGGGGAAGACTAATGTGTTTTCCAGGGGCCCATAGAATACCTTTCCCCTCCACCCCCACAGATCCTGAGCTGCATGCAGATGGGACAGGACTGGGTGGAGAGACTGCTGGATACCTACTTTAAGCCTGCATGGGGATGTGCCCTGATTCCTAAAAGGTGAGAGTGTTGTAGGCACGCATCAACTGGACACCTTTATTGCTTTGAGAACAGATAACTTTATTGCCAATAATGGTAACACTGAAAGGAAAAAAATTGAAGAGAACGTTCTGAAAGGGCAACATGCACGCCCCCGCCTGGTGGCCTGACCCAGGGAAGGCACACCGTGGCTGTGGGGCCCATCTTGGCTCAGGTGTCTTCCTCGCTGCCGCCCAGGGTGAGCTTGTCAAACAGGTACTCTGCCAGGCCTGCTTCTGGGGCTCACGTCTTGCACAGGTTGCTCAGGTAGTCACCCAGCTTTTTGATGGCCTTGACCTGCTGGTTCAGGAAGTGGCTCTCCAGGAAGTCGCATAGCTGGGGGTCACCTTTCTCCATGGCCAGCTGGTGTAGCTCCAGGAGGCTCTGGTTGACACTCTTCTCCAGGTGGAAGGCGCACTCCATGGCCTCGAGCCTGCTCTCCCAGTCTTGACGCTCTGGCTTCCTGATGTCGTGAAAGCAGATGCAGCCACTGTGCTGGTTCTGCAGCCTCATCAGCTCCTGGACGTGCTCCCTCTTCTTGTGCAACTGGCGCAGGAAGTAGCGGCTAAAGTGCTCCAGGGCCGCATTGTCCCGGTCGAAGTAGAAGGCCATGGACAGGTACACGTAGGAAGCATGCAACTCCAGGTTGACGTGGTTGTTGACAGCGGCCTCGCAGTTGGGGTGGTAGTTCTGACGCACCTGCAACACTGGGGTGGTGGCCATGGCAGGCACCTTGGGATGTGGTGAGCAGGCAGGCGGGAGCTGTGGTAGTAGTAGCTGGCTGAAGGCGGATGGCTAATGGCGGAAAGGGCCGGAAGTGGGTATTTGGGTCCATTATCTGGGGAGGGATGCATTCCTTTTCAGTGGAAGTGGGCAGGGAGGAGAATGAGTACTATGTTCCATGTGCAACCCAGTGAACTCTGCACTGTCTGACCTGTGTCCAGTTTTTAGTTTTGCAGTAACATTTCTAATGTCCAAGGACTTTCTCTTATCCCCTAATTGGTCCCCTCTGTAATAGCTTCTTCTCATTTTACAAACCTATTGTTTTCTTAAATTCTGAGAATATCAATTTGATATTTTTGGTAACATTTTCTTGTTTCTGGTATAATAGCTCCTTCCAGATTTAGTTCTGTTTTGTCTAGAGTTTGCCTTGAGTTTAAATATTTTAAAATAGATGGCCGGGCATGGTGTCTCACACCTATAAATCCCAGCACTTTGGGAGGCCAAGGTAGGAGGATCACTTGAGTCCAGGAGTTTGAGACCAGCCTAGGCAACATGGTGGGACCTTGTCTGCACATAATTTTGTTTTTTAAATTAGCCAGGCATGGTGGCATGCACCTGTGGTTCCCACCTACTTGGGAGGCTGAGATGGGAGGATCACTTGGGCACAGGAAGTTGAGGCTGCAATGAGCCATGTTCACAGCTGCACTCCAGCCTTGGCAACAGAACAAGACCCTGTCTCAATTTTAAAACAATAATAAAATAAAATAGAAAACAGCAAAGTGGAATGCAACAGTTTTAACGAAAAACTAATATAAAACCTAGGTTAATAGGGAATTATAATTTTTATTAATTTATCCCATTTTACTTAATACCCTCCTGGATCTTTATAATCTGTCTTTCAAAGTAATAAAAATGAATCTCTGTAGCATTGAAAATTTTCAATAACTTTAGATAGAACTACTTCTTTATCATCTCTTCTACCCTTTCAAACATTACTCTAGGCTTATAATGAAACCTCATCAGTTTCTTTTAACGAAAAGGTAGCTGCCTTGAACTTGATCTCCGCCTCAAACCAAAAAAGTTCAAAATTGTCTGTTTAAAAGTTCAGATTGCCACTTCCCAGATAACAGGAAATCAGCCTCCTCCTATACTCCTCCCAAATCGGCCTAATTATATTGTAGGTTCTATTAGGTTTTCTTCTCTTCAAGACATTCTGTCTTAGGCTGCAAGTGTGTTAGCTACATGGTATGATGCTAATGAAAACTGGCTTAAGAATCAAAAGCCCCAAGTTCCAATTCCATTCAGAAATTGGAAGTATCACTGGTCTTTTGGACACTTAAAATACTGGTCTAAAGATGGAAAGAATATCACCTGCTTTGTCTATCCCAAAGGACATTGTTCTAAAGAATTTTTAATTAGTAGAGGTCAGGCACGGTGGCTCCTGCCTGTAACCCGAGCACTTTGGGAGGTGAAGGCAGGCGGATCACTTGAGGTCAGGAGTTCAAGACCAGCCTGGCCAACATGGTGAAACCCCGACTCTACCAAGAATACAAAAATTAGCCGGGCATGGTGGCAGGCACATGTAGTCCCAGCTACTCAGGAGGCTGAGGCAGAAGAATCACTTAAATCCAGGAGGCGAAGGCTGCAGTGAGCTGACATTGCACCATTGCACTCCAGCCTGGGCAACAGAGTGAGTGAGACTCCCTCTCAAAAAAAAAAAAAAAAAAAAGAATTTTAAAGCAGTAGAAATTAAAACAAAGGCTAAGACTAAGAATAGGTACCAGCCACCACTTTTTCTGTTTCTATCATATCTGAGCTTGAATAAGTACCATGTCATGTGTCTTTACTACTGGCCCAATAAGGACTGGCATAAGAAGCCTGAAGGTAAATTGTTTCATTGTAAAGCCCCTGGCATAACCATCACTAATTAAACTAGGAGGGCACTGTGTTCAATGAGGAGGAGGGGAGGAAGGGAATGAGGAAGATGGAAATAGATGACCTGGGACCTGGCTCCTATTTTGGGCTTCATCAGTATGCTGTAATGAGAACATGGGCAAATCAACAGTTCTGGGGCTATTTCCTCATTTGTGAAATGAACAGTTTGACCTATTTGGTTTTTGTGGACTCCATGAAAAGATGATTAGAACCAATTCCATAAGTCATTCTTCAACAATGGGATGGAATGAAAAGGCAGCCTTTAGCCTATTCATGATGAGCAGTGATTGGTATCAAATATTAGCTTTTGGAATTGGATACTATCTTAATATTTAAATAATAATGCCATTTTAAGTTATAGCATTAGTGTGACCCTCTGAAATATACAGTTCAAGGAAAACCAGAGCCTTCTTTGGATCTACTGGTTGTTGTAGTTCACTAGGAGACAGATTTCCTGTTTCAGCTTGACAGTACCCAAGACTTGGGCTAACAACATAGGGCTATGGCAAAGTTACAAATTCTTTTGCAATTCCTTTTATTGTACTTTGGAAATGGCTAAACTGAATCTTATTTCTATAGTTACTGATATACCAACCATGAGAGTCATGATCAAATGTCCTGCCCTAGAGGGGACTGTACCCTAACATTGGAAGAAGGAACTAGTGAAACCCCGTTATTAAGGAAATCAGCAGATACCCACTATAACAATAATTGAATTACAGTAGTCACCCCATCCAGATCAGAACCTCTGAGAAGTGAGTAGCAGTGGTGGTTGGTTGCTGTACTTTATCAAATATAACATAGCACGAATTGAAGAGTACACCATTTTTATGTATTAAAAAAGAGAAAAGGGCCGGGCATGGTGGCTCACGCCTGTAATCCCAGCACTTTGGGAGGCCGCAGTGGGTGGGTCACCTGAGGTCAGGAGTTCAAGACCAGCTTGGCCAACATTGTGAAACCTCGTCTCTACTAAAAATACAAAAATTAGCTGGTCGTAGTGGTGGGCACTTTCAATCCCAGCTACTCGGGAGGCTGAGGCAGGAGAATTACTTGAACCTGGGAGGCAGAGGTTGCAGTGAGCTGAGATCATGGCATTGCACTCCAGCCTGGGCAATAAGAGCGAAACCGTGTTTCAAAAAAAAAAAAAAAAAAAAAAAGGAAAAAATTCTGCTTTCAACGAATCCATGCCATGTCATAGTATGTAAACTGCACCTCAATTTCAGAGAAGTTAAAATATGAATAAATGATTAGAGAATCAATGAAATATGATGTTTAATTGGTTTGGTCATCTACTTGCCTGGATACATTTATCAAAGTAGCTATATTTTTTCACCACCCATAATTATTTATACTTTTTAGTAATTTATTTATTTTTTTGAGATGGAGTCTTGCTCTGTCACCCAGGCTGAGTGCAGTGGTGCGATCTCGGCTCACTGCAGCCTCCGCTTCCTGGGTTCAAGTGATTCTCCTGCTTCCCCCTCTCGAGTAGCTGGGACTACAGGCACATGCCACCATGCCTGGCTAATTTGTTTTTGTATTTTTAGTAGAGATGGGGTTTTACCATGTTGGCTAGGCTGGTCTCGAACTCCTGACCTCACGTGATCTGCCCACCTCAGCCTCCCATAGAAACCAACAAAAAAGAAAAAAAAAATGGTATTTTCTGCTGGCTATCAATATCATTTCACAACACCTCTCTCTCATCATTGGTTGAGTGGTTTTTGCTGCTTCTTGTCCTTTTTTAGAGGGAGAGGTTTACTGTATTAGGCTAAAGAATATAATTCCTTAGGTAACAGCTAGCCCCTTATTCTCTGAATTCATAGCTAACTTCTTCCCAGCATGCTATGGGAGACATGTTGACATCATCTTTCAGATGGAAAAATAGATGCCTTAGACATTTACCAAGCAAAGTTGCTGCCCTAGGGTTCTACTCAAATCCCAATTTGAATGTCAGTGTTTTATTGTCATCAATTCCATTGACTGGTTGCAGCTCTGTAATGGATACATGAGCCATTTCCTAACCATGACAGTACTGCTTATTAAGCAGTGAAGGATCCCAAAGCAGCAGCATGATAGGTGACAGGTCCACAAGTTAAATTAAATCCATGGTGCAAATGATTCTACAAGTGACAACAAATAGATCTGTCAGCCTCACTGGTACCCAGTCTCTGAGGATAGTTCTGAAAAAGGTTGGCACTGGTACTGGGAGAGGAAACTTGCTGAGGTAACTTTATAGGTCAAGGTTAACATACTGCTGGCATGGGCAGGAGAGCACCTCCCCCCCCGCCCTGACTGAAGAAGTCTACTACTTTATTAATATCATACAGGCTGAAACTCTCCTAATTCAGTTACTACCATAACCTGACATGAATAATTGACACTACAAATAATTTATAACCTACAAATGGGCCCAACTGCCAGAGACTAAAGTTCACCACTAACTTAAAAACAATATCAATGATATAATCAATAAAAACGTACTTTAAATGAATCATATAAGGAACAACATGTTATTGACCTGCAACAGTCAGACCTCCCTCATCTTTACAGAAGGTAGCTCAGAATACCAGTTGCACAAAATGACATATTTTGGCCCTATTTAACTTATTTTCAAGAGGTTCCAAAAGAAGTAGCGAGGAAGCCTTTGGGAGTTCCAGGAAACCACCCATGTGCCTAAAGGGAAACTTCATATTTGGTTCCCCAAGGAGGGTCTGGGATGCGTCTAGGGAAGGCAGGAGAAGGTCTCAATGGAAATGAATAAGGTATGGCTAGAAGAAGGCCACAGCAATGCCCCATGTTTGCCTCCTATATTTCTTGCCCAGACTGGACTTCCACCTCCCTTCTTTCCTGAATTCTCTCATCCCTAACAACTCTTTAGTCACTAGGGGTGGGGAAAATATTCTGAATCTGGCTCTAGTGCCATCAGCAGATCATGAGAGGCTAAGTGAAATAAGAGTTTCCCTAACAGTGCCAAAGAATCGGACTTTCTGCCTGCAAGTGCCATGAGTAATCTCCAGGACCTAGTGATCAATTTTTAGATACCTCAGACACAGTATTTCTTGTAATCACTAATCCCAACTCACAAGTGTCTACATGCCACCTCCTGCCATGGGCTCTGAATTCCACAATCTCCAAATGTAGTTTTTGTAACATATCCTAGTGTGAAGGGGGACTGCATATCTCTTTCTTCCCCAATAATTTCTACATAAACAAATTTAAATGGTGACACTTTGGAATGAGAGATATTATCTAAAAAGGGATTGCTGAACTCAGATCTCAGATCCTTGGATATCAATAACTCAGTTTCTAAAATATAGCAGCAACTTGGCGGCAGAATGGCACATGGAGTGCACAAGAATGGGATAAAGACTTGGGATGATGCACCCAGACAAAAGAGTCATCCATATCCCTAGAAATACCACCCACTGCAGAGCTCTGAGTATTCTAAGTGGTTTTAGCTAAACTGCTTTCTTTAGAATCTAATAAAGTGTTACCAAATAAGGCAAGTTCCCTGGTCCAAGGAGACTTGTGACCCCTGGACTGTGCATTTTAAAAATGAACTTTCTTATTTTGAAATAATTTTAAATTTACAGAAAAATTGCAAAGATAATACATAACATTCTCCTGTACTCCTCACCCAGTTTCCCTTAATGTGAGCTTCTTACATTAGGATGGTAAATTTGTTATAATTAATGAATCAATCCTAGTCCATTACTATTAACTAAATATAACACTTTTTTTAGATTATATTAGTTTTTCCATTAATGTCCTTTTTTTCCAGAATCTAATTGACATTTCGTCTAATCATGTCTCTAGTTTCCTCTGGTCTGTGACAGTTTCCTAGTCTTTTCTAATTTTTTTTTCATGACCTTGACTGTTTTGATAGTAGTCAGACATTTTGGAGAATGTCTTTTGGTTTTTGGATTTCTCTGTAAGTTTCTCATGGTTAGACTGGGGTTATGAGTTTGCGGTGATGGAAATAAATGATGTCTGTTCTCAGTATATCATATGTGTGACTTAGTAACTTTGATTACCAGGTCAAAGTAGTTTGACAGGTTTCTCCATTGCAAAGTTACCCCACCTCCCCCCACCCGCTGATCCTTCCCATACTCTGTTCTTTGAAAGCTAGTCTTTAAGTTCAAGCCACACTCAAGGGAAGAAGAAAATTAAGCTCCACCATCTGGGGTGGAGTATTTACATACATAATTTGGAATTCTATAGTGTGGATTTTTCTCTTTTCACCTTTTCATTCAGTCATGCATTTATATCATTATATAATCATGTGTATTTATTTTGTGTTTTGGGCTATAATCCAATACTACATCATTTATTTTGTGGCTAAAATTGTTCAGCTTTGGCCACTGAGAGCTTCTTTAGGTTACCTCCTGTGTCCCTTTAACATGCTCCCATTCTTTGGATTATCACACTTCCTTACTTTCTGGTACCACAATGTTCTCCAGCTCATCTTGTATTCTCCACACTCCAGCCCAATAATGAGCCATGTCCCCAGAAAGTCCTGTTTTATTTCACTATAGAATGGAATTAGAAACCCAGATCTGGGCACTAGGTGGGACTATGCAGGTGTGCTAAGCACCCAGACTGTTCCTATGCACGCTTAACTTTGAAGACAACCACTGTGGAAAGTCAAGCAAAATAAACTAGAAATTATATACGATTAAAAGTTCTATAATCATTGTTTTAAAGAATTACTACTATTTTCTCAATGTCAGTGCAAGATTAACAGCTCCAAAATGTAGAGAACCCTCATAGTCTCATAGAGAGAAGAGAGAAAAAGTGATAGTGGTGAAATAATGATTCCTAAATAAAGTGGCAAGAATTCAGCACCTAAAAACTAGAATAAATTATATTTATTGAAAGTTTTCTCTGTTCCAAAAACTATGCTAAGTGCACAGCCTCAAACCTCATACTGTAGGTATAATATCCTCCTTTTAAAAGATACAAAAATTGAGGCCTAAAAGATGAAATGTTTGCGCAAATCAATATAGTCAGTAGATGGCAGAGCTCAGACACCAGATCAAGGTCCATCTGATTCTCAAAGCAGAGGATTTTGGCATGACAACTCAGCTTTATTGAGGTATAACTGACAAATAAAAATTGGGTATATTTAAGGTTTACAGCATGCTCATATAAGCCTTTGTGCATATGTCTGCTGTTTCTATCAGAACTCAAATGCCATGAGGAGCAGCCTATTCATTGTTGTATATACTGTGACTGTTACATAGTAGGCATTCAGCAGATAATGTCTGAATAAATCTGACCCATTTTCTACATGATGAAAATGAGGACCGTGAAGTACAATATGTTTTCTCCCATTGTATAATTAGACTTGTGTTCCAAATTAGGTAAATAATTCCAACAATAAACATTCTACTGAAAGCAGACTTCTAAATTCACATACTTCATGTTTGGAAATGATGAAACCACGTATGAGTAAAAGTATTCTGAGCGATAAATTTTAGTAAACAAAAAGATAGTAAAGATAGTCTAAAAGTAGAAAGCAAATCTCAAATCCAATCATTTTCTTCACTGCCAAGATTAAGATGAAACTTTGCTGGCAATGCTAGATCCTGATTAACAGATAACAAACATTGTTCTGAAACAGATAAAAAATGAGAATGCCACTTCACTTACATTTGCTAGATCAAAGGCTGGCACACCTTATCCTAAATGGGATTGTTTTAATGGCATGAACAAACTCAGATGACAAACTTTAAAGCACAAAGAAGGAAATATAACAACAACATAATAAAAACCATTTTAAAGTCTATTATCTATCAGCCAACTTGGGTTTAAATCGGTTCCTCCCATAAACTAAATTTACTTTGTGATTTGCCAATCCATTCCTTCATTCATCCATCAAATACTTATTTGGCTTCTATTATGTGCCAGCACTGCTTTATATGCTAGGGACCATAGCTATGAACAAAACAGATGAGAAATGTTGCTCTCATGGAGCTAACAGTCCTGATGGGGCGGGGGAGGTAACAATTAAAAAAAAAAACAAATAGATGTCAAATGATGTCAGTGCTTGAAAAAAAGAAAGTCACAGAAGGGACAAGCGGTTGCAATTTAAGGTAGAGTGCTTTCTCACTGTGAAAATGAACTTGAGTGAAGACTTGAGAGTGGTGAAGGAACTCAGACATATCCATCTAGAAGAGGAGAGAGCAAGTGCCAAAGTCATGAGGCAGGTCACGTGCTGTCTGTGTATGTGAGGACGCACAAGAAAGCCACAGCAAAGTGAATAAGGGGTGGGGTGTCATAGGAGATGTGGTAAAGAAATAACTATATATCGAGTGAAGCTGTGGGGTGGAGATAGATGAGGACTGATTGTGTAGTACCTGGTGGGTGATTCTGAGCACTTTGGCCTTTACTGAGGGAGATGGGAAGCCCTTGCAAGTAAGAGAATTTAAAGGATCACTCTAACCTGCTGTTTTGAGAATCAACTATGGGGCAGGGGCCAAAAAATCATACAGATGAGAGGGTTGTGGTGGCTTGGATGTAAAGTGATAACAAGTAGAAAGGTGGCTAGATTCCGAGTATATTTTCATATTAGAACCAACTATTGCAGATGGGGTGTGGGATATGAAAAAGAGAGGAGTCAGAGATGGCAAAAAGCCTGGAGATCAGCAAACATGATGGATGGAGTTACTACTTATTGAGATCAGAGAGGATGTAGTAAGTGTAGATATTTGGGGGAAGGGGTGCAAATTTGTTTACTTTGAGAACCATATTTGATTCTAAGATAACATGTTGAGTAGGCAGTTAGCCATACAAGTCTGTAGTTCAGTTTAGCGCTCCAGGAACTACAAATATAAATTTGGAAGTTATTAGCATTTGAAGTATGAGAAGAGGAAAGATCACCAGGGGAGCAAGTGTAGGCAGAGCAGAGTTTCAAGAAATGAAGTGGTTGTTGGATGGCGATGTGTTAAGAGAGTTTTCTTTTTTCTCTTTCTTTCTGGGGCATGTAGGCTAATAAGATGAGAATGATTCTATAGGAAGGAAAAGGTGATGCCGGAAGTACAGAAAATTTCTCAAGCAATTCTCTCACAGTTGAAGGAATTTCTTCTACTTGCTTCAAAGATTGCTGACATGCAGCATCCTGTCTCTGTGGGTGGGAAATGATATATAGAAGCACTGAGATGGATAAAAGGCCAGAAATGTAGGCATTAAAAACATTGTTCACGGTCCGGGTGCAGTGGCTCACGCCTGTAATCCCAGCACTTTGGGAGGCCAAGGCGGGCGGATCATGAGGTCAGGAGATCGAGACCATCCTGGCTAACAGGGTGAAAGCCGTCTCTACTAAAAATACAAAAAATTAGCCGGGCGTGGTGGCAGGCGTCTGTAGTCCCAGCTACTTGGGAGGCTGAGGCAGGAGAATGGCGTGAACCCGGGAGGCGGAGCTTGCAGTGAGCTGAGATTGCGCCACTGCACTCCAGCCTGGGCGACAGAGCGAGACTCCATCTCAAAAAAAAAAAAACATTGTTCACCATGATGGCCAGGTGTGGTGGCTCATGCCTATAATCCTAGCACTTTGGGAGGCTGAGGTGGGTGGATTGCCTGAGCTCAGGATTTCGAGACCAGCCTGGGCAACATGGTGAGATCCCATCTCTACTAAATATATATATATATGTATATAAAGCCGGACATGGTGGCATGCACCTGTAGTCCCAGCTACTTAGGAGGCTGAGGCACAAGAATCACTTGAACCTGGGAGGCAAAGGTTGCCATGAGCCGAGATTGCACCACTTCACTCCAGCCTGGGCAACAGAGCGAGAATCTGTCTCCAAAAACAAACAACAACAACAAAAAAACATTGTTCACACTGAGAATCAATGATAAAACTTAATCAATACGAGAGTAGTAGAATATACAATTAATACATAAAATTCAAATAGCCTAGAAACCATATATCTGAAAACAGATCCAAACCTAGGATAATAAAGAACTCTCAAAGCTCAATAGTAAAATAAAATAAAACATCCCATCAGAAAGTAAGCTAATGACATGAAGAGAGATTTCACCAAAGAAGAAACATAAATAGAAAATAGGCACATAAAAAGATGTTCAATATCATGAGCCATTAAGGAAGTGCAAATTAAAATCACAAGAAGTTATCACT
This sequence comes from Homo sapiens, assembly GCF_000001405.40. Classification (NCBI taxonomy): domain Eukaryota; kingdom Metazoa; phylum Chordata; class Mammalia; order Primates; family Hominidae; genus Homo; species Homo sapiens. The sequence goes on along the minus strand of NC_000023.11, from coordinate 37,431,450 downwards.
ACACTCCTAGCAGAATGGCTAAAATAAAACACAGTAACAATACCAAGTGCTCATGAGTATGTAAAGAAACTGGATCTCTCAAACACTGTTGGTGAGACTATAAGATGGTAATTTATACAATGACAAATTAGTTTGTCAGTGTCTTAAAAAACTACACATATACCATGCAACCCAAGAATTGTACTCCCAGTGACTTATCCCACAGAAATGAAAATTTATGTCAATACAAAAACCTATGCAATGTTCATAACAGCTTTATTTGTAAAAGCCATGAACTAGAAACAACACACGTCTCTCAATAAGCAAATGGTTCAACAAACCATGGTGTATCAATACCATGGAATATTACTCATAAACAAAAATGAATGAACTATTGATATATGTAACTTGGATTAATCTCAAGAGCATTATGCTGACTCTAAAAAGCCAATATCAAAAGGTTCCACATTATATTATTCCATTTATATAACATTCTTGCAATGGCAGAATTATAGAGATGGAAACAGATTAGTGATTGCTAAGGGTTAGGGATGGTTGTGGAAGATAGTAGGTGTGACTATTAAAGGGTAGTATGAGGGAAAACTTTGTGGTAATGAAATATATCTGCTACTTGATTGCAGTGATGGTTACACAAATCTATACAAGTGATAAAATGACACAGAACTATACATACAGATTGTACCAACGTCAGTTTCCTAGTTTTGATCTTACAGTTATGTAAGATGTAACCATTGGGGGAAACTGAGTAAAGGCTGCATGGGACCTCAATGTATTATCTTTGCAATTTTTTGTGAATCTATAATTATTTCCAAATAAGATGTTAAAAAAATGCATGCATGCATGCATGAATGAATATAAGTTTTCCCTCTCCACATTACAGTATAGATATTACAATTCCGAAACCATTGTGTATTATACAACTAAGCAAATGAGTTATTAATATATTGATGTTTTTGGGTGCTGGAATTCTCATTTTGGAAGAACATCTATAAGGAATTTTTACATCTCTACAAAAGTAGAATGGCTGGAAGAGCCCTGAGGGATTGGATTGCAATTGGAGATCAGCATAATGAATTAGTTATTTCACATATATGTCTACATGCATACATGTCTATATGTTTATATGTTTACATTTCTACATATAGACATATATAGAATTTGTATGCATGTATACATATGTGTGATTTTTTTTTCCTAGCTCTATTGCTGAAAGATCCAGAAGTAACAACATTCTGGTAGCAATGAGCATATTCTAGTTCCCAGATCTCAGTTTCTAAATATTACTCCTAACTAAAAGTAACCAAATGTCCACTGACAGATCACTGTATAAAGAAAATGTGGTATATACACATGATATAGTTTGGCTGTTTCCCCACCCAAATCTTGAATTGTATATCCCAGAATTCCCACGTGCTGTGGGAGGGGCCTGGGGGAGGTAATTGAATCATGGGGGCCAGTCTTTCCTGTGCTATTCTTATGATAGTGAATAAATCTCATGAAATCTGATGGGTTTATCAGGGGTTTCCACTTTTGTTTCTTCCTCATTTTGTCTTGCTGCCACCATGTAAGAAGTGCCTTTCGCCTCCTGCCTGATTCTAAGGCCTTGCCAGCCATGTGGAACTGTAAGTCCAATTAAATCTCTTTTTCTTCCCAGTCTCAGGTATGTCAGCAGTGTAAAAACGACTAATACAATAAATTGGTACCAGTAGAGTGGGGCACTGCTGAAAAGATACCTGAAAATGTGGAAATGACTTTGGAACTGGGTAACAGGCAGAGGTTGGGACAGTTTGGAGGGCTCAGAAGAAGACAGAAAAATGTGGGAAAGTTTGGAACTTCCTAGAGACTTGCTGAATGGCTTTGACAAAAATGCTCATAGTGATATGAACAATAAGGTCCAGGCTGAGGTGGTCTCAGATGGAGAGGAGGAACTTGTTGGGAACTGGAGCAAAGGTGACTCTTGCTATGTTTTAGCAAAGAGACTGGTGGCATTTTGCCCCGCCCTAGAGATTTGTGGAACTTTGAACTTGAGAAAGATGATTTAGGGTATCTGGCGGGAGAAATTTCTAGGCAGCAAAGCATCCAAGAGGTGACTTGGGTTCTGTTAAAAGTATTCCATTTTAAAAGGAAAACAGAGCATAAAAGTTTGGAAAATTTGCAGCCTGATGATGTAGTAAAAAAGAAAAACCCATTTTCTGAGGAAAAAACTCAAGCTGGCTTCAGAAATTTGCATAACAAGGAGCCGAATGTTAATCCCCAAGACAATGAGGAAAATGTCTCCAGGGCACGTCATGGGTTTTCAAGGCAGCCCCTACCCACCCCTATCACAGATTTGGAAGTCCAGAAGGAAAAAATGGTTTCCTGGGCCAGGCCCAGGGTCCCCATGCTGTGTGCAGCCTAGGGACTTGGTGCCCTGCATCCCAGCCACTCCAGCCATTGCTAAAAGGGGCTAAGGTACAGCTTGGCCCATGGTTTCAGAGGGTGCCAGCCCCAAACTTAAGCAGCTTCCATGTGGTGTTGAGCCTGCAGGTGCACAGAAGTCAAGAACTGAGGTTTGGGAATCCCTGCCTAGATTTCAGAGGATGTGTGGAAACACCCAGATGTCCAGGAAGAAGTTTGCTGCAGGGACAGGGCTCTCATGGAGAACCTCTGCTATCGCAGTGCAGAAGAGAAATGTGGGGTCAGAGCCCCCACACAGAGTCCCTACTGGGGTACTATATAGTGGAGCTGTGAGAAGAGGGCCACCATCCTCCAGATCCCAGAATGGTAGATCCACTGAAAGCTTGCACCGTGTGCCTAGAGAAGCCATAGGCACTCAATGCCAGCCTGTGAAAGCAACCAGGAGCGAGGCTGTACCCTGCAAAGCCACAGGGGCAGAGTTGCTCAAGACCATGGGAACCCACCCCTTGCATCAGTGTGACCTGGACATGAGGCATGGAGTCAAAGGACATAATTTTGGAGTTTTAAGATTTGACTGCCTTGATGGATTTTGGATTTGCAAAGGGCCTGTATACCCTTTGTTTTGGCCAATTTCTCCCATTTGGAAGGTCTGTATTAACCCAACACCTGTACCCCCATTGTATCTAGGAAATAACTATCTTGCTTTTGATTTTATACACTCATAGGCGGAAGGGACACGCCTTGTCTCAGATTAGACTTTGGACTGTGGACTTTTGGGTTAATGCCAAAATGAGTTAAGACTCTGGGGGACTGTTGGGAAGGCATGATTCATTTTGAAATATGAGGACATGAGATTTGGAGGGGCCGGGGCAGAATGATATGGTTTGGCTGTGTCCCCACCCAAATCTCAACTTGAATTGTATCTCCCAGAATTCCCACATGTTGTGGTAGAGACCCAGGGGGAGGTAATTGAATTATGGGGGCCAGTCTTTCCCGTGCTGTTCTCATGATAGTGAATAAGTATCATGAGATGTGATGGGTTTATCGAGGGTTTCCGCTTTTGCTTCTTCCTCATTTTCTCTTGCCACCACCATGTAAGAAGTGCCTTTCACCTCCTGCCATGATTCTGAGGCCTCCCCAGCCATGCGGAACTGTAAGTCCAATTAATCCTTTTTTTCCAGTCTTGGGTATGTCTTTTATCAGCAGCATGAAAACAGACTAATACAACACACAATGAAATATTATTCAGCCTTATAAAAGAAGGAAATCCTGTAATTTGTGACAACATTAATAGACCTGGAGGACGTTATATTAAGTGAAATAAGCCAGGCATAGAAAGACAAATACCACAGGATCTCACTTATATATGGAATCTAAAAAAGGTGAACTAATAGAAGCAAAGAGGAGAATGGTGGTTGCCAGGGGCTTGGGGAGAAAGAAATGAGAAGTAGCAAACAGTATAAACTTTCAGTTATGCAAGATAAATGAATTCTGGAGATCTGCTATACAGCATGGTACCTACAGCTAACAATGTTATATTATATACTTAAATTTTGCTAAGAAGGTAGATCATATGTTAAGTCCTCTTACCATACTCACAGAACACAACTACAACAATAATAAAGGGGTGAGAGGAAACTTTAGGAGGTGATGGATATGTTTGTGGCCTTGATGGTGATGGTTGTTTCATAGGTGTATACCTATCCCCAAACTCATAGAAACGTATACATTAAATAAGTACAGCTTTTTATATGTCAAACATAACTCAATAAATTTTTTTTGTAAAAGAATATTATTCACTTGTATAAAGTACTTTTAGAACAATAAATCCCAAACAAGTTCTTACGATTTCTTTAAAGGAGAATGATAAAGTAGGGTAAAAAGCCATTAGCCTTGTGAAAACCATAGTAGAATATCTATAATTTCTATTATTTGATAAAACACAATATCAAAAACCACGTTTTGTTTATGGTTTATAGTAACTTCAGCCAGTTTTTATTAAAAACTTTATGGTGCAAAACACTATTTCTACTACAATCCTATTTTTCTTATTTATGAAGTATCTATGTAGTAAAAATAGGCCAGAATGAGATATACCAAAATTATAAAACTGGTGGTGCTAAAAACTCAAGTGATTTTATGTTACTACATTTTTAAATTTCTCTACAATGAACATATACTATTTTTAAAAAGTAAAATGAATAAAATAAAATAAAACCAACAATGACTAAGCGGATGCAAAGGGAAAAAGCTGGAAAGAAAATAAAAGGTCAACCGTGCTTTGTGATTGCATGATGGTATTATGGATGATATATTCTTTTCCCTATTTCTAACCCTGTGATTTGACTAAGATGTGGCTTCTTCCTCTTACCCCTTTCTTTAAAACTTTTGCATCTGCTGCTCTTAAGGTATATTTAGTATCTTTTTAGCATAAGTGACACCACTTGTTTAGCATCTAGGGTTATTTTCCTGCTGCCCAGGACTGAATCTTTATACAATGGCTACCTCTGGTAACAATTTCCAGCTGTGGAGCAGTTCTATAGACTTTTCACCCCTGCCTTGTGCTGTCCCATTCCTGCTCTCTTTGAATAGCATGTAGTCTAGAGTAAAGAGAAGTAAAGAGGAGTATTCTCGCGGAGTGGGAAGGTATGTCTGGATGTCTTTTCTTTTGTACGAGAAGTAAAACCTTTTAAAACACTATCACCATCCATTAGCTTCCTCCACACTTTCTCTGTAATTAGGCAAAGTGATATTATCTATAACCTTCTAGAACAAAGCTTTGTGCAAATCAAATCCTTCCTACTCGCCAAGATGATAAATCCTCGCTCAGCAGAGTCCTATAGGAACGGGGCTCTCAAAGACAGTCCAGCACAAGGGGAAGTGAACCTAGCTCTCCAACCCACAGAATATTACTAGTTAGATGCCATTTTCCGAGTTCCTAACAAAGGAATTTTTAATTGCTAGCAATGTACATAATTCAGGGATGCAGATTTCAAATATACATCAAAAAGGTAGGCAAATCTGTGCAACTTTTTAATTGCCAACATACTTACAGTTTTTTCATTATTTTCAAAAGCTTCTCTTGCTTCTTCAAATGTACAGAATTCTTCTTTGCACTCACGCTCAATGTTGCCCTGTCTTATTTCTTCAAAAAACCCATTAGCTCTTGGGTAGCGTTTTAATATGGAATTGGCTTTTTCTCCCGTGAGGAAAACTAAAAAGAAATATAAGTATAAAAAACCTATGTGGCAAGTTGATATACCAGATGAAAACTGCTAGATGCTCTTTAGAAAACATAGCCAACATCCTAAACCTCTTTCCGTGAGTCAGCAATGAAGTAACACTTAGCTCCAAACCACTGTATCTGCTATCTTCCTCATGATGTGAGTATGTCCTTTCAATAGCAGTTGCCCTGGGCAGGGACAGTGACATAATTAACTATGTTATATTCAGACTTCAGCACATTCCTGCAAACCATGGGTGTTTAAATATACTAATAATGATAGCACTACTTATACTCATTACTGTAAGTAGATACCCCAAGGCATTCTGCTGACAGACAGCAGCAGCCAAATCAAATCCAGTCTCTAGATTATCAGTCTTTGTCCCTCTACCTAAAAATAAATAACACTTCAGTTGACCTAGTAATATAAACCCAGAGAGCTCTAACTTGTATGAAAAGAATAGGTAAAAAAAAATTGTGAGAAGTTAAATTTGGCCATGATTCATTCTATGGAAATCCTAATAATAATTTTGTTCTAAATGTACTTGAGTTAAATATAGTGTGATGCTTTAACACATTCAACCTCATTTCACTGTCCTTTAGAAAAAGAAAATTCTTCTGCATGATTTACAGAGGCATTTCATATAAACATTCAAAATACATTTATGAAACCATGTAAAAAAGATGCTTTTATTTTAATAATAATAAAATATAAAAAATAAAAAATAAGATGTTTTATTTTTAAATACAAATACATTTTAAGTTCAATTTCAATTACATTTTTCTAAAAGAATGTTGCCTGTTTGGAGAGACAAATATAATGCCACCAGAATTTCATCTCCGTTAATGCAAGAGATTAGAACATTTCCTAATTTATAGAATTCTGACATAAGAAAAGGCACATTACAGATCTTTCAAGATGCTAAAAAAGTCTACATTTTCTGAAAAACATTTTGAAGGAAATGAAAAACTTTTTATGTGCTCTTTTAAAAATGACAATGACAGCCAGCAATGGATTAAAGTTTTGCTTTGTTATAGAAATGAGTATTTTACTTTATAGAATATATGGACTCATTATTTAGGATTCTTTAAAGTATCCAAATTGACACCAGCTAGATGACACTTATACCAGGGTGAAAACCATGATAGGCCTTCAATGAGTATTTCCTTCTGTACCTCATAAAGGGTTCCCTTTATGACCCTTTATGAGGTACAGAAGGAAGGAAATTCAGAGAATAGATTATGATTATGGAATATGAATTCACAGATTCATAGAATATCATTAGAACTTTAAAAAATACAAATTGTGGTTAAGTGTAATGAAGGAAAGCAAAAGGTTACTGTTAAGTTGGAGAATAACAGTAAAATTTTCTAACACTTCTTGCCTTTTAGCCGCATCAGAATCCCTGAAGGACTGATTATCACACAGACTGCTGGGCCCCACCCCAGAGTTTCTGATGCCATAGATCTGAGGTAGGGCTATAAAATTACATTTCTAACCAGTTTCCAGGAAATGCTGCTGCTGCTGCTCCCATTACCACAGTTTGAGAATCACTACCCTAATGAGAGTTCCTTGGAAACATTCTGAGTGAAGTATTTATGGAATGCTAGGGTTAACAAATTTAAAGAGATCTTTCACTGAATGACTTTTTAGGGCCCTTCATATATATTTAGTATAAACAGTCATGCATCACTTAACAATGTGGATCCATTCTGAGAAATACATTGTTAGGCTATTTCATCATTGTGCAAACAGGATGGAGTGTATTTTCACAAACCTAGATGGCATAGCCTACTAGTCACCTAGGCTATATGATATAGCCTATTGGTCCTAGGCTATAAATCTGTTCAGTTTGTTACTATACTGAATACTATAGGCAATTATAACAATGGTAAGTATTTGTATATCTAAACATTGAAAAGATACAGGAATAATATGATATAAAAGATAAAAAATGGTACTGTATAGGGCACCTACCATAAAAGGAGTTTGCAGGGCACTTATCATAAATGGAGCTTACAGGATTGAAAGTTGGCCTGAGTGAGTGGTGAGTGAATGTGAAGGCCTAGGACATTACCGTAGACTACTGTAGACTTTATCAACACTGTCGACTTAGGCTACATTAAATGTATAAAAATATATTTCTTAAAAAAAATATTTTGGCTGGGAGCAGTAACTCATGCCTGTAATCCCAGCACTTTGGGAGGCTGAGGTGGGAGGATTGCTTGAGCCCAGGAGTTCGAGACCAGCCTGGGCAACACAGTGAGACCTCATCTCAAAAAAATTAAAATTAAATTAAATTAAAAAATAAAAAATAAAATTAAATGAAAATAAAAAGAAGGAAAATGTTTCTCCTTCTTCAGTAATAAATTAACCTTGGCTTACTATAATGTTTTTACTTCATACTTTTTAATTTTTTAACTTTTTGACTCTTTAGTAATAACACAGCTTAAAATACAAACACATTGTACAGCTGTACAAAAATATTTTCTTTATATATATCCTTATTCTATAAGCCTTTTTCCTATTTAAAAATTTTATTGTATTTTTTACTTTTGAAACTTTTTTGTTAAAATTTAACTTTTTTGTTAAAAAAAGTTAATTTTTGTTAAAAATTAAAATTAATTAATTAAAAATTAAACTTTTTTGTTAAAATTTAACTTTTTTGTTAAAAATTAAGATACAAGCACACACATTAGCCTAGGCCTCCACAGGGTCAGGATCATCAATATCACTGTCTTCCACATCCACATCTTATCCCACTTGAAGGTCTTCAGGGACAATAACATGCATGGAGCTGTCATCTGCTATTATAACAATGCTTTCTTCTGTATTACCTCCAGAAGAACTCGCTTGAGGCTATTTTATAGTTAATTTTTTTTCATAAGTAGAAGGAGTTTACTCCAGAATGACAATAAATATATATACATACAATATATATAATTGTATGTACTATACTGTTATATGACTAGCAGTGCAGTAGGTTTGTTTACTCCAGTATTGCCACAAACATGTGAGTAATGTGTTAACACTGTGATGCTATGATGTCACTAGGCAATAGAAACTTTTCAGCTCCTAATCTTATGGGACCATCATTGTATATGCAGTCTGTTGTTGACTGAAACATCATTATGCATGCATGTATTTGTAAATCTGAAAAGGAACATGATACATGCATTTGTGATATTTGACTATAGTACCCTTTTTCAAGAGATATTTTACTGATTTAACAACTTCCTAGCCATTAGTCTTATTTATACCCTCTGAATTAACGCATAAGTCTCCTCCATATAACAGGCCAACTAATACATGAAGAAAGACAGTAAATGGTTTCCCGTGGGACTTCTCCTTTCCAGAATAAACATGTCTTGCTTCTTCATCTGTTTGCCATAGAAAATGGATTTGAGTCTGCATCATCTTCCTCTCAAAATACAGTGACCTATGCTGAGCGCAATACTTTGTGTTTGGTCTGACAAGTGCAAAACTGGTCAGGATTATTGGCTTCCTTGTTTTAAAGACAATATATATGTTAATGTGGTCTAAGATATCCCTGGGTTTCGAATCAGTTTTTCTGAAGATAAATCAATCAACATTAATGTATTTTGAACTTTTAAGAGAAAAAAGCTAAATGCTTCTAAGAGATAATTACTTTCTTATATGCTATCCAACTCAAAAAGGTGAGTCAAAGCAAGCCACTGACTCCAGTAACCAGAAAGCAGTCTAATTTAGAAGAATAAGCAAATGGAAGGTAATACAGCAGGACACAAAGCTTCTAATCCAAGTCTAATCAAATTACCAAGCATTCCATGATCATATTCTATGTATTTCTTGTACTGGGCGGCAAGGTAATATAATACTAAGAACTCTACATGGATTCAGCTGGCAAGTAGATTTTATCTCACTTGCCAAATCCAGTCCATTAGAAGATATCACTTAAAGTAAGAATCTGACCTGTAGGAAAGATACTATTATAGATTAGTTATGTCTGCCATTTATTAGGGAACAGGAAGTAGTGGCAGAGAATTTGCCAGTGCTCATCAAAGTATTTGGAAACCTAATGGACCCTAAATGATGATACCAGAACTAGATTATTTTCTTTTTTGCCCATGACACAGCCCTCAGGAGATCCTGAGAACATGTGCCCCTAAAATTAGAATTTTTTAAAATGCGAAAACAAAATAAGGGAGAAGGTGGCAGCTTTGATCTATAGGATGAAATCAGATTATCTCCTCTAAAAACATGGGGCAATTTCCAGGCTGCAAGGGCTTGCGTTAGGATGTTTAACTAAAGCCATGATGTTTGAAACTAAAGTCCATCACTTCCTTAAATTGAGTGATCACTTCCTTAATTGCCTCTTTCTCCTTAAATTGTGTGAGTTAAATTACAGCTATCAGGAATCATGTGCATGCCTTAATCAAGGATTATATGATGTGACAAGTATACAGAATGTAAATGTGCCTTGAGAACACAATACTGAGGTGTTATTTAAAACATGCAGTTTTCCCATTAAAGGAAATAAAGAAAAACCTAAACCTTTTTTCTTCAGATTCGGTTAGGAAATACTCTTATTAAATTGAATATTTCAAACCTAAGGCATATTTACACATACACAGACACAAAATAAGTATATTATTCAAAAAAATGTAACCACTTTTTCATAATTTCAAAATAAATAAGCTCTCATCCATGCTTTCTCTTCAAAAGAAAATAATAAAAATAAATAAAATAAGTGGATGCAACAAGTCACAAAGATGGGTAGCAGATGACCTCTGCCCTCAAGGTTCTTCAGTGCAAGAGGTAACAAAGATATAATAAAAGAGATACACAAAGAGCTCTATTGTAAGACTGAACATGACGGATGTTCTTCAAGGTCAGAAGGCAGGCATATTTCTGGTGGGTGTGTGAGTTTGTGGTTTGGATGCCTTAGTTTATTTATTTATTTATTTATTTACTTATTTATTCACTTCTGAGACAGAGTTTCGCTCTGTAGCCCAGGCTAGAGTGCAGTGATGTGATCTTGGCTCACTGCAACCTCTGCCTCCTGGGCTAAAGCGACCCTTCCACCTTAGTCTCCTGAGTAGCTGGGACTACAGGTGTGTGCCACCACACTTGACTTCTCTTTTTTCTTTTTTCTTTCTTTTCTTTTTTTTTTTTTTTTTTTGCATAGACGGGGTTTTTCCATGTTGCCCAGGCTGGTCTCAAACTCTGGGCTCAAGCCATCTTCCCACCTTGGCCTCCCAAAGTGCTGGGATTACAGGCATGAACCATAGCACCTGGCCATAGGTGCCCTATTTTTGATATAAGACTATACACCAGAAACAGTAGCAAACAGTAGCAAGAACATCAAGAACAGAGAATGAGGACTTTCTACAAATGAACCTAGCATTCCATAGCTCTTCTTCAATTCAAGAGTCAGGGCCTCTCCTCTAGACCTATTGTGCAACCCTGGAGTTATTGGATTTCTTGTGGGAACAAGGTTAGTCAGAAAAGGAATAAAGACATTATGGCATTGATGGGGGGAGCCTTGTGGTTGTTTTGAGTAATCAATTTAATCTTATGGATATCCCAAGCTTGTTAGTGTGCACTAGTTAGAAAGAAAAAGGGTTGTCAGAACAAATAGCCATGTGAAGAAAACAAAAACCTAAGCGTCACTTATTCATCTATAAAACTGAAAAAATAACACCAATCTCAAGTTATAAGTTATAAATGAGTGCTTTGCTCAGGGCTTGACAAAAAAACAGATTTACAATAAGTAGTAGTGTGACTCACTGTCATTACCATTGTGGCAGTTATTCTGTGAAATAAAAAAAATGATATTTATCAAGCTGATAATAAAAATACACTTAGGAAATATAGAATAAATAGGATTAACTTGCCGTGAGTCTGTCTCCTTAACTTCAGGAATGCCTGGGAGTTTGGTCTCCTTGGTCAAGTCTGGGATGACATGTAGTAGCTTTATGAAGTGCTATTTAATGTCTCAAATTCGCTTGGAGGCACACTGTAGTAGCTTGTCCTGAACTGTTTTTGGAAAACATATAGGCTGATTGCACCTGACTAATTGATTACATAGTCTAGTTTCAGCTACATGACCAGTGGGATATCAAAGATCTTCTGTACACATGAGCCTTAGCTCCCGATACCAAGGTTATCTTGCACATAATCTTGGTGGTTCACAATTAGAAGACAAATGTGTCCTGTGCAACTAAAAATGGCCTTGTGAGTGATCTCTCTCCTGCTGTACCATACCTTGAGCCATTATTAAAGCCTTATGAGAATATACCCCGTAGAATCTTATAAGTCTTTTCAATTAACCAATGCTGTATAGTTGCTACAATATACTTTTATGATTCATAAATATTTTGGGGATATCATGAGATTTTAAAATTTCAGAACTTCTTCTCAAGAAATGGTCCAGAAATGGTCCTTATTATAAGGACTTGATACTTATAACAAACTTGTGAGGAAATACCCTTTGCCATAATGTATATGCTTGCTTTTATTAACTTCAACTTTGGTCAAATATATGTTGATAGCTTATCATCACTGGAATTTTAACAACAGACCACAAATAAGCTCTTAGAAAGGATAGATTATGAAAGAAAAGTTACATACATGACAGATATGTATGTTTAGATAATCACAAGTAACTATAACAAAATATGCTTTATTGAACTTTAGGTTGATAGTTTGGGTGGCTATTCAATGTTTTACATAATCACTACAGATATGAATGACAGTAATACCTCGTTTATGCAGAAATGCAAAAGTTGCTCAAATAAACCCATTCTCATTCTCATGAACTTAGACACAAGAGATGACCAAGGTCATACATTACAACTCACTTGATGCTTTATCTACAGGGGAACCTCAACTTCTTACACTAACCAAAGGTCAGTTTCCTCTATCCATGTGCAGGAGCCTGGCTCCTGAGACTTCAAAGCCTCATTGCACATGAAAACTAGAAAGCAAAAGGGGCAGGGTGGGCTGAACTAGATCAACATACTGAAAGCCAACAGAAGTGAAAGCTAATTAATCTGAAGGCAAGGGAAAAGAGAGTCAGAAGGCTCTTTGGGGGTTATTTAGAGTAGGATCTAAACTCCATCACACTGACAGCTCTCAAGGCTATAGACATCAATGATTATGTTTACAATGGTGAATGTGAGTTACCAATAAAGGGCTATATGATGTTCAGGATGATGTTCAAGAAGGCAGTAAATTATATAATCTAATTTAGAGCTATTTCTATAAAAATATGGTTTTTAAAAATCTTTTAAATCATGTTTAAAAAGGTAAGCATCCTCAATCTGCAAAATATATTTGCTCAAATTGAAAATTTTTTCCCAGTATTGTATAAATGTTGCTGTACCACAGACTGAATCTACAGAGTCCACAAATTAACAAGGAAGCCGATTTCTTTTCTGAATAAATCTCTAGTAATCCAGCTTAATTGTAAATTTCTCATACAAGACTATAGAACATGCAAAGCTCTCTGCTTATTCGAGCCTTCTGTTTGTCACATGAAAGCTGCCTTTTGAGATATGTTGTTGAAGTCTAAGAGAGCCAATATCTATTAACCATTTTCACCAACCCTGCATTGAGGCAAGTGAAACTATAGGATAAGGAAAAAGTGTGGTATGGTAAAAAGGCCCTGAATTTGTAGTCGGGATATATGGATTCCTGTTGCAGCTCTGGCAGTAAACTGGCTACCTGATCCTACATTTGTTGCTTAATTTATCTGAACGTGTTTCCTAATTGATGAAGCAAAGGTGTTGGATATGATTTCTTAAGTACTTTCAGTTGTAACCATAAAGAGTTCTATAATTGGAAAGAATTTCAGGAAGTGGGAGTAGTGTATTGGATCCGAATCCTTTTGGGATATTAATACACAATTTTCCAGCCAAGCAATCACCATATCCCAAACCAATAATAAACAAACAAACAGAGAAAATCAAAAAAGCACCCATTCCACCCAATCCTGTGCTTAGCTTTATTTTTTAAACATCTTATGAAGTGTCAAACTCATAATTCTTTGTTTTCTCGCTTGTAAGTCATTTTGATACTATTATTCAGTTGTGTCTGCATATAATGCCTTCAAACTTTTTTTTTCTGCTGAAATAGGTGTTAAATAGGTACTTCTTATCACAGACTGATGGAAACAACTTTTCCTAGGAAATCAAAGTCTTATACTCTGAAGTGACATTTCACTTACTAAAAAACAAAATTAAGCAAACTAAAAAGACACTATTTAAATCATCCTCCTATTTTTACTTAGGAAGGTGGAAATATGTACAATGTCCCAATTTATTTCACCATTGTTAAACTATTTCTGAAAATTAAAAGTTAACTTTTCATAGCTGATATGTTTATAATAATTCAGAATTTATTGTATGGTGGTACTCATGTGCCCAACCAGTTTTTGCAAACTTAGAGTTTAGTATAGCATATAGTATATGTTTACACAGGAATGAGGGAACTGAAACCCATTAAAAAGCTCATATATTTAAAAAATAATTGGAAGTTGCAGGATTGAGCTAGTGGGAGTGGGAAGTCTAAGAGACTGAGAAAAAAATAATGATTATTAATATATTTAATACCTGAAATCTGCCCCCTAAGGACCATACAGTAGTTATGATCATTACCTAAAACTTAAACAAATCTGTAGTACCAGAGGCATACAATGAAATACCAGATAACAGGTAGGTTTCCTGGAAAAAGTGTGGATAATATGCCAGAAATGGATTTCTATGAGAGATGACAAAAGAGGTAAAGTGTGTCTATAAAGTCAGTATTCTTTAAAAATAAAACAAACATGGTTCCCACCAGAGTGACACTAACTATCTCAATATGGTATACTTAAAAGCCAAATTTCAGAGAATACATTCAGATGTCTCTCATCTAATGATTTTATGCTTTGTAAGGAAAAAGGACATAGAGAGAAATGGCGCAATATATTCTCCCACAGAGGAAGGCAAAAGGCAAAGTTTTCTTTAAAGGGGTTTTAAACTTTATAACTACTTCTTATCAAAAAGAATTCGTCATGAAATGGCAGATTACACCAATCAAATTAATAGCAATTATGTAAACTGATTTAAAGGTATGGTATTCTAATACATATTTCTGAACCAAGAGCAATGCCTTGCTCCCAAGAAACAAACAAATATGGAATTATTAGTGTAATTTGTCATGACTAAGCACACAATCAGATGGAATCACCAAAACAGGAGAACTCCAAAGATAGCTAGTTCTACTCTTACTGGTGCCTCAATTGTACCAGCAGCAATATCAGTAGTCTTGATGTTTGCGGTTGTTACAACCGTATGATTTCCTTTCTAGTTTATGGACCCTATCTATACTGATTACATTCTATCTCATATAGAAGACTATGGTAATAGCTGTGACTAATAATCACCATTTAATAGAAAATAAAGACAGGTAGATAAAACTCACAAGATGAAATATAGCTTATAATGCATAATTTTATATTGCAATGATTGCTTTACAACTCATCAGCATAGACTGTAGGATAGGTATTCTATGTGATAGTTGTAATCTAGACTCTAGAAGTGGATAACTGTCCTAGTAGGACACATGTTACATTTAACGAAACAGCCACATTTCTAAGGTAGCTACTACAAACGCATTTGGCTATCTTTCTCTCCAGCCCACAATAGAGCATGATGGATTTAAGAAATGGAGTTTCATTGAGGAGTTTAGTGCTATTGTTAGTAAGCACTAACATGAATTTCACAAATGACTTTTCACTGGTGAAAGACATGTTTTTATGTGAATTTGCTCCAGAAATGACAGCAGCAGTCAAGGGTGTGCCTGAACACAGTAGAAAAATCTAAAGCCTCTGCAGTTTGTACCCTTAGGAATGGTGGCCAAGACTTGATTCCTGAAAGGCCTCATGTTTACCTGCTGATATGAAGGATTCTTGATTGCTTTAATCTAACTAGATGGGTTAGCTGAATACCATTGCTAGAATGCTGTCACATATGCCTTAGATGAACTTTTTATCTAAGATATTGTGGGAGATCCTAAATAAGGAAAGAAATAGGATTTCATAGAGTTTATATAATAAGTTATATGGCAGAACTGTGCCATCTTGTTGATAAATGTCCGTGTATAGCAAAATTCGGCCTAAGACTTAGTTGTAACCTGGTAGTCAAATTGTGGGGAGCCTAGACCTCACATGCCTTTAACTATTGGCAGCTACTGACATTTGCCAAAAAGAATGTAGCAATTGTAAAAGCCAAATTGATTTTGATTATATTCAATAAACTCTTCCTATTGATTCTACATGTACATCAATCCCAAAGGAGGTGGTGGGCTGATGTGTAGAATTCTGGAATCTCATTTGTTTCCAAAGTGGACTGTTAACCACCCATGAAATCAGCACATTTTTATTTATTTTATTTTTTTGAGACAGAGTCTCACTCCATCACCTAGGCTGGAGTGCAGGGGTATGATCTCGGCTCACTGCAACCTCTGCCTCCCAGGTTCAAGCCATTCTCCTGCTTAAGCCTCCTGAGCAGCTGGTACTACAGGGTGCACCACCGTGCGCGGGTAATTTTTGTATTTTTAGTACAGACGGGGCTTCGCCATGTTGGTCAGGCTGGTCTCGAACTCCTGGCCTCAAGTGATCCACTCGCCTCAGCCTGCCAAAGTGCTGGGATTACAGGCGTGAGCCACCGCGTCTGGCTGCGACACATTTTTAATTAATTCATTTATACATATACGATCTAGATGCTTTAAGAAGCCTCTGAACTCAAGGGTTCCCTATGCATACTGCATTTATATTGGTTGAAGTACATGAAATTACAGTTTTTGAAGGCCATTTCATATGGTTCAACGTAATATGTTAAGTGTAGGTTCCTATGGTTCAACCTAATACATAGGCCACATTGGAACAAGAATTATATACTTCAAATCCATGAAATAGAGAGTGAATGATTTGTCACCATCAGAGAAGCACATAACATTAGCTATTCCACTAGTTCCTCTATCACTTTCTTTCCTATCTGTTCACACATTAATACAGCCTCAAAAGGTGGATGGTAATTAATGTTCATGAGTCGCAGATTTTCAGAACTGAAAGAGATCTTTGAGAGTCATTGAATCTGGTAGCTTTCTAAATTTTATTAGTCATAGGATCCTCTGCAAATCAACCTATCATGAAATAAAAACAGATAAAATACAATGTAGTACAGTTGTTCTGTCTGAAGGAGAGGTGTTATGTACCAGGGGCACTTCCTTTTCCTCTCTTCCCTCATGGTGGCCCCTCAGGGGCCCCTTTAGAAGATCTGTGGCTTCACCGAACACATTGGAAACCACTGATCCATCTTAACCCCTTCATTTTGCTGACCAGAACACTACACTGAAATCTATAGGTTAAGTGACTTACCCAAAGCCACAGCTACTTGATGATAGGACTAGGACTGTACCTTGGTCTCCAGAATCATACTCTGCTCTCCTTTAGACTCAACTTACTTCTATAAAAAACACCATTATATCGAGAGAATGAAAAGACAAACCACCGAGTGGGAGAAAACATTTGAAAAAGGTACATCTGGTAAAAGATTGCTATCCAAAATGTATAAAGAACTCTTAAAACAGTAAGAAAACAAGCATATAAAAATGGGCCAAAGATCTTAACAAACACCTCACCAAAAAAGATACATGGATGGCAAATAAACATATGAAAATATGCTCCACAGCATTTGGTCATGTGTCGCTTAACGGCAGGATGCATCATGAGAAATGCATCGTTAGGTGATTTTGTTGTTACGCAAACATCATGGAGTATACTTACACAAGCCTAGATGGCATAACCTACTATACACCTAGGCTATATGGTATAGTCTCATTGCTCCTAGGCTACAAAACTGTATGGCATGTGACTGTACTGAATACTATAAGCAACTTACTGAATACAGTGAATACTGTAAGTAACATAATGTAAGTATTTGTGTATCTAAACATATCTAAACATAGGATAGTTACCGTAAAAATACGGTATATAATCTTATGGGACCACCTTCATATATGTGGTCTGTCATTGAAGAAAACATCATTATGCAGCTCATGGCTATATGTCATCAGGGAATTGCAAGTTAAAACAAGAAGATACCACTACACACCTATTTAACTGGCCAAAATCTAGAACACTGACAACATCAAATGCTGGCAAGGACATGGAGCAATAGAAACTCTCTTTCATTGCTGGTGGGAATGTAAAATAGTAAAGCCACTTAGAAGACGGTTTCATGGTTTCTTACAAAACTAAACATACTCTTACCATATGATACAGCAATGGTACTCCTTGATATTTACCCCCAAACAGTTGAGAATTTACAAGCATCAAATCATGGAAAGACATGAAAGAATCCTAAATGCATAATACTAAGTGAAAGAAGCCAATCTGAGAAGGCTTCTTTCTCTTCAATCTGAGAAGGCAAAATCACAGAGATAATAAAAAGATCAGTGATTGCCAGGGGTGGAGAGGGAGTGGGCAGGAGGCATGAATAGGTGGCACACAGAGGATTTTTTTTTAGGGCAGTGAAACTACTCTGTATAATACTATAATGGTGGGTACATGTCATTCTTTACGCATTTACCCAAACTCATAGAATATACAACAACAAGAGTGAACCCTAATGTAAATTATGGACTTTGGGTGATAATGACATGTCAATGTAATCTCATTGATTGTAACAAATGTACCTCTCTGGTAAGGGATGTTGATAATGGGAAGGGATTAAGTGACTGCTTAATGGGAATAGGATCTCCTTTGGAAGTGATGAAAATGTTTTATAACTGGAAGGTTGCACAGCAACCTTTAGTACATTTTGTAACTATTTTCCTTACAGCACAGCAACCTTCTGGTTACAAAATGTACTAAATGCCACTGAATTATACACTTTAAAACAGTCAAGTCTATGTTATATAAATTTTGCCTCCATTAAAAAAAATCAATAGTGCTAAAGTTGAGAAACCTTTCTAAAATTATGTGCCAAAGGTTATTTTCTTCTTTAATAAGTAAATGGCAGAGAGGATTGCATCAAAGACAAAAAGCATCAAGCACTATAATGAGTTTTTTAAAAGTAACCTCTCCGTTAGTTCTTTTTTTTTTTCTGGTGAGAAAAACTTGCCAAGAAAAAATTATGGCAGTTGTCAGCTACAAGCAAATTCGTATTACTGTTATAAAATTCTGAAGATAAGAATTTATAATAAATTATTGACATCATCTAAACTAAAGAGGCCTGAATATGTCACAATAAAGAGACTCTCAAATCTAATATAGGCCAGAAAAATGAAATAATTAATTGACTTTAAATGGATAACTTCACTTGAACCATAAAGCCAAATAAAATTAGGCACTTCATTATAAGACAGTTACTTTACAGGGCTTGTCAGTTTGAAGGTTCATTCCCTATT
The DNA here is from genome assembly GCF_000001405.40 of Homo sapiens. Classification (NCBI taxonomy): domain Eukaryota; kingdom Metazoa; phylum Chordata; class Mammalia; order Primates; family Hominidae; genus Homo; species Homo sapiens. Next base: position 37,412,392 of record NC_000023.11, on the reverse strand, counting down.
TGACAATATAGAGCTGTACACTCAGTTAAAGTTTAGAATTGGCTTCAACTTAACAATAGTTCAGCAGTGAATTAAAGAACTTATGTATTTACTGTGGTGGCTGTAAACCATCTTGCCTTCCACTAAGTCTTGACAACTAGGGGGATATGTTTGAGTTCCTTGGGATAAAGGAGCCCAGCACATGCAAGGACCCAGAGGAATTATGCTGCTATGTTTTAATAAGAAACAAAGACTAACTGGCAACACTACCACTGTTTTGCTATAGCACGACCATAAAAATTCATTTATGCTAAGACATTAAGGTCATGTTACTATTAAGTACAGAAAATGAAAATGGAAACTGACTTTTCATATTAAGATTTTATAGACCTAAGATTTTCTTCTAAGCTAGGTAGGTAAGACCTATTTCCAAAGACTAAATACTGGAAGAGGAGAAACAGAAAAAAAAAATCCTAAGTTATCTTCATATTTTAATTCAGATTATCCTCCACAAAGTAGACCTGCCTGATTGCAATCATTAAGCTATTCCAGATATTGCTTTGTATATAACAAAGCAAAATTAATCCTTTTGAAAATTCATGGCTAAGTATTATTCCTATTTTGTGGAAGATGTGTACGAGCAGCTAGCTCATGATTTGCTATTATCAAGACAACATGATGAACTTCTCCCAGAAGCTCTGCTTTTAAGGTAGACAGTGAAAATAGCCATTAATAACTTCATATGAGGCTAGCAGATACCACAAACTACAGCACTTAGAAGATTCAGTAATAGAAATGTGTTCTGAGATAGAAAAAAATTCAGATGGAAAGTAGCTATATTTTTAAAAATCAAATTCTACCGAAACACTGTAATAAAAACAATAATCACAAAATTTTTAAAGCAAGAAAACTGAAAAATATTCATTGTAGGTAAAGATAATACTTACTGGGAGTACTGGGCCTTTTACCATTTTATCATGAATATGCCAGTTGGTCAGATGAGAAATGAAAAGGTAAAATATAGTTCTAATTACCATTTGAAGATGATTAAAGATAAATATCCTAGAACAGTCATCTGGTATCCACTGGGGATTGGTTCCAGGACTTCCACAGATACCAAAATGCTCAAGTCCCTTATATAAAATGGCATAGTAGTTGCATATAACCTATGCATATCCTTCTGTATACTGTAAATCATCTCTAGATTACTTATAAAACCTAATACAATGTAAATGCTATGTTTACATACTGTATTTTTATTTGCACTTTATTGTTGTATTCTTATTTTTTTGTTTTTTTCTCAAATAACTTCGATCCATGGTTGGTTGAATCTACAGATGTGGAACCTACAGATATGGAAGGCTGATTATATTATAATGCTATGTGAGTCTATACATACACATTTGTAAAATCCTCACATTCTCTTTGTAAAAATGTTCTCTACTAGAATTTTACATATAATTTTATTTATACCTGCTGTTCATTTTTGAACCAGTATCTCATCTTGTCATCTCATGCTATTCTGGTGTTCCATGATGCATTATATTCCTTGTGTCAACAAAAGCAACAAAGATAAAAACTCATCAGTCAAACGGGTGAGTTTCACATAGGCCAGGTAAGCGGCATCAGGCCCTTTACTTTAGGCACCTTCCCTTGTGGACTGTGTAGCACGAGCTTCTGAACTGAGTTGTTTTGTTATCTACTATGGTCACTGCCAATCAGTGTAGCTGCCTTTTGAATTACCACAGACATAGACCACTGCTGCTCAGAGGATTTTAATATTTGAGGCACTCCACCATCTGATACACATGTATTTTAGCTGTTACCCTAAAGGTTGATGAACAATGAGCCATTTCCCTTCGCCTATCTGTCCAGTCCCTCATGATAATATGAACATTGCAGATATCAAAAAATAATTTCTTCCATACCTCTCACAGCAACAGAGAGCTCCTAAGTTTTTAATTGACTTACACACTACTGATGATTAAGATATGCAGAACATGGTTTATTGGAAGAAAAAAAACTGGATGTAACATAAGACCTAGATTTGCATTTTGGCTCTCCATTAGTAGTCTGTGGATTACAGATAAGACTTTTTCTTATGAGCCTCAGTTTTATAATACATAAAATGAGGATAATAATCCCTATTTACAACATAGGGTTGTCTTACAACTCAAGATAATGTAGAGGGAATACCTATGAGTTATAAAGTGCTCTACAGAAATGTGTTAATCTCAGAATAATTATAGATTCTTAAGAGTCCTAAATACTAAGCCCTGTTTAAGAATTCATACATAGTGAATGGGATTTCAGTGCCACACACAATGGACACTGGTAGTAGTAGACTAATAAAAAATTAAATATACAAGGCTGTTCTCATCTTCCCCACCTTAATATTTAAATTTTGTTTATAATCCTTCATGTCACATAAACGAATGATTCTTCTAACACATATGTACAAATAACTTCTTCATCTAATATCAAAGAATGCTAAAAGAAATTCACCTCAGTTTTAATTTCTCACCTAAACTGTACAGTTATCCAAGTGTGTTTTTTGTTTTCATGCATCCTTAATTTATGTTATGAGGCTAGTGTCATATCTTTGCAATATTTTTCCTCTGTGTCCCTCTGTATGATACACTGGGCTACGTTTGTGAGAATCTTTGCCAAGTGCAGGAAAAATTTCATTGTACAGTGCCAGAAAAGAGAAAAATGAGCATACAGTAGCATCTTTTTCTCCCCAATAACAGTGTCAGCAATTAACAAATGTAATCAGGCAAACTAAGCAAAGCTTAGAGAGTAAAGGATAGAGTCTCTTTGAGATTCAGGATATTACAAATACTTTCAAAGTGGTCAACACAGTGAAAATGCTATCACAAGCTTCTGTATTTGTAAAAGCAGCATTCTTTGAAGCACTTCCCTTATCTCATCACCAGCCTGGAAACATGCCTATCTTTGCAGATTACATTACCATGCCCTGTTCTTTAGCAAGAACTACAGTTGACTCTTGAACAACACATATTTGAACTGCACGGGTTAATTTCTATGCAAATTTTCTGCAGTCTCTGCCACTCCTAAGACAGCAAGACCAATTCCTCTTCTTCCTCCACTGATTCAACGTGAAGATGACAAAAATTAAGACCTTTATGATGATCTACTTCCACTTACTAGTAAATACATTTTCTTTTTCTTATGATTTTCTTAATATTTTCTATTCTCTAGTGTATTTTATTACAAGAATACTGTATGTAATACACATAGCATATAAAGTATGTGTTAATCAATTGTTTATATTATTGGTAAGGCTTTCAGTCAACAGTAGGCTATTAGTAGTTAAGTTTTGGGGGCATCAAAAATTATACATGGATTTTTGATTATGCAACAGAGTCATCCCTAGCCCCCACATTGTTCAAAGGTCAACTACTAATTGCCTGACCATTTGAACAAAAAGTTGCTGAGACATCTTCTAAACTAAGCACCTAACAGTCCCTTTGCTAGTGACCTGATGAGCAGTCTAAAAATGAATAGAGGAAATGAGAAAGAACGGGTTTCGTCTCAGTGCAGCTCTCTCCTCTATATGGCTATAGCAGTATCCAACAACCAGAACATTCTCCAAATCCACTTGAAGCTTTTGGGATTGGGTGAGGATCAAACATGATGTTCTAATGTTATAGGAGTTACTAAGAAATTATTTTAGGCAATAGATAGGAAAGGGGGTCCTTGGGAAGTTTTTGTTTCTTTTAAAGCTGCTCCAGAAACGTTTCTTGTCTAGCGGGAAAGCCCAGGCTCTTAAAGTTGGGCCGGCAAGCTTTGATATGCAAATACCTGCCACTGGAAACTGGGTCCACACAAACGTGGCGATTCCCACCATCTTCTTCCCCTTGCCCCAACATGTTCCTGGCAACATGGCCACCCCCACATATCCCCCACATGTGTAGAACATCATGGGGATACATTTGCACATTAAAACGCTAGGGTGGGAGGGCCAGTTTTCTCGCAGGCTATGTCAACGACATACCTGGTCAAACCAATCCCCTGAGCCCTATGCAAATCAGACACTGCCTCCTCCAGCCTCCTCATATAACTGGCTGTTTTCCACCACATTCGAGGTTTCCTCTCTCAGCTGTAGGAGGGAGCTTCTTCCTTCTTTCTAGTCTATTAAACTCTCCACTACTTAAAACCACTCCACGTGTATCTGTGTCGTTTTATCTAACTCGACATGAGACTAAGGACCCTGGAGTTCCCCCAGTCATTGGAGCCGTATCACTACTCTAGAAGCTTCCATTGAGAGCTGATTTGCGGGCAGGACGTGGCACAGATTAGTCCCAGAATTCCGAATAGTTTTTAAAAAGTTCATTTAGTTTTAAAATTTCGAAACCATCAGAGATTGCCATCTTTTGTGAAGATCTGGAAAGAACCAGAATAGCTAGGCCTAATCAATTTCCAAGGGCAGCTCTGGAGAAAACAGGAACAAAAGCTGATTCAGCAAGATTCAAGAAGATATTTTCCATGATTGATCCATAATCCTTAGGGCTTCCTACCAGGGCCCACACAAGGGTGGGGCAAGCAAAGTGCAACAAAAGAATTCTCAGTTGCTTGCATGACCCAAGTCCCAGTCATGCTGCCTACAGAAGCATCTGGTCAAATAACCTCATTTTTATCCATTAAAAAAACAATGAAGATATAGTTAGTAAGGACAGTAATGGGCAGATACCACTGCTGTATTCCATTACACTTTAGAACTCTCAAAACACTTTTACATGTATTATCACATTATGCCAACGACAACTTTCTGAGGCTAGAAGTGCAGAATGTATTAATCCCACCTCAGGGATGAACAAACGAGTTTAGGGAGGTTCTAGGATTTGATCAAGGTAGTAGAGGTGGAACTTGAATTCAGGCCTTCTGTATCCAGTATTCTTCTCACTGTACTATACCACACCACACACCAAATCTTCCTCTGAGATCCTTCAAGGCATTCTAATTTTATAATTGTGAAAATTAATAAAATGTAAAAGCTGTTGGGACCCCCCAAAACACTTTAAGCCTTGGGAGACATGTGACTGTGGTTTCAGTCACATAACATTTTGCAGTTCTGTTTCTTAGGTTATAGTTTAACACTCTTCCTCATTGCTATTGTTTTGTAAATGAATAGCAAAGACCAGAGGCCAGACCTCCCCCTTTCAGTCACTGATCTTTGCTACTCTATTATCCTGTACCTAACTCAGACCAGATGGTGCCCCAAACAGAGACCCCATGACAATCACATCTTCAGTGTGGAATGTTAAATATACCTTTCCTGAAAGAAAAGGACCACCCGGATCAATCAGGTCATTGTAACTATGCAGTAAGCCTTACATAGAAAGATGTTAAAATTCTGTTAAAATATCCTAAACTTTGTCTATTCGAGTGATCCCCAAACTTCTACAACTGGAAACAGTGATTTCCATTCTTTGGAGTCCGTCCTCAACCTTTGCACTCAAATAAACTCTTTAAACTAGATTCTGACCCTTTTGATTATTTTAGGTTGACATGATATACATTAATTAGAATTATTTATGAAGTCCCTGTGGTGGCTGCTTAATATTAACAATGAAATGAACTTAAATTTATCTGTTGTCCACTGCCCATAAACAGCCTTATGAGAAGGCAAAAATAAACAAAAGGAATTCATCTAATGGTTCTTAATGCCGGGCTTTAAAATTTTTAAAAAAATTACAAATCAACCTCACAGATGATTTTTTTTTACTACTGTTATTGGCTGCATAGTAGACTCTCTTTATTTTGTGTTACTAGCAAGAAAACAGAAAACAGAAAAAAGACTTATAAAGAAGCTGGGTTTGGGGAAGGTGTATATATATAGTATCTGTGAGTTATATATATAAAATAGTATATACTATATATATAGTATCAAGCTTGATCCATCTCTCCCTATACTGGGAGGTCTCTACAAAAGAAGAAAATCAAAGATCCAGTGAATAAATGTGGTTGATGGTCTTTCTCTGAAAAGCCCTGCTTCAGACAAAAACTTTCTAACACTAACAAGAAATACAATTTAGGTGTCCACAAATATACTATGAGTTAGAAATTTAATTTCCTGACTATAATAGCTATGGAGACAGTCTGAATTACTTAAAAAGGAAGAGAAACTTACCCCTCCCCATGTTTTCTTGTGGTTTCTGGCACGTCCCTGGATGATGATTCCCTGTACAAAACAGAGCACATACACACAGTCAGATTGATAGAGGCTGAGTGGCTACATCAGATAAGCTCCAGTACAGCTGATGTGGTCAATGTGAGCATTTCATTTCAGTACATTCCAATCTTTCTCCCTTACATAAATGTTTTCTCCCTCACAAAGAGAAAATCTAACCTCAGAGGACAGAAGCACAATATTCTGGAAGCAGGGGCTCTATATCAACTTACTATGACCTTCTTTATCTGGTACTAGTTTCTGCGTGTGCCAAATAACAATCCTCAAATTGGTCACACACTTATCTCTTCAGAAAACAGCAGTATCAACAAAAATGGCAGACAAAAATCCCAAAAGGTCCAATGCTAATAACCAGGCCAGCAAGTTACTAGCTTTCCTGTCTCCGGCTTCCCTTCAATATCATTCTGTGACAAATCCAATACCCTTTAAAGTGTAACATTTTCCCAAACGGTGTAAAACAACAGCATCCCTAATCAAATTAGCCCTGAGGCAAAGCAGCCCACAGAGTTATTTCCAATAAACAGTATGAACCAATGATCATAAACTACTGACAACAGAAACTTTGGAGAAACAAAAAACATACACTGCAATTACAGAGAAAGGGTGTACACAGGGGAGCAGAAATTCTGTTTCCAAAAGATGAAAAAAAAAAACACTCATACATACACAGAAACCAATTCATATCATAATGCTTCATTTTCTCACAGGGTTCAATCATAGAGCTATCATGTATTTATTATTCACTTGTCATGTTCCCAATATGAAACTAAGCGCCTGAAAGGTAAAGCTATAAGACATAAACTATCAGTCCATTAAGGAATCTATAACCTACTTGAAGTTAAGCAGAGACCAATAAGGAATAAATATTAGACTGAGACCTGATAATCAGCTGTGTGACACTTGATCAATCATTTCCTATCATAAATTCTTTGCAAAAGGAGGAGGCTCAACTATATGAGTTTTCCCAAATTATCCTCCACAGCATGTTAAAAAGTGTGTTATTCAAAAACAGAGCTCTTTGATCTGGTAATAGGGCAGAAACTAGTACCAGATAAAGAAGGTCATAGTAAGTTGATACAGAGCCCATGCTTCCCATGTAGGAAATACCGACTTAATTTAATCAGGTTTCTTTATTATAAGACTTTTCAGAGCCTTTAAAATGCTAATGAGCAATGGGACAAAAGTACAGTCTCAAAATATTTAGCTATACAGTCCTTTCTGTAAGCGATGGGCGTTTCTCAGGAGTCTTGTTCTTTGGAGCTCATTTTGGAAAACTGGACAAGATAACTGCTAAAGTTTCTTGCAGCTCTGAAATTCTATTATTTTAATCATATGGAACAAAATTAGCATAAAGTGAATCAAGAAAGAAGTCAAGGGGGCTGGATTCTCAGATAATTTTGGAGTTGAAAGGAACTTTAGAAATCATCTAATGACTTCTCATCAACACATCTTTTTTGAAAGCAGCAGACAGCCCTCAAAAAATTTTATGCGGACCACCAATATATAAAAAATGGGTTAGGGTGGAACTCTTCAGGCAGAATTGGGGTGGAGGGTTGTAGTCTCACCCATTGAGATTTTTTCTGGAGGTGGCCTGGACATACCTCATCAGAAACCTAGCACTATAGGAAGCACAATTTGAAATACAGTGACTCCTGACCCTTCAGATAAAGCTATTCTGGGAAACCTTTAGGAAAGTGTTAGAACTCATACCTTTTTACAGGAAGGTGCTCACCCTTCCCAAGTGTCATCTCAATTTTAACTGTAACCCATTCAAATCAGATAAATGAAATAATCATTATGTCAACATAACTATAAAACCATCCTTACTCCAGGAAATACCAAAAGAAAGTTAATATACTAAAATATAATCCATGTACGAATGAGAAGCATGAAAGAGTTAAACAGGGTAGTGATATAGCTAAATTGGGATTTAAAGAAGACACCTCTGGCAGCAGTAGGGAAAGGAGATTTGAGGTGTGAGAGTGGCTTGACCAGGGACAGTGATATCAGAGATGCTAGGTAAATCTGGCAGGACTTCTCATATTTTATTTTTTGTTTATTCTTTAATATTTAATAAAGTCTTTTAGAAAAGAATCAAACCTATTTCAGTTGTGTTAGGAAAAACCACAAAGGAACGAGCTGTCAGGCATGGGCCAGGATTTTCAAAGAGGAATTGCTGCTCCAGAGGTCAGCATGGTGGAGACAACAAGCATCACTGGAGGCAGCCATCTTCCAGGGGAAGATAAAACCAAGGAGGCAAAAATCAATACTACATGTCAGCCACCTCACCGAGCGTTTCAGTAATAAACTTCCAAAGATCAGCATCTTATTTTAAATAAGACAATTTTCTTAGAGAGATAAAAGGCTCAAGGCCTAATACCCATATCACCTCAAGCCCCAAACTCCCCCAGGCCCAGGTTACCTCCTTGCTTCTTCTGATGGAATGATCTTTCCATTCGGATCCTCTGCTGTTCTAGTCTCTGGTCCCTTCTTTTTTGTCTGTGTGTGTGTGTTAAGATTCATTTTATTTTATTTTATTTTATTTTATTTTATTATTTTATTTTATTATTATTATACTTTAAGTTTTAGGGTACATGTGCACAATGTCCAGCTTAGTTACATATGTATACATGTGCCATGCTGGTGTGCTGCACCCATTAACTCGTCATTTAGCCTTAGGTATATCTCCTAATGCTATCCCTCCCCCCTCCCCCCACCCCACAACAGTCCCCAGAGTGTGATGTTCCCCTTCCTGTGTCCATGTGTTCTCACTGTTCAATTCCCACCTATGAGTGAGAACAGGCGGTGTTTGGTTTTCTGTCCTTGCGATAGTTTACTGAGAATGATGATTTCCAATTTCATCCATGTCCCTACAAAGGACATGAACTCATCTTTTTTATGGCTGCATAGTATTCCATGGTGTATATGTGCCACATTTTCTTAATCCAGTCTATCATTGTTGGATATTTGGCTTGGTTCCAAGTCTTTGCTATTGTGAATAGTGCCACAATAAACATACGTGTGCATGTGTCTTTATAGCAGCATGATTTATAGTCATTTGGGTATATACCCAGTAATGGGATGGCTGGGTCAAATGGTATTTCTAGTTCTAGATCCCTGAGGAATCGCCACACTGACTTCCACAATGGTTGAACTAGTTTACAGTCCCACCAACAGTGTAAAAGTGTTCCTATTTCTCCACATCCTCTCCAGCACCCGTTGTTTCCTGACTTTTTAATGATTGCCATTCTAAGTGGTGTGAGATGGTTTCTCATTATGGTTTTGATTTGCATTTCTCTGATGGCCAGTGATGGTGAGCATTTTTTCATGTGTTTTTTGGCTGCATAAATGTCTTCTTTTGAGAAGTGTCTGTTCATGTCCTTTGCCCACTTTTTGATGGGGTTGTTTTTTTCTTATAAATTTGTTTGAGTTCATTGTAGATTCTGGATATTAGCCCTTTGTCAGATGAGTAGGTTGTGAAAATTTTCTCCCATTTTGTAGGTTGCCTGTTCACTCTGATGGTAGTTTCTGTTGCTGTGCAGAAGCTCTTTAGTTTAATTAGATCTCATTTGTCAATTTTGGCTTTTGTTGCCATTGCTTTTGGTGTTTTAGACATGAAGTCCTTGCCTATGCCTATGTCCTGAATGGTAATGCCTAGGTTTTCTTCTAGGGTTTTTATGGTTTTAGGTCTAACGTTTAAGTCTTTAATCCATCTTGAATTAATTTTTGTATAAGGTGTAAGGAAGGGATCCAGTTTCAGCTTTCTACTTATCGCTAGCCAGTTTTCCCAGCCCTTATTAAATAGGGAATCCTTTCCCCATTGCTTGTTTTTGTCAGGTTTGTCAAAGATCAGATGGTTGTAGATATGCAGTATTATTTCTGAGGGCTCTGTTCTGTTCCATTGGTCTATATGTCTGTTTTGGTACCAGTACCATGCTGTTTTGAGTACTGTAGCCTTGTAGTATAGTTTGAAGTCAGGTAGTGTGATGCCTCCAGCTTTGTTCTTTTGGCTTAGGATTGACTTGGTGATGCGGGCTCTTTTTTGATTCCATATGAACTTTAAAGTAGTTTTTTCCAATTCTGTGAAGAAAGTCATTGGCAGCTTGATGGGGATGGCATTGAATCTATAAATTACCTTGGGCAGTATGGCCATTTTCATGATATTGATTCTTCCTACCCATGAGCGTGGAATGTTCTTCCATTTGTTTGTATCCTCTTTAATTTCATTGAGCAGTGGTTTGTAGTTCTCCTTGAAGAGGTCCTTCACATCCCTTGTAAGTTGGATTCCTAGGTATTTTATTCTCTTTGAAGCAATTGTGAATGGGAGTTCACTCATGATTTGGCTCTCTGTTTGTCTGTTGTTGGTGTATAAGAATGCTTGTCATTTTTGTACATTGATTTTTTATCCTGAGACTTTGCTGAAGTTGCTTATCAGCTTAAGGAGATTTTGGGCTGAGACAATGGGGTTTTCTAGATATACAATCATGTCATCTGCAAACAGGGACAATTTGACTTCCTCTTTTCCTAATTGAATACCCTTTATTTCTTTCTCCTGCCTAATTGCACTGGCCAGAACTTCCAACACTATGTTGAATAGGAGTGGTGAGAGAGGGCATCCCTGTCTTGTGCCAGTTTTCAAAGGGAATGCTTCCAGTTTTTGCCCATTCAGTATGATATTGGCTGTGGGTTTGTCATAGATAGCTCTTATTATTTTGAGATACGTCCCATCAATACCTAACTTATTGAGAGTTTTTAGCATGAAGGGTTGTTGAATTTTGTCAAAGGTCTTTTCTGCATCTATTGAGATAATCATGTGGTTTTTGTCTTTGGTTCTGTTTATATGCTGGATTACATTTATTGATTTGCGTATATTGAACCAGCCTTGCATCCCAGGGATGAAGCCCACTTGATCATGGTGGAAAAGCTTTTTGATGTGCTGCTGGATTTGGTTTGCCAGTATTTTATTGAGGATTTTTGCATCAATGTTCATCAAGGATATTGGTCTAAAATTCTCTTTTTTGGTTGTGTCTCTGCCCGGCTTTGGTATCAGGATGATACTGGCCTCATAAAATAAGTTAGGGAGGATTCCCTCTTTTTCTATTGATTGGAATAGTTTCAGAAGGAATGGTACCAGTTCCTCCTTGTACCTCTGGTAGAATTCGGCTGTGAATCCATCTGGTCCTGGACTCTTTTTCGTTGGTAAGCTATTGATTATTGCCACAATTTCAGAGCCTGTTATTGGTCTATTCAGAGATTCAACTTCTTCCTGGTTTAGTCTTGGGAGGGTGTATGTGTCGAGGAATTTATCCATTTCTTCTATATTTTCTAGTTTATTTGCGTAGAGGTGTTTGTAGTATTCTCTGATGGTAGTTTGTATTTCTGTGGGATTGGTGGTGATATTCCCTTTATCATTTTTTATTGTGTCTATTTGATTCTTCTCTCTTTTCTTCTTTATTAGTCTTGCTAGCAGTCTATCAATTTTGTTGATCCTTTCAAAAAACCAGCTCCTGGATTCATTAATTTTTTGAAGGGTTTTTTGTGTCTCTATTTCCTTCAGGTCTGCTCTGATTTTAGTTATTTTTTTGCCTTCTGCTGGCTTTTGAATGTGTTTGCTCTTGCTTTTCTAGTTCTTTTAATTGTGATGTTAGTGTGTCAATTTTGGATCTTTCCTGCTTTCTCTTGTGGGCATTTAGTGCTATAAATTTCCCTCTACACACTGCTTTGAATGCATCCCAGAGATTCTGGTGTGGTGTGTCTTTGTTCTCGTTGGTTTCAAAGAACATCTTTATTTCTGCCTTCATTTCGTTATGTACCCAGTAGTCATTCAGGAGCAGGTTGCTCAGTTTCCATGTAGTTGAGCGGTTTTGAGTGTGTTTCTTAATCCTGAGTTCTAGTTTGATTGCACTGTGGTCTGAGAGACAGTTTGTTATAATTTCTGTTCTTTTACATTTGCTGAGGAGTGCTTTACTTCCAACTATGTGTACAATTTTGGAATAGGTGTGGTGTGGTGCTGAAAAAAATGTATATTCTGTTGATTTGGGGTGAAGAGTTCTGTAGATGTCTATTAGGCCCACTTGGTGCAGAGCTGAGTTGAATTCCTGGGTATCCTTGTAAACTTTCTGTCTCGTTGATCTGTCTAATGTTGATAGTGGGGTGTTAAAGTCTCCCATTATTATTGTGTGGGAGTGTAAGTCTCTTTGTAGGTCACTCAGGACTTGCTTTATGAATCTGGGTGCTCCTGTATTGGGTGCATATATATTTAGGATAGTTAGCTGTTCTTGTTGAATTGATCCTTTTACCATTATGTAATGGCCTTCTTTGTCTCTTTTGATCTTTGTTGGTTTAAAGTCTGTTTTATCAGAGACTAGGATTGCAACCCCTGCCTTTTTTTGTTTTCCATTTGCTTGGTAGATCTTCCTCCATCCTTTTATTTTGAGCCTATGTGTGTCTCTGAACGTGAGATGGGTTTCCTGAATACAGCACACTGATGGGTCTTGACTCTTTATCCAATTTGCCAGTCTGTGTCTTTTAATTGGAGCATTTAGTCCATTTACATTTAAAGTTAATATTGTTATGTGTGAATTTGATCCTGTCATTATGATGTTAGCTGGTGATTTTGCTCGTTAGTTGATGCAGTTTCTTCCTAGTCTCGATGGTCTTTACAATTTGGCATGATTTTGCAGTGGCTGGTACTGGTTGTTCCTTTCCATGTTGAGTGCTTCCTTCAGGAGCTCTTTTAGGGCAGGCCTGGTGGTGACAAAATCTCTCAGCATTTGCTTGTCTGTAAAGTATTTTATTTCTCCTTCACTTATGAAGCTTAGTTTGGCTGGATATGAAATTCTGGGTTGAAAATTCTTTTCTTTAAGAATGTTGAATATTGGCCCCCACTCTCTTCTGGCTTGTAGAGTTTCTGCCAAGAGATCAGCTGTTAGTCTGATGGGCTTCCCTTTGTGGGTAACCCAACCTTTCTCTCTGGCTGCCCTTAACATTTTTTCCTTCATTTCAACTTTGATGAATCTGACAATTATGTGTCTTGGAGTTGCTCTTCTCGAGGAGTATCTTTGTGGCATTCTCTGTATTTCCTGAATTTGAATGTTGGCCTGCCTTGCTAGATTGGTGAAGTTCTCCTGGATAATACCCTGCAGAGTGTTTTCCAACTTGGTTCCATTCTCCTCGTCACTTTCAGGTACACCAATCAGATGTAGATTTGGTCTTTTCACATAGTCCCATATTTCTTGGAGGCTTTGTTCGTTTCTTTTTATTCTTTTTTCTCTAAACTTCCCTTCTCACTTCATTTCATTCATTTCATCTTCCATCACTGATACCCTTTCTTCCAGTTGATCGCATCGGCTCCTGAGGCTTCTGCATTCTTCACGTAGTTCTCGAGCCTTGGCTTTCAGCTCCATCAGCTCCTTTAAGCACTTCTCTGTATTGGTTATTCTAGTTATACATTCGTCTAAATTTTTTTCAAAGTTTTTAACTTCTTTGTCTTTGGTTTGAATTTCCTTCTGTAGCTCGGAGGAGTTTGATCGTCTGAAGCCGTCTTCTCTCAACTCGTCAAAGTCATTCTCTGTCCAGCTTTGTTCCATTGCTGGTGAGGAACTGCGTTCCTTTGGAGGAGGAAAGGCGCTCTGCTTTTTAGAGTTTCCAGTTTTTCTGCTCTGTTTTTTCCCCATCTTTGTGGTTTTATCTACTTTTGGTCTTTGATGATGGTGATATACAGATGGGTTTTTGGTGTGGATGTCCTTTCTGTTTGTTAGTTTTCCTTCTAACAGACAGGACCCTCAGCTGCAGGTCTGTTGGAGTTTGCTAGAGGTCCACTCCAGACCCTGTTTGCCTGGGTATCAGCAGCGGTGGCTGCAGAACAGCGGATTCTCGTGAACCGCGAATGCTGCTGTCTGATCGTTCCTCTGGAAGTTTTGTCTCAGAGGAGTACCCGGCCGTGTGAGGCGTCAGTCCGCCCCTACTGGGGGGGTGCCTCCCAGTTAGGCTGCTCGGGGGTCGGGGATCAGGGACCCACTTGAGGAGGCAGTCTGCCCGTTCTCAGATCTCCAGCTGCGTGCTGGGAGAACCACTGCTCTCTTCAAAGCTGTCAGACGGGGACATTTAAGTCTGCAGAGGTTACTGCTATTTTTTTGTTTGTCTGTGCCCTGCCCCCATCTGGTCCCTTCTTTCAGCGTGTATGTGTGTGTGTGTGTGTGTGTGTGTGTGTGTGTGTGTGTTAGTTTTTATACTTCTGTAAGCAGCAGTATTTATTTATCTTGATTCTCAGTCAGGTCCCCATCCCAAACTAAACATTACTTCTAAAATAATGACAATACACTTAAAAACAATAACAACAAAGCAGCTTTTAGCCAGACATTAGAAAATCAAATAATCTTTGTTCTATGGATAACCCACCCTGGCATTACATACCCTCTACAAGCAGGTTCCACCTTCCTTAATAGTTATACTACACTCCAGCCAAACCAGCCTCTACTCATCCCTTAAATATGTTTTGAACTGGTCCAACTCTTTGCCTCTGCTCTTTTCCTCTGTATTATCTACTACAAAAATTCCATTCATCCTTCAATATCAATAGTGATATTTTCCCTCATTACCTGAGTAGAAAGTAATTTCTTTTTCCTTTGAACTCTCATAATGCTACCTCATCCTGATGTTCATATCTTATAGTGTCTATCAGACTAATTCTCAAAGAGTAAGCAATTTGTCTTCAACACCTGTATCTAGCCTGTGCAAGGCAGTAGATCATTCCCAAAGAGGATTCTAGTGGCCTACACAAACCAGACTTAGGGGAAGCTCATTTGTGCTTAAGTTTCCCTTAGTATAAATGAGTGCTTCAAACTCCAGTAATTCACATACCACCTTAATCAATTTGATGAGTTGTGTTTAATGTATCTGTTGTGTACAGTTAATGTTTCTTTCAATTAAGTTACTTTTTAACTTCAGTATCGACTTTAGCACTGTCCTATAAAATAGCAGGCAAAAACATGGGTTTGTCATGTTATATATTTTCTAATGTATATAAAATACATAACTATTAAAGTTATAGAAATTTTTCCAGGTCATACCTAGATATTCAAAGCATATCACAAGTGGTACATTTTGTGGGAGACTGTTCTTTCCTGTCTTCAGTCAATCCAAAAATATTTGGTGAGTGTCTTTTATTTGCCACACGCTATTTTATTCTTCAGAGTAGTGGTTCTCAACTGGAGGCAATTTTCCCCCGAGGGGGCATTTGGCAATGTCTAGAGATATTTTTGTTTGTCACAACTGGAGAGGGGTGCTGCTGACATCTAGTGGGTTGGGGCCAGGTACTGCTAAACATCCTACAATGCATAGAACAGCCCCCTACAAGAAAGAATTAACCAGTCCAAAATGTCAATAGTGTCAAAGTTAAAAAACCCTGCCTTAGAGAAAAAAATTGGCAAACGAGAGACAAATTATCTGCTTTTTTTTTTTGAGTTTACAATTCAGTAACAATGTTATACATGATACTCTCAGTATTGTATTAGTCTCTTCTCACATTGCTGATAAAGACATACCTGAGACTGGGAAATTTACAAAAGAGGTTTAATGGACTTATGGTTGCATGTGGCTGGGGAAGCCTCACAATCATGGCAGAAGGCAAGGAGGAGCAAGTCACATCTTACATGATTGGCAGCAGGCAAAAAAAGAAAGCTTGTGCAGGGAAACTCCCCCTTACAGAACCATCAGATCTCATGAGACTTATTCACTATCACAAGAACAGCACGAGAAAGACCTGCCCCCCATGATTCAATTACCTCCCACTGGGTCCCTCCCATAACACGTGGGAATTCAAGATGAGATTTGGGTGGGGACACAGCCAAACCGTATCAAGTATATTCAAGTAAGAGTCAACAATCTACAGTTTTCAGGATTTCTTCTCTGTGTGCATTTCTTGTATATGGAAGTCATATTGGCACTGAACAGATGTCCAGTACCACAGCTTTTAAAATTGTAAGTTAAGACTTTATTGATCTTTATATTGTTCATACAGTTTAGAAATGACAACTTAACAATGCAGAAATGCAGTGTTCAGTACAGTACTTAGGTAGAGCAAACTAATATCCACATTATTAGGAGCCCAGCATCACTAAAACTGTCAAACAACTATATACAGAAGTATGCATCCCCAAATACAGGCTGAAGGTTGCAAAGTGGACACTATGTTTTAGATGGAGATCCAGACTGACTTTATATCAATTTCCTGGGAGCTGCTATCATTTCAGTTCAGAAAATACCAAACAAAATACCACTGTATAATATACAGTTGTTTGAATGTTGATTGAATAATTACTATGTTATAATATACTAGGGAAAATGTTAGGCTCTTTTATATATTACTTATCTTATTAGATGCACTAAAATTTCCTTAATTTGGGACAATAATAGAATCTGTATCATATTTTATCTACCTTTTGGAAAGTATATCTTTTCTGAGAACCATATCAGGTTTGTTTCCTGTTGATTTTTCAGTCTGAATTTTTTTACTATAGTCTTTCTTAATTGTATATATTTAAGGTGTATAACTTGATGTTTTGATATCTTTTTTTTTTTTTTTGAGATGGAGTCTCACTTTGTGGCCTGGGCTGGAGTGCAGTGGTGCAATCTCAGCTGACTGCAACCTCCGCCTCCCGGGTTCAAGCGATTCTCCTGCCTCAGCCTCCCGAGTAGCTGGGATTATGTGCACCCATCTCTATGCCCAGCTATTTTTTTGCATTTTTAGTAGAAACAGGGGTTTCACCATGTTGGCCATGCTGGTCTCGACCTCCTGACCTCGTGATTCGCCCGCCTTGGCCGCCCAAAGTGCTGGGATTACAGGAGTGAACCACTGTGCCCAGCCTTGATATACTTATCTTAATAGACACATACAAGCGTGAGCTTTTAAATGATGACACGTTATATACATCTCAACAAAGAGTTCCAACAACAGGTAAGAGCATGGGTTTTGCTATCATACATATGTGGGCTTGAGGCCTTGTCTGCCAATTACCATCTATCTGATCTTGGGAAAGTTATTTAGCCTCTTTAAGACTTAGTTTCTTCAACCATAATGGGGTTATTAATAGTAGCTCTAATTTCACAGGCTTTGAGGGAGGATTAAATAACAGTTTTAATAGTTCTTAGTAACAGTAAGCAGGACCTATGAGGATACTAACAAAGATTTGGTATTTTTCCCCTCAAAATGTTTTGGTACAATCTGGTTCTTGAGGTTTATCTTCTAGTTGGTCAATATGGTTCAATACATTAAGTGTAACTATTACTACTTCAGACAGAGAGTGATATAAGGTATATTTTGTAAGCTGAATGTTTTAAGTTAAATATGATTTGGCTTCAGCTGCTTTGATGTTTTAAATTTGGAATGATTTAAATTTGGAACTCTTAGAGAACTGGAGGTTCTCTAAGAGTTCCTTTGCCATTTTTGATGTTCCTTAAATGTACTTGCCCCTCTTTCCCAGGCTTCCTGTGACAATAGACTGGAAACTCCTATTCTTGGTAGTTATTCTTCTTCCAGTAATCCTCTGCGATTCAATTATATCTAGCTCTTTATTAGTTTTGAAACACTGCAGGCTACATTTTAATTTGTAGAGGACTTCTATGTTGACTTTACTTTTTAGCCACATGGCTCTCTCATGGTTAATTAGGCAGGTCAATCACTTCACTGTCCACCACAGTGCTTGGACACAACATGACTATAATACCTGGTTACTCTCCTTAAGGCTTTGCCAATCCCAGCCTCTTGCTCTTCCCCAGACCCCAAGGCCCTTCTAATTTTTAAGGGTAAAAGGATCTAAGGGCCCTGTGGCATACTCTAGAGATCAGGCGCTCCCTGGAGTTCATTCCCTCCTCGTGGTGTCTCTTAAAGTCACAACTCTCTTTGGCTATCTAAGAGCTCTTCTGTAAGTGAAAGTTTCATCCTATTTGGCCTCTGGGAGTTTCACCTCTGCATCTTTCTGCTTCTACATCCTTCAAAGAATAGAAATTCAACTGGTATTTGTTGTATATCTATTATGATAAGGCAATTTCACTTATGTCATCAGTGCTTGCAACAACTCTATGAGATAGGTACAAAAAGACTTCTTGATAAATGATAAAACTAAATTTCAGAGAAATGGACTTACTCATGTTTGCATAGTAAATAGGAGGATCTTAGGACTGGGTTTTTTAAAACTTATCAACACATTTACATAAAAAATGCCAACATTAAAACTCGATGACTTTTCACAAACACAGTTGTGTAATTGGCACCTAGATCAAGATTCAGAATGCATTCCCAAGATTTTAACCTAGGGTTTCTGACATCAACCCCAGTGTTCTTTTAATCACATATGTAGTCGTTCAAAAAATATTTACTTACTGCTTATTATATTTCAGTCATTTTGCTAAACATTGGGTTGTTAATGGTGAATAAGGCATCTGCGATCCCTGCCCTAATAGAGCTTAGAGTCTATGGGGGAGTCATAATATTTTGTTTAACTATAAATAAAGGACCTTAAGGTAATAGAGTAACTTAAAGAAGTTCAGTTTGATTTCAGCATAACCAGCAAGGGAGAAGGTGGGAGACAAAGACAAACAGTCAAATCATACAAGGCTTTACTGGCTGGAAAACCATTTGGATTTCCTTGTAAATGCAGTGGGAAACCACTAAGCAATACCTCTGTCTTCATAAAATAACCTATTACCTAAGAGCTTGCTTAATTCTTCAATTATTTTAACCTTTAGGTATTTACTATGTGCCATTCACTTCACAAAGCCTACTGTTTCAAATGTATAAAAACAATAATTGATATAAAAGCTTGAGGTATAGATATATGTAAATTTATATTAATATTATGTATAATTAATATTAAATATAATATAAAATTAATATATTATACATTAACATAATTATATAAAATACATTATAAAAGTATATTATTAAATACTTTAAAAAATGAATGTGTCTGATATGTATATTTATACATGCTGCTCTTCAGTGCTATATACACTAGGGAAGAGCATCAAAATGCTGTTAGATGTTGCTGAAATTCAGAGATACCTCCTACAATCTCTAGAGCAAAGCTAGGCAAGCTATGCAAATGAACAAAGGATACTTTGTTTCTGTTGTCCAATCATCCTCAGAGTTGGATACAGTAATATGTAGCAAATTCAGTGGTTGGTTTCTCAATTCAACAGATATGTAAATACTCAAATAAAATATACATTGTGTGTCTACTACATGCTTAGGTGCTAGAGAATCCAACAGTAAGCAATACAGACACAAACCCCTGCCCTCACTAAAGGTACAATCTAGAGGGAAGAAATAGTTAACCTGTGTCTGTTTATTTAAACAAGCAAAAGTATAGTGTGTAAAACAGTGATAAATAGTGGTACCTATCAAGGAGAAAAATAAGGCAGGAAAAGATGTTATTTAAATAACTATTGCCTGTGTAAGAGAAGTACTTCTGTGGGTTTATTTATTTTGGGAGGATACTTGTCTTTACTAGTTTTCTTTCTTTCTTTTTTTTTTTTTTTTTTGAGACAGAGTCTTGCTCTGTCACCCTGGCTGGGGTGCAGTGGCGTGATCACGGCTCACTGCAGCCTCTGCCTCCCAGGCTCAAGTGATCCTCCCACCTAAGCCTCCTGGTAATTTTATTATTTTTTTTTTTTGTATAGACAGGGTTTTACCATGTTGCCCAGGCTGGTCTCAAACTCCTGGGCTCAAGTGATCCACCCACCTGGGCAAAGCTAGGCAAGCTTGAGCCTCCCAAAGTGCTGAGATTACAGGTGTGAGCCACCACACCTGGCACTAGTTTTCTAATGATACATCAGTTGGTGTATATCAGGGGTCAGTTGGCTTTTTCAGTAAAAAGCTAGAGAATAAATATTTTAGGCTGTGAGGGTCATATGGTCTCTGTTGTAACTACCCAACTCTACTATTATAGCATGAAAGCAGCCACAGAAACAAATTTGTGTGTGGCTATATTTTAATAAAAACTTTATTTATGGCCACTGAAATGTGAATTTTATATAGTTTTCATGTATCATAAAATACTCTTCTTTAATTTTTTTAAAGCATTTAAAAATGTAAAACCATTCTCAGTTCATGGACACAAAAAACTGGCAGCCAGCCATTATTTGACAATCCCTGGTGTATACAATGAAATGGCTTACTGAATTTTCACACATCAACAAGTCAAAAAAAAAAAACAAGGAAGCCCAGTGTAAGTATCATTGAAACAGAGATCCAGCACCATCAATAACAACAGTAAGAGAATTCTCTTTCAAGTGAGAGATACTAATTTTATATGACAGTGGGACTTATATTTCTAGTGCACAATAAAATATTAAAGATAATGGTACAACCATCTAAATAAAATTATCCTAACTATAGAAACACCTCAGTGAATAAAAACGTCATTGCATACCACATCAAACAATCTAGATGCCCTATAAATCACTTCATAAAGTCAATTGTATTCTCTAACAGAAATAGTTTATTTCATCCACAATGATGTTTGAATTTTCCCTTCCATCCCAATAAATCTATACATTCAGCCTTGACCCACCCCTTCAGTTCTACAATTCTAAATGCCTCAGAGAAATCTACACCTGGATATCTTGCCACCACCTGAAATACTATGAATCTAAAAACAAATATTTTCTCCACCACACATATAAACTCGTTTCTCCTCGAAATTCCATAATATTAATAATACTTTTATTACCTAATTCAACCCAAGTTTTATGGAATGACATTTTAAGATGTTAACTAAAGTTGTTTCTCCCAATAGTTGATTTTTTTTTTCTGCTTCTTTCTTTACTGTGTATTTACCATCTGCCCTGCAAGTAGCTAAGCCATTTTGTGTTTATTGCTTCAAATGAAAGACAAGTATGGGTCAGAAAAAGAGAAAAAATAAGTTTTTCTGTCTTTTAAGGTACTCGGGAAAAGCAAGAAGTCTTCTAGCAGATGAAATGATTAAATAAAATAATGACAGCAAAGTTCCTCCTCCAATCCTACCCATCCAAACCCACCTCCCAGGCTAGAAAGTCTCCTCTGGATTGAAGGAAAGAGAGAAATCAGTGAGGCCTAGGTTGGAAGAGTCAGATCTGAAAGGAATCAAACAGATTAAAAATGAAGGAGCATTTTTAGTGACGACCATTTCTTGAATGCTCAGGAGGCCCTTGGGGGTGGGTTCAGCATCTACAGACCATAAGAGCAAGCACATGGTCAGAATCATTCCTGGGGCTATGTGCTGAGGGCTTCCCTTGGGCAGTAGCCACTCCCTTGCTGATGACCTCCCTACC
Source organism: Homo sapiens (assembly GCF_000001405.40). Classification (NCBI taxonomy): domain Eukaryota; kingdom Metazoa; phylum Chordata; class Mammalia; order Primates; family Hominidae; genus Homo; species Homo sapiens. The sequence continues at coordinate 37,390,887 of NC_000023.11, read as the reverse complement.
TTAAGGATGCCTACCCATGCCTGAGGCTTTAGCCAGTTGCCATCCAGTTTTTATCCATGCCTGAAGCTTTAGCCAGTTCCCATCCAATTTTTATCCATGCCTGAGGCTTTAGCCAGTTCCCATTCAATGTTTCCTTGTAGATAGCCATCCTTGTAACTTCCCTGGAACTTATAAGCCCTGAAGAAGACGATCCTGGACACTCTGTGACAGTAAGAGTAGTGGTGGTGTCTACAGTGATGAGGACAAGCTCTGTATTTGGAATTAGCAGAGTGAGGAAAGGAGTGGCAAGCACTAGGAATCACTAGCCTGATTTCTTATACCATAAATGAGTTTTATGTTTTTGATCTTCATATAAATGAAATCATTAGTGTATGCTTTTAGATCTTTTTGGCTTCTGCTTAGTATCTTGTTTGTGAGATTCATCCATACTGTTGCATGTAATTGTAGCAGATTCATTCTTACCACTGGCTCTGTATATTATACGCACACACACAGGCACGTACATACACACACACCCCTGTTCATTTTTTCATTCTACCAGTGATAGACATTTGGATTGTGCTATGGTCTGAATGTTGGTGTCCCTCCAAAATTCATATGTTGGAAATTAATACCTAATATGACAGTGTTAAGGAGTGGAGCCTTTGGGAAGGGATTAAGTCATGAGGCTCCATTCTCATGAATGGGATTACTATCCTTATAAAAGAGGCTTGAGGGAGCTTCCCATCCCCTTTTGCCATGTGAGGACACAGCAATAAGGTGGTACCATCTTTGAAGCAGAGAGTAAGCTCTCACCAGACACTAAATCTGCTGTCATCTTGATTTTTGACTTCCAGCTTCCAGAACTGTGAGCAATAAATTTTTGTTTTTCAAAAATTACCTAAAGTATTTTGTTATAGCAGCCTGAATCAACTAAGACAGGTTGTTTTCAGTTTAGGGAAAGTAGTAAAACAAACTCCCATTACACAGGTTTAAAACAGTGGCAATATCCATGGCTCAATCTAACATTACCAATCAGTAAGACCTACTCACTTCCTTTGCTCTAACAGCAGATCCCAGTCTATTCTCACCCCTACAAATCCTAGCCACATCTCTTTAAATTGATAATATGTGATATGGTTTGGATCTCTGTCCCTACCCAAATCTCATATTCAACTGTAATTCCCAATGTAGAAGGTGAGGTCTGGTGGGAGGTGACTGGATCATGGGAGCAGTTTCTCATGAATGGTTTAGCACTATCCCCTTAGTACTGTTCTTGTGAGAATGAGTGAGTGAGTTATTGCAAGATCTGGTTGTTTAAAAGTGTGTAGCACCTCTCCCCTCTACCTATTCCTCCTGTTCCAGCCATGTGAAGTGCTGGCTGCCCTTCACCTTCCACCATGATTGTAAGTTTCCTGAGGCTTTCCCAGAAGCCAAGCAGATGCCAGCATTATGCTTCCTATACAGCCTGTGGAACCATGACCCAATTAAACCTTGTTTCTTTATAAATTACCCAGTCTCATGTATTTCTTTATAGCACTGCAAGAATGAATTAATAAAGAAAATTGGTACCAAGGAGTGCAGCACTGCTATAAAGATACCTAAAAATGTGGAAGTGACTTTGGAACTAGGTAATGGGCAGAGGTGGAAGAGTGTGGAGGGATCAGAAGGAGATAGGAAAATGCAGGAAAGTTTGGAACTTCCTAGAGACTGGTTGAATGGTTATAGTGATATGGACAGTGAAGGCCAGGCCGAAGAGGTCTCAGATGGACATGAGGAACTAACTGGAAAATGGAGCAAAGGCCACTATTGTTATGTCCTTGCAAAGAATTTGACTGAATTGTACCCCCACCCTAGGGATCTGTGGAACTTTGAACTTGACAATGATGATTTAGGATATCTGGCAGAAGAAATGTCTCAGCAGCAAAGCATTCAAGATGTGGCCTGGCTGCTTTTAACCACCTATTCTAATATGTGTAGGCAAAGAAATAACATAAAACTGGAACATATTTAAAAGGAAAGCAGAGCATAAAAGCTTGGAAAATTTGCAGCCTGGCCACGTGGTAGGAAAGAAAAGTCAATTTTCAGGAGAAGAATTCAAGAAGGCTGCAGAAATTTGCAGAAGTGGAAAGAAACCAAATACTATTAGCCAAGATGATGGGGAAAAACTCCTCAAAGGCATTTCAGAGATCTTCATGGCAGCCCCTCCTATCACAGGCCTGGAGGCCTAGGAGGGAAGAACTGTTTCATGGGCCAGGCCCAGGGCCCTGCTGCCCTGTGCAGCCGGGGGACACTGCTCCCGACATCGCAGTTGCTCCAGCTTCAGTCGTGGCCCAAAGGGGCCCAGGTTCAGTTCAGGCCACTGCTTCAGAAGATGTAAGCCATAAGCCTTGGCAGCTTCCACATGGTGTTATGCCTGTGAGTGCACAGAGAGCAAGAGTTGAGGCCTGAGAGCCTCTGCCTAGATTTCAGAGGATGTATGGAAAAGCTTGGATGTCCAGACAGAAGCCTGCTCCAGGGGCAGAGCCCACATGGGGAACCTCTACTAGGGCAGTAAGGAGGAGAAATTTGGGGTTGGAGCCCCCACACACGTCACCACTGGGGCATTGTCTAGTAGACCTGTGAGAAGAGGGTCACCATCTTCCAGACCCCAGAATGGTAGATCCACTGGCAGCTTGTACCCTCAGCCTGGAAAAGCAGAAGGTGCTCAACATCAGCCCTTGAAAGCAGCCAAGGGTGCTGAACCCTGCAAAGCCAGAGGGGTGGAGCTGCCCAAGGCCTTGGGAACCCACGCCTTGTATCACTGGGCCATGGATTTAGGCCATGGAGCCAAAGGAGATTATTTTGGAGGTTGGAGGTTTAAGACTTAATGACTACCTTCCTGGATTTCAGACTTGCATGGAGCCTATAGCCCCTTTCTTTTGATTGATTTCTCCCTTTTGGAAGGGGATTTATTACCCAATGCCTATACCCCCATTTTATTTTGGAAATAAGTTGTTTTTTATTTTACAGGCTCATTGGTGGGAGGGGCTAGCCTTGTTTCAGATAAGACTTTGAACTTTGGACTTTTGAGTTAATGCTGAAATGACTTAAGATTTTGGGGGACTATTGGGAAGGCATGATTGTATTTTGCAATGTGAGAGGGACATGTGATTTGTGGGGGGCTAGTGCCAGAATGATATGGTTTGGATCTGTGTCCCCACCCAAATCTCACAATCAAGGAGGTGGGTCCTGGTGGGAGGTGATTGGATCATGGGGTCAGTTTCTCATGAACGGTTTAGCACCATCCCTTGGTGCTTTTCTTGTGATAGTGAGTTCTCCCGAGATCTGATTGTTTAAAACTGTGTAGCACCTCCCCCCTCTCTCTCTTCCTCCTGTTCCAGCCATGTGAAGTGCTGGCTCTTCGCCTTCTGCCACGATTTAAGTTCCCTGAGGCCTTCCCAAAAGCTAAGGAGATGTCAGTATCATGCTTCCTGTACAGCCTGTAGAAACGTGAGCCAATTAAACCTCTTTTGTTTATAAATTACCCAGTCTTGGGTATTTCTTTATAGCAATGTGAGAACAGACTAATATAGTATGCTTCATAAAGACAATAAATACCTTAATTCTTAGGATCTTTCCTAGAATATACACTTAGTATGTGCTCAAGGAAAGGTTATTATACATGTGTAATCATTACCATCAAAGTGATCAATAACATTTTTTAATGTAGAAATGTAATTTATATTTTGACATCTTGGTTGATAAGGTCTTGGAATTGTTTTAAGTGTTCTATTTTGGGTATCTCTCACCTTATGAAATGTCCCTAAAGCCAAACTCTCCAATACTTAAACAGCCTATGATTAGCTACATACTTCTCCTCACCTTTATCAAGATGCTCAGAGGGAGGTGACAGAGAAGTAGGAATTAAAAAGAGGAGATAAGTTCTGGTAGGCTATTTGAATACAAGGTCCTGGCAACTCGTATCTTTAATATCATCAGGAGAAACTGAAAAGAGGCTTTTAGCATAACAAACCATGGGAATAATAACAGCAGCAGATAATAACATAGTGCTTTGTTATCAGATCATTGTGTTAATTCCTTTAATCTTTGCAATTTTATGAGTTAAATATAAAACTATTATTATCCCCACTTTACAGGTAAGGAATTTGATACAGAGTGGTTAAACAATTTGCCCAGGATCATAATGTCTGCAAAGTGGCAAGGCTAAGATTCTTACCTAGGTAATCTGGCTCTATGATGATATACAATAGCAGGTTCTTGATTGGGGTTGGGGAGGTGGATTTCTTTCTCTAAATGGGGTGAGCATCCTACAATTTAAACAAAATATTAGGTTGAGCTATGTGTGAGCAAATGTAAGTATGGATTTTAAAGACACTTCATATATGCAAATAAAGCTTTTCAGCCATTAAAAAGTATGAGAAGAGGATTACAAAGGGACAGTAGGAAACTTTTGCAGGTGACTGCTTGCCCATTATCTAGATTGTGATGATAAATTCATGAGTGTACACATACATAAAAAAAATCTCCAGTTGTACACTTCAAATATGTGTATGTATGCCAATTATATGACAATTATACCTCAACAGAGCTCTGTGAAAAAGGATAAAATAGATCTACAGATAAGCCAATCAAAAAATAAAAAAGGATGTCCACAATGTATTGAGTAGAGAAAAAATTATAAAACAGTATTCATGATATCATTTGTTAGATATGTATAAACACATATGTAAGAGCATATTATACATATATAAAATGTTATCTGTGAGGTTATTTTGTAGCCTCTGGCAATACAAAGAGCTTTCACTGAGGCATCCCTCAACAGGTACATGAAGAAGCCATCTTGGGCTGGGCACCAGTAGCTCACGCCTGTAATCCCAGCACTTTGGGGAGGCCAAGGCCGGTGGATCACCTGAGGTCAGGAGTTTAAGATAAGCTTGGCGAACATAGCAAAACCCCATCTCTACTAAAAATACAAAAATTAGCCAGGCATGGTGGCAGGCATCTGTAATCCCAGCTTCTCGGGAGGCTGAAGCAGGAGTATCGCTTGAGCCTGGTAGGCAGAGGTTGCAGTGAGCCTAGATCACGCCACTGCACTCCAGCCTGGACGACAGAGCGAGACTCCGTCTGAAAAACAAAAAAAAAAAAGGAAGCCATCTTGGAAGCAGATGCTTCAGGCCCAGTCAAGCCTTTGGATGACTGCAGCCCCAGCCTACATCTTGATAGCAATCTCATGAGAGACCCTATGCCAAAACCACCCAGCTGAGTTGCTCCTAGATTGCTCTCAGAAACTGTGTGAGATAACAAATGTTTATTACATGAAGCTGCTAAGTTTTGGGGTAATTTGTTATGCAGTGGTAGATAAATAATACAGCATATAGTACTGCTCTTTTGTAAAATTATATTATATATATATATACACATATATATCTCATACATACAGAAAAGTATACGAATCATTAGTATACACCTTGTTGAATTTTCACAAAGTGAGTCCACCCAGGTAACCAGCACCCAAATCAAGACACTTAGCAGAATAGTACTAGCACCCCAGAAACCCTCCTTCTGCTTCCTGTCCAGTTACTAATTCCTAATAAGGGTAACGACTACCCTGACTTATTACACGTTTTGTGTGTTTTTGAATTTCATATAAATGGAATCATAGTATGTACTCATTTGGATCAAGCTTCTTTTGCTCAACATCATGTTTGTAAGATTCATCCATATTGTTGCATATAGTTGTAGCTCATTCATTCTCACTACTGATTCCATGTTAGGTATATATCCCCATTTATTTATTCATTCTATTGACAGAAATTTAAGTTATTTCAAGTTTAGGTTTATTACAAGTAGTGCTGTAAACATTCTTGTGCATGTCTTTTGATGAAACTATGTATCTGTTTCTGTTGGATGTATGCCTATATTTCTATTTCTGTTGGGTGTATGCCTATATTTCTATTTCTGTTGGGTGTAGAAGTAGAATTAATGGGTCACATGCTGCCTATATTCAGCTCTACTCATTACTACTAAACAGTTTTCCAATGTGGTTGTACCAATTTACACTCCCAGCAGAGTTTCAATTATTCTATATCTCTATATTCTTACAAACTCTTGGTATTGTCTTTTTCATCTTTGTTACTCTTGAGGGGGTAATGGTATCACATTGTGCATTTTCCTGATAAGTGATGAAAATGAATACCTTTTTGCACATTGGCCCTTTGAATATCTTTTGTGAAGTGCCTGTTTCAAGTCTTTTGTCCATTTAAACATACATCAATTTTTGGATCAGCTAAAGGCCATAATTTCCTAAACTTATGAGTTCTGTATAATATTGTGAAAATAAGAGTCTTGGAGCAACAGAACAGTCATCAAAATAAAAGGAAGATAGAACTAATAGTAGGAATATAGTTACGTGCCTCTTCTAGAAATATAAGAGAAATAAGAACAGCAGTAAGGCAGAAGGAATCCTTAAGGTAGAAATGAGACAAAAAAGAGAGAAGCCATTATGAAGACAATGCATCTGGACAGGATTTGCTTCATTTTGGTGGGTGGGAAGTAAGCCACACATAGGAGATAGCTCAAGAATCTTATGTTAGCCTTAGCCACTGTCCAGAAAGTCTTTTCCATGGAAATGAAGGGACACGGATGAGTTTTAACCCTATTATATAGCGGTATATAACTCAGGGCAGTTCAGTGATAGTAGGCAAAACAGTAAATATTCTGCAAACGGGAAAGTATATCACTTGTAAGTGTGGTTGCATTATATCACCCTTCTCAAAAGAGGAAAAATGGTCATTTATATATACCCTTGAATGGCCAGTAAGTATATACTAACCTTCCTTTAACCTCACAAGCCTACATTAGGCTTTAGTTTCTTTTTTTTTTTTCTTTTATGAGTTACCAGAATGCACTATGGCATTAGGTGCTTATTTTTAGTTTACCGATTAAATTTTAGTAAGATTCTTCAGATAGCAGAACAATCAGTTTAAAAAGTTAATTTTGCTGGACAAGATCAATGCATAATGGACACCATGTATAAGTGAAAAAGTAGAATAAACAATGTGGCTTTGGTTGTATCATCTTAGGCATACCACAGCACAGAATTTTAGCTCCAAATGTAACAATCTGGTGTTTTAAAAGTGATCATATAAGAAGTTCAGGTATTTTAATTTTAAAATAAATAAGGTCAGATACACTAAATTACTTCAAGAGGTCAATATAGACAATTCAACCAGAGAGAAATAGGTTCTCACATTTTTAACTCTCACATTGTCATACTGTATAAGCATGTCACAAAAAAATGACATTGAGAAATCATTGCAAATAGCATATGGGACAAATGTGATATGCCTCTGAGGCCTTAGAAGGACACAGTTATTTCTGTGAGATGTAACACTGTTGCATCACTAGATACTAAATCATGTCACTGTAGTGAATGTTTAAGAATATCACATTACAACTACCAGGAGAACCAAAATGTAATGACTTGACAGAGATAATAAAACATTAGCCTCAATTCTCAAGAATATATATTTTGCAGGATGAATTCTTAAATAAGATTTACATGTTCAATAAAGACTTTCTAAGTAAAGATCCATGTTCTATAAATATCATTAAAAATTATTCAAAGGAAATTTGTCTCAACAAAAAATTAAATTGTTAAAGCTACATAACAATAAGAATTACATCTCATAAAAGCATGAGTGTGGGTTTGTTTGTAATATAAAATTAAAAGGCACGTGCAGAAGCACTTTTTCCCTTTGCAAACTAGTATCTTTTCCTGCAGAAGTAGCCCAGACAAAATTACAAGGATGGATTCCTGGGAGAAGGTGATGTTCTTAGGTTACACTAACTACATAGGTAAAGAAAATCTAAAAATAATGTGGAATTCTAGGCTTGAATTATCGATTTCTTTTGCTTTTAAACTCTTCAACTCAATCTAATTGAACTGGAGTGCTATGAATTCTCGGAGAGAAAGCAGAAGAGAAATGAAACAAGGGTCCTGGAAAGTCCACAAACTAGAAAATGAGCTTAATCACATTTGATTAAAAATGACCAATCCTCAAAGGGAGATTTGATTTTGTAATGATGTCCTATTTTAGTTAATGCTTTCAGAAATCATGTGTATCTTATTTGATGTTATTTCCTCATATGCATCACTAAACTTGACACATACTAGACATGCAAAAATCTATTGAATTAAAAAGATATTTTAATGAGTTGAGCTCATATGTTATTCCAGTTTGTATTCTATGTTTTTATTCATACATTATAAGAATCTTCCTATAAACATGATTCTTAATAGTTGCATTATACTCATGTACCATAATTTAACCATTCCTAAATGTTTTACCATTTGGAAATAAACCTTGTTATATCCATACACTGGAAAATTATGCAGCCTTTAAGATTTGATTATATTTTTGTAGCTGCAAAATATACACATAGCTGTGTATATCATATATATCTATAGCTGCAAGATATACACATAGCTGTGTATATCTTAGTACACTGCTACATTATTTCCTTGGGGAAGAAGAGTGTGAAAACCTAGATCAAGACATCTGGAGACAGAGCTATCTTATTCTTTGGGGCAAGCACGTGCATACTACTGGTAAAATTAAACAGGGGGGTTATCAGCTCTTCACATGTGTCAATTAATTTAACCAGCCTGCCTCTTAATACTTAACTGAAATAAACTACAAAAATTGAAGCTTTCCTATAGTGAAGTGGAGATGGTATGGCAGTGAAAGAGTTAGATCACAAAGGGTGAGTGTGGAATAATTGATTCCGACCAGGCAATACACAACAGACAAGTCCATTCTGTTCCTTCACCAACTGTGAGATATTTTTAGGAGTATGTTTCCTCTCCTATAAAAGGCTTCCAGGTGAAATGTATGAAGACTCAGGGAAGCTTGAGAAGAAAGGGCCAAGATATAATCTGTGCACACTTTGTTTGTTCATTGCAGGGGTTATTATATGCATATGATCAATTGTTGCTTTACCTCACAAATTATCTTATATAAAATTTCAGTTGTTATATATTTCTGGATATCACTTAATTGGTGTCCTAGATTATCACCAAATCATGATAAAAAAGGAAATATGTACACCAATTCAACAAATTAAATTTAATATTTCTGTATCAAATTCACTTTATTCACACTAGGTAGGCCTGTTCTGGAAAGAATTAAACATGATTTACACAAAATCATGTAATAAAAGAAGATAAAATAAAAGTTTAAAAATAAGCATTTGAGAAAAACATGACAAAGGGAAAGATCAATAATAAGAGAGATAAGACAGAGACAGGATATAGAAGGTTCTGTAATTTTGACAAAGTAAGGGGTAAACCTCCTAGTAGCCAATGCCAAAAAAATAATTTGTTACATGAGCTATGGTATCCTAAGATAAAAATAAACCAGTTGCCCAGAAACTTTATTACTTATGATTTCGAGATTAGACAGAAAAATTATCCAGTGTCCTCAAAAGAAGAAATGTAATGAATGATGTCTTCAACATCCTTATAGTATATACAATAACACATTTAATGCCATAATTTCTTATAACTTCTTTCTTATAAGTCGGCCAAGGGCAAGATAGCATAGAAGCAATGTACTCTGTATTTGTATAACATATTTAGAAACTGGCCCACTCAAATGGCTTCTTAAAACAACTTAGACACAATCGAAAGCATACCTAGTGGAATGATCATGCCAAAGGAAACTCATTGCACCTGGGTGGTTCAGACCAATGTCAGATGGTCACTCTATAAACAAAACATAAAAGATCTGACTCACTCTACTGGCCCTTCTCCAAAAAGAACAGCAGTCCTGAGAGAACTGCTGATAAGCAACTCCATGGGCCAAGATAATTCTGATTATTGTTCCATTCTAAAGAATTAAGGGCAAAGTATTATAGTTCATTTGGGGGTAGCCTTGGTTCCCTAAGAATTACTACTCCCCAGAAGCAGTTTGTGGAAATCCTGCCAAGTTGGTTTACAGAATCAGTGCAGCCCTGGGATCAATCAGCCAAAAGAAAATAGGATGTTTGTTATTATATGGTTATAGCTAAAAAGTATCCCCAAAACCTTATACTGGAGTCTAACTGTCGGGAAACAATGTACTAAAGGATATGGTACTGGGTGGAGGGAACATTTTCTGGACTATTACCACTTTAGTACTCCATTTTCAGGTGGATTCAAATCTATCTGTAAATTCCTTCTTTCCCCTAGTTACATATCTTTTCATCAGAGTTGAGGTACAGGAACAGAGGTATGGAGGGAGTTCTGTCTGAAGATTTTTTTCTTGCTCCCCCAGCTCTACATCAAGCACATTCATACCATTTTACTTGATCTGCTCATTAAAAACCCAATGAGTCCAGAGAGGTGAATAATCATACCTGTTTTACAGATGAGGAAACCAAGGCTTAGTTTGGTTACAGAGCTACTACTTATTATAACCTGTAGTACCACATTCCAGGTCTGATTCTTAATCTAATGTTGTCCTCACTAAAGTATTGAACCAAGAATGGAAAATTATCAGCTCTCAGCTTACTGTCCTACAGTAGATTTTCTAATATTAAAATGCCCATTTTTGCAACTTGCAAATTAAAAGCAACAAATATAAAGGCATGCAAATATGAATCAGAGGTTCTAAGACAGGCTCTCGGAGTTCTGGCCCTTTTTATTTGCTTTTCTACTACAAGAAGAATCTTAAAATTTGAGTCAAGCTAGTTCTCTGCAAATGCTGTCTACTTTCCCATCTCCATGCCTTTGTTCACACCATTCTCCTTCATTTAAATATGATATTCCTTCCATTTTTATTTAAATCCTAAAGCCACTGTTAATTACAGTATAATTCTTCTCCTCCTTAGAAATGTATCTTCATCAGCCCAGGAGGATGTAATCACTCTGTCCTCTGAATATCTATGGCATTCAAATCTGTAGTACTCATTTTCGTTTGCTCCCCCATTTTCTGTGTGTATATTATTCTCCCCAGATTGCAAGTTCTTTGAGGGAGGAGGCCATGACTTGGCCTATCTGCATTTGTCACAGCATCCAACACTTAGTTGGCACAGAGAATACACTCAATAACTGATGAATAAGATACCAAATCCCCTGGACTGTCTAAACAAACCAGTTGCCTACTTCACTACCTTTATTTCACTGTAGATTTGAACAATATTTTAATTTCCCATTTTCCTCTTTACTGCTCCTTTTTTACTTTATCTATAACACAAAACCAATATTGGGTTGAATACAGATTATTGTATGATATGGGTCAGGAATATTTTCTGTTCACCAAACTCATATATACTTAAGGCAGGCAATTTGGAAAATGCATAAATTTTAATTGTGACTTCATAGTTCCTTATATAAATATTTATCATTTATTTAATCAGTCCTCTATTGGTTTTAGTCTAGGATGGTTCTATTTCTTCATTATAAATAGCACTAAACATATATCTACCTATGTTTTATACACATTTCTTACTATTTTCTGAGATTAACTTCCTTGGCCGATAATTATTGCTAACTGTTACTTGCAGTGGAACATTTTTCTACTAATATATATACCAGGAATAGACAGATGAATAATAATTGCACTTTCTACTATGGTAGAAAGAAGCAAATAAAAATGCAATAAACCCATCACAGACGCTATAAAAGCAGTAAGTAAAGGACACATTATAGGAAGACTAGTCAGGTCAATTGCACCTAGAAAAGATAAGAAGTCTTCACAAACATGGTGACACTTGAGAGTCTTAAAAAATGAAGACTTGCCTGCCAGGAGCAGAAGGCCAAAAGACTTGCCTCCTGTCCAAAACTGCTGCCTCTAATCCCATGCTAAAAAAAAAAAAAAAAAAAAAAAAAAAGCAAAAAGATGTCGCAATTCAATATACTTCCCATTCTTCCAACAAAAATTCATAAGGACTTACCACAGTCAACTATTGTGCTAGGACTCAGTGATTACCAAAATGACATAAAACCTGCCCTCATGCTGCTGACAGTCTAATGATTTTCAAGGATACCTTAATGAATCAAGCAATTACAACTCAATGGCTGTATAACTCTTCTCTCAGATATACCACTGTATTTGGCCTAAAAGAAGTCTGATTCTCCAAGCCTTTCAAACTAAAACCTAATTTTGTTTCTTATGTACAAATCACCTCACTCCCAGAATAAAGAGAAGGACATCATGTTGTCATTTGTTATCATTAAAAATCTCAGTGCAATTACGAACCTGGCAAAGATCCTAGGAGATCAAATCCGTCTATTGTGTAACTAACAGCTTCAAAACCTCTGGAGACAATCAGAATCCAAGTACTTAAGAAAATTACCTCACTATCCATTCACTTCCTTGGAAACTGCTTCTGAAATGTCTTGCTGCAGTTTTAACTATCAAGGAAAGTCACTCAGGAAAGGCTGCTCCTACATATCAATTTAGTTACTAGTCTGAGGAGAAAATTCTCTTTGGCTAACCATTTCACCAAACTTCATATAAGCATTATAGGATTCTAATATCTCATGCTGCTAATTTTAAAACAGACTTTCTCCCTGTCCTTCTGATCACACAGATACAACGAAACATAGAAAAGTCCTTTGAAAATATAACACCTTACCTCTGAAGCATTCATCTACCTCAGAGATATAAGAGTAAGACAAAGGATAGTAATGTAGTCTGCTACAGAATCAACAGGATTTCAACTGGGTCCTCAGAAGAATAAAACAAACATCCATTAAATTATAATCTTTCAGAATCGTCTGGAAAAAATATTGAATTCTGTGGGTGACATTCATGAATATCCATAAAATACATTCTTTGGCCTTACTCACCTTGCTATTCTGGTCTAAAATTGTTTTTCACATTTTCAGTGTTCACTCATGCAATTAAAGCCTCAGAGCAGCTTGGAGCACTGGATTTCAACCCAACTTACCTGAAGGAGAAAAAGGCTGCATACAGCTTGATCTGTAGTTACAGGTCACTAGAGTCAACAACAGCAAGATGGCTACCCACAGCTCTGTAATGAACCCAGAAGTCTCAACCCTTCTTAAGGTTTCCCAGTCTGCGTACATTACTGAGTAAATGGAGACGTAGGGCAGATAACTGAAGGGAGTTTCTAAATTATGATACTGAATACTTGGATTAATCTCAGGAAACAGTTCCACACTACATCTCTTTTACAATAATCACACTGATAAGTCAATGCCAAATCCCTAGTTTTAGTGAAAGATCAACAAAGCTACTTGGAACTCATTCGTATCCAATACTGAATAGCACCTATAGTACAGCCTATAATTTGCCATAATGACATAAAAACCCCACATAATCTCTTACATGTGCATTAACAAGAGGATAATGGGCTAAAAGTCAAAAGTCTTTCAAGTTGTATTTTGAGGATTTTATAATTCATACTCTGCTGAACATCTTAACCCCAATATTAGAGAAAGTCATTATTTGCTACGCTACACACTTAATTACTTGAGACTCTCTATAAGCCTCCTAATTTTGATACACATCTTTAAAGTGTTCATGTTAATAATCTCATTTACTTTGGCTATCATATGAGGCAGAAACTACAACATGAACTTTATTTAATTACCTGGTCCACTATTCCCTACCGTCTTTCAACAAATGAGTTAAAAAGAAGAAGTAGAAAACACCATTACAGGATTTATCCAAAAACAATTCATTTAAATAGCTTTATCTAACAAAGTATATCATGGACAGATTAATCTTTTATTTAAAATGACTTGAAATATATTGGCTGTGTATCAACATGAATGCAAGATGAAAAATATGCAAATATTTTTATTTAATCATCTTATTTCCGAGATAAACAAAACGTTCACACTTAGGTAATTTATTAGTGGCGAGAAATTTATGGTGAATCCCTAATTAATAGATTCAACTAGTATTTACTGAATACCTAACTTTGTGACAGGCATTGTATTAAGAACAGTAGAAATGAGCATTTGGCTCAAAAAAGTCCTAACTAGGTTAATAAAAAATTTACAGATTCTGTGAAAAGCTACTCAAATTTCAGTATAACTGAGGGAGGTGGGATTATATAGGTTGCTCATAGCCTCCAAAGGTTTCTGATTATCTCCACAATGTCTCCCTCCCCTACTCCCTGTTATATGGAAATCAAGAGGCTGGGACATCACAAGATTCTACCTCACCAAAAGTTACTGAAGGAACACATGGTCCTGGTTGCTAAGAGATTATTCAGTAAAGCAGAGATTTTTTGCCCGCAAGGAAATATTCCTGAAAACTTTCCATTTCTGGGTATGATGAGCTCAGAACCTATAGGATCCTCTCCCTCCTCAGCACATATATATATATATATATATACACTCACATTTCTGACTAAACACTGAACCATGCTTATACAGTCCAGACTTTCAGCAGCCCATCCAAAAACAAAGATCTGAATGAAGATAAGAGCTGCTGCAAAAGAAATAGAGTTAGCTGTTCAAGCCCAGTCAACAAAACTAGATACTAAAACAAAGGAACCAATACTTTTTGGGTGAAAATAACATAATCCAGAATTTCCTCAATTTAGCATTCATAATATCTAAGATATAACTCAAAAGAACCCAGCATACAAAGAATCAAGAAAATAGAACACACTATAAACAGGAAAAAAAAAATCGATGTAGTCCAACTCCATGATGAACCAGATGTTGGAAGTAACATGAAGATTTTAAACTGGTTATCATCAATGAAATGCAAATAGACATGTTTCTAATTCATGAAAACCTGACTTTCATTTTCTGGTTCAGAATGTAAGGAGCTTGAAAGTTATCACTCTTATCCTCACAAGAAAAATGCTAAACAAAGTGAAAATCAACAACTCTTCCTAGATCCATTAGAGGTTGCAATTACAGGGCAAATCACTGCCCCCAAACTATAGAGACAGACAGGCAGATACAGAAAATCCAACTTTCTGAAGCAGAAGCCCAGGAGAAAACTCCAGAACCAGTATCAGGCTAAGAAAACATAAACTGTAGTTTGAGAGTTAGAAACTCCAGGGAGGCCCAATCTTAGACCCATACCCAGTTCTGTGAGTTTTAGCTCCAGGAACCCTATCAGGTTCTTACAGTAAAGATAAAAGAAAAATTATTTTGGGCTTCAGGCAGGGAGAGTTTAAAAAAAAGCCATTTTATGAAGCACTCAAGAACATTCTCTTTCTTACCAAGGCCTGCCCTCAGGTGAAACTATAGTGGTTCCTGAGTATCCACGGATACCTAAATCCAGAGATACTCAACTCCCTTATATACAATGGTGTCATATTTGCACATAACCTATGCACATCCTCCCATATACTTTAAATCATCTCTATATTGCTTATAATACCTCATACAATATAAACGCTAGGTAAATAGTTGCTATACTGCAATTTTTATTTGTGTTATTTTGTATTATTGTATTGTTATTCTTTATTGCTTTTTTTCCCAAACATTTTCCATCCATGGTTGGTTGAATCCATGCGTGTTAAACTCATGGATACAGAGGACCCAACTATATTACTAGAACATAACCAACTGGGGATTTAGCAGACCTTAACTGACCTGGAAGAAGGAAATGCCCAATTCCTGTCCCCATTTAGCCTTCCTATTTCACCTAAGGTGGGAAAAACAAAGCAAAACTGAGAAGCACTTGCGAAGGTCACAGTCTAGGGCACAGGCTCACTAAAAGATTGAGACCCAATCATAGGACCATAGAACACTTCTCTCCCTACACCTTACTACATCAATAGGGATCCTGTATAATAACAGGGGGATACAACAGAAAGAATTACATATCTCAGATCTTAAGAAAAAGTTGCTAGAGGAACTCAAATGTAACAGGGAAGTAAAAAACAAAGACAGCAGAGGATATTTTATTTCCTGACACTTACAGCTACAGAAAATACTAAACACAGCTTAATCCCTAACCAAATAAACATAAAACCTTACACTAAAGGTCTATTCACCTCAGTTCCTTTTACCCAATACATCATTTCCAGCTTTTGACAAAAAAATCACAAAGCATACTAAAAAGGCACAGTTTGATGAGGCAGAACATCAGAACCAACCTCAATTATGACAGAGACCTTGGATTTATCAATTCATGAAAACCTCAGTAGAGAAATAGGAAGCCTCAGCAGAGAAATAAAGGCAATAAAAAAGGAAATTTTAAAATACAAAATATAATTTATGAAAAAAATCACTAGATGGATTTAACAGCAAAATGGACATAACAGGAATAAGTGAACTCGAAGACAGATCAATAGAAATTACACAAGTTGAAGAACAGAGAAAAAAATGACACAAATTGAACAGAAGCTCAAAAACTTAATAGATGATATCGAACAGTCATACATAAGCGAATTTAGTATACCAGTAGAAGAGGAGATAGAATGGGACATAAAATATATTTGAAGTAATAATAAATGAAAATTTCCCAAACTTGATGAATGATAGCAATGAATATATACAAGATACGAAATGATTTCAAAGCAGAATAAATACAGAGAAGTCCATTCTGAGGTAAATAATAAACCACTGTAAGTCAAAGAGAAAGAGCCTTGAAAGCAGCAAGAGAAAAATGACATATCACAGTCAAAACAACAATTCAGTTAATGCTTAACTTCTCATCAGAAACTATGGATCATGGACACTAAAGAAAATAAAATTACAGACAAATATCCCTGACGAACACAAATGCAAAAATACTCAACAAAATACTAGCAAACTGAATTCAATAGCATATTTAAAAGATCATTCACCAGATCAAATGGAATATATTCCTGGAACACAAGGATAATTCAACATATAGAAAGCTATAAATATGACACACTACATTAACAGAATGATAGACAAAAACTATATGATCATCTCAATATATACAGAAAAGCATTTGATAAAATTCAACATTGTTTCCTGATAAACTCTCAACAAATTAGGTACAGAAGAATGTATCTTAACACAATAAAGGCCATATATGACAAGCCCACAGCTAATAGCATACTCAGTGATGAAAAGTTGAAAGCTTTTCCTCTAAGATCAGGAACAAAGATGCCCATTCTCAAAACTTCTATTCAAAATAGAACTGGAAGTCCTAGCAAGAGCAATTAGGCAAGAGAAAAAAAATTAAAGGAATGAAAATCAGAAAATAGAAAGTTAAACTATTGGTCTTATATAGAGAAAACCTGAAGGACTCAACCAAAAAACTGTTAGAAGTAATAAACAAATTTGGTTAAAACAGGTACAGGATACAAAATCAGCATTAAAAAGTTAGTAGTGTTGCTATACACTAATAATGAACTACCTACAAAATAAATCAGGAAACCAATCTCATTTATAGTTGCTACCAAAAAAGAAATCCCACTTAGGAATAAACGTAACCAAGGATGTAAAAGTTGTGTACACTGAAAACTGTAAAACATTGAAAAAATTTGGAAAAGTCATGAATAAATGGAAAGACACACTATTTTCATGGAATGGAAGAATTAATATTGTTAAAATGTCCTTGCCACCCAAAGCAATCTATAGATTCAATGGAATCCCTATCAAAATTTCAATGACATTTTTCACAGAAATAGAGAAAATGATCCTAAAATTCATGTTGAACTACAAAAGACCCCCAATAGCCAAAGCAGCCTTGAGGGGGAAAAAAGCTTGACACATTACAGTACTTGACTTCAAAATATCCTACAAAGCTAAAGTAATCAAAACTCCATTGTGCTGGCATAAAAACAGACACATAGACAAATACAACAGGATAGAGAGCCTAGACACAGACCCATACATTTAATGGTCAATTGATTTTTCAAAAAGGGGCCAAGAACACATAATGGGAAAAGGAGAGTCTCTTCAATAAATAGTGATAGGAAAACTGGATATCCACATGCAAAAGAGTGAAACTGGACCATTATCTCACACTATATACAATAATCAACTCATAATGGATTAAAGACCTAAAGGTAAGACCTGAAACTATAAACCTACTAGTAGAAAACATAACGGAAAAGGTCCACGACATTGGTCTGGGCAATAGTTTTTTGAATATGATACCAAAAGAACAGGCAACAAAAGCACAAAAATAGACAAATTAGATTTCATCAAACTAAAAAGTTTCTGGACAGCCAAGGGAACAATAAACAGAATGAAGAGATAACCCATGGGATGGGAGAAAATATTTGCAAACTATACATCTGATAAGGAGTTAATAGCCAGAATATATAAGGAACTCAAAGAACTCAAGAGCAAGAAAACAAATAGTCCAATTTAAAAATGGGCGAAGTTAGCCCAGCACAGTGGCTCATGCCTGTAATCCCAGCACTTTGGGAGGCCAAGGCAGGTGGATCACTTGAGGTCAAGAGGTCAAGAGTTCAAGACCAGCCTGGTCAACATGGTGAAACCCTGTCTCTATTGAAAATACAAAAAAATTAGCTGGGCATGGTGGTGGGCACCTGTAATCCCAACTACTTGGGAGGCTGAAGTAGGAGAATCACTTGAACCTGGGAGGCGAAGGTTGCAGTGAGCTGAGATTGTGCCACCGCACTCCAGCCTGGGCAACAGAACAAGACTCCATCTCAAAAATAAATAACTTAAATTTAAAATGGGCAAAGTACCTGACAGACATTTCTCAAAGACATACAAACAGTCTACAAGTATATAAAAAAATGCTCAGCATCACTAAGGGAAATGCAAGTTGAAACCACAACTAGACATACCCCACACTTATTAGAACAGCACTTATCAAAACAGTAAAAGACAACAAGTGTTGATAAAGATATGAAGAAAAGGGAAATCTTCAGCACTACTGGTGGAAATGTAAATTAGTATAGCCATTTTGGAAAACAGAATGGAGGTTCCTCAAAAAATTTAAAAAGTACTACCATATGATCCAGCAGTTCTGTCACAGGATTCTTGTGGTGTTGCTTCACCAGCCAGAAACCTCTGTGGCCAGTGGCATCTTTGCCTGAGTTTTACTTGGGCCTGCTGAGCTCATTCCACCCACTCAGCCTGGCAGGCTACACTCGGCTCACACTACCAGCCTGGCTCCCAAGCCTGCCAAGGGCAAGCCAGGCATAGAGCGGTGAGGAGCGTTGTGAGCAAGTATAGGGTCCAGCCTCTGTGCATAGCCAGGCATGCTGGCTGAAGTGGGGCAGGAAACTCCAGATGCTGGCATGGGCGCTGGCTCCCTGCAAGGCTGTGGCTGGGCCAGGCGTACTGCAAGCAGCTTCCACGGCTGGCACCAGGGAACACAGTAGCACCCAGAAGCTTGGAAATGCCAGGAACCGCAACGCCTCAAACAGGGTGTCACAGCCCTGGCTCAGGGAACTCCTAGGTCTGGGCTCCCAGAAGGGAAGCAGCTCTTCTCTCCTTCTCTCTTCTCTCCTTCTTGTTGCCTACAACGTAATGAGCAAGGAGTGTGTTTCAGCCCTGTTTGTGTTACAGCTCTTTTTGCCCTGCCATTGGTGGGTTCCAAGTTCTTGTCCTTTATCCAGGAAGAATGAGGTACATGGACAAATGGAGGGCGAGCAAGGCAAAAAGGAGCTTTACTGAGCGACAGAACAGCTCAGAGGAGACCCACATTGGGTAGCTCCTCTCCACAGGCAGGGTGTCTTGATGAGTGTTCAGCTCTCAGCAGAGAGGACACCCTGGAGTGGGTAGCTACTCTCCACAGCTGGACATCTCATCCTTTCCTTGAGTCTGGTTGATATCTGGGATTTTTATGTGCTTCAGAGGGGAGGAAGTGCATGCTGACTAACTAGTCCATGAGTGGCTATGGGTGGGCTGGGAAAAGCACCATAAGTTCCCACTCCAGTCTGTGTGACTGGCAGCCTGGCTCCCAAGCTTCAGGCCTTCCCTGACTTGAAGGTGGGGCTTCACTGGTGACCTATCCCTTTCTACTCAGGAGCCTGTCTGCCTCCTGCCGCTGTTCATGGCATCCAGGCTGTTTGTGCTGAAGGGTGCCTGCACGCCAGCACCAAACTGCTCTCAGCTCCCCCTTGACCTCCCTCCCATGCTCGTTGGCACCCACCTGGCCAGTTGCAACAGTGCCTGGGCTCAGCCTCAACTTTGCTCTGAGATCAGAGTGGGTACCAGGAGTGGGGAAAGGCCAGGCAGCAGGAGCAGATACTTCTGAGCTGGCAGGCGCATGGGGGGCCTTCCCAGACCACTGAGAGTAGAGACTCCTGGGTCCACAGCCATGGCTGGGCAGCTACAGCTGTGCCTGGGAGGATGGGGCTCCTGTCTGCTCCTGGCCCCAAGGTGCACAGGGAGGCCTGGGTCTGCAGCCACAACTTGGGCAGTTGCAGCTGCACCCAGGAGGGTAGGGCTCCAGCCTGCTCCCAGCCCCCAAGGGCACAGGAAGTCCTGGGTCCACAGCCATGACTTGGGTGGCTACAGCTGTGCCCTGGAGGGCACAGCTCCTGCCTAGTCCCAGCCCCTGCTGGCTCCATGGAGTGAGCAGCCTTGGTCGTACCTCCCCCACTGCAGCCAGTGTCATGGCAGCGACTGCTCTAGGTGGGCCACTGCGCCATCAATTCCACTATGGGGTATATATCCAAAAAAATATAAATCAGTATGTCAAAGAGATATCTTAACTCACATGTTCATTGCAGCAGTGTTCACAATAGCCAAGATACAGAATCAACCTAAGTATCCTTCAACAGATACATGGATAAAGAAAATGTGGTATATACTCACAATGGAATACTATTTCAGCCTTTAAAATGAAAGGATTCCCTGTCATTTGCAGCAACATGGATAAACCTGAAGGGCATTAAGTGAAATAAGCCAAGCACAGAAAGTTAAATATCATATAATCTCATTTATATGAAACCTAAAAAAGTTGAACTAATAGAAGCAGAGAGTAAGTGGTGGTGTATTAGTTTGTTCTTATGCTGCTAATAAAAACATACCTGAGACTGGGTAATTTATTAAAAAAAAAAACAGAGGTTTAATGGACTCACAGTTCCACATGGTTGGGAGGCCTCATAATCATGGCAGAAAGCAAAGGGGCAGTAAAGGGATGTCTTACATGATGGCAGGCAAGAGAGCATGTGCAGGGAAACTGCCCTTCATGAAACCATCAGATCTCGTGAGACTTATTCACTATCAGGAGAACAGTATGGGAAAGACCCACCCTCATGATTCAATTGCCTCCCACCAGGTCCCTCCTATGACACGTGGGGATTATGGGAGCTACAATTCAAGATGAGATTTAGGTGGGGACACAGCCAAACCATATCAGGTGGTTATCATGAACTGGGTGGGGGAAGATCAAAGAGATGTTGGTCACATGATACAAAATTTCAGTTAGACAGGAGGAATAAATTCAAGAGATCTACTGTACAACATGGTGACTGTAGTTAATAACAATGTATTATATACTTGAAAATTGCTGAGAAAGTAGATTTTAAGTGATGTTACCACAAAAATGACATGTAAGGTAATGCATATATGTTAACAAGCTCAATTTTAAAACATCATCTTACACAAATCTATGTAATTTTCATCAATTAAATTTTTAAATTAAAAAAAATGGAGGACTGAAAAACTGTTAAAACATCTTTAAAGCATGAAAAAATGAAATGTTAACCCAGAATTTTATATTCAGCAAAAATATCACTGAAGTGTGAAAGTGAAATAAAGGTATTTTCACATAAAACTAAAAGCATTTGTCATCAGCCAACCTGCACTATAAGAAATGCTAGAAGTTATTTACATAGAAGAGAAATGATACCAGATGGAATTGGGATACTCAGAAATGAATGAAGAAAATCAGAAAGGGTAAATGGTGGAGAAAATGCAAAATACTATTTTATCCTTTTTTTCCTCTATATAAACCAAATAACTGTTTAAAAGTAAAATGATAATAGTGCCTTGTGGGCTGTGTGAGTAGAGGGGAGTTTGTTTTACATGTAATAACTACAATCAAAAGAATAGGGGTGTGGGCCTGGAAATTTGTAAGATTTCCATATTTTACTTGAAGTAGCACATTATTAACTAAGTAAGTGGACTATGAAAGCTATGGCTGTATCTTATAATCCCTAGGGCAGCCACTATCAAAAAAAGTACAAAAAAAAGAATAGCTAGAGTATCAATAGGAAAAATAAAATAGAATTCTGAAAACATTTACGGATTTAAAAAAAGCTGGAAAAGAGGAAGAAAAAACAGAAGAGGCATGTAGAAAATAAAAAAAAACAGATCTTAGGTCTAAACCTAACTATATTGGCAGTTATATTAAAAATTACTGAACTAGATTTCAATTAAAAAGGCAGAGATTATCAGAAGGTAAAATTTTAAAAATCCAAGCAACTATATACTGTTTATAAGACATTCATTCTAAATATAAATATGCAGATGTGTCAACAGTACACAGATGGAAAAGATACACCTCGCAAAGAGTTAAGCAAAAAGCTAGAATGGCCATCAGAAGACAAATATAAAAAACAAATGTATTATAAGAGATAAAGAGGAACAATTCATAATGATAAAAGGGTCAATTCAATAGAAAAGATCATACCAAATGCATACGGATCCCATAATAGCATTTTAAAATACATGAAACAAGAACTGTCAGAATTGAATGCAGAAATCCATAATTCCACAATCATAACTAGAGATTTTAACAATCTTGTTTCAGCAATTAACTGAACTAGAAAAACAAAATCAGCAAAACACAGAAGATCTGAACTCTATTAGCTACTTTTATATAACTGGTATTCATAGAACAATACATCCAGTAATGCCAAAATACACATTCTTTTCAGGGCATGTGATGTACTTACCAGGAAAGATCATATTCTAGGCCATGAAACAAGTCTCAACATTAAAAAAAGGAATCATATGGAGTGTATTCTCTGACCACAATAGAATTAAATTAGAATACAGTTTTGGGGAACCCAGGACCACCCTCAAGTTCGAGGTTCATCAAAACGACTCAATATTAGGTTATAATCAAGGCTAAAATGTATTACAGCAAAAGGAGCAGAGTAAAAGCAGCAGGAAAAAGATATGCATTGGGTAGAACCCAGAGAGGTCAGACATAGGCTTTCTATACGTGCTTTCTCTCTAGTAGCACAATACAGGAACATATACAGAATATCTCTATTTGAAGAAGAGCGCAAGAGCATTTAAGTCTCAGCATTCATAGCTTTTATAGAGGGCTGGCCATATAGGCATATCCAGCTATAGGACCAGCCACAATAACCAAGACTTAGAAACTAGGTATACCTTATCAATCTTGATGTTTGTACAAAGCAATTTTGACAAGCAGGTACCTACATAGTCCATTGCTCCAGGTGTACAAAAAAAAAAATCCACCATTTATGTAAAAGACATCCAAAGGGTCACATTCCCAGTGGCTGGTCAAGAGTCAATCATGATCCAAGTTCCCTTGGAGATATGAAGGAGATCTGCTGAATGTTAACACAGATCTGCTATGTTAACATTTTCCTCTCAAATTTACCTACATGAAAACCAGGAAAACCCTACATATTTGGACAGTAAAAACACAATTGTAAATTAATCATTGAATTAAAGAATAAATTACAAGAGAAAGTAGACAAAATTTTGAACTAAATATAATAAAAATACATATCAAAATCTACAAACACAGTTAAAATAGTGCTTAGAAGGCAAAAATGCCTTAAATGCCTATATTAGAAAAGAATATAATGCAAAATCAAGTATTGCATATTTTTTTACAAAAATGTATACTTTAGAGATTATTCTCCATGTTGCCTTCTATTTTTTCCAGATATTATGCCAAACTAGAAATGTTTTACAGATGCTTATATGGTCAAACATTTGGTTTCTTTGAAACACAAAACACCATAGACTGAGGAGACCACAGGATTGACGAGCAGGAGGCAACCACATATTCAAAGTGCACCATTCTGAGTAGGCCCAAACACTGTTACTGTGCTTCCTTTCTTACCACACTCAGGTAGATGTGTGTGTGAGGGCAGCTTCAGAATTGGTATGGCCCTTCTAGTTGTGTAAATAAGACTTTCCAATGAGCGGGTCTTGGTATCTTCCTTGGGCTGACAATGTGAGAAAAGCAATTCAGAGTAATTCTGATATACAGCTCTGGCCTCTGTCCACCTGCCAAACTGGGGGCTCCATTATGCCCAGAGACAAGTAGAAGGCTCAAGGAATATCCCATAGTACATATACTAGCTGGGTGTTTGGTCAGTAAGAGTCCCACTTTGTTACACAGTTAAACATTACCAAAGCAGCAATGTGATGGCTAACAGGGCCACAAGTATTACTGATACAGCTGTTAGGTTGGCTTGCCACACTTCCATTGATTTGGCTGGTAAAGGAGATTTGGCCCAGATGAATTCAGACAACTGATTACTTACACAGACATCGAAAGCTAAATCAGCATGGTATCAGTTCCCCAAGTCCCTAGTCTCACATCATGACACCAAACTAGAAGATACAGATAACAAATGGTCCAAGCAATGGATCATGGTGCTGTTGAAGAGCCATCTCTAAACTAAACCCAAGAAAATTCATAGGCTTATCCCACACAGGGTATAAGGTGAAAAGTTCTGCATTCAACTGAAACTAGAAAATGGGTGAGAAATGGTATTATGGCAGTTTCCTACATGACAGGGATGAGAAACTGTCTCACAGCAGCTTACCAGGCTTGTTATCTTCCTTGCTCTAGCCAGAATTGCAGGGCATTTCACCAAGAATTGGGTCAGACTACAGTCAAGCATTGCCCCCATATCCTATATTATGTTGTGCAAAGTTGTCAGAGTGCTGCACAGCAAGGCTGTTCTGTAATATGCTGAACTTACCTGATTTTTGGTGAACCAGAAGTACTAGAATAACATTTAATTTCAAAATTTTTGCAGTCTCGGCTGAGACTTGAATTAGTTAAAAGAAAGTGGTAGTGGAGTAGGGTAAGCATAAAGTTTTGAACAGAATATCCTGTCACCTACCATAAAGGCTAATGCAATTAATCACTCAAAATACAGGCACCCCTGAAGCAGGGGACCTATTTGTGGGAGGATATTGCTATGCACAG
This sequence comes from Homo sapiens, assembly GCF_000001405.40. Classification (NCBI taxonomy): domain Eukaryota; kingdom Metazoa; phylum Chordata; class Mammalia; order Primates; family Hominidae; genus Homo; species Homo sapiens. Next base: position 37,365,862 of record NC_000023.11, on the reverse strand, counting down.
TGAAGGAAGCACTTGTACTACCTCACCACACACTCTTGGTCCCACAGAAGGATACCCTTAAGGTCTGGTAATACTCCCTGAAAATAATGCTGTTGCTTCTGGTCAAATCAAAGGCAATGGTTCTAAAACAACAGAGGCACTACAATGAGAAATATCTACCCAAGAAAGTGCTAGAACATAAGCTATAAAATAAGATCAAGTCAGTGCTCTCTGAAATACTCTGCTTTAACCCTGGCTGGCTGGAGAACCTCCAACAAAATGAGTTTTAATCACATTTCTTTAAATGCAGATATGGACAGACAGATAACAGATTATTATATAGCAACTAAGATTTACCTATACCAAAAAGGAGGCTAGAAGTTTGTTGGGAGCTGTAAGCTGAATGCTGACCAACTCAGCATTCCACTGGAGGCTATATGATCAAACAGCAAACTGTTTATCATGAATGCAGGATGTGGGCAAACTCACATCTGCACCTGCCACCAGAAGGTATGCTGAGGGCAGTCACTTCCTGGTGCCATGCTCCTTGAGGTTATCTACTGGAACATCTGGAGAAAGTAGTCATGCAGGCCTGCACTAAATCAAGCAGCTGACTGACAACCACCCCTTCTCCCTATTTCTTTTACCCAATAAATACGAAGGGCTCTAGAAGCTCAGGGCCCTTGTTCACCAGAAGCAAGGAGCCCCCGACTCCTTCTTCCAAACATACTCTTTTGTCTTTGTCTTTATTCCCGCATTTGTCCTCCTTTGTTCAGTCCACCAGGGTCCGTGGCAGAAGTTCACTAACTTTTGGCCATCTTAATAGAATTCATAGCTTCCGTCAATACTACATATGGAGCTATATTAAACATTTTTGGAATAAAAAGAATGCAATGCCTCACAAAGTTCTATTTAATATGACTATATGTAGGAAGGGAATACTTTTCTTTGCCAACGTTTTACAGAGACAACATCTGACTTAAATAAGGCTGTTTGGAGACAATTCATATATGGTTTTAGACAAATTGGTCCTGCCAAGTGTGTGATGATGGAAAAAAAGAGAAGCAAAACCACATGCCATTGTAGCAATGTAACATGAAAAAACATTAATACCATCAGTTGAAGTCCAGTAACTACAGCACAAGAAGGATTAAACCGTGGATAGGTCCAGGGAGGGAGGTGAGAGTTAACTCTACCTTTGTGAAGATGGGAAGTAACACGAAAAGGAATCCATAAAACAATTTGTGGCCTATTATCCAGCTAAGAAAGAAATGGAGAATGGGGAAAAAATCCACACAAGCCTTGAGAGTGTTCTGTGGACATGAAACCACAATAAAAATTCAAGAGAATATTATTGTCTTCACTAATTATGGGCTACAGATAGACACTGGGATATCTAAACCTAGAGTGCAGTATAAACTCTCAAAGTAATCTATGAAATCACATGATTATTGCAGTCAATCCAATGTTAGATAAAAGATAAAATGGTTTTAATCTCAAGATTTGCATTTAAAATAAGTTTGGGATGAGAGCCTATAAATGATAATCAGATTGCATTCTCTCACATATGCTTGAGAAAAGGAGGTAATGAGAAAGAGGGCTCACTTTCTTATCATCCCTGCTTGTATCAGCAAGGAGGAGTAGATGGTTAACAGAAAAGCAAAAAAAAGCAGAAACTTTTTTGGAGGGGGTGATATAGACTACCATTAGCTCCTTAATATAGGGGTCCTAACTCTAGCACCAGGACTGTGATTTCTCCAAAGGAGTGGCAAAGGGAATCCCATGTGGTCACATTCCTGTTTATACCCAGGATCCAGAAGTCTTTATCCCAAATACAGGGCCTCCTTCACTATTTAACAAAATGAGAAAAAAAAGGAGAAAAAGCAGACATATAGGTGGGGTGTTAGGTAGGGGGAGAAGTTCTGTTTTAGACAGTTTACTTTAAGGTAGGCAGTCATGTATATGCCTCTGGATCTTCAGGGAAAAATTTTGACTGGGTACAGATGTGAGAATTTTCAGTGTGAAGAATGAGGTGGAAGTTGTGGGAATTAATGGCATTATCCAGGGAAGAGGCAAAAGTCAAGGAAGAAGTTTTGGGGGGTGAATGAGTGAAAGGTCAAGTAAGATGAAACAAGTAAGTGACAGCCTTCTTTTGGAAGCAGAATTCATTATATGATACCAAGTACACTTTCAGGCATCCAAAGGAAAAAACATCCATTTAAACTGATCTTTTCCTTTACTAGACAACTGGATCAATGGCTCAGCTATTTAAATTCACAGTCATCTCTTTTAATGGAAAGATATAGTGGATAATATCATTAATTCAACAATACCTGAGTAGGTGATCTCATCAATTCAACAAATATTTTTTAGCACCAACCATATGCCTGCCACTGTGTTAAGCACAGGGAGATTACCCTTTCTAACAAATTTAGAGTCTCCTCTCATTCCTTTAGTTAATATTCATCAAGCACTAATCCATGTTAGATCATAATGCTAGATGCATGAAATGCATGCATAGTAAATCCTCAATATATATTTTATCTTCGTAAACACAAAGTCTTACTGTATGAAACTGAGAATGAGAAGAGACAGCCCAAAACTATGCTTCATGCAACGGGTCTCCTAAAAAAAAAGCTCCATGCTGTAATGTCAGAGAAACCTGATTTGATATTTCAGTTCTACTGTATACCTCCAAAGTGAGCTTGGGCACTTAAACTCTTTGAACTGCAATGTACTTACTAGAAAATGGAGATAAAAGCCATATATCTTACAGGGTAATAAAAATGATAAAAATAAAATATCTAGTGCAACATAGAATGGTTATTATTATTGTTGTCATTCGTATTATTACTAAGGAAGATAATCCATATGGCCAGGAATTGCTCAACAGATGAGAGGAAAAAATAATTTGGGCAATCTTCTGAATAACGAACAATCACTATACTCTCATGTGAAGAAGAGAACTGTCAAGAGTGGGTTTGGGTCGCAGAGGAAAAAACAAAATCCCATTTTAACACAGGATTTGCTCCAGGCCCCCTCCCAGTCTGCTGAGGACTCTGACACCTTTTTCCTCTTGACAGCCCCAGTTGAAGTAGACTAGAGTCCACCCACTCCAACGGTAAGGATTCTAGGGATATTCAGCATCCTGGTTCCTGGTAGTGGGAACCAACCAGAAACCAAGTAGACAAAGACAATATGATGGTCTGACCCCTGGTTAAATGGGGCTGAGATTCTGGCAGAAAACTAGCCTCAGTTAAAAGGTGAAGAACTGAAATGCAAATGAGGAATGCAAACAGAAAAAACAGAAGAAAGGTTAGGCACAAACAACCTTTGAAAGTGAACAGTTTGATCTGTAGGGCTAGATGGGGCTTTCTAGGAGTAATGTGAAGGGTAGTTCCTGAAGGTTGGAAGCTTTCAATATCTGTGGATGGGCAGACTTGGGTTAAGGACAGGCCAGAAATGACTGGGGAGAAAAGTTAAAAAAAAAAAAATGACTACCATATTAGGAAGGAAATAATGCTAGAACAACAGCAGTAGGAGTGGACTGTTCAAAACTTTGCAAAGGTCAAGTATATAAACCGTGTTAACATTCATAGTTTAGAGAATGAAATATATAAAAAAGTACATATTAATATCTACTATTTGCATTATAAGTTAAAGGAAGTTTAAAATTCAAAGAGCACATGTATTTATTTTATACTATAGTTCATATTTAATGCAACAAAAATATTTGTATTTTTAGACTGTTTATAAACCTAAATAACTAAATTTCTTTTTTTACTTCTATAATTTTTTTGAGAAATCAAAGGAAAAATGACTAAGATACTGAAGCAGGATAAAATTACACAGGAAATTAACTATATCCTTGCCAAAATAATTATTCTGGTCCCATAGGTAATACTAATACAGAAAAAGAAACTTGGAATATATTCTATTCACTTTTTTGCAGCGACAGCAAATTTTAAACCTAGGCTTACGTTTCTGACTTTTCCTGCTTTTTCCCTGAAGCAAACATGTCAGAGAGGATTACTGTGGCAAGTTACTCATATAGATTTTTTTACAAAATTGGAATGCATAATATTAGAAACCAAACCACAAAGAACAAGCACACTGGGGACAGATTGGAGGAGATTCACAGAACATAAAGTGCTTTCAGTAACAAGGCTTTGTCACTGAAAAAGGAGGTGTTTTGTTAACTAGGACTCCAGAAAACAACACACATCTCAGACACAGTTTTGAAAGAAGGGAAGAAATAGACCACAGACAACTTACTCCAACTCAAAGATTAAAATATAACATGTTCTCCCAAAGAAATAATAGGTTACGAATTCTGAGGCACTGAAAAAATGTACCTAAAAGTTCAAATTGTGAAATTGTTATTTTAATTCTAGTGCATTTAATTTGCAAGCCTTTCAAGAAGATAACAAGTGCTATCAAAAACTCATCATCGGTATTTGAATGAGGTTGAAAATAACTATACCAATTATTACCCCACAATAATGGAGAAAGAATAGCAATTATTCAGCTTTTTTTTTTTTTTTGACTGAGTCTCGCTCTGTCGCCCAGGCTGGAGTGCAGTGGCACCATCTCGGCTCACTGCAAGCTCTGCCTCCCGGGTTCACGCCATTCTCTTGCCTCAGCCTCCTGAGTAGCTGGGACTACAGGCTACCACCACCATGCCCGGCTAATTTTCTGTATTTTTAGTAGAGATGCAGTTTCACCATGTTAGCCAGGATGGTCTTGATCTCCTGACCTCGTGATCTGCCGGCCTTGGCCTCCCAAAGTGCTGGGATTACAGGCGTGAGCCACCGCACCCGGCCTTGAGCATTTTTAAGAGCTATGATTACCCCAGCCCTGTGGCACTTTGATTCTCATTTCATTATGCCCAATGACATCTTGAGAAGTAATTATGTCGCTAATTTACAAAAGGTAAAGCTAGCACACACACCCCTTACATACCAAAGGTGTTCAGTAAATGCTGAACTAAGGTTTGACATACAGTTATTTCCTTAGGAGATTCAAAAAGCAACTTGCAATGGCAACATTATTTCTATGGTCCCTCAGGTTTTCAGGATAACCAAATCACTTTGCCATTGTAGGAAAGGTGTTGCAATACAAAGAGGTTGTACCCATGAAGGGGTATAGTGTTATTTGAAGACAATCAGTAAGGAAATGGCTGAACTCAACAGCTTTGATAGTACCATCAATTAACTGGGTATTACTGACATATATAAACTACTTCGTCCAACAACAGAAAATTACACATTTTTCTCAAGCTCATGTGGAATATGCACCAAGACAGATCATATTCTGGGACATAAAACATATCTTAACAAATGTAAAAGAATAGAAATTATGCAATGTCAGCTCTCAGACTACAGTGGAATTAAACTAGAAAACAATTACAGAAGGATAGCTGGAATTCCCCCATATATGTAGAGATTAAACTACATACCTTTAAATAACACATGGATTATTGAAGAAAAAAATCCCAAGAGAAATTAAAAACATATTTTGAACTAAGTGAAAATTAAAATACAACTTGTCACAATTTGTGGGATGCAGCAAAAGTAGTGCTTAGAGGGAAATTTATAGCTTGAATGCATACATTAGAAAAAAAGAAAGATCTGAAATCAATCATCTAAGTTTCCATCCTAGGAAATTAGAAAAAGAAGAGCAAATTAAACCTGAAGTAAATAGGAGAAAAGAAATAATACAATTGAAGCAGAAATCAGTGAAACTGAAAACAGAAAATCAATAGGGAAAAATAAATGAAACCAAAGGCTGGTTTTTTGAAAAGATCAATGAATTCAATAAACTTGCCAGGGTAATTAAGAAAAGAAGAGAGGGGACACAAATTATTATCAGAAATGAAAGAAAGGACATCACTACAGATCCCATGGACATTAAAAGGATAATAAAGGAATATTATGAACAATTTTATCCCCACAAATTTGATAAGCTAGATGAAATGGACCAATTCCTTGAAATGGACCAATTCCTTGAAATGGACCAATTCCTTGAAAGATACAATCTGCCAAAATTCACACAAGAAATAGACAATGTGAATAGGACTATACTAAAGAAATTGAAACAATAATAACCTGCAAAACAGAAAGCACCACACCCAGATGGGTTTACCGCTGAATTCTACCGAACACTTAAGGAATAAACTATACCAGTTCTCTACAATTTCTCCTGAAGTTAGAAGCCAAGGCAATACTATGAGGTCAGAATTACCCTAAAACCAAAACCAGACAAAGACATTACTAGAAAAGAAAACTACAGACCAATATCTACCATAAACACAGATTGAAAAATCCTCAACAAAATATTATCAATTGTATCCACCAACCATATATAAAAAAATTATACGCTATGATCAAGTGAGATGTATGACAAGTATGCAAGGCTGGTTCAATATTCGAAAACCAATTAATGTACTCCAGAACATCAACAGGCCAAAAGGGAAAATTTACACAATGATATCCATATATTCAGAAAAAGCACTTAACAAAATCCAACACTGATTCATGATTTAAAAAAAAAAAAACTCTCAGCAAACTAGGAATAGATGGGAACTCACTCAAATGGAAAAAGGCATCTATAAAAACACTACAGTTGACATCATACTTAATGGTGCAAGACTTGAAGCATTCCCTCTAAGCTCAGAAAAAAGGCAAGGATGTCCCCTCTCACCACTCCTTTTCAAAATCATACTGAAAATCCCATCTTATGTGATAAGACAAGGAAAGGAAACAAAAGGTATACCAATTGGGAAGGAAGAAATAAAACTGTTTTTGTTCACACATGACATGATTGTCTATGTAGAAAAATTCCAAAGAATTGATTGTTTTAAATAAAATCTCCTGGAACTAATAAGTGATAATAGTAAGGTTACAGGATACAAGGTTAATAAATAAAAGTCAATTCTTTTCCTATATATCAGCGATGAGCAAGATCTCCATTGGGAAAACCACAAAACTCTGGTGAAAAAAATCAAGACTAAATAAATGGAAAGATATCCCATGTTCACGAATAGGAAGACTCGATAGTCTCAAGATATCAGTTCTTTCCAACTTGATCTACGAATTCAGTGCAACCCCAATCAAAATCCCAGCAAGTGATATTGTGAATTTTTTTTTTTAAAAAACAACTGATTCTAAAGTTTATATGGAGAGGCAGCAGATACAGAATAGCCAAGACAATATTGTAGAACACCAAAGTTGGTGGACTGACACTACCTAATTTCAAGAATTACTATTAAACTACAGTAATAAAGACAGTGGCAAAAGAATGGACAAACAGGTAAATGTAACAGAATAGAGAGGTATATCCATATCGTCAACTGATCTTTGACAAAGGAGCAAAGGCAAAACAATGAAGATAGACTTTTCAACAAATGATGCTGGAACAACTGGACATCCACATGAAAAAAAAATGAATCTAGATATGGCCTTACACCCTTCATAAAAATCTCAAAATGGATCATATACCTAAATGTAAAATACAAAACTATAAAACTCCTAGAACATAGGAAAAAATCTACATGACCTCTAATATGGTAATGAGTTTTAGTTATAACACCAAAGGTATGATTCATGAAAGGACTGATAAGCTGGATTTAATATTATAAACTCCTACTCAGCAAAATACACTGTCAAGAATATGAGAAGTCAAGCCACAGACTGTGAGAAAATATTTGCAGAAGACATAACATATAAAGTACTATTATCCAAAATATACAAACAACTCTTAAAACTCAGCAATGAGAAAAAAAAAAACATGATTTGAAAATGGACTAAATATGTGGACACCTCACCAAAGAAGATATACAGATGGATACAGATGACAAATAAACATATGGAAAGCCCAACATCATATGTCATTAGAGAATTGCAAGTTAAAACAACAGTGAGCTGGCACTACACATCTATTAAAATGGCCAGAATACAGAACACTGACAACACCAAATGCTGGCAAGGATGTGGAGCAACAGAAACTCATCCACTGCTGGTGGGAATAAAAGCGGTAAGTTACTTTGGAAGACACTTTGTCAATTTCTTGCAAAACTAAACATAAAGTAGTCCTCCTTGATCCATGGAGAATACATTCCAAGACCCCAAAGGGTGCCTGAAATCTTGGATAGTACCAACTCCTATACATGCTATGGTTTTTTGATCTGACAACCTAGATGGCTACTAAGTGACTAATGGGCGAAAGGCATATACAGCATGGATACTCTGGACAAAGGGATGATTCATGTCTTGGGCAGAATGTGGTAGGATGTTGCGAGATTTCATCATGTCAAAATGGCACAAAATTTAAAACTTACGACATTTATTTCTGGAATTTTCCATTTAATATTTTCAGACCATAGTTGACCTTGGGTAACTGGAAATGTGGAAAGTGAAACCATGGATGGGGAGGGGGACTACTATATTCTCATCCAGCAATTGAGCTCCTTTGTATTCAAATGAATTGAAAATCTATGTCCACATAAAATACTGCACACAGATATTTATAATAGCTTTATTTATAATTACGACAACTTGGAAGCAACCAAGATATTTTTTAGTAGGTGAATGAATAAACTGTGGTACATCCAATGGAGTATTAAGCACTAAAAAGAAATAAGCTATTAAACCATGAAAAAACATGGAGGAAGCTTACATGAACGTTACTAGGTGAAAGAAACCAATATGAAAAAGCCGCATACTTTATAATTCCAACTATATGACATTTTGAAAAAGGAAAAACTATGGAGACAGTAGAAGGATCAGTGGGTTCCAGGGGCTGGAAGGAAGGGCAGTTGAAAAGGCAGAACACAGAGAATTTTTGGGGTAGTGAAACTATATCATATCATAATATTAATACAATAGTAGATATGTTATTATACATTCATCCAAATCCATAAGATGTACAATACCAAGAGTGAGTCCTAATATAAACAATTAGCTTTAGGTGATAATGATATGTCAATGGAGGTTCATGAACAGCAACAAATGTACCACTGTGGTACAGGATGTCCTGATAGTGCAGGAGGTTGTGTATGTGAAGAGGGGGTATATGAGAACTCTCTGTACTTTCCTTGTAATTTTTCCATGAACCTAACACTGCTCTAAAAAACTAAAGTTTTTTAATTTAAAAACAAAGCAAAACAATGACCCCTTCTCTTCCCTTATAATGTTGTGATCCATTCCTAGAGTTTCCTGTTTACCCATACCTATCCCATGAATTCTACCTGGAGTATCAAATAATCATCTCTAACTCAACATGGCCAGTATGTAGTTCTTGATCTCCCCATTCAAAAATTTCTCCTCTTGCAATCTTCCCACCACTCCCACAATCCTTCTTGCTTATCTGACTCTATGCCTTATTATTCACCCCTTCTCATTCATGCTACTCCAGCCGCAAAAACCATTTTGCTATATTTAGCTGAAAGGTCTCAAAAAGAACCCACCTCAAGACTTTTACAACTGCTGTTCCCTGTGCTTAGGAAGCTCTTCCTCCAAATAAATGGTTTTCTTATCTTCTACAAGTCTTTGCTGACAGTGAAGTCTTCCCTGATTACCTCCCTCCAACATGCCCTATTCACCTATAGATGAATACCTGTAGGTCCCCCCATTCACCTTCCCTGCTTTGTATTTCTCCAAAGAATGCAGCACCATGTCACTTAACATATATGTATATTTATGTGTATATGTATAGAAAATTATATATATATTTCTTATATTTTACTCATTTACTTTATTATCTGCCTCCCTCAAATACGATGCAAGCGCCTCAAAGGCGGAAATTTCTAATAAAATATAACTGTTTTATATACTGTTGTATCCTCAGTGTTTAGAAGGATGCCTGGCCATTGACAGTCATACAAATATTTGTTGAATAACTGAATGAAAATCATATGAAACTTATGATATAGCAGTCTTACGGCAAGGGCTAGGGCAATAACATTACAACACAGCATGTCTAGACTTAATTTCAAAAAATAATTATTCAAACTAAGTTGAAGAAAAATACACTTGTAGCCATTAGTGGTAGCTGGAATAGCTGAAATTATTGATTTATTTGCTAGCATTATTAAACTTGAAAAAATCCATTCCACTTAAGAGTTCAAGACTACTTAAGTTCCACTGAAGAACAGTAGTGTGCAAACAAACCTCCCTTAAAGAGAGTTCTTTCAGCTTCTCCCACTTCCATCTTTAAACTTACTTTTTTCACTCCTTTCTCCTCTCTTTTTATGGTACCTACTAATTCCATTCTCTCCTGCTCTCCTGCTCCAGTACTGTATTCCATCAATTATATGTTCATAACATTACACATTCAATCGCTCCTTGACTCCAGCAGGCTTTTCACCTTTACATATTCCCATTTTCTTGAACTCCAAAAATCTTCAAACTCCAGTCTTTTTCTTCTATTCTCCTTTCACCAGCAATTTACCAATAAAACTATTTTCAGTTCTTCCATATTCTGCCCAACATTGCTGAAGAGATGGTTCTTAACCAGGGAATTTTTTCATGCCTAGATCCCACACCCTGAAATCCAGATTTTATGAGTCAATATTGTGGGGAGGGGCACTAAACTTAAGTGTATTGTTTGAAACAGCTCCCTATGACAGTCTGATGCACACACCAGATTAAGAACCATTACCTCTATGTCTGAGCATGGTGGCTCACGTCTGTAATCTCACCACTTTGGGAGGCTGAGGTGGTAGGATCACTTCAGCCCAGGAGTTTGAGACCAGCCTGGGCAATATAGTGAGACCTCATCTCAAAAAAAAATTTTTAATTTAAAAATTAGCTGGGCATAGTGGCACATACTTGTGGTCCCAGCTACTCAGGAAGCTGAGGTGGGAGGATTGCTTGAGCCCAGGAGGTTGAGGCTTCAGTGAGCCGTGTTTGCGCCACTACACTCTAGTCTGGGCATCAGAAAGGCCCTGTCTCAAAAAACAAACAAACAAACAAAAAAGCCATTACCTCAAATACCTGTGATATGTTCTCCTGGTCACAATAATGATAATATAATACCAACTGAGAAGTATAATTAAACCAACAATCTGCACCTGAAACACACCAAAAACAAACAAAAGAAAACCTTGTGGTCATCAAATCCAAGCATCTTCTGTCAGTCCTATCCTCTCTACATTTTAGAGGACACTCTAAACAGTCTTAAAAGCACTACCGGCCGGGCGTGGTGGCTCACGCCTGTAATCCCAGCACTTTGGGAGGCCGAGGCAGGCGGATCACAAGGTCAGGAGATCGAGACCATCCTGGCTAACACGGTGAAAACCCGTCTCTACTAAAAATACAAAAAAATTAGCCAGGCATGGTGGTAGTCGCCTGTAGTCCCAGCTACTTGGGAGGCTGAGGCAGGAGAATGGCGTGAACCCAGGAGGCAGAGCTTGCAGTGAGCCGAGATCATGCCACTGCACTCCAGCCTGGGCGACAGAGTGAGACTCTGTCCCAATAAAAAAAAAAAATAAAAAAATAAAAATAAAAATAAAAAAAGCACTACCAGCTTAAAGTGCACTCTGTTCTTAATTTTCATAAATTTTTGGTCTTTTGTTCTCCTCTCCCTTCCTCTCCACCAACCTGTCTGAATGCCATACAGTTAAATGCCACTCAATGTTTTCCCAGGGACAGCAGAATCACCATCATTTATGAACTTATTAGAAATGGAAATTCTTAGACTCTATCCTAGACATCACAAACTTTGGGTATGGGGTCCAGAAATCTATGCATCTTGTGATTATTGTACATGCTGAAGTTTCAGAACCACTGTGCTAAGCAACCTGTTGGAAATACATGGGAGTTATCTACAAATACAGAACTGGAGCTCAAACAGGGTGGGAAATATCAATACATCCACATTCTGAAGTTAATTGCTATTGAAATAATGGGAGCTCACAAGAAACAGCAGACATAAATAACAACAGCTAACATTTTAAAAGCACTACTATGTGCTAGACATTATAAGCTGTTAACAGTCATGCATCACTTAACAACTGGGATATGGTCTGAGAAATGCCTTTAGGCGATTTCGTTGTTGTGTCAACATCATAGAATGTACTCACACATACCTGGATGGTATAGCTTACTACACACCTAAGCAATATGGTATACCCTATTATTCCTAGGCTACAATCCTGTACAGCATGTTACTGTACTGAACAGGCAATTGTAACACAATGATGTCTGTGTATCTAAACACAGAAAATGTACAGTAAAAATAGGTATAAAAGATAAAAAATGGTACATCTGTATAGGGCACTTACCATGAATAGAGCCTGCAGGACTGAAAGCTGCTCTGGGTAAGTCAGTGAGTGAGTGGTAAGTGGATATGAAGCCCTATGACATTTACTGTACACTACTGTAGTCTTTATAAATAGTCTCCACTTAGGCTACACCAAATATATAAAAAATGTAATTCTTTCTTCAATAATAAATTAACCTTAGCTTACTATAACTTCTTTACTACATAAACTTTTTAATATTTTAAACTTTTTGACTCTTTTGTAATAATACTGAGCTTAAAACATACACTGGACAGTTGTACAAAAACATTTTCTTTCTTTATATCCTTATTCCATAAGTTTTTATCTATTTAATTTGTTTAACTTTTTAAACATTTTTATTAAAAACTAAGACACAAACATACACATTAGCCTAGACCTACACAGGGTCAGGATCATCAATATCACTCTTCCACTTTCACATCTTGTTCCACTGGAAGGTTTTCAGGGGCAATAACATGGGTGGAGATATCATCCCCTATGATAACAATGCCTTCTTCTTGCCTTCCTGAAGGACCTGTCTGAGGCTGTTTTACAGTTAATTTTAAAAAATATATAAGTAGAAGTATACTCTAAAATAATAATTAAAAAGTATAGTATAGTAAATAAACCATTAGCATAGTTATTTATTATCAAGTGTTATATACTGTAATGCATTGCACTGTGACATTACAAAGGCTACAAAGTCACCAGGTTTTTCAGCTCCATTATAATCTTATGGGAACCACCATCACACATGTTGTCCATAGTTGACCAAAATGTCATTATGCGTCACATCACTATATACCTGATCTTAATTATCAGGTAAGTATTATAATTATCATTTTTACAAGTGAGGAAACTAATGCTCGGAAAGAAAAGTTTAACTTCTTGTCTTGCCTCCAATTTTCGATTTCTCCAGTTTCCATGCCCTTGACTCTTGTGCATACAGTGAGAAAAAGAGTTTTGAACAGAACCCTGAGAAGACTGTGGAGGTGACTGAGGTTAACCGGTCAAAGAATTAGAGAAAAAAAATCAGAAATATGAGAAGGAAGTCTAAGAGGAAAGTTTTAAGAAGGAAGGTATAATCACAATGGTTGGTTTGGAATATTTTTTCAGTCAGTAGGTCCACAGATGATGTAGAACTTTAAAAAAGTTTTATGGATGCTACTACTCTTCCTCCCTGAGTTTTGAGTTTTAGTCAAAAAAAGAGACTAACTTGAAGTGTTTTAGGAACAATGACTAATGCTATTTTTAAAAGTGAAATGAAAAAAAGTGCTTTTGCATTTAGATGAATAAGGGAGAAATGAAAAATAAGGGTTACTAATGCTCATAGTTCTCTGTCTGCTTTGCAGGCACAGAAGGCTAGACTAAGCAGGTAGCCAATTCTGACTTATTTTTAAACTAAAGAACCAATTCCATTCTTTTATAAAGTAAGTGATCATTTGTTCATGGTATTTTCTCAAATACATATATCCATTCAGGAGAAGAAGGCTGGAGGTGAGGAACAGGGGGAAGATAATTCCTGTTAGGAGCCAGAGGTAACTGGAAGGCCAGTGATCCTGGTGGAGTTAAGAGAGATGTCAAAGACAGTTTGGCAGAAATGGTTAGACCAAGCCTATCAGGGAACTGTAACATGAAGAGACCCATTAGCCAAAGGCCGAAAATACTTTAAGATGTAAAAGAAGTATAATACAACTGGTTAGATTACAGCTTTCTTTAGTTACATCACCCTTCAGAGAATACCATCTGGCAACCTGATTCATTTGTAGTACTTCCTAAATTCCAGCAGCAACCTATTTGTGTCTTTCTACAAATAGTTAATTTCACTAGTTTCAGTATCAGAAACTGGCCTTTTTAAAAACTTCACCTTTTTCTGATCCCTATTTTCCCTTTATCTGTAGAGTTTTTGCACCTCTTTTTAGAGGGATAAACTATGACTAATACATGAGAACATATTTCCACACAGTACTTATCCATATTCCAAATAATGCTGCTCAAATATTAAATACAATTTCAGAATTCTGAATTTCTTGTATTATCCCATGAACTTTATGCAATATGAATTACTATCTTTTTTTTCTTTCTTTCTTTCTTTTTTTTTTTTTTGAGACGGAGTCTCGCTCTGTAGCCCAGGCTGGAGTGCAGTGGCGCGATCTCAGCTCAAGGCAAGCTCCGCCTCCCGGGTTCATGCCATTCTCCTGCCTCAGTCTCCCTAGTAGCTGGGACTACAGGCGCCCACCACCACGCCCGGCTAATTTTTTTGTATTTTTAGTAGAGACGGGGTTTCACCATGTTAGCCAGGATGGTCTGGATCTCCTGGCCTTGTGATCCACCTGCCTCAGACTCCCAAAGTGCTGGGATTACAGGAGTAAGCCACTGCACCCGGCCTATGAATTACCATCTTTCTAACAGCATTTATTAATATATATCTGTAAGTTAGTTTATTAGGTGCTTATCACATGCCAGGCAGCTCTAGGTACAAGGGTAACACAAAAGACTGAGGTTCTAGTAGTAATGGAGAAATAAGGCAAGTTATATAAATTTAACAGAAAAGGGTGTGATTAATTCACTCTGGAGAAGATGGCAAAATTTTTCAAGAAGTGAATCAGGCTAAGTCTAGAAAGATGAATAGGAGTTCATCAGGCACTAGAAAAGAGAAAAGGCATCCCTAACACTCCCCGCCCTCCACCTGCCCCAAATTTGGGAAAATAGAAAAAGAAAGAATAACATAACAATAAAACCAGAAGAAATCCTGTTCACCTCATGCCTGGGGTTGGTGCAGGGGTGGGGGTTGGGCGGGGTAATTGTGTTTTTAAGTATACTTCAGATCAGAAAGTAAACGTTTATAAAACGGGATTTACAATCGAGGGAAAGGGGTGGAGAGGAGGAAGTTCAGTTTATTTTGTTGTATTAACTTAAAACAAATGAGTAAAAATATCAACATCTATGCTTGGGAACACATATACTATCTTTCATAAAAGTCCCTAAGTTTGAAAATGAAAGCATATGGAGCTTTATCCAATATTACAATATTTGCCCTAATGTTTTGTATCCTTAATATTATTTTCAAAGGTTCTAAAGTGAGTCGGCCCAAGATCTTGACAGCACATCCACACACATGCCCAATAATCCACTCTTGATTGAAACAATCAACAGTAGCCTAACCAACTTTTCACTTACCCTGGCTTGAACACCTTCGCATCCTTCAAAGTCTGGCTTTATAGTATGACCATCAACAGACAAATAATTAAGCTCTAAGTTTTGTCACTCAACCTCTTCATCCTTTCATTCAATTATTTCCTCTCAAATCCCATTAGTTTCGCTTTTCTCCTAAAGGGACTCGTAGAAAATACTTGCACAGCACAATCACAAAAACCAGTGGCTGGAGCCAGAGTCCAAACGCGCACACACTACTTTCCAGTCATATCCCTCTTGGGGCTGTTCCTACCAGTGATCAAATTCAGCGGACCAGGAAGAAGGAAAAACCTGAAGCAGGAAGACTGTTTCTCTTCCTTTCACTTCCCCCCACGCCGCCTCCCCCTCCCCCCGCTCTCCCATCCCCCAGGGCCGCACCGCGACCGACCTCGCACGCACCCCCTCCCACTGTCACCCGCCACTGCCTACAAAACAGTCATAGCCTTTGTTAAAATGTCCACGGGCACAATGGATCAGAAGAGGGACACATTCCCGGGGGTGGGTAAAGGAAAGTCACACGAACGCCACGCCCTCCTTGGGACTAGCCCGGGCCGACAGCCCACCGCCTCCAAATCCTTTCCCCTCCGACGGGGAATGTTTCTAGCAACTCTGCACCAGAGAAAGCAGCGCTGGAGGAAGGGATGAGCTTGGGACGTCCCTCATGGGCACCAAGCAGGGGACTGAACTTGAAGCTGGGACACCCTCCAGCACCGTTGGCAAGCCTCGCGGTCCTGCCCAGTCTGTGTGCGGACTTCCAGCCTGTAAACCCCATTCCTTCAATTTTTTTTCTCGTCATACCCACCCTCACCCACTCCCGCTACCACGCACTCCGCTCCCCACGCGGCCCTGGCCGGACACCCACAGGCAGCGTCGCTACCAACGCTACCGCATATCTGACGGGTTTCTCCTCGCAGAACCGAAGTCACCCCCACACACCCCAATCCTTCCTGGGGCGCTTCGCCTGGATCACGTTTCCCCAGCTAGGAACCCAGCGCGGCCGCCACACTCACAGCGGGTCCCGCTCCGCTACTCGCCGTTCTGCGAGCCGCACGTCGCGCCTGCGCGCTCCTATTTCTGCCGAGCCTAGCTGGAGCCAGGAACCGGGAGCGGACTGGAAGGGAGGTGGAAAGAGGCGGGGGCTGGGCTGGGGCGGGGTTAAGAGAGAAGGGGCGGGAACAGGGTGGGGCGCGGGGGTGGGAAACGAGGGGCGGATCCTCCACCGCTTCTGCTGGGAAGACCCAGGGCTCAGGGCATCCTGCTGGAGCTTTCCACTATTGGGGTTTATTTATAACACATACAGAAAAGCCGTCGAGGCCCCTCTGTGCACTCCCACACGCACCGTGGAGAAAGCCTGGCTCGGCGCGGGCCCAAGTAGTCAGCCGTTGGGCCGCCACGTCTCTCCTAGCCACCGCGGGTCCCCGCCAGCCTTTTTCTCTTTCGCATACATACCTCACCACACATTATTCCTTTTCCTAGTCATTTCTCCTCATCGCG
Source organism: Homo sapiens (assembly GCF_000001405.40). Taxonomy (NCBI): domain Eukaryota; kingdom Metazoa; phylum Chordata; class Mammalia; order Primates; family Hominidae; genus Homo; species Homo sapiens. Next base: position 37,348,911 of record NC_000023.11, on the reverse strand, counting down.
TACTCTTCAGCCCTGGTGAAGTGAGGGGCATAGGGATTTCTCATCCACAGACCGCCTGTGTAGGGCATCCTAGTTAATATACCTCTTTGCTATGTGTGAGCCCAGATCGTGGTTGGTGACTATTCGACCATTGTCCACTGTTACAGCTCAGAGAATTGCACTTTCCTTGAGGAATAATTCCCTTGCCACTGTTTCCGGACAACTCTTGGTGACAACTATCTGCTTTTTCTAAAAAAAAAAAAAAAAAAAAAAACCGTCTTGTACAAACTTACCCAAATATCTTGAGAAGAAAACCCATCTTTGACCTCGCTTTTTAGGTAGAGCTATCTTAGAACTTGAATCTTAAACTTCTACAAGCCCCTCTAAGAAACAGAATAAAAGGCTTTTGCTATTGTGTAAACTTTGACCTAATGCTTGGAGGTTTTCTGGCATTTTGCATCATAAGGAGTCTAGCTTGATTATTATTCCATGCTGCATGCGTGCTTGGTTTTAACTTGTATGCTTTTCTGTTTACAGTCTGGTCAGCTGTGGCATCTCACATGCTTTCAGATCAGCTATTAAAATAAACACACGCCTGAGTGAATCCAAAGTGAATTGGGCTGTGGACCTGAAGTGATTTATTCCAAACTAAGTTCCCCTTCTTTTTACTTTAATTGTGATGGAATTAAGAAACATTTGGCTTATTAAGAATAAAAGAATTGCCACAGGACCACACCAATAGTCTTTCCTAGCAAGCATTTTAACTGTGATGGGAGCATTTTATGGGAGAGTTTGGTGATTGCCCTTAAAGATCTGAATATCCCAAAATTCTTCCATTTAACCTTTCTTGTCTTCCATTCATATATTTTACAAATCAGATTTTCTAGAACTCATTTCTATCTTGCACTTGTCAAATAAGCCTAGGGAGGATGTAGAGAGATATATTGCCAAAAGGTATATTGGTAATGTAGGCACAAATTTTGCAGGATTAGTAAGTCTGTAAGTGCCTGGAAGCAGGACTTTGTCCTATTCATTTCACTAGTAAAATATTTCACATACATGTTCTTAAAAAAATTGCTAGGCTAATAAAAGTAAGATTTGCATCCTTAATAAATGTGCATATGTGTTTTTTTAAAACTTTTCACTTGATTATTTTTTTCTTTTTTGTCTAAATTTTTCAGGATATTTTGGTTGAAATGACAAAAACTAGATTGAAGTAGATCAGGCAAAAACAGGAAGTTATTGTGTAACCCAAGTTGTGAAAGGGTAGGTCTATGATTGGCCATAGGATTAAATGGAACCAGCAACAGGAATGCTTTGAATTCCAGCTCAGGCTCTCAATACAGACAGGGTCATTCTAACAGAACATCTCAAAGTCATGTTCTGCTGGTTTGGCACCGTAGCCTGTTACAAGTTGCTCACACCTACCAAGTTCCTACCAGAGAGAAAGTATCTCTCTTCTCTCACTTCCAGTTTTTAAAGCAACAGTTAAAACATCTGATTGGGTAGAATTGAGTACCGTAACCACTCCTGAAGAGAAAATGCGTATGTGACATAAGAATGGGACCCAATTAGAACCACATGGTTAAAGAAAAAAAAATAAAGAGAAAAATTTCTAAATGAAAACAAACAGTAAGGGGGAGATGCCGTTTTCAGAAGAGACAGGCAATGGACAGACAAAAAAAAAAAGATGTCCACCATCGAAACTGTATTTAAGGAATACAGCCTTGGAATTACCTTTGACCCCTCTTTCTCTCCCTCTCCCTGCCTCCCCAAGTATTCAAGTATTAACAAAGCTGGTTAACAGTGTCTGTGTATTAGTTTTCTGTGGCTGCTGTACAAAAATTACCACAAACTTCATGATTTAAAACAACACAAATTTATCTTATGGTCCTGGAGGAAGTCTGACAAGAGTCACACTGGACTAAAATCAAGGCGTCAGCAGAGTTGAGTTCCTTTATGGAAACTTTTTGGGAGAATCTTTTTTCTTGCCTTTTCCACATTCTAGAGACCTCCCACATTCCTTCATTCATGGCTGTATTCCATTTTCAAAGCCAACAATAATATTACTCTGACACACTGACACTTCTGCCTACCTCTTCCACATGTAAGGACCTTTCTGATTATATTGGGCACATTAAGATAATCCAAAACAGTCTCCCTATCTGAAGGGCAAATGATTAGCAGCCTTAATTATATCTGTAACTTTAATTCCCTTTTGCCATGTAACATATTTTCACAGGTTTTGGGTACTGGCATGTGGATATCTTTTGGGGGGCATTAATATCCCTACTACAGTCTTTCTTTACATAAAAGTAACAAAGCCTAAGCCACTGCTTTTCAAACTGAAACACTTGTAAAAAAAATACTGATATCTGGATCCCATCCCCAGATATTATTATTTAATTGACCTGGAGTCCCTTGGCCCCTCTAAACACACACAGAATTAACTGGATCAGGATGGAGCATCTCACCCATGCTGGGCCACAGAACTTCCCTGGGGATTTAGAATAGTAGCAGGGAATTGGTAACACTGGGTGTCTGAAGCTATAATGTGTCAATTTAGGAACTATAACATAAGGAGAATCTTAGGAAAACAAATCTGGAGTGGATGGAAGAGGGGAGAAACAGAAAGAGGTAGACACAGTGCAGCTGAGCCTGGATCCTCAATGGTTGTCTGCCTCATAGTTACAATGGCATTCTTATCATTGGCTTCTATGAGGAACCACTGAATCCTCATAAGAAGGTATCTTATTTTGCTGAAGCTAGCTCAAGTTAATTTCTCTTGCATAAACCATAAAATATTCTAATTAATGTAGGATGAGAGCTTAACTTTCCTCCAATTACTTTTTTTCTGATATGTTTTTTGTTAAATAAATAAGGCAGGCTTAAGAACCAGACTTTTAGAATTGGTATTCCAGATCTTCTGTCTACTTCACCAGCATCCATCTCCCAGTTACCCCATATTATTCCACTCCTCCTTTCACTTTATAGTTACTCAAAGGCCCAGAAAAGGCCTCATAAATTATCTCAGCCTAATCTTCATCCAATAGTCCAAGTCTCCCTTAGACATACCAGTTAGGTATAAATCCAGTTCTCTTCTTGACTGATGTCAAGTCAATATTAATGACTTGCAAATCAAATCTCTCACACTAATCCCTCTCCTGATTTTCAGATCTCTAGTTACCTGGCTAATGGATTATTCCTCCTCAAGGTATAAGAAATGAAACTCAATTTCTCTTCCAAAATCTGCCTTCCTTCTTGCATTTGATTTTCTTCATAATGAAAATACTATGCACCCCGTCAAACACATTAAAAGTGGTAAATCACTCATGACCACTTTTTCTCTGTCCTCAGTTTTCTATTCATTCTACCTCTTACATGTTTCACATATTAATTCATCTTTCCTGCCTCACTTCAGATATATCACCAATCACCTGAGCTACCACATGGTCTCCCAGCTGGTTTCCCTGTCTTTAGTTTCTCCCGAATCCAGTCCACCCTTCCCAGTTCTGCCAGATAGCTTTATAAACACAAATGTGATCAAGCCACTGTACTACTTAAAGACATTTCATGACTCCTGTCCACTTTACCATAAAATGCAAACTTTTTCAGCACAATCAAATCTTGTTATCTGGCTGCTTTGCACCTTTGCAAACTCATTCCCCTACCCATCATATGCACCCTAAGCTGCTAGCTGTATTTACCTTATACTTTCGTGCTGTTAGGACTTTCCCGTTCTCTCTCTCTAGCAGACACGTTCTTACGGATCCAGCTCAAAGACAGCCACTATGTAAATTCTTCCTGGTGCCATTTAAGGCAAAGTAAATCAGCTATTGATACTCTGCTTGCTATCTCTGTACTGGCATCCCCCTTCCTAAGGCTTATGCTTTAATATATTTATGCCTACATCTTCCTCTTCACTGAGAGATCTTTGAGTGGAGAGACAGACAGTGTAGCTCTAGCATTAATCACAAAGCATAAAATATTCTGGGCTGGAAAAAAACCTTGTGAAAAAAAGAACAAAAGGAAGGAGGAAGAAGAGTCCACGCTGTCTTCTGCTCATGAATTGCCAATGCTTTTTAAAATCCCTTGTGCTACTAATCATTTCACCAACTTCCAATTCAATAGTTTATGCCAAACACCTATTTCAAGACTCATGTCTAAAAATATTGGAGGGGTGCATACCCTGAATGATCCCCTACTTTGATAAATCTTTTCTTTTCAGACTTTTAATCACTTATGTATTCAATTCATACTAATGATGTAATTTTAGCCCTTCCTGAATGTCATATTGTTCGGCACTTTTACATTTTTAACTCCCATGTGGTTAGTTAACTGCAGGAAAGCAGGGTTTAATTTTTGTATTTCTTTTGTATCTTCTCAAAAATTCTTAGTAAACATTCATGTAGTAAGACAGATTATATGATAAAACCAGGGTAATAAATTTAAAAGGATTTAAATAAAAAGCATGTGCTCTAACTACAATGAAATTAAATTAGAAATGTGTAGCAGTATCATATCTAGAAAAATTTCCTATATTTGGAAATTAAATAACTTAAAAAAACACATTTTATATACTAGCACAGAATTAGAAAATAATTTCAGAACAATGTAAGAAAAATTTGATTTATAATAACATCAGAAACTATAATATGGCTAGAAGTAAATTTAATAAAACTATGCAAGACTTCTTTATTATAAGCTACAAAACACTGCTGAGAGAAATTTATCAAGACGTAACTAAATGAAAAAATATATCATGTTCATGGATGAAAAGCTTTAATATTATTAATATATCATTTATCCCAACATTAGTTTTAGTGTCAACACATTCCCAATTATAATCCAAGCAGACTTTTAAGGAAGTAGACCAACGATATAAGGCATATAGGAAAATAAAGGCATATAGACATACAAAGGAAGAACCTAGATTATGCAAAGTAATTTTGAAAAAGAACAAACTTAAAGGATTTATAATAATTGCTTTTTAAGATCTACTATAACATAATGGCAATCAAGACAGTGTAGCATAAAAACGAACAAATATGTCAATAGAGTTGAATAGAGAGACTAGAAATGTCTCTCCACTTATATATTCATTTGATTTTTTGACAAAATAGCCAAGGCAATCCATTGGGGACAGAAAAGGCTTTTCCATGAATAGTGCTGGAACAACTGGGTATCCATATGCAAGGAAATGAAACTCAATTCCTGCCTCATGCAATAAACAAAAATTAATTTGAGACAGAACAATAGACCTAAATGTAAAAAGTAAAACTATAAATCTTTTGTATGAAAACATAGACTATCTTTGTGATTTGGAGATAGACAAAGGTCTCTTAGAACAAAGAAAGCAATAATTGTAAATGAAAAATAATGAAAAATTAAACTTCATAAACATTTAATACATTTACTCATCAAAAAACACCATTACAAAAATTAATAAACAAGCCTCAGTGTGGGAGAAAAATTTGCAAAACATGTATCAGATAAAATACTGGTATCAAAATATGCACAAAATCTTTGGAACTCAACCATAAATAAATTAAAAATTAACAAAAACATTGATAGAAAATTCAAAAGGGAAAAGATACAGCCAATGAATACATGAAAATGTGTCCAACATCATCAGTCATAAGGGAAATCCAAAATAAAATCACAGTTAGCTAACATAGCACACTCACCAGTTTGGCTAAACTTGAAAAGACTAACACCAGCAAATATTGGGGAAGATATGGAGTCATTGGAACATTTATATGTTGTCGGTGGCAGTGAAACATCATACAATTACTTTGAAGAAAGATCTGAATTTTTTTCTAAAGCAACACATATACTTACTTTATAATCCATCAATTCCCCTTATCAGTATTTACTCAAGAAAAATACATACAAAAAATTACTAGTACAAGAAGGTTCTAGCAGCTTTATTTATATCAGGCCATAATCTAGAGAACAATGGATTAAAAAAACAGATATCTTTACACAAAGGGACACTACTCAGAAATAAAAAGGAATGAACTGCTGAAATAAGTAATAATGTGGATGAATCTGAAAATAAAAGGTTGAGTGAATAAAGCCTTACATGAAAGAATATGTGTTGTTCTATTAATAGGAATTTCTAGAGCAAGCAAAAATCATCTATAGGGGGAAAAAAAGAGGGGTATTTGTATTTTCCTGTGGAGTGTTGGGAGATTGGCTGGGAAGTAGTACAAAGGCTTGAGATAACTTCCTGGGGTATTATCAATATTCTACATTTTGGTTATACAGATTTGTTCATTTGTAGAAATTCATTGAATGGTACACTCAAGGCATTATGCATTATTTTGTGTGAAAATTTTATCTCAAATGAAAAACGCACACACACACACACACACACACACACACACACAAATACAAGGTGGGTGGATCGCTTGAGGCCAGGAGTTTGAGACCAGCCTGGGCAGCATGGTGAAACCCTGTCTCCACAAACAATACAAAAATTAGCCAGGCATGGAGGTATGCACCTGTAGTCCCAGCTACTCAGGAAACCTAGGTGGGAGGATCACTTGACCCTGGCGGGGGCAGAAGTTACAGTGAGCCAGATAGCACCACTGCACTCCAGCCTGGGTGACACATTGGGACCTTGGGGAAAAAAAAAACCACCACCACACCACCATACACACACAAATAAATATAGTTGTTCCTTTGTCTCTCAGTATCAGCAAAGATTGTTTCCAGGACCCCTGCAGATATCGAAATCTGCCCATATGGTCCTCTGTTGACCCTGTGGAGCCTGCAGATAGGAAAAGGTCGGCCTTTCCATGCCTGGTAATTACTGAATTTTTGATCCATGGTTGGTTGAATTCATAGATGTAGAACCCATGGATACACAGGGCAGACTGTATTAAACTGTAGTTAATTCTTAGGTATTTTAAGAGAAATGTACTGATTTATCAACCTACTTTCAGATGCATTAAAAATAAATTGAACTGATGTAAAGACAGATAAATGAATATATGGATGGAAAAAATATGATAAAACAAGTGAAGTTAAATGCTATTTGTAGAATACAGGTGGTGAGTGTTCACTATACAATTCTTCCCACTTTTCTGTATGTTTGAAAAATTTTATAGTAAAATGTTGGAAAAATACTGAGCAAAATGTGGTGTACTTAGGAAATGTTAAATAAATGAACTGTTTTTGCTAGCCATATTTACTAAGTCTCATCAGAATACAGGGAACTTCTTTTGGCTACAGAATACAGAAGTTAGTTACATAATAACGATGATCATCATTTAACTAGTGATTAAATTTCTTAAATCTTTAGTTTATCCAGGGAACCAATATTCACATATCTTAAAATGTCTTAAAGTGAATTTGAAATTCCAGTATATATCTGTATAATCAATCTATCTGTGCACATGTCTCTGTAAAAATATTTGTGAGAGAATATATCTGGTTTGCTGTTACAATGAATAATCAGAGTATGGCTTTTCATTTCTAATGTCCATGGCACATTTTGATTACAGCATTCATTATATCATACAGTAATATAAAGCCATAGCCTATCATCCTGAATTTGGTAAAATGCGAAGGCAGGTATGAAACATATTTCATTTTCAATGAATGATTTATATGACTCACAGATGTGAAGGGTATATTTTAAATACTCTTTTATCACATTCCAAAAATGTGCAGTGATTCTTTGTTCATTACAATTGCAGTATAGAACTTCTTAGAATATACTTGGAATATACAGATATAGCTTCTCTTCTCAAACAACTGGAAAACTAATAGAGCATGTTGGTTTTGCATCTAAAATGTGCTCGCAATAACAAAAATATTATTTCAAAATTACGAATTTTAATTTAATGAAAAATATGGATGAAATGTTATGGTTAGTTATCTCAGCATTTTAAATGCCAACTTTATTGTTATATTTGAGAATACAGGAAAGAATATTTTACTTAGTTGCCTTAAAAATAAAGTAAATCAACTTTAAATATATATTTTAAAATCCTCTACTATAATTTGTAATTTGTTATGTAAAATTAGCAACTCAAGAATTTGGTAAAGTATATACAAGAAAATATATAAATGCTTTAAATTATACAATTTAAAATTATGTCAGGTATGAAAAACAGAAAAAACTCTTATTCTAATAAAATATATTGAAGGTATATATATTATGGGAAACTCTCTTTGGCACTCATTCTGGTACACCAGTCAGATCTTCCGTCAAGAAAGAAAACTGCTGTTTAGTTACAAGGAGTAGAACCATCTTCAAAGTATGCATTGAAAGCCAATGCATACTTTTTGGGCAATTTCCACCAACTGACTGAGCACCATGGGGTACTGATGCCTGGCCATTTCTACCTAGTGCAGCACTTCTCTAACATCAGTCTTTGCTCCCGAGCTCTCTCTTGGGTTGGCTGAGACTTTATCAAATTTGCACCTTTGTCTGAGGTTTTCATTGACTTGCTTCCTCCCCACTTGCCTTTCAAAGGTATCAAATCAACATCTCAGGCTTAAGGCTTTCTCTGCCCAATCCTGCTTCTTCCCCCATTTACCTTTCACAGAAGTTATTTCTCTAGCATTCCCCAAAACCTCTTCTAATCCTCATTGAATTTGGATCATCTTCTTGGTGGCTAAACAGTTCTGAATTGTTGTGGGGTAGTAACCAGTATTAAGACAGTATAGTTAATATTGGAATGAAAGCTAAAATAATAATCACACATATAAATTGTGTTTCTGCACATTCTTGTATTCCCAAGGTTAATTGTTTAATTTAAAAGTAGACAGAATGGGTACTATGAAAAAGTTATTCACAGACTCTGGATCTTCACATAGAAAAGTTAAGATCTGTGATCAGAAATTTGATTGATTGACTAGGGTGTGGTCACTTGAGGACTTGCTCTGGAGTACCAACATTTCTTCAGAGGCTGAAAAAATTATAAATAATGACTTAACAATTGCTCTCCTTTAATCACCTAATGCCATCAATTCTGACATGTGTTCCTTTTTTGCCAGTCTCTCTGACCTCATCTTTAACAAATGGATAGATAAATTACAGCTAATATATTTTTTTAGCTGCCAGACACAGTGCTATGCTCTTTACATACATTATTCCTTCTAATCATCACTTCTACCTATAATAGTTTGGTTCTATTATTATCCCCAGCTTTCAAATAATGAATCCAAAACTAGGAAAGGATAAACACTGCGTCTAAGGTTCTAGATTAAAGCCCAATAAATGTTTGGTCCCAGTGAACTCATCTCTGAGAGAGTAAGAGATTTCATAAATTTCACCTTGATACATGGTAGAGCTGGAACTAGAATCCAAATCTTCTGACATCTCACTTTGTGCTATTACCTCTGAACCGTGATTTTCACTTTTAATGCTAAAAGCTGTGATTCTTAATCTAAGACATTTGAATCCTGAATTCCTTTAGTCAAACAAACATCCAGCTTTCAGAACAGAAACATAAAATTGGCAATATTTAGTAATTTTCTCTTTTCTCTCTACTTAGTCTGAATGTTTGTTGGCCATTCTGTCTTCAGCTCTAATGTATCTTAAGTTTCATCACAATCTGAATTAATTTTCCTTAATCTATTAGTGCTGGGAGAAGGAGCCAAGTCTCCTATAATCCTTGGGAAGAAGCCCAACAAAGCCTGACCTTAATACATACTTTTGGATGATACTTTCTTCCTTCCCTTTTGATAATCAGCTGTAGGCTTTGGGGTATTTTGCCCTAATCCAATCCAAAAAGTAGGGAACAGTTTGTCCCCAAATAATTACAAACTTCCAATATAAAACATTTGAGTAAAGCCCAATTCCTAATTACTAAAACATTGAGATGATTTTACCAGAAGCAACCTGGGATCCCACTACTCTTTTCACTTCAGTCCTTTATTGTCTAACCATAAGTAGTTATTATTATCCCAAAGAAGAAAAAAGAAATTGTTTCTTTTGTAACTTTCCTGTTTTCTGTTTCTGTTCAATAGGCCTCTCTGGGTGATCCTGGGCAATACAGCAAGCTAGGTCTCAGGATAGCTCTAAAACCGTCTATTTCAGCATGGTTCTGTAAGGTAAGATAATAACAGAGATTCAACAACATTGAAATGTTTGAAAGCAGATACAAAGGGAATTCTTTTGGGCCAGCAGAAGACAATTTCAGCTTGAAAGGGCTTTGACCCTTGTATAAGATGAGTGGTGCATTGAGACAGAAGAGAAGAATCAGAGTGGGATGGGGTGTTATGGGCTGCAGGCATATTGTTTCATTGTTTTAGACTATTAATCTTAAAAACAAGGATGAGAAGAAAAGATTGGGTGGAGTGATGCTTATATGTCACAGGAGCTTTGAATTTTCACAAAATTTGTGTCTTATATATGTGTTTTAAGCTAATAATTTACAGAAATTTAAATCAATCTATAAGAAAACCCTTCATCAGAAGTGATTAGGATTGGAACTGGTTTGTTAATTGGCAAAGTTGGCCAAAGAAGAGGACTGAAAAATTTATTTTAACGTAAAGATAACATGTGAATTTATTTATCAGGTTTTTTTTTTTGACATAAAGCCCAAGCCTCTTCTTTGAGTATGGTTCCACCAATAAATGTTCCAGGTAGTCATTCTTGAATTAACCACATAAATGGTAGCAGTAATAATATTAATATTAATAATTGAGCACTTACTATGCACTAGCTATTATTAATCCTCCCACTATCTCTTGGAGGTAGCAACTATTATTATCCTCATTTTACATATGAGGGTAAGAAACTTGCCTGAAACTTATGATTAGTAAATGGTAGAGATAAAATTAAAGCACAGGATGTCTGGCTCTTAAGTTGTGCTCTTAATCAAGATAACATCATCTCTGATTTCCATTTTTGGATGTCTTTAGAGGAGGAACTTTAAGAAACTAAAGACATTTGGGAAGCAATCTAAGTATGGAACCCTTCCAGATTTTTTATGATTGCTTTAAAAACTTTTAAGTTGTCTCCCCCATACATACTTTAGCAACAATTTTTAGTAGCTATTCATTAGCATTAAATCTTTCCAAAACATTTTAAGGAAACAAGAAATTTCTTTTTAATTTATATTTATCATTTTAGTCAAATTATGTAATTAAAACTGTGTATAAAGGATCACAATATTTATGATCAAATTATAGACATACAATTAAAGTAAATAGTTTGGGGATAAAATACAACTCTTTTTAGAACACAGCACTTAAGTGGAGGGATCAGAAGTAAGCAGGAGTATTATTGTCCAAGAATATTCGAGGTGCTGTGAACATAAGTTTCTATGTGTTACAGTTGAAACGGAGATCATCACTTAATCTACAACTACTTTAAGAGAAGGTCAGTTAAGAGAGTTTCTGCCGCATTTGTATTTCATCTGCGTTTTACCACTATCACAGTGGTATAGCAATATTGCATATTATAACAGTACCTTCACATGATTCCAGGAGAATGTGCTACAGCACTGTAATTATTTTCCATTTTATATTAAAAATCCAACATGTCAGATGTCAAGTTTAAAGATAGATAGATAGATAGATAGATAGATAGATAGTTAATGATATGCCTCCATCTGTCTATCTATCCATCTATATCTCCATATATATATATAGCCTTATATTATATGTATGTAATAGCCTTTTCTAAAGCTTTCAGATCTATTCAAACTGACTTACTTCCTATTTCCTACTGTTGCTGTAACAAATAACCACAAACTTAGACACTTAAAACAACATATATTTAATATCTCACAGTTCTGGAGCTCAGAACTGTCTAAAGTCCAAAAAAGTCTAAAATTAAGATGTTGGCAGAGTGTGTTTCTTCTAGAGGCTTCATCAGGTGATTTGCTTCTATGCCTTTTGCAACTTCTGGAAGTTGCCAGTATTTCTTGGCTAATGGTTCCCTTCATCCTCTTCCTCACATCACTCCAACTTCTTGCTTCCATTGTCACATTTCCTCTTCTGTCACCAAATCTCTTCTTTTTCCTTGTTGTAAGACCCTTTGTGATTATGTTTAAGGCCCATTTGAAGAATCCAGTATAATCTTACCATCTCAAAATCCATAAGTTAATCACATTTATGAAGTCCCTTTTTCCATGTTAGATAATATATTTGCAAGTTCCAAAGACTAGGACATGTATACCTTTAGTGACCATTATTTGGTTGGCTACACTTGGCTTGATTAGAGACAAATTTCCAAAAGTAAACTAAAAAGTTAATCACATTGATATTTTAAGCAGGGATTATACCTAGAATGCCTAAACTATGAGAAAATAAGCAGTAATCTCTTTTGAAAGCAATTTAAGAACTTTGGTAATGGAGATTTTCAGATTGAATTTGTGAACTTGTAGCATACATGGCCCATTTCCTTTAAAAACAACATCTATTTGAATTGTAAAGAAAAATCCTCCCTACTTCTCACATGCCTTCCCTCTTTCCCTCCTTTGTTTTCATCTTCTTCCCTATCTTCTTCCTTGCGTTCTCTCAATTATGCTCCCCTGCATATTATTTAATGACTCTGTGTAAGTTCTTGAGCTTTTACAGCCATTTCTTATTCAATTTTGAATTCAATAATAAGTAAAATCTAGCCTGAGTGTGCATTTTTCTCTGTTATCAATCCCAAATGGAAGTACTCGTATGAAAAAAAGATGCTAGACATACATATAAAATATATAACTAAGATAAAAATAAACAGAATAACTTATTTTTCTTGCATCCAGTGAGGAAATTGCCAGATTGCTCTTTCCCCAACTTGGACCATAAAATTAGATTAATTAGTTTTACCTCATGCTCTTCATTTCAGTTGGGAAGAAAACTCTGACTCACTTTGGCTATGCTGAAGTCCCAGTGGGCTCTTAGGGGTAATGTTACTTGGTTTAGGGGTGACATTATTTTTTTTTCTATATTGAAAGCTAATAAACTATCTCTAACCTTTTCCATCAATGAACTAGCAAGAGGGATTCTTCTTGATTTAAGGAATTTTGCTTGTGGCTTACTACTTCCTTTACTTTTCCTTTTAAATATTTTAAACCCATATCTTTATAACATTTTCACTCTGTTTCAATCATTTGATTGCTTTATGCTCTTCTAATGTCAATGTCTCAAATCTCCCACTCTATTTCTATGAACCACCTACTCAGCTAACCAGCTGTTCTTGATTTTATACTGAATTTGCTCTCTATCCATTTATAAACATCATTAAATTCTCAGTGCAAAGTTTTCTAAATATTAAATAGTGATTGAATGATGGGATTATGAGTTATGTTTGTTTATCTTTTGACTATTGGGGATTATTTTTCATATACTTTATCTTACATAAATTCTATAGTAGAAAATGCTATAGACTAAAAATAATATAATTTTTTTTGCTAAAATTATCTATTGTAGAAGAGATGTTGGCTTTTTTGGAAAAATCGTTTTTGATACTTTCTCTACAAAAATACCATACTATATATATCTTTTACTTTCTCTCTCTACTTCTCTCCCTGTCTTTATGTGTGTATGAAAGGAGTTTTAAAAATAAAACTAAATATGTTAAGTACTAACTAAATAAAATTGAAAAAAGAGTTTAGACAGTTAAAGAAACCAACCAGATAAACCTCTATGGAAGTTAGCTAAGATCTTCTAAATAAAACAATAATAATAATAAAGTCAACTGTAACAGTAAAACAATGGATGCATAATAAGTCCAAAATCTAATGCAGGGAATGCTTTTAAGGAGAGATCCAGTAATCTAATCAATGGAGGACCTTGCAGGCTTTGAGGTTTCTGAATGGATTACATGTAGGTCTCTCTTACATGCCAAGACAGAGAGACATAAGAAAGATCAAAGCAGGCCGCCAGCCTCCTTGGGGATAAAGGCCAATCAGTATGAATATAGCCCCAGCTGCACCAACTCTCAGTGACAGGTCTCCAGTGCTCCTAACCTCCATGTAGGCTATAGATTACCTTTGTAAAAACGCAGAAATCACAAACCCTTTATCTCTTATACAACAACCACACATTCTATATTGCTGTTGTAACATAGAGCAGGTTGCTAAGAAGACTGCTACTAAGAGGGAGCAGCAATGACATTTAAAATGCCAGAAACTCCCAAAATATTATTCTGCCTATAAATAAAGATATTACTCTTTATTCCTTTGCTCCCTTTAAATAAACTCTATAAATACTTTTTTCTGAGGTAATCTTGTTTCTCTCAATGTTCTTGGTAATATTGCACAAAAAGTAGCAAGTTTCTTTCTGTGGAAAGAAAGTACTATCTCTACCCTTATTGAGAAGAGAAATTTGGAGTAAAAATCATGTCTTTTTACTTCTGCTGCTAGACTTGATTAAAAGGAGAATGTGGCATAGACATGCTATTTGTTCACCAAACTACCTTCTTTTCCTAGACACACAAAAGAACATCATTTTCAGCCTCTTTTGCAGATGCAGTTGCATTAGGGCCATTTCACTGAGTTCTAACCAATGAGAGGTAGGCAGAAGTGGCATGACATTTCCAGGTCTAGCTGTAAAATGGCTGCATACAACTCTCTGGCACTCTTTTCCCCTGTAGCAAAGGTTATGGAGGTAGCATGTCTACATGGCACCATCACAAGATGGTGGGAAGCTGGATTCCTGAGTCACCAAATGTAGGAAAGCCCCTGCCAACCCACATTAGACTTTGAGGGAGAAAATGTACACTGAGTTACAATGTCTTTATCTCCAATGACTTAGAATCAAGGTCACAGTCTTTTCATTTACTTCTCACCTTATGGCTTCTGTAATGCCACTTATTCGTCTCTCAGATATCCTTAATTTATAATGTGAATTACCAAGTAATTATTTTTCCATTTACTTCCTATTTTTGTTTTATGGTCTTCTGAAAAATTCTATTTCAAAACTTTAAATAGCTTATAGAAAGGCTGTATTTGGTAGGCTCACCTTTATTAGCTGTATTAATGATTTAAATTATTTTATTATAACATCTGACTAGCAACTAGCAAAAACAGCACAGAAACTTTTACAGTCACAAAGTTTATTTTACAATTGTAATATTTGAAATCACATAGAGCTGTAGAGTTTGGCTATTATTAATAGTATAGCTGAGTAGCTCTACCAGATCCAACCCTGCCACGGAAAACAAAACAAAACAAAATTTTGGAAGAAAATATCCAAAAGGAGACTCGAAACTTGAATGAAAGAACAGGGGATAGGGTTAGTTTTTTACCATTTAGCGTTAGGACAAAACAAAGGTGGCTCTACACGGAGTGGTTGAAACTCTGATAGAAAACTTGTAGTATTCCTGGCCTGAAGATTCAGAGGACAGAGTTCCGGGAAACCACAGGAAAGGGAAAGTGAGGGAGTGACACGGAAAAGGAGACAGAGGGGGAGTGTGCCAAGTTCTCTCTATAAACTTTCTTCATTTCTGTGGCTGAACCACAAATGTGCCAGGTAGGCTCAAGTTAACACGGCTAAATCTAAATAAACTGAAATTTGAACTGTTGCTGCTTCAGAAAATGGACCACGCACTTTGAGACCAACCAAATGTTGTGCCTGATTAAAAAAACAAGCCGACAAAACCACATCGAAATCAACTCTTCAGGAGGGTATAACAGAATCTACAGTCTCCACAACATAACATTCACAATATCCTGGGTAAAACACAAAATTACTCAATAAAACAAAAAAAGTGGCCCATTTTATTTTTAGTAGAAAAGGCAATCAACGGAGATAAACCCTAACATGACGCAATTGTCTAAACTGTTAGGCAAGGATATTAAAGGAACTATTTTAACTATGCCCAGGAAAGTAAATAAAAATACTCTCACAATGAATATAAGGACAGGGAATCTCAGCAGAGAAATCAAACTATAAAAAAGAACTCAATGGAAATTCTAGAATTGAAATCATTACAGTTGTAGTTCTCCTGTCAATTATGAATTAAAAAGGAAAAACAATTTTTATAACATAGCACCAAAAGGAGTAGAGTATTCCTATAACCCCCTACATTTTCCCCTTTCAAATTCCTATTATGGAGTAAGCACTGGGAAGAGTCGGGGAATGTGCAGATAAAAGTACAAGCAAAGAGTGATGAATTCATTTCCCTTTCTTAAAAGAGTTTAAAGTCAAAATTTTGTGAAGCCAAATCCATACAACTTTATTAAGAAGAGTGTAACAGAAACAAAAATGTCATTGTTATAAATGATTTATATATTCTAACTGGACTGAGAGCATTGAAACAGTATCATTTTAGGACAATATTAAAATTATTTGATAGACAAAATTACTTGCCACAGCACTGCAATTTTAATGACAGATCATTTTAATAGGCTTGCCATTACAATTAGAGTAATTTTATGATAATGATAAAAATCTACAGTCCTCAAACTGTTTATCATTCTCATTAGCTTTCTTTGAATTCTATCCTCTTGCATTTCCCCTTAAGGCCAGTATGTTAACTTCTTCTCCATTAAGAAGCCATTAATTTGTAGGAAAAAAATAAGGTGACATAACGTAGTAAGTGGATGGAGAGGGGAAAAATAAAGGGGGTAGATGCCAAGGATGCATAAATGTCACAGGAATCTTAAAGAATAGGAAAATAATTTGGAGACATACTCTCAATAGATTAAATCTCTGTCTTAAATTGCTACTCATTTTCTGGAAATGCTCTGTGAAACTACATGAAATGTGTTCAACACTGTCATAACACTACATTTTACTCACTCTAAAAAAATCACATTGGTTTAAAGGATGAGAAAAGAATTACAGTGGTGTTTAAAAGATGTACATGGAGTTATTGTCTCCAACGTGTTATATTGTGTTACAGTAGCTCTTTGTGACATATTTATTATGGAATCAGCATTTTAATTTAATCTGATAGCAGGAATATTTTCTTTTGATGTGATGATCTGTTTGAACACCCTGCTTTCTTCTTTTCTGTTTTCAATTCAATTTCAAAACATAGAGTAGGAATATTTTTGCTTCCTTTGTTCACAAATATTCAACAGCTCTCCTACATCTGAAAAAAAGAGCAGACAGAACACACCGACAATGTAGCAAACGTGGTTTCTGTAATTTTGAAAGACAGCATTAATTAATAACATGATTCCTTTCTATCTCTGCCTACTTTCTCCCTCAGCTGGTATTTTTGGAAGTCCACAAGAGATCTTTACATGGCTTCTTAGATTTTTTTTCTCACATTTCTCAGAACAAAGAATAATTGTGCCCTAAGGATAAAAGAACAATGACACTTGTGCTTATTTTTCTTTAAAAGTCCACTATTGTTTCTGCTGTGTACATCCACTGCCTTCCTGATTTCCTTCCGTTTCACTGTGCAAAATGCCCATTGCAAAGTGATGTATTGAAATCACATATTGCGAATATATTTGGAGTTTATTTATATTATCAGCACAGTCGCCAAATGCCAAGTCTCTCCACAAATTTCTGATGGAACATATTAACCCTGTACTGCTTTTTAAAGTCTGTGGAAG
Organism: Homo sapiens; assembly: GCF_000001405.40. NCBI lineage: Eukaryota > Metazoa > Chordata > Mammalia > Primates > Hominidae > Homo > Homo sapiens. The sequence goes on along the minus strand of NC_000023.11, from coordinate 37,331,461 downwards.
TAAGATGCCTATGGAAAGTGGCTGCGTCAAAGGTCTCTGAGACCCCCCCCCACGTTTGGAAATTCATTAGAAAAACTCATGGGACTCAGCAAATAATCATACATATGTGGAAGATTTACTAGAGAAATAGTATAATTATACAGCCTGATCATAAAGGGAAAAGATTCAGGCAGAATGTGGACAAATCTATGTGCTAGCCTCTTCATGTTCTCTTCCTCTCATGAGGGGTTACTCAGAGCAAACTCTTCCCCCAGAAAAAAAAAAATGCAGCAACATGTGTGTGACGTTTCTGCACAGGGAAGTTCACTAGAGACTCAGCACCCAGGATTTTGACTGGAGGCTGGTCATGTAGGTATCATGCACCAAATTTCCAGACAAGAAGGAAAGCAGGGGTTCAGCATAAACCACATTGGTTGTACACACAGTTTTGGCGCAATGAGCCACTTTTATCAGTTCTGGGAATGTTAGGAACTCTCTTGAAATCCAAGTTATCAGATGCCAGCCAAGGCCCAAAGTTACAAGCAGACATTTCTTAGGATAGAATGCTAAGGCATGGTATCTCAACTCTTTTCTGCACAGTGGCTAACCAAGATAGCCTTTGCCAATAGGAAATTCTTGAACACCTACAGTTTGCCTAAAAATAAATGCCCTTTATACTGCAGGCTACCTGCCTCAGCAAAGTTACTGGCTTAGCAGTTTGTTTTCTAGTTACAAATATAGATTTTTCCCATATAATGTATCAGCTTATTTTTATGAAGGGAATAGAATTGGAAAAGCTTCAATAAAAACAATTGATCTTACATTCTGTCAATGGTCTCATGAACTAGATTGTCAAAGTATGCAATTAACAAGATGTTGGAATTAATCAGAGTTAAAATGTAATTTCTCTCTGATCCTACGAAAACTGAAATCCGATTATGACACTCTGGCTACTGTAAGTTTTATGGCATAGTAAAGTTCACTTTTTGATAGGTAAGTTGAGGCTACTACATATTCTTTGCTGCTCATCTCAATTTTAGTAAACAAGCTTTTAGTATACATATCAGTTTAACTTAATTATTTTTATCGTTATTTCTCCTTTAACATAAAGAATTCACCTAATTATAATTAACCTCAATTGTTTGTTTTTCTTTTAACTTGTGAAAGCCTTCTACTTACTACTTAAATACTTTAAATGCAGATCTTTATATCAGGCTCAGTCATACCTACTCTTACTTCTTGGATGTACTTTGGCCCTAAGTAACTCCTTTTAAATTTTTATTTATTCAAGAATCCCAGGTGAGTAAGTTCAACCGGATAATCAAAATTGTCCTATTTCTTTTTGTGAGGCTTGGTGCACACAAAGGAAACTTGGTCCTGAGAATAGGGTGGGATTTATGAATACCAATTCTGATGCCAGGGAGATGGGAATTTAAGTGCTTTCTATGCCACTTTCTAACTGTGTGACCCTGGGTAAGTCCTTTAACCTATCCCCAATCTTCAAATGTGTAAAATGGGGAGAAAAATAACAGCTCCTCCTTCCGAGCACTGAAAGGATTAAATTTTAAAAATGTATAAAGCACATAGTATAGTCTCTGCTTAGTACCTTTTAGAAATTATTGTAATTACTATTATTTTTCATGACCACGGATGAGTCAGAGTTGGCTTTAAATACAAACATTGCATTGTATAGCTGGTACTATCCATATTAATTAAAATAAAATCTATAATCCATGCTTGCAACCCAGTAAACTTTATAGACTTTCTCAAAAACATACTTGCTAGTCAAAGTACATTTTTGAGGGGTTACTTTGAATTAAAGCAATACAAATATATGTACACACACATTGAATACCTGGAACAAAATGCATTATAGAAAAATGTACATTAGGAATTATATATTTATGAATTTCAGATGATACAAACAACTCAGGAAAAAAATTCTACTTATCGATTTTCCTGAAGTGGGAATGAAGCTGGCCTTTATATGCAGTTCTCTCTTAGACGACAGAAATATCTGAAAATTAGGTCATTCTGCTTATGATAATGGTTTTGGAAAACTGTACTAGTTGTGTAAATATTAAAGACTAAAAAAATCAAATTTATATCATTTGCAGTCAGGGTTGAAATGATTCATTTCAGGTTTATTCCTGCTTTTTATACTGCTAACTATCAAATTCATATATATATAAATATATATTAGGTATGTATATTTTTAGGGTTCATGTGATATTTGGATACCTGTACACAATGGGTAATAATCAAATCATGGTAATTGGGATAACCATTATACCTCAAACATTTATCTTTTCTTTGTGTTGGGAATATTACAAATCTTCTAGCTATTTTGAAATATATAATAAATTATTATAAACTATGATTTCCCTACTATAATATCAAATACTAGAACTTATTCCTTCTAACTATATTTTTGTATCCCTTCATTAACTTCTTTTCATGCCCCCCCCCTTCCTCCTTCTTTTCCTAGCTTCTGGTAACCAATGTTCTACCCTCTACTTGGATAAGATCCACTTTTTTAGTTTTCACAAAGTAGGAGAGAACATGCAATATTTTTCTTTCTGTGCCTGGCTTATTTCACTTAACATAATGACTTCCAGTTCAATCCATGTTGCTGCAAATGACAGGATTTAATTCTTTAATTTTATGGCTGAATAATATTCCATTGTGTATATATCAAATACTTTTAATTATTTGTTTTGAAACAACAGTTTATAAATGTTTACGATTTTTTGAGTATGGCTTCAAAGATTTAATGTACCCATCAAAGTGTCTATGAGAGGACTTTTATTCAGTATTTGAAACTACATTTATTAATGTCAAGTCAAATTAAAGTCAAAACAAAAAAAGAAAAAAATAAAATAATTTTTCAAATATTCATTTTAGTAACTGGAGTTAAGACTGGATCCAAATATTATTACTGAGCATTACAGACTGTGTTAGAATAAGTACACTGCAGTTTAACTATGTCTTATATATAAACTTGGTTTTATCCAGAATATAAACTAGGTAGACTATGTATTGCAGCAGTAAAATATTTTTATTGGATTTTTTAAAACGCAAATGTAGTAAATGAAAACACAATTTCATTTACAAAAAAAATGGTTTATAAAGTAAATGGTGAGATTAGTCTAGTACATACTGCCATAACAATCTTGAAATCTCAGCGGTGTACAAGAAAGGTATTATACTGTTTGTGTTTAAACATGATCCTTTCGAGAAGATTGTGTTTTACTCCCTTTTGTCCATACAGTAGGACCCAAGCTGCAGATGCAGCCTATACCTGGTATAATGCAGGCAAAAGAGAATACCACAGAACCAAGATCTTAACTTTCATAATGAATCTTCTCTATCATAGAAACACATATAAAATCGAGTTAGACAAATAATGAAAATGGCATTGATATACTTTATTTACCCTGATTATTTCAACATGTAACAGTTTAATGGCATGAAACAAAGTTCACTATAACTAAATCAATATGTAAGCAAACATTATGGGATGTTTATACATAGAAAAAAGGCCACTGAAAAAATTTGATGAAATATCATCCTTCTGAATTTAAGGTGTATAAATATCCTATAAAAGGTTCAGAATGTACTCCTCATCTCCTTGTCTTCTTTTCCCCCCTCTCCACTTCAATGTAAAACAATCTAGCAGGACCAGCAGCAACTTTACAACAATACAACCATGTGCATAGCACCACTCGAAATGAAATGATGAATTTGTGATGTGGCATTTATCAGAAAAAGAAGAGAAGATAACTATATAAGCCTTCAAGCAAATAACAATTATGCTTCCCCTGTGCTACCTTTCACTTCCTCACCTCCAAACCTACAAGTAGTTAGATAGCTGGGTAAGGGGAGATAAGTACCTGAGAGAATTATTTTAGATAAATGTTATTTCAAATAAATATTAAATTTGTGGCATCTTCTCCTATCTATTCCAGGAATGTAGACAGGGAAATGATCTGATCTATCCTTAGATCCAGAGTAAGTGAAAGGACTTGTGTTCACATGAAAACAAACTCTGATCAGAATACTATAATTACATAGAAAACAGGCACTGTCTGTATATGGATACCTGTATCTATATATTTATATATATAAATAAAATTATTTTGTCTGCAATTTTTACTTTATAAATGACAGTTTTATGTTGTGTTATACCAGTGACTGACTCTGATTAAAAATGAGATTAGAGACATGTTCTGGTGAGAATAATTCTAGATTTCTGAAGAGAATGCTAGAGAGTTTTGTTCCCAAAATAGCAATTTCTAAAGTAATTCATTTTTAGTATATGGGTCACTGTTATTCAAGTAAATACTGCCATGGTTTCTCATAAAATTACCATGAGTAAAGGTTGGATAACAAAAATCAAGCAGGGCATTAAAAAGGTTCATTCTAAAAAAAAAAGTGGATCTAAATTATTGAGCCTTTATAAATTTTAATTTTTGTGTGTACATAGAGGGTATATATATTTATGAGGTACATGAGATGTTTTGATACAGGCATGCAATGTGTAATAATCATGTAATGCAAAATGGGGTATCCAACCCCTCAAGCATTTATTCTTTGTGTTAAAAACAATCCAATTATACTCTTTTAGTCATTTTAAATGTACAATTAAATTATTATTGACTATAGTCACCCTGTTATACTATCAAACAATAGGTCTTATTCATTCTTCTATTTCTTTGCACTGATTAACCATCCCCATCTCATCCTCACCCCCTCACTACCCTTCCCAACCTGATAAACATCCTTCTATTGTCTGTCTCCGTGAGTTCAATTGTTTTGATTTTTAGGTGACACAAATAAGTGAGAACATGCAAAGTTTGCCTTTCTGTGCCTGGCTTTTTTCACTTAGCATAATGACCTCCAGGTCCATCTATGTTGTTGCAAATGACAGGCTCTTGTTACTTTTTATGGCTAAATATTACTCTATTGTGTATAAGTACCGCATTTTCTTTATCCGTTCAACTGTTGAAAGACACTTAGGTTGCTTCGAAATTTTGGCTATTGTAAATAGTGCTGCAACAAACATGAATGTGCAGATGTCTTCTCAACATACTGTTTTCCTTTCTTCTGGGTACATACCCAGCAGTGGGATTGTTGTATCATATGGCAGCTCTACTTTTAGCTTTTGGAGGAAGTTCTAAAGTGTTCTCCATAGTGGTTGTACTAATTTACATTCCCACCAACAGTGTACGAGGGTTCCCTGTTCTCCACATTCTTCCCAGCATTTGCTATTGCCTGTCTTTTGGATATAAGCCATTTTAACGGGGGTGAGATGATATCTTATTGTAGTTTTGATTTGCATTTCTCTGATGATCAATAATGTTGAACACCTTTTCGTATGCCTGTTTGCCATTTGTATGCCTTCTTTTGAGAAATGTCTATTCAAAACTTTTGCCTATTAAAAAAATCAGATTATTAGCTTTTTTTTCCTACAGAGTTGTTTGAGCTCCTTATGTATTCTGGTTATTAATCCCTTGTCAGATGGGTAGTTGGAAATGTATTATCTCATTCAGTTGGTTGTCTCTTTACTTTGTTGATGGTTTCCTTTAGTGTGTAAAGTTTTTAAACTTGATGCGATCCCGTTTGTCCATTTTTGCATTGGTTGCCTGTGCTCGTGGGGTATTACTCAAGAAGTTTTTGCCCAGACCAGTGTCCTGGAGAGTTTCCCCAATGTTTTATTGTAGTAGGTTCATGGTTTGGGTCTTAGAATTAAGTTTTTAATCCATTTTGATTTGATTTTTGTGTACGGTGAGAGATAGGAATCTATTTTCATTCTTCTATATATGGATATATCCAGTTGTGCCTGCACCATTTATTGAAGAGACTAACTTTTCCCCAATACATGTTCTTGGCATCCTTGTCTAAAATGAGTTTATTTTAGGTGTGTGAATTTGTTTTTGTATTCTCTATTGTGTTCAATTGGTCTATGTATCTGTTTTTATGCCAGCACCATGCTGTGTTGTTTACTATAGCTCTGTAGAATAATTTGACATCAGGTAATATGATTCCTCCAGTTTTGTTCTTTTTGCTTGGATAACTTTGACTATTCTGGGCCTTTTGTGGCTTTATATAAATTTTAGGATTGCTTTTACTATTTCTGTGAAGAATGCCATTGGTATTTTGTTAAGGATTGCATTAAAGTTGTAGGTTGCTTTGGGTAGTATAGACATTTTAACAATATTGATTCTTCCAATCCATGAACATGGGGTATCTTTTCATTTTTTGTACATCCTCTTCAATGTCTTTAATCAGTGTTTTATAATTTTCATTATAGAGATATTTCACTTCTTTGGTTAATTCCTAGGTACTTAATTTTATTTGTGGTTGTTGTAAATGGGATTACATTTTTTATTTCTTTTTCAGATTGTTCACTGTTGGCATATACAAATGCTATTGATTTTTGTATGTTGATTTTGTATCCTGCAACTTTACTGAATTGATTTATCAGTTCTAGTAGTTTTTTGGTGGAGTTTTTAGGTTTTTCCAAATATAAGATCATATCATCTGCAAACAAGGATAATTTAATTTCTTCTTTTCCAATTTGGGTGCCCTTTATTTCTTTCTCTTCTCTGATTGTTCTAGAGCAATCTGGTAGATTGAATCTCATGGGACTTCCAGTATTACGTTGAATAACAATGGTGAAAGTTGGCATTCTTGTCATGTACCAGAACATAGAGGAAAAGCTTTCAGTATTTCCCCATGCAGTATGATACTAGCTGTGGGTCTGTTGTATATGGCTTTCATTATGTGGAGGTATGTTCCTCCCATACCCAATTTTTTTTAGGGTTTTTATTGTGAAGGAATGTTGAATCTTATCACATGCTTTTCCACATTCATTGAAACAAACATATGGATTTGTCCTTTATTCTGTTGATATGATTCATTTGTGTAGGCTGAACCATCCTTGTATCCCAGGGATAAATCCCACTTGGTCATGATGAATGATCTTTTTAATGTATCGTTGAAATTGGATTGCTAGTATTTTGTTGCAGATTCTTGCATCAATATTCATCAGATATACTGGCCTGTAGTTTCTGTTTTTTGTTGTATCTTTGTCTGGTTTTGGTATCATGGTTATATTGGCCTAATAGAATGAGTTTGGAAGTATTCCCTCCTCCTCTATTTTTTGGAATAGTTTGAGTAGCATTGGTATTAATTCTTCTTTAAATGTTTGATAGAATTCAGCAATGAAGCATTTGAGCCCAGGCTTTTCTTTACTAAAGAACTTTTTATTATGGCTTCGACCTTGTTAATTGTTATTGGTGTGTACATTTTTAAAAAATTTCTCCATGGTTTAATCTTGGTAGGTTGTATCTGTCTAGGAATTGGTCCATTTCTTCTAGATATGCCAATTTATTGGCATATAGTTGCTCATAGTAGCCACTAATGATACTTTGAATTTCTGTGGTATCAGTTGTAATGTCTCCTTTTTCATATCTGATGTTAATTATTTGGATCTTCTCTCTGTTTTTCTTAGTTTGTTTGGTTAACAGTTTGTCAATTTTATTTAGTTTTTTTAAAAAACCAATTTTTTGTTTACTTGATCTTTTGTATTGTTTTCATTTCAAGTTCATTTATTTCTGCTCCTTTTTTTCTTATTTCTTTTCTTCTACTAATTTTGGGTTTGGTTTGCTCTTGCTTTTATCATTTTTTAAGATGCATCACCCAGTTTTTTCTTTGAAGTTTTTCTTCTTTTTTGAAGTAGGCACTTTTAGCCATAAAATTCCTTCTTAGTACTGCTTTTGCTATATTCCATAAGTTTTGTTATATTGTATTTCCATTATGATGTGTTTCAGAAAATTTTTCAATTTCCTTCTTAGTTTCTTCATTGACCCACTCGTCTTTCAAAAGCATATTGTTTACTTTCCATATATGTGTATAGTGTCCAAAATTCCTCTTGTTATTGATTTCTAGTTTTTTTCCATTGTGATCAGAGATGCTTAGTATTATTTCAATTTCTTGAATGTTTTAAGACTTGTTTTGTGACCTAACATATGGTCTATCCTTGCGAATGATTCATGTGCTGAGAAGAATGCGTACTTTGCAGCTCTTGGATGAAATGTTCTATAAATATGTATTAGGTCTATTTGATCTATAGTGCAGATTAAGTCTGATGTTTCTTTGTTGATTTTCTTCTGGCTGGGATATCTCTCCAAAGTGGAAAGTTGGGTGTTGAAATCTCTAGACATTATGGTATTACAGTCTATCTGTCTCTTTAGCACTAATAGTATTTGCTTTATATATATGGGAGCTCCAGTGTTAGGTGTATATATATTTAAAATTGTTATATCCTCTTGCTGAGTTGGCCCCTTTATCACTATATAGTGACCTTCTTTGTCTCTTTCTATAGTTTTTGTCTTAAAATTTATTTTGCCTGATATAAGTATAGCTACTCCTTCTCTTTTTTTGGTTTCTTTTGCCATGGTATAACTTTTTCCAACCCTTTATTTTTAGTCTATGTGTGTTTTTATAGGTGAGGTGTACTTCTTGTAGGCAACCAATCAATGGGCCTTTTTTATCCATTCAGCCACTCTATGTCTTTCTATTGGGGAGTTTAGTCCATTGACATGGAGTGTTATCTTCTGCTTGTTTTGTGATTTTCTCTTCCTCCTTTTTTTCCTCCCTGTATTCCTTTTAGTGAAGGTCATTTGCTTTGGTGATATGACTTACTTTCTTGCTTTTTATTTTGTGTGTATTTGTTTCGTGTTATTTGCATTGAGATTGCCATGGGGCTTCCAAATACTATCTTATAACTCATTACTTTAAGCTAATAACAACACAGTCTGCATAAACAAACAAGCAAAAGAGAATTAATAAAGACTCTATCCCTTAACTTTGCCCCTCCACTTTTTAACTTTTTGTTGTTTCTATTTATATCTTATTGTACTGTCTATGTCTTGAAAAGTTTTGTAGTTACTATTTTTGATTGGTTCTTTATTTAGAATTTCTACTTAAGATAAGAGTAGTTTACACACCAAAGTTGCAGTGTTATATTAATTTGTGTTTTTCTGTGTGCTTACTATTACCAGTGAGTTTTGTACCTTCAGAGGATTTCTTATTGCTCATTAACATCCTTTTGTTTTTGACTGGAGTACTCACTTTAGCATTTCTTGTAGGACAGGTCTGGTGTTGATGAAATCCCTCAACTTTTGTTTGTCTGAGAAAGTCTTTATTTCTCCTTCATGTTTGAAGGATATTTTCAGCAGATACACTATTTTAGGGTAAAAGTTTTTTTTGTTTTCCTTCAGTACTTTAAACATGTTATGCTACCCTCTCCTGGCCTGTAAGGTGTCCACTGAAAAGTCTGCTGCCAGATGTACTGGAGCGCCATTGTATCTTATTTGTTTCTTTTCTCTTGCTGCTTTTAGGACTCTTTCTTTATCTTTGACATTTGGGAGCTTGATTGTTAAATGCATTGAGGTAGTCTTTTTATTGAGGTAAATCTGCTTGGTGTTCTATTGTCTTCTTATTCTTGGATACAGATATCTTTCTCTAGGTTTGGGAAGTTCTCTATTATCCCTTTGAATGAACTTTCTACCCCTGTCTTTTTCTCTGTCTCCTCTTTATGGCCAATAAATGTTAAGTTTGCTCAGTTATTTACTAGATGTTGTAGACATGCTTCGTTGTTTTTTATTCTTTTTTTCTTTTGTCTCCTCTGACTGTATTTTCAAATAGCTTATCTTCAAGCTCACTAATTATTTCTTTGGTTTAATCAATTCTTCTTTTAAAAGGCTCAGATTCTTCAGTATGCCAATTGCATTTTTCAGCTCCAGAATTTCTGCTTGATTCTTTTTATTTTGACCTTTTTGTTAAATTTGTCTGTCAGCATTCTGAATTTCTTCTCTGTGTTATCTTGAATTTGTTTGAGTTTCTTGAAAATGGCTATTTTTAATTCTCTGTCTGAAAGGTCATATATCTCTGTTTTTTGAGGATTGGTCCCTGGTGCCTTATTTAGATCATTTGATGAGAATATGTTTTCCTGCATGATTCTGATACTTGTAGATGTTCTTCAGTGTCTGGGCATTGAAGAGTTAGGTATTTATTGTAGACTTTCTAGTCTCTACTTCTTTGTACCTTTCCTTCTTGGGAAGGCTTTCTAGATATTCAGAAGGGCTTAGGTGTTGTGATCTAAGCTGTATCTACTTTAGGGGGCACTCCAAGTCCTGTAATGCTGTGTTTCTTGCAGACTCATCGAGGTACTGCCTTGATGATTTCAGACAAGATCTTGACAAATTCCTGGATGACCCGGAAAAGACTTTTGTTCTCTTCCCTTGCTTTCTTTCAAACAAATGGCATCTCTCTCTCTCTCTCTGTTCTGAACCACCTGGAGCTGTGAGTGGAGTGACACAAGAACCCCTGTAGCCACCACCACGCAGACTGCACTCGGTCAGACAGCACAGTACTGGGTCTTGCCCAAGGCCTTGTATAACCACTGCCTGGCTACTTCCTATGTTTGCTCAAGGCCCTGGGGCTCTACGATCAGCAGGTGTCACAGCCAGATAGGCCTGTGTCCTTCCTTTCAGGGTGGCTAGCTCCCTCAAGCCCCAGGCAGGTCCAGAGGTGATGTCTTAGAGCCAGGGACTAGAGTGAAAACCTTAGATATTTACCTGGTGATCTATTGTGCTACAGCTGAGATGGCACTCAAACCACAAGATGCAGTCCTTGCCACTCTTCCTTCCCCTTTCCAAAGGCAGTGAAGCCTCATCCTGAGACCACCAAAACCACAGGCCCACAGGAAGTACTGCCAGACTACTGCCAATGTTTTTTCCTTTAGGGTGCAAGAGCTCTTCAGTCAGGTTGTGGTGAATGCTGCCTGGCCTAGGACTCACCCTTCAGGAAAGCGGGCTCCTATCTGGGCCAGGGCAGGTGCAGAAATGCCATCCAAGAGCCAAATCCTGGAATTGGTGCCCCCAAAGCCTGTTTAGTACTCTACCTCCCTTGTGGCTGATACCTAAAATGCAAGACAAAGTCCAATTTACTTTTCCATCCATTTTTCTCAGGCAGAAGTAGTCTCATCACATAGCCACCACAGCTGGGAATGTGCTGAGTCTCACCTGAAGCCAGCAAGTCTCAAAGTCTCACCCAAGGCCCTCAAAGTAGTATCTGGGTATTGCTGCTGGTTATTCAGGGTCCAAGGGCTCTTCAGTTAACATGATGAATCCTGCCAGGACTGGGTCTTTTCCTTCAAGACATTTCTAGACACACCTGGGCCGGAAGGGGTGTCCAGGAACTAGGAACTGGAACAGGGACCTCACGACTCTGCTCAGTGCCTTATCTTTCTGTGGTTGGGCTGGTATTCAAGATGTAAGACAAGGTCCTTCCCCCTCTTCCTTTTCTTCTCCTCAAACACAAGGAAAAGGTCTCTTTTGGAGCCATGAGCTGTGAAGCCTGGAGTTAGGGGAGGGGTGATGCCAACAGTCTCTTAGCCACCCTGGCTGGTGTCTCAGTAGGTTGTGTGCCCCCCACAAATCCACTGGCTCTGGGCCCAGTTCAGTACTAGGACTCACATAGGAGTTGTAGTCCTTGTGGCCTAGAGTGCCTTCGGGTTTATTTAGGGACCCAGGGCACTTTTGCCTGTGGTCAGGAGGCTTGCAGGAACTCATGTTTGAACCACTAGGATCAGTGATTCCCTTCTAGCTAAGTCTGGTTTAAATGGTCCTTTAAATGCCAGGCATTAGCTGAGTTTGATGTAGTTTTGTTTTCTGCTATAACAGGGCATCACTAAGTTCAATGCCTCACAATTGCTAAGCTCTCTCTCTCCCTAGCACACAGAAATGCTTTCTGTACCATGCTGTCAATGCTAGGGGATGGGGGAAGGGTGGCATAGGCAGTTTAAGACAGGTTTTCCTACCTCTTCAGTGCCTCTTTCAATGATGTGAAGATAAAAAAAGAGTACTGTGAGTGCTCACCAGATTTTTGGTTCTTATGAAGGTGCCTTTTCTTGTGTAGTAGTTGTTAAATTGGTGTTCTTGCAGGGGGGATGATTGGTGGAAACTTCTATTCTACCATCTTGCTCCACCCAAGTCTCCAAGCCCTTCATTTAATCAAACTTATTCCTACTGAAGGAAACAGAATATAGTAACAACAAGATGCTCATCTAGGGATGTTTAATACAATATTTTTCAATCTAATCACATGTTCATGAATAATCACCCTGTCACAGTGAATGCAACCTTAGTATTTAAGGATGGGGTCTCAGCATATGTCAATGTTTTATAGCACAATTTACAGGAAGAGCAGAGATAGTATGACTCTAATGGAGTTCATTCTTTTTAGAGGCCAGGCACATGTATGAGTTCAACCATGTCCTTGACCCCTTTCTTTCCCTATGCCTGCCACATTCACTCACAATAAATTTATTCACTCTCTGATTGGTTGGACAGATTGCCAGCTTCACATCCAAATTCAGCCAAAGGAGAAGCTCACTGTGTAGAGAGGGCTCACGGTTGCTGTTTAGCCTCTTAATTTTGTTCTGCACTTGCCATTTCTTGTCAAATCAGTAATAGCACCTTCCACATCCTGGGCCATGAAGGAAACATTGACAGATCTCCCAGAGCCTCCAGAGAAGTGTCCAAGCTGGCCATGATCTTGATTTCAGCCTTCTGGGACCAAGAGCATAGAAACCTGCTGATCCAGCCCATACTTTTGACCTACGTGACTGTGAAATAGCAAATTTGTATACTGTAAAGCTGATAAATTTGTGGGAATTTGTTAGGTCAGTCATAGAAAACTAATACAGAGAATAACAGAAATTAAAGTGAAATATACATTTTAAAAGATATTTAAAATCATGTTTTGGAAAAAAGGGTAACTAGGTAAACTGAAGAGGAGTACAGGGGGAAAAATATTTCTTTCCTTACCCATTACAAAGTTCATAGCTCAGATTAACAAAACAAAAGCATACACATTTATTTAATATAAGTTTTATGTAACATGGGAGGCTTCAGAAATGAAGACTCAAAGACCCAGAGAAAACTGTATATTTTATGCTAAGTCTAATGAGGAAGTGGGTAGATGTAGAGAAACATGATTGGACAAAATGAGGGTATGGGGCCAGGCGAGGTGGCTCACGCCTGTAATCCCAGCACTTTGGGAGGCCGGGGTGGGCGGATCACTTGAGGTCAGGAGTTTGAGACCAGCCTGGCCAACATGGTGAAACCCCATCACTATTAAACATAAAAAAATTAGCCAGGAGTGGTGGCGGGTGCCTGTAATCCCAGCTACTTGGGAGGCTGAGGCAGGAGAATTGCTTGAACCTGGGGGGACGGAAGTTGCAGTAAGCCAAGATTGCGCCACTGCACTCCAGCCTGGGCGACAGAGTGAGACTCCGTCTCAAAAAAAAAAAAAAAAAAAAAAAAAAAAAAAAAAAAAAGACTCTGCCTAAAAAAAAAAAAAAAAAGGGTATGACCTAATGGTAATAAACTTTGGAGTTAGGGGGTGGAAATGTAGCAAGGCTTGTTTGTTCAGATTCTTCTTGGCATCCTTGGGTGACATTCCTTTCCTCCGGCATAGGGCAGGACCCCTCTGGAATGAGTCTTATGACCTATTTTCAAGGAAAACTCAGCTAGGTTTTATGGCTTGATTTAGGGGAAAAGGAACAAAGGGGAATTCTTTTTAGCTTTTATTGCTTGCTTCTGCTATTTCCTCAAATGCCTGGGTGCCATATTTTGGAGTAGTATGTCCTGAATCCTATCAAGAGCCACAGAATTCATTAAGAAAAGAATGATTTGAATATATGTAATGGGTTCAAAGTGTTTATTCAAGAGAGTAAAGTCTTATGAATCCTGGGATTCTTAACAATTAGCTGGGCAATTAGCTGGGATTTTAACTGAATTTGTGATTATCTGGCTATTGCCCTCTTTAGCCCCAGCTTAAAAAGTTGTATTTCTGCATTGGATGCTATTCTATATTTCTGCTCCAGTCAACCTTCTAGTCCCTAAGTCTTTTTGCAAGAGCAGCAACTCCACTGTACTCTTTCTTGAGGATTGGAACTCTGCTCCTGATTGTCAGAGATTGATGGACTACAGTCCAAAGACTCACCTTTTAGATGCCAACTGCTCTTCTCTACTACCATTTCTGAGTCTTGGCTCCTTCATAGCAGCAGGAATTTTGCTTCTTTCCTAGTACTGACTCTTTGCCTGAACCAAACTAGACAAAGTTCTACCCCTGAGGGAGCAGTCTTTCAATTGAAAAATATTTACCGAGCATTTCTTCTGTGTAGGGTGACCATAAATTAAGCAAAAACACTTGGGACAGTGAAGAGACTGTCATTAATAATCCTGCCAGAACAATAGGCATAACTGGAACTGTCCTGGCAAATCTGTATGAATGCTCACCTTGGCTATATTCCAACTGATAGTCCAGGGGCCTGGATTAGAGTAGTGAAAAGCACACACCAGGCAAAAATTAGTGCTCTCTTGGAGTTTTACATTTTACTAGGGAAGACAAACAATAAACAAAGAAAAAAGTACTATAAAATGTTAGATAGTAATAAAGGACTATCAGACAAATAAGATATAGAAAGAAGAATTGAACTGGGTATATAACTGTGTGGGGGTGCAAAATAAAAAGTGCTGGTCAGGGTAAGCCTCAGTGAGAAGCTGACTTCTGAGCAGAGACCTGTAGAGGATGAGGGAAAGCACCATAAAGAAATCTGTGGGAAGAGAGTTCCAGGCAGTGAGGAGAGCAAATGCAAACACCTGAGGAAGAAATGTGCCTGGTGGGTTCTAGGTAAGAGCAGGTAATGGGTCAGATCAAGGAGGGCTTTGCAGGCTATTGTGAATAATTTTCCTTTACTTTGAGTGAAATGAGGACCCAAGTGAGGGTGTGAATCAGTGGAGTGATTATGATCCAATTCCAGTTTCAACAGGATTTCTTTGGCTGCTGTGCTGAGAGTAGACTGTGAGAGCTAGGGGTAGAAGGAGCGAGACACATGTCTTATTCACTTGAATGAACAGAAGAACAAACCTAATAGGACCAGCCTCACAAGCCCCGACACATGTGGTCCCTCCCCTTGCCCCACAAGCCATCAGGTGGGCCTGTGCCCATCAGAGTCCCTCCTTGCCAGTCCACTAAGCTGTGACTAGACAGCTATAGCTCACTGACAATTGCCATAGGTCAGGATGAGACATGAATCAAAGCTACAAATATATGTTTGTATTATAAATGTATTACCATGCTGACACCCACATTTTATTTTTCAGCTGATCTTTACAGGAGATTGTGGTATTGTGATATAATAAGAAATATATATTTCGTCTGTGTCCCCAGTTCCTGGAATAGAGCTCCAAAACCCCTGTAATTTCCTGACTAATAGGAGTGCTAGTTACATCTTTTGTTCTGATACTTGGTCTTTGACCTTGGTTCCTGACACAGAGTTCCTAATCGCTTGGAACTTCCAGGGTGATAGGAGTATCTTTTGTTCTAATAAGGTGAGTCATGGTTGACACCTGGATAGGAACTGGTCACCAGAAAAACCAAGCTGTGATTAGAGGGCTAGTCCAGCTTCATCCCCCATCTCCCAGGAAGGAGAGAGGGGCTAGGGACTGACTTAATAATTGATCATGTGTATGTGATAAAGCTTCTGTAAAAATCCCTAAACTATGGGGTTTGGAGAGCTTCTGGGTTTCTGAACACATGGAAGTGCTGAGAGGGTGACATGGTGAAGAGGGCATAGAAACTTTGCACCCCATTGCACATACCTTACCTATATATCACTTTATCTAGCTGTTCATCTGTATCCTTTATAATGAATCAGTAAACGTAAGTAAAGTGTTTCTCTGAGTTCTGTGAGCCACTCTAGCAAATGATTGAGCCTGAGAAGGGGGTTGTGGAAATCTCTAATTTGTATCCAGGCTGGCCAGAAATTGTGGGTAACCTGAGAATTCACTACTTGCAATTGGCGCATGAAGTGGGGAGCAAAATTGTGGGACAGAGCCTTTAACCTGTGGGATCTGAACACTATCTCTAGGTAGATAGTGTCAGAATAGAGTCAAACTTTAGGAGCACCCAGCTGGTATTGAAGAATTGCTTAGTATGAGAAAAAATTCATGCATTTGGTTAGCAGAAATGTTCTTTGTTGAGTGTGGTGTCAGAACTGAAGTGTGCTGAAAGTATTGCGTGTTGAGAGTATAGTAGGAGAAAAGTTAATTGGTTTTTTTCCGATTACACAGAGATGCTTGCTCTTGAAAAGAAAGTTTCCACAGAATATCTATGTGAAATATGTAGGTGCACTCGGTCTACATGCTGAGCCAAGGTGAAAGCATTGTGCCTGAATCTTTCTTTTGTTTCAGCAAAAAAAGAAACATGGCCTCTCATCCAGCCTTTCACACAGTGGCAGAAGTTGCCTGAAGCAGCAGGCAGCCAAGCCAACAAAAGAGACATAGACATTAACTGTAACTTTGCTGAAGACAAGGAGGAAGGCTTTTCCTGAAGTGTGAACATCTGAGACTTAAGCCAAATGAACATCTGTGAGGGTCCTGTTGCCATCTCCTCCCACACTGAAGTGGAAAGGTAGCCCTTGATGCAACTGTGCCATGAAGATGTAGAAAAGTGATCCCACTTCTCAGTCAGGAAAAATAAAACCCCAAAAAATCCAGAACAGAGAGAAGTTAATAAACAATCATTTCAAATGCCTGGCTTAATGCTCATAGCATTCCACACTTTCTGCTGTACTCATTTTCCTCATTGTTGTAGATAAGGACCAAGATAGTATGGATACTGTGGTTTCCTGAAGTCAGAGCTATGCTTCTGAGAAGCTCCCTGTAAAAGGCAGCTTGTGCTTATTTTCATGCAGTCATTCAACTGTAAAAATCCTGCTGCCATTTTCTGGCAGTAGGAATCTGCAACCACTGACTACAACTGAATACTGCAATATTTCCCTGTGGGCTTTTCAATTGAAGATTCACATTTTCTTCACACTTGAATATTCCTGGGCTCAGACTATCATGTTGACGTTAAATTTCTTCAAAGCATAGTGAAGGGTTCCCTTTAGGGCCAAGAAGAAATTGTTTTCACTTTTGGTTAGAAGAGTAAATATCTCTATGTTACATAAGTGACTAATTTACAGATTTTGATATGAAGAGAGTTTCATTCACTTAGTATTTATTGTATACCTTCTAGTGGAGAGACAGGCAATAAACTCTAAGCACAATAGCATGGTTATATATTGATAGTATCTATCAATCAGTTTACCCACCTATCTATCTACCTTACGACGTAAAAAATACTATAGTAAAGAGAAAATTAAAACAAAGTAAATTCTAGGAAAAGTCTTTCCAAAAGGGAGGAGAGGAAGCAAGCAATGTAGATGTCTGGATGACGAGGGCTCCAGACAAATGCAATCACCAGTGCAGAGGCCAGCGTATGTTAAAATTTCACTCCCTGGATTAAAACCTTTCAACACCTCCCAAATTACAGAATAAAGGGTCAGCTTCTCCCTCTGCTGCACAAGCAAGACCTTCATCATAGGCTCACAACCACATAGAGATAGCTCTCCAGCTCCCATCTCTACCAACCTCTTTATACATCTCAAGCTCCAGTGAAAACTGGCTGGGGAACAGCAGGGAGGCCATGTGGCTGGAGCTAAGGGCATGTGTGTCCGGGGACGAGGTGGAGTCGGGGGAGATAGGGCTGTGGTACAAATATCAGAGCAGAGCTTATTCAAGCTTTGGAGGGCCTGAGGCTTGCACAATTTCAGGCTTCTCTTTAAGAGAAAGAATTAAAATGTACAAACACAAAATTAGGTGCATATTTAAGTAGAATGACGAAAGAAATGGCGACAAATTACACACTTTACAAAGCTGAAAAAATAGAAAACCTCAAAAGTCCTGAAGTATGGTGCAGTGTTTAATTGGATGTGCTGCCTTTCCCGTGTGTTTCTTACAGGACAGAACTTCTGTTTAGGCAAGCGTTGATGTGGATCAACCACTCTGTTCATGATTTTATATGTCCGGTGATTAGAAGATATTCCCAGAGACTGGCTCCTGGCCCTATACACTTCAATGATTGCCTCCCTCCCTCTAGCTATCTACATACTTCCAGGTGCAAGAGCCATAGCACATGTTCTTTTCATCAAACACTGTAGGCCTTGCATTCTCACATCAGCACAGTGGGCAAGAGAATTCCTGGAAGCTATCCCTTACACTGGGAAAGCTGGAACTAGCTTGACTCTGTGTAGAGTGGTGAGGCACATGAATACATCACAGAAATCCAAACAAGGTGTATGCTCTTGACTAGATTTAAAATACTCCCTGGCGATTCAAATGACAAAACTCCTCTGTGACGAAGGCATAGTTGCTGCAGGTGGGGACAGAGAGTGAATATGGCACTTTGTAGGACATGAAAAGGACTCTGGCAAGTTCAATAGGGAGCCCTGGAGGGTGTGACATGACCTGACTTATCGACCTTTACCTCTTACAAGACACAATTTTTCTAAATTTTGCACATCTTAGATTGAGGTTGCTGGGATTATCTTCCTAGAAACTGTCTTAAAATTGTTGTTTGTCATGTATTAGTTTAGACATAGCTGTTATTGCCTGGGCACAGAGGAACTTGTTCAGGGAGGTTCTTATTTCTTCCCTTCAGTCAAATTCTGTGCATAATCAGTACTACACCTGTTGATTTTATTTGCTTTATGAAATGTCATCCAAAAAATTATACAACAATTTGGTATTAAAATGAAAGTTAAGGTGAAACAGAAAGGCAGTGAAACAGAGCAGTAGGGTATGAATCTGATACTAGTGAAGGGAATGTTCCTCGTTGGAGGTATGATTAAAAACCCATAATTTCGTGGAAAGCAACAAGCAACTAAGTGCTTTAAAAGTCTAAAAAAATAGATCCACAAGTAGATGGACTTGTGTTTTCTTTTGTTCCTGATATATGTGTGCTAAGATTGCCTATCAATGAATCAAAGAATGCATCTAGACACAGTTAAAAAATATCCTGGTATTGATGAAAGCATTTTCAAAGCAGACAGAATCTGGTGGGATTAAATGATGCTTTGCACAAGACTATTATTAAGGCACAATGTCATAGTTTATTTCATGACAATGTCACTTACGCGTACAATAAGTCTGCATCATACAAATAAAGGCATCTTAGACTCAATAGCATATGGTACAACAACCAATATTGCTCTCATGCTGGTTGACAATAGACCCTAAGAGGGCAAGGATAGGAGCAGGGAGGCTATTTAGCAGCTGATTTTGGTGATCCAGGCAACTTGGAGCAGGTGGTAACAGTGGAGTTGGTGAGAAGTGGTCAGATTGTGGATCTATGTTGAAGGTAAAGGTAAGAGGTTGAATATAGGGCATGAAGAAAGAAACATGAAGAAGATTTTCTCAAGGCTTCTTACTTGAGTGACTGGAAGAGCGACAGTGCCATCCACTGAAATGGGTGCACGGGACATGGAAGAGATTTTAGTGACAGCATCAGAAGTTTACTTTTAGGCAAGTTCTGTTTGAATGTTTATTAACAGGTGGAAGGGCAGAGTATACGAGTCCAAAAACTGGTAGGTGTGTAGATAACATGGAGACTGTGAAGTCCTCTTCTGATTACTTAGGCTTTCTCAATGCTGTAGGAATCAGGACAGTAGCTGAGAATAGCGATGAGGGAGGAGGTGTTAAATGTTTGAACAGAGATGCCAAGGTATAAAACAGTCATCCAGGAACTTGTTACTCAGGGGCCAGCAGTGTCAGCATCACCTGGAAGCTTGTTAGAAATGCAGGTTCTCAGGGTCCACAGCAGCATCAGAAATTGTATTTACTAACATCCCCAAGTGGTTTATAGCACACTAAAGTATGAAATACACTTAGAGGAGCATGAATAGATCAGAGAAGAACAGTCTGATAGACCAGCTACATGAAGAGCCCGTTTGAGGTTTGCAGCATGAATTTAAAGAGAGACCTATCTATATGGTTATGGATTTTTCTCCAGTCAAATGCAGTAGCAGGGCACAGCTGCAGAGTAGGCAGAGAGCTAGAGTGATTAGAGTTGTAACTGTTTTAAGGAAGTACATTTTAATAAGAGGGAGTCAAGAGAGTTGTGAATATATGTAAATAAATGCATAGACACATATTGGGGTTACATACTCAAATACATGTGTGTGTGTATGTAAATGTGTGTGTATATATGTGTGTGTATATATATATATATATATACACACACATATATCTGCTGATAATATATGTGATACAAAAAGTTTAGAAACACCTGGTTTACATCATATTCTCTGAAGCATTACCTCCCCTAGAGGACACTTTTTTTCAATAGGGACTTCTGAAAGTCAACTCATTTTCAATTTCCACAAGAAAATGTTTTGATGGTTTTATCCAAGGAGTTCTGGTCAATTGGGACTAAGGAACTTGCTGATGTCCCCTGAAATCACACCTAAATTTAACAGTGTCCTTCCTTGAGGTACTATTTTGATATTTGCCACATAATCCTTTAAGATTTTTTTTGAATGTGGAAATTCCAAGCATGAGTATCACCAATGTGAAAGGTTTTGTCTCCAAATTTAGGGGCCATCTGTATAAGGAAATGTTACAGAATGAGCCCATAGTGCTCGTGAGCGTTTTGATTGTTTCTGCTGTAACACTCAGAATAAAAATCAAAGACTCTGGACAAAGATTACTCTTGTTGGACTTTGACTATTCATTGAACAGTGTTTAAGCCATAGGCACAACAGAAAATGTCTAAATTACCTTAACCATAGAGTCAAGGATTCTAGAGTATAGAAAGAATCTTCAGGTCTTCAGGTTCAATGTCTCATCCAGTCTACAGATAAATGTTCATCCAGCAGCACGAATACTTCCAGTACTGGAGAACGCCTTCCTGCCAAAGTCAGCTAATTCAATTGCTTTTTATATTGACTCTGTATCTGTCTCCCCAAAGCTGCTACCATTGGCCCCAGATCTGCTCAAATAGAGCAAAAGAGAATAGCTATGACTCATTTATAAAGTTTTCAAAACCTCAAAAAATAATAGGCAGAAAGAATAAATAAGACCGAGTATTTGATAGCATGACGGGGTGACTATACTCAATAATAATTTAATTGTACATTTACAAATAACTAAAAGGGTATAATTGGATTGTTTCTAACAGAAAAGTTAAATGCTTGAGGAGATGGATACCCGATTTTACATGATGTGATTATTACCCATTGCATGCCTGTATCAAAACATCTCATGTGGCTCATACATATATACACCTACTATGTAGGTGTATATTAAAATAAAATTAAAATTAAAAATTAAAAAAAGAAAATTCTAAGACTGCTCCTCTTTCAGTGTCAGCCTTGAAACTCACACTGCCCACTGCATGTTTCTTATTTATTCATATCTCTATTAGGATAAGGACCTTAGAAACACATACATCTGTCCAAATGATGTTTGACCATTTCAGAATACCATGGGAGTTCTACCTCCATTGATCTGGGCATGACATTCCCACTAATTTAGAATAAGTTTCCATTAGTTTTCCAATGACTCAGTTAAGATTGTTAATTCATAATAAGGAACAAACCCACCTGGGTGTTTTCCACATTAGTTACTGTCAAGCTGTGTCTCCTCCATCCGGTACTAGTGATCAATCTTTCAGACTTTAATGCAAGGCTCTTGTTTTCCCTTAATAGGCTTCACCTTGTCGGTTTCACCTCATCATTCTATCCCATCAGGTTCCGTAGTAATTCTGTTTCCATTTTCTGAGGTCTAAGCCAACTCTCCTATGCAGAAAAGAGTGAACATGGCAAGCCTTAGAAAGGCCTGCTTGTAGGGACATGGATGAAGCTGGAAAGCATCATTCTCAGCAAACTAACACAGGAACAGAAAACCAAACACCGCATGTTCTTAGTCAGAAGTGGGAGTTGAACAATGAGAACACATGAACACCGGGAGGGGAACATCACACACTGGGACCTGTGGAGGGGTTGGGGGTGGCGGGAGGGACAGCATTAGGAGAAATACCTAGTGTAGATGACGGGTTAATGGGTGCAGCAAACCACCATGGAACGTGTATACCTATGTAACAAACCTGCACGTTCTGCACATGTATCCCAGGACTTAAAGTATAATTAAAAAAAAAAAAAAAGGCCTGCTTGTAAGCTTTGCCCATGACTGCTTTCTGAGAGCTTAGATCTGGGAGGGGGCTGTGGCGGGGGGGAGGTGGGTTCTTAACATTCCCCAATTGACAAGGGTGTTTACTGTCCCTGAACTGTTTGTGCAAACAATATGGTTTATTCTGAGCACCTGCTATCCTTCTGGGCATCTGAATTTCTGGTACACGATAGTCAGAAGGTGCTCATGCTGCCAACTCCAGTAGAAACCCTAAACTGAGTCAGAAAGTGATTCCCTCAGGCAGAAACATCACACACATTGCTGCATTTTTGTTGCTGGAAGAAGAGGATGTTCTACGTGACCGCTCACAGGAGGTATGAACATAAGGAGGCCTGTACAGGAGGTACGAGCATAAGGAGGCCTGCACAAGACTCCACCTATGTCTTTTCCCATTATGACCTGACAAATTCCCTACCATTTGCAAAATCAACTGATATAAAGCCAAACATATTAGTCAGTACTGGCCCTGGTGCATAGGAAGGCGTGGTCAGGCCGGGCGCTTTGGCTCACGCCTGTAATCCCAGCACTTTGGGAGGCCGAGGCAGGCGGATCACAAGGTCAGGAGATCGAGACCATCCTGGTTAACACGGTGAAACCCCGTCTCTACTAAAAAACATACAAAAAAAAATTAGCCGGGCATGGTGGCGGGCGCCTGTAGTCCCAGCTACTCAGGAGGCTGAGGCAGGAGAATGGCATGAACCCGTGAGGCGGAGCTTACAGTGACCCGAGATTGTGCCACTGCACTCCAGCCCGGGCGACAGAGTGACACTCCATCTCAAAAAAAAAAAAAAAAAAAAAAAAAAGGGAAGGCGTGGACATTCCCAGAAAGAGCATGAGAAACAGCAAGAAGAAAGTACTCTGCCTGGGTCTCTAAGAGAATATTTGTTAGTCCTGGAATGTCAAAAATGGAGACAAAATGCAAAGAAACTAAAACATCCCTATTCAAACTCCTCTTGAAGATTCTAAGCAAGTACTGGTCACATTATTTTTCAAAATTTACACATAACTAAGAAGTCAGGGAAAAGAAGGGAATGGACACATTACTAGAATTCAGGATTAAATCTGACTACTCAACTATCATTTATTAAGCTTTGACTGAATACATGTATCACTGTAATAAATGTTGAAGAGCTCCCCCTCACCAATAAAACATACCTCTCAGAAGCTTTATGGACTAACTTAATTAAATGGTAGAAAAGAGGAAATAAAAATACTAGAAATCTATTCTATAAACTACCAAAATTAATCACAATCCTTTCTGAGAAGCTTATAGTCATAAAGTTATTTATCTGGCAAGTCCCAACCACAGAACTAAGAGCAGCGTTTAAAAGAGAGTGAAGACAAAACTGCTCAATGACATGGAAACTGAACAACCTGCTCCTGAATGACTACTGGGTACATAACAAAATGAAGGCAGAAATAAAGATGTTCTTTGAAACCAAAGAGAACAAAGATACAACATACCAGAATCTCTGGGACACATTTAAAGCAGTGTGTAGAGGGAAATTTATAGCACTAAATGCCCACAAGAGAAAGTAGGAAAGATCTAAAATTGATACCCTAATATCACAATTAAAAGAACTAGAGAAGCAAGAGCAAACACGTTCAAAAGCTAGCAGAAGACAAGAAATAACTAAGATCAGAGCAGAACTGAAGGAGATCGAGACACAAAAAAACCCTTCAAAAAATAAATGAATCCAGGAGCTGGTTTTTTGAAAAGATCGACAAAATTGATAGACCAGTAGCAAGACTAATAAAGAAGAAAAGAGAGAAGAATCAAGTAGATGCAATAAAAAATGATAAAGGGGATATCACCACTGATCCCACAGAAATACAAACTACCATCAGAGAATACTATAAACACCTCTACGCAAATAAACTAGAAAATCTAGAAGAAATGGATAAATTCCTCGACACATACACCCTCCCAAGACTAAACCAGGAAGAAGTTGAATCCCTGAATAGACCAATAACAGGCTCTGAAATTGAGGCAATAATTAATAGCCTACCAACCAAAAAAAGTCCAGGACCAGAGGGATTTACAGCCAAATTCTACCAGAAGTACAAAGGGGAGCTGGTACCATTCCTTCTGTAACTATTCCAATGAATAGAAAAAGAGAGAATCCTCCCTAACTCATTTTATGAGGCCAGCATCATCCTGATACCAAAGCCTGGCAGAGACACAACAAAAAAAGAGAATTTTAGACCAATATCCCTGATGAACATCGATGCAAAAATCTTCAATAAAATACTGGCAAACCGAATCCAGCAGCACATCAAAAAGCTTATCCACCATGATCAAGTGGGCTTCATCCCTGGGATGCAAGCCTGGTTCAACATATGCAAATCAATAAATGTAATCCATCATATAAACAGAACCAAAGACAAAACCACATGATTATCTCAATAGATGCAGAAAAGGCCTTCAACAAAATTCAACAACCCTTCATGCTAAAAACTCTTAATAAACTAGGTATTGATGGGATGTATTTCAAAATCATAAGAGCTATTTATGACAAACACACAGCCAATATCATACTGAATGGGCAAAATCTGGAAGCATTCCCTTTGAAAACTGGCACAAGACAGGGATGCCCTCTCTCACCACTCCTATTCAACATAGTGTTGGAAGTTCTGACCAGGGCAATCAGGCAGGAGAAAGAAATAAAGGGTATTCAATTAGGAAAAGAGGAAGTCAAATTGTCCCTGTTTGCAGATGACATGATTGTATATTTAGAAAACCCCATTGTCTCAGCCCAAAATCTCCTTAAGCTGATAAGCAACTTCAGCAAAATCTCAGGATACAAAATCAATGTGCAAAAATCACAAGCATTCCTATAAACCAATAACAGACAAACAGAGAAGCAAATCATGAGTGAACTCCCATTCACAATTGCTTCAAAGAGAATAAAATACCTAGGAATCCAACTTACAAGGGATGTGAAGGAACTCTTCAAGGAGAACTACAAACCACTGCTCAATGAAATAAAAGAAGACACAAACAAAAGGAAGAACAGTCCATGCTCATGGATAGGAAGAATCAATATCATGAAAATGGCCATACTGCCCAAGGTAATTTATAGATTCAATGCCATCCCCATCAAGCTACCAATGACTTTCTTCACAGAATTGGAAGAAACTACTTTAAAGTTCATATGGAACCAAAAAAAGAGCCTGCATTGCCAAGACAATCCTAAGCCAAAAGAACAAAGCTGGAGGCATCACGCTACCTGACTTCAAACTATACTACAAGGCTACAGTAACCAAAACAGCATGGTACTGGTACCAAAACAGAGATATAGATCAATGGAACAGAACAGAGCCCTCAGAAATAATACCAGACATCTACAACCATCTGATCTTTGACAAACCTGACAAAAACAAGAAATGGGGAAAGGATTCCCTATTTAACAAATGGTGCTGGGAAAACTGGTTAGCCATATGTAGAAAGCTGAAACTGGATCCCTTCCTTACACCTTATACAAAAATTAATTCAAGATGGATCAAAGACTTAAATGTTAGACCTAAAAAAATAAAAACCCTAGAAGAAAACCTAGGTAATACCATTCAGGACATAGGCATGGGCAAGGACTTCATGACTAAAACACCAAAAGCAATGGCAACAAAAGCCAGAATTGACAAATGGGATCTAGTTAAACTAAAGAGCTTCTGCACAGCAAAAGAAACTACCATCAGAGTGAACAGGCAACCTACAGAATGTGAGAAAATTTTTATAATCTACCCGTCTGACAAAGGGCTAATATCCAGAATCTGCAAAGAACTTAAACAAATTTACAAGAAAAAAAAACCAGCAACAAGTGGGTGAAGGATATGAACAGACACTTCTCAAAAGAAGACATTTATGCAGCCAATAGACACATGACAAAATGCTTATCATCACTGGTCATCAGAGAAATGCAAATCAAAACCACAATGAGATACCATCTCACACCAGTTAGAATGGCAATCATTAAAAAGTCAGGAAACAACAGGTGCTGGAGAGGATGTGGAGAAATAGGAACACTTTTACACTGTTGGTGAGACTGTAAATTAGTTCAACCATTGTGGAAGACAGTGTGGCGATTCCTCAAGGATCTAGAACTAGAAATACCATTTGACCCAGTCATCCCATTGCTGGGTATATACCCAAAGGATTATAAATCATGCTGCTATAAAGACACATGCACACATATGTTTATTGCGGCACTATTCACAATAGCAAAGACATGGAACCAACTCAAATATCCATCAATGATAGACTGGATTAAGAAAATGTGGCATATATACACCATGGAATACTATGCAGCCATAAAAAAGGATGAGTTCATGTCCTTTGTAGGGACATGGATGAAGCTGGAAACCATTATTCTGAGCAAACTATTGCAAGGACAGAAAACCAAACACCGCATGTTCTCACTCATAGGTGGGAATTGAACAATGAGAACACTTGGACACAGGATGGGGAACACCAGGGCCTGTCATGAGGTGGGGGGAGGGGGAAGGGATAGCATTAGGAGATATACCTAATGTAAATGACGAGTTAATGGGTGCAGCACACCAACATGGCACATGTATACATATGTAATAAACCTGCACATTGTGCACATGTACCCTAGAACTTAAAGTATAATAAAAAATACATAAATAAAATGGAGTGAAAAAAAGAAATCAGAGATGACTTAAACAGAAAAATATTTCATGCTCATGGATAGGAAGAATAAATGTCATTGAAATGGCCATACTGCCCAAAACAATTTATAGATTCAATGCCATTCCTATTAGACTACCAATGACATTCTTCACAACACTAGAAAAAAAAAAAACTATTTTAAAATTCATATAGAACCAAAAGAGTCAAGGCAATCCTAAGCAAAAAGAACAAAGCTGGAGGCATCATGCTATCTGACTTCAAACTAGACTACAGGGCTAGAGTCACCAAAACAGCATAGTACTGGTACCAAAACAGACACATAGACTAATGGAACAGAATAGAGAGCCCAGAAATAAGGCTGTACACATACAACTATCTGATCTTCAACAAAGCTGACAAAAACAAGCAATGGAGAAAGGGCTGCCTATTCAATAAATCGTGTTGGGATAACTGGCTAGCCATATGCACAAGATTGAAGCCCCGTCCTTACACCATATACAAAAATTAACTCGAGATGGATTAAGGATTTACATGTAAAATGCAAAATTATAAAAATCATGGAAGAAAACCTAGGCAATACCATCCTGGACAGGGTAACAGTCAAAGATTTCATGATGAAGACACAAAATACAATTGCAAGAAAAGCAAAAATTGACAAATGGGATCTAATTAAACTAAAGAGCTTCTGCACAGCAAAAGAAACCATCATCAGAGTAAACAGACAACCTACAGAATGAGATAAAATTTTTGCAAATCATGTATCTGACAAAAGACTAATATCCAGCATCTATAAGGAACTTAAACAAATTTACAAGAAAAAAGAAACCACCTCATTAAAAAGAGGGCAAAGGACATGAACAGTGTGAATTAGTTCAACCATTGTGGAAAGCAGTATGGCAATTCCCCAAAGAGGTAAAAGCAGAACTACCATTAGACCAGCAATCCCATACTGGTTATATACCCAGAGGAATATAAATTATCCAATTGGCAGCAGGTGAAATTACATGGCTTTCCAAATGACTGCATTGCCAACCTATCTTCTCCCAGCTAAATGACTGATTTCTATCACTGCTGCCTCCCAAGGGGGTCTCTTGCAAGGACGTGGGTGTTGATGATCCTAAAATGGCACTTAAAACTTCTGACAACCATCGGTTGGTGCAACCATATAAGGGGCCTTTTAGAAAACACTAAATAGGGATCCCTTCCTGTCTGGAGACGCGGAATGGGACACAGGCTTGGCATTGCAGAAAAACAAATTATTGGTTCTCACTAAGTTAGCGTCATAACAATTTTGGGCCTCCATTTATTCATCTGGAAAACTGGAGACTGCCTGTTTAAGGTCTTCTCTCAACCTGTGGTTCTCTGAACCCATGTGAGCTCTCTCTGTGTGACATATTCAGCACTCTATTAACCACAGAAATAGAGGAGGGAGCCCTGAACACCCCCAATCCTCTCTAAAACAGGAGGCAGAAGCAGTCACAACTAATATCTAGTAACATATTCAGCACTCTGCAGACATAAACTCAATGTTCAAGAGATATAAGTGTAAGATCAGGATAGGAATCCACAATTTCAGGTACACCAAAAAGCTACAACCATCTGTGACTGGTATTTGTTCCATAAATGAGCCTTGATAGTTTTCTCAAATGTTTTTAATGTCTGTGCAGCCTAAACTCAGGGCTGAAATGACTGCTCACCTGCTTTCCAAAGTCCCTCAGGTTTACCAGATCATAAGAGGGTCTCCACCATTTTTGGGAGGTGCCAGACCCCTTTGAGAATCTGTAACAGTTCCAGGGGCAGTCAGTCCTTAAGGTACTTTGCACATGCACATAGACATATCTCACACATGCAATTGACTTAGGTTTTATGGGTCTTGGGTGCCATGGGAAACCTTCTTGTTCTGCCCAACGGCTCCCCTCCATGGCTGACCTGCATCATGACATTGTTCCTCATGGCTTCAACCCCAGTTGGCACCCTCACCCATCCAGCCACTCAACTTGAAAGTGAATTCCTCATTTTCAGGTAAATTTTGCATCTTCTTATGTTTATCTCCCTCAGATCTCTTTTTCTCCATACTCCTCTGGGCTTCTCTCTTAGGTAAATGCTTTGTAAATCCAGGGTCACATTGAAAGACTTTAGAATAGATTGGGGATATCTAAGTCTCACAGTCTTTAGAGCTGAGTCCTAAACTTTGCTCTAAAATATCCCTGTCCCTTCCTTCCTTCCTCCTTGCCTCCCAATCTTAGAAGCACATACAGCAAAGAACCCTCTATATCCCTAATTGTCATGTGGAACAGATTTTTTTCCTGACTACACAGGACTTCTAGTGCATGGCTATTCTAAACCAGTGTTCCAGACTCCTGTCCACACGAGGAGCAGCAAAACAAGGGCTGTGGCTCTCATGAGCAGAAGAGAATCTATCAGATACTTTAAGCTGCAATAACATAAAACCTGTCTTATAACAGCTTAAACAAAGATGGGATATATCTTTCTCTTATAACAGAAATTCTGAATAAATATGGCTGCTGTCCTTAATCCAGAAACTTGATGATTTTCAAGCCAGCGTCATGTACTCATTTGACTTTTTTCTCTTGTTTGACTCCTTGTTATTGTAAGATGGCTCCACCAGCCCCATAATTTTAGCAGACCTAAGATAGTATAAACAGTAAATTCAAAAGTAGGGTTTCCCAAAGCTGAGTGACCATGGAAAAGTTACTTAATTACCTGACCCTCATTCCTTAATTCAACAAATATTAAATGTGATATGCTGAGCACATAGATTAGCAAAAACAGTGATAGTTGGTGTTCTCAAGAAAGATACATTGCAAATTTTTTTCTTTCAATGTATTTTATTTTGATGAATTACAAAGGTAGATAAAAAATACTTTTTATAAAGTACAGTTAACTGACTTAGGAAAAGAGACAAAGCTTCTACAGTTTTAAAAATAAAATAAAGTTTGGCTTCCATCCCAAGATGGTTGAAT
The DNA here is from genome assembly GCF_000001405.40 of Homo sapiens. NCBI lineage: Eukaryota > Metazoa > Chordata > Mammalia > Primates > Hominidae > Homo > Homo sapiens. The sequence goes on along the minus strand of NC_000023.11, from coordinate 37,301,696 downwards.
AGGAACAGCTCCAGTCTGCAGCTCCCAGCGTGATCGACACAGAAGACGGGTGATTTCTGCATTTCCAACTGAGGTACCTGGTTCAAGTCATTGGGACTGGTTGGACAGTGGGTGCAGCCCATGGGAGGGTGAGCCAAAGCAGGGTGGGGCGTTGCCTCACCCGGGAAGCACAAGGGGTCAGGGAATTTCCCTTTCCTAGTCAAGGGAAGCCATGACAGACTGTACCTGGAAAAATGGGACACTCCTGCCCAAATACTGCGCTTTTCCCAAGGTCTTAGCAACTGGCAAACAAGGAGATTCTCTCCCGTGCCTGGCTCAGTGGGTCCCATGCCCACGGAGCCTTGTTCACTACTAGCTCAGCAGTCTGAGATTGAACTGCGAGGTGGCAGCCTGGCTGGGGGAGGGGTGTCTGCCATTGCTGTGGCTTAAGTAGGTAAACAAAGTGGCCAGGAAGCTCAAACTGGCAGAGCCCACCACTGCTCAGCAAGGCCTACTGCCTCTATAGACTCCACCTCTGTGGGCAGGGCATAGCTGAACAAAAGGCAGCAGACAACTTCTGCAGACTTAAACATCCCTGTCTGACAGCTCTGAAGAGGGCAGTCATTCTCCCAGCATGGCGTTTGAGCTCTAAGAATGTACAGACTGCCTCCTCAAGTGGGTCCCTGACCCCCATGTAGCCTAACTGGGAGACACCTCCCAGTAGGGTCCGACAGACACCTCATATAGGCAGGTGCCCCTCTGGGACAAAGCTTCCAGAGGAAGGATCAGGCAGCAATATTTGCCATTCTGCAATATTCGCTGTTCTGCAGCCTCTGCTGGTGATACCCAGGAAAACAAGGTCTAGAGAGGACCTCTAGCAAACTCCAGCAGACCTGCAGAAAAGGGGCCTGAGTGTTAGAAGGAAAACTAACATAGAGAAAGAAATAGCATCAACATAAACAAAAAGGACATCTACACCAAAGCCCCATCTGTAGGTCACCAACATCAAAGACCAAAGGTAGATAAAACCACAAAGACAGGGAGAAACAAGGTCAGAAAAGCTGGACATTCTAAAAACCAGAGCGACTCTTCTCCTCCAAAGGATTGCAGCTCCTTGACAGCAATGGAACAAAGCTGGAAGGAGGATGACTTTGATGAGTTGACAGAAGTAGGCTTCAGAAGGTCGGTAATAGCAAACTTCTCCAAGCTAAAGGAGCATGTTCAAACCCATCATAAGGAAGCTAAAAACCTTGAAAAAAGGTTAGACAAATGGCTAACTAGAATAAACAGTGTAGAGAAGACCTTAAGTGACCTGATGGAGCTGAAAACCATGGCACAAGAACTTTGTGATGAATGCACAAGCTTCAATAGCTGAATAATCAATGTAGAGAAGAACATATATGATCTGATGGAGCTGAAAAACACAGCACCAGAACTTCATGAAGAATACACAAGTATCAATAGCCAAATCGATCAAACAGAAGAAAGGATATCAGTGATTGAAGATCAAATTAATGAAATAAAGCGAGAAGACAAGGTTAGAGAAAAAAGAGTAAAAAGAAACCAACAAAGCCTCCAAGAAATATGGGACTGTGTGAAAAGACCAAATCTACGTTGGATTGGTGTACCTGAAAGTGATAGGGAGAATGGAACCAAGTTGGAAAACACTCTTCAGAATATTATCCAGCAGAACTTCCCCAATCTAGCAAGGCAGGCCAACATTCAAATTCAGGAAATACAGAGAACACCACAAAGATACTCCTCGAGAAGAGCAACCCCAAGACACATAATTGTCAGATTCACCAAGGTTGAAATGAAGGAAAAAATGCTAAGGGCAGCCAGAGAGAAAGGTCGGATTACCCACAAAGGGAAGCCCATCAGACTAACAGCAGATCTCTCAGCAGAAATCCTATAAGCCAGAAGAGAGTGGCAGCCAATATTCAACATTCTAAAGAAAATAATTTTCAAACCAGAATTTCATATCCAGCCAAACTAAGCTTCATAAGTGAAAGAGAAATAAAATCATTTACAGACAAGCAAATGCTGAGAGATTTTGTCACCACCAGGCCTGCCTTACAAGAGCTCCTGAAGGAAGCACTAAACATGGAAAAAAACAACCGGTACCAGCCACTGCAAAAACATGCCAAATTGTACAGACCATCGATGCTATGAAGAAACTGCATCAATTAATGGGCAAAATAACCAACTAACATCATAATGACAGGATCAAATTCACAAATAACAATATTAGCCTTAAATGTAAATAGGCTAAGTGCCCCAATTAAAAAAGACACAGACTGGCAAATTAGATAAAGAGTCAAGACCCATCAGTGTGCTGTATTCAGGAGACCCATCTCATGTGCAGAGACACACATAGGCTCAAAATAAAGGGATGGAGGAAGATCTACCAAGCAAATGGAAAGCAAAAAAAAAAAAAAAAAAAAAGCAGGGGTTGCAATCATAGTCTCTGATAAAACAGACTTTAAACCAACAAAGATCAAAGGAGACAAAGAAGGCCATTACATAATGGTAAAGGGATCAATTCAACAAGAAGAGCTAACTATCCTAAATATATATGCACCTAATACAGGAGCACCCAGATTCATACAGCAAGTCCTTAGAGACCTACAAAGAGACTCAGACTCCCACACAATAATAATGGGAGACTTTAACACCCCACTGTCAATATTAGACAGATCAATGGGACAGAAGGTTAACAAGGATATCCAGGACTTGAACTCAGCTCTGCACCAAGCAGACCTAATAGACATCTATAGAACTCTCCACCCCCAAATCAACAGAATATACATTAGTTGGTTGTGGAGGTGCATGCCTGTAGTCACAGCTACTCAGGAGGCTAAGGTGGCAGGATTGCTTGAGCCAGGAATTGGAGGCCACAGTGAGTTTTGATCATGTCATGGCATTCCAGTCTGGACACCAGAGTGAGATGCCTCTAAAAAAATAAAAATAAAATTGAAGGACATTAACATTCCAGACAGCATCTAGAAACCAATTTTCTTGTTTATAAGAGATCAGCATAACCCTACAGAATGGCTAAGAGGCAGCTTTGGAAGAGCTTAAACATTAATTGTGAAATGTTTTACATAAGGCTTTTCTTTTTCTTTCATAAGTCATTATCCCACTCTGTATCTTCAGAAATAATGAAGTATGTTTTCAGCCTAAATTAGATGAAATGTTTTATTAATATTTCCTTAATAATCCTGTATGTATTTATGAATTTATTAAAATTGTGTTATTGAAAAGCATTTCTAAACAGTCTAGTGAGATAAAAATAAATAACAAAATATTATCAAACGTAACCTTTATCAAAGACAGTACGGAAGTTAGTAAGTAACTGTAAAAATCATAGCTATAAAATACAGAATGCAGGTGAATTTAAAGCTTTTTTTTTGTCTGACAAATCTTCCTGTATAATTTCTTTGTCTTAATACATTCTAAACAGCCAGCTGGAGTTGACTAAGTCAGGTGCAATTGAAAAAATAGGTGTTTTCTTATTAAAGGGGATAATCCTTTCCATCCCAATAGAAAAAAATATATTTGGGTTTGATACAAAAACAATTAAAACCAAAGAAAGCCCCTGAGGGCTTAATCCATTCTTTTATTAGCAGAATGACAGAAGATGTAGGGAGACCCCCTGAAACTATTGCTATGGAATAAAAGATGAAATGCTCCTGATTATTGTAAATACAAAGTTGCATGCAGGATTGTGTAAAGACAATGCCAGGTTGGACTGCCAGAATGAGCCAACAGCACGTGATGTGCTTCCCCTTGCGGAGAGCCTATGAATGGACGTGCAGTCAGGGAGGTTTCATATCACCAAGATTCCTATCCCAGAAAAGCAGATGTTCATAGCTCTGGGAATGGAATGTGACCCTTGTGGAGAGCCTATAAACGGACGTATGGGGTGGGGGGGGGCGCCTGTCTGTATGGATAAGATAGGGCTATAAACGCCCTCATCTTGCCATGGCTCTTCTAGGCCTCTTTAGGGTTAAGGCATACTCCCTTCTGAGAATTTCTGGTCTAACCAGTTGTCTAGCTTCACGTCCTGTTTCTATGGATTGTTTGTAACCAGCTTTTGCTGCAACTGTTACTGCTGATTAATATCTTGCTAATTATAGGTTATGGAAAGACTGTTTCTGTTTTAAGGCTCTGTTAGAAATTACTGATGCACACACTATATTGTAAATTCTTATCCCTGTATACTGTACTTCCGCATACAGATGTTATGTTAAAGAATTACTTCATCCCCATGTGACCATCTCACCTCATAATCAAATGACCCTAAATCCCTCACTAACCTACCCCTGCCCTCACTAAACTTAATAATAAACGCTGGTATATCCAGTGCATTGTTGGCACCGCAGGACCAGAAGGCGGTGACCCCCCTTGACCCAGCTTTCACTGTCTTGTGTTTGTCTATTATTTCTCGACCTGCCAATCCACCTGGGAACAAAGAGAGAGCCCCACTGCATTGCAGGCTGCTGGCCAGATCCCGCAATAAAGAAGACATTTAACTTATTCCTCTTTTATTAAAAAACACATTAAAGAATGTGTATCACTCTATACCTTTGCTGTGTTATACATTGTATATAGTAAATTATTACCATGGTTTTTCTTAAATTATCTGATATGGTTTGGTTCTGTGGTCTCTGCCCAAATCTCATGTTGAACTGTAACCCCCAATGTTGGAGGTGGGGACTGGTGGAAGGTGATTAGATCATGGAGGTGGTTTCTCATTAATGGTTTAAAACCATCCCACATGGTACTGTCCTTGTGATAGAGAGTGAGTTCTCATGAGATCCGGTTGTTTAACAGTGCATAGCACCTCCGCCCTCTCACTCTTGCTGCTCCTGCCATGTGAGATGCCTTGCTCCCTCTTTGCCTTCTGCCATGATTGAAAATGTCCTGAGGCCTCCCCAGAAGCTGAGCAGGAGCCGCTATGTTTCCTGTATAGCCTGCAGAACTGTGAGCCAATTAAATGTCTTTTCTTTATGAATTACCCAGTCTCAGATATTTCTTTATAGCAATGCGAGAACAAACTAATACAGAAAATTGATACCATGGAGTGTCGCATTGATACAAGGATACCCAAAAATGTGGAAGCAGCTTCGGAACTGGGTAATGAGCAGAAGTTGGAAGGGTTTGGAGGCATCAGAAGAAGACAGGAATATGAGGGGAAAATTTGGAACTTAACTAGAGACTCATTGAATGGTTGTGACCCAAATGCTGATAGTGATAAGGACAAAGATGGCCATGCTGATCAGGTCTCAGATGGAGATGAGAAACTTATTAGGAACTGGAGCAAAGGTCATTTTTTTGTGCCTTAGCAAAAAACCTGGCTGCATTTTGCTGTTGCCCTAGGGATCTGTGAAAGTTTGAACTTGGGAGTGATGATTTAGGGTCTTTGGCAGAAGAAATTACTAAGCAGCAAAGCACTCAAGAAGTGCCCTGGCTGCTTCTAACAGTCTAAACTCATATGTATTAGCAAAGAAATGATGGAAAATTGGAATTTATATTTAAAAGGGAAGCAGAATGTAAAAGTTTGGAAAATTTGCAGTCTGGCCATGTGGTAGAAAAAAAAAGCCTATTTTCAGGGGAGGAATTCAAGCAAGCTGCAGAAATTTGCACAACTGAAAAGGAGCCAAGTGCTAATAGCCAAGACAATGGGGAAAAGGCCTCAAAAGCATTTCAGAGACCTTCACAGCAGCTCCTCCTATCACAGGCCTGGAGGCCTGGGAGGGAAGAATGGTTTCATGGGCCAGGCCAAGGGATTCACTGCCTTGTGCAGCCTCAGGACACTACTCCTGGCATCCTGGTCACTCCAGCTCCAGCCATGGCTCAAAGGGGCCAAAGTACAGCTCAATATGCTGCTTCAAAGGGTGCAAGGTATAAGCCTTGGTGGGTTCCATGTAGTGTTAAGCCTATGAAGGCATAGACTACAAGAGTTCAGGCTTTGGAGCCTCCCTGTAGATTTCAGAGGATGTGTGAAAAAGCCTGGATCTCCATGCTTCATGGAGAACCTCTACTAGGGCAATGCAGAGGAGAAATGTGGAGTTGGAGCCCCCACACAGGATTCCCACTTGGGCACTTCCTAGTGGAGCTGTGAGTAGAGGGCCACTGTCCTTCAGACCCCAGAATGGTAGATCCACCAGCAGCTTGCACCTTCACCCTGGAAAAGCAGCAGGTGTTAAATGTCAGATCTTGAAAGCAGCCACAGGTGCTGAACCCTGTAAAGCCACAGGGGTGGAGCTGCTCAAGGCCTTGAGAGTCCACCTCTTTTATCAGTGGGCCGTGGATGTGGGACATTGAGCCAAAGGAGATTATTATATTTTGGAATTTTTAAATTTAATAACTTCCCTGCTGGGTTTCAACTTGCCTGGGGCCTTTAGTCCTTTTCTTTTGGCCAATTTGTCCCTTTTGGAATGGGGTTATTTACCTAATGTCCATACCTCCATTGTATCTTGGAAGTAACTAAGTTGTTTTTGATTTTACAGACTCATAGGTGGAAGGACTAGCCTTGCCTCAGATGAGACTTTGGACTTTGGAATTTTGAGTTAATGCTGGAATGAGCTAAGACTTTTGGAGACCAGCTGGGCTTGATCCATTATGGGCTAATGCCTGTAATCCCAGCACATTGGAAGGCCAAGGCAGATGGGTTGCTTTGAGAGTTTGAGACCAGCCTGGGTAACATGGCAAAACACTGTTTCTATAAAGAATACAAAAATTAGCCAGGTGCGGCAGCTCACGCCTGTAGTCCCAGCTACTAAGGAGGCTGAGGCTAGAGAATTGCTTGAGCCTGGGAAGCAGAGGTTGCAGTGAGCCAAGATGGCATCACTGCACTCCAGACTGAATGACAGAGTGAGAACCTGTCTCAAAAACAAAAGAAAAAAAGACATTGAGGGACTACTGGGAAGGCATGGTTGTATTTGGCAATGTGAGGACATGAAATATAGGAGGAGCCGGGGTGGAAAGATATGGTTTGGTTTTGTGTCCCCACCCAAATATAATGTCAAAGTGTAATCCCCAGTTTTGGAGGTAGGGCCTGGTGGGAGGTGAACAGATCATGGCAGCGGTTTCTCATGAATGGTTTAGCACCACCCCCCTTGGCACTGTTCTCCTGACAGTAAGTGAGTTCTCATGAGATCTGGTTGTTTAAAAGTGTGCAGCACCTCCCCCTCTCTCTCTTCTTCCTCTCTCACCATGTGAGACACCTTGCTGCCCCTTCACCTTCCACCATGATTTTAAGTTTCCTGAGGTCTCCCTAGAAGCCAAACAGAAGCTGTTATGCTTCCTTACAGCCTGCAGAACCATGAGCCAATTAAACATCTTTTCTTTATAAACTACCCAGTCTCAGGTATTTCTTTATAGCAATGAATGCAAGAATGAAATAATACATTATCCTTATTGGGATAAAGTTTGTGCATCCCCATACCATAACATGAATAAAGATAGTGGCTTTGAGATCCATGTTTGGGATATAGTTTGGATATTTATCCCCATTCAAATATTATGTTGAAGTATAATCCCTAATGTTGGAATTGGGGCCTGGCTAGAGGTGTTTGGATCATGAGGGCAAATCTCTTATGAATGGCTTGGGCCATCCCCTTGGTGATAAAGTGAGCTCTCACTCTGAGTTCACGTGAGATCTGGTTGTTTACAAGTGTGTGGTACCTCCCCTACCCAACTCTCTCTTGCTCCTGTTTTCACCATGTGAAGAGCCTGCTCCTGTTTCACCTTCCACCATGAGTAAAAGCTCCCTGAGGCCTCTCTAGAAGCTAAGCAGATGCTGATGTTATGCTCCCTATGCAGCCTGAAGAACGGTAAGCCAATTAAACCACTTTCCTTGATAAATTACCCGATCTCAGGTATTTATTTATAGCAATGCAAGAATGACCTAATACAGTTTGCGATTACTTTTGGAAGATCTTTTTTTTCTTAACCAAAATCTTCATGTGTTAAAATTAATTTGAATAAAGCATTGTAAAATAAAAATCTATAAGATAATCCTTAGAATACTTAAAAAGAAATTATTTCTAATTTGTACACGTATAACCTTCTAACAACCTTTGTGTGTTGATAAAATTCCAAATGAAGACTAAAACATAAAAGGGAATTTTAGAAAAAAAAACTTTGGTTGTTCCCATATCATGTCTTATGATGATTAAAATAACAATCATGGATTTTGTCAAATCCAAACAAAACAAAAACGATCTATCCATCCATCTTATCCATAAAATCGCTGGCATACAAACTTGAAAATAAAATATAAAATGATGCAAATATTCTTAATATTAAGGAAATCTAAAAATGCCTTTTTTATTTGTAAAATTGAAGTAGAAGAAAACCTATCTGACTTTGGGAGGCTGAGGTGGGTGGATCACGAGGTCAGGAGATCAAGACCATCCTAGCTAACACGGTGAAACCCCGTCTCTACTAAAAATAGAAAAAAAATTAGCCGGGCATGGTGGTGGGCGCCTGTAGTCCCAGCAACTCGGGAGGCTGAGGCAGGGGAATGGTGTGAACCCAGGAGGCGGAGCTTGCAGTGAGCAGAGCTTGCGCCACTGCACTCCAGCCTGGGCAACAGAGCGAGACTCCATCTCAAAAAAAAAAAAAAGAATAAAACCTATCTGATTATGTGATCGTGTTGTCAGAAAGTTTGATTTGGAAACCTTCTAATCATTTGGTGGAAATTCTCATTATCCATTATGCTGTCACCTGAAACAGATGCAATCAATTTATTCAGCAAAGGAACAATATCTAAACTAATAAACTACATGTAGTCATCATATATTACAACCAAGTATAACTTCATGACAATAACAGGTCATAGAGTATGTCAAAATTAGTTACGTTTTTAAATTCTTGCTCCGAAGCCAAACTACCAATGGAAACATTTTTATCAGCAGGCACAGACAATGGGTTTCTTTGTATACTGTTTTCTCTAACTTTGTATCATTAATTGTATTTGTTTACTAAGGGTTACTACAACAAAGTAACACAATCTGGGTGGTTTAGAACAACATAAATTTATTATCTCACAGTTTTAGAGGCTAGAAGTCCAAAATCAAAGTTTTGCTAGGTTTGGTTCCTTTAGAGTGCTATGAGGGAAGGATCTGTTTTAGGCTTCTCCCTTTGACTTGAAGATGCATCACCTCAATCTCTGCCTTCATGTTTAACGTGGACTTCTCCCCAGGTGTATGTCTTTATGTCCAAATGTCTCGTTTTTGTAAGGATACCAGGCTGAATTAGGGTCTACCCTAGTGACCTCATCTTAACTTGATTACATCTGCAATGACCCTATTTCCAAATAAGACCACATTCTGAGGTTCTGGGGATACAGGAATTCAGTATACAAATTTTAGGGAGACACAACTCAACTGACAACACTAGTTGATAACAGATTAGCATTGAGATAACTCTAGCTGTAGATGAAGCAAGAGAGTAACTGTTGCAGAAGAAACATTTATTTGTCTTTCAATTAAAGTTTCTCAATGAATTCTTGAAGTGGTGCCAATTCTTGCCTATCAGTCAAATTGAACTCTTGAACAAATAAAATAAGGTACTTACCATGAAGCAGATTCACTGTGCACTGGTTACCAACTTGTCTGAGTTCAGTGAAACTGAATGTCCATGCACACAATGAGTTACAGAAGAGGGTTTATTCCTTACAGATAGGCAGCAAGGGACCACAAAGCCTAGGATTCACTGTAAGCCAGCCCCCTAAGGCTCGGGAATGCTGCCTGTGGTAGATGGAGTTTTGTCTGCATGTACTCCACTTTCACCACAGCGGAGGGACCCCAGAAAGTTGCCCTGGGTTTTATACCCCAGAGATAGAATAATCACTGGGCTGAAGTATTGAAGGACATCCTGTTTCTAGGGCCACTGGAACAGAGCCCTATCTGAAGATGTTGCATTCTTGGCACCGTCTACAGTTATTTTTCAGAACTACAAACGAGAAAGGAGAAAGAACTCGACTGGTCCAAAGCCACCCTGAGAACTGTCCTTCACTTGAAGAAGGTGTTGCCATGGGAGTTTTCTTGTGGTTGCACCACAGACCCAAAGTGCTAGTAAGAAATATGGGCGTAAAATTTGAACAGACACTTAATAGTCTTGGCCACAGACATAAAATTCTTGGAAAATAGGACACCAATATTAGAAGAAAAAAAGTTTCATGATCAATATAATCCTAAAGCTAGGCCATCAAATAGTCATTGTATTTTGGAACAAAAACTTTGACTGGATTATTAATATTAGTACCACCTGCTCCATAATATTCAGATATTAGACCTGAAGACATGACTGAACAGCTTGCTTCAGTGTAGAGTTCTGATCTGCATGAAGAAATCCAAAGTATTAACTGTCATCCATTGATCGAGAACTTCTTCTAGCAACATAGCAGCACCTTTCACGTTCCCACTTCCAACAATATTTCTGCATGTTTTAAGTGTTCATACTGATGAAACCTTTTAGAGATATTCTTTTTTGACTTCAGTGGGGGAAAGACCTTCATCTATGGGTGGGTGTGAGGCTGCTAGCCAGGTGAGGTGCAGTGGTTCTGTCCCCTGGTCTTGGTGCAGCAGCATAAACCCTAGGAAGGTCCATCAGCTGAGGACATCAGTGAAGAGTACAGGAATCTTTGGTGGCCAAGGCTGTATGTGTCTGCAGTAGCAGTGAAGGCTTCTGGTGTCTTATTTTCCACCATAGGGGGAGTCACCACTGAGGGTGTCCATCTTAGAGCTGGGGTCCAGGGTGTGAGTGTACACAGTGGTAATGCTGGTGTCTGGGAAGTAGGCAGATAAAGAGTGGCTGTGGCAGTGGGGCCCAAGGTATGGGCATGCATAGAACAGTGGTGGTGCCAAGGTCTGGGATGCAGGCACAACTGTGGCAGCAAGTGGTGCTAGTTTCTGGGGTACAGGCCTCAGTGGAACATTGGTGATGCTGGAGTCTGGGGCATGGGCATGCGAGGAGCAGAGGCGAAAGTACCTGGGGATGTATGTTGAATGCTAGTGCAGAGTTGATAGGCAAAAATGGGTCCTTCTCTGAGCAGTGATGACTGAAAGGGTCCTCAGTAGCGAGAGATCCTCTCCTTTTCTCCCATGGGGAAAAGTCATGGCCAATGGAATCCTTCTTGGCATCAACCTGTGCCAGACTGGCGGAGGTGGTGATGTCGGAAAATGCTTCCGATACATTTTTATGCTGTCATCTTAAGATTTCGTGCTCCAATTTGGTTGCTGCAGCTTTTTCATTGTATTCTGGAACTCTCCCAGAGCTGTTTTTGTCAGTAAGTAGTTGTTTAATCATTATTTTTCTGGGGAGGTCAACATTCGGACCTCCTAGTATACCATGTTGCTGACATCAACTCCTCAATGTTGGCCCATTTAATAAGGAAATTGTTATTTCCCCTTATAGGTTTGCATCAGGTTCTAAAACCACACTGAGGCTGGGCACAGTGGCTCATGCCTGTAATCCCAGCACTTTGGGAGGCCGAGGTGGGTGGATCACTTGAGGTCAGGAGTTTGAGACCAGCCTGGCCAACATGGTGAAACCTCATCTCTACTAAAAATACAAAAAAAACTAGTCAGGTGTGGTGGCTTGTGCCTATAATTCCAGCTACTCAGGAGGCTGAGGCATGAGAATTGCTTGAATCCAGGAAGCGGAGGTTGCAGTGAGCCAAGATAGAGCCACTACACTCCAGCCTGGGTGACAGAACAAGACTCTGTCTCAAAAATAAAGCAAAATAATAATAATAAATAAAAATAAAAATAAAAACAGACTGAAAACTGCTTAACAAAATTATAGGTTAAACTTTGGTTTTGCAGTTTTATACTTCCAGATTGAGTATATATAAAGATTTTTATCATATTCATAAAAATTTACCACAAATGACTATTTTCATATCATATAACACAGATACAGAATAGCAGGGAACTTCAAGTCCTTGACAAACCTAGTGTGCAAAATAGGCCTGTATGAGCAAAGCTGCACAGCAACCTCAATATCTTCATATATCTATTCAAGTGCAGTTAATCTTTGCATTTCATGAGTAGAAATGTAAAATTCACTCATAAATTGAAGATATCAAGCAATTTCTTTATATTTTCAAAATAACGGGTAAAACTGTCTGAGGAAAATAAATTGTTTGCTTCAGAAGTTTGTAACACAGATTTGAAGTGTATTTCTGTTTCCAATAATGAAGGAATCCATCTGTAAATGGAAGTATATTTATATATTTCATCCTAGCAAGAGGGAATGTGTATCTGTTTATGTGAAAATATTTTGTTTGTAGTGCAGCTTGCCTGTAAGCATCATATGCCTGAGGAACTAGGTCTTTTCTAGGTAATTTTGTAAGCCAAGTCCCAGAATTTCCCTCAAAACCCACCACCATAACTTGAAGTTCGTGTCACCACTATATCTTATTGTATTTCTGCAATGGTTTCCAAAATAGCCTTCTCCTTGAGCATATTTTTGTAACATGAAGATCTGGTGAAATTCACACTCCTGCTAATCTTCCAGGCTCATCTAAACTTACCAAACTTACCTACACGCGCGCACACACACACACACAAGCATACACACACACACCGCCACACAGCCACACATACATGCTCCTGCATTCCAGACTCTATTCAATATTTCTTTTCTTACCTCTATGATCTTCCCTATTGTTAAGACTTCACTCTGGCCATGTGATCCTGTTTCATTTCTCTCCCCACCAAGGCCAATTTTTTGATTAGTTTTAGTAAGATCTTGTAATCTTGTATTTTCAGACAAGGAAACTTCTTTTTTTCAGTTGCTTTCTATGGAAAAATTTAATCTAATATTCTAGATAAGTGATTTGATGTTTTCAAAATCTACGAAATTCCGTTACTTGTTTATGCCTCAGAGGGGTCAATATTATACCTTCTGGATCAGTGTTAATTGGTTTCTGTGGTTTTTCATCAAACTCTTGTGTTTCATACAGCAGTGTTCACCCTTATACATTCAATGTTTGGTTTCTTTGAACAGGAGACATATCTGACAAAAGTCAGCCTGATCATGGCTATCTCTGTATTTCATAGTCCATTTGTCACTTCTAAATTATTTTATATGAGGCAGACATTACCTGTGTTTTAAGTAACACTCAACATGTTTGTCTTCCTCATCCCATTCACTCTGTTTAATCTCACACCTACGTCTCTTAAACTGACAACTTCCTTTAAAACTCCTTTGTCTAATTTGCTTCTACTCATACTTTAGATTTTATATCCTTTAATAAGCAGTCAACAAGATTCAAAATTGGCTTTGGTGACTTTTATATATGTTACTATAAGCTATTTTGTATTTCCTACATGCAGTACCCACCAGAGAAACTCCATAGGCTCAAATAGTCAATTTGTCTTGCAGAAAGCAATTGAGCATACTTGGCCGTAGATCCACCTAGAAGGATATAGGGTACGAAACACAATATGCCAGAAGGGCTGTGTTAGGTGTGTCTTTTATATCAGAGTGTTTGTAGTAGTATAGGGTTAGCTAGTTTTCTTTGTCCTCAAAGTACAAATTCAACTAGGAAGCAGTAGGATCACGTAGGAGAACATGGAGGCGATCCTGACTTAGAAGTCCAATGCTCCATAGGGGTCAATATCTCTTGTACCAATACTTGAGAGCAGCACTCCAGGATCTTGGAAATGGACATAGCCAGTTACAAAATTCACCACACTCAGGTGTCATATTACAATCCTCCTGGTCCAGATGCAGTTTGCCAGTAAGGAGTCATGTTCAACAATATAAAGTTGTCTAGTAACAATGCAGGTATTCCACTTTTATCAGGCTTCGTGGGACACAGAACTAGAAAGTTAACCAAAGGTAGGTTTTCATGAAGATGAAAGGGTGAAACAGGCTTTGTTTATCCTTTATCCACTATATATATATATAAAAATTTGGATATATAAAAATTTTAAAAAATATATAAATATTTATACATACAAATACATATAAAAATATATATATTTATATATACAAATATATGAAAACATATATATTTATATATACAAATATATAAATATATATATATTTATATATACAAATATATAAATATATATATATTTATATATACAAATATATAAAAATATATATTTATATATAGAAATATATAAAAATATACTTATATATACGAATATATAAATACATATTTATGTATATGAATATATAAATACATATTTATATATATGAATATATAAATACATATTTATATATATGAATATATATATAAATATGTATTTATATATACGAATATTTATATACACAAATAGATAAATATATATTTATATATATAAATATTTATATATATTTATACAAATATATAAATATATATATTTATATATACAAATATAAAAAATATATATTTATATATACAAATATAAAAAATACATATTTATATATACAAACATAAAAATATATATATTTATATATACAAATATAAAAATAAATATATTTATATATACAAATGTATAAATATCTATATTTATATAGACAAATATATACATATTTATAAATATAAATATGTATACTAATATATATTTATAAATATAAATATGTATACTAATATATATTTATATAAATAAATATAAATATAACTATATATATCTAATATATATATTTATATCTGATATATATAAATATATATATTTATATCTGATATATATAAATATATATATTTATATCTGATATATATAAATATATATATTTATATCTGATATATATAAATATATATATTTATATCTGATATATATAAATATATATATTTATATCTGATATATAAACATATATATCTAATGTATAAATATACATATTTATATCTAATATATATAAATATATATATTTATATCTAATATATATAAGTATATATATTTATATCTAATATATGTAAATATATATATTTATATCTAATATATGTAAATATATATATTTATATCTAATATATAAATATATATATTTATATCTAATATATATAAATATATACATATATATAATATATAATATATACATATATATTATATATAATATATATATGAATATATATAAATATATATTTATATATTAAATATAATATATATTATATATAAATGTATATATTATATATAATCTATATAAATTTATATAAATTAAATATAATATATAAATATATATATTATATGTAATATATAGTAATATATATAAATTATATATAATATATATGATATATACAAATATATATGAATTATATATAATATATAATATATATCATATATTATATATTATATATAATATATATTATATATTGTATAATATATATGATATATATTATATAATATATATCATATATATTATCTATTATATAATATATATCATATATATTATATATTATATCTAATATATATTATCTATTATATAATATTATATAATGGATAATATATATCATATAATATACATAATATATAAATATATATTTACATATATATATACATAATATGTATATACATAAATATATAATTATATATAAATATATGTGAATATAGATTTATATAAATTTATAAGTATAGATTTATATATAATTATATAATATATAAGTATAGATTTATATATAATTATATAATATATAAATATATATATTATATCAGTTATAAATATATATAATGTAATGTATGTATATGTAATATAATATATATATTATATGATATATGTATATATATCATATAATATATATTATATGATATATGTATATATATCATATAATATATATTATATGATATATGTATATATATCATATAATATATATTATATGATATATGTATATATATCATATAATATATATTATATGATATATGTATATATATCGTATAAT